>NC_000009.12:85720552-88220552 GCF_000001405.40 Homo sapiens
TTCTTCCTTATTAGTCTTGCTAGTGGTCTATTTTGTTGATTTTTTTCAAAAAACCAGCTCCTGGATTCATTGATTTTTTTAAGGGATTTTTTGTGTCTCTCTCTCTCTCCTTCAGTTCTGCTCTAATCTTAGTTATTTCTTGCCTTCTGCTAGCTTTTCAATTTGTTTGCTGTTGCTTCTCTAGTCCTTTTAATTGTGATGTTAGGGCGTCGATTTTAGATCTTTCCTGCTTTCTCTTGTGGGCATTTAGTGTTGTAAATTTTTCTCTACACACTGCTTTAAATGTGTCCCAGAGATTCTGGTACGTTGTGTCTTTGTTCTCATTGGTTTCAAAGAACGTCTTTATCTCTCTGCCTTCATTCCGTTATGTACCCAGTAGTCATTCAGGAGCAGGTTGTTCAGTTTCCATGTAGTTGTGCAGTTTTGAGTGAGTTTCTTAATCCTGAGTTCTAGTTTGATTGCACTGTGGTCTGAGAGATAGTTTGTTGTGATTTCTGCTCTTCTGCATTTGCTGAGGAGTGTTTTACTTCCAATTATGTGGTCAATTTTAAAATAAGTGCAATGAGGTGCTGAAAAGAATGTATATTCCGTTGATTTGGGATAGAGAGTTCTGTAGATGTCTATTAGGTCCACTTGGTCCAGAGCTGAGTTCAAGTCCTGGATATCCTTGTTAACCTTCTGTCTCATTGATCTAATATTTACAGTGGGGTGTTAAAGTCTCCCATTATTATTGTGTGGGAGTCTAAGTCTCTTTGTTGGTCTCTAAGGACTTGCTTTATGAATCTGGGTACTCCTGTATTGGGTGCATATATATTTAGGATAGTTAGCTCTTCTTGTTGAATTGATCCCTTTGCCATCATGTAATGGCCTTCTTGGTCTCTTTTGATCTTTGTTGGTTTAAAGTCTGTTTTATCAGAGACTAGGATTGCAACCCCTGCTTTTTTTTTTTTTTTTTCTTTCCATTTGCTTGGTAGATCTTCCTCCATCCCTTTATTTTTAGTCTATTTGTGTCTTTGCATGTGAGATGGGTCTCCTGAATACAGCACACAAATGGGTCTTGACTCTTTATCCAATTTGCCAGTCTATGTCTTTTAATTGGGGCATTTAGCCCATTTACATTTAAGGTTAATATTGTTATGTGTGAATTTAATCCTGTCATTATGATGTTAGCTGGTTATTTTGCCTGTTAATTGATGCAGTTTCTTCATAGCATTGATGGTCTTTACAATTTGGCATGTTTTTGCAGTGGCTGGTACCAGTTGTTCCTTTCCATGTTTAGTGCTTCCTTCAGGAGCTCTTGTAAGGCAGGCCTGGTGGTGACAAAATCTCTCAGCATTTGCTTGTCTGTAAAGGATTTTATTTCTCCTTCACTTATAAAGCTTAGTTGGCTAGATATGAAATTCTGGGTTGAAAACTCTTTTCTTTAAGAATGTTGAATATTAGCCCCCACTCTCTTCTGGCTTGTAGGGTTTCTGCTGAGAGATCCACTGTTAGTCTGATGGGCTTCCCTTTGAGGGTAACCCGACCTTTCTCTCTGGCTGCCCTTAATATTTTTTCCTTCATTTCAGCCTTGGTGAATCTGACAATTATGTGTCTTGGGGTTGCTCTTCTCAAGGAGTATGTATGTGTTGTTCTCTGTATTTCCTGAATTTGAATGTTGGTCTGCCTTGCTAGGTAGGGGAAGTTCTCCTGGATAATATCCTGAAGATTGTTTTCTAACTTGCATCCATTCTCCCCATCACTTTCAGGAACACCAATCAAACGTAGATTTGGTCTTTTCACATAGTCACATATTTCTTGGAGGCTTTCTTCGTTTCTTTTCACTCTTTTTTCTCTAATCTTGTCTTCTTGCTTTATTTCATTAATTTGATCTTCAATCACTAATATCCTTTCTTCGACTTGATCGAATCAGCTATTGAAGCTTGTGCATGCGTCACGAGGTTCTCGTGCTGTGGTTTTCAGCTCCATGAGGTAATTTAAGGTCTTCTTTATACTGTTTATTATAGTTAGCCATTCATCTAACCCTTTTTCAAGGTTTTTAGCTACCTTGCGATGGGTTAGAACATGCTCCTTTAGCTCAGAGAAGTTTGTTATTACCAACCTTTCTGAAGCCTACTTCTGTCAACTCATCAAACTCATTCTCCATCCAGTTTTGTTCCTTTGCAGTGAGGAACTGCAATCCTTTGGAGGAGAAGAGGTGCTCTGGTTTTTTGAACTTTTCAGCTTTTCTGCTCTGGTTTCTCCCCATCTTTGTGGTTTTATCCACCTTTGGCCTTTGATGTTGGTGACCTACAGGTGGGGTTTTGAGGTGGATGTGCTTTTTTTTTGATGTTGATGCTATTCCTTTCTGTTAGTTTTCCTTCTAACAGTCGGGCCCCTCAGCTGCAGGTCTGTTGGAGTTTGCTGGAGGTCCACTCCAGACCCTGTTTGCCTAGGTATCACCAGCAGAGGCTGCAGAACAGCAAATGCTGCTGCTTGATCCTTCCTCTGGAAGCTTCATCCCAGAGGGGCACTCACCTGTAGGAGGTGTCTGTCAGCCCCTACAAGGAGGTGTCTCCCAGTCAGGCTACATGGGGGTCAGGGACCCACTTGAGGAGGCAGTCTGTCCGTTCTCAGAGCTCAAACGCCATGCTGGGAGAGCCACTGCTCTCTTCAGAGCTGTCAGACAGGGAAAATTAGGTCTGCTGAAGCTGTCTGCTGCCTTTTCTTCTGGTAGGCACTGCCCAGAAGTGGAATCTAGAAAGGCAGTAGGCCTTGCTGAGCTATGGTGGGCTCCACCCAGTTCGAGCTTCCTGGCCTCTTTGTTTACACTGTGAGCACAAAACCACCCATTCAAGCCTCAGCAATGGCGGACGCCCCTCCCCCACCAAGCTGCAGCATTGCAGGTTGATCTCAGACTGCTGCACTAGCTGTGAGCAAGCCTCCATGGGCGTGAGACCTGCTGAGCCAGGCACAGGAGGGAATTTCCTGGTCTGTGGGTTGCGAAGACTATGGGAAAAGCGCAGTATTTGGGCAGGAATGTACCGTTCCTCCAAGTACAGACTGTCATGGATTCCCTTGGCTAAGAAAGGGAAATCCCCTGACCCCTTGCGCTTCCCAGGTGAGGCGCTGCTTCAGCTTGCCCTCCGTGGGCTGCACCCACCGTCCAACCAGTCCCATTGAGATGAACCAGGTACCTTAGTTGGAAATGCAGAAATCACCCGTCTTCTCCATCAATCTCGCTGGGAGCTGCAGACCGGAGCTGTTCCTATTTGGTCATCTTGGAAGCCTCCTCTGGGTTGACTGTCCTTCTAAAAGAAACCCTAGAGAAAAAGCTCTTCCCTCCCACCATGTGAGCACACAATGAAAAGGCACCATCTATGAACCATGAAACAGATCCTCACCAGATATGAATCTGCCAGCATCTTGATCTTAAACTTTCCAGCCACCAGAACTGTTAGAAATAAACATCTGGCCGGGTACGGTGGCTCATGCCTATAATCCTAGCACTTTGGGAGGCCGAGGAAGGTGGATCACTTGAGGTCAGGAGTTCAAAACCAGCCTGGCCAAGATGGAGAAACCCGAACTCTACTATAAATACAAAAATTAGCCGGGTGTGGTGGTGAGTACTTGTAATCCAAGCTACTCAGGAGGCTGAGGCAGAAGAATCACTTGAACCTGGGAGGCAGGGGTTACAGTGAGCCAAGATCACACCATTGCACTCCAGCCTGTGCAACAGAGTGAGACTTTGTCTCAAAAAAAAAAAAAAAAAAAGAAAGAAATAAACATCTGTTCTTTATAAGCTACCTACTCTATGGTATTTTGCTGTAGTAGTGCAAATAGACTAAGACAACTTTGAAAATTATCATTACTGAATAACCAGTTATATACAAACCTGTGTCAAAACCAGTTTTTGAGAGAACAATCAGTTTATTTCTATAAACTTACAAATGCTCAATATATGCCACATCATAACACATACATTAATGCCACAATCTACTTTATCCTAGACCCTTAGCCATTTATCACCATTGTTTACTACAAAAGCAACCAAAATAGATTATTTCCTCAAGGTTGTGGGGAAAACCATATCCGCATAAATACTCACATGGTATAATATCTAAGACTTCACTGGCCACTACTTGATTCTTTTTATTCACACAATAACACAGACAACTAATTTAACAATGTGTTATGCCTATTATCTATCTCTTTCCACTGGAATTAAAGCTCCATGAGGGCATGGATCTTTGTTTTGCTTACTAAATGCCTCCCAAGTATCTAGAAGAATGCCAGCACATTGCAGGTGCTAAATAAATTTTTTAATTAATGAATGCTTTTAAGTTTTCTTTTGAAAAAAAATTTTACTACACAAACAAGCAAGAAAGTCTTCATTTTTAAAAATCCAGTAATATGGCAGATACGGTATAATGGCACACAGTATCTATCCCAATTTCCCTCTACCGTGCCTTCCTATACCACAGGAACTTGGAAGTTTAAAAACCAAAAAGCATTTCCCAGACTCCCCTGCACCCTGCAGCTACACTTCCAGTTGTAACTTAAGTCTACCAAATTCGTCACTTGTGAGAGATTTCGAAGATGAGCAAAAGCTGCCTGATTATAGAGGAAAGCATAGACACAGACATGTTCAGTTTTTCTACAACAATGTATGAAGAGGTCCCAGAGTGTAAGGCAGGGATTCTCAACCTGGAGTCCACAAGATATTGAAGATACTGCTTGAGTTCTTTGAGAGATCAGAAATTTAACAAAAAAATTAAAAAAAAAATTTTTTTAACTTTTGTGCATCAAGCAATGGCAGTATTGACAGTAAATGAACAACCTCATTAACAATTGTGTTAGAAATTAGCCATGTGGTAGTGCACAGTAAAACCATGTTTATTGAGATACAGTTGTCCTTGATAACTGGTGGTTGCTACGCATAGGGGGAGGATGGTAGGGGGCTAATGAACATCAGCCTCTCCCTCTCAAATTACCTCCACAAACCTCTCCATAGGCACCGCCAACTACCTGATATAAGCAAAAAAGCTCTACAAGTGTAATGGAAAATTGGAGAGAAATTTTAATTCTGATGAAAAGGCCAGCCACAGTGGCTTACACCTGTAATTCCAGCACTTTGGGAGGCCAAGGTGGGAGAACTGCTTGAGCCCAAGAGTTCGAGACTAGCCTGCACAATATAGGGAGACCCCATTTCTGCAAAAAATTTAAAAATTAGGTCAGGCGCAGTGGCTCACACTTGTATTCCTAGCACTTTGGGAGGCCAAGGCGGGCGAATCACCTGAAGTCAGGAGTTCGAGACCAGCCTGGCCAACATGGCGAAATCCCGTCTCTACTAAAAATACAAAAAAAAATAGCCAGGCGTGGTGGCACACGCCTGTAATCCCAGCTACTCAGGAGGCTGAGGCAGGAGAATTGCCTGAACCCAGGAGGCAGAGGTTGCAGTTTGCAGTGAGCCAAGATCATGCTACTTGCACTCCAGCCTGAGAGACACAGCAAGACTCCATCTCAAAAAAAAAAAAAAAAAAAAAAAAAATAGCCAGTGTGGTGGCATGCACCTATGGTCCCAGCTACATGGGAGGGTGAGGTAGAAGGATCGCTTGAGCCTGGAAGATTGAGGCTACAGTGAGTCATGTTCACACCACTGCACTCCAGCCTGAGTAACAGAACAAGACTCTGTCTCAAAAAAAAAAAAACAAAAAACAAAAAAAAAGAAAAATGTTTACATGTTGCAACTCAGTTACCCCCAATGTTTTGCTATTTGGCGCAAGCTTTGCAAAACATGGACAAAATTACAATGGAGTTATATCATGAAAATTTAGTTTTGTGATTTTTCTCAATTAGTTTTTTGCTATGGTCTTAAGTCTTATACATTAACATCTGTGTTTTACAAATGCCCGATAATCCGATGTGGTAATTTCTGAGGATGAAGTGTGAGAATAGGGCCAAAGGAAAATTCCAGTAAGGTTGGTAAAGAACTGTATCTAGTGAGTCATTTCATTGCACTAGTGCATCAAGAGACATAAAACAAGTCCCTCTTTACAATGCAAATAAGTATCAATGGATGTATACATGGGCTGTACTAAGTTTTCCTATACCATTTTGTGTTGTCTGTGGAAAACAACTTTACAAATACAGCAATGGTTCCAGCAAAATTCAAAAGACACTTAAATACAAATTACATTCATTTGACAAGTTAAGTGTCAAATATACTGGAATCTCAAAACAAACAGAATAAAGATTTTGTTTTAAAAAAAAATCAGTGAAAAGACTGAGGCAGCAAGTTACATAGTAGTAGAATTTATGGCCCAGAAAAGGGAAAGTCACACAATTGGTGGTGAGAATCTACTATAAGTATAATAAAAAAGTGTAAAATTACACTGAGTAAAAGATCAGTAAAATGTTTATATGAGATACAGAAAGAGAAACTGAAAAAAGTTCTACAGTACATGTTGAGCACCCCAAATCTGAACATCTGAAATCCAAAGTGCTCCAAAATTCGGCCGGGTGTGGTGGCTCACGCCTGTAATCCTAGCACTCCAGGATGAGGTGGTCAGGTCACCTGAGGTCAGGAGTTCGAAACCAGCCTGGCCAATATGGTGAAACCCCGTCTCTACCAAAAATACAAAAATCAGCCGGGCATGGTGGCACGCACCTGTAATCCCAGCTACTCGGGAGGCTGAGGCAGAAGAATCACTTGAACCCAGGAGATGGAGGCTGAAGTGAGCCGAGACTGCACCACTGCACTCCAGCCTGGGCAACAGAGGGGGACATCGTCTCAAAAAAATAAAAGCAAACCCCACTTCACAACACAGTGTTTTCTTCACAGAGAGATGCTGGTGTCAAAAGCCCTAGGAAAGGAAATTTTTAAAGTTCTAATTGAAGCTCCAAAAAAGTATTAACTGTTATATAAAAACCTGCTCATTCAACAGTGTTTAAAGAACTGTGTAAAAACGTGGATGAAGAGGACATAAATCTACTACATACAGAAATACAGTGGCTTAGCAGAAGAATTCTCAACAGGTATCTAAGCTGAAAGACGAATTCCAGGAGTACTTTCACAAACACAGCAGACCAGATTTTGCCAAGTATTTTGAGAATGAAGAATGGCCCAATCTACAAACATTTGTTATCACATGAAGTAACTGAACAACTCTCTGCCAGGCCTTAGAGAAAATATTTTTAAGGCCAGTTGTGTTGATTCACACTTGTAATCCCAAGTGCTTTGAGGAGACCAAGGCAAGAGGATCACTTGAGGCCAGGAGTTCTGGACCAGCCTGGGTAACATAGTGATACCTCCATCTCTACAAAAAAATAAAAAAATTAAAAAAATTAGCTGGGCATGGTGGCATATGGCTGTAATCCCAGCTGCTTGGGAGGCTGAAGCAAGAGGAATCCCTGAGTCCAGGAGTTCAAGGTTGCAGTGAGCTATGACTGCATCACTATACTCAAGCAAGACCGTGTCTCAAAATATATATTTATATACACACACACACACACACACACACACACACACACACACACACACACATATTTACTTCAAGTGACAAGATTCTTGGGAAAAAAAATCCTGTGATTAAAAAAAGGCAATCTTAAAACGTTTCCATTGTTTCTTGGGCTTGTGAGTAAGAATGTTTATCTGCAAATCTCAAGTCTTGCTGATATAGGAGAAAAATATTGAAAAGGAAAAGTAAATAGTATTTCCCTTTTCTTTTCAAATAAATGTAAGACTGAGGAAGGAACCCTTTCTCTGAATCTTGTGCTCAGGCTGAGAACTTAACTTTGAGGAGGAGGAATTTTGCTCTTCCTCCTCACTGATTATACACTTAAGATGAGATTTATGCTCTTGATTATACACTCGAGATGAGATTTACTGATCTACCCCTAAAAAAGTTATGGATTTCCCTGAACCAGTAATGTCCTGCCAATCATAGGAAAGTAATGAACATTTAGCTGCAAGTTTTCAACTTCTTAAGTTTTTTCTTACTTAACAAGCACCTACAGCAAGGAGGAACTGTCTCATGTCAGATAAAAATGAAAACTGTGAATGCTTATTTCAAATTAAACAAAACAAAAACAGGTTTCATGTGAACAAGATGAACTTCTTTTAGTTTTAAAAGGCAATTTTATTGTATATGTTAAAGCCTACAAAAGATGAAAAAAATCAAAACACATACAAATATTTTGTTAACTTGTGGACTTATATTTCAGCCTCACCTTGCCAATCAGAAAAAAAAAAAAAGTTGGCTTATTTCAAAATCTTACATAAATTATGACTTGGACTATATTTTTATTAGTATTACCTTGGCTTATGGTTTTTAATAGCTTTGCTATTTGATATTGTCAATAATTTTCATGGTATATTAGGTGCAAAAGTAATCACAGTTATTGCCATCACTTTTAATGTTAATTGTACTTTTAATTAAAAGTAATGGCAAAAACTGTGATTACTTTCACACCAACCTAAATAAATAACATTAATTAAAATCAGCTAGTAGTAGCATAAAGACAGACATACAGACCAATGGAATGAAAGTCCAGAAATAAACTCATATATCTATGGCCAATCGATTTTTGACATGCATGTCAAGTCCATTCAGTTGGAAAAAATAGTCTCTTCAACAAATGGTGCTGGAACAACTTGATATCCACATGCCAAAGAATGAAGCAGCATTACTCACAACAGTCAGAAGATGAAAACCACCCAAGTGCCCACCAATAGATGAATGAACAATACATGGTAGAAACATACAATGGAATACTATTCAGCCATAAAAAGCAATGAAGTTCAATATACGCTACAACATAAATGAACCTTGAAAACATTACACTAACTGAATTAAAGACCTAAATGTAAGACCTAAACCATAAAACTCTTAGAAGAAAACACAGTGAACAAGTTGCTCAGCACTGGTCTTGGCAATTTTTTGCATAGGATCTAAAGTATGGGCAACAAAAACAAAAACAAATGGGACTACTACGTCAAACTAAAAAGTTCTGCACACCAAAGGAAATAACAAATGAAAGACAGCCTATAGGTTCGGAGAAAGTATGTGCCAGCCATACATCTAGATATATAGCTTATCTCAAGATACAAGGGGTTAATATCTTAAATACATAAGAAACACAACTCAATAGCAAAAAAAAAAAGAATGACCCAATTAAAAAATCAGCAAAAGACCTGAATACTCTTCCAAAGAATATATTAAAATAGCCAACAGGTATATAAAAAGTTGCTCCACATCACTTATCAGAGAAATGGAATTCAAGACCACAGTGAAATATCATCACCTCACACCTGTTAGGATGGCTATTATCAAAAAGACAAGAGACCTAAAAGTTATTTCACAGCTCCTCCAGGGTATAAAGATTTAGAAAAGTTGGGGCAGTCACTAGCAGGCAGCTGGTGCACACCAGAACAGGCCCAACATGGTTCTACAGCTAGTAAGGATAGTCTGAGGTTCCTGATTACCAGAGCCTCCTGACCTCAACTGTTTCCAGATTCTGAAACAGCAGTGTGGTTCCAGAAATGAAGCTCTAGAAGCAATTTCACAATTAGACCAGAGGTTTCCTAATCATAAAAGAGGTAACTCTCTTGGTTTCCCAGTTCTGTGGTAAGATGTGAGAGTTGTTCCTTAAAGCTCAACCTATGTCTCTTTCTTCAGATCTCTCAACTTAATTCCTCCTAAGTAAGCCACTTAATGCCTGTGCCAGATATTGATTTATTGCCCCTCATCTCCCAATTCGCCCTTTTTGTCTGCTCTGTGAAAATGAATTTGTGTCCTTTAAATATCTTTTTTATCTGCCAGCTGACATGACATTAAGCTGTGTCAGTAGACGGCTCTGGAAAAGCATTGCAAGGGAAAAGAATTGGGCTTCCTAGTTCCAGGGCATTCACTTGGCTCCAGTAGGCAAGGCTTTTCCAGGGACCCACTCCTTCAACAAGGATGGTTCTTCTACCACCAGGCTCCTCAGTGTGTGCTGCTTTTCCAATAAGAGCCTAGGTAGTTTTGTAGTAGAGGTCTCTGATGAGATACCTCTTCATAAACAGCATTCCCTGGTACCCTAAGGGGTAAATTTCCAGCAAATGCCACTAGTGCTGTACCATAGCTTGAACTTGCCCTTTGACATAGCCTTGAACGTGCCCTTTCCAATAAGATCTAAGTTCATCTGGAAGATGGAAACGCACTCTATCTTAGTCCTGGGATAGTCACTGCTCCTTATATCTGCTATTCCTATATTCTTTAGCATTATCTTTACTTCTCACTGGTAAATCTCTTATTACTCCAATCCCCTGTTACAGTCAATAATTCCTTATATTATTCTTTCCCTGTTAAATTACTATGTGGTTTCTATCTCCTGATTGAACCCATACTGATACATTCCAACAATTCTTTAAACTATTTAGCAGCCTATGGTAAACCTTCTCTTTGCTTAAGGGAAAGTAGTTCTTTCTCTACAAGTGTGTCTTTACTGTTTTATTTTTAAATGAAGGATTTGGGCCATGGAGTAGGAGAGGAATCGTACAATATCCTCAGAAATGAAATGAAGTTGTGACATCAACTTTTTTAAATTAGGAAGTGATACTAATCATGCATAGCCAGGGTCAAGAACCATTCCTAGGTCAGCCTATTCAATATTTTAATTGGAACATTAACTTCATCTTAAAGTACTATCACTCCTGTTATGCCTAACTGCTATTTTGAAACTTAGCCTACTATGAGATACCACTTCACAACCAATAGAATGGCTAAACTTTAAAAAGACAGATAATAACAAGTGTTAGCAAGGATGTGGGAAACTGGAACCCTCACACATTGCTGACAGGAATGTACAATGGTGCAATTACTTTGGAAGTAGTTTGGCAGGGTTTTTTTTTTCGGGGAGGGAAGTGTTTTGGTTTTTTTGTGTGTGTTTGTTTGTTTGTTTTTGAGACACGGTCTTGCTCTGTCACCCAGGCTACAGTACAGTGGCACAAACAAGGCTCACGGCAGCCTCAAACTCCTGGGCTCAAGTAATCCTTCTGCCTCAGCTGGGACCACAGGTGCACACCACCAGCCACCTAATTGTTTTTTCCATTCTTTGTAGAGACCGGGTCTTGTCATATTGCCCAGGCTGGTCTCAAATTCATGGGCTCAAGCAATTCTTCCACCTTGGCCTCCCAAAGTACTGAGATTACAGGCATGAGCCACCAAGCCCAGCCCAATGATTATGTTATATTTTAGTCCAATCTTCAAACAGGAAAATTGATTTCACCTATTTTATTGTCATTAATTTTATCAAAAAGTATGGGTAAGAGTAAATCTACAAAAAGCTTATGTATCTTTCCTGATCATGCATTCTTATCAAAACCAAACAAATCTGTAAGGTTCACACACTACTCCACAAAAAATGTTCAGATACTTATAAAAAGTCTAATTAGTTTTGCTTTGTGACATTTCCATTTTACTATCAATAAATGAGGTAGGTTTGAAGAGCAGAATCTCATTACCCTTCAACTATTAAATGATTTGTTTAAAATAACTCTTCCTCCAACTCAGATTTCAACTATTTTCAGACTTAAACAAAGCCAAAATTTCTAAGTCTATACAGATGATAAATGAGATTTAAAATCTTACCTTGAAACACACATTTTTCTCTGCCTCTAACCTATGACTATGACCCTTTTTTTTTTTTTTTTTTTTTTGAGACAGAGTCTTGCTCTGTCGCCCAGGCTGGAGTGCAGCGGCGTGATTTCAGCTCACTGCTAGCTCCACCTCCTGGGTTCCGGCCATTCTCCTGCCTCAGTTTCCCAAGTAGCTGGGACTACAGGCGCCCACCACCAGGCTCGGCTAATTTTTTGTATTTTTAGTAGAGACGGGGTTTTACCATGTTAGCCAGGACGGGACTATGAAGAAACCACTATAACTCAAATAGTGGTTTGGGTTTTTTTGAAGAAACCACTTTATGAAGAAAACCACTATAACCCAAAGTCAGCTCCAGCTAATATCCCAATATAAATCAAAATATATAAAATATGAGGAATAAAAACAGCTAATATGGCATATAAAAAACAAAGAACAGAAATAAGTAATTTACTTTAGGAAGTAATTACTTTAAATGTAAAGGGATTAAATTTGCCAATCAAAACACAAAGACTGGCAGAATAGATTTTTTTAAATGATCCAACTGTATGTTGTCTGCAGGAGACTTACTTTAGATCCCATTGCACAAATACATGGAACGTGAAAGAATGGAAGAAGATATTCCATGCAAATAGTAACCAAAAGAGAGCAGGAAGGGCTATACTAGTATCAGACAAAACAGACTCTGAATCAAATAAGTTTACAAGAGAAAAAGTATATTATATATTAATAAAAAGTTCAACAGAGCAAGAAGATAAAACAATTATAAACATTTACACACCAACAAAATATATGAAGTAGTTACAGATCATCAAAATACGAGGTAAAAATTAACATAATTATGGGGAGAAATACTTCTATAATAAAAGGTGGATACTTAATACACCATTCTCAATGAGGAAAAGAACAACCAGAAAGAAGTGAAGAGAGAGATGATTTGAACAACACAATGAATCAACTAGATCTAACATATATTTAGAACAAGGTACTCAACAACAGAATATAAATTCCTCTCAAGTGCACACAGAACATTCTCCAAAACAGGCCACATATTAGGATACAAATTAAGTCTCAATTGCTTTTAAAAGATATTTATCATACAAAGTGTGCTCTCCAACCTCACAACAGGATTAAGTTAGAAATCAATCTGAGAAAGAAAACTGGAAAATACACAAATTTATGGAAATTAAACAACGTACTCTTAACCAATGAATCAAAGAAGAAATCACTGGGTTAACCAGAAAATAGACACAAATGAAAGCAAAGACATGACATACCAAAACTTACAGGATATAGCAAAAGCAGTGCTGAGGAGAAAATCTATAGACATAAACACATTAAAAAGGAAGACAGATCTCAAAACAACCTATCTTTACAACTAAGGAACTACAAAAAGAAGAACTAAACCCAAAGTGAGCAGAAGGAAGAAAATAAAAAAGACCAGAGGAGAAATAATTAAAATAGAGACTAGAAAAACAATAAAGAAATCAACAAAACCAAAAGTTGGTGCTTTGAAAAGATTAACAAAACTGACAAACCTTTAGCAAGATTTAAAAGAGAGAGGACTCAAATTACTAAAATCAGAAATGAAAGGGGAGACATTCATGACCAATTCCACAAAACCAAAAAGGATTATAACAGAGTACTGTGAACAACAGTACACCAACAAATTGGATAACCTAGATGAGATAAATTCCTAGAAACACAAAACCTACCAAGCCTGAACCACAAAGGAATAGAAAATCTAAATAGACCCATAACTATTGAGGAGATGTAATCAGTAATTAAAAACCTCCTTACAGGCTGGGCACGGTGGCTCACGCCTGTAATCCCAGCACTTTGGGAGGCCAAGGTGGGCGGATCACAAGGTCAAGAGATCGAGACCAGCCTGGCCAACATGGTGAAACCCTGTCTCTACTAAAAATACAAAAAATTAGCTGGGCGTGGTGGCGCGTGTCTGTAGTCCCAGCTACTCAGGACGCTGAGGCAGAAGGATCGCTTGAACCCAGGAGGCAGAGGTTGCAGTGAGCCAAGATGGCACCACTGCACTCCAGCCTGGCGACAAAGAGAGACTCCGTCTGAAACAAACAAACAAAAAAACCTCCTTACAAAGCAAAGCCCTGAATCTGATGGCTTCACTGGTAAATTCTACAAAATACTTAAAAAAAAAAAAGTCCAGTTCTTTTCAACTCTTCCAGAAAAGTGAAGAAGGAACGCTTCCTACCTCATTCTATAAGGCCAGTACAGCCCTGATACCAAAGTCAGACAGATGTTACAAGAAAATGACAGACCAGTATTCTTTATGACCATTAATGCAAAACTCTTCAACAAAATACTAGGAAACCAAATACAGCAACATGAAGGCAAATCAAAACTACAAGATATCACTTCGTAGCTATTAGGATGGCTGCTACCAAAAACAAAACAAAAACACAAAATAGTAAGTGTTGATGTGCATAGATTAGAATCTTTGTGCACTATTGATAGGAATATAAAATGGTGCAGCCACTATGAAAAACAGTATGAAGGTTCCTTGAAAAATTAAAAATAGAATTACCATACAATCTGGCAATTCCACTTCCGGGTATATACTCAAAAGAACTGAAAGCAAGGTCTTCCATGGGAGGCCGAGGCAAGTGGATCATGAAGTCAGGAGACAGGGACCATCCTGGTTAATACGGTAGAACCCCGTCTCTACTAAAAATACAAAAAAAAATTAGCCAGGCATGGTGACACACACTTGTAGTCCCAGCTACTTAGGAGGCTGAGGCAGGAGAATCACTTGAACCCAGAGGCAAAGGTTGCAGTGAGCTGAGATCGCGCCACTGCCCTCCAGCCTGGGCAACACAGCGAGACTCCATCTAAAAAAATTTTAAAAATAAATAAATAAAAAGCAAGGTCTTGAAGAGATGTTTACATACCTAGATTCAAAGCAGCATTATTCACAAGCAACCCAAGTGTCCATTCATCAACGGATGAATGCATAAACAAAATCTGGTATATACATATAACAGATTATCCAGCCTTAAAAAGAAAGTCCTGACACACGGTACAACATGAACGAACCTTGAAGACATTGTGCTAAATGAAATAAGCCAGTCACAAAAAGATAAACGCTGTATGATTGATTCCACTCATGTGACCTACTCAGAGTTGTCAAATTCATAGCAACAGAAAATAGAACAGTGCCTGCCAGGGAATGGATTATGGGGGAGGGGGAGAGTAATTGTTTAATATATACAGAGTTTCAATTTGAGAAGATAAAAGAAGTTCCATAGATGTATGGTGGTGGCTGCCGCACAACAATGTGAATATACTTGATGCCACTAAACTACACACTTAAAAGTGATTTAAATGGTAAATTTTATGTTATATATGTTTTACCACCAATTTTTAAAATAAATATTTTTTTAAAGATCAAAATATGAACCTTGTGTTAAAAATTGGGAAAAAAGTTGTTTCAAATATAAATAAAAGTTAAAATCAATAAGATTAAATTAAAAGGTGAGAGATTAGTTTTCACCATGCACCAAAAAGGAGTCTAGAAAGTGTGTTGACCATAAATTAATAAACCTAAAGAGTTCTTGTTAAAATAATATTTTTTAATTCATTAAACTCTATTACATGTAGGCAGTGTTCAGATTTTTATTAACATTATCCGACCATAAATCCCTCTGGCTGACTTTATTATTGTTTTTAATCCCTATATAACCAATATCCTTATAATCTTCATAATTTTAAATCATTTTCCCCTTAAGGAAAAATGTGAGGCAAAGACAGCAAGTGCCTGGAATTTCTCCATAGGGCAGTTCATTCTCAGCATGAATTAAGTGAGAAATGAGCAGAGATTAAGAAGGGAAACCAGGTCACTTTTTTTTAAACTTATGAGTTAGATATTAGTGGAGCTTTTCACGTTGTGCCTTCACTGTTTAATATTTACATTCCCAAAATGTTAAATTTGAACATTTATATAGAAATGTACTACCGGGTCTGATTTTTGTTTTTAGATGGTATTCAGATTACTAATACTATAATCCCATTGTATCAGCACCTGACTAAAACCATTAAGAAACTTTCTGTGAATAACCTTTATTGTACTTAATTTTGTATGTTAAAATATTTTTCTTTAAATTTTTTAACTGGCACATAATAATCATATGTATTTATGAGGCACAGTGATCTTTTGATACATGTAATGTATAGCAATCAGATCAGGGTAATTAGCAAATCCATCATCTCAAACATTTATCATTTCTGTGCATTTGATATCCTCCTGGCTATTCGAAAGTATATATTATCAATTACAGTCATCCTATAGTGCTAGAGAACACTGTAGAGCTTATTCCTACTATCTAGCTATAATACTTTTTTTTAATAAGACCTTTACCTTTACCCAAAGCGTAAAACAAAAGCAAACAAGAGACTGTCACTACCACTTCACTTCTTAATCAAACGTTTGTGAGAAAGCCTCTTTAAGATTTAAATCCAGAAGTTCTAAAAGCACGGTGCGTGGGCCCCTGTGGTCCTGACACTCTTTTAGGGGACCCACAAGTTCAAAACTATTTGTATAATACTAAAATTTAAAATCTTAAAATTACTGGCATCTTGGACTGAGTTAAAGTCACCATCAACCACCAACAATTATAAAACAAGAAAAAGCCAGCCATGGCTCACGCCTCTAATCCCAGTACTTTGGGAGGCGGACACAGGCGGATCACAAGGTCAGGAAATCAAGACCATCCTGGCTAACGCGGTGAAACCCCATTTCTACTAAAACTACAAAAAATTAGCCAGGCGTGGTGGTAGGCGCCTGTAGTCCCAGCTACTCGGGAGGCTGAGGCAGGAGAATGGCGTTAAGCCAGTAAGCGGAGCTTGCAGTGAGCAGAGATTGCACCACTGCACTCCAGCCTGGGCGACAGAGCAAGACTCCATCTCAAAAAATAAAAAATAAAAAGACAAGAAAAAGCCAATGTCACTTAAGAATGTCCTTGAAACAGTAAAAATTATTAATTTTTATGCACCTTTTTATGTGACAAAATGGGAACTTTCCATGAACCATTTCTGCTACATACTGAATTACAATAGTTGATGGCTGTCTCAAAGTAAAGTGCTTCTGTAACTGAATTGACAGCTTGAACTAGCCTCTTTTTTAATGAAAGTGACTGAAAGAATGATTGACAGACTATGGTTACTCAAATTGGAATATTTTGGCAGAGGTTTTCTCAGAAATGAATAAACTGAGCTTGTCACTTTAAGTAAACAAGTCACATTTGTTGCCAATGATAAAATTTGAGCTTTCAAGCAAAAATCCGAATTCTGGAAAACTCATATCCACCATTGTCATGTCAAGACCTAAACAGCTTCCCAATAATTTGTCTCTAACAAAATGGGTGGTGATATTAACAACCATAACTTTCTTTAATATTGCATGATGAAAGATGTCAACATTTGGAAGATCTGCATAACACTGAACCAATATTTACAAATGACCAAGGAATGATGTTACAATCTCAGGAATGAGTATAAGACCCATTCAAAGTTCCAACCAATGGGTTTTACTAGAGCATGCAAAAATCCACTTACTGGATTTCTCACGGCATCTAACCTTTAAGAAATTGCCACTTACTGAGTTTTAATATAATACCAAACAAGAATGTCCACAATTATCGGAAAAGGCTATTAAAATGCTCCCTCCCCGGCCTCCCCACCCTGTTTAGCCATTAACTATGTGAGACTGGATTTTCTCCATATGTATTTCAACCCAAACAACATATTGCAATAGACTGGATGCAGGAGCAGATATGATAATCCAGCTGTTTCCATTAAACCAGACAGATTTACAAAAAAAGTAAAACAATGCCACTTTTCTCACTACCTTATTTTTTGTTTTAAAAAAAAGTTGTTTTCATTAAAAATAGGGTGTTTATATTAACATGTAAAGAGTTTATAATTGTCATTTTAAGTGAACTGACAATTTATATTTCCCTTTTCATTTACAATACAGTAAACATAGATAAATTCACAAAAGCTTTTTGGGGATCCTCAACAACTTTTAACAATGTAAAAGGGTCCTAACCAAAAGTTTGAAAGCATTTAGAGTTTTAATATTAGATCCCTGCAAACCAAGAACAAGTATGTAAAATCATACTGGAGGGAAAAAAAAAGTTCCTAGGAAAATTATATGAAAGCTGAAAATGAACACAATGTCAAATCAAAACTGATTTCACACTATATAATATCAATAAAAAAGAAAATGCTTAGATAAAAAAGAATGCTTAAAAAAATTGATTTTGTGTGCCCTGGAAACAACATACAATATTCTGATCAAATAAACAAGTACATACCTACCAATATTTTGACAGATCACATTTTTGATAGCGGCACATTATAGTCAAAGAAACACCCAATCACAAACTCAAAAACAGATGATTAAAAGATTAAAATAGCAGCCATCACCAACAGGAGGGAGACAATCCAAGGTTCTGTCAGAAGGGACAAACGGATTTATCAACAGCTCTCCAGTAGCATCCCAGGGCACCCAGCTCAGGGTCTAGCTGTTCTATTTAAAACTGACTTACATGTTTCCAAGGCAGGAGGCAGGACAGTGAGACTAAGCTCTCATTTAACCCCAAAGGAGCAAATGGGTCATAGTGGAATTAATCTGCACTAATACTGCTCCATCCCCCAAAAGTCCTTTTTCTGCTTACTAGATCCCTTTGAAGACTGAGGAAGAGCAACGGTAATAATAGCAATATTTACTGGGCACTTACTACATGCCAGGCACTGTGGGCTAAGCACTTTACTTGTATTAATCACTTAATATTTGAGAATATCTTAAGAGTATACACTAATATTATGTCATTTTTGGAGCTGAGAAAATTAAAGTACAAAAAGGACAAATAACTTGTCTTAAAAAAATAAAAATAAAAATAACTTGCCTAAAGCAAAGCCAGGACCCAAACCGAGCCATCTGGCTCTGAGGCCCAACTCCTTAGCCACTACACCATAGTACACAGGCACAGTAATCAACAATAACATCTGAAGTTTAAAATTCAGTGCCCACCCTACAAAATTTATGTTGTTTATACTGAAACCCATTGCCTAAGGAAAGCTCCCATCTTGCAGATGGCCCTCTGACAGGTGCATCCATTGCTATTCACGCACTGTTCAACTTTCAGATAGTGGGGGACTTCAAGCAAGAAAAGCAGATTTGGGAAGATGAATACTTTGGATGAGGTTTAAAAAAATTCAGGCCAGGACGGGCGTGGTGGCGGACGCCTGTAATCCCAGGACTTTGGGAGGCCGAGGTGGGCAGACCACCTGAGGTCAGGAGTTCAAGACGAGCTTGGGTAACATGGTGAAACCCCGTCTCTACTAAAAACAAAAACTTAGCCGGGCGTGGTGGTGTGCTCCTGTAATCCCAGCTATTCGGGAGGCTGAGGCAGGAGAATCGCTTGAACCCGGGAGGCAGAGGCTGTAGTGAGCCAAGATCGTGCCACTGCACTCCAGCCTGGGCGACAAGAGCGAAACTCCGTCTCAAAAAAAAAAAAAAAAAAATTCAGGCCAAGCTTGGTGGCTCACGCCTGTAATCCCTGCACCTTAAGAAGCTGAGGCTAGTGGATCACCTGAGGTTGGGAGTTCGATACCAGCCTGGCCAACATGGTGAAACCCGTCTCTACTAAAAACACAAAAATTAGCTAGGCGTGGTGACGCGCGCCTATAATCAAGAAGCTGAGGCGGGAGAATCGCTTGAACCCGGTAGGGGCAGGTTGCAGTGAGCCGAGATCGCACCACTGGCACTCTAGCCTGGGCGAGAGAGTGAGACTCCGTCTCAAAAAAAAAAAAAAAGTAAAATACAAATTACAAAATTTCATAACTGTTGGACCTCTTTTCCTTCTGCTAATGGAAGTAAAACCATTATTATATAGCAGCCTAGCCAGACTTTTCTAAAGAGAAGAATGCCTCAATTCGGAAAAGCTTTATAAAAATTGCTTCTACAAAAGTTTAATTAATAGATTTAAATGCTTTGCAATGTTGGCCAAATACGAGGGTAGTTTTAAGCCTATCCACTTCATTTCCGAGTTCAGAGTGAGTCTGCAGTTGTAATTATGTGATTAATCAATTCAAGGCAGAGTTTTGTGATCATTAAAAATGAACCTGTAACTTCACCATAGAATTTAACTTAAGAGAAGTGGAATGGGAAAAAGAGCAAGTCATATTAGAACTCTGCCTGCATGATGAGAAACAGTGGGTAAGGCACGACTTATTATTTCGCAGTAATTCTACATAGGAAATACAGATCTTTCAGAGTTTTGTTTGGTTTTGACATTTGGCACATGTTTTAAAATAAGCACCATTTAAAGTTCCTTAAATAAATCATTTCTTTTTTGGCCTACTGAACTAAAAACATTCCACAATACAATTACAAAAATAACTTTCCGGTTTTCTCAGACAACCAGTTTATAAGAATAATTCAGAAGTTCACAAAGGATAATTTGATTTACATAAAGCTTAAAAAACGGACATAAAAGGTAAGTGAAAATGACCGATTAAGAAGACTGTTAAGGTCCTTTCTAACTACAAATTGTCATGCATTGTAATTAAACACAACTACAATGTTAAACACCTGAAGGAAAAAACCCACATAGAATTAATACTGCCAAAGAAAATTTCCGCTATCTTCAGGCACTTGAGTAAGCTATGTTAAAACGGGAAATGGGCTTTAAATTATCAACATTCACATCGATTACACTATGATGCATGAAAACTCCATTCTACAATGAGTAAACGCCCAAGAAAGGAACCCAACCAACTCCAATTGCCCTGGTGCTCGTAAGAGGTTTATACCGCACAAGGGGTAAAACAACGGTAGAGTCGAGCAAGCCTTTGGGTTACAACAGTCCTTGAACACTTGCAATTGAGAACCCGCAATTCAGGAAGGAAGACACTAAGGAAACTCTGCACTGTCATCCAGGGTGATCTGATTCAGGTTCAAACCAAACGCTCAAGGCGACAAGTTGTAAACAGAAGACACACTTCAGCTCAAACCACCCAGCGAGAGGAAGCAAACGTGCCCATCGCCGATGTCACAGCAAATCCCACCTTGCTGGCGCTCAGTCGGGAACGCTAGAATTCTCGAAGCACAGGGGCCCGCGATTCAGCGGCCCGCTACCACTGGGGCGGGGGAGAGCGGGGCTGGGCGCGCCCGCCCCCGGCCCTGCAGCCCCTCGGCTGGACTCCCCGCGGCGCCGCGAGCTCGGGCCCGAGAGAAAGGGCTGAGCAGAAAGGGCGGCCTCCGCCCAGAGACCGCGCCCGATACCCTCCGCAAGGTCTGGGACGGGGATCCACCGAGGGTCCGGGGACTGGGGAAGGCGTTTTCCAGACCCAGTCAAAGCCCCACCCCGTCAGGGCTTTCCCTCAAGACCGAGTGCGTTCCCCTCACGCGTCACATGTGTAACATGCGTTACACAACCCGTCAGGTAAGGGGCGCAGGGATCCGGGGTCGCCCCTCCTACCCCCGGGCGCCGTCGCTCGCATCTCCCGCGGCCCGGGGAGAGCAGAGGGACGGCCGGCCGGGACATGAGGACTGCAGCAGGGCGCTCACCGGCTCAGGATGGGGCGCTGGCGGGGACCGCGCAGAGCCGCAGCACCCGGCTCAGCACCTGGATCACGGCGGATCCCTCGCCGCCCGCCGCCCGGTGTTTTCATACAAACCCCGGTGGCAGGCGAGGCGGAGGCGGCGGCGGCGGCAGCTGCGGCGGCGGCGCTGGAGGCGGCGGAACCTGTCCGCATCCCGGGCAACGTCAGCGCGGCGCCCCGCCCACCGCACGCCTTGCCAGCCGGCTCCCAGCACGCGCAGGGAGTGGGGGCGGGGCGTGCGAGGCCGCGAAAGGGGCGGGGCGGAGCGCACGCCCTCTTCCCGCCGCGTCCCTTGTTACCTCCGTGCGCGCTGCGCCCCGCCTCTCTGCGCGCCTGACGGGAGGGAGCGCGCGCGTGGGGGCGGAGCGCGCACGGGAGCGGGAATTAGGGGCGGGTGTTCCGCGCGCTGCCGGTCCCTTGTACCCAGCAGCCCCGGCCACCGCCCCTCCGTACCGAACTGCGAGCGACTCCCCACGTTCTTCAAGTCATCTTTCTGTACACTCCCAACGAGGGCCCCAGCCTTTTCCCGGAACTAAGCCCGCGCCCACCCCCTCCCCCGCCATCAATCAGTCACTTTCTTAGGAAGGGTTCTTAAAGCTCCCCACGTGATCCCGGGGTCGCATCAAACGCTGGGGACTGCGGTAAAGCTTAGACCTTTCCTGACCTCAAGGAGGGTCCATAATAAGAGGCTGGAAGGGACATGCTGTTACTACAATCGGGCTCCCAGAAAACAACAGGATTGCACCTTGTGGCCAAATCTCAGTAAATTAGATGCCTAGTGCTGCAGCGAACAAAATAGCATGCTGATTTACTGTTTTTTGAAAAAGTGCCTGCATATAATCAAAACGGTAATGCTAAGTTGGCTACTGAAGGCAAAGGCGGAATGTTTTATCTGAGCCAAAGTAATGTGTCAGAGAAATTACTAATACACCCCCTTCTGTTTTGACTGTACTTCAGTGTACTGCAATGTATTGCAAATAAATACTGACATCATTTACTTTTTCACGTTGCACAAGAACATGTTTGCTACTGTTTATGGTAAGGAATGTAATATCACAACTAGATAAGGGAATGCATTGAGAACTGTGAGATTTTTGTTTTGTTTTATGATCTTGTTCAAATAAAATTAAGCAGGTGTGAAAGCAATTCAAAAAGTAACCCAAGGTACACCACAGTGCTTCTTACAGTTTGCCCTTGGTAGATGTCTTTATTCAGATGAACAAGAAACTGCCATTTTATAAACATCGTAGTTTCCCTCATCGTGAGCACTAAAAGATAGGTTACGGTATTTAAAATAATTTTGAAACAACCACCACCCCAAACCACCCAATCAGAAACGTATTATCTGAAAATACCCAATAATAATGTAATAATTTTACAATAATGCTAAATATGTATGTAATATACCTGAAACTTTTCTTAAAGAACATGTTTCTAAATGAGTCAACCTGCAATATAGGAAGATATTATGTGGATGTGTGTGTTTGTGGAATTTGAATCCCACTTTCACAAGCACTGTTAGCATAGTTTGATGACCACAACACAGACCCAGGAGATTAACCCACACAAGATAAATAGCAGCATTACATAGCTTTGAAATGATTCCAATCACATAGTTTGCCACAAGAGTGAGTGATTTATGTTTTGCGGTAATTAAGAACTTAGAGCTACTCCCCCACCCCCTGGGAATGTGACATCACTCTTCATCAGATCCCACGTGTATGAAGTTGAAATAAACTTCACCTCTCCTAGCTAATGTGACGTTACACCTTATCAAACACCATATATATGTTACTGACCTCAACTACAGGATTTCGAAATACATATAAACTCAAGAATTTGCAAGATACTTTGAGAGCTCAGCGGGTGGCAGATCGCGTGCTCTGTCAGCCACTTCCCTGAACGCTACCAGCTCAGGCTGCAACAGGGCCACACCCTGTTAGCCTTTAAGCTTTGAAGCCTGTCCACCAACACTGGCACAGCCCTCTAGCATCGTGGGACCTTGCATATCCTCACCGATCTCCTGTATGTTGGACACCATCTCTCCCGAGAACCTCAGCCTCCAAAAGGTAAAGGTACACCTCAGTTGTTTTTCTTTTTCTTTTTCTTTTTCTTTCTTTTTTTTTTTTTTTTGAGACAAGACTCTCACTCTGTTGCCAAGGCTGTAATACAGTAGTGCAATCATGGCTCACTGCAGCCTTGACCTCCCAGGCTTAATGAATCGTACTACCTCAGCCTCCCACTGAGTATCTGGGACTACAGGCACACGTCACCACACCTGGCTAATTTTTTTAATTGTTTTTGTAGAGTCGGGGTCTCCCTAAGTCACCCAGGCTGGTCTCAAACTCCTGGGCTCAGCAGTCCTCCTGCCTTAGCCTCCCAAAATGCTGAGATTACAGGCATTAATACCACACCCACCTCAATCCTTAATCAGACTTTACTTTCCACAGAGGTCTGCTTCAATCTTAATTGAACAACTAGGTTTTAATAGTTTTGGAACTCACTCACTATGTAGTTAATAAACATCATCTATGGAGTGTATTCCCTGTGAAATTATTCTCTTAATTCTCTGCCTCTATACATTGTGAACCTAAGAAAATAAATTATCTTCACATGGCAATAAACCATGTTGATCCAGGATTGTTTCCTCCTTAGCTCAGCTAGATCCAGGTTCTTGTCTCAAGACCAGGAAAAATCAGGTACACGGACACTTGAAGAGTGAGTGAAGTAGAATTTGTTAAGCAAAAGGAAAGCTCTCAGCAAAGAGAAGGATCCTGAAAGCAGGTTCCCAGTTGCCCGCTTCACAGTTGAATGCAGGGGCTTTTACATGCAAGCTGATGGGGCCAGGTTCCCTATTTGTGTAAGGCGC
The DNA here is from genome assembly GCF_000001405.40 of Homo sapiens. Classification (NCBI taxonomy): domain Eukaryota; kingdom Metazoa; phylum Chordata; class Mammalia; order Primates; family Hominidae; genus Homo; species Homo sapiens. The sequence continues at coordinate 85,744,679 of NC_000009.12, forward strand.
AAATTCCTGGTGGCTCCACCCCATTCCCCCAGTGTGCACGCGGGCCCTTAGTCCACTGTAGGCATGTTTAGGCAAGACCCCTGTGTAAGTTCCCTTATCTGTACGAAACATGGGTGGGAGCTTCTCTGGGGACCCTTTGCTTACTATCTGCCTAAAGCAAGCTGGCTGACGCCTTTCAATGTGATTCATGAAATCATACTTTTATCTCTCTACTTTGAACCATACAAAACACAGAGCTAATTTCTATTGGTCACTCTTTCCACAGCTTCTTCAATAAACCTTATTATGATATATAAAACTAAATGTGAATGGCTGATATAGATCAGAGTTGGACTATATAATGGAATTCATTTAACTTGGATTCCTCTATTCAGTCCAGCCTTGTAGGTACTCAGTAAATGTTTTCCTGTTTCATTTTTGGACTAGTCATGGGGAGAGAGAGGTGAACATTGGAGCCCAGCTATCTCTTTCTCCTCTTCTGCGGATCACCTTATCTCCATGCTTTTAATAAGGTAACGTACAAAATGCAACACACTGTATTACAAAACTCTATAGTCATAAGGCTTAGAACAGCCATGGACCTCTCAAAAAGTCTACAGCAATTTCCATCTAGAACATAAATGTTAGGAGAGCATGATTGATCATGAGGTTTCTGAAACATAGCTGGTCCTCTGGAGTTAGAGGATTGATTGTTATAACTATTCAACAATCAACCATTTATTGAGCACCTCTTATGTACCAGACAGTCCTCTTGAGATCTTCTGAGGAATTAAGCAAATGATAATGCTCAACAAAATACCTAACCACTGCCTTGTGTCAAACTAAAAGGTTTACCACAAATAGACCACAGAACAGAATGTAGTACAAACGACCAGAGCTGAATCTAAATGAATGCGGCAAAACTGGGAAATGGAGGGAAGCAATCTGGGATTTCACACATTGAATGGTTCTGATGCAAAATCTTTTACAGTGGCAAATGGTTTCCATGGTAAACTGTGAATGATATATAATTCGGGGTCAGAAAAATTGAACTTAAAGGCCAGGTGTGGTGGCTCATGCCTGTAATCCCAGCATTTTGGGAGGCCAAAGCAGGAGGATCAATTGGTGATATAGGAGTTAAGAAGAAATCACTTAGGCAGACAGTGAGAGTATGGCAGCCTTTGGTAAGGCTTTTCTCTTTAATGAAAAGCAGCCCCAAATCATTTTCTAACAAAGAGCAGCCTGTAAGCTCGAGCTCCAGACATAGACAAGCAATCTGGGAGCTTGCACTGGTGAATGCCAGCAGAAACTCGGGGCTAGACATGTTCAGGATGGCAGCTCCACTTCCCTTCTCTTTGTCAGCCACGTTTACAGTAAGAAGCAGACAACATGGTGCAGATCAACAGGAAAGCCCATTTGCAGAATAAGATTAGGGTGGGGCGACCAGCCTTCCTTTTCCCCCTGCCCCCACACAGTATATAGACGTCATACCTGATGGAACCAATCTGTGAGCCCCATATAAATCAGACACCGCCTTCTCCAACCTGCTGCCTATAAAATCTGCTGCGATCCACTGCCTCACCCCCTCTGTGGACATCTCTCTTTCCCAAAAAGCTGCCTCTCTCCTTTCTTCTAACTATCAACTTTCCACTACTTAACCCACCCACATGTGTCTGTGTCCTAAATTCTTTCTTGGCACACAAAACAAACCACAGGGTATATACCCCAGACAGCATAGGCATATCATTGGAGCCAGGAGTTCAAGACCAGCCTGGACAACATAGTGAGACCCCCCACATCTCTACAAAAATTAAAATTAAAATTACCTGAGCGTGGTGGTGCATGCCTGTAGTCCTAGCTACTTGGGAGGCTGAGGCAGGAGGATAGCTTGAGCCCAGGAGTTCAAGGCTACAGTAAACCGTAATCACACCACTGCACACCAGACTGGGCAACAGAGCAAGATTCTGCCTCTAACAAAAAGAAAGAGTGGGGGGAGAGAGAGAGAGAAGCAAAATTGAGTAGAGACTTAGTGTACAGCATGATGACTATTGTATACTGGAAATTTGCTAAGAGAGTGGATTTCAGGTACTCTTACCACAAAAAAAAAACCAAAATGCTAACTATGTGAAGAGATAAATATGTTAGCTTGACTATAGTAATCATTTCACTATGTATATCAAAACATCATGTTGTATACCTTACATATGTACAATTTTGTTTTTTTTGAGACAGGGTCTCACTCTGGAAGTGCGGTGGCATGATCATAGCCCACTGCAGCCTCCAATTCCTGGGCTCAAGTGATCCCCCTGCCTTAGCCTCCTAAGCAGCTGGGACGACAGACGCATACCACCACACCTGGCTAATTTTTTTTTTCTACTTTTTATAGACAGTGTCTTGCTATATTTCCCAGGCTGATCTTGAACTCCTGGCTTCAAGTGATCCTCTGGTCTTGGCCTCCCAAAGTATTGGGATTACAGGCCTGAGCCACCATGCTTGGCCCCAATTTTTATTTTTAAAAAATCAACTGGCCACAGATATATGGTTACTAAACTCTCAGTTCTATTCCATAGGTCTATATGTCTATCCTCATGCTAGTATCACACTATTTTGATTATTGTAGGATTATATTAAGTCTTGAAATCAGGAAGTAAGTTCTCCCACCTTGCTCTTCTTTTTCAAGATGATTTTGGCTATTCAGGGCCCCTATAATTTTCCATGTGAATTTGAGGATGGGCTTTTCCATTTCTGCAAAAAAGGCCATTGGAATTTTGATAAGGATTGTTGAATCTCTAGATTGCTCTGAGTAGTATTGACATCTTGACAATATTAAATTTCCTTATCCACGAGCATGGGAAGTCTTTCCATTTGTTTAGGTCTTCATTAATTTCTTTCAGCAATGTCATAATTTTTAGTGTACCAGTAGTATTTTACCTCTTTACTTAAACTTGTTCCTAGATATTCTTTTAGATGCTATTATAAATGGAATTGCTTTTTAAATTTCCTTGACACTATAAGACAACCCAGTGAAGAGTATGAGTTTAATTGCAGCTATGGAAAAGTATTCTATACTCACCTAGGATGGAGTATAGAAGTTAAGAGGGCAAAAATCAGAGCCATGAGGAACTCCCATATTTAAAAGAACTGGTAATAATAATAATGATATTCATAATAATGGTAATAATAATTATAGCAATAGTTAACATTTATTGAGATTTATATTCAAGCAATACTTTGCTAAGCATGTATGTGTCATCTTTTATCCTTTTTTCTTATTTTCAACTTTTTTTTTCTTCTGGATTTGTCTTTAAATATCTTAGTTTTTTTCATCCTAAAATTATCCTCCTTCAACCTTTTTCCCATCCCTTTCTTACCTCCCTTTTGTAACCAAACTTCTTGGAAAAGTTGACTGCATTTGTTTCTGTTACTTCTACTTTCATTCATTCTCTTATCCTCTCCACCTGGCTTCTGGCTCTATCACCCACTTCACAGCTCTTGAGAAGTTCACTAGTGCTCTCTCTGTCACTAAAGTCCTTATCGTAATACTGTGCATCCAGCACAGTTCAGCACTCCCTCCGTCTTGAAGTATTTTCCCCTTGCCTTTATGACATTATACTTTCCTTGTTTTTTCTTCTCTTCCTGATTGCTTGTTCTCTGTCTTGGCTAGCTCATCCTACTCCACCAGTCCTTTATAAATGTGGGAGTTCCTCATGGCTCTGGTCTCTGCCCTCTTCTATACTCTATCCTAGGTGAATATAGGATACTTTTCCGTGGCTGCAATTAAACTGAAAATTTCCAAATTTAATGCTTAATCCCAAGTCTGTTCTTTGAGCTCCAGCCTCTCCCCTAGGTTGTCTTATAGATGAATTAATGATCTTCCTTACTTACCTTTCCATGATTCCCCACTCCCTGCTCCCTTCATGGGGGAAAAATGTAGTTCTCCAATGTGCCTTACATGATATATCAGTTGGGTGTGCTAGAAGTTTGGGCATCATCATTGGCTCTTGCGTCTTTCTTATGCATATCCAATGAACCACTAAAGCCTTCAGAGTATATCTTTAAAACACCATGAATCTGTCCAATTTTCATTTCTTCTGCCAACAACTTAGTCTGTTTTGTTTTAGCTCTTCTTCCAATGTGAAGATCAGGCCAGCCTGTTCAGTGTTGTGGTCTTTGGGTTTTAACTCCTCATCTCTTATAGGCCATGGCTTAAACCAGCAAGACATAGCACTCTTTAAATCCATGCTTAGGGAAAAGAAGACACTGTCTTCTTCAAAGAGTAGAAGTCTGCTGAAATGCAACTCTGCTTGTAACTCAAACTTTTACCTTCTTATCTAGTGCACTTTTTTTTTTTTTTTTTTTTTTTGAGACAAGGTCTTGCTCTGTCATCCAGGCTTGAGTGCAGTGGTGTGATCGTGGCTCACTGCAGCCTTGGGCTCAAGCGATCCTCCCACCTTAGCCTCCCAAGTAGCTAGGACTGCAGGCACATGCCAGCGTACCTCACACATTTTTTAATTTTTTGTAGAGATAGGGTCTTACTATGTTGCCCAGGCTGATCTCAAACTCCTGGGCTTAAGTGATCCTCCTGCCTCAGCCTCCCAAAATGCTAGGATTACAGGCACAAGCCACCACACCTTGCCACGTAGGGCAATTTTATTCCATCTTGCCACATCTCTAATTCTAGTGAAATGACCCACTTATGGGGGATATCAGGTATTCCAGAAAAAGGAACAGACTTTCCCAAAGATATATTGATGTATCCTCTACTTAATGCAAAAACAGAAAACCTGCTTACAGTCCTAAAGGATATTTGCTCTCTGCTTGGAGCTAACTCTCTGAGACTCCTGTCTGTCTCTTTTCTACTTGACTAAACCATTTCCAAAGAATAGTACAACTTCTGCATAGGTTCTCTTCAGAGCAGCAGTTCTTAACTGAGGTCCATGGATAGGCTTTGAAGAAAAGATATGAGAACTCCTGAAATTGTGGGTGGTGGTGTGATCTTAAGCTTTTTAACCACCCATTTCCTCATCTTTAAAATGGATTTTATAATAGTCCCTAAATCATAGGATTGTTGTGAGGGCTAAATGGGATAATTAAATAGATATAAAAAGCCTAGCACAGTGCCTGGTACACAGTTATTTTAATATGTATAACAAAAATTACAATGTAAGAAAAAAGGCATTGTCTGGAGCAACATGTGGAAGAGGGAATTAGAAGTACTCCTGTATCCCTTTTTTTTTTTTTTGAGACGGAGTCTCTCTTTGTTGCCCAGGCTGGAGTGCAGTGGCGTGATCTCATCTCACTGCAAGCTCTGCCTCCCAGGTTCATGCCATTCTCCTGCCTCAGCCTCCCAAGTAGCTGGGACTACAGGCACTTGCCACCATGCCTGGCTAATTTTTTTGTCTTTTTAATAGAGACAGGGTTTCATGGTGTTAGCTAGGATGGTCTTGATCTCCTGACATTGTGATCTACCCGCCTTGGCCTCCCAAAGTGCTGGGATTACAAGTGCAGTATACTTTTAAAGTGTATGTGGACAAACAGAAATAGTAGAGAGTCAACTCCAAGTATAAGGTCTCTTTATTTAAGGTAGCTTTATTTCATCATCCTGAAATGTCTAGGGCTATCACAGGGGCTAAATTATAGCTATGAACTAGAACTAGGGAAGCATCAAGAACTATGGATGGTAAACATAATAGAGTCCAAATTCACTTATAACTCAGATGGGTGTAACATTTTTCTTTATTTAGTCTATGGCACCTGTTTTCTTTGTGAGTGCACCTCTCTTCTATCCATGTCATGATTATTGCTGGAAATATGGTGGAAACTAATCAAATGTTCTCTCTGTTCAAACCTTGTTCTAAAAATGTAAACACTTCCTTTAAATACTTTTCAGGTCTTTTGAATAAGAATGCTCAGTCTCTTAGCCTCCTCTTCCCTATGCTTCTCTCCCTAAGATGACAGCCAGTGTATGTTGTAGTTGGGTGTATAGCCTTCTTTTATCCTATGCCTTGGAGTTGAGGATTGTGACCAGCTGGAAATTGTTCTCCCTTGTCCACCTTACCCTGCCTAATCTGCTGGCCCCTGATGATGAAACCCCTGGCTGGTATAACTTGCAGTTTGATCTTGCTTCTGGTTTGGAGCATGGGGGTGCTTTCCCTTCATCTCATCTCCCACTAGCATTATAAGCCCCTACTGAGGCTACTAGGCATTCCGTCTAGCTTGCTAGCCCAGTGGCCTGTCCTTATACCCAGTTTGGGAGCCAGTTCCCCACAGTGACTACCTACATTAGCTCTCAACTTTCAGGATCCATGCCACTTGAGACCAAGGAGTCCAACTGGGGTCTCTTTCCTAATCGTACCTCTCTGCTCTTTCAGCAAGGCTGGGCAATTGTATATGGGTGTGGGGCTTCTGCACTGCAGTCTGCATTTTCTCTCCTGAATAGTTTAGGAGCCCGTCTCTCCCCATTGATACCTTTACTTATCATCCCCCTTTCTGGACCAAAACTCAGACAGAGGACAATTGGGAAACAAGTCTTTCTTACTGTCTCTTTTCTCCTTTCTGCCATTCCCAGGGCTGGAGAGCACTAGGCTTTTCTTTTACTTCCTTTCTATCAGTGCTTCTGAAATTACTTGTGGAGAAGGTATAGTTTTTATTTTGTTATAAATTTGTCACAGCCTAACACTTTTATAAAACATGAATTAGTAGAAAAGTGAAATTTAAAATATACAAATAAAAGTCCATTTTAAAAATTGTTAGAGTCATCAGACATAAAATTATTCTGTCAAATTGCTATAAAAGTATCTCAGCACTTTCAATTGCGTACTTATCCATCATGGACCAGTAACAGAGAGTATGTGAACTGGCCAGCTCTGACTCATGGCGTCCTTCCTGTCCTGCTAAGCTTTAGTGATGGACAACATCATTTCTAAACCCCTAGAAGGCACCATGAACATTGCACCTTTTGTTTTGTTTTGTTTTGAGACAGAGTCTCACTCTGTCACCTAGGCTGGAGTGCAGTGGCGCGATCTCAGCTCACGGTAATCTCTGCCTCTCAAGTTCAAGCGATTCTCGTGCCTCAGCCTCCTGAGTAGCTGGGAATACAGGCACACGCCCGGCTAATTTTTGTATTTTTAGTAGAGACGGGGTTTCCCCATGTTGGCCAGGCTGGTCTTGAACTCCTGACCTCAGGTGATCAGCCTGCCTCGGCCTCCCAAAGTGCTGGATTACAGGCATGAGCCACCACTCCTGGCCAACATCGCACCTCTTGACTTGACCCTTAAGATGTGGATGGAGGCTGGGCATGGTGGCTCATGCTTGTGATTCCAGCACCTTGGGAGGCTGAGGCAGGTGGATCACCTGAGTTCAGGTGTTCGAGACCAGCCTGGCCAACATGGTAAAACCCTATCTCTCCTAAAAAATAAAAAATACAAAAATTAGCCAGGTGTGGTGGCATACGCCTATAATACCAGCTACTCAGGAGGCTGAAGCATGAGAATTACTTGAAACCCGGGAGGCGGAGGTTGCAGTGAGCTGAGATTATGCTATTGCATACAGCCTGGGTGACAGAGTGAGACTTTGTCTAGAAAAAAAAAAGATGTGGATGGAAACTAAAGAAATTTGGAAAGTGCACTTCATAAGACCATGATCTGTCTTCCAAGTCTATTCTCATATTGCAAACTCCCATTTTTGAACACAAGAAATTGAACATTACATTTTGCATTTCTACTATAATAAATTTTAATATACTCACAGCAGATGGATGTCTTGGGTGGAGTAACTATGAAAGTAATAAGCTCAGAAAGGCAGAAGAGAATAACCCACTTATAAATTTCAGACTCTTATCCTTGTTACGCTAATGTGTAACACTCACGAAGAATGAAAAAAACGCTCAGTTTTGTTAGTAAATCCTAATTTTTGCAGTTGTATTGTATTGCCTCAGTAAGAGCTAACATTCCTTTCTTCTTAGATATGCTAATTACCCTGGTCTGATCACTATACATTATATGTATTGAAATAATCACTGTGTACCTCACGAATATGTACAATTATTATTTGTCAATTAAAAATTAAGGCTGAGCATGGTGACTTATGCCTGTAATGCCAGAACTTTAGGAAGTTGAGGCTGGAGCATCACCGGAGGCCAGGAAGATCACTGGAGACTGGCCTGGGCAACATAGCAAGACCCCATCTCTACAAAAAATTTTTAAAAAATTAGCTGGATGTGGTGGTACACATCTGTAGTCCTAGCTACTTGGGAGGCTGAGGTGAGAGGATTACTTGAGCCCAGGAGCCTGAGCTTACAGTGAGCTATGATCATGCCATTGCACTCTAGTCTAGGTTACAGAATGAGACCCTATCTCTAAAAAATTTTTTTAAACAAAAAAATCCCCACATTATTTTCTTCTCAAATAGAGCCCCAACTGTCATCTACTCATTTTCTCTTTCTGTGACTAAGGAAGTAAATGTTAAGAAAATGTGGCTGGATGGCTTGAGCCCAGGAGTTTGAGGCTGTGATTGTGCCACTGCACTCCAGCCTGGGTGACAGAGCGAGATCTTGTCTCCAAAAAAAGAAAGAAAAAAAAAATTGTCATCAGTGTACTTAATGGTCAGGTGTAAAAGCAATAAGGTGTTTTCAATTTCTTTTTCTATAGGAACTACAATTAAAAACAGGACAGGAAGAAGGTCTAAAACCGAAAGCTGAGGACCTTGATGCATGTAACTTGAAAAGGAGAAAAGGTTCGTTTGGAAGTATAGACCATCTCCAGGTTTGTCAATTCTATTTAGCGTTTCCTGGTTTCTCTTCAATCTGATGGTTGTCTAAATAGAGGTAAACTCACACCTGTAATCCTAGCACTTTGGGACGCTGAGGTGGGTGGATCACCTGCGGTCAGGAGTTCGACCAGCCTGGTCAACATGGTAAAACCCCGTCTCTACTAAAAATATAAAAATTAGCCAGTCTTGGTGGCGGGTGCTTGTAATCCCAGCTACTTGGGAGGCTGAGGCAGGAGAATCGCTTGAACCCTGGAGGTGGAGGCTGCAGTGAGCCGAGACCATGCCACTGCACTCCAGCCTGGGCAACAAGAGCAAAACTCCCTCTCAATAAATAGATAGATAGATAGATAGATAGATAGATAGATAGATAGATAGATAGATGTAAAAACTGTTGGACTCTGAATAAAACCTTCAAACACTAGATGCCGCCCAAATGCAAAATTTCTAGTATTTGTTCTGAAACTTTATTATTTTTCTTTTCTTAAATTTTAGATTCAGGGATACACATGCAGGTTTGTTAGATGGGTATATTGTGTGATGCTAAGATTTGGGCTTCTAATAATCCTGTTGCCCAAGTAGTGAAACTTTTATTATTACAAAATTATTTTCTCATCCAGAAATGTGCTGTATTTTTTGTTTTTCCTTGCTCTCAGCAGAATCAATATATTCTTATTTCAGTAGAAAGGAGTTGATTTGAATGTTGTAGAATATAAACATGAAATCCACGTTCACTGGACTGTATTTATTCCCATCTCATGAAGACGAGTATATTTTATTTTGTTTGAGATGGAGTCTCGCTCTGTCGCCCAGGCTGGAGTGCTGTGGCACGATCTCAGCTCACTGCAAGCTCCGCCTCCCGGGTTCACACCATTCTCTGCCTCAGCCTCCCAAGTAGCTGGCACTACAGGTGCCCACCACCATGCCCGACTAATTTTTTGTATTTTTAGTAGAGACGGGGTTTCACCATGTTAGCCAGGATGGTTTCGATTTCGTGATCTGCCTGCCTTGGCTTCCCAAAGTGCTGGGATTACAGGTGTGAGCCACCGCGCCCAGCCAAAGACAAGTATATTTCTAAAAATCAGAACTCTACATTCAAAGAAAACCAAATTGTATATGTACTTTATATATTAAAAAGCCATTATTTTAGTGCCACCTTTTAAAAAGAAAGTCATAATCCACAAACTAATTTTGAAGTTCAAAGAAATTGAAATTTTAAATTTTATGTAAGCAAAAAATACTGTATTTAAAATACCTAGAATGCAATTATCTCTACCTTACTTTAGAAAGATTTATTCTCTCTTCATAAATTTTACATTACATTTTCTTAGTGACGTTTAATAGTGACATGGGTGCATTCCCACACACACCCATTCCACCCAGAAATGTCATCACCAGTTGTAATTTTTTAGGTTTTTTCCTTTTAAGTAGAGCTTAAAAAGAATCTCTTATTCATCTTTCAAACCCCACTCACAGTTTAAGAATGTTTGTAGAATATATTTAAGTTACTTGCTAGACTTCCTAGGATCTCCTACTGGAGTATTTAAGGATATGACAAAATTAACATTTTTATAGTTGCTCTTTCTCTTCCTAATAATTGTAGAGCTACTATAATATTTTAGGCTCCAGTGTTATCTGGACATGATAGTGCTTATAAGATTATACTATTAATATCCTGGTGTTATTGGAAGACCGAATAACTATGCATCTTCTTTGTCTTGGCCATTTTGCTCTCTTTTTCTCATATATATTCACTGTCTCATTGTATGATAGATTTCCAGAAACCCTTTCTATAAGGTTCATGAAGGACTAGGAAATAATACTATATGGATTTCTTTTCCTATTTATTTGTTGTTTTGGTGGCAGTGCTTCATTACCGTGTCCACTTGGTAGAGTTCCTTTTAAACAGTCATATTCCATCTATATTTATGTTTGTATTTGTTTCCGCATATCCTTAATTCAAGAGAGTACTCAGATGTTTGTTTTGGAGATCTTTTCAGCAATTTTTTATTTTTGTTTTTTTCTTTTTTTAAAATAATTATTTGAGGTTGACAAGCTACAATGCAAATTGGCTTTCCTTCCATCCTCCATCATCTGTGTCTTCCACTGTGTGTATTCATTTATTCACTTCATTGACTGACTGAATCAGGCATTCATTCACTCATTCATTTAACATTTTATTGAATGCCCACTGTGGCCCAGGCAATATACCAGCCATGTGGATAGACGGGTAAAAACTACAGCCCCTGCAATCAATCAAGGAACTCAAGTTGGGGAGATAGATACGTAGGGCAGCCACCAGTGTAAGTGCTGTGATGGAACTGTGCAGCACTACAACAGAGTAAAATACTCCAGCATGTTCTTAATATAGGCATAGAAAATTATCAGCCCTTTCTTCGTCAGGCTAAAAAATCCTAGACTGTTTAACATATCTGGGGGGTAAATTTTAATTCTTTATAAAACAACATAGCTACATCTTGACTAGAACCACTGATGTCTTTAGGATCTCAGACGGCTACCTGAGTTACTCTAAGTGATAGTTTTTAAATGTTCATTTAAGAGATTTCAGCCAATCTGAAATTCTATTATTACCATATAATTTTTATGGCAGAAGGAAAAACAAGTAATTTTTTTTTTAATTTTAATGTAGAAATTGGATAAGCAAAAGAAATAGTTAGATGAAGAAGTAGAGAAAGTTCTGAACCAATGCCAAGAATTAGAGGAGCTGGAAGCAGACTTAAAGAAACGGGAGGCCATAGTTTCTAAGAAGGAGGCTCTGTTACAGGAGAAGAGTCACCTGGAAAATAAGAAATTGAGATCTAGTCAGGTATTCTGTTTAATACACTACTTGATTCTGGTTGTAAACCACTCCCCACTCCCCACTAGGATGGCTATAATCAGAAAAACATAATAAGAAATGTGTGGGAGGAGGTGGAGAAATTGGGACCTTCATACACTGCTGGTGAAATTGGAAAATGGTGCAATCGCTTTGGATAACCATCTTGTAGTTCCTCAAAAGGCTAAACTTAGAGATACTATGTGACCCAGTAATCTCACTCCTAGGGATGGGTGGGAGGGTGGGTGGATGGATTGATGGATGGATGGATGGATGGATAGATGGATAGATAGATAGATAGACAGAGAGATAGACAGATAGATAGATCTATCTCTGTATGTATTTCTCCATGAGAAATGAAAGCATGTATCCACACAAAAACTTGAACATGAACATTCATAGTAACAGTATTCATAGTAGCTAGAAACAAAACAACACAAATGATCATCAAGTGATGAATGGATAAACTGTGATTATCCATACAATAGCATATTATTTGACAATAGAAGGGAATGAAGTAGTGATACATGCTACAACATGGATGAACGTTGAACACCTATGTTAAGTGAAAGAAACCAGTCACAAAAGACCACCTTTGTATAATACCATTTGTATCAAGTCTCCAGAATGGGCAATTCCATTTCTGTCCAGAGACAAAAACTAGAATAGTGGTTACCTAGGGTTGGTGGGGGATTGGGCGGGGGAAATAGAATGCCTACTAATAGGTGTGGGGTTTCTTTTTTTTGGGGGGGTGAAGAAAATGTAAAATTGATTGTGGTGATGGTTACATAAGTGTGAATATATGAAAAACCATTGAATTATATACTTTATTATTATTTTTTATTTTTTGAGACTGGAGTGCAGTGGCGCGATCTGTGCTCACTGCAACCTCTGCCTCCTGGGTTCAAGTGATTCTCCCGTCTCAGCCTCCCGAGTAGCTCGGACTACAGGCACACACCACCATGCCCAGCTAATTTTTGTATTTTTAGTAGAGACGGGGTTTCAACATATTGGTCAGACTGGTCTCGAACTTCTGACCTTGTGATCCGCCTGTCTTGGCCTCCCAAAGTGCTGGAATTACAGGCATGAGCCACCATGCCCGGCCTTGAGTTATATACTTTAAATTGGTGAACTGCATGGTATGTAGATTATATCTCATTAAAGCTATTATGTTTTTTGAAAAGCCATAAAAGGGAAAAGACAGTAGAGGAGATAACAGAGGACAAAAGATTACAAAAAAAGAAAAGATGGAAAGCAAATAGATGAGAGCTTATTAACTTAGCAGAACAGAAGATGCTGCATTGCAAGTACCTAGAGAGACACAAATGAGAGCCAGGCCAAGATCCTACATATATGCTATCACCACACATCTTACCAGCTTTTTAATACCTGACTCTGAAATGTGATGGGCATTTTAGGAATGCTTTAGATGTTTTCCTTTTTTAAAAATAACAGTTTTAGAGAGATAAAATTCACATAGAACATCAAAAAGACTCAGAAATGAAGGGACCAAGATTTTCAGAAGGCAGGAGTAGCATAAAGATGAAAACAGGGCATAGTCATGAAACTATTTTTTCTCACTCTGGGACCGATTTATTTTCTGAAGATTGAACCAGGCACAGCAAAGGTTGTGATAAGTCAAAAAAACTCCAAGTAGGGAATGAATGCAAGTCTGCATATGAATTGTGAAACATCTATTTCCTAATCTCTACTTGGATCTAAGAATGCTGGCAGCCAGATTTATACTTCCTAGCCGGAGATTGGCATATTTTCTGAAACATCTAAAAAGATATGAAAACTCTTAAATTTGGAAGCCCCCACTTAAATAAGTGGCCCACATATATGCTGTTACCACAAATCTTATCTGCTTTTCGATACCTGACTCTGAAATATGATGGACATTTCAGGAATGCCACTATTAAAGACAGAAAACAAAACAAAAGGAAAAAATAAACTCAGAGACATTAGAGATAGAACAAGAAGCTGAAAAAACTTCACAGAAATCTTAATATCCTCAATGTGGTAAAAGATGACTATCTATAAAGAACTACAAGTTATGAAAAACATGAAAGAGCTCTTGGAAATTAAAAGGGTTGGAGGATAGGCAGGGCGCGGTGGCTCACACCTGTAATCCCAGCACTTTGGGAGGCCAAGGCGGGCAGGTCACGGGAGGTCAGGCGTTCGAAACCAGCCTGACCAACATGGTGAAACCCCGTCTCTTCTAAAAATACAAAAATTAGCCAGGCGTGGTTGTGGGCACCTGTAATCCCAGGTACTTGGGAGCTGAGGCAGGAGAATCACTTGAACCTGAGAGGCAGACGTTGCAGTGAGCCGAGACCATGCCATTGCACTCCAGTCTGGGCGACAAGAGCAAAACTCCATCTCAACAAAAAGGGTCAGAGGATAAAGTTGAGGAAATATTCTGAAAAGTAAGTAAAAATACAAGTTAATAGAAAGTAGGAGCGAAACATTTTTAATTGGCAGATAAATTCAGAAAGCCCAAGATCCAAGTAATGGGAATTCCAGAAAGATACAACAGAGAAAACAGAAAAGAGGAGATTATCAAAGACATCATATAAACAATTTTCTCAACACCAGTAATGTGAGACTCTAGGCCTCTCACGTGCAGAGACACACATAGGCTCAAAATAAAGGGATGGAGGAAGATATACCAAGCAAATGGAAAACAAAAAAAGGCAGGGGTTGCAATCCTAGTCTCTGATAAAACAGACTTTAAACTAACAAAGATCAAAAGAGATAAAGAAGGCCATTACATAATGGTAAAGGGATCAATTCAACAAGAAGAGCTAACTATCCTAAATGTATATGCACCCAATACAGGGGCACTCAGATTCATAAAGCAAGTCCTTAGAGACCTACAAAGAGACTTAGACTCCCACACAATAATAATGGGAGACTTTAACACCCCACTGTCAATATTAGACAGATCCATGAGACAGAAATTTAACAAGGATATCCAGAAATTGAACTCAGCTCTGCACCAAGCAGACCTAATAGACATCTACAGAACTTTCCACCCCACATCAACACAATATACATTCTTCTCAGCACCACATCACACTTATTCCAAAATTGACCACATAGTTGGAAGTAAAGCACTCCTCAGCAAATGTAAAAGAACAGAAATTATAACAAACTGTCTCTCAGACCACAGTGCAATCAAACTAGAACTCAGGATTAAGAAACTCACTCAAAACCGCTCAACTACATGGAAACTGAACAACCTGCTCCTGAATGACTACTGGGTACATAACGAAATGAAGGCAGAAATAAAGATGTTCTTTGAAACCAACGAGAACAAAGACACAACATACCAGAATCTCTGGGACACATTTAAAGCAGTGTGTAGAGGGAAATTTACAGCACTAAATGCCCACAAGAGAAAGCAGGAAAGATCTAAAATTAACAGCCTAACATCACAATTAAAAGAACTAGAGAAGCAAGAGCAAACACATTCAAAAGCTAGCAGAAGGCAAGAAATAACTAAGATCAGAGCAGAACTGAAGGAGATAGAGACACAGAAAACCCTTCAAAAAATCAGTGAATCAAGGAGCTGGTTTTTTGAGATCAACAAAACTGACAGACCGCTGGCAAGACTAATAAAGAAGAAAAGAGAGAAGAATCAAATAGATGCAATAAAAAATGATAAAGGGGATATCACCACCGATCCCACAGAAATACAAACTACCATCAGAGAATACTATAAACACCTCTACGCAAATAAACTAGAAAATCTAGAAGAAATGGATAAATTCCTGGACACGTACACCCTCCCAAGACTAAACCAGGAGGAAGTTGAATCTCTGAATAGACCAATGACAGGCTCTGAAATTGAGGCAATAATTAGTAGCTTACCAACCGAAAAAAGTCCAGGATCAGACGGATTCACAGCCGAATTCTACCAGAGGTACAAGGAGGAGCTGGTACCATTCCTTCTGAAACTATTCCAATCAATAGAAAAAGAGGGAATCCTCCCTAACTCATTTTATGAGGCCAGCATCATCCTGATACCAAAGCCTGGCAGAGACACAACAAAAAAAGAGAATTTTAGACCAATATCCTTGATGAACATCGATGCAAAAATCCTCAATAAAATATTGGCAAACCAAATCCAGCAGCACATCAAAAAGCTTATCCACCATGATCATGTGGGCTTCATCCCTGGGATGCAAGGCTGGTTCAACATACGCAAATCAATAAATGTAATCAAGCATATAAACAGAACCAAAGACAAAAACCACATGATTGTCTCAATAGATGCAGAAAAGGCCTTTGACAAAATTCAACAGCCCTTCATGCTAAAAACTCTCAATAAATTAGGTATTGAGGGGACATATCTCAAAATAATAAGAGCTATTTATGACAAACCCACAGCCAATATCGTACTGAATGGGCAAAAACTGGAAGCATTCCCTTTGAAAACTGGCACAAGACAGGGATGCCCTCTCTCACCACTCCTATTCAACATAGTGTTGAAAGTTCTGGCCAGGGCAATCAGGCAGGAGAAAGAAATAAAGGGTATTCAGTTAGGAAAAGAGGAAGTCAAATTGTCTGTTTGCAGATGACATGATTGTATATCTAGAAAACCCCATCGTCTCAGCCCAAAATCTCCTTAAGCTGATAAGCAACTTCAGCAAAGTCTCAGGATACAAAATCAGTGTGCAAAAATCACAAGCATTCTTATACACCAATAACAGACAAACAGAGAGCCAAATCATGAGTGAACTCCCATTCACAATTGCTTCAAAGAGAATAAAATACCATACCTAGGAATCCAACTTAGAAGGGATGTGAAGGACCTCTTCAAGGAGAACTACAGACCACTGCTCAGCAACATAAAAGAGGACAAAAACAAATGGAAGAACATTCCATACTCATGGGTAGGAAGAATCAATATTGTGAAAATGGCCATACTGCCCAAGGTAATTTATAGATTCAATGCCATCCCCATCAAGCTACCAATGACTTTCTTCACAGAATTGGAAAAAACTACTTTAAAGTTCATGTGGAACCAAGAAAGAGCCCACATTGCCAAGACAATCCTAAGCCAAAAGAACAAAGCTGGAGGCATCACGCTACCTGACTTCAAACTATACTACAAGGCTACAGTAACCAAAACAGCATGGTACTGGTACCAAAACAGAGATATAGACCAATGGAACAGAGCAGAGCCCTCAGAAATAATACCACACATCTACAACTCTCTGATCTTTGACAAACCTGACAAAAACGAGAAATGGGGAAAGGATTCTCTATTTAACAAATGGTGCTGGGAAAACTGGCTAGCCATATGTAGAAAGCTGAAACTGGATCCCTTCCTTACATCTTATACAAAAATTAATTCCAGCTGGATTAAAGACTTAAATGTTAGACCTAAAACCATAAAAACCCTAGAAGAAAACCTAGGCAATACCATTCAGAACATAGGCATGGGCAAGGACTTCATGTCTAAAACACCAAAAGCAATGGCAACAAAAGCCAAAATTGACAAATGGGATCTAATTAAACTAAAGAGCTTCTGCACAGCAAAAGAAACTACCGTCAGAGTGAGCAGGCAAACTACAAAATGGGAGAAAATTTTTGCAATCTACTCATCTGACAAAGGGCTAATATCCAGAATCTACAATGAACTCAAACAAATTTACAAGAAAAAAACAACCCCATCAACAAGTGGGTGAAGGATATGAACAGAAGCTTCTCAAAAGAAGACATTTATGCAGCCAACAGACACATGAAAAAATGCTCATCATCACTGGTCGTCAGAGAAATGCAAATCAAAACCACAATGAGATACCATCTCACACCAGTTAGAATGGCGATCATTAAAAAGTCAGGAAACAACAGGTGCTGGAGAGGATGTGGAGAAATAGGAACACTTTTACACTGTTGGTGGGACTGTAAACTAGTTCAACCATTGTGGAAGACAGTGTGGCGATTCCTCAAGGATCTAGAACTAGAAATACCATTTGACCCAGCCATCCCATTACTGGGTATATACCCAAAGGATTATAAATCATGCTGCTATAAAGACACATGCACACATATGTTTATTGCGGCACTATTCACAATAGCAAAGACTTGGAACCAACCCAAATGTCCAACAATGATAGACTGGATTAAGAAAATGTGGTACATATACACCATGGAATACTATGCAGGCATAAAAAATGATGAGTTCATGTCCTTTGTAGGGACATGGATGAAGCTGGAAACCATCATTCTCAGCAAAGTATTGCAAGGACAAAAATCCAAACACTGCATGTTCTCACTCATAGGTGCGAATTGAACAATGCGAACACTTGGACACAGGAAGGGGAACATCACACACTGGGGCCTGTTGTGGGGTGTGGGGAGGGGGCAGCGATAGCATTAGGAGATATACCTAATGTAAATGACGAGTTAATGGGTGCAGCACACCAACATGGCACATGTATACATATGTAACAAACCTGCACATTGTGCACATGTACCCTAGAACTTAAAGTTATATATATATATATAAAACTTTATATATATAAAACTTTATATATATGTAAAACTTTATATATATATAAACTTTATAAAGTTTATGTATATAAAGTTTATACATATATATAGAAAGAAATAGCCCATCAAGGGCCCAGCAAAATGAGTACCCAAAACATATCACTGTGAAGGTTTGGATACACTGACTGAGGAAAAAAGAAGGTCCTGAAAGCATCTAGACAAAAAAGACTACTTGTAAGTTGCAAGAATCAGAATGGCATTGGACTTCTCAGCTTTCCTCATTAGAAGTTTAAGATCTGAAGCAATCTTTAAACTCATGAGGAAAATTAAGTCTAATAAATAATTTTCTTCTTAGCCAAACTCTCAATCAAATGTGAAGCTAGAATAAGCATTTTCAGGCAAAAAAACAAAAAACAAACAAAAAAAAACCCTCACATCAAGCCTGTCCAGAGAAACTACTAGAGAATGTGCCCCACAAAAATAAGGGCACCAACTATGAAAAAGGAAGACTCAGGATTCTGAAAATGTGCTCCAACATGGAAATTCTCAGGAAATACCAAAGGGAAGACCCAGGACAACTGGTCCAGTGTGGAGCAGGAGGATGGATGCTCCAGGCAAAATGTTTCCAGAAAAGAATAGATTGAAAAGATTTCCTGATAAGTTTGATCAAATGAAAAAGTGTTGAGGAATTTTATAGTTCTGTTGGAGAAGAATTAGTATAAGGTGCAAAAAAAAGTTGTATCAAAACAGAAGCATGATCATTTCATACTAGATAGTTCACCTATGAATAACAAAGTTATAATAATGAAAATGAATATTGATTTAACTAAAAACTATAATGTAACTTATATTGGGAGAATGGAGGAGGATGGGAAGTAGAGTAGGTATAAGAGTGCTAAATCCTTATCTCCCATAATACACAGTCAGTAGACAATGTCTAAAATTGATAATGCCATTTAGAAACATGGACATAAACACCAGAAGAACCAACTGAAAAGGTTGAAGGTGGCCGTCTGGGAGTAGGATTCAATTAAAAGCTTGGGGGAGGGGAATGCTTTTTTAAAATTATAAACCTTATGATAGTATGTGTCTCTATAATAAACCTCATGGTAGTATATACAAATAATTACTGTGAAAAGTATTTTACAAATTACCTGAAATTTGACCATAGTGAACATCTCCATAAATCTGGCCATATTTTCTGATCAGAATGAAATACGAGTAAAAACAAATTATATGTTTAAGCCAACCAATCGTATGTTTAAACACACCACATCTCAACCCCTAGTAAATTGTAACATAATTCTACAATGTAGAATGTAAGCCAAGAAAGAAAAGTTCAATTTAGAAAATAAGAAAAAAGAAAAATACTGCCTCTGAAAACCTAGTCAAGGCAATTCTTGGCAGTAAACTCAGAGTTTAAATAGACTTTTTTTTTTTAAAAAGGCATTCAACTTAAGATTTTAGAAAATGAACACCCCGGTCGGGTGGGTGTCTCACGTCTGTAATCTCAGAACTTTGGGGGGCTGAGGCGGGTGGATCACCTGAGGTCAGGAGTTCGAGACCAGCCTGGCCAACATGATAAAACCCCATCTCTAGTAAAAATACAAAAAATTAGCTGCACATGGTGATGAGCGCCTGTAATCCCAGCAACCAGGGAGGCTGAAGCAGGAGAATCGCTTGAACCTGGGAAGCGAAGGTTGCAGTGAGCTGAGGTTGCACCATTGCACTCTAGCCTGGGGAACAAGAGCAAAACTCCATGTCAAAAACAAAAAAAGAAAATGAATACCCCCTCCCTCAAAAAAATCCATGGGAGAAAACAATAATGTAAAAACTAAAAATATATTCATTTAGCAATTTTCTCTATGTTTTTCCTAATTTTTATGCAGTCTAGATTTCTAGTAACTGTTTTCGGGGTGTCTGGTGGGTTGTATCTTTTAGGCCTTAAACACAGATAGTTTGAAAGTATCAACTCGCCTGAACTTAATGGAACAAGACTTCTCTGAAAAGAATGTGCAGCTCCAGACCAGTACAGCTGAGGAGAAAACAAAGATTTCAGAGCAAGTTGAAGTCCTCCAGAAAGAAAAGGATCAGCTCCAGAAACGAAGACACATTTTTAAGATGAAAAACTTAAAAATGGTAGAGTGTTATCACCTGAAGTAAGTCAGTATTCTTTGGAACTGGAGGTGCTGTATGATGGATCACTTGAGTGATTTCCTCAGTCTTTTTCACATAATCATAAATATTATCTGGTAAACTTGGTTCCTTGAGATTTTGTCAGATGTAGTGAGTTCACCTGGCACTTATTTGGCACCATAAACCACGCTTGACTAGAGACTGAGATATCCTTACATAGTGGTCCATGGACATGGCCTCTTCCTGGCACTGCCAGGCATTTGGAAACTATTAATTTCCTTGAGTATATTTGCCTTCTCAGCTGGGGTTTCTCGTCTGAAATCACAGAACATAGAAAATGATTTGAGGGACTCTACTGGAGGGCACCTGACTTTTCTCTATATATATTTCTTGAAGGATACTAGGTAATTTATTACATACAAGAGATGCCTAAGGAATTAGGGGTTAATTCTTTCCATGAAACCTTGGTTTAAAAGGCCCAATGTCCATACTATGTCCAGCCAAATAGATGCACAAAATTCCAATCCCAGTAAAAGACCTTTTAGTTATAGTTACAGTTTTTTTAAAACTATAGTTTTAGTTACAGTTTTTTTAAAACTATAGTTTTAGTTATAGTTTTTTAAAACTATGTAGAAGATGATTCATTTATGGGCTGTCAAATTGCCCCAGACTTTGTCTTTTTTCAAAATTTTCAGTCAGTTGGCAGTGGTACCTTTACCTTACTTCATCAGAGAAAGATGAATTTTTGAATCTGAACTTCCTCTGCAAATATTTATTGTTGGTGTCTCATCATTACCAAACCAAGGGAAAATTGCTAAGAGAAGGTGAATAGCTGAGAATCATACACAGTGGTGAATCTTGTAGTGTTTTAGTTTGGAGCAAGTGACAGGAAGTTATGAGGGCTAGTTAAGAAATAGGAGCAAGGATAACATTAGATTGTTGCTCATTGAGAATTGATGAAAGGATTGACTTACAAATCAATCCTTGATTGGGGGCTAAATGGCGGTTGAAAGGAACATTATAGCCCTCTGTTGCCGTTTTATAACTTAAGCTGGGTAGCTGTGCAGAGGAACAGAGAGCCAGGGTGTCCTCCCAAGGTGTTAAATTGGAGCCCAAGGGTTATAGATTTGAAGACATGAGAGCCTAAGATACAGCAGAATTCAAATATTTAAGGAATTCTGCCTGCCTGTGACTATTACTAAGCTCTATAGAAGATAGAAGAAGCCAAAAAAAAAAAAACCCAAAGTATTATGTTTCCCTTGAGAAATTAATACTCTATTTGGGAAAACAGATAGAAATATAAGAAAACTGTAAACTCTGAAGGACACTGAAAATCAAGTTGTGGATAACGTATTACAGCTATACCTCTTACATTATTTATTCAAAGCAATGAAGTGATCATTTGGGGGAAGATTCATCAAGGCAGCCTCAGTAGATCAGAATCTTGAGCTAGATTATGAAAAACATGATATGCACTGGCAGATACAAGAAAGAAGTCCGTTTTAGACAGAACATCTTTGAATAAGGCACAGAGATGAGAATTAACAAATTATGTTTGCAGTAGGGTAGAGTTCCATTAATATCAAGAAACATTTAGGTTTCTATTTCATGTGGGATCCCATAACAAAAAACGTTATTTACAGATTTGTGGTGAAAATATAGTATGGTGCATGATACCTATTTTGCGGCTATTCTGGACTGGGGTTTGAGGGAATGATGAGCCTCCTACAACTGGTAGAGTTCTACTTACTCACATGAGCTTCTATGCACCTTTCTTCCACATGGTTGGTTCTTCTTAGTGTACCTCTCAAGTGAGGCTCTGCTCTTATCACGATTTTAAAGCCAAGGTTAATATTCCAAATAGATCTGTCACTAGCAGATGATCGAGAACATGAGATTCTGATGTGACACAAGGTATCAATAAAATCTAGTTGGAATGGTTTGCTATCTTAATGTCTTTAAACTTGTTTAGGATAATTTTCTCTTTCCACAGTAAATTAAAATATTTTTCCTAATTTTATTACTTTAAGGAAATGGATAGAAAGATTTTAGATCGTTACACTAATAGAAGATTACCTAACAATTTACTACAGACAGGTCACACCGCTTTTTTTTTTTTTTTTGGTAAAATCCAGAAACTAAAATTAAAGAATACCTGAACTTTAGATTTCTAATAATACAGAGTAGTTGCTTAATAGGTAGGGAGGAAAATATAAGAACTATTATGTTTCTCTAATCTTTTAAACTTTTAATTTCTCATTTTATGATGAGAACATACTTTTTTTTTTTTTTTTTTTTTTGAGATGGAGTCTCAGTCTGTCACTCAGGCTGGAGTGCAGTGGTGCGATCTCGGCTCACTGCCTCCGTCTCCTGGGTTCAAGCAATTCTCCTGCCTCAGCCTCCTGAGTAGCTGGGATTACAGATGTGCACTACCATGCCCAGCTAATTTTTTTTTTTTTTTTTTGAGACTGAGTCTTGCTCTGTCACCAGGCTGGAGTGCAGTGGCGCGATCTCAGCTCACTACAACCTCCGCCTGCCTGGTTCAAGCGATTTCCCTGCCTCAGCCACTCGAGTAGCTGGCACTGCAGGCACACGCCATCATGCTTGGCTAGTTTTTTGTATTTTAGTAGAGATGGGGTTTCACCATGTTGGCCAAGATGGTCTCGATCTCCTGACCTCGTGATCCACCCACCTCGGCCTCCCAAAGTGCTGGGATTACAGGCGTAAGCCACCGCGCCCAGCCTAATTTTTGTATTTTTAGTAGAGACGAGGTCTCGCCATGTTGGTCAGGCTGGTCTCGAACTCCTGACCTCAAGTGATCCACCCACCTCAGCCTCCCAAAGTGCTGGGTTTACAGGCCTTGAGCCACCGCACCCTGCTGAGAACATATAATTTATAGGGAAATCTCTGCAGTGCTTGCTCAAAAGTTGTTGTTAGTTTTTTGTTTCATTTTACTTGGTCTCTGGACCAGCAGCAACAGCATCACTTGGAGGCTTGTTAGAAATGCAGATCCTCAGGCCCCAAGTGGACCTGCTGGATCAGAATCTGAATTCTAGTGAGCTCCTGGGTACACATTAAAGTTGAAAAGCAGTGCTCTATCATAAAGCAGAGTCAACTCTTGATAACCTGTGGTTTGTATTGTGGCAAATTTTTCATCCCAGGATAGTTACCCATTGCCACGTATCTTGTCAACCTACACCTATTGCTGAGTTAGAGGGAACTGCAAACACTGATATGCTGCAGCCTCACTGGAGCGGGCTGTCCTTGGGTTTCTATATTCACACTACCTTATATTATCTCAGTACTTCCTTAACTTAGATCTAAAACCATAGAAACTGAATTTATACGAAATTGTCCTCAGCCACGTATAAAGGCAAACTCTTCACATTTGTTTTTGATAAAATATAGTCACAGTATAAATTCAAAAGTCAAGTACAGTAAAGTCCTCACTGAACACTGTGGATAGGTTCTTGGAAATTGTGACTTTAAGAGACACCATGTACATCAGGTCCTCAAATTACATTGTTTTCCTTCAACATAGTTGCTTTTGTTACAAAGTTAATAAGAAAAAAAATTTGTTTCGTTATGTATTGTTTCTCTTAAAGTCACAGTTTCCAAGAACCTATTGATGATAAGGACTTACTCTATATTGGATAATTCACTTTTATTTGTGGCTCCTCTTATTCGTTCACCTAAGTACATTTTAGTATTTAAGGGGTTTTTTCTTGTAAAGGTGAATATTATTTTATTCCTTATGGAGCAATTATCAAACCATCAAATTCCATATGGTTAGTGATTGCACAGAGAAATAGAATGGCTGGTGAACATTTTTCTTTAGGTAGATCAGAAATATTCACATTATTGGCCAGGCATGGTGGCTCACACCTGTAATCCCATCACTTTGGGAGGCTGAGGCAGGGAGATCACCTGAAGTCAGGAGTTCCAAGACCAGCCTGGCCAATGTTGCAAAACCCCTTCTCAACTAAAAATACAAAAATTAGCTAGGCGTGGTGGCATGCACCTGTAATCCCAGTTACTTGGGAGGCTGAGGCAGGAGAATTGCTTAAACCCAAGAGGTGGAGGTTGCAGTGAGCTGAGATCCCACCACTGCACTCCAGCCTGGATGACAAAGTGAGTGAGGCCCTGTCAAAAAAAAAAAAAAAAAAGAAATATTCACATTATTTTCCTTTGGGATTTTAGGGGAAGGAGTGGAGAGAAATAACATGGGTCCTGTAACCAAGGACACATGAAATTTTTTTCTCTTCTTTCTTCATTAAGTCAACAGATATTGAGTTCAAACTATGTGATAGGTACTGTGCTAGGCAATAAGGGTGTGCAGATGGACAAGATAGTCTGCCACAGGAACTTATCGAGGTGGCCTCCACGATAGGTATGGGTATACGGAAACATATATCCAAATCTCACCAATCTGAAGTAATTCCTTACCATAGATTTGTATCACCAACATAACATGTATTTGGATAGTTCAAAGAACTGGAAGAGCTGGGCATGGTGGCGTGTGCCTGTAGTCCCAGCTACTCAGGAGGGCAAGGTAGGAGGTTTGCTTGGGCCCAAGAGTTTGAGTTCAGCCTGGGCAACATAGCGAGACCCTGTGTCCAAAAAAAAAAAAAAAAAAAAGAAAAAAAGAACTTGTAGGTTTTCCTACAGGGATTCATCGATCTTCTCTAGTATGTGAAAAAATATTACGTTGCCCTATTTTTAACACCTACATTTTCCTTCTAATAACATTTCATAGGAATCTTATGAAATATTTCAGATACTTAAATCCTCACTACTTTTTTATGCCATATTGTGCTTTTTTATTACTAGTTCTTAATAACTTATTCTAACATTTAGAATAAGTTATTCCCTCTAGGCAGTATATTGTTTTGATAGATCACTGAAGGGACAACAGTGAGTCTCTAGATCTCACTAGTGGAAATATTGACACACAATATGCACTTTAGGGGTCATGGAGGAGATATATGACAATACTGCTAATCCTGTGGGCTTAGGCTTTGTTCAAGTATATTCCGTGGATTAGATGATCAGCATTTGTTGTATAACCTTGGAACATTTCAGAACTCCCCTAAACTTCTGTCTTTTCCATTTTATTCCATCAGGTTTATTGTGAGGGCTTAATGATTATGTTAATCTGTTGTGTGTGTGTGTGTGTGTGTGTGTGTGTATGTGTATGTATACACACATGTATACACACACTGCATTATGTGGCATAGCAAGCACTCAAAAAACATTTTCTTAAAATGTAGTACAAGAGTGGTAATATCCATTAGACTCAAATAGTTTAGTAGTATCTGAGTATATGACAAAGTCAAAGTTATACTATTTCATTTAAAATGAGTGATTTCTGTTATATCTAGGAAGAACATGTTCTTTTCCAACTTGAAGAAGGGATTGAAGCTTTGGAAGCTGCAATTGAATACAAGAATGAAAGTATCCAGAATTGCCAGAAGTCACTTAGAGCATCATTCCATAACCTCTCTCGTGGTGAAGCAAATGTCTTGGAAAAACTAGCTTGCCTGAGTCCTGTTGAGATTAGAGCTATTCTTTTCAGATATTTCAATAAGGTTTGTTTTTGAGGGTCAGAATATTTTTCTTATAAAGATGGGTCAAGATGCATACATCCTATATTTATTTTGAATTTTTAAAGAAATTGAAAGGCTTAAAGATTTGATGGTGTAACTACAAATTTGAGCATGATTTCTCTTTATAGAACTAAATGTTGTTATCTAAAAGCTTTGTGATTATCCAAATATGTAGGCCTAACTTTGTGAGGTTCTTAAAGTTGGAGGGCCTTTCAAAAGAAGTCCTTTTTGAAAGTTTTTAAAACCAAAGAATTTAAGTTATATTCCTTGCTCATTATTTCTTGGATGTTTTCTAGATTTGGATGTTCTACCTGGCACTCATGAAAAATCAAGGGCCCTCCAAGTTTTGATTCCCTTTCCTTCATTGCTGCAGGGTAGGGGAATCTGTACTTTCTCATCATGTATGAGTTGAAATGAAGATGAAGTGGTGTATCAGTGGCAAAGATAATAGTAGATTTTATTAACCTGAATGTGCTTAAATCAATTAAAATGTTGTATTTTTTACAGATTAGTCAATTTACTGATCCAGAGATGTTTCATAGCATTGAGAACTATATCCGTCTTTTCTCTAATGTCTTTTCCACTTAAGTTATATATTATGAAGTGTTAAACAATGAGATAACTCTTCTCTGAAAAGTACATTCAATTTATGGGAATATCAGACAATCAATGAAAAATAAAACACTGATATTTTAAAATAAAGTCCTAAGGCCAGGTGCAGTGGCTCATGCCTGTAATCCCAGCACTTTGGGAGGCTGAGTCAAGAGAATCACTTGAGCCCAGAATTTGAGATCCTATCTTTACAAAAAATACCAGAATTAGCCGGGTGTGGTAGCATACACCTGTAGTCCCAGATACTTGGGAGGCTGAGGCAGGAGGATCACATGAGCCCAGCAATTTGAGTTTGTAGTGAGCTATGATCACTACTGCACTTCAGTCTGGGGCAACAGAGCAACAGCCTGTCTCAAAAAATTAAATAAAATTATAATTCTGTGAAATAAGATAAATGAAAATGTTATGCACAGCCTCCTCTTGGATAATCATCATCAGTAGTAAGCTACTGTTATTGTTATTGATGAGAGTGCATCCTATTGCTGCATGTTTGGAGGGTAGAAAGATGGTGGAGTGCTTTGACATAGATAACTTTTTTTTTTTTTTTTTTGAGACAGAGTCTCGCTCTGTGGCCCAGGCTGGAGTGCAGTGGCGTGATCTCGGCTCAGTGCAAGCTCTGCCCCAAGGTTCACGCCATTCTCCTGCCTCAGCCTCCCAAGTAGCTGGGACGACAAGTGCCCGCCACCACGCCTGGCTAATTTTTTTTGTACTTTTTTTTTAGTAGAGACGGGGTTTCACTGTGTTAGACAGAGATGGTCTCGATCACCTGACCTCATGATCCGCCCGCCTCGGCCTCCCAAAGTGCTGGGATTACAGGCGTGAGCCACCGCGCCCAGCCTGATATAGATAACTCTTTATGCTGTTCTTTTTTTTTTTTTTCCCTGAGATGGAGTCTCACTCTGTTGTCCAGACTGGTGTGATCTCGGCTCACTGCAACCTCCGCCCCCTGGGTTCAAGCAATTCTCCTGCCTCAGCCTCCTGAGTAGCTAGGATTACAGGCGTGTGCTGCCATGCCCAGCTCATTTTTGTATTTTTAGTAGAGATGGGGTTTCACCATGTTGGCCAGGCTGGTCTCAAACTCCTGACCTCGTGATCCTCCCGCCTCGGCCTCCCAAAGTGCTGGGATTACAGGTGTGAGCCACCGTGCCTGGCCCTTGTGCTACTCTTAAAGCAAGGCAACCTGGCTAAGGTCAGTGGATTTTCTGATCCTGGGAACCCTTGTATTAATGATTATTTTTCTGGAGAGGTCATTAGATTATTAACAAGTTCTGTGATATAGACATTGTCTGAAGTATTTTTACTTCACATCAGCAGGGAAGAATCCAGTAGACAAAATGCATAACATGGCTGGGTGTGGTGGCTCACGCCTATAATCCCAGTGCTTTAGGACCCAAGGCAGGAGGATCACTTGAGTCCAGGAATTCAAGACCAGCTTGGGCAACATAGTGAGACCCTGTCTCTACGAAAAAATTTTTTAAAAAACTTAGCCAGGCATGATGGCATGTACCTGTGGTCCCAGCTATGTGGGAGGCTGAGGTGGGAGGATCACTTGATCTCAGGAGTTGGAAGCTGCAGTGAACTATGATTGCACCACTGCACTCCAACCTGAGGTGACAGAGTGAGACTCCATCTTAACAATAACAACAACAACAAAACAACCAAACTGTCACTTATTTATAACATCCATTCTGGAGTTAAAACTTGGAATTGTCTAGATGTTTCAAGAATCTTTACCCTCTCACTATCCACTTAGACTAGAGAAATAAAGTTACAGAATTATTAAATGTAAACTGCATAGATTACATTTAAGAAATTATGGAAGGGTGATCATTAGAGCAACAATATATTAAAAATGAAAGTGTCGGCTGGGCACAGTGGCTCACGCCTGTAATCCCAGCACTTTGGGAGGCTGAGGTGGGCAGATCACGAGGTCAGGAGATCGAGACCATCCTAGCTAACACGGTGAAACCCCATCTCTACTAAAAATACAAAAAATTAGCTGGACTTGGTGGCGGGCGCCTGTAGTCCCAGCTACTCGGGAGGCTGAGGCAAGAGAATGGCATGAACCTGGGAGGCGGAGCTTGCAGTGAGCCGAGATTGCACGACTGCACTCCAGCTTGGGTGACAGAGAGAGACTCCTTCTCAAAAAAAAAAAAAAAAAAAAAAGAAAGTGTCATCAATTCAGAATTCCAACAAATTCTTTTTTTTTTTTTTTTTTTTTTTTTTTTTTGCGGCGGAGTTTTGCTCTTGCACCCAGGCTGGAGTGCAATGGGGCGATCTTGGCTCCACTGCAGACTCCGCCTCCCAGGTTCAAGCCATTCGCCTGCTTCAGCCTCCCAAGTAGCTGGGATTACAGGTGTGCACCACCACACCCAGCTAATTTTATATATATTTTTTAGTAGAGACGGGGTTTTACTATGTTGGTCAGGTTGGTCTCGAACTCCTCACCTCAAGTGATCCCCCCACCTCAGACTCCCAAACTGCTAGGACTACAGACGTGAGCCACCGTGCCTGGCCTGAATTCTAACAAATTCAAAAGGCTGTTAGGTTGTTTTGTGAATATGTTACAAAGCATTTGCCTAAGGACCCAATACCTGGCAGGAATCATTTACACTATGGAGATTAAGGAAGTTCATCTTGAAGTAGCCTAAGAAAAGTAGATTATTATATTAGCTTATCTAAGACACACTTAACAGGTCAAAATATGTATTTGTTAGGTGGTGAATTTGCGAGAAGCTGAACGGAAACAACAATTATATAATGAAGAAATGAAAATGAAAGTTCTGGAACGGGATAATATGGTTCGTGAATTAGAATCTGCACTGGACCATCTAAAATTGCAGTGTGACCGGAGACTGACCCTCCAGCAAAAGGAGCACGAACAAAAGATGCAGTTGCTGTTACATCATTTCAAAGGTAACTTCCCCTTTTGACAGTTATGTAAAGTTGATGTGTAGGTGTGGGTACTGAAGGAAGATAGGACAGAATTTGATCACTTAAAAGCTCAACATGTTTAAATAGTTGCTACTTAGACAAGTTTTTGGGCTTTACATGTTTTGGTTGCCGCATTTTGGGACAGTTGACTTTGTTGTAGGGCTATTCATGCTTGGAATGCCATCCCTTCTGCCTGCCTCCAGTATGCACATAAGAACTGCTACAATCCTGTCAGCTTGTTGTTGGTCTAGTTTTTATGTAGAAATGTGGGATTGATTCAGGCTTTTTGGTATACAGTTGAATTTTTTTTTATTTCCCAGGGATATAATACTATCATATTTAAGTTATTTTCCACTCACAAAATTAAAGTGATAGGTTCTGTCATATTCCTAGTTATATTTCTGGTTATAATTGTCAGTTGATTATAAAATTTTATGCATTAAAGTAATATCTTGGGTCAAAATTATACTGCCATTGATGGGCACATACCATTATCAGTGAGCAGTAGTTCACCACCAACTCTGATAGAAAACTCTGAGAGTGATCTGGCCTCATTTTACCTAGGCATATGGCCAGTATACAAACAGCTACTATGGCAGCAAAATCATTGTTAGGTGATACTGTTACTCCTTCAATTCAGGCTGCTTAGTCTTGATTCTCATGAATCCATAGCTGAAAATAGATCAAAAGGGATCTAGAAGAAGCAACCTGAGTAAGCAGAAAATTGGAAAAATCTGTGAATTTGATTGTTGAGGCAATTTGCTTCTAAGTTAATTCTGTCACTGGTTAATTAGCAACCAGTTGCCTAATGACAATTTCCTGGCAAGATCTCACACATCATTACATTCAAACATGCTCTCCTTACCTTAGTTTGGTTCCGAAACTGATATTTTAATATTTTTTTAAGTGACTGGGATTATACCACAAAAGTTCATGCCATAGCCAAATAAGAATATATAAAAACTTGGCCAAACATGGTGGCTCATCCCTGTAATCCCAGCACTTTGGGAGGCTGAGTCAAGAGGATTGCTTGAGCCCAGAAGTTCGAGACCAGCCTGGCCAACATGGCGAAACCCCATCTCTACAAAAGATACAAAAAACTAGCCAAGCGTGGTGGCACGCACCTGTAGTCCCAGCTACTTGGGAGGCTGAGATGGGAGAATCACCTGAGTCCCAGAGGTTGAGCCTGCAGTGGCTGTGGTCACACCACTGCACTCCAGCCTGGGTGACAGAGTTAAGACCCTGTCTCAAAAAAAAAAAAGTAAGAAAGTCATTCATTTCTATAGCTGTACAAATTGTTCATAACAAAGTTGTGGCTGGGTGCAGCGGCTCATGCCTGTAATCCCAGCATTTTGGAAGGTTGTGGTGGGAGGCTTACTTGAAAGCAGCCTGGGCAGCATAGTGGGACCCCATCTGTATTAATCAAGGATCTCTAAAGGGACAGAATAGCATATATATATCATATATATGATATATATATAGATATATAAAATATATAGGATATATAAAATATATAGGATTTATATTATATAAATATATATATATAAATATAAAGGGGAGTTTATTAAGTATTGACTTACATGATCACAAGGTCCCACAATAGGCTGTCTGCAAGCTTGAGGAGCAAGGAAGCCAGTCCAAGTCTCAAAACTAAAGAACTTGGAGTCTGATGTTCGAGGACAGGAAGCATTCAGCATGGGAGAAAGATGTAGGCTGGGAGGCTAGGCCAGTCTCACCTTCTTATGTTTTTCTGCCTGCTTTATATTCATTGGCAGCTTATTAGATGGTGCACCAGATTGAGGTTGGATCTGCCTTCCCCAGCCCACTGACTCAAATGTTAACCTCCTTTGGCAACACCCTCACAGACACACCCAGGATCAATACTTTGCATCCTTCAATCCAGTCAAGTTAACACTCGGTATTTACCGTCACAAGTCCATCCCTTGTCAACTTGAACTCATACACATCTCCTGAGATCATACATAATCTTCAAATAAAGACAATAATAAGGTTATAATTACACCTAACATAATACAACTATCCTTCGTACAACCAGAAATGCACCAATCCCCAACCCAAATGCTATTACATAAAGTTAACAGTACTTAAATGCTGATGTGAAGTCAATAAATCTTATGTCACATGATAAAGGAAAAAGGAAATAAAATGAAGATATTTTCTTAGTACAAGTGTATACATGCACAAACATGTTTTTAACAAAATAAGGAGGAAATATGACAGTTACCGTCCTTGTTTCTGCAGCTGGTCACATGGTCATAGCTGGTATTGATGACCACCTTCTTCTGCTACCCATTCTTTATTCTCTTTGCCTTTAGCAAGCACCTCAGCACGTTGTGGGTTTTTCTCCTAGTGGAGTGACCCAACCCTTCATTCCTGAAGGGTCTGGACCATTTGTAGTCCTGACTGGAATGGGCTGTTGTAGTTTCCAATTGACCTTAATCACAGAGCATGGTAATACTAAGCGACACCCTAATGGATCTCCTGTATTTCTTGCATACTCTTTCTTACCTCTGTTATGGAGTAGTAGACTGATTTCATCTTGATAGTCCAGGTCAGTCACCCCAGCCAATACTGTAACTCCCTTCTTAGCCTGCTGACTTAATGGTAGGTAGAGCCCAAAGTGTCCAGGTGGCAATCTTAACTTTCAGTTTAATGGAATCATTGTTGTGTCTCCTGTTGGCAGTGTTCCTTCCTCTGAAACAAAGACCTCTAGGCCAGCAGAACGTAATGTTGTGGGAACAGGAAGCAAAAATGTTGCTAATGGATCACTAGGGGTGATGATGGGTGGTGCCACTTCCACTTCCACCCCTTGGTCCCTGGACTCGTGAATCCTGACTATGGAAGAAACAGTACCATATACTGGATGCTGATGCAGAGCATACACGGCCTTCTGGAGAACTTTGTCCCAGTCCTGCAAAGTATTGTCATGTAATTGGTGTTGTAATTGTGACTTCAAAAGGCCATTCCACCGTTCTATCAGTCTAGCTGCTTCAGG
The DNA here is from genome assembly GCF_000001405.40 of Homo sapiens. NCBI lineage: Eukaryota > Metazoa > Chordata > Mammalia > Primates > Hominidae > Homo > Homo sapiens. The sequence continues at coordinate 85,777,071 of NC_000009.12, forward strand.
ATGATGGGGACCTTCATCCTGCGAATGACCAGTGAATCCCATGAGCATGAGCCCACTGCCACACTTCTTTAGCCATAAAGTGAGTAACTTGGTCAGAGGCAATGCTGTGTGGAATACCATGACAGTGAATAAGGCATTCTGTGAGTCCATGGATGGTAATCTTGGCAGAAGCATTGCGTGCAGGATAGGCAAACCCACATCCGGAGTAAGTGTCTGTTCCAGTGAGGACAAACCTCTGCCCTTTCTGTGATGGAAGAGGTCCAATATAATCAACCTGCCACCAGGTAGCTCGCCGATCACCCTGAGGAATGGTGCCATATTGAGGGCTCAGTGTTGGTCTCTGCTGCTGGCAAATTGGGCACTCAGCAGTGGCCGTAGCCAGGTCAGCCTTGGTGAGTGGAAGTCCATGTTGCTGAGCCCACATCCCTGCCACCATGGCCACTTTGTTCATGGGCCCATTGGGCAATGACAGGGGTGGCTGGGGAAAGAGGCTGAGTGGTATCCACAGAATGGGTTATCATATCCACTTGATTATTAAAATCCTCCTCTGCTGAGGTCATCCGTTGGTGAGCACTCACTTGGGATACAAATATCTTCACAGTTTTTGACTACTCAGAGAGGTCCATCCACATACCTCTTCCCCAAAATTCTTTTGTCACCAGTCTTCCAATCATGCTTCTTCCAAGTCCCTGACCATCCAGCCAAACCACTGGCTACAGCCCATGAATTGGTATATAACCGCATATCTGGCCATTTCTCCTTCCATGCAAAGTGCACAACCAGGTGCACTGTTCGAAGTTCTGCCCACTGGGAAGATTTCCCTTCACTGGTATCCTTCAGGGATGTCCTAGAAAGGGGCTGTAGTGCCGCAGCTGTCCACTTTCAGGTGGTGCCTGCATATCGTGGAGAACCGTCTGTGAACCAGGCCCTAGTCTTCTCTTCCCCTGTCAACTGATCATAGGGAACTCCCCATGAGGCCATCGGTGCAGGCTGGAGGAGAGAAGGCAGGGTGGCGAGTGGAGACCATGGGCATTTGTGCCACTTTCTCATGTAACTTATACCTTCAGGACCTGCTTGAGCCTGATCACATATATAGCATTTCCATTTGATGATGGAATGCTGCTGTGCACGACCCACTTTATGGCTAGATAGGTCAGAAAGCACCCAGTTCATGATAGGCAGTTCAGGTCGCATGGTGACTTGATGACCCATAGTCAAACGTTCAGTTTCCACCAAAGCCCAGTAACAGGCCAAGAGCTGTCTCTCAAAAGGAGAGTAGTTATCTGCAGAAGATGGCGGGGCCTTGCTCCAAAATCCTAGAGGCCTCCACTGTGATTCACCTATGGGGGTCTGCGAGAGGCTCCAAACAGCATCCCTATCTGCCACTGACACCTCAAGCACCATTGGATCTGCTGGGTCATATGGCCCAAGTGGCAGAGCAGCTTGCACAGCAGCCTGGACCTATTGCAGAGCCTTCTCCTGTTGTGGACCCCATTCAAAACTGGCAGCCTTTCAGGTCACTCAATAAATGGGCCAGAGTAACACACCCAAATGAGGAATGTGCTGCCTTCAAAATCCAGATAGGCCCACTAGGCATTGTGCCTCTTTCTTGGTTGTAGGAAGGGCCGAATGCAGCAACTTATCCTTCACCTTAGAAGGAATATCTCGACAGGCCCCACACCACTGGACCCCTAGAAATTTTACTGAGGTAGAAGAGTTCATCATTTTCTTTCATCAGTTTGTCCACTGAACTGAGGAGCAACCAACCAGCTTCATTATGTTCCTTGGTTCTCCACATATGGTCAAATTTATTACATAGAGTCACTAAACTCCTTGCCTCTCACGAGCAGTGAATCAGGAGTGTCAAATGCATTTATTTTGCATAATTCTGTAAACAGTTCATGCCAAGGACTATCAGTGTTCTCCATACTATTAGGAGTAGAGTCCTTAGCATTTTTGGGTCTAATCAGATTAAGCAGCCAACTCCAGAAACCCCAAAACCAACAAAAGAACTCCATCCTTAATATTCTGTTCCTTTAGAACCACTCCTGGTACCAAAACCTGTATTAGTCAGGGTTCTCTAGAGGGACAGAACTAATAGGAGATATATAGATATAGATATAGATATAGATATAGATATAGATATAGATATAGATATAGATATAGATATAGATATCTATATAAATATAAATATATATAGCTATCTATATAAATATCTATATCTCTATATATATAAAGGGGAGTTTATTATTAACTTACACAATCACAAGTTCCCACAGTAGGCTGTCTACAAGCTTGAGGCACAAGGAGAGCCAGTCTGAGTCTCGAAACTGAAGAGCTTAGAGTCTGATGTTTGAGGACAGGAAGCATCCAGCATGGGAGAAAGATGTAGGCTGGGAGGCTAGGTCAGTCTCGCCTTTTTCTGCCTGCTTTATATTCACTGGCAGCTGATGAGATGGTTCTCACCAGATTAAGGGTGGGTGTGCCTTCCCCAGCCCACTGACTCAAATGTTAACCTCCTTTGGCAACACTCTCACAGACACACTCAATACTTGGCATCAATACTTGGCATCTTTCAGTCCAATCAAGTTGACACTCAATAGTAACCATCACACCATCTCTACCAAAAATTTAAAAAATTAAGCCGGGCATGGTGGCATGTGCCTGTGGTCCCAGCTACCCTGGAGGCTGAGGTGGGAAGATTATTTGAACCCAGGAGGTTGAAGCTGTAATGAGCCATGATTGCACCACTACACACTCTACCCTGGGCAACAGGGTGAGATGCTGTCTCGAAAATAATAGTAATAGAAAATAAAATAAAAACAAAGTTATAACTGACAATGCTAACAATTCATGCATTTTCTAATTTCAACTGAATATCAGACATAAAATTAAGTTGATTTATATGACATACTTTATGGGGATTCTGATTTATGATCTCATTAATTTTAAGTATTTTTTAAAACAAGATGATGGACTAATTTAAAATATACAAATATACTTAAACAAAATTCTACAAAACAGCCAATTGTAGCCAAAGAAAATCACAAACCAGTAGGATCATTTTATAAATATGCCAGTAGGGGAGAGTAGGTCTGAAATTATGTTTTTTCTGAAGGTTAGTAAACTGGATTTCACTGGTTCAAGAGCATAACCCAATGGAGACAATGTTAGACATTCATAAATATTAATGAAAATATTAATAAAGTTTCTAAACTTTATTACCTGTAAACTTAAAGTTTAGAAACTTTAAGTTATATTGTGGCATAAACTAGAACTTTATGCTGGATTATATTCCCTCTTCTTTTTCTGTGGTGTTTTCCTTTGTGATTTAGTCTTTATGGCCTCTTTTAACAGGTTTTGGTTTTTGTGGGGGTTTTGGCTGTATATTTCTTGGGCCTATAAATCCTAGTCATGTGACTTTTTATATAACCACAGTTCCTGATATAAACTTTACAGAAGATACTAAAGCAGCCAATGAACAGAGTTCCAAACTTGAACTTTTTATAGAAAACACCTTACTTCTGGTGTTCTAAGGATAGGTCTAGTTGGTAGCTACTGCAAAAAAAATCTTATGAAAGTGTGAGGGTTGGTAGGGGGTAGGATGGAGGTGACTAAGGGCTCAATCCTACTTTGGGAAATTTTACAGGCAGAAAAATCCAAATTGTAGCTGAAAACAAACCCATTCAGGTAACAGATATGTGTAACATGCTTCTTATCCTTTAAATATATAGTCCAGGGCCTATGTTAAAACATAATTTTGCAGCCGGGCACGGTGGCTCATGTCTGTAATCCCAGCACTTTGGGAAGCCAAGGCGGGCAGTTCACGAGGTCAGGAGATCGAGACCATCCTGGCTAACATGATGAAACCTCGTCTCTACTAAAAATACAAAAAAATTAGCCGGGCGTGGTGCTGGGCACCTGTAGTCCCAGCTACTTGGGAGGCGGAGGCAGGAGAATGGTGTGAACCTGGGTGGCGGAGCTTACAGTGAGCCGAGCATATCACGCCACTGCACTCTAGCCTGGGCGACAGTGCAAGACTCCGTTTCAAAAAGACAAAGAAACAAACAAAAACATAATTTTGCATCATTTATTTAAAACTGATTTTAAATGCAAATTTTTGTTGTATAGAACAAGATGGAGAAGGCATTATGGAAACTTTCAAAACATATGAAGATAAAATCCAGCAGTTGGAAAAAGATCTTTATTTCTATAAGAAAACCAGCCGGGATCATAAGAAGAAACTTAAGGAACTGGTAGGGGAAGCAATTCGGCGGCAACTAGCATCATCAGAGTGTAAGACTTTTAGTGTTGTCACTCTTAACACTGTTTCTCTAGCATTTGGTGAAGTCATGCCAGCTTTGTAGTGTAGCCTTTACCAATTGATTGGGTTATTTAGGATTAGATACTTCTATTTGTCTCTGTAAACAAAAATCGTTGTCTAAGGTAGAACCACATGAGAAGTGAATGAACAAATTTATAGATGCAAAGGAAATGATCAATTATTGATTGTCTGCCATGTGCCAGGGGCTTGTAGACCTTAACTCATTTAATCCCTAAATTAACTATATAATCTAACATAGCTGTTGTTTTCCTATTTTATAGTAAATTAAGCCTTCTGATTATCACAAAAAAAGATGTATGGTAGGTAAGAATAAAAGTATGTATTTTTAAGATAAATCAGGTCTTTTTATATATCATGACCCCTGGAAATTAAAAAATGTAATAGAACCCATTTTTGAGACAAAGATGTTTCCTTGTATAATCATATGTAGATATGTAGATTTAGTGCATTCCTAAATGAAATAACATGACAAAATATACTTTGCAAAAGTAAAAAATACTATGAAGGTAATATATTGCGATGATTAAAATATACCCTCTTTAAGATAGCTGAATAGAGAGGAATCAATATTTCTAAAATAATAAAGTCTACATTTTATAAAAGAATTAGCTAATACTTTCTAATAATTCTAATAACTTTGATAATTTAGGTATGGTTTATGAAAAGTTGACTTTAAAATCTTTTAGGCACACATGTATTTTTTACCTGGAAAGAAAACTACTTAAATATGGGCACACAAGATGTAAGAAGACCAGTGAAAAATAATATGGAGGAGCAATGAAGTGATATATGCTGAAAATGTAATAGAAGTAGAATTGGCTAGGTGCGGTGGCTCATGCCTGTAATCCCAGCACTTTGGGAGGCCAAGGCGGGTGGATCACCGGAGGGTAGGAGTTCGAGACCAACCTGACCAACATGGTGAAACCCCGTCTCTATTAAAAAATACAAAATTAGCCAGGTGTGGTGGTGCATGCCTGTAATCCCAGCTACTCAGGAGGCTGAGGCAGGAGAATCGCTTGAACCCGGGAGGCAGAGGTTGCAGTGAGCTGAGATCACGACATTGCACCCCGACCTGGGCCACAAGAGCGAAACTCTGTCTCAAAAAAAAAATGCTAAGTTATATTTGTGACATTTATCATGTATAGACATTTTCAAGAATAATTCCCTTTAGCCCTCAAACTCAGGATAGGCTGGGGTCTGCTAACTCCATTTTCAGATGAGGCAACTGACACTTAGAGAAGGCAAGTGACTTAAGGACAGAACAGTAACTATAACACAGTCTAATGTCCCTCATATTCTGACTGCTGGTTCAGTATTCCAAGATAAAAGTTGCCTGAGGATAAAGACGTGATACAAACATACGAATCCTGCCAAAGAGATTACATTTTCTGATTCTCAGTTTAGTAATACAGAGGTGTTTACTGATGTAACTCATTTACTTGAAATACTGCCTGCTATATATAGCTAAAACTTTAACTTGAAACATTACTTGCCAAAAATTAAAAAGTAAACAAGTATCAAGTAAGAAACAAAATAGTCAACATAAGACCACTTTAGCTTTGAAAAAAAGTCTACTGTCAAATTTGAGGTATCTGATATTAGACATCTAGTTTGTAAATGGCCCATGTTTATGCCACCGAGTCTACTAGACATTTCTTTAAAATGACAATGTAGTATGGTGGTATACAGGTTTAAGAACTCTGGATCTTCATCCTGGCTCTTTAACCAAACACACACACAAATCTAAAACATAGTTAATCTTGGAGAGGTGTAAAATGAGAACAACACTGTTCTGACCAATTTACCCAAGGAGTCTAGTCTTGATAATAACGTTGGAGATACTATTTCAGCTAATTTGCTATTCTACCTAGAAACATTTAAAATACTTCTATTTTTGACTATAAAAATAATGTATAGTCATTATAGAAAAATCTGAAAATGAAGAAAACAAATCAGTTATAATCCTACCCACATTTGAGCATAATTCTTTTCATATTTTCCCCATGCTTTAAAATATACAGTTGCAATTATATTGGGGATATAGCTTACACTATATCCTGTCTCATAATGCTACTCTAATATAATGACATGAAACAAGGTTTGTTTGAATTATAAAATATAGCAATTTACATCAAACTCTGAGTTCCATAAAATGTTTTACATGCTTAATAATCAGTATCCTAGTTAATAACTTAGTATTTGGTGCATTGTTTTTTTTTTGTTTGTTTTTTGTTTTTGAATGGAGTTTCACTCTTGTTACCCAGGCTGGAGTGCAGTGGTGCTATCTCAGCTCACTGCAGCCTCTACCTCCAAGGTTCAAACAATTCTCCTGCCTCAGCCTCCTCAGTAGCTGGGATTACAGGTGCCGCCACCAGGCCCAGCTAATTTTTTGTATTTTTAGTAGAGACCATGTCGGCCAGGCTGGTCTCAAACTCCTGACCTCAGGTGATCCACCAGCCTTGGCCTCCCAAAGTGCTGGAATTACAGGCATGAGCCACCGTGCCCAGCGGTTCAGTGGGTTTTGATAGAAGACTGCCTACAAGACTTATATTTTCTTTGAATATTTTTGGCATTCTCCAATTGCAGAAAAATTCATCTTTTGACTAAAATATCTTGGTCACTTGATGGTCATCCCTCTGTTACAGTGTATATGTTTTCTAACATGAGGATAAAATCAGTTTTATATGAACCTGCATTCTACTTGTATTTAAACCTATCCTTGTATCAATTTAAATCACTATAAAACTATATGTAAGGATAATAGAGTCAAAAGATCTGGGTTGGAATCCTTACTTCTTTTACTAGTTGTTTGACCTTGGGCAAATTAATCTTTCCCTAGTCGGTTCCCTCAATTATAAAATTCTGGAAGAGGGAAACTTTCTTGTGAAGAATCCAAGTGGGCTCCGGAGTGAGCCTCAGCAATGAGCCTCTTTTCTTATGATCTTTTGAAAATAAGATGCCTTACTCCTTCCCCCAGATACTGTCACCTGGGGAGCAGGATTTTTTTTTAGAGTTGGGGTCTTGCTCTGTTGCCCAGGCTGGAGTGTAGTGGTACATTCATGGCTCACTGCAGCCTCAAACTCCTGGGCTTGAGCAATCCTCCCACCTCAGCCTCTCAAGTAGCTGGGGCTACAGGCATAAACCACTGCACCCAGCTAGGGAGCAGGATTTTTTAAAGCTTCCCAGTGACTCTGATGTACTGCAGAGTTTGGGAGCCACTGTCTGTGGTCAACTTAGTATGAGTTCCATGTACGAGGATCTAGATCATTTGCTAGTTCAGGTTATTTGATTTTGAGAGAATTTTAAAAACTAGAGAGTCAGTTATGTTTTAAACCAGGGGTTACAAACTAGAACCCCTACCTGAACCAGAGTGAGCCGTGGGGACTGCAGCAGTCATCTAAATGGTCAGTGGCAACGGTGTTCCAGCTGCTGTTGCAATTCAGAAACTGTTAACTCTTATAGTTTTTCTAGAAAAGCTGTAAATCTATATTTTTATATGAAACTTTTCAAATTTTAAATCTTGGGTCAAGTATTACTAACATTATAGGCCAAGCAAACCATGTCTATGGGCCAGATTTGGCTTGAGAGCTGCCAATGTGCAACCTGTGTTTTAAAACTTTGTCTTGGCAGGACTGGGCCAGGTGCGGTGGCTCATGCCTGTAATCCCAGCACTTTGGGAGGCCAAGGCAGGCGGATCACCTGAGGTCAGGAGATCGAGACCATCCTGGCTAACACGGTGAAACCCCATCTCTACTAAAAATACAAAAAATTAGCCGGGCGTGGTGGCGGGCGCCTGTAGTCCCAGCTACTCCGGAGGCTGAGGCAGGAGAATGGTGTGAACCCAGGAGGCAGAGCTTGCAGTAAGCCGAGATCACACCACTGCACTCCAACCTGGGCGACAGAGCGAGACTCCGTCTCAAAAAAAAACAAACAAAAAACTTTTGTCTTTGCAGGACTAAAAGTATACTAAGCATGCATCAATATGTTGAAGTTAGCATTTTTCATCATATTAGGTCTAGTACCTGTATGCATTTCTCTTAAGCAAGTTTTTGTCTTTGCTATTAGACATTCTTTGATTTAAGAACCTCTAGCTTTGATCTCTTCACTCTAATTCCAGTGGGGTGTCCCCACCAAGGGCATATTCTCTCATCTCCATTTCGATGACAGAAATTGTGGCGCACACCCCAGAGTACATTCAGACAGCAGAACCCTGCTATCATGCTGGGAGTGCCAACCAAGGCCAGATTCCCACACATATAATGCCAAGTCCCAGAGTTTTCCCTCGAGATATGGGGCAGAGCCAATATTATCCAGTGCTGGCATCACTTGGCCATGATTTAGAATTCACTAGTAGCAAGAACAGCAGAGAAGGCAGGCATGGAAAGGCACCAGAGGTGCCCAAAGCACTCTTATGTTTCCAGGGAGTACCAAACCCCCAAAAGACTATTTCTCAATTTGTTCCATGAATTAAAGTTGTGAGTTATTCACATGCAAGATGCCTGTAAGTGAAATAAAAATATTCATATTCACACATCTGTTCATCTAAAATAAGTCATTTAACAAAAAAGTTGAACAACATTATGCATATTGGGTGATAATAATGTATTTATGTTAAGATGTTTTGATTAAAACACCTAATTTTGAGGAAATAATATCTAATTTTTTGGTTTGGGGATTATTTTTAGATCATAAGGCTGGAGATGGAGTCCTGAAGCCAGAAGGAGGCATGCTTTCAGAAGAATTAAAATGGGCATCCAGACCTGAAAGTATGAAATTAAGTGGAAGAGAAAGAGAAATGGACAGTTCAGCAAGCAGCTTAAGAACACAGCCAAATCCTCAAAAGCTCTGGGAAGATATCCCAGAATTACCTCCAATTCATAGTTCTTTAGCACCCCCCAGTGGGCATATGTTAGGTAATGAGAATAAAACAGAAACAGATGATAATCAGTTTACAAAATCTCAGTCGACTGTCATCCCAAATTCAGGTTGTGGGAAATGTGGGACGACTTCATGGTGTCACACCTGTAAAACTGTGTCGAAAAGAATTACGTCAAATTTCCGCCTTGGAACTATCATTGCGACGTTCCAGTCTTGGAGTTGGCATTGGATCAATGGCTGCTGATTCCATCGAAGTATCTAGAAAACCAAGGGACTTAAAAACTTAGACATTGAATAATAGAACTTTTAGTAGATATGTAAAAAGATTCCTTTTTCTAACCTGTTAAAAACTAAAGCTCAAGTTCACTACCTCTTTCCTCAGCATAAAGGAAGAAGGGGAGGAAGGAATCCCTAATTCTTTTATATGCTATAGATGTGTACATCTTCTATATATATTCGGGGAGTTTTAGTTTATATTCCCATAGTAATCAAACATGTTTTCCAATACTTGATAACATTTAAATATTTACATTTATAAATACGCTTAAATGTTTTTCCAGGCATATTTGAAGAATAAAACTAGTAATAGACTAAAATATCTATCAAGTATGTATTACTATATAATATAAATGTACATTATAAAAGTATGTTACAATATAACTATATTATTGTTATTCTCAAATACAAGTATATTGTTATTTTTTAAAAGATCCAGCTAAATCTTGCTTTTGTCAGAGGGAGTCACCTGCTGCATATGTGGGCTAAGACAACCTCTCAGCTTTATGGATTGAGGCTCATTTACAGTCCTCAGAGCTCACAGAAATGGTCAGTCTTGACTTTTTAAACATGCTCACTGTTCTGTTTCTGGAAATTTTTTGGATTTTTAAAAATTTATAATGCTATCTTTTTTGTTTGCTAATATTATGCAATATAAGTTTTCATGTCTTTCCTGCTCTATACACTCAATATATCTCTCATTATGTTACTAAAACTGGGAGAAATGAATGCTGTTCCATGGAACACGGAAATTATAGAATAAAACTAAAGCATTCTAACATTTCAAGAGAAAGAACACTGGTTATGACATCTCTGGTCACATGGAGTATGTCTGTAAAGCTTGAAGTCTTGCTAAAGCATCTTTAATGATTTGATAGGCTTCAAGTCTGATATTTTTTTCTATAACCTCCTTAGTCAGGCTTTGCACACTGGCCAAACTACACTGGGGCTGTAAATATGTCAATGAAATTTTTACTAAAATCTCCAAGTTTTTCTGGTCAAAATTTTACTATATAATGTACAATTTAGTTTGGAATTAAGAACTAAACAGTTTGCACACCAAATGTAGTTTGTACTTTTTAACCATATTTTTCAGTTATAGGAAACATCCATTGTAATGACCTGAGGAATTATTTTGTTATTTAGGTTGTTCTTTGTTACTTTTCCAAAACACTTGTAAACCGAAGTTGAGTTTCTTAAACTAATTAATGTTTGGTTGGGGGCTGTAGCAAAACCATCCTGACATGGATGCTTACTCAGAGTCACCCACTTCCTTGCGGAATCCATTTTTTCTGATGTAGTGCTGCTACAGACCTTTTCCTTTTGTCCTTTCCTCTGTTGCTGTGGATTTGATCATCTCACATAGGACCCAAACTGTCACCCTGTGCTCAAAGACTCAAGGCTTCCTTTCTCTCATTGCTAGCCCCTAGGGAGTAGAGTTTCTTGGTCTCCTTGCTAAAAACCAGTTCCTTTAAGAAACAAACCAAAACAAAACAAACTTATAAAAAGGAAAATAGTTTATCTCTTAAGCATGGTACTAAAATTTATTTAAATTAAATAGACTTCTGTGGACTTACCTGGGAATGAAACAATTTATAAATATTGGTCCAATGAGATACTATTTTCTAAATTTCAAAAAACGAATTTACAAACTAACTGGGAAATTTTATTTTTACCAGAGACTGTTTGAAGTCAGATTCTGGTTTCCAGCTAGTCTTCCACTTTTATAAATTTATGTATATTTATATATAAATATAAATCATAGAAACCAAAGGTAAAACATACACATTATAAATATGTATAAATGCACTGACCTTTTGCCATTATTATATATATTTCATATATATATATATACACTTGTACCTATACAAGTATATAAGGAAATGTGTTTGTATATCCATAGGTAAAACAAGTATGTGTAAATTAATTATTTCTAATTAAGGCATAGCACATGATCTTACAAGGAACTTATAATGAGGACCTTTGTTAATAAATACATATTTATTTAAATATATTATTGCTATGCTTTGTTGAAGGCACTGACCTTTTACCATTATAATATATACACTTGTATATAAACACTTGTATATATATAGTATTATATACTTGTATATAGATATAGATATAGGGTATACATTATACATTATTTCACTTTATATTATTTAATATGATTTTATATCATGATATATCATTATATAGCTATAATGTATATATAGATACACTTGTATATATACATAGATATAGATATATATAATGGCCAAAGGTCAGTGCCCTTAACAAGCACAGCAATATTTATAAATAAATATTTATTAATGAAGATCCTAATAATAAGTTCCTTATAAGATTAAGTAATGTGCTATGCGTTATTTAGGAATAATTCATTTGAGAATGTATTCTGATACTGGAATCCTACTTGCTCAAGAAATTAACACATACTTGTTTTACCTGTGGAAATACACATTTCCTCAAAGCCAACTCACTAATAAAGCAAGAAAATTTATATCAAAACAACGATTAGGTTTGATTATGCAATTGTGAGTTGCTTTCTAAATAACAAAGGTATGGTGTTTTTCTTCCTTTTGGTTAAACATATATCCTTTATATATATGACAGATTTCATGCCACATATGCAAACACACATATAAATAACGTCGTGAATAATATATTCTGGAAATCAACCTCTGGTCATTCTAGTTTAGTCGGTGTTCTCACAAAGGAAAGAAAAAAATTAAACACCTACCCAAGGCAAGTAAAATTATTTTTTTACATATACTAAATGATTTTACTTTTTCACATGCTTTTTCTAAACATTTTGTCACTTTATTGCCCTTTTGCATGTATATAAAATGTTTGTGGTTTTCTTTTTTTTGTTCATTACGTTCTTTTTTCCTCTAACTGTAATAAAGCATTTGAAAGGAAAAATATTTGTAAAGTACTAGTTACTTTCCTAGCTCTAGAGTGTTATAGCTAACAGAGATGGAAAATTCTTTATGTTGGGAACCACAGGTGGTGAGAACATTGATGAAGGTGCTTTTGTGCTTTAATGTTTGCTTTCTTTTTGTTAATGTATTTTTTTGTTGTTGCCTCAATTCTTCGTATCTTCATGAACCCAGGGTCCAAGGAGTCGGCAAAAATATGATCTTCATTAATTGTGGACTAGATTGCCACTAGCCATTGCCTTGTTCAGTCTAGGCCAGTAAAGTGAGGAATGCTTATTTGAGACTAAATTCCTTATATAGAAAAAAATGAAAGTCTTATATTAAGTTTTGGAATGACTATCAGGGAGTGAAATCCTTAGTGGGAGTTCGGTTCTGTGGTCAAAACAAATTCTTACACATTAAATGCAAGTATGACATATTTTGATCTTTCACTTATTTCCTTAGGCACCTACTCGTGACTTTAAAACAGTGGGGTATCAGTATTTGAAAGTTCAGGTAGAAAGTTACTTATGTCCACAATTCCTCTCTCAACTTCATTGGACTTTTTAAAAAAATTCATTATGTATATTTTAAACATTTAAAGTTGTAACAGATTGTAGGCTGCCTTGATTAACACTGATAATATATTCTTCTACATTTATATTTTCAAAAACTGAAAATAAAGGCGAGAGTGAGATCCATTTGCAATAAGCATCTCAAAAGCATTGGGCATGTAGTACTTTTGAGCTTATGTTGGCAGAAGTACACCAAGGGTAGGGTACTGGGGAGCCTCTGCCCAATAAGGAGAAGTATTTTATCACTGTCATTGCTGCTGATAAAAGCAGGCTGACTTTTCATAGGTTTTGTTGTTTTTAAATTATCTGTAAACAATGCACCCCTTATTGCCTACACCAAGGTTGACTGCTGCGATTCCTTCCATTCCCTGGAATGTACTGCATACAAAGAGAAAGCATCAAACACTGGAATAGTGTTTGATTTTTATAATGGCTTTCATGTTGACCCCAACATGACTCCAACATGGAGGTAATTAGAACAAAGGAAATTATGAAAAGAAATCCCAGAAAAAGTTGATGTTATAATGATGGCTTTTGATATTTTGCATAGTTCTCATTTGTCTGTTTTTATATTTCCTTCTAGGAATTTCTGCAATGAGTCAACAGAATTGGCACTATTTGAAATGCTAACAGTGTAATTTGAACCCAAATATATTGAATAAGACTTAGATATTATGTTCTACTGGTTAATTGTAACACACAGCTCTATTGAGTTATCTACAGTACTTTAAGAGGAAAAAACAACAATCTCATAGTCTGTTATAATGAGCAAGATCCCTATATGCCCAAGGAACAAAACCATTCACAACAGAAAAGAATAGAAAATTAAATATTTTTTTAAAATGTATACTTAATGATTCTTGGAAATTTAAAACTATCTATTAATAATTATATAACTAAAGTAGAAAAGGAATTATTTTAAAACCTTATTTGTATACTGTATTATTGTGTTTTCAAGCTTATTAAGTACATATATAAAGCAAGGTATAATTTTTCAAGTCCAGTGTGGTAAATATTGTTAGAAGTTATGTGATCAGCCAGGCACGGTGGCTCATGCCTGTAATCCCAGCACTTTGGGAGGCTGAGGCAGGTGGATCACGAGGTCAGGAGTTCAAGACCAGCCTGGCCATGATGAAACCCCATCTCTACTAAAAATACAAAATTAACCGAGTGTGGTGGCACACACCTATAGTCCCAGCTACTCGGGAGGCTGAGGCAGGAGAACTGCTTGTACTCATGAGGCAGAGGTTGCAGTGAGCCGAGATCGCGCCATTGCACTCCAGCCTGGGCGACAGAGGGAGACTCCGTCTCAAAAAAAAAAAAAAAAAGTTATGTGGTCTGAAGTGTCATATTTTTAAACGAACCATTCCTTGGACCCCACACCACACTTACCAACAACAAATCATAGGCATGTACTTACTTACTTTTCATTTCCCACAATGATCCAGGATTCCAATAGCTCTAAGACAGATGACTGGAGTGGGAGGGAGACAGGGGGGAAAGAGGTTTATTTGAAAGCATTCCATAGACAAGCAAAGGATTTTCAAAAAATATTTTGAGAGAATATATTTCTCTGGCATAAGGACTGAAACTTAAATTCAACCTTTGGCTATCTCTAAACACTAAAGAATACTCTTGGTTAGTACTGACTTTGCCATTAAAAAATAACTTTTTTATACTGGTTTTTATTTTTTATACTGGTTTTTATTTTTCATACTGGTATATTTTTATACTGGTTCCTTTTCCTATGTTTACTATTCACTCAGGATATTATGAAAAGAAGCCATCCTAGATCGAATTTGAATAGAAATTGTGGAGCCATTCAATAGAGAATTACAAGAAATAGCAGTTTGTGGTAAATTCCAATGGCCTAACAACATACACTGAAGGAAAGCAGTTAGGACTTAAGTGATTTTACCTTTGAAGAACCATGAATGATATGCCAAAACAAACAAAAAAATTGCTGTAGGCAAAATGGGATTTATTTTTGTAAAACAATGATATCTCAACTATTTTGCTTATTTTTTTCCCTCTGCTAAAATGTCCCTGATTTTGTCTACCGAAAAACCTGTGTATAAAAAAACTTTAATTCAAGATTACAAACCAGCAGCTACTTGCCTGCCTTGAGGGGCTGGATTAATTTTATTCATTTTCATTTGCGGGCTGTAGTTGCACTTCACTGTCTATCCTCTAGGAATGAAAAGGAGTGAGGAGTTATCTGAGTTCAACTAACTGATAATTTTCATAATTTATAACTATTAAAGTCAAAGTTTTGTTGTTACTTTCTAGCATGCTTTTTCTAGATGGGAATAATGGGAACAGGGCAAGGTATTTTAATACTGAGGAGTTAATCTCCTTTTGAAATTCCCATCACCTGGGAGGGTTGGACAGCATCTGAATTGTTCCATTCAAGGCCTGGGGCTAAGCCCATCCGTTTCACTAGACATTTTCCTGGCTAGCTCCAGGTGTCACCAGCTGTTAGACATGACTAGAAAGACACAGGCTGTAATTTTATTAATAGAGTACATTAAATGATATTTTCTAAACCAAACAGCCTTTAAAAAACTATT
This sequence comes from Homo sapiens, assembly GCF_000001405.40. Lineage (NCBI taxonomy): Eukaryota > Metazoa > Chordata > Mammalia > Primates > Hominidae > Homo > Homo sapiens. Next base: position 85,792,633 of record NC_000009.12, read on the forward strand.
TATGAATCACTACCCTGCATTTAATATCAAAATCATATTTTTCAAATGAAACACAAAGTAATTAGGAGGGAAATTACTATTTTTGTTACATAGCAAATATTTTTGTTACATAGTCTTACTTTATCAAATAAATGCTTTATCAAATAAATGCTTTATCAAATGAAAGCACTTTGAAAATTGAAGCATCATATATGTTTAAGATTAAATTATAAGTAGGTTTTCCATACAGTTGGATGTCAAAATGGGATAACTGTTTGGCACACATGGTTGTTTATTTTATATAAACAAATCATAAGACATCTTCTAAACAAATTCTCAGTTTTAGTTATATATATCTTCTAAACAAATTCCCAATTTTAGTTATGTATGTTTCAACAGTATAAATAAGAGTATTCTCTGGGAAGATTAATGTGAATTCTAGCAAAAATATTTTAAAGACTTGCTGAATCTATTTTTATAGCCATAGAAGTGCTTCATGACTATTTCTTTGATTTATGAGTGAAAGAGGATGTTTTTTACTGGATCTTTGGCCACCAGTTTTTGGCTATTTATTACTTATTTTTTTAGTAACAGTTACGTTTGTGAGCTATTGAACTATAGCTGGAAAATAACTTTTCTTAAAACTGATAAGAATTTTAAACTATTTTTCCCCAAAGACACTATAATACAAGAAGTTAATTTTTTTGCACATGTATAGGTATATGATCAAATAAAAAGAAATCAGTCCTCATTTAGCATCTGAGACTTTTAGCTCCTAAATACAACAAGTGTATTAAATTTAACATTACCACAGTGGTCTCTCCTTCATAAACATTCAGAGGGAAGCTCGTTCCCCTTAGTTTGCAAGTATCTGGCAGTGTAAGGAATATTTTGTCTCTAGATTGCAGCACCTATGACCTGAGCAGCCAAGGAAAGAGAAGGTCAAGACTTTAAGGGTAATGGAACCTACAATCATAAGTATTCTAGTGGATTGTGAACAAATAAATCAGAAAAGAAGAATACTAACATAGTTTTCCTGAGTTACCTTAAGTGGTATGAGGTATTCTTAGTAAGGTTTATTACAAAATTCAGTATCTCCCATAAGAAAGGAAGCTAGGTTTAAGCATTTGATTATGTGAGTTTAGTTGGCCCTTCACCCTTCAAGACATGGGCCAGTACTGTGGGGTTTAGTTCTTATATGGGAAATAATCTGTACCTCTTCCAAAGGGTGGGCTGGTAGCTAAAGTTATTTATTTCCTGAAAATATAAAAAAATGGCATCTATATGTAAATGCTAAAATGTAAAGATGGAAATTTCTACAGGCTTTTAATTTATAGGCATTTTCCTGCTTTATATTTTCTATCAACCTTTATATTTTTGCTGATAGAGTTGAAGACTAAAAGCCCTATCCCTCAAGGAACTTATAGTCCAGTGATATTACTTATGGAGAGAGTAAAGCAGGGTAAGGAAATAGAAAATTAGGGGTGCTTTTTCAGATGGAAATAAGTTTCTGAGCTCACATATATATAAAGCTGTTAAGAACTACATGTAAACATACTGATCAAAAAATGCTCTTCTAATGTATGCATGCCCAAAAGAAGCAAGTATCATAAATTGTATCTGAACATGGAAATCACATCCAACCAGCTTTGATGGAAGGAGAAGAGCACTTTACAGTTTTAAGTCTTACATTTGGGTCTTTGATCAATTTTGAATTAGTTTTTGTACATGGTATGAGTTAAGGGTCCAACTTCATTATTTTGCATGCAGATATCCAGTTGTGTCAATACAATTTGTTGAAAAAAACTATTCTTTCCTCATTAAATTGTCTTCATACATTTGTTGAAAACCAATTGACCACACAGGTTTATTTCTGGACTCAATTTTATTCCACTGGTCTATATGTCTGTCCTATGACAGACTGTACCACACTGTCTTGATTATGTAGTAAATCTTGAAGTCGAAGTGTGAATCCATGAACTTTGTTCTTCTTTTCCAACATTTGTTCGTTATTTGGGGTCCCTTAAGTTTCCATATGAATTTTAGGACCAGTTGTCCATTTCTACAAAGAGGGAGATGGAATTTTGATAGGAATTGCATTGAATCTGTAGATCAATTTGGGGAGTACTGCCATCTTAGCAATATTCAGTCTTCCAATCCATGAACATGGGCTGTCTTTCCATTCTTTTAACCATGTTTTTTAGTTTTCAGTGTACATGTCTTACACTTCTTTGGTTAAATTTATTTCTAAATATTTTATTCTTTTTGATGCTACTGTAAGTGGAATTGTGTTCTTAATTTCATTTTCAGATGGTTCATTGCTAGTGTCACGAAATACAACTGCTTTTTATATATTGATCACTATTTATTTTTAGTGGATAGTAAATTGGTTTAAGAACACATGCCATGAGTCAAGAAACTTAGGTGGTGCTTACCCATACAAACTAATTTAATGAGCAAAAACCCCAACTACTTTTTTGTTGTTGTTGATAAAATTTTAGCTGGTTATTTTTAAGACTGTCTCTTTAGGAATTGTTTCTATTTTATTTCTAGGTTAAGGGTGGTATGAGCACAGTAGGTCATTTGGCATTTGTAGTCTATAGTATGAGATCTTTCCTATAAGTGAAACACAAAGGAATAATCCTGAGCAACCCATGTCTCTCTGTATCTTGAGAATACTTTGTATATATTCTTCAATGCTATATACTGTATTTTAAAGATTAATTATAATGCTGACTAATTTATTCAATAAACTTCTGTGTGCTAGGTCTTCATGCTGAGTGCTAAATGCTAAAAGAAACAAAGCTTAATAAACCACAGATCCATCCACCAAAGAACATACAGCCTGTTGAGGAAAGACAGACAAGTAAACAGGCAGTTACATTTGAGTTTGTTCATTCAACAACCATTTGAATGCGAACAATGAGCCTGGCACTGTAGTGACATACCAATGAGTAAAACAGACCCGGTCTCTGCTTTTAAGGGGCTCACAAAGTAAAGAGGAATATAATGACTCTGGTAAAAATATAGAGGGTACTGTGGGAGTATGGAGGAAGGGCACCTAACTTTTAGGGGTAAGGTAAGTGAGAACACATGGTATTTGGTATTCTGGTTCCTGCACTAATTCGTTTAGGATAATTGGCCTCCAGCTGCATCCATGTTGCTGCAAAGGACATGATTTCGTTGTTTTTTATGGCTGTGACTATTTCTCCTGGAGGTTTTTATCCCTTTCTTCTTCTTCTTAGTTTTTTTTTTTTTTTTTTTTTTTTGAGACGGAGGCTGGTGTTTTTGATGAGGTTGAAGAATTGTTGAAGTTTAGTTACTATATGCAATGACCTTGGAACGATAAGAGATGGTTGGAGAGTGGAGGCTTGAATTAAATTAGAGGAGGAGCTGTAGTTACCAGTAATATTACAGTGTAAGGAATGCATATGAGAATGGATAATTGAGGTACCAGAGGGTACGAGATCCTTTCAAGGGAGGTCAAGGAATTGAGACACAGTAAGGATTTTGAAGTGAACATCCACATAGTTATATATATCTATTATACATACATACATACATATATACACATACCCCTCACAAAGAATTACCGCAAGAGTGATTCCACAGTAGTGTTGTAGTAGTAAGTAGTTTTGGAGAGAGTGATAGCAGCCCTAGTACTAAAATCTTTAATCTATGAGTGAGGGGTTGAATTCTTCATATTAGGCTGCACAGGGACATCAGTGGTTTAATATGTTAACTCTTGCAAATATCACATTTCATTAAACAGATGCTTTTACGTTTTATGTTGTTAAAGTGAGATTTCTAATTGCTTCTCTCTGACCTCTCAAATTACGATGGTAACTGCCTTCTTTTACAGGAAATGCCCATCTGTCTGTATTATAAACCAGACACATGCCAGGTTTTCCAATTTAAATGACAGTGCTTTAAAACTTGTCATAGACTACTCTGTCCTACCTCCAATGTGTATTTCAAGTAGATACATCTACAGATGCTAGCTCTGCCACATCAAACAATGCACAGTGAATGTTCAAAATCTACATTAAAAACCTTGGTTATAAAGAGCTAGATACCCTGTTTTACATGATGTGATTATTACACATTGCATGCCTGTATTAGAACATCTCATATACCCCATAAATATATACATCTACTGTGTATGCACAAAAATTAATATTATTATTATTTTTGAGATGGAGTCTTGCTCTGTCAACCAGGCCAGAGAGCAGTGGTGCAGTCTCGGCTCACTGCAACTTCCGCCTCCCTGGTTCAAGCGATTCTCCTGCCTCAGCCTCCCGAGTAGCTGGGACTACAGGTGCCCACCACCACACCCGCCTAATTTTTTTATTTTTAGTAGAGACAGGGTTTCACCGTGTTAGCCAGGATGGTCTCGATCTCCCGACCTCGTGATCTGCCCGCCTCGGCCTCCCAAAGTGCTGGGATTACAGGCATGAGCCACTGCGCCCGGCTCTTTCTTCTTTCTTAAGTTGCTTAGTTTTATCTCTCTCTCTCTCTTTTTTCTGAGACTGGATCTCATTCTTTCACTAAGGCTGGAGTGCAGCGACGCGATGATAGCCCACTGCAGCCTCAATCTCCCAGGCTCCCACCTCAGCCTCCTGAGTAGCTGGGACTACAGATGTGCACCAGTACTCCTGGCTAATTTTTTTTACTTAAGGTAGAGACAAAGTCTCACAATGTTGCCTGGCCTGGTCTCAAAACTCCTGAGCTCAAGCCATCCTCCTGCCTCAGTTCCCAAAATGCTGGGATTACAGATGTGAGCCACCACACCTGGTGGTTGCTTAGTTTTCTCTATATCTATCACCATTACATCTCCGTATTTTCCACCAGAGTTGTGAAATTTTGTTCAAAAGGTTCAGACATATTAGGTAATCCATCATTTCCATTTTATTTTCTTGGAGATATCCCTTCTAGAGCCTTCCATCCTCTAGTGTGCTCTCCAGGCCTGCTACACAGCTGACTTCCTGGAACCTCCCTTCACCTTCACCTAGGGCAGGGGTGTCCAATCTTTTGGCTTTCCTGGGCCACACTGGAAGAAGAATTGTCTTGGGCCACACATAAAATACACTAACAATAGCTGATGAGCTAAAAAAAAAATCACAAAAAAGTATGTTTTAAGAAAGTTTACAAATTTGTGATGGGCCACATTCAAAGTCATCCTGGGCCACACACCACGGGTTGGAAAAGCTTGATCTAGAGAATTCTCTTTGTTTTCTGCTTTGTCGGAGTTCTGGTTTACCAGATCCCATGTTTTTCTGTTTCTCTTTTTCTCTTTTTTGAGACGGACTCTCACTCTGTCACCCAGGCTGGAGTACAGAGGCATAATCTCCGCTCACTGCAGCCTCCGCCTCTCAGGTTCAAGTGATTCTCCTGCCTCCGCCTCTCAAGTAGTTGGGAATACAGGCATGTGCCACCACATCGGCTATTTTTTTTTTTTTTTTGTATTTTTGGTGGAGACGGGGTTTCACCATATTGGCCAGGCTGGTCTCAAACTTCTGGCCTAAAGTGATCCACCTGCCTCAGCCTCCCAAAGTTCTGAGATTACAGGTGTGAGCCACTGTGCCCAGCCACATGTTTTTCTGTTTCTTGATATACACCTTTACTTGGATGGAGTTCTCCTTCTAGCAGTTTCCTGAGTGAGAAGAGTATATGGAAGTTAAAATTTTTGTGAATTTCTTGATTTTGACATGTTTTCTGGCTTTCTGTACTGCTTTTATTTCCTCCAAGTTCTTTTTTTTTTTTTTTCTTTTTTGAGACGGAGTTTCGCTCTTGTTTCCTAGGCTGGAGTGTAGTGGCGTGACCTCAGCTCACTGCAACCTCCGCCTCCTGGGTTCAAGCAATTCTCGGCTTCAGCCTCCCAAGTAGCTGGGATTACAGGTGTGTGCCACCACGCGCAGCTACTTTTTTGTATTTTTAGTAGAGATGGGGTTTCACCATGTTGGCCAGGCTGGTCTCGAACTCCTGACCTCTGGTGACCCACCCACCTTGGCCTCCCAAAGTGCAGGGATTACACCACACCTGGCCTCTAAAGCTCTTTTTTTTCTTTTCTTGTTTGTTCATTGTAGGTTCTGTCTTTCATGTAAGGAGGTTTCTTCAAATAAATGGAGATCATCAACTGTTCACCACATTTAAGAATGAGGTGATATCTGGGCATCGTGGCTCATGCCTGTAGTCCCAGCTACTTGGGAGGCTGAGGCAGGAGGATCTTTATTATTATTATTATTGTTATCATTATACTTTAAGTTCTAGGGTACATGTGTACAATGTGCAGTCTGATACATAGGTATACATGTGCCATGTTGGTTTGCTGCACCCATCAACTCATCATTTACATTAGGTATACCTCCTAATGCTATCCCTCCCGACAGGCCCTGGTGTATGATGTTCCCCGCCCTGTGTCCAAATGTTCTCATTGTTCAATTCCCATCTATGAGTGAGAACGTGCGGTGTTTGGTTTTCTGTCCTTGTGATAGTTTGCTGAGAATGATGGTTTCCAGCTTCATTCATGTCCCTGCAAAGGACATGAACTCATCCTTTTTATGGCTGCATAGCATTCCATGGTGTATATGTGCCACATTTTCTTAATCCAGTCTATCACTGATAGACACTTCGGTTGGTTCTAAGTCTTTGCTATTGTGAATAGTGCCGCAATAAACATACGTGTGTGTATGTCTTTATAGTAGCATGATTTACAATTCTTTGGGTATATACCCAATAATGGGATTGCTGGGTCAAATGGTATATCTAGTTCTAGATCCTTGAGGAATTGCGACATTGTCCTCCACAATGGTTGAACTAATTTACACAGGCAGGAGGATCATTTGAGGCCAGGAGTTTGAGGTCAGCCTGTGCAACACAGAGATACCCCATCTATAAAAAACTTGTTAAATTTGTATTATTTTTAGAGAGGGTCTCACTCTGTTAACCAGACTGGAGTACAGTGGTGCAATCACAGTTCACTGCAGCCCCAAACTCCTGGCTCAAATTATCCTCCAGCCTCAGCCTCCCAAGTAGCTAGGACTACAGGTGTGTACCACCAGGCCCAGCCAATTTTTTATTATTTTTCGTAGAGGTGGGATCTCACTATGTTGCCCAGGCTGGTCTTGAACTCCTGGGCTCAAGTGATCCTCTCACCTCAGCCTCCTAAAGTGTTGGGATTACAGGTGTTAGCCAGTGCGCCCAGTCAAAATTTTTCAAATAAAAGAATGAGGCAATAAAATGTTGATGAGAGCCTCTGTAGGTACAATCAGGGATTGCTGACTATTGGGCTGACTGTAAAAGACAGTCAACAAGCCACACTCTTCACCATGGGATCCCCAAACCTCAATATTTGGAGACCTCTTCTCTTGGAGCAGCTGGTTTTCCCCTAAGAAGCTTCCAGTCTCTTGAAAGGATCCCAGCATTCCAGGATCTGAATTTGTGAATGAAGCTGGGGGAAAGGGGTCTGCCTTATAATTTAATATGCACAACTTCACTTAATTCTGCTTTTCTGTGTAGTGAGTCACCCCTGTCTTCAGCTCTGCCTGGTGCCTAAGAGAGCTCTGAGTGAACCTCTCCAGAAAGTAAACCATCTATCTTCCGGTGAATTTGGGCAGCATGGAATGGAGTAGGGAATATAGGGGAGGCAGGATCTCATTCTCTTTAGAAAACATTCACAGTGAATTCTCCTTTTTAGCCTTGCTCTCCTTCTGCTTTCGGAGAGAAAGCAGCTGTAGTTTTAGAGCCTTTCCAGGGTGCTGTGACATGGATAGGCTCACTTCTGGCTAGTTCTGCCTTCTCCCAAAAGCTGAAGTAGTCACTTTGGCAGCTTTGGTAAGTCAGTGATCACTCATCCATCTGCTTTCCACGTTTCTAAGTTTTGTTGGCATTTTATTCAGCGGGGATCTCTTTCCCTGTTTGCTTTTTCTTTATAGATTTATATCTTTTTTATTCCTTTACTGTCATTTTAATGAGGTCTCTGGAATAAGTGGAGACAAACGTATGTTCAATGCACTATGCTTAACCAGAAGTCCCCTTGCCACTGGGTCTTAACATGTACATATGCAATGAACATTTTCTAAGTAGGAAAAGTCCATGTATAGTTAAAGCAATTCCATAATAATTAGAAATAAGTATGATAATAGAATAACCATACCTAACTTAATGCTTATATGTACTTGCAGTCTTTAGAATGGTTGTGTGTGTGTGTGTGTGTGTGTGTGTGTGTGTGTAACGTGTCTTATCCTCACAATAACCTCATAATTCTACCCCTAGCAATCTTATATAACATGGTACATCATTTCCCAAGCTACAGGTAATCTTATTTTCAATTTATCAGGTCTTTAGCCAATCCCTACTTACTGTTAACTTAAGCTATAACTGAAGTTTTAATTTTTTAATTTTTAATTTTAATTTTTGGGCCGGGTACTGTGGCTCATGCCTATAATCCCAGCACTTTGGGAGGCTGAGGTGGGTGGATGACTTGAGGTCAGGAGTTCGTAACTAGCCTGGCCATCATGGTGAAATCCTGTCTCTACTAAAAATACAAAAAATAGTCAGGTGTGGTGGCATGCACCTGTAGTCCCAGCTACTCGGGAGGCTGAGGCAGGAGAATCGCTTGAACCAGGGAGGCGGAAGTTGCAGTGAGCCGAGACTGCACCACTGCACTCTGGCCTGGTTGACAGAGCAAGACTCCATCTCAAAAATAATAATAATTTTAATTTTTGTGTGTATACAGTAGATGTATATATTTATGGGGTATATGAGATGTTCTGATACAGGCATGCAATGTGTAATAATCACATCATGTAAAACAGGGTATCTAGCTCTTTATAACCAAGGTTTTTAATGTAGATTTTGAACATTCACTGTGCATTGTTTGATGTGGCAGAGCTAGCATCTGTAGATGTATCTACTTGAAATACACATTGGAGGTAGGACAGAGTAGTCTATGACAAGTTTTAAAGCACTGTCATTTAAATTGGAAAACCTGGCATGTGTCTGGTTTATAATACAGACAGATGGGCATTTCCTGTAAAAGAAGGCAGTTACCATCGTAATTTGAGAGGTCAGAGAGAAGCAATTAGAAATCTCACTTTAGCAACATAAAACGTAAAAGCATCTGTTTAATGAAATGTGATATTTGCAAGAGTTTAACATATTAAACCACTGATGTCCCTGTGCAGCCTAATTTGAAGAATTCAACCCCTCACTCATAGATTAAAGATTTTAGTACTAGGGCTGCTATCACTCTCTCCAAAACTACTCACTACTACAACACTACTGTGGAATCACTCTTGCGGTAATTCTTTGTGAGGGGTATGTGTATATATGTATGTATGTATGTATAATAGATATATATAACTATGTGGATGTTCACTTCAAAATCCTTACTGTGTCTCAATTCCTTTACCTCCTTTCAAAGGATCTTGTACCCTCTGGTACCTCAATTATCCATTCTCATATGCATTCCTTACACTGTAATATTACTGGTAACTACAGCTCCTCCTCTAATTTAATTCAAGCCTCCACTCTCCAACCATCTCTTATCGTTCCAAGGTCATTGCATATAGTAACTAAACTTCAACAATTCTTCAACCTCATCAAAAACACCAATTCAGTCACTCTACCGTCTTTCCACCATTCTTCACTCCTCTCATAGCTTTACTTCTTACCACTTCTGAAATTATAAGGCCTCCTTTGCCTCTACCACCACCAACTCTGCCCTTATCTTCCCCTTATACTTGCCTGGTCAAATCTCAGTCCTGGTTACTGCCAAAACTGCCTACTCAGTGCCTGCACATGAGCAACTGAATATGGCTAGAGAAAATTGCATAACCAAGTGGCTAGCCTCACTATAAATTCATGACCACTTATTCAATGGGGCTCTTAGTAATGCCTGGAAACTTTACCATGTTCTTTAGTCAGTTCACTCTCCCTCACTCATAAACTCTGATTTCACCTCCCTTCTCTCTTTTTTTCTCAATACTTTCCGTTAAGGACTACATTACCTAGAGTAGGCTAAACTGCTATAACAAATAGACTGCAAAATGTTATGGCTCCAACTCAATAGAAATATATCTTGCTCACATAATTGGGTGTCCAGGTCAGTGGGTAGCTCTCCTTCATCCAGGCACCTTCTTTCTTGTGGCTCTGCCAACCCCAGAGGCTTGTGGTCATCTGCATAATTGAATCAGAGTCACCGTGTCCAGGGTCCAGCTGGCAGAAAGGAAAATGTATGAAAGAGGCACAAGTACTCTCAAAGTAAACGCCTTGGCCTGACAGTGGCAGACATAACATCTGCTCATGTTCTATAACTTAATACTTGACCATATGCAACTGAAAGAGAGGCTGAGAAAAGCAGTCTGTGTTTTCAGGGAGAAGGGGAGACTAAATTATGATGGACAATTAGCAGTCTGCCAAAATGATCTTGTTCCTCACTTTGCTGAGAAAATAGAAGCAACTGGAAGAGAACTACTTTCTCCCACTGTCCAATCTATCTACTTATCTCGACATGTCCCATATACGTGGGAACTGGGGAAGAGGGGATGGATCCCTAGACTAACCTTGACCAGAAAGGGGATCTTTCTTCCCAGGCTTTCAATGAGAACAATGTGGTCTTAAAGACCCTACTACCTAATCACAAAGTGCAAACATACCTTCTTTCCTTGTGCTTTTCAACCTCTGTGGTTTTGGATATTGTTGAGCAACACTCCTTCCAGCCCCGTTTTTGTGAAAGTCCAATTTACCTTGTCTTGATGATTCTGCATTACCCTATTCTCCTCCCATTTTCTGCTCCACCCCCTTTCTTTGCTGGCTTGGCTCACCTAGATCAGAGCTTCTCAAACTTTTTGATGTGGCACAAATCTCTTCGGGTTCTTGTTAAGTTGAAGATGCTGGTTCAGCAGGTCTGGGGTGGAGCCTGAGATTCTGAGTTTCCAACTAAGGTCCTCATGTCAGTGCTGCTGGGCCACTGACCACGTTTTGAGCAGCGAGACTCTGAAGAGGGTGTTTTCCAAGATTCTGACTTTGTTTTCTTCTTTTATCTCACAGCAATATCACTCCTAGGCTGATTATCTATGAGTCTATTTTCTAGCTCAGTCCTCTTTCCCATATTACAAAACCTTTATTTCTAACTTATTAGTGTCCATGTCCGTCTGGCTGTCTTGACAACCCTTTGAATTCTTAAAATGTCTAAATCTAAACTGATCTTCTCTCAAGAAGTAGCTCCTTCTCCTTTCCTTTGTAATTGTCTCTTTTCTCTCTTGCAATTATCTAGAAACTCAAAACCTCCACTTTCTTTGATTTCTCTCTTCCTACCCACAATTAATCAATCAGTTAGCAAATTCTATAGATTCTGCATGCACATCATCTCTCAACTATGCTCTTTAAATTCCCCTGGCTGTCCCTTTAGGTCAGACTCATCATTACCTTTTACCTGGCCTACAGTAGATCTGTCAGTTTTTCCACCTCTGATTTCTGCTTCCCTTCACAGATAAATCACTAGCATAAAGAAAAAAAAAACCTTCCTTTTCTTCCCCCAAACTTCTGAACCATAAAAACTCAAAATACTGAATTAAATATAAATTCATCCATTTGGTATCTTAGGCCCCATACTCCTTTGTCTTTTCTACCTCTCAACATACCTGGAGTCTTTGCTCTTTCCCCAACACAACTTTCACTGATTCGCCTTCATATATATTCTCATGCTATCCCTTCTTGCTGTAAAACTCTCCCTGTCTCCTTCAAGGTCAATCCCAAATGCCTACTCCTTCATGCTGCGTTTCTTTCCTTATCCCCAAGACAGATATACACGGTTCTTTGATTCCCGGCAGTACTCTGCCACTTTTCACGTGGCACCTATCATGGTTTGTCTTTTATTGTCTGTTTTATCTTTGTTTCATTCCTTACTTCTTTGAAGGCAAAGGTATCTTCAACTCCCCTCTAACTCTGAAGCATCTTACCTGTGGGGCGTCTAATATTAGTTGAATCAGGGGGATTTATGGAGATAATGGGATGCGCTGGAAGCCAGTACAGCTGGGTGCCGGCTCTGCCGTTTATTAGCTGTGAGGTTTTGGGTAAGTCACTTAACTTCGCCTGTAAAATTAGTCCACTACGACCTGATGGAGAACCAAGGGAGATAACGTCAAAGCGCCCTGCAACTCTACAGGGAACTGAGCAATGTTAGTTATTTTCCTTACAGAGATCTGATGCACTCTTGCTACTGGAATCTTGACTTGCAGGACCATCCCTACTTCATTGCCTGGAGGTCGAACCCCAAGTTGCAGGGAACCCAAGCTACCAGGTCCCACTGCCCTTTTCCACTCCAGGGACCTCTAACTGCTCTCCGCGACGCAGGTGATCCTGCCTTGCTGCGGGGGAGTGGCCTGGAGTCTCATTCCCTCGGGAGGCCTCCCTCCTTCCACCCGCTTGAGGAGAGCCCTTCTCTTCCCTGTGACCCCGAAGACCGTGGCGCCGCCGCCCACGTGAGGCGTTTGGACCCTGCCCGGCCCCCGTAGCTCCCTTTCTCCAGCAGGTGGTTCTGGTCCTCTCCCCCAACTCGGGCGCTCACGTCACCGGCGAACCTCTAACCAGCGCCAGCGCCGCTACCAACCGGGAAAATAAACAAACCCCCGCGCTCGGCGGACGCGCCAGGCCCCGCCCCCGCCCCGAGGCTCTCACGCCGCCCCCTCCGCCCGGGCTTCCCGCTACCCTCCGCCCGCCTGCTCGCAGCTGCGCTCTTCCCGCCCCTCACCGCGGCCTGCAGCCGCGCTCACCGCCGCAGTCCGCCCCGGCGCCCCGGGACCCGTTAGTGCCCAGCCTGTGGGCCGACCGCGACCCCCGCCCGGCGCGAGCCTGCCCCCAGCTCTGCCGACACTTGACCCAGACCAGTCCCAACGCCCAGTGCGGCCGCCTGGGGAGCCGCGGGAGAGGCGGCGGCGGGGGGAGGAGGGAGAGGAGGGCCGAGCCGGCGGCCCGGGAGGCCCGGTGAGTACGCGGAGGCGGGCCCGCCTCGCGGGTGTCCGCTCCGGAACCCCGGAGGCGTAAGCAGCGGCTCGACAGCGCTCCCCTCGGCTCCTAGGGTGGCGGGGACTCGGCCTGAGGCGACGGGCCCCACTGGCCGGAGCCGCTGGGCAGAGGGCACGGGAGGGCCGCTCCGCGGAAGGGGCCGCGGCCCTACGCTCGGCGCAAGGCTCGGGGCGGCGGGGAGGGACTCGCACCCGACTCCCAGGCCGGCGACCGCTGAGCCTCCCGAGACTCCGTGGGGGCCGCTCGAGTGACAGGTGCCACCGTCCCCTCACCGCCGCTGGCGCCCGCACTCCCTCCCGGGGAGCCAGGCGCTCGGAAATTTCTGGAGCAACGACCTGACTCGTTGTTTTCTCCCTTTCAGGTTTTGAAGCCGCTTCTCTGGCCGAGTTAGGTTTCGCCCAGCGCAATTTCTTTCTCTATGTACTTTGCGAATAAGTTTCGGAGCATCGGTTAACAGCCTATGGGTGAAATTTGGCTTTCATTCATGAATGAGGTATAGTGAATTACTTTTTGAATATAGTGCTCCTCGTCCTCCCCCGCCAGCTATTGAAAAGTGATTTTTTTTTCTGTTATTGTTTGGAACAGCCTTACCGAATTTTTGTCAGATTTCGAGCATTAAGGTGCTTCATAAATATTGAACAGTAACGACAAAAATAGTTTATCAAATTGGCTGATTGCCTTTTCTCTTCCTCCTCTTTTTCACTCTTTACCTTCGCCAGATTTTTCAGAGTAGATGCTAATGCTTTCATTAGAAGGACTAATGAAAGATCGTCTGTCTTACACTAAAAAGCTGGAGACACTTTTCTTCAACATTTAGCATTGCCTGTTGTGTAGTAAATGTGCTTGGGATTGTAACTGGAATCACTTAATAAATGTGACTTGTAGCTATAAAAATATTTGAGAAGCTTTTTGGCAAATTAAAATATTAAAGATCTTCATACAAATCTAGATTTCTTTTCTCAACAGATTTATAACACTATAGTAGCTTCAATTCTGGAGTAAGAGCAAAACCCAGAAGTTGACCAAAAGAACCTTGTGTGAAAATAGATGTATTTTACTCGTGGGAGAATCCCTCAGGTCCTCACTGAGTACCTGCTTGTATTTTTTTGTTTAACTTTCTTGGCCTACAGAAAGTGGGAGCTGCAGATTGGAGAGGGGTCTCAGTACTTAACTGTGAGGAAAAAATGGAGTTTGGGGCATACCCATTGGGTTTACATCACTTACAGTAAGTGTGTTTGGAGCAGAGTTTTAGTATGCACTTCACACTTGCTGATTGTGAACTGTATTTTTTTTTTTCCCTGAGGCGGAGTTTTGCTCTTGTTGCCCAGGCTGGAGTGTAATGGCACGATCTCGGCTCACAGCACCTTCTGCCTTCCAGGTTCAAGCAACTCTCCTGCCTCAGCCTCCTGAGTAGCTGGGATTACAGGCGCCTGGCTAATTTTTTTTTTTTTTTTTTGTATTTTTAGTACAGATGGTGTTTCGCCTTGTTGGCCAGCCTGGTCTGGAACTCCTGACCTTGTGATCCGCCCGCCTCTGCCTCCCAAAGTGCTGGGATTACAAGTGTGAGCCACCACACCTGGCCTGTGAACGCTAATTTTTAAGAAGCCAAAGTGAAAGATACTGTTTGGTTATTTGAAGAACAGAACATGAAATAACACAATTTTTTATTTCACCAGGTGTTAAATCAGTGATACTTGGTGCCATTTCATATTACGCTCAGTTAATTTCAATCTAAGTTATATTTCAGTGAGGCCACACTAATTGGCATCTACATTAATACCTTTTTTTGGTCAGGCTAATTGGTAGTGTTAATAGAAGATGGCTATCATTCATCTCATAAAAAGTGATATATTTGGTTGTTCTTGATTTAAGGATTTTATATATATAATTGTGTGTGTGTGTGTGTGTGTGTTTTGAAGCTCCCTAATTGTGGTCTTCTGGACTGAGATATGGCTGCTGCTGTCTGTCTTGATTCTAGTGAGGTCATAGTGTAGAGGGTAAGGTCATAATGGCAATGTGCCTCCAAACCTTGATAGAGGCCAAGACTACCAGCCACTTAGGAATTCTTCTGCTTGGGTCAGGCTTGGTGGTGCATGCCTGTAATCCCAGCACTTTGGGAGGCCGAGGCTAGAGGATTGCTTGAGCTTAGGAGTTTGAGATCAGCCTGGGCAACGTGGTGAGACCCCATGTATACACAAAGAGAAAAAAAAAGAAGTTCTCCTGCTTGTAGCTTAGGCTATTCATTTTTAGAAGAGTTTACGTAAGCAACCGATGCATCCTAATTCTCTTAAATTAACACTTTTGTTTTTTGTTTTTTTGAGACAGTCTCTCGCTCTGTTGCCAGGCTGGAATGTGGTGGCGCAATCTTGGCTCACTGCAACTTCTACCTCCCTGGTTCAAGCGATTCTCCTGCCTCAGCCTCCCGAGTAGCTGGGACTACAGGCGTGCGCCACCACTCGCAGCTAGTTTTTGTATTTTTAATAGAGATGGGGTTTCACTACGTTGGCCAGGATGGTCTCGATCTCTTGACCTTGTGATCCGCCCGCCTTGGCCTCCCAAAGTGCTGGGATTACAGGCGTAAGCCACCATGCCCAGCTGGCGTAAATCAACACTTTAAAACCATATATGCTTCCTAGACAAAATTGGTTGGGGCAGTTAGTTTGTTAGAATAGTACTTACCGTAATGAAACAACTTTGAACTGCTAATAATTGCTCATGCACATCTGCATTATGGGAATTGAGGATTGTCTATTGTGCACTTCACATATTTCTTTTTCTACTTGTAGAGCACATTTTTCACTGCATAGACAGCTGTGTACTTGAAGAATGTAAACATGAAGAAAACACTGAGTTCAATAAATGTGTCTTCTATGTGCCAGGTCCTGTGGTATTTGTAAGGGATAGAAACTTGTCTTTCAGGATCTTGAAATCAGGATCATAGGGCTAGACACAACAATAAAGAGAATTTTTTTGGAGTCCATTCAATAATAGTAAGTTTAAAGTATGGAAATATTACCGAGGAGGGAATGTTTGACTTCAGGAACAGGTCAGAGAACGCTTCACAGATATGCTAGCACCTGAGCAGGATTTTGAGGAATAAATGGAAGTTTTCAGTGGAAGAGATAGATGGCATTGTAGATAAAAGAGAACAGCATAGTTAAAGATATGAACAAGTAAACTGTGTGTTCAAGAAATTTCAAGTTGTTTTTTCTTGGAGTACATGCAAAATCTGAAGAAAGAGGGTTGCTAGAGAAAGCCCTAACGCATGCTATTACATTTAATAAGTCAAATAGTTGGCTTTTTGGGTATGAAGTATATGTAAAATAGAGACTGTTATATTTTTGACACTGCTGCCATCTTTTTTTTTTCTTTTTCTTTTTTGACAAAGAGTCTCAGGCTGTCACCCAAGGTGTAGTGCAGTGGCACAATCACTGCTCACTACAGCCTCGACCCCCAGGCTCAGGTGATCCTCCCACCTTAGCCTCTCAAGTAGCTGGGACCACAGTCGTGCACCGCTATGCCTGCTAACTGTTGTACATTTTGTAGAGAAGGGGTTTTGCCATGTTTCCCTGGCTGATCTTGAACTCCCGGGCTCAAGCAATCTGCTGCCCACCTCAGCCCTTCCAAAGTACCAGGATTACAGGCATGAACCACCATGTCTGGCCTGCTGCCATCTTAAGTATAAATTAATAGTTTTTACTAGTGGTAGTCATTACATTATGGAAGAGAGTAGAAGATATATTTATGGTGAACTGCCTGCATATTGAGAATGTGTGTTTATTTCACATTTTGCCCTGAAACATTTCTGTTTTTAAAATTATCTTGTGAATTTATTTTGTCTTCCTTCAACTATGCATTATCCTTGAAATTAGTTTTATCATTTATTTTATGAGATAGGGTTTTGCTATGTTGCCTGGGCTGGTCCCAAACTCCTGGACTTAAGTGATCTCATGCTTCAGTCTCCCAAGTTGCTAAAATTACAGGTGTGCACCACTGAGCCAAGATATCCTTGAAATTATTTTTCAAAGGAACTCAAAGGGAAGAGGGGGAAAATGTAAATAAAATAATCATTAGATTTCTGCACCAAAAACCTGATTTGTGTAGTATTTTAATAATATGTAAATGTTTAATATACAGTATTAGCCACCATATTCATAGACTAATGTATGTAACTTAATTGGCAGTCCATTGTATTTTCATTTGCATTGTATGCCTTAATTATATTATGTGTATATAAATGTCTGAGCATAGAAGCATCTAAATTTTAAAGACCAAGTGTATTTGAAAGAGAAAAAGTATAGAGAGGGAGGGAGAAGAGCTGTGTTTGAATCTATTTATCCTAACATCTCTTAGATGTGACTGTATGTGGAGATGCAGAAGTTTAGGACACAAGACTGAAGGAATACTAACCCTAGCCATGACCTGAAATATAGTATCTTTTAAAAGCCTAATGTTTTCGTAGTCTTCCTATTTATTTCTTCTTATCAAGATTAAAAAAAAAAGTTACGGAGGAATTCCCGGATTGCAAAACATGACTATCTTTTTGAAAATTCTGAAAAATTAGTTAACGAGGATAATGTTCTCTTAAAAGTATGCAACATATTAGTCTTCGATAGTTGCTCTCTGTCATTTGACTTGTCCATCACTGATGTGAATGGCCAAAGGCGTCTCATTGTCAATTCTGACCTGTAGTTGCCCTTTCTAAATTTTGACACAGGGCAAAAAAATCAATATTGTATTGATTACATTATGCTTAACTTTTTCAACTTGAGTATAGATAACCATTTTTTCTTTTTGAGATTTTTTTTTTTTAAGAACTAATATCATTGTAGAGCCGGGCATGGTGGCTCATTCCTGTAATCCCAGCACTTTGGGAGGCTGAGGTAGGAGGATTGCTTGAGCCTAGGGGTTCAAGACCAGCCTGGGCAACATGGCAAAACCCTGTCTCTGCAAAAAATTAGCCAGGCATGGTGTCACGTGCCTGTAGTCCCAGGTACTCCGGAGGCCAAGGTGGGAGAATCACCTGAGACCAGGAAGTTGAGGCTGCAGTGAGCCGTGATCACACCACTGCTCCAGCCTTGGTGTGGGAGTAAGACCCTGTCTCAAAAAAAAAAATATGTGTGTGTGTGTGTGTGTGTGTGTGTGTGTGTGTATGTGTATATATATGTATGTGTGTATATATATATGTATATAGTCATTGTAGAATATTTGGGGAAATAGTAAAAACTATAGAAAGGAAAATAAGCATAGTGAGTAATCCCATGCATTTCTTTCTTCATTTTGGTATGTGTATGAATAATAGACATATTTACAAATTGGGGATTATTTTCATATTAAGTTTTATTCCCTTCTTTCATTTAAAATTACATTTCCTTCTCTTCTACTTCTGAAGTACTGGTCATTGTACCTTTTGACATAGCATGTAGATTTCTGTCAAGGCTGTTGAAGTAGATGATGTGTTGATATGTTGGCTATTTTTTTTTTAAGTATAGCATAGCTCAGATGATTGAACCCTTCCAGTTGTTTCATCTCCTATCCCCTTAGCTGCAGATTAAGTAGTGCTATTTTTTGTCTTTAATATTTACTGTTATGTAAAGTATAATATAATGGGAAGTGGCTGCACTATCTTACTCTTTTTTTTTTTTTTTTCTTTTTTTATTATTATTGTTATACTTTAAGTTTTAGGGTACATGTGCACATTGTGCAGGTTAGTTACATATGTATACATGTGCCATGCTGGTGTGCTGCACCCACTAACGTGTCATCTAGCATTAGGTATATCTCCCAATGCTATCCCTCCCCCGTCCCCCGACCCCACCACAGTCCCCAGAGTGTGATATTCCCCTTCCTGTGTCCATGTGATCTCATTGTTCAATTCCCACCTATGAGTGAGAATATGCGGTGTTTGGTTTTTTGTTCTTGCGATAGTTTACTGAGAATGATGGTTTCCAATTTCATCCATGTCCCTACAAAGGACATGAACTCATCATTTTTTATGGCTGCATAGTATTCCATGGTGTATATGTGCCACATTTTCTTAATCCAGTCTATCATTGTTGGACATTTGGGTTGGTTCCAAGTCTTTGCTATTGTGAATAATGCCGCAATAAACATACGTGTGCATGTGTCTTTATAGCAGCATGATTTATAGTCATTTGGGTATATACCCAGTAATGGGATGGCTGGGTCAAATGGTATTTCTAGTTCTAGATCCCTGAGGAATCGCCACACTGACTTCCACAGTGGTTGAACTAGTTTACAGTCCCACCAACAGTGTAAAAGTGTTCCTATTTCTCCACATCCTCTCCAGCACCTGTTGTTTCCTGACTTTTTAATGATTGCCATTCTAACTGGTGTGAGATGATATCTCATAGTGGTTTTGATTTGCATTTCTCTGATGGCCAGTGATGATGAGCATTTTTTCATGTGTTTTTTGGCTGCATAAATGTCTTCTTTTGAGAAGTGTCTGTTCATGTCCTTCGCCCACTTTTTGATGGGGTTGTTTGTTTTTTTCTTGTAAACTTGTTTGAGTTCATTGTAGATTCTGGATATTAGCCCTTTGTCAGATGAGTAGGTTGCGAAAATTTTCTCCCATGTTGTAGGTTGCCTGTTCACTCTGATGGTAGTTTCTTTTGCTGTGCAGAAGCTCTTTAGTTTAATTAGATCCCATTTGTCAATTTTGGCTTTTGTTGCCATTGCTTTTGGTGTTTTGGACATGAAGTCCTTGCCCAAGGCTACAGTAACCAAAACAGCATGGTACTGGTACCAAAACAGAGATATAGATCAATGGAACAGAACAGAGCCCTCAGAAATAATGCCGCATATCTACAACTATCTGATCTTTGACAAACCTGAGAAAAACAAGCAATGGGGAAAGGATTCCCTATTTAATAAATGGTGCTGGGAAAACTGGCTAGCCATATGTAGAAAGCTGAAACTGGATCCCTTCCTTACACCTTATACAAAAATCAATTCAAGATGGATTAAAGATTTAAACGTTAGACCTAAAACCATAAAAACCCTAGAAGAAAACCTAGGCATTACCATTCAGGACATAGGCGTGGGCAAGGACTTATCTTACTCTTTTTTTGCACTTTACCCTGATCAAACAAGGGGTCATTAAAGGAGCATTTCCCCCTTTCCATTTTACCCTTTTAGAAGTTAAGACATGTTAACACATAGGTTGCTGATGTGACACAGCATAAGTAGCTGCTTTACCAGAAAAATAATTTTGTCTTTTGAGTGTTTGTCATTGGTTCTTTTCTTGATTAACAGTATTTGTCATAATACTTTCTGTTTGCTTTTTGTTTCTTTTGTTACTTTTTTTCATTCATTCAAGAAACATTTATTATCTATTGTATGCCCACTATTTAAGATATAGTCTCAACTGTGACTCTTGGGTTTCTGGTAGATAGGTATTTTCCTTCTGTAGTATGTTATGTGTAATCTTTAGGTCTTTGACTCTTTTCAGTGGCTGACCACTCACCTACTACTCAATGCCTAAAAACTTTTTTATTTCAAAGATTAAAGCCTTAGCTTATATAGGGGCCAGATGTTGATAAAGTTTCAAAACACTTTGCAATGGAGTCAGGCATGCTTAGTCAAATTTTTAAATAGTTTGTACCAATTCTCCTATGCCTCATAGCACCTCATGGCACATTTCAGTCTAATAATAATAGTAAGAACACCCATAAATGCTTATATAGTCATGTGCTGCATTAACTATGTTTTGTTTTGGTCAATGATGGACATATATAAAGCGGTATTTTTATTGTACCTTTTCTTTAGATATACAAATACTTACCATTGTGTTACAGTTGCCTCCAATACAGTCACAGGCTGTACAGATTTGTAGCCTAGAAGCAATAGGCCATACCATGTAGCCTAGGTGGATAGTAGGCTGTACCAGTTAGGCTTGTGTAAGTACACTGTGTGATACTCATACAATGATGAAATCACCTAATGATGCATTTCTCACAACGTATCCCCATCATTAAGTGATGCTTGAGTATATTGAATGCTTCTGGCTACTATTCTAAGTGCTTTATATATTAACTTATTCAGTCTTTACAGCAACTCAAGAGAGATCAAGTAGGTTGCTCAAGTACTTACAGTAAGTAGCAAGTTGGGTGTGATGGGCATTCTGGCTCCAGGTCAGTGGTCTTGTGCTGGTGCTCCCTGCCATTTGCCTTTTGCATTACTGACATAAAGAACCAGAGGCATCTCATTCTCCCAAAACTGGAAAGAGATTTAAAGGTGTCTGTATTGAACTAGATGGAAAAAAATGTGAAAAACGTTTTTGTTATAGTATAGGATAAGTAAAACATAATATAAATTTATAGGAAAGTTACTAAATGTTGAATTTCTATAAAACTTCAGACTCTTTTCAGGGTTTCTAATGAGAGAATTGTACTTGCTTCTGTAAACATTAACTTTTCATTTTAAAATCAGTTTATCCATGAAATAAGAATATTCAGTTCCTGATCTAAACTTTTAAATAATGATTTCTTAGAATTGAGTGCCCATTACAATTTCATTTGTATGAGTAGGTAATAAAAACAATTTTTATCTAAGCATTCAGTAATTTACAACAGTTGGAATTATTTTTAAATAATCTAACAGCTCTTTTCATCAAAAATGTAATAGAAAATTTCTTGTGATAAAAATGAAAGGATTTGGGGCAGTTGAGGTGGCTCATGCCTGTGATCCCAGCATTTTGGGAGGCTAAGGCAGTAGGATCACTTGAGCCCAGGAGCTGGAGACCAGCTTAGGCAACATAGGGAGACCCCACCATCTCTATAAAAAAATAGAAAAAATTAGCCAGGCATGGTGGCACACACCTTTAGTCCCAGCTACTCAGGAGGCTGATCTGGGAGAATCATTTTAGCCCAGGAAGTCGAGGCTGCAGTGAGCCATAATCATGTTACTGCAATCCAGCCTGGGCGACAGAGCGAGACCCTGTCTCAAAAATAAACAAATGAATAAATAAGTGAATGACAGGATTTCAAATTCAGTTGACCTTTCTAATTTCAAGTGTTTAATGACAAAGCTCTAGGTGACAGAAAGCATATGCATTGTTTGAGCAGTCACCTTGCAGCTAGATTTGATGCTGAAAATGCATGTCACTGGCAAATGGGTAAAAATATAATCAATATAGAAATTTAAGGCTGTTGCTTTAAGGAAACCTTGCTCACTAGATTTTGGGCTCCCCCATTCTTGACTTGCTGCTTATTCTACTGTGTGCCTTGCTGTTTAGGCACCTTGAACATAATCTTCCAACAGTTTCACAAGCCTGTCTTTGATAATGGGTAGCAGTGCATTCTGCAGTTGTCTGATGAGGTAGATTACTAGGACTTGGAGCACTTCCCTTTTCATAGTTGACATAACTCCAGAGCAGCTTGTGCAGGAGCTACCCACTGAGGAGCACTGGATGAGGTTTCTTGTATCTGGAAGTGACTGGAACAGAGGCTTTTACTTTTTCAGGGGTTTCCTGGCTGCCCCAAGGCCTAAGGGAAACTTTATCTAAGGATACCCTGGTAAGATAGCTCTGCCTTATGCTACAGAAAGAAAATTTCTGTGAGCCTTGGAGAGATGTTTCAGAATAGACATTTATGAATAACGCATGCAAATAATCCATATATGAAATTCACAGTTTTCATATCAGTCCTAGAATGGAAAGAAATTTTTTTGTGTAAGATATAAGTCTTGATAAGGCTTCAGTAGCAATCTGAAAATCTCAGCAGCTGAAAGCAGCAAAGTTGCTTTCTTGCTCAAGCTACCATGTCCACCACAGGTTGGTAAAGGGGCTTTGTTCATTGTGGTTCACTGCGTTCCAGCCTAGACTCCATCTCAAAAAACAAACAAAAAAAGTGTGTACAGTTCCTTACTTATCTCCTTGCCTTAACTTTCTAACTCCCTGGTTATTTAATATTTAGATTAATGAACTGGGAAACATTATTACTGTAGAAATAAAGGCCCAATGGAATCCCATGTACTTATCACCTAGCTTCATCATTTATCAACTCATGGACCCCACACCTAGATTATTTTGAAGCAAACCCAAGACATACTAGTTTGTCTACAAATTTACGATGTATTTTACAAGACAGGTTTACTCATTTCAACTATGTTGTATTGAAACAAAACCTGTTCTAATTGACTTTGCTTTAGAAGGTGGTTAGTTTATTGGGATACAAGGAATCAGTAATTAAAATTTGCTTTTTATTTTTGATACACAGGAATCCAGATCTTACATAAGATGGAAGTCTCTCACACTAGATACTGAACATTAAATAGAAAATCTATTTAGTAAAATCTAAGTTGCCAAGGAAGAAATACCAGTAAAAGTTGCTGTAAGAATTAGACCTCTGCTTTGCAAAGAAGTTCTTCATAATCACCAAGTTTGTGTGAGAGTTATTCCAAACAGCCAGCAAGTTATCATTGGGAGAGATAGAGTCTTCACTTTTGATTTTGTTTTTGGCAAAAATTCCACTCAAGATGAAGTTTATAACACATGTATAAAGCCCCTAGTGTTGTCACTCATTGAGGGCTGTAATGCAACTGTTTTTGCCTATGGACAAACTGGATCTGGGAAGACATACACCATTGGAGGGGGCCATATTGGTAAGATTCTCATACTCTTTGACTTTTATTTGTGACGCTAGAAAGAAGCTAAAATATGACCAATACCTGACACATGGTAGGTGTTTAGCATATTGGTTGAATAGTGAAGGAATGAATCATGTAATCAAATGTGATCGTAAGATCATCATCTTTGAAAGATTCATTTTTAAATATTGAAGTTTCATTAAGCAATCTAACTTAGGATTATATTTGCTTGAGGAAAGAAGTTTAAAATAGTTTTCAGTGGTCAGCCCTTGTTATCTTGAACAGAATTTAAAATAGAGATAAATGAGTTAACATGATCAGATTTTGCATTCTTTAACAAGCCAGTTGTAAATATTAAGAGTCCCGCAATCAGGACTTAGGGACCGTAGGAAAAATTTATTATGTAAAGTATCTTTTTTTTTCATATTCTAGCCAGATTTCTTTTTTAAATTCTGAATATTTTAGGACAATTGCTGCTGCTTGTAATTATAGTTTGGAAAAGATGGAGTCATAGGGTCTCATATAGAGCTGAAGGGAACCTTGGAAATCATTTTAGTTAAGTGTCTGGTAATAGAGTGGGGGAATTGACAGCCAAGTCCTCTGTTAAGATTGTTTACTGTATTTATATTTTTCCACTAAAAACAAACTTCTGAGTAGTGCACATATGCATCATTGTCTAAAGTTTTAGTTAGTATTCTCTGTATGAATAGTGGCTCTCAATATTTTTCTATTTTCATATTTCACAAATGTAAAATATATGGCTTTCAGAAACTCTTTAGCTGTTCAGATATGAGCTGAAACAATAAAAAAAAAATTTTTAAAAAGAAACTTCTGATTATGTGCATGGATGGGAGGTGGCTCAGAGGGTGGTTGTGTAGTTTCAGGAAATCTTTATTCCAAAGATTAAAATGGAGGAGCCTTAAGAGGCCAATACTCTCCAACTAAAAGAAAACAATCTGTATATTCTGTAGGATTAGGAGATCACAGATACTAGATTGTTTCAGCGTCTTACAATAAAAAGAATTCAGTTTTTCTAGTATAAATTGTGGCTTTTCTTTAGGATTGTAGGGTTTTTTTTTTTTGATTGGCAAATGTTTTATAATCCTAATGACCCATTATGTGCCTTATACCAATAGGAGTTATAAATGTTCAGGAGCTGGTGACTTAATTATAGCTATCCTTTTTTTTTATTATTAAGAGACCATGAGTACTATTTTAATTTTGTAAGAGAAAAAGTTATTGAAGTTATCTGTTGTCCTAACATTTTAATTGCTCTAAAATTCCCTCTATCAGAAGAAATGGAGGACAATTAAAAACATTTTGGATGGTGTTTTCTTTCTACTTTTTTTAAATTAAAGAAATATTTATTATAAGAAGGATTGCAAGTGATGCATAAGAAATTAAACAAGTGACAGCTTCTCTCACCCCAAAGAAATAAGTGTGATGCATATTACTCACTTGTGTAGTTTTTTGGGTTTTTGTTTGTTTAATGAGATATTATACCTGTGATTCTGTAACTTTCTTTTTGCATTTAACAATGTAAAATATCATTTCAGACCAGACGTGGTGGCTCACGCCTGTAATCCCAGCACTTTGGGAGGCCAAGGCAGGCAGATCACTTGAGGCCAGGAGTTTGAGACCAGCCTGGTCAACATGATGAAACCCTGTCTCTACTAAAAATACAAAAATTAGCTGGGCATCGTGGCACGTGCGTTTAATCCCAGCTACTTGGGAGGCTGAGGCAGAGAATCGCTTGAACCTGGGAGGCGGAGGCTACAGTGAGCCAAGATCATGCCACTGCACTCCAGCCTGGGCAACAGACCAAGACTGTCTCAAAAAGAAAAAAAAAAAAGTTGGATTTATTTTTTGGTGTATTAGTGAGCATTTTCTGTTTCCCAGAATGTCTCTATAGAACACCAATTCTGGGTCAGCTTTTTGGTTATTGACCATGCAAATAATGTTTTCTTTTTCCCCCTCCAGTGAATATTTATTGAGCATCTGCAGTGTCTAGGTTACCATGCTGGGCACTAGGGCAGAATGAAACTCTTTTATTTTAAAATGTATTTTACTTTATTTTAAAAACCTTTTTGTAGAGACAGTCTCACTTTGTTTTTTGTTTTTGATTTTGCTTTGAGATAGGGCCTTGCTCTGTCACCCTGGCTGGAGTGCAGTGGCACAATCACAGCTCACTGCAGCTTCAACCTTCTGGGCTTATGAGATTCTTCCACCTTGGCCTCCTAAGTATCTGGGACTACAGGGGCATATCACCACTCCCAACTAATTTTTTTTTTTTAATTTTTTGCAGAGACAAGGTTTTGCCATGTTGTCCAGGCTGGTCTTGAACACCTGAGATCAAGTGATCCGCCCTGCCTCAGTCTCCCAAAGTGCTGGGATTACAGGCGTGAACCACCATGCCTGGCTTTATTTTTAAATATGATGCTTATTTAGCTAATATTCATTTTCCTGCTTTTCAGAACGTTGGAATTACCTTTACAAGGTATAGCCTTTTCCAAAAACTTTTGTGTACTCTTTAAATACCATATAATAGCTAAATGAGAGTTGTTGAGGTATAAAACTTTGCAGATTTTCTTTTGGAAATGGTTTATTTCAGGAATATAAGACTAACATTGCAAATTTTATATTCAAGTTATCAAAATACATATTGGAGCTTTATTATAAATATTTGAAATTAAGCTTTTTGATACGTCTTTTAAATTGTGCTTTGTTATCTATAGATGTGGGGAGTAACTGAACTATTTCTGGTCAATTATTTATTCTGGATAATCAAGATTGCTTATCTATACTACAGTTTGAAAGGTTTAGATATTTCCTACAGGCTAGTTCCTATAAGCTCTTAAAAGGGAATCTTCCTTTGTACTGTATTAGAAGAAAACCCACAACTTACTTTACTTGCCACATGATGGCAGTCTTGCCTCTTAAATTAGGGGAAAGGCAGCCATCAAAGTTGATGGAAACTCGGATTTTCAGAACGATTGTTGCCAAAAACCTAAACTTTGGTAATCTTCAACTTGGAAGCAAGTTGTTTTTAAGTTTCATTTGTAAGTCAACTCTTTGTTGCTTGGAATACATTTTCCATGGAACAATGCTAAAAATGATGGGCAGTTTTCTAAATTAGCCTACAGAAACTTTTAAAGTCTCAATTTTTCCCTCCACTTACTTTAAATTTTATCTCATACACTTTTTTTTTTACTATTTTTACAATTGTGATAAAGTACATATAAATATAAAGATCACCAAACTTACCATTTTAACTACTTTCAAGTGTAGAGTTCTGCAGCATCAAATATACTAATTGTTAATGCAATAATAACCAGTATTTCCAAAGTTTTCATCACCGAAACAGAAGCTATGTACCCATTAAGCAATAGCTCTCCCCGCATTCTCTGATAATCCCTGATTTACTTTCTGTCTCTTTTAGTTTGCCTATTCTAGATATTTCATATAAGTGGAGGCCAGGCGTGGTGGCTCAGTTCTGTCATCCCGGTACTTTGGGAGGATCACCTGAGCTCAGGAGTTTGAGATCAGCCTGGGCAACATGGTGAAACCCCATCTCTACTATAAATACAAAAAAATCAGTCAGGCGTGGTGGTGTGCACCTGTAATCCCAGCTGCTGGAGGCTGAGGCGGGAGAATCACTTGAACCTGGGAGGCAGAGGTTGCAGTGAGCTGAGATCGTGCCACTGCACTCCAGTGTGGGCAACAGAGCAAGACTCTGTCTCAGAGAACAAAACCAAACCAAACACATAAAAGTGGGCCGGGCGTGGTGGCTCACGCCTGTAAGCTCAGCACTTTGGGAGGTCAAGGCGGGTGGATCATGAGGTCAGAAAATCGAGATCATCCTAGCCAACATGGTGAAACCCCATCTCTACTAAAAATACAAAAATTAGCCATGTGTAGTGGTGGGCGCCTGTAGTCCCAGCTACTCAGGAGGCTGAGGCAGGAGAATCGCTTGAACCCAGGAGGTGGAGGTTGCAGTGAGCCAAGATCGCACCACTGCACTCCTGGGCAACATAGTGAGAGCTTGTCTCTACAAAAAACAACAAAAAAATTAGCTTAATGTAGTGGCACATGCCTGTAGTCCCAGCTACTTCAGAGGCTGAGGTGGGAGGATCGCCTGAGCCCGGGAGGTCAAGGCTGCAGTGAGCTGTGATTGTGCCACTGCACTCCAGCCTGGGTGACACAGTGAGACCCTGTCTCAAAAAAGGAAAAGAAAAAAAGAAGTGGAATCATACAGTATTTTTCCTTCTGTGTCTAGCTTCTCTCTCTTAGCATGTTATGTCACCTATCAGAACTTCATTCCTTTTTCCAAGAACATTCCATTGTATGTATATACTGTGTTTTATTTATCCATTCTTCTTTTGATGGACATTTGGTTTGCTTCCCCCTTGTAGCTCCTGTAAATAATGTTGCTGTGAACACCGATGTAGAAGTATCTGTTTGAGTCCCTCCTACGCCTATTTGTAAAGCTGCTCTAACTCCTTTTTGAAACAAGTGGGAGCAGAAATAAGTGTTTACTCATGATGTTATTGTACTGGTCTGTGTTCTGGTTTGTAGAAGCTGTGGGCTTAGATAGTGCTGGAGGAGAAGAGGTGTAGAGATGTTTCCTTCCTCATTGTTGAACTGAGGGTCTAGGACTGGGCATAACTGGCCTTTCTGCACCTATTTTCTGCACACATTCTCTGTCGCCATCAACTCTGGCTTACGTCCCTGTCTTTTCACGTTATCCCTTTCTACTCTCAAGCTCCTTGCACCTTTTCACCCCATCCAGAAATCTCAGAACAGATAGACTTGGTGACGTGTGAAGAAATATGATACAAGAATTTTTTTTAAAAAGCATTCTTGCCAACATAAATGAATTGTGCTCCAGTGATTGGGATTCCACCCAGACCATAATAAATGATCTAAAGAGAAAGATATTTTAGTGCAAAGGACTGTGAAATAGATTGGTCTTACCTAGGGTCAGTTTCCTGCTTTTTACAGCTATTTTGTGCTTTAGAAATTATATGTCATCTAAAAGCATCAACATTTCTATAACATGGCTCCCACTAGTAGTAGTGAATATCCGAGAGGTGGAGTGGCTTTGGGCAGGGGAAGCCCTTTGTGTAGAATGATGTTTTATGAGCCAAGGGCCACCTCTCTGGATCTAGTATTTAATCAACAGTGAATTGGGAAAGATTATGTATGTATGTATGTATGTATGTATTTAGAGAAAGGGTCTTGCTCTGTCACCTAGGCTCTGTCTCCTGGCTCACTGCAACCTCTGTCTCCCAGGCTCAAGTAATCCTCCCTTCTCAGCCTCCCAAGCAGCTGAGACCATAGGCATGCAACACGATGCCCAGCTAATTTTTTGTGTTTTTTGTAGACAAGGGGTCTTGCCATGTTGCCCAGGCTTGTCTCAAACTTCTTAGCTCAAGCGATCCACCCACCTCGGCCTCCCCATGTGCTGGGATTACAGGTGTGAGCCACCACAGTATGGCCTATTTATGGAATAAAATGCCACCCCATATAGTTTTATCATTTATATTAAAATGTACATTTCTACCATATCTACCTGCTTTGAAATTCACCTGTGCCACTTGATGTCTTTTTGATTCCTGGGCCTTTTCAAATATATTTTCTTATTAAATCTTTTTTCTTTTTTTTTTTTTTTTTAGACAGTTTCCCTCTGTCGCTCAGGCTGGAGTGCAGTGGCGCTATCTCAGCTCACTGCAACCTCCACCTCCCAGCTTCAAGTGATTCTCATGCCTTAGCCACCCAAATATTTGGGATTACAGGCATGGGCCGCCACACCTAGCTAGCTAATTTTTGTATTTTTAGTAGGGACAGGGTTTCACCATGTTGCCCAAGCTGGTCTTGAACTCCTGGGCTCAAGTGATCTGCCTGCTTCAGCCTCCCAAAGTCTGGGATTACAGGCGTGAGCCACTGCACTCGGCCTCTTTCAAGTCTTTTCTCAGATGTCACCTTCTGAATGATGCCCACCATGACCTTCCTATTTAAAGTTGCAAGCATCTCTTGGCTGGTGGTTACACTTCTAGTCCCCTTACGCTGCCGTGTTTTTTTTCCTCCAGGTACAATTAACACTTTTTAATACGCCATGTAATTCACTTATCAGTTATTCTTTTTTGCTATTGTCTGTCTTTCCTCAGCAGAATCTCACCAGGGAAGGGATTTCTTTTCTCCCTGTTTTGTTTATTGGTGGACTGCAGAGTCCTAGAATAGTGCCTGGCACATAGTAGATACTAAATAAATATTTGTTCAGTGAATGCATGAATGAATTCTTGGTAAGGGGATACATGTGAAAACGTTCACTTGTTAATTTTATAGTTGTGGTTTAAAAGAGTTATAATAGTCTGGTGGTGGGCATCTGTAATCCCAGCTACTCAGGAGGCTGAGGCAGGAGAATTGCTTGAATTTGATAATCGGAGGTTGCAGTGAGCTGAGATTGTACCACTGCGCTCCAGCCTGGGCAACAGAGCAAGACTCCATCCCCCCGCCAAAAAAAAAGTTATAATATATAGAAATGTGATAAAATAAATTAACTATAAATTTGGGGTTGTAACTTTTCTTTTGTTTTAAGTTCCAGATATGCTTTCTTTTTCTAAATTTTCAGCTTCAGTTGTGGAGGGCCAAAAGGGTATCATTCTTCGAGCTATTCAAGAAATATTTCAAAGCATCTCTGAACATCCTAGCATTGACTTTAATGTGAAAGTATCTTATATAGAAGTGTACAAGGAAGACCTAAGAGATCTTCTAGAATTGGAGACATCCATGAAAGATCTTCACATCCGAAAAGATGAAAAAGGAAACACAGGTAAAGTAGCCCGCTTAATCAGTTGCCTTCATTCGCAGACAGACATGCTTTAATGCTTTAAGTTTCTGGATATATTCCAAGGAATCTTTAAAAACAGATGTAGAAGCAAAATGAATTTATTTTTACTTTTAAATTGAACAGCTTTATTATTAATCCCTCTCTTTTTTTTTTGAGATGGAGTCTCACTCCATCACCCAGGCTAGAGTGTAGTGGTGCGATCTTGGCTCACTGCAACCTCTGCCTCCTGGGTTCAAGTGATTCTCCTGCCTTAGCCTCCCGAGTAGCTAGTATTACAGGTGCGCACCACCATGCCTGGCTAATTTTTGTATTTTTAGTAGAGACAGGATTTCACCATGTTGGTCAGGCTGGTCTCGAACTCCTGACCTCGTGATCCGCCTGCCTCAGCCTCTCAAAGTGCTGGGATTACAGGCGTGAGCCACTGCTCCCAGCCTATTAATCTCTCTTAAATCACTCAGATGAAAAAGTAGTTCAGACTGGTTGGTAAGGTGAAGTTATTAATTTGTAATGCAAGATACTGAATTCCTATCGTTCCCCTCTAGACTCACTTCAGGTGAGACTGTGATATAGGCTAAATTTGTTTTTGTATCTTTTTTCCTCTCAGCTCTACCATGAGATTGGAGGTGGCTTTTGCTTTAAGTGTTTATCAAAGTTGACCCAGAACTTGCCTTTCTTTTCTTTGATTTTTGTCCCAGCACACATACTTCTTTTTTTAAAGTTGAGAGTTTATATTTTTGTTTTTTGATATTGACATTTACCTGTTTGTTTTGTTGTGTTCCTCAAGGTCTGACTTTCTGCATTAGTAGCCTGTTAATTTCATTAACCAATACCCATTTGTTGGAAATGGGAGAAGGTTAGAATGGGAGGCTCAAACTGCAAATATTTTAAAGAATAACAATTTATGCTTTTCTAGTTTAAAAGCTAACATGTTCATCAAGAGTATTTTCAAAACAGGAAAGTGTAAGGAAGAAAGTTAAAAGATTATCTTTAATTCTAGAGCCTAGAAATACCAACATCTCTTTTTGGTGGGTTTCCTTCCAGAATTATTTTTCTAGGTACATATAATTTATTTATTTATTTATTTATTTATTTTTTTTGAGACGGAGTCTTGCTCTGTCACCCAGGCTGGAGTGCAGTGGCGCGATCTGGGCTCGCTGCAAGCTCCGCCTCCCAGGTTCACGCCATTCTGCTGCCTCAGCCTCCCAAGTAGCTGGGACTACACGCGCCTGCCACCATGCCCAGCTAATTTTTTGTATTTTTAGTAGAGACAGAGTTTCACCGTGTTAGCCATTATGGTCTCAATCTCCTGACCTCGTGATCCTCCCATCTCGGCCTCCCAAAGTGCTGGGATTACAGGCGTAAGCCACCGTGCCTGGCCCATATAATTTTTTAAAAATATGTACTTGCAACCCTACACACAGTTTTGCATTTTATATTTCACTTAATATTTATATTTTGAATATTTTCGCACATGATTAAATATTTTTCATACTTGACTCTTCATGTTTATATGGTAATTTGTCTTATGAATGTGTTTATAGTTATTTAATATTCCATTGTTGGACATTTAGGCTGTTTCTAGGTTTTAACTATTATTAAATAATATTGCAGTGACTATTCTTTTTTTTTTTTTTTTTTTTTTTTTTTTGGAGACAGGGTCTTACCTCTGTCAGCCAGGCTGGAGTGCAGTGGCATAATCACAGCTCACTGCAGCCTCAACCTCATGGGCTCAAGTGATCCTCCTACCCCAGCCTCCCGAGTAGCTGGGACTAACAGGCACCTGCCACCACACCTGGCTAATTTTTGTATTTTTTTGTAGAGACAGGGTTTCACCATGTTGCCCAGGCTGGTCTTGAACTCTTGGGCTCAAGAGATCTGCCTGCTTTGGCCTCCCAAAGTGCTAGAATTACAGGCGTGAGCCACCATGCCTGTCCTATTCTTGGATGTCTTCTTCCCCTAAAAACCATATTTAGTAGAATCTTCCTGGAGATCCTGCCAGAGGAGGGAATTTCCTAGCAGCTAGGAAAGTAAGATGGCTTTAGTCATTCAAATAGCAGCCTACAGGAGGCAGCAAATCTTGCATCTTTATAGCCCCTGTCCTGGCATTCCTGCATGGTTGAAGAAATTGTTTTTGTTTTTGTTTTTTTAAGAAGAAACTATATATGGTAGCTTATGGTCTTATTAGATAATTCAGTACAGTTTATCTCTTCTGGATAAAATTCAGACTGATGTTTTGAGCTCCTTTATCTTATGGAATACAATTATTGAATGTTTTCATCTTTTATCAAAGAGTTACAAAAATAATACATGCTTCTTTGTAAAATATCAAGCAGAATAGAAGTATATACACTTCACTATCACTCTTGATAAACTTGATCAAAATACTTCATATCTGATATCAATGCTGAAAAAATTTTGGAAGGATGTTACAAATGATCTTAAATTACAGTATGTCTTACATAATGTCCCACTCACAAGTAAAGTGCATTTGTTTGACATATTTCTTTAGAATCTCTGTATGAAGCAGTGATGTCCATGCTTGCTGCCACACAATTAGTACACGTGGGAAGCTTTTTAAAAATACTGATTTCTGGGTCCTACTTCACAGGGATTCTGATTTAATTGGTCTGAGATGGTACCTGGGCATTGGCACTTTCTTTTTTATAAAGCTACCAGGTGATTTGCATCTGCATTCAAGAACCATAGTGCTAACTTATAGCCTAACATTGGAAAAATTTAATGAAAGTTTTACTATGACTTACAGGACTTTAAATGAACTGGGTTGTTTAAAAAGCGTCATGATGGAAATAATGAAACTGAAATGATTATTTTTTAAAGAAATAGTGATGTGACAGTATCTGAGTAAAGAGGAATTATGGCAATATAATTTGAGCATGAAATCAGGAGCTTTCCTTCTCTGATTCAATTCCTAAGTCCACCTACTTCTCTTTGAAATATTTTTGGATATAGGCCGGGTGCGGTGGCTCACGCCTGTAATCCCAGCACTTTGGGAGGCCGAGGCGGGTGGATCACGAGGTCAGGAGATCGAGACCATCCTGGCTAACACGGTGAAACCTCGTCTCTACTGAATATACAAAAAAATTAGCCGGGCGTTGTGGCGGGTGCCTGTAGTCCCAGCTACTCGGGAGGCTGAGGCAGGAGAATGGCGTGAACCCAGGGGGCGGAGCTTGCAGTGAGCCAAGATCGCGCCATTGCACTCCAGCCTGGGGGACAGAGCGAGACTCCGTCTCAAAAAAAAAAAAAAAAAAAAGATCCCACTTGCGTCTCTTACTTCCTTCTTTCTACCCTCCCCTTTCATATTGCTTCCTGCTCACAATTCATACCCTTCTTGGCTCCTCTTCCTTTCTCCTTCGGTTAAAGTGTATTTTAATTTGTTATATTTATTAAATAGAACTCGGTGGATCTGGTTGTCAATTTAGAGACTGAAAATAAACTTGTTTCAGAAATAAAACTTAAGTTATCTTTTACTGAGTTTTTCTCCCTTTGTCGGTCAGTAGTTCTTGAAAGAAAAAATTACTTCATCTCTTGTGTTTGGAGTATAGGTTTTTAAAAAAACCAACAAATTAGCATATTTATTAATGTTTAAGGAATGTAGGCATGTACATGTATACATGTTATATGTACATGTATTGAGTTCAGATTTACATTTCCCCGCTTTTCATTCAGAAACTATTGTGTGAAGATTGTATGTCGTGGGAATAGTGGAGGACAGGACACACCTAGTTACTGCTTGCTTGGGTGGAGTTTGCAAGCTAGTGAGCAAATGAATGGTCCTTCAGTTGTTCCTGAGATAACATGGTTCCCAGCTTCCATGGTTCTGTCCATTTTTCAAAATAGGAAAACTTAAAAAGATAGCTTTTTAGTTAAAAAGGAAATATAGTTAAGTATATTTCCTTTTTTTTAGGCTCTAAGCTTATTTCTCTATCTAGCTAGAAATATTTCCTCAAAGCCTTTTTACATGTAATATTATAAAGAAGGCATTTGTATTATCCTCTGTTGCAGCAGTGCTCAAGTTCTCAAACTTTTTGATCACAGGATGACTTCTTTACACTTTTAAAGCGAGATCCCTCAAAGAGCTTTTGTTTATGTGGGTTATATCTATTGATATTTACTGTGTTAGAATTAAAACTGAAAAAATCTAAGCTATTTATTCATTCAAAACTAACAGTAACCCAATTACATGTTAATATAAAGGGCATTTTTAATGAAAAATATTTTCTAACAATTTTTTTTTTTTTTGAGATGGAATCTTGCTCTCTCGCCAGGCTGGAGTGTGGTGGCGTGATCTTGGCTCACTGCAACCTCCGCCTCCCAGGTTGAAGCAATTCTCCTGCCTCAGCCTCCCGAGTAGCTGGGACTATAGGCACATGCCACCATGCCCAGCTAATTTTTGTATTTTTGTAGAGACGGGGTTTCACCATGTTGGCTAGGATGGTCTCCATCTCTTACCTCATGATCCGCCCGCCTCGGCCTCCC
This sequence comes from Homo sapiens, assembly GCF_000001405.40. Classification (NCBI taxonomy): domain Eukaryota; kingdom Metazoa; phylum Chordata; class Mammalia; order Primates; family Hominidae; genus Homo; species Homo sapiens. The sequence continues at coordinate 85,827,596 of NC_000009.12, forward strand.
AAAGTGCTGGGATTACAGGCATGAGCCACCGTACCTGGCCAACACACAAAAAATTTTAGTAAGAGTAGAATTCCTTTACATTTTTGCAAATCTCTTTAACATCTGACCTAATAACAGAAAGTTGGATTTTCATATCTGCTTCAGTATTCAGTTTGTTGCAATATGTTTTGGTTGAAGTTTGTAAAGAAAATTCAGCCTCATAATTGCATAGTTTGAAGGGAGGAGTATTTCACTGATTTTTTCAGATAATTGTGGATGTTCTTCTTTCCTATTACACCAAACTCAACAAGCAGAAATTTCTAGTTACTTGAAATATGAGATTTGAAACTATCTTGTTACATTAAGATCGGTACATTAAAATGTACTAGTCTCAGCCAGCACAGTGGCTCATGCCTGTAATCACAGCACTTTGGGAGGCTGAGGCTGGAGGATTGTTTTGAGCCCAGGAGTTTGAGACCAGTCTGGGAAACAAAATGAGACCTGTTTTACAAAAAATCAAAAAACTAGCCAGGCATGGTGGCATACGCCTGTGGTCCCACCTACTCGGGAGGCTTAGGTGGGAGGATTACTTGAGCCCAGGAGTTCAAGGCTGCAGTGAGCTATGATTGCACCACTGCACTCCAGCCTGGGTGGCAGAGTGAGACCCTGTCTCTAAAAATAAATGAATAAATAAATAATAGCATAAAAACAGGTAAGGTAATACTTCTTAAATCTTTTTTTTAGTTCTTTTTTTTTCTGAAAGGTAATAACTGTCTAGGTAGAGCAGGCCCTTCCTCATTAGTATAAGAAACTGGTGGAACAGGAAGTACTGGTAATTGGAAGCTTGAATGTTGGGACACATATAGGAGTTGGTTTATATAGGAGTTGTGATATAGATATATATATATATATATATATATATATATATATATATATATATATATATATATATATATATATATATATATCAATCACAGTTTCTTTATCCATTCGTTGATTGATAGGCATTTGGTTTGGTTCCACAATTTTGCAGTTGCGAATTGTGCTGCTGTAAACATGCGTGTGCAAGTATCTTTTTTGTATAATGACTTCTTTTCTTCTGGGTAGATACCCAGTAGTGTGGGATTGCTGGATCAAATGGTAGTTCTACTTTTAGTCCTTCAAGGAATCTCCACACTGTTGTTCATAGTGGCTGTACTAGTTTACATTCCCACTAGCAGTGTAGAAGTGTTCCCTGATCACCGCATCCACACCAACATCTTATTTAGTGAGATTTTTAAAATGCCAAGCCAATATGTGGAATGAGGCTCTCGACAAATAATTTTCTGTTTATTTCATTTAAAAACTACTTTATTATTTACATATCCCAAATGTACTTAAAAATCGGCAAATTTACTAGAAACCAAAAAGTAAAACTGTTTAATCATTTTTAGACATCTTCAAAATATATCTCTTCATAATGAAAGTGTACAAAATCAGCAAATCTGCTTCATTCAAATGCCCTAATGTATTCTTATAACCCTATATGTCAATTTGGAAAATGTGAGCTCTTTGAGTGATCCACGTTAAAATCTCATAGCAGTTCTAGCAAACTTGTAAAAATCTTAGTGAAGGTACTCTAGAACCAAAACAACTAGTTTTTATATACAGGAAGTAAAAATCAGGAAAATCTTCTGTCTTCATGGTAATGAATTCCTGTGTTATAGCAATGGTAGGTTCTCTGAACTCTTTCTGCCTTTCTTAGAAAGAAATCAGAAAAAGTTGAAAATGAAAAAAAATTTATGAGACATCATCAAGCTATAATCAAATCACCATTTTTGTGTTATCATATGGGGTTTCTTGATTATTTTCCATGGTGAATGTCACTTGTGCCTTCTTTCCCCACTAGTGTGTGCTTGCTGCTGATGAAGTAGTATTTAATCAGAAGGAACTGGAGGTTAAGGAACTGAAGAATCAAGTGCAGATGATGGTACAGGAAAACAAAGGGCATGCTGTATCTTTGAAAGAAGCGCAAAAAGTGAATAGACTGCAGGTAGAGTTTCTTAATGCATCTAGCTCTGTAGATTTTCTTGAAATAGTACCTAACTAAACACAGTAGCATTTTAAATGATAAATGGGAACTTAAAAAAAGGATGTTCATTTGAAGACTTCTGAACATAGGCACCTGAGAGAATTATTAATTTTTCCTTTAAATCTGCTTAAATGGAAACATTTTTATTGTTAGCCTGACTTTGGTTTTAGAAATATAAAGATAATACCCAGGAAATTAATTTATAAATCATACCATGGTTATTTTTCCATACTTTTCCTTCCTGTTGTTTGCCAAGGTATTAGGAAATGCAGTATTGTTAGGAGTTGGATGGTAAATACATAATTTAAACTTTAAAATGTATTAAATTATCCTCTTATACCTCGTGAGTGGTTTGCTTTTTAACTTTGCTTACATCTTTCAAATTTTCTATCTTAGCTTTCCTATTATATTAACATGGATATGTCTACAGTATAACATAGTATGCCTCTACATATTATACTCCCTGGCTGTGGCTTCTCCCATCACCCCAAATAGTTAATATCATTTAAAGCCTTTAGCTTCCTATCAGGGAATAACTAATGCTCCGAGAAATAATCTGATCCAGCACACATCAGATTTTGATTTTCATGTTGTTTGATTTTTGTTTTCTTTTTTAACCCTTCTAATTGTATTTTGTTGTTGTTTGTTTTTGTTGTTGTTTTGTTTGTTTTGAGACAGGATCTCATTCTGTTGCTCAGGCTGGTGTGCGCTGGCACAATCACAGCTCACTGCAGTCTCGACCTTCCAGGCTCAAGTGATCCTCCCGCCTCAGCCTCCTAACTGTGACCACAGGTGCATGCCACCGCGCCCGGCTAATTTTCTGATTTTTTTGTGGAGACGGGGTCTCACTGTGTTGCTCAAGCTGGTCTCGAACTCCTGGGCTCAGTGATCCTACCACCTCAGCTTCCCAAAGTGCTGAGATTGATTACAGGTATGAGCCACCATGCCTGGCCCTAATTGTATAATAATTTAAAAACATAAAACTAAAGTATATACAAAACAATACATATTAATCAGTGATTTATCACAGAGAGAACAGCTGGGTAACCACCACCAGGTCAAGAAATTGCTAACTGCCAGCGCCTCAAAATTTTTAGTGCCTCCTTACAATTATTATTCCTCCCTCTTCCTCAGAGAGCCAGTCTCTTGACTTACATGGTAATCATTTCTTTGCTTTTCTTATGGTTTTACTATCTAAATATGTATCCTTCAACACTACAGTTTAGTTTTTGGAATTTTTATTAATTCAGTATAGCTTATTCAGTATCTCGCTGCTTTTGTTGAACATTATTATGATTCATCCACTTTTTAATTGTAATATTTTTTCTGTAAATTCTAATATTTTATCTGTAATGTGTGACTGTGGTTTGTTTAGTTTTATAGGTACATAGGATTTTATTGTATGACTATACCACAATTTATTTTCTGTTCTACTGTTTGATGGACATTTGTGGCTTTCTGTGAAATTTTCTCGTGAATTTTCAGTGTCTCTCGGTGCACATGCACATACATTTCTTTCAGATTTGTGCCTAGGAGTTGAATTGCTAGGCCATAGGGTAGGTATATCTTCAACTTTTGTGGGTGTTACCAAATTGTTTTCCGCTTTATACTCCCACCCAGCATTCTCACTATTCCATGTGAGCATTCTCACTGTTCCATATGCTTCTCAACATTTGTTATTAATTTTTAAATCTTAGCCAATCTGGTAGGCATGTAGTATCATTTTATTGTGGCTTTAGTTTGCATTTCCCTGATGACTAGTGAGGTTGAGCATTTTTTTCATATGTTTTTGGCTATTTGGATATCCTCCTTTGTGAAGTACTCATTCAAGTCTCTTGTTTGTTTTTCTATTGAGTTACCTGTCTTCTAGATTAATTTGTAGAGTTTGTTGTATATTCTGGGTGTGAGCGCTTTGTCACTTACATGATTGCAAATAATTTTTCTGTGGCTTGCTTTTTACTCTCAGTGGTATCTTTGATGAAGAGTTATTGTAATCAAATTCATCAATCTTTTCCTTTATGGTTAATGGTATTTGTTCTCTATTTAATAAGTTTTTCCTTTCCTCAATTGTTTCCTCTGAGGATACTTTCTATATTATCTTCCAGAAGCTTTATTGTTTTGCCTTCCACATTTAGCTGTATAGTCCTCCAGGAATTGATTTCTGTGTATGGAGTAAAGTAAAGATCAAATTTCATTTTTTAAACATATAGATATTCATTTGTTCTAGCATCATTTATTGGAAACCATCTTTTCACAATTGTTTTGAGTGCTATCTTTATCATAAATCTATCTTTATCATAAATCAAGGTCCATTTGTGCATGACTCTCTTGTCTATTTCTTGGCCTTCTATTCTGTTGGTTGATTTGTATCTCCTTGAGCCAAGATCACATTTCTTATTTATTGTAGGTTTATAATAAGTCTAGATATTTTGTAGAGCAAGGCCTTCTGCTGTTCTCCTTCCCTCCCAACTCCCCAGATGTCTTGGTTGTTCCATATAAATTTTATTTTAATTTTTAAATTTTTTAAGTAATTACTTTATTGAGATATAATTCACATACTATAGAATGCAGCCCTTCAAATATACAATTCAGTGATTTTTTATGTATTTACAGAATTGTCTAACCATCACACCATCTAATTTTAGAATATTTTTATCACCCCAAAATGAAAATATTGTATCCACTAGCAGTCACTCCTCATTTTCCTCCTTTCCTCAGCCCCTGGCAAAAACCACTTTACTTTCTACTTCTATGGATTTGCCTATTCTAAATATTTCATACAAATGGAATCATACAGTAAGTGGCCTTTGTGTGTGACTTCTTTCACTAAGTACGCTATTTTCATTTATTTATTTTTCATGGTCAAATAATTTTGTATGTTTCTGGGATACAGTGTAATGTTTTGATGTATGTATACATTATAGAAAGATTCAATCAAGTTGGTTAACATTAATTAACTAATTAACATTGAATTACATTTATATATCTGTTTAGAATTAATGAACGTATTTTGATTGAGTCTCCTAATCCATAAGCATGGTATAGTTCTCTATTTACTTAGATTTCCTTTGTTTTTTCTCAGTAATGGCCTACTTTTTTTGTGCAGAAATATTGCAAATAATTTATAGATTTCTTTTTAGGTACTTGATTTTTTTCTGTCACTGTAAATTGGAATCTTTAAAAAATTTTATTTTTCAAATTCCCCAATTGTTGGTATGTGGAACTGTACTAATTTTTAGATATTAATACATTATATATCCAGCAATCTGACTAAACTCAGTTTTTGATCAGGAGTGTCTACAGTTACCATCAGGTGGGGAGCCTTCAAAATTCCCAAGATAAATGGAAAAGATCCAAACTTTTTGGAAGTAATTTCTTTTTTTTGTTGTTTTTGAGATGGAGTCTCACTGTGTCACCCAAGATAAGAGTGCAGTGGCACAATCTCCGCTCACTGCAACCTCTGCCTCCCAGGCTTAAGCGATTCTCCTGCCTCAGTCTCCTGCGTAGCTGGGATTACAGGCACCCGCGCCACGCCTGGCTATAAACTTGTTTTTGTTGTTTTTTTGTTTGTTTGTTTGTTTTTTGAGACAGAGTCTCACTCTGTCATCCAGGCTGGAGTGCAATGGCATGATCTCGGCTCACTGTAACCTATGCCTCCTGGGTTCAAGTGCTTCTCCTGCCTCAGCCTCCCTAGTAGCTGGGACTACAGGCATGCACAACCATGCCTGGCTAATTTTTTTGTATTTTTAGTAGAGACAGGGTTTCAACATGTCAGTCAGTCACTTCTGACCTCAAATGATCTACCTGCCTTGGCCTCCCAAAGTACTGGGATTACAGGCGTTAGCCACCGTGCTCGGTCTATACTTGCTTTTTAATTCTAATATTTTATCTGTAAATTCTTTTGGATTTTCATTTATAATTATGTCATCTGCAAATAGTAACAGTTTCATTTCTTCCTTTATAATCCTTTCACCTTCTGTATCTTTTTCTTCTTCTATATCTTCTATATTGTATACTTTAAATAGTTGGATTCTATAGTATGTGAATTTTGTCTCAATAAAGTTATTATAAAAATACCTTCTTATATTTGCTGGGATCTCCACTGCAGTGTTGAATACAAGTGGTGATAGAAAGCATCCTTGTCTTGTTTCCAATCATAGAGGAAAAGCTTTCAAAATTTCATTCTGAAGTATTATATTTTCTATAGGTATTTTTAATTTACCCTTTCCCAAACTAAGGAAATAACTGAGAATTTTTATTATGAATGGATATTGATTTTTATCAAATGATTTTTCTTTATCATATGATTTTTTTCCTTATTCTGCTAATATGGTGAATTACACTGATTGACCTGATTTTTTTTTTTTTTTTTTTTTTTTTTTTTGAGTCAGAGTCTCACTGTGTCACCCAGGCTGGAGTGCAGTGGTGTGATCTCGGCTCACTGCAAGCTCTGCCTCCCGGGTTCATGCCATTCTCCTGCCTCAGCCTCCCAAGTAGCTGGGACTACAGGCACCCGCCACCACGCCTGGCTAATTTTTTTTTTTGCATTTTTAGTGGAGACGGGGTTTCACCGTGTTAGCCAGGATGGTCTCGGTCTCGATCTCCTGACCTTATGATCTGCCCACCTCGGCCTCCCAAAGTGCTGGGATTACAGGCGTGAGCCACAAAGCCCGGCCGATTGATCTGATTTTTAACCAATCTTTTATTCCTGGAATAAACCCTTTTTGTTGTTGATGTTGCGATATACTGTTGTATTGGGGGTTCCCCAAAACCACCCTCAGATTGGATGACGTACTAGGAGAACTCAATATATATTCATTCTCCTGGCTAGGATTTATTACAGTGAAAGGATGCAGAGCAAGATCAGCAAGGAAAAAGACACATGGAACAAAGTCTGGAGGAAACCAGGCACAAGCTTCCAAGACTTGTCTCTCAGCAGAGTCACAGAGGATGTGCTTAATCCCCCAGCAATGAGTTGTGACAACACCTATAAAATGTTATCTGGCAGGGGAACTAAGTAGACTCAGTGCCTATGGGTTATATTGAGGATGCGTGGGTCATGAAGGCACCCTTTGCCTAGCCCAGACTACCAGAGTCCCAGACTACAAGGAAAGCAGGTGTACACCATAAACCACATTGATTGTGCAAATAGTTGAGCACAGTGAGTCAGTATTATCAGAGTGTTTAAGAACACTCCCAAAATCCAAGCTCTCAGACATCTGACAACCTCATAGCAGATCTTCTAAAAGATAGCAGTCAGGTCTGCTATGTTAACTCTTCTGCACAATTGACCTAGATTTGGTTTGCTAGTGTGATGTTTATATTTGTCAGTAAGCTTGTCCTATATTTTTCTTTCTCATAGTATTCTTGTCAGATATTGTAACAAGTTATGCTGGCCTCATAATATAGATTATTTAATTCCCCCTATACCTGGAAAAGTGTGTGAAAATTGGTATTATTTCTTTCTTAAATGTTTGGTTGAATTAGCCTGTTAAGCATTTGGGACTGGAAATTTTCTTTGGGGGTATGTTTTATGAATTAAATCATATTAGTATTTTATTTTCCTCCAGTTTTGATAAGGTTTATTTTTCTAGGAATTTGACCATTGTATATAATTTTCAAATGTATTGGCATAAGTTTGTTTATGATAGTCTTTTATTCATTAATATCTTTAGCTGTGTAGTCACATGTCCCCTTTTTCATTCCTGATTATTTGTGCCTTCTCTCACTTTTTTTTCTTGCAGTTTCACTAGCTAGTAAAATTACCAATTCATTAGTCTCTTCAAAGAGACAATTTTTGACTTTGTTAATCCTCACTAGTGTATGTTTGTTCATTATTTCATTAGTTCACTATTTCACCAATTTCTGCCCTTTATTATTTAATTCCTTCTACTTTTGGGGTAACCTCCTGCTATCTTTTTAACATCTTTAGATGAATATTTAGTATATTGATTTTTAGCTTCTCTTCTTTGGTATATGCATTTAACATTACATATTTCTAAGCTTATCTTGACTTGCACTCCACATTGAGCTCAAAATGTTTCCTAATTTTCATTGTGACTTTTTGATTTGTGAATAACATAGTTATTTTATTTACAGGACATGAGGGATTTATTTTTGTTTTATCAATTTTTATTGCGTTGTGATCAGATAACATACTATCTCTGATTTCAGTCCTTTGAATGTATTGAAACTTGCTTTTTGGCTCAGAATAAGGCAAATGTTTGTAAATGTTACAGAGGTACTTGAGAAGAATATGCATTCTGCAATCATTGGGCACTGTTAATCCTATTATTCAAATCTACATTTTTTACTCAATTTTGAAGTCTTTTTGTTATATCAGTAATTTATAAAGTGATGTTAAAATCTCCCACTATGACAGACCTCCACTCTGTCACCCAGGCTGGGGCACAGTGGCACGATCATGAGTCACTGCAGCCTCGACCTCGTGGGCTCAAGCAGTCCTCCCACTTCAGCCTCCTGAGTAGCTGGGACCACAGGCGCACACCACAATGCCCTGCTAATTCTTGTATTTTTTGTAGAGAAGGGGTTCTTCACCATGTCGTCCAGGCTGCTCTCAAACTCTTGGGCTCAAGTGATCTACTGGCCTTGGCCTCCCAGTGTGCTGGGATTACAGGTGTGAGCCCTACTGTGCCCAGCCCTACTATAATTTTGGATTTGTCTTATTTCTCCATGAAGTGCTGATAGTTTTTACACTACAAATATTGAAGCTGTGTTATTAAGTGCATACAAATGTAGAATTGTTATACCATCCTGGTGAATTGCTCTTTTAATCATTTTTACCTCTTCTTATCTAATGAGTTTTGCCTTAAAGTCTACCTTGACATTACTATGGCTACACCAGCTTTCTTTTGATTAATATTTACATGGTATCTCTTTTTCTATCTTATTTTTAATCTTTCTGTGTCTATTTTAGATATGTTTCTTGTAAGCAGCATATGGTTAGATAATTTTAAAATCCTTTCTGATAGTCTTTATCTTTTAATTTCATTATTCATTTATTAATTTAACATAATTACTGTTTTGTTAAAAATCCACCATTGTGCCTTTTATTTATCCTTCCTCGTCTGTGTTCCTTTTTCCCTCCTTTGGATCGTTGGTTATTCTTTTTCTGTTGTTTTCTCCACTAACTTAGAAGTTATAGTTTTACTCTTTTTTTAGTGGTTATCCTAGAGAGTATACCATGCACCCTAATATTAATTGGTACTTTTATCCTTTTCCCAGGCAATGTAAGAACTCCATTGAATCCTTTGATGTTGTATATTTTAATTATCTGAATACGTGATTTTTAAGTAAGGTTGCATTTTTATTGCTCAGCATTTATACAATGAAAACATAAGGTTTTTTTTTTTTTCCTATTTCAACATTGTAGTACATGTGAAGTATTAAGATGAATGAGTGTTTCTTATTTACATAAATTTGTGCTTGTAAAACAAAGATTGACATTAGAACTTTCTAGATTTGATACACTTCAAAAATTTTCTTTAGAGGATACACAAAAAAAACTAAATCACATATACACAAACACACACACACATTCCTGATAAACAATTTGTTCTGCCTTTGATTTCCAAGTTCTCCTTCCTCTCAGGACTATCAGTTGGCTATCTTCTATCTGTCTGCTTTTGGCTTCCTTTTTCACTAAGGCTTTCACTTCCCTGCACTTGTTACCTCCTTCTGCCTCCTTTGCTGCAAACTCTGCTGCCTACAATTCTTTCTCCACTTTTTGAACTTTCTTGTTTCTTTTTACTTTTTGGATTTCACTCAGAAAGTCCATACTTTAATACAGAAAGCTAATCAAAGTGCTTCAGGTTGGCAAAGCAACCAGTCACAGTGGATGGGGTGTTATCTTTGAGTATTTGACTTTTGACTTTTTTGGCTGTGTTTGTTGCTCCTTACTATTAAAAAGGTTTTACCACTCAGAACAATGTTAGTTACTTGTGAACACCAGAAGGCTAGTCTCTGGATAAATGAGAATTGACTGTATTATTAAAGTAGTTATGAGTTTGGTCAATGTAAAATTCGTTTTTAATCATAATCTGAATGTACTGAAGTGCTCTATTTTAAAATTTTTCGTCTCTCTTCTACAAAGAATGAAAAAATAATAGAACAACAACTTCTTGTGGATCAACTGAGTGAAGAACTAACAAAACTTAACCTGTCAGTGACTTCTTCAGCTAAAGAAAATTGTGGAGACGGGCCAGATGCCAGGATCCCTGAAAAGAGACCATATACTGTACCATTTGATACTCATTTGGGGCATTATATTTATATCCCATCAAGACAAGATTCCAGGAGGGTAAAGTCCAAACAATCTTTTCCTTATTTTGAGATTAAAAAAATTTTAGCCATGTGTAGTATCACAGTGTATTTATACAGTCTCAGCAGATTTTTTTTGTTTGATTTTATGGAATTTTGTATATACCTTTTAAGCATACTTCTTTCTAGTAAAAAACTAATAAGAGAATACACAGTTACATTTGGAGGGAATAGTTGGATGGAGATAATGTCTATACTTCATCAATGTGAAAAAGGTATCCTTTGCCATATTTTCAGACATGACCAAGTTTAATATCTACATGAATTTATTTCTTCCTTTAACCACACAAAGTTGAGATGTTAGAGGATATTTATTTCAACTTGTTTGGTCTGTCATTTTTGAAATAATATTTATATGCTATTCAGTCTTACCAAGTAGACATAATCAAGACAATATAAATATCAATATAAATTTTAGTTTGTGGTTGGTAAATATATACACACACAGTTTTAAGAATTATCAAAGAATCTCTATTATGGAAAAGACTTAATTAGCAGATTCATGAGTTTTGGTTTAGCAGGTTCATGAATTGTGGTTTCTATTTCCTCATTTTATGAAGGGAAATGATTTGTTCACGTGAGATCCATCTGGTTGTTACAGTCAGAGGGATAAGAAATGAAAGGCAAGTGATACATGAGCAGTGCCATGGACTTTGCATCAGGCAGCCTTGGGTGGTATGAATACTATAATAGCTCTGGACATTTGGTTTTCTTTTTTACAAAAGTCAGATTTGGAGAATGAAGGTACATAGATTTTCTTAAATAATGTAGACCTAATGGTTATAGGACACTTACCTTTTTCCTCAGTTGATAATTTAAGAAATTTTAAAAGGAAATTACAATCCCAGAGAACGAAGTTGGACTCTGAACAAAAGGTTTTATTATTTGCTCCTTAAATAATTCCCAAACTCTCACAAGAGAAAACTAGATGCCTGCCAGTTATGGGATAAAATAGCCATGTCTAGTACGTTGTATTTGTTAGATCAGTACTTCTTGAGTTGGTTCTTCTTAAAGAATTCCCCTCCCTCATACCCCATTGGGAGGCCACCTAAAAAACTTTACGCCCATCTATCATGATGCTGATGTGACAGATGATCTAATTAGGTGACTGACAGCAGAAGCACAAAAATCAGATATAAGATGATTTTCAGAATCAGGTAGGATTTTTTAGGAGAGAATACATGACGGGGGCCTATTGTCAAGTGATTAAATCCCAAACACCGTGTGATACTCATATTCCACTATATGTTATAATTTTAACAGCTTATAATAATTTATATTGATAAATGGACTGTCTCCTCTAAGATTTTATTGCCTGTTGTGAGAAGTCATCTTGAGGTTTGGTTACAGAGATGGTGCAGAGGAAATATTTTGTAATAGAAACCAGAACAAAGGTATAAAGGCAATTTCTAATTTATTGTTGTTGTTTTCCAAGGTCATTTTTTTTTTTGAGAATTTAAAATGCATTTCCAATAGAAGAATGTTGTACTGTGGAAAATTCCCAGGCTAGCCATACAATTTTATTTGTCCTATGACATATATTAAATATTTTTCCTAGAGCCTTAATTCAGCTATACCTAACTACCATGTATAAAGAATAAGTATATACATTGTGGTATTCAGATTAGGAATATTGCCCTGGCAGAGGGAGTGGAGACGGCTCTGGGTTTCTTCCTGTGGTAGGATTTGGATTGGAGGGGATGCAGACCTTTGGCGGCAGCACCACAGTTCTCCAGGTGTTCTGAACTGGGAAGATGGGGAAGAGGGCACATTTGTTGGGGTGTGTCTGTGTTGTGTTTAAGAGCTAGGATGTTTTCCATGCGTTCTTTTGGTTTCATTTTTGAATACTGTTTTCCGTAAGTGAAGATAGAAGAGTTGTCCAGAAGAGAAGGAGCTGTGTAGATTCTGAAAGAAGTATTTGTCTGTGAGGCACAACAGTATTGTTAAATTAATTTTGACCTTTGTTTGAGGGGAGCATTTTCCAGTGATTGGCTATTTTAAGAGTGCCAATCTAATAACCCCTTTAAAAGCACTTAGAGTAATAGGATAAAATTAGACTTTTAAAATATCACTTTTTTTGTTGTTGGGTAGGGGAATCACTTGCAAGGTCCACACAAGTCCGCCTATGTACTCTCTGGATCGAATATTTGCTGGATTTCGAACACAAAGTCAGATGCTGTTGGATCACGTAGAAGAACGAGATGAGGTCCTCCACTGCCAATTTTCTGATAACAGTGATGATGAAGAATCAGAAGGCCAAGAGAAATCTGGAACTAGGTATGTTAAATATACACTGATTTAATAAATATTTAGAATTATATGCTGCAATAAATATAAAAGTGTAGGTTTTTTCCATTGGAGTATATCTTTTATGTTTAATAGAAGAGTAGGTAACTTTTGCTAAATGTACTGTCATCTAATGTGTTATGAAAATAGTATTTGAACACAAGTCATCAGTCTTATAACTGAAAAATAATTTTGCTTTTAGAGCTTTTATAGTAATGAGATTCTAATTTTCAGAGGGTTTTTTTTTTTTTTTTGGATTTCCTTATTCTGCTGCCACATTGGCAACAAACATGACTTTTCTGCTGGATTCAACATGGGTGAGGGGGGCATCCTTCTATTTTGAGCAATATTAGTAACATTCTGTTTTTATATGTAATTAATAATTTTTTTAACATTACTGTCACTTTTTGGGGAAACTAATTTGAGGGCAGATTAGAAAACACTAACAAATAAGTTAACTTTCTGATTTTTTTTTAAGATGTAGAAGTCGTTCATGGATTCAGAAGCCAGACTCTGTTCCCTTGTTGAATTGAGTGATACTCAGGATGAAACACAAAAGTCAGATTCGGAGAATGAAGGTACATAGATCTTCTTAAATAATGTAGACCTAATGGTTATAGGACACTTATCTTTTTCCTCAGTTGATAATTTAAGAAACATCCAGGAATTCTCAAAGACCAGAATTTGGTACAAATGGTTTCCTAGTTGATAGAACTTCTTTTATGTTCTCTGTTTTACCTCTTTTACTCCTTAATAAAAAAAGATTTTCTATCAATTAATTATGGCTAGAGATATAGGCTAACTCCCTCAGAATAAGGATTTTTATATTCAGACCTGAATTGATATGCTTTGTATTCCTGATGATGTTAAAATACAGTATAAATAATTGTACTAGGTGTCTACTCCTTCACTGGGACTTGTGCCTAACGTCAATGATGTATTTGGCATTAGAGCCCAATTAGTGTACTGGGTGTTGGTAATGTTTTAGTACACAACTGCTAAGAATTTTTATGCATCAATAACAACATCAAAAACATTTATGAGCCACGCATAGTAGCTCATGCCTGTAATCCCAGTGCTTTGAGAGGCTGAAACGGGAGAATTGCCTGAGGCCAGGAGTTTGAGGCCAGCCTGAGCAACATAGTGAGATTGTCTCTCTACAGAAAATTAGCCGAGCATGGTGGTGTGTACCTACTCAGGAGGAAGGCTGAGGCGGGAGAATCGCTTGAGCCCAGGAGTTCGAGGCTGTAGTGAGCCGAGATCACACCACTGCACTCTAGTCTAGGCGACAGAGCAAGACCCTGCCTCAAAAAAAAAAAAAAAAAAACTCCTACTACCCTATAGTTTTCACAACTTTTTTTTTTTTTTAGACGAAGTCTCTCCCTGTCACCCAGGCGGGAGTGCAATGGTGCAGTGTCGGCTCACTGCAGCCTCCGCCTCCTAGGTTCAAGCGATTCTCCTGCCTCAGCCTTCCAAGTAGCTGGGACTACAGATGTGTGCCACCACACCCGGCTAATTTTTGTATTTTTAGTAGAGATGGGGGTCTCACTATGTTGGCCAGGCTGGTCTCGAACTTCTGACCTTGTGATCTGCACAGCTTAGCCTCCCAAAGTGCTGGGATTACAGGCGTGAGCCACTTTGCCCAGCCGGTAGTAGTAGATTTTGTTAACTCATCTCTTTTGGTCAATGCGTGGTTGACCCACAAAAAATAAGGGAATAGGGAATATAATACAAGTGCTACACTTTGAAAATATAGAGCATCTCTTTAAGAATCTATATGTGGCTTTATGAGCCAAAAATTTAAGTATAACTAAAATAAATTTCAAAATGTGGAAATAACAAAGGTAAATGCTACTCAAGCAGCCATGCTTGAGCTGTTTGTTACTGCTCTGCAACCAGGAAAAAAACTTATGTCGGAATGTAAATGAGCTTACACTAGTTCCTTCCTTGAGAAAGTCTGGCTATGAAAAAAATGTCACCTGAACTAAAGCAGTGTGCTTAGTGACATAGTTGATTTACATTCTGGTGCAGGACAGTAACAAACAGTGCTAGACCACACTCTGAGTAGCCTGGTATAGTCTGCATTCTCCAATTACAATAAAAGTAGAAGTTGATAGGAAACAAATTCACCCCTCTATCCATCTGGAAATTTTACACCTATCTCAAATAACTCATGTTAAAGGCAATGAAAAACTGTGTGTCTGAACCTATGGGATATTAAGAAAGAATATATACATATATGTATTAATTTGTAAGAAAATAAAAACTCTTATTGTAAGCTGGAATGCTTGAGTCCCAGTTGCTGTGTATTTTTCCCCTTTTTCCTCCCCTTCCTTTTTGTCTCTTCCACTGCCACCTCTAAATTGCTTTTGAGTCTGCTTTTCTTTTTTTAACTCTACTTCTGTTGAATATTTTACCAGCAGATAGTTTTATTTCTCCATTTTTTTTAAAGATTTAAAGATTGATTGTCTCCAGGAGAGTCAAGAATTGAATTTGCAAAAATTAAAGAATTCAGAACGCATACTTACTGAAGCCAAACAAAAAATGAGAGAACTTACAGTTAACATCAAGATGAAGGAAGATCTGATTAAAGAATTAATAAAAACAGGTAATAGTATCTTGTGAACCAGCTTATATGAGAAAGAAAACTTCTAAAATTGCTTCTGATGTGGTAACAGTTACTTTAGTTTTTGAAGCTCAGGTCTATCCACTTAGCTTGGATTGGTGTAACAAGGTGAGTTTTTAGGCCAATATGTGGAGGTTAGTTATCAGAAGAATTTTTTTCTTTTGGGATTTCACCTCTGAATTGTTCTAACCGGTGTGAACTCTGCATTGTGCTGAAATTCTGTGGCACTTAATGTGCCAGTTACAACATGTTTATTTTATTTTTTTGAGACAGGATCTCACTGTGTCACCCAGGCTGGAGTGCAGTGGTGTAGTCATGACTCACTGCAGCCTTGACCTCTGGGGCTCAACCAATCCTCCTACCTCAGCCTCCCAAGTAGCTGGGACTACAGGCGTGTGCCACCATGCCCAGTACGCACCTGTAGTTTTTATAAATTTTTTTTGCAGTGTATTAGAATTGATAAAATATAGTATAGATGTCCTGTTATTATTAGTTGGCAGAAGCAGCTGCTATTCAAGAGAAGTCTTCAGTGAGAGGGCATTGAAAAGTAAGCACTCATTGACACTTTTGATAGTCACCATCTCTGAGGATTTTTAGGAAAGCTCCAAATTGCCGTTGGTTCTAATGAGCAAGAAAAGGGTCTTCTCTGTGTAAGCTCTGGTATCCTCTATTTTAAAACAACCACGTTGGGTATACCAGGCTACAAACACATGCTTGTTTAATGAGATCCATAGTAAGATAACCTTTCTGAAAGAAAGTCGTTGATTCTAGTGGGTAAATATCCTCAACTTCCACAGGCAGTACCCTGAAATCTTGGGAATGGAGAAACCATTCTAGATCAGCTCCTAGATACTCCTAGGAGGGGTCAACTGGTGTTTGATCCTGCCTGTGGGGAAGCAGCATGGTCAAACTCATTTAAACATCTGGGTAACTGGAGCTAGGTTGATGCATAGAATGAGAAAGGAAAAAGCTTTGGGAAAGTAGCTAAGCAGAGGATGCTTTTTAAAAAATGTCAAAAAAACCCCACAAAAACTTAATGCCCTTAATGCGGTCTCACTGAAGACTTCTCTTGAATAGCAGCTACTTCTGCCAACTAATAATTACAGGACATCTATACTATGTTCTATCAATTCTAATACACTGCAAAAAAATTTATAAAAACTACTGATGCGTACTGGGCATGGTGGCACATGCCTGTAGTCCCAGCTACTTGGAAGGCTGAGGTAGGAGGATTGGTTGAGCCCCAGAGGCCAAGGCTGCAGTGAGTCATGATTGCACCACTGCATTCCAGCCTAGGTGACAGAGCAAGACTGTCTCAAAAAAATAAAATAAACATGTTGTTATTGGCACTGTATATTTTTTTACTGGTTCATAAAATATTGGTGTATTGAACAATTAATGAATAGTCCAAAATGATTTGTTAAAATATAGTAGTTGTATGTATTCTAAAGTTAGTCAAGTAATCATAAATTAGAGTCAGAGGACAGTTCACACTACATTTAGTTAAATAACTTTTATCAAAAAATGATGAGTATTTTTGGATAGCAGTATAACCAGCTATATAAATAGTATAATAGGCTGGGCGCGGTGGCTCACGCCTGTAATCCCAGCACTTTGGGAGGCCAAGGCAGGCGGATCATTTGAGGTCAGGAGTTCGAGACCAGCCTGGCCAACATGGTGAAACCCTGTCTCTACTAAAAATACAAAAATTAGCTGGGCATGGTGGCGTGTGCCTGTAATCCCAGCTACTCAGGAGGCTGTGGCAGGAGAATTGCTGGAACCCAGGAGGCGGAGGTGGCAGTGAGCTTACGTTGTACCACTGCACTCTAGCCTGGGTGACAGAGCGAGACTCTGTCTAAATAAATAAATAGTATAATAAACTGTCTCTGGTGATTATTCACCCCCTGAGCCTTAGACTCCTGTTTTCTACTGCCACGAGTTTGCCAGTCTAGTTCAGGGACGGTTGCCTATTCAGAGCAAATCAAAACCAAGCTTTTAGGGTCACTAGCTGGACTTAGAATCAAAAGAGATACAGAAATATCTTTATTCTATTTTTTCTGTTCTATATATTAATAAGAAAAGAATTTAAAAGGAATTAATCTTGAATAAGTTCAGGTTAGTGAAAAAGGAGAGAGTTAGCTTTGGATGAAAAGATTCTTAAGAGACATAACAAATCAAATGTATTGTGGACCTTGTTTAGATCCTGATTTAAATAAACCAATTGTGAGACACATTTTGAGGCAGTTGGGGACGTCTGAATATGGACTGATTGGTGTTAATATTGTTAGTGTGATAATGACTTTTTGGTTATGTCCATATTTTGTGTGAATGCCGATTGCAGTATGTATAAGTAAAAAGAGGAATTTAACAAAATGAAGTATGTATAGGTGAGATGAGTGACATCTGGGATTGCTTTACAATATTTAAGCAAAGTAAAAAGACATATTTGAAGCAGCTGTGACAAAATCTTGATAACTTTTAAATCTGGGTGATGGGGGTTCATTTTATTATTTCTTTTGTTATATTTAAAAATTTTCATAATAATTTGAAAAAGGAATTCAAGCAGACAGATTATTGGTAGCAGGAGGCTGGAGTATACTAAGCAAGAGGACAGTCACTCCAAATATCCTTCTTAACTGAGTTTGATGCCAGCAAAGCTCAACTACAAATTCAGAGGACCAGAAATGTCACTGTAAAATGCCAAAGATTGAACCAGTGAGACTGACTGGCAGCAGATGGGAACAGTCATTAAGGAACTAATTATTAAGAGGCCTGATGGCAAGCTGTGTTTGATGGGGGTGGGTGGGGACAACTGGGTTTTTAATGCTATGCCTTAAATAGTATCACTGCCTGGCTGGATTTTAGAGTAGAGTATTTTTATGTTTTTGATGTTTAACTTCTTTTTACATAATTTATACTAATAGTAATTATTATTACGGTTAAGGTAACGATGCCAAGTCTGTAAGCAAGCAGTATACTTTGAAAGTAACAAAGCTAGAGCATGATGCAGAACAGGCAAAAGTCGAACTAACTGAAACACAAAAGCAGCTACAGGAGCTGGAAAACAAAGATCTTTCTGATGTTGCAATGAAGGTAAAATTACAGAAAGAGTTTCGTAAAAAGGTGGATGCTGCAAAGCTGAGAGTTCAGGTAATTTTAAAAATGTAATTGAGAAAACTTATATAAGCTTTCTTGCTTCTGAGGATTCTTGTACTGAGTTAGGAAAGAAGTGGGATTCAGTTTATACCAGCAAGAGAAACTGGGTGTTAACTTTTCTTTTGTAGTGTGCTGGTCGATTTACATATTTTACAATCTGGGTAGTATATTTCTTAATTCGAGAAGTATATTCTTTCAATCATATCAAAAAACCACATGGTAAGAAATAAACATAACCACAAAACAGTGTTTTTTTCTGAAGGACAAAGGATTAAATAATGGTTAAATAATACAAATAAAACAGCTGGTACATATATGACACTTTGTAGACACTCAACAAATGGGAACTATTTCGAGATATGGTTTTCCCAAACCATAACTGATTGGCTTAAGAAAGGTTAATAACTTTGTGTACTGCAATTCATCCTTAACTTCCTAATGCCTGGTTTTAGCTTTAACTTTAGAAATAGCTACAGTTAAAAATTCTATTCTATGAGAAATATTCCATCACATAGAGATTTTGTGTGATGAAGCCATTTCCAGGTGCTTTGGAGATAGTCACAGTGCTTTGTTAGTCTGATCATAATGAGCTTTCTAGGATGTGTCCTCTATTTCTTTATCTCTCATGGTCTACTGTTTTCTTTCATGTTATAGAAGCATTTTTATATTTTTCCATTATAGGTAGAGTTGTAATTAACCTATTCACAGCATTATTATTATTATTATTGAACTATGCCACAGTTATTTGCTTTCAACAAAATAGATGTTTACAATATACCTCTGGTGTGCCCGGTATATTGTAATATACCAGTATATTCTGGTGTGACAGGCCAGAAAAGTCCCTCCTGGGGTTTCTGATGCCACCTCAAACATCTGGATATTTCCACTAAAAGTTGTTACCTAAATAGCTTCTCAAGTCAACATCAAGTTAAAATAATATGGCTTGAATGTTTGAACTGCTTAAAGGAGGACATAGGGTGGTTATCTATGTTACACCTTCCATTTTCCTTCAGCATAGTTATTTCCACTTTGGAATTCACCTTTCCATGCTTTGCTTCCTGCTGTATATCCTTTTCTGCTAAGAGTACTGATAAGGAAAGAAAATGAAAGGTGTAGAACTTTACCTCAAAAGAAACATCTGATACAGCAGAGGACAGAAAGAAGACATAGTTTTAGAAATTTTGTACCTTTGACATATCCATGCGCTACTCATGGAGATAAGGATGATAAGGAGGATGAGGAGGACAGTAGTTACCATTTGTTGAGGGCCTATGCATACCAAATGGTTTATACGCATTATTTAATCCTTTGAAGTGGGCATTTTTAGCCATTTTACAAATGTGGAAAGAAAGGTTTAGAAAGGTAAAATAACTCAGTCAGAGTCCCAGAGTGGTGATGACAATACCGGTTTTCAGTTCTCTAACATATCATACTTTTTTTTTGAGGTGAAGTCTTGCTCTGTTGCCCAGGCTGGAGTGCAGTGGCATGATCTCAGCCCACTGCAGTTGCCTCCTCCCAGGCTCAAATGATCCTCTTGCCTCAGGCTCTCAAATATCTGGGATTACAGGTGCCTGCCACCACACCCGCAAATTTTTGTATTTTTAGTACAGACGCAGTTTCACCACATTGGCCAGGCTGGTCTCAAACTCCTGACCTCAAGTGATCCACCCGTCTCAGCCTCAGAAAGTGCTGGGATTACAGGTGTGAGTCACCACACCCAGCCATATCATGCTGTTTTAAAATATTGAAATACTAGTATTATTATTGGTATAAAACAGTTATTTCAATTTTTAAAACAAAACATTTTTAAATTAAAAACTTCTAAAACCTATATTTTTAATGTCTTTAAGTATATGTAGAGCGTTACATGCTTCATTAATAGTTTAATGCTGACAGATGCACTTTTGAGCAACTATGAAATAAGTGCAAAAGACAATGGCAACAGTATCTCACTCTTAAGACTTTTAGGATGTACACTGATATTTTTAATATTATGTGAAAAAGACACTAAAATGCTGGTATTAGCATTTTTGCTGCAGTATTGTAATTACTGTCAATTGTAAGTGGCAAAGCCAGTGTCCAAATTTAGGTACTGGAAACGGCAAAGGCCTGTGGCCTCCAAGCCAGTGGTACCCAAAGTAGTCCATCTGCCGATTGTTCTTGTTCTGTGATGAGATAAAGGTCAGTCATTGCACAGCTTCCTTGATCAAAAAAGTCTCGCATGAAAACGTCAACCGAATCTAACAGTATGCTGAGGAGTGCAAATTGACAACAATGTCTGTGAACTAGCACTGGTCCACAGATCACATTTTGAGTAGCACTGCTCTAAGCAGCAGTGCCTCTTGGATACTTAGTTTAATTAAAACAAAACTTGCCTATGCTAACACTTTATTGCCAAAATAAAGGAAATAATTGTGGTCTGCCTAATTTATGAATGACATCCCTTTACCTTTTTTATGCCACCTAATTGGTACTTAGTGCAATGCTAATCACATTATACAAGTTTAATATATGTTTGTTTGGTCAGGACTAAATTGTAACACAAGTATTTTATATTAGTGGTGTGAACACTTTGAAAGTCTAATGCTATCTGTACGTAATTTTAGTTAGATGAGAAGGAATTTAAGATAAATGTTAAAATAGTAATTATAATGGTTGGTCACTCTCAGGGAAGATGTTATCAGCTCTGATCATCCTAACTCAGGGATTAACGATTTAGGCTATAGCTGTAGCTATAAAAACAAGAGCACAGTAGAATGCTGTGCAGCCACCTGGAACAAATCTATATGAAAAGACCTCTGAGATAAGTAGGAAAAAAGGGAGACAGTAGTCTATATAGAATACATATGCAGCTGTTTGCATGCATATGCATACATTTTTTTCTGGAAGAATATTTAAGAAATTGATAATTTTGTGTTGGGAAGCAGGACAGGTAGATTGGGGTATATGATAAGAGTGACTCTTAAAATATAAATTCAGCTTTATACTGTTTTAACTATTTTTTAAATTAAAATACTTATTAATGAAAAGCAAATCATCTGTTTCATTTTGTTGTCCACATCAGGAAGTCTCATGATTCTTTATACTTTTACATATGTGATGCAAATTATGATGGTTTCCCTAATTGCAAAAATGGAAATGTATGATAGTAAGCAATTGTTTGTGAACCTGTCAAAAATAAATGAAAATCTAGGGAAAATTTCTTCTTTTACCATCAAATGAAAAGATTAAGTTTAGTTGAGGATTGTGAGAGATTCAGTTTTTCATTTTGAAATATTCCATATGATCTCAGGTCTTACAGAAGAAGCAACAAGATAGTAAGAAACTGGCATCACTGTCAATCCAAAATGAGAAACGTGCTAATGAACTAGAGCAGAGTGTAGATCACATGAAATATCAAAAGATACAGCTACAAAGAAAACTACAAGAAGAAAATGAAAAAAGGAAGCAACTGGATGCAGTAATTAAGCGGGACCAGCAAAAAATCAAAGTAATATTGTCATACATTCCTGCTAAGTATAATATGAAATGTTAAACGGCTCAGAGCTAACGAATCCATGGTCTTCATTCAGTTGGCTTGTGAAGTATCTATCCTTGACTTGCCCTTCACTGCTGTCCTTATTCACTTTAAAGCTTTGTTCATCTACATAGTAAAACCTATTTATTGAATTTTGAGTACTGTCTTGAAGGCTTTGACTTCACAAAAGAAGGTACAATGATAATTTCTCTTAGGAGGATCCTAACTTTAATTGAAGCTGCCAAAAACATGCATTTATAAAGCCAGCTTTCTAAATAATACCTATCATTTGAATAGGATTTTCTGTTTTCAAAGTGCTTTGACATGCATTGTCCATGTGGCTACACGGAAAAAGTACCAGGTAAAGTGGTACCATTTCATTCACAGTGAGCAGAAAAATGATCAGACCTGTATGCACAGCAGTTCTAGAATAGATTGGGCTGGGGAAGAACTTAGTGGTGTCAGCCTAGGCTCTTTGACCAGGCTATCATCGGTTCAAATCCTAGCTCACTCAGTTGCTGGCTGAGAGATTTATTGAGAAAATAAATTTTCTCAAATTTCTCAAAAATTTTACCCTCTCTGAGTCTGTTTATTCTCATCTAAAATGGCCTTAATCCTACTTGTCCCACAGGGCTTTTTTGAAAAAGATGATGATGATCATAATAACAGACGCTTATCTAGTACTATGTGCCAGGCTCTGTTCCGTTGAAATGTTAAGCTGAACCCAAGGCATGGGACATAATTGGAGATTTCCTAGATATTTTAAAAATTAAGATTTTATTTTTTTAGAGCCGTTTTAGGTTCACAGCAAAATTGAAAGGAAGGTGCAGAGATATGCCATATACTCCCTGTCCCTGCACATGTTTAGCCTCTCCTGTTATCAGTATGCCCCAGATTTCCTAGATTTTCAACAATGGATATAACCTATTTTCCGACCTTAAAAAAAAAATCACAGAATTCAGCAATGGAAGGGAACTTAAAGAGCAATTAAACCAAGTTACTCATTATTTATTATTAATTTTTAAGTTGTGGTAAAATATATATAACATAAAATTTACCATTTTAACTTTTTTTCCTTTTTTTTTTTTTTGAGATGGAGTTTCACTCTTGTTGCCCAGGCTGGAGTGCAATGGTGTGATCTCGGCTCAACGCAACCTCCGCCTCCTGGGTTCAAGTGATTCTCCTGCCTCAGCCTCCTGAGTAGCTGGGATTACAGGCGTGCACCACCACGCCCGGCTAATTTTGTATTTTTAGTAGAGATGGGGTTTCTCCATGTTGGTCAGGCTGGTCTTGAACTCCCGACCTCAGGTGATCTGCCCGCCTCAGCCTCCCAAAGTGCTGGGATTACAGGTGTGAGCCACCGTGCCCAACCCATTTTAACTGTTTTTTAAGTGTATAATTCAGTGGCATTAATTACATTCACAATCTTGTGCAACCATCACCACTATCTATTTCCAAAACATTTTCATCACTCCAGACAGACACACTGTAATATTATGGAATAGCTCCTCATTTTCCCCTTCCCCCAGCTCTTGGTAATCTCTAATCTACTTTCTCTATGAATTTGCTTATTCTAGATACTTCATATAAGTAGAATTATACAATATTTTACCTTCTGTGTCAGCCTTATTTCATTTAGCATAATATTTTCAAGGTTTGTCTACATTGCAGCATGTACAAGAACTTCATTCCCTTTTATTGCCAAGTAATATTCCATTGTATGGATATGCCACAGTTCTTTATCCATTCATCCATCAATGGACACTTGAGTTGTTTCTAGCATTTGGCTATTGTGAATAATGCTGCAGTGAACACTGGCATACAAATAAGTCTCTGTTTTCAATTCCTTTGGGTATGTACCTAGGAGTATGTACCTAGGAGTAGAATTTCTGGGTTATATGGTAAATCTGTGCTTAGCTTTCTGAGAAACCACTGTTCTCCATAGCAGCAGCATCATTTTACATTTCCACCAGCAATGTGTGAATGTTCTAATTTCTCCACACTTTTGTCAACACCTGTTTCTTTCCTTTTTTTTTATTATAGTCATCCGAGTAGGTATGAAGTTGTATCTCTTTTTTTTTTTTTTTTTTTTTTTTTTTTTTGAGACAGAGTGTCTGTTGCCCAGGCTGGAGTGCAGTGGCATGATCTCGGCTCACTGAAAGCTCCGCCTTCCAGGTTCACACCATTCTCCTGCCTCAGCTTCCCGAGTAGCTGGGACTACAGGCACCCGCCACCACGCCCGGCTAATTTTTTGTATTTTTAGTAGAGACAGGTTTTCACTGTGTTAGCCAGGATGGATGAAGTTGTATCTCATTGTGGTTTTGGTTTGCATTTCCCTAATGACTAATGATGTTGAGCATCTTTTCATGTGCTTATTGGCTGTTCATAAATCTTCTTTGGAGAAATGTCTATTCAGGTTCTTTGTCCACATTTTAATTTGGTTCTTTGTCTTTGTTGTTGAGTTGTATGAGTTCTTTATATATTCTGACATTAAATTCTATCAGATACATGATTTCCAAATACTTTTTCCTATTCTGTAGGTTTTCTTTATACTTTGATAATATCCTTTGATATGCAGAAATTTTTAGTTTTGTTGAAGTCCAATTTATTTTTTTCTTTTGTTGCTTGTGCTTTTTGGTGTCATGTCTAAGATCCATTGCCTAAATCCAAGGTCATGAAGATTGATGTTTTCTGCTAAGAGTTTTATGGTTTTTGCTTTTATATTTAGGTCATTGGTCCATTTGGGGTCAGTTTTTATATATGGTGTGAAGTAGTGGTCCAGATTTATTCTTTTGCATGTGGAACTCCAGTTGTACCAGTAGCATCTGTTGAAGAGACTGTTCTTTCCTCCATTGAATGGACTTGGCACCCTTATCAAAAATCAGTCAGAGTGGGAAATAGGGAAATGCTGATAGGGGAAACGGGGAGATGTTGGTCAAATGGTACAAAGTTGCAGTTATGTAGAATAAATAAGTGTTTAAAGATCCATACATATAAACCACTACACCCTCACTCACATTCTGTGTGTGTGTGTGTGTGTGTGTGTGTGTGTGATGGAGTTTTGCTCTTGTTGCCCAGGCTGCAGTGCAATGGTGCAATCTCGGCTTACTGCAACCTCCACCTCCCAGGTTCAAGCGATTATCCTGCCTCAGCTTCCCAAGTAGCTGGGATTACGGGCATGCACCACCATGTCCAGCTAATTTTGTATTTTTAACATAGATGGGGTTTCACCATGTTGGCCAGGCTGGTCTCGAACTGCTGACCTCAGGTGATCCACCCACCTTAGCCTACCAAAGTGCTGGGATTACAGGTGTGAGCCATTGTTCCTGGCCACCCTCACATTCTTTGTTTATGAAGTGGAACTTAAATATTCCTGCCAAATCTAAAGCTTTAAAATTTGGCATACCCTTTGATTCACTTACAGGAATTTATCCTAAAGAATTTATCCAAGTGGCATCACATTACCCAAATTCAAACCATACTACAAGGCTATAGTCACCAAAACAGCATAATATTGGTATGAAAATAGGAACATAGACTAATGGAACAGAATAGAGAACCCAGAAATAAAGCCAAATACTTACAGCCAACTGATCTTCGACAAAGCATATGAAAACATAAAGTAGGGGAAAGGACAACCTGTTCAACAAATGGTGCTGGGATAATTGGCAAGCCACGTGTAGGAGAATGAAACTGGATCCTCATCTCTCCTGTTATGCAAAAATCAACTCAAGATGGATCAAAGACTTAAATCTAAGATCTGAAACCATAAAAATTCCAGAAGATAACATTGGAAAAATTCTTTTAGACATTGACTTAGGCAAAAACTTTCATTACAAGAACCCGAAAGCAAATGCAATAAAAAACAAACAAAAATAAATAGATGGGACTTAATTACACCGAAAAGCTTCTGCACAGAGAAAGAAATAATCAGGCTGGGCGTGGTGGCTGATGCCTGTAATCCCAGCACTTTGGGAGGCTGAGGCAAGCGGATCACGAGGCCAGGAGATTGAGACCATCCTGGCTAACATGGTGAAACCCCGTCTCTACTAAAAGTACAAAAAATTAGCTGGGCATGTTGGCAGGCGCCTGTAGTCCCAGCTACTCAGGAGGCTGAGGCAGGAGAATGGCGTGAACCCAGGAAGTGGAGCTTGCAGTGAGCGGAGACCACGCCACTGCACTCCAGCCTGGGCGACAGAGCGAGACTCCATCTCATTAAAAAAAAAAAAAAAAAAATCAGCAGAGTGAACAGACAACCCAGAGCGGGAGAAAATCTTCACAATCTATACCTCCAACAAAAGACTAATATCTAGAATCTACAAAGAACTCAAACAAATCAGTAAGAAAAAAACAAATAATTGCATCAAAAAATGGGCGAAGGACATGAATAGACAATTCTCAAAAGAAGATATACAAGTGACAAACATGGAAAAATGCTCAATATTGCTAATTATCAGGGAAATGCAGATCAAAACCACAATGTAATATCACCTTACTCCTGCAAGAATGGCTGTAATTTAAAAAATCAAAAAATAATAGATGTTGGCATGGATGTGGTAAAAAGGGAACACTTTTACACTGTTGTTGGCAATGTAACCTAGTATAATCACTATGGAAAAGAGTATGGAGATTCCTTAAATAACTAAAAGTAGATATACCGTTTGATCCAGCAGTCTCACTACTGGATATCTACCAGAGGAAAATAAGTTATTATATGAAAAAGACACTTAACACATTACACTTGCATGTTTATAGCAGCACAATTCATAATTGCAAAAATATGGAACCAGTCCAAATGCCCATCAACCAATGAGTGGATAAAGGAAGTGTGGTATATATATACCGTGGAATACTACTCAGCCATAAGCAGCAACCTGGATGCAATTGGAGACTATTATTCTAAGTGAAGTAACTCAGGAGTGGAAAACCAAACATCATATGTTCTCACTTATAAGTGGGTACAGCATACACTGCTAGGGTGATGATGGGTGCACCAAAATCTCATAAATCACCACAAAAGAACTTATCCAGTAACCAAACATCACGCGTTCCCCAAAAACCTACTGAAATGAAAAGGAAGGAAGGAAAGGGAGGGAGGGAGGAAGCAGGGGGCGGGGAAGGGACGGGAGGAGGAGGGAGAGAAAGACAAAGAAAGAGAAAAAAAAAGGGAGGGAGGGAGGCAGAAAGAGAAAATGTGACTGGGCTCAGTGGCTCACGCCTGTAATCGTAGCACTTTGGAGGCTAAGGCAGGATGATCCCTTGAGTCCAGGAGTCTGAGACCAGCCTAGGCAACATAGCAATACCCTGTCTCTACACAAATTTTTTAAAAAATAGCTGGGTATGGTGGCACACACCTGTAGTCCCAGCTACTCAGGAAGCTTAGGCAGGAGGATCCCTTGAGCCCAGGAGTTTGAGGCTGCAGTGAGCTATGATCACCACTGCACTCCAACCTGGACAGTGGAATGAGACCCTGTCTCAACCAAAAATAAATAAGAAAGGAAAAAAATATTTGGGTTCTACTTCTACATATAAACCAGAAATCTTATTAATCATTGCAATTCATATACATGCTTGGATATGCACAGAATATCACTGAAAGCTAAATAAGGAACCGATAATAATGGTTGCCTCTGGAGAGAACTGCGAGGCTATCTGGTGGAGGTGAGAGGGAGACTTATGTTTATTGAATACTATATCATGACTTTAGATTATGTCGTGTACATAGTACCTGCTTGATTTTTTTTTTTAATTTACTTGATTATTTTTAAATTTGTGGCTTTTGGTTTAGCTTTTTTTTTTCTTTTGAGGGAGTTTCGCTCTTGTTGCCCAGGCTGGAGTGCAATGGCGCGATCTCGGCTCACTGCAATCACAGCCTCCCGGGTTTAAGCAATTCTCCTGCCTCAGCCTCCTGAGTAGCTGGGATTACAAGCATGGGCCACCATGCCCGGCTAATTTTTTTGTGTTTTTAGTAGAGACGGGGTTTCTCCACGTTTGGCTGGCTGGTCTTGAACTCCCAACCTCAGGTGATACGCCCGCCTCGGCCTCCCAAAGTGCTGGGATTACAGGAGTGAGCCACCGTGCCCGGCCGTGGTTTAGCTTTTATTCAGCATTTTATATAGGGAAAAAGCTTTTCATGTATAGATTAACCCACAGTCATTTCATATGGTTTGGCTGTGTCCCCACCCAAATCTCATCTCCAATTGTAACCCCTGTAATCCCCACATGTCAAGTGAGGGACCTGCTGGGAGGTGCTTGGATCATGGGGGTGGTTTCCCCCATAGTGTTCTTGTGATAGTGAGTGAGTTTTCAGGAGATCTGATGGTTTTTATAAGTGGGAGTTTTTTCCTGCGCTCTCTCTCTTTTCTCTTTCACGCCATCATGTAAGATGTGCCTTGCTTCCCCTTCATCTTCTGCCATGATTGTAAGTTTCCTGAGATCTCCCAGCCATGCAGAACTGTGAATCAATTAAACCTCTTTCCTTTCTAAATTACCCAGTCTCTGGTAGTATCTTTATAGTGTGAGAATGGACTAATACACATGTATATAGATGAGGAAACTGTTAAAAACCAGTCAAGAGTGGCATTACATTGTGCACTCAAATTAAAAACAGAAATTCCTTTTGAAAGTCATGTGTAGGCCAGGCACAGTGGCTCATGCCTGTAATCCCAGCACTTTGGGAAGCCAAGGCGGGTGGATCACCTGAGGTCAGGAGTTCAAGACCAGCCTGGCCGACATGGTGAAACCTCATCTCTACTAAAAATACAAAAAAATTAGCTGGGCATGGTGGCAGGCGCCTGTAACCCCATCTACTCGGTAGGCTGAGGCAGTAGAATCGCTTGAACCCCAGAGGTGGAGGTTGCAGTGAGCCGAGATCGTGCCATTGCACTCCAGCCTGGGCAACAAGAGCGAAACTTTGTCTCAAAAAAAAAAAAAAAGTCATATGTATATGTATGAATATATATATTTGTATAAAC
The DNA here is from genome assembly GCF_000001405.40 of Homo sapiens. Lineage (NCBI taxonomy): Eukaryota > Metazoa > Chordata > Mammalia > Primates > Hominidae > Homo > Homo sapiens. The sequence goes on from NC_000009.12 coordinate 85,856,545, forward strand.
AGCTAGCTTATATACCAAAAATAATAACTATCTCTGAATGTGGCTAAGTGATTTTTTATTTTCTCCCTTTTACTTTTTTTTCTACATTTTTATAAGGAACATAGATCACTTTTGTAATTAGAAGGAAAGCCAGTTTAAAAGATGAAATCTTCCCATGACTTGAGCCCAGCTATCCCGATTGATTTATTTTCCCATTTCCTTGTAGCAAAAAGAATGTTTCCAGCTGCTACATTTAAGAGAGAGCTGGCCGAGCACGGTGGCTCATGCCTGTAATCGCAGCACTTTGGGAGGCTGATGCAGGCGGATCACGAAGTCAGGAGATCGAGACCATCCTGGCTAACACGGTGAAACCCTGTCTCTACTAAAAATACAAAAACAAAATTAGCCAGGTGTGGCGGTGGACGCCTGTAATCCCAGCTACTCAGGAGACTGAAGTGGGAGAATGGCGTGAACCCAGGAGGCGGAGCATGCAGTGAGCTGAGATCACGCCACTGCTCTCCAGCCTGGGCGACAGAGTGAGACTCTGTCTCAAAAAAAAAAAAAAAAAGCTACCAGACAGTTTGGCTTGCTGATTACACTGATAAAAATCCCAGATGAGGCCAGGCGCGGTGGCTCACGCCTGTAATCCCAGCACTTTGGGAGGCTAAGGCGGGCCGATCATCTGAGGTCAGGAGTTCGAGACCAGCCTCAACATGGAGAAACCCTGTCTCTACTAAAAAAAATACAAAAAATTAGCCGGGCGTGGTGGTGCATGCCTGTAATCCCAGCTACTCGGGAGGCTGAGGCAGGAGAATTGCTTGAACCTGGGAGGCGGAGGTTGCAGTGAGCCGAGATAGTGCCATTGCACTCCAGCCTGGACAACAAGAGCGAAACTCCGTCTCGAAAAAAAAACAAAAAAAAATCCCAGATGAGCAATTCTTCTTGTCTTCAATATGGTTAGACAATAAATTTGGGTTTTTTCAGTAGGTGCATCCAAACATTATCAGTTGATTGAAAACTAATTGATGTTAACTGAACTCATGAATGGCTGAATTATACCCAGATTAATAACGTATTAAAAAAAGGGATGTGCTTTTCTGGTGAACAAACAGCTCTGGCCCATCTTCAAAAGTTATTTGCTATTGCTTTATTTATTTAGCAGCGGTATGCTTTCTTCAAGCAACTGTGTTTTGTTTTGTTTTTATGGACAACCAATACATAACAGAAAACAAAGCTGCTCTGATTGAAGACAGACAACAGACCTGCCCAGCCTCAAGTTCCCCTTTCTTTCCCTTCCCCAAGATGTTCCCTAAGAGGGCTCCTCAGAATCCCCAAGACTTCAAAGAATGCAGTTTAACACCAACTCATTTGATGGTACCAAATGGATAAGCAGAAGATTGTTTGGTGAGCATAGACCTGAAGCAAACAAAATTAGAGGAATACTAAATCCAGATTCTGGGAAATGTCTGATGAGTTTTTCTAGTTCCACAATAGTACATGCCTCTCTGAGAGATAGGAATATACATTCCTGACAGAAAGAATCACTCTGCCTTCAACAGTGCTAAACAATAGTGGGCTAGTAAACCAGCTTGCTGAAAACAAACAAAATAACCCAAAAATCCCTGGTCTACAGCAATTTGGCATTTTCTGTGGTGTAGACACTCCCACAGTGGTCTATCAGCAGAATTTAACAACAGCTTGCAAAATTCCCAAATGTTAGTTCTTGTAAACCTCTACTAGCTGACTTTTGGCACGCACTGGCAGAAAACCGCTAACTAATTCTATTATATGTGTGCTCCACACAGAACCCAACCTGCTGTTTCTTCTTTATTTCTTCATACACTTGGGTTATAACATAGCTTATTAGGCTATAGCTTTCTTTGGGGATGTTCTTGCCTCAGTAATAAATCTGGATCAACTTTATAGGATGTAGGAGTTTCCTGAAACTCTAACAATCACATACCTACAAACCATCTCTGGATGGTTTCTGTAAAAGGCAAATCGACTTGTCATGTGTTAATTGTTACTGGCTTTGCTCAGAGAGCAGCCAGATAACAAAAGCCCCATTATTTATTGACAGCAGCGATTTCTGACAAATTTTAGACATCCCTTCGGCCTTGTGATTATTTCATACCTAAATGTCTTTTCTTCCCTTATGAATCATGCTGCTGTTTCTTCCTGGAGGCCAGATGGGCATTTTTTTTTTTTTTTTTTTTTTTTTGAGACAGAGTCTCGCTCTGTCTCCCAGGCAAGAGGGGCGATCTTGGCTCACTGCAGCCTCCGCCTCTCAGGTTCCAACAATTCTCCTGCCTCAGCCTCCCAGGTAGCTGGGATTACAAGCACACACCACCATGCCCGGCTAATTTTTGTATTTTTAGTAGAGACGGGGGTTTCACTGTGTTGGCCAGGCTGGTCTCAAACTCCTGACCTCAGGTGATCTGCCCACCTCGACTCTCCCAAAGTGCTAGGATTACAGGTGTGAGCCACCATGCCTGGCTGACAATTTTTAATAAATGTTTTGTTCACATGGCTCTGGAAGAATTGGACCTGGACAAATAATTGGGTTAGTCTAGTTTTACTGTTTTTCATTCAGTGCCTTAGTTTATACTGAAGACCTAGATGACAATTTCTGTTTTCCATAATAAAGTAGCTCCTGGTTCAGTTTTGTAAAGAGTTGTGTAAGATCAATTAACATTTTGTGCAGAATCACAGACACTGTAAAATATTTCTGCTTATCTTCTAGGCAATGCTAGCTAGCACTAGTGACTGATATGCTTTAAAAAACAAAACAAAACAAAAAAACCTTAACTGCCTCCCAAAATATCTTCACTACAGTTATATCAAGTTGCCTAAAATTCTCAGCCTAGCAGTCTCTTGTTTGAGGTAAATTACAATTCTCTGGGAGACTTTATAGCTGTGAAATATTTAACCTATGAGGGAAATACCTTTGCAGCTAGAAATACAATTTTCAGGTATTTGTGGATTCAATGAAAAAGAAATAAGCCACAAAGGAGAGATTATCATGAAGGAATGGTTTAGAGTTTGAAAGAATGATGTGTTCAGACTCTGGGCTGAATGAGGCACAGAGAGGCAACAAGCTTTGAAAGTAACAGAAGCAGTAATGGGAGGTGAGGGAGTGGAAGACAGATTTTAATTCTGTGACTTTTTTCCTACTGCTGGCTTTCGTTCTAGCACATACATGATTCTGGAAAATAAAGCATAGTGTTCTCTTTTCTAACTAAAGTGCTTTCATTTCTATTGGTATGGCAGCTGAAACTGAAAAGTGGATGACACCACTGTGAAAACCTACCAGCCCAGTACAGAGCCCTTTCTTCTATGAATTAGCAGCAATCATGAGTATTAGTCAACCTAGCACTCCTGGAAAGTCACCGGCATGTAATTGGATCAGGTGTCACCAATGATTACAGGAAGATGAAAGGTGATAGTAGCAAAATGAAAAAGAAATTTGACCTGAGGCATGCAGCCTGAAGCAAGTGGAAAGCCAAATCATATGTGTGGAATTGACTCTTCCAGTTAGCTCTCCAGAAAACTCCCTTATTGCCAGGAAGGCTTTAATTTGATTAGCAAAGGGCTGCAGGAAAAGGGCATGTGAAACCTTGAGGCTGGCTAGCTATCCTTAGCTCCAAACCAAATTAATTTTGGGAGATTTATCATAATTCCCTTGCTGCAGCACCTAAGCCCATCCTGAGTAAGCTTCCTGAAACTCAAAAGAATGCTGTGCCCTGGACCCTGTGTTTCTGCATGTAACTCTGGGTTCACTTCACTGCTGCCGCCTGTATCCCTGCCTCCCCAGCTTCCCACTGCCTGTCTACTTCACATCCTTATTGCACAGACACAATCTAGTCTCTTTTTTTTCTTTTTTGGAGTCTTGCTCTGTCGCCCAGGCTAGAGTGCAGTGGCACGATCTTGGCTCACTGCAATCTCCGCCTCCCAGGTTCAAGTGATTCTCCTGCCTCAGCCTCCCGAGTAGCTGGGATTACAGGCGCCCTCAACCACGCTCAGCTAATTTTTGTATTTTTAGTAGAGATGAGGTTTCACCATCTTGGCCAGGCTGGTCTCAAACTCCTGATCTCATGATACACCCACCTGGGCCTCCCAAAGTGCTGGGATTACAGGCGTGAGCCACCGCACCCAGCCTCTAGTCTGTCTTTTGCATTCCTCCCTAAGCACTCCTCTCCCTGCATTGGCTTAGCACATCATTCCCAACAACTCTCAAATTCTACCCTCCATGGTTTAATTGACCACTGTGAGAGCATCCCCCACCAATTCCCTACGTGACTGCTGGACGACCCTCATAGAGCCTGTCAGCATTGTGGGCAAGACCCTGGGGAAGTTTCTCATTTTACATATGAATAAACTAGATGCAGAGATGTTAAGTAACCTATTCACAGTCACAGAGCTGAAAAGAACAATAATAATAATAATTGCTATTATTTATTACCATTTGCTGAAACTGTGCTGAACAATTTACATACATTTTCTTAGAATGAGAAACCTAAGGTCAGTTCTGGCTTTCGAGTGCCACCCCAAAATATGCTGCTTCAGCTTCAGTATGCTAATTAGTTAGAACTGAGGGCTTTGAAGGAAGAATAGGAAGTTACGAAGAGGGAAGAAGGAAATGGGAGTGGATAAATGGAATGGAGGGCTTTGCAGCCAAAAGGAAGAAAATGAAAAAAGGATCAGAGAGTTGGGACAAAGAGCTTTCTGAAGGACTTTACAGTAATAAAGAGGTGCCATCTCTAGATGGAGTTAGTGGGGAGAAACCCAGATTCAGTATATGCCCTTGGGTAGGTCTTGTCACCTCTAAGGACTTTAGGTCTCTCTTTTGTAAAACAAAAGATCTGAAAAATAAACAGAAGGGCTGGACTAAACAATCTCTAAGGTAGTTTTTTTTGTTTGTTTGTTTGTTTTTTGAGATGGAGTCTCACTCTTGTTGCTCAGGCTGGAGTGCAATGGTGCGATCTCAGCTCACCGCAACCTCCACCTCCCGGTTTCAAGCCATTCTCCTGCCTCAGCCTCCCGACGAGCTGGGATTACAGGCATGCACCACCACGCCTGGCTAATTTTGTGTTTTTAGTAGAGACGGGTTTCTCCATGTTGGTCAGGCTGGTCTCAAACTCGTGACCTCAGGTGATCCGCCCACCTCAGCCTTCCAAAGTGCAGGGATTACAGGTTTGAGCCACCGTGCCCAGCCTTCTAAGGTAGTAGTTTTTTTTTTTTAAATAATTATTATACTTTAAGTTCTAGGGTGCATGTGCACAACGTGCAGGTTTGTTACATACGTATACATGTGCCATGTTGGTGTGCTGCACCTGTTAACTCGTCATTTACATTAGGTATATCTCCTAATGCTATCCTTCCCCCGTCTCCCCACCCCACAACAGGCCCTGGTGTGTGATGTTCCCCACCCTGTGTCCAAGTGTTCGCATTGTTCGATTCCCACCTATGAGTGAGAACATGCGGTGTTTGGTTTTCTGTCCTTGTGATAGTTTGCTCAGAACGATGGTTTCTAGCTTCATCCATGTCCCTACAAACCACATGAACTCATCCTTTTTTATGGCTGCATAGTATTCCATGGTGTATATGTGCCACATTTTCTTAATCCAGTCTATCATTGATGGACATTTGGGTTGGTTCCAAGTCCTTGCTATTGTGAATAGTGCTGCTGTAAACATACATGTGCATGTGTCTTTATAGCAGGATGATTTATAATCCTTTGGGTATATGCTCAGTAATGGCATGGCTGGGTCAAATGGTATTTCTAGTTCTAGATCCTTGAGGAATCACCATACTGTCTTCCACAATGGTTGAACTAGTTTGCAGTCCCACCAACAGTGTAAAAGCATTCCTATTTCTCCACATCCTCTCCAGCACCTGTTGTTTCCTGACTTTTTAATGATTGCCATTCTAACTGGCATGAGATGGTATCTCATTGTGGTTTTGATTTGCATTTCTCTGATGGCCAGTGATGATGAGCATTTTTTCATGTGTCTATTGGCTTCTAAGGTAGTATTTTTAAGCAGATGGGCCAAGAAACATTAATGTAACAGGAATGGCTTATGGGTAGGCTGCCAGTCATCTGGATGCCCCTGTCTGACATCGGTGTCTGTGCTCATTCTGATTGGTAGGTGCCTGTGCAGTAAAAGTTGTTAGTAATGTATTTGCTCTGGCTATAGATATGCAGAAGTATTGAGCCCTCAGCCCTCAGGGCAGCTGGAGGTCCTGAGCCTGCCATTTCTAATCACAAACCACCCTATTCATTTTTCATGATATGAAGACAAATATTAACTTTTATGAGAAACAATAACATCTCTTTCAGAGCTAACATTCTGTTAATCTGTAAGAGTATCATTTGCATTCTCTAGAGGGAGAGGTTTCATAACCCTCAGATAATATATGTGGGAGGCCATGGAAAAAACAAATAGGGAGCTCTCTTTGGAGAGTCTCAGGCAGAAAAGATGCTTATAGCAAAGGTAGAGAATTGGCAGGTAGCTGTACGAAGATTTCGCTTTTGGAGATGCATTAATTATTTTGCACTCGAATCACAATAATCATAAAGAGATAGTTCCTCCTAAAGATCTGGTAGAAGGTATAAGGTTTAGTAAATGGTGAATGAATGAATGAATGACCTATACTAAGTGTCTTTGTGCACCTAGAATTATGCCTGTAACCACACAGTTCCCTTGATATGTCTTCAGCTGGCCATTTATGTACATCTGTTGCCTCCACTAGACTCTGAGGGCTGCTTGATCAAGGACACACAGTCTATAGTACTTCGTTTTAGCAGCCCAAAGTGACTAAAACATGCCCCATGAGGGCAGAGACCTTATTGTCTCAATTACCACCGTATAACCACTATGTTGAAATAGTCACATAGTACCTTGCACACAGTAAGTGCTCAATTAATATTTGTTGACTTAAATAATTCAGTTCCATCTTTAAGTAGAATAGTGTAAAATACACTAAGAAAGACAATATTAATGTTGAAAATAGAATGTAAATAAGGTGAGCTGTATTTTTTGAGGTCCAGGCAATAAATAAAATTAGGCTCAAATATTTCTTTTTTTTTATTTTTTTCCTTTTTTCTTTTTTTTTTTTTTTTGGTCAGACAAGGTCTCGCTTTGTTGCCCAGGCTGGAGTCTAGTGGCACAATCTCAGCTAACTGCAACCTCCACCTCCCGGGTGCAAGCGATTCTCCTGCCTCAGCCTCCTGAGTAGCTGGGATCACAGATGCACGCCACCACGCCCGGCTAATTTTTTTTATTTTCAGTAAAGGTAGGGTTTCATCATGTTGGCCAGGCTGGTCTCGAACTCCTGACCTCAGGTGATCCACCTGCCTCGGCCTCCAAAGTGCTGGGATTACAGGCATGAGGCTTAAATATATCAAATGAAAAGTCTTTAATGAGGGAACTACTTAAAGAGTTCCTTCATGAAAGGACCAAGCAAAGAACATTGAGCCACCTAGAGCTTGCAACAGTGGGACTCTGTTACCATTTCTAAGGCTGAAGATGCAGGGGAGGAAATAGTGTTACCGGAGCACAGATAGTGCAGAGCTGGAGAGGATGGGCCATCTTGCAAGAGCTACAGCTGTGCAATGAAGCTGCCACTGTCAAAACCACAGAGCCCTCTTAACATTGCTTTTGCTGCATCCCAGAGATTTTGTTATGTTGTGGCTTTGTTTTCATTTATTCCAAATAATTTTTAAATTTCTGCCTTAATTTCATTGTTTACCCAAAAGTCATTCAGGAGCAAGTTGCTTAATTTCCATGTAATTGTGTGGTTTTGAGAGATCTTCTTGGCATTTCTATTTTCCGCTGTGGTCCAAGAGTATGGTTGGTACAATTTCGATCTTTTTTAATTTTTTGAGACTTGCATTATGGCTGAGCACATGGTCAATCTTTGAGTATTTCCCATGTGAAGAAAATATATATCCTATGGTTGATGGGTGGAGTATTTTCTAGATATCTATTATGTCCAATTGGTCAAGTGTTCAATTTAAGTCTAGAATTTCTTTGTTAGTAAAAGCAGTGTTAAGAGGAAAGTTTATGATTCTAAACACCTACATCAAGAAGTTAGATCTCAAATTAATAATCTAACATCACTTCTAGAGGAACTAGAAAAATGAGAACAAACTAACCTCAAAGCTATCCGAATAAAAGAAATAACTAAAATCAGAGCAGAACTGAATGAAATTCACACAAAGGATCAACAAAACCAAATGTTGGTTATTTGAAAAAATAAACAAAATGGATAGACTGCTAGCTAGATTAACAAAGAAAAAAGGAGAGCAGATATAAATAAGCACAATCAGAAATTACAAAGGTGACATTACAACCAATCCCACAGAGATGTAAAAGATTCTCAGAGACTAAAATGAACACCTTTACGCACATAAACAAGAAAATCTAGAAGAAATGGATAAATTCCTGGAAACACACAGCCTCCCAAGATTGAATCAAGAAGAAATTGAAACCCTGAACAGACCAATATTGGGTTCTGACATTTAATCAGTAATAAAAGATCTACCAAACAAAAGTAGCTCTGGACCAGAGAGATTCATGGCCAAATTCTAACAGACTTACAAAGAAGAGCTTCTACCAATTATACTGAAACTATTCAAAAAAATTGAGAAGGAGCAACTCCTCCTTAACTCATTCTACAAAACCAGTATCAGCCTGATACCAAAATACAGCAAAGACACAGTGAGAAAAGAAAACTGCAGGCCAATATCCCTGATGAACATAGACCCAAAAATCCTCAACAAAATACTAGCAAATTGAATCTAGCAGCACTTTAAAAAGTTAATGCACCACAATCAAGGTATCCTGGGGAACAAGCTTAGTTCAACATATGCAAATCAATAAATGTGATTCATCACACAAACAGAACTAAAAACCATACAGTCATTTCAATAGACACAGAAAAAGCTTTTGATAAAATCCAGTATCCCTTCATCATAAAAACCCTCAACAAACTGGGCATCAAAGGAACATACCTCAAAATAATAAGAGCCATCTATGACAAACCCACAACCAGCATCATACTGAATGGACAAAAGCTGGAAGCGTTTCCCTTGAGAACTGGAACAACACAAGGACTCCCACTCTCACTTTTCCTATTCAACATAATACGGAAGTCCTAGCCAGAGCAGTCAGGCAAGAGAAAGAAATAAAAGACATCCAAATAGAAAAATAAAAAGTTAAACTATCTCTTTGCTGATGATATGATTCTTTACCTAGAAAACCCTAAAGACTCCACCAAAAGGTTCCTAGACAGATTAATGTCCTCAGTAAAATTTCAGGATCAAAATCAATGTATGAAAATTAGTAGCATTTCTATACACCAATAATATTCAAGCTGGGAGCCAAATCAAGAACACAATCCCTTTTCCAATAGCCACACACACATACACACACACACACACAAATACACAGGAATACATCTAACCAAGGGTGTGAAGGATCTTCACAAGAAGAACTGCAAAACACTGCTGAAATAAATCAGAGATGACACAAACAAAAGGAAAAACATTACATGTTCATGGATTGGAAGAATCAATATCATTAAAATGGCCATACTTCCCAAAGCAACCTACAGATTCAACACTATTTCTGCAAAACTACCAGTGTAACTTTTCACAGAATTAGAAAAAACTATTCTAAAAGTCATATAGAACCTAAAAATAGTTAAGGCAATCCTAAAGAAAAAGAACAAAGCCAGAAGTATCACATTACCTGATTCCAGACTATATTATAAGGACACAGTAACCAAAACAGCATGATACTTCTGCAAAAACAGATCACATAGACTAATGGAACAGAATAGAAAACGCAGCAATAAAGCCACACACTTAGAACCACCTGATCTTCAATAAAGTCAACAAAAATAAGCAATGAAGAAAGGATTCCCTATTCAATAAATGGTGCTGGGATGGACTGGTTAGTCATATGCAGAAGAGTGAAATTGGATCCCTACCTTTCACCATACACAAAAATTAACTCAAGATGGATTAAGGATTTAAATGTAAAGCCTCAAACTATAAAAATGTTAGAAGAAAACCTAGGGAAAGAGTTTATGACCAAGTCCTCAAAACTAACTGCAACAAAAACAAAAATTGACAAGTGGGACTTAATTAAACTAAAGAACTTCTGCTCAGCAAAAGAAATTATCAATAAACAGCCTATGGAATAGAAGAAAATATATGCAAACTATCCACTCAACAACGTTCTCGTGTCCGGAATCTAGAAGGAATTTAAACAAATCAACAAGCAAAAAACAAATAACCCGGCTGGGCACAGTGGCTCACACCTGTAATCCCAGCACTTTGGGGGGCTGAGACAGGCAGATCACCTGAGGTCAGGAGTTCAAGACCAGCTTGGCCAACATGATGAAACCCTGTCTCTACTAAAAATACAAAAATTAGCTGGGCATGGTGATGCATGCCTGTAATCCCAGCTACTCGGGAGGCTGAGGCAGGAGAATCGCTTGAACCTGGGAGGCAGAGGTTGCAGTGAGCCGAGATCGCACCACTGCACTCCAGCCTGGGTGACAGAGTGAGAGTCTGTCTCAAAAACAAAAACAAAACAAAACAACCCCATTAAAATGGGGGGGCGGCGAAGGACATGAACAGACACTTCTCAAAAGAAGATGTACAAGCAGCCAACAAACATGAAAAGATGCTCAACATCACTAATAATCAGAAAAATGCAAATCAAAACCACAATGAGATACCATCTCAAACCAGTCAGAATGGTTATGATTAAAAAGTTAGAAAATAACAGATGTTGGCGATATTTCTGTGAACAGGGAATGCTTCTACACTGTTAGTGGGCGTGTAAATTAGTTCAGCCACTGTGGAAAGCAGTTTGGAGATTTGTGAAAGAACTTAGAACAGAAATACCATTAGGCCCAGCAATCCCGTTACTGGGTATATACCCGCAGAAAAATAAATCATTCCACCAAAAAGGCACATGCACTTATGTTCATCACAGCACCATTCGCAATAACAAAGACCTGGAATCAACCTAGGTGCCCATCAGTGGTCGATTGGATAAAGAAAATGTGGTACATACACATCATGTAATACTACACAGTCATAAAAAGAATGAGCTCTTCAAAACCAGCCTGGCCAACATGGTGAAATCCTGTCTCCACAAAAAAAAATACAAAAATTAGCCGGGCATAATGGCAGGTACCTGTAATCCCAGCTACTCATGAGGCTGAGGCTGGAGAATCACCTGAACCTGGAAGGTGGAGGTTGCAGTGAGCCGAGAGCTTGCCATTGCACTCAAGTCTGGGCAACAGGGCAAGAACTTATCTCAAAAAAAAAAAAAAAAAAAAAAGCTGGTCCAGGCACGGTGGCTCACGCCTGTAATCCCAGCACTTTGAGAGGCTGAGGCAGGCAGATCACCTGAGGTCAGGATTTCGAGACCAGCCTGGCCAACATGGTGAAAACCTACCTCTACTAAAAAAATTAGCTGGGTGTGATGGCTCACGCCTGTAGTCCCAGCTACTTGGGAGGCTAAGGCACAAGAATAGCTTGAACCCAGGAGACAGAGGTTGCAGTGAGCCGAGATCTCGCCATTGCACTCCAGCCTGAGCGACAGAGCAAGACTCCATCTCAAAAAAAAAAAAAAAAAAAAAAAAAAGTGAGCTCATGTCCTTTGCAGCAACATGGATGCTGCTGGAGGCCATTATCCTAAATGAAAAACAAAACAAAAAAAAAAACACACACATACATACACACACACACACACACACACACGAACAGAAATCCAAAAACTGCATGTTCTCATAAGTGGAAGGTAAATATGGGGTACTCGTGTACATAAAGATGGGAACAGTAAACACTGGGGACTACTAGAAAGAGGAGGCAGAAAGGGGTGCAAGAGTTGAAAAGAATTTATTGGCTGTTATGCTTACTACCTGGGTGATGGAATCATTTTGTACCCAAAACCTCAGCATCACACAATATACCCATGTAACAAACCTGCACATGTACCCCTGGAATCTAAAATAAAAGTTGAAATTATATGTAAGAAGAAAACCACACAGAGCCCAAGTAAGGAGGAATTGGTGGAATTAATACTCTCACCACTGTCTCCTCTACACTCCCCTGGCTAAACCCGGCCAGCAGTCAGTTGATAAGGGAGCATAGGTAACACAATCCGTGGCTTCCAGGAACATTGAGAAAGGCAGAGAATGGCAGAGAATGAATCTTGGATGGTCAAATGGAAAACAACTAGCAGAGATACAAAAGAATGTTCTATTGAAAGAATAAAGAAAATAGACCACAGAAGAGAAGGAAAAAGTCAAATATGACAGGAATCTTCAAACAGAGTATTAATTCTGTTACCCTTCACTCTCTTAGTTTTTCTTCTTGTAGTAGGTATATTCATTATTTTTCCCCTGGAACCTTATTATTGTCCTCATTTCTTAATGTTTTCTTTAAGTATAAATGTTTTAACTATCATAGATGATTTCAAACATAGTAGAGTGATATAATAAACTCCCATTACACCACCCAGTTTCAACAATTAAAACACACTTGGCCAATCTTCTCTATAATTCAACTCTTTCCCTCTACTCAGATTATTTTGAAGCAAATTCCAGACATTATACATACATATTTCATACATATAATAAAGATGAAGACTCTTTAAAACACAGATATAAGATCATTATCAAATCTAAAAAAAAATGAACCATATTTAGCAGCTGAATATCATCAAATATGCAGTCAGCTTTTACAGGTTCCTGATTTTCTTACAGAATTTGTTTTTACACTTTGTGAATCAGAGTCTCAATGAGGTGTGTATATCTGTGTGTGTGTGTGTGTGTGTGTGTGTGTGTGTGTAGTTACATATATGTTGCCCAGGCTGGAGTGCAGTGGCATGATCTTGGCTCACTGCAACTTCTGCCTCCTGGGTTCAAGCGATTCTCCTGCCTCAGCCTCCCAAGTAGCTGGGATTACAGGCGCCCATCACCATGCCCAGCTAATTTTTTTGTATTTTTAGTAGAGACAGGGTTTCACCATGTTGGCCAGGCTGGTCTCAAACTCCTGACCTCAGGTGATCCACCCACCTCGGCCTCCCAAAGTGCTGGGATTACAGGTGTGAGCCACTGCGCCTGGCCGAGGTCCATGTATTTTAACTGGTTGATATATCTTTTAATCTTTATGTCCCCCTTCTATTTTTTTCCTTTTTCTTTTCTTGTTTTTTAATATGCCTTACAACTCAACTTTTTGTCAAAAAAAAAAAAAGCAAGATTGTTTTTCGCAGGCTAGATTTTCTGGTTGCATCCTTAGGGTTTTTTGTTGTTGTTGATGTTGTTTTGAGATGAGTTTTTGCTCTGTCACCTAGGCTGGAGTGCAGTGGCACAGTTATAGCTCACTGCAGCCTTGAACTCCTGGGCTCGAAGGATCCTCCTACCGCAGCCTCCTGAGTACCTGGGATTAGAGGCACGTGCCACTATGCCTGACTAATTTTTTAAAATTTTTGTAGAGACAGTGTCTCACTGTGTTCACCCTACTAGTCTCAAACTCCTGGCCTCAAGCAATCCTCCTACCTCAGCTTGCCAAAGTGTTGGGATTATAGGCGTGAGCCACCGCACACCAGTCGTAGGGTGTCATTTAACACATTCCTCTAACCTTTTCACTGGAGTTTAATTTAAAGTCTTGATCAGATTCCTTTTTTTTTTTTTTTTTTTTTTTGGGAAAGACTGTTTCACAGGTGGTGCTACCTCTACCTTTTTCCCTCAGGAGGCACTGTGTCTAGTTGCGTGTGTGTGTGTGTGTGTGTGTGTGTGTGTGTTAGCAGTTGATGATGACAGTTGCCTATGTTGATTAATTTATTAGGAATTGAAAAATGGTGATGCTCTAATTTTACCATTCTTCTTTATTTATTAGAGGGAATATAACTATAAAGAGAAACTTTTCATCATCAACTACTGGGTTACCCTGTGGTACAAGCAATATAAGAAAGACAAAATAAATGCTTCATTCTTTTCCCTTTAATTACCAGTTTTCAGCATAATGAGTTAGTTTCCTAACATCCTCCAAAAATGACCAATGGTATTTTTTTCTTTAGCATCATTATGAACTCATTGATTTTAAACATATTTGAATATTTTAAACAATATTGAAATATTCGAGGTATTCAATTCCTTGAAGATATTATTGTTATTCATGTTAAAATTTCTCCTTCTTTGGCCAGTGAAAGTCTATTAAAGTTGGTTTCAGGTTCCTTTAATGCAAACCTAGTAGTCTTTGATAGCTTTGTTGTTGTCTGGTATTGTAAGATATTCCAGCCTCATCTTTTACTTTCCCTGCCCCAAACATGGAATCACCAATTTTGCCAAGGTGTCTTGGTGCTCTTTCCTAATCAGTAGGAAAAAACCCAGAGACAGTGACCAGCTGAACAGCAATGAACACCTGAAGTGGCTAGATTGTGGTCTCTAAATAGCATTTTTTCAGTAAATCATTGCTTCTAGGCATTGTAAAATGTGCTAGAGAATGATGGTAAATTGCAGAAATGGACACAAATTCCTCTCCCTCCTGCATACCCCATGTCTCTTTGTAATGTGGCTTTGACACTTCTACCATTGAGAGGCGTGCCTCTTTACACCTTGAATCTGCACTTGGCCATGTGACTTGATTTAGCTAATGGAAAACAGCAAAGGTGACAAAAGCAGAGACTTAAAAAGCACATGTGCAATGGGGCTTGCTCACCACACTGCTGGGAACAAGCCTTGATTAAGCTCCTAGAGAATAAAACACCACATGGAGAGAGGCACCTGCCATCCTAATTGTCCCAGCTGCAGCACAGATGTGAATTATGCCATCCTACAATCCGTCCCCAAACTAGCCAGCCAAAACCATAAACTAGCCAGCTGACCCATAGAATAATGAGAAATAAAAACATTTGTTGTTTTAAGCCATTAAGCCTCGAGGTGGTTTGTAAAACCCCAAAAAAGCAAAAGCTGACTGATATAAAAATATGTATTTTTTCTTTTTTAAAATTATTTTATTGTTGTTATTGGTTTTAAGTTCTGGGGTACATTTGCAGGATGTGCAGGTTTGTTACATAGGTAAACCTGTGCCATGGTGGTTTGCTGCACCTAACAACCCATCACCTATGTATTAAGCCCAGCATACATTAACTCTTTTCCCTAATGCTCTTCACCTCCGCCCCCTGCTCTCCCCGACAGACTCCAGTGTGTGTTGTTCCCCTCCTTGTGCCCATGTGTTCTCATTGTTCAGCTCCCACTTATAAGTGAGAATATGCTGTCTTTGGTTTCCTGTTCCTGCATTAGTTTGCATAATGGCTTCCAGCTTCATTCATGTCTCTGCAAAGGACATGATCTCGTTCTTTTTTATGGCTGCATATATTCTGTGGTATATATATACCACATTTTCTTTATCCAGTCTATCATTGATGGGCATTTGAGTTGATTCCATGTCTTTGCTATCGTGAGTAGTGCTGCAGTGAACATACACGTGCATGTATCTTTATAATAGAACAATTTATATTCTGGATTGCTGGGTCAAATGGTATTTCCTGTTGTAAATCTTTGAGGAATCACCACACTGTCTTCCACAATGATTGAACTAATTTACATTCCCACCAACAGTGTAAAAGCGTGCCTAAAAAATATGTATTTTAAAGATAAAATATATATTGACATTAACACTTTAAACTAAAACCCAAATCTATAGCGTTTTTTAAGCCCTTTATTGATCTTTCACTGAAACTTCTTTCTCCTACTCTAAAAATTCCAATTGTAAACAAAATAAACAGAATAACTCATTTGTTTTATCTCGATCTACATATAAAGAGGTCTCAGAATGATAATACTAATACAACCTCTGTCACAGGTTACATTTTGTGGAGCAGACACTGAGATGGAATTTGGGGTACAACATGAGAAAGAAGCGGGGATCAGGAAGAACTGAGCAGAAGACCAATTAATATGATACCGTATGATCAGGCCGTTCAAAACTTTGGCCAACCTAGCAGGGAATTCTGGAATGAGTAATACCCGTCATAGATGTCTCATGTTGGGCCAAACTGGTCAGACTTTATATTCCTGTCATACTTGGCCACCAGATGTGGGCTGTACCAGGAAGCGCATGACTTTATGCATGGCAACTCTGCATATGATATCAACCCTGGAGGAGCTAATAGTCTGAGGCTGTCCACTCCCAGTAGCAAGATCTTCCCTGCAGGAGGATCTGAGCAGCACTTCTCCATGTCTTCCAGTCTCCAAAATACAGTTCCCGAAAACAGGATTATTTTTATATATCTTTTTGTCCTTAGTATATGTGCCTCTAGGTACATGCAATCAAGCTGTTGAACAGATGATCCTCAGCTCAATGGTTCAACATACCAATTTTCAGCTTTACTATGGTACAAAAGCTATACACATTCAGTAGAAACTACACCCCAAATTTTGAATTTTGATCTTTTCCCAACCAGCAATACACAGTACAATATTCTCTGGAGATGTTAGGCAGTGGCCATGAGCCATAACTTCCAGTCAGCCATGCCATCATGAGGGTAAACAAATACTGTACTCTGCAGTGTACTGTATTCAATAAATTACATGAGATATTAAATACTTTATTGTAAAGTAGACTTTGTTAGATAATTTTGCACAACTATATATAATGTAAGTGTTCTGAGCACTTTATTTTATTTATTTATTTATTTTTGCATATAAAGACGGAGTCTCACTCTGTCGCTCAGGCTGGAGTGCAGTGGCGCGATTTTGGCTCACTGCAAGCTCCGCCTTCCAGGTTCACACTATTCTCCTGCCTCAGCCACCCGAGTAGCTGGGACTACAGATGCCCATCACCACGCCCGGCTAATTTTAGTATTTTCAGTAGAGATGGGGTTTCACCGTGTTAGCCAGGATGGTCTCGATCTCCTGACCTCGTGATCTGCCCACCTGGGCCTCCCAAAGTGCTGGGATTACAGGTGTGAGCCACCGCACGCAGCCGAGCACGTTTAAGGTAGATGAGGCTAAGCTCGGTAGGTTAGGTGTATTAAATGCATTTCAACTTACGATGTTTTCAACTTATGATAGGTTGATCAGGACGTAACCTTGTGTTAGGCCGTTCTTGCAATTCTATAAAGGAATACCAGAGACTGGGTAATTTATAAAGAAAATAAGTGGGCTGGGCGCGGTGGCTCATGTCTGTAATCCCAGCACTTTGGGAGGCCTAGGTGGGCGGATCACAAGGTCAGGAGATCCAGACCATCCTGGCTAACACGGTGAAACCTGTCTGTATTAAAAATACAAAAAATTAGCCGGGCGTGGTGGTGGGCGCCTGTAGTCCCAGCTACTCGGGAGGCTGAGGCAGGAGAATGGCGTGAACCCGGGAGGTGGAGCTTGCAGTGAGCCAAGATCGCGCCACTGCACTCCAGCCTGAGCAACAGAGTGAGACTCTGTCTCAAAAAAAAAAAAAAAAAACAAAAACAAAACCAGAAAATAAGTTTAATTGGCTCACAGTGCTGCAGGCTATACAAGCATGGCACCAGCATTTCCTCAGCTTCCGGGGAAGCCTCAGGGAGCTTTTTACTCATGGCAGAAGGAAAAGTGGGAGTAGCCATGTCACGTGGCAAAAGCAGGTGCAAGAAAGACAGTGGGGGAGATGCCACACACTTTTAAACAATTCGATCTTGTAAGAATTCGCTTACAATAGTGATGACAGCACCAAGCTATAGGGGACGCACCTCCGTGACTGAAGCACCTCCTACCAGGCCCCACCTTCAACACTGGGGATCGCATCTCAGCATGAGATTTAGAGAGGACAAAATCCAAACTGTATCAAACCCCATCATAAGTTGAAGAGCATCTGTTTTTTGTTTTATTTTATTTATTTATTTATTATTATTATTTTTTTGAAACGGAGTTTCTCTCTTGTTGCCCAGGCTGGAGTGCAATGGCATGATCTCAGCTCACCGCAAACTCCACCTCCCGGGTTCAAGCGATTCTCCTGCCTCAGCCTCCCGAGTAGCTGGGATTACAGGCATGCACCACCACCCCAGCTAATTTTGTACTTTTAGTAGAGACGGGATTTCTCCATGTTGGTCAGGCTGGTCTTGAACTCCCAACCTCAGATGATCCGCCCACCTCGGCCTCCCAAAGTGCTGGGAATGCAGGCATGAGCCACCGCACCCGGCCAAAGAGCATCTGTATTTTAAAGACATTCATAACAATCTCTCTCTCTCTCTAGTTATGCAATCAACTGGATCTCTTATTTTAAGTTCATTTGTTTACATTTTAATTTTACATTTAATTTTATATTATGATTTTTTTTTTTTGAGATGGAGTATTGCTCTTCTTGCCCAGGCTGGAGTGCAATGGCATGATCTCAGCTCACTGCAACCTCCGCCTCCCAGGTTCAAGCTATACTCCTGCCTCAGCCTTCCGAGTAGCTGTGATTATAGGCATGCACAACCACGCCCAGCTAATTTTATTTTTTAAGTAGAGAGGGGGTTTCATCATGTTGGTCAGGCTGGTCTCGAACTCCTGACCTCAGGTGATCCGTCCGCCTCGGCCTCCCAAAATGCTGGAATTACAGGCGTGAGCCACCACGCCCAGCCATATTATGATTATTTTTAAAAATTTATATGCTTCCAAAATCAAATATATAAACAAAATGTGTTTGAAGAAATTAGCTTCTCTCTCTGTCTTCACTGTTCTCTTCCTCCCTATAGGTAACCTATTTTTAAAATTTTAATAGTTTGTCCTTCCATTTTATCGTTAATTTAAAATCACTTCACTAAGCAATTTAAAATAAAATAAATCACTTTGTTTGGTAATAAGAATAATTTTTTTTTTTCGAGACAGAGTTTTGCTCTTGTTGCCCAGGCTGGAGTGCAATGGCACTATCTCGGCTCACCGCAACCTCCACCTCCCGGGTTCAAGCGATTCTCCTGCCTCAGCCTCCTGAGTAGCTAGGATTACAGGCATGTGCCACCACGCCCAGCTAATTTTGTATTTTTAGTAGAGACAGGGTTTCTCCATGTTGATCATGGCTGGTCTCAAACTCCTGACTTCAGGTGATCAGCCTGCCTCGGCCTCCCAAAGTGCTGGGATTACAGGCGTGAGCCACTGCGCCCGGTGGTAATAAGAATAATTTTGTTAAGCTTTACATTTGCCTAGAATTTCACAGTCTACAGAGGTCCTCTTTGATTGACAATTGCATTGTACAAGAAGCTTCCAGAAGAAAATGTACCACTGAGTCTCTGTATGGACCTATTCTCAAGTGAGATGTGATGCTAAAAGATGCACATTCTCCTCTTCTGAAAATTATGAAGACTTAGGAAATTTGTGCTTTTTTGCCTCCAAGTCATCACATAGGGGTATGCATGCCAATGTATTGAGGCAAGCCTACTGAGAAATAAAGGTAGTGCCAGAGGTAGGATAATCAATGCTTCTTTCCAACTGTTATTTGGCTCAGATCCCTCTATTCTTTCTTGGTTCCGCTCCAATAGCTAAATTAAATTAATAGGAATTTTTTTTTTTTTTTTTTGAGACAGAGTCTCGCTCTGTTGCCCAGCCTGGAGTGCAGTGGCGCAATCTCGGCTTACCGCAAGCTCCACCTCCTGGGTTCACGCCATTCTCCTGCCTCAGCCTCCCGAGTAGCTGGGACTATAGGTCCCCACCACCGCACCCGGCTAATTTTTTTTTTTGTATTTTTTTAGTAGAGACAGGGTTTCACTGTGGTCTGGATCTCCTGACCTCGTGATCCTCCCACCTCGGCCTCCCAAAGTGCTGGGATTACAGGCTTGAGCCACCACGCCCGGCCAATTTATAGAAATTTTAAACTCACTTCCACAATGCAGTCCATACAGTTTGGAAAATGATTGCTTGGTGTTGTAGGGGATATGACAAAAGGCAAAGCCCAATGCTTGACTCTAGAAGCTCAGACTCAAGTGGATTTTTAAAAAGACATTTCAACAATCCAAACATTTTTCTTCATTGAAAACAGTCCTACTTTGCATAGAATTTATTTTCTGGAGAGCTTCATCAAATGGAAGTCTTTGAACCAGGGTTTGAGAATAAATTAAAATGCTGTTGCTTTTTTGTCTTCAGATTAATTGTGGAAAAACTGTCTTCTGACTTTAGGATTGTAACCCTGGTTCTAGAAAGAGCTTCAACATTACTATGCAGGGTAAGAGCAATAAGGTAATGTACAGGCAGTCCCTCCAACACAGAATGTTCCTACTGTGAACAGAACCTAGAGGAGAAGAAGCTAAACATACTGTCAGAAAGATTTATGTTGTATTTCCACATAGCAACAACTGTTTTCTCTTTGAGGTTTTTAACTAGACTCTCCAGAGAACCCCCTATAAAACAAAAATGGTTAAAACAGTTTCATGAATGATTAAAAATAAACTCACTAAATAATTTTTTAATTTCACATTTTACTTATAAAATATCATAATTAGGAAAGAAACTTAAGAAAAGGCAAAATGATTTCACTTTTTTTTTTCAATGTTGTTAACTCTAGTAAGTTAAGGGTGCAAAGATCTGTCATTGTAAAACAGGGTTTATGAATAGGAAGATGTTTGTTTGGTGTTTTTAAAGGAGCTCATTGTAAATATACAGTTAAAATTTATGAAGCAAAATTACGCGACCTTGACAACATTTACCTTCAAGCTCTATAAACATAAATAGTGATAATACTAATGCTGTCACTAAACTACAAAATATATTTTGAGTTTAGTGAATTCTTACCTTGTACAAGACAAGGGGTCAGCAAACTATGGCCTGCAGGCTAAATCCAGCCCACTGTCTGGATTTAGGATCTTAAAAAAGTAATGTTCTCATTACTATTCAGTCTCTTCGTAGTCAGCTAATTTATTTTTCTTTTTCTGGCAATTTAAAGAGCTTAACTTTTTGGCTAGCTTTTTTTTTTTTTGAGACTGAGTCTCCCTCTGTCGCCCAGGCTGGAGTGCAGTGGTGCGATCTCAGCTCCCAGCAACCTCCACCTCCCAGGTTCAAGTGATTCTCCTGCCTCCGCCTCCTGAGTAGCTGGGACTACAGGTGCACACTGCCACGCCTGGCTAATTTATTTTTTTATTTTTTATTTTTTTTTAGATGGAGTCTCGCTCTGTTGCCCAGGCTGGAGTGCAGTGGCCCTATCTCAGCTCACTGCAACCTCCGCCTCTTGGGTTCAAGTGATTCTCCTGCCTTAGCCTCCCAAGTAGCTGGGATTATAGGCACACGCAACAGCCACCATGCCTGGCTGATTTTTGTATTTTTAGTAGAGATGGAGTTTCACCATGTTGGCTAGCCTGGTCTTGAACACCTGAACTCAGGTGATTCATTCACCTCGGCCTCCCAAAGTGCTGAGCTTACAGGCATGAGCCACCGTGCCCAGGCTTGTAAAAATATAGTAGAGATGGGGTTTCAACACGTTGGTCAGGCTGGTCTCGAACTCTTGACCTCAAGTGATCCACCCACTCAAAGTGCTGGGATTACAGGCCAGAGCCACTGTGCCTGGCTCTGGCTAACTAACTTTGATATGTATGTAGGACCACATATGCATGGGATCTGGAGTGAGCTTCAGATCCTGCCTATGAATGACTTTACATTTTGAAATGATTGGGGGAAAAAAAATCAAAGGAAGGATAATATTTCATGGCACGTGAAAATTATATATGAGATTCAAATATCAGTGTCTGTAAAGTTTAATTGGAACTTTACCATGCCCATTCATTACCTATTGTCTATTGCTTTTGCACTGTAACAGCAGAATTGAATTGTTGCAGCAGAGACCATATAGCTAACAAATCCTAAGATATTTACTACCTGACCCTTTACAGAAAATGTTTTCCAATCCCTGTACAGGGTTGACTGGTGAGTCAAAACAGACAAGATCCCTTGCTTCATAGAATTTACCAACAAGACATTATCTCACTTTGACCAGGCACGGTGGCTCACGCCTGTAATCCCAGCACTTTGGGAGGCCGAGGCGGGTGGATCACCTAAGGTCAGGAGTTCGAGACCAGCCTGGTTAACATGGTGAAACCCTATCTCTACTAAAAATAAAAATTAAAAAAAAATTGCTGGGCATGATGGCATGTGCCTGTAATCCCAGCTACTTGGGAGGCTAAGGCAGGAGAATCACTTGAAGCCCGGGGGTGGAGGTTGCAGTGAGCCAAGATCAAGCCACTGCACTCCAGTCTGGGCAACAAGAGCGAAAACGGCCTCTCAAAAAAAAAAAAAAAAAAAAAAACATTATTTCACTTAAATCTCATAACAAATCTGGAGGTAAAGGTACAATTTTATTATTATCTTCGTGAGGCAATTGAGGAATGTCATTATTATACCCACAGGCAACTGAGGTACGGAGAGGTTAAAAATCTTGTCAAAATCCACACAGATCACTGAGGGAGGCAGGATCCGCAGCTCACTCCAGACCCCACACATATGTATTCCCACTGATCAGCATTAGCCAGCTAGGAAGTTAAGCTCTTTAAATTACCAAAGGAAAAAAATAGATGCTGACTATGAAAAAAGTGAAATAGTAATAAAGATGTTATGATTTTTCTGACAGTTTTACATTTACAGAAAAATTGAGCAGAGACTACAGAGAGTGCCAATATGTGACCCCAATCTCTGCACACAGTTGCCCCTTTGAGTAATATTTTACATTAATATAGTACTTTTTGTCATGCGAGTCCGTGTGAAGAGACCACCAAACAGGCTTTGTGTCAGCAATAAAACTTTTTAATCACCTGGGTGCAGGCAGGCTGAGTCTGAAAAGAGTCAGCAAAGGGAGATGGGGTGGGGCAGTTTTATAGGATTTGGGTAGGTAGTGGAAAATTACAGTCAAAGGGGGTTATTCTCTGGCTGGCACCGGCAGGGGTCACAAGGTGCTCAGTGGGGGAGCTTCTGAGCCAGGAGAAGGAATTTCACAAGGTAATGTCATCAGTTAAGGCAGGAACCAGCCATTTTCACTTCTTTTGTGATTCTTCACTTGTTTCAGGCCATCTGGATGTATACATGCAGGTCACAGGGGATATGATGGCTTAGCTTGGGCTCAGAGGCCTGACATTCCTGTCTTCTTATATTAATAAGAAAAATAAAACAACATAGTGTTGAAGTGTTGGGGCAGCGAAAATTTTGGGGAGTGGTATGGAGAGATAATGGGAGATGTTTCTCAGGGCTGCTTCGAGCGGGATTAGGGGCGGCGTGGGAACCTAGAGTGGGAGAGATTAAGCTGAAGGAAGCTTTTGTGGTAAGGGGCGATATTGTGGGGTTGTTAAAAGAAGCATTTGTCATATAGAATGATTGGTGATGGCCTGGATGCAGTTTTGTATGAATTGAGAAACTAAACGGAAGACACAAGGTCTGAATAAGAGAAGGAGAAAAACAGGTATTAAAGGGCTAAGAATTAGGAGAACCCAGGACATCCAATTAGAGAGTGCCCAGGAGGGTTCAGCGTAATTACTTGCTTGGTTGGTGAGTTTTTGGGCTTATCCTTGACAGAGTCCTCCTTTTTAAGTTGGAGGCTGAACTTGGTGAGGTGTGTTTTTAAAGACCATTAGTCCATTCTACCTTTTCTGAAGATTGAGGACGGTAAGGGGTATGAAGTTTCCACTGAATACCAAGAGCCTGAAAAACTGCTTGGGTGATTTGACTAATAAAGGCCAGTCCGTTATCAGACTGTATAGAGGTGGGAAGGCCAAACCAAGGAATTATGTCTTACAGAAGGGGAGAAATGACCATGGTAGCCTTTTCAGACCCTTTGGGAAAGGCCTCTACCATCCAGTGAAAATGTCTACTAGACCAAGAGGTATTTTAGTTTCCTGACTTGGGGCATGTGAGTAAAGTCAATTTGCCAGTCCTGGGCAGGGGCAAATCCCCGAGCTTGATGTGTAGGGAAGGGAGGGGGCCTGAACAATCCCTGAGGAGTAGTAGAATAGCATATGGAACACTGAGAAGTGATTTCCTTGAGGATAGATTTCCACGATGGAAAGGAAATGAGAGGTTCTAAGAGGTGGGCTAGCAGCTTGTAACCTACATGGAAGAGGTTATGAAATGACAACAGAATAGAATGGGCCTGTGAGGCTGGAAGGAGATATTTTCCTTGGTCCAAGAACCATTTGCCTTGTGTGGGAAGAGATTGATAGGTGGAAGTTTCTGTGGGGGAGTAGGTGGGAGTGACCAGCTGAGAAGGAGAAAAACTGCCATAAGGGATAGAAGTTGGAACCTAGTTGCTTTTTTAGCTACCTTATCAGCATAAGTGTTGCCCTGAGCGATGGAATCTGATGCCTTTTGATGGCCCTTGCAGTGAATGACTCCAGCTTCCTTTGGAAGTAAAACGGCCTTGAGCAGAGTTTTTATTAAAGAGGCATTAATGATGGAGGATGTCAGGCCTCTGAGCCCAAGCTAAGCCATCATGTCCCCTGTGACCTGCACGTATACATCCAGATGGCCTGAAGCAAATGAAGAATCATAAAAGAAGTGAAAATGGCCGGTTCCTGCCTTAACTGATGACATTTCACCATTGTGATTTGTTCCTGCCCCACCTTAACTGAGCAATTAACCTTGTGAATTTCATTCTCCTGGCTCAGAAGCTCCCCAACTGAGCATCTTGTGACTCCCGCTCCTGCCCGCAAGAGAACAACCCCCTTTGACTGTAATTTTCCACTACCCACCCAAATCCTATAAAACGGCCCCACCTCTATCTGCCTTTACTGACTCTTTTCGGATTCAGCCCCCCTGCACCCAAGTGAAATAAACAGCCTTGGTACTCACACAAAGCCTGTTTGGTGGTCTCTTGACACAGATGTGCATGACATTTGGTGCCGAAACCCAGGACAGGAGGACTTCTTCGGGAGACCATCCCCTGTCCTCACCATCACTCCATGAGGAGATCCACCTACGACCTCAGATCCTCAGACCAACCAGCCCAAGGAACATCTCACCAATTTCAAATCAGGTAAGCGGTCTTTTCACTCTTTTCTCCAGTCTCTCTTGCTACCCTTCAATCTCCCTCTCTCACTACCCTTCAATCTCCCTGTCCTTCCAATTCCAGTTCTTTTTCCTCTCTAGTAGAGAGAAAGGAGACACATCTTATCCGTGGACCCAAAACTCCGGCGCCAGTCACCGACTCGGGAAGACAGTCTTCCCTTGGTGTTTAATCACTGCAGGGATGCCTGCCTGATTATTCACCCACATTTCATTGGTGTCTGATCACCATGGGGACACGTGCCTTGGTCAGTCACCCACATTCCCTTGGTGGCAAGTCAACTGCGGGGATGCCTGCTTTGGCTGCTCACCTACATTACAGCCCAGGGCTGCTCACCCACTCCCTTCTCCGTGTCAGTATCTCTCTTTAAACTTCCCTCCTTCACTAGGGGCAAGCTTCCGCCCTCCATTCCCCCTTCTTCTCCCTTAGCCTGTGTTCTCAAAAACTTAAAACCTCTTCAACTCTCGCCTGACCGAAAACCTGATCATCTTATTTTCTTCTGCAACACCTCTTGGCCCCAATACAAACTTGATAATTGTTCTAAATAGCCAGAAAATGACACTTTTGATTTCTTCATTTCACAAGACTTGGATGATTTTTGTCAAAAAATGGGCAAATGGGTCTGATGTGCCTGACTTCCAGGCATTCTTTTACACATTGGTCTCTGCTCCAATGTGACTCATCCCAAATCTTTCTTTTTTCTCGCCTCTCTGTTCCTTCAGTCTCCACCCCAAGCTCTGAGTCCTTTGAATCCTCCTTTTCTACAGACCCATCTGACCTCTCCTCCCCAGGCTGCTCCTCGACAGGCCAAGCCAGGTCCCAATTCTTTCTCAACCTCTGCTCCCCCACCCTATAATCTTTCTATCACCTCCCCTCCTCACACCTGGTCTGGCTTACAGTTTCATTCCGTGACTAGTCCTCCCCCTCCTGCCCAACAATTTCCTCTTAAAAAGGTGGCTGGAGCTGAAGGCATAGTCAAGGTTAATGCTCCTTTTTCTGTATCTGACCTTTCCCGAATCAGTTAGCATTTAGGCTCTTTTTCATCAAATATAAAAACCCAGCCCAGTCCATGGCCCGTTTGGCAACAACCTTTAGACATTTTACCACCCTAGACCCATAGGGGCAAGAAGGCTGTCTATTCTCAATACGCATTTTATTACCCAACCCACTCCCGACATTAAAAAAAGCTCCAGAAATTAGATTCTGGCCCTCAAACCCCACAACAGGACTTAATTAACCCCGCCTTCACAGTGTGCAATAATAGAGTAGAGGCAGCCAAGTAGCTATTTCTGAGTTACAATTCGTTGCTTCCACTGTGAGACAAACCCCAGCCACATCTCCAGCACACAAGAACTCCAAACGCCTGAACTGCAGTGGCCAGGCGTTCCTCCAGGACCACCTACCCCAGGATCTTGCCTTAAGTGCTGGAAATCTGGCCACCGGGCCAAGGAATGCCTGCAGCCCAGGATTCCTCCTAAACCATGTCCCATCTGTGCGGGACACCACTGGAAATCGGACTGTCCAACTCACCCAGCAGCCACTCCCAGAGCCCCTGGAACTCTGGCCCAAGGCTCTCTGACTGACTCCTTCCCACATCTTCTCAGCTTAGTGGCTGAAGACTGATGCAGGCCGATCGCCTCAGAAGCCGCCTAGACCATCACAGATGTTGAGCTTCAGGTAACTCTCACAGTGGAGGGTAAGTCTGTCCCCTTCTTAATCAATACGGAGGCTACCCACTCCACATTACCTTCTTTTCAAGGGCCTGTTTCCTTTGCCTCCGTAACTGTTGTGGGTATTGATGGCCAGGCTTCTAGATCCCTTAAAACTCCGCTACTCTGGTGCCAAATTGGACAACATTCTTTTATGCAATCTTTTTAAGTTATCCCCACCTGCCTAGTTCCCTTATTAGGCCGAGACATTTAAACCAATTATGTGCTTCCCTCACTATTCCTAGGCTACAGCTACACCTCATTGCCGCCCTTTTCCCTAGTTCAAAGCCTCCTTTGCATCCTCCTCTCATATCCCCCCACCTTAACCCACAAGTATGAGGTACGTCTACTCCCTCCTTGACGACTGATCATGCACCCCTTACCATCCCATTAAAACCTAATCATCCTTACCCAACTCAACACCAGTATCCATCCCACAGCACACTTTAAATAGATTAAAGCCTGTTATCACTTGCCTGTTACAGCATGTAACTTTTAAAGCCTATAAACTCTTCTTACTATTCCCCCATTTTACCTGTCCAACAAACAGACAAGGCTTACAGGTTAGTTCAGGATCTGCGCCTTATCAAGCAAATTGTTTTGCCTATCCAACCTGCGGTGCCAAACCCATATACTCTCCTATCCTCAATACCTCCCTCCACAACCCCTCCATAACCCATTATTCGGTTCTGGATCTCAAACATGCTTTCTTTGCTATTCCTTTGCATCCTTCATCCCAGCCTCTCTTTGCTTTCACTTGGGCTGGCCCTGACACCCATCAGCCTCAGCAACTTACCTGGGCTGTACTGCCACAAGCCTTCACGGACAGCCCCCATTACTTCAGTAAAGCCCAAATTCCTTCCTCATCTGTTACCTATCTTGGCATAGTTCTTCATGAAAACACATGTGCTCTCCCTGCCGATCATGTCCTACTGATCTCTCAAACCTCACCGCCTTCTACAAAACAACTCCTTTCCTTCCTGGGCATGGTAGGATACTTTCGCCTTTAGATACCTGGTTTTGCCATCCTAACAGAACCATTATATAAACTCACAAAACCAAACCTAGCTGACCCCATAGATCCTAAATCCGTTTGCCACTCCTCTTTCCGTTCCTTGAAGACAGCTTTAGAGACTGTTCCCACACTAGCTCTCCCTGACTCATCGCAGCCCTTTTCGTTACACACAGCTGAAGTGCAGGGCTGTGCAGTCGGAATTCTTACACAAGAGCCAGACCACACCCTGTAGCCTTTCTGTCCAAACAGAAAGTAAGATATTCCTTGGGCTGGTTGGTCTGAGGACCTGAGGTTGTAGGTGGATCCCCTCATGGAGTGAGGGTGAGGACAGATGACCGGTCTCCCAAAGGAGTCCTCCTGTCCTGGGTTTTGGCACCAAATGTCACACGCGTCCGTGTGAAGAGACCACCAAACAGGCTATGTGTGAGCAATAAAGTAGGTAATGAAAAATTACAGTCAAAGGGGGCTGTTCTCTGGCGGGCAGGGGCAGGGGTCACAAGGTGCTCAGTGGGCGAGCTTCTGAGACAGGAGAAGGAATTTCACAAGGTAATGTCATCAGTTAAGGCAGGAACCAGCCATTTTCACTTCTTTTGTGATTCTTCAGTTGCTTCAAGCCATCTGAATGTAAATGTGCAGGTCACAGGGGGTATGATAAATTAGCTTGGGCTCAGAGGCCTGACACTTTTGTTACAATTAATGAGCCAATATAATTACTTTATTATTAACCAAAGTCCATACTTTATTCAGATTTTCTTAGTTTTTCTCTAATATCATTTTTTTTGTTTGAGGCAGAATCTTGCTCTGTTGCCCAGGCTGGAGTGCAGTGGTGCAATCTCGGCTCATTGCAACCTCTGCTTCCTGGGTTCCAGCAATTCTCCTGCCTCAGCCTCCCAAGTAGCTGGGACTGCAGGTGTGTACCACCACCATGCCCAGCTAATTTTTTTTTTTTTTTTTAAGTAGAGATGGGGTTTCACCATGTTGGCCAGGCTGGTCTTGAACTCCTGACATCAGATGATCCACCCACCTCGGCCTCCCAAAGTGCTGTGAATACAGGCGTGAGTCATGCTCCCGGCCTCTAATACCCATTTTCTGTTCCAGAATCTCATCCAGGATACCGCATTACATTTAGTTGTCCTATCTCCTTAGGTTCCTCTTGGCTGTGACAGTTTCTTAGACTTTCCTTGTCTTCAATGATTTTGACAGTTTTGAGGAGTACTGATCAGCTATTTTTTAAAGAATGTTCCTCAATTTAAATTTAAATGGAATGTTTTTACAATGATGAGACTAAGGCTATGGGTGTGGGGGAGGAAGACCACAGAGGTAAAGTGTCACTCTCCTCACATCATGTCAATGGTACAGACTGTCTGTGTGATTTGTGACTGTTGGTGTTGACCTTCGTCACCTGGCTGAAGGACGTTTGTCAGGTTTCTCCACTGGGAAGTTACTCTTTCCCCCCTTTTCTATGCTGTATTATTGAAAGGAAGTAAAAATGTGCAGCCCGCACTTAAAAGGCAAGAAGTTATGCTCCCCGTCTTTAGAGTGAAGTATCTACTTAGGTGATTTTGAATTCTTCTTTACAGGACATTTGTCTTTTCTCTCCCATTTATTAATTTATTTAGATCAGTAGGAACTGCTGGGTATTTATTATACTTGGGTTATAATTCAATACTACTTTTTTTTCTCTAATTCTTCCAGCTTTGGCCATTGAGAACTCTTTCAGTTGGCTCCTGGGCCCCTTTGAAATGCCTTTTTTTTTTGAGACAGAGTCTCGCTCTGCCACCCAGGCTGGAGTACAGTGGCACGATCTCGGCTCACTGCAACCTCTGCCTCCTAGGTTCAAGCGATTTTCCTGCCTCAGCTTCCCAAGTAGCTGGGATTACAGGTGCATGCCACTACGCCCGGCAATTTTTGTATTTTTTGGTAGAGATAGGGTTTCATTTGTTCATTTTTGAGAAATTCCTGTTTCTAGCACTACAGGATGCCCTAGGCCCATCATGTGTATATCCTGCCCAGTACTAGAATCAGCCATTTCTCCAAATAGCCCTGGTTTCTTCTACTAGAGAATGGTATTACAATAGAAACCAAGATCTGAATAGTCACCGTGTGCTACCTTGTTTCTTTTTAGGCCCTCTCAGCCGACAGAGCAAAGAAATATATGTGTATATACTAATCTGTATGTAGTAGGCCAAGAACAGCCACCTAAAAGATATCTACCTCAAATTCCTAGGGACCTGTGAATGTTACATTATTTGGAAAAATTTGTCTTTGCAGTTGTGATTAAGGATTCATACTCAGCAACGTTTCCATTTTCCTTCCACTCACTATGTATTGTTGATTATGAACTCAGCAATATATAGTTAGACACAGCCTGTCTGACTTCTGTCCCAACCACAAGAAGGCCAACCTGTACCTGTGGTCACTGACTAGTTGAACTTCAGATGCCTGAGCTAGCAGGCTTCCACAAAGATGAATGAACCAGAAAGTTTCTGGGAAAGTAGAGAAATTTTGAAAAATGAGAGAAATGATGTGAGATTAGTGAAAAGTGAGATATGGTAGATCTCTAAAGGTCTTGCAGCCAGGGAAAGAGAGAAACCTATGGTAGAGCAAGAAAGTTGAGACTGAGGTTAGATGGAGACCAGCTTCCATCCCAACTGAGGCTAGCCACCATGGAAGGCTCAACCATCTCAGAAGCAGACTGGTTGACTCCTTGTAGCAAATTCAGTGGCTGACCTTGCCAATGCACAGCTAGAGGACTGCCCCTGATCCCAGCACACTTCCGAAGCCCTGGAGCTCAGATTCTATTTTGAAGAGGAAAGTGACAGTAATGTATTTCAGGGCTTCTCAAATTTTAATGTGCATATAAATCACTTGGAAATCTTGTTAAACTACTGATTCTGATTTAGGGATTTTTAATACAAATCTTGATTCTGACTCAGAAGATCTGCAGTGGGGATCAAGATTCTGCATTTCTAAAAAGCTCCCAGATGCTGCTGATGCTGCTGGGTCCATGGACCACAACTCGAGTAGCAAGGATGTGTTTGACTGAATTTTAAAATGCATAAGAAATCTCAATATTTGGCTGAGTTTATCTGGAAATGTCTAGATTAAGTTTTGCCATAGCAGGCAGAAATGGAGACTTGAGATAGAAATTAAGTTCAGTTTTAGAAAAATTTAAAAATCAAATTTTTATGTACTGATTTTATGACTTGAGACATCTAGGCATATAGTGATCACTATTATCCTTCAGTGTCCAGTTCAAATATATCCTCCTCCTGAAGTCTTTCCGGATATTTCTCTGGTTGGAATTAACTATTTATTATTGAGAACCCATATCTCATGTTTCTTTAAAAGCTCATTTTTCCATGAATCACAAATATTTACTACAAATGTAGAGATGTGACTGTCTCTTCTTTTTCCCCAAGCATAGTGACTCATAGAAAGTACTTAATAATTGCTTCTTGATGAAAATGCTGATTTTAAAATAGACTGCCTGTAGAATAAGAATAGTATCTCAAAAGTTAAGTGCATCATGAAATCAAGCAGCTAGCCCAAAAGTATTTGAAAAGACAAAATGAAAACAATGATTGCTGGCTGGGAACTTCTCTAAGCAACAGAAGGAAATGTTCTCACTGTTTGGGAGACAAGGATAATTCAGCAGAAACAAGTCCAGACTTCTTTAGGTAATTAAGTATTTAACCTTTAAGATTGTTAAAAGACTTTTTCTTTACTAAATCTGAAATTAGTAAAATTACAGTAAAGACTGTAAAGCTAATAGTAGTTGTCATGTACAAACTTTAAAAAATATTATCAGCCAGGTGCGGTGGCTCACGCCTGTAATCCCAGCACTTTGGGAGGCTGAGGTGGGAGGATCACGAGGTCAGGAGTTCAAGACCAGCCTTGCCAACTTGGTGAAACCCCGTCTCTACTGAAAATACAAAAAATTAGACGGGCATGGCAGCAGGTGCCTGTAATCCCAGCTACTCAGGAGGCTGAGGCAGAGAATTGCCTCAACCCAGGAGGCAGAGGTTGCAGTGAGCCAAGATTGCGTCACTGCACTCCGGCCTGGGTGAAAGAGTGAGACAGCATCTTAAAAAAAAAATTATATATATATATATATATATATGTAATCGAAGTTAGCTTACACCTTAGGGAAAGTTGCCAAGCTTCAGTTTTCTTTTGGTAATGGTATTTTCTTTTTTTCTTTTTGTTTTTTTTTTTTTGATTCGGAGTCTCGCCTTGTTGCCCAGGCTGTAGTGCAGTGGCACAATCTCGGCTCACTGCAACCTCCGCCTTCCAGGTTTAAGCGATTCTCCTGCCTCAGCCTCCCGAGTAGCTGGGACTACAGACGCATGCCACCACGCCTGGCTAATTGTTGTTGTTGTTGTTGTTTTTGTATTTTTAGTAGAGATGAGGTTTCACCATCTTAGCCAGGATGGTCTCCATCTCCTGACCTCATGATCCACCTGCCTCAGCCTCCCAAAGTGCTGGGATTACAAGCATGAGCCACAGCGCCTGGCTGGTAATGGTATTTTCAAAAATTAGGTACTGTAGAATTGTTTCATACCTGGAAGTTAGGTTCCAATATTAAAAAATATTGAATTTAGTAAAAATTATTCTTAAAAAATCTGTTGACACCAATAAAATATATGTATAAAAATATATATTTGCAATCTGTTTTCTTTTTTGTCAATATGTGTATTTAAATTTTTTTAATTTAAATCCATGCAGTATGCTAGACCTCCACTCTGGAGAAGTGGGAAAATGCAAATGTTAAAAATATATTTCATTAATATCTATTTATAATTTTTTCTGGTTTTGTTCAATTAGCAGATAACTGTTACTTATTTGACAAATAAATCTAGCATACAAACAAAGAAGAAAAGCTCTTAGGAGTTAGAAAAACACACTCCTCTATTCCCCCAAATTAAGATCACTTTTACTGGGGCATGAAAGTAGGTATATCTCCAAGGATCTTAGTCTATAGCAATAATATTTGCACAAATACATGCCCCCACTTAGAAGGGAGGAATAAAAGACCTTGCAAAATGATCATTAAAAAGCTGGAAACTGTTTTTTGACCATGAAATCCTGCCATCATGACCACATTCCTTATATAAAGATGAAATATGAATTTAATGACTTAATAGACTCACCAAAGTCAAGAATAAAATTTCATTTTGCCTTCAAGATTTCATACTATCCACCGCAAGCATCTGAAGTGTTGCTCAGTCTGCAGTCATTACGGAACAGGTACACCTATCAGACCACAGTCAAGAAGCTGGAGAGGACGGACGCTGTAGCTCACGCCTATAATCCCAGAAATTTGAAAGGCTGAGGCAGGTGGATCACCTGAGGTCAGGAGTTCAAGACCAGCCTGACTAACGTGGTGAAACCCTGTCTGTACTAAAAATACAAAAATTAGCCGGGCATGGTAGCGTGCACCTGTAATCCCAGCTACTTGGAAGGCTGAGGCAGGAGAATCACCTGAACCTGGGAGGCAGAGGTTGTGGTGAGCTGAGATCGTGCCATTGCATTCCAGCCTGGGTGACAGAGCAAGACTATCTAAAAAAAAAAAATAATAATAATAATAATAATAATAATAAAATAGGGAAAAATAACTTTTATTATAAACTACTCACTTAAGAATTCCCTAGTCAAAAACCAGTACCTGTTTTGGTTGGGCTCCGGCTCTGATATGCTGCTGGTGTGTGCTGGTTTGGCATCCATCTGGTCATTCTGGCATCTGCTGTATTCATAGTTGAACAACTTTAAAATCACCCTGCTCAGATCCTCACTAAATTCCCCTCTCTCAGACTTAGGAATATGAACTCTTGATCTCCAAGGAGGGCCTCCTTAAAGTCAGATTGTTATAGGTTGTTTCTGCTTTATGAATAAATAATCATCCCCCCCTGGATAAGGAATCTGTACCAGGTTAGTATAGATATGCCACTGATGGAAAACAAAGTGTGTTTACCTCAGAAGCTACTTTTAAACAAGACAGGATGGTTATTCCATAGACAGTTGGCAAGTAAAGTTATCAAGTCTCAGATTCAATAAAGCTCTTATTTTGATTGAGTTCTAGATGGTATTAAGTACTTATACAAATTTAAAATATCAGGTCTGAAAGACTTCCAGGAAGAAAAGAAATGGAAAAAAAAAAAAAAGCAAAGAAACAAATGAAGTCAAAACTGTTACTGCTTTATATGAGCTCTTTAAGAAAAACTTTTCAGGGTGGTAGAAATAAAATTATGGACTTCATGAAAGAGCCAAGCAGTACATTTTGCTCTATAATTTGCACATATGCTTTAAAATACATTAAAAAGATCAGTCTTTAGAGAACTAAATTTTGCAATGGTTTTTTACTTTGGAAAATATCCTTTTTCTGTTCTAAGTGAAAATCAATTACTCAATTGAGTTATGAGACTTTTGCTTAAAGATAAATGCTATTTTTACCAAATAAAAATGTAATTTTGGTTTATTAAGGTATTGCTCGGTATCCCTACTAATCAGTTATAAGATCATGACCAAAGAAATGCAAATTAGCATACTTGACACTAGACCAATGATTAGTAGTTGTGAGAAGTCTTCAAGAACTTTTCTTTACTAAGACCTTTTGCTAAGATTTACAGAGTTTTAATACTAGACCATAAAATTAATTTGAAGAATTCTATTTTAAGAATTAGTTAAGTTTACTTAAGTTTATTTTATGAATGGGGTTAAAAGATGGCTAAATGTCTTCTGATTTTTACCATAGTGCAAAAATTAAATGCAGACATGACATTGTACTTTAACGTTTGAATTTGTTTTTTTGCAAGAAGTTCAGTAATTGTAACTGCCAACATTTGTTACATGGTCATGCATCACTTAATGAAGGAGACACTTTCTAAAAAATGCATTGTCAGGCAATTTCATCATAGTGTGTCATTATCATAGAGTGTAATTACACAAACCATGATGGTATAGCCTACTACACAACTAAGCTATATGGTGCATTAGTTTGTTCTCACACTGTTAATACAGACATAACAGAGACTGGGTAATTTATAAAGAAAAAGGTTTAACAAACTCACAGTTCCACATGGCTGAAAAGACCTCACAGTTATGGTAAAAGGTGAAGGAGGAGCAAAGGTATGTCTTACATGGCAGCAGGCAAGAGAACATGTGCACAGGAACTACCCTTTATAAAGCTCTCAGATCTCGTGAGACTTATTCACTATTATGAGAACAGCATGGGAAAAACCCACCCCCATGATTCAAATTACCTCCCATTGAGTCCCTCACACAACACATGGGAATTATGGGAGCTACAATTCAAGATGAGATTTGGGTGGGGACATAGCCAAACCATATCCTATGGTATACCCTATTGCTCCTAGGCTACAAATCTGTCAACAGGTTACTGTACTGAATACTGTAGGAGTTGCAGTACAGTGATAAGTACTTATGTATCTAAACATATCTAAATATAGCAAATGAATAGTAAACATGAGTATTATAGTCTTGTGGGACCACAGTTGTACATGCGGTCTGTCATTGACTGAAACATCATTATGTGACTTTTTTTTTTTTTTTTTGAGATGGAGTCTCGCTCTGTCACCCAGACTGGAGTGCGGTGGCCTGATTTCGGCTCACTGCAAGCTCTGCCTCCCGGGTTCACACCATTCTCCTGCCTCAGCCTCCTGAATAGCTGGGACTACAGGCATATGCCACCACGCCTGGCTAATTTTTTGTGTTTTTAGTAGAGACAGGGTTTCATCGTGTTAGCCAGGATGGTCTCGATCTCCTGACCTTGTGATCCGCCCACCTCGGCCTTACACTATTATTTTAAAGTATGTAAAAGTAAATATGAATTCAGTAAACTGAATTCTTAAACTATTATTGTTATAAAATTGGCTTTTGCAAATTTCAAGCACTACTGAAGATTATGTGGACCTACAGAGATTCTCCAGGATCAACACCACAATCCTGGTGATGCTTTTGGGTGTTTTATTTTTCTGATAAATTCTTTTACTATTATTTTAAATTGACAGATAGAGTTGTATGTATTTCTAGTACACAATGTGATATTTTGAGATATATGTGCATATTGTGGAATGGCTACATTGAGCTAATTAACATATGCATTACCTCACATTTATCATTTTTTTGTGGTGAGAACACTTAAACACTTAAAATCTACCCTCTTAGCAATTTTAAATATACAATACATTGTTATTAACTATAGTCACCATGTTGCAGGATGGATCTCTTGAACATATTCTGCCTGTCTGACTGAAATTTTCTCTTTTGACCAACCTCTTTTCTATCCCCTCACCACTACCTGTCCGTTAGTAACCACCATGCCATGCTGCTTCCATGAGTTCCTCTTTCTTAGATTCCACATGTAAGTGAGAATATGCAGTATTTGCCTTTCTGTGTGTGGCTTATTTGACTTAGCATGATGATGTCCTCCTGGTTCATCCATGTTTTCTCAAATGACAAGTTTTCCATCTTTTCTTTTTTTGAGACAGTCTCACTCTGTTGCCCAGACTGGAGTACAGTGGCGTGATCTCAGCTCACTGCAACCTCCACCTCCCAGCCTCAAGCGATTCTCCTGCCTCAGCCTCCCGAGTAGCTGGGATTACAGGCATGCACCACCATGCTTGGCTAATTTTTGTATTTTTAGTAGAGACGGGGTTTTGCCATGTTGGCCAGGCTGGTCTCAAACTCCTGACCTCAAATGATCCACCCACCTTGGCCTCCCAAAGTGCTGGGATTACAGGCGTGAGCCACCATACCCGGCCGTTTTTCATCTTTTTAAGGGCTGAGTAATATTCCATTGTGTATATATACTGCATTTTCTTTATCCATTCATCAGGGGATGGACAGTTAGGTTTATTCTATATCTTGGCTATTGTGAGTAGCACTGCAATGAACACGGGAGTACAAATATCTCTTCAGCATACTGATTTTATTTCCTCTGGACATATAACCAGAAGTGAGATTGCTGGATCATATGGTAGTTCTATTTTTAATTTTTTGAGAAACCGCCATACTGTTTTTTCATAACGGATGTACTAATTAATCCTTTCTTTTTTTCGAGATGGAGTCTTGCTCTGTCGCTCAGGCTGGATTGCTGTGGCACAATCTCGGCTCACTGCAACTTTTTCCTCCCAGGCTCAAGCAATCCTCCTACCTCAGCCTCCCAAGCATCTGGTTCTACAGGCATGCACTACCACACCCATCTCATTTTTGTAGAGATGGGGTTTCACCACATTGCCTAGGCTGGTCTTGAATTCCTGGGCTCAAGTGATCTGCCCACCTCAGCCTCCCAAAGTGCTGAGATTACAGTCATGAGCCACTGCGCCTAGCCTACTGCTTTTTTTTTTTTTTTTTGAGACAGAGTCTCACTCTATCACCCAGGCTGGAGTGCAGTGGCTT
This sequence comes from Homo sapiens, assembly GCF_000001405.40. NCBI lineage: Eukaryota > Metazoa > Chordata > Mammalia > Primates > Hominidae > Homo > Homo sapiens. The sequence continues at coordinate 85,893,683 of NC_000009.12, forward strand.
GATCTCAGCTCACTGCAACCTCTGCCTCCCGGGTTCAAGAGATTCTCCTGCCTCAGCCTCCCAAGTAGCTGGGATTACAGGTGCCGCCACCATGCCCAGCTAATTTTTGTATTTTTAGTAGAGACGGGGCTTCGCCATGTTGGCCAGGCTGGTCTTGAACTCCTGACCTCAAGTGATCTGCCCACCTTGGCCTCCCAAAGTGCTGGGATTACAGGTGTGAGTCACCACACTCGGCCGATTTATTGTGTTTTTTAAAAAAAATTCTACTGGAGCATTTTACCTCTGCTATAGCTGTTATAAAATGCTGTTACTCTGTTGTTAATAATCCAGCCGTGGTTATGGCTATTTCTTGTTCTTAGACATCTTTGCTGTTCTTTGCTGTATCCTCTGGAGCTACCTGGCAATGCCAAGGTGTGCTCCTCACCTTGCTCATGTAACCCAAGGAGCATGCTAGAAATAATCAGATATTACTGGGATGCTTCCATCCCTAGTTCTTTTTCTGGAATTCTCTAGTCTTGTCAAAGCTGCTCTGCTTGTCTGTGAACTGAGACCAGATGCTGGGCAACCTCATGTACTGACAACCTATTTTTTGCCAGAAACTGATTAAATTTCTGTTTCATCTGGAAATAAGTTCTTTCTTGGGATCTTTTACACAATGCAGAGATTGAGTAAGATTGTTAATTCTCTCTTCTATTAATAAAGAGTAAAATGTGTGTGTCAGCAATCCAGTACCCTGATATTTGCTTGATACCACAGCATTCTACCTGAATTTAATTCACAATTGTAAGATGATCAAGGTTCTCTGTCAAGGAAAGAGTAAAGTTGACCTTCTCTAAAAGATGGGGCCAGGCCAGGCGTGGTGGCTCACACCTGTAATCCCAACACTTTGGGAGCCCGAGGTGGGTGGATCACCTGACACCTGAGGTCAGGAGTTTGAGACCAGCCTGACCAACATGGAGAAACCCTGTCTCTACTAAAAATACAAAATTCATCGGGCGTGGTGGCACATGCCTGTAATCCCAGCTACTCAGGAGGCTGAGGCAGGAGAATCGCTTGAACCCAGGAGATGGAGGTTGCAGTGAGCTGAGATCCCGCCATTGCACTCCAGCCTGGGAAAGAAGAGTGAAACTCCATCTCAAAAAACAAACAACAAAAAATCATGGGGCCAGAACTGGTAACCATGACTATTTACATGAGTTGGTAGCCTGTGAATACAATAACAATGCAATTTTTATTGTTATATCAATGAGCAAATGTTATAAATATCTCTCATTTCTATATCTGCTTTTATACTCCATTCATCACTGTGTGAGGAACGTCTCTGATGCCTTGTCTTGCACCTGGGATGACAGGTGTGATAGCCGGGCAAAAGAAGGCAAACATCTAGCTAAATATTGATTTGGGTACAGCAGAGTTCTAATTTTGCATAATTGATGCTTGTCTGCTTCATCCTGTTGAGAAAAAACGGTGTTCCTGAATTGTTGTGATATATCAATGGTGATACCTGGCCTAGGCTGTGCTAAAAATATAACCCTTGCAAAGTAGATTTCTCTTTTGTTCTTGGGATGAAACTTGCAGCTTTATTACAGCTCATAAGAGCACCTATTCTACTTGTGGAAACTATGCTTGCCCATGTTTACCATGTGTTTGGTCCATTTCTTGCATTATAGGTAGGGTGAGTCTAGTTTGAGTTTGCACAGTACTGTTTGCTCTTGTGAAATTTCAGTTTGTACCTTATATCTCAGTATAGTATAAATATTAATAGTACCTTATGCTTTCAGAAGTATCCCAGTTTGGATGAGAAATTATATGTTCATCTTATGCATGTATGTTATAGTACCTCCAACACAAGTCATCTCCCAACTCTCCATATTGAAAAGGTTCACAGCTTCCATGACATAAATGAAACACTACAGTTTGGAAGAATAGAATAGTAAGTTTTCATCAAATGGAGTTTTACATTCTATTCAAGGATTAAGGACCGCGCTGGCCTTTTTGGAACAATCTGGCAATGCCTCAGCTACATCTCTAAAATCTGCTCAGTACTGACACAGTGGCCACTAGGGCCATGGTCCTTTGGAACTTCTTGACTCTAGATTTCACCTTAATCAATAGAAGAGTAGTGTGTGCTCTTACTGGCAATGAATATGCTATCGATATTCTTGTCAATGAGAACTTGTCTAGGATTTGCATATTCCCATTCAAATAGAAACTACCACATTTCAGCAGTCGGAGAGAAGGAACTGAGTTGCATGGGCTGGTAGCCTTTCAGAAAACTGTGTAAGGCATATTAGCAATATTGTGGACTATGATAAGCCTGTATATAGTGGTAATACTGATAAAATGTTGTATATATTGTCTTAAAGGAATGCATCAAAAATTTTCTTGTGTAAGTGTTGAAACTGTACATTATGTATTTAAGAGAAAGCAAATTTGAGGCTCAAGTAATAAGAGATCATATGCAGATTTAGGTCTTATAACAACAAAGATGGAAGACTAGAGAAAAAAAATGCTATAACTTCTTGATTTCACTGTTAGTAGGTAATATCCTTAAGTGTTTTCTCCATAACTGCAAATAAATTCGATCTCCACAGGCTGCTTTTTATAAAAAATGCTAATTAATTTGTGTCCTTGTAATTAACTAAGGATCTATCTAAAAACAAATAAAGGTGATGTACCATCTCCCCCACAGCAACAGAAGGATTTTGCTTTGTGTCATAAATCAAGTTCAAAGAATATTCTTTGGTAACATGTTAAATTGCAAACTTTTTTTTTCTTTTGTTTGAGACACAGTCTCACTGTGTCACCCAGGCTGGAGTACAGTGGCACGATCTCGGCTCCCTGCAACCTCCACCTTCTGGGTTCAAGCAATTCTTTTGCCTCAGCCTCCCAAGTATCTGGGATTACAGACATGCACCACCATGCCCAATGAATTTTTGCATTTTTAGTAGAGACAGGGTTTCACCATGTTGGCCAGGCTGGTCTCAATCTCCTGACCTCGGGTGATCCACTTGCCTCAGCCTCCCAAAGTGCTGGGATTACAGGTGTGAGCCACTGTGCCCGGCCATTAAATTGCAAACTTTCACAAGAATTACCCGTCTTGTTCTCTTTGTGAGACAGAGATTCATGTGAATTTGAGTTAATGTTATCTATGCTTTGTCGTCTATTAATGTAAAGTTTTCCAGGAAGTATTATTTGACTAGAGTCATTGTGAAACACGTACTAGAAATTATTATTAAATCCTTTGAAAATAACCTCCACCATAATCTGTACTTTTGATTACTTTTCTTACTGGATACATTTTCTTATTTGATAAATTGTACTTCTGGGCATAATGTTGAGTTGAAGCTGCAATGTGGTAGCTTCTTTTAGGATCATCTCTATATTTCTAAAGTTTAAAAATATTTATCATATTTCTTTATCAGTACAGAAAAGAATTATTGCCAACTTGACTCTGCTGGCACATAATTTGACAACGTGTTCTTCATTTAATTTAGATTTTAGCAAAATCTAGAAGATAGGAATCCTGGCAATTGGGGTTACTTACCTTTAGGACATTTTCCAGCTAAATGGAGGAGTGGTTCTTTTGACAGCTGTAATGTAAAAGGGGTACGAAAGTTGGAGTCCAGGTCCCACTAAGGGAAATGTCCTATTAGCACAACCCCCCACACCCGATACACACTTTTATCTAAATGATAGTACCCCAACTGTAGGGAGAACTAAAAGAAAAGCAGCCCCTCCTCAGACTGCAGCCCAGCTTCCAGTGATCTCGAAGTCTAGTCTCTGAAATCAGATTGAGGTCGCTCAAGACGACAGTGCTAATGGGGACCTGATCAAAACACATGAAAATATTTTCTGGGGAGAGGTATCTCCTAGGGCTCAAATTATGTGAACAATCTTTCAAATAAAATGTCCAACACACACTCATATGTACCCAGGCACATGAGGTGACAAGACAACATGAAGACTGAAAGAAACCATAAGCAATAGACCTAGATCTGTAGGGATTCTGGATATTGGAACTAACAGATCTAGATATTAAAATAACTATGCTTACTATAGCCAAGTAAGCAAACCTAAGATAGAAAATACAGTTGAAAACTGCACAGAAATAACATAGACAATTTAAAAAAAGAAGTACCCAGAAATATTCGAACTTTAAAAACTATAACTGAAACCAAGAATTTAGTAGGTAGGTTTGACATCAGATTTAAAGGAGAATTACTATAAGAGCGGACAGAAAAAAACCCAGAATGAAGCCTGGAGAGACAAACAGATAAAAATTACATAAGAGAGAATAATAAACCCAGAGGATGTGGTGAAGGAAAAAAACTAACATGCATTTTACAGGAGTTCCAGAAAAAAAAAGGAAAGAGGAAGTGGGTCAGAATAAGTATTTGAGGAGCTCATAGCCCAGATCCTCTAAAAAGCAGAGCCTGAGGCAAAAGCTTACATGTATACTTTACTGGTAAGTGTATTCCTACAAGTGCACGAGTGGGGCAAAATTGATGTGAGATAGAGAAGGATGTAGTACAGATGTAGCGTGTGTTACACTAACGTGGGCATACACCCATTGTAAAGTCTATTACCTCGTCTCGCAACCCATCATCAGAAAAGGTATGAGCAACTGTTACTTCAACAATCTGGTTCTGAGGAGGAAGGGAGAGAAAACTGTCCAGGAGTTTTCCCCTCCCATTGGGTAGAACCCACTATATGGCGTGATACCTCCCACACTTCAAGATTGTGTACACGTGAGCGCTGAGTGGGTACCATGGTATGTATCTCATGCCTCAGCCCACCGGGAAAGCCCCAGGGCAGGACATGAAAGCACATAGCAAGTGTGTGAGATAAGCCGCTGGCAGTTTGTGCTCAAGTGTGACAAGGATCAGGGAACAGCCACCACAGAGGGCAGATATGAATTTGTGTCAATAAGGTTAGCGCATGGATCTGGGGTAACACAGAAGTAAATCTTGTACAGACATCAGTCCAACCAATTCCAGAAGCCCTACAAGCCCAAAGCAGGACAGGAAAAGGTTTTCACCTAGGCACATTGGAGTAAAAAGGCTGAAAATCCAAGGAAGACAGAAACTCTTAAAAAGCAGCCAGGGAAGGAGAGCGGGCCGAGGAGAAGCAGTGCGGCGCACGCGCAGTATATGTGGCTAGAGAATTCGTGTGGACGTCAGGGTGGAAGCGGGTGTGAGAGGGTCCAGCAGAAGAAAACATGGCTGCCAAAATGTTTGAGTTCATCGGCAAGTTTGGCCTGGCCTTAGTTGTTGCAGGAGGCGTGGTGAACTCTGCCTTATATAGTGTGGATGCTGGGCACAGAGCTGTCGTCTTTGACCGATTCCGTGGAGTACAGGACATTGTGGTAGGCAAAGGGACTCACTGTCTCATCCCATGGTTACAGAAATCAATATCTTTGACTGCCGTTCTCAGCCACGTAATGTGCCAGTCATCACCGGTAGCAAAGATTTACAGAATGTCAACCTCACACTGCGCATCATCTTCCGGCCCGTAGCTAGCCAGCTTCCTCACATCTTCACCAGCAGCGGAGAGGACCATGATGAGCGTGTGCCGCCGTCCATCACGAACAAGATCCTCAAGTCAGTGGTGGCTCGCTTTGAAGCTGGAGAACTAATCACCCAGAGAGAGCAGATCTCCAGGCAGGTGAGCGATGACCTTACGGAGCCAGCAGCCACCTTTGGGCTCATTCTGGACGACGTGTCCTTGACATATCTGACCTTCGGGAAGGAGTTCATAGAAGCGGTGGAAGCCAAACAGATAGCTCAGCAGGAAGCAGAGAGGGCCAGATTTGTGGTGGAAAAGGCTGAGCAGCAGAAAAAGGCGGCCATCATCTCTGCTGAGGGCGACTCCAAGGTGGCCGAGCTGATCACCAACTCACTGGCCACAGCAGGGGACGCCCTGATCGAGCTGCGCAAGCTGGAAGCTGTGGAGGACATCACCTACCAGCTTTTACGCTCTCGGAACATCACCTACCTGCGGGCAGGGCAGTCCATGCCCCTGCAGCTGCGCTGGTGAGGGCCCACCCTGCCTGCACCTCCGAGGGCCAACTGGGCCACAACCCCGATTATTCTTTTTTTTTTTTTTTTTTTTTTTTGAGACGGAGTCTCGCTCTGTTGCTCGGGCTGGAGTGCAGTGGCGCAATCTCGGCTCACTGCAAGCTCTGCCTCCCGGATTCAAGAGATTCTCCTGCCTCAGCCTCCTGAGTAGCTGGGACTACAGGCCCACGCCACCACGCCCAGCTAATTTTTTGTATTTTTAGGAGAGACGGGGTTTCACCATCTTGGCCAGGCTGGTCTTGAACTCCTGACCTCATGATCCACCCGCCTCAGCCTCCGAAAGTGCTGGAATTACAGGCGTGAGCCAACACACCCGGCCGTCCCGATGATTCTTAACACGGCCTTCCTTCTGCCCCTACATCAGAAATCACTGTGAAATTTCATAATTGGCTTAAACTGAAGGAAATAAAGGTAAAATCACTTCAGATCTCTAATTAGTCTAAAACAAAAATGTCAGCCAGAGGAAAAAAAGACAGATCATCTTAAAAGGAACAACAACTGAAATGATAGCTTACTTCTCAGTAGAAGCAATGGAAGCCAGAAGACAATAACATGGCATTTTCAATGTCCTGAAGGAAAATAACTGCCATAGTGACTTAGCAAGCATCTATAAATAGTGAAAATACTCTTTAGAAATGACGTAGAAATAAGGATTTCAAGAAAAAAATAGAGTGAGAATTCATCCCCAGCAAGCCCATACTACAAGTATTAAAAGGTGTTCAGCTAAAAGGAAAATGAACCCACGCAGAAGGTCAGAAATAGAGGAAGAAAGACGAAGCAATAAAATAATAATTATGCTAGGGTCTTCGTTCATTTGTGCTGGTATAACAGAATATTTCCGACTGGGTAATTTATAAAGAACAGAAATTTATTTCCTCATGCTTGTGGAGGCTGAGAATTTCAAGATCAAGGGGCTGAGAGGCTTCTTGCTGCGCCCTCACATGGCAGAAGACGGAAGGGCAAGAGAGAGTGAACCTACTCCCACAAACCCATTAATCCATTCACCTACTTCTTCCCCAAAAGCCCCACCTCCCAATACTGTTGAATTGAGACTTGAGTTTTCAACACAAATTATCAGGGACACCTTAGAGCATAGCAACTAGTAACTCTAAATAAATAGTTAACTATATAAAACAAAAATAATGTATTGTGCAGTTTAAAATATTTATAGATACAAGACCACAACAGTATATAATTTGGGAGGGAGGTATATGGAGTTACAGGGCTTAAAAGCCTCCTACTGGAAAAGGGTAAAAATACCAGTTGACATTAGACTTTGTCAAGTCTAACGCTTGCTAAAAATCTGCATGCTATAGTCTCTAAGGCAACGACCAAAGGAAGAGTAAAAGCTGTATAATGTCCTAGCAAATAGAGATTAAAAGTAGAATTGTTAAAAATATCAATTATCGGCTGGGCATAGTGGTTCACACCTGTAATCCCAGCACTTTGGGAGGCCGAGACAGGCAGATCACTTGAGGCCAGGAGTTCGAGACCAGCCTGGCCAACATGGTGAAATCCTGTCTCTACTAAAAATACAAAAATTAGCCTGGTATGATGGCAGGTGCCTGTAGTCCCAGCTGCTTCGGAGGCTGAGGCAGGAATCACTTGATCGCACCACCACACTCTAGCCTGGCCAGCAAAGCAAGACTCTGCCAAAAAATAAAAAATAAAGGAAAGAAAAGAAAAAAGATCAATATAAAAGAGACAAGAATGGAGAGAAAAAGGAGCATAGAACAGGCAGAACAAGTGTACATCACATAATAATTTGGTAGATTTAAAACCAAATATATCAATAGTTATAGCAAATGTAAAGCAACTAAATGCTACAATTAAAACACAAAGAATGAGAGGCTAGTTTTAAAAAATAAACCCCATGGAAAGAAAGTTTAGATTTCATCTCCTCCAAGTTATCTATAAAACAAAATATCTATAGCCCCTCAGATTTGGTTTGAATTTATAAACCATAGCAATCTCACTTATCACCAGATCCTAATTCAGAAAATTTTGTTTAGATAGGGTCTCACTATGTTGCCCAGGCTAGACTCAAATTCCTGGGCTCAATCAATCCTCTCACCTCAGCCTCCCAAGAAGTTGACTACAGGCATATGCCACTGCACCTGGCTTCAGGTAATTCTTTTCTTTTCTTTTTTTTTCAGGTAATTCTCTTCTTTTCCTTTGTCTTCAAATGTTAAAGAATCCCTTCATTATTGAGCCAAAAAAATTGTCTTAGACCTACTTTATTGAGACATAGACAATATCTCTCTCTCATTTCATATGACAGTCCATCAGATATAGGAATATGGATACCAATTTTTCTATTTATATATCCCTAGTTTAAAAAAATAATTTTTACATAATCTTCACCATATTTTTATATCATTTATGAAAACAGCTCCTTGTACAGTTGGCTCATTGATCCAGCTTGTTAAGTTATTTTCAGACTTTGCTTCAGTAAGCCATCATATTGTCACTTTCTTCCATTTCGTATCATAGGGAAATGATACAAAAAGCATGCTTTCTATATTTTCATCTTATTCATTGATAAAAACGTTGAATAGAACATATCTGATGACTGTGCTTCAGAGCAGGCTTTGGAGAACTTTTTCTAAATTGACCGTGATCCATGAATCAACATTCTGCAGGTATGCAGTTTTAAACATTAATAAATTTGCCTGTGTAGCCAGTTCACATTTCTCCAACTTGTCCATGAAAGGCCTTGAGACGTCTTGAGTTGGCATAAGAGTCCTTGTTAGATGCCTTGCTTAAATTCAAATACCTGGCTGGGCACAGTGGCTCATGCCTGTAATCCCAGCACTTTGGGAGGCCAAGGTGGGCGGATCACCTGAGGTCGGGAGTTTGAGACCAGCCTGGCCAACATGGTGAAACCCTGTCTCCACAAAAAAATATTAAAAATTAGCCAGATGTGGTGTCATGTGCCTGTAATCCCAGCTACTCAGGAGGCTGAGGCAGGAAAATTGTTTGAACCTGGGAGGCGGAGGTTGCAGTGAGCCGAGATCGTGCCACTGCACTCCAGCCTGGGCGACAGAGTGAGACTCCATCTCAAAAATAAATAAATAAATTCAAATACCTTAGGTCTGCTTATCAAGCTAGATGTGATCTCAGAAGGGAGTGCACATCTCATTTCCATTTGTTTATGGGGACAGAGAGTCAACTATAAATAATATACAAGTCTGCAGACTTAGGTTAGAAAAAGTATGATAATCCAGTGCCTCATGCATCTATGGGCACTGAAGCTGCTAAACATCACTTTTTTTTTTTTTTAAGACAGATTCTAGCTCTGTCACCCAGGCTGGAGTGCAATGGCGCAGTCTTGGCTCACTACAACCTCTGCCTCCCAGGTTCAAGCAATTCTCCTGCCTCAGCCTCCCAAAGTAGCTGGGACTACAGGCACGTGCCACCACACCTGGCTAATTTTTGTATTTTTAGTAGAGACGGGGTTTCACTATGTTGGCCAGGCTGGTCTCAAACTCCTGACCTCGTGATCCTCCCGCCTTGGCCTCCCAAAGTGCTAGGATTATAGGCATGAGCCACTGCGCCTGGCCTAGACATGAATTTTTAAAGAAAATGCCACAATGGAACACACTGGACCTTTGAACCCCTGGAGAAACTCAATGGGTTCCAAAGCATGAATAAGTAAAACTGGTAATAGCCTTTAGAAACTCCAGGGGCCATAGTCAAGGTAGACTGTACTCGAAAAGTTACAAACTGGTTCATCTGAGGCTCAGAGGGCACTGGTCTCAGATAATTTAGATAAAGATGCTCCCTGAACCAGAACTCTGATGTCCTTCTTAGTAAATTGGAATCATGACAGTGGACTTCTTTCCTAGTGGAGCTGCATGAGTTAGGATACTTTCTGCTGTATGTAACAAAAACTGACTCAAACTGGCTTAGACAATAAAGAAGTTCATTATTTCAATAAATCAAACTCCAAGAGGCAGAGCAGGCTTCAGGCTTGGTGGATTCAGTAGCACAATTCTGCCATTGGCAACCCAGGAATATTTTTCATGATTCCAATTTGGGAGAGAAATAGGATTACTAAAATTGATTTAGACTGTTTTCTGGGGATGAATGGATGTTGGTGAGTCAACGACCAACAGAAGAGTTTTTGAATGTTGAATGTAGAATAGCACTCCTAGTTCTAAGCCAGGTTTTCTTTCCTGACTTTTAGGGTAGTGTCAACCCTAAGGGCGATAAGATTAAAGGCAAGGATATAAATTGGCCGACCTAAGAATACACCCAAAGGCATGTAGCTTTACCCCTAGGAACATACCTCTATACAGTCCTATGATCTTCTCCAACACAGTAGTAACACAGTTCTTGAATTCTAAACAGAGGCCTGGGATGCAGGTGGGGAAACCTTTGTTCCATGGATGCAATGTGTATAGAAACTTTTCTTTTCTTCTGGAAGTTTAAGGCAGAAAATCAAGATGGGAAAGACACCCAGGTACCTTTCCAGTTGGAAATCAGCCTAGACTAATTTTAACAAATGGTAAAACATAAACTGAATGATTTTATTGGCTGTTCAATAATGGATTTAGTGAAGAGAAGCTGGAACTAATGAATAAACTAAGGAATGGGATATTGTTTTCATTAACTTATGCTACCTCTACCTTTGATCAGGAAGGTATAAGAGCTAGCTATGTACTATAAGCTATAATATTTTTCTTTATTCCTTAATGATTGAAGTGTTTTTAAAAAGAGGAATTTTTTTTTTTTTTTTTTGGAGACAGGGTCTCACTCTGTCACCGCCAACTGGAGTGCAGTGGTGCTATCTCGGTTCACCGCAACTTCCGCCTCCCAGGCTCAAGAGATTCTCCCGCCTCAGCTGCCCGAGTAGCTGGGATTACAGGCACGTGCCACTACTGCCCAGCTAATTTTTGTATTTTTAGTAGAGATGTGGTTTCACCATGTTGGCCAGGCTGGTCTCGAACTCCTGACCTCAAGTGATCCACCCGCCTCAGCCTCCCAAAGTGCTGGGATTACAGGCATGAGCCACCGTGCCCGGCCAGGGGAATATTTTTGACAGCTCAATTTGTCATATATACTAAATTTACAATGCATGCTAAAAAGAGAAACTATTAACTACCAAACATGAAACTGATTTTTCCCATAGAATGATTTCGATGTTCTTAGATATGTATGTTTGTCTTAGTCATATGTGTTGCTCTTTCAAAGATGAGCATTGAAAAGAGAATTCCATTTCTAGAGTAAGATGAATGTGTAACTTCTATTGACTTCAAGGATTACAATTGCCTCCAGTTGAAGCAATTTTCATTCAAGCCACATATTTTCTGTCTAGTCTCCCTACCTTTGGATAGCATATAAATTTCTAAGAAATAGACAGGGAGAATGATGGATTTGCATGCAAATGTTGGCATTTATTCCAAATTTAGCTATCCCATGCAAGGACACTGTCTGAAGAGCTGATGAAACATATTTGAATAATGAAATCTTGGGTTAGAGAAGGCCACATATCTGATGTTTGCATTGCATTCTGTAAATAACTACAAGTTAATATTGTGCAAATTAACATTTTAAAGCAAATATTTCAATGAAACTTTCAGACTCGCTCGGCCTCCTATGTATTAATTTAGCTGACTATCCCTTAGAGACTATAATTTATTAATTTGTTCAAAAAATTTGATATGCGCCAGGTGCACTGCTTTAGGCATTGCGGGTACGGTAGTGAACAAGATGGGCACAGTCCTAGTCTTTGTGGACATTACATTCTTGGACATAACATTCAGGAAATAACCAATCAATTGAATGAACAAGATAATTTCCAATAGTGATAAGGCAGTGGGACAGGGTGATATAATAGACAGTGAGGTAGGAGTGCAGTATGAGCTGGTCAAAGAAAGTCTTTGAGGAGGTGATATTTGAGCAGAAACTGAAATAATGCAAGGGAGGCAGACATGTGCACAAAAATCTTTATTTACTCCGAGAGAAATAATATATGCAAAAGAACTCTGCAGCACTGGCACAATGCCTTCTTCCTTATAGCTGGTTGGTGCTCCAAAACTTGCTTAGTTGAAAAACTGTCACATTTACAATAAAATACTTAGGCCTGTAGAAATTAATTTGTCATGGAAAAATATGGACAAATTTAGCACCTGCTCCAGGATGCTATAGTCTGACATCTTTATTGAGGGTCACTGAGGATTTAAGGAAGAAGAAGGAATTGCTAACTTCTATTTCCTATTTTACTAGTCAATTTTAATTACTGTAGCCTCATCAGATGCTTTGTGCAAATGTCAGTGTCTTTGCCTGCTTTCTCGTTTGATTTTAAGTTGGGATACAAGTTACTTAACAATAACAAGAGTTGGCAGTAGCTGATCTTTCCCAGGTCTCAGACACACATCCATTTGCAAAACATTTCCATTTGTTCCCACTGTATGTGTGAACTTGGCATAGTCAAAAACAGAAGTACACATGCTATTGTCCAAAATATTTTCTGAATATTCATTATTTACCAGAAGCATTTTCTGAATACTTGTTATTTAACTCCTGAAGTAACAAGGTTGTGAAGAGAAGCAAAATTGATTTAAAAAAAGAGAGAGTGACAAGCTGGGCGCGGTGGCTCATGCCTGTAATCCCAGCACTTTGGGAGGCTGAGGCGGGCAGATCACCTGAGGTCAGGAGTTCGAGACCAGCCTGGCCAACATGGTGAAACCCCGTCTTTACTAAAAATACAAAAATTAGTCGGGAATGGTGGCAGGCGCCTGTAATCCCAGCTACTCAGGAGGCTGAGGCAAGATAATCGCTTGAGCCCGGGAGGAGGAGATTGCAGTGAGCCAAGAACGCGCCATTGCACTCCAGCCTGGGGGACAAGAGCGAGACTTCGTCTCAAAAAAAAAAAAAAAAAAAAAAGAGAGCGAGAAAGAGGAGATACCACATGATCTGGTGTATCTAGGTCAGTTAATAAATGAGGGAAAAAATATAACGAGGATGATTAAGACATGAGAGGAGCTTCAAAAAGGAGCTAACTATCAAAGGATTAAGATAGGCCTCTTGAGAAATCTGATAACGTCTTTAAGTATTTTTGCAAAAATACTTGTGCTGCAAATGTCAGTTATGAAGAACGGCATCTCCTACTATCCTGCAAAAATCAGTACTTGTTTTAGTTTTTATGTATTCTGTGATCTGATGCTTAGTTGAAATTATAACCTCAATTTTATCCAACTAAGGTAAAGTTTTTACATTCCTTAATTTTAAGATTCAAGATAAACTTCCAATTGAAAGTTTTTTTTCACTATTTCTATGAAAGTTTTGTTCCCATTCCAACTTGTCCCACTTCTAAAAGTAGACGGTGCATTTGCATACTTAAAGAATAATAATACCAACTCTGATTTAGGCCTATTGCTCTGTATAACATGCTGGCATTCATTAACCAAGCCAGAAAAATGTCACGATAATGCATCAAGATGGAAATTATGATTAAACCACAGCTAGCTTTTCTTTCTCCTTCAAGGAACTCTCTGGATGAATAGCTGCTTTTCTTTTCTCTTTTTAGAGATAGGGTCTCATTATGACGCCCAGACTGACTCCTGGGCTCAAGGGATTCTCCCACCTCAGCCTCCAGAGTTGCTGGGACTACAGGTACACAACACCACACAGGCTTATGGCAGCTTTTCTATGCCCTAAAGCTCTAAAGCCTAGGCTTTTTCCTTCAATGACCCTATACTCCAAAAGAACGTGGAATGGAAGACACTGGAACTGCTGGTTGTTCCAAAGCAACAAGCTTGCTTTTTTTTTTTTTCTTTTCTTTTTTTTTTTTTTGAGACAGACTCTCACTGTGTTGCCCAGGCTGAAGTGTAGTGGCACTGTCTTGGCTCACTGCAACCTCCACCTGCCTCCTGGGTTCAAGTGATTCTCCCACCTCAGCATCCCCAGTAGTTGGGACTACAGGCATGCACCACCACACCTGGCTAATTTTTTGTATTTTTTAGTAGAGAGGGGATTTCACTATGTTGGCCAGGCTGGTCTTGAACTCCTGACCTCAGGTGATCCACCTACCTCGGCCTCCCAGAGTGCTGAGATTACAGGCGTGAGCCACCGCTCCTGGCCAGCAACCAGCTTTTTATCCCTGGTCCCTGTCACATTCCCTTGGCACTGTTCTGCACTCTAATTTTTTCCTTTCTTATACATACTTGTAGCTGGACCTGTTGGTTTAATTATTATTTTATTATTCCTATGTTCATTTAGTTTATTGACTTTCAATGTTGCTGCTTTGTATATTGTCTAGTTTTTACTGTTTTATCTTATTTTATTATATAAGCAGTTTATTTTATTCTTCCTTTTACTTATCTTTGATTTTAAAATTTTAAAATTATGCTCATCTTTTACCATGTCTTATTTATTTATATCTCTTCTATCTTTTGTTATATGTCTCTTTTTTCTTGTCATTTTAGCTTTTTAGCATTTTGAGGGGACCTACTCAGAACCCCAGAGTTTGTATGAAGATTATTTTAAGCTGAAAATATTTGAAATTCAACAAATGCAAAAAGAAGCATTCTCAGACCTTCCCTTATCTGACTAAAAGCAGCAATTGCTGGGGCTCCCAGAATCCCCTCTCTCTCGGCGGGAGGCTTCTATAAATCCCCTCTCTGGAAGGGAGTTTCATGGCCATGAGGAAAATGAAAGGCCACTTGCACCTGCATAAACCAACATTATCACAAACGTATCCAAGGACACATGGGTAATTAGGGTCAGACTCAAAACCAGTTCCCTTAACACTGCCTACCCTGAGGCTACCCCTGTTCCACACTTCAATTCCATTTCCCAGTCTTGGGTGAGGAGCTGCACTGTGGACATCACCACAAGAACCTGGTCCAGCCTGGAGCCACAGGCAAGAGCAGAGTGCTTCATGGTTTCTTTCCCACTCCCACCAGCTTCAAGAACACCCAAGGTGGGTGGGGCATCATTGTCATTTTCAACTAGAAGTGGACTTAATTCTCTCCAGCTTCAAAACATACCCAGCTTGAAAATCTGCTCCCTGAGGTTTGTTCCCATCGGGTACACCCACCCATCCAACCCTAGTAGAAGGGTAGGACCAGGGACATGGGGAGGGTGATAATTTGGCAGTTTTTGTCTCTCTTTTCCCATTGTCTTATAGCTGAAATATTTTTTTGGAGGCCCCAGGAAGTGGCTGAAAAAGAACTGGATTATTGCCTCTAAGGCCACTAAGTAGTGTTAAAACTCTGAGTAAGGTACTTCAGCTGGGTGCGGTGGCTCATGTCTGTAATCCCAGCACTTTGGGAGGCCAAGGTGGGTGGATCACTTGAGGTCAGGAGTTCAAGACCAGCTTGGCCAACATGGTGAAATTCTGTCTCTACTAAAAATACAAAAATTAGCCAGGCATATGGTGGCGTGTGCCTGTAATCCCAGCTACCTGGGAGGCTAAGGCAGGAGAATTGCTTGAACCCAGGAGGTGGAGGTTGCAGTGAACCAAGATGGCGCCATTGCACTCCAGCCTGGGTGACAGAGTGAGACTCCATCTCAAAAAAAAAAAAAGATTCTTCAAAGAAGGTAGAGAAGTATGTCCAACAGGAAATGCTGGGATCTCATGTCATCGCTTCCCTAACACGACTTTCACCAACTGCTTCCCCTTCCATCATCTGTTTTTGAGTTTTTCTCCACGTGCAACCTTCCCAGTTTCCTCCTCTAGCAGCAGTGGTGAGAAGAGCTGGGCTGCAGATGAACTCTCCACCCCAGGAGGGTTTTACCATGGAAGGAGCTGCTTTTCTAGCTTTCTCCTACACATAACACACAGATCTCTCATTATCCAATTAGGGCCTATTTGGGACCCCACACTCCAGTATGAATAAAGCATTGTTCTCTCTCCATGTATTTAAAAAAAAATCCTTTATCCAATCCAATAAGAATCAAAGAATCCTTTGATTCTTTCTGGATTTACTGAAGGAAAAAAGAGTGGCAGAGATAAACCTTGGCCAGTCATGCTAATGTCACTTAATTTGACATTTGATACCTGAGATCTTGTGACTCTGTAATAGTAAGTAATATGCTTCTTCTGATCTCGGCTCAATTCCCCAATGAATGAAAATGCTGTCAGTATTTATATCCTTCTGCTGAAGTACATACAGATTTTTAGGCATCAGACCTTGATTTAAGAGTCTTTTAAGCTCTATTTTACAGGAGAAGACCTGGTAGGAGTAAAAATAAGTACATGAAAGCCAGAATGCCTGGTTGAAAATTTCTCCTCTCAATTTAGGTCCTGTTACTTAATCTCTATAAAATGGAGATAATGACACTTAATTCCGTGAATCTTAAATAAATATATGTAAAATGTCTGACCTTCAACAAGCTTTAGGCTATTAAATGATTTTCACTCCTAAAATCAAATGAATTCTTGTTTTGATGATTCTATTGCCAAGACTGCAGCCACAAAAATTCTAAATTATAAGAATTATCTCCATAGGCCAGGCACGGCGGCTCACACCTGTAATCCTAGCACTTTGGGAGGCCGAGGCGGGTGGATCACTTGAAGTCAGGAGTTTGAGACCAGCCTGGCCAACATGGGGAAATCCCGTCTGTACTAAAAATACAAAAATTAGCCAGGAAAGGTAGGGCACGCCTGTCATCCCAGCTGCTAGGGAGGCTGAGGCAGGAGAATGCTTGAACCCAGAGGGCAGAGGGTGCGGTGAGCCCAGCACCCAGATTGCATGACTGCACTGCGGCCTGGGAGACAAAGTAAGACACTGTCTCAAAAAAAAAAAAAAAAAGAATTACCTCCATGGGAGTCATCTGTAAGTGATATGATAGATATATAAATTCCTGAAGAAACTAACCAGCCAATTTTATTTATAATCTTTGTATCGAGTCTACATGCCCCTCAATCAACCACTCCATTTCTCTGTTTCTTTATAGCAAAATTCCTCCAAGGGCTACCTCTACTCATTAATTCTGTTCTTTCTTGACATCTTTTGTCTGTTTTGGAACTTTCTTGGCTATGGTCTAGTTTGCTTCTTCCTCTTCACTCTTTCCTTCATCTGGACCATGAGAAAGGGGTTTTGATCTGACAGTCTTCCCCTAGAATGCTACTTCCTAAGTCCCAGACTGGGATGGAGAAGGTGGTTGTTGTCAAACTATTAGGGCTTGTGAAAACACAAATCGCTGGCCCCACTCCCAGAGTTTCTGATTCAGTATAGCTGAGGTGGGGCCCCAATTTCTAACAAGTTCCTAGGTGAGACTGATGATACTGGAATATATTTTGAGGACCACTAGAATAAGGAGTTCAGGACTCTCTTGCTCTCACAATGAGTTAAATTCTCCAACCTAGCTTTACCAATAACACAGATGTCATTTTGATGTTTCATCTGCTGCTTCTACCATTTTATACCTGAAATGATTCACAATTCAGGCAAGAAAGAGAGGTGCTGTATATTGAACTCCTCAAAAGCCCAACAGCTGACATTTATTACTTACCATGTGCCGTTTGATGTCCTAAGCGTTTTATGTAGTCTATCTCATTTAGTCCTCACCAAAGCCCTAATATCATTTCACCTTTCAGTAAGGAAATTAAGATACTACTGGGGGTGGTAGCTCATACCTGTAATCCCAGCATTTTTGGAGGTTGAGATGGGAGTATCACTTGAACCCAAGAGTTTGAGACCAGCCTGGACAACATAAGGAGACCCCATTGCTACAGAAAAAAAAAAAAATAATACCTGGGCATAGTACCATGCATCTGTAGTCCCAGATACTTGGGAGACTGATATGGGAGGATCACTTGAGCCCAGGAGGTCGAGGCTACAATGAGCCGTGATCATGCCACTGTACTCCAACCTGGGCAGGAGAGTCTCAAAAAAAGAAATTAAGACACCAAAATATTAAACAATTTTCCAGGCCACTCAGTTCTGGAGACATAATTCGAATCAAGGGAATATGATGTCAAGGCTGCGGTTTTAACCCCTAGGATATGCTATCTTGTGTGTGGGAATATGAAAGTCACCTGAGTACGTATCTATGTTCAGTATAGCCACCATCTTCCCATGCAATGATTCATGACCTGTGTTTACCCTTGTTAATGTGGCATAAACTGCTCTCCCAAGGCCGTCACAGTCAACTATAGAAGTAGCTACAAATAATGTTACTGCCACAGTCTAAACTCCTCTAAGTTGAGCAAATTCAGAACAAATATCAGAAAAGCAATTTATATTTTTAGACTTATTAATAAGGTGTTAAATTTCTCATTCTACAAACATTTATTGAACACTACAATTTGCCACGCAGTTGGGGGATTTCACTGCACCTAATAAACAGCACACTTCCCCCACCCCCAAAGTTTCGAATCAATTGAGAAATAGGCAATATATTAGTTTGCTAGGGCTGCTGTAATTGAGACATAAAGAAGGAAGAAAATGTGACAGTTAATAAAAGTGGACTCAGAGATGGAAAAGATGTTGGAACTAGCAGACAAGGACTTTAAAATAACAATAGTATATATGTTTAAAAGATTGGGGTGCAGGGAGGTAGACAATATGTAGGCAGGGAATTTCATTCCAGGAATGGAAACTACAGAAAAGATGCAATGGAAATGCTAGGACTGAAAAAGTACAATATTAGAAATGAAGATTTCATCAGTTGGGCTTAATGGCCAACTTGACAAGAGTGGAAGAAATGATCAGGGAATTTGAATACAAAGTGTCTAAAATGAAATGTAAAGAGAAAAATGAATGGAAAAACCGAACAAATCTTTGAGACTTATAGGTAATAATCAAATCAACTAATAGATGTGTAATTGGAGCCTAAGAGGAACAGGAAAGGGAGAGTGGGGAAGGAAAAATACCTGAAGAAATAATGGCCAAGAATTTTGCAAAATTGATGGGGGATTGAGGGTGGTGGTGGCAACTCACAGATCCCAAAT
Source organism: Homo sapiens (assembly GCF_000001405.40). Classification (NCBI taxonomy): domain Eukaryota; kingdom Metazoa; phylum Chordata; class Mammalia; order Primates; family Hominidae; genus Homo; species Homo sapiens. The sequence goes on from NC_000009.12 coordinate 85,912,670, forward strand.
CTTAAACAGGGGAATAATAACAAAATTTTTGGCTGACTTCTCATCAGAAAGAATGGAGATGAGCAAACAATGGAACAGCATCTTTAAAATGCTGAAAGAAAAAAAAAGGCTGAACCTAGAAGTCTATATACAGTGAAAATATCCTTCAAAAAATTAAGGCCAATTAGATACATTTATAAACAAAAATGGAAAGAATTTATCCCCAGACCAGTGCCATAAGACATGCTAGGGGAAGGGGAAGTCTTTCGGTTGAAGGACAATGTAGTCAGATGGAAGATCAAATCTGCAATAAGGAATGAAGGATAACAGAAAAAGTAAATTAGTACATAAACATTTTAAAAACCTTTTAATTTTTTTTTTTTTTTTTTGGGACAGAGTTTCGTTCTTGTCGCCCAGGCTAGAGTGCAGTGGCACAATCTCGGCTCACTGGAACCTCTGCCTCCTGGGAAAAAGCTTTTAATTTTGTATTTAACCGTATCACACATTTTTTCATTTCTAGAAAAGACGATTGATTTTTAAAGTAAAAATATGAACATATCAATATATCATGGGGGCTTTTAACATACAATGTATTGTGGGGTTTATAATACATGACAATAAGAGGATGAAGGATGAGGAGGAGGAAAATTAAATTATACAATTGTAAGGTTCTTACATTGTTTGTGGTCATTTAATATTATTTTAGGCTGGGCGTGGTGGCTCATGCCTGTAATTCCAGCTACTCCAGAGGCTGAGGCACAAGAATCACTCGAACTCAGGAGATGGAGGTTGCAGTGAGACGAGATCGTGCCACTGCACTCCAGCCTGGGCAACAGAGTGAGACTCTGCCTCAAAAAAAAAAAAAAAGAAATATATTATTTAAAGGTAAACATAAGTTAAAGATGCATACCATAATCTCTAAAGCAATTATTATAAAAATAAAAATATATATTTATAGATGACCCTTGAACAATTCAAAAATTAGGGGTGCCAACCCCTGTGCAGTAAAAAATCTGCACATAACTTTTGACTCCCCCAAAACTCAACTACTAATAGCCTACTGTTGACTGGAAGCCTTACCATTAACATAAATAGTTGATTAACACATAGACTAGTGTGCATTTGTGAGACACTTTTTCTGAATTTTTTTGGTATTTCTAGGCTATATAGTTTGTCTACAAGTTTTTTCAAATTGTTGCAAATCTCCAAAAATTTTTCCAACAAATTTATTTTTAAAAATCCACATATAAGTGGACCCATGCAGCCCAAACCCGCATTGTTCAAGGGTCAACTATACATATACATGAAGTGGAGGTGACAAATGGAATTCTAAAAACAAAAACTGATTAACTCAAAAGAAGACAGGAAAAAATAAAAAAGAGAAGAACAAGGAACACATGAGACAAACAGAAAACAAATAGCAATGGTAGACTTAAGCCCAACCACATTCATAGTTACATTGAATGTAAAAGCTGAACACTCCAATTATAAGATAAAGATGAACAGACTGGATTTTTAAAAATGTACTAACATTGTCAGGATGCAGTGGCTCACATCTATAATCCTAGCATTTTGGGAGACTGAGTTGGGAGGATTACTTGAGGCCAGAAGTTTGGGACTAGCCTGGGCAGCATAGTGAAACAGAAACTAAATCCAGGATATGAAAACCACCAGACTATATTTTCATAAACACATCAATCCAATTCTTAGGTATTACTCAAGAGAAATGAAAACTTATGTCCACAAACTACTGTACAATAATGTTTGTAGCTGGCTTATTCATAATAGCTAACAACTGGGGAAAAAAAAATCCTAAATGTCCACCAAAAGGAGAAAGGATAAAGAAATTGTGGTATAGTCAAACAATGGAACACTACTTATCAGTAAGAAAGGACTGAACTACTGGCACATGCAGAAACCTGGATGAATCTCAAAAACATGCTGAGTAAAAGAAGCCAAACACGAAAGGGTGTATACTAAGATGATTCCTGTATATGAAGTCCTGGCAGAGGCAAATGTAATTTACTGTGATAGACATCTGAACCTACTACTTCTGGGAGTAGGCAGGAATTGACTGAAGGAGGCACACAGGAACTCTCTGGGGTGATCGGAATATTTTGTGTGTTAATATGGGTATGGGTGGCATGTAATGTTAATTGTATTACTGTGGACAATCTAACCCTGGACTCATGTCACTTGTCAGTGGGCTCAACAGTTATCCTGTCTGGATTGGTTAATTATGGATAAGTAAGTTGACTGCCATACCAGTTTGCCTCAGATAGTCCTAATTTTCATCAACTGTCCTTGTAATAATTATGAAGTGAGTGCCTTTCATTCTCAAACATGTCTTAGTTTGGATGATAAATCATGTGGTCATCTTAAGAAATCACTTAAGATTTCTTTCTTAGAAATCTTAAGTTATTTCTTGCTCTTACATGATATCAGCAGAAAAAATAGATACTGTGGCTCCTGCCTAAAAAGGCCCATTTTTTAGAGAGAATAGACACCGTGTCACTAAATTCAGTACTGAAACTCCCAGGAGACATGGATTTTAAGAAGTTTTGAAATTACTTGGTGAGAAATGTACCTCAAATATGACCTGGAAATAGGGACTGCCTCTATTGCAGATTTTTAACTTTACAAAAAAAGCAAAAGGTCTCAAATGTCTTTGTGAAAGGAGAAAAAAATCCATTGGTAGATTATACTTTCAGGTTTTTTCAGTTTTCATTACTGCAAACTTAAGCAGTGGTTCTCAATCACTCAATTGTAGTCAACACCTCAACGTACTCAATGGAAAAGGCAAGGGAACAGATTCTCCCCTGGAGCCTCCAGCAGGAGTGTGGCCCTGCAGACACCTTGATTTTTTAGCCTCATAACACTTACTTTGACTTCTGGCCTCCAAATGGTAAGAGAATAAATTTCTATTGTTTTAATAATAGCTTTGTGTTAAGGTATTAACAGTAGTAATGGGAAACCAATACAAAGCAAATGTAAAAAGTTCAAATAAAAGTTGAAGAGGGCAACAGAAGAGACAGATATCAGAAAGAATGAGTTCATATTTGTGATCACTTTATGAGAACATCAAAAGAGCAAACTATAGAGCTGAGAAGACAGAAGATCCGCCCTGGCTTATCCCTCTAATATGGTTTGGCTGTGTCCACACCCAAATATCATCTTGAATTGTAGCTCCCATAATTCCTGTGTGTTGTGAGAGGGACCTGGTGAGAGTTAACTGAATCATGGGGCCGTTTCCCCCATACTGTTCTCATGGTGGTGAATAAGTCTCACGAGATCTCATGGTTTTATAAGGGGAAACCCCTTTTGCTTGGTTCTCATTTTCCCTCTTTGCCTGCAGCCATGTAAGACATTCCTTTCGCCTTCTGCCACAATTGTGAGGCCTCCCCAGCCACATGGAACTGTGAGTCCATATTAAACCTCTTTTTCTTTAAAAATTACTCAGTCTCAGGTATGCCTTTATCAGCAGTGTGGAAATGGACTAATACACCCTCCCTCTCGCTATTATGTGAAACCTCATTTCACTTAAAAATGAGCAAAAGATCCATCAACAGATGGATAAACAAAATGTGGTATAGCTGCTATGCAATGAAATATCATTAAAGGAACGAAGGACTGATACATGGATACTACAACATGGATGAACCACAAAAACATTATGCTAAGTGAAAGAAGCCAGACACAGAAAAATCACATAACGTATGATTCCATTTATGTGACATATCCAGAATATTCACAGAAATAGAAAGCAGATTGGTGGTTGCTAGGAGTTGTGGGAGTAACTCTGGAGACAGAGTTTCTTCTGGGGTTAATGAAAATGTTTTGGAACTGGATAGATGTGGTAGTTGAACGACATTGTGAATATACTAAATGCCACTGAATTGTTCACTTTAAAATGATTGATTTTGTATTATGTGAATTTCACCTAAATCAAAATAGTCCACTGCAAATATTGAAGAATATGCAACAAACTTAGAAACTATTTCAGTGATCCCTCCTGAGAAACCTGGGGGTTAATGAGCTTCAGACAAAGAAAAAGAAGGGAAACATTGAAATAAAGCCTGTGGTGAGGTTTAAGTGTGCCCTTTCTGTAGAACTATTAATAAAACAAAATGACGCAGCCAGGTGCAGTGGCTCATACCTGTAATCTCAGCACTTTGGGAGGCCGAGGCGGGCAGATCACCTGAGGTCAGGAGTTTGAGACCAGCCTAGCCAACATGGCGAAACCTCGTCTCTACTAAAAATACAAAAATTAGCCGGGCATGGTGGTGCACACCTGTAGTCCCAGCTACTCGGGAGGCTGAGGCAGGAGAATCCCTTGAACCCAGGAGGTGGAGGTTGCAGTGACCCGAGATCACATCACTGTACTCCAGCCTGGGCAACAGAGCAAGACTCCGTCTGAAAAAAAAAAAAAAAAGATGCTTATAAGAGAAACGGTGTAATGTGTAATATATAGTAGCAACGTGCTCTGAAAATACAGACAATACAACTCTTCAAAATGAGCAGAAGCCGGCCACGGTGGCTCATGCCTGTAACCCCAGCACTTTGGAAGGCCAAGGCAGCAGATCACTTGAGGTCAGGAGTTCAAGACTAGCTTGGCCAACATGGAGAAACCCCATCTCTACTAAAAATACAAAATTTAAGTGGGTGTGGTGGCAGGGGGCTGTAATCCCAGCTACTCAGGAGGCTGAGGCAGGAGAATCGCTTGAACCCAGGAGGCAGAGGTTGCAGTGAGCCGAGTTGGCGCCACTGCACTCCAGCCTAGGCAGCAGAGCAAAAGTCCATCTCTGAAAAAAAAAAAAAAAAACTGAGCAGAGAATGCAGAACCTACATGGAAAATAAACCAAGTCATTGATTATATTATTGGTATTAACATTTTTAAAAGGTCATAGCATAGGGGTTTGCTGTTTGGAGAAAATATGTGGGACCTTGTCAGTGTCCAGTTAGAGGTGACATGGACTCTAGGTGTCCACTAAGATTCTTTAGATATTCTTGTGTGATCTTAAAAATTGCAGTTTAAACTGGACTTACGTGTTGTGTGGATACTGCAGATTGCCTGATTCAACAGCTCGATCACTCTACTCCCTGAGTGCTTTCCATATGGAAGCTGGAAGCGAGGCTGTCTTTTATTCATTCCCAACAATTGCTGGTCACCCCTAACAACGCTGCAATGAACATCCTTGTACATATCCCCTTTGGGACCCGTGTGCATGTTCCTCTGGGTGTACTCAATATGGATTGTTTGGTCGTAGTAGACATAGTACACATATACAAATAAGTACTCTCAGGCTACTCTCCAAAATGGGTGTGGCTGTATGACGCTCCCTGCAGAGTAGGAGGGTTCCATTTTCCTACATTCGCACCAATATTTAGCATTATCTGATATTCTAAGTTTTTCTGATCTGATGGGTGTAAAACTTAGAATATCAGATAATGCAAAATATTCGTGAAATATTTAGGGAAACTAGAAAAACTTGATTCAAAGAATGTAATCAGAAAACACCTTTCTTTCTTTCTTTCTTTCTGTCTTTCTTTCTTTCTTTCTTTCTTTCTTTCTTTCTTTCTTTCTTTCTTTCTTTCTTTCCTTCCTTCCTTCCTTCCTTCCTCCCTCTCCCCTCTCTCTCTCTTCCTTCTTTCCTTCTCTTTCTTTCTCTAATTCTTTCTTGACTTCTGCTCCCTTTAAATTTATTTAGTGGGAAAGTACCTTCTGTTCCAACTTGAAAATGTACGCATTCCCATGACATTTCTCTTACTTTCAGGAAATAAAAATATCTTGGTGACATTGAACAAAAACACAGTCTTATTTCAGTAACTAAAAGTACACTATGTTAAGTTATTATAAAATCTTTGCATTTAAATTAAGTTAAAATCTTTCTCCTTCCCTTGATGGAACCTTCTACAGGCAGGAACCAGGGGAGGGACTGTGATGTTTCTTTTCTCTATGCTCACCTTCCACTCCATCTATGTTGCTAAGTATGATTTCCTCTAAGAATGGGGAGGCAGAGGAGGTAAAAAGCGTTAGGAACATGATGACTGGTATTGTAAGATGGTGTTCTCTGGACCTAATAAGTGTTTAGAGCTGATAATGTTTGGGGTGGGAGTATTCAGAGGATTCTGTTGGGAATGCTCAATGGTGTTTTCCTGATAGGGGAACTGGAGTTTCCTCTGACTTGCTGCTCCCCTCTTAGCCCCTAGTCCTTTGACTGACTCTACTCGGGAGGCACTCACAGACTTTTTCTGTTAAGATCCTGTGGCTCCCCCAGGCAGCCCTTCTTGGGACTTAAAAGGCACCAGATTAGCTCTTTCTCCTTAGTGGTCATTTTGCAAAGGTAGCATGAATACATGCACTCCATCAATGCCACATGGTACAAATATAAAATAACATTTATTGGGAGAAATGGATAAGCAGAAATGTGCATAGTTGACAGTTCCTACTGTCATGAGTCCTCCAGGAATGATGCTTGGACTGATTGTGGGTGGGCTGGACTCAGTGGGGCCATGGTCCCATAATGAAGAGCTCTACTTCCACCTACATTCCATATTCGTAGGAAAATAGAGACAAGGATCATCTACGTGCCTTTGTAGTGATGGACAACCTCTGATTGCAAACAGGCTTTATTAGAAAGAAGCAACTTCTGAGATCAGTTTTCATGTTTTAGCCTGTTTTCCTATTGAGTGAACTCAGATCTGGTGAGCCAGCTCTTTACCAGGCTACTGAAAGGACACAGGGAATCAGCCTCCAGGGCTGCCCTGAGCAGTCGGCATAGGCATCCATTGCCCTGACCAACTGGAAGTACAGGCCCATCCCAAAGCAGCTAACTTCTTGCTTTCCAGCACTGGAGTAGTTAGTGAGTCTACCTCTGCCTTCACAATTTTCCAGTGGTCAGATACCAGTCCACTGTGTCTCCCTGGCTAGTAGAATGAATATAAAACTCTCTAAGTAGTACTGCTGAAGCCTCTCTCTCTTAACTAAGGTGAAGGGGCAGATATTCTCTCTCTCTCCATTCTAGGAATGAGAGTCAAAGAACAACTGTTTCCAAAGAAACCTTCCTAACAAATTCTCTTTTGACTCTTTTATAGCCTCAATATGAGGGTGATTTTGAACACCTACTTAGAAATTTTTGAATAGTGGAATAATGAATTCTTTGAAATAAAATCTTTGTTTTTTCTTCATAGAAACTGAGCATGGGATATTTATAAAGACTTTGACAGTTGGTTCTCAACTTTGGCTGGATATGAGAATCACTGGAGAAGCCTATGCCTTGCCTGCATCCTGAGCAGTTAAATCAGAGTCTCTGGAGGTGGGCTCTCTAGGTGATTCTAATCTACAGTCAAGGTTGAGAACCACTGCTTATGTAGAAACAAAGGCTTTGAAAGCAGAAACAATTACATTGGGTGATTAAACGTAATTTCCAGGCCGGGCGCGGTGGCTCACGCCTATAATCCCAGCACTTTGGGAGGCCGAAGCAGGTGGATCACAAGGTCAGGAGATCAAGACCATCCTGGCTAACACGGTGAAACCTTGCTCTACTAAAAATATAAAAAATTAGCCGGGTGTGGTGGCACGTGCCTGTAGTCCCAGGTACTCAGGAGGCTGAGGCAGGAGAATCACTTGAACCCAGGAGGTGGAGGTTGCAGTGAGCCGAGATCGCACCACTGCACTTCAGCCTGGGTGACAGAGCGAGACTCCGTCTCAAAAAAAAACCAAAAAACACACACACGCACACACACACAAAACATAATTTCTGCCAGTTTCGCCTCTTGATTATGGATCTATTCAGTTCATGTGGTGTATGCCTCTTTTTTTTTTTTTAACGATATCAAGTCTTACTCTGTCACCCAGGCTGGAGTTTCAGGGTGCGATCACGGCTCACTGCAGCCTCAACCTCCTGGGCTCAAGCGATGCTCCCATCTCAGTTTCACAAGTAGTCGGGACTACATATTTGTGCCACCATGCCCCAAATAATTTTTGTATTTTTTGTAGAGACAGGGTTTTGCCATGTTGCCCAGACTGGTCTCGAACTCCTGTGCTCAAGCAATCTGCTTGCCTCGACCTCCCAAAGTGCTGAGATTATAGGTGTGAGCCACTTTGCCTGATCTTGTGCATGGCTTTTAAAAGCAGGCAACCCAGTGCCATTCCAATTTGCATTTGGTGCTCAGGAATAGGCTGCAGTTAGCAGTGTTTCCAGGAGTTGTCCAGAATACATATTTTACTTTCTTTTTGTGTTTTTCTGTTTTCTTTTGTCTGCTAAGTTTTGTGGCTGAATTTTCGAGTTGTGCTTTCCACCTCTTTCTTTGGGGGAACTCTTTATACCTCTGTCTGACACAGTACATTTTGTCCCCTTATCCACTTGCTGTTGTGGACATCAGTGAGTGCACCCACAGCCTCAGGTAGGTGACTATTTATTTATTTATATTATTATTATTGTTTTTTGAGACAGGGTCTTGCTCTGTTGCCCAGGCTGGAGTGTAGTGGCACAATCTCAGCTCACTGCAACCTCCACTTCCCAGGTTCAAGCGATTCTCATGGCTCAGCCTCACAAGTAACTGGGATTACAGGCACCTGCCACTATGCCTGGCTAATTTTTGTATTTTTAGTAGAGACAGGGTTTTGCCATGTTAGCCAGGCTGGTCTCGAACTCCTGACCTCAAGTGATCCGCCCACCCTGGCCTGCCAATGTGCTAGGATTACAGGCATGAGCCACTGCGCCTGGCCAAGGGATTCTTTAAAATTCCACCAGCAGCTATAATCTCTCGCTTCCCCTTTCCCATACAATCAGCTCCAAGTGCTAAGATTTAGGCATCTATTATGTGCCAGACATTGTTAAAATAAATTCTTTATATTTCAAGCTTTCTATATATGATCTTATTTCATCTTTCCAATTATGCTAAAAAATGGGTGCTATTATTATCTTCCCCATATTATTACCTTTCCCTAAATGGAAGAAACTGAAATTCTTTCCATTTCAGTCACACCTCAAAATAAGGAAAGAGACTCCGTGGTTCCTGGTTATAAATGACAGAAACTGACCCTTGCTGATGTAAGAAGGGAGCACATTTATTAAAAATGTCTTGGGTTTGGATGTAAATGTCTTCTTGGTGTCAAAATTCTATTGATTTTATAGCTCATCTTTATCCTATTTGAGTTTTCTAATAAATTTAAAGTTGACAAAAGACAGAAATTCTTTACATTTTTGCTTCTACAAGACTATGAACCTGTTAAAAACCAATTATGTCCCTTTTTTCTAAGTAGCTAATGTAGGGTCTTGAATATGTTGTGTACTGATTAAATGTGTGACTCGTTGAGGTATAGGTGGATTCTGCCTTCTAGCATAGGGCTGAGGTGTGGTCTGAAGCAAGCCATTGCCTAGCAGCTTGTTAGAAGTGTAAAGTCATGGGCCTCACCCTGGACCTGCTGAATCAGGATCTGGGGAAGAAGGAGCAGGACATATTAACAAGCCATTCAGGTGATTCTGATGCACTCTTGGGTTTGAAAAGCTCTGCTTTCATGGCTCCTAGTCCAGTAGACCCATGGAAAAATTAATTTATAAACAAATATTCACTATTTAATCTAAAAGCCATAGTAATAAGTAATGCCTCTTTACTAAAATGTAAGAGGTATGAGTTCACCTTAAAACTGTGATGTCTTTCTCATCTTCTCCTGCCCTAAGCTACTTCATTCCTTCCTTTTTCATTTGTGTGCTGTTCAGAAATCAAGGTAGAAGTCAAGTGATGTTTGCTGTTTTGTGTGACACACCAAGTCACACCCGATCCACACTGATCAGGATAGGAAATTGTTTCTTCCATCTAGTGACTTGAAAGAGAAGGGAGCATCAGTTTGAGTGAATGTGTGTCAGCCTAGAGAGATAGATAGAGCATCTATCTCTCTGTATCTATCTATCTATCATCTATCTGTCTGTCTGTCCGTCTGTCTATCTATCTACCTATCTATCTATTGATCGAACTCACTCATTACCATGAAGATGGCACCAAGCCATTTCATGAGGGACTTGCCTCCATGACCCAGACACCTCCCACCAGGCCCCACCTCTAACATTGGGGATTACATTTCAACATGAAATTTTGAGGGGACAAACCTCCAAACCGTATCAGCCAGCTTTCTCTAGAGAAGTGATTCTCAACTTTGGCTTCACATCAGAATCACCTGGTGGGTTTCTAAAAACTTTCATTACCCTGTGCTCTGGAGGTTCAGGTGGAGCCAGGAGAAATGTGGATCTTCCCAAGTTGCCCATTCTTTGACACTTACCCACTTTGAAATCAACATATGACTGGTTAGCTGCAACTTATGAGATACTATTGCTAGCAGCTCTTTGGGCCTTGTGGGTGGCCACAAATCCCTCCAATGGTACCAGGTTGGCCATAAAATATGCTGCCCTCCAGACCTTCTGCTTCTGGGACTATTCCAGGAGTTTGAGTTCTAACCAGGAATGTTTCTTGCCTCTCTGAGCTGGAATCCCAAGCCCTCTGAGAGCTTAATTTTTTAAAAAAATGTTGTATTGCAGCTTCAGTTAAATGATTTTTAGTAAATTTACAAAGTTGTAAAGCTATCACTACCCCAGAAACATCCCTCATGACCCCTTACAATCACTCCCCATTCGCACTCCTGACCATGCTCAAATTCTACTTTTTTTTTTTTTTTTTTTTTTGGAGACAGGGTCTTTCCCTGTTGCCCAGGCTGGAGTTCAGTGGCACGATCATGGCTCACCGCTGCCTCAACATTTTGGGCTCAAGCAGTCCTCCCCACTCAGCTTCCCAAAGTGTTGGGACTGTACGCATGAGCCACCGCACCTGGTCAAATTCTTTTTTAAAAGAGCTATATTGAGATATAACTCACATACCATGCAATTAATCTATTGAAGGTGTACAGTTCAAGGGCTGGTAGTATTTTCAGAGTTGTGGGCCCATCATGACAATGTATTTTAGAACATTTTCATTACCTCAGAAAGAAACCCTGTACCCCTTAGCCATCACTCCCAACCTTCTAACTCCCCTAGCCCTAGGCAACCACTGGTCTACTTTTTGTCTCTAGAGGTTCGCCTTCTCTAGATATTTTACATCAATGCAATCATATAATGATGTGGTCTTTTGTGACTGGCTTCTCCTTTGAACATCAGAGTTTCAAGGTTCATCATCCATGTTATAGCATGTATCAATACTTCATTTCTCTTTATTGCTGAATAGTATTCCATTGTATGAATATATCACATTTTATTTATCCATCATCAATTGATAGACATTGGGTTGTTTTCACTTTTTGGCTCTTAGGAATAAAGGGACTGTAACCTAGTCTTGTAACAAGTAGCAGAGAGCCAATCACAGAAGCTGAATTTCAGCCAATCACAGGCAGCCAACTGTTTAAACCACGTTCCAATAAGGCAAATGCAGAGCTGTAACCAATCCACCTTTTTCCTTACCTCACTTCTGTTTTCCATATATCATTTCTTTTTCTGTGCATAAATGTCATGTGACTATGTGGCAGCCCCAGAGCCTGATTTGTTAATTGTTCTTTGCTCAATTAAACTCTAAGTTTAATTTGTCTAAAGTTTTTCTTTTAACAGGACATTCATGTACACATTGTGTGGAAATAAGTTTTTATTTCTCTCAGGTATATACCTAGGAGTAGAATAGATGGGTTATAGGGTAACATATGTTTAGCTTTCTTTTCTTTTCTTTTCTTTTTTCTTGAGACAGGGTCTCACTTTGTTGCCCAGGCTGGAGTACAGTGGTGGGATCACAGCCTTGCAGCCTTGAATTCCTGGACTCAAGTGATCCTACTGCTTCAGCCTCTTTAATAGTTAAGACTACAGACGTGCACCACCATGCCTGGTTAATTTTTAAAAATGTTTTTGTAGAGACTGGGTCTCACTTTGTTGCTCTGACTGGTCTTGAACTCCTGGCTTCAAGTGATCCACTTGCCTTGGCCTTCCAAGATGGTGGGATTACAGGTGTGAGCCAGTGTGTCTGGCCTGTTTTAGCCTTTTGAGGAACTGCTATTCTTTTCAAAGCAGCTGTGCCATCTTACATTCCTATCAGCAACGTATGCGGGTTCCAATTTCTTCACATCCTTATCAACAATTTTTATTATGGATCTCTTTTATGATGTGAAGTGGTGTCTCATTTGTATTTTCCTGATGGCTAATGCTGAGTATCTTTTCATGTGTACACTGGCCATTTGTAGTTCTTATTTGGAGAATAGCCTATTCAGATCTTTTGCTTATTTTTAGATTGGGTTACTTGTCTATTTATTATTGAGTTGTAATAGTTCTTTATATGTCCTATATACAAGTCTTGTATCAGATATATGACTTGCAAAAATTATCTTCCATTCCTTGGGTTGTCTTTGGACTTTCTTTAAAGCTTCTACCACTCTTGTGATACTCTGCTTCATGCTGGCTCATGTTATAGTGAGTTGTTAACATGTACCACTCTTCTTTGAAATCAGAAGCTAATTGAGGTGCATATCTTTGTTTTTGTATACCACCAGAAACCTAGATTGCTTTCTGCACATGAATAGTGCATTTGGGATTTGAGGCCTGCATGCCAGATCCTATTGTATGAACTATTTCGAGTGTTACTAAAGCCAGACATTTTGTTTTCCACATCAAGACAACCCAGCTGCCTTGTATCTGGATAAAATAAATGGGCGAACACAATTGATTCTATCCATTAACAATTGTTCCCTTTACCAAGAAAAAAAATAGCATTGCCATGTGAGTCACCATTTCATAAATAAGCTGTATTCCAAAAATTCACTTGTATGGCAGTTATTTGTAGTGCTGAACATATGAACATATTTTCACCTAGTACCAATGTGATAACAATGGCTCAGTGTACGATTCTAGGACTCAAAGCCAACTGCATTTCTGAAGAAGCTTGCTGTAAGCATGTACATCATAGGCCAAAAGAGCCCTTCATGATCTGGTCTGGCCTGGGAAAGATGGATATCATCATGTGATATCCATGAGGAAGTGTGTTAGGGCATCGAGCAGCTGCATAAACATGTGTCTTCTGTCTGTGTACATGTGTTGTAGACCCAGTGACTTCTGGTCAGCAAGCCTGAAGTTAAAAGAGGATTTGGGAATATAAGGAGAATTTCTTTCCTTTTCTTTTCTTTTTGAGATGGAGTTTCAATCTTGTTGCCCAGGCTGGAGTGCAATGGCACGATCTCGGCTCACCGCAACCTTAGCCTCCCAGATTCAAGTGGTTCTCCTGCCTCAGCCTCCCTAGTAGCTGGGATTACAGGCATGTGCCGCCAGGCCCAGTTAATTTTGTATTTTTAGTAGAGATGGAGTTTCTCCATGTTGGTCAGGCTGGTCTCAAACTCCCAACCTCAGGTAATCCGCCTGCCTCGGCCTCCCAGTGTGCTGGGATTATAGGCGTGAGCCACTGCGCCCAGCTATAAGGAGCATTTCTAACAAACCCTAGTGGAGACCAGTTATTCCTAGGGATGGGACGTGTGAATTTAAGTCAGGGGTCCTACCCAAATACCAATCTCAAAGAAAAGTGAATGTTTGAATATTATGCCCTATCAAAATGATGGCCATGAAGATTATGCTGTTACATAGGCACATGTTTATAAGCAGAAGAATGTAGGATCTCAGATGTTAAACAGAACCCCCTCAACATACACACTCAACAAAGGAAAGCAACAAAATAAAAACAAAAGTCCTGGCAGAGGAAAAAAAATAACTGAAAACAAAGAAACCAAAATCCTAACAATAATTTTGTTCATGTGGATTTACTTTTTTTCTGCTTTTCTTTCTTCTGAATTACCTCCAATTTGCTTAGATTTATTTTAATAGTAAAATCCTAGACAATTTCTCTGCCTATGTTTAATTTCTACAAGATCAGGGGTCTTGTTTGTCCTCTATACAGAGATTATCACCACTGCACAGAAGAGTACTTGGTACAAAAAAGGCGCTTAATAAATATTTGTTGAGTTAGATAAGTAATCAATAAAGAAAGCATCACAGTGGAAAAATAAGTAGAGTCTGGAATGCAGTTATGGACTTCAGGGTAAAAGAGGTAATATTGTTCTATATTTTTCTCATATGGAGGAAAGTCGAGCACCATGTAAAGATTCGAGGAATCATTTTTCGAGGTCTATGTTGCGGAGAAAGTTTCTGAAACATAAATGTAGTTGGCCATCAGCAGAACAAAGACTATGTGCAGAAGTAAATGTTCCAGACCAAAATCCTAAGAAATAGGCATTTAATATCTTCTTCAGTCTTCTTTAATTTCCAGAAAGTTTGCACTGCAAGTGTTTTGCAGATGTCTTCTAAGTTGTCTCTGTTTTCATTGTAATATGTGCATGGAAGTGTATGTCTTGATTAACTTAGATTCTAGTAGAATCTAGAAGTTATGATGTTTCTTGGGATTCTTTAGTATAACTCCAGGTATTCCAACACTCATGTGCTGCTATTATAATTTCCGTTAATTCCAAATTTCATGTATTAGCATATCTGTTGCAATCCTACTTCTCGAACATCCCTAAGGAGGAAAAGGCTGAAAAACACTGGAAATGTTATTAATCATAGTTTGTAACAGAGGATCTATTTTCTCCCTTAACACTACCCAAAATATTTTATCTGGATTATTTTCAAATTATTTTGGCAATGATTTGATAGGAAAGATTGTTACAGTAGGTTTCATTTTGGATCCTTTTTTAGCTACTCCTTCCAGTTTTGAATGAGTCATATTCTTAGTCTTAACTTCACATAATATATTCCCACTTAATAATACCAATGAATATAAATCTCATTTGTTGCCAAATATATGTTAAGGATAACTGGCACAGAAGGATGGAAATATACCATTCTATAAATAACAAAATTATCTTCATAGATTTCTACTTTTTTTAACGTTGACAAAGTTCTCCAAAGATTTAAGATGTGTAGAGATTGCATAGATTAGGGTGGCATTTCATATTTCCGTTCTAAAAGGTAAACATGATTTTTATAGCTTCTAAAAAAGCATGTCTAAAGGATAAAGAGAGAAATTTAAAAGATTATGTCTCATGCAAGCATCTATACTTTTGTTTCTATTTATTTTAGAATAAAAGTGGTTTTACATTTTATCTCAGGGCTGACAATCATCAGACACAATATAAATCTTCAAGTATCTGAAAGGCTGCTTTTCAGGCAACCTGAAATGGTTTTTTCTTCGAGTACCTGTAAAGTACTGACTCTGAAGCAGGAGCGCCTTAATAGTTTTATAAACTCAATCAATAGAATGAATTTTTTCTTTTCTCCCTTTCTTTCTCTCTCCTTCCTTCCTGCCTTTCTTTCTCTCCCTTCTTTTCCCTTCCCTTCCCCTCCCCTCCCTCCCTCCCTCCTTCCCTCCCTTCCTTCCTTCCCTCCTTCTTGGTCTTGTTCTGTAACCCAGGCTGCAGTGCAATGGCAAAATCATAGCTCACTGTAACCTCAAACTCTTGGGCTCAAGGAATCCTCTGGAAAGCTTTTTCAAAGAGATGGTCGTAGGTCTTCTCCTCAAAGATGTTTAAAAATGGGATCAGGCTGGGCTCAGTTGCTCATGCTTGTAATCCCAGCACTTTGGGAGGCCGAGGCAGGCAGATCACATGAGGTTGGGAGTTCGAGACCAGCCTGACCAACATGGAGAAATCCCGTCTCTACTAAAAATACAAAACTAGCCAGGCGTGGTAGCACATGCCTGTAATCCCAGCTATTTGGGAGGCTGAGGCAGGAGAGTCGCTTGAACTGGGGAGGTGGAGGTTGCAGTGAGCCAAGATCGCACCATTGCACTCCAGCCTGGGCAATAAGAATGAAACACCATCTCAAAAAAAAAAAAAAAAAGGTGGGGGGGGATCAAGTTCGGCATACTGGCGTGTGCCTATAGTCCTAGCTACTGGGGAAGCTGAGGCAGGAGGACGGCTTGAGCTCAGGGTTCGAGACTGTGGTGAGCTATGACTACACCTGTGAATAGCCACTGTACTCCAGCTCAGGTGACAGAGGGAGACCCTCACTCTGTCTCTAAAAAAAAAAAAAAAAAAAAAAAAATTACAGTTAAAAATTAAAAAAAAATTAAAAATAGGATCAGCAGCCATGAATATGACAAAAGAAAACTACTTGAATTTAACTTTCAGTACCAAGATAAATAGCCTCTAGATAATATGGTCAAGTGGAATTGAATAACTGAGATATCAGAAAATTGAAAATTATTACTTTATGTAATTTTATATAGGTTCATCAAATTCTCTGATTCTCGAACTTTAAGCAATGCAAAGTCTGTTTCACAAATGAGGACACTGGGATTTATCATATTCAGGACACCTGCTCAAGATCCTAAGCCAGTTAAATATGGAGAACTGAACAAAGGTATTAATCTCTATAAAAGACACAAGGACAAAATGAATGGGTGAAGAAAAACCAAATCTTTGAAAGTACGAGACAGATGGAGGGGGACAATGACTTAGCCATTCAGGAAGGTTGACTCATGAACCATTGGTGGGAAATCTGGGAAGCCACCTGTTTTGTACCACAGAACTGCCCAGAAGACTCAGGAACTGATGGAGCCAGGTACCCCCAGAGGGAGAGTTTAGGGTGAAGTTGAAACAAGAGAGTGTATTTAAGAAGCACTAGGACCTGACATCTCCCTGATTCCATATTGCTTATGACTGCCCCTCCTCAATGTCTGTAAATGACTGGCAAGAGTGAAGAGAAAATCTCTGGCAAGGAGAGGCTAGTGAGGGTTGGAGAGGAGACAGCAGAACAGATGAGAGTTGGGGTACCTTATGAAAAAGGGAATTAAGTGAAAAAAATAATAATGGATGTTGAGATTCTCCACTCCCCGCCTCCCACCCCCCACCACTTCCCAACCTTCTTCCTCCTCTCCAAATGGCTGGCAGCTTGCATATTTTTAGGGCAGGGCTAAGTGGCACAGCTCCTGAGGAGTCTTTCATACACATGGTTATGGGAATGACGTCCCCTGGAGTCATGCAGGGTCTAGTTTGCACTGTCATACGTAAAGGTCCCGGAGCAGAGGCACCTCTTCTGAGAAACTGAACCAGCCCAAGACACAAAACCCAACAGTAATGATGTCAGAGATTCACTGACTAAGTGGTCCAGCTGGCTCTCCCAGCAGTGAAGCGAACATTTGACAAACCCCTATCATGAGCACAGAGCCTTAGATCCACTCTTTGGAACCCCATTAACTTCTAGCCAAGAATCACCAGACTGAAGAAATCTCTATATGAAAGACAGAGACTGAAATAATTAGGAAAAAAAAAAAAACTTAGAGGAAATAAAGTATGCAGGAAGAAGACAAAATTATCATTAATATATGAGAGATGAGAAGCTAATGCATATGTGGAAGACAAGCAGTGTTGTATTACAGTAAGAAACATTCAGAGAACAAAAAAGAGCTCTTGGAAACTGAAAATGTGATAGTAAAAATGAAAACTCAATAGAAAGGTTAGAGAATAAAGTTGAAAAAGTCTCCTGGTAAATAAAGCAAAAACATCTAAATTAGAGAAAATGTTTTAAAAATTAAAGGATCGGTTAGGGAAATCTGACATTTGAATAGTAAGATTTCTAGAAGTTGAGGACAGAGAAAAAAGATGAGATGACATCAAACACAACTTAAGGAAATTCCCTGGAACTGAAAGATGCATGTTTTCACACTCAAAGGGTCCACCGTGTGCCTAACAAAATAAATGAAAATAGACTCATACTTTAGTATATCATCATGAAATTTCAGTGCTTTAGGATGTTAACTGATTATTAGCCAATAAAATTCAAAATGCATAATATATTGATGACCCCTCAAAATTTCAAATACTTTGAAATAGTTGGCCAGGCACGGCGGCTCATGCCTGTAATCCCAGCACTTTGGGAGGCCGAGGTGGGCAGATCACAAGGTCAGGAGATCGAGACCATCCTGGCTAACACGGTGAAACCCCGTCTCTACTAAAAAATACAAAAAAAATTAGCCAGGCGTGGTGGTGGGCTCCTGTAGTCCCAGCTACTCTGGAGGCTGAGGCAGGAGAATGGCGTGAACTCGGGAGGCGGAGCTTGCAGTGAGCCGAGATCGCGCCACACTTCAGCCTGAGCGACAGAGCGAGACTCCGTCTCAAAAAAAAAAAAAAAAAAAAACTTTGAAATAATCATTGGATCAAGGGGGAGCTTAAGAGAGAGATGAAATCAATAAGTCAGTGGAAATAGGAATATTTTATAATCAAAGCCTTTAGGTGGAAACTATTGTCTCAAATGTCCACATGATTAAATACAAATGATTAAAAATTGAAGGAACAAACTACTCTTATGAAATTAGGAGAGGACTATGGAAACAGCCTGATAAGGTATTAGTAAAGATAAAATAAGACATTAATACATTAGAAAACATACAAGAAGGATTAAGAAATAAAAACCTAATTTTTAAGAAAAACACAAATGGGAAAAATCTTATGAGTTAAATAAGCTTCGTACAAGCCTAATGGTGGGGAGCACGGGGTTGGGGAATGAAACTGACAAGATCAGAAATCAAAAGGAGAAATAACCACAGATATGAGAGAGATTTTAAAAAATCTTGAGTGGGAGAAAAATATTTGTGTCTGAGTGGTCTAGAATAATTTTCACTAGTGTGAAAGATATAATCCATTTTGAAGTTAAAAATAGAATGGGAAACATATATAGTGAGAATTTTTTTAAATAAATAAAAGCAGATATATGTATGGAAAATAAACAGTATGAACAAAAGTCATTTCTAGGCATGAAATTATGGGTGATCCTGATAGTTTTGCTGATATGCATGGGTAACTTTTCTGTTGAAACATATATTGGTTTTATAGCAATATATATATTGCTATAAAATATATATTATATTAATATATTATATATAATAAAATTATAATAAGCACTAAAAGAGAATTTAAGTCACTGAACAGTAACTGTTCGATGTAACATTTAAGGAAAGATGACTTTAAATTCCCCAATTTACTTTGCAGTTTCCACACCAACATGTTTGATTTTGCAGCAACATACCTGTTGCAATGCTTCATGTTACTCGTATTTCTGGGACAATGGTAATACAGCAGAGTAATGATTATTTTCTCCTTCAATGAGATAAAGCCAATAGAAACTGAAATTTGATTATTATTTTCTCTTTTAGAAAACTTCTTTCTTTTTTTGAGACAGGGTCTTGCTTTGTGCCCCAGGCTAGGGTGTGATCATAGCTCACTGCTGCCTAGAATTCCTGGGCTCAAGGATCCTCTTGCCTCAGCCTCCTGAGTAGCTGGGACTATAGGCCACACCACCATGCCCAGCTAACTTTTAAAATTTGTAGAGACAGGATCTCACTAGGTTGCTCAGGCTGGTCTTGAATTCCTGGGCTCAGTCAATCCCCCCACCTCAGCCTCCCAAAGTGCTGGGATTATAGGTGTGAGCTACTGTGCCCAGTTTTGAAAACTCTTATTATGAAAACATTAAATAAGTACAAAAGTAGAAAGAGTAGTAAAATGAACTCTTATATTCATCACCATCTTCCACAATTGTCAGCAAATCTTATTCCCTCTATCCACTCATCCCCAGCCCCACTGAATGATTCTGAGGCAAATATCAAACATCATATATTTTCACTCATAAGTATTCCAGTATGGCTCTCCGAAAGACACACATTTTTTAAAAAGGTTACTACAATGTCATTATCCCACCTGAAAATTTTAATGTCTTTTTCTATTTTTTTTTTTTTTTTTTGAGACAGAGTCTCACTCTGTCACCCAGGCTGGAGTGCAGTGGTGCGATCTTGGCTCACTGCAACCTCTGCCCTCCGAGTTCAAGCGATGTCCTGCCTCAGCCTCCTGAGTAGCTGGGATTACAGGTGCCTGCTACCGCTCCCGGCTAATTTTTTGTATTTTTAGTAGAGATGGGGTTTCACCATCTTGGCCAGGCTGGTCTTGAACTCTTGACCTCATGATCCACCCACCTCGGCTTCCCAAAGTGTTGGGATTACAGGCGTGAGCCACTGCGCCTGGCCAATTTTAATTTCTTAATATCATCAAATATCCGGTCAGTGTTCACATTTATTCAATGGCTTCAAATTGTTTACAGTTTATTTCAAATAGGACCTAAAGTTTATCTAATTCATAAGTCTTTTCAATATTTATTCTTTCTACTTTTAAATTTATATTTATTTATTTATTTATGAGGCAGGGTTTCACTGTCGCCTAGGCTGGAGTGCAGTGGTGCAATCTCAGCTCACTGCAGCCTTGACCTCCTGTGCTCAGGTGATCCTCTGGCCTCAGCCTCCCAAGTAGCAGGGACTATAGGCACATGCCACCACGCCTGGATAATTATTTTTGTGGGTTTTTTTTTTTTTGTTTGTTTGTTTGTAGAGACAGGGTTTTCCCAGGTTGCCCAGGCTGGTCTCGAACTCCTGGGCTCAAGCAATCCTCCCCGCCTCAGCCTCCCAAAGTGCTGGGATTACAGGCGTGAGCCAACTGCACCCAGCCTAAGTTTATTAATTTTACATTGTATCTGCAATTGGTTGATATTTGTCTTATGTTCATTTCCCTTTTGAAAGAAACTTAAGAATTTCAATATCTATGCATTAGACAATTCATTGATGAAATGTAAAAAAATCTATAAATGTAGTAGTTATTTTTTTAGTAAAAAATTCACATATTGATAGACCCCAGGAAGCTGCTTGAAAATTACTAATGTAAAAGTTATTTGAATAGGAATTTTAAAAGGAAAACATATATTAAATATTATGTTATGTATGTATATTATTAGGATAATAATTGGGAGTTAACGTCTCTCTCAGATTCAGTGAACCACACTCTTCTGGTTTTTCTTCTGCTGTTTACTCTGAGCCCTTTATTAGGTCCTCTTACTCTACCTGACCTCTAAATGTTGGGGTTCCTCAGTAGGCCATTTGAAGCTCACTTCTTTTGCATCATTTTTTTTAATGAAATCACTGTAATACCCCTAGTTGTAAATGATGTCTTTATTGGCAAAATGGACCAAAAACAGTTTCACATAGCAAATACCAAAACAAAGTAAAAAGGGCAAATGACACACTGGCTTACAAAAACTGCAGCTTCAATCAAGAGTTAATATATACAGCTTCTTAAAAACAGAAAAGAAAATAATCAGCCAGGTGTGGTGGCTCACGCCTGTAATCCCAGCACTTTGGGAGGCTGAGGCAGGCAGATCACGAGGTCAGGAGATCGAGACCATCCTGGCTAACACGGTGAAACCCCGTATCTACTAAAAATACAAAAAAATTAGCTGGGCGTGGTGGCAGGCACCTGTAGTCCCAGCTATTCGGGAGGCTGAGGCAGGAGAATGGCGTGAACCCGGGAGGTGGAGCTGGCAGTGAGCCGAGATCGTGCCACTGCACACCAGCCTGGGCGACACAGCGAGACTCCATCTCAAAAAAAAAAACAAACAAAAAAACCCCAAAAAAGTAGCCAGGTGTGGTGGTGCGTGCCTGTAATCCCAGCTATTTGGGAGGCTGAGGCAGGAGAATCGCTTGAACCTGGGAGGCGGAGGTTGCAGTGAGCCAAGATCGCACCACTACACTCCAGCCTGGGCAACAAGAGCGAAACTCTGTCTCCAAAATAATAATAATAATAATAATAATAATAATAATAATAATAATAATCAATGATCCTATAGAAAAATGGGTTAGAGACAGGCACAGACTGATCATAGAAAAAGATGCAAATAGTCATTAAAAAGATAGATTCTCCACCCCACTCATGATAAAAGAATGCGAATTACAGCTATACTGAACATTTTTATCACTTAACAGCTTGGCAAAATTCCAAAAGTTTGACCATATACTTTATTGATAAAGGCTATGGGAAAGCAAGCACTCTCTCATACACAGCTTGTGGAAATAAAAATCAAATTCTAGGCGCATCTTTATGAGATGAAAACAAAATCAACTTCAGGCGTGACTGCAACCTCTAGCTCGATTCCAGAGTCCCCAAAAGCACTGAAGCAGCTGGACAAAGAGCAGGTTGAAAAGGCAGTGGACACTCTGTTGACACATTGCAAGTCCAGGAAAAATGATCATGGATTGCTTTTGAACAAGAATGAAAATGTATTTTTAATGGTGGTATTATGGAAAATTCCAAGTAAAGAACTGAGGGTCAGATTGGGCTTGCCTCATGGTATTCAATCACATTTAGAAGAAATCTGTTTATTTACCAAGGATGAACTCAATTCAACTCCTGAAAAGACATAACAGTTCTATAGAAAGCTTTTGAACAAGCATGGAATTAAAACCGTGTCTCAGATTATCCCCCTCCAAAACTTTAAAAAAGGAATATAAAGCCTATGAAGCCAAGCTCCACCTTCTGAGCAGTTTTGACTTCTTCCTTACTGATGCCAGAATTAGGTGGCTCTTACCTTCACACATTAAGAGACATTTCTATCAAACAAAGAAAGTTCCAGTATCAGGCTGAGGAGGGCAGATCACGAGGTCAGGAGATGGAGATCATCCTGGCTAACACAATGAAACCCCGTCTCTACTAAAAATACAAAAAAATTAGCCGGACATGGTGGTGGGCACCTGTATTCCCAGCTACTCAGGAGGCTGAGGCAGGAGAATCGCTTGAACCCGGGAGGCAGAGGTTGCAGTGAGTCAAGATCGCGCCGCTGCACTACAGTCTGGCGACAGAGCGAGATTCCGTCTCAAAAAAAAAAAAAAAGAAAGTTTCAGTATCTGTAAACCTTCTGTCCAGGAATTTATCAAGAGAGATCAATGAATGTATAGGTGGAACCGTCTAAGTATTCCTAAAAGTGGTTCTTGCAGTGCTACACACATCGGTCACACTGGGATGCAGATTGAGTACATCGTTGAAAACATTGTTGCTGTCACAAAAGGACTTCCAGAAAAATTGCCAGAGAAGTGGGAGAGCGTGAAACTTCTGTTTGTGAAAACTGAGAAATCGGTTGCCCTTCCTATTTTTTCCTTGTTTGTCAACAATTGAGATGAAGCCACCAGAAAATTTATGCTTAATAAGTAGAAAAAAGCAGCAAGGAGAAAACGAAGGGAAGAAAATCTTGAAAAACAAAAGGAGAGGAATAAAAACAAAAAGAAAAGGCAACAGGCTGGCAAGCCTGCATCAATCCTAAGTAAAGATGACGTGGCACCTAAAAGTGGTGGCACTGCAGTGAAGAAACCATAATTAAAGAAGAAACAGACTCCAGAGCATGAGAATAAAAAATGCGGCAGAGGAAAAGCCCAAGATAAAGTGACAAATGAATCAAAAGATGAAATTCCACAACTGGTAACCATAGGAAAAACTCCAGCTCTTGAAAATATACAGATTGAAAAACATGCTATAGGCCCAGGCGGGCGGATCACCTGAGGTCGGGAGTTTGAGATCAGCCTAACCAACATGGAGAAACCCGGTCTCTACTAAAAATACAATATTAGCTGGGCGTGGTGGCGCATGCCTGTAATCCCATCTACTCGGGATGCTGAGTCAGGAGAATCGCTTGAACCCAGGAGGCGGAGGTTGCGGTGAGCGGAGATCGCGCCATTGTACTCCAGCCTGGGCAACAAGAGCAAGACTCTGTCTCAAAAACAAAAAACAAAAAACAAAAACAAAAAAAAGAAAACAAGAAGAAAACGTGCTATAGAAAGAAGTCTCCAGAAAAGAGTCCTGATCCCAACACACCTTGTGGGAAGAAGAGAAAGGCCTTCCCAGCCTCTGAGACCCCAAAGGCTGCAGAGTCTGAGATCCCGTGGAAAGGCCCAGGGAAGAAGCCAAAAATTAATGAGTCAGTGAAGGAAAAAAAATACTTCACTGGGGAAAAAAGCCTGAGACAGGTACAAAAAAGCCAGAGGCCAAGTTTTTTACTACTCTTCGTAAATCTGTGAGAAAAGCTTCCCATAGCCCCTCAAAACGACCCCAAAAACCCAAAGTACCCCAGTCGACCTAAAGTCAGTGATTCAACTGGAAGGAAACATTAGAACTACCTGAGGAACTTTTTAGAAATACTAGGGTCCTGGCCCGGTGCGGGGCCTCACGCCTGTAATCCCAGCACTTTGGGAGGCGGAGGCAGGCGGATCACGAGGTCAGGAGATCGAGACCATCCTGGCTAGCACGGTGAAACACCGTCTCTACAAAAAAATACAAAGAAATTGGCCTGGCGTGGTGGCGGGCGCCTGTAGTCCCAGCTACTCGGGAGGCTGAGGCAGGAGAATGGTGTGAACCTGGGAGGCGGAGCTTGCTGTGAGCGGAGATCCTGCCACTGCACTCCAGCCTGGGCGACAGAGCGAGACTCCGTCTCAAAAAAAAAAAAAAAAAAAAAAGATTTCTTAAAGCCTCCATAGGTCCATAGGTAATTCTGACATATGATGTGTTATTTTAATAGAGGTTTATTTGAAATTACATATTCTGCATTATTTAATTTTCTGTTACATAAGTGTTGTTATTAAACAATAGGACTAGTAGTTAATAGTACTAATGCGGGAGAAGGAAAGGAAGACTTATTTGGGGAAAATTCAGACTGCAGAAGTGGCCTGCCTGAAAAGTCACAGCAACAGGCAAAAATAAAATAACCTAGGAAAAAAATCTCAGGCTGCACCTGCAGACAGAGAAGCAGACAGGGTCCAGCACAGAGGCCCTTTGTTCTTTGTATTAATAGCAAGCTCCCAGGAAAAAGTTTCCTCCTCTTTTCAGGCATATACACGTTGGGAGCCTGCACAGGAAGGAGGGGATCTTACCTAAAACAAACCCACAGTTATACAAACAAGAGAAGCAGCTCTTTGTGCTTGTCTAGAGACATACCCACAGCTGCGTAAGATAAGGGGAGTTGCACAGACACCTTTACCGATAAGTCACTCAAACTGTTAGAGAGATGAGAGGAGTTTCTTTTCTTTTCTTTTTTTTTGAGACGGAGTCTCACTCTTGTCACTCACGCTGGAGTGCAGTGGCGTGATCTTGGCTCACTGCAAGCTCCGCCCTCCAGGTCCACGCCATTCACCTGCTGAGGTGGGTGGATCGCCGGAGCTCAGGAGTTTGAGACTAGCCTGGGCAACATGGCAAAACCCCATGTCTACCAAAAATACAAAAAATTAGCCAGGTGTGGTGGCATGCACCTGTAGTCCTAAGTAGTTTGAAGGCTGAGGTGGGAGGATCACTTGAGCCCGGGGTCGAGGATGCAGTGAGCTGAGATTGTGCCACTGCACTCCAGCCTGGGTGAGAGAGGGAGACCCTGTCTCAAAAATACATAAATAAATATAGTAGGACGAACTAAACTGATATTTTGATATTATCCATATTTAATTTAAAAACTCACAAAAACAGTGCCATGTTTCTTTCTGCCACATGATACAGTAGGATATGTTAACTCTTTCTGCTTCCTTTTCTGAAAATATTTCTCTGAGCAGCCTGTAGGTCCTCCTTAATTTATTTTATGTAATGGTAAAACTGATGTAAAATCCACTTTGACTTGCAGCTCTGCTCTTATCAAACTCATGTGACACTGGGTTCCAGTGTCAGTACAATATGATGCCATTGAGCTAAAGTTCATCTCAACACAAGTGTTGAATCACGTAATAGTTAGGATTTTATCTACTAGCAACAACAAGATTTAGACTTGTAGGAATTAATTTCCATCTCTCCAAAAATGGCCATCTACTCTTATGTTGTTTGGGTAGATCATTATTTGTCAATCAGTTCCTTTGCATCCATTCATCACATAGTCTATGTCTAAAATGCCCGTTGCTTTTTCAACATTAGAACGAATATTGGATGTCATCAGAAGTTAAAGGTTTCTCAGGGAAAATGGTTTTTAAATCAGAGAGGTTAGGAGAAATCAAATATGGATTTCAAATAAATTATAGTTTTAGTAAATAAAATGGTTTCACTTGGCTGCCGTGTTCTGGTTATAAATGTGTATTTGAAATATATATGTGTGTATATTTGTGTATTTAAAATATATATGTGTATATTTGTGTTTGAGATATATATGTATATTTGAAATATATATAAGTTCTGAAGCAGTCTTATTTACAAAAAAAGAGTGTTTTTTCCTCTATCAGTTTTTGTCACAACCTATACATGATCCTGAACAACTCAGATGCAGTCAGCTCATCCTTTTCTAGATATCTCATGGTCCTGCAGAGATCATTAAACAGTTTTGGAAAACTAGCATATATGTTTCTACTTTATTGTAACTCTTTTCTACATTCTCATCCTCAAATGTATTTAGTGAGTACCTACTATAGGCCAACCACTTCCCTAAGTCCTGGCGACACAGCTTTGATCAAAACAGGCAAAACTTCTGCCTTTGGGAAATTATTCTGTAAGAGAGATATGCATTCTTAATTTTTAAAGTTTTTTGAGACAGTCTTGCTCTGTTGCCCAGGCTGGAGTGCAGTGGCATGATCTCGGCTCACTGCAACCTACACCTCCCAGGTTCAAGCGATTCTCTTGCCTCAGTCTCCTGAGTAGCTGGGAGTACAGGTGCACGCCATCACGCCCGGCTAATTTTTGTATTTTTAGTAGAGATGGGGTTTCGCCAAGTTGACCAGGCTGGTCTTGAACTCCTGACCTCATGTGATCCACCCGTCTCAGCCTCCCAGAGGACTGGGATTACAGGCGTGAGCCACCACGCCCGGCCATTTAAAAATTTTTTAAACCAATTTTTGTGAAGTTCGGTTTACAAACAATAAAATGTACACATTGTAAGTATATACTTCAGTGAAATTTTACAAATGTATTCACCCACACAGGCACTACCTTAATCGAAAACAGAATATTTACATCACTTCAAATCAAGCTCTATCCAACTTAGTCTCTTCTTGAGCCCTGAGCAGCCACTAATCTGTCTTCTGTCACTATAGATGTCTTTTAAGAGCCTGGGGTCTCACTTGGGGAATCATACTCTTGCATTTGATTTCTTACTCTGTCGCCCAGGTTGGAGTGCAATGGCACCATCTCGGGTCACAGCAACCTCTGCCTCCTGAGTTCAAGGGATTCCCCTGTCTCAGCCTCCCAAGTGGCTGGGATTACAGGCGCACGCCACCATGCCTGGCTAATTTTTTTGTATTTTTAGTAGAGACAGGATTTCACCATATTGGTCAGGCTAGTCTCCAACCCGACCTCTCCACTGCCAGCCTCCCAAAGTGTTGGGATTACACGCATGAGCTACCAGCTACCAAGCTCAGCCTGATTTCTTTTACTCAATATATTTTTGAAATTCATTCATGTTGTATGTCAAGTAGTTTATCCCTGTTTATTGATAATTACATTCATTACATTGTATGGATATGCCACAAATTGTTTTTATTCAACAGTTGATGGACATTTGGGTTGTCTGTAGTTTTTGATGATTAAAAACAAAGCTGGGCCAGGCACGGTGGCTCATACCTGTAATCCCAGCACTCTGGGAGGCTGAGGTGGGCAGATCACGAGGTCAGGAGTTTGAGATCAGCCTGACCAACATGGTGAAACCCCATCTCTACTAAAAATACAAAAAACAGCCTGGTGTGGGGGCAGGCGCCTGTAATCCCAGCTACTCGGGAGACTGAGGCACGAGAATTGCTTGAACCTGAAAGGCAGAGGTTGCAATGAGCCGAGATCAGGTCACTGCACTCTAGCAGGGGCGACAAGAGTGACACTCTGTCTCAAACAAAAACAAAAACAAAGCAAAACAAAGCTGGTATGAACATTAACGTACAAGCCTTTGTATGAATATGTTTTTGTTCCTAAGTAAATTCGTAGATTACTGGATCGAATGATAAGTATATGATTATAAGGAGAGATTGTTAAGTTTTCCAAAGTGGTTGTACCATTTTGCATTACCACCACCAACATAACAGAGGTCCAGTTGCTCTGCATCCTTGCCAACATTTGGTATTATCTTTTCCATCTTTTAATTTTGGGCCATCCTAAAGAACAGGTGGTGATAAAGATGTGCTTCTTACCTGCGCCCGTCTATTTATGTAACCCCATTTAAAAACTGATCATTTTATTAATAAATTAAAAAAATCTAAAACATATAAGAATCTGAAATTAAATGTCTGGCTTGACTTTGCAGATATTTTGAATCTATGTTTCCTCACGAAACTCCCAGGCGCTGTATAGGAAACATAAATCCGTTGTCAGGCAGCAGTAGCACGCTGTTGCTCTCGGAGCTTGGCTGCTCGTTCGTGCTCGCAACCACTAAGGTCTACGCAAACCTCCACGGTTTCCTTCCGCCTTCGCGTCACCTTTCTAAGAAATTCCCAGAGGGCAGCGCAGACGGGGCGGGCTCTGAGACTCCGGGCTCCGCCTCTTTCCGGGAACCGCCCACTACCCAGGACTCCGACAGAGGGTGAAAAAAGATAACTTCCGGTCTCGCGATCGTCTCTAATCTCGCGAGAAGAGAAGGCGGCCGCCATCGGCCGAACGGAGGCGGTGGCGAGGGAGGGGGTGTGGCCGGGGAGCGCGAAGTCCCCGGGAGTAAGGGAGAGGGGGCGGGGTCGCGCGTCCCGGGCATACGCATGCGTGCACGCTGCCGGTCGGGCTGGGCTGAGAGGGGAGGGGGCGGCGGCGGCCGAGGCGGCGTCGTTATTTCCGTGGTCCGGACAGTGCGTGGCGGCGCGGGTGACCACGGGAGAAGTAGGTAGGGACCGCCCCTGCGTAGCCATTGAAACCCTCTCGCTCGTGTGTCCGAGAGCCGCAGCCCCCCGCGCGTGTGGCAGATCCTGGGGACCCCAGGTCACCCTGCGGCCCCGGCCCTCCCGCTGCGCGTCAGGTAGGAGCGGCGGGCTCCCCAGTGCCCGCTGTCGGCCGAGGCCCCACTCTTGCCCGGTGTTGCCGAGGCGACGACCCGGCGCCGGACGTGCCCGCCCTCCCGCGCGGCGACAGCTCTGTCCTTGCTTATGCGCCCAGTGGGACCGGGGCTGGGCTGGGCTGACCCGGGCAGGGCGGAAGGGAAGCGTGTGCCCGCCTCAGGTGTGCCTCGGCCCTAGGCCCGGCCGGCGGGACCCTGCGGTGCCTGCCGGCTCCTCATTGCTCCCGGCGAGGTTCTGCCTGGGTCCGGGCCGGCTCTGGCCCGGGAGAGGTCCCAGCGAGCTCTGGCCAGATGAAGGGCTACCTTGATTGACTTCGGTAGCTGCCGCATGGGGTCCTGGGCTGCGAGAGGGGACCCTGAATAGTGCCTTGGTCTTTTGTGGCTATTATTGAAAGTTGGAAGCTCTGGAGTTGTTCTTTTCGGGCCAGAGGTGAGATGGTTTGTGATTTTTCTTCTTAAACAGTAGGAAGGCAAAATGTTTATGGGCCCTGGTAGGTGGTGGGCTAATAGTAAGCAGCAGGAGTGTTAATTGACGTGCGATTTGATTGCATTAAGGTTATTCTTTGCAGTACTGTCCTTAGACTCAGAAGAGTTCTGCTTTAAAGAGTTTAGTTAAGACTTCATCCTATGCTGAAACAAACACCCATTTCTGCAAATACTCTTGCCCTGAAAGCTACATCCTCTCTCTTACATCAGTATTAATTTTACAGGCATAATGGTTATGAAAGCTTCTGTAGATGATGACGATTCAGGATGGGAGCTCAGTATGCCAGAAAAAATGGAGAAAAGCAATACAAACTGGGTGGACATTACCCAAGATTTTGAAGAAGCTTGTCGAGGTGAGTCTGATTTTTGGATTAGAAGTTCAGCATCTGGAAGGGGTAGAATGACGATTGTGCTTTCTAAACTTACCTCATTAGATGAAATCAACAGGTAAATGTGGTTTGTTGAGTTTGTTAGCCACACTTATTCTGTATCCTCTAATTTTAACTTTAAAGCAAATGTATATTTGATACAGCATTAAATACAGATGTTGAGGCAGTATTTTAAAATTGAATTTTTCTTGCTTTAACAGGTTAGAGAGAGCAGTAATTTCTAACTGTGGAAAACACTTTGTTAATCTAAAAGATAATAGTATTTTTGTATGTTTGAGGTTTCAGTATGATCAGATCACATCATTCCTTGTTTAAGATTGTCCAGTGGCTTCCTGTTGCAGGTAGAATAAAATCCACCCTCCTTCCCTATGGGTCTATAAAATCTGGTCCCTGCCTGCCACTCAGGTTTCATTTATGTGCCACTGTCCCCGCCAGGCTTATTACATTCCAGTCACAGGTCTTTTTTATCTCTTCGTAATACACACCAAGGTGGTTCTCCCAGGTGTTTGCATTTTTTGTTTTCTTTCTTTTAAATTGCTTTGCCCCTCGCTTTCACACAATTCTTCTTAAGTGTTAACCTCCCTGGTGAGGACCTCAAAACAACCACTCATTCTCTCCTCTGCAATTCCACCTCAGTTGAATCACTTTTTATTTTCTTCATACAGCTTATCTTTTTCAGAAGCCATAATTGTCAATTATTTCTTGTTTATTTTCAGTCTCACTCACTGGAATATAAGCTCCGTGGGGGCAGAGATAATTTCTGTAACCCTAGTATACAGAACAGTTCCTGGCACATAGTAAATTCAATAAATAGGAGTAAATGATTGGAGAAATGAACATGCTTGTTGCTTGAGGGGAAAGAGTCTAGGGAGAGACTGAAGATAAGAGAAAGGAACAAATTAACTAGAGTGAGAGCTTGAACGTTAAAGAGAGGATGAGATCAAGGAGATAGTAGAGAAATTGGGGAAAAGCACAGGGACACACTGAGACAGGAAGGACTGAAGTTAGGATGAAGATAAAAGTATATTTCTAAGTGACAGAGGAGGACTGGTGAAGGAATTCACTCCTGATGGCTTGTATTGTCTCAAGCAGCTTAGGTCTTTTGATGATAGGTAGGGTGTGTTTGGATAGTGCTCTGAAGGGGAGGAGTAAAGACTTGGGGCACCTGCAGGTGGAAAGGGAGCCAGCTGTGTATAAGCAAAATGATAAATCATGTGCCATCCTTTGTTTTGAAATCACTTTTTATAGCCTCAGTGAGACAGTGGAAAGGACGTAAGACTGGGAGTTGGGTGACTGCCTATGTATGTCTATCTAAGGAAGAGAGAAAGAAATGTCAAGTTACAGTGTAGTTTTTGTGCTCAGAGATCTTAGACTATTAAGTGGATTATACCTGTCATCTTGCACTGATTTTAAGTAATCTCTATTAGGGGGCTGTCATTATTAACCTAAATAGGGAAGGTTTTTGAAGGTTATATGGCTTGGGTTGGGCCTTAAGGAGAGATCAAGTTTTTGCAAAGGGAGGTGATAGAGTTATTCTAGACTGAGATGAACTATGTGAGTCAGAGTTTGGTGAGGTTTTTATGTTAGGGGAACAGTAAATAATTTTACTTGGCCACAAAACAATTTTAAATGCTGGGAATTATAGAGCGTCTTTAGTGCCATTGATGTTTTTTGTTTGTTTTTGTTTTTTTGGTTTGAGCTTGTTTTATAGGCAGTAGGAGTAATGGATTTGAGCATAAGATTGAAAGTTTGTTCCCCTTGATGATCAGTACAGTGGCTTGGACCAAGTAGCTTCTCAGTAAGTAATGTAGTAAGCTTTATAGTCAGATATGAGCTGGAGTCCTAACTCTGTCACTTACTAGTTTAGTTTCCTTGGAGTTTAATTAATCTGAATCTTAGTTTTCTACTCTGGAAAACAGAGCTTCTACTTTAGAGAATTTTGGGGATTAAATGAGATAGTGGATGTAAAGTACTCTATAGTAGCATTCAATGATGGTAACTGTTGTTACTCAAGGTATTTAATTTAGAGTTGAAAGCATATAAAGAAGTTTCTCTACCAGCATAATTTATGATGGATTAGGATGAAAAGAGTCTACTTAGACAAGGTTTTGCACTCAGCCCAGATTTGGGCGTTAAGGCCTTGGACTAGGCCTTGACAGAATGGACTAGAAGGGTAACATATGAGAACAAATAAGTTCATGTTGCTGGAGAGGTGAAAGAAACAAGAGAGATGATGTGTGCCTTAAACTTTTCCCTTGGTGACAGCAGAAGAGAGTGAACACGTACACTGCTTCTCACCCTTTCCTTCCCAGATCTTATGGGTGGAGTTCAAAGTACCTTGATTCATAGGTACAAGATATCTTGATAATTTCCTGTTTTATCTTAGAAATTCATGGAAAAGTTTGCATTTTACAACATGTTTGTTGTTTGAGGGGAACACTTATGTTTCATTTATGTTAAAGATCTTTTGCTTCCCACATCATCACATTAATTTGATATTAGGCAGCTGTACAAATTTTTATCCTGTGTCTTTGAATCCCCTGGGACATGATGTTCACCCAGGGTGGTTGCATACCACAGTTTGAAAACCACAGGTCGGCAGAATTTAGTCTCAATGAAATACGACTATAAAGGTCCTCTTAATTTTAGTCTTGCAGCTTTCTTTCATATATACATTCTCTACTTGTTTTTGATTGTAAGAAAAATTGAACCCAAGAAAGCAGTTTAGAATACTGGTGGGAGAGATGTTTTGGCTTGCCTTCGAGTTATATCATAAATTAGCCTTATTTCTTTGTGAAGGAACCTTGAGTGGGAGATAAAGTTTAATCCATGTTTCACTGTGGATAGAGAGGGGGTGACATGCCATTTTGTGGCCAACATACCATCCTATTAACTCTTCCATAATTAGCTCTTGCACTGTGTTGAGTGGCGCAAATGTGAGGTATCCTTCTTGGAACTAAAAAAAAATTGATGTAGAATTAATCTTCATATGTAGATTTAGGACTAAAGACTGTTGGCATTTCTTGAGCCTGTGGTATTTATTTTCCCGTCTTGGAATAATCAGATTTGTAGTCTTGATTATGGTTTAGGCTTCTGTTCTAGTGACTTTCTAAAAACTAAATTTAAAACAGATATGATTACACTCTTTCTTTTAACTTGCAGTAATCTCTCCCCTTTGGTAAGAATGTAATGGCATTTGGCTAGACTCTGGTGATTTTTTTTTTTTGAGATGGAATCTCGCTGTCACCCAGGCTGGAGTGCAGTGGTGCTGTCTCGGCTCACTCGACCTCCCGGGTTCACGCCATTCTCCTGCCTCAGCCTCCCGAGTAGCTGGGACTACAGGCGCCCGTCACCACGCCTGGCTAATTTTTTTGTATTTTTAGTAGAGACGGGGTTTCACCGTGTTAGTCAGGATGGTCTCGATCTCCTGACCTCGTGATCCATCCACCTCGGCCTCTCAAAGTGCTGGGATTACAGGCATGAGCCACTGTGCCCAGCCTGACTCTGGTGATTTTTTTAGTACCACAAAATAGTTGGCATACTGATGGCGAAGTTGTTTTTCATGCACATTTGTACTAAAAGTAGTGGCTCTTTAAAGTCCTGAATCAAATACAAACTTTCAACTTTTATGATTTATTTTATTTCCTACTAGGCAGGTGGCACACATTCCTTATAACTACTCTTGAGGCTCTAATTTTTTTCTTTTCTAAATTATTTATAATTTAGCCATTACTGTTGTTTTGCCTGATAGGAAATATGTGATTATTTTAAGTAACACTTCTAGGCTTGCTTTCTTAAAAAAAAAATTAGTAAGTTAAATTTTTTTTTTCTTTTTAGAGTTAGGGTTTTGCTGTGTCACCCAGGCTGAAGTGCATACAATGCCATGATCATTCCTCACTACAGCCTTGACTATAGGATGGGTTCAAGCAATCCTCTCATCTCAGCCTCCTGAGTAGCTGAGACTACAGGCAAGTGCTATGCCTGGCTTATTTTGTTTTTTGTAGAGACATTATGTTACGTAGGCTGGTCTCAAACTCCTGGCCTTAAGGGATCCTCTTGCCTCAGCTTCTAGGCTTTATCCACACTATGGATAGCAACATTCTCTCCTGGGATGATGGCACCAGTGGTATCTGGAGCCCAGGAGTAATCCAAAATCTGCCATGCTGACTTCCATTCTTTTTATGTTTTAGTCTAGGAGGATATGGGCCCAATCTTTCATTCCATTTTCTTCTCTTTTTGATGGCTTAGTTTAAGCTTCTCCAACCCATTGCCCAAGGGCTGCATGTGGCCCAGGATGGCTTTGAATGTGGCCCAACACAAATTCGTAAACTTTCTTAAAACGTTATGAGATTTTTTTTTTTGCGATTTTTTTTTTTTAAAGCTCATCACCTATCAGTGTATTTTATGTGTGGCATAAGACAATTATTCTTTCAGTGTGGCTCAGGGAAGCCAAAATATTGGACATGCCTGGCTTTGTTCATTCCTCCGTAGTCAGTCTTTATTATTAGCACCATTGGTTAAGGCCTTCCATATCCATTCATCTTCTTCAGTTCTTGCTTAGTACTTTAGGAAAATTCCTTTTACACTTTCTCTTGCCTCTTGTAAAACTTGGGATTCTTAAGCTTCTTGTTGCTCTTCCTTTCTTTTCTATCTTCTCTCACCCAGAACATTTGTAGGTGCTCAATATATATATTTGTTTTAAGAATGAATGAATTTTCTAAGGCCATGTTTCTTCAAACTGGAGAATATTTGGATCTGGGACTACGGAAGTTTGAGAACCACTGCAGTACATTAAATGCTGTCATTTTGGGGGATTGCCTGTAACCAGCATAATTATGAACCACAAGCGTGGACACTGAAATTATGTTGATACTTGATTATAATGTTATTATCTAGGTGATCTGGAATATTCTGTGATTTTTTTTTAAAGACTATCATTGAAATGATTATATAGCTTTTAAAAATTATGGAAAAAATACAAATTCTTTGTGAAACTTTCAGTGAAATCTTTTTTGCCCCCCACAGCCCCATCTGTGTGGGGTGAGAGTCATTGTTCTAGGAATTTACTGTTTGTTAGCACTTGATTCTAAGAGGAAAAGGATGAATGGATGGAAATTGTCCTGGCAAAAGATCTAGGCAACATGTAAAATTGTTTTCCGTGTTCTGTGCCATCCAGAATGTTACCAAGAGGTGGAGCATGGGTGAGATGGCCAGCGCTGGCATTTATGGATCACTTTAGATTAGTGGTTCTCAACTGGGGGTGATTTTTCACCTCAAGGGGCATTAATGTCTTGAGACATTTTTGATTGTCACAGTGTCTATGAGGTGGTGCTACTGGCATCTAACAAGTACATGCCAGGTATACTGCTCATTCAATTCAACACACAGGGCAGCCCCCACAAACAAATAATTATCCTCCTCAAAATATCAATAATGCTGCTTAGTTCACTGCATTTAGATTACTTTCAAGAAGGTTCAGCTATCACTTAACCTCTCAAACCCTGAATTCTTCAGGAAAGGAACACATGGATACTGGACTTAACACCCTTAAGAACTAGCATTGACATAGAGCAAGCAGTGTGAATGGGACCTTTGATGTACTTTGAGGGCTCTTCTGCAGTGTTGAATACATCTTATCAGATTTTTCCCTTAATCACGTATAATATATCTTGCTTCATCTTAGGAGCTTTAGTTAATGAAAAAGGAGTTTCTAGAAGACACTGCGTTCCTCCTTTTAGCTGGTTATTTTGATATTTATTTTGCTGGTTTTGGGCAGCTTGCTTTTATACTACTTTTTGATTCCCTTCATCCCCAGTTTAGGCTGTATCTGTGGACTTAACCCCTTATAGTTATAGGTAGCTACACTGTGGATATGCAAATATTATTCATAGCTGAGCCAAGGAGTAAAACCATTACTACTTTTTCTTTCCTGCATACTTCTGTTTTACACAAAAAATTTTTACCCAAAAATTGGTGTACTTATCATTAATTCTACTTCTAGATTAATGAATCTAGAATTCATTAATTCTACCAGTTGTCTAAATCTCCTTAAGACATTCAGACTCATTGGAGATCCTGTTGGTTTCATCTCCTTATAGAACTTTCTTCTTGATCCTCTTAACTGCAGTCTAGGCTTATTGCCTTTTGTACCTAGTATGTAACTTCATTTTGAGATCTTCTTTCTTCATCAGCCTGGGGTGTCTTTTCTCTCTTGTTGTGATTGGATATCATTATTATCTTCTTGAGTAAAGTGCATGGGAGATAAAATGTTTTGAGGCTCTTAATATCTGAAAATGTCTTTATTCTGTCCTCCCACTTGACTGATATTATGTCTGGGTGCCTTTGAGAATTTTGCAGGCATTGTCCATTGATCTTTTGCTATTAAGAAATCTGATGACATTCTGATACATGTGAAAGTTATATGTCGATACCTTTATTTTATTTTATTTTTTTTTGATGTGGAGTTTCGCTCTTGCTGCCCAGGCTGGAGTGCAATGGCATGATCTCGGTTCACTGCAACCTCCATCTCCCGGGTTCAGGCGATTCTCCTGCCTCAGCCTCCCGGGTAGCAGGGATTACTGGCGCCCACCACATGCTCAGCTAATCTTTGTATTTTTAGTAGAGATGGGGTTTCGCCCTGTTGGCCAGCCAGGTCTCGAACTCATGACCTCGGGTGATCCACCCGCCTCAGCCTCCCAAAGTGCTGGGATTACAGGTGGTAGCCACCATGTCTGACCTTGATACCTTTCATATGTAACTTTTTAGGATCTTCTGTTTGTCCTCCTTGTCCAGAACTTTCACTGTGGTCTGGAGCCTTTTCACTTTGATGCTTCAGTTCTAGGAAGCATCCTTGAATTATCCTAACTTTTTCCTATACTCTCCTTATGGAATGTCTGTTATTTGGATATTGAATCTCCCTAAACTTGTCCTCTGGATTTTTTTCTTATCCTTTCTTCCCTATTTTTCTTTTTTTCTTTTTCTTTTTTTTTTTTGAGACAGAGTTTCACTCTTGTTGCCCATGCTGGAGTGTAATGGCGCAATCTCGGCTCACCGCAACCTCCACCTCCCAGGTTCAAGCGATTCTCCTGCCTTGGCCTCCCGAGTAGCTGGGACTACAGGTGCCTGCCACCATGCCCGGCTAATTTTTGTATTTTTAGTAGAGACGGGGTTTCACTGTGTTGGCTAGGCTGGTCTCGAACTCCTGACCTTGTGATCCACCCACCTCGGCCTCCCAAAGTGCTGGGATTACAGGCGTGAGCCACTGTGCCTGGCCCCTTTCTTTCCTATTTTTTATGTCTTTTTCCTCAACTTCATCTTCCAGATCTTTCATTGCACTTTTCTTTTCTCCTGTGATATTTTTAACTTTGAATCATTACAACTATGGCTTGAGTCCAATTTTCCTCATATCAGATTTTTCCCTTTGCTCTGAATGGTGTAAGCTGTATACTATTGAGCCTACTTAAGGCTTTAACTTAAAAGTAGAAGTAACTTTAAAAAAAAAAAAACAGTATCATGTTACTGTTAGTTCAGTTGTTTGGTGTCGTCTAGAATTGCTGGGATCCCCAAGACTGTTTTGCAGGATATGCAGAGTTGAAACAGTTTGGTGGTAATACTAAAAAGGTACTTGCCTTTTTGACTGTTACTCTCTTGTTAGTATACGGTGGAATTTTTCAGAGGCTACATGATGTGTGATGATGTCATTGCTCTGATGGCTAATGATAATTTGAAACATTATCTTTCTCATTAAATTTTTTGAGAAATGCTGCCTGGTTGGATAAGGCCCAATTTACTCAGTTCTATAGGGCTATACAAGATCATGATTCTGTGTTCAGTCATTGATCATGCAGGGTGGGGCTTGTACTCTGCTTCATGAGTAAATTCTTAAGTTTACTGTCTATAAAGTTTAATAGTGAGAGATATGATTTCTGAAGTTCTTTTTTTTAGATGTGGAGTTTCGCTCTTTTTGCTCAGGCTGGAGTGCCATGGCACAATCTCAGCTCACTGTAACCTCCGTCTCCTGGGTCCAAGCAACTCTCATGTCTCAGCCTCCCAAGTAGTTGGGATTATAAGCATGTGCCACCGCACCTGGCTAATTTTGTATTTTTAGCAGAGATGGGGTTTCACCATGTTGGCCAGGCTGTTCTCGAACTCCTGACCTCAGGTGAACCGCCTGCCTTGGCTCCCAAAGTGCTGGGATTACAGGTGTGAGCCACTGCGCCCCTGATTACTGAAGTTCTAAGGAATCTTACGAGTCATCTAGTCTAACCTTTCATTTTACAGATGAGGAAACCAAGGCCGAGAGTGTTTGACTTGCTTCTAGATCTGTGGGGTGTTTTTAAGTTTGATGAAGCTATTTGGTACCCACATTTACCCTAAATACATGATAGATTATTACAGCAGTTTCCAAACTTTTCGGTCTTAGGACCCCATTATACTTTTTAAAATTATAGTCTATGTATGTATTACATATATATATGTGTTTATTATAATTTAAAACTGAGACATTTAAAAAATATCCATTTAAAAATGATGATGGGCCGGGCACGGTGGCTCACGCCTGTAATCCTAGCACTTTGGGAGGCCAAGGCGGGTGGATTACTGGAGGTCAGGAGTTCAAGACCAGTCTGGCCAACATGGTGAAACCCTGCCTCTATTGAAATACAAAAGTATTAGCTGGGCGTGGCAGTGTGCACCTGTAGTCCCAGCTACTTGGGAGGCTGATGCAGGAGAATTGCTTAAACCCAGGAGGTGGAAGTTGCAGTGAACTGAGATCACACCACTGCACTCCAGCCGGGGCGACAGAGTGAGACTCCATCTCAAAAAAAAAAAAAAATGATAACCCGTTGCATGTTAACATAAATAACATTTTTAAAAATGAGAAATCATTGTATTTTCCAAAACAAAAAAATAATATACAAAAGTAGAGTTTGACATTTTTGCAAATCACTTCAATGTCTGGCATAACAGAGGGCAATTGAATTCTCATATTTGCTTCTGTAATTCAGTCTGTTGCCACATGTTGTTTTGGTTGAAGTATCTGATGTAAATTTGGCCTCACCAAATATGTAGTTGAAAAATGGGGGAATCTTCAGATAATTTTGGATATTCCTCTTTGATACTCCAAAAGCTTGACAGGTGGTAGTTTCTTAAAGGTTAGTTGCAGTCTGGAATCTGAAACCCTGGTAATGGACTCTTTATGCTCTGTTACATTAAAATTCATTGCTCTTTCTTGAACTTTGAATGGCTCTTTAATCCATGCCTGATTTTGTAACATGCACTGCCATTTGGAAAATATTGTTTTCCAAATATTGAATGTTCAATAAGTTATGCAGATCTTCCAAAAATTTTTTTTTTGAGGCATAGTCTTGCTCTGTCACCCAGTCTGGAGTCCAGTGGCATGATCTCTGCTCACTGCCACCCCTGCCTCTGGGTTCAAGGGATTCTCCTGCCTCAGCATCCTGAATAGAGTAGCTGGGATTACAGGTGTGCACCACCATGCCTGGCTAATTTTTGTATTTTTAGTAGAGACGGGGTTTCGCCATGTTGGCCAGGCTGGTCTGGAACTCCTGACCTCAAGTGATCTGCCTGCCTTGGCCGCCTCCCAAAATGCTGGGATTACGGGCGTGAGCCACTGCGCCTGGCTAGATCTTCCAAATGTTAACACGTTTCATTATACAATATTAATAAGCACATTTGTTATCACTACCAGTACAGAAAGCTCTTCTAAGTATTGGGAAATTGTTAGACTTACAGTGGCAGATACGTATTTACCAAAATTTTAGATTTTGCTTGAAAGCTCAAATTTTATTATTGGCAACAGACGTCAGTTTTTCTTGAAGTGACAGACTCATGTATTTTTTTTAAAAATGCCACATTCTCAAGTCTGAATAACCATAGTCTGTTGATTGTTTTTCTTTTTTTTTTTCAGGTAAAAGTAGTGTTCCATGATAATTGTGCAAGTGTTTTTTGTTTTTTTTTTTTTTGAGACGGTGTTTCGCTCTTTTTGCCCAGACTGGAGTGCAGTGGCGCCATCTCGGCTCACTACAACTTCTACCTCCTGGGTTCAAATGATTCTCCTGCCTCAGCCTCCCGAGTAGCTGGGATTACAGGCGCACACCACCATGCCAAGCTAATTTTGTATTTTTAGTTGAGACGGGGTTTCACCATGTTGGCCAGGCTGGTCTTGAACTCCTGACCTCCAGTAATCCACCTGCCTCGGCCTCCCAAAGTGCTGGGATTATAGGCGTGAGCCATTGTGCCTGGCTGTGCAAGTGTTTTTTTTCCCAAGACAACTATTTTCTTTGATATGCAGCAGAAGTGTTTGTCTGCTTCCCATTTTTTTCAAGTAGAATATTTAAAAACTTATACAAGGTTGAAACTGAATAAGATTAATCAGGGCTGGTACTAGGGTGAAGTGAGTGAGGTACCTTATGGTGCAAAATTTAAGAAGTCAAGAACTAAAAGTGAGTACATTTTGCCCTGTAGGTACCTCACTTACTGCACCTTGGCCCTGAGAGTAATAATTTTTACTGCTTTATCAAGGTTGTTTTTTTATTTTGCCCAGCTTTTTTATTGTGTTAAATTAAACAACATAATATTTACCATCTTAGGCCAGGCGTGATGGCTCATGCCCATGATCCCAGCACTTTAGGACGCCAAGGCGGCAGATCACTAGAGCCCA
Source organism: Homo sapiens (assembly GCF_000001405.40). Lineage (NCBI taxonomy): Eukaryota > Metazoa > Chordata > Mammalia > Primates > Hominidae > Homo > Homo sapiens. The sequence continues at coordinate 85,953,001 of NC_000009.12, forward strand.
GAAGTTTGAGAACAACCCAAGCAACATGATGAAACCCCGTCTCTATAAGAAAATACAAAAAAATTAGCCGGGCATGGTGGTTTGCACCTGTAATCCCAGTTACCCAGGAGGCTGAGGTGGGAGGATCACCTGAGCCTGGGAGGTCAAGGCTGCAATGAGCTGTGATAGCACCACTGCTCTCCAGCCTGGGCAACAGAGTGAGACCTGCCTCAAGAGATTTTTTTTTTTTTTTTTTTTTTACCGGCTTAACCATTTTTAAGTGTACACTTCAGTGGTATTTAATACATTTGTAATGTCTTGCAAGCATCACCACCATTCATATCCAGGACTCTTATCTTGTGAAGCTAAAATTCTCTATCCATTAAACAAACGGTAACTCTTCATCATTCCTCTCCCCATTCTCTGGCAACCAGCAGTCTACACTATGACTTTTTTTCTCTTTTTGAGACAGAATTTCACCCTGTTGGCCAGGATGGAGTGCAATGGTGCAATCTCGGCTCACTGCAACCTCTGCCTCCTGGTTTGAGTGATTCTTCCACCTCAGCCTTCCAAGTAGCTGGGACTACAGGCACCCACCACCATGCCTGGCTACTTTTTGTATTTTTTTTGGTAGAGATGGGGTTTCACCACATTGGCCAGGCTGGTCTTGAACTCCTGACCTCAGGTGATCTGCCTGCATTGGCCTTCCAAAATGCTGGGATTACAGGCATGAGCCACCATGCCTGGCCCTACAGTATTATTATTGACTACTTTAAGTATTTCATTTAAATGGACTCACACAGTATTTGTCTTTTTGTGCCTGACTTTTTTCACTTAGCATAATGTCCTCAAGGTTAATCTATGTTGTAGCATGTCAGAATTTCCTTCCTTTTTAAGACTGAATAATATTCCATTGTATGTGTAGACCATGGTTTATCATTCATCTGTCAATGGGCGCTTGGGTTGTTTCCCATGTTTTTTGATTGTGAATAATGCTACTGTGAACATGAGCATACGAGTACCTCTTTGAGACTGTTTTCAACTTTTCTGGGTATATGCTCAGAATTTGAATTGGCTGGATCATATGGTAATTCTGTTTAAAATTTTTTTTTGTGTTTAGAGACAGGGTCTCACTCTGTCACCCAGGCCGGAGTTCAGTGGTTCTGTTGTGGCTTTCTGCTACCTCAAACTACAGGGTTCAAGCAATCCTCCCACCTCAGCCTCCCCAGTAGCTAGGACTACAGGTGTGCACCACCATGCCTGGCTAATTTTAGAAGATATTTTATAGATACAGGGTCTCACAGTGTTGCTCAGGCTGGTCTTGAACTCGCGGGCTTAGGCAGTCCTCCTGCCTTGGCCTCCCACAATGCTGGGATTACAGGTGTGAGCCACTGCATCTGTCCTGTTTTTAATTTTTCAAGGAACTGCTGTACTGTTTTCCACAGTGTCTCGACCATTTTACAAACCTACCAGCAGTGCACAAGGGTTTCAGTTTCTCCACATCCTCATAACACTTATTTTCTGCAGGGATTTTTTTTTGTAGTACCCATCTTAATGAGTGTAAGGTGGTGTCATTGTAATTTTAATTTGCACTTTCCTAATGAATAGTGATCATCAAGGGCATTCTTAGATTGAAGAAAATTTTTGTCTTTTTTTAGCCGTAAGTGCATGGAAGTGAAGAGTACATGATTAGTTTAGCTTGGGGCCACTGTCTTGATTTGTGCTGAAGCTGCAGCAGTTTTGCCCTCCATTGCCTTTTTACCTTCCTATCATTGCTTTTGCATCATTAGTACAGGTGTCAACACAATAAAAAAAGACAACGAATGTTTTGGTATGATTATCAAAGTAATTTTAACATGGCAAGTTCCTGGGTTCCCAGACCACTCTTCGAGAATTGCTGGATTACTAGTATGTGTTCTGCTATGTTTTGTTGTTTTGTTTTGTTTTGTTTTGTTTGAGAGGGAGTCTCCTTCTGTCACCCAGGTTGGAGTGCAGTGGCACAATCTCGGCTCACTGCAACCTCTGCCTCCCGGGTTTAAGTGATTCTCCTGCCTCAGCCTCCCAAGTAGCTGGGATTACAGGCACCCACCACCACACCTGGCTATTTTTGTATTTTTAGTAGAGATGGGGTTTCACTGTGTTGGCCGTGCTGGTCTCAAACTCCAGACCTCAGGTGATCCACTAACTTCAGCCTTATTGGTGTATTTTCACACATGATTCTTATCTGTTTCAGTACCTGGAACTGTTAGAAATTAATATTATTTAACTTACAGTTGGCTAGGGAAGATTGGCTAAAGTTCTATAAACTGCTTTTTTACACCTTCCACAGGATTTAGCCATCTATATACATATATATATATATATATATATATATATATATATTTTTTTTTTTTTTTTTCTTCAGACAGAGTCTCGCTCTGTTGCCCAGGCTGGAGTGCAGTGGCGTGATCTTGGCTCACTGCAAGCTCCACTTCCTTGGTTCACGCCATTCTCCTGCCTCAGCCTCCCGAGTAGCTGGGACTACAGGTGCCCACCACCACACCTGGCTAATTTTTTTGTATTTTTAGTAGAGATGGGGTTTCACTGTGTTAGCCAGGATGGTCTCGATCTCCTGACCTCGTGATCCACCCGCCTTGGCCTCCCAAAGTGCTGGGATTACAGGCGTGAGCCACCTGGCCCGGCTGCCATCAATATTTAATCTACTTAGCATGTTATAGCAGTGATTTCTGACTTACCTGCATATTAAAATCATCTGGAGTGCTCTAAAACCACTGTATAGGTCCCAACTCTAGATTTCATTGGTTTGGGATGCTGCTTGGACTTTGGGATTTAGAAAGTTTCTCAGTTGACCCTAATATGCAGCCAAGGTTGAGGACCACTGCTTTATAGGGATTGAACACTGTTTTGATTACCTGTTTACTCAAGTGTCTTCTACATGATTTAAACAAAATAGGATTTTAAAAAATGGTTTTGACACTGTTACTGGAACAAAAGGAAATTAGATTATGGTAACGTGGTTTAAAAACTTGAGAAGTAGCAGTCAGTTCTATGTAAAAGTTTACTTGGCGAAATATACTAGTGATTTTTAAAAATGGGGTTGGTAATTCTGATTGGAATATTATGGCCTGCGATGGGTCACTTATTCTCAAAAGTATTATTTTTTTCCTAAACCACTTGATTTATCGTATTCTTTTGTATTTACACAAGTACTCACTGTATAGAATGCATTATATTAGTAATTGAGTAGAAATAAGTATTTCTTAGAAAATGAATTTTAAAGTAATACAAGCACATCTTTTCAGGTGCTAATGTCTTTTTTTTCTTAGAATTAAAAGTTAAATATAAATATGTTCAAAGGGTTTTTCTCTTTTTTTTTTTAGAATTAAAGTTGGGAGAACTACTTCATGATAAGCTGTAAGTATTTATCCTTTGAAAATAGTGTAGTGTAATGTTTCAGTCTGTTTTTTTTTCCTCATGTGGAGTAATATTCCCTGAAGTTTGAGTAAATTTACGTTTCAAAATTGTGAAAATAAAACTAATTATAAATATATTTTTAACTGTGATGAGCTATTTTGGGGCAGCTGACCCTAGTTGTGATGTGAAATGGTTATACCTAGGGAAACTGTAACTTATGGTCCTTTCCTTGAGAGCAGATGTAATGAATGTGGAATTTCTTGAATAAAAGATATCAGTTGTATGTCATATGTGATAGGTTGCTTGATAACCAGAAATTGGGTGACTAAGTGCCTAGATAAAAGTAAATGAGAATCCCTGTGTCTTAGTCAGTTTAGTGTTGTTGTAGCTGAATACCTGAGACTGGGTAGTTTATAAAGAGATTTATTTGGCATACAATTCTGATGACTGGAAGGTTCAAGACTGGGCAACTGCGTCTAGTGAGAGCTTTAGGCTGCTTCAACTCATGGTGGAAAGCAGAAGGGGAGCAGTGGGGAGTGGCATGTGGTGCAAGGAGATCACATGGCAGAGGAGGACGCAAGAGAGAGAACCCGAGGAAGTCAGAGTCTTTAAAACAAACCACCCTCTTGGGTAGTATCGTTGACCCTTGAGCAACTTGGGGATTGGGGTGCCGACCCACCCCCTCACAGTCAAGAATCCACGTATAACCTTTGACTCCCCCAAAAGCTTAACTACTGGTAGCCTATCATTGACTGGAAGTCTTACCAATAACATAAACCATTGATTAACACATATTTTGTATGTCATATGTGCCATATACTGTATTCTTAGAATAAACTAGAGAAAAGAAAATGTAATGAAGAAAATCATAAGGAAGAGAAAATATACTTACTGTTCATTAAGTGGATCATCATAAAGGTTTTCATGTTTGTCATATTCATGTTGAGTAGGCTGAGGAAGGAAGAGGAAGTTAGTCTTGCAGTCTCTGGTGGCACAGGTGCAAGAAAACCTTTGTCTAGGTGGACTCCTGCAATCCAAACACATGTTGTGAAAGGGTCAACTGTAATTCGTTCCTGGGAGAGCAAGAACTCACCTCCCTGGGAGGGCATTAATCTATTCATGGGGATTCTTCCCCATGCCCCAGACACTTCCCACTAGGCCTCACCTCCCAACACTGCCGCATTGGGGATCAAGTTTTAACATGAATTTTGGTGGAGGCAAACCACATGCAAACAATAGCACCTTGGAAAAACAAAATAAATGGAAATACTTGTTCGTCTTTATATGCCCATATGTAGCCCCAGTTCCTATACTGCCATGGCCAGGCTCAATTTTCAAGGTTAGGAATATGAAACTTTTAATTAGTAAGTAGACAAGATTGGACATTGTGGTTGCAGGGAAGGGGAAGTAGAATCTGAAATTCAGTTCTTCTCAGATTTGAGCGTGTGCCAGAATTGTCTGGAGGGCTTATTAAAGCGTAGATTGCTGGGTCCTACCCCGAGAATTCTTTATTAGGTCTAGTGTGAGACCACAGACATCTTATATATTTTCTTTTTTTTTTTTTTGAGAGGGAGTTTCACTCTTGTTGCCCAGGCTGGAGTGCAACAGTGCAATCTCAGCTCACCGTAACCTCCGCCTCCCGGGTTCAAGCGATTCTCCTGCCTCAGCCTCCCAAGTAGCTGGGATTACAGACATGCACCACCACACCCAGCTAATTTTGTATTTTTAGTAAAGATGGGGTTTCTCCATGTTGGTCAGGCTGGTCTTGAACTCCCAACCTCAGGTGATCCACCCGCCTCAGCCTCCCAAAGTGCTGGGATTACAGGTGTGAGCCACCACACCCGGCAGAAATCTTTTTCTTCCTCACAGTGCATGTGAAATAATTTGAGTGGCAAGTACATGAAATAATTTCTGTGTCAGTCGACAGTTAATTGAAATAGAAGTGTTAGCAAGTTGAGAAGACTAAATGCATAGAATACTTTAGTTATTAAAAGTAGTATAATTTTATACCGTTGTGAAAATATGAATAAGCTTACTGGCTCAAAAACAATTTGTTGGCTCAATTTTTTTATTTGCAGATTTGGTCTTTTTGAAGCCATGTCTGCTATTGAAATGATGGATCCCAAGATGGATGCTGGCATGATTGGAAACCAAGTTAATCGAAAAGTTCTCAATTTTGAACAAGCTATCAAGGTAGTTACCATTGTACTTTTTGTGTTTCCATTTATCTTTTGTTACTTCCTGTTAAAACATGGTGCTTAATAATGAAATGAAACGTTGTATTAAAGTCTGTTTCCTTCAAAGCAGCTCAAGCATATAAACAAGAATTAGTTATAACCTTTGTATGTTAAAGTCTGAAAATTGAGGTCTTCATTAAAATCTTGCTCTAAATTTGTGCATTTGTGTACTTTTAAATTTAATTTTTGAAAGCATTTGACTATATATTCAAATAGGAAAATTGGCTTGGGGGTTAAATTTTGTGTATTAATATATTCATATATAAAAGTAAATTTACACAAGTAAAATACTTGTGGTAGTGAATTTAAAATTGCTTTAGAAATTCATTTATACTTGCCATAGAGTTTGATTTTACATATTTTATAAAGAAAGATTTACTAGGCAAATGGATATCGTAAACAAAATTTACAAATAGTATAGTTAACCAACTTAAGTGAAGCATTTTAAAAAATCTTTAGTTTTCGGCTGGGTGCGGTGGTTCATGCCTGTAATCCCAGCACTTTGGGAGGCCGAGGTGGGTGGATCACGAGGTCAGGAGATCAAGACCATCTTGGCTAATACAGTGAAACCCCGTCTCTACTAAAAATACAAAAAATTAGCTGGGCGTGGTGGCAGGCGCCTGTAGTCCCAGCTAATCCGGAGGCTGAGGCAGGAGAATGGCGTGGACCCGGGAGGCGGAGCTTGCATTGAGCCGAGATCACGCCACCTGCACTCCAGCCTGGGCGACAGAGTGAGACTCTGTCTCAAAAAAAAAAAAACAAAAAAAAAAACTTTAGTTTTCTTTCTAAGTAGTTTTGGGTCATTAAAATGATTTATATTAATACTTAAAGCTGGTTTGAACTGTGCTTTTAAAATACTTGTTGATTTGGCTTTTCATTTTATATAAAGGCCTTTATTTTGATATTTCTTGTTGAAGACCTAAGATATATTGTTTTTACAATTATTATTTGTCAATTAAAAATAAAATTTATAAGAAGATATATTGTTTTTAAGAGTACAGAGTTAATTTGGTGTGATAGTTTTATCAGATGATAAGATAGCATTTTCTTAGAATTGCTGTTTTTAAATATTGAATGTTAGAAATCCAAAATGCTACTATACATAGTAACCATAAGTTTAAAAAAATTTCTGCTTATATGTCACATTCTTCCTCCTTTTTAGGATGGCACTATTAAAATTAAAGATCTCACCTTGCCTGAACTGATAGGGATTATGGATACATGTTTTTGCTGTTTGGTAAGAATGGAAATAAGACTATTGGTTAATTTTAAAACTGTGACTTACCTGAATCTTGTGATTTAAAAGCCTATACACTAATGTTGAGTATGAAATAAATGTAATACTTGCCCTAGTAAAGATGTGCATAAGATTAACAGGCCTAGTAATAGCATTTCATCTTGTTATCTACTTGATTTTACATTCTAATTTTCTGGGTGAAGGGATATTTTCTTTTCAATGAAGATAATATTATAGCCGTGGTTCATAATACCCTTTTCGTTCTCAAGTTACTCAAGTGATAAGTCTGTAATTGGAAGGTTTCATAAATAAGCATGGAATTGAAACAAAAGAGAGCTATTATGCAATGGCTTTGGAGAGATTTTTTCTAATCTAGGATAAATTGTAGTAAACTGGCCATCTCCTGTGAAGAAAATTTTTTTAGTGATTTGTATATGCTGAATTATGTCTTCCCTAGAAAGTACTGTTTGTCGAGAAATTCTCATTTCTACTGCTTCCCCCCCGCCCCACTTTCTGACCATCCCTTTCTTTTTATATTGACATTAAATCATTTTCCTTAGAAATATGTAAAATTTATTCATTTGTTCATTCAGCATTTATTGATTGCTAGTGTGTGTACTTGTATTAGGTGTTTTATATGTATAGTTTTCACTTATGTTTTACATGAGCTTTATTAGATATCTGTATTATCTTACTGCCTGTGATTACATTGCTTGGGAGGGGCCTAGCCAGAATCTTAATCCTGATCCTTCATCTTCCAAAGCTGTCTCTTTACCCCCTCAAAGATTTCTTTATTACCTTTTAGCAGTTTACAGTCCTAGTGGGTGGAGTAAAGAAAGGAGTCAAAGGATTGCTGGGAACAGACATGTGAATAAACAATTCTGACAACATGTAAATGCTTTTATGACGGTGCCGTGGGAACAGAGAGGAGGAGTTAATTATGTCTGAGAGAGTAAGAAAGGCTGTAGAAAGGAATTAATACTGGTGTGAGGTACTAAAGAATGGTAGGCGTATGACAGGAAGATTCATGGTTTAGTAGGCAAAGAGGGTATATTGCATGGGCATGACAATGTGAAAATGTTCATTTTGGAAAATCATAAATAGCTGCTTAAGTCTGGCAGGGAGCCAAGTAGGAGGAGTGTGGGATTAGTGGAGAGTGGTGGAGAAGGAGGAAAGGATAAACAGAGGGAGGATTTTTGCCAAAGTTGAGGAACTATTCTGTGAGACTCTTGGGACTGTATTTAAAAATTTGGACTTTAAAAGGCAGATGGTTTTTAGTCTGGAAAGTCTGTCTTCTGCACACTAGTTAATACCAAATACACACCTTAATTACAGAGTTTTCCACAAACATTTGTCATTTTGCAATGCAGTAGCGTATGTCTTACTCTACTGCAGAATTCTTGGGCTTAAGGTAAAAATAACTATAAACTTGGGCAAATGATTTAAACTCTTACTCTGTTTCTTTACATATAAAAGGAGAAAAATACCACCTTTCTCAAAGTGCTAGGAAAAAAATGAGATAAGATATTTGAAAATAACCTAGTATAATATTTGAGACACAGTACTTACCCAATTTTGCCTATTGTTGGTATTCCCAACCTCTAGTACATGGTGCCAGACATATAGTGGTCACTTAGTAAAATAGTATAAAACAATTATCTTAGTGTTTTAGAAAGATCTCTAGTTGGGGGTATTAAATTAGAGATGGGAGGCAGGAAAACCTATCTAGTTTCTTGAAATAATCTAGGTGAGATACGGTGTTGGCTGGGTTGTGGTGGTAAGGATTATAAAGTTCAATGAGTGTCTAAGGATCTGGTTAGTTCTATAATTGTGAATTTTCCAGTTTATGGATTTTTTTATTGACTACATTGTGGAGTTGATTTCTTTTGGATGCTACATAAAGAGGCAGTCTTAATTTCATTAATCTCTAATATGTTGCAAACTGATTGATGTACGACAATGATTCCCATAGACACTTGAAAAATGTTAGTCAATGAAAGTGAATTCTAACGTGTCTTTTTTTTTTAAGTCTTGTGATTAATCTTATTTGGGTCTATGGTGCTCTGGCCTTTGACTCTAGGATCAATTTAGACTTTGCAGACTCAGTTTATCACCTTAAATATATACTCTTTTGTTTCTTTATAGATAACGTGGTTAGAAGGCCATTCACTGGCACAGACAGTATTTACGTGCCTTTACATTCATAATCCAGACTTTATAGAAGATCCTGCTATGAAGGCTTTTGCTCTGGGAATCTTGAAAATCTGTGACATTGCAAGGGAAAAAGTAAATAAAGCTGCTGTTTTTGAAGAGGTAAGATTTCGTAATGTAAGAAATCCTTGGCCAGGTGCGGTGGCTCATGCCTGTAATCTCAGCAGTTTGGGAGGCCAAGGTGGGCAGATCACCTGAGGTCAGGAGTTTGAGACCAGCCTGGCCAACATGGTGAAACACTGTCTCTACTAAAAATACACAAAATAGCCAGGTGTGGTGGCATGCATCTGTAATCCCAGCTACTTGGGAGGCTGAGGCATGAGAGTTGCTTGAACCCAGGAGGCAGAGGTTGCGGTGAGCTGAGATTGTGCCACTGCACTCCAGCCTGGGCAACAGAGCGAGACTCTGTCTCAAAAAAAAAAAAAAAAAAAGAAAGAAAAAAGAATTTCTGAAGTTCATTGACTACCTTATTCACTGTGATGTATTTAAATGATTTTGTGATATGTACTTTCGTCTACGTGTATATTTAAAAACAGTTTTTAAAAGTAATGCTGTTGCCATTTACAGATATATTGGGTAAAGTAATTCAGTTCTCTCCAAGAAAGGGCTTTCATCTTAGCATATGTTCTTTCTGTAGTACCATTCATTGAATATCCGTATGTGCAGAGTGCTGTTTTTGGATGTTGTGGGGATTCCCAGAGAAAAATGAAAGAGACAGCCCTTGTCCTCAAGTCTCTTAGAAGTTATAATACAAAAAGGGAGCTAAGGAGAACAAAGATATGAATATTTTAGGGTATAGACATTTTCCTTTAGTTTGTCCTAAGTACCTCACCTGAGGAAGTATTGTGAGTTTTAGAGATAGAAAGATTTTTTTCCCCTTTAGTATAAAAAATAAGCTTTCAGACGCTGATAATTTTCAGGGAATTGCATCTCAACCTAGGACTACAAAAAAAAGAATTGTAAGGGAAAATGTGATAGCATTTGAAATTATTGATAACTATTTTTGTTAAATTCTTCTGTTGAAACTGATATTTCTTTTTAGTGCTGTTACTGCTCCAGAATAAATTTCCTAGGATCCAACAGTGGTTCAGTGTATAATATGTAAAACTTTTCTCAATTTATACTATGTATGTGAGAATAATTAAATGTATACCCAATATGTTTGTCCATATTTGAAGGTATGGCTTTTTTTTTTTTTTTTTTTTTTTTGAGAGGGGGTTTTAGTCCTGTTGCCCAGGTTGGAGTACAATGGGGCAGTTTCGGCTCACTGCAACCTCCATCTCCCGGGTTCAAGCTATTCTTGTGCCTCAGCCTCCCGGGTAGCTGGGATTACAGGCGTGCACCACCATGCCTGGCTAATTTTGTATTTTAGTAGAGACCCGGTTTCACTGTGTTGGCCAGGCTGATCTCGAACTCCTGAGCTCAGGTGATCCACCTGCCTCAGCCTCCCAAAGTTCTGAAATTACAGGCATGAACCACTGTTCCTGGCTGTATGGCTTTGTGAGTTGTTTGAAATAGTGTCTACTTTTTATACAGTTGGTGGTTATTTACATATTTGTATTGATATGGGTATCATTATGGAAAATCTTACTCATTTGGATGGAATTTTAAAAAGATTAGTTTGAGTTAGAGATATACAGATTATTTTAAATACTAGTATTTTCAAAGTACAACTAAAAGGCCATCAAAATCAATGGGGCAGAGAGAGGATTCCTTGAACAACAGTGTGTGAACAAGGTGATTAGCACCCTTGAAAGTTACTTTATCATCATTTCATATCAAAATTTCAGATAGCTGAAATGTGTTAAGTATAAAAAATTACTTAAAAATCAGGAGAAGATAGTTCACAGAAAATAAAATGGCCTTTAAATGTAAGGTGCTTAACCTCATTTTAATGCAAATTAAAACTGAAATGTCATGTTTTTAGCCATTGTTGGCAAAGATTAGAAATTTTTTATAACAAGATTGTTGAGGATGGGAAAACAGGCACTCAAATACTCTATGTGTGTGTCAATGAATATGAGCAGTCATTATTTCCCACTTCTTAGTCTTTTTTTTTTTTTTTTTTAGAACTTCTTATTGGGGAATAATTTCAGATTAACAGCAATTATGGGAACCAGCACAAAGAACATATGATTCGTATGCAGATTCAGCTACTATTAACATACTGTCCCATTTGCTTTTTTCACTTATGCGCGTGCTCCTGCTCATGCTCTCTCTCATGTATATATGTATGTATGTCTTTTCCTGACCTGTTAGTAAGTTGTGCCCATTAAAGCCTTCTTCGCTGTGACACTTTAGTGTGTTTCTTCGAAGAAAAAGGGCACTGTCCTGCAGAACCACAACACAATTATCAACTTCAACAAATCTGTAATAACAATGCACTATTCAGATTCCATTTTTGTTAATTGACCCAATCCTTAGTGTTTTTTCCCTACAATACAGGATCCAGTTTAGAATTATGTCCTGCATTTAATTGCGTATCTCTATAGTATTCTTTAAGCCACATCAGATCCTCAGCTTTTCTTTGTCTCTGGTGACATTGATATTTTTGTGAACACAACCTTATCCTGCTTTTCATTTCTTAATAGGCTATGCTTCACTTGGGTTTATCTGTTCTTTCCTTACGATTAGATTAAGATTGTGCAATCTTGGCTGGAATATAACATAAGTGATGTGTGTTTTTCAGGGTGTCACAACTGGAGGTACACTGTCTGTCTTTCAATGGCGATATTATTTTGATCAATCCATGAAGATTTTGTCTTATTACCATATGGTTACTGTTTTTTTCCCTTTGTATTTAAGCAATCTTGGGATACACTTTAAGACCATAAAAATATCCTACTGACTGAAGTCTCTCCCCTTAGATCAAATATCCATTGACGGTGCTTGCCTGGACTAATGTTTACTGTGATGGTTGCAAAATTTGTATTTTTTTATTCTAGTTCATTTTCCACATTGATCAGTCAGCACTTGACATCCTACTCTAAGCAAGACTCATACTTTTTTGATGGGAGTGTAAATTCTTAACGACTTCAGAAAAGAGCAATGTGGTGATATCTATCATAATCTAAAATGCACGTCTTGACTCAGCAGTTTCACTTCTAGCACTCTATCCTACAAATGTATTTGTACACAAAGACCTGTGTACAAGGATATTACTTACAGAATTGTTTGTAGTAACTAGTTTGGAAACCACCTCAGTATCCATCAGTAGGAGACTAATTAAAAGATGTTACATTCATACAATCAAGTGCTTTGCTGCTGGCCAGGCATGGTGGCTCATGCCTATTAATCCCAGCACTTTGGAAGGATGAAGTGGGCGGATGGCTTGAGCTGAGGAGTTCGAGGCCAGCCTAGGCAACATATCCAGACCCTGTCTCTACAAAAAATACAAAAATTAGCTGGGTGTGGTGCTGTGTGCCTGTAGTCTCAGCTACTAGAGAGGCTGAGGTTGGAGGATCACCTGAGCCTGGGGAGGTCAAGGCTGCAGTGAGCTGTGATTGTGCTATTTTACTCCAGTTTGTGTGCAGAGTGAGACCCTGTCTCAAAAAAAGGGTATTTTACTGCCTTTAAGATGGAGGTCAATTAAAAAAAAATTGGAAAAAAAATGAGATTGATTTATGTGTAGAGATAAGATTAGATTTCTAAAGTGAGAAAAGTCGGGTGTAGTAAAGCATGTATATAGCTTGCTACCACTTTTTTCTTTTTTAAAAAGGGAGGTAGCTAAATCTTCATACATAAGAGGATAACAGGTTTTAAGGGCTGGGGTATACACTTGTTTGCACTGTTGGGATTTTTAGGGTGTGTCTGCATTATTTTGTTTTTAAATAAAGTAAGTTTTTTAGTAACAGAAGAAATTGTAATTGAATTTTATTTCTAGGGGGTTCCACTTTGTTACCCAGGCTGGAGTGCAGCGGCATGATCGTAGCTCACTGGTAGCCTTGAACTCCTATGCTCCAGCGATACTTTGTCTCAAGCCTCCCGAGTAGCTAAGACTGCAGATGTGTTCCACCACACGTGGCTAATTTTTAATTTTTTTTGTAAAGACTGGGTTTTGCTTTGTTTGCCAGGCTGGTCTCAAACTGCAATGCTCAAGTGATCTTCCCACCCCAGCCTCCCAAAGTGCTGGAATTATAGCTGTGAGCCACCACACCTGACCTGTAATTGAACATCCATTTATATTCTGGATGAAGGTCTTACTAGGAAATGGGAGAAATCTTAAAGGAAGAGACTAATAGGACAAGAGTGATAGAAAAACTTTTAGGAAAAATAAAGATACAAAGATAAGACAATTTTTATGAATTATGATCGTGTTCAAATAAAGTACAACACTCAGGCCCAAATGAATAAATGGGCAATAAAATAAGTTGCTTATTTTATGAAGGAAGGTTATCGAATGTTTATAACACCTTTAAAATTTAGCTTCACTATAATCCAGGAAATACAAATGAAAATGTAGTTTGATTTTTTCTTTCTTTCTTTTTTTTTTAACCTCACCCACCTCTTGATCTCAGATTTCGCGGCTCCTAGAACTGATTGATTTTCATGAATATAATTTTAAAAATGAAAATGTTCAATGTTGGAAGGAATGCAGTAAGTTGACACTTCTGTTTTTACTAGTATACATTAGCACAGCTGTCTTGGCAAACAGTTTAATAATGTGTATATCAAGAATCTTAAAAATACTGATATCATTTAAACTAGTTATTTCACCTCTATAACTCAGCCTTAAAGAAATAATTAGGCCGGGCGCTGTGGCTCACGCCTGTAATCCCAGCACTTTGGGAGGCCAAGATGGGCAGATCACCTGAGGTCAGGAGTTCGAGACCAGCCTGGCCAACATGGCGAAACCCCGTCTCTACTGAAAATACAAAAATTAGCTAGGCGTAGTGGCACATGCCTGTAGTCATACCTACTTGGGAGGCTGAGGTGGGAGAATCGCTTGAACCCGGGAGGCTGAGGTGGGAGAATCGCTTGAACTCAGGAGGCGGAGCTTGCAGTGAGTCAAGATTGTACCACTGCACTCCAGCCTGGGTGACAGAGTGAGAGTCCATCTCAACAACAATAACAAAAAAGGAAGTAATTAGAAATGTGGGTACTTTATGCCACATAGGGTTATGGTTGAAATAAATTATGGATAATTGATTACACATAATTTATTATGTATATTGAGTATGTAGTTATTAACATGATGAAAGAGTGCTTAATAACATGGAGAAATGCATATGTCAAAAGGTTAAAAAAAGCAGCATTGTAGCCAACTGTGTAAAAATAAAACTGGAAAGAGAAAACCAGAAGTTTGCTTCTGGGCCAAAAGATTCTGTTTTCTTCGTTTTGCTAAATTTTTCAGATTTTCCAGATAAGTTTGTCTTAGTCTTATAATTAGAAAAAAATACGAATCTAGTAAAGTCCTCAAGAGACCTAGTGATGAATAAGAATGATTTGGCCGGGCGCGGTGGCTCACGCATGTAATTCCAGCACTTTGAGAGGCCCGAGGTGGGCAGAGGTCAGGAGATCGAGACCATCCTGGCTAACACAGTGAAACCCCGTCTCTACTAAAAATACAAAAAATTAGCCAGGCATGGTGGTGGGTGCCTGTAGTCCCAGCTACTCAGGAGGCTGAGGCAGGAGAATGGCGTGAACCCGGGAGGCAGAGCTTGCAGTGAGCTGAGATCCTGCCACTGCACTCCAGCCTGGGTGACAGAGTGAGACTGTCTCAAAAAAAAAAAAGATTTATAATGAGCAAATTATTGATTTAAATTGGATATTTCTGGAGTTCCTAGCTGCTGGTGTATTTTGTTCTCAGGCGTGTCTCCTGATCTGGAGACGTTTTCTGATTTCTTTCTTAACATCTTGCTCACATGCCCAAAATAGGAACCCTATCAAACTACTTTTCTTTTGGCATTCTGTATCTTGCAATATCATACTGCCAGTGTTATCTTTGATTACCTCTTTCTTCTTACCCCTTACGTTCGGATTATTTTGCTTTGGCTTGCAGATGCCTTGAATCGGGGCACTGTTTTTTCTCTCACCCTTTCTGCTTTAGTTCGTCAACCTTAGGTTTGGCTTCCTTGGAGTTTCTGAACTCTTCTCTCTGGTCCAGTATTTTCTTTCTAGTTCATTCTCCATGTGACCAGCAGTTATCTTCCTAAAAATAGGTATCCTGTCACCCAGGCTGGAGTTCAGTGGCGCTATCTCGGCTCACTGCAAGCTCCGCTTCCCGGGTTCACGCCATTCTCCTGCCTCAGCCTCCTGAGTAGCTGGGACTACAGGCACCCACCACCACACCTGGCTAATTTTTTGTATTTTTAGTAGAGATGGGGTTTCACTGTGTTAGCCAGGATGGTCTCGATCTCCTGACCTCGTGATCTGCCCACCTCGGGCCTCTCAAAGTGCTGGAATTACAAGTGTGAGCCACCGTGCCCGGCCAAATTTGTTATGTGAAAATTTAAGTGGGGTGTGTGTGTATGTACATTTTAATAAAAGTACTAATACTTGTATGTAGTTTAAAAAGTTAAATAGCCCACTTATGAGGAAAAATAGTTCTCTGCTCTTTTTTTTTTACTGTTCCATATTATCTCCATATATCTGGATATAACCTAATATTCTAACTTCTGGATTTAAGGATTTACTAACTTTAGCTTTGATATGTTAGATTAGATCAGAATATATCATATATTACCTCTGCCCTTGCCCCAACTAGTAATCTAAAAGCTGGTTAAATCATTATGGAGCATCAATGTTGTTGTGATTGTATAAATATTAATGAGAGGTGAACCAAAGTAGTATATGCTTATATTTCCCTTCTCATACAAAATTTTGTTTTTCTTATATGTGATAATTGTCTCTCTTTTTGATTTGCTTAGTTTTCTATGTACTTCTCCCCAGTTCTTTTGCCCTCTATTGTGAAACCTATCAGATAATCTGTCAGTTGTATATATTTTTTTGAAAATGCTCCTCTTGAAGTCTTGTTCTCCAGCTTCAGTCTGCATCACTGTGTGCTATGCCCACTACACAGCTGTGTCATTCTAGTTTTTTGTTCTCTGTTCTCCAGGAATTTCATTGTTTTGTTAGGTCCCTTGTTATCTGGCCCACATGCCTTTATTATTCTTAGTTTATTGTTTTGCTTGGTGGAATATTTCCAGTTCTTCAGAGAGACAAGAAGGTAGATTTTGAGACCTGGTATGTCAAAAAAAAAAAAAAAAAAAGTCTTCCCTATCCTCACACTTATTTGGTAAGTTGCTATTTACCATATAAATAGAAGTAGTCTTCCTACCTGCCAAAATGTGCCCTATATTCTGTTGCTTTTCTGTTATATAGATGGACCTTCTGTATTCCTAAGGGTGATAACTTCTGTTTGTGCATTGATCCCATGCTCTATCTTCAAAGATACTACTCTAGCAATTCTTCCCTGTGTTCTTTGCATAATGAATTTACCCCTCTGCTAGATAATTTACATCAGCATGCAAACGTGCTTTATATTCCTCTTGTTAAATCTATCATTTCTTAGCATAATATTGTCCTTCATCTTCTGCACATACCTTAATTCTTTTCAGCCAGATCCTTTTTAAAAGGGGTACCCACAGCCTGGACAACACAGCAAGACCCCATCTACAAAAAATAAAAAATTTAGCCAGGCATGGTGATGTGGTACACCTCTGTAGTCCCAGCCACTTGAGGCTGAGGCAGGAAGATCACTTGAGCCCAGGAGTTTGAGGCTATGGTGAGCTACAGTTGCACTCCACTCCAGTCTGGATGGTCAAATGACTCTGTCTCTTAAAAAAAAAAAAAAAAAAGATGTGTTCATATTCAGTGTCTCTGGTTTTCTTCTTTTTCTCTCTGCTCTAGTCAGGCTTTACACCTTTCACTAAAACTACTGTGTCACAGTCATCAAAGACCTCAGTGTTAAATTCAGTGGTTAGATTTGGTCTTAAACTTGAATTACCAGCAGATTTTGACGTAGTCATCACTCCATCCTCAAAATACATTCTTTGCATGGCTTTTAAGATGCTTTTCTTCCCTGGTTTGCTACCTCACTGGTGGTTCTTGACTGTTATCTCTTTCTGTAAACCAGAACTATACCATAGAAATATAATGTAAGCCACATGTATAGTTCGATTTAGTGTTCTAGTGGCCATGGGTGAAAATAATTTTAATGCTATATTTTATTTAATTCAGTATATCTAAAATATTAATGTTTTGGCTGCATAGTATTGTGTGAAGAGTACAGTTTTTGAATACTTATTTCTGGCAATCAAAGGATGCTGCAACTACTGGACAGAAGTATAATGAGACACCACAGGATATATACCTAGTCTCAAAATATCTTTCCACCAGATACTTATTAATTACAAAGGGAAAAATGATAGCTTTGTGATAGAGAAACTTGGCGGATAGCACCTTAGTCAAGTGGCCAGAATTACCATTAGTAATTGGACAGATTGACACGTGCCGGCTTATACAGTGCTCTAGGAAGGACACATCATCATTTCTGTGGCATTCCTATCAAATATGATATAACTTAAATTTAATCTTGAAGAAATATCAGGCACACCCATTACTGAGGGATATACTACAAAATGTATACTACAAAGTACTATTCAAAATATACTATTTTGAAGTACTGTTTGAAAAGATACTTCCAAGTGTCAGATATGAATGTTAAGGACAGAGGAAATGCTCCAGATTAAAGGAGGTTAGAGACATGAATTTCTGTATTTGGTAATTGTACTGTGATTATGCAAGAGGAAGATTTTGTTTTTAGGAAATCACGCTGAAGTGTTTAGAAGTAAAGGGGCGTCATAGTCTGCAACTTAATCTTGAAGGTTTCATTTTGTCATTATCACAAGTGCTAACCTGTTTGTTAATACTCACAAACTGTCTTCTCACTTGTTAAGATGAAAGCATTCCTGTTATAATCTAAGCTCAGCTCCTCCACTTGTGTTGCATTACTAGGCTCTCCTTCACTACTCGCTTACTCTTATTGGCATGTAAACATGCTTTACATTCATTTGAAAACACCACAGTTTCCTTGATCCCATGGCTCCTTGTATCTACAGTCCCATTTCCCAGCTACTTGCCAGGAAAAATGTCTTTAATGATTTGCTTATGTTACTTTTTCTTTCATTTTATCTTTATTTACTCCAAATGGTCATTCTTTACCACCACTACAGAGAACTGGTCTTTACCCATCTTGCTAAATTCAGTGTTCTCACCCCTCCCTCTCCAACCTGTGAGCATCGTTAGACCCGGTTGACACACTGTGAAATACTTTTTTCTCTTTGTCTTCTTAATACCAGTCTTTTGGATTTCTTTCTGCCTCACTGGTAAGCCTAGTTCCTGTGCTTACGTCTCTAATTGCTAGAGTACTCCTGGACTCCCTCCCTCCTCCATAACTGTTCCCTAGGTTGATTTCCTCTAGTTCTGTGGCATTCAGTATCAACTAACTATACAATGATGAAGTCCAAATTTATACCTCTAGGCTTGAGTCTTTCCCTGACTTCAGTCTCAAGCAAGTGAAATCTGAAATCTCCACTTGGATGATCAAAGAAATTACAAACTTGATATAACCAAAATTATACTTCATTTCTGCCCTTACACCTGCTCCTCCCAAATACTGCCTTATCCCAGGAAATGGTACCATCACCTGCTTAGACCAAAACCCTAAAAATGAGGCTTGATTGTATAGTTTACCTCATATCCACATTCAGTTCATCAGCATATCATGTTAGCTCTACCTTTGAAATATATCCTGATTTTTTTTTTTTTTTTAACCAACTTCTTACTCTCCCCACTGTTGCAATCCCAATCCAAGTCATCATCAGCCCTTGCTTGGACTGTTGGATAGAGTCCAATGTCTGATCTCCCTAGTTTCACTCTGACTTCTGTCCTCAAGTCCACAAATCTTCAAGAGTGATCTTTAATGGTAGCAGTCTGTTTACATGACTCTCTTGTTCTCACTTATCCAATAACTTAGATTAAATTCTTATTACTGAGGTTTATATTCCCAGGACTTGTGATGTTCTTCCAGAAAGTTTTCCTAAGACTCTTCTTGGCAAACTTACAGATAAGTTTTATGGATATTTTTGTTTTGTTGTTTTTCCTCCACAGTGTTTGTCTGATTTTTTAAAAAAGGAAGAGGAAGCTGGATGTGGTGGCTCACACCTGTAATCCCAGCACTTTGGGAGGCTGAGATGGGTGGATCACTTGAGCTTAGGAGTTCGAGACCAGCCTGGACAACATGGCGAGATCTCATCTCTACTAAAAATACAAAAAAATTTAGCCCGGTGTGGTGGTGCATGCCTGTATTCCCAGCTACCTAGGAGGCTGAGGTGGAAGGATTGCTTGAGCCCAGAGCGGGGTGGAGGTTACAGTGAGCTAAGTTTGCGTCACTACACTCGAGCCTGGATGACAGTGAGACCCTGTCTCAAAAAAAAAAAAAAAAAAAAAAAGGGTCGGGGGGTGGAGATTTTATGTTGAAAAAGAAAAACCTAAATTTTTTTCTGAAAAATTAGGAGACCTGACCACACTGGCCCTGTATTCATTCATAGCCACAACAGGATAAGTAGTGGCTGACTCCTTTTAAATGAAGCATATGTTTTCCAATTTGCCAGTCTCTACCATTCCCTAGTGTATGTTGTAGCTAGCCAGATGTATTTAGGAAGATAACCTGCCTTTTGAGTTCATGACCCCTGCCCTGGAATAAGTCATTCGTTGAACACATATTTATTGAATAGAAGTCTGTTTAGCACTATTCTAAGTCCTATAGGTGAAGTAGTAAATAAAGCCGTGATCTCATGGATTATACCTTTCTTGGGACAGATAGTCAATGTATATGTAATTAAATACACATATAATGTCAGGTGGTGATTAAGTGCCATGAAGAAAAGTAAAGCAGGCTAAGGGGATATAAAATGGTGGATGGTGCTGTCTTAGAATGCATGGGGAAAATCTCTATTTGAGGAATTGACATTAGAACAGAGGCTGGAATATAAGGGATGAAACCTTGTAAATATTTTGAAGAAAATCATTTTGGTGTGGGAGCCGTGAGAGGAGAACGTGTTTGGTATGTTTGAATGACAAGAAAGACCTGTCAGACTGCAGTGCAGTGAATGTGAAGTGGTAGGAAATAAAGTTGGCGAGGGAGACCGGGCCATGTGATGTAGGGCCATAGAGGCCATGGTGGACTTAGGGATTTTGCTATGAGGTAGAAAACTATTGAAAGGTTTTGAATAGGAAATGACATGATGTGACTTATTTTCAGACAATCCTTCTGCCTTCTGGTGGTATATAAATTATAGCAGGGACTAGTGTGGTAGGTGGGGGAGTTGTCTGGAGGTGGTTACAAGAGTGAGCAATAGTGGTGACTTAAACTAGAGAGAGCTGTGAAAGGGTGAAAAGTAGTTAGACTAGAATCTGAAGATAGAGCCTACAGTGTTTTCTGGTAGATTTGATACAGGATGTAGAAAAACGAGAGGAGTAGAGGCCAGGTTTTCAGCCTGAGCAACTCTAGATAGGTAGTAGTGCCATTTAGTGGTATGGTAAACACTAGGAAGTAGGCGTCAAGCTCCTTTTTGGAGATGTAAAATTTGAGAATCCTGTTTGATGTCCAAGTAGAGACAGACTATAAAAGAGAATAAGCTTATATAGCTCTGTAATATGATGAGTGTTTTTTTTTTTTAAGGATTTGATCATGTAAGTCATAAAATACACCTGAGTTCTTTGAGACCAAGGACATTGGGTTTATTTTCTTACTGTTTGTGGGGTATAGTACCTCACTTGAATTTGATGCTCACTGTTTTTTTTTTTAAGAATCCAGAAATTGTGCTGTAGCTCCATCCCCTTTTGAAACTATTGTTCTGTTATTTTAGGATTCTATCTACATTTTTTTTTTGAGGCAGAGTCTCACTCTGTCGCCCAGGCTGGATTGCAGTGGCTCGATCTCTGCTCACTGCAGCCTCCACCTCCTGCGTTCAAGTGATTCTCCTGCCCCAGCCTCCCAAATAGCTGGGATTACAGATACATGCCACCATGCCTGGCTAATTTTTTTGTATTTTTAGTATAGACGGGGTTTCACTATGTTGGCCAGGCTGGTCGTGAACTCCTGACCTCAGGTAATCCACCCGCCTCGGTCTCCCAAAGTGCTGGGATTATAGGCACGAGCCACCATGCCCAGCCCCTAGCTATGTTTTTATAGGAATTATAGTAGGCAGAAACACTCTTTTAATGGGGCATATGACTTGTTAATCAAATCAGCCAGATGACAGTAAATGTATTTTCTTCAAAGGAAGTCCAGCAAATCACTTAATTTGTTAATGACTCAGCAATGAAATCATTTAAAAAATGATTTGGGGAATGGGGGTCCTATGTCTGAATGACTCAGTTTTTTTCCTTCCAATGGACTATAGTGGAACATGGTTTTACTCTCACTTTGAATAATTCTGTTTGAGAAATCTTAACTGTGCAAGCAGTCACTTAATAATTTTTTAAGTAGTCTTATCTAAATCTTGCAGCACGGTCATTTAACAGTAATTATTACATATTTACTGTTCACCTGTGAATGTGAGACTACTTTGTGAGAATTATTACTGTGCGATATTTTCTTAAGCATTACCCTTATATGGCAAGTGAACGTATTAAATTGCCTAAGGACAAGCAATTGAAAGTAAGGACAGAGACAACATTTGAATATGGTGTTTTAAGTGTATGCCTTCAAGAAAAGCTTGTGTGTATCCTAGCAATATTTAGACAAGCAGGATGACCTCCCATTTCTCTTTGTTTATTAAATAGTGATTTTGTAAGAGAAATATAAAGAAAAGTTTTATATTTTGCCGCTATTTAAGGTTTTTTGCTATTCATGAGCCTGATTATTTCCTTTTTGTATAGGAAGATTTTCAGTCAATGACTTATGGATTTAAAATGGCTAACAGTGTGACAGATCTTCGAGTTACAGGTAAAATTATTTTTAAAGTTAATTCACAAGTTTTACATTTTCATATGTTTCCTTTTAAAACTTATTGTTTCTTTTTCTAGGCATGCTAAAAGATGTGGAGGATGACATGCAAAGAAGAGTAAAGGTATATATGTTTTCTGTTTGGTGTGGGGTTTTGGTACACTTCTAAATGTCAGTTTAACTTTACCTAATTAAAAATGTGTAGAACCACCTTTCTCCTGTATGTGCTTTGTATTTTTTTTTTGTAATGAATTTGAACACTGCTAGAGGAGTTTCTGATAAATTAATGTCATTTTCAAATTTTAGTATATGTGCTGCCGAAGCGAGCACAAATTAATGTCATTTTCAAGTACAGCCATCCCTCAGTATTCTCAGGGCACTGGTTCCAGGACCCCTGTGAATACCAAAACTCAAGGATGCTCAAGTCTCTTATATACAATGGTGTGATATTTGCATATAACCTGTTCATGTCCTTCTGTATACTTTAAATCATCACTAGATTACTTATAATATTTAATATGTAAATGCTATGTAAATAGTTGTACTGTACTTTTAAAATTTGAATTTTTTAATGTTATTTTAAAATTTTTTTCTGAATACTTTCAATCAGCGGTTGGTTGAATCCAACCCATGGATACAGAGAGATGAGTATATTAAAATTTAACCCACTTGATTCTTTCAACTTTTTGCCAGTGTTTTAGATTTTTACTATGGTATTTTAAAAATAGTATTTTTCTCCCACTACTGTTTTGGGTTCCTCAAGGTAAGGACTATCTTGTTCACCTTTGTATCTTTAATAGCTGGTACAGTGTCTGGAACACAGTAGGTGAGCTCAGTAAGTGGTGATATCCCAAATCTGGTGAAAACCTTCTAGATGACCTTGATGATTTGCTGCTTTTCATAGAGATGGGGGAAAAGTTATATTTCTACATTTTTTTTTTAACACTAGTATGACAGTATGGTTGTCAAACTTCATATTCTCTTTTTTTGATTTTTACAATTCAGTGAATTGAGCAGTTAGACACACACAGTGCTCCACTTTTAGATGAGGAAAATACAGATCAAAGGAGTTAAATAACCTGTGTCTTAGCTTTACTAAAGGGCATGTAAATGGCAGCTTTAGGGCTAGAACCCACAACTTCTAGTAGATCTTCCTGTAGTACCACCCTGGTATTTGGTCAAATAAAATTGTCCACTATAACATTTGTATTAAGAAATTGTGTATTTTAGTGTAAAATGGATCGGTATTGACCATTGAACTTTATTTTTTCATAATGTGATTTTTGTGAAGGTTACAGTTTTTTTCTAACAGGGTTAGTTTTGAGAGCATCAGGAATTTCAATTAATATCTCCTTTTAAAGGAAAATATACTATGTGCCATATACTTCTGCTTATGTTATTTCATTGTTTTGCTTTTGCTGTTTGAATACTTAATTCTTTTCCATGATCTTTATAATTTATGTCAAAATGACCTTTCTGTGTATAGGATTAATAGGAGGAATGTAAATACTAGACACGGCTTTTTTTCCCCAACTATTTTCCCCAAAAACAGATTCTTGTGTATACTTAAAAAATCAGTGTTTTTCCTTATGTATTTGTAATGTAATATTTTTTCAGGTTTGTGTTTAATTCACCTTTTTTAAAATTTTAGAGTACTCGAAGTCGACAAGGAGAAGAAAGAGATCCAGAAGTTGAACTAGAAGTAATTGAACTTATTTTCTGGTAGATAATATCAGAGAAGTCTACCTGTTAATGTTGTAGTTTTATGAACTGCGTTATAATTTATGGAAGCCCTTTTTAAGGTATTTCTTTAAAAATTGGACATTGCAAGGGATTTTATTTCCCTTGTATTTATTTTGATAGAATGATAATACAGCTCTTTCAAATAGATGATTTCAAAACTCTTCAGTATTCCTGTGAGGTAGGAAGAAAAATACGATCTTTCACAGATGATGCACCAGAGCGCCACAGTATCAAAAGTTGCTGAACCTTTGTCGAGATTCTAAATTTTCTGACTCTGCTTAAAGCACATTTTAATCAGTCCTTTTTAAAATGCAGATAACATCAGTTTTTTGAGGTAATAGTGTAAATTTTGACTTAGGACAAGATCAGTGCTGTTGATATAGAAACTTCACATTCCGATTTCAAAAGAATAGGCTTTGTTTTGTTTTCTGCAGCTCATTTTTCAGGCTTTTAAAAGCCTGTAAGTGAAGGTGCCTGTAATGTAGTAAGTTATTAACATTGAGATTTAGGAGTTAATATATTTTAAATGAAATTCCTTTCACGGGCTTTGCATCTTTTAACTTTTAGTCCTTTCTTGTTTTTTTAGCACCAACAATGTTTAGCAGTATTCAGCAGAGTGAAATTTACTCGTGTGTTACTGACAGTGCTTATAGCCTTTACTAAGAAAGAGGTAAGGGCATTCAATATAATATGTCTATTTGTTTTAGTGATTTTGGCTGGAATTCCTGAGTGAAGCAGTTCTGAAACTTCTCCCTTGAAGTGCTCCTGATCCCAGATATACAGAACTCAGCATTTGGTATATTTATACCAGTGTAACACTGATGACTTTCTCAAGAAATCACATGAATTTTGTTTTATTTTTTACTTATTTGTAAATAATACATTAGAAGCTGAAATTACTTGTAGGTTGTTATATTTTGTGAATTGAAAAGGAGAAAGTAAAATTTTAGGTAGGCCTAGTCTTACCTTCAGTTACATAATTAACTGTTGGGTTTGTATAGAACCAAAAGCAAGCCCTAGATGGTGAATATTTTTTCCTTTTTGTATTTTTGCACTAATTCAAGTCAATTACAGATTAATTTGTGAATAATTTATAAGTGGTGAATAGGGATCCAATTTTTACCACTAATTTAATTTCTGTAATTCTATTTCTTCCCATTTTTTTTTTCCTACCTTGATGAATGACATGGTAGAATTGTTGAAAATTTTTTCATTTTCTAGTTGATTGCTTCTTTGGTTTTTATTGTGAAAAAAAAAACCAAAAATATTTTCTATTATTTTAATTGATCCTACAAGTTATAGATGTGAGTAAAAAAACCATTTTCTATCCTAACAGGATCTGGACATCCTGTATTAAGTGCATAGTTTATGAAAACCAATGTCATTACAGCAAGCATTTAATTTCATTATTGTTTATAGGATTTTCCTATTTAATGTATATCTTTCAGTGAAAGAATATGTAAGAATGTTTTTGGTGATTTATTTGCTAGACCAGTGCTGTTGCAGAAGCTCAAAAATTGATGGTTCAAGCAGCAGATCTTCTTTCTGCCATTCATAATTCATTGCATCATGGCATCCAGGCCCAGAATGATACTACAAAAGGAGGTAATTGTTCAATTTGCTCCTACTCTTTCTTTTCTTCGTTTCTATCCAAAATATTTAGTGCTTAGCTTGTACTAAAGTTTTTTCAAGTCAGTCTTGTACCTTGGGATGTTTTAATCCAGAGACTTACAGTGTTTAGGCTCTTCTCTGTAAATATATACTAGACTAAAAAACAATACTGTAGAACTTGGCCGTTTCCTGTATATTACTATTTAGACTTGGAATATGTATCCTGTCTTATGTCCATGCTGTGATGTTACAGTCTGGCAGCTTCTTCTTGCTGCCCAGAAAAGCCAGCGCAATGAGAACAGCAGAGAAAGAGTTTAATTATCATGAGTCAGCCAAGTGGAAGGATGACAGCTGTTTCTCAAATCTTCCTCCCCGAGAATTCAGGGACTAGAGTTTTTGAAGAATAGTTTGGCGGGCAGTGGGTGAGCAAGGAGAGGAGATTTGTTTCAGGAAGGGACAGTTACCATCTTTATTTAAATTGTAAACTAAATTTCTCCCATAGTTGCTTGGCCTACACCAGGAATAAGCAAAGACAGCTTGTGAGGTTAGAAGCAAGATGGAGTCAGCTATGTCAGGTTTCTCTCATAATTTTTACAAAGGCCATTTCAATAATAATGAATCACCTTTTTAATCACCTCTCCTCTTTTTTGTCTGAGAGATTGTCACTTCGATTACACATGTTAGAAATGATTGTTCCCCAGTGCTGTAAAGAAATAGCACTTGAACATAAATTTAATTTCCTTGGCAAGGCCATTTTTACTTTCTGCAGAAAGGGTACACTCACCAGCAGTTTTGCCACGAGAGTACGCTAAGCAAAGGAGACAGGATCATTTATAACCTGACACGTCCACCCTACTGCTGTGTCCGGTTTCCATTGGCTGGAACAGGACCTTACATTTCTGTATTTGTCCCAATTGGCTAGCAACTTAGAACTTTTTAAAAGAGGCAAAGGCAGAGGAGAACAAAGGAAGGAGGAAGTAACTTGTGGAATGCTGAGAAAAGTAAAAACTCCTTCAAATAAGAAAGAAGAACAGGCTATGACCTAATGCTTGCTTGGACCAGTAAAAGCATGCCAGGGCAAATATTTAGGCTAAATTCTGGGAGCTAAGAACATAAAGTACATTGATTTATTATGGCTAGCAGATATTTAATAATGTTAGCACAGGTTTTTGAATAAATTTTGCTTCTAAGAGAAGTTACTATTTATTCCTAATTAGATGGGGAGGAAAGTCTTTGAAGAGGAACTTCTACTTTGCTTTTTACACACAGTCTACTCTGAACACCAGGCAGGCGTTAGATATTCTCCCTGTTTTGGAAAAGATTTCACTCTGTATTTTTCCTGTGCTCTCACACCACCACAACAGTCATCAGTACAGAAGACTTGAGTGATAACTGTGTAGGTTTTTCCACACACACCAGCTGGATGCCCTCTAATTAAACTCCCATTGAAGGAGTGTTTGTGGTAGTGTGGAAAACACAAACTCCAACCTCTACTATCTACCCGGAGGTAATGCCAGATCCCACAGGTTGACGGCTCAGTCCCCAAGACTGCTCTTCCTCCCCAAACACCAGTTCCATGTCTGGGTTTCCAGAACTTCTGACCCACTGGCTTTAAGTTGGGATTCCCACGACTCTCTTTTTGGTTTCAGCTAATTGGCTGGAGCGAGTCACAGAACTCTGGGAAACACTTGGTGTGTTTACTGGTTTATTGTGGAGGCTATAGGATGTGAAGGATACAGATGAAGAAATGCATAGGGTGAAGTATGGGTAAGGGTCTCGGAGCTTCCATGCCTTCCCTGGGTGTACTATCTCCTAGGAACCTCCACATGTTCAGATATCTGGAAGCTCTCTGAACTGTGTCCTCCTGAATTTTTACAGAAGTTTCCTTACATAGGCATGATTGATTAAACCTTTGGCCATTGGTGAGCAACTGGACCTTCAGCCTCTCTCCCATCCCTGGAAGTTGTGGGGTGGGGCTGAAAGTTCCAGCCTTGTACTCATGCCTGTCTTTTTGGTTATCTGCCCTACCCTGAAACTATCAGTCATTCGCATATCAAAAGACAGCACTCGGAGAGTCTAAGGATTTTAGGAGTTAACGTTAGGAAACAAGAAGGAAGACCAAATATATATTTCATAATGTCACACCCTCTGTGTTCTCACTGCATTCATACAGGCCTCTGTTACATTTTCTTGTACTTTGTATTTTAGTTTTTTACCCATTTGTCTTTCCATGAGATTTTGAGCACTTTTAGGCCAGGCACTCTCTTCTTGTGTATTGCCATGCTTGGCATATTGTTGGCACTCAGATTTTATTTATGAAATATGCCTTAAAAAGAATAGTGTACCTCTGTTGTAAAGTTTACAGTGGGTTAACATTGTAGATAATGTGTAGCAATTTTGATTGTCCTTAAAACTCATTAAAATGAGATGACATTTATATCCTTTTTTCGCCCCTCAACGACTTGGCCATTCCAGTAGAGAGGAAGAGAAATTTATATGCTTCAAATTAGTGTTACCCAGTTGTCAGTCTTGTAACCAGAAAGGCAAGTTTTTACTGATCGACACCTCATTCCTTTTCCACACCTACCCTCCATTTAGAGACAGACATTGTGTTCCCCTTCCCATATATTTTTCTTTCCGTGCTAAAATGTTAGGTAATACAGCAACCCAGAAGGTAATTTGGGTTAGGAAATCAGTATTGTCATAATTTTTGTGTTTCTACTAGTTGTGCTGACTTTGTATGTATTTATCATCATTTTCACTTTTTCCAAAAGAGGGAGTGTGTTTATAGGATGAGTGACTAGGTAGCATTCTGTACCATAGGACATAAGGAGGTGGTTATGCATAGCAACGTAGTAGTACATGTTTACAGAGAGGGATAAAATGTCCACAACTCTGAAATGCTTTGAAATCTACAGCAATAATACTTTTATGAAAACCACTATATAATAAATGACTTCAAAGTAATTTGTTGGTTTGTGTATCAAAAAGATGATGCAAAGCAAGAATCTTCCAGATGATTGGAATCTGGATGTTTCTTTTTGCCATGTCTGACTACTCCTGGGCTATTCTGCTCTGTATCTGTAATCAAACTCTGAGATGATAATTTCCGTGGGATCATTAGTAGCTACAGCTTGTGACTTTTCTATATTTCAGACCAGTGTTAAAAATAGCTTGTGCATATGATCTCCTCTATTACTCTGGTTTTATAGTGTGCTGACAGGCTTCAGGAAAATTGTTTATGTAAAATTGGCTTGAATAAACCTTTTAAAAATGTAATCTTACGACTAAGCAAGTGAAATTTTAAATTTAACAAGTACTCACCCTGTGCTTGTATGGGTAATACCTTTTAGCTGGCATAATTTAACGTTCTAATTATCCCTTAATCATAAGCTGTACGATTCTATAATTAAAAAGTTAATGCCTTCTTAATGTCTATTCTAGTAGAAGAATGATGAGAAAATAATAGTATAGATTAGTTTTGGTCTCTACTCATTTTGCCTTCTGATTATATTACAACTCCAGCTGGTGACAAGATGGCTGTGTAAATCTTGAAATCACTGAGCATTCATTTTAGCTTCTCATTGAAAG
This sequence comes from Homo sapiens, assembly GCF_000001405.40. Lineage (NCBI taxonomy): Eukaryota > Metazoa > Chordata > Mammalia > Primates > Hominidae > Homo > Homo sapiens. The sequence goes on from NC_000009.12 coordinate 85,981,979, forward strand.
GTAGATATTCAGTATGAATTGTAAACTGGCATTAAGGGAGAAAGTAGGAATAATCAAACTTGATCTGAGAATTACTTGCTGGTGCATTTTCTCAATGCATAGTAATATCTTTATGAAGATGCAGAATGCAAAAGTGGTTTTGGAGGTGGATAAGGAGGGCAGCTTACTGATAATGGGATTTTTTTGACGTGGTTACATGGAGCACTGTACTAGTAAAGTATTTGGCCCTGGAAAATGGATAGAGAAGCAGATTTTGGAGTCATTTTCAGTGCTTATTGAGGGAGCAGATGGTATTTACTTGGGACTTACTGGATTCAAAGATGTGACCTTGGGTTATATTGTTGTTGAAGGAAGAAAGGAGCAAAAAAATCCAGTGAAACTGATGTTTTTCTTTGTTTTTGCTTATGCTGTCTTGAATTTTACAGTTCTTTTTAATATGTCTGTGGAAGTTTAGCTCATCCTTTAAAATGATGTTCACATCACCTCCTCCAATGAGACTTTCCTGGTTCTATTTGTCAAAATATGTTTCTCTTTCCATGTTCACTCATAGTTATCTGTGAATTGGGTCTAGTTTACCCTTTAGATTATGAGCATCTTTAACAGTTGCCAATGGAAATAATATATTTAAATTTATGTTGCCTGAAATTAATAGATACTCTTGGGGAGTGTATTTTCAAATCTAACACACAGTTTCAAGAGGACTTGTCATCTTTTAAAAATAAATTAAAAGATACCTGAATAAACTTGGTGGGTTGAACACATGTATTTGCTTTCTGAAATTCCAAACAAGCAATGAAGAAGTGATTTTTTTCTTTCAAGGCATAATTGATAAAGATGAAAAAGACAGGGAAAGGAGAAAATAGCAACAAAATTATTTTAGAAGCTGGAAAACAGAAGGACATTGACTTACCTATCTCCAAATAACTATTTTTAGCCACTGATAGAGGAAGTCAAAGGCAGCCCAGTTTATACAGTGGATCTCCTCAAGGCTGCATTATTGGTTTGCCAGATACTTCTGGAAATGGGTATGAGAAATTTAGCTGAAAACATGAGAACTGGTTGATAATCTGTTCAGAAGCAGAAATTTCATCCCCCTTTTTGCTGAGTGACATTCCTGAACCTCACAATACTAAAAGTTTATTCTCTGGAGGAGGGGGACAGAGGGATTCTGTACTTGAGGGTATATGAGGCCCAGTTGAAGGGTACACATTATGAGAGAGTTAAGTGAAAGTTAAGTAGTCATTATTGTGACCTACTTTGATTCCCCATCTGCTCCTCTCCTCGCTCCACTCGGCCTTCAGAACAGTGTAGCCAGGCACATGCTCTCCACTTAAGAGTTTAGAAGATTCTTCTTAGGGAAATCTGAAAAGTCCAAGAGATGGGGAAAAACAAAAGCAAATTCTAAATATGCTAATTTCAGCAATTCCCTTGATAAAATGGCTTGGTTGAAAGCTTGACCTGTATTCACAGTGCTCTTAATGGTTTTTTTTTGGTATGTGCTCTAGTTTCAAATCTGAGTATATAGTTAAGGGTGGAAATCTCTAGCCTGAAAGAAAGAATAAAACAGGCAAACAAAGTACCTTAAGAGAAATGAGAAAAATCAGTACGTATGTAAAACAAAAATAGGATGCTATATGAAAGGAAAAAAGGGGAATATGTTCTTTGAGATTGAAAATAGAAGAGCACGGCGGGTGGGGGCCAAGGGGAGGGATAGCATTCAGAGAGATACCTAATGTAGATGATGGGTTGATGGCTCAGCAAACCACTATGGCACATGTATACCTATGTAACAAACCTGCATGTTCTGCACATGTATCCCAGAACTTAAAATAGAAGAGCAGAAATGACAAAAATAAGTAGGAAGTTTAGAATACAAAGTTGCAGAAATCTTAGAGCCAAAAATGAAAAGGTGAAAAATAGGAAAGATAAAGATTATACTAGGCTTAGTCAAGAAAGGTCTACTATCTAATAAAGGTAAGTAAATAAAACATATAAAGGATAAACTAATAAAAGTTGTTCCAGAAGTATAGATCAGAAAATAGAAGCAAAAAAAAAAAAAAAAAATCACTGGATGTGGTAGCCCATGCCTGTAATCCCAGTGCACTTTGGGAAGCCAAGGTAGGAAGATTGCATGAGGCCAGGAATTCAAAACCAGCCTGTACAACATAGCAAGACCCCATCTCTACAAAAAATTTAAAAATTAGCCAGGTGTGGTGGCATGTGCCTTGTAGTCCTAGCTACTCGGGAGATTGAAGTGGGAGGATTGCCTGAGCCCAGGAGGTTGAGGCTACAGTGAGCTATGATTGTACCACTGCATTCCAGCCTGGACGACAGTGAGAGACCCTGTCTTTTTAAAACAAACAAACAAACAAACAAACATGTAAGAAAATTTCCTGGAGACAGATGATATGAATGCTCAGATTGAAAGGGCCAATAAAGAGCCACCCAGCACACCAGAATGAAAATTGACTTGTGTTGAGGTGGCATATGATTATGAAACTTTAGAAAAGTGGCAACAAATGGAAGATCCTAAGAGAAAAGAGGCAAAACCAAGTTACACAGAATCAAGACAGAGTGTCACATGTGCAGCAGTAGTGGAAATTAGAAGTCAATGAAGTGAAAACCAAGATCATACTTCCTAAAGCAAAACTTACTCAAAGCTATAGCAATGAAGACAGTGTAGTTCTGGATAGATACAGATCAGTGGAATAGAACAGAATTGAGAGCCCAGAAATGAACACTCATGTTCTCGGTTGCTATTTGACAAGGGTGTCAAGACAATTCAATGAGGAAAGAAAAGTCTTTTCATCAAAGATGCTAAGACAACTGGATATCCACATGCCGGAGGATAAAGTTGGATACTCCCCATCACCCCTGCTGGTCTTATGCAAAAGTCAACTCAGAATGGATCAGTGACTTAAATGTGAGAACTAAAGCTATGGAACTCTTAAAACATAGGCATTAATCTTACACCCAGGTTAAAAAAAGCAAACCTGCATAAAAAAATGGGCAAGAGATTTGAACAGACATTTCTCCAGATAAGATTTGCAAATGGACAAAAAGTACATGAAAAGATGTGCAACAACATTAGTCTTCAGGGAAATGCAAATCAAAATGAAAAGTTACTGCGGCCCACCCACTTGATTGCTTTAATAAAAAAGATAATAAAAAGTGTTGGCAAGGATGTGGAGAAACTGGAGCCCTAATACAGTACTGATTGGAATATAAAATGATACAGCTCTCTTGGAGATAGTCTGGTAGTGTCTCAAATGTTAAACATAGAATTATCCAAGGGAAATGAAAACATCCAAACAAAAAGTTATACACTAATGCTCATAGCAGCATTATTCATAATAGCCAAAAGGGAAAAATAGCTCAAATGTCCATCAGTGGATGAATGGATGCATAAAATGGTATATCCATGTAGTGGTGTATTATTTGTCAACAAAAAGAAATGAAGTACTGAAGGACCTTTAAAACACTGTGTTACATGGAAGAATCCAATCAGAAAAGACCATGTATTGTATGATTTCCATTTATATAAAATGTCCAAAGTTGGCAAATCCATAGAGACAAAGTAGATTAGTGGTTTCCTAGGATTGGGGGAAGAATCATGGGCAGGTAAGAGTGATTGCTAATGGGTATAGAGTTTCTTCGTGGGTGATGAAAATGTTCTAAATTTGATTGTGATAGTTTCACAACTCTGTTAATGTATTAAAAAAACCATTGAATTGTATACTTTAAATAGGTGAGTTATGTGGTATGTTAATTATATCTCATTAGAATTGTGAGTAAAAGAAAATCACTAGAGAAATGATTTCAGACTGGGGGGAAATGGTTTTTAATGTTGAATTCTAGACACAAACCATCATTTAGTTTTGAGGAAAGATAATTTCAGGCACTTAAAGTCTCAGAATTTATCTCACAAAAGTTTTGGAAGATGTGCTCCATTAAAACATGGGAATAAATCAAGAAAGAGGGAAGCATGAGGTTTAGGGAAAATGAGAATCCATCATAAGAAAATAATGAAGGAAATCCCCAGGATGGTGGTGAAGGGAGAAAAACACAAGATAATAGCTGAGCACCATGTATGGACAAGTCCAGATTGGAGGAAGCCCCAAGGCTCTAGGGAAAATGTCTCGAAGATACAAGACCACTGTTGCATTTGATGTATTCAGAAGAGATTGAGAGAACTGACAAATGGTTTGGGGTTGAATTAAGCCTTATGAGACAATTATTAAACTTCAGAATGCATATGAAAATTAAAATTTTCACATCTGGGGCAATGGATAACTTAAATCATAGTGGTGCTAATGCTGACTTATTTACTTGATCATAGTGGTGCAAATGCTGAATATGGATTATAACCAAAATTATGATCTAACAGTGTTGTAGGTGAGGGGACAGAAGTGTGTGCAGGCATGTAATTTGTATGTGGTTACAGTGCTACTTGTTTTTTGTTTTACACATTGTCTCTGACTTCCTCCTTTTCAGGTCTCTGACATCTTCTAGAGATGGAGGTGGAAGTCAGAGATAATGTGTAAAACTGAAAAGAAACGAAGGAGTACTCTAAGCTTGTTTTTTGCCAATGTGTAGATCAGAGGTGTCCAATCTTTTTTTTTTGAGACGAAGTTTCACTATTGTTGCCTAGGCTGGAGTGCAATGGCGTGATCTCGGCTCAATGCAACCTCTGCCTCCCGGGTTCAAATGATTCTCTTACCTCACCCTCCTGAGTAGCTGGAATTACAGGTGCCTGTCACCATGCCCGGCTAACTTTTTGTATTCTTTTTTTAGTGGAGACGGAGTTTCACCATGTTGGCCAGGCTGGTCTCGAACTCCTGACCTCAAGTGATCCGCCCTCCTTGGCCTTCCAAAGTGCTGGGATTACAGGCGTGAGCCACTGCGCCTGACCGGGGTGTCCAATCTTTTGGCTTCCCAGGGCCACCCTGGAAGAAGAATTGGTCTTGCATCACACATAAAATATGCTAATGAGAGCTGATGAGCCAAAAAAAGAAAAAATCACCAAAACAAATCTCATAATGTTTTAATAAAGTTTACAAACTAGTGTTGTACTGCATTCAAACTTGTTCTGGGCTGCAAGTGGGACAAGCTTGAGGTAGATAATACCAAAAAAGAAATACAAGAGATAACTAAGAGGAAATGGAAGAGACTGCCTCTGGGGAGAGAGGCATGTTGGGTGGAAAACATGGTTAGAGGATTGATTGTTGGTTTTAATAAAAGCCTTGCTCAACTGATTCTTGAGCCACATGCATATGTGACTGAAAAAAGTTAAAAATGTTGTGTGTATTAAAAATAGATTAAAATATGTAGAATATGATGGTACATTATCTGTGATATGGCTCCTTTAACTTCCTGAGGACTACTGACCTTGGTGCCAAAGACAAAACTATGCTATTACAACCCAGTCGGCTTAACTTGCCCACCATGGCAGTGTATTGTGCAACAGAGGTAGAGCTGACTTCATTTTAAAATCACAAGCCGTTAGAGAGTACTAGGCCATGATGTGCTAGTGCCAGGAGCTTGAGATGTTTATTCTTTTAGTTCAAAATTTTTTCTGTTTTTAAAAAAGTCCGTGCATACCCACACATGTGTGCTTGTGTGTATCTAATCTAGAGGATTTCTAGTTTGGGGATGGTACTGTGAAGATGGCTCTGATGTTTCTACTCTCTAAAACCAGCCAAAATCTGTAAGGAATATGAGAAATAGAATCTTTCCAGTGTCTTAAAAAATAGGGAACACTTATAACCAGAATCAAAATAGAATGGGACCCAGGAGAGGGAGAACATTGAGAATGGATAGATTTTCTTAGTGTAAACATAAGTAGACCTGCAAAGGACAGTGTTCTCACAAGAAGTTGACAAAACTTGAAGGGAAAAAACTAGGGATTCTCTTGGAATAATCACAGGTGTGGAGTACACAAGCTGACTGTGTTAAACTATGTGAATAATACCTTGGAAAGGCAAAGGAGGTGGGGCTCTGCCAGAAAACATGCACATGTACTGTCTTGGTTTCTGCTGCAAGATAGAGGAGATGCTGTTGATGTTTTAGTAGTCTAGTTAACTGGTAATCTTTGTGTCAGTAAAAGAAACACATGCACACGGGCACATCACATGTGGCTTAAGGAAAGTCAATGAGGCCTCCAGCTAGCCTAGAGTGCTATTCTAACACCTCACTCAAAAAACTGGTTCAAGAAGCACTCCTTCAGTGATATCATAATCAAAAAAGAAACTGCATAGTATTTATACACAAATATTCCAAGAAAAGAAGCAGATGAAAAACACTGCTCAGAAACACTTTTGTACAGAAATTGAAAGAATTTATTTAAAAATGGCCTCTATAGAACAAGAGCAGAAAGCGAAAATATTAAGACTAAAAGAAGAAGTAATGAATAATAGAAAGGGAGTAAAAGTGACCAGGCAGAGTTCAGGAAAGCAGTAGAAGAGAAAAATCCTGAGAGATCTCATTGAAAATAGCAAAAGCATTCTAGACATTGCTGAAAAGCCGTAAAGGACATGGAGGGCCGGGCGTGGTGGCTTACGCCTGTAATCCCAGCACTTTGGGAGGCCGAGGCAGGCAGATCACCTGAGGTCGGGAGTTTGAGACCAGTCTGACCAACATGGGGAAATCCCCATCTCTACTAAAAATACAAAATTAGCTGTGGTGGTGCATGCCTGTAGTCCCAGCTACTCAGGAGGCTGAGTCAGGAGAATCGCTTGAACCTGGGAGGCGGAGGTTGCAGTGAGCCGAGATCACGCCATTGCACTCCAGTCTGGGCAACAAGAGTGAAACTCCGTCTCGAAAAAAAAAAAAGGACATGGAGGTCAGGATTGAGGAAAAAACTAAGCGAAGCAGAAGTGAGCAAAGGAGATGTGAAGTATGATGAGAAAGTAATAGCAAAAGAAGTCTCAGTATACATATGATTGGCGTCCCTTAAGATGTGAACAGTATAATGGAACAGAAAAAAATGTTAGACATTTCTAGAAGAAACTAGAATTAAATCCATGAGTGTCCATTGAAAGAGTATAATGTGTTCCAGGATAAATTGATAAAGAATTATTAATAGTAAAATAGAGCCTAGTAAATTAAGATCTAAAGCAACTATTATATTGGCTTCATGGTTCTTCACATCAACATCAACACAGAAAGTAGTGTAACAATATCTTCAAAGTCCTCAAGTAAAGAACTGTGACCTGCTGGGCGTGGTGGCTCACGCCTGTAATCCCAGCACTTTGGGAGGCCAAGGTGGGCGGATCATGAGGTCAGGAGTTTGAGACCAGCCTGACCAACATGGGGAAACCCTGTCTGTAATAAAAATAGAAAAATTAGCTGGGCGTGGTAGTGGGCGCCTGTAATCCCAGCTGCTCGGGAGGTTGAGGCAGGAGAATCGCTTGAACCCAGGAGGCAGAGGTTATGGTGAGCTGAGATCGCAGCATTGTACTTCAGCCTGGGTGACAGAGTGAGACTCTGTCAAAAAACAAAAAACAAACAAACAAAAAAAAACAAAGACAAAACAAAAAAACTGTGACCTAAGAGTTTTACACCCATTCCAAAGGTCTTTGAGTGACACTCGTAGAAATATTTTTAAACTAGCAAGAACTTGGAATATTTTTCCAAAGACCTTTTTCCTGGAGGAGAAAGACTGAAATCAGGAATGAAATTCAGCCTACTGAGACATAAATGGAAAAGCTGTGGCAGAAGGACAGGCATTGAGCATTGATTCTGTTTCATTGTAGAACTGTGGTTAAAACGGTGGAAATTGGTTTTACTAAATATAATGTAACATAACTGTCAAGAATCTTGACAATATAAAAGTAATTAACCAAAGTCAGGAAGTAACGGGGAAGACTAATTTTCTTTTATATGCAGGGGTCCAGAGATACTGGTTAAAGCTGAGAAATCATCTGTAATATAAAGATAGGTATATTTCAACATGTGGAGGTAACCAATGGCGATAGAGATAAGATTATTCAAGTTTGGTGCTTGTCGTAGTTCATTTTGTGTTGCTGTAACAGAGTTCCTGAGACTGGGTGATTTATTTTAAAAGAGGTTTACTTAGCTCATGGTTCTGCAGCCTGGGAATTTCAAGATTCATGGTGCATGCTCAGCTTCTGGTGAGGCCATGCACTGGGTCAAAACATGGCAGAGAAGTTAAGCAGACATGTGGAAAGAGGGACCAAACAGAAAGAACCTCCCTTTTAACAATACACTATCATGGGAACTAATCCGTACCTGTGAGAACTAATCCAGTCTCACGAGAGTGAGAAGGCATTAATCTGTTTAGGAGACATCTGCCCCCTTTACTCAGACACCTCCTGTTAGGCCCCATCTCTCAACACTGTTGTACTGGCAATTAAACTTCAACTTGAATTTTGGTGGGGACGAAAACACATCCAAACCATAGCAATGACCAAAGGAAGGTAAAGGGAGGTCTTTAGCATTATCATTGTTTATTATTGGTAAGAAGATTAACAGCTACCTTTCTGAAGGAATAGAACTTTAGAGATATTAATAAAGTTGTAGATACAAAATTAATAAAAGACTTCTCAATTATCAGAAGGAAAATACAGCAAAGAATGAATGATCTTAAAGATAACAAAGGGAACCATGTATTTCCAATTTAGTGATAACAAAACTCAGTTCTGATTCTTGCTCTTCTTTCCTTCTCTTCTTGAAAAAATTCACTCCTAATGCCATGAGATGGGCCTGAGCACAATGGGCATGTGCGCTAGAGCGAGACTTTGGAGCCTGCCTTAGGGATGATGATGGTGTCCACATGGGAGATAGGAGTAGCCTGACATAAGGTGTTGTAACCATGTGGGTAGGTGGAGTGTACTTGTAGCAGGGTGAGGCCTAGCATGGGCCATCAGAGTCTGTGTGGAGTAAGGAAGTGTCCATGTAGAATGGTAGTGGAATGGGGAGGGCATCTGCAAAGAGATAAACCTAGAGCAGGAGTTTGGAATAGTTCAAGATACCTTGAGAGCATCACTGTGAATCGGTAGCCTAACTGGATTCACTGCTTCTAAAGTGAGTGGAGAAGGGTATTTCCACAGGAGTGTAGCTGAGCTTGGGGTGCCTGAGCCTAAGCAGGATTGAGAAGGGGACCATGTGGGAACAACCTGGCACTGTATGTCAGGAGCCTAAGTAGGATGAGGAGGGTGTGTCTATGGGAAGGCAGTCTAGTACAGGGTTTTGGAGTATAAAGGCAGGGAGTAGAGAGAGGCATGGGGTGTGGGAGTCCAGGCAGGGTAGGCTCATGTTAATGGAGCCTGGCAGAGTAGGGTGGTGAAACCTGAGGTAAATTCATGGAGGTGGTTGTGTGCAGGGCTGTCAGAGACCAAGCCAGGTAATGAGGGCATCTGTGCATGTGGGTGACCAAGTACAGGGTTTCAGAGCCTAAGCATGTTGAAAAAGGTGTCATTGTGGAAGGTTTCCCAGGTATGGGGTGTCAGATCATAAGTGGGGGGAAGAGGCTGTCCAGGAGGACTGGATGGCATGAGATGTCAAAGCCTAAGCAGGAAGAGAAAAGTAGAAAGGTGGCTCCATGTGGGAAGTTGTAGCCTAAGCACACTGATGAAAAGCTTCTGTGCAGAAAGGTGGCCTGTTGTGGGGTATCAGAGCTTAGATGGGGTGAGGAGAGCATCTCTAGAGGAGTGCCAAATGGAGTGGAGGTTATGGTGGCCTAACATGTCAATGATAGGAGATTGTAGTGGACTGAATGATGGTCCCAAAGCTATCAAGGTCCTATTTCTACTTCTCAGAACCTGTAAATATTACTTTATTTGGGAAAGGGATCTTTATAAATGTGATTGTTAAGGGTCTTGTGATGAGGGGGTGATCATGGATTGTCTGGCTGTACCCAAATATCATAAGTGTCCTTCTAAAAGAGGTGGATGGGCCGGGCGTGGTGGCTCACACCTGTAATCCCAGCACTTTGGGAGGCCAAGGCAGGCGGATCACGAGGTCAGGAGATCAAGACTATCCTGGCTAACGCGGTGAAACCCCGTCTCTACTAAAACTACAAAAAAACAGCCGGGTGTGGTGGCGGGCGCCTGTAGTCCCAGCTACTCAGGAGGCTGAGGCAGGGGAATGGCGTGAACCCAGGACGCAGAGCTTGCAGTGAGCCAAGATTGTGCCACTGCACTCCAGCCTGGGCAACAGAGCAAGACTCCGTCTCAAAAAAAAAAAAATAATAAAAAATAAATGAATAAAATAATAGGAACATATCAGTTGGATATAGAAAAGAACTTGAAGGGGATCTCACGTGGTCAAAATTAGCAAAAACTTAAGCATCAAAGTAAATAATTCTGACAGATCATAACTTATTGAATAAAAGATAAAGCCATTATTCTACCCTGATATAAATAAATGAAATGGACAGTTTGATGAAAATATTTATATGAGTGTCCCCCCAACCCCCAAATACTTATTAATTTCAAAGGGAAAGGGAGTAACTACAATGAAGAGGCCTGTTGGATACACCTTAATCAAGTGATTAAAGTTCACATCACCAGTAGTAAGATCCTCATTTTGCTGATAGTGTGCAATGAGAATATAACATTAATTCTGTAATATTCCAAAGATTCATAATATGAATCTGATCATGAGGAAGCAAGACAATCCACATTGGAAGGCAGTATACAGAATTACTGGTCTGTTAGTCTTCAAAGATGTCAGTGTCATGGAAGTCAAGGAAAGACTGAAGAACTGTGTCAGACTGAAGGAGAATAAGAGGCAGTGAAATTAAATGCAGTTGACATGGTTATGAAGAAGTTTGTGAAACTTGAATGAAGTGTGAGGATTAGGTGATAGTAGTTGCTCAGTGTTAGTTTTCTAATTCTGATGGCTGTATTGTGATTATGTAAGACTATGTCTTTGTAGGAATAACACTCTAAACATACTTGAGGGTGGTTTACTATTGACTGTGCTTGGAACTTTTGAGATTGTTTCAAAAGAAAAAAGCTTACCTCAAAGCAAAATAGATCAATAATATGTTGGTGCTTTTGATATGTGAATGGATAAGTTATGATATATCTACACAATGGATATTATAATGGAATGAAATACTGATACATGCAACATAATGGATAAATCTTGGAAACATTATGTTGAGCCAAAGAAGTCAGATATAAATGAGTACAAATTGTCTGATTGTTTTGTTTGTTTAAAAGTAGGAAAGGCTAATCTTGTTTTTGAGACCGAGTTTCACTCTGTCACCCAGACTGGGGTGCAGTGGCGCAATCTAAGCTTACTGCAACCTTTGCCTGCCAGGTTCAAATGATTCTCCCACCTCAGCCTCCTGGGTAGCTGGGATTACAGGCGTACACCACCACACCTGGCTAATTTTTGTGTTTTTAGTAGAGATGGGGTTTCACCCTGTTGGCCAGGCTGGTCTTGAACTCCCTCAAGTGATCTGCCCACCTTGGCCTCCCAAAGTGCTGCGATTACAGGTGTGAGCCACCATGTCCGGCTAGGAAAGGCTAATCCATAGGGACAGGAAGAAGTTCCTTGGTTACTGAGCATTGGAGTGATAGACTGAGAAATTGCACAAAAAAACCTTTCGGGGTGGTAAAAACGTTCTTTTTGTTGATTGTGGTAGTTACATGGTTGTACATATTTTTCAGACCATTGAACTGTACATTTAATGTTTGTATTGTATGTGAATTGCGCCTCAATAAAATTAGAAAAGGGAAGTTTCTCCCACACGTGGAAGAAACTTGTAGTTGTGGTTATTTCTCCAGAGATAAACCGGGGATCACAAGTGGATGGCTTTTTTTTCTCTTAAACTCAGTGGTAAGAATGAGATTTTCAAAAAACCCTTTGCATCTATTAGATAGGGTCTCACTCTGTCACCCAGGCTGGAATGCAGTGATGCAGTCACGGCTCACTACAGCCTCATCGTCCTGTACTCAAGCTGTCCTCCCATCTCAGCCTCCCCAGTAGCCAGGACTACAGGCATGAGCCAGGACACCCGGCTAATTTTTTTTTTTTTTTGTAGTGACTGGGTTTTACCTGTTTAAAAATATATGCTAAACAGTATTAGATACGTAGATTTGTATGATATTACATCCTAGGTTACTCTCACCAATGACTAGGGTATAATATTTATTGAGGCCATGCCTTGAGTTTAACAGTTGTGTTTTAATACTATTTTGTAACATTTTGGTTAAATAAAACGTAAAGCTTACCATTTTAACCATTTTAAGTATACAATTCACTAGCATTAATTACATCCACATTGCTGTGCAACTATCACCACTGTCTCCAGAACTTTATGTTCTAAACTGGAACTCTACCCCTTAAACATGAACTCCCAGTTCCCTCCTCCCCACAAACCCTCACGGCCATTATTCTCTGTCTGAATTTCACTGTTCTAGGTCCCTCATACAAGTGATATTATGCAATACTTGTCCTTTTGTGTCTGGCTTAGTATAATTCTACAACTTTTTGTAAAAGGAAATAAAATAGCCAAGGAGTGCAGAATAACATAACCAAAGCTCAGCAGCTTTTATGTTGTTTTCCAGAATTCCTTCCAATTTAAGGGCAGCCAAAACTCGTTATTTTAATAAACCTGACTATAAATTGCCTATGTAACTCTGGAAAATATGTTGAATAAATAATATAGTGTCTCTCTTGACTAATACATTTCCAGATCTTTAATTTTGACATCTGATTTACTTTTAGAATAACTTACTTTGCTCAGTAAAACCAAAGTACTTGTTACCATAAATCTTTTATCCGGGGGGAAGGGGAAGGTAAAGAGAAGTTGGTTAATGGGTGCAAAAATAGTTAGATAGATGAAATATGTTCTATTATTTGATAGTACAGAAGGGAGACTATAGTTAATATTTTGTTGTATATTTCAGAATAGCTAGCAGAGAATTGGAATGTTACCAGTACAAAGAAGAGAGAAACGTTTGAAGTGACAGATATCCTAATTACCCTGATTTGATTATTACACATTGTGTACATGTATCAAAATATCACATATACCACAAAAATACATAACAACTATCATACATCAGTTTTTAAAAAAGAAAAAATTATTATGTAATGACCATGTGCTATTGGTAATACTTTTCTGTTATTAGTAATGAAGACCAGTGACCTAACAGGAATTGTAGTACCTCAACAGTTTAAACCCATGTATCATAATGTTTTGAAAATATCAGTTATACTTTATTATTTTAAGAGAGTGCTAGTTGAAGGGAAGATAATCTTATTTGGCCCTCTTGTACTGAGTGATTTTTAGCAATTTATTTATTTTTAATTTTTAAAATTTATTTATTTAAAATAATTATTTAAATTATTTTATTTTATTTATTTAAAATAAAAAATTATTTTTTATTTGAGATGGGATTTGGAACTAAGAAGGATTGTAGGCTAAAGATTTTAGTTTGGAATAATTTAAATCACAATTTATATTAGAATAAGTAACATCAACCAGTTGCTTAGGGAGAAAATACAGAGAAGAGGAAAAAGACCAAGAACCTTGAGAACATCTTTATTTGCGTGGTCCTAAAGAACAATTATGGTTTATATATCTCAGGGGCATTATAATATGGTTGTCAGTCTTGCTTTTAATTCTTAATAACAACAGCTATTCAGCTTTAATTTTATCTTTAATTGGCATCTGAAACCATATTTTTTCTTAGGTTGTGGCCAGTTTGTAGACTAGCAGGAGAACTTTGAATAAAAAATTCTTATTCATGTATCATTTTAGCGATATACTCCCTCATTTGAGATTTCAAGTTGAGAAAGACTTAGTTTGGAGCTATGCACTAGTGTGAAAAGTGAGATCACCAGTGGACAGAGAAGAAAGAGGAACTCACTCTTAGGTGTCTTACAATACTGTCTTTAAAATATTGTGGATTTCTGTAATTACATCTCTGTTCCAAATGCATTTTGGGCTCATTGAGGGTTGAGGGCAGTGCTGCTCTGCTCTGCTATTCAGGATTATTATATAGCTAAGTTTGAATGGATTCTACTGTTTAGTAATTGAGGGGAAGAGAAGCTTATATTATTTGTGTTCCCATTTTACCTTTCTTCACAATCTCATGGTTAATGTATCATTTCCTCTGTTTTGAAAGAATATACTGACCCTATTTTATCCTCAGAGTTTTTTCTTTGAGTTCATTTTGACATAGAAACTCCCCTCCATCACCACTATCACCACCATGTAGGTAGGAGGTACAGTTTTAGGTTATTAAATCTACTTGTTTAGTTTTTAAAAAATGTATATGTATAGATATATTCTAAATTATAAAATCTATTTAGAGGATTTTGTGGTTAGAATTTGTTTGGAAAAGCTTTTTAAACTGGCATTTTTATATTTAATAACATTTGCAGTTTAAAATTCAGAGAAAAGTTGAAAAATTTTACTTTCATTTTTTTCTTTTTAGATCATCCAATTATGATGGGTTTTGAACCCCTTGTGAACCAGAGGCTACTTCCACCTACCTTCCCTCGATATGCAAAAATAATTAAAAGGGAAGAAATGGTGAACTATTTTGCAAGATTAATAGATAGAATAAAAACTGTCTGTGAGGTTGTGAATTTAACAAATTTACATTGTATCCTGGTAAGTACAAATCTCTGTTCCAGAATGTAACTTCCATTTAAAAAAAATTGATACATAATAATTGTACATATTTATGTGGTAACTTTGGTTTAACAACAGAATAATTGATTGCTTTATAGACATTGACCAAGGGTAAATACTACTCTTTGTCTATTTTCTGTGATAGCTAGAGGATTAAGTGGTTCATAAATACTATACATACATACTGTTTAATCCTCAAAAGCTTTTACACTATTTTAGAGATTAAGAAGCCGATGTTGAAGGGTTAGATAATTCATCCAAGATTTGTTTTGAGACAGGATCTCACTCTGTTGTCTAGGCAGGAGTACAGTGGTGTGATCTTGGCTCAAAGTGAACTTAAACTCTTTTTTTTTTTTAATTTTTTTTGTGGAGATGGGGGCCTTGATCTGTCACCTACATTGGAGTGCAGTGGCATGATCTCAGCTCACTGCAGCCTGGACCTTCTCGGCTCAAGCAATCCTTCTGCCTCTCAGCCTCCCAAGAAGCTGGGACCACAGGCGTGTGCCACCATGCCCAACAATGTTTTAGTTTAATCATTATTTTTGTAGAGATGGGGTCTCACTATGTTACCCAGGCTGGTGTTGAACTCCTGGGTTCAAGCAGTCCTCCTACTTCTGCCTCCCAAAATGCTGGGATTGCAGGTGTGAGCTACTGCGCTCTGCCTAGCCTTGAACTCTTGAGGTCAAGTGATCTCCCACTTCAGCCTCCCAAGTAGCTGGGAGAGACACATGCCACTAGACTTGGATAATTTTTTTTTTTTTGATAGGGGGTTTCCCTCTGTTGCCCAGGCTGGAGTGCAGTGGTGTGATCTTAGCTCCCTGCAACCTCCGCCTGCCAGACTCAAGCTGTCATTCCACATCAGCCTCCCAAGTAGCTGGGACTGCAAGCGTGTGCCACCATGCATGGCTAATTTTTTGTATTTTTGGTAGAGACAGGGTTTCACCATTTTGCCCAGGCTGGTCTCTAACTCCTGAACTCAAGCGATCCACCTGCTTTGGCCTCCCAAAGTGCTGGGATTACAAGTGTGAGTCACTGCACCCGGTCAATTTTTAAATTTTTATTTATTGTGGAGACAAGGTCTCACCATGCTGGCCAGGCTGCTCTCGAACTCTTGGGCTCAAGCAATCCTTCCATCTTGGCCTCCCAAAGTGCCAGGATTATAGGCATGGGCCAGTGTGCTTGGCCTCACCTTAGTTTTAAGAGTGGGGATTGAACTCTGGATTCTGTCTTCAAAACATATAAATGTGTATATATATGCTGGTATACACATACATACATACATATATATTTATGTATGTGTGTGTGTGTATATATTTTTTTTGTTTGTTTGTTTTGAGACAGAGTCTCACTCTGTCGCCCAGGCTGGAGTGCAGTGGTGTGATCTTGGCTCACTGCAAGCTCCACCTCCCAGGTTCACGCCATTCTCCTGCCTCAGCCTCCCGAGTAGCTGGGACTACAGGCGTCCGCCACCACGCCCAGCTAATTTTTTGTATTTTTAGTAGAAACGGGGTTTCATCGTGTTAGCCAGGATGGTCTTGATTTCCTGACCTCGTGATCCACCCACCTTGGCCTCCGAAAATGCTGGGATTACAGGCATGAGCCACTGTGCCCGGCCTTAAGTGTGTATATAGTTTTACATGTAAAAATGGGATCATGGTGTTTGGTAACCTGCTTTTTAAAATTGCTTGTCTCTGTATCATGAACATCTTCCTTTTCATGTCAACAAATACATGACAAATTCTACATTATTTTAATGGCTGTGTGGTATTCCATTTTAAGCATATATTACAGTTTTTTAAATTTCATATTAAATTACATTTAGGTCATTTTCAGTGTTACAAACAATACTAAGATGAATATATTTATAGGTAACTCTTTTTATTGTATGCTTCCTTTCCCCTTAAGATAAATTCCTAAAAAATGAAGCTGCTAGGTACACTTTTAACTATCATATTTTGGATTAATATTTTTTATGGGTTAAAATATAGAAAAACAAGGCTCATTTTAAGAACATTCAGAGATGGAGCTTTTTTTTGTTTTTTGTTTTTCTCTCCTGTACCCACTGACAGCAGAAAAGCTTTTTAATTGGTAGGATTATAGTAGCACATGTAAGGTTAGTAGGAAAGGTAGAAAATGTGCAAGACAGTACTGTTGTTCTTAGGACATAAGTACACTAACATCTGTGGCATAGCTAGGCATTTGAGTGTTGTTACCTTACACACTGAGGTGTGGAATTGTCAGCCCCATGTCATTTTCTCTGTGAAATCTTCCCCTTTGGTTGCTGGTTGCCACTGTACCTGTGTTCCTTGAGCTCACACAGTATATAGTTTATACTCCCAGCATTTAGCAGCAGTCTCTGGGAAATAGTTGATAGTAAAGATTTGTGCTTTTGTTTATGTTCTTTATTTTTCCTTCTATTAATTCTTTGTCATTAAAACCCAGCTTAAGTCTTCATTCCTTAGTAAAACTTTCACTGATTATGCCTTTAATACCTTCTGTTGCATTTGCTTTCTTATTAGATTGCTCTTATTCTGTCATAAGAATCAGAATTTTAAAAGTTCCTAGGAAAAAGATCATAGAAAGACAGTTTTACAGTTAAACAAACTAAGGTTCAGACGTTCTAAAGTAACCAAATTAGATGACTATAGTAGCATATCTGGAATGAGAATAGATATTTTCTTATTCTCTTCTGCCACATTGACTTTTTTGATCTTAATTGTTACATGAATATACATTTGTGTTCACTAGATTAATTGCAAGGTCTTTAAGTAAAATCAACCTGTAAACCCATGTCAACCATAAGGTAATATGCTTTTAATGTATATAGTTGTTTTACCAGTTGTATTGGTAAGCAAATGGACTTTAAAATAATTTTTTTAGTAAGCAACAGGGCTGACTTGGGTTGTGACAGGCTCCTGATATTGAAGGCTAAGTTGTCTGCCATTATTGTTGGTCAATTTCACTGAACCCTCTGAGGAAACCATGGCCCATTCCAGGTACCTTAGGGGGACCCACACTGGTTCTAACCAAGGATAGGTAGCTGAGGCATTGTCAGTGATCCTTTAGAATTTTCTCAGCAAGCTGCAGGATTTCTTAATAAAGAGCTTGATCAGATAGATGCCCGAATAGGCATTTATTCTGATTTTGGTTTCTGAAGAGCTGCTGTCCCAAGCAGTTCTCCTTAACAAATCCAAGTCCAAAT
Source organism: Homo sapiens (assembly GCF_000001405.40). Taxonomy (NCBI): domain Eukaryota; kingdom Metazoa; phylum Chordata; class Mammalia; order Primates; family Hominidae; genus Homo; species Homo sapiens. Next base: position 85,999,801 of record NC_000009.12, read on the forward strand.
ATTAAAATACATACATTATTATTTAACTATAAAATTTGGAAGATGCAGAGAACTGTGAAGATGATAAATAACTGCTGTCCCACACTCTGTAGATGTTAGCATTTCGGTGTATTTTGTCATCTGGTTTTATATCTACATATAAACCCATATCTTTTCATTTTTTAGATAAATTTCTTTAAAAAAATTTTACATTTGAGGGTACATGTGAAGGTTTCTTACATAAATAAACACTTGGCCTGCCTTGGACTCTTATTGTTTTGAGGTGTGGTCCTTCAATACCTAGTTTATTGAGAGTGTAACATGAAGGGATGTTAAATTTTATCAGAAGGCTTTTCTGCATCTATTGAGATAATCATGTGATTTTTGTCTTTAGTTCTGTTTATGTGATGAATCACATTTATTGATTTTTTTGTATGTTGAAACAACCTTGCATCCCAGGGATGCAGCCTACTTGATCATGGTGAATTAGCTTTTTGATGTGCTGCTGGATTCGATTTGCAAGTACTTTGTTGAGGATTTTTGCATCGATATTAATCAAAGATATTGGCCTGAAGTCTTCTTTTTTTGTTGAGTCTCTACCAGGTTTTGGTATCAAGATGATGCTAGCCTCATAGAAGGAGTTGGGGAGAAGTCCCTCCTCAGTTTTTTGCAATAGTTTCTGTAGGAATGGTACCAGCTCTTCTTTGTACATCTGGTAGAATTCACCTGTGAATCCATCACGTCCTGGCCTTTTTTTTTTGGTTGGTAGGTTATTTATTACTGATTCAGTTTTGGAGCTCATTATTGGTCTGTTCAGGGAATCAGTTTCTTCCTGGCTCAGTCTTGGGAGGGTGTATGTGTCCAGGAATTTATCCATCTCTTCTAGGTTTTCTAGTTTGTATGTGTAGAGATGTTCATAGTAGTTTCTGATGGTTGTTTTTATTTCTTTGGGGTCAGTAGTAACATTCCCTTCATCATTTCTAATTGTGTTTATTTGGGTCTTCTCCCATTTCTTCTTAGTCTAGCTGGTGGCCTATTTTATTTTTTTTCAAAAAACTAATAGCAAGATTTGTTGATCTTTTGAATGGGTTTTCATGTCTTGATTTCCCTCAGTTCACCTCTGATTTTTGTTAGTCCTTGCCTTCTGCTAGCTTGGAGATTTTTTTGTTCTTGGTTTCTCTGATTCTTTCAGTTGTGAAGTTAGGTTGTTTGAGATCTTTCTAACTTTTTGATGTGGGCATTACATGCTATGAATTTCGTTCTTAACACTGCTTTAGCTGTGTCCTAGAGATTTTGGTATGTTGTATCTTTGTTCTCATTATTTTCAAAGAACTTCTTGATTTCTGCCTTAATTTCATTATTTACCCAAAAGGCATTCAGGAGGATGTTTTTTAATTCACATGTAATTGCATGGTTTTGAGCGATTTTCATTGTGTCGACTTTTATTTTTATTACGCTGTGGTCCAAGAGTATGTTTGGTATGACTTCAGTTCTTTTACATTTGTTGAGTATTTTATGTCCAATTATGTGGTCGATATTAGAGTATGTGCCATGTGGTGATGAGAAGGTTGTATATTCTGTTGTTTTTGGGTGGAGACTTCTGTAAAGGTCTATCAAATCCATTTGGTCCAGTGCTGAGTTCAGGTCCTGAATATCTTTGTTAATTTTTTGTCTCGATGATCCATCTAATACTGTCATTGGAGTGTTGAAGTCTCCCACTGTTGTTATGTGGGAGTCTGTGTCTCTTTGTAGGTCTGTAAGAACTTGCTTTAGGAATCTGGGTGCATATATATTTAGGATAGTTAGGTTTTCTTGTTGAATTGAACCCTTTACCCTTATGTAATACCCTTCCTTGTCTTATTTGATCTTTGTTGGTGTGAAATCTGTTTTGTCTGAAATTAGGATTGCAACCCCTGCTTTTTTCTGTTTTCCATTTGCTTGGAAGATTTTCCTCCATCCCTTTATTTTGAGCCTATGAGTGTCATTATGTGTGAGATGAGTCTCTTGAAGACAGCACATCAGTACGTCTTGCTTTTTTATCCAGCTTGTCACTCTGTTTCTTAAGTGGGCCATTTAGCCCGTTTACATTCAGGTTAGTATGATATGTGTGGATTTGATCCTGTCATTATGGTGTTAGCTGGTTATTATGTTGGCTTGTTTTTGTGGTTGCTTTATAGTGACACTAGTCTGTGTGTTTAAGTGTGTTTTTGTATTAGCTGGTAGTAGTCTTTCCTTTCTATATTTAGGGCTCCTTTCAAGATCCTCTTGTAAGGTAGGACTGGTGGTAATGAAGTCCCTCAACATTTGCTTATCTGAAAAGGATCTTATTTCTCCTTCACTTAGGAAGGTTAGTTTGGTGGGATATGAAATTCTTGGTTGAAGATTTTTAAAAGAATGTTGAATATAGGACCCCAATTTCTTCTTGTAGGGTTTCAGCTGAGAGGTCTCCTTTTTAGCCTGATGGGGATCCCTTTTTAGGTTACTCGCCCTTTCTTTGTAGCTGCCTTTAACATTTGTTTCATTTCGGCTTTGGAAAACCTGAGGATTTTATGTTTTGGGGATGATCTGCTTGTGTAGAATCTTGCAGGACTTCTCTGTATTTCCTGAATTTGAATGTTGGCTTCTCTAGCAAAGTTGGGGAAGTTTTCACGAACAATACCCAGAAATATATTTTCCAAGATGTTTGCTTTCTCCCCTTGCCTTTCAGGGATGCCAGTGATTCAAAGTTAGCTTGTTTCCATAATCCCATACTTCTCAGAGGTTTTTTTCATTCCTTTTTCTTCTTTTTTCTTTATTTTTGTCTGACTGTCTTATTTCAGAGAACCAGTCTTCAAGTTCTGAGATTCTGTCCTCACCTCAGTTTATTTTGCTGTTAATACTTGTGATTGCATAGTGAAATTCTTGTATTATTCAGCTCTGTCAGACCTTTTAGGTTCTTTTTTATGCCAGCTATTTTATCCTTCAGCTCCTGTATCACTTTATTATTATTATTTTTCTTGGATTGGGTTTTGCTATCCTCCTGAATCTCTATGATCTTTGGTCCTGAATTCTATTTCTGTCATTCCAGCCAGTTCAGCCTGATTAAGAACTCATGTTGGAGAACTGGTGCAGTCATTTGGAGGACATATGACACTCTGGCCATTTGAGTTACCATAGTTCTTGCCTAGGTTCTTTCTCATCTCTGTGTGTGGATGTTCCTTTAACTGCAGTGTAGATTGAGTACAGTCAATAGACTTCTTTTCTGGATGTTTTCACTGGGCCGAGGCTTTCTGTAGGGTCTTTATTTGAAGCTGACTTCTTGTCTCTGGTTTCAAAGTGGGGTATGTTAGTGAGGTACTTTTGGTGTTGAAGCTTTGGTGACACTTAGGCTTATTGATCACTTGGTAGACTCTTGCTCAAAAACCTGTATCTTTTGGTCTTTCCCTATAGTCAGCAACAATCAGTAATGTGCATCCAGTTGACTTGATTACTTGGAATTTATTTCTGTGAAATAGGAACTAAAGTTCTGCCATGACTTAGTAAATTATTATTGGTATTATTTTTATGGTATACAAATTTAATATTGGTATCCACACAATTCTATGATTGGTCAGTTTTTTTAAGGAAAGTTTTTAGAGTCTAGAATTATCCATTGTCCCTTTTATATAATTAAATAATTTCTATAGAAATGACCTTTATTTGTCATATTTTAACTCTGGTACTATGTCATTTCCAGAAGGTCTAGTAAAAATTACAGTCTGATGAAGTGTTTTTAGCTTTTATTTAATCTATTAATGACATTGCTTTTTCTTTATATATCTGTTAGGATTTTTTCTGTGAATTTAGTGAACAGTCACCATGTGTTCTTTCAAGATCTCTGTTACAAGTAAGTTCCACTTAGTATCAAAATACTTATTTAAACATTATATGTGTATTGACATTGTTTTATTGATTGATTGAACAAAAGGTAGATGCTTTTAAAGGATTTTCCAGTTAGTGTTGTGTATTTTTTTTTTAATTGAAGTATTAACTTTAAGCATTAGACATCCATCAAGATCATATCCTAGGTCATAAAACAAACCTCAGTGATTTAAAAACAATCAAAATCCTACAAAGTATCTTTCTTATCATTTTAGAATTAAACTAGTAACCAACAAGGGAATGATATCCAGGAAAATCTCCAAATATTTTGAAATTAAACAACTTGTAAGTAACACATGGGTCAAAGACAGAGGTCTTGAGGGGAGTTCAAAAATATTTTGAACTGAATGAAAATTAAAATGTACCCAAATCTGTGAGATACAAATAAAGCAGCGCTTAGAGGGAAATTTGTAGCATTGAATGTTTTTTTGTTTTGTTTTTGTTTTGAGATAATCTCACTCGTTGCCCAGGCTGGAGTGCAGTGGCATGCTCTTGGCTAACTGCAATCTCCGCCTCCCGGGTTCAAGTGATTCTTGTGCCTCAGCCTATCAAGTAGCTGGGATTACAGGCGCACACCATCATGCCTAGCTAATTTTTGTATTTTTGGTAGAGACGGGGTTTCACCATGTTGGCCAGGCTGGTCTCAAACCCCTGACCTCAGGTGATCCACCCGTCTCAGCCTCCCAAAGTGCTAGGATTACAGGTTGGAGGATCGCTTGAACCTGGGAAATCCAGGCTGCAGTGAGCTGTGATCCCACCAACTGCATTCCAGCTTGGGCAACAGAGTGAGACCCTGTCAAAAAAAAAAAGTCTACGGTTAGTAATTTAAGCTACCACTGTATGAAACCAGAAAAAGAAGAGCATATTAAAACAAACAGAAGGAAATAATGAGCAGAAATTAGTAAAATATAGAACAGAAAAACAATGGAGAAAATCAATGCAACCCAAAGCTCATTCTTTGAAAATATTCATGAAGTCAATGAACCTCTAATGAGGCATAATAAGAGAAAGATAAAAATGACTAATATCAAGAATGAAAGAAGGGGTATCATTACAGACTCTGTAAACATTAAAAGAATAGTAATGGGATATACAACTCTGTCCATAAATGCAAAAGCAGATAAAATGGACCTATTCCTTTAAATGTAGATACAGACTACCAAAACTCAAGAAGAGACAGATAATTTGAATAATCTCTTATCTATTAAATAAATCAGACTTATAGTTAAAAACCTAACAATGCAAACTGCAGGCCAGCTCTATGTAGTGTCTTCCAGAAAATAAAAGAGGCAAGAACACTCATATGAGCCAGAATTTACTCTATCAAAACCAAACCAACTTTACAAACATGGAAAACTATAGACCATATTTTCCTCACAAACACAGATGTAAAAATCTTATTCCATGAACACAGATGTAAAAATCTTCAATAAATTATTAATAAATCAAATTCAACAATATATAAAAAGAGGTAATACACCATGACCAAATAAGATTTACCCTAAGAATCAAGCCTGGTTCACCAGTTGAAAATTGGTCAGCATAATATACCATATTATCTAAAGTCTTAGTAGATTCACAAAAAGCATTTGACAAAATTCAACATCCATTCATGATTTGAAACTCTTAGCAAAACTAGATACAGAAGAGAGCTTCCTAAACCTGATAAAGGACATATACAAAAATACCTTACAGCTAACATCATACTTAATGATGAAAGACTAAATGGTTTCCTCCAAGAATGGGAAGAAGGCAAAGATGCCCACTTCGCTCTTACTGAACATTGGAAATCTTAGCCAGTGCAATAAAGCAAGAAAAAGAAATAAATGGCACACAGATTTGGAAAGGAAGAAAAAATATTGTCTATTTAGAGATGACATCATTTTCCATGTAGAATGCCCATGGATTTTACAAGGAAGTTCCTAGAACTGATTAGTGAATTTAGTGAGATTATAGGATATGAAGTCATTATACAGAAAGCAGTTGTAATTCTATATACTTGAAATGAACAATGGTAGATCAAAATTTTAAAAACCAAACTATTTACAATAACAAAATGAAATACATAGGTGCAAATCTAATATGATTAATATTCAGCAATATTCAATATATTAAATATTCAAATTCAACATGGTAAATATTAGGGAAATGCAAATTAAATCACAGAAATACTATTCACCTTTCAGAATATCTTTAAAAAAAAAAAAATCTGGCCAGGCATGGTGGCTCACGCCTGTAATCCCAGCACTTTGGGAGGCGGAGGTGGTTGGATCACGAGGTCAGAAGTTCAAGATCAGCCTGGCCAAGATAGTGAAACCCCATCTGTACTAAAAATACAAAAATTAGCCTGGCATGGTGGCAGGCGCCTGTAATCCCAGCTACTCGGGAGGCTGAGGCAGAGAATTGCTTGAAGCTAGGAGGCAGAGGTTGCAGTAAGCCAAGATCGCACCACTGCACTCCAGCCTGGGCAACAGAGCGAGACCCCATCTCAAAAAAAAAAAAAGTCTGATAATACCAAGTGCTGGTGAGGATGTATTTGGTGATAGGAATGTAATGTGGTTCAGCTGCTTTGGAAAATAGCTTGGCACGTTCTTATAAATTAAACATGCAGCTCACACTCCTAGTTGATTGCCTAAGAGAAGTGAAATTTGACATTCTTCTCGAAACCTCTGCAAATGTGTAGAGCTGTTTGTTCATGATCATCAAAAACAGACAACCCAAATGTTCTTGAGCTGGTCAGTGGATAAACATACTGTGGTACATGCACAGTGGAATACTACTCAGAAATAAAAAGAAAATGAAGCATGATACACTTAACAATGCCAATGAATCTCCACTGCATTATGCTGGGTAAAAGAAGCTGGACTCAAAAGGCTATATGATTTCGTTTTAATGACATTCTGGAAATGGCAAAACTGATAGAGCTGGAGAGCAGATCAGTGCTTGCCAGGGGTTTGGGGCGGGAGGAGCGTTTGACCACAAAGGGATCACATGAGGGAATGTTTTTAGGGTGATACAGGTGATACAGTTTGTTCTGTATCTTGATTGTGAGACTGATTTGAAAAACTATGCTTTTGTTAGACTTATAACTGTACAACAAACATGTAAATTTTACCATATGTAAATTTTAAAATTTAAAAACAGTCTTAGGAAATCAAGGTATGGTATATTAAATACTAAAATACAGTGGATTGTTAAGGAAAGGAAAGGAAATTAAAACAAATTATTAAATGCAAGTTGTTTTAAATTTTTTCATGTTCAGAAATGAACATAAAAAATATTAAAAATATTTGTATATGTTACAAAACATTCATTAGAGGTAAACAGGATTATCAAATAACATGTATAGCCATTTACTATTTCATAGTTTATGAAGCATTTTTTAATACATTAGCTCATTTGACATAATCAGATTAGTCAGTTTATTTTGACTATTTTAATATTACTACTCTTGGGAGGTTTTTATTTCTGTACATTTTTTATCCTACATCAGAATTCACCTTCAGTAAGGATTAATAAGTAACACTCATTGTGGAGACAGCAACTTATAAAAAATTTTCACAAACTTTTTATATTTTAATCACTTGCGTAGTCTGTGGCATTTATAAGTATACTGATTTTACACTAATGACAATTCTGTGCGTGACACCGTAACTAATATATAACATTTGTTTTAAGACCACTTTCCTGGTGGATAACAAAAAGGTCTTTGGAACTCATCTCATGCAAGACATGGTGAAAGATGCACTTCGGTCTTTTGTCAGTCCTCCGGTGCTTTCCCCCAAGTAAGTATTGTAAGACATTTTAGAGTTGTATGTATGTGCTCCTTTAAAAGCCCAACTTCTCTGTACTCCTTCTTTATAGCCAAAGTATCAAAATTGGGACCAAATCTCCATGTAAAGTAACTTAATAGTGTTAAAATTAATTGATCTCTGCCACATTGTTTAGATTAAAACTAAGGTTTTTATGAGGTTGACAAAATTTCTGATAACTCCAAGTTTTTTGTCTCCAGCGTAAGTCCTTAAACTTTGCCGTAGTAGAGGCACTGCCCCGAAAACATGCTGCCATCAGAGGCTGAAAGGATTGCATGCAGAAAGAATCATCATTTGAAAGCTGGCATTCTGAGAAATGTCAGGCTTTTCCAACAGGGAAGGGAAGAAAGGAGTCATCATTTCTTAACAAAGCACTTACACTTTGTTAAAAAAAAAGATACACCTAACAGTGTATCTTTTTCCACTGAAAGATACACGATGGCTTTCTATCACAAATTACTTCATGGTAGATCTAATTAATTATATGTAATGGCTGCCAAATATTTCATAATAAATGTTGAGTATCTTTTATCCAAAATGCCCTGGACCAGAGGTGTTTTAGATTTCTGATATTTTTGGATTTTTGAAGTATTTGCATGTACATAATGTTGCTCAGGCTGGAGTGCAGTGGCATCATCTCAGCTTACTGCAACCTCCGCCTCCTAGGTTCAAGAGATTCTCCCACATCAGCCTCCTGAGTAGCTGAGATCACGGGTGCATGTCACCATGCCCAGCTAATTTTTGTATTTTTAGTAGAGATGGGCTTTCGCTATGTTGGCCAGGCTGGTCTCAAACCCTGACCTCAAGTGATCTGCCCACCTTGGCCTCCCAAAGTGCTGGGATTATAGGCTTGAGCCACTGCACCGGCCTAATATGTTTCTTTTACATGGTGGTGTAATTTTTGTTAGCTCAAATCTTTTGAAAGCAGAATTCAGCCTGTTCACATTTGGTATACACTATTGGGTCATGAGTTTGATGTTAATAAATCAACAGTATATTAATCCATTAAATGAGGTGTCTTAAACAGAAATACACATAAAATAAGGTTATTCATTGATCAGTGCATGGAAATGTTGTGACCAGAGACTCATAGGAATCTAACCCTTTATTTCCCATGTTAGCAATGATTTAATAGTCTAATTTAGTATCTTCAGAAACTTTATGGAACATAAATACCACAAATAATGATAATTGTATATATGGAAAACTTTATTGTGTGGTAGTCTAGTTGTTCCACTGTTTTAAAACTTTCAGTGTTATAGATGAGAATCCTCTTTTCCTTTGTAAGTGATTTGAAACTTCTTCTGAAGCGTTGATGAGTTTCTCTTTATTTTAGGAGTTCAGAAGTTTTACCAGAATATTCATGTGTGATTTTCAGCTAGTGCTATCTGGAATTCAGTCATTAAAGACTCAGGTTTTTAGTCAGATCATTTGTCCCTGTTATTACTTATTTATTGCTTCACCTTCATCTGTTTTGATTTTTCCTTTTTTAGAGCTCCTAGCATACTAGGGTCTTCTAGAGCTCTCTTACCTATGCCTCATGACAGTCATCTCCTTGTTATTTTTGCTGTGTTGTGAGAAAGTTCTTCCTCTTGATCTTCAAGGCTACTAATGAACATATTTCTTCTACTGAATTTTTAAATTTGAAAATAATCATTTTTAGATTGAGAGAGCCTTTTAAAGCTTTTAAAGAGCCTTTTAAAAGCTTTATTTTAATCTCAAGTAATTTTCTTGCTTTAGGGTTAAAGATGTAATGAACCTTCAGCACTTCCCATTTCACCAACTGCCTGTTCCAGGTGTTGACCTTTTTTCTTTCTCCTGGGTGCTGGGTGCACTGTCTTTGCCATTGTGTGACCTTGACTCTGTTAATCAGAGATAAGGAACACCGTAAAGGAAACCACTTTGTGAGAAGAGATGACGTGCCAAAGGGAGGTATAGGTGATTTATAACCAATGGTGAGGAGTGGGGATACAGAAAAAATTAGGATCCTGTATAGTATTTTCTTTGTGATTATTATTAGGAGCACAGTCCATGAGGAAATCAATTGTAGGGAAATATGTGACACTGAAGTAGGGTCATGAAAAAGTAGAGCTTTAGACTTTTCCTTTTCTCTTTGCTAATTTGATCTTACTGGATCCAACTCTGATTGTTCAAATATAGACCTATAGGAATTGGAAATATCACAGATTTATTGTGTGAATTACATAATAATTGTAAAATATTTCTTAATCTAATACTGAAATTCTTTAACTTAGGTATCGGTTCCATTTTCTCTTTTATTCACCTTCTCTGTCATTTGGTAGCATCTGCAGTAATTGCTGCTGCTTTTGTTTGGGCTGAATAGATTTTAATGATGTGACTGTTATCTTGCAGGTGCTACCTATATAATAATCACCAGGCTAAGGACTGTATCGACTCCTTTGTTACTCACTGTGTTCGGGTAAGAGCTACAATTTGGATTGTCATAATGGGTACTTTAAAAATCATGGGCTGTGGCCGGGCACGGTGGCTCACTTTGGGAGGCTGAGGCAGGTGGATCACCTGAGGTCAGGAGTTTGAGACCAGCCTGGCCAACATAGTGAAACCCCATCTCTACTAAAAATACAAAAATCAGCGTATGGTGGCGCACGCCTGTAGTGCCAGCTACTCAGGAGCCTGAGGTGGGAAAATCGCTTGAACCCAGGAGGTTTCAGTGAACCAAGATCGTGCCACTGCACTGCAGCCTGGGGGACAGAGTGAGACTTTGTCTCAATAACCATAATAATAATAATAATAATAATAAATTGCTGGACTGCAATTCCTTCAGTGTCTGTGCTTTTTTTCATCTAATATTTCTTGTTTACTTTCAGTGAATAAATAAAAACTGTCTCCTCCTAACACTTGAGTGGATGGTTTTATATCCTAAGGTCTTCTGATAGGTTATTAGCTACAGAGGCAGCCTTGGATGACCTCCCACTGCAGCCTGTGGGGACCATAGATAGGGAATGTTATGACTCTCAACTGGGAAAACAGCAGTTGCTTCCTCAAAATTTTTTGTGAATGGACATAAAAACTTTACTTTTTTTTTTAACCTTAGAATTTTTTTTTTTTTTTTTTTTTTTAAGACGGTGTCTCGCTCTGTGGCCCAGGCGGGAGTGCAGTGGCGCAATCTTGGCTCACTGCAAGCTCCGCCTCCCGGGTTCACGCCATTCTCCTGCCTCAGCCTCCCAAGTAGCTGGGACTACAGGCGCCGCCATCATGCCTGGCTAATTTTTTTTTTTGTATTTTTAGTAGAGACGGGGTTTCACGTGTTAGCTAGGATGGTCTCGATCTCCTAACCTCGTGATCCACCCGCCTTGGCCTCCCAAAGTGCTGGGATTACAAGCGTGAGCCACCGCGCCTGGCCTAACCTTAGAATATTTTTAACATCCTTGTACACTTATCTTTGTATTATATTAATGAACTGAGTTATAATAAAATTAAAATTATTGGCTGGGCATGGTGGCTCACGCCTGTAATCCCAGCAGTTTGGGAGGCTGAGGCAGGTGGATCACCTGAGGTCGGGAGTTCGAGACCAGCCTGACCAACGTGGAAAAACCCTGTCTCTACTGAAAATACAAAATTAGCTGGGCATAGTGGTGCATGCCTGTAATCCCAGCTACTCAGGAGGCTGGGGCAGAATTGCTTGAACCCAGAAGGCAGAGGTTGCAGTGAGTAGAGATCACGCCATTGCACTCCAGCCTGGGCAACAAGAGCAAAACTGTCTCAAAAAAAAAATTAAAATTATTAATTTAAATGAGGTCACAAATTGTTTTCATCTCAAGTAATTAGGAAAAAATGCAAATCTTGTAGTGAGTTGAATTATTCATTTTTATTTAATTTTTTAAAATATTTATTTATTTATTTATTTTAAGACAGTGTCTCCCTCTGTTGCCCAGGCTGGAGTGCAGTGATCTTGGCTCACTGCAACCTCTACCCCCTGGGTTCAAGCAATCCTCCCACCTCAGCATTCGGAGGAGCAGAGACTACAGGCTCATGGCACCACACCTGGTTAATTTTTTTGTATTTTTTGTGGAGACAGGTTCACCCTGTTGGCCAGGCTGGTCTCAAACTCCTGAGCTCAAGTGATCCGCCCGTCTTGGCCTCCCAAAGTGCTGGGACTTACAGGCAGGAGCCACCGCACCCGGCTTCATTTTTATTTAATTAGATGTATTTCTTTTAGAGAACTCCAACAGGCAGCTTTTTTGGGTCTACTTCCAGTTACTAAATATATATATATTTCATATATATATCTACTTCCAGTTACTAAATATATATTATATATAATTACATTATATATGTACATCACAAACACTCAGGTTTAGTATATTAGACTTTGAGTTCAACTTTTAAACTTATTTAAATATATAAATATATATTATATGATATATATTAATATATATTATATATCATATAATATATACTATAATATATAATATAGTATATAATATATAATGTATATAATATATAATATATATTATATATAATAATATATAATGGAAAGGCAGCATGGTATGGGGAAAGAAAAAACAATAGAAGACCAGAATTTATTTCATTTTTATCATTAATATTTTATCAGGCATATCACTTTAATTTTTAAACTTTCCCTTTTTTTTTTGTTTTTTTTTGAGATGAAGTCTCACTCTGTTGCCCAGGCTGGAGTGCAGTGGTGCGATCTCAGCTTACTGCAACCTCCGCCTCCCAGGTTCAAGAAGTTCTCTGCCTCAGCCTCCCATGTAGCTGGGATTACAGGCGCCTGCCACCACGCCCAGCTAATTTTTGTATTTTTATTAGTGACGGGGTTTCACCACCAACAGTCACAACTGTTGACCTCATGATCCACCTGCCTTGGCCTCCCAAAGTGCTGGGATTACAGGGGTGAGCCACTGTGCCCGACCCAACTTTCCACTCTCTAAAGAGTAAAATGCTTATATCTTCTCTGACCTCTTACAGGGTAGTTACTGATCAAATGAGATAATATCTGTCACAGTATGCAAATATAAAACAGTATTATACTTTGAGAATCTTCTAACTCAGACTTACAAATCCATGTCTCTTGCCTGGTTAGTGGAATGTTACATAGTATTTTAGATGAGAACACCTTATGGAGAAAGCAGGAATAAAGAACCATAGTCAAGCTTTATGGCTATTAGCTCTTTTTAAGCTAATAATTATTAGGCATTCTGACATATTTATAGCAGCACAGGAATGTCAGCCTTGAACATTGGCTTTTGACTCAAGCAGGAAAGAAATTGTCCTTGTGAAATTGCAAGAAGATATCTAAAGATCGAAGGAAGCTATTTTTATCATATGAAAGCAAGTTTCACATGAAGCTGTTTTTTTCCAGTTATTGATAAATTCTGGTGTTGAGTTCCTTAAAACAAACACCTATGTAAAATTAAAAGTATACATAGACCTAATTCTTACATACACAGCATTTTTTTCCCTTAAACCAGATTGTGAACTTGGAATGTTAAGTTTCTTTGGTACTAGGAAATTTCATATTTACAGTTGACAAATTATATGTGTATTGCAGCCATTCTGTAGTCTTATTCAGATCCATGGACATAACAGGGCTCGACAGAGAGATAAGCTTGGTCATATTCTTGAGGAATTTGCCACCTTGCAGGATGAGGTAAGAGCCAGGTTCCCCTCTCTTCTAAAATTAAATGATGCACACACTTTGTCCAGATTTTTAAAAACAATAATTCAGAACAATATTTTGACTAATTTTTCAACATGATCCACTTTTCACTTAAAATATAACAGTTTCTTACACCAACGTTTACAAAATGAAACAGAACAATAATCCAAACTGATAGATATCTTAAATATTTCTTTGATAATAGGAATAAATTATGAAATATGTATAAAATGATAGTTTTACAAGCTTACATTATAAAAAATATTAATACATTAATTTTAAAGTTAATTTGTGTGCAGCAGCAATATTGATAAGACCTGAAGTGTATTTGTATTTTTGTCCTTTAAAATTGATTTGGTTTAAGGCATGTTTAGGTAAATGTTAACCATTGTGAAATGAGAACTTCAAATGTAAACCTAACTAAAAATGCATTTAAAAATGTTTCTTTGGGTGGTCAGATTTAAATTTTCTGCTCATATTCTTTTTAGCTGTACGTTTTTTTAAAGTTCTGTCATTACCTTAAGAAAACAAAACGAACACAGTTTATGACATTTTATTTTAATAGGCAGAGAAGGTTGATGCAGCGCTTCACACCATGCTGTTGAAACAGGAACCCCAAAGGCAACATTTGGCCTGTTTAGGTACCTGGGTCCTTTACCATAACCTTCGCATTATGATACAGTACCTTCTAAGTGGCTTTGAATTGGAACTCTACAGTATGCACGAGTACTATTACATATATTGGTAAGAGCACAGTTTGAGTTAAAATTGGTGGTGGGTGCAATGGATAAGATCTGAGAATTCAGAGTTAATTTCAGGGTACTTTTTCATTTAGTATATTTTATCTTTAGTTGTGGGACAGTTGGAAAAATTTGAAAATTAGAGCTAGATCATCTTGAATATCTTTAAGTGCTATAATATTGCATGAGTGTATTTTTCCAAATGTTTATGTAAAAATTAACAAAAAATGACTCCAAAGTAAATGGATTAATTGAAGATCATTTATTTGCTCCTATGGAGAAAAATTAACACATTTTGCCCTGAATTTGGTGGCACTAGCTGTGGATGTACTTGACAGTTAAACATCAAATTGGAATGAGGTCTGTCTTCTTGGAAGAAATCATGACCAAGGTGATCACTGGGAGCATAACTGTTTCAAACCGTGGTGCTGAGGATTCACTTCAGGAGCTTTGGAGTTGATAAAAGATGATCTTCGGCAGAGTAGTTCTTCCCTTTCACTTGCGGACAAAATAAACCTAGTAAGAGGATGTTTGGAAAAGAGGATGTTTGAGCATATTTTAGGCATGTAAAAGCTGTCATAGAAAGAAAATAAGATTGAGTGTTAATGAATTCAGTTATTTTGAATTTTTTTCTCAGTCTGGCACATAATTTTAAACTAATGACCTGTGTTACTCATCACAAACACTCAGGTTTAGTGTATTAGACTTTAATAGAGTTCAACTTTTAAACTTGTTTAAATTTTACCTAGTAATTAAGTTATTCTGTATTCTCTGAAGTCACTGCTGTGGGAGGGAAAGTAATTCTCTTCCATGCTGTTGATGTAGATTTTGTTATGAGCAGTGAAGGCTTTTGACAGACAACTCTTGCCTGTGAAAACTGAATTTGAGCATCAACTATAGCAGTATGAGAATAATTTTCCTTGCTATATATTCTTCAACATTTATATAGATAATACCAAATAATCCTTACTAACAGGTATTTATATAGCTACTTTGGATACTACATTTTGTTATTCATAGTAGACAATTCTGGTTTTGTTTTCGTTTCTGTTTTTTGAGGTGGGGTCTTGCCATGTTGCCCGGGTTGGTCCTGAACTCTTGGGTTGTCAGTCTTCCCACCTCAGCCTCTCAAGTAGGTGGGACTACAGATGTGCACCACTGCACCTGGCTACTTTTGTTCCTTTTTATAGGGGAACATGCTCAGGTTCTTTTGTGGCTTGAAGCAGCTAATGGGACCTTTGTTCTTGATTTCTCAGATCAAAATATTATTTTTATATGCTTTTTTGCACAGAGAATTGGGATCTTAATTGAGCAAATAAATGAGACGCAGATAAATACTCCATTACACATTTGTCTATATACATAAGTAGATTTGTTTCTTTTCTTGTTAAAAGAACTTTAGTCTGCCCATAAATACCCTTGTGGTCTTTTCATAATTGGTTTTGAACTGCTTTTTAATTTCAAAATTACAGATTGGGCTCCTGCATTTCCCCGAGATAACCTTTAGTTGTTTTTCATGCATACGGTCCCTGAAGCATGTGGACTCTTTAAATCATCAGCAAAAACAGTGATTCTTAAACTTTAACATGCATCATAATCACTTGGAAAGTGCATTAATACACAAATTTTTGGGCTAAGTTCCTAGAATTCCTGACCTGTTAGGTCTAGGGTGAGACCGAATAATTTGCATTTCTAACTGGTTCTCAGGTGAACTGCTGCTGGCCCAGAGATGACAGTTTGAGAACCATTGGTATAGAATATCAGCACTCTCTTAGACATAAATGTATATTAATTTTGATAAAGCACTTAATAAAAGATCATTGAGGTACCTGATATTTGAGAAGAAAAGGCTGCATCTTAGTTGTCCCCTTCACTCATGTGTCCTTAGGTTAGATAAACAGAAGGTAGAAGACATCATCAGTTGCCTATAGAAATCCTTCACTTGAATTAAGATATATGAGTTGTTATGGACTCTCACATTTTGTAGGGTGGCAGGGAACAAAATTCAGTTATATGGTATAAAAGGGTACTATAGTAAATGTTTTTCTTAAATTCAGGGCCAGGAATTGTTTACTCTCCATATGAAATTATAGGCCTTATTATGTTATGAAATGCATATATATTTTTATATATATATATATCTCGTAGATTTGAAGACTTTTCTGGCTTAGCAGTGTTAAAGTTCTGAAAAATTAGTGTCTGGTAGAGAATGTTCTGTTTTATATTTCATTTATTAAATAAACTCAAGTAAATTGTAAATGTGAATGTTCTTAATTTTTAAGAATGATTTTATATAATGCCGATAATTTTTTATCTTTTTCTGATTTTATTTGCTTTGTGATTAAAAGAAAATATTTATAGACTGAACTGAACTGTGTTCTGATATAATAAAAACTTAATGGGCATTCATTTGATTTGCATATGTACATGTATAATTATCAAGAAATCTTCTGGAAAGTTGTAAAATGTAGAAAGGGAAAATTAATCCTTATGTTCATTTCTTGTAAGATCTAATCTATTATCTAATGAATGATCTGTTTTTAAAGACCTAAAGCATTATTTGAAATATCTATCGTTAATATATGTGTTGATAAAGCTGTCTCATTTAGACATCTACCATTAACTAACATTTTGTATCCTTTAAGGTATCTCTCTGAATTCCTTTACGCATGGTTGATGTCAACATTGAGTCGTGCCGATGGCTCTCAAATGGCAGAGGAAAGGATAATGGAAGAGCAGCAGAAAGGCCGTAGTAGTAAAAAAACAAAGAAAAAAAAGAAAGGTGCTGTGGATTATTTTTAAACTTAAGAACAGAGTGTACTTTAATTTCTACAGATAAATAGATGGAGAGCTACTCGTGAGTTGGTCATTATATTTTAGTTCTTGTTCCTCTTTTCAGAAACTATAAGGTAGAGACTGAGTCCCAGTATCAATGACATAAGCTTTTTGGTTCCTTTCTTTGCTTTCATTTCTTTGCTGTTCTGTGTATCAGAGAATCTTTGATCAAGAAGTAGCCACGTGGAGTGTGCAAGCAAGATATCGGTGAGGGAACAAGACAGCAGGAGGCCAGTGACCTATTGACAGAGCCAGATAGCTCAGGAGGGCAGTAGTTCTGGAGCTGTGCTGTGGTAGCGGGCACCGAAAGGTGGTTACAGAGCGCCTTGAGGCATCACCCAAGAACCATGAGGACAGAGAACCGTTTCAAAGGGACTGCCCTATTGATCACTTAGGGAAGGCTATAGATATGGCTGCAATTATTATAAAATACTACTTCATATTTCCTTAGGACTTAAAGCAGTTTGGATGGGTCATTAAATCACTGTATTTGTGGGTTTCCTATATAAGAGGTTAAATCTCTGGTGAATTCAGAAAAGTTATAATTACTTTATACTGGAATTTTATAGTATTAGCTATTTGGGGACATGATTATTATATTTTATTTGTAGATTTTGACCATAAATAAAATTTAACCTGTAGGAACACACTGAAGTTTTAATTTAGTATACAAGCTGAAAGATTTTTTAAAATTAGATTTTCTTTTGCAGTAATGCAAGAGGGAGGAGGAAAAGATTATGGAAGATTACGTTTTTCTTTCTAATTACAGTTCGCCCATTGAGCCGAGAGATCACAATGAGCCAAGCATATCAGAACATGTGTGCTGGAATGTTTAAAGTAAGTTGTTGAAAGTGAAGTTCTTTTTGCCTTTTAGCTATATCCCTATTATATAGTTTATTTAAACTGTTTTCTGTGATTCTTTCCATATTATAATTTCACCTTTGTTTTACTTCCTGTCTGCTTGAAGATTACCTTTATTATCATTAATTTTTTCAACAACCATTTGAACCCTTGCTTATGTGTGAGACACTTTGTACTGAGTACATTGCAGGAGATACCAATTCTATATGGTCCTTGTTTGAAGTCTCCAGTGACAGGCCAGTTGATGTATCTGTGACAGGTAGTAAGAAAAGGAAGAGAGTACTTCTGATTGATGATCAGGCAAGGCTTCGTGGAAGAGATGGAATTTAGGTTTTTTAGGAGTGTATTAGGAAGAGGGTGAGCTCCACAACGAATGGCTTAAGCAAAAGCAGGTCTTTTCAAAAGGCAGTGGGTACTAACTCTTAAGTTGTACTTGGCAGTCCAAGAAATCATTTGAGGTGACTCACATTAAAATGCATAAAGCAGAACATGGACTTCTCTTTGAAAATAGGACCTGTGCTTATGACAATTATATGTCCTCATTTCTTCAGAAGTGTTTGCTTGAAGGTTTTAAATAGCTGTTTCTTGTCTTCCATTCTGTATTGATGAGTGTTCACTTTTTTCATATTGATTTCATCTTTTTTCTTATTCCCTTTTTCATTTAGACCATGGTAGCATTTGACATGGACGGCAAAGTACGTAAACCGAAGTTTGAGCTTGATAGTGAACAAGTTCGGTATGAACACAGGTTTGCTCCATTCAACAGTGTGATGACCCCGCCGCCAGTGCACTACTTACAGTTCAAGGTGAACCTGCTCAATGAACTTGTTATGAAATCTTTAGTCTTAGACCTTCTTAGAGAGATGCTGTTTGTACCTAGCCATCTTGTTACATTAACAGTTATTTAAATCATAAGAATAATATGAGGTAGCATATGAGGGTTGAGAATTATATATTACCTAGGAAAAAATAGGGAGATGTGCTGAATGTTTGCCCCAGTGTCTGTGTATGAGTGGATAGAAAATGTAGAATTCTTTAATAATTAGAAATGGGATTTTAGAGTTGTTCATATTAAACGTGTTTTGAATTATACTTCCCCTTCTTTTTAGGAAATGTCTGACCTCAATAAATATAGCCCTCCTCCTCAGTCTCCTGAACTGTATGTGGCAGCTAGTAAGCACTTTCAACAGGCAAAAATGATATTGGAAAATATTCCTAACCCGGACCATGAGGTGAGACTGGATTCACAGTAATTCTAGGGGAAAAGCGTGGCAGGAAATACATCTCTTACTGCTGGATGAAAGTTAATTATGAAAGTGAACTTTAATAGTGTTAGTGAATAGAACTTGGCGTGTTTCTGCGAAGGATTTCAGGTAGTTTTGTCAAACTAACGTTGTCAGACTTCAAGTTATTTTAAGAATGAGGTGATATAAATATCTGCTTTGTATAAATTTAGAAGTCAATGCAAAGACAAATTACAACTCAAAATCATAAAGAAGGATAAGCATAAGATCCAGACTGATCTGATTCATAGCTCAAAATGTAAGCATTGAAACATTTCTGTTTTAATCAGTAGTTTGTTAAAGGGGCCAGGCGTGGTGGCTCACACCTGTAATCTCAGCACTTTGGGAGGCCGAGGTGGGTGGATCACCTTAGGTCAGGAGTTTGAGACCAGCCTGGCCAACATGGTGAAATCCCATTTGTACTAACAATACAAAAAATTAGCCAGGCGTGGTGCATGCCTGTCTGTAATCCCAGCTACTGGGGAGGCTGAGGCAGGAGAATCATTTGAACCCGGGAGGCGGAGGTTGCAGGGAGCCGAGATTGTGCCATTGCACTCCAGCCTGGGTGACGAGCGAAACTCCATCTCAAAAAAGAATTATTAAAATGTAACTAAGTCTTACATAAGTATGAAAAATGACCGGGTCAGTTATCACCGGAACAACCTTATTCCACTTGACCATTTAAAATAAAGGCTACTGCTTTTGAAAACTCTGAGATATCAAAATAAACTTGGAAAAAAATTGTTTCAGGCTTTTGGTATTTTAATAATTTACCATATCCCTAATTTTATTGAAATACATTTATTTTCTAAAAGTTACTGTAACGTGTACATACTGTTTTGGGAAGTATATCTTGGGACCGCTTCCATAGAGGCGTAGCTTAGCAGTGTTTGTCAAAAATCATTAATGCTTAGAGTCAGCAATTCTGCTTTTTGGGATTTATATAGAGACATGAACACATATAGGAAGTGAGAGTGACGAATATAAGAGTATTCATTGCAGCAGGATTTCTAATAGCAAAAAGTAGGAAGAAACAGTAGTATCCATCAACAGGGGACTAATAAATTATGATACATTCATACAGTGGAATACTGTGCAGCCTTAAGAAGGATGAGGAAGATCTTTATGTACTGTGATGGAATGCTCCTTATGATTTAAGAAATCTAAAAAGAAAGGTGCAGTTTAATATGCATAGTATGGTGCAGTTTCAATAAAAGGGGGCAAGGAAGCCTATATGTATGTGTGCGAGTATAAAATATCTTTATAAAGATAATATCAGAATTGGTAGTTTTGTTTCCTTCCTTGGAGGGAAGCAGAGTGCCTGGAAGAGAGATAGGAGAGACACTTTTTAAAAATTATATGTACCATCTAAGAAAATATAAAGGGGGAGTCTAAAAATTTGAGGAGCTACCTATGATGACATATTTCATTTAGTGAAACTTCATTTATTCAAAGATGAGTCTGTGCTCCTAATACTATGCTGTGCTGCCTTTTCAGGACTTTGCAGCCTAATTTTTTTGTTATTCAGGAAAGCAAGATAAGGTAGCCATTTCAATTCAGAGTTAATTGAAATGAAGTTCTATATTATTAAAAGAAATATATTTATAATTTTAAATTGCTTTTATTTAATAAAACATCAACACTTCCATTATACAAAGTTTCTATTAGTATCTGTAATTAATAAATTTTGACTGGCCACAGTGGCTCACGCCTATAATCTCAACACTTTGGGAGGCCAGGGTGGGAGGTCTGCTTGAACCCACGAGTTCAAGACCAGCCTGGGCAACACAGTGAGATCTTGTCTCTATAAAAATTTAAAAATGAGCTGGGTGTGGTGGTGCACAGCCATTTGGGAGGCTGAAGTAGGAGGATTGCCTGAACCAGGAGGTTGAGGCTTCAGTGAGCCGTGTTCTTACCACTGTACTCCAGCCTGGGTTGACAGCAGGTCTCAAAAAAGAAAAAGAGAAATTTTGACTATGAAGTTAATGTTTCAGTAGTTTTATGTTCATGTTTCAGGTTAATAGAATTTTAAAGGTTGCCAAACCCAACTTTGTGGTTATGAAGTTATTGGCAGGAGGACACAAAAAGGAATCTAAAGTGAGTACATTGTGGGAAAAATAAGTGGTCTTAGATTATTGTGAAGTTTCATAAGTTTTGCAATAAGATGTGTAAATATTACAGGAAAAATTAAACCACTGAACAAAAATCATTCTAAAAATTTTAGTTCAGCAGCAAAAAATTAGAGCTTGCCATTTTGTCTTGAGATGTGTATTTTGTTGAGTTAAAATTTCTAAAGTCTGCCTATACGTTTTCCATCTCCTTGCTGTGTAAATTACTGAATAACTTGGGGTAAAAAAAGAAAATTTATGTAAAGAAATTTTATGGGAGAAGTATGAGGTATTTAAAAGTCATCTGCCTTTGGGAAAGTGAATGCTTTAATAATGAAAGACTTCTTTGTAATGGCTCAGAAGAGGAAGAGTCTAAGCTTTTCTTGGTAATGTTATATCATCCATGCTACGTCATCATTTCAGAGCAGAGATTCTGCGCTGTGGAGAGGCCAGCCGCGGAGGCACCGTGGGGGCATTTGCCTGTGTGTGTTGTGCACCTTTTCTTCCATTGTTTCCTGTGATCTGCCTTCCTCCTCTCCTGCCCTGGTTTCCTACTGACTGACTCTCATCTCATTGCTTAGTTCTATCAGTTACCTGGAGCTAAAAAGTGTGCTGACCCCTGATCTAACTGAATGCCTTTCCTATAATTTTTGACTATTTATCTTTTAACTGTTCTTTGAAGATAGAAAACAGCTGGTCAGCCTGTTTTCTTATGATCTTCATAAAACTCAAAAACAAATTAATCGTTTTTCTTCCAGGTTAGTTCCTACCTTTTTTGTCATTAACCTAGTTTTTAAAATCTATTTTGTGCTGCCTTGTTTCTAAGAACACAAGAAACTCTAAAATAAAAATAGTCTTTGTTTTGTGTACCATCTGAATATTTGTAGATACATTAATTGAGTTTCGTTTTTCTTTAACAGGTTCCTCCTGAATTTGATTTCTCTGCTCATAAATATTTTCCTGTTGTGAAACTTGTTTGAGAGAGACTGGGGAGGTGGCCATAAAGGGGCAGAGTCTTCTTTCAGACCCAACTCTTAGAGGGCACATCACCAGGCTCCACATCACGGGAAGTGAGATGGATTTCTTGGGTAACAACTCATTATAAGGAATACTTTTAGTTTGACAGCCTTATATGACATGAATGAAAACTGCTGTTTTAAAGTGGTTTATTATGTTCCATGGAAGAAACTGGTCTTATTGAATGCATTGATGAACGTTATATGGTTTTATTACAGATTTAATCACAAATCATTTTTTATGAATGATTGAGTGAAAATAGTGTTTATAAAGGTTAATAAATTTCTTGACAAAAAAAAAATGCACTGCTGGAGATGAAAAACAGTAGGTCTTTGTCCATGTTAAGAACTGAAGAAGGTGTATGCTCTTTAACATTTGAGTAGTTCCAAAAACGTTATCCAAAAGAAGTTTCAAATCAAGGGATTAATTAAACACTTGTATGAGATTTTGGTAAAATACATTTAGAAGGGATTTTTGGGAGGGCCTCTAAATTACATGAAAATTGTGATTTTTATGTGTCATGACATCACAAATTATATATCTGTAAGAATACAGATGTGTAAAAAAAATCCTTTTAGCACTTTTAAAAGATTATACATTGTTTGCTGGTGACATGCAAAAAGGAGGCAGATAGAAATGTATATAGATTAAAATTTAGGACTAGGTTTAAATGTGGTGTACTTTTTGTTTACTTCATATTCAGTTTAACCCATGAAACATTTTCAAATGGGTGTCTGTTCAGTATCCTCTGGCTTTGAAAAACTGACTACATCCCCCTGTGCTTGCAAGTGCCTGCTGCCAGAGGCCCTCCCCTTCCTTTCCTGCTTGTCCTGTGTCTGCTCTGATGTTTGCGGTGGCAGCTTTCTAGGCCTCTTGGGCCTTCCTTTTTGTCCTCTGTAGCAGGCAATACTCTTAGCAAAATGAGTTACTCTGTGGTGTAAATTGGCTTTGGTGGCTTAGCCTAAGACTAGTGACAGTTTTATATTTGGTCTGTGGTTAAAAGGGTTCTCAGCTTCAAATATCTTAACTCTGATTTGGTACCTTTCATAAAAACATGATAGTATAGTGAAACTTTTCTGGCAGTACTTTAAAGCAGCTAACCTGACTGAACTTGCTAAGGGTGTTCCTGTTGCCCCTCTTTGCAGCTAATGAGCCCTCTTGGCTCTCCTTTCCAAGAGCGGTAATACTTGTGTTATTCAAGAACAGCCATTAGGTGTCCTGAAATTTCAGAACCGAAAAATCTTAAAAAAAATTATTTTTTAAGTAGCCTGTACAATAGAAACTTCAATTATGGAGAGACAAAGAGTATACCTGTTACTGATGTAGTTACTTTGTTGAGAATGAAAACTGTTTCTGGCTGGTAATTACTGAATGCTTTAAACAAAAAAAGGCAAAGGAATGGTAGGAAATAGGCAAGACAAGAAACAAAGAATCAAAAGAAAAAGCAAAGAGGAAAACAGAATGAGCATGGACATTTGGCAAACAACCAAGAAGAGAGCCTGAAGCAAGTTAGAAAGCTGAGAAATTATTATTCTTTCCCAGTGGCCAAGATACAAAGTATAAAAAATATGTCCCCCTTAAAAGCAAAAAAAGGAATGTAGATTAATGCAACAAGGGCCCTGCTAGATGATGGGATCACTTTTAATTAAGAGGGTGTGCTGGCATTTTTTAGCTACTATGTCTGATTGGGTCTGCTGGTATAGACGAGCATCTAGGTTATTTTGAAGTAGGTCTTCCTAAGTAAAAGTTTTCCTATTAACCCATTATCAACTAAAAAAGATTGATTAGTGTTAGATTTATCAGTGTATGTTACTGACAGAATCATGTGGTTTCCTTTAAGTAGCTTTAATTTTTGGTTTTTAGTTTGTTTAGAGAGGAGGTTTCACTATGTTGCCCAAACTGACCCAAACTTGTGGGCTCAAGCAGTCCTCCTGCCTCAGCCCCCAGAGTAGCTGGGATTATAGGCAAATGCCTGCTTGGCTAGTTTTTGTTTTTAAACAGCAGGTTTCTAATTATAAAAACAAATTTGCCATTTTATAATTTTTAAAGTAATCTGCCATTCAAGGTACTTACTGAAAAAAACAATAGGAGAAATAAGACAGTCTCCTGTCATAGAGCTTTTATCATCTTACGACAAATACAGAAAAGCAACAGGTATTGAAAATGCAGTGAAGAATATGCTGTATGCTGGGTAGGAGAACTGCCCCACGTGAAACTTTAGGTGACAAATCCCCATCGCATCTATTCAGGAGGCACTGCTGGGAAAAGGGTCCCAGACAGAATGTGCACAGGCTTGGAGGGGAGAGGGTAGCAGCCTGGCCGAAGTATAGAGCAGGAAAAGGATGGCGGAGATGAGAGGCAAGGAGAAGCCGATACCCAAAACCCTGGGAGGCCACAGGTTAAAGATTTTGGACTTTATTCTGATATTGGTAGATTCTACTGAAGGCTTGTATGCAGGGACATGATGGGATCAAGTCAAATCTGCTTGCCTGAGAATGGTTGAAAAGGGAGGCAGGGAAGCCAGTCACGTGAGAGAAAATGTTGGTCTTAACAAAGGTAGTGGCAGAGCAGGTGGAAGAAAGTGGATGAAATCAAATGTTTTCAGAGGTACAGCTAATGGGACATGGTGAATGAGAGTTTCTGCCAAAATCAAGGATGATTTTTCAGAAATTTTTTTGGCTTTGGCAACTAGACGATGGTGGTGCCACTTGTGTAGATATCTAGGCAAGGTAGGAGACCAGGTTTGGGATAAAGATTGCTTTAGACATTGAGATATCTTTGGGACATCCTGGTGAAGATGGCAGGTAGTTTGGTCTCAAACTGGGAGGTGCCATCTGGGGTGGAGATGAACTGAGGACTCAGTAACTATAGTCACTGTAATTTTCTGGGGGTTGCCATTGCTCAGGGAGCTCCTAGAGTAAGGGACTGAGATAGGTCCCAAGGAATAGACTTGGGAGGGCCAGGGAATGGGGAGGCCACTGAGGTGGTGGGACAGGCTGCAGGGAAGAATACCTCAAAATCATACGAGGCCACTCTTTGACAAGTGTGCCTGTTTCACCGTTTTGTTTGCACAAGACTCTAAGACAGTATACTGCCTTAAATAAAGTGCACCCTGTTTGGAAAAGTTCAGGAGAGGTGGGTGTTTTCCTTGTTCCTCTTTGGCTATGCTCTGGGCACTGGAAAAAGCCTGCAAAGGAGACTTATCAGGAAAATAAGCAGAATGAGGGCCATATGCCGCTCAGAGGCCATTAAGAGAAGGACTGAAAAGAGCCCATTGAACTTGGCAAGTAAAGATTGCTGGCGACTGGGGCGAGCTCTTTCTTGAAGGGGTGGGGCAGAAGCTGGAAAGTCAGTTGAGGTGTAGACCATGCAGTGAGGAAAGAGCGACTCAACTGGGCTTGAAGAACTGACTTCCCCATATTCATACTTGCCCCACTCTATTTGTGGAGTGGCTGGTATGATCTTAAAAGATCATAAAATGCAAGCATGGTCACTTGACAACTCTACTTAAAATCCACTGTTCTCTAATGAATGACCTAGTCTTTACCCAGAATGCCAGTTTGACCCCTTCTGCCTCTCCTACTTCGTTTCTGCCCTCTCCATTTGGCCCCTCAGGCTGCAGCCACATTGGCCCCCTGAGACCACCAAGCCTTTAGTATCAAATTTTGGAGACTCACATGAAGTTATTATGCAACAGCTCTCTGAGTCTTTACACTGATCACGAAATCAGGAGATTGAGACCATCCTGGCTAACAAAGTGAAACCCCATTTCTACTAAAAATACAAAAAATTAGCCGGGCATGGTGACATGCATCTGTAGTCCCAGCTACTTGGGAGGCTAGGACTACAGATGCGTGTCACCAGAGGTGACTGTTCTATTTTGTTGGAACAGCCCACAGCCCTCTCCATTGTTGGCTGAATCTGTCGTGATCCCTAGGGCAGCCTGGAGAAAGCATGCAGAGTGCACACGTGGTGAGCACAAAGCTTTCGGGGTACTGTGGGTTGAAGACGTCCTGACAGCCCATCTCATTCCACAGAAGGTTTAAGGCAAACTGCCATCCTTAGTCCACAGTTTGAGGGTGGATTCTTTAAGGATCTAATAGAGGATGAAGGGGAAAAGCAAAAAAACAGAGCTGTGACAAGTTTTATAAGTTGAACAGAACATTTTATTTCTCAGCAATTCTATGCGTACAAATTAAACATGAGATGAATAGAGACTTTATTGAGAAAGCAAGAGAAAATTCCTATCAACCCCAAGGAGGACTCAAAGTGAGGCTGGAAGAGGACTTAGAAGAGTATGAAAGTACTCTAAGATTTTATCTAAGTTGCCTTTTCTGGGTGGGAAAGTTTAACCTTAGTGACTAAGGACATCACATATGAAGAATGTTTAAGTTGGAGGTGGCAACGTGAATTGCAAACAGGGCCTGCTTCAGTGACTGTGTGCCTGTAGTCCCAGCTACTCGGGAGTCTGTGTGAGGCCAGGGGTGCCAGCGCACCAGCTAGATGCTCTGTAACTTCTAGGCCCCATTTTCCCCTCTGAAAATAAGAGGGTTGGATCAAACGATCTCTGGGGCCTTAGCATCTCAAATCCTGTGGATCCTCCTACTTACCCCTTAGAGAGCCTTACTGGGAAGTCAGTCATTAATGATGTGGCCAGTTATTTGCAAGTGGTAAGAGCCTATTTACCATAAATAATACTAAGAACCAACTCAAGTCAAACCTTAATGCCATTGTTATTGTGAATTAGGATTAAGTAGTAATTTTCAAAATTCACATTAACTTGATTTTAAAATCAGTTTTGTGAGTCATTTACCACAAGCTAAATGTGTACACTATGATAAAAACAACCATTGTATTCCTGTTTTTCTAAACAGTCCTAATTTCTAACACTGTATATATCCTTCGACATCAATGAACTTTGTTTTCTTTTACTCCAGTAATAAAGTAGGCACAGATCTGTCCACAACAAACTTGCCCTCTCATGCCTTGCCTCTCACCATGCTCTGCTCCAGGTCAGCCCCCTTTTGGCCTGTTTGTTTTGTCAAAAACCTAATCTGCTTCTTGCTTTTCTTGGTAATATATATTTAGGGAAGATGTTGCTTTGCCCACACACGAAGCAAAGTAAATAAAGACCACAAATGTTCAAATTCTAAGCCACTTAATAGCGTTTTGTACATTAAAAATGACAAGGGTTATTATACAAGTAGCCTTTTAAAAAATTCTCACACAGAACAGCTTTGTATTTAGACTTAAAGCTGTTGCTACTTTGCTAGTGACGTTTGTGTTAACAGTCAGTGCTCTAGGCCATTGATTGATTGATTGTCAGAATCAGAAGTGACTACACAAGAGCATTAGCCAGACTTTTCAGTGAGAACAGGTAACAGGCTGGCACCAGCACTTGGTACAGCACGTGGACAGGACGACGGAACCCAGAGTTCTCTGTCTCTCCTTCACAGCAGATGGACTCTTCTATAGGTGGCTGTTAATTTACACAAAGTTATATTCCAGAATCAGGAAGCCCCGCTGTCGCCAACACTTGAAGGAGAACTATGTTCCAGTTTTGGTGTTGAACTTCTCACGAAATACCTACTACCAAAAATTGTGACACCTTATTAGACACTTCCAAAGTACCCCCCAAAAGCTGTTTAAAAGACCATTCCATTTTTTCCTACACAAAGTGCATACTAAAATTTCACAATAATCATCTTCAGATGTACATTTTATTTAGTACATTTCACAGTTTTCAGTATTCAGTCCCTCATGAACATTTTATAGTCATCTCTTCGGCCCTGTTGTGAAATATGTGATTCCAGTTCAATTCAGAGTGTATGATTCCGCTTTTCACGCTGATCAAGTAAATTTATGGTGTCTCTTTTCTGATCTTCAACATTAAAAACTAAAAAGGAAAAACACATAATATTCTATAGAGTATTAAATGAGATACTAGCCCTAGGCAGGTCCCATTTTCTTATCAACTTCTAGAAACTGTCATAAAGAGGACTGCATCTCCCACAGCAACACTGTAATTGGGAGTTGTATTCCTCATCAAGGACAAGATGGCAACGGTGATATGGGAGGGGGACAGGGAAGTGCTGGGTAGAGAAGGGCAGGGTCACTGGCAAGGGCTCCACCCTCAGGCTTGTGCCCATGGACCTAATGAGAACAAGGACTCCTGTCTTCTTGCCCAAATGTTGCATTTTCCAAGACCACTCTGGCCTGCCATGCCACCCATTCTGTGCCTATAAAAACCCTGAGACCCCAGCGGGCACACACACAAGCGGCTGGACGTCAAGAGGAACACACTGGCAGAAGAACACATCGAAAGACGCTGGCAGGCCATTGATGGTGGAACGATTCGGACGCCAAGGGAAATTCGGCCAAGGACAGTAGGAGATCCCGGCTGCTGAGCAGCCAGACTCCAGAGGAAGACTACCTTCCCATGCTATCCCCCTTCTGGCTCCCCAGCCATCTGCTGAGAGCTACTTCCACCACTCAATAAATCTTGCATTCATTCTCCAAGCCCACATGATCTGATTTTTTCAGTACACTAGGGCAAGAACCTGGGATACAGAAAGCCCTCTGTCCTTGCGATAAGGCAGAGGGTCTAATTGAACTGATTAACACAAGCTGCCTGTGGACAGCTAAGCTGAAAGAACGCACTGCAACACACACCCAGTGGGGCTCCAGGAGCTGTAACCACTCAACCCTAGATGCTGCCGCGGGGTTGAAACCCATCCTCCCCACAACCTGTCCGTCCGCATGCTTCCCCTAGGGGTTTGAGCTGTGGGGCACTGAAGAAGAAAGCCATACCCCCATTGCATGCCCTGTGAAGGGGATAAGGGAACTTTTTTTTTTTTTTTTTTTTTTTTGAGACGGAGTCTGGCTCTATCACCCAGGCTGGAGTGCAGTCGTGCGATCTCAGCTCACTGCAAGCTCCACCTCCGGGGTTCACGCCATTCTCCCGCCTAAGCTTCCCGAGTAGCTGGGACTACAGGCGCCCGCCACCACGCCCGGCTGATTTCTTTTTGTTGTTGTAGTTTTAGTAGAGGCGGGTTTTCACCCTGTTAGCCAGGATGATCTCGATCTCCTGACCTCGTGATCCGCCCGCCTTGGCCTCCCAAAGTGCTGGGATTACAAGCGTGAGCAACCACGCCCAGCTGGAACTCCTCCCCTTTCAAAGTGTCCAAATGGATGACCAACAATGTGCCATGAAACAAAGCTGAAGCACCTAAAGATTCCATACTTGTTTGTAACAGTGACATAATGCCCCATATGCCATAGAAAATGGACAGTATCAAGTGCACTCATGACATTTTAAATATAATCACCACGCTCCTGTGCGGCGTGACTCCCTTGCTACTGCACTTCTAATGGCACACGCTGCCTCCTGAGAGCTGTCTGCAGCTTCAGACAGCTCTTGTGACTCCAAAGCTCTCCCTTTACAGAGCTGATGTCTGTATGTAGCTTCTACCATCTGATCTTACTCTATCCTTTTAACACACAGAAAACATAAAAAGGCACATCACAAATAAAACCTAAAACCACGGTCTTGATTTATAACTATGGCACATTAAATGGTAGTTTAATGACCATTAAATACCTGCCATATTAAATTAACGGTATCTGTTAAAGGCTCTTAATAAAGTTGGAGCTAATGCTTTTTTCTTCTAATTTCCCTGGAGCAAGTAAGGTCTCACTGTTTCAATGACACAATCTTAAAATAATGTTGAAGCTGATGTTGACATTTCTTCAGCTTCTTCAAAGAGCTGACAAGGCACTCATTTTCTTTACCTTACCTACTTACTTTGTTTAAAACCTTGCACAAGGTCAAGTCCTTAGGACACCTGAGTGTAGGGAATGAGAGATCCAAAAAGGCTTCACCGCAAAGCCCATCATTTAGTAGGAAACTAGGCCCAATTTAAAAGGTGGTTAGAGCCGGGGTGGTGGCTCACACCTGTAATCCCAACACTTTGGGAGGCTGAGGCAGGCAGATCACCTGAGGTCAGGATTTCGAGACCAGCCTAGTGGACATGGTGAAACTCTGTCTGTACTGAAAATACAAAATTAGCTGGGCATGGTGGCATGAGCCTGTAATCCCAGCTCCCAGCTACTCAGGAGGCTGAGGCAGGAGAATCACTTAAACCCAGGAGGCGGAGACTGCTGTGAGCCAGGATTGTGCCATTGCACTCCAGCCTGGGCAAGAAGAGTGAGACTCTGTCTCAAAAAAAAAAAAAAAAAAAAAAAAGAATAGAAGTAAGACAGTGACCAGACCGTGAAACATGCTCAAGAACATAAATGAGTGGAGTCAATGACAACAGAGAGTTTGTATTTGCTTCAAAGTCTGGCTGCTAGTGTATTTTGCCATTTGCCTTTTTAAAAAATTGCCTAAATGAAGACAGCTGAAAATTCAAATTAGGACTTGGATTCTAAAAATTCCAAACAACTCTGCCAATTGAAACAACTGACATCCTGGAGAAATATAAAAGATAATTTTTAGGGGGACATTGTTGAAAAATCAGACAAGCACAGATTGAGGGACTTTCAACCAAATAACTGAGCCACTACCCTTCAAAAAAGACCAACAACATAAATGATAAACTGCTCCACGATAAAGAACACTAAAGAGGTCTGACAATAAATGCAGTGTATAATCCTGAACCCAGAAAAAAAGACATGAATTGGACACTCACTAAATTTCAACAAAGTCTACAGATTAGATAATAGCATTGTATAAACATTAATTTCCTTATTTTGGTAATTTTACTGTGGTTATATAAGATGTTAACATTTGGGGAACCTGGGTGAAGGGTATACAGAAATTTTTTGCTTTTTAAAGAAGTCTAGATTATTTCAAAATGAAAAGGTAAAAAAAATG
The DNA here is from genome assembly GCF_000001405.40 of Homo sapiens. NCBI lineage: Eukaryota > Metazoa > Chordata > Mammalia > Primates > Hominidae > Homo > Homo sapiens. The sequence goes on from NC_000009.12 coordinate 86,030,873, forward strand.
TAAGTATTAAAACATTAAATGAATAATGCATTGCCCAGATGGTAATAAAAGAAGGTATTGTTAGCCAGACGTGGTGGCTTACGCCACCCAGCACTTTGGGAGGCCAAGGCAGGCGGATCATGAGGTCAGGAGATGGAGACCATCCTGGCCAATATGGTGAAACCCCGTCTCTAATAAAAATACAAATATTAGCTGGACGTGGTGGCGTGCGCCTCTAATCTCAGCTGCTCGGGAGGCTGAAGCAGGAGAATCGCTTGAACCCGGGAGGCAGAGGTTGCAGTGAGCCGAGATCGCACTACTGCACTCCAGCCTGGGCAACAGAGTGAGACTCCATCTGAGGAAGAAAAAAAAAAAGGGCATCGGCAGGATCAGCAAGGCCGAAACTGAAGTGAAGTAGTTGTTACAACGACTCCTGCTGCCCTGAGGATTTCTGCTGAATTCTGAAGTTTATGATGATATTTTAAAAGCAGTTACCCTCAGAGAAGATGGGGAAGTAATTCATAGTCATGAAAACTGTTAAAAAGGAAAGAAATCAAGCATTTATCCTATCTACCTTATACAAACAATACCACTGAGGTTTTTTTTTTTTTTTTTTTTTTTTTCCCCGAGACGGAGTTTCACTCTTCTTGCCCAGGCTGGAGTGCAATGTCACAATCTCGGCTCACTGCAACCTCTGCCTCCCGAGTTCACGCGATTCTCCTGTCTCAGCCTCCCAAGTAGCTGGGATTACAGGCATGTGCCACCACGCCTGGCTAATTTTCTTGTATTTAGTAGAGACGGGGTTTCACCATGTTAGTTAGGCTGGTCTCAAACTCCTGACCTCAGGTGATCCACCATCCTCGGCCTCCCAAAGTGCTGGGTTACAGGTGTTAGCCACCACGCCCAGCTGAAGTGTCTATTTCTAAGAACATTCCAATTAACAAATAACATAAAAATGAATTGATACAGGCATTGACCATCAACTGGCATCACAAAAAGAAAGACGCCAGGTTGCAGTCAGCCAAGATCGCGCCACTGCACTTCAGCAAGGGTGACAGAGCGAGACTCCATCTCAAAAAAAAAAAAAAAAAAAAAAAAAGACGCCAGACATGACGTGCCTCCCGATGAAAGAACCAAAGAACACACCACCACTCACCTTACCGAGGGCTTGAGCCAGGACCTGAGTCTCATCAAGTCTCTGGGTATAGCTGCCACTCTACAGAAAACAGAGACCAGGCGAACTCACTCAACTCCCCCATGACTCTATAATCAGCAGTATTCAGGCTGTGGGAAACTACAGTCACATGGCTTGGATTCTTTTGTTGTTGTTGTTGAGATGGATTTTCACTCTTGTTGCCCAGGCTGGAGTGCAGCGGTGCGATCTCAGCTCACTGCAACCTCTGCCTCCCGGGTTCAAGCGATTCTCTTGCCTCAGCCTCCCGAGTAGCTGGGACTACAGGCGCCCACCACCACGCCTGGCTAATTTTTTCTCTTTTTAGTAGAGACGGGGTTTCACCGTGTTAGCCAGGATGGTCTCAATCTCTTGACCCGCTGATCTGCCTGCCTTGGTCTCCCAAAGCGCTGGGATTACAGGTGTGAGCCACCACACTTGGCCCAGAAAAATGAATTTTAAGAAAGAATACTATGAGTCCATAGTGATACCAAAACAAACAAGTGTGTTGGAGGAGGGAGAGGAGTTCCTTAAAAAATGTCAGGTAATAAATGTGCTGTGATGGCAGCATGTAAAATGTCACCACTTGGGCAATGTTCATCAATGGATGGTAAAGCTACACAAGTTCAAAGCATCCTCTTCTAGATGACGTATTAATATCAAAAGGAAAATGGCCTTCTGAGACCTTGTGGGCACCATGTTAGCTAAGGGATCAACCAATCACCTGTAGGACCACCTGCTGTTATGCCTCCTGGGGAGAAGCAAGAATTCATCAGCCTGAATCCACCACAAGCAAACAGACAAGGCCAGAGTTTGATACATTCTACAAGATACTGGCCTGGACTCTTCAAAAATTCAAAATAATAATACAAAGGGCAGCTTTCATAGCTGCTTGGAAGCTCTATGCACATACTGGGGCTTCTCATCTGGGAGGCAGACTGATCAAGTAGTGACCTAGCCATTTTGTTGGGAAATCCCTAAATGTCACTGAAAAATCATCCTACTTAAAGAGTTGAGCCACACTGAATATGTTTCTAGAAACGATGCAGACTTTCCGAATGGTTTTCATCACCTTGGGCTTCTCAACCCTCACTTCCCTCCACTGCCCCTGGTTTAAAAGCTCCTAAAGAACAGACGATCTCCTTGAAATGACCCATTAATTACAATATAATTTTGGGGATTCATTGGATAATCACGGTGAAGGACCAGGAAAGAGAAATGAAAGGTGACCTCGTCACCGATGTAGGCCCCATTCTTACCATCTATGTTTCTGTCATTCCCTGCCAGGGCTGCTTGCTTGTCTGTCTCAGATTCTGCTTCATTTTCATCCATGTTGTAGTCATCTTCTCCTCTCAGTTTCTGCTGGTTTCTCCCTGTAAAATTAGCACATAAAACATAAGCTACATCATTTCTGTCTTGATGTCACAGGACTATCAGAGCACAAGTGCTGGGGGTTAGCCATACTTGCTCACAATCAGATCTGTCTGCTGCCTCTCTGGAAATGGTAGGGACGCAAGGGCTGGCTTCCAGGACAAGCACATGCATTATGTGTACTCCACTTGGACTCGGAATCTACAGACAGCATGGCCCTAAATACAAGGGTGCATTCTAGGCAGAACATGGAGAAACTAACAACCCAAATCTCAATTTTTTAAAGAGATAATCAACTCAAGATAAAAGAAAGGTGCCACTGTTTTAGGAAGGAACGGATATCTACAGCTAATGACAGCATCTCCTTAGAATGGAGAGAGGAAATGGAGCTGCCACTGTGAGACACGTGAGAAGGTGTCCCTCATACTTAGAGCATGAGAGCACCCATTACTCTATTCTTCCCTGGAGTGGGCAGCAGCCAGAGAAGATGAGGACAAAAGGCTTTCAAGAGACCTACTCAAAGGGTTTAACTTACATATTTTATATGTGTATGCAGGCTGGTAAACAAAATCTTTTTTTTTTTTTTTTTGAGATGGAGTCTCACTCTGTCGCCCAGGCTGGAGTGCGGTGGCGTAATCTCGGCTCACTGCAACCTCCGCCTCCGGGGTTCAAGCGATTCTCCTGCCTCAGCCTCCCGAGTGGCTGGGATTACAGGCACGTGCTGCCATGCCCAGCTAATTTTTGTATTTTTAGAAGAGATGGGGTTTCACCATATTGGCCAGGATGGTCTTGAACTCCTGACCTCATGATCCGCCCACCTCGGCCTCTCAAAGTGCTGGGATTACAGGCATGAGCCACTGCGCCCGGCCAAACAAAATCTTTTTTAAAAGTGCACACCTGGAAAAGCAGCTCTAGTCTCTTTCTCTGGCTCACTGCCTGGGGTGGAAACTGCACAGGCCTATGTGTCCACCGCGTTTCTTCAAATGAGGTCACCACACCTGCATCTAGAAGCAGGTGCATCCTGCAGGCACTGTGGCATCTCAGGCCCACCTTTGTTACGCTTTGTGACCAGCCGCTGAGGGGTCTGACACTGGAGCGCCACAGGCTGAGCGAGCCAGTGAGATCTCCCCGCCTCACACACCACAAGCATCTTCTTGCTGGGTGAGCACGGAACACAAGGACAGAGCAGGGATACTTAGGGGGAGGCTGACAAAATCCAATTCTTTAACTGGAACTTGGAAGGACACGTTCTTCAGTAAGACACTGAAGTGAAAATTAGATTTAAATGGAATCAAGGTAACTTCTGCAAATAAGTGTATTCTCCAACTTCTGTGACTTGGTCCACCCCAGAGCGCAGGTGTCATGTCCTCAGAAGTGTTCCTGGCTCAGGTGGGAAGGACATTTTCCATATCTGAAGGGACTGAAATACATCCTGGAATAGTCGGTTGATCTCCAATTCCTACCCTTTATTTCTTTAAAAAGAAAAGAGTCAACCAAACCAAAAAGGAGTGATTCACATGTCATTTTTTCTCAATGTTCACATATGCATTAACCTTCATCTACCCAATATTCCTTCCTTCCTTCCTTCATTCATTCACTAGGCACTGATTGTCTAAATGGCACCAGACACTGCACGACGGTGGACATACAAAAATGGGGCATGTGGCCTGCCTGCCAGGAGGGGGCGTCCACTTGATGCTAAGCACCCATCTGCAGGCCATCCACTTGCAAGGTCCCCTCGACTCCCTGCCAATATTGCATCTAAAACCTCGAGTTCTAGAGCATATGCTGCTCTTCCTTCCTGCCTCCCTCTTGATAACGAATAAGAAACCTTCAAACGAAAAGGAATTGGCAAATTGTGGACTGCTGTTTGGTAAAATTCAGGGTGATATGTTGGTGCTGGGAAGGACATGGAGGTGGGCTGGGTGTCTGGTGGAAGGGAGTCCACAGCGGCCCCCGAAACTTCACACCCACCTTCCCCGGCAGCTTCCTGCTCCTCCTCCTGTCCGTCGGGGATGACAAGCTGGTCTCGCTCAGGGCCCTCCATCTCTGGATTTTCCTGGCTCACTGACAGGGCAGCCTGCACCTGTGGGGTCTGGCCCAGTTCTCCGGCTCCCCCGAAGCCTCTTCCACCTACAGGTCTGTCTTCCACCACCTGCTCCCGGCCTGGCTCCTGCGGCAGCCTGTCCCTCTGAGGCTCCTCATTCACCACCTGGATCTCATTGGTTTCCTCTGTGCACAGAACACAGTTAGCTGTGACCTTGCCAGCATTTGATTTAAAAAAAAAAAAAAAAAAAAAAGCAAAACCTGGTGCCACTCAATTCCCAGAGCCTTCCCAAGGAGTGGGGGTGGGGTGGGCTGCACACAGGAGAACAACCAGGTAGCTCCTTTTGTGACCTCAGCCACAGACTGCAGGCCTTTCTGTGCCTGCAGCTCATCGTCAGAACCGCGACAAAGGGAAAAGTAGCTTACCAAAAAAAAAAACAAAACAAAAAAAAAAAAACACCTGGACTAAATTACCTTGACAAGGTACAAAGGGAAAAGGGTATCCTGCTGAGTGACCTGATCATCGGGTCCGCTGGAGCAAGCACTTGGGAGCCAGGGCAGGCAGGCCCACCCAGGGCTTGCTCACAGACACAGCAGCCTCCTGGTTCCCAGTGTCTGGGGCTCAGCCGCCTCCCCCGAGTCCCACAAGCCCACCAATGTCCTGCATAAAGGTGCAGCCTGGGCCTTTCTCTACACAGCTGCCCAGGAACAAGGCACTTCGTTTACAAGGAGGAGACATCTGTCAGAGAAGCCCCAAAGCCCCAATTCCAGGGGCCCAGAGAGACACGTCCCTGCTCCTGGCTGCGCCGCTGCCGGGTTCACTGACTGCCTCAGCAGCTCGCTGGGACTGCTTCCTCTGATGGGGCTCTGGAGAGCTGGGAACAGGGCAACTGCTGGGCTCTGCTTACCTTTCTCAACTTGTCTCTTTGAATCCAAAACCACTTCGGAACTGGGGGCTGGTGTCTGGGACTTGCTGTTACCAAGCACGTTTCCCTTCCCTTGTGGCACCTCTGTGTGTGGCAGGCCTGCTGCCTGCAGCCTGGGCTGAGGCTCACTGAGGGCTTGGAGCTGAAACAGAAGCACAGGACAGCCAGCCAGGGCAGGGCTCTGTGAACAGAAGCCGTAAAAGAATCCTACCAATGCAATGAATCCCACCAATCCCACCACCATATCCTTCCAACCAAGACCCCGAGAAACGCCACAGTCTACTCTGGTCACGCCCTGGTCATGTGGCGTAAATCAGAAGACAAGAGGTTGAGTCAAGGTCTCCCAGAAAGTACTGTCAATACAGAATAAAACTGGGCAGTGATTCTGCTGAGAGGAAGCATTTACGGAATAATAAAATACCTAGGCGGAAGATCAACAACAAAAAAGACATGAACGACACAATACTCCTTGACGAAACAAACATCTGCAGAACCCTCAGCCTAGCAAGGGCAAACACACCTGCTTCTCAGGCACACACACAATATTTTCCAGGATGGACAAATGGCAGGCCACAAAGCAAGCCTCCATACACTTAAATATTTAACTAAAATCACACAAAGTAAATTAATAGAAATGGAATGGATTATAAATCAATAACAGGATGAAACTTATGACATTTGCAAATATTTGGAAATTAAACAACACACTCCTAAATAACCAGTGAGTCCAACAATAAACCACAACACAAATTAGAAAATGCTTGGACAGCCAGGCGCGGTGGCGCACACCTGTAATCCCAGCACTTTGGGAGGCCGAGGCAGGCAGATCACCAGAGGTCAGAAGTTTGAGACCAGCCTTGCCAACATGGTGAAACCCCATCTCTACTAAAAATACAAAAATTAGCCAGGTGTGGTGGCAGGCACCTGTGATTCCAGCTACTTGGGAGGTGAGGCAAGGAGGTGATTTCCAGCTGAGGCAGGAAAATCGCTTGAACCTGGGAGGTGGAGGTTGCAGTGAGCCAAGATCATGCCATTGCATTCCAGCCTGGGGCGACAGAGCGAGACTGTCTCTCAAAAAAAAAAAAAAAAAAAAGAAAATGCTTTGCCACAAAACAAAAACACAGCATACCAAAACTTATGGGAAGCAGCTCCAGCAGTGCTTAGAAGAAATGTACACCTTCAAGCATCTGTATTAGAAGACTTCCAGTTTTCTGTTCCTCACGTGAGAAGCTTAAAAGTCACCACTTAGTCCTAACAAGTAAAAAACTAAACAGACTGAAAAGTTATCAGCTCTTCTTGGATCCATAGGAGAGGTGAGGACAGAGTGTAAATCACTGTCCTTAAGCCTGGAGACAGACAGCCCAATACAGAGAGTCCCGGCTCACCAGGACAGGCTTGGGCAGACATCACCACGGGAACTGGTGTCAGGGTGGGAGAGCCTGACCCTGTCATTTATGAACTGTTTGAGGCTCAGTGTGGATGAGTCTGAGAGTTAAAAACCTGCCCCAGCCAGGCGTGGTGGCTAATGCCTGTAATGCCAGTACTTTGGGAGGCTGAGACGGGCTGATCACCTGAGGTCGGGAGTTCAAGACCAGCTTGACCAACATGGAGAAACCCCGATATACTAAAAAATACAAAATTAGCCAGGTGTGGTAGCGCATGCCTGTAATCCCAGCTACTCGGGAGGCTGAGGCAGGAGAATTGCTTCAACCCGGGAGGCAGAGGTTGTGGTGAGCCAAGATTGCGCCATTGCACTCCAGCCTGGGCGATAAAAGCAAAACTCCAACACCAAAAGAAAAAAAAAAAAAAGAAAAAGAAAAAACCTGCCCCAGTCATAAGGGACTCCCATACTTATGAGTTTTACCCCTAGGAGCTCAACCAGGCTCTCAGTGAATATTAGAGAAAGGCTCTCAGTGAACATCAGAGAAAAATCGGCTTGTGCTTCCAGCAGTGTGGCGGGGAAAGGAACCATTCTGAAACAGGCCAGAGTGCTCTATTCTCCTTAACCAGGCCGGCCCTCACGAGGAGCGCATTACCCAGAGCTCCTGCGGGCATATTATCTGAGCCTAACTGACCTGGGGGAATGAAACACCCAACTCCAGTAAGCTCTAGACTTCCACGTGGGAGAAGGAAGCTACTCAACTCCAGCCCATTCCAGCCACTTTGTCCCACTGGGGTAGGGAGTGGGTACTGAAGAGAAGCATAGGGGACATTCACAGCCAAGGGACTCAGGCTCACTAAAACACTCAGGCTCACTAAAAACCCTCATACTTACAGCACACTGATTTCTGACAAAGGTGCCAAGACAATTCAGTGGGGGAAAAGCAGTCTTTCTTTCAACAAGTGATTACTGAGACAACTTGATAACCGCACACACACAAGAATGAAGTGGGAGCTCTACCTCACACCATATGCAATAATTAAATTAACTGAAAATGAATCACAGGCTTAAACGTAAGAACTAAGAACGATAAAACTCTGAGAAGAAAATGTAACAGTAAATCTTCAAGATCTTGGGTCAGGCAAAGTGTTACTAGATATAATACCAAGAACACACAACAAAAGAAAAAATAAATAAAATGGGGATTTTGTCAAAATTAAGAACTTCTGTGCTTCAACTAAACACCAGCAAGAAAGTGAAAAACCCCACAGAATTGGGAAAAAAAACTTGCAAATCATATATCCATTATCATATATCTTTAATAAAATAGATTTTAAAAACTCTTACAATTCAATAATAAAAATAACTCAATTAAAAAATGAGCAAAGGACCCAAATAGACATTTCTTCAAAGAAGATATACAAATGGCCAATGAAACATGTGAAAAGATGCTGAATATCATCAGGGATATCACAGTTATTAGGGAAATGCAAACCCAAACAACGAGCTGCCACTCCACACCTGCTAGGAAGGGTATCATGAAAAAGGTAGTATCAAGAGTTGGCAAGGATGTGAAGAAACTGGAGCCCTCATAAACTACTGGTGGCAGTCGAAAATGGTATGGCCACTTTGGAAGAAGTCTGGGAGTTCCTCAATAGGTTAAATATAGATTACCATATAACCCAGCAGTTCCACTCCTAGGTATTAACCAAGAGAAATGAAAACATATGACCACACAAAAGCTTCATGTTCATACGGCATTATTCATAATAGCCAAAACATGGAAACACTCCAAATGCCCATCAACTGATGATGAATAATCCACATGTGGTCTATCCACAGGATGGATTAATCAGCCATTAAAGGGAATGCAGTACAGACACATGCTGCAACCCCGATGAGCCCTGAGGTATTCATACTCAGTCAAAGATACCAGACAGTCCGGGCGTGGTGGCTCACGCCTGTAATCCCAGCACTTTGGGAGGCCGAGGTGGGTGGATCACTTGAGGTCAGCCGTTCAAGACCAGCCTGGCCAACATGATGAAACCCCGTCTCTACTAAAAATACAAAAATTAGCCAGGTGTGGTGGTGGGTGCCTGTAATCCCAGCTACTCGGGAGGCTGAGGCAGGAGAATCGCTTGAACCTGGGAGGCAGAGGCTGCAGTGAGCTGAGATCGCGCCACTGCACTCTGGCCTGGGTGAGAGAGCGAGATGCCCTCTCAAAAAAAAAAAAAAAAAGTCAGACACAAAAGGCCACACATATATGATTCTATTGACAGGAAATTGTCCAGATTAGGCAAATCAAGAGACACAAAGTACATTAGCAGTTGGCTGTCTAGGGCTGTGGGGACTGAAGAGAGAACTAAGGGATACACGGTTTCTTTTGTGCCAATAAAAATGTTCTGAAATTGACTGTGGTGATGGCTGCATAACTTTGTGAATATACTCAGAACCCATGAATTGTAAATTTTCTATGGGTGAATCATAGGGAATGCAAATTATATCTTAATAAAGCTGCTATATTTTTAAAAAACTACTCAAAGATCACCCAGAAGGCTTCAAGCAGCAGCTTCGTGGGCTGTGCTCTGCACAGGAGGTGGAATGACAGCACGAGACATGGAGTCGGCCAGACCTGAGGTCTTGATGGGCTCTACCACTGACCAGGTGGTGTGACACTGGCCACAGAACTTAACCCCTCCCATGGGGCTGGGGTCCTCAAGTCAGGAAAACAGCAACTCTCTCCCAGGCTGGCTGCGAGCTTTAAATACGATAATTCCCGTAAAGCCCTGAGCTTGTGAAGCGGGGCTGGAGGTCAGAACCCTTGGTTAGGGTCCAGTCATCCCAGTACCAGGTTCTGCTCTGTTATATCTCAGGGAGCCAAGCCCGCAAAGGAGGGCAGAATCCAGAGAAAGCCAGGCGGCACATAAAAGAAACAAAATGCCTGAAGATAGGGGTACCTTCTAGAAACTCTTGGCAAAAATTCCCCAGTTACCTGCTGTCTCTGGTCGTTGTTTTCACTCAGGTCTCTGGAAGCTACAGCTTCATTCCCCTTTTTGGTGACCTCTTCTATTCGCTCCTCACACTGTTCCTTCACCTCCTTCATCTGATTGATGCACTGGCTCCTTTGGTGAAAGAAAGCAAAGGAAGGGCCTGACGTCTATGACTGTGTCTCTGCTGGACGGTGACATCCACTTCCATAAGAGACACAGACCCTCTTCCTGCTTCAGGCACTTCATCTGAAGAGGGCACTTAAGACAGGGCAACACGGGTGTGTGTTCAACAATTAAATGACCAAAAGAAACACACTAAAAATCATCATCCCATTGTTCTAAAACAGTGAACTTTACTGATTAGGCAGAAAATTTTTTTTTAACATACAATCTGTAGAATAATAAAAAAAATATGTATTGGTCTTTGTCCCTGGCTACTGGCACAGAGCTCTTAAAAGCCTTGGAAGTTCCTGAGTGGATATCTGGCGATTCACAAGCCCCTCTGGACCATACTTGAGTTTATACTAATAAGGGGGTCTTGGAGGTGGGGAAGGATGGGCGTCAGATAGTTTCAGGACAGAGGCTGACTGCCAGAGGAACTAGCCACATGACTGGAAAGTTGGAACTTTCAGCTCCACCTCCTCCAGGGAAGGGAGGAGTGGAGATTGAGTTCAACCCTGTGGCCGATGGTGTAATCAATCATGCCTACATAAAACACTCAGACAAACTCCGGACCAGAAGGCTTGGGGAGCTTTCTGGCTGGGGAGCCTAACGATGCACTGGATGGGGGCGGCTGACTCCACAGGGCAGCCGTTCCTGTCTCCCCCCGGCGCCTGCCCTCACCTTAGGACTCTACCACTGGGCTGTTCTGTAAAAGTCAAAACAGCTTTCCTGAATCATGTGACAGTCATCCTGGCAAATTATCAAACTGAGGGGGTGGCGGGTAACCCTAAAGCTGTAGCCAGCCAGGCAGAAGTGAGGGTGGCTAGGGGACACATCAAGACTTGTGGCTGGCATCTGAGGTGGGAGCAGTAGTATGGGAGGGAGCCCCTTAACCTAGGGGGTCTGTGCTAAGTGGGTAGTATCAAAACTTGAACTGGGGCCAGGCGCAGTGGCTCACGCCTGTAATCCCAGCACTTTGGGAGGCTGAGGCGGTGGATCACGAGGTCAGGAGATGGAGAGCATCCTGGCTAACACGGTGAAACCCTGTCTCTATTAAAAACACAAAAAATTGGCTGGGCATGGTGGCGGGCTCCTGTAGTCCCAGCTACTCGGGAGGCTGAGGCAGGAGAATGGCGTGAACCCGGGAGGCGGAGCTTGCAGTGAGCCGAGATCGCGCCACTGCACTCCAGCCTGGGCGACAGAGCGAGACTCCGTCTCAAAAAAAACAAAACAAAACTTGAACTGGAGGACACTCGGTTGAATTGCTATTGCATTGCTTCAGCTTGCTGCCTGGATTTATTTTAAGAGTATTTTGACAAGTGCCAGAGCTATGAAGTAATTAAGAGAATTACCCACTCGTTTTGCAAATAAGAATACTAAGGGGTGACATGGTTGTCTGGCATGGACCAGGGTCAGAGGGAGGTGGAAACTGAAGCCAGACTCCAGGGCTCCTTACTGTTGTGCCCTCTCCACCACACAGCTCACCTTTTCTGAGTTGCAGGCATTTCAGAGCCAAATGTGAGTGAGTACTACATCAACCTCTGACTCTTGGAATATACCCTTGAGTTCAAAGCACCACTGGGTCACAATGTACCACACACAGAGAAGGGAACCAGGTGCTATGGAAATAATGCAGTGCCGAGTTCCTGACCTTGAACAGCTGACAGATCAGGTGAAAATTTCATTTAAATACAATTCTCACAAATATACAAGCCACAGGTGGTAGATTAGTGCACAGGAGCTGAAACATAGCGAACAAAAAGCTGTCTGTATACTGTAGAACTAAATGAGCAGGTCGTTTGCTATCCCTGAACCTTTAAACCTGCAAAAGGGAAGTACTGATTGCACCTGCTCCCAGCCCTGCTAAAATCAAGTACGAAGAGCCTTTATCTCACAGCCTTGCAGATCAACTGGGGCTTTCCATGTTCCAACTTGAGAGCCAGGAACAAACTACCTCCATCCTCAATTCTGAGACAAAGGTCATGCAGATTGTGACAGTGTTTCTTCCTGAGGACTTAGGTTGGCTTTTTCTTACATGTAAGTGGCAAATATTCCAGCACTAACTGGAGCTAAATTGGAGAGGAATACAGGACTTGGCCACTAGTGATTATTCTAACTGGTGCAATTGATGGCCAGAGTACCACTGATGGAATGTGTTCAAGTACAAGGATCTATCAGGGCAGGTGATCCCATCACCCAGGGCACCGACCATCACTGTATTACTTTATATGCCAGTGTCAACATTGGAAACTGTCTCCTCATAGCAGGGAGATGAGATGGCGAGCGGTTCATCTCATGTGCTGACTCCAGGTGCTTCAGGGAGAAAGAACGCAAGGCTATTTTCGGATGGAGTGCAGTGATTGCTTAGTGATGCCTGCCACAGGTGTAGGAGAGTAAAAAGTGGGATGTGTGCTGACTGATTCAAACGGAAAGAACACTACCTTGTACATCAGGAAACCTGGCCTCTCCATCAGCTTTTGTGTTCTCGGCACTGCCTTCTATAGAAGGATTAGACCAGACAGGATGTTTTAAGGGAGGGCGTGCAGATATGTTTCAGAGGCCCATATAATTTGCACAAATTGCACACTTTAGGCAGGTGTCCATTTATAAGTTTGCTAACAAAGTGTTCGTACTTTTTATCAGATTCTCTAAAAGGGCCTATAATCCAAAGAAAGTGAAGAATAACTAGCTTTTTTTTGCTTCCAACACTCCACGAACATTATCCCTGGGAAGCACTGCATATCTGGTACACGGCCTTGGGCACAAGTAGTGAAATAGGCACAGTCAGCCAGAAAGAGCTTTCAATCTAGGTATCAACCTGCCAGGAGCAAAAGGAGTGCATCCTACATGTGTCTCCAGCCCAGCTCAGAGGTGTCCACCCATCGCCTCGGCCCAAGCTTTCCTACATGGGGAGCAGAGATTCCTTCCCTGTCACTGGATCCTGACTGATTGCCAGCTAGGTCAAAACCTTCTCGGCCAACATTTATCAAGTGAGGCCATTTATGGCTTTTTGTGTTTCAATCTATATGAGGGAAATATTTGCATTAAGGTTTCTTTAAGGATGAATAATAAGACTGAGGTACTTCATTTCTGTCTAAATGCAATTCTTTAATTATGAGCCTAACTCAAGGTTTCTCAACCTTAGCACTGTATATGTTTTAGGCCAGATAAAACGTGACTGTGGGAAGCTGTCTTGTGGATTATAGGATGTTTAGCAGTGTCCCTGACCTCTACCCACTAGATGCCAGTAGCAGCCTCCTTGTAAGCCATGACAGACAAAAATGTCTCCAAACATTGCCAAAGGCCTACTGGGGACAAGACTGCCCCCACGTGAGAACCACTGGCATAGCTGAATAAGATTCCACACACAAGTGACAATCACATTTCCCTTCTATTGACTGGCTGCTCATGTCCTCTACAGAGACGTGTACTTGGGGCTTCATGTTTTCAGTTGTATGTGGTTATAAAGTTAGTAGGAAGATATTACGGCAGGTGGACAATGTTTTGGAGGAACATGGAAATGCCGAAGAACGCAATGCACGTGAGGCAACTGATTCTCCCAGGTTGCTGGTGACCACACAGATGGCTCAAATCCTTTCAGAATGCAATTTGACAATTCACACCCAGCAACAAGCTAAACTACAGATGAGCCTTTTAGAAGGAAATAATCCAAAATGGTAATTTTTAAGACAATTAGGAGCTATACGGATGTTTTAAATATAATGCAAGTAATGTAATTTTTTAAATTTAAAAATTAAAAAATAAGAGGCTGGCCGGGCACAGTAGCTCACACCTGTAATCCCAGCACTTTGAGAGGCGAAGACGAGCAGATCACTTGAGGTCAGGTGTGCGAGACCAGCCTAGCCAACAAGGTGAAACCCCATCTCTACTAAAAATACAAAAATTAACCAGGTGTGGTGGCACGTGCCCATAATCCCAGCTACTCGGGAGGCTGAGGCAGGAGAATCACTTGAACCAGGGAGGCAGAGGTTGCAGTGAGCTGAGATCGTACCACTGCACTCTAGCCTGGGAAACGAGCTGTGAAACTCCATCTCAAAAAAAAAAGAGGCTATAGCTAATGTGTTGTCATTATTTAGGAGACAAATTATGGCAATGGATATTTTTATCCTTAAAATCCCTTTTATCATCGCATGTCTATCTAATTTTACTTTTATAAATAAAATTTTTGTGGCTGGGTGCGGTGACTCATGCGTGTAATCCCAGCACTTTGGGAGGCTGAGGCAGGCAGATCATGAGGTCAGGAGTTTGAGACCAGCCTGACCAATGACAGGGTTTTAGTAGAAACCCCGGGCGTGGTGGTGGGCGCCTGTAGTCCCAGCTACTCAGGAGGCTGAGGCTGGAGAACTGCTTGAACCTGGGAGGCAGAGGTTGCAGTGAGCTGAGATTGCACCGCTGCACTCCAGCCTGGGTGACAGAGCAAGACTCTGTTTCAAAAAATAAAATAAAATAAAATGTTTGTGACTAAGAATATGGCCGGGCACAGTGGCTCACACCTGTAATCCCAGCACTTTGGGAGGCCAAGGCAGGTGGATCACCTGAGGTCAGGCGTTCAAGAACAGCCTGGCTGACATGGTGAAACTCCATCTCGACTAAAAAAATACAAACATTAGCTGGGTGTGGTGGTGGGCACCTGTAGTCCCAGCTACTCAGGAGGCTGAGGCATGAGAACTGCTTGAACTTGGGAGATGGAGGTTGCAGTGAGCTGAGATTGTGCCACTGCACTCCAGCATGGGGGACAGCGAGACTCCGCTCAAGAAAAAAAAAAAAAAAGTATATACACACACACACACACACACGTACATAACGCAAGTAAAAAAATGATTAAATTTTTTTGATGATGACTGCAATTAAGTAAACATTCATGTGAACTTGGGCATGGACTGGAGAGAGGTAAGTCAAAGGGAAAAGGACAGTCATGAGGGCTGGGCCATGGGTGGTTGGTTCTCTCTGAATCCCAAACTTCCCACACGTTAGCTATATTGTTTTTATGAGGAAAAAATAAACACAACTTTATCCTCTGGCTTGCAAACTGGCTTTTACTATCTTCCTGCGGGGCTTAGCTCACTTTTTAATAGTTTAATATTGCTTGGTTTTGATTATCAAAGTATTCCATTCTCACTGTAAAAATTGGGAAAATCACTGAAAAGTCTGAAGAAAACAATGTCCACAATGTGATCGCCAGGCAATAAACTATTACTATATCAATATTTTGCCAAAATGTCTTTTAGTCAACGAATTTGATTTAGCTCACGCATGAGCACCTATGAAACACATTTTTAAAGCTTTATGTTGTTGACTTAACCAGTACACCTGTGCCTTACAGAGTTTTAAGTTACATTTTAAGGCATGCTGAGAAATTCATTTCCTGCTGAGAGCTGGCCTCCTTGTGCATTTGTGTAGGACATGAATCCTAGAGGGGCCCGTGCCTTTCTCAGAGTCCCGCACGGAGCAGAAGGTGCATGCTCTATCGGAGGTTACATCTCAGCTTAATCCCCGCCTCCCAGGTGCCGTGCACCCTGCACTGTGGCACGCGCTCTGAGGTGTACTCACAGGTCGTAGGAGAACTTCCTCTCCAGGTTGGTCTGGTTCTTCTGAAACTGGAGGACATCCTGCTGCAGCCTGCCGTAATTCCTCTGCAGGGTCTTTAACTGGTCTACACCAAGGGGACAAGGAATTGCACAGGTCACCGGCACAGCTGTCATGCCATTCAGCCAAAATATGACAGAGGCAGACTCACACATCAGACCATAAAGGGCAAGGACAGATTGGGACAAAGGAGGGGAGAGAGAAAAAGCTGAAAACACAGTCCCTCCCCAGAGTCACTAAACCCCAGCTGTGGAGAGTGCTCTGCAAGAGCAGCAAGCCGAAAGAAGCTGCGTCTTGATCCTTTCCCAAATGTCTCTCTTAAATCTCCTTTTTGGCCGCTAGCCTTTAATGTATATTGGAAGCTTCTGTGTGCCTGTCTCTTTTGTAGACATCATAAGCCCCGAGCTGTCCCCAAAGGTCACACACACCACCCTGCCCTCATCCCTGGCCGACTCATCCTTCCATCTGTAAAACACTGATTTTTGATGTTTGGTCAGATAAGCAGCCACTCCTGCTGGACACCCTGCCCTCGGCCACCAGGCTACCTGCCAGCATCCTCCCTCGTCATTTATTCACAGCCAAGCCACTCTCCAAGGCCCTGTGCCCATTTAATCAACCAACACTCTCATCAGGGAAAGAGCGGCTTTCTTTAAGGAAATTAATCAGCCCCATCCCTGCTGCCCTGATGACTTGGCTCATAAAAGAGCCCTAGCGGACAAAGGGCCAAGCTGGGGCAGAGGGGAAGGCAGCCACCAGGCGGATACCACAGTGGGCGGCAGCAGCAGCCAGGCCCGGACACAGCCAGGACAGACAGGCCAGGACAGATGCAGGCATCCCCAAGGTGGGCCCTCACAACACTAGACCTACAATAGTCTCAGGTGGAAAATAAAGTGAAATAAAATGGAAGCGTTCCGTGAATTACGATACACACAACACGGACTCATCCCAAAAGCACACACGTGACACCCTCAAGAGACAAAGCTGTGGCGAAGAGAACAGCTGGGTGGGTGCTGGGCCTAGACAGAGAGGGGACTGGTGACTTCGCAGGGCATGGGTGGGGGGTCCTGGAGCGGTGGGCAGCTGCCATGTTGACTGCAGTGGTGATCTGCGAGACTATTTGTCAGGACTTATCCAACTGTACCCACGAGGGGTAAATGTTCTTGTATATAAACGATACTTTAATATGCGTAACTGAACACACCCCACAATCCAACTAGGCAAGAGATAACGGAATACAACTCAGCAGTCAAAGAAATGAATGACTTGTATCACAGTGACATGGACGAATCGCAAATAACTATGCTGAGAGAGAAAAGGCAGGCAAAAAATGATAACAGATGGTCTGATTCCATCTGTATGCATGTACCCAATTATTATTATTTTTTAATTATACTTTAAATTCTAGGGTACATGTGCACAACGTGCAGGTTTGTTACATATGTATACATGTGCCATGTTGGTGTGCTGCACCCATTAACTCGTCATTTACAATAGGTAATTTCTCTTAAAGCCATCCCTCCCCCCTCCCCCCACCCCACGACACGCCCCAGATGTTCCTTGCCCTGTGTCCATGTGTTCTCATTGTTCAATTTCCACCTATGACTGAGAACATGCGGTGTTTGGTTTTCTGTCCTTGTGATAGTTTGCTCAGAATGATGGTTTCCAGCTTCATCTATGTCCCTACAAAGGACATAAACTCATCCATTTTTATGGCTGCATAGTATTCCATGGTGTATATGTGCCACATTTTCTTAATCCAGTCTATCACTGTTGGACATTTGGGTTGATTCCATGTCTTTACTATTGTGAATAGTGCCACAATAAACATACGTGTGCATGTGTCTTTACAATAGCATGATTTATAATCCTTTGGGTATATACCCAGTAATGGGATGGCTGGGTCAAATGGTATTTCTAGTTCTAGATCCTTGAGGAATCGCCACACTGTCTTCCACAATGGTTGAACTAGTTTACACTCCCACCAACAGTGTAAAAGCATTCCTATTTCTCCACATCCTCTCCAGCACCTGTTGTTTCCTGACTTTTTAATGATCGTCATTCTAAACTGCTGTGAGATGGTATCTCATTGTGGTTTTGATTTGCATTTCTCTGATGACCAGTGATGATGAGCATTTTTTCATGTGTCTGTTGGCTGCATAAACATCTTCTTTTGAGACATGCTTGTTCGTATGCTTTGCCCACTTTTTGATGGGGTTGTTTGATTTTTTTCTTCTAAATTTGTTTAAGTTCTTTATAGATTCTGGATATTAGCTCTTTGTCAGATAGGTAGATTCAAAAATTTTCTCCCATTCTGTAGCTTGCCTGTTCACTCTGATGGTAGTTTCTTTTGCTGTGCAGAAGCTCTTTAGTTTAATTAGATCCCATTTGCCTATTTTGGCTTCTGTTGCCATTGCTTTTGGTGTTTTAGACACGAAGTCCTTGCCCATGCCTATGTCCTGAATGGTATTGCCTAAGTTTTCTTCTAGAGTTTTTATGGTTTTAGGTCTAACATTTAAGTCTTAATCCATCTTGAATTAATTTTTGTATAAGGTGTAAGGAAGGGATCCAGTTTCAGCTTTCTACATATGGATAGCCAGTTTTCCCAGCACCATTTATTAAATAGGGAATCCTTTCCCCATTTCTTTGGTCAGGTTTGTCAAAGATCAGATGGTTGTAGATTTGTGGTATCATTTCTGTGGGCTCTGTTCTGTTCCAATGGTCTATATCTCTGTTTTGGTACCAGTACCATGCTGCTTTGGTTACTGTAGCCTTGTAGTACAGTTTGAGGTCACGTAGCGTAATGCCTCCAGCTTTGTTCTTTTGGCTTAGGATTGTCTCGGCAATGTGGGCTCTTTTTTGGTTCCATATGAACTTTAAAGTAGTTTTTTCCAATTCTGTGAAGAAAGGCATTGGTAGCTTGATGGGGATGGCATTGAATCTACAAATTACCTTGGGCAGTATGGCCATTTTCACAATATTGATTCTTCCTATCCATGAGCATGGAATGTTCTTCCATTTGTTTGTGTCCTCTTTTATTTCATTGAGCAGTGGTTTGTAGTTCTCCTTGAAGAGGTCCTTCACGTCCCTTGTAAGTTGGATTCCTAGGTATTTATTCTCTTTGAAGCAATTGTGAATGGGAGTTCACTCATGATTTGGCTGTTTGTCTGTTATTGGTGTATAGGAATGCTTGTGATTTTTGCACATTGATTTTGTATTCTGAGACTTTGCTGAAGTTGCTTATCAGCTTAAGGAGATTTTGAGCTGAGACAATGGAGTTTTCTAAACATACAATCATGTCATCTGCAAACAGGGACAATTTGACTTCCTCTTTTCCTAATTGAATACCCTTTATTTCTTTCTCCTGCCTGACTGCCCTGGCCAGAACTTCCAACACTATGTTGAATAGGAGTGGTGAGACAGGGCATCCCTGTCTTGTGCCTGTTTTCAAAGGGAATGCTTCCAGTTTTTGCCCATTCAGTATGATAATGGCTGTGGGTCTGTCATAAATAGCTCTTATTATTTTGAGATACGTCCCATCAATACCTAGTTTATTGAGTTTTTAGCATGAAGGGCTGTTGAATTTTGTCAAAGGCCTTTTCTGCATCTATTGAGATAATCAATGTGGTTTTTATCTTTGGTTCTGTTAATATGATGGATTATGTTTACTGATTTGCGTATGTTGAACCAGCCTTGCATCCCCGGGATGAAGGCAACTTGATTGTGTTGGATAAGCTTTTTGATGTGCTGCTGGATTTGGTTTGCCGGCATTTTATTGAGGATTTTTGCATCGATGTTCATCAGGGATATAGGTCTAAAATTCTCTTTTTTTGTTGTGTCTCTGCCAGGCTTTGGTATCAGGATGATGCTGGCCTCACAAAATGAGTTAGGGAGGATTCCCTCTTTTTCTATTGATTAGAATAGTTTCAGAAGGAATGGTACCAGCTCTTTGTACCTCTGGCAGAATTCGGCTGTGAATTGCCTGGTCCTGGACTTTTTTTGGTTGGTAGGCTATTAATTATTGCCTTAATTTCAGAGCCTGTTATTGGTCTATTCAGAGATTCAACTTCTTCCTGGTTTAGTCTTGGGAGGGTGTATGTGTCCAGGAATTTATCCCATTTCTTCTAGATTTTCTAGTTTATTTGCATAGAGGTGTTTATAGTATTCTCTGATGGTAGTTTGTATTTCTGTGGGATCGGTGGTGATATCCCCTTTATTATTTTTTACTGCATGTATTTGATTCTTCTCTCCTTTCTTCTTTATTAGTCTTGCTAGTGGTCTATCAATTTTGTTGATCTTTTCAAAAAACCAGCTCCTGGATTCATTGATTTTTTGAAGGGTTTCTTTTGTCTCCATCTCCTTCAGTTCTGCTCTGATCTTAGCTATTTCTTGCCTTCTGCTGGCTTTTGAATGTGTTTGCTCTTGCTTCTCTAGTTCTTTTAATTGTGGTGTTAGGGTGTCAATTTTAGATCTTTCCTGCTTTCTCTTGTGGGCATTTAGTGCTATAAATTTCCCTCTATGCACTGCCTTAAACGTGTCCCAGAGATTCTGGTATGTTGTGTCTTTGTTCTCATTGATTTCAAATAACATCCTTATTTCTGCCTTCATTTAGTTATGTACCCAGTAGTCATTCAGGAGCAGGTTGTTCAGTTTCCATGTAGTTGAGCGGTTTTGAGTGAGTTTCTTAATCCTGAGTTCTAATTTGATTGCACTGTGGTCTGAGAGACAGTTTGTTATAATTGCTGTTCTTTTACATTTGCTGAGGAGTGCTTTACTTCCAACTATGTGGTCAATTTTGGAATAAATGCGATGTGGTGCTGAGAAGAATGTATATTCTGTTGATTTGGGGTGGAGAGTTCTATAGATGTCTATTAGGTCTGCTTGGTGCAGAGCTGAGTTCAAGTCCTGGATATCCTTGTTAACTTTCTGTCTCGTTGATCTGTCTACTGTTGACAGTGGGGTGTTAAAGTCTCCCATTATTATTGTGTGGGAGACTAAGTCTCTTTGTAGGTCTCTAAGGACTTGCTTTATGAATCTGGGGCACGCACCCAATTATTAAAAATGCAAACTAGTCTACATGGCAGACCAGAGGCTGCCTGAGGGAAGTGGATCACCACGGCGCACAAGCAAGCTTTTGGGGGTGATGAATATGCTCCCTGTGTTGACTCTGGTGGAGTTACTTGACATGTATGCTCTATCAAAACCGCTGTCAAACTGAACCTTTATGTGAGACCCCCCAACTCCCACCCCCGCAGCCAGGCAGCCTCTTCAACTTTGTGGGAAACGTAGGGTTACACAAACACATTTCACAAAGTGACCCCTTTTCACATAAGACTTTTTAATATTCTTAGAACCTGACTTAGAACTAGAATTCGAAACCAGCAATGACCAAAAGAATTATAATGCAAGTCATATAAGGAATTTTTAACTTCCCAGTAACCACATTTTTAGAGTAAAAATTATTCAACCCAACAGATGATTTAGCCCAGTAGCATGGACCCTGCTGACCCTCCTGTCACTCCTGTCACAGTGGAAGGAGCCCCCGACAAAGGACAGCACCCCATTTCCTGCTCTGTGGCTGCTTCAGAAGGACTCAAAGGAAGACCAATCCCCAGCTGCCAAGTTGAGTCAGAGCGGCAAAGAGGGGGAATTAAATTGGGCTGGACAGTTTTTCTAAGTTTCATGCAGACAATCTAAATTCAGCATGACCAAATTAACAGGTCACATGTATACCATATGTATATATAACAGAACATGTACCTATCATAAATACTATCTCTTAACACATTCATGAGTGACACTCTTAACTCTTCTGTACCTAACAGCTTGCAATGTATTTGGCAATATTTTTTTTTAAAAGGAAAAGCCTCTTAAGGAGATAGACTTAGGCAAAAAGAATAAAGATTGCTCAATGACTCATGACACTATCCGCCATGAGATTATAATGGAGACCCACCTGGGCCTAGAGAAGGAGAGAAAGGGAGTTTCCTCCTCAAAGGCCAGTGCCTGGTGTGGAGGAGCGAGCGGAACTTACCTTGCAGCACTCGGATGAGCCTCTCACCTGTGGTGATGTTATTCACCAAAACCGCCTGCAACGAAGATAAACTCGCATGAAACACCCAAACCAACACCTCAGCCTGACAGCCAGATGTGATACAAACCAATGATGGGGCCTGTCCCCAACCCAGCGCTGCTGTCAGGGAAGGAGCTCGCACTCAGCGCTCAGGCTGGGCCCTCCCATGTCTGCTGCTGAAAAGGAACAGGCCGACCTAGAGATCCGCTCCCCACCACCGCCTCTGGACCCGAGCAAAAGCCAACGGGTCCAGACCCCACTCCAGCCCAGGAAACGCTGCTCCTCCAGGAAAGGGCCAGCCAGGCCCTCCTTCCTCCTGCCCGACACAGCAGAGGCTCTGGGCACCCAGAGGGCTAATCAGCAACCTCACACCGCACCACACCACACAGCACTCCACACCAAACCACACCACGACACACCAAACCACACCACACACACCACTCCACACAACACCACGCCATATGACTCCACACACCACCAGACCACACCACACACCACTCTACACGACACTACACCATGCCACAACTCCACACCACACACACCACACCACACACCACACCAAACCACACACCACTCCACACCACACATTCACACCAAACCACACACCACACCCACCACTCCACACCAAACCACACACATCACACCACTCCACACCACACATACCACGCCATATGACTCCACACCACAACGCCAGACCACACCACACACCATTCCACACCACACACCACACCAAACCACAGCAGGCCACACACCACACTACACCACGCCACAACTCCACACCACGTACCACTCCACACCACACACACCAAACCACACATCAGTCCACACCACACACTTCACACCAAACCACACCACACCACACACCATTCCATACCAAACCACATCACACCACACCACTCCATACCACACACATCACATACCACACTACACACTGCTCCACACAACACACCACTCCACACCAAACCACACCAAACACACACTACACACACACACATCACACACACCACACACCACACCACTCCACACACACATCACACACCACACCAAACATCACTACAAAACACACACCACACCATGCTACACCACTCCACACACGGCACACCACTCCACACACACCACACACATCACATACCCCACCGCATCACAGACTGCTCCACTCCACACACACCACACACTACTGCACACACCACACCAAACCATACACATCACATACCGCTCCACACAACACCATACACCACACATCACACACCAAACCAAACCACACCACACCACACCACTCTACACCACACCAGCTCACAACTGCACAACTCTGCACCACTCCACTCCACACCAGCCCAGGTCTCCCTGCCTCAGAGCTCAAACTCCAAATTCCAGGCTGACTAAAAAAGAAAAGGGAATGCAGTGGCCATTCCACTAACAAGACCTCTCGATGCACTTTAACTTCTGGCCTCCTTCTCCTGTCCACAGAGTCTATAAGCTTAGGAACTGGAGGGTTTCACACACAGTCTCACCATGCTGGGAAAGTCAACAGTAGAGGAGGACAGAAGCCACACAGAATCCAGATAACAACGACAAAGTGAAAAGTAGGAAGAATGAGTGTCAAGCTCAATGTAACAACTGGCCAGTATGCCCTGACAAGTCACTTTATGCCAGGAGCTCTTCTAAGCACCCCACATCTACTCACTCATTGACTTTTTTTTTTTTTTTTTGAGACAGAGTTTTGCTCTGTTGCCCAGGCTGGGGTGCAATGGCGCGATCTCCGGTTCACTGCAACCTCCACCTCCTGGGTTCAAGCAGTTCTCCTGCCTCAGCCTCCCAAGTAGCTGGGAGTAGAGATGGGGTTTCACCATGTTGGCCAGGCTGGTCTCAAACTTCTGACCTCAAGTGATTCGGCCGCCTTGGCCTCCCAAAGTGCTGGGATTACAGGCGTGAGCCACTGCGCCCGGCCTCATGTATTCTTCTTGACAGTTATGTGAGGTAGTAGTGTATTATCACATTTTAGGAAAAGGGAAACGGAGGCACTGGCTGCTTAAATGGCTCATGGTCACCCGCCTACTAAGAGGCAAAGCCAAACTCCAGCTCCAACAAGTGTGCTCCAGAGAGCAAGTTCTTCAAAGCTACTTGCCAAATTGCTACAAACCCAAGCAGGACACCAACGTAGTAGGCTGTACCTAATGTTAAAAACAAACAAAAGCCTGAAAAAAGCAGGGAACAGAATATTAAATATCAGAGTGCACTGCACAGGTAAATGCCATCTCACAGACAGACACATACAGCATGTATGTGTGCTGGGCCACAATGCAAACATTTCTTACTGTGTCATCATCCACAAAGTTTGCAAATAATCCATTACTTGACATGCTGCCCATAACGTGGAGACACATTTGTGTCCCATTCCTGCTTAGTGGTGGACGATGGCAAGCACAGTGCCTCTTCCTCCTCTGGGACCTTTCTATGCAACCATCCTGTTTTCTCAGGCCTGGACAGAAACAAGGCTTAGGCAAACAACAGCCTTTTGGAGTAAGGTGTTTATGAACACAGGGATGCATGCCCACAAATGAAATCGCATCAAACAAATCTGGTATTTGGGAGCTCTGAGGATATGGAACATTTCCTGGGGCAACAGGAGAGAAGTTATGGCGATAATACCTGTAAAAGTCATCCCTCAGGGAAAGATAATCCGAAGGGGTGTGTACAGGTATGCTGTACATCAGGGATTTTGCGGGGAGAGAGACTAGGAAATTAAAGGAGGATCCACACAGTAGGAATCAGATTTACGCAGCACCTGCTACTCTTGGAAACAGCTCGCTCTGCGTGAAAAGCGAAAAGATTACCATATGATCCCACAACCCCACTTGTGGGTATGAACCCAGAAGCATTTAAAGCAGGATCCCTAAGAGATGTCTGCACTCTCATGTTCGCTGCAGCATCACTCACAGTTACCAAGAGGCGAATGCAACCCAGGGGGTCACAGATGAATGAATGGATAAGCAAAATGTGGCATACACATACAATGAAATATTATGCTACCTTTACAAAGAAGGAAATACGGACACATACTACAACATGGATGAATGCAGACAACATTACACTAAGTGAAAACATAAGCCAGTCACAGAAGGACAAATGCTGTAGGATTCCATTCATATGAAGTACCTAAAGTCATCAAAACCACAGAAACAAAATAGAAAGGTGGCTGTCCAGGGATAGGAGAGGGGGGAGGGAAATTGGTGTTTAGTGAGCATCGAGACCCAGGGTTGCAGAATTAATTTCTAGAGATCTGTTGCACAACAGCGTGAATATCCTTCACATCACTGATCTGTACACTGAAATTTCCACCTTGCATCGGTGTGAAAACCATGTTTCCTCTGGAAATCAGAGTGAAAACCGAACAGTAAAAAAAACAAAAACAAACCAAAAACACTTAAATTATTACACAGTGTTTACCCCCAGAGTTGATCTCCTGGGTAAATAATATCTTTCACATCTCCTGGGTAAATAATTTCTATGAAAATTATGGCAATTTGATGTGTCCTTTTCTGTCCATTCCCCTTAGCTCCCCTCCCGACCCAAATCACATTAGTGCTTACAACTATCTGAGGGTTCAGATACTACTGCAATTTGAAATATCTAAAGATACTTCTGTCTCCATGTGACTTTATTCTTCCAAAAAAATATATTTTTGTTATCTTCCCCTATCTACTTACTTATGCATGGAAAAATACAGCCTCCACTTAGGAAAATAAAAAAAGGATCATAAAATGCCATCAAGATCTTTTATATATAATTTTATATTTATAGAAATTTTGTTGAATCATTTTCAGGGAAACTACGAAAATGCTTCTTAGCTTCTTTCAGGGTTCAACATATTATAAAGAAGAAAAAACCCTGAGTTCGACAAAATGATTTTTATTTATTTTTTATTTAAATTTTTTTTTTTTTTTTTTTTGAGACGAAGTCTCGCCTGTCGCCCAGGCTGGAATGCAGTGGCGTGATCTTGGCTCAAAGCAACCTCCACCTCCCGGGTTCAAGCAATTCCCCTGCCTCAGCCTCCTGAGTAGCTGGGACTACAGGCGCCCGCCACCACGCCTGGCTAATTTTTTTTATTTTAGTAGAGACAGGGTTTCACCATGTTGGCCAGGATGGTCTCAATCTCCTGACCTCGTGATCTGCTCGCCTTGGCCTCTCAAAGTGCTGGGATTACAGGCATGAGGCACTGCACCCAGCCAAAAAAAAATTTTTTAAGAGACAGTCTCACTCTGTTGCCCAGGCTGCAGTGCAGTGGCGCTATCATAGCTCACTGCAGCCCCCAGCTCCTGTCCTCAAGTAATCCTCCTGCCTCAGCCTCCTGCAGCACTGGGATTACAGGACTGAGCCATGGTGCTGGGCCATAATTCAACAAAATTGTTCTTAAATGAATTATATATTCTACTCTAAACAGCCAGGTTGTTTTTCACATTTTGGTGCAGAGGGACTTTAGGGGTAGCTGTACTTCCTGGTGTTTGTAAGCTGTCCCCTAAAAACACAGACAAGGAGGCAATAAGCGCCACCAGAAATTAACTGGAAACTAAACCTCAAAGAATCTGGGTGAATTACCCATGTACAAATTTATTATGACCATTCCATTCTGGGAAACAAGTATATTTGGATCAAACTTTTTCTGTATTAGATTCCTAGAAAAATAAGCTCAATATTTCATAAGTTTTCAAAGCAACAAATCTACAATAAAGTATCACATTATGAAAGCTCAATAAGATGTAGTGACTAATTTTAAAAATACTAATATTTGAAACACTCACTTGGAAGAAGGATGCTGATCACACTGTAAAAAGTAGAAGGTGACTTTTTTTTTTTGAGTGAAACAGGAGTGCTTTATGGTCTGAGAGGAGTGTTTGGGAGGAGTGCCTCCCGGCTCCCACCTGTGGGCTCACCCGAGCCGGGGTGCAGCTGAGGCCACTGTGGGAAACAGAACCCCCCACTCCCAGGAGAGGCCTCACATGCTGCCTTCGGTTCCTTGTCAGCCTTGCCTAGCGTGGGGCCTGGGCCACCCTTTAGGGTGGGTCTGCACACCCGTGTTCAGGGCTCCCGGCTGGAAGCGGAGCCATAGGCATGCTGCGGCCCTGGGTGAGCGTGGAGGGCAAGAAGGTGCTGGGGCAGTGCGCACCCCACAGCCAAGCAGGGCCCTCCTGGGCCTCAGTCACATCCCTGAGAAACACTGGAGACTGGCGGCTCTGTCCCGAGAGGGCCAGGGTGTCCACCGAGCCTGGCTGAAGCCAGCTGTCCCCTCCAGAAGGTGACTTAACTACTGTATTTCTTTGGCTCATTAAAATAACCAACCTGCTTTGAGGGCGTGAGTCCACCTTAACTTTCAGCCTTAAAAAGGACCCTTATCTAATCCAAGTCAACCCTCTGCAATCAGATGCCTGGAAAACTTCTTTGTACTGAAATTCCTGTTACTGCTTCAGAGTTACTCCTGTTACTACCTTAGAATGAAAAAGTTAATCTTAGTAACCTAGGAATGACATAAGAATGAAGGGAAGAATATCAAGTATTCATTGGAATCTTTTTACCTCTTAGCAATTTCAAAATGGTGCTATCCAAAACAGTGCTATTCAATAGAAATAAAATGTCAGTTGTACCCGGAAATTAAAAATTTTCTAATAGCCACATTGAATTAAGTAAAAAGAAACAGGTTGGGCAAAAGATTTGCAAAGACATCTCCCTAAAGTAGACATAAATGGCCAATATGTACATGAAAGATGCTCAACCTCATTAGTCACTAGTGAAATGCAAATCAAAATGAGAAGATACCACTTCACATCTATCAGTATGGCTATAATTTTTAAAAAGGTGCCAGGCGCGGTGGCTCATGCCTGTAATCCCAGCACTTTGGGAGGCCGAGGCAGGTGGATCACTTGAGGTCAGAACTGGCCAACACAGCAAAACTCTGTCTCTACTAAAAATACAAAAATTAGCCAGGCATGGTGGTATGTGCCTGTAGTCCCAGCTACTTGGGAGGGTGAGGCAGGGGAATCATTTGAACATAGGAGGCGGAGGTTGCAGTGAGCTGAGATCATGCCACTGCACTCCAGACTGGGCAACAGAGCAAGACTCTGTCTCAAAAAAAAAAAAAAAAATAGCCAGGGCGAGGTGGCTCACGCCTGTAATCCCAGCACTTTGGAAGTCCGAGGCGGGCGGATCACCTGAGGTCAGGGGTTCAAGACCAGCCCGGCCAACATGGCAAAACCCCATCTCTACTAAAACTACAAAAATTAGCCGGATGTGGTGGCAGGTGCCTGTAATCCCAGCTACTCAGGAGGCTGAGGTAGGGAGAATCGCTTGAATCCAGGAGGCGGAAGTTGCAGTGATCCGAGATTGAGCCATTGCATTCCAGCCTGGGTGATAGAGTGAGACTCTGTCTCAAAAAAATAAATAAATAAAAATAAAAAAGGAAAATAACAAGTGTTGACAAGAATGTGGAAAAGCTGGAGAGAAACTAGAACCCCCCCCCAATACACAGTGGCTAAGAATGTAAAATGCAATCCCTGTGAAAGTCTGTCAGTTTCTCAAAAAGTTCAACACAGAGCTACCATATGACCCAACAATCCCACTTGTAGGTGTACACCCAAGAGAAAGAAGACATATCCCCACTGGAAAACCTGTCCACAAATGCTCACAGCAGAATTATTCATGAAGGCCAAAAAGTGGTAACAATCCAAATGTCCGTCAACAGGCGAACAGATAAAGCAAACATGGTATATCCACCTAAGGGACTATCGTTCAGCCATAGGAGAGAAGTATTACCGACACATGCTACAACACGGATGAGGCTTGGAAACATTACACTAAGCGAAAGAAGCCAGACACAAAACAAAGGCCACGTACTGCATGATTCTATACTACATGATACGTCCAGAATAGGCAGATCTCTAGAGACAGAAAGCAGGTTAGTGGTTGCCAGGGGCTAGGGGAAGAGGGAAATGGGGAGTGATTGCTTAATGGGTACACATTTCTTTGTGGGGTGATAAAAATGTTCTGGCTGGGCGTGGTGGCTCACACCTGTAATCCCAACACTTTGGGAGGCCGAGGTGGGTGGATCACTTGAGGTCAGGAGTTCGAGACCAGCCTAGCCAACATACTGAAACCCCGTC
Organism: Homo sapiens; assembly: GCF_000001405.40. NCBI lineage: Eukaryota > Metazoa > Chordata > Mammalia > Primates > Hominidae > Homo > Homo sapiens. The sequence continues at coordinate 86,059,727 of NC_000009.12, forward strand.
TCTACTAAAAATACAAAAATTAGCTGGGCATGGTGGCACCTGTAATCCCTGTAATCCCAGCTACTCGGGAGGCTGAGGCAGGAGAATCACTTGAACCCAGGAGGTGGAGGTTGCAGTGAGCCAAGATGGCAACACTGCACTCCAGCCCGGGTGACACAGTGTGAGTCTATCTCAAAAAAAAAAAAAAAAAAAAAAAAGTTTTGGAATCAGTGGTTATAGTTGCATGGCATTGTGAACATACCCAAACCACTGAGATGTATGATACATTAAAAAATGGCTAAAATAATGAATTGTATGTTATGTGAATTTTATCCCAACTTTAAAAATAAGAAACAGGTGAAATTAATATTTTATTTACCCTAATGTATCCCAATTATCATTGCAAGATGTATTCCACATAAAAATTATTGAGAAATTTGGCATTTTCACACTCAATCTTTGCACTCCAGCATATCTTACACTTGTAGGACATCTCAGCTGGGACATGCTAAGTGCTCACAGCCACCTGCAGCTAGGGACAGCAAGTTCCAGAGGAATAAGAAGGTGGGGGCAAAGAGGGAGACAGAGAAGGGGAGGGAGACAGGGAAAGCGGGGAGAGGGAAGGAGAGAGAGGCAGAGACTTGCAAACAAGTCATTTATGGCATCCTGCTAAGATTACACACTCACACACTCATTCACACACACAAACAACAAGACAAGCAGTGACTCCCAAATGCTTCATGCCTACAGCCACCACTGAGCCAAATGGTGGGTCGCTGGATGCATGTTCCCATAGGGACAAGGGCACAAAGTGATGAGGAAACTAGTCCAGTCCACAAGCCCCTAAAGATGACATGATTATGTTTTGTGGGTTAAGAAGTTACATAACACACAGGCCGGGCGCAGCAGCTCACGCCTGTAATCCCAGCACTTTGGGAGGCCGAGGCGGGTGGATCACCTGAGGTCAGGAGTTCCAGACCAGCCTCAACATGGAGAAGCCCCGTCTCTACTAAAAATACAAAATTAACTGGGTGTGGTGGTGCATGCCTGTAATCCCAGCTACTTGGGAGGCTGAGGCAGGAGAATTGCTTGAACCTGGGAGGCAGAGGTTGCGGTGAGCCGAGATTGTGCCATTGCACTCCAGCCTGGGCAACAAGAGCGAAACTCTCTCAAAAAAAAAAAAAAAAAAAAAAAAAAAAAAAAAAAAAAGAAGAAGAAGAAGAAGTTACACAACACAGAAATGTTGTGACTGACACTGAATACTTGACATGAGGAATTCCTGGATGTTTTGGTATGATCATGGTATTGTGGCTATGAGAGACAGACAATCCCACCTTTTCAGGACGTGTGCTGAAATAGTCATGGTTAAAACGGCACGAGTTGTAATCGCTGAAGCTTGGCACTGGATGTGTGGGGGCTCACTGGGTCACTCTGTCTACCTTTTCATGTTTACGGTTTTCTACAATCAGCCAACACACACAGGCACACATAAGCTTGCCACATTGATAATTAAATCTGCCAAGTACAATTTTTTAAAAATCTTAACTTCAAGGCTGGTTTTAGAGGAAAAGAAAGGTGAATTAGAAGATGCTGAGATAAACCTGTTGTCTGGAGAAATTTGAGGTAGATTCAAGAACTTTTAGAAGGGCAGGTCTTTGCTGCAGTATTTCTCATTTGTAATTTCACTCCTAAAATTAAGCAATTTTCTTTTCATAGTATAGCTCCATCAACAATTATCAACTATGACAAATGGCCTTCGAAGCTCACTAATGAGGATAAAGGGAGGAAAAAGAAAAGAAAAACGAGTAACAGAGAAAGAGGGCAGCAGAGGGAAGACCGGGATGGGAGAGATTTTCTTGAAGACCTGAGACTGTGGCATCCGGTTTGGGATCTGCTGCTAATTTGCTCCTTGACTTTGGACGCTTCGTTTAACTTCTCTGTGCCTCTGTTTCCCCAAAGTGGAACCTAAGCAGGGTGGCCTGCTGAGTTTTATTTAAAGGGGCACCTTACAGACACCTCAAGTGGGAACCCAAATATGGGGGCATGGGTCAGAGTGTGAATGAGTGTCTGTGAGTGTGAGTTGAACTGAGTGTGAGAATACCAACAGGAGGAGAGGAGTGGCTAAAGGTTTAGGGGATAGAGTCAAATGTCAGCGTAAATGGTAGGATCCTGGTCAGAGAGCAGCTGAGGAGGCTTCAGGGCAGGGGACCCAGATGGGCAGAAAGGCGGGTCTGGACCTGCAGCTATGGGACAGTGTGCACAAGTCACCAAGTTTAAATGGAAGGGCGTCGGGAGATTAAGTGTAACTTTCTACAAAGCTTCAGAAAACACCATCTATCCAGGAAAACACGTAGGACACACAGACACAGTTGCTACACGCCCAGAATAGCTCCTGCCAACACATCCCTGTGTTGTCACAGGGAAGGTAACATCCTCCCACCCCATCCACCTTGCAGCTTGGCGGGTGTGGGAAAGCACCTCGCTGGGAGAGTGCAGGATGCTCCCAGGACCCGCCCTGGGGTCACCCGGGTGCCCAGCTTGGCAGAACAAGGTCCATGAGGTGTGGTGGCCATCACAGACATAAGCACAGGGTTGATGGCGAGGGGGCCTGAACCCAAGACTGGCTCACACCCTCCCCCAGCATCTCCTGCACAGGGCACACTGCAGGTGCTTTGGGGAGGGAGGAGAGAGGATGGGGAGGAGGGGAAGGGGAGGAAGGAGAGAGCAAAGGATGGTGAGGAGAGGGAGAGAAAGGAGGACAGAGGGAAGGGAGGACGGGGGAGGAGGGAGGAAGAGGAGGAGGGAGAATGGAGGGAGAGGAGGAGGGAAGAAAAGAGGACAGAGTAGGATGGAGGAAAGGGATGGAAGGAAGAGGAGAGAGACAGGGTCTGGAGGGGAGGAGGGCAAGAGGAGGATGGAGGGAGGAAAAGGACAAAGGAAGGGAGAGGGGTGGAGGGACAGAAAGGAAGAGGAAGGATGGAGGGAGGGGAGGCAGGAGGAAGGAAAAAGGAGGAGAAGCAAACGGGGGGGGCTGCCCTTGCCTCTGAGAACCTGCTACACTGTCTCCTTTGGTAGCAGCCTGCCCCTGTGCCTCTAACCTACACGTGACTTGGGTCAAATAAAACTTCCAGGAGGATCCAAACCTGAAGGACAGTGGGAACCCCAGAATGCACTTTGAGGCTTCTCTAGCAGTGGACGAGCGCCTGTCTTCTTAGTCCCTGACCCTGGATCTTTCTGAAGGTCTCCTCATCACCCAGCTGCCAGGGAACCTGGCTGCCCCTGAAGCAGCTCACACTGGTCTGTCCCCTCTGCAGCACCACCCAAGCTGCCCCTCAGCTCTTCCCGCTGCTCTCACTCCTGAACACTTAAGGAGATGGCAGGGGAGGAGCTGCCGAACCAGAGGAGCACCCCACACACTGCCAACAGGGCTTGACCCAGGAGCGGGGGCTTGAAAAGCTCCAGCTCCGTTTTTAGAGGAAGAAGAATGCCGGATTACAACACAGCACCAGCAATCTGGATATTCGTTCCCTGGCTGTTCTTTAACCAGCCAGGAAATGCCCTGTGCAAGGGCTGGAGGCCTGGGGCTGCAGACTCCCAATCTCAATGGGCACCCCAGGGCTGAGCCACCTGAGGGCACTGGGGGTTTCCATTTTCAAACGGGAATCCTAGCAGCTTCCCTGCTCCCACCTGCGGAAGAGGAGACACTTTTGTACATTCTGACTTTCTGCAGACAGGTAAAAAGGCGTACACAGACCTTTGGGGATGAAAGAGAAACTAAAACTGAACCAAGTGTACAGGTTACAGCGTCACAGTCAAGGCACCTAACAGACCCTACTTACTGTTTGTTCTTAAACATGAATGACTGCAGATCCCTGCCAGAGACGGTAAGTGAAAAAACAGCTACCTCCTATTTTCTTTACGTATTTCCCATCAAACGCCTGTCTTGGGTTGGGTTAAGAATTACAGAAGGTAAACGGAGTCAATTCCAAGTCACTCAAGCAATTTTCTGTGTGAAGAGAGAACAAGACAAAAGCCAACCACAACAGCAAAACCCAAAGCCTCCGTTACGCCTTCTATGGCAATCAAACACGCCAACGCTCTTTCTAGTGCGTATGAAGCCAAGGCCAAGAGCGAGGACACCTGCAGGATTTGGTTCTGTCCCATTAGGAACAGAGATCAATGCACATGAAATCCATGCCTCGTCTGGTCAGCCGCTAACCATCGTGGGCAACCTCACATTGCACGACAATGCTTTCCATGTGGAACTTGTCCATGGCATGTTTAAAAATCAAACCACGTCCTGAATCAAATAGGCATCTGAGTCTTCTCCTGAGGTCCAGGACATCCCATGACAGGCTCAGGCCCCTCCCTGGAGGTGGGAGGTGAGGACCCAGCACTAGGACACCCACTGAGGCACAGTCTGCAGTGAAGGACATCTACCTGAATGGCATGTTTGCTGCTTCTCCTACAAATGTATTTTTAAGTGTGGGAAGCAAATTACTTGAGTTTAATTATAAACCTGTATTTGAAGGTTGAATCCAATTGACAAACTGGAGAATTTCCAATCTAAAAAGACTAGAAGTCTTCTGAGACAAACACTTTTATTTTCAGGGCAGCAAATTTTCAATGGATTTTACTGACCTGCTTCCATTCTGCTCAATTCACACTTTCCCGCACCTATCCCATCTGTCACGGGGCCTGTTGATCCCTCCTCTTGGCTGCCTCCCAAATCTGCTCACTTTGCAGAGCTCATCCTACTCCTGCCCAAATTCAGTGCAACATCACTTTTTACTCCAAGTATTTCAAGAGCTGCCTCACTGTGCTGCCTCCTCTCTGCCCTGCTCCCCACCCAGCCCTCTCCCCACATGGCCAGGGCCTGCCTTTTAAATCCCACATCTGACCACACTGCTCCATCACAGCTTAAACCCTATGACGGCTTCCCCGGTCTTGAACTCAAGTCCAAACTCCTTCAAACTCAAGTCCAAACTCCTGCACCCCAACATCACACTCTGCTCGGGCCCAGCCACTCGCAGTTCCCTAGGCACCCTTCCAGGTTAGACACTGTGGGGGACAGCGCTGCTGACTCCCATGGCCCTTGAGCCGCCTGCCTGGTGGGGGATGCAGCAGATCGGCTCCTCCACGTCGGTTCCACACGCCTTTTGCTGTGCTTTCCTGAACCACAAAGGCTCGGAAGCTAAAATGCACCTTCCAGAATCATTTCCAGTGGGATTCTGCCTCCAATCAGATGCACTTACTGGAGGCTAGAATGTGGAACAGAGTGAGGGTGTGGGAGGTGCAGAACAGAGAAAGTGGGGTGCCCCTGACTCTGGGCCTGCACTGCAGCAGAACCCCGCTGGTCTCACGCTCTACGCTGGGCACAGGGGCAGGTCCTGAGATAGTGCCTGAGAGCCACCCCACCTCAATGCAGGCCCTTCCCACAGCTTACAGTATCTATTTCCCTGTATCAAATCCTTCCTGCTTAAAATATCTGGGTGGTTTCTCTGTCTACACTGACCCCACTACACTCACTTCCTCATCTTTGTCCAGCACTCAATGGTAAATGTGCAATGAACACAGCCTCCCCACCACTGGGCACAGGCCAGGGCAGAACAGAACAAATACTGAACGGACTGACAGAACTGGACCCGGAAAATCGGTGAGAATAAAAACAGAAAAGCTGCTCTAGAACTCTGGATTCATCAATCACAGCGATTAAAGGTGATAAAAATCAAAGACACCACTTTTATCTGCACAAGATCGCTTTGGTTCCCCCAGAAGACAATCATTACATTCGCAGGTGCACAAGCAAAGCTGGCCCAGAGAGAAGACACCAGAACCCTCTGAGAATTGCATCTGGCCACAGGAGAATGCAGTCTGGTGGGGCCAGTGTGACGAGCAGACCTGGCAGCCCCCGGCAGCCCCACGCCGGCCACTCTCAGGTGCCGGGAGCCTTCCATGACCTCTCTGGCTCTCACTCTCTTCCCCTCTGTCTCAAGCGACAAGAATGACTGTCTCCTAAAGAAATGAAGTTAGAAATTAAATATGTTCATGTCGGGCTGGGTGCGGTGGCACACACCTGTAACCCCAGCACTTTGGGAGGCTGAGGAGGGTAGATCACGAGGTCAGAAGTTCAAGACCAGCCTGGCCAACATGGTGAAACCCCATCTCTACTAAAAATACAAAAATAAGCCAGGCGTGGTGGCACCTGCCTGTAATCCCAGCTACTCGGGAGGCTGAGGCAGGAGAATCATATGAACCCGGGAGGCGGAGGTTGCAGTGAGCCAAGATTACGCCACTGTACTCCAGCCTGGGTGACACAGTGAGACTCTGTCTCCAGAAAATAAATAAATATGTTCATGTTACAAAAGCACTCTGAAACTCTCAAGTAGGACCAATGACCAGACTTGTTAATTATTTTATTTTGAAGAGGCAAAATCTTTCAGCAAAAGTCACTCATAAACAAATGCTGTTGTATTTGAGGGAAGTGACCCCATCCCAGGCTCAGAAGACACTCAAGAACGCACTCCATGAACCAGCTCTTTACAAGAGAAAAGCACTGTAAACACCTCAGAGCCTCCTCGTACCCCAAGTTACTGTGCAAGAGGAGAAACCGGGCAGCTCCCTGAAACCACCTGGACATGGGTACAGGTCACACAGGCAAGCATGACAACAGTGAGGCTGAGCGCCCCCTGCACTTTCCCACTGCCTCTTTAAGCTTTTCTTCTTCTGGACACAAAACGATAAGCAAGTCACCAACACCTCTGTTCTTCCACTCAGCAATCTTTTTGTTTTAACTCAGTTGCTCCCCTTCAGGAAAGATACAAGAACTCTATTTTCATGACAAAGGAACTGTTGCTAAAACATTACCTTTGCACCTCTGCAATATTAATGCACATATTTTAACAAATAAGTAAAAAGTATAAATGTCAAAGTGGATGTGCAGCTGCGAGAAACCAGCCGAGCGAGAATGTTACAAGTGCAAATGCTGAAAATGAAGCTATTTGTGACTGAACTTTTGGCAAGCAAAAATGAACACAATAGCAGGAAGATGTGCCTTTCCCTTCACGAAGTGCTAGTAAGTAATTCAGGGTCTCCCAGACTCTTCCCCAAGCATTTCAGAGGGCAGGTGATGCCACCCCCAAGCCTTTGTGGCCACTACTGGCCACTGAACAGCAGTTAGCCAAGAGGGGACCCAGGATCTTTGGAAGTCTTCAGACCCAAATTATTATTATTACTATTATTATTATTATTTAGATGGAGTCTCGCTGTCACCCAGGCTAGAGTGCTTGGCATGGTCTCAGCTCACTGCAACCTCTGCCTCCCAGGTTCAAGTCATTCTCCTGCCTTAGCCTCCCAAGTAGCTGGGATTACAGGCATGCACCACCACACCCAGCTAATTTTTGTATTTTTAGTAGAGACGGCATTTCGCCATGCTGACTGAACTCCTGACCTCAAGTGATCCACCGGCCTTGGCCTCCCAAAGTGCTGGGATTACAGGTATCAGCCACCATGCCTGGCCCAGACCCAAATTATTAATCAGCCTGTGTTAACAACATAAAAGAATGAATTAAACCACTCTGTGCCCTCCTTAGGAGAGAATGCACACCTTTACAAGTGAATCTCCATTGGCTTCTACCAAAAACTAAAACCCAAGTATCTGTTTCTAGTTAGGCCCCTTAAAAACCTGTTTTATATGTACACATATATGAATCTGTAAAAAAGAAAACAGTATTTCACTGGTGGTTGCGTGAAGATTATTTCTATGCACACGAATGTGGTAGTTTAAAAACATTACCACAAATTAATTGACACTAACTCCCAAAGGGGGAGTCCAATTCCCCTGAAATTCGGGGCAGCCTTAGTGACTTGCTTCTAATGAATGTAGAAGTGACCACACTCATTTCCAAGGCAAGGTCAACAAAAGGGGCCGTCGGTTGAACAGTGTACACCTAAAATTCATGTCCATGTTGAACCTGTGAAGGAGCCCATGAATGACCTCATTTAGAAACAGGGTTGGCCGGGCGCAGTGGCTCATGCCTGTAATCCCAGCACTTTGGGAGGCCGAGGCGGGCGGATCACCTGAGGTCAGGAGTTCAAGACCAGCCTAGCCAATGTGGTGAAACCCCATCTCTACTAAAAATACAAAAAACATTAGCTGGGCATGGTGGTGGGTGCCTGTAGTCCCAACTACTTAGGAGGCTGAGGCAGGAGAATGACTTGAACCTGGAAGGTGGAGGTTGCAGCGAACCAAGATCACATCACTGGACTCCAGCCTGGGGCGACAGAGTGAGACTCCGTCTCAAAAATAAATAAATAAATAAATAAATTTAAAAAAAAAGAAACAAGGTCTACGCAGATGTACTTAAATTAAAATGAGGTCGCTAGGTGGGCCCTATCCAATATGACTGGTGTTCTTATAAGAGGAGGAGAAGAGGCGAAAAGAAAGACTGAGAGGCAAGCAGGCCATGTGAGGTGGAAATTGCACAAAACTGCACTTACAAGCTGAGGAACGTCAAAGGTGTCAGCAAACACTAGAAGCCAGAGAGGCGAGGTAGTGTCCTCCCACAGCCCTGCTGGCACCTGAATTTCAGGCTTCTAGCCCTCAAAACTGTAAAAGTATACATTTTTGTTGTTTTAAGCTATCTAGTCTGTATTAATTTGTACGCAGCCCTAGGACCCAAATACAAAAGATGACACAGCTTCCTCCCGCTGGTCAGGTCTGCTGTGAGCGAGGATGCTAACTCTCAAAACCCAGCCCTTGCTGAAAAGAAGCCACACTGCCACGTGGAAAAGGGAGTGTAGGTGTCTTGGTCCTGGCCCCTGCCCCTGCCCAGGTCTCAGGTGACAGCTGCACTTACTGCCAGGCCCCTGAGTAAGGGACTCTCTGATCATTCTAACCTCAGCCTTCAAGGCACCCCAGACATGCAGTGCAGAGTAGAGACAACCCGTTCCCACTGAGCTTTCCCAAACTGCAGATGCAGGAGCAAAATACATGTTTGTTATGGGTTTAACTATGTTTGGGGATAACCTGATATGCAGTAACAGATAACAAAAACAACACGTGTGTCTAAATTCACCAGAACCAAACGTATGCTTTGTGTTCAAAACATAGTTACCAGTCCCAACTGGGTATCAGGGAAGTCTACAGAAGCTCCCTTCTGCAAACAGGTATGCAGAGTCCTCTTGTCTGCAATTATACCTCTCAGTGTCTACTTACAAAGTGGTTGCCTCAACTAAGATAGTAAGGTACAATAAGCCAACAATGTCTGGGTTTTTTTTTTTAACAATATGCAAAAGCCAGAAATGGCTAAACGTTTTATCATTTAAAGAACCCCACTTATATTCTACAATTTTCATGGCATACCTACATTTATAAAGTATTATAAGTATATTATTAAGTAGTAACTAATAAAAGCTTACATGTAATCTCTATTTTTTTTTTTAAAGAAAGGGAGTGGAGAGTTCTCAATAGCTAATTTCTGAGTGAGAACTACAGGTGAATTTTTCTTTTTTGTTTTCAAATTTGCTTATAACATTATTTTAATTAAGGAAAAGCCAACTTTTTTGGAAAGTTACTTAACATACACAATCATTGCAAAAGGCGGCTTAATATCCTTTCTTATACACAGAAAAGGAAGTGTGGTGCTTCTACTAAGTTACATAAATTCTCATGAACTTGCACAACTGCACTGATGCAGTCAAACCATCTTCACCACACCTACTACTGCAACAGACAGGGAGGCAAAAAAGAAAGGAAACGGAAATGGCAGCTCAATCCCCAAGAACTGAGTCTCACTCATCTGAAGTATTTACTCTCGAATGAGCACAGTCTGCAGGATTTGGTTCAGATTAACGAGACATAATCTAATTAACCCATTAATACTCTAGCCAGTGGACGGATTCCTCCTGTGTGAGGTTCCTCCTCTCATCCAGTGGGCTATGGGTGTGGGGTCGTTAAAATGGAACACACATGGCCACCTAGCCTTCCACATGGGCAGAGGGTTAGCTGAGGCCAGCAATGACACCTGCCATTTTACATCTTTATCTCGCAACACTCTTCCCAACTTAGGTGGGACCTGTCACACCTCCACATTCCTTTTCTAATCCTCTGACTGCACTGAAATGCTGTCCTTCTACCCTTCTCTAAATCCCATTTTAGTCTCCAAGGCTCAAAGCCAATCTTTTTTTCTTTTTTTGAGATGAAGTCTCACTTTGTCACCCAGGCTGGAGTGCAGTAGTGCAGTCCTGGCTCACTGCAACCTCCGCCTCCCGGGTTCAAGCGATTCTCCTGCCTCAGCCTGCAGAGTAGCTGGGATTTCAGGTGCCTGCCACCACACCCGGATAATTTTTTGTATTTTTGGTAGAGACAGGGTTTCACCATGTTGGCGAGGCTGGTCTGGATCTCCTGACCTCATGATCTGCCTGCCTCAGCCTCCCAAAGTGCTGGGATTACAGGCGTGAGCCACCGTGTCCGACCTAAAGCCAATCTTTTTAGAGAAAAAAACAAAACAAAACTGCAACTGCTTTAGCCAATACCCATCTCTCCTTTCATGTAACTCCACCTGCTGTTAAACATTGATTATTTTCACCCAGCACAGTGGGTCATGCCTCTAATCCCAGTACTTTGGGAGGCCAAGGTGGGCGGATCACGAGCTCAGGAGTTCAAGACCAGCCTGGCCAGGATGGTGAAACCCTGTCTCTACTAGAAACACAAAAATTAGCCGGGTGTGGTGGCACGTGACTGTAATCCTAGCTACTTGGGAGGCTGAGGCAAATAACTGCTTGAACCCAGGAGGCGGAGGTTGCAGTGAGCTGAGATCATGCCACTGCACTCCAGCCTGGGCGACAGAGCGAGACTCCACCTCAAAAAAAAAAAACAAAAAAAACCTGATTATTCTCTAGATATGTGAGGGAATCTCATCTTCCTCCAAAACAGCATTCAAGCTGCTAAGGACACAGGGCCCCAGGCACATCCTAGACATCCAGTAAGTACTGGTACATGGACTGAGATTCCCATTCATTCATTTACCACGAACTCGAACTTTTACTAAGTAACAGTCTCAAACCCATGAGATAAGCTAATTGATCAGGCGCAAAACTTAGATTGCAAGAAATAAGAAAAGAGTGAAATATTACACACAGAAATGTAGGGCCAAAGGATCTGATCTGCAGGCCAGGAAGTTGTACAAAGTGAAATATAACAGCAGGAACGTTCTGTGGCAACAGCTAATAAAAATGAGAGGATGTACAACCATCCAGCTACTTAACGTCCAGGTGTATCTCTATATCTTTCCAGACTCTTTTGACCATGACCCACAATGATAAATTTTATCTTGTGATTCAGTACAAACATTTACACACATATATACATGTACACACACACACACACACACACACACACGTATATTTAGAAACAGGGTCTCGCTCTGTCACCTAGGCTGGAGCACAGTGGTGCAATTATAGTTCATTGAACCTCAAACTCCTGGGCTCAAGGTGATCCACCCACCTCAGCTTCCTGAGTAGCTAGGACTACAGGCATGCAACAACCATTCCCAGTTACTTTTTAATTTTCTGTAGAGACAGGGTCTCAGTATGTTGCCCAGGCTGGTCTTGAACTCCTGGCCTCAAGCAATCCTCCCGCCTTAGCCTCCCAAAGCACCTATTTTTTTTAATATAAAATGCAACAATGGTGGTCAGGCATGGTAGCTCATGCCTGTAATCCCAGCACTTTGGGAGGTCAAGGCAGGTGGATCACTTGAAGTCAGGAGTTCGAGACCAGCCTGGCCAACACGGAGAAACCCCGTCTCTACTAAAAATACAAAAATTAGCCGGGTGTGGTGGTGCAGGTCTGTAATCCCAGCTACTCGGGAGGCTGTGAGAAACGCTGTGAGGTGGAGGTGGAGGTTGCAGTGAGCCGAGATCGTGCCACTGCACTCCAGCCTGGGCAACAGAGTGAGACTCTGTCTCAAAAAGAAAAAAAAAAAAGCAATAATAGTTTCATAACGCAACAGTTAACATATACAATAACACTCTAATATTTTTAGTTTTTTAAGACGTGGGTCATTATCCACTAAATTATTAAGCATAGCTCACTAAAAGGTCCCAAACTGTAGTTGGCAAACACTGCAAGCTTGGAAAACCCCCAGGTGCCTGAGCAGCACTGTATGAGTATACTCACTGTACCTTCTCTCAAGGAGTAAAAAACTAGAAACAAAGGCTTACAATAAGGAGTGGGTAAATAAACTGGGGTATATTTATACAAAGAAAGAGGGTACAGCAGTGAGAAAGAATGAACTAAATCTATCAAATCAATAAAGACCTCAAAAACAATGGTGACTACAAAAAGCAAGTTATAAAATGATAGTGACCAAACATATACATTAAAACCAGAGAAAAAATATACATGTTGTTTTTGAACGTGTATAGTAATAGTTCAGAAATATAAGCTACAAAGACAATCATTAACATTCACAACAGTGGTTGTACAGGCAGGAGGGAAAGGAGAGAAGAGACGGAGAAGGGGAACATAGAGAACCTTGACTGTATTTATGATGTTTTTTGCTTTAAATAATATCTGGGTGAGGGGCACGCAGGTGTGAGCTTATTATTCATCTGACCTCTCTGCATGTCCAGCTATTTCATAAGAAAACCATTCTATGTCTCATTATGTCACCATCACACAGCTGTTGAGAAGCTCATGCAATGTCTTACACTTGCCCACCCACCCTGGGTGACATTCTAAGGGGTGTCTGAGCAAGCCTGTCTCAGTGCTGAGGACCTCGAGATCCACGTATACACAAATCCTGGGTGAGATGGCTATTCTGGGAAAAAAGCAGTGATGAGTAAGTTTCCAATCTGGCACAGCTTTGAAAAATGTTCAAGGATTCCAGTAAATGTGGGTAAAGATGAAAGAAATCCCTCAGAAAAACAAGCATTAACTCAATTACTTTGTAACAGCTCTATCAAATTACATTTAGATGAATTACAGTCATGCATTGCTTAATGATGGGGATAGGCTCTGAGAAATGCATCATTATGAGATTTTGTCTTTGTGTAACCATCATAGAATGCACTTATACAAACCTGGATATTATAGCCTACTGTACACCTAGGCTGTATGCTACAGCCTAATGCTCCCAGGCTACAAACCTGTACAGCATGGGACTGTACTGAATACTGCAGGCCTTGTAACACAGTGGTAAGTATTTGTGTATCTAAACACAGAAAAGATACAGTAAAAGTAGTAAGTATTTGTGTATCTGAACATAGAAAAGATTAGAATTTGATGGGTCCATAATTGACCAAAACATCACATGTGGCGCATGACTGCATACATCTTAATTACAATGCCCTTTAATTTTTAAATCACTTCACTGAAGAAGGGTAAAAAGGAAACTGAAAAAAAGATAACCTTGACAATGCATTTTTATTTTTAAAAGTGTAATTCTGCAAAACACTTGATCTCAATCACCGGTTTCTAGATCAGCTAGCTGCATCACAGTGGTCTGGAAGTTTAGAAAAAAAAAAAAGTACATGTATGAATATGTGTATGTTTATATATATGTGAGATATTTTTAAAAATTCTATATTCTGAGCCCAAACATCCAGAGAGTCTGATCTAGTGTATATTTTTAATCTGTATTTTGTTCATAAGCTCGCAGGTGGTTATCACGAGCAGCCAGGTGAGGACGGATTGCTCTGAAACAACTTCCATAACAAATAAGATCAAAACCCCAAGCTGGGGTGTAAACAAAAGCTGATTTGATAAGCTGAACAGATCATTCTGCATCAGAACACCAGCAAGCTGCAGAGACTTACTTTCAGGGGGGTGCACAACTCCCCAGGTTGAAGGTGATTTCATCTTCCATTGCCCAATTGCCCACACTGCTCCCGAACCTTACAGAGAAGGGGGAAAGGCACCAAGGAACCACAGGAGACTCAGACTCTGCCCTCCGCTCCACTGAGGAACATGGCTCCCTATGACTCAGAGGCCCAAACAAGGTTTTCCCCAGCATTCTGCCAACCACACAAACCCGTGCTGTCCAATGTGACCATTATTTGGCTATTTACATTTAAGTTCGATAAAATTAAATAAAATTCAGTTCTTCAGTCCCACTAGCCACATTTCAGGTATTCATTAGACTCATGTGGCTGGTGGCTACTGTACTATAAACATTTCTGCCATCATAGAAAATTCTATCAGACAGGGCCTACCCAAAGCAGTAATTTCATTATGAACAGGTGTTTGTTCACATTTTCCCTGATGACAGGTTTGGTTTCCAAGCTTTTGTCCAGCCCCCAACTTGAGGGATATAACACCTACCCAGAGTGACAGTGACTGCTTGAGGTGAGGAACGCTGGCAGAGACAGGCAGGGAAATCTCTAGGTCAGGTGTCATTTGCAAACCACCCCCAGCCACAGGTCCCCACACCCCAGCTCCTCCCATGGCTGAGAATCACCATGGTTCTTTAAAATTTTTTTAAGGAGACTTGTTCCAGTTCTAACCACAAATGCTAACCTTCTAAGATTTAAAAAAAAAAAAAAAAAAAAGACAGACAATGTATAAAAAAGTATTTAGGTGAAGGATAAGCCCATCCATGTAGCCAAAATAGAGCTAGTTAGAACACAGCAGTCTTTGGAAGCAAGGAGATCTAAAGAAGATGTTTTTAAAGTTTCTACTGTGAAGTCTTTAATGCAGACAAAGGTAAACAAGCTAGCATGCTGAACTCCCATGTACCCATCACCAGCTTCAGCACTGACCAACTCAAGCCCATCTGGTTTCCTCTATCCCCCTTCCCCTCCACCTTGGCGCCCTTCAGGTGCGGGCAGCCAAGAAGTTGTGTCTGCACTGAAGGAAGGCGGCGGCCAGTGTGCAGGGGTGGAGGCTGGCCTGGGGGCTCTCTAGGGTCTAGGTGTCATCCTGGTGACAGCTGCTAACTCTCTGAGCTTCCATTCACTAATAATATGAGCCCCAATCTCGTCAGACTGCTGGGAGGAATTAATGAAACAGTCCCTGTGAAATGCTCAGCCTCACGTCTGGCCAAGCACAGGCTCAGGAAACGTTCACTCCTGTGGCTGGTGTGGTGCCTGTCATCGTTCTCCTTCCATAGCCCCACCACACTGCTTGCTCTTGGTTCCACCTCCCTCAGTGTCTTCCTAACTCTTTTTAAAGCTAGCACAATTTGGTTTCATGGTTTCAATTTGGGAGGAAAAAAAAAATCTGCTACGGTCTGAGTGTGGGTGTCCTTCAAAATCCACACATTGAAACCAAATCACCAAATACCAAATGGAGGCGATAATGTTAGGAGCCGAGACCTCTGGGAGAGTCAAGCCCTCATACATGGGATTAGTGCCATAAAAGAGGCCCCAGAGAGCTGCCTTGCCCCTTCCACCAGGCAAGGACACCGCAAGAAGAAGGCATCCATGAACCTGGAAGTGGGCCCTCACCAGATGAATCTGCCCCGTCTTGATCTCTGACTTCCCAGCCTCCAGACCTGTGAGAATAAATACTTGTTGTTTATACGCTGCTCAGTTTATGATATTTTGTTATAGCAGCCTTAAACAGACTAAGACAAAGTCCATACAGAAAGAGATAACATTATCACCGCTGCTGCGGTGGCTTACGACTGCGCCCACCACTGCTGCTGTGATCATGGCCTCGACTGCCGTTGGTACAATTAGGTGTAATAATACCAACCACCAGCTGCTGAGCTTTCATTCTAGGTTGAGCACTGGGTTAAACGCTTTATAAATATTATCTCATTCAATCCTCACAGGCACCCTGTGAGATTCCTTTCTCATTTCCACTTGACAGTTGAGAAAACAGATCCAGAGAATTTAAGTGACTTGCCTAAAATCACACAGCTGAGGGAACTTTAAACCCGGGTCTGCCTGACTCACAAGTTCCATGCCTCCTACCACCAAACCACAGCTAAAATCCTCCTGCAGCTAAGGTTTGATGTGAGAACCCACCCTTGCTCACCAAAATGAAAAGACATTTATATCGCATATTCTAAAAGAGAAAAACTGTGGAAACAGATTCTCTTTTCAAATAACTACTTGATGCTCTTTTTTTTCTTTTTCTTTTTGAGAGATGAGGTTAAAGGGGATTTCAGGAGCACAAAAAGCATATCTCACCAGTAAGAAAAGGGAAGAAACATAAAGAAGCACTTTATTACAACAACATTATGCACAATTCCCAGAGAAGAAATATGAGCTTGCAAATATAGGAAAGTACTCTGCAAATTAAACAACAAAAAAAGTACTTCTTGAATTTTAAATCAGTTATGCGAGAAAAGTCTGAGTCCCTTCCTGGAAATAATTCATTTTCTGAGACAATTCAAGATAATGGAAGTTGAGCTACAACATTCTTCCAATAAATTAGCCACTCCAGAGAGAGAGGTACACGCATTATAAAAGCCAAATTTTTCAGGCCAGGTGCGGTGGCTCATGCCTGTAATCTCAGCACTTTGGGAGGCCAAGACGGGTACATCACCTGAGGTCAGGAGTTCGAGACCAACCTGACCAACATGGCGAAATCCCATCACTACTAAAAAATACAAAAAATTAGCTGGGCGTGGTGGCACATGCCTGTAGTCCCAGCTACTTGGGAGGCTGAGGCAGGAGAATTGCTTGAACCCGGGAAGCAGAGGTTGCAGTGAGCCAAGAGGGCGCCATTGCACTCCAGCCTGGACAACAAGAGGGAAACCCCATCTCAAAAAAAAAAAAAAAAAAAAAAAAAAAAAAAAAGCCAAATTTTTCTAGTTAATAATAGAGGCCAAAGTTTGATGCACTCTGGGACAGGAGATATTAGTAACTCACACAGTTACACAATTTAATAAAGAAAGTATAGTCATATATTCCTACATAAGAAAACCAGGCCGGGCACGGTGGCTCATGCCTGTAATCCTAGCACTCTGGGAGGCTGAGGCAGGTGGATCACGAGGTCAAGAGATCGAAACCATCCTGGCCAAAATGGTGAAAACCCCATCTCTACTAAAAATATAAAAATTAGCTGGGCGTGGTGGCAGGCACCTGTAATCGCAGCTACTCAGGAGGCTGAGGCAGGAGAATCGCTTGAACCCGGGAGGCAGAGTGAGCCAAGATTGCACCATTGCACTCCAGCCTGGGCGACAGAGCCAAACTCCATCTCAAAAAAAAAAAAAAAGACACATAAAGCTTAGATATTTTAATTAGCAGGAAGGCCCCTTTAAATCTACGCAGGATTTGTTGGTTTTTTTCCTAGCTTAAAAGCAAGGGTGCAGTCCCCTACTTTCTCTGTTAGTATTTAGTAGAGTCTGCCTCTCCTCTCCTCCATTAGATACTTGGAGGGCACAAATATTATTTTTCTCTGAGATATAAGCACCTGGCATAGGCCTGGCACAGAGTAGGTATTTAATACATGTTTGTGGAAAGTGGGAAGAAAAAACCCAATAGGAGAAAAAAAAAAGCCAATAGGAGGATGAATCTGAAATTGTTCTTCTGCATTTCTCCTGTTTATTACCACTGCAAAAGGCTTCACCGCAAGCCCAGCCAGGGACTTGGAGGGGAAAGGGAGAGAATGCCCAAAGCTTGATCAATAGGCTCTTTCCACATAATTACATAAATCTAAACCCAGCCGCTTGCTCATCCTCCCGCCAAGAAGAAACAGACAATGTAGACACCATCCCTTAGAAAAGAACTGAGAGGAAACAAAGCAGGCCTTGCCTTTTCGTCCTGGTACAGCTTGTTGACGCTCTCCAGCTGGAAGTTGTGGCTGGACTGGATTTTGTCAAGCTGCTCCCGCTGCTTCTCCAGCTCTCCCTGGAACTCGTTCTTCTTCAGCTCCACGGCGCCTCTCTCTGCAGCCGCCCTGCGGACCCTGCCTTCCAGCTCCATGATCCGTGTCTACAAGGAGACCGTGGCATTAGGGCTGATGCCAAGTTACCTGAGGAGCCTGGACCACCTGAGCGCCCTCCACAAAGACCACCTTGGGGCCCAGGGCCAGCACCAGTCTTATACACACAAGTGCCCAAGGCTGTGTTTTAAGTCAACTGGACAGAAGCTGGAGCGGTTTCTTCTGGAAAAAATGGTCTCTGTCAGTGTAAGTGAAGGAAGGCTCTGTGCACTCACACCACACTTCCCACTGGGTTTTTGTGAGGCTTAAATGTGCTAAGTGCACAGAATGCCTCATGCTTTACCTGGCATAAGATGATGCTCAAATATTTAGTTCTTCTTCGCTGCTAACAAAGCACTTAACAACTCTTTAGCAGATACAATTTCTGAAAACAGATTCAGTTCTCCAACTCCAGACAAGCAGACCTCATCTGCCCAGAGAACAGGAACTCCCGTGGAAGCTGAGACACAGGGAGTACAAGCCCAGGAGGGTAAGTGTGAGAACAGGACAGAGCACAGACGTGCTGGGGTGCCACGGCTAAGCCCATGCAGGTTGGAATCCCTGCTCCACCTCAACCTCTTGGTGCCTCAGTCTGACCCCCTGTGAAATGAGGAAAGTCAAGTCCCAGCCTTGTAGGGTTTGTGCACAAAAGGAGATAATTTGTATAAAGTACTGTGAAAGAGAAATTATTCTGACATTCATTAAAATGGTAAGAAAGACTATTCAAAACGATTGCAATAGGAGAGGGAAATTGTGCTCAATGCCGAACACATCAAAGACAGCTAGGGATTTATAGCCAACGAGCACAGTGCGGGGAGTCAGTGGATGGAAATCGCCCCCAGAGTAGGGGGATTCTTGCTAAACTGGCCTAACAAGATTCTTGCTAAACACAGGCCAAGGACTTAGACAGCAAGGGTAGGGATGAGGAACTTGGTCAAGGATCAGGGGTAGAAGGATGGCTTAGCGGGATCCTTTGCTAGGACTGGGCTGGGCAGGCCAAAGACAGGCAGTGAGAGTTGGGAGGTGCCAAGATCAAGGCCTAGTCAAGAAGACGGCTCAGAAGGGCCCGACTCAAGTTCAATCAAGAGGAGCATCTTTGTCACTGCTCAGCACTGCACCTGACCCATGACTGCACCGGTAAATGAGGAAGTTAAAATTATTATTATCATTAAGTAATGAAGATAAAGATTGGTACCTTTAAAAACATATTTCTTACACCCATCATCCAAGCACACTTCCAATACTACTCTTCGATATCTTGGGCGCCGGAGGACCGCAAACAACGGACTATGGCCAGTGTATGTAAGCAAGCTGTCTTCCCAGAACCACCCCAGTAGCTCAAATGAATGCTGTTAACTCACAGGAAAGGCAGGGAGGGATACCACAACCGCAATCCTACACAACCACAGAGGGGACCTCTCCCACCCAAAGCTGCTTGGGGTCTGGCCCAGGGCTGTGGGGGTGTGCAGAGCCCTAAACTCACCTTACAAGCGTGTGCCCTGCACAAAACGCCCTGGCTGGCAATAAACAACAAACCCCTGGGACCCCATCATAACAAAATAAACAAAACATAAACATAAAATAAACATAACAATAAAGAAAACAAAACACCTGGAGGTCCACGCTCCGGGAGCTCGCAATCCAGTAGTTGAAGCCCAAGACGATGATGCAGGCCACCAGGGCGGCCAGCACGAGGGGCGGCGACTTCATGCTGCGACGCCCGTTTCCCAAGCCCATCATCTCAAAATCAGCGCTGAGAATCTGCCAAGTAAAAGCAAATAAATAAACATCAATACTAGTTTTATCATCTCCGAAGCAGACCGTATCATCCTTACAACCAAGAGGAAAGGAGTCTTGCCAAGAAGCGTGGGCTGGTAGCTTCTCCTTGACGTGCAAAGCTGTCAAGGGAGAAGAGTATGTGAACGGCACGCACAGAGCCCATGGTGCTGTGAACCCAGGGCAGTGTGGCCAGTTCCCAGGACAGGCTCGGAGGAGCAGGCACCGCCCCGAAACCTGCCACAGATTAGCTCGAGACCTGGGGCAAGACATGATTCCTCTTACACTTCAGATTCCTCCCTTGTAAAATCATTACCATACTCACCTTCCCGGCATAGTTTGAGAATTAATCATTTCTGTAAGCAGCAATGTTTGAGAAGTAATCATTTCTGTAAACACCAATAACAAATATTAAGTGCTTCCGCATCATATTAGAAAGAGTATATTCCTCATTACTCCTCAGAGAGAGCTTTTTGCTTTGATTCCTAACAAGGGAGGTTTTTTTTACCCTTGACAGGATTACTAATGACACCCAATTAAAGCATTTCTCAAGCAAAGCAGGAAACCCATTCTGGAGGTGAATGTGAACTCCCCCCCATGTACATCATTATTCAGGCACAGCCCTGGCTATAGAAGTGTCTCCTCCTTCATGACACACAACGGAAGTGGGAGGTGTGCCATCTGCCTGAAGTCACCAGGAAAAATGTGTTCCATCTTAGGATTTGAGGTGGAAACAAGGCATTCACTCCATGCCAAACGAGAGCACCTTCTTTCGAACATTCATTTCTCACTTTAGGGACCGTATCTGTGCAACTGCTGCATTGTACACCTCATGTTAGGAAAAACAGTGCCTCTGTGTGAGAGCTACAGAGTGCACAAAAATACAGCTTAGAAGAAAGATGCCATAAATTTTGTTAATGGGCTTCAATTCAAAGCCAGGTCTGCCTGGATGCAAGCACTGGTCTCTAGGAACAAGGAAAGTAGACTTTTCCAAATGGCTTTTCCCAAGCCAGATAAAACAGAACCTTATCAGAGTGAGCGTGGCTGCACTGCAACAAACAGCCTTTGAGCACAGAGAGCCTTTTACACCAGGGGTGTCTAGCAACAGAGGAGGAAAGGGGATGGTGGGCAAAAAAGACAAGGGACGGGTAAGGAAGAGGATACCACCAAGGATTCACCTGCAAAACCCAATTCTCACCAGTGAGAACATGGGAGAACTGATCCTCACCCTATGGTCTTTTCAGGTGGGTCACCAAAAGGCTTCTTTTTTCTTAACAGCTAGCTACTAGTATGGGGGCCTGCCAGGGGATAAAGAAGCAATCTAGCCGAATCATCTAAAATAAAGCACCCCCAGAATTCCCACGGGTGGAAATTCTGACCTGTGCTCATGTCTTACCAGCTTCTGGCCTCTCAGGATGAAAGGGGAAACCACGTTTTTCTTTCAATTATCAGCTGATATCAGCAAGCACTGAATATACTCAAGAGACTCTTGATCACAAGAGTCTCTTTTTTGACTCTTAAACTTTTTAAAATTTTTGTTTATTTATTTTAGAGACAGGGTCTCTGTCGCCCAGGGTGGAGTCAGTCACGCAATTGTGGCTCACTGAAGCCTCAAACTCTTGGGCTCAAATAATCCTCCTGCCCTCAACCTCTCAAGTAGCTGGGACTACAGACATGGGCCACCATGCCCAGCTAATTTTTTAAAACAATTTTTGTACAGACAGGGTCTCACTATTGCCTAGGTTGGCCTCAAATTCCTGACCTCAAGTGATCCTCCCATCTGGGCCCCTCAAAGTACTGGGATTACAGGTATGAGCCAGTGCACCCAGCCTCAATGATTTTTTTTTTTTTTTTTTTGAGACGGAGTTTCGCTCTTGTTTTCCAGGCTGGAGTGCAATGGTGTGATCTCAGCTCACTACAACCTCTGCCTCCCGGGTTAAAGCGATTCTCCTGCCTCAGCTTCCCGAGTAGCTGGGATTACAGGCATGCACCACCACGGCCAGCTAATTTTGTATTTTTAGTAGAGACGGGGTTTCTCCATGTTGGTCAGGCTGGTCTGGAACTCCCAACCTCAGGTGATCCGTCTGCCTCGTTCTCCCAAAGTGCTGGGAATATAGGCATGAGCCACCGTGCCCAGCTAACCTTGTTTTTAAAATATAAAAGTACAAATACAAGAGGGGGTGGCAGGGACTTTTCCAAATGGCTTTTGCTAAGGAAAAAATAGGAAACTACACACAGTAGAGTATAAATTGGTCGGGTGCAGTGGCTCATGCCTGTAATCCCAGCACTTTGGGAGGCCAAGGCAGGTAGATGGCCTGAAGTCAGGAATTTGAGACCAGCCTGGCCAACGTGGTGAAACTCCATCTCTACTAAAAATACAAAAGCAGCCAGGCATGGTGGCACATGCCTGTAGTCCCAGCTACTCAAGAGGCTGAGACAGGAGAAAAGCTTGAACCCATGAGGCGGAGCTTGCAGTGAGCCAAGATGACACCACTGCACTCCAGCCTGGGCGACAGAGCGAGACTCTGATTAAAAAAAAAAAAGAAAAAAGGATAAATTACATCCCCCTCATCCTACTCCAAAGGAAAGGGATAACATTTTCTAACATCTGGGTCCTTCTGTTCCAGTGGTCCTCAACACTCAAGGGGCATCAGCATCACCTGGGACACTTTTTTTTTTTTTTTTTTTTTGAGATGGAGTCTCTCTCTGTTGCCCAGGCTGGAGTGCAGTGGCGTGATCTAGGTTCACTGCAAGCTCCGCCTCCCAGGTTCATGCCATTCTCCTGCCTCAGCCTCCCGAGTAGCTGGGACTACAGGCACCTGCCACCACACCTGGCTAATTTTTTGTAGTTTTAGTAGAGACGAAGTTCCCCCATTAGCCAGGATGGTCTTGATCTCCTGACCTTGTGATCCGCCCGCCTCGGCCTCCCAAAGTGCTGGGATTACAGGCATGAGCCACCGTGCCCAGCCTGACACTTTTTAAAATATCAATACCTGGGCTCCACCACTGCATTTCTTTTCTTTCCTTTTTTTTTTTTCTTGAGACAGGGTCTCACTCTGTTGCTCAGGCTGACACACTCACTCTGTCACCCAGGCTGAAATAGCTGCCTAGTGGTGTGATCCCAGCCTCAACTCCTGGGCTCAAGTGATCCTCCCACCTCAGCTTCCCCAACTTCCTGGGCTCAAGTGATCCTCCCACTTCAGCTTCCCAAGTAGCTGGGACTACAGGTGTGTGCCACCACGCCCAGCTAATTTTTTCTATTTTTGTAGAGATGGGGTCTCACTATGTTGCTCAAGCTGGTCTCAAACTCCTGGGCTCAGTGATCCTCCCGCCTCAGCCTCCTAAAGTGCTGGGAGTACAGGCGTGAGCCATCACACCTGGCCCCCAGCCCTGCATTTCTAATTCAATGGGGTTTAGGGCAAGGCCCGGATATTTGTATTTTTTAACCTCCCCAGGTGATTCATATGTATAGCCGCTATTCTAGATGTTTCTAGATGCATATATAAGCATCAATATATTTATTTTAATCCAAACAAGATCACACCATTCACACTCTTCTGTAAATGCTGTGTATTTCTTAGTAACACATCTTGCCTCCCCTTTTTTAGTAGCACATTATGGTTTGCTCCATTCTTTTCAAAGGGCTGAATAGGGCACCACTGTGTGCCAAGATCTGCTTAACTGATCTCCTACAGAGAAACAGTCAAGGTTTTCCAGGCTTATTTCCAACAATGCTACCATAAACAACCTTACACAGCTGTCCCTCAGTATTCACTGGGGATTGGTTCCAGGACCCCCTGAGGACACCAAAAGCCAAGGATGTTCAAGTCTCTTATATAAAATGGCATACTATGTGAATCCAACCCAGGCACATCCTCCTCTAGGCTTTAAACCATGTCTAGATTACTTATAATACTTAGTACAATATAAATGCTATGTAATTAGCTGTTAAGCCATATGTTTAGGAACTAATCACAAAAAAGTCTATACATGTTCAGTACAGATGCAACCACAGTAGGCCTAACTAATTTTTGTTTGTTTTTCTGAGATGGGAGTCTTGCTCTGTCACCCAGGCTAGAGTGCAGTGGCACGAACTTGGCTCACTGCAACCTCCGACTCCCAGGTTCAAAGGATTCTCCCATCTCAGCCTCCTGAGTAGCTGGGATTAGAGGTGGCCACCACCACACCCAGCTAGTTTTTTTTGTACTTTTAGTAGAGACAGTGTTTCACTATGTTGGCCAGGCTGGTCTCGAATTCTCGGCCTCAAGTGATCTGCCTGCCTCGGCCTCCCAAAGTGCTGGGATTATGGGCATGAGCCACCATGCCCAGCCAGGCTTAAGTACATTTTGAACAGCTAGTTTAATCTGCAGATGTGGAACTGTACATCCATCTCTGTGTTTACGAACTCTTACCTATGTGTACAGTCCCTTATTCACAACTTTGAAATCCAAAACGGTCTCTAAAAACTCAGAGAAAGTTTTAAAAACTTTTCCAGCAACAAAACCTGAACTGAGATCAAGGTCTGATCAGAACTTATCTGAAGCTACTGATAGTCTTTATCTTCCTCCTTTCATGTGAATGCTCATACATTTCACTGCAGAAAGATGAGTGTTTGAGCATGCGGTGCTGTCCTAGATCCTCCTGGGGCTGTCACATAATATATAATAAATGCCCAATGTTATCTGAATTCTGAAAAAAGTCCTGAGTTCCAAACCTAGCTGGCCTCAAGGAGCTTGAGATGAACCAACAGCAAGCTTACTGTTGTGAGGCACTGCTCAATACAGGGGCTCGTATCAGCTTTGGGGGCATTATCATCCCCATTTTGCAGGAGATGAAATAAATCACATCTCTGTGGATCTATTTCTGGGTCAAAAATGTATGTTTTTAATATTGATAGAGCTTCTCTCTTCCAAAATAGTTGGCAAATTACAAAGGGAAAAACAGTTCTATTACATGAAGAATTCTGGCAGATGCCACCTTAGCCACATGTTCAAGCTTGGTATCCCTGATAATGAGGCACATCGACATCACATACCCCCTGATATGGTGCACTAGGAGGGCACGGCACCTCTACAGCCTCCTGCCAGGGATACATAACCTCAATCTTATCAGGAGAAAATTCAGAGGAAGTCAACGCGTCAGACATTCTATAAAACACTTGGCCAGCACGGTTAAAAAGATATTACCAAGGTTAATCTCTTAATTTTGATAAATTCTATGGTTAAGGGGAAACAGGGTAAAGGGTATATAGGAACTATATGTACTATTTTCCAACCCTTCCTTAAGTCTAAACTATATAAAAAATTATTTGATAGATCTTAACCATATCCAAAACAGGTCCAACCTGTCAAATGCATGAGCCCCTTGAACCTTCTAGTTAAATATTAATATTTTAAAAAATTCCTTCCTTTCGCTGGGCACGGAGGCTCATGCCTGTAATTCCAGCACTTTAGGAGGCTGAGGCAAGCGGATCACGAGGTCAGGAGTTCAAGACCATCCTCACCAATATGGTGAAACCCCATCTCTACTAAAAATACAAGAAGTAGCCGGGGGTGGTGCTCACCTGTAGTCCTAGCTACTCGGGAGGCTGAGGCAGAAGAATCACTTGAACCCGGGAGGCAGAGGTTGCAGTGAGTCGAGATCGCGCCACTGCACTCCAGCCTGGGGGCAACAGAGTGAGACTCTGTCCCAGAGAAACAAACAAAAAGACAGTTAGGCCTACAAAAAAAATTTTCCTTCTTTTCATATAGAGGTTTTAATCACAATCTTCTGCAGCAGGAGAATGCCTGTTTTCCGACATGGTAACATAGAAAACAAACTTTTTAATGCCTGACAATCTCATTAGTGATATTTTCAAGCACATTAATTGTGAGTACAAATGAGTGTCTTTTCATTTATTGGCCATCTGCATGTTCATTTTGGTGAAATGCCTTTTCATATTTTTTGCCCAGTTTTAAACTGGGGTGTTCATCTTATTGATTTGCTAAAGCTCTTTGTCTATTAAAGGTAAACCAATCTTTGGTCCTTCATTTGAATAATTTTTTTTCAATTTTTCATCTATTCTTTTACTTTACAGAAATTTTGCCCAAAGTTTTTGTTTTTTTTTTTTTTTTTGAAGGTTCTACTTTTTTTTTAAATTATACTTTAAGCTCTGGGATACATGTGCAAAACGTGCAGGTTTGTTACATAGGTATACCTGTGCCATGATGGTTTGCTGCACCCATCAACCCCTCACCTACATTTAGTTACTTCTCCTAATGCTTACCCCTCCCCTAGTTCCCCACCCCACCACAGGCCCTGGTGTGTGATGTTTCCCTCCCTGTGTCCATGTTTTCTCATTGTTCAGCTCCCACTTATGAATGAGAACATGTGGTGTTTGGTTTTCTGTTCCTGTGTTAGTTTGCTGAGAATGATGGTTTCCAGCTTCATCCGTGTCCCTGGCAAAGGACATGAACTCATTTATGGCTGCATAGTATTCCATGGTGTATACGTGCCATATTTTCTTTATCTAGTCTATCACTGATGGGCATTTGGGTTGGTTCCAAGTCTTTGCTATCGTGAACAGTGCCGCAATAAACATACGTGTGCATGTGTCTTTATAGAATGATTTATAATCCTTTGGGTATATACCCAGTAATGGGATTGCTGGGTCAAATGGTATTTCTAGTTCTAGATCCTTGAGGAATCACCACACTGTTTTCCACAATGGTTGAACTAACTTACACTCCGACCAACAGAGTAAAAGCGTTCCTATTTCTCCATTCTCTCCAGCATCTGTGGTTTCCTGACTTTTTAATGATCACCATTCTAACTGGCGTGAGATGGTATCTCATTATGGTTTTGATTTGCATTTCTCTAATGACCAATGATGATGATCTTTTGTTCATATGTTTGTTGGCTGCATAAATGTCTTCTTTTGAGAAGTCTCTGTTCATATCCTTCGCCCAGTTTTTGATGGGTTTTTTTTTCTTGTAACTTTAAGTTCTTTGTAGAGTCTGGATATTAGCCCTTTGTCAGATGGACAGATTACAAAAGTTTTCTCCTATTCTGTAGGCTGCCTGTTCACTCTGATGATAGCCTCTTTAGCTGTGCAGAAGCTCGTTAGCTTAACTAGATCCCATTTGTCTATTTTGGCTTTTGTTGCCATTTCTTTTGGTGTTTTAGTCATGAAGTCTTTGCCCATGCCCACGTACTGCCTAGGTTTTCTTCTAGGGTGTTTATGGTTTTAGGTCTTACGTTTAAGTCTTTAATCCATCTTGAGTTAGTTTTTGTACAAGGTGTAAGGAAGAGGTCCAGTTTCAGTTTTCTGCATATGGCTTGCCAGTTTTCCCAGTGCCATTTATTAAACAGGGAATCCTTTCTCCATTGCTTGTTTTTGTCAGTTTTGTCAAAGATCAGATGGTTGTAGATGTGTGGCATTCTTTCTGAGCCCTCTGTTCTGTTCCATTGGTCTATGTATCTTTTTTGGTACCAGTACCATGCTGTTTTGGTTACTGTAGCCTTGTGGTACAGTTTGAAGTCAGGCAGCATGATGCCTCCAGCTTTGTCTTTTTGCTTAGGATTGTCTTGGCTATATGAGCTCTTTTTTGGTTCCATATGAACTTTAAAGTAGTTTTTTCCAATTCTGTGAAGAAAGTCAAGGGTAGCTTGATGGCGATAGCATTGAATCTATAAATTACTTTGGGCAGTATGGCCATTTTCACGATATTGATTCTTCCGATCCATGAGCATGGAATGTTTCTCCATTTGTTCGTGTCCTCTCTTACTTCCTTGAACAGTGGTTTGTAGTTCTCCTTGAAGAGGTCCTTCACATCCCTTGTAAGTTGTACTCTTAGGTATTTTATTCTCCTTGTAGCAATTGTGAATGGGAGCTCATTCATGATTTGGCTGTTTGTCTATTAGTGTATAGGAATGCTTGTGATTTTTGCACATTGATTTTGTATCCTGAGACTTTGCTGAAGTTGCTTATCAGCTTAAGGAGATTTTAGGCTGAGACGATGGGGTTTTCTAAATATACAATCATGTTGTCTGCAAACAGGGATCATATGACTTCCTCTCTTCCTATTTGAATACATTTCTTTCTCTTGCTTGATTGCCCTGGCCAGAACTTCAAATACCATGCTGAATAGGAGTGATGAGAGAGGACATCCTTGTCTTGTGGCAGTTTTCAAAGGGAATGCCTCCAGCTTTTGCCCATTCAGTATGATACTGGCTGTGGGTTTGTTGTAAATAGCTCTTATTATTTTGAGATACATTCCATCAATACCTAGTTTATTGAGAGTTTTTAGCATGAAGAGGTGTGGAATTTGATCGAAGGCCTTTTCTGCATCTATTGAGAGAACCATGTGGTTTTTGCCATTGGTTCTGTTTATGTGATGGATTACGTCTACTAATTCATATGTTGAACCAGCCTTGCATCCCAGGGATGAAGCTGACTTGATTGTAGTGGATAAGCTTTTTGATGTGCTGCTGGATTTGGTTTGCCAGTATTTTATTGAGGATTTCCCCATCGATGTTCATCAGGGATATTGGTCTGAAATTTTCTTTTTTTGTTGTGTTTAGGCCAGGTTTTGGTATCAGGATGATGCTGACCTCATAAAATGAGTTAGGGAAGAGTCCCTCTTTTTCTATTGTTTGGAATAGTTTCAGAAGGAATGGTACCAGCTCCTCTTTGTACCTCTGGTAGAATTTGGCTGTGATTCCGTCTGGTCCTGGGCTTTTTTTGGTTGGTAGGCTATTCATTACTGCCTCAATTTCAGAACTTGTTATTGGTCTATTCAGGGATTTGACTTCTTCCTGGTTTAATCTTGGGAGGGTTTATGTGTCCAGGAATTTATCCATTTCTTCTAGATTTTCTAGTTTATTTGCGTAGAGGTGTTTATAGTATCCTCTGATTTTAGTTTGTATTTCTGTGGGATCAGTGGTGATCTCCCCTTTACCATTTTTTATTGTGTCTATTTCAGTCTTCTCTCTTTTCTTCTTTATTAGTCTGGCTAGCAGTCTATCTATTTTGTTAATCTTTTCAAAAAACCAGCTCCTGGATTCGTTGTTTTTTTGAAGGGTGTATATATATATATATATATATATATATATATATATATTTAGGATAGATAGGTCTTCTTGTTGCATTGATTCCTTTACCATTATGTAATGCCCTTTTTAAATCTTTGTTGGTTTAAAGTCTGTTTTTTCAGAGGATTGCAACTCCTGGTTTTGTTTTTTTTTTTTTTTTGTTTTGTTTTTTTGCTTTCCGTTGCTTGGTAATATTCTTCCATCCCTTTATTTTGAGCCTATGTGTGTCTCTGCGTGTGAGATGGGTCTCCTGAATACAGCATACCTATGGGTCTTGAGTCTATCCAATTTGCCAGTCTGTGTCTTTTAATTGGGGCATTTAGCCCATTTACATTTAAGGTTAATATTGTTATGTGTGAATTTGATCCTGTCATTATGATGTTAACTGGTTATTTTGTCCATTAGTTGATGCAGTTTCTTCATAGTGTCGATGGTCTTTACAATTTGGTACGCTTTTGCAGTGGCTGGTACTGGTTTTTCCTTTCCATATTTAGTGCTTCCTTTAGGAGCTCTTGTAAGGCAGTCCTGGTGGTGACAAAATCTCTCAGCATTTGCTTGTCTGTAAAGGATTTTACTTATCCTTCACTTATGAAGCTTAGTTTGGCTAGATATGAAATTCCGGGTTGAAAGTTCTTTTAAGAATGTTGAATATTAGCCCCCATTCTCTTCTGGCTTGTAGGGGTTCTGCAGAGAGATCTGCTGTTAGTCTGATGGGCTTCCCTTTGTGGGTAACCTGACTTTTTTCTCTGGCTGCCCTTAACATTTTTTCCTTCATTTCAACCTTGGTGAATCTGACAATTATGTGTCTTCAGGTTGCTCTTCTCGAGGAGTATCTGTGGTGTTCTCTGTATTTCCTGAATTTGAATGTTGGCCTGTCTTGCTAGGTTGGGGAAGTTCTCCTGGATAATATCCTGAAGAGTGTTTCCAACTTGGTTCCATTCCCCCCCTCACTTTCAGGTACACCAATCAAACATAGGTTTGGTCTTTTCACATAGTTCCATATTTGTTGGAGGCTTTGTTCATTCCTTTTCATTCTTTTTTTCTCTAATCTTGTCTTCACGCTTTATTTCATTAAGTTGATCTTCGACCTCTGATATCCTTTCTTCCGCTTGACCGATTTGGCTATTGATACTTGCATATGCTTCACGAAGTTCTCGTGCTGTGTTTTTCAGCTCCATCAGGTCATTTATGTTCTTCTCTAAACTGGTTATTCTAGTTAGCAATTCCTCTAAACTTTTTTCAAGGTTCTTAGCTTCCTTGCATTGGGTTAGAACATGCTCCTTTAGCTCGGAGGAGTTTATTACCCACCTTCTGAAGCCTACTTCTGTCAGTTCATCAAACTCATTCTCTGTCCAGTTTTGTTCCCTTGCTGGCGAGGAGGTGTGATCCTTTGGAGGAGAAGAGGCATTCTGGTTTTTGGAATTTTCAGCCTTTTTGTGCAGGTTTTTCCTCATCTTTGTGGATGTATCTACCTTTGGTCTTTGATATTGGTGAACTTCAGATGGGGTTTCTGTGTGGATGTCCTTTTTGTTGATGCTATTCCTTTCTGTTAGTTTCCCTTCTCACTGTCAGGCCCCTCTGCTGCAGGTCTGCTGGAGTTTGCTGGAGGTCCACTCCAGACACTGCCTGGGTATCACCAGTGGAGGCATCAGAAAAGCAAAGATTGCTGCCTGTTCCTTCCTCTGGAAGCTTTGTCGCAGAGGGGCACCCACTAGATGCCAGCCGGAGCTCTCCTGTATGAGGTGAGCTGTCAACCCCTGCTAGGAGGTGTCTTCCAGTCAGGAGGCACAGGGGTCAGGGACCCACTTGAAGAGGCAGTCTGTCCCCTAGCAGACTTTGAGTGTTATGCTGGGAGATCTGCTGCTCTCTTCAGAGCTGGCAGGCAGGAACATTTAAGTCTGCTGAAGCTGTGCCCACAGCTACCCCTTCCCCCAGGTGCTCTGTCCCAGGGAGCTGGGAGTTTTATCTGTAAGACTGGGGCTGCTGCCTTTCTTTCAGAGATGCCCTGCTCAGAGAGGAGGAATCTAGAGAGGCAGTCTGGCCACAGTGGCTTTGCCGAGCTGCAGTGGGCTCTACCCAGTTCGAACTGGCAGCTTTCTTTACACTGTGAGAGGAAAACCACCTACTCCAGCCTCAGCAATGGCGGATGCCCCTCCCCTCTACCAAGCTCGAGCATCCCGGGGCAACTTCAGACTGCTGTGCTGGCAGCAAGAATTTCAAGCCAGTGTTTCTTAGCTTGCTGGGCTCCATTGGGGTGGAATCCAATGAGTTAGACCACTTGGCTCCCTGGCTTCAGCCTCCTTTCCAGGGGAGTGAACAGTTCTGTCTCGCTGGCGTTCCAAGTGCCACTGGGGTACCAAAAAAAAAAAAAAAAAAAAAAAAAAAACTCCTGCAGCTAGCTCAGTGTCTGCCCAAATGGCCGCCCAGTTTTGTGCTTGAAACCCAGGGCCCTGGTGGTGTAGGCACCTGAGGGTATCTCCTGGTCTGTGGGTTGCGAAGAGCATGGGAAAAGCGTAGTATCTGGGCCAGAGTGCACTGTCCCTCATGGCACAGTCCCTCATAGTTTCCCTTGGCTAGGGGAGGAGTTCCCCAACCCCTTGCACTTCCTAGATGAGGCGATGCCCCACCCTGCTTCTGCTCACCCTCTGTGGGCTGCATCCACCGTCTAACCAGTCCCAGTGAGATGAGCCAGGTACCTCAGTTGGAAATGCAGAAATCACCTGTCTTCTGTGTTGATCTCGCTGGGAGCTGCGGACCAGAGCTGTTGCTATTTGGCCATCTTACCAGCCACTCTGTTGTTGTTTTAAATAACCTAATCTTGTCAATCCTTTATTACTTCTCGATTGTTGTTATATTTAGAAGGGCATTTCCTATTCTAAGTTTATAAACAACTTACCCACATTTTTTTCCAATGTACAGTTTCATATTTACATTTAAATTGTTCATCCATTTAAAACTCCTTTTTGATGTAAGGAGTAAGGAAATACAAAGAATGCAGAAGTAAGGAAATACAAAGAATGCAGCTTTTTTTTTTCCTGTAGTGACAAGCCAGTTCTGCCAGGGCCCTCTACTGAATAATCTATTTTTACCTACTGCTTTGAACAACTATCTTTGTTATATACTAAATTTTCTAACAATATACTTTTTCTTAAAGAGATGGAATCTTGTCGCCCAGGCTGGAGTGCAGTGGTACAATCATGGCTCACTGCAGCCTTGAACTCCTGGACCTAAGCAATCCTCACACCTCAGTCTCCGAGTAGGCACATGCTGCCGCACATGGCTTGACAAAATACTTTTAGATGTGACCCTTGCAAGGCCTTTTGTTATTCTAGTAGAGGTAAGTCAGTGGGTGGGGTATATTATAAATTTGAAAGCAGAAAATAAACTCCATTCTCACTTCAAGGGAAGTGTACAGATAACCATTTAATATTCTCTTTTCTTTAAACAGCCAATAAAAAATTTATTGAGCAGCTACCATGAGTCAGGTGCTGTATTCACATCAGGCAGCTCAGGGTGGTATTAAGAGCACAGACTGGAATCCCATTGCCATATCTGAATCCTGGCTCCACCACTCAGGAACCCCACAGACTGGAGCCTCACAGCCATGTCTGACACTGGCTCCACCACTCAGGAACTCCAAGACTGGAACCCCACAACCATGTCTGACCCTTGCTCTACCACTCAGGGGACACAGGACCTGTCTGTGCATCACTGTCCTGCTCACAAGGTTTTTAAGAGGATTCAGTGAGTTGAGTGAGAAGCGCTTAGAGCTACATTTGGCACATAGTAATTGCTCAACAAATGTTGACAACTATTAGGGATGGAAAGATGAACAACAAATCATTTCTAGATTCAATCTTTTTTCCATTTTATGAGGAAACAGTGATGCATGTTTTCCTTCCATAACCATTCTACTTTATAGCAACCAGTCCTCCTCTTTCCTTCTCCTGACTCTGCCACCAACTAAAATAGCAGTACCTGCCATTACCTGGGGCTGACCTACAGTTGCCACTGAGGCCGTGGACATCCCAGACCAGGATCATATTATGAAAAAGGTTTGAGGAAGCCAAGCCTCAAACAGTCCTGGAAGTCATACAATCCTGGAAGCCCCTCACTGTCACCCAGTG
Source organism: Homo sapiens (assembly GCF_000001405.40). NCBI lineage: Eukaryota > Metazoa > Chordata > Mammalia > Primates > Hominidae > Homo > Homo sapiens. The sequence continues at coordinate 86,092,556 of NC_000009.12, forward strand.
CTTGGCTGGCCAGGAAGGTGAGCAGCTGTCTAGACAGCACTCTTAGGAGAGCCCTGGGCTCCCAATGGGAGCAGGGCTGCCCAGGTAAATAGTGACACAAGGAAAGGAAGTAACACAATGAGGCTTCAGGCCTGCAAGGTGCCTCCTCACAGGCTTCCAGGACTGTAGAAACCCTTGCTGCTGAAGGATAAGGGACACACACTGGCGAGAAATGATCAAGACTGATGAAGGCTGGTGGCAGGAACTCACAGGCAGAGTTTATGGTGGTCAAATACATCAGACACTCTCCCTTCTCCCACCTTAGAATTTATTTGGATTGCGGATGAGATGGAAGTGGGTGAGTGATATACTGCATCAAACAGAGGTATTAATTTAATATTCATTTTCATTTAAGCTTCAGAATATGTTTGTCTCATACTTGGTTATAAGCTTCCAACATACTGAAAATGATTAACTTAAATCAGCTAAACTCTGTGAGGCTCCAGGCTTTCCCAAAATTAAAACAAGTGGTGTGTTTTCACATTAAAAATCACTTGATAGGCTGGGTGTACACAGTGGCTCATGTGTATAATCCCAGCACTTTGGGAGGCCAAGGCAGACGATCACCTGAGGTCAGGAATTTGAGGCCAGCCTGGCCAACATATCAAAACCCTGTCTCTACTAAAAATACAATTAGCTGGGCATGGTGGTGTGTGCCTGTAATCCCAGCTACTTGGGAGGCTGAGGCAGGAGAATCGCTTGAACTTGGGAGGCAGAGGTTGCTGTGAGCCAAGATTGCGCCACTCACTCTAGCCTGAGTGACAGAGCGAGATTCTGCCTCAAAAAAAAAAAAAAAAAAAGAAACAACAACAAAAAAACCCCAAAATTATCTGGGTGTGGTGGCACACACCTGTAATTCCAGCTACTTGGGAGGCTAAGGCATGAGAATTGCTTGAACCCAGGAGATGGAGGTTGCAGTGAGTTGAGATTGCGTCACTGCATGCCAGCCTGGGCGACAGAGCAAGATTTCTGTCAAAAAAAAAAAAAAATCACTTGATAAATCAGAAAAGGAAAAAACTGCATATTCTTACCTACTGGCTTAATTTAAAAATTCAACCTATTGGTTAAAATTATTATTTGCTTTTAAGACAAAATGTTTGTAATTTAACAAAGCCTTCTAATTACTTTTTTTAAAAGAAAGAAAAGGCATATGAAAATGGACAACATGCCAAATACACGAGCCCCTTGACCCTCCTAGTCAAATATTATGTTTAACATTTCCTTATTTTCATATAGGGCTTTAAATCAGAAAAGCAAATATATAGGAGCAATCGCGTCAGATTAGCATGTTTGACCAACATCAACCAGTGCAGAAACTGGGCTTCTCCAAACAGTGGTGGAGCCACACCTCTAACTCCTTCTCAGAGGAATGGCCCCAGCGGCTCAGCAGGAAGTTCAGAAGTCACTGCAATGAGCAAACAGACCTGAGCACACCCCGGCGCAGCCTGGAGTCCGGGAAAGAATCAGTCACCAAGTTTTCTGATGGCCTGGAAATATTCCACCCTGTCCCAAGAATGTCTCTAAGCCAGGGGTGAGCAAACTATGGCCCACAGGCCATATCCGGGCCTGGTTTTTTTTTTTTTAAAGTTTTACTATACACTGCCATAAATACTGCCTATGGCTGCTTTCTGGCTACAAAGTAGAACTGAAAAGTTGAGACAGAGACAGAGACTCACAGACCAACTCTGCCCATAGGGTATTGTGAGGATTAAACATTTACCATCTGACCATTTAGACAGTTTGTCAACTCTGCCTCTAACCCATTGGGATTAAATGACCAAGGTCACTGTGTTCTGCTTAAATTGCTTTAAAAACTTACTAGGAAATACACAGACTCTCTTCCTCTCACTTCCCCAAAATGAACACCATCTTTTCCCCAATGCTAGAAGCTGACAGTGTCTAAAGATTAAAACTTTTAAAATGAATGTATAGTGGTAGGTAGTAGAAACACCAAAAAGCGAGGTGGATGAGTGAAAATGAACTAGGGAACCAAATTCTTCCTGTTTTGAAATTTTCTGAAGAAAGGTTGAACCACCGTCAAGAATATATCCTGGGGCCAGCACGATGGCTCACGTCTATAATCCCAGCACTTTGGTAGGCTGAGGCAGGAGGATCACTTGAGCCCAGGAATTCGAGACCAGATTGGGCAATGTTATGCAGGGAGACCCTGTCTCTACAAAAAAATATTTAAAAAAGAATACATCTTGGGCCAGGCACGGTGGCTAATGCCTGTAATCCCAGCACTTTGGGAGGCCAAGGCAGGCGGATCACCTGAGATCGGGAGTTCAAGACCAGCCTGACCAACATGGAGAAACCCTGTCTTTACTAAAAATACAAAATTAGCCGGGCGTGGTGGTGCATGCCTGTAATCCCAGATAGTTGGGAGGCTGACGCAGGAGAATCACTAGAACCTGGGAAGCGGAGTTTTCGGTGAGCCGAGATAGTGCCATTGCTCTCCAGCCTGGGCAAAAACCCCGTCTAAAAAAAAAAAAAAGAAAAAGAAAAGAAAAGAAAAAAGAATACATCTCAGTAGGAGCTCAATTTTTCCTTGAGTCACAAACTGCCGCCCAAGGGCCCAATCCTGCCAGCCATCTATTTTTGTACACTGCCCACAAATTAAGAATAGTTTTTACATTTTTTTTCTTTTTTTTTGAGACGAAGTCTTGCTTTGTCACCCAGGCTGGAGTGCAGTGGCGCAATCTCAGCTGTCTGTAACCTCTGCCTCCTGGGTTCAAGTGATTCGAATGTCTCAGCCTCCCAGGTAGCTGGAATTACAGGCACATGCCACCACGCCCAGCTAATTTTTGTATTTTCCCTTTTTTTTTTTTTTTAAAATAGAGATGGGGTTTCACCATGTTGGCCAGGTTGGTCTCGAACTCCTGACTTGAAGTGATCCGCCCACCTCAGCCTCCCAAAGTGCTGGGATTACAGGCATGAGCCAACGTGCCTGGCCAGTTTTTACATTTTCAATGGTTGAAGAAAGTTAAAAGAATAATATTTCATGACAGAGTGCTTCAAAGGGCTGAGATAAATTCTCCACATATTCCTGGCTGCCTGGAAGATTATGCGCGCGTGGGAAAGACCCAAAAGAGCCCAGCAGGGCTGAAAACCAAGAAGAACCGAGAACCAGCTGAAACTTGCAGTGTTCCCCAACTCGCACACAGACCTACTGATAGAGGGATGGAGACTGACCTGGCAGGTGACTCCTGGTTCAGTGCTCCTTGGAGAATTTGGATGCCATGAAGTGATATTAGATGTCAGTTTAGCTACCTGTTATTTTGAGTGCTTCCTTAGCGGTACTGTTGAGGCAGTGTGGCTTAGGAAAAGAGTACTGATGTGGGTCAGGCCAAAAGGAATTTTAATCCTAGCTTTCTTACTATTTGCATGAATTTTGGTGAGTTGTATAATCCCCCTCTCTGTATCTTATTCAATCCTTGTAAAAGTCCATTGAAGTAGGCTTACTACTGACCCCATGTTCTAGGATGCAGTGATATGAGACTTTAAATATGTAAAACCTTTTGTTGTGAGGATTAAAAATTACAGCGGCAATAAAGTACACACCACATGATAACTGCTCGATAGGTTTTTTTTTTTTTTTTGGTTTGGAAATAAAAGGATATCTCATGACACATGAAAATTACATGAAACTAAAACTTCTGTATCCATAAATAAAGTTTTACTGGAACAGAACCATGCCCATTCATTTACATATTATCTGTGGCTACTGGGCTATAACAGCAGAGCTGAGTAGTTGTGACAGGGACCACAGGGTCTGCAACATCTAAAATAGTATCTGGTCCTTTTCAGAAACAGGTTGCCAACTCCTGCTGTAGTTCAATGGTCCTTAAAGTGTGGTCCCCATATTAGCAGCATCAGCATTACCTTGGAATTTGTCAGAAATGCAAATTTTGTGGCCGACCCCAGACCTACCAAGTCAGAGGTCTGTTTATTCCACTAATAAATGCAAACACAGGACAGCAAAATACCGTGGCTGGCAAAGCTCTATACTGAGTCAGCCTTGCATGAGATACCTCATGAAGTAGAAACTATGCTGATGTAATCAGATCTGACAAGACACAGGCCCAAAATACTTAAAATTAAGAGAAAGAGTATTTAAAACAGGGTTTCTACCTCTAATGTTGTTAACAAATCCAGCCCTATGTGTATATTGGGCCTTGAGACACAATATAACCATAACAGCAAATACATGTAGTTTATAAATAAGCAACAAATGCACATACAGAAGAGTGTTAAAAAAGTTTTTTTATTACTAAGAAACATCAAAAAAGTTGGGAAACGATAGCAAATTACAATATAAACAACTATAATCATATTATATAGTATTTATATATGTACTTTTTTCTGTCAGGCACTAATCTTCAAAATCTTAGCAAGGGAAGTCCTACTAATAAAGTGCTTAAGGGTTTTAAAGGAAAATAAGACCAAAATGTAAAAATCTGAGAAGGCATGGACTTTTTTTTTTTTTTTTCCTGAAAGTGTGAGAAATATCTGTGTGAAAGAAAGGAAAGACTCTCTGGAAATTTAAGAAACACTTCATAAATTTGGAGACAAGTCTCTCTTTTAATGTAACTTCATCAATAACGTGAGAAGTCCAGAAAACCACCATGATCTTTAAGAACAGTTTTTGGGGAGCAAGTGAAATATCATTCGCCCTTTTCTAAGGTGAGAGCAAAAGCATAGTAGCACCATTCCTTCTGTTCCTTCTACTTTTTTACAAATGTTTAAAAAATTGTTTTGTTTTACAAAAACAGAAGTGCTTTTAAAAAATCCCAATTACAAATGTTATTTCTCACATTACGTCACTGAAAAAGAAATGTATCTTTTTTCATAGGGCAACTTATTTTTTTTTTATTTCAAGAAAAAACAAGTAATAACAATAATGCTGCAGAATTTAAGCCAAAGGCACAGAACACCGCTCCCCCGCCCCCAATGGCCACCCCAGGTCCTTTGAGAAAGGCGGCTGGACCTCAGGGACCACGCTGCCTTCAAGCTCCCTCCCACCAATAGTGCCCATCAACTGACACCTGTCTTCTTCTCAGCACACCTGCCTAAAGTGATGCTCCACCCTTCCTACTGATCCACGCAGACGCATTTTCCCCAGGTTCTGCCCTCTGTACTTCCAATGCAGAAAGCCAGCTCGCACTTTCACAGGATAAGGGTAGCAGTTCCCTCCTTCCTGGGGAAGGTGGCCATATATATATAAACCCGGGTAGCCCTGGGCCTGCTATGGTCAGCTGTCCTAACTGTTGTTTCTGCCCAGCCCTCAACAACAACAACAACAGCGGGTGGAATGTAAATGCAAAATCTTTTCATTTCCCATCAATAACTGGACCTAAACCAGCCATTAGAAAGCAGATGGTATCCCTGGCCCTTAATATCCAAGTCACCACAATTTCCTGGCCCCACCCTCAGCACTACTTTCCTCTCATTTCTTTCGTTTTCCTGTAAAACCAACTTTAAAAAAAAATGTGAAAATTGGATAACCTCTCCATAGGAGAACAAAATGTATCTTAAAAGCTAACCTCTTTTCTTTAACCATCCTAACAATTCAATTTTTGTTCACTGACACCTTAAGAATTGAGTGTCTGGCCTAAAAACAGTAAGTCTTAGCAAGTTACTAGTTTCTATTAAGAAAGAAAGTAATGAGCTTAGCTTCATCTTTTATAACACAACTGGAAGAAGCTAGGATGCCTTTGGAGACCCACAAAAACTGACAAGAGATTGTCCCATGCCCTCCAAAATTCAGAAATACTAAAACTGAGATTTGAGCCAACCTGATGGCCATGAGCTAAACAAAGCCACTCAAGCGCTGCTAAATACTTCATCAGGTTATTGTGTATCTCACTAATCCAGCCCTAGAAATGTTCCTCAATAATGTGCATAATGTAGGGCCTAGGGACCCCAAATCAGACAAAGAAAACCTCAAAATCGTGAAAGTCACACAAGTTTAGTTTTGCAAATCTGGCTATGGGACATCTGAAATTGTCCAGCATCATCATGGTATTTCAAATATAATAATTCTTAAATTTTGCTAAAAAATTTCATCAAAATTGTTATTCTTCACATTTTGTTTCTTAAAAGCAAATCATTAAAAATATTAAATGGGATATGATTTTTACAGCAGGGCAAAGTTGTGTGGATCCTCCACGTTGGCAAAGGTGGAAACACAGGTATGCGAGAAAACCCCGAGCATCCACGAGAACGGGATGCAGCCGCGCTCTGGACGCGCGGCGGGAGGACCCGGAGCCCAAGCTCCGGGGTCACCAGCCACGAGGCCCAGCGGCAACGTGGACCCCAGGGCGGCCGGAGCGCGCCTGGGGCTGGAGGGGAGGAAGAGGCGGCGGGAGCCGAGAGACTCGCGGCTCGGCCAGCCTCCCGCGCCTGGTGCAAATCACGCTGCAGAACTGGAACTAGTGCGACTTAGGGGGTGCACGCTTTTGACTTTGGATGCCGACGCGCGTGACAAAGCTCAGAACAAAAAGACAGGCCCCGCATCGCCTGAGACTGCAGGGCAGGGAATCCTCGCGAGGCCCCTCATCGCAGGGCAAGGGGGCCGCGCGCCCGGTCTTGGGGAGCGAGCCGAGGGGCCCAGGCAGCCGCGGGCTACTCGGTGCAGGAAGGTGCGGAGCCAGCCCCGAGCGCAGCCAGCGAAGGTTGCAGCCCCGGCGCAAGCCGCGGGGAGGCTCCGGGGACCGACGCGAGGTCTCGGCGCGCGGGGTACGGGCCCTGGGCAAAGGAGGGAGGAAGCGATGGACCGCGGTTCGGGCAGCCTGGGGCCGCGCGCCGCCCACTCACCTCTTTTCGAGGCTCCGGCCGCCACTCGGGGATCCGGGGCCCCGCTACGAGGCCGCCCGGGTCGCTCTCCCGCCGCCGCCGGCCTCGAGCTCCGGCCGGCTCCGCGCCGTGCGCCCAGCGCCTCCGCGTCCAGCGCCGCCGCGTCTCCGGCCTCCGCAGCGGCAAGGCCCCGCCCCCGAGCAGCGCCGGCGGCGCGAAGGGAGGAGGCGGCGCCGCGAGCGCGGAGAAGCGAGGCAGGGGCTGCCGGGGCCGCGCGGACTCCCGGCCCCACGGTGCGCGCGCCCCGGCCGGTGGCCGCCCCTCGGCGGGAGCAGGAACGCCAGCGTGCGCCCAGTTCTCGCCGCTGGGCGTTGCCCCTTCCCCCGGGCCACCCCATCGCCCCTTCCGACGCGGGAGCTGGCGCCTGAGCAGCGACGCGGAGCGGGGAAGCGGCTGTGGGGAAAGGGTACCTGGGGGGAGCCCCCATCCCACGTTCCGCCCCGAGGGAATGTTCCCGAACAGCCAACCGCACCCAGCGCCACACTCACGTTACCTTCTTTATAAAAGTCGTCGGGTCAAAACTGCCCAGAGAAGGAAGCGAACGAAAAACAGGTTTTTAGGGGGCTTATACTCACAAAATTGTCTTTTTTCTCCCACGAGGCATTCCCTGTTGACCATCATCTCGCCTCGGTTGTCACCGCTCAGGCCTTAGTGTTTGGTCTGTGACCCTTCCACTGCTAGCAACGGAAAAAGTGAAGATTCCCGGACGCCTTCGGGTGTGATCTTATAGCCCGGGCAGCTGCATTTGAAACAGCGCCTCAGATGACGCTCAGGCGCACTGATGTTTGAGAAGCCCTATGAGGCCGTACCTCCCGGAGAGAATGCCACAAAACTAGTGACCTACAGGGAAACCATGCTAGAAAATTCTAAAGCAATGGTTCTTAACTCTGGCAGCACCTGCCATCCATTAGAATTATTTGGGGAGCTTTTAGAGCATTTAGGAACCAGGGTCCCACTTCCAGAGTTCAAAGTGAACTTGATATTTTTTGTTTGTTTTGAGCTTCCCAGATAATCCTAATACAGTATACGGCCAAGATTGAGAACAGTTTTCCTAGAATCATGTCTTCATGTCTTCCTAGCTCTGGTGTCTGGGAAAGGAAACTCCTTCCTCTGCGCCTCTCTCAAATCACAATAAAAAAACAAGTAAATACATGAACACCTAAAGGAATGCTCACAGCTGAAATTGATTTTAACCAGAACAAAGAGTCACCTTAAAAAAGGTGATCAAGATACCCTATTGCTACCTGAGCATGGAGCTTCTTAACTGCAGGAAACGTATCTTTACCAGCTAAAACCTCTTAGCTGAATTAGAAGCTGACCATACATGACCCCTTTAGAGGAATGTTCTACTATATTCCAAAATGATATTTTTGTTATCTGCAACTGTTAAACTGTTGTAGGGTCAGACCAAAGCATTCAGAAGCTGAGGCTGTATCAGATGTCAGCCCTGGTTTTGCAGACTTAAGTTGTGTCACTTTGATCTTCTAGTGAGCTTAAATAACCATAATCGGGGACAGGTACAGGAAATTCCCTTTCTTGCCCATTTTAGCTCTCTTAGTATAGTTTACATTCTTAGACTGGTGGACTGTAACTTCTATATCATTTGGCTCTAAGGAGGGTCTCCATTAGTCTCTCATTTATCAGCAACTAATTAGCGACTCACTCAGTGATTCTTAAACACTTTATGGAACAGGTCCATATGTCTAGGTGCTAAGGCAGCTGGCTGAATGAGCTATATTTTAATTGAAGATGAATTAGTCCTTTTCGTTAGATTCTTTATGACAAAAGTTGAAAATTTTAAGATGCAGTTTTATATATATCTATATACATAATTTACATTCCTTATAAAAAAGCTAATCAGTTGCTGGCCCTGAAAATTCAATTGGATGGGTTTTGATTAAACAATGTGCAAGGGGCTACAGTGGTTGGTTGAAGGAAGCATCCATGTTTTGCCTGTTAAGCATCCTTTCCTTAATGTCTTAGTCCATTTTGTGTTGCTATAACACAATTCCACAGACTCAGTAATTTATAAAGAAAAGAAATGTATTTCTCATAGTTCTGAAGGCTAGGAAGTCTAATATCAAGGTGCTGGCATCTTGCAAGGGCCTTCTTGCTGCATCAGCCTGTGGTGGAAGGCAGAAGGGCAAGAGGGTGTATGTGAAATTGAACTTGCAGCCTCAAACCCTCTATAATTGGCATTAATTTATTTATAAGAGTGGAGCCTTTATGACCTAAACACCTCCCTTTGGGCCCCACCTCCCAACACTGTTGCACTGGAGATTCAGTTTTCAACACGTGCTTTATGGAGCACACATTCAAACCATAGCATTCTGCTTCTATGCCCCCCACCACCCCCAGTTCATATCCTTCTCACATACAAAATACATTTATTCCATCCCAACAGCCCTAAAGGCTTTAATATTTATTTATTTATTTATTTATTTTGAGACAGGGTTTCACTCTGTCCCCCCGGCAGAAGTGCAGTGGTGTGATCATGGCTCACTACAGCCTCAACCTCCTGGGCTCAGGTGATTCTCCCACCTCAGCCTCCTGAGTAACTGGGACTACAGGTGTATGCCATCATGCTCAGCTAATTTTTTTGGTATTTTTTGTAGAGATGAGGTTTTGACATGTGGCCCAGGCTGGTCTCAAACTCCTGGGCTCAAGCAATCCACCTGCCTCAGCCTTCGAGAGTGGTGGGACTACAGTCATGAGCCACTGCACCTGGCAGCCCTAAGGTCTTCACTCTAGCACCAACTAGAAAGTCCAGAGTCTCATCTAAATCAGATATGAGCAAGATTCAAGGCACAATTCATCCTAAGACAAATTCCTCCAGCAATGAGCCTGTGAAATTAAAACAAATTATTTACTTCCAAAATACAATGGTGGCACAGGCACAGTATAGGTATTCACATTCCCAAAGGGAGAAATATGTAAGATAAAGGGGTAACTGGTCCCAAGTAAGTCCAAAACCCAACAGGGAAAAAATAACATTAAATCCCAAAGCCTCAGAATAGCCTTTCTTGACTATATCTCACCTTCTAAGCATACTAGGGTGGGAGTTGGACCCCCAAGGTCTTGGGCTGCCCCATCTGTATAACTTGGCTGGGTGTAGTCATGTCACAGAACCTCATGGTTTGTAGTCTCATGTCTAAAGCTCTTCCAAGCTGTGTTGCACACTGGTAGCTCTACAGTTCTGGGGGCTCTGGGACAGCCCCAACCCCACAGTTCCATTGGTCATTGTCCTAGTGGTGGTTCCCTGCTATGGCTTTGCTTCCATGGCTCCACTAGGCATTTCCCTGGTAGGGAATCTCTGTGGCAGTTCTGCCCCTACGGCAAGTTTCTGCCTGTATCCCCAGGCTGTCCAGTACATTCTTTGGAATCTAGGTGGAGGCTGCCATAGCCCCATAGCTCATGAACTCTGTGTACCTTCAGAATTAGCACCACATGGATGCCGCCAAGGCCCACCACTTACACCCTCTAGAACAGTAGCCTAAGCCACAGCTGGGCCCACTTGAGCCACACAGCTGCAACAGCTGTGGAGTGCTGTGCTGGAAAGCGGGGAGCAGATACTTGAGGCAGTGCCTGGTAGCAAATGCTGAGGTCCTGTGGCCACGTCTCTGGAAACCTTGCCTTCAAGGTCCTGCTCTGGGCCTGTGATGGAAGGGGCAACCTAAAAAATCTCTGAAATGCCATTGGGGTCTTTCTTGTCTTGATGAATAGCACCTGACTCCTTTCTAGCCATGGTAATCTCTTTAGCAAGGGGTCCACTGGACTATATCCCTACAAGGACTTACATCTTTATGAGGCTCTCCCAAACATGCCTTTGCACTCTTGGCCAGGCTGAAAATTTTCAAAATTTTTTTCTGCTTCCTTTTTAGTTATAAATTTCATCTTTTAATCATTTATTTCTTCTCTAATTTTACTGTAAGCAGCCAAAACAATCCATGCAACACCTTGAATGCTTTACTGCTTAGACATTTCTTCTGCTAGATATCCTAGTTCATTGCTCTTAAATGCTGCCTTCTTTTCTCTAGCTTACCTTATTGTAAGAATACAGTTTATAATACATATAACATGCAAAATATGTGTTAACTGTTTATGTTATCAGTAAGGCTACCAGTCAACAGTAGGCTATCAGTAGTTAAGTTTTGGGGGAATCAAAGTTAAATGCAGATTTCCAACTGTGCAGAGATGGGGGTGTCCCTAACCCGTAGATTGTTCAAGGGTAAACTGCATGAAATAAATTGAATTGAACAGACTAAAAAGTATTTGCTGTAAATATCTTGCTGTGTTTGCTTTCAGTATCCATTATTTCCTTTCTCAGGTACCAACATCATCATTTTTTGGAGAACTATTTCTCCCTGACTTTTCAATCCTAAATATCTGTCATAAGCTGAACAGTTGCCCCCTGCCAAAGATATATCCATGCTCTAATCCCCAGAACCTTTAAATATTATCTTATATGGCAAAGTATGTAATTAGGGTAAGGATCATGAGAGGGGGCTCTTATCCTGGATTATCTGGGTAGGCTATGAATAAACCGTAAGTGTCCTTATAATGGAAAGGAAATGGGAGTTTTGAGACAGAAAATAGAAGGCAAATGTGACTACGGAGGGCAGAGACTGGAGTATGGGGCCACAAGCCAAGGATGTCTTCGGCCACGGGAAGCTGGAACGGTTTCCCTGCTATAGCCTTTGGAAGAACACCTCCAGAACTATGAGGGAATAAAATTTCAATTGTTTTACGCCATCCAGGTTGGGTAATTCGTTATAACAGCCATAAGAAATTGTTACAATGTCCAATTCTATAGGCTATAGTAATTGGTTCAGGGAGAGGCACATGACCCAATTAGTCCAGTAAGACTCCATTATAGGACAATCCCTGGAACTACTGAGACAGAAAAGTTATCTTTTCCTATGAAGGCAGCCCATATTGGGAGAATATAGGCCTCAAGCTGTTTATGGCCATCACGGAGAGACCTGGGCCTTATATGTGGAGAAAGATAGAGACAAATACCTAGTGTTGATTATGTCATTTGAACTTCTGGATCAAGCCATATCTGAAGCTAGGTCTATCCCTGGACTTAGCAGTTTTATCAGCCAATTAACTTCTCATTTTACTTAAGCCAGTAATGAAATGGGTTTCTGTCACAAGCAGGCAAAATAATCCTGACTAATAGAGTCTTAGAATCCTTTTGTTACCTGGTAGGTTTGCCAGTTAAATATGAACTTCAGATTAACAACAAATAATTGTTTTAGTACAAGTATTTCCCAAATGTACCATGGGACAGATACTAAAAAAATTATGTGTTGTTTTTCTGAAATTCAGATTTAACCGGGTATCCTGTTTGGTTTTTGCCATTGTTTTGTTTTTGCTCTCTGGAAATCCTGTGTTGGAAGAAGGTTTTTTACTGATTATTCCAAACCTTTGAAAGGTCAGGTTGTTGTAGTACAAAGGAAAGTAGAAATTCCTGGACGTTGATCCATCCTCATTCTAGAGTAGATGGCTCTTGTAATTTTAAGCATTCAAGTAACTGCCTTCAGTCTTCTGTATTGATTGGGGTTGTAAAACAGTGTGATTGTACCTCCATGGTGTCATGAACCTGGATGTGATTTGGAATTGAGAAGGACATATTAGTTTGTAAAAGCTTCCCATCGCTTAGTAAAGAGGTGCCGTAGTGTATTGTGAGACCTGTAACATCTTTTGACTGATGCTCTTACAGAGCTGCCTTCACCATTTGCTCTTCTTGGTGTGGGGTACACGTTAGAGACAGGTCCAAATGCCAAGGACTGCAGAGGAACCAGCCAGAGGGGCAGGGCAGAGCTGTGTGCAATGCCTGTCAGTTTCCTTGAGCAAGTAGGAAGGAAAAGGACCATGCTGGAGGGTATCCTGTTACATGGGGACCAGTTTGAAGATGTGAGGTCTGGTATATATTAGGTTGGTGCAAAAGTAATGGCAAAAGCCACAATTACTTTTTTTAGGTTGATGCAAAAATAATTGGGGCTCTTGCCATTACTTTTGCACCAAGCTAATATAAGGTAACACCCTGGTCCAGTGTATATGGGAAAGGTGTGTGTTTGTGCATCAAGATGAAGTTGTACAAAAAATGTTCTTCTACTTTACTAATGCTTGCATGCCTTTTGTTCTCAGAATACTCCCTCAGCTCCTTCAAAAGGCTTCTGAAGTAGGTTAGCTTTTTGACCTTGAGGCTTATAACGGTGGAATGAGAGATTCCATGGTTTATTTTAACTGTGCAGCAATATTAAGAATACTTGTAAACTTACAAACTTAAGAAGTTGCCTGGCTCAATGATTCTTCTACTATAGCTTATTTTTAAATGACTTTTGAGAAAGGAGGATACTTATTTAAAATAGTTTGGGGCTGGCGTGGTGTGGTAGCTCACGCCTGTAATCCTAACACTTTGGGAGGACAAGGTGGGTGGATTGCTTGAGCTCAGGAGTTCGAGACCAGCCTGGGCAACATGGGGAAAACCCGTCTCTACAAAAAAAAAAAAAAACAAAAAAGTCGCCAGGTGTGGTGGCACACGCCTGTACTCCCAGCTACTTGGGAGGCTGAGGTGGGAGGATCGCTTCAGCCCAGGAGGAGGTCAAGACGTCAGTGAACCAAGATTGCATCACTACACTCCAGCCAGGGTGACAAAGTGAGACCCTGTCTCAAAAAATTAAAAAAAAAAAGTTTGAAATATCAACATCAATTGTATTTCAGTGGTTTTAGTCCTTTGTTTTGATGTGTATTTGTTTTTCACACAAGCATGTGCTTATGGGCTGTGGAATAGAGCACTTGCACCCAATTCTTCTCATCCTACCTTGATTTGTGTGCCCATAGACCTCTCATGTTATGAAACTTGACGAGTTCTCTGCACCTAGAAAAATTTTCTCATAACCTGAGTTAAGAATCAAGGCACCGGCCAGGCTTTATGGCTCACGCCTGTAATCCCAACACTTTGGGAGGCCAAGGCAGGTGGATCACTTGAGGTCAGAAGTTCGAGACCGGCCTGGCCAACATGGTGAAATCCTGTCTCTACTAAAAATAAAAAAAAAATTAGCTGGGCATTATGGTGCACGCCTGTAATCCCAGCTACTTGGGAGGCTGAGGCAAGAGAATCACTTGAACCCAGGAAGCGGAGGTTACGTGAGTTGAGATCACGCCACTCCACTCCAGTCTGGGGCACAGAGTGAGACTCCGTCTCAAAAAAAAAGAAGGCAGGGCACAGTGGCTCACGCCTGTAATCCAGCACTTTGGGAAGCCGAGGCAAGTGGATCATGAGGTCAGGAGATCGAGACCATCCTGGCTAACGTGGTAAAACCCCGTCTCTATGAAACATACAAAAAATTAGCTGGTGTGGTGGTGGGTGCCTGTAGTCCCAGCTATTTGGGAGGCTGAGGCAGGAGAATGGTGTGAACCCAGGAGGGCGGAGCTTGCAGTGAGCCGAGATCGCACCACTGCACTCCAGCCTGGGCGACAGAGTGAGAATTCATCTCAAAAAAAAAAAAAAAAAAAGTGAACCAAGGCATCCACCAAGGGTGACATGGTGAGGTCACATCTATGTGGGTTTTGAAATGAGTCATGCCCAGTATTAGTCATCAGAAAGAAAGAACATAGAACATCTAAGGTAGGTGGGAGAGAGGGCCAGTCCTGCTTTCTTGGTCTACAGCAGTGGTTGTGTCACTATGTTAGGTGTTAAAAGACAAACACAGAAAAACAAAAATCACATGTTCTCACTTAAATGTGGGGGCTAAAAAAAAGTGGATCTTATGAAGGTAGAGAGTAGATTGGTGATCACCCGAGGCTGGGAAGGGTGGAGGGGAGGATGAAGAGAGGTTGACTAATACAGTTCAACTACACGGTTTGACAGAAGAACTAAGAACTAGTAATTGATAGACCAGTAGGGTGACTACAGTTTACAGTAGTTTATTGTATGTTTCAAATAGCTAGAAGACAATAATTTGAATGTGTTCCTAGCACAAAGAGAAGACAAATATTTAATGTGATAGATATTCTAATCACACTGATTTAATCTTTAGAAATATATGAATGTTCAACTACACGGTTTGACAGAAGAACTAAGAACTAGTAATTGATAGACCAGTAGGGTGACTACAGTTTACAGTAGTTTATTGTATATTTCAAATAGCTAGAAGACAATAATTTGAATGTGTTCCTAGCACAAAGAGAAGACAAATATTTAATGTGATAGATATTCTAATCACACTGATTTAATCTTTAGAAATATATGAATGTTCAACTACACGGTTTGACAGAAGAACTAAGAACTAGTAATTGATAGACCAGTAGGGTGACTACAGTTTACAGTAGTTTATTGTATATTTCAAATAGCTAGAAGACAATAATTTGAATGTGTTCCTAGCACAAAGAGAAGACAAATATTTAATGTGATAGATATTCTAATCACACTGATTTAATCTTTAGAAATATATGAATGTTCAACTACACGGTTTGACAGAAGAACTAAGAACTAGTAATTGATAGACCAGTAGGGTGACTACAGTTTACAGTAGTTTATTGTATATTTCAAATAGCTAGAAGACAATAATTTGAATGTGTTCCTAGCACAAAGAGAAGACAAATATTTAATGTGATAGATATTCTAATCACACTGATTTAATCTTTAGAAATATATGAATGTTCAACTACACGGTTTGACAGAAGAACTAAGAACTAGTAATTGATAGACCAGTAGGGTGACTACAGTTTACAGTAGTTTATTGTATGTTTCAAATAGCTAGAAGACAATAATTTGAATGTGTTCCTAGCACAAAGAGAAGACAAATATTTAATGTGATAGATATTCTAATCACACTGATTTAATCTTTAGAAATATATGAATGTTCAACTACACGGTTTGACAGAAGAACTAAGAACTAGTAATTGATAGACCAGTAGGGTGACTACAGTTTACAGTAGTTTATTGTATATTTCAAATAGCTAGAAGACAATAATTTGAATGTGTTCCTAGCACAAAGAGAAGACAAATATTTAATGTGATAGATATTCTAATCACACTGATTTAATCTTTAGAAATATATGAATGTTCAACTACACGGTTTGACAGAAGAACTAAGAACTAGTAATTGATAGACCAGTAGGGTGACTACAGTTTACAGTAGTTTATTGTATATTTCAAATAGCTAGAAGACAATAATTTGAATGTGTTCCTAGCACAAAGAGAAGACAAATATTTAATGTGATAGATATTCTAATCACACTGATTTAATCTTTAGAAATATATGAATGTTCAAATACATGGTTTGATAGAAGAACTAAGAACTAGTAATTGATAGACCAGTAGGGTGACTACAGTTTACAGTAGTTTATTGTATATTTCAAATAGCTAGAAGACAATAATTTGAATGTGTTCCTAGCACAAAGAGAAGACAAATATTTAATGTGATAGATATTCTAATCACACTGATTTAATCTTTAGAAATATATGAATGTTCAAATACATGGTTTGATAGAAGAACTAAGAACTAGTAATTGATAGACCAGTAGGGTGACTACAGTTTACAGTAGTTTATTGTATATTTCAAATAGCTAGAAGACAATAATTTGAATGTGTTCCTAGCACAAAGAGAAGACAAATATTTAATGTGATAGATATTCTAATCACACTGATTTAATCTTTAGAAATATATGAATGTTCAACTACACGGTTTGACAGAAGAACTAAGAACTAGTAATTGATAGACCAGTAGGGTGACTACAGTTTACAGTAGTTTATTGTATATTTCAAATAGCTAGAAGACAATAATTTGAATGTGTTCCTAGCACAAAGAGAAGACAAATATTTAATGTGATAGATATTCTAATCACACTGATTTAATCTTTAGAAATATATGAATGTTCAAATACATGGTTTGATAGAAGAACTAAGAACTAGTAATTGATAGACCAGTAGGGTGACTACAGTTTACAGTAGTTTATTGTATATTTCAAATAGCTAGAAGACAATAATTTGAATGTGTTCCTAGCACAAAGAAAAGACAAATATTTAATGTGATAGATATTCTAATCACACTGATTTAATCTTTAGAAATATATGAATGTTCAAATACATGGTTTGATAGAAGAACTAAGAACTAGTAATTGATAGACCAGTAGGGTGACTACAGTTTACAGTAGTTTATTGTATATTTCAAATAGCTAGAAGACAATAATTTGAATGTGTTCCTAGCACAAAGACAAATATTTAATGTGATAGATATTCTAATCACACTGATTTAATCTTTAGAAATATATGAATGTATTAAATTATCACATGTACCCTGAAAAATGTACATTTATTATGTATCAAAAAAAATTAAAAACAGACCAGTATTGTATAATACACACATACACACTCACACACACATACACAAAGCAGTGGTTTCCAACTGAGGGTGATATTGTGTACCTAGAGAGCATTTGGAAATTTGGGGAGACTTTTTTTTTTGAGACAGAGTTTTGCTCTTGTCGCCCAGGCTGGAGTGCAATGGCATAATCTTGGCTCACGGCAACCTCCACCTCACATGTTCAAGCGATTTTCCTGCCTCAGCCTCCTGAGTAGCTGGAATCACAGGCGCCAGCCACCATGCCTGGCTAATTTTTGTATTTTTAGCAGAGATGGGGTTTCACCATGTTGATCAGGCTGGTCTCAAACTTCTGACCTCAGGTGATCCACCTGCCTCGGCCTCCCAAGGTGCTGGGATTACAGGTGTGGGCCACTGCGCCGTGCAGACTTTTGTGTTTTAACAGTGATTTGTGGGCATGAGGGTGAGGGAATGTGTGCTATTGACCTTTTTTCTTTTCTTTTTTCCTTTTATGAGACAGAGTCTTGCTCCATCGCCCAGGCTGGAGTGCAGTGGTGTGATCTCAGCTCACTACAACCTCCACCTCCCAGGTTCAAGCAATTCTCCTGCTTCAGCCTCCCAAGTAGCTGGGACTACGGGCGCACACCAACATGCCTGGCTAATTTTTTAAAAAGTATTTTCATATTTATTTTTATTTATTATAGTTTTTTTTTTTGAGACTCTGTCACCCAGGCTGGAGTGCAATGGTGCAATGGTGCGATCTCGGCTCAGTGCAACCTCCACCTCCCAGGTTCAAGTGATTCTCCTGCCTCAGCCTCCCTAGTAGCTGGGATTACACGCCTGTGCCACCACACCTGGCTAATTTTTGTATTTTTAGGAGAGACGGGTTGGTTTCACAGTGTTGGCCAGGCTGGTCTTGAACTCCTGACCTCAGGTGATCCACCCACCTTGGCCTCCCAAAGTGCTGGGATTACAGGCATGAGCCACCACGCCCAGCCTGCCATTGATTTAGTTCAGTGTCCTGCACAACAACAACAACAAAAATGCTTCTGTCTCTTCATATGAGTAGCACACTTACTGAGAAACACCAGATACAAGAGAGAATCTAATGTTTTAGTGAGTAGTAAAAGGATATTCAACTGGATCTGGGGAAGATCTCTTTTCTTTTTAGGGTTCTGCTCTTTAGGACATAAAGCCAAGACAAAGAGCTTTGGTTTGTATACCATTTTAGGATTAAGCTCAGCTGTCTCATCACCACAAGAAGCCAAAAATGATAGTGACTTAAGCCCGCAAAGTTTTATCTTCTCACAGAGTAAGTCTTTAGTGGGCAGTCTTGGGATGAAAGGGCAGGTCTGAAAGTCCACAGGGACTCAGGTTCCACTGCTCCATGGCTCCAGATACGGCCCTCATCCTTGTAATCCAAGACGGCTGGTGAGGCCGAAGCTGTCACTTCTATATTCCATTCAGCAGAAAGGAAAAAGAGCTTCTTCCCTTCCTTTAAGGCCACCTCTCAGAAGTTGCATATGACATTTCTGATTACTTTCCTTCTCCAGAACTTAGTCACATGTCCACATTTAGCTGCAAGGCATCTGGGAAATAGAGTCTCATATTGTGGGAAGCAATGTGCCCAGATAAAAACTTCCTAAGTAAGAAAGGAAGAAGAGATGTTTTGTGACAGCTACCATTCTCTGCCATTCTTAGTGAGGCAGGTTAATGGCAAGTGAAGCCCTAGTATCTTTTTTTTTTTTTTTGAGATGGAGTTCAGCTCTTGTTGCCCAGGCTGGTGTGCAATGGTGCAATCTCGGCTCAGTGCAACCTTTGCCTCCCAGGTTCAAGTGATTCTCCTGCCTCAGCCTCGCAAGTAGCTGGGATTACAGGTGCCCACCACCATGCCCGGTTAATTTTTTTTTTGTATTTTTAGTAGAGATGGGGTTTTACCATGTTGGCCAGGCTGGTCTCGAACTCCTGACCTCAGGTGATCCACCCACCCCAGCCTCCCAAGGTGCTGGAATTACAGGCGTGAGCCACCACACCTGGCCCCTAGTATCTTAGTAAAGCTGGAGTTTCAATGGTCCAGACTTCACTAAGGAGGGCAAGGGGAAAGTTGTGACTTGCTTTGGCCCCAAAACTCTTGGACACTCCTTCCATTGAGACTGGAGTCTGTGTCTCTTCCCCATGAATCTGGGTGGGAGCTTATGACTACTCCAATAGATGGACTACGGCAGATCTGAGGCCGAGGCTGGGTCACGAATCTGGGTGAGGGCTTATGACTACTCCAACAGATGAACTACAACAGATCTGAGGCCGAGGCTGGGTCATAAAAGGTAGCACAGCCTCCTCCTGGCTATCTCTTGGGAGGTTCCTGTTGCTGTGAGGAGACACCATGCTGTAAGGGAGCCCAGGCCACATGCAGAGGCCACGTGTAGTCGTCTGTCCACGAACCACAACTGTGGTCTCAGCCAACAGCTAGCATCACCTGCCAGACACGGAGACCTGTCAGCTCTGGAGTCACCACCCCCTGCCACTGAGTTTTCCATCTGACTGCAACTGCAGCAGATACCCTGAGCCAGAAGGGCCTGCTGCACTAGTCAGCACTCAGAACCAGAGGGAGGATAAGAAAATGACTGTTGTTTGAAGCCACTGGATATTGTGATGGTTTGTTATGCAGCAATGGATAACCAGAGCAGCCAGCAGGGCATTGATACTTTGGTAATTAGTTTTCGAGCACATTCCTGAGGGCAGTGAGTGGAAATCAGTCAGAAGGAGAGACGTCAGGGACACAGTGAATCAGGGGCCAAGGGGGAGGATGGAGATTGTGGGGGGCAGGAGGAGGTTGCATGGAAAGAGATGTAGCTATTTTCTTTGCCAAGGGCATCTTCCACCACCCACCTTGTTTTTCACATCGAATTTCTAAAAGAAACCACACTATGAGAACAAAAAAAATGGGGGGAATCAGGGAGCCAAAGCAAAGCGGGGAAAAAAAAGTTGTGTTAGGCCAGGCGCAGTGGCTCACGCCTGTAATCCCAGCATTTTGGGAGGCTGAGGCAGGCAGATCACCTGAGGTCAGGAGTTCGAGACCAGCCTGACCAACATGGAGAAACCCTGTCTCTACTAAAAATACGCACCAAGCATATGGTGGTGCATGCCTGTAATCTCAGCTAGTTGGGAGGCTGAGACAGAATCGCTTGAACCCAGGAGGCAGAGGTTGCAGTGAGCCGAGACCGTGCCATTGCACTCCAGCCTGGGCTACAAGAGTGAAACTTCATGTCAAAAAAAAAAAGTTGTGTTCGATGTGTCAAGGGTTTATGACTGGAAATAGAGAAAGGCAAGCATCCAAAAGTCTAAATTATATGCACTCCCGTCTTGCATTTTCATTCTAGGCAAAATCATAAAGGAGGAAACTCTGGTCTTTACATTAGGGCGCCTCTACTTCTGGTTTTGCCCCTGTCTACCACCTCAGCCTTCTGGAGACTCAGTTTCTGCCTTTGGAGGCATAGACACCACCATCACCAACCACCACCGCCACCACCACCACGGGTTTGTTAGCTAATGATTATGCAGCATTGATCTGTAAGCCTGAAGATGCAAACCCCTGACTTCAGTTATTTAGACACCCAGACCCTGGGTGTTTACAGTGGTGTAGGATGAGAGACAGTGACTTGCATGTGTACAGAGAATGCTGCTGCTTTCTTTTATGGAATAGAGCCCATCTTCCTCTTGAGTTTCCATGGAGAAATGGTGTGGAGTTGGGAAGAGAACCATAAAGTAGCCAGTTAATGCTGACTTCAGTCTCTTTTGGACAAATGCTCAGTTTTTCTGATTTCTTCCTTGATCCTCTGCTCTTTCTAGGAGAGTCTAGTGGAGACTAAAGTGATACCGTATTATAGGGAAGAATTTAACCTTGGATTCACCAGGCTGCCGGAAGGATTCATTCCTTCCTAACATGTTGCTTCCTTCCACTAAAGTGTCTTCGACTTCAGTCTTGAAAAGAGTTTTACCCTCCCATGTCACAGAATCCTAATGTTGCCACCCTAGGTATCACCTCACCCAACACTTTCTTTAAAAATTTTTTTATTATTATCTAATATGCTTTTTCATTGCCAGCCAGCATATTTATTTTTATTTTTTTATTTATTTTTTTGCCCCTGGCCTACCTTCCCAACCATGCAATGTAACAATCTAAACCAGATGATCTCAAGCTTTTAGTCTCAGGACCAACATTTTAAAATGAACACACTTAAAAATTATTGATGAGCCCAAAGAGTTTTTGATCATGTGAATCTATCAATATTTTAGGAATTAAAACTGAGGCCGGGTGCGGTGGCTCATGCCTGTAGTCCTAGCACTTTGGGAGGCTGAGGTGGGCGGATCACCTGAAGTTAAGAGTTCGAGACCAGCCTGGCCAACATGTTGAAACCCCATCTCTACTAAAAATACAAAAATTAACTGGGCATGGTGGCGCACACCTGTAATCCCAGCTGCTCAGGAGGCTGGGGCAGGAGAATCGCTTGAACCTAGGAGGAAGAGATTGCAGTGAGCCAAGATTGCACCACTGCACTCCAGCCTGAGCAACAGAGAGAGACACCATCTCAAAAACAAAACAAAACAAAACAAAAACAAAAACAAAAACAAAAACAAAAAAACTGAGAAAAATTTAAAATATTAATTTATTTAAAAGAGATACATCCATTACATGTTAACATAAATAATGTAATGCAACCCACAATGTGTGCAGGGATCATCTAGCCCTCTTTGCATTACCCTGCCAGAAATGGGGCTCAGAGAACGAGCACAAATGCTGATATTCTGGATACTGCTGTTGCTGTAGCAAACAGTCTTTTACGTCTGACCCAGGAGTCTCATGTCTTCTATCAGCATCCCTGAAACTGTCTCATGCTAATTTGTTACCCTTCCTGGTAGGGTAAAATCTCAGACGCTTCACAGTTCTTGATATAACACCTAACTGAAATTTAGCATTTCCTTCCATTTTAACGTAGGCAGCTGACCTTTTTCACAGTACTCATAACTTTGCAACCAATAGAAAACACAGGTATTTTCATAGCACTTTAGATTTGTGGCACATGTTTCAAAATAACACTTATGCATGTCAACAATTTGAAATAAAAAACTTAACCTTATTAATAATGTGTTAATAAAGAAGCACATATATTACGATATCACACATTTTTTTTTAATATATTGGCAATTTGTCTTTTAATATGACTGGTTTCCTTTTTATTTTTATGCATTTAAAATGAAGGGGCCTATAGACTCCACCAGCCTGCAAAAAGTAGCTTCAAATAAGCCCCTGATCTAGGCAGTCTGTGTGCATTGCATAAGGGCATGGATAGCACAGGGGAAAAACAGAAAGAAAAACAGGTTCATTTATTGGTCTTTGAATTTTAAAAGCCGCAGTGCCAGAGGCGTGAGGGGGAAATGGAGGGATGCATACAGTTAGAAAAAGATTTGGAAGAAATAGGAACACTTTTACACTGTTGGTGGGACTGTAAACTAGTTCAACCATTGTGGAAGTCAGTGTGGCGATTCCTCAAGGATCTGGAACTAGAAATACCATTTGAACCAGCCATCCCATTACTGGGTATATACCCAAAGGATTATAAATCATGCTGCTATAAAGACAAATGCACATGTATGTTTATTGCGGCACTATTCACAATAGCAAAGACTTGGAACCAACCTAAATGTCCCTCAATGATAGACTGGATTAAGAAAATGTGGCACATATACACCATGGAATACTATGCAGCCATAAAAAAGGATGAGTTCGTGTCCTTTGTAGGGATATGAATGAAGCTGGAAATCATCATTCTCAGCAAACTATTGCAAGGACACAAAACCAAACACCGCAGGTTCTCACTCATAGGTGGGAATTGAACAATGAGAACACCTGGACACAGGAAGGGGAACACACCAGGGCCTGTTGTGGGGTGGGGGGAGCGGGGAGGGATAGCATTAGGAGATATACCTAATGTAAATGACGAGTTAACGGGTGCAGCACACCAACATGGCACATATATACATATGTAACAAACCTGCACCTTGTGCACATGTACCCTAAAACTTAAAGTATAAAAAAAAAAGATTTGGAAGAAATGCCTTGAAAGAATTCTAATCAAGACCAGCCAGCGGGAAAATCGAGACCACTCCCACCCCCCTACAAAACATTAGCTGGGCTTGGTGGCACACACCTGTAGTCTCAGCTGCTCCGGAGACTGGGGTGGGAGGATCCCTCGAGCCCGGCGTTGGAGGCTGCAGTGACTCTAGAAAGGATTCCCTGGGTTAGGGAGAGGACTGGACACAGGTCTTGTCAAGGCCTCCTCAGGGCCTGCGGCCCACCTTGTCACCATCTGAGTGGCCCCTGTGCTCGCCAAAACCACAGAACCTCTGTTTTCCCTCTCAGTATGGGTTACTTCCCTCTGCAGCCAAAAGGCCCCATGCACTGCGAAGGAGGATCATGCCAGTATCAGCCACCAAATTGTGTTTGGTCTCAAACAGCTCACTTCTCCCCGCTTTCCACAACCCCGGGTGCAGGGTGCTCTAAGCCCTTAGAGGGGTGATGATTGCCGAATAGAGGGTCCTCCCGACCTGTATACTGAGTCACTGCCATTTTGGGTGGGATTAGACAGAACCATCTCTAGATTTTCCTCCGCAATGAAAGAAAAACTCACTTCTGTCACACATAGGAGAGGAAAGTGATCTGGAGGCACGCAGTAATTTGATCAAGGGATACCATTCTCTATTTTTAATATCTATGAGCTCAGAAAGGGTTGCTCCTTTAGTGGCCTGAGGAAGCTGCCATCTGAGTCGTAGTGTGTGGGAGCTGCGCTGCCAGCCCCTCCGTGCTGCAGATTTCAGCGGCGTGCTCTCGTTGCTATGGTAATGAGCCGGGGAAGATTTTCAGGCTACCCAGGAAGAGCAGCCTTCTTACAAGAAAGGATCCATCAGGGATGCAGTTTGAAATTTGGGAACAGTCAGAGAAGAGGGACATGGAGTTTGAATTAAGGATGGAAAGAACACAAGAGTGGAGCCAGCCTAACCCGTGGAGGAGCTGGGGGGAGCAGAGGGGACAGTTTTGGGAGGCTGGGCCTGGTGGATCCTACCCTCACTGCCTTCCTGAAGAATGTCTGATGTTGCATCATTAATGTTTTATCTCTTTGAGTGTTTATGTAGTCCTCTCCCTAATATAGATATGTGTATTTGTAAGCAAACCTCTAGAGATAGAAAAAATATCAAGGTACTAATACTTTCTTTTTGGAGATGGAGTCTTGCTCTGTCACCTAGGGTGAAGTGCAGTGGTGCGATCTCAGCTTACTGCAACCTCCGCCTCCTGGGTTCGAGTGATTCTCCTGCCTCAGCCTCCCGAGTAGCTAGGATCACAGGTGCACGCCACCAAGCCCGGCTGATTTTTGTGATTTTAGTAGAGACGGGGTTCACCATGTTGGCCAGGCTGGTCTTAAACTGCTGGCCTCAACTGATCCACCTGCCTCGGCCTCCCAAAGTGCTGGGATTACAGGCGTGAGCCACAAGGTACCAATACTTATGATAATTAAAAAAAAAATTAAAGACCCTTTTTTTCCTCCATCAAAGTAGAGCATTGTTCACATATGGACAGCACGGCTGGCAAGGGGCCAAGGGAATTATGTGGGGTAAAGAAGGAAGAGGAGGGAGGGATGAGGGGAGGTAGGAAGGGGCTGATGAAGATGGACTGCTGCCAGGCAGAGTCCCAAGACCGTCTCTGTCCCTTTGAGGCCGTTCTCAGATGAGAAAACTCAAAAGGCAAGACCTTCAGTGATTGAGACCTCCTGAAGGACAGCTCCCAAAATGAGCATTTCCAAGGCCCCAGGTTAACATGATTCACTTCTCCTGCAGGTTAGGAACAGCCTGTTTTCTTTCAAGCCTGTCCTCATGCTTGAAGACATCAACACAGCTCAAATTAGGTATTTCTCCTGAAGATTCTTATCCACCAAGACCTCAAATTATGAAATCGGGCCCTAGTTAAATGAGGCGACTGTAATTCTAAGAGGCCATTGTAGCAGCGAAACAGCAAAAGAACTAACAGAACTCACTCCATTTTTGTTTATGGGGCCTTTACCCATTCTTGCATGTAGGCTAGGATAATTTTAGAGCACTGAGATAATATGTAAAAATAGCAATTGCAGGGTGGGTGCGGTGGCTCACGCCTGCAATCCTAGCAATTTGGGAAGCTGAGGCAGGTGGATTACCTGAGCTCAGGAGTTCAAGACCAGCCTGGGCAACACAGTAAAACCCCGTCTCTACTAAAATACAAAAAATTAGGCCAGGCGCGGTGGCTCACACCTGTAATCCCAGCACTTCAGGAGGCCGAGGCGGGTGGATCACTAGGTCAGGAGATTGAGACCATCCTGGCTTACACGGTGAAACCACGTCTCTACTGAAAATACAAAAAATTAGCCGGGCGTGGTGGCACGTGCCTGTAGTCCCAGCTACTCGGCAGGCTGAGGCAGGAGAATGGTGTGAGCCCTGGAGGCGGAGCTTGCAGTGAGCCAAGACCGCTCCACTGCACTCCAGCCTGGGCGACAGAGCAAGACTCCGTCTCAAAAAAAAAAAAAAAGAATTAGCTGGACATGGCAGCGTGCACCTGTAATCACAGCTACTCGAGAGGCTGAGGCAGGAGAATTGCTTGAACCCCCAGGAGGCAGAGGTTACAGTGAGATGAGATAGTACCACTGCACTCCAGCCTGGGCAACAGAGCAACACTCCATGTCAGAAAAAAAAGAGAGAAAGAGAGAAAGAGAGAGACAGAGAGGGAGGGAGGGAGAGAGGGAGGGAGGGGCGGAGGGAAGGAAAATAGATAAATGTATTTGTAGAAATCATTTAGAAAAATGGGAGTTTGAAGCCTATTCCACAGGTTCCTTGTTTATCCCAAGAGTTTGGTTTTAACCAGCCTTACCATTTTTACAATTTGCATTATTATCATTTAGAGATAAGTAATCATTGAAATGTTGTTTTCCAACTAGTTAAGGAAATCTTGTAATTCTTTATCTGGATTAGCTATAGTGATAACCAACGAAGCCAAAAACTAAAAGGTAAGAAAGAAACAGACAAGGAAGAAAGGAAAAATGAGGTCAAAATCAAGGTTCATATCCCCATAATCCCTTTCTTAATCATCAATGACAAAATAAGTTAAAAAATTAGACAAGGAAGTCTATCAATGGCAGCAGCGGCGTCTCTTCCATCCCTCTCTAGTTCTCAGCCCAGTGCCTGTGTAGTTTGCTGTCACATCCTGGAAGGGTTGGATAAATGATGAAAGCATAGCCATGTCTACATCCAGGGGCACTGCACGTAATAAGAAACTAAAGGCTCAAACTGAAGGAATGAAGATCTAACTTGGAATTTGGGGGGCATCCTGGGGGAAGAAGTGTGGAGGTAAGAGCCTCGTGATGAGTAGAAACCTACAGACTAGGTGGTTCCATCCAGATTAAGAGGAGACCACAGGCCTCCTGCGTAGACCCCTCTGAGTGGGCTTCCTGTTTTACAATGTACCCAAGATTTTCTTTATATTCAGGTATAGTGAGACCAACAGTTCAGGGGATGACTGCTATTGAAAGACAGTTTGTGACTCTTGGTTCTCGCAGAAGGCGGCAGGCCAGGCACTGCAGGGCCTCATGGGAAACAACAGGATTGGTCAGGAGACAGAGGGAGCAAGGGGAAAACCTGGGCAATAGTCTTTAGCGTGGTTTCCACAGAAAAGTCAATGCAAGGCACGGTAAGCACATTTAGGATTGTCTAGTTTGAGTACAGTGAGCTCTGGGTCCCAGGGGTTGTCCCTGGTTGCCTGGCACCTGGCTCTGGGGTGATTAGGGTAGGTGGATAGTGACCTAGAGTGTGAGAGCCAGATAGAGAAGGTTGTGGGGGTGTCGGTGGGTAACTGGCTTTGGATTGGTTGGTTTGCATACGAAAGGCACACTTTCATATGCAATACACAATTTCATATGCAATACACACTTTCATATGCAATACACACTTTCAATATGCAGTACACACTTTTGTACGCAGTGGCTCATGCCTGTATTTCCAGCACTTTGGGAGGCCAAGGCGGGCGGATCACGAGGTCAGGAGATCGAGACCATCCTGGCTAACACGATGAAACCCTGTCTGTACTAAAAATACAAAAGATTAGCTGGGTGTGGTGGCATGCACCTGTAGTCCCAGCTACTCGGGAGGCTGAGGCAGGAGAATCGCTTGAATCCAGAAGGCTGAGGTTGCAGTGAGCCGAGACCGCGCCATTGCACTCCAGCCTGGGTGACAGAGCAAGACTCTGTCTCAAAAAAAAAAAAAAAAAAAAAGACGAAGAAAGGCACACTCAGATCAAAAGGGAGTCATGTGCTATCTCTAGCAATCCAATCCTGAGAGGGTTGGACTCTACCTAGTCAGTAGTCTGGCCCCCAAATGCCAGAGCATCACAAGTACAGAAAATAAGGCTGGACGCAGTGGCTCATGCCTGTAATCCCAGCATTTTGGGAGGCCAAGGCAGGAGGAATGCTTGAACCCAGGAGTTGGAGACCAGCCTGGGCAACATGGCAAAACCTCATCTCTACAAAAAATACAAAAATGTGCCTGTAGGCCAGCTACTCAGGAGGCTGAGGTGGGAGGGTCGCTTGAGCCCAGGGAAGTTGAGGCTGCAGTGAACCATGTCATTGTACTCCAGCCTGGGCGACAGAGTGAGACCTTGTCTCAAAAACAAAAAACAAGGAAAAAAAAAAGAATACAGAGAATGAGAAGAAATGGTTAATAAACACACCAGCAGTCACTGTGTGCTCTGTGTTGTCCTGTGTGCCTCCTAAGCACATGCTGTTGAAATCTCCCAGCTCATTTCCTTCGACAATTTCAATAGTGCCTGTACCTGTTGTAGATTTTGAGCTAAAATTAGGTTTGTAGTCATCCAATTTGAGAATAACATGTCTTCAGTGGGAAATTTGAAACAATGCTCTGGAAACCAAAAAATTCTACTTATCGAAATTTAAGTCATATAATGTGAAGCCTAGCCTGGGAACTAAAGCTTGCTTTGTGACTTACTCTTTTTGTTTATAAAACACAACCAAGAACAGTTTTCATTTTCAATGCAATGTTGCATTTTTAAAAATGACAGATCATGTTCTTAGAATTAAAAGGTCACTTAATCATGCTTCATCTTTTTTTTTTCTTTGAGACAGAGTCACTGTGTCGCCCAGGCTGGAGTGCAGTGGTGCGATCTCGGTTCACTGTAACCCCTGCCTCCCGGGTTCAAGCGATTCTCCTACCTCAGCCTCCTGAGTAGCTGGGATTATAGGTGCACACCACCATGCCTGGCTAATTTTTTGTATTTTTAGTAGAGACGGCATTTCGCCATGTTGACCAGGCTGGTCTCAAACTCCTGACCTCAAGTGATCTGCTGACCTCGTCCTCCCAAAGTGCTGGGATTACAGGCGTGACCACCGTGCCCAGCCCATGCTTTATCTTTTAATAAATTGTTTATTAATATGTACTTCCATTAGTTTACTAGAGCTGCCATAACAAAGTACTACAGACTGGGTGACTTAAACAACAGAAATTTATTTTCCCAGAGTTCTGGAAGCTGGAAGTCTACGATCAAGGTGTAAGCAGGGTTGGTTTATCCTGAGGCCTCTCCTTGGCTTGGAGATGGCTGTCTTCTCCCTGTGTGTCCACATGCTTTCCCTCTGTGCATGTCTGTGTCCAGATTTCCCCGGCTTATATCATATTTGATAAGCACCCGCTCATATGACCTCATTTTACCATAACCACCTCTTTAAAATCCCCACCTCCAAATACAGTCACATTCTGAGGTACAGGGGGTAAGGACTTCAACATATAAATTTTGAAGAGACACAAGTCGGTCCATAGTATAATATTTACATAAAATATAGGATGTTGGGTTGGGTGCGGTGGCTCACGCCTGTAATCTAACACTTTTGGAGGCCAAGGCAGGTGGATCACCTGAGGTCTGGAGTTTGAGACCAGCCTGGTCAACATGGTGAAACCCCATCTCTACCAAAAATACAAAAAATTAGCCAGGCGTGGTAGAGGACACCTGTAATCCTAGCTACTCAGGAGCCACTCCAACCTGGGCAACAAGAGTGAAACTCTGTCTCAAAAATAATAATAATAATAATAATAATAATAATAATAATAATAATAATAATATAGGGTGTTTGTTACTTGCAACCACCTTTCTAAAGGTGCTGGTTATGACAGCACAGAATTAAAGAGACATAATTTCTTCACTACATGGAGTTACTACCTCTGTTCCTATTTAAAAAAAAAAAAGCAAAGTTTCCAAACCAACACAGACTTTGAGACTTTGAAGTCTAATAAATACTAATACAATAACCTATGACAATAGCCAATGATTTCTAGTGATTACCACGCATTATACATTGTGCTAAATTCTTATTTAATCCCTGTCATAACAACTCTATGATACAGATACAATTATTATTCTTGTTCTATGAATGAGTAAAGGCTTGGAAGTTAAGTGGCTTGCTCCAAATCATAAGAAGGGTAGAGGTGGTGTTGAAAACCAGGTGTCAGGCTCCAGAACCCAGACTAGTGACTGTTATGCTACACTGGACATTGTTCATATTCTGATGGGGCTAGAAATTTATGGACACCAGCAGGAGCCTTTTGTGTTGAAGCCTCCTGGTGGCTAGAAAACAGGGATTCAGGCCAGGCTATGCTTTTTAATGCAAGGCGGAGTCACCATTCAGTAGCTTAGCATTGTCACAGTGCCCCACAGGGTTAAAGAAACTGGTAACCTACAGAAAGCTTGAGCTTGTCTTGCAGGCGGACAGATAAAGAAACAGTTTGCTATAATCCCATCTGCTTACAAAGCTGGCTGAAGCAGTCTGGAACCAATATGGCTGACTGGAGTCTGCACAGCATAGACTTGGAGGCCAGATGAGTGACCTTTTTTTTTTTTTTTTGAGGCAGGGTCTCACTGTGTCACCCAGGCTGGAGTGCAGTGGCGTGATCTCAGCTCACTGCAACCTCTGCCTCCCAAGTTCGAGCGATTCTTTTGCCTCAGCCTGCCACGTAGCTGGGATTACAGGCATGTGCCACCATGCCTGGCTAATTTTTGTACTTTTTTTTACTAGAGATGGGGTTTCACTATGTTGGCCAGGCTGGCCTCAAACTCCTGACCTCAAGTGATCCTCTCACCTCAACCTCCCAGAGTGCTGGGATTACAGGCATCGAGCCACCATGCCCGGCCAATGAATGACCTTTTTATGTCACAACCAGTTCCCTCCAAATTTGCACATGCGACCCATGAAGAAGCTTGAAGAGGCAACTGCACATACCCAGGGACTTTCCAAACTCTGCTTCCTTTCAGCCAATCATTGTCCAGCTCCAAAATTCCACCTCCAAGATCTTTCTCTTAAATCTAAGACTGTAAGTCTTGTATGGGGAGACAGATTTGAGCCTGACTCTCGTCTCCTTGCTTGGCTGCCTGGCAATAATCCTTTCTCCCTACAAAAATCTGGTGCTTTGGTGTTTGGCTTTCTGTTGCATGGGCAAATGAACCCATTTCTATCCGGTGGCAGTATTCTTTTCACGTCTGCCAAAAGGTGGTGTTTTCATGAGGTAGGAAAGAAACGTTTTGTTAGATCCATCTCTTACCTTGAATGTAAAACTTGCATACGATGAAATGCACAGTCATTCATTAGATTTTGACAAATGCATTTGCCTTGTAACCATAAAAGCCTACCAAGACACAGAATATTACCATCACCCTAGAAAATTGCCTCATGCAACCTTTCCAGTCAATCCCCACCTATCCCAGAAAAGCAACAGTTCTGATTTTTTTCACTTGGGTTGGTTTTAAATTTTACAGATTTACTTGCATTTATGTTAAGTTCTCCAGGAGCCTTTACATCACTTGTTATATCACTATCAAACTCCTTCAAAGTGCTGTGGATGCTTGGGATCAAGGGAGAAGAACGGGGAGGGAAATTTGCATTTTAAAGTCTTTTTTTTTTTAAAAAAAAACTCTATAGGGGCTGGTTATTCTGAGTATTAAACTAATTTTGCACAGAATAAAAGAGTCACCCCCAAGCAAATAATTAAAAAGAATAGCCAACCAAGTCAGCTACAGTTAATTAATGGCAGTTTTTGAAAGACCACCAGACAGTGTAGACTCCAGGCAAGCAGAGAAGCAGGTGGCTTTTCCTCCCTTGGGACTGCCAGAGGGCTCCTGTGCATCAGGACTAGCCTCTTACTCCCTCATGCCCTGTGGTGGTCATGACAGCCCTTACCAGGTAGGAGGGGCAGAAGTCCTCATTTCTCATAAGGGAAAACTGGTTTAGGTGGCATAAGTGGCAGCCTCCTGCTCACACAGCAAGTGATCCACACAGCAGCCTTTCTGTCTGTCTGTGGCTGCTCTTTCAGACTAAGGTTTTAATGACTGATAGTAGCTTGCACCAGACATTCTCCTCTGGTAAATCCCAACACAGACGTGTGTCCAAGGAAAGTCCTGCCATTTACCTCTTGGAGTAGAGATCTGTCAACGTATACTTGCATTAAGCGCTTTGAGATAGAGATGTATGAATTTGGATAAGTTGCTCTTCTCTGGGAAGGGATCAAAAGCATCTGGCTCATAATATTAATAATGTCAATTATTATTAATTGACTAACCATATTAACTAACAAAAATGACAATAATAACAAAAGCCACATCAGGCTGGGAGCAGTGGCTCACACCTATAACTCTAGCACTTTGGGAGGCTGAGGCAAGAGGATTGCTTGAGCCCAGGAGTTCAGGATCAGCCTGAGCAACATAGTAAGCCCTCGTCCCTACAAAAATAAAAATAAAAGTTAAAAATTAATCAGGTGTGGTGGTGCACACCTGTAGTACCAGCTGCTTGGGAGGATGAGATGGGAGGATTGCTTGAGCCCGGGGGATCGAGGCTGCAGTGAGCTGTGATTGCTCCACTGCACTCCAGTCTGGGTGGCAAAGTGAGATCCTGTCTCAAAAAAAAAAAAGAAAAAGAAAAAATTATATGATAATCACAGTAAATGGAAATAGTTGACAAAATACAACATTCATCCATGATAAAAACTCTCAGCAAATGAATAAGAGGGAATTTCTTCAACTTGATAAAGGGCATCTGCAAAAGTCCTATGTTGTTACTGTTGAAAGACTGTGAATACTTCCCGCTAACAGGAGGAAGAAGACAGGGATGTTTGCTCCCACCACTTTTATTTAACATTATGTGAGAGCTTCTTTCCAGGGCAATCAGGCAAGAAAAATAAATAAAAGACATCTAGACTGGAAAAGAACAAGTAAAGCAATCTTTCTTTACACACATGAGCATTTGTCAGATCCTTCTATCGGAAAATTGGATTGGATTTTCCATTAGAAATTGCATCAGAAAACCTGATTGCCTCTGCAAAGGAATTACTAGAACTAGGAATTTGGCATTTTCTTAAACAGTTAAACATGTACCTACAGGAATTCCTAGCCATGCCAAGCCTAGATATTTAACCAAAAGAAAAGAAAAAATAAATCCATACAAAAATATGTATACAGATGTTTATAGCAGCTTTATTTGTAATAGCCCAAAACAGAAAACCACCCAAATGCTCATCAATGGGCAAATGTATATTACAAAACTGTGATATATCCGTATAATAAAATATTACTCAACATTAAAAAGAAAGGAACTATTGATACACACAACATGGATGAATCTCAAAATAATTATTGTGTGATAAGCCAGACAAAAAAGAGCAAATATCGTATAATTCCATTTATATAAATTCTAGGCTGGGCATGGTGGCTCATGCCTGTAATCCCAGTACTTTTCGGGGCATAAGCTGGTGGATCACCTAAGGTCGGGAGTTTGAGACCAGCCTGGCCAACATTAGTGAAACCCCGTCTCTACTAAAAACACAAAAATTATCCGGGCATGGTGCCACGTGCTTGTAATCCCAGCTACTCAGGAGGCTGAGGCAGGAGAATCGCTCGAACCCAGGAGGCAGAGGTTGCAGTGAGCTGAGATCGCACTACTGAACTCCTGCCTGGGTGACAAAGTGAGACTCCATCTCAAAAAAAAAAAAAATTCTAGAAAACACCAACTAATCTGTATTGAAAGAAAGCATATCAGTGTTGGAGCGTTGGCTAGGGAATGAGGAATGGGTGGGGAAGATCAAGAGGGAGGCATTGCCAAGGGGTCCAAGAAAACTTTGAGGGGGATGAAGATGTGTACTTTTTGAGATGATAGTTTTGCTGGTGTATACATCTATCAAACTATATACTTTAAATATGTGCAGCTTATTGTCTGTCAGTTACACCCCCAACAAAGTTGCTTTTTTTAAAAAAAAGGCGGTGGGGGGGTCGGGTGCGGTGGCTCAGGCCTGTAATCCCAGCACTCTGGGAGGCGGGGGCGGGTGGATCACCTGAGGTCAGGAGTTCGAGACCAGCCTGACCAATATGGTGAAACCCTGTCACTACTAAAACTACAAAAATTAGCTGAACATAGTGGCATGCGCCTATAGTCCCAGCTACTCGGGAGGCTGAGACAGGAGAATTGGTTGAACTTGGGAGGCGGAGATTGCAGTGAGCCGAGATCGCACCACTGCACTCCAGCCTGGGCAACAGAGTGAGATTCAGTCTCAAAACAAAACAAACAAACAAACAAACAATCTGTTGCCAGTTTCCTAGGAATGCTCTGGGCTTATTCTCTGCATTTTCCCACCCTGCCTCTCCCCTCCTCCCCCTCTCCTCTCCACAAAAGGGAACACATCACACAGGCTGTACTGCTCCTTACTTTGTCAGTCTCTGGTGTGTTTTAGGCTTATTCCATATCAGCACACAGGCTTTGCCTCATTCTTTTTGGTGGCTGTGTAGTTCTGACCTCAGTGCTCTAAAGCCATGCATTTAAGTGATTTGTCCTCTGCTTGTTCAGCTCTGAAATTTGTCATTACGCAGGCTTAACCCTGTATCAGTTAGGAGCCGCTTTTCTATTCCACCCTCTTATTGTTAATATGTGAGTCCAAGAGATTATGAGTTAATTGAGGGCAGGGACTCACATATCCACATCTCTATCTTCCACCAAAAAATAATGTTCTGCTCTGCAAATAGCAAATACAAAAAGCACAGCACAAAGTTCGCATCCAGCAGGCTTCATCCCAGCAGAATAAGCGAGAGGGACTCAGCACCAGTCAGTCCCATTTTGGTTAGTGAGAAGGTGGTGCCTTAGGGAAGAACACTGCATACTTCGAAGGCTGCTCTAGGGTCTGTAATCACAGCCCTCTGTGTTTGGGTTCATTCACACGGTGTTTATCTTCTGGGATTTGCTCCACAACACCCTTCAGGAAGGGTTTTGAAGGTTGTGGAAAAATCAGTGTGTGCAGCCAACAAAAGGGCAACAAGCCAATTGTGGTTATACAGGGCTGTTTTAAGAGTCAAGTCATGTTTGGGATGGGGGTGGGGTGCACAGTCTTGTATCAAGCATTTTCTGTAGCAGAGCTCAATCAGCATCTACAAGGCAGGGCTGGGCCACTCCTGCCTCTGAGCCTGTCTTCAGTAGTGGGTGCCTTTGTAACGAGCCAGCCTGTCCCCGGACCCAGGCAGAGTGACAAAACAGCTACACATTCATGAAGAACACTGGCTGTCTCCATAACAACCACGGTTAACATGACTCTGTAGAACTATGGGCGTGGCCCTTGGGTCTCCTGGCCTGGCTACCAACATGCCTGTGGCTTCTCATTGGGCCCCGTGAGTGCTGGCAGGGCTGTGAAGCAGGTGTGACTAATGGGTCAGCTCCCCGCTGGGACTGTGACCCTGAAGCTAACAAACCTAAGGGCAAGGCCAGGCGCAGCAGCTTTCTGAGTCTCTTCTGAAGTGGCTTGAAGTCGATACTGTGTGTGTATGTAAGATCTAGCCTGAAGGAAGGCGCTTTGTTCAGTTGCTAACTTATTTTCTTGGTGGTAAGCTTTAGATATCACTTAGCTTTTATGTTTGCTTGTTTTGTTACAGATTAAGTAGCTGTCATAAGAAAAAGGACTATTTACTTACTATCTGGAGTCTTGTTCTGTTTGATACCCCTAGGCACATGTTCAATTCAGAGATAAGAGCCCTGGAAGTTATAGATTGCAAACAGTTTTTTCCCTGAAAACAAAACTGACATATTTATATACAATGATAAATACATAGATAGACTAATGATCAGTTTATGGATATTTGGCAATATGCCTCTCAATAATCATCACATTATTCATAATGTTTATAAATTCATAAATATAAGCGCACATTACAGCAACTTATTAACAATGTTCTATAAGCCAGAAAAGCACCATGAATACAAAATAAATTATTATAGTTCCTGAACAGTACTTTTACCTGCTAAATATTTTGTGGCCTTCAACAGCTCAGCCAGACAGTCAAAAGGAGAGCAACTTAGCAGAAGATTTTGGTCTAGCTGAGGATTCAGATCACTGAAGAACTTAAGTTTAGGCTGTTAAACAAAATTATGGGAGCCCGTTATTTTGGACTGAACTCCTGTACTAGGCCCCAACAGACGAGACCAAACCAAAATGGAGTCATTCATGCTAAATGCCTCGTCATCAAATAGAAGCTTTAAGGAAGCAGATAGATCCAACATAGACTAGTTTTTCTTGAGAACAGAAGATTCCAGTCTACCTGTGTCAGTGCAATAAGGAAGTCCTCTCTGCTTTAATTTTTACACAAAAAGTAACCTCATGTTAGCCAATCCGACTTTAAAATTTTTTTTTTCCTATTTCCTTGTTCTCACCTTACAAAACCCACTGTTCTGCTGCTGTCCAGCAGGAACCCTCATGCTGTTTTGTAGAATGGAAGCTGCCCTGATTCATGAATTGCAAATAAAAGCCAATTAGATCTATAACTATATTTGTTGGAATTTTGTCTTTTGACAAGACCAACTGGACCTTCCCTTTCTTGGTTAAAATCTGCAAGACTCTTCTTCCTTGGTCACACTGGACAATTGGCTTGTTAGAGCTGCAGTCAGGGGAACCTGGGAGAGACTCACCTTGCGAAGAAGACAAAGGCCACGGTGCTAATGGTGGTGGTGCAGGTATCCTGAGATGGCCAGAGCTCAGAGAAGTTCATGTCAAGAGGTGACAAGCCACAGTGAATTTACGGAATTTTTGTTTCTATGTTTATGGAAATTTATGTGTGCACTCATGCCGTGTTATGGACTGAATTGTGTCCTCCCAAAATGCATATGTTGAAACCCTAACGTCTAAAGTGACAGTATTTTGAGGTAGGGCCTCTGAGGAAGTAATTAAGGTTAAAGAGGTTATAAGAGTGGGGCCCTAGTGATGAGATTTGTGCCCCTGTAAGAAGAGACACCAGCCCTCACTATCTCTCCCTGTCCCTCTCTCTTTCTGTCTGTCTTTCTGCCATGTAAGGACACACAAAGAAGGCAGCCACCTGCAAGCCAGGAAGAGAGCCCTCACCAGGGACCAAAATGGCCAGTGCCTTGATTTTGGACTTCAGCCTCCAGGAGAGTAAGAAATAAATTTCTGTTTCTTAAGCCACCTAATCTGTGATATTTTGTTATGGCCATTTGAACTGACTCAGACAGCCAGGATCACTTATTTAGTTGTTCATTAATTTATTGATCCATTCAAGAAATTCAACAACTCTCTATTGAGTGCTTTATGTACCAGGCACTGTTTTTGGAGGTCAGGATGCATCAGTGACAGAAGACAAAAAGATTCCTACATTGTAAGCTTACCTGTAGGGACAGTAAACAATCAACATTAGAAGTAACTAAATCTGTGGTGATGATACTATACATTTTGTGATGTACCTTAACAGTACATAAATGTCTTTTACACCCATTATTGCATCTGACCTGGCAGACCCCGGGAGGTATGAGGAAATGAAGCCCACTCTCCAGGTCACATGGCTGGTACCAATTATAGTAGTAGCTAATAAGTATTTAGCTGCTTATTATGTGCTAGGAGCTGTTCTATGTGTGTGTTAACTCATTGAATCCTAGCAACAATTCTAGAAGTTGTTTTCTACAATAAAGGCACAGAGAAGTAATTTGTTCAAGGTCAGCTGGGTGCAGTGGCTCACACCTGTAATCCCAGCACTTTGGGAGGCTGAGGCGGGTGGATCATGAGGTCAGGAGTTCAAGACCAGCCTGGCCAAGATGGTGAAACCCCATCTTTACTAAAAATACAAAAATTATCCAGGCGTGGTGGCAGATGCCTGTAATCACAGCTACTTGGGAGGCTGAGGCAGGGAATTGCTTGAATCCGGGAGGTGGAGGTTGCAGTGAGCTGAGATTGTGCCACTGTACTCCAGCCTGGGTGACAGAGGAAGGCTCCATCTAAAAAAAAAAAAAAAAAAAAAATTTGCTCAAGGTCAGACTATAGTAAGTGCTGAGCCATGTTCTGAACTAGTGAGCATGCATCCGTCATGTGAAGCTCCTCCTTCTCTTGAGCCATCACTCAGTTAGTTGTTTGCCCTCCTGGTAGACTGTAAGCTCCTTGCAGGCAGGCCCCCAACTCTCTGCTTCACCGCTTTCTTGGGCACACAGCAAGATGTCCACAAAGTCTGAACACATAGGCAAACGTGCACAGTGTCATCAAGGACATCTGCAACTTGTAAAATCTGTTTCCAGACTTTATAAATACTCTGTAGGTACTGAATGAATGAATGGATGGATGGATGGATGAAATCTGGGTCCTTTAGCCTTAGCTTCCCACCACACCACCCGCGTTCTTTAGATAGTTAACATCTATTTCCTGCCACAGTTCTCTGTCTAAGAATACAGATTTTGAGGATGAGAGGGGGTAATATAACTAGCTTTGCATTATGCAAGAAGGGAGAGTCATCCTTTCCTTTAATACTTAAATAGTAACAATGCAGGCCTCATTCTTCAGAAAGCCCGGGATCACTTCTAAGGATCCTGGTGAGTCTGCGAATTTCTATACATTCATTTGTTGTTGTTTTCCACTTCTTGCTGTGGATGTGTGCTCTGGGTTTCTCCCGCCTCTGGCCATCCCTGGATAACTCTGATGCCTGCATGGCTGTAGCAGAGACTCTGAATGCAGGTTGTATGCCTGATTTAGTTTCCTACGCTGCTATAATAAATTACCACATATTTAGTGGATTAGAACAACACAAATTTATTATCTTACAATTCTGTAGGTCAGAAGTCTGACATGGGTTTCACTGGGCTCAAATCAAGGCGTCAGCAAGACTGTATTCCTTCTGAAGCCTCTAGGGAAGAATCTGGTCTTTTACCTCCTCCAGCTTCTAGAGGGCACCTGTATGCCTTGGCTCAGGGTCCCCTTCCATTTGCTAAAGCCAGCAACGTTGCATTTTTTGTTCCTTCCTTCTGTCATCATGTTTCCCTCTGACTACAGCCAGGAAGCATTCTCTGCTTTTAAGGGTTCATGTGATGGCATTGGGTCCACCAGATAATATGAGAAAATCTCCCCATCTCAAGATACATATTTTAATCACTCCTGCAAAGTCCCTTTTGCCATGTAAAATAACATATTCACAGGTCCTGGGATTAGGGCATGAACACTCTGGGGGAGGGGGATTACTATGTATACCACAGTGCTGACATCAGTCTTCCCTTCTGTACTAATAGAACTTCTGGTTTTTCTGGTTTTTAATTGAACACATGGGCATCCAAAATAAAAATTACATCTTCCAGCCTCTGTTGCAGCTAGATGCTGTCATGGGAGTATGTTCTGGTCAATTAGATATGGAGATATCATGTGGGGCTTGAGGAGCTATCCCTCAAACATGGGGGAGTAACCTTCTTCACTGCCTTCCCCCTTCCTGAGAATGTGACCTGGCAGCTGTCAGTCAGGTAGTCATTTTGGACCCTAGGTGGATGTGACATGTTGAAGATGGTGGAGCAACAGAATAAAAGGACCCCAGGTTCCTGATGGTCATGGAGTCCCCACACCAGTCCTAGGCTGTTTGACTTTGGACTTTGTTTACATTATTGAAATGTTGTCATATTCCATTACCTTTCACTTGCAAGTGAACCTAATCCTTACTGATATTGTGGCTGTCTCACTGATACAATGGGTTTGCTTCCTTCCAAAGTAGGGGCACAGGCCTTTATTTCTCTTTTTCCCCTAAGGCACCAAGAATACAACATTGTTAGCTATAACCAACTCCACTCACAAACTAAAAATACAGAAAAGAAAAGTTTAACACTGGACATCAGATATCCTAGCTCTGGAAGTCAGTGGGCCATGTCTCTTCAGGGGTACTTATCCCTTCTTCCCCCTTTCCTGCTACTGCAATGCTGGGGCCAGCACCTCTCCTTCTTCCTTAGGAGTCCCCCTCTCTCATTCTGCTACTCTCTGGCCCACCCTCCAAAATTGCTAAACAACCCAGTAATCTCTGCAGAGCCATGCCAGTCCATAACAAGGATGGCCTTTCAAAACATACCAATTACAGTGCATGCTTAATGTCTCAGTAGACAGCACCTACTTTTGTGTAGAAGCTTCATTTATATCCATGTGACTAAAAGGGCTCACCAATGTGATTCCTCCTTGAACTGATGGAAATTTTCCCTTCAAAATAAATTCCAGCTTTTATCACTGTTTGCAAATGTTAGTACTCTAGAATTTCCAGCCATCAGATACATAGATATCCACTGTATGTACATCTATGATTATTGAAGGCAGTAGGGAAAATCCAACAAGGGAGAAAGCTGAACAAGCGTGGAAAATGAGACCAGGAGAAGAAGTGAACAGCTTTGTATTTGGATGGAGAAGAAAACAGCAAATGCTGACATTCGTCAAAATAAGACAGAGACTAGGGTTGCAACGAAGTTGCAGTGAGATGAAGGTGGCCGCACCGGTTGTAGATGGTTGAGATGGTCCCTGGAAGTGGCAAGGCTTGAGCAAGGCTGGGAGATAGCAGCAGAACCTCGATGTGCAGCCTCAGTCCGGGGCAAACGGGCTTCCCCAACACCCCGGCTGGTTGGATCTCTGGCTTTGCATCCTTTCTGATGTGGTTTTCTTCTTTGCATACCTTTTGCCATCACTGATTTACTGACATCTACATTAAGAAGTTGGCCCTGGAGTGAATTCTGAAAATGACTACATACTTCTTGAATAAAGAAGATAGGACTGTCAGTAGAAGAATTTCAAAGCTCTAAGGGACCATCCTTTTATTTTACACTGTGATATGGTTTGGCTGTGTCCCCATCCAAAATCTCATTTTGAATTGTAATAATCCCCATGTGTCAAGGGTGGAACCAGGTGGAGGTAATTGTTCTCGTGACAGTGAATGAGTTCCCATGAGATCTGATGGTTTTATAAGGGGCTTCCCCCTTCGCTTGTCTCTCATTCTTCTCCTTCCTGCTGCCATGTGAAGAAGGACATATTTGCTTCCACTTTCAACATGATTGTAAGTTTCCTGAGGCCTCCCCAGCCCTGTGGAATTGTGAGTCAATTAAACCTCTTTTCTTTATAAATTACCCATTCTCAGGCAGTTCTTTATAGCAGCGTGAGAATAGACTAATATATATTGTTATTAATTTGGAGAACTCTATGAAATGGGTAGGATTTCACCCACTCATAGCTAAGTTGTTAAAACTAGACCCTTTGGTTCATGTTTAAAAACGTTTCCAACAGCTGATGGTTTTACAGGGGCTGAATATAAAAGTATTTGTACTGAAGGATTTTGTGTATTCATTAAGAAACATAGTAATGTCTTTTCTTTAACATTTTAAGGGCTGATCAGGGTTTAATATGATGCAAATAATATGATGATTAATAAGGTGATGTTTTTATTAATTCAAAAGTAAATTATTTAAAAGCGGGGAAGCATTTTGAGAGAAGGAACAAAGTGCTCTTAGACGGCATGGAGGCTATAATACAAAAGATATACAGGAAATGCAGGCCCATAATGTATTTATTGGCTCTAAGTTCCAGCCTAATTTTTAGATTAAGTGGGACTCTTATGAAAAGACAGGTCATGATCAACAGGTTGATATAGTCTTAAGAAAAGTAGATAACATCCAGCTATTGGAAAGTTAGCATGCATGCTCTCTTACTTGGATATCTCCCCCTTTCCTTTAAACTCTTGAGCCCCCTAAAATTAAGGAGTATGTAGTTCAAGCATATTTTTTATTACTGTTACAGTAAGTATGCTTGTGGCCAAAACATTTATTTTATTTTTATTTTATTTATTTATTTATTTTTGAGACGGAGTCTCGCTCTGTTGCCCAAACTGGAGTGCAGTGGTGCGATCTCGGCTCACTGCAAGCTCCGCCTCCCAGGTTCACGCCATTCTCCTGCCTCAGCCTCCGGAGCAGCTGGGACTACAGGCGCCCGCCACCACACCCGGCTAATTTTTTGTGTTTTTAATAGAGACGGGGTTTCACCGTGTTAGCCAGGATGGTCTCGATCTCCTGACCTCGTGATCTGCCCACCTCGGCCTCCCAAAGTGCTGGGATTACGGACGTGAGCCACCGCGTCCGTCCCAAAACATTTATTTTTACAATGTCTGTAACTTGCTTAAATACTTCAGCAAAATCAGCGTGATATTTACTCATTCAACCAATATTTGTGCCCTCACTATTCATCAGGCATTATTTTAGACGCTGCAATGAACAAAACAGACAGAAATTCTGGCCTTTGTGGAGCTTACATTCTCATTTGTTATTTAAATCGAAATTTTATTTAAGAAGAATTTGCATTCTAAAGGTGATCAGCTAGTATTTAACCAGAAAGGCCACATTCCCACAGCAGCTACTGTAAGTACCTGAGAAGCTATCCCTGCTAGCCCTAAAGGCTTTATATGAGGAATGTTAGAAATGGACTCTTGTCATTGAAATTAGTGGCATTCAATATAATATGTGAACTGTCTTAAATATTTTGAGGATATTCCCTCCCTTATAAACAGGGCGTAATATCTGGTAAACTCTCCGGGTGCAGTGGCTCACGCCTGTAATCCTAGCACTCTGGGAGGCTGAGACGGGCCAATGACCTGAGGTCAGGAGTTTGAGACCAGCCTGGCCAACATGGTGAAACCCAGTCTCTACTAAAAATTGGCATGCACCTATAATCCCAGCTACTCAGGAGGCTGAGGCAGGAGAATTGCTTGAACCCGGGAGGTGGAGGTTGCCGTGAGCCAAGATCGTGCCACTGCACTCTATCATGGGAGACAGCAAGACTCTGTCACAAAAAAAAAGAAAAAGAAAAAGAAAAAGAAAAAGAAAAAAAATCCGTATTAATCCTCCTACCTTTCAGAATGGCTCTTAGGGTTAGCAAGTCTGGAATTGATTTTGAAGATTTTTAATTGCCTGATGCTGACTATAAACTAAGCAGTTATGCAATTATGCTTTTAGGATGCTGTTGCATCTCCCTAAAGAGACCCAGTTTTGGAAGGTATGATTGAAGCATCTAGAGGAATACAGAACAGAGTGCCCTGAGTGTAGCAGACAGACTGTATAAACTGTTTCTCCACTGCTTGCTAATGGCTTTGTCTAATAAATGTTTACTTACATATAAAAAAAAGAGAAATGCATGATCAGGAACTGACTTAGCTCACTATGGAAGGAGCAGTGGGGAAAAAAAAACAACTAGAATTTCACAAATGAAGGCAAACTGCAGTATTGACAGACGCTTCCCTGCAGCAAGGATGGCTCAAGGAGAAAATGTATTTTAGATTAGGCAGAGTGGGAAGAGGCAACAGCAACAGCTGTGAGAAAGGCGTATCACTGCAGCTTCTGTTGCAGCCTCAACCGCGTTGTGGTCACGTGGTTCCTGGGCCTGCTCTTACACCCAGGTACATGAGCTCACTTGCAACTACAGGTCCCAGGGACATCTATCTCAAAGATGCTTGGCATCTGCACTGTCATAAACTACAATCAATGTTTTATCACTTTAACTGCTAGTTTTATTAAGTCTCACATTTAATAAAGACACATTTCTGGACAAATAGAACAGGTTTTCTTTGAGATATGTGAAGACTTTCATCTGTCTCCTTGTGTTTAGATCTGGTCTCTGAAGACACGATCAGCTCCAAATGCCTGTCCCTATATGCAAGTTCAATTTCATTGGTTTTCCTGCTTTCATAAGCTCTAGAAAGGCTTGCTTTGATTAAGAACAATGGCACTAAAGGACACTAATCTGAAACCATTCACAGTCACACAGCTTAATTAAGACTACGGACTGTTTTTTATATATATATATATATATATATATATATATTTTTTTTTTTTTTTGATGGAGTCTTGCTCTGTTGCTCAGGCTGGAGTGCAGTAGAGCGATCTCGGTTCACTGCAAGCTCCCCTTCCTTGGTTCAAGCGATTGTAGGGCCTCAGACTTCC
The DNA here is from genome assembly GCF_000001405.40 of Homo sapiens. Taxonomy (NCBI): domain Eukaryota; kingdom Metazoa; phylum Chordata; class Mammalia; order Primates; family Hominidae; genus Homo; species Homo sapiens. The sequence goes on from NC_000009.12 coordinate 86,136,150, forward strand.
AAGTAGCTGGGATCACAGCCACCATGCCTGGCTAATTTTTTTTTTTTTTTTTTTTTTGGTATTTTCAGTAGAGACAAGGATTCACCATGTTGGCCAGGCTGATCTCAAACTCCTGACCTCAAGTGATCCACCCGCCTCGGCCTCCCAAAGTGCTGGAATTACAGATGTGAGCCACTGGGCCAGGCTGAGACGATCAATATTAACATGACTTTATTCTTCCAGGAAATTCTTGCCCAGGAAGATAACATTGCAAATGACTTTATGGTTTATGCCAAAAACTTCCTGGAAACCCATTTATCTGAACTGTGGACTCAACTATCTCTTATTATCAGGGTTAATAGCTCCCTTTTCAGAAAAGCAGTTTGATCGACTGGGCTTATCAAACAACTCTTTGTTCCTTAAGGCTCAGTTCAAAGCTGAAATCTCCTCTCTGAATTTTTTTTTTTTTTTTTGAGACGGAGTCTCGCTCTGCTGCCTAGGCTGGAGTGCAGTGGCATGATATCGGCTCACTGCAACCTCCGCCTCCCAGCTTCAAGCGATTCCCCTGCCTCAGCCTCCTGCATAGCTGGGATTACAGGTACCCACCACATCCAGCTAATTTTTGTATTTTTAGTAGAGACGAGGTTTTGCCATGTTGGCCAGGCTGGTCTCAAACTCCCAACCTCAGGTGATCCACTGGCCTCAGCCTCCCCAAGTGCTAGAATTACAGGCGTGAGACACCATGCCCTGCCCTCTCTGCACCTATTAAAGTACAAATCTTGCCTACACTTGGTCAGGTCCCACACCTGCACTGAAGGACCTACCTTACACCAAACCTCTGAAGCCTTACCCTTGAGACACTGCTGTGACTGTGCTGGTAGCCACCATGGTCTTGCTTGATCAACAGATTGGTAGTCCTTCAACCTGTTGAAGGAGTTGCTCAGCTTTCAACAATGTCAACATCAAAACTGAATCCTGGGCCAAGCGTGGTGGCTCATGCCTGTAATCCCAACACTTTGGGAGGCCGAGGCGGGTGGATCACCTGAGGTCAGGAGATCGAGGCTAGCCTGGCCAACATGGTGAAACCCCGTCTCTACTAAAAATACAAAAAATTAGCTGGGTATGGTGGTATGTGCCTGTAATCCCAGCTACTCGGGAGGCTGAGGCAGGAGAATCACTTGAACCCAGGAGGTAGAGGCTTCATTGAGCAGAGATCATGCCACTGTACTCCAGCCTGGGCGACAGAACGAGACTCTGCCTCAAAAACAACAACAATGACAACAACAAAACCAACAACACTGAATCCTGGATTGATGGATTATCATGAAAGGTATCATGAGTTGGTGCACTAGGTACTGTGTGAAGTGCTTGATATTTATAAACTCATTTAAGATTTGGTAGTTACCTAGTGGAGAGGGAACAATAGCACTTATGGAAGGGCTTACCATGGGATTGGAATTGCTCTAAATGCTTTGCATGTGTTCACTCATTTAATCCTGACCAAAAACCTAGAAGGTTGTCAACCCCCATTTTTTTGCAGAGGAGGAAACTGAGGCACGGGGAAATTTAGTCACTTGTCCAAGGACATACAAAGGCAAATGACAAAGCAAGCATTTTCATTCAGACTTCTCTTGCTATTTAAATTTTCTTATACTTGACATGTGGCTCTTGTCAATTTTATAACTTGGCCAACATCATACAGTTGTAGTGATGAAGCTGAGACTTAAATCCAGGATTTTAAATCTAAAACTAATATTTCTAACCATATCAGTGTTTGTTTTTATTCAATTGGCAACACTTTAATGTTTCTTTTCTTTTTATCAGGGCAAAATTTGATCCCTATAAGGATAAAATATATTCTTAATAAGTTGAAAGGTTGTATATTTTAAAATTTTTGGTTGCCGGGTACAGTGGCTCATGCCTGTAATCCCAACACTTTGGGAGGCCAAGATGGGAGGATCACCTGAGGTCAGGAGTTCGAGACCAGCCTGACCGACATGGTGAAACCCCCTCCCTACTAAAGATACAAAATTAGCCAGGCATGGTGGCACATGCCTGTAATCCCAGCTACTCGAGAGGCTGAGGCAGAAGAATTGCTTGACCCTATTTTATTTTGATAGTGAATTTATCCATGTTTATTTTAATTATGAAATATGCAACCAGCCCAAATGCCCATCAATTAATTAGTGGATAAATAAATTGTGGTATATGTATACCATGGAATACTATTCAGCCATAAAAAGGAATGAAATAATGGCATTCACAGCAACCTGGATGGAGTTGAAGACAAGGATATCTGCAATTGCTACTTCTTTTCAGCCTTGTAATTGAGTCTCTAGCCAGAAAAATTAGGCAAGGAAGAGAAATGAGAAAAAGAAGTAATCTCAGCTGGACGCGGTGGCTCATGCCTATAATCCCAGCACTTTGGGAGGCCGAGGCAGGCGGATCACTTGAAGTCAGGAGTTCGAGACCAGCCTGGCTAAGATGGTGAAACCCCGTCACTACTAAAAACACAAAAATTAGCCAGGCATGGTGTTGCATGCCTGTAATCCCAGCTATTCAGGAGGCTGAGGGAGAAGAATCGCTTGAACCTGGGAGGCGGAGTTTGCAGTGAGCCAAGATCATGCCACTGCACTCTAGCCTGGGTGACAGAGCGAGACTCTGTCTCAAAAAAAAAAAAAAAAAAAAAGAAGAAAGAAAAACTAGAAAATGAAAACTGGCAAAAAGAGGAAAATGTAAAAGACCAGAATTCTACGCATTACCTTGAGATAATCACTGATCATAGGTTTGTGCATATTCTTTCAGATTTGTCTATGTGTTTGTACACATGTATCATAAAAAATTCATTTAATGTTTGTATAGCTGATTCTCATTATTCACAGCAGTTATATTCTATAAAGTCACCACTGACACTGAATTAGTGAATACTAAAACATTACTCCTAGGGGAATACAGGGTTAGGTGCCTGTGAGCCTCTTGTCACAACATTTTCAGCAACTGAGCAATACATAGTCTTGGTTTATGCATGTTTCTGTTGAAAGACACCTTATTTAATATATATTTTTCATCCATTAACACTGAACTCATGATGAAGAGCACTTTAATTCACTCCTGAACAAAGATTATCTAACATACATGATGATGATTTATCTGTAAGGCACATCCTAATCTTCTTGGACTTAGAAACACTGGACATTTTAGCACTACACTGGGAGACATTTTAAACAATGGATTTACCAACACAGAGCACAAAAATGTGAAAAACATGGCACTAAATAAACAGCAAAAAGGGGCTGGGCACAATGGTTCATGCCTATAATCCCAGCACTTTGGGAAGCTGAGGCAGGTGGATCACCTGAGGTCAGGAGTTTGAGAAAAGCCTGACCAATATGGTGAAATCCCGTCTCTATTAAAAATACAAAAATTAGCTGGGTGTAGTGGCGTGCCCCTGTAGTCCCAGCTCCTCGGGAGTCTGAGGTGGGAGAATCCCTTGAACCCAGGAGGCGGAAGTTGCAGTGAGCAGAGATCGCACTACTGCACTCCAGCCTGGGCGACAGAGCCAGACTCCGTTTCAAATAATAATAATAATAAATAAATAGCCAAAAGGACTTTTGGATACAGTGTGAGAGTTGAAATAAGAGGGTGGAACATCACCTTGTTTGACCTCGCTGAGAATGTGCTCGTAAGGCAACTGAAATTTTTCACTACTCTGTAGGTGTCCACAAACGACCACAAAAGCATTTATTTTAGGATTACAAATACATCTTAGTGAGTAGGCAAATTCACAAAATATGGAATCTGTGAATAATGAGAATCAACTGTATATGTGACAAATCAGTCCTGCAGTTTTGTAGCAAGCACTGTCCTCTCAGTATATCTTCCATATCACTAAGTATACTTCTTCATGATCATTGGCAATGGGCTAATAGTATTTTATTATATGGATATAAGAATCATTTAGACAATCTGATTTATTTCCTGGAGCCACTGTAGCAAACGGGTACTAAGCTCTGATTTTTTTTATCTTGCCCAAATTCCTATCTAAGGGGTCTGGGGAGTCATCTCCTACAAATCATAAATTCCCATCAGATGGATTTTATTTAACCCTATATATTGTGACTTACTTTCCAATCTGACTCTGGCATAACATTACAAGACAAGGAAGAAAATCAAAATATTTTACCCCAAAACATGTTTCTCTGCCATATCTTTAAATGGCCCTGCAAAGCCATCCTTTCTGGGGGAAAATCTAGATCTGTAAAGAGTCTCTTAACATAGCTAGATCTTTTTCTTCCAGGTCCTCCCAATCCTGAAGAGATTAACTAAAAGTCTAGCACCTTTTAAATAACTGAATAGGCTGGGCACAGTGGCTGGTGGGGAGGCTGAGGCAGGAGAATCTCTTGAACCCAGGAGGTGGAGGTTGCAGTGAGCCGAGATTGTGCTACTGCACTCTAGTCTGGGCGACAGAGTGAGACTCTGTCTCCAAAAAAAAAAAAAAAATCTCTCTTGCCTCCCTTTTTTTTTTTTTTTGAGATGGAGTCTCGCTCTGTTGCCCAGGCTGGAGTGCAGTGGCGGGATCTCGGCTCACTACATGCTCCGCCTCCCAGGTTCACACCATTCTCCTGCCTCAGCCTCCCAAGTAACTGGGACTACAGGCACCCACCACCATGCCCAGCTAATTTTTTGTATTTTTAATAGAGACAGGGTTTCACCATGTTAGCCAGGATGGTCTCGATCTCCTGACCTCGTGATCTGCCTGCCTCGGCCTCCCAAAGTGCCGGGATTACCAGCGTGAGCCACCGCACCCAGCCTCTTGCCTCCCTTTAATAGGGCTATAAGTGACTTCATTTAGGGTCCACTCTGATAATCCAAAACCTGAGAATAAAACCTCAGGCACAGAGATAGTGTGCAAATTACATTCGCCTGCATCAAGCCTAAAGACACAGATTTCAGCAAGGAGGGAGCACTAGATAAGGGAAGTTTTCAGGGTTTCCTTATGGGAGATAGGTTCAAGGTGGTAGCAGCAATGGTTAGGAAGTCCAGGGAACAGTACCCCAAATCATAGGAAATGCCAGACCAAGGGCAGTTTCAACTTCTTGTTCCACCAGGAAACTGAAATTTTAACACAGTTAATTTATATGGCTGTAAATATTCCCTTAGGGGAGCTATGTCATTTAGTTATAATGTGTAGTTATGGGTTCATATTCTAGCTGTACCATCAGTGCCACATTTTAGAATCTGTCATATGTTATATAATCAAAATACTACAACTGGGTAATGATAAAGAGTTTTCTTTCTTTTTTTTTTTGAGATGGAGTCTTGCTCTGCTATGCAGGCTGGAGTGCAGTGGCAAGCTCTCAGTCCACTGCAGCCTCTGCCTCCTGGTCACAAGCAATTCTCCTGCCTCGGCCTTCCGAGTAACTGGGATTACAGGTGCATGCCACCATGCCCAGCTAATTTTTGTATTTTTAGTAGAGATAGGGTTTCACCATGTTGGCCAGGCTGATCTTGAACTCCTGACCTCAGGTGATCTACCAGTCTCGACCTCCCAAAGTGCTGGGATTACAGGTATGAGCCACTGTGCCTGGCCAAGTTTTCATCATTATATGCAAGTACCTGGGAAGAAAAAACTTTTTCTCTACCGTCTTATTCTCAGTGTAAATTAAACTAACAAAAGACATTAATAGGAGAAAAAGACATACACGTTTAGGTGATGTTTTAATTTTATGTGCATGGGGGCTACACAAAAAGAAGTAAAACCTCAAAGAGGTGGTTAAGCTCAGAGGCTTATGTACCATTTTAACAAGGGCAATAAATTGTGGAGAAGTGACTAGCAAAGAAAGGGTGGGGGTTGGGCCCCTAGGGGCAATAAATTGTCAAAAGGTAAATATGTGGTGAAACTAATGGAAGACAGGGTTATTTTAGGAAGGCTTCTTTGTGCAGATTCATCTCAATGTCAACTTTCCATCTTTTTCATGGACATAAAACGCCCCTGGGGAGAGAAGGGATTTATGGCAACCTAATTTCTCGGAAGTTTCTGCTTTTAGTCAGATAAGGGAAGCTACAACAAGGCTTTCTTTCTCTATCTGTTGATTCCCAATAACCTTCGACTCAAAACAATCCATATGTCAAACTGGCATGTTTTAAGGTGGCATACTCTGGCCCCCTTCATGAGCATGTATTTCTTGCATACAAGGCCTGAAGTTTGGGGGCCAGAGTGCAGCAGGCCAGGCCAACACCAGATACGCTCCTGGCATTTCAGGGGCTGTGGCTACAAAAGCTAAGGCCCTGGGGTGGTAGTGAGATGGAGCCGGGACCTCTCTTAGGGGCTTGCTGGGTCCCACAAGCATGGAAATGAAGAAAAATTTTGAGTTCTTCCAAGGAAATTCTAGTCACCTAGCTAACCCTGCAACCAGCAATCAGAGAAGTAAATGAACAGCATTTGAAGCAAGAAGACAATAATAGCTTAAACAATAACCACCCAGTAAGTCAGAGTCACAAAGTGTTTGGCTCTCTGTAGAAACTAAAAGATTAAATCTTTTTTTTTGAGATGGAGTCTCTCTCTGTTGCCCAGGCTGGGGTGCAGTGCCACAATCTCAGCTCACTGCAACCTCTGCCTCCTGTGTTTGAGCAATTCTCCTGCCTCCTGTGTTCGAGTGATTCTCCTGCCTCAGCCTCCCGAGTAGCTAGAACTACAGGCATGCACCACCATGCCCAGCTAATTTTTCTATTTTTAGTAAAGACAAGGTTTCACGACGTTGGCCAGACTGGTCTTGAACTCCTGACCTCAGGTCATCCACCCACCTCAGCCTCCCAAAGTGCTGGAATTACAGATGTGAGCCACCACACCCAGCCAAAAGATAACATCTTAAGTTGTTTTTCAGAAGCAAGGACCCCCACCAGATGGAAAATGCCAACTGCTGTCACGTAGACTTCAGGTAAGGGGAAACTGAGGGCTGAACTCTGACTATTGTTCTTTGTTTAAAATTTTATGATGGAGCCTGGAGACAGTCATGCCTGCAGACCATCAATCTTGTTAACTGGTCACTCTGACACAGTATGCTATGGCTTGCTCTCATAAACTGACTATGGCATAGCAACGCACAATGATTCCTTATCCTAACAAACATGTTAAAGCCAAACCTTTACACTCCTTTCCTGCTGGCCTAAAGATTTTAGACAAAGCCTTGCTCCCTTAACCAACTGCAAATCAAAGAATTTCTGAATCCTCCTATGACCTGTAAGCCCCTGCTTCAAGATATCCTGCATTTATTGATTTACGATTTTGCCTGTGTTAAATCAAGTTTAGCCTAAAGCTGCCTCCTTACATATTTAAGCTCAGCCTAAAATTTTTCTGTACATTGTGAACTATACAAGTGGAGGTATAAACCAACCATAGCCCACACCTGTGCCAATCACTGAGTTTTGGTCAATCAGATGTAGCCAACTATTCAAACCATGTTCAAATAAGGCAAATGCTGAGCTGTAACCAATCCAGTTGTTTCTGTACCTCACTTTCGTTTTCTGTACCTCACTTTCCTTTTGCTGTCCATAAATCTTCCACCATGTGTCTGCGTTGGAGTCTCTCTGAATCTGCTGTGATTCTGGGGGATGGGTGGCTGCCGGCTTCACAAATTGTTCACTGATCAATTAAACTCCTTTAAGTTTAATTCAGCTGAGATTTTTCTTTTAGCCCCTGTAACTCCCACTTTCATGAAATGTACCCCTGCTGTAACCGCCCGAGGGGTTCACCTTGCCCGCTGCCTAGACAGAGCCAATTCATCAAGACAGGGAAATTGCAATAGACAAACAATAATTCACGTAGAGCAGGCTGTGCAGGAGACTAGAGTTTTATTATTACTCAAATCAGTTTCCCCAAGCATCATTCGGGGAGCAGAGTTTTTTTGTTTTGTTTTGTTTTTTTAATCGAGACAGAGTTTCGCTCTTGTTGCCCAGGCTGGAGTACAATGGTGCCATCTCGGCTCACGGCAACCTCCACCTCCCAGGTTCAAGTGATTCTCCTGCCTCAGCCTCCCAAGTAGCTGAGATTACAGGTATACGCCACCACGCCTGGCTAATTTTTTATATTTTTTAGTTGGGAAGGGGTTTCTTTCTGGTCTCAAACTCCTGACCTCTGGTGATTCGCCTGCCTCAGCCTCCCAAAGTGCTGGGATTACAGGCATGAGCCACGGCATCCAGCTGGGGGAGCAGAGTTTTTAAGGTTTACTTGGTGGGTCAGGGGGAGACCAGTGAGCCAGAAGAGCTGACTGGTCAGGGATGTCAAAGCTGCCTTCTTGTGCTGAGTCAGTTCTTGGGTTGGGGGGGGGCCACAAGATCAGATGAGCCAGTTTATTGATCTGGGTGGAGCCAGCTGATCCATCAAGTGCAAGGTCTGCAAAATATCTCAAGCTCTGATCTTAGGAGCAGTTTAAGGAAGGTCGGAGTCTTGTAGCCTCCAGCTGCATGACTCCTAAACCATAATTTCTAATCTTATGGCTAATGTTAGTTTAGTCCCCAGGCAAGAAGGAGGTCTGCTTTGGGAAAGGGCTGTTACCGTCTTTGTTTAAACTATAAACTACAAACTAAGTTTCTCCCTAAGTTAGTTCAGCCTGTCAGCGGCCTGTGAACCAGAGCAACTCCATCTTAAACAAGAGCTGGGTAAAATGAGGCTGAAACCTACTAGGCTGCATTCCCAGACAGTTAAGGCATTCTAAGTCACAGGATGAAATAGGAGGTCAGCACAAAATACAAGTCATAAAGACCTTGCCGATAAAACAGTTTGCCGTAAAGGAGCTGGCCAAAACCCACCAAAACCATAATGGCGACGAGAGTGATCTCTAGTCATCCTCACTGCTACACTCTCACCAGCGCCATGACAGTTTACAAATGCCATGGCAACATCAGGAATTTACGGTCAGGAATTTATGGTTTAAAAAGTGGAGGTATGAATAATCCACCCCTTATTTAGTATATTATTAAGAAATGACCATAAAAATGGGCAACCAGCAGCCCTTGGGGCTGCACTGTCTATGGAGTAGTCATTCTTTTATTCCTTTACTTTTTTTTTTTTTTTTTATGGAGTTTCACTCTTGTTGCCCAGGCTGGAGTGCAATGGCTCGACCTCGGCTCACTGCAAGCTCTGCCGCCCAGGTTCAAGCGATTCTCCTGTCTCAGCCTCCTGAGTAGCTGGAATTACTGGCATGCGCCACCATGCCCGGCTAATTTTGTATTTTTAGTAGAGATGGGGTTTCTCCATGTTGGTCAGGCTGGTCTTGAACTCCCGACCTCAGGTGATTTGCCCGCCTCAGCCTCCCAAAGTGCTGGGATTACAGGCATGTGCCACTGCACCCAGCCTCTTTTCTTCCTTTACTTTCTTAATAAACTTGCTTACACTTTGCACCTTGGACTTGCCCTGAATTCTTTCTGGCATGAGATCCAAGAACCCTCTCCTGGGGTCTGGATTGAGACCTCTTTCCCATAACAAGCCTATGCCCAGGAATGAACAAGGACAGCTTGGAGATTAGAAGCAAGATGGATTTGGTTAAGTTGGATCTCTTTCACTGTCTCAGTTGTAGTTTTGCAAAGGCATTTTCACTGCCTTTATAAACCCTTGCTTGTAAGCCATAGGGGAGGTCGGATCTCAAGCATTACCTGCCTGTTCTCCTTGCTTGGTGCTCTGCAATAAACTCATTTCTTTCTTTCACTGCAAACCTCAGTATCAGTGTTTGGCTTTGCTGTGCTGGATGAGCAGACACAGGTTCAGTTCAGTAACAGGAGGAATGGAATCTAGAAATGGAACAGACACTAAGGGATTGACCAGGAGACCAGAGCTGGGACTGTGGGAGCTGCTGAAGAACAGAAGGGGCCGGGCATGGTGACTCACTTCTGTAGTCCTAGCACTTTGGGAGTCCAAGGTGGGTGGATCATGAGGTCAGGAGTTCAAGACCAGCCTGGCCAAGATGGTGAAACTGTCAGGCCTCTGAGCCCAAGCCTGCATGTATACATCCAGATGGCCTGAAGCAACTGAAGAACCACAAAAGAAGTGAAAATAGCCAGTTCCTGCCTTAAGTGATAACATTCCACCATTGTGATTTGTTCCTGCCCCACCCTAACTGATCAATTGACCTTGTGAAATTCCTTCTCCTGGGCAATGAGTATCAGAAGCTTCTCACTGAGCACCTTGTAACCACTGCCCCTGCCTGCAAGAGAAAAACCTCCTTTGACTGTAATTTTCCACTACCCATCCAAATCCTATAAAACTGCCCCACCCCATCTCCTTTTGCTGACTCCTTTTTCGGACTCAGCCCACCTGCACCTAGGTGATTAAAAAGCTTTATTGTTCACACAAAGCCTGTTTGGTGGTCTCTTCACACAGACGTGCGTAACATTTGGTGCCAAAGACCCAGGACAGGGGGACTCCTTTGGGAGACTGGTCCCCTGTCCTCACCCTCACTCCATGAGGAGATCCACCTACAACCTCGGGTCCTCAGACCAACCAGCCCAAGGAATATCTCACCAATTTCAAATTGGGTAAGTGGTCTTTTCACTCTCTTCTTCAGCCTCTCTCACTACCGTTCAATCTCCCTATCCTTCCAATTCCAGTTCTTTTTCCTCTCTAGTAGAGACAAAGGAGACACATTTTATCCATGGACCCAAAACTCCGGCACCGGTCACAGACTCAGGAAGACAGTCTTCCCTTGGTGTTTAATCACTGTGGAGATGCCTGCCTGATTATTCACCCACATTCCATTGGTGTCTGATCACCGTGGGGATGCCTGCCTTGGTCATTCACCCACATTCCCTTGGTGGCAAGTCAACTGTGGGGATGCCTGCTTTGGCTGCTCACCACCCCCTTCTCCAGGTCTCTACCTTTCTCTTTAAACTTACCTCCTTCACTATGGGCAACCTTCCACCCTCCATTCCCCCTTCTTCTCCTTTAGCCTGTGTTCTCAAGAACTTACAACCTCTTCAACTCACACCTGACTTAAAACCTAAATGCTTTATTTTCTTCTGCAATACTGCTTGGCCCCAATACAAACTCAACAATGGTTCCAAATGGCCAGAAAATGGCACTTTTGATTTCTCCATCTTACGAGACCTGGATAATTTTTGTCGAAAAATGGGCAAATGGTCTGAGGTTCCTGATGTCCAGGCATTCTTTTGCACATAGTCCCTCCCTAGTCTCTGCTCCCAATGCGAATTGCCCCAAATCTTTCTTCTTTCTCTCCTGTCTGTTGCTTCAGTCTCCACTCCAAGCTCTGAGTCCTTTGAATCCTTCTTTTCTGTGGACCCGTCTGACCTTGTGTCTGGAATTGGTTCCTTCCGGTGAGTTCTTGGTCTTGCTGACTTCAAGAATGAAGCCGTGGACCCTCGTGGTGAGTGTTACAGTTCTTAAAGATGGTGTATCTGGAGTTTTTTCCTTCAGATGTTCAGATGTGTCCACGGTTTCTTCCTTCCAGTAGGTTCGTGGTCTTGCTGACTTCAGGAGTGAAGCCGCAGACCTTTGCAGTGAGTGTTACAGCTCTTAAAGGTGGCGTGTCCAGAGTTGTTTGTTCCTCTTGGTGGGTTTGAGGTCTTACTGGATTCAGGAAGGAAGCTGCAGACCTTTGCAGTGAATGTTACAGCTCATAAAGGTAATGCAGACCCAAAGAGTGAGCAGCAGCAAGATTTATTGCGAAGAGCGAAAGAACAAAGCTTCCACAGCATGGAAGGGGACTCGAGTGGGTTGCCGCTGCTGGCTTGAGTGGCCAGCTTTTATTCCCTTATTTGGCCCCACCCACATCCTGCTGATTGGTCCATTTTACAGGGCACTGTTTGGTCCATTTTAAAGAGTGCTGATTGGTCCATTTTTACAGAGTGCTGATTGGTGCATTTACAAACCTTTAGCTAGACACAGAGTGGTGATTAGTGCTTTTTTACAGAGTGCTGATTGGTGTGTTTACAAACCTTTAGCTAGACACAGAACGCTGATTGGTGCATTTACAATCATTTAGCTAGACAGAAAAGTTCTCCAGGTCCCCACTAGATTAGCTAGACACAGAGTGCTGATTGGTGCATTTTTACAGAGTGCTGATTGGTGTGTTTACAAACCTTTAGCTAGACACAGAGCGCTGATTGGTGCATTTACAATCCTTTAGCTAGACAGAAAAGTTCTCCATGTCCCCACCTGATTAGCTAGACACAGAGTGCTGATTGGTGTGTTTACAAACCTTTAGCTAGACACAGAGCACTGATTGGTGCATTTACAATCCTTTAGCTAGACAGAAAAGTTCTCCAAGTCCCCACCTGACCCAGAAGCCCAGCCGGCTTCACCTCTCAATCCCCCCTCTAAACAGGACACCCCAACTGCTGTTGGGAATTGGGCAATGACTGCTCTAGCTACTTCCTGCTGGATAGGGGTGAAGAAGTGGCCCTGCAGTTGTAGTGTCCTCCAGAGGGGAACTCTTTAGGCCAGTGAAAGGGCCAGTGGGTCAGTCCAGGGGTCCTTGGTAGAAGTTGTTAGTTGAGCTCATTTGAGGTTCCATTTGTAAGACCATCTGCAGCTTGATGGCCTCAATTCTAGAGGAAACAAATTTGACAAGGAGGTTAAAAATACAGGGCCTGAAGGCAAGTAATAGCAAGATGGCTGCCATGGGACCTAGAAAGGGGAGAAGCCATGTTGCCCAACTCCAGAGGTTGGTATAAGAGTTTGAAAGGCATTGTCTGATTTCAGAAGCCTTTTCTTGTAAACGCCAGGTGGCATCTCGTACTATCCCTGACTGGTTAGTGTAAAAACAACACTCTTCCCCTAAGAAGGTGCAGAGTCCTCCTTTCTCAGCAGTGAGGAGGTCTAGGCCTCGGCAGTTTTGGAGTCACTGCTGCCAAAGAGTCTATTTGGGATTGTAGAGTAAGGATAGATTTCGTTATTTCTTGAAAACTATCTGAGAAATCCTTTGAGAGTGTGTGGTAGTAGGATAATGAAGTAGATAAACTGGCTATTCCAGTTCCTGTAGCAGTAGCCATTCCTAACCCTATAAGTAGGGGTATTAATTGTATGGCTCTGCACTGACGGACTTGAGCTTTGAGGGGTACTGATAGGGTCCGATTTCCTGGGGCAATGTTAATGTTGGGACTTAGGAAGACTAAGGTGCAGGTGCCTGTCCAGTTAGAGGGGAGGCAGATATAGGTCGACGTTCCCAATAAGAAGAATATACCTTGGCTGGGTAGACAGAACTTGTTGTGTATGTTAAAAAGTTGTGTGAGTTTGTTGTTTTCATTTTTCCATACTCCTAGAGTACTTGCCAAGGTAGTGCTGGTGAGTGGCTGGAAAGGGGTGTTGGGAGCAAACTGAGTTGCTCCCGGTGTTCTATTTCCCCATTGGAGAAAAAACCATTTTGTATCTGCTAGGAACCATTTGAGAGAGTAATTGAAAGAGAGGATGAGAAGGCATTCACTAGTGGTGGGGGCGCTGCTGCAGGGGGTCCAGGGGTGAATGGTCATGCAGGGAGTATGTTTGCCACTATAAAACCTGGACTGTTTGTTAAGCAGGGGGGAGGTGATGATTTTTGGGAGCCCTGAGAAGCGGACAAGCCATCTGAATGGAGCTGTTTGGGTGACTTGGAAGTTACTATGATCAGTTGGGGCTTGAAGTTGTGGGGTGTAATTACACTGATGGGGTAGTAGGTGCCCCAGGGGCAGGCCTGATAACAGGTTGCATTGGATGCATAAAAGGGCTTGGAAAGTTAAGATAGTATTCATAGTTACAGGGCCGTGTATGGGCTTTTCATTGCTTGTGTAATAAGTGAGGTTGGAAATGTAAGAAAGCAAAAGTTGGATTGCACATCCTGTTAGGGTATTCTTGGTCCTATCAGAGATGGGGAAGTCAGCTAATGATTGCATATTTAGAAGTCAGAAATGGTCTTTTCCTTCATAATGAGGGTGGTAGATTAAGTTGGTAAAGACCCAGTTTTTTGCGGGAATGGGAATGGCAATGTAAGCGGAGGTTGATAGAAAGATACAAAGCCAGCAGTCATTTTCCAGGGAAGGATTGGACTGGTTTAACAGAGAGTGGGTTAAGTTGAGAGTCTTGTAGAGGTAATTAGGAGCTAGTGGAAGGGGAGGGGTGATTGCATGAGGTATCCAAGGAAGCAGAAGGGAAAGATAGGCAAAGCATAAATAGGAAGGTCAAGAGGGTGCTCTGGAAGACGAGATCATTTTATCCAGGCTGAGTTAAAGCTAGGAGTAAATTGCTGTCAGAAGGAAGGAAGATAGAGAGAAGGTTGATGTGATTAAGATTTTCATCCCAGCAGGAGCTACAGTATATAGCCCTATTGCAAAGAGTATGGTTAGTATGCTGCTTAATAATATGATGAAATAATAAAAGGATTCCATTAAAGGGGTAAGGAGAGGTGTTAAAGATAAAGATTATGTAGGTCTTCATTTATCTTTTTAAGGAGGAAGGGGTTTTTCTTCAGGATCAATGGTAGGAGCCTTTTAAGTCTGGGTTATTTCCTTCCAAAATAGGAGATGCAATCCTCCAATGGTTCAAAGGTGTATGGAGGCTTGTCTGGCTGATCTTGGGACTCCTGAGCTGATGGTCCTGCAGGTTCCTCAGGGGATGTCCAGAACTTAACTCGGGTGTGATGAATCCAAGATTCCACTCCTGCCACCTTAACTGCAGTGGGGGTAGAGAGGATTACCGAGTATGATCCTTTCCACAAAGAGTCCGTAGGTGGGGAGGTAGAGGGGAGAGATTTGACTAACACTAGATCTCCTGATTGAAACAACTCTGTTCCCTTTTCTCTGTGACATCCTTCAGGTAGTTTTTTAAGGTTTTGTTGATATTTTGCCAAAGAAGTTATATCTTTGACCAAGTTGGCTGTTTCCTGATCAAGTATGAGGTCATTTGTGAGCAAATGTCATCCATACAGCATTTCATATGGACTGAATCCCATTTTGTGAGGAGAATTTTGGATTCTCAAGAAGGCCATGGGCAAAAGAGTAGGCCATGGGAGATGAGTTTCTTGTGTTCATTTCCTTAAGTGCCTCTTGAGTGTTTCATTTGCCTGCTCGACCTTCCCTGAGGATTGTGGCCTCAGGGTGCAGTGAAGGTGATATTGTATCCCTAACACCCTGGAAATTCCCTGAGTTTTCGTGGCTTTAAAAGCCGGACCATTGTCACTCTGTAAGCTTTGGGGAAGCCCAGATCTAGGAATTATTTCATGAATTAGGACTTTAATCGCTTCCTGAGCCTTCTCTGTCTTGCAGGGGAAAGCTTCTATCCAATTTGTAAAGGTATCAATACAGACCACCAAGTATTGAAATCCCTTTGACTTAGGCAGATGGGTGAAGTCTAACTGCCAGTCCTCTCCAGGATAGTGATCTATTCTTTGTTCCCCCAAAGGAGCCTTATGATGGACCAAGGGATTATTCCTTTGGCACACCTCACAGGCTTTGACTACCTGTCGGATGGTCCAGAGGAGATTTGGCCCTGTAAATAGGGATTTGGCCATTTGAAGAGTGTTTTCAATACCCATATGAAAAGTTTGGTGGAGGGTTTTAAGTATTTTCCACTGGTTGGCTTCAGGCATAAGTACCTTTCCTTCTTCTGTTGTTAACCACCCGGAGGGGAGAAAACTATACCCCCGTGAAAGTCCCCATTCTGTTTCAGTTGGGGAATACTTGGAGGGGGTTGTTCCTATCAAAGGTCCTTCCATAGCTATTTCTAATGGGAGGTTCTGCCTGGCAGCAATTTTGGCCTCAGCATCTGCCCAACAGTTTCCTTCTGCCTTTTCTCCTTCACCTTTCTGATGACTTCGGCAGTGTAAGACTGCCACCTCCTTGGGTTTATGCACTGCATGCAATAACTCCATAATTTCCTTGTGGTATTTAATGGGGGCTCCCCCAGAGGTTAGGAACTCCCTTTCTTTCCATATTGCACCATGGGCATGTAGGATCAGATAAGCATACTTGCTATCTGTATACACATTTATTCTTTTTCCTTTTCCTAGTTCTAAGGCTTGGGTAAGTGCTGCTAGTTCTGCTAAGTGGGCGCTGGTCCCTGGGGGAAGAGGCTTACTTTCAAGTATGGTTACATCACTAACTATGGTGTAACCTGCCCTTCGTATCCCATTCTCCGCATATTAACTTCCATTGGTATATAGGTTAAGGTCAGAATTAGCTAAGGGGACTTCTAAGAGATCATCTTGGGTGGCATAACTCTGGACTATAATTTGTTGGCAGTCATGCTCAACTGGTTCCCCATCTTCTGGGATAAAAGTGGCAGGATTGAGGGCCATGCACATAAGCATTTGAAGCACCAGTCCCTCAAGGAGTAGCGCCTGGTATCTAAGTAGGTGGTTATCTGATAGCCATAAACTTCCTTTGGCACCTAGTATGCCATTTACATCATGAGTAGTCCAGACAGTGAGATCCTTTCCTTGTATTATTTTGATACCCTCTGACACTAAGATGGCCACTGCTGCAACTACCCTTAAACAGTGAGGCCAGACTTTCACTACTACATCAATTTCCTTACTTAGGTATGCCACTGGTTGTGGGGTTGTCCCACGAGTCTGAGTAAGGACTCCAAGAGCTATCCCTGCTCTCTCTGTGATGTATAAACAGAAGTTTTGTCCTGTGGGAAGGCTTAAAGCTGGAGCTTGTACTAGGGCCTGCTTTAAGGTTTTGAAGGCTGTTACTGCCCCTGGCTCCCATTCTACTAGATGAGTATTTGCCCTCTGGGTCTCCTTGATTATAGAGGGGCCTGGCTATCTTGCTGTATCCGGGGATCCCATAGTTGGCAAAAGCCAGTGATTCCAAGGAACCCCCACAAATGTTTTAATGTCTTAGGGTGAGGATAAGCCAGTATAGGCTGTATTCATTCCTTGCTGTGGGCTCTGGTCCCTCTAGCTAAGATTAGGCCTAGATATTTGACCCGTTGTAGGCAAAGCTGAGCCTTCGACCTAGATGCCTTTTACCCTTGATTAGCTAGAAAGTCCAAGAGATCTAGAGTAGCCTGCTGGCATGACACTTCTGAACTGGTAGCCAAAAGCAAATCATCCACATACTGAAGGACCAGAATGCCTGGATTTGAGAAGTGGCCTAGATCTTGGGCCAGTGCCTGACCAAACAGGTGAGGGCTATCCCTAAACCCTTGGGCAAGACCATCCACGTAAGTTGGGATGTGTGGTCTGTGGGATCCTCAAAGGCAAAGAGAAACTGGGAGTCAGAGTGCAGGGGAATATGGAAGAAAGCATCCTTGAGGTCCAGAACAGTGAACCATTCTGCTTCCTCTGGTATTTGAGAGAGCAGTGTATAGGGGATGGGTACAACTGGATATAGAGGAATTACTGCCTCATTGGTGAGTCTAAGATCTTGCACTAGTCTCCACTGGCTGTTCTGTTTTTGTACTCCTAGAATTGGGGTGTTGCAGGGACTGCTGCATTTCCTTACTAAGCCTTGAGCTTTTATATGTTTAATATCCTGTAATCCTTTATGAGCTTCAGGCCTTAAGGGATATTGCCTTTGATAAGGAAAAGTGGTGGGATCTTTTAGCCTGATTTGGACTGGGTGGGCATTTTTTGCCCTTCCAAATTGTCCTTCCAATGCCAAGACTTCAGGGTTGATTCCCTCCTCAAGTAGGGGACAATGAATGGGTGATTTGTTCCCCATATTCATGTAGATAATAGCTCCAGCTTTGGCTAATATATCCCTCCCTAATAAGGATGTGGGACTTTCAGGCATAACAAGAAAGGCATGTGAAAAGAGTAAAGTCTCCCAGTTACAACTGAGGAGGTGGGAGAAATACCTGGTTACAGGCTGTCCCAGGATTCCTCGGATGGTAGTGGACCTTGAGGACCGTCGTCTGGGACAGGAGATTAACACTGAGAAGGCTGCACCAGTGTCCAGGAGGAAGTCAATTTCCTGGCCCTCAATGGTTAAACATACTCGGTGCTCAGTGAGGGTGATGACATGAGCTGGCACTTGCCCCAGGCACCCTCAGTCCTATTGTTGGATCATCTGGTTGGGGGCTTCTGGCCCAGAGAACCTTTGCCCTCTGGGGCAGTGCACCTTCCAGTGATTGCCTCAGCATAGCAGACATGGACGAGGGGGCAGCTTATTTCTTGTTGGACAATCTTTTTTAAAGTGTCCTTGTAAGCCACACTGATAATAAGTCCTACTGGGTGATTGGCCTGCTCTTTTCTATCCTCTCTGAACCACCAAGGTTTGTTTATCTGAGGGCCATTACTAAGGCTGCAGCCTTTCTCTGATCTCACTTTTCCTTTTCGGCCTGTTCCTCTTGGTCCCTATTATAGAACACCGAGGTTGCCAGGTTTAATAATGCCTCCAGATTTTGTTCAGGGCCCAGGGCTCGCCTTTGGAACTGTCTCCTGATATCTGTGGCTGATTGGGTAATAAACTTATCTTTTAGAATCAACTGACCCTCGAGTGAGTTGGGTGACAGGGGAGTATATTTTCTTAAGGCCTCCCGTAACCACTTGAGGAAGACAGAAGGATTTTCTTCCTTTCCCTGAGTTATGGTAGACATCACTGAATAACTCATGGGCTTTTTCCTAATTCTCCTTAGTCCTTCTAGAACACAGGTCAACAGATGTTTATGACTCCAGGCCCCATGATCTGAGTCGGGGTCCCAGTGGGGATCCATACTGGGGATGGCTTGCTGACCGGCAGATAACTTGTCCCTTTCTTCAGCTGTCATTCTATCATTTGCTTGACTAAGATATCAGGTATCCAAACTCTCAGCCTGCAGCTAAAGCCGCATTCTTTTCATTAAAGACCAGGGTTTGATCTAACAATAGCATGACATCTTTCCGAGTGAGATCGAAGGTTTGCCCTAGACCCTGTAGGACATCTGTGTACCTATCAGGATCATCTGAAAACTTCCCCAGGTCTGCCTTGATCTGCTTTAAATCAGAGAGGGAGAAGGGGACATGTACCCGGGTTGGGCCAAATTCCTCTCCCCCTACAGCTTGAAGGGGACATAACCGATAGCCCTGGGGTTTTTGTGGTCCTTTGGAGATTTCTTTGCTTATTTCCTTCTGGGTGGGGGAGATTAGAGGAGGCTTATCAATAATAGGAAGGGGAGTTATAGGGAGGCTAGGATATGGGAGTAAGCTGAAAGGTCCCCCTGTGGGATGTAAATTGCAAGTTTGGCAGAGTTGTGTATCCTCCTCCAATGAAAAGAAAGCTTGGACATAAGGTATGTCACTCCATTTGCCTTCCCTGTTACAGAAAAGGTCAAGCTGCAGTATAGTATTGTAATTTATACTTCCCTCAGGTGGCCATTTTTCCCCATCAGAGAGAGAATATTGGGGCCAAGCCATAAAGCAGAAAAAAATGAACTGACTCTTTTTCAGGGTTTGTGGGTCAAATTGGTCCCAATGGCTTAGGATGCATTTCAAGGGTGAGCCTGTTGATGCCTGAGTGTTTCCCATGTGAAGGACAAACCACCTGTGGTTTTGGTTTGTTTCTCCCCCTGCCCAAGAACCTGCAATGGTCCCTGGACCCTGCTGATTGGAATACTTGCGCTCACCAACGCAGCAGCAGAAACACCTCTTGCGCAAGGACCCACAACAGTCCCTGGACCCTGCTGATTCGAATAGTTGTGCTCACCAATGCAGCAGCAGAAACACTAGTTTTCCTCCTAGACCACAAGGAGGACCAAGGAAGGTTGGATTTAGTGGCCCTTACCAACACATTCTCAAAAACCTGCACCCTTGCTTGTCCTCCTAGACCACAAAGAGGACCAAGAAAAATTGGATTTAGTAGCCCTTACCGATGCATTTTCAAAAACCTGTTAGAGTCCTAAGCATTCTCCCGTTAGTATTGGGACTTTACTCATGTCCTATAAAGATGCTATGCCCCAAAAATGAAGTGGAGGGCCATAACCTGAGGGATGGGAGGGATCTCCAGAGTTAGAAGAGTGATGCCTTTTGTCCTCACTTATATGAATAGGAAGGATGCAATTTCTGAGGCTCCCCATATCCTAGCTTCAGGAATAGCTTTTGTTAGGCCTGCTTGTCTGAGGAGGGATCCTAAAATTCCAGATAGTTCCCCCTATGATGGGGCTTTGGGCAAAAATTATATCTTTCTGATTGGTGAGCCCGAGTGCCTAAAGAAGGTAACAGAGTCCTGAAGTTTATACTAGAAATCATTCTTACAGGAGAAACTAGAAAAGCACCAGAGACAGGGAGTGGTTTTTAGAAGCAGGACTAGCCTTGGAGAAGAGAGGCAAGAGGAAGTTTGTCTGACAGGCATTAGGACCCAGGAGGCAAGGGTCAGGGTAGACAGGATAGATGGGTGAGCCTCGGTTAGGTGATACGACTTTGAGAGTTCTGTTCATGGCTGCAGGGTCAACCAACTTGTTGTCGGGACCCCGGAGCTGAATGGCTTTCTTCTCTGTCAACCCTCTGCTCAGCCCAGAAGTACAGGAAAAGCAGAAGCTGGTTCCAAGAAAACCAACGCTCCCAACTCCGAAGAGTAAGGGGTTGTTAGAGAGCCCTTTCCCAGAAAGCCTGACACTCGTGTCTTTAGTCCAGCAGCCATGCTGGTCACTTTTAACTGGCCAACAGATGCCCGGTATTTACCCACCAAATTCTAAGGAAAAATAGGACAGAATAGCAAGTGAAAGGGGTCCGATGGTGCTCACTGCTTGGTGATAGTCGATTGGCCCCACATTGGGTGCCAAAGTGTGTCCGGAATTGGTTCCTTCTGGTGGGTTCTTGAAGGGCAGATCACCTGAGGTTGGGAGTTCGAGACTAGCCTCACCAAGATGTAGAGACCCCATCTCTACTAAAAATACAAAATTAGCAGGGCATGGTGGTGCATGCCTGTAATCCCAGCTACTTGGGAGAATCACTTGAACCCAGGAGACGGAGGTTGCAGTGAGCCGAGATCACACCATTGCACTTCAGCCTGGGCAACAAGAGTGAAACTTTGTCAAAAAAAAAAAAAAAAAAGGGGAGAAGCCAAGATGGCCGAATAGGAACAGCTCCGGTCTACAGCTACCAGCATGAGCGATGCAGAAGACGGTGATTTCTGCATTTCCATCTGAGGTACCGGGTTCATCTCACTAGGGAGTGCCAGACAGTGGGCGCAGGTCAGTGGGTGCACGCACTGTGCGTGAGCCGAAGCAGGGCGAGGCATTGCCTCACTTGGGAAGCGCAAGGGGTCAGGGAGTTCCCTTTCTGAGTCAAAGAAAGGGGTGATGGACGGCACCTGGAAAATTGGGTCACTCCCACCTGAATACTGCGCTTTTCTGACGGGCTTAAAAAATGGCGCACCACGAGATTATATCCCGCACCTGGCTTGGAGGGTCCTACGCCCACGGAGTCTCGCTGATTGCTAGCACAGCAGTCTGAGATCAAACTGCAAGGCAGCAGCGAGGCTGGGGGAGGGGCGCCCGCCATTGCCCAGGCTTGCTTAGGTAAACAAAGCAGCCGGGAAGCTCCAACTGGGCGGAGCCCACCACAGCTCAAGGAGGCCTGCCTGCCTCTGTAGGCTCCACCTCTGGGGGCAGGGCACAGACAAACAAAAAGACAGCAGTAACCTCTGCAGACTTAAATGTCCCTGTCTGACAGCTTTGAAGAGAGCAGTGGTTCTCCCAGCACGCAGCTGGAGATCTGAGAATGGGCAGACTGCCTCCTCAAGTGGGTCCCTGACCCCTGACCCCTGAGCAGCCTAACTGGGAGGCACCCCCCAACAGGGGCACACTGACACCTCACACGGCAGGGTATTCCAACAGACCTGCAGCTGAGGGTCCTGTTTGTTAGAAGGAAAACTAACAAACAGAAAGGACATCCACACCAAAAACCCATCTGTACATCACCATCATCAAAGACCAAAAGTAGATAAAACCACAAAGATGGGGAAAAAACAGAACAGAAAAACTGGAAACTCTAAAGAGCAGAGCGCCTCTCCTCCTCCAAAGGAACACAGTTCCTCACCAGCAATGGAACAAACCTGGATGGAGAATGACTTTGACGAGCTGAGAGAAGAAGGCTTCAGACAATCAAACTACTCTGAGCTATGGGAGGACATTCAAACCAAAGGCAAAGAAGTTGAAAACTTTGAAAAAAATTTAGAAGAATGTATAACTAGAATAACCAATACAGACAAGTGCTTAAAGGAGCTGATGGAGCTGAAAAGCAAGGCTTGAGAACTACATGAAGAATGCAGAAGCCTCAGGAGCTGATGTGATCAACTGGAAGAAAGGGTATCAGCGATGGAAGATGAAATGAATGAAATGAAGTGAGAAGGGAAGTTTAGAGAAAAAAGAATGAAAAGAAATGAGCAAAGCCTCCAAGAAATATGGGACTATGTGAAAAGACCAAATCTACATCTGATTGGTGTACCTGAAAGTGATGGGGAGAATGGAACCAAGTTGGAAAACACTCTGCAGGATATTATCCAGGAGAACTTCCCCAATCTAGCAAGGCAGGCCAACGTTCAGATTCAGGAAATACAGAGGACGCCACAGAGATACTCCTCGAGAAGAGCAACTCCAAGACACATAATTGTCAGATTCACCAAAGTTGAAATGAAGGAAAAAATGTTAAGGGCAGCCAGAGAGAAAGGTCGGATTACCCTCAAAGGGAAGCCCAACAGACTAACAGCGGATCTCTCGCCAGAAACCCTACAAGCCAGAAGAGAGTGGGGGCCAATATTCAACATTCTTAAAGACAAGAATTTTCAACCCAGAATTTCATATCCAGCCAAACTAAGCTTCATAAGTGAAGGAGAAATAAAACACTTTACAGACAAGCAAATGCTGAGAGATTTTGTCACCACCAGGCCTGCCCTAAAAGAGCTCCTGAAGGAAACGCTAAACATGGAAAGGAACAACGGGTAACAGCCGCTGCAAAATCATGCCAAAATGTAAAGACCATCAAGACTAGGAAGAAACAGCATCAACTAACGAGCAAAATCACCAGCTAACATCATAATGACAGGATCAAATTCACACATAACAATATTAACTTTAAATGTAAATGGACTAAATGCTCCAATTAAAAGACACAGACTGGCAAATTGGATAAAGATTCAAGACCCATCAATGTGCTGTATTCAGGAAACCCATCTCACATGCAGAGACACACATAGGCTCAAAATAAAAGGATGGAGGAAGATCTACCAAGCAAATGGAAAACTAAAAAAGGCAGGGGTTGCAATACTAGTGTCTGATAAAACAGACTTTAAACCAACAAAGATCAAAAGAGACAAAGAAGGCCATTACATAATGGTAAAGGGATCAATTCAACAAGAAGAGCTAACTATCCTAAATATATATGCACCCAATACAGGAGCACCAAGATTCATAAAGCAAGTCCTGAGTGACCTACAAAGAGACTTAGACTCCCACACATTAATAATGGGAGACTTTAACACCCCACTGTCAACATTAGACAGATCAACGAGACAGAAAGTCAACAAGGATACCCAGGAATTGAACTCAGCTCTGCACCAAGCGGACCTAATAGACATCTACAGAACTCTCCACCCCAAATCAACAGAATATACATTTTTTTCAGCACCACACCACACCTATTCCAAAATTGACCACATACTTGGAAGTAAAGCTCTCCTCAGCAAATGTAAAAGAACAGAAATTATAACAAACTATCTCTCAAACCACAGTGCAATCAAACTAGAACTCAGGATTAAGAATCTCATTCAAAACCGCTCAACTACATGGAAACTGAACAACCTGCTCCTGAATGACTACTGGGTACATAAAGAAATGAAGGCAGAAATAAAGATGTTCTTTGAAACCAACGAGAACAAAGACACAACATACCAGAATCTCTGGGACGCATTCAAAGCAGTGTGTAGAGGGAAATTTATAGCACTAAATGCCCACAAGAGAAAGCAGGAAAGATCCAAAATTGACACCCTAACATCACAATTAAAAGAACTAGAAAAGCAAGAGCAAACACATTCAAAAGCTAGCAGAAGGCAAGAAATAACTAAAATCAGAGCAGAACTGAAGGAAATAGAGACACAAAAAACCCTTCAAAAAATTAATGAATCCAGGAGCTGGTTTTTTGAAAGGATCAACAAAATTGATAGACAGCTAGCAAGACTAATAAAGAAAAAAAGAGAGAAGAATCTAATAGACGCAATAAAAAATGATAAAGGGGATATCACCACCGATCCCACAGAAATACAAACTACCATCAGAGAATACTACAAACAACTCTACGCAAATAAACTAGAAAATCTAGAAGAAATGGATAAATTCCTCGACACATAAACCCTCCCAAGACTAAACCAGGAAGAAGTTGAATCTCTGAATAGACCAATAACAGGATCTGAAATTGTGGCAATAATCAATAGCTTACCAACCAAAAAGAGTCCAGGACCAGATGGATTCACAGCTAAATTCTACCAGAAGTACAAGGAAGAACTGGTACCATTCCTTCTGAAACTATTCCAATCAATAGAGAAAGAGGGAATCCTCCCTAACTCATTTTATGAGGCCAGCATCATTCTGATACCAAAGCCAGGCAGAGACACAACAAAAAAAGAGAATTTTAGACCAATATCCTTGATGAACATTGATGCAAAAATCCTCAATAAAATACTGGCAAAACGAATCCAGCAGCACATCAAAAAGCTTATCCACCATGATCAAGTGGGCTTCATCCCTGGGATGCAAGGCTGTTCAATATACGCAAATCAATAAATGTAATCCAGCATATAAACAGAGCCAAAGACAAAAACCACATGATTATCTCAATAGAAGCAGAAAAAGCCTTTGACAAATTCAACAATCCTTCATGCTAAAAACTATCAATAAATTAGGTATTGATGGGACGTATTTCAAAATAATAAGAGCTATCTATGACAAACCCACAGCCAATATCATACTGAATGGGCAAAAACTGGAAGCATTCCATTTG
This sequence comes from Homo sapiens, assembly GCF_000001405.40. Taxonomy (NCBI): domain Eukaryota; kingdom Metazoa; phylum Chordata; class Mammalia; order Primates; family Hominidae; genus Homo; species Homo sapiens. The sequence goes on from NC_000009.12 coordinate 86,161,031, forward strand.
AAAACTGGCACAAGACAGGGATGCCCTCTCTCACCACTCCTATTCAACATAGTGTTGGAAGTTCTGGCCAGGGCAATTAGGCAGGAGAAGGAAATAAAGGGTATTCAATTAGGAAAAGAGGAAGTCAAACTATCCCTGTTTGCAGACGACATGATTGTATATCTAGAAAACCCCATTGTCTCAGCCCAAAATCTCCTTAAGCTGATAAGCAACTTCAGCAAAGTCTCAGGATACAAAATCAATGTACAAAAATCACAAGCATTCTTATACACCAGCAACAGACAAACAGAGAGCCAAATCACGAGTGAACTCCCATTCACAATTGCTTCAAAGAGAATAAAATACCTAGGAATCCAACTTACAAGGGATGTGAAGGACCTCTTCAAGGAGAACTACAAACCACTGCTCAAGGAAATAAAAGAGGATACAAACAAATGGAAGAACATTCCATGCTCATGGGTAGGAAGAACCAATATCGTGAAAATGGCCATACTGCCCAAGGTAATTTACAGATTCAATGCCATCCCCATCAAGCTACCAATGCCTTTCTTCACAGAATTGGAAAAAACTACTTTAAAGTTCATATGGAACCAAAAAAGAGCCCGCATCGCCACGTCAATCCTAAGCCAAAAGAACAAAGCTGGAGGCATCACACTACCTGACTTCAAACTATATTACAAGGCTACAGTAACCAAAACAGCATGGTACTGGTACCAAAACAGAGATATAGATCAATGGAACAGAACAGAGCCCTCAGAAATAACGCCACATATCTACAACTATCTGATCTTTGACAAACCTGAGAAAAACAAGCAATGGGGAAAGGATTCCCTATTTAATAAATGGTGCTGGGAAAACTGGCTAGCCATATGTAGAAAGCTGAAAGTGGATCCCTTCCTTACACCTTATATGAAAATCAATTCAAGATGGATTAAAGACTTAAACATTAGACCTAAAACCATAAAAACCCTAGAAGAAAACCTAGGCATTACCATTCAGGACATAGGCATGGGCAAGGACTTCATGTCTAAAACACCAAAAGCAATGGCAACAAAAGACAAAATTGACAAATGGGATCTAATTAAACTAAAGAGCTTCTGCACAGCAAAAGAAACTACCATCGGAGTGAACAGGCAACCTACAAAATGGGAGAAAATTTTCGCAACCTACTCATCTGACAAAGGGCTAATATCCAGAAACTACAATGAACTCAAACAAATTTAGAAGAAAAAAACAACCCCATCAAAAAGTGGGCGAAGGACATGAACAGACACTTCTCAAAAGAAGACATTTATGCAGCCAAAAAACACATGAAAAAATGCTCATCATCACTGGCCATCAGAGAAATGCAAATCAAAACCACAATGAGATACCATCTCACACCAGTTAGAATGGCAATCATTAAAAAGTCAGGAAACAACAGGTGCTGGAGAGGATGTGGAGAAATAGGAACACTTTTACACTGGTGGTGGGACTGTAAACTAGTTCAACCATTGTGGAAGTCAGTGTGGCGATTCCTCAGGGATATAGAACTGGAAATACCATTTGACCCAGCCATCCCATTACTGGGTATATACCCAAAGGACTATAAATCATGCTGCTATAGAGACACATGCACATATATGTTTATTGCGGCATTATTCACAATAGCAAAGACTTGGAACCAACCCAAATGTCCAACCATGATAGACTGGATTAAGAAAATGTGGCACATATACACCATGGAATACTATGCAGCCATAAAAAATGATGAGTTCACGTCCTTTGTAGGGACATGGATGAATTGGAAAACATCATTCTCAGTAAACTATCGCAAGAACAAAAAACCAAACACCGCATATTCTCACTCATAGGTGGGAATTGAACAATGAGATCACATGAACACAGGAAGGGGAATATCACACTCTGGGGACTGTTGTGGGTTCGGCGGGGGGAGGGATAGCATTGGGAAATATACCTAATGCTAGATGACGAGTTGGTGGATGCAGTGCACCAGCATGGCACATGTATAGATATGTAACTAACCTGCACAATGTGCACATGTACCCTAAAACTTAAAGTATAATAAAAAACAAAACAAAACAAAACAAAAGATTTATGTACATCTGAAAAAAACAAATTAATTATTAACAATTAAGACTTTCCTGAGGGAAATGCTCTAAGAAAAAGTATGTGTGTGTACATTCTATGTCTTTCTCTTTTTGAAACAGAGACAGGGTCTTGCTCTGTTGCCCAGGCTGGAGTGCAGTGGTGCAATCATAGCTCACTGCAGCCTTGAACTCCTGGGCTCAGGCAATCCTCCTGCCTCAGCCCACTGAGTAGCCGGGACTACAGGCATGGACTGCCACACCCAGTTAATTTTAAATTTTTTTTAAAAATAGAGACTGGGTCTTGCTTTGTTGCTCAGGCTAGTCTTGAACTCCTGGCCTCAAACAATCCTCCTGCCTCGACATCCCAAAGTGCTGGGATTATAGGTGTGAGCCACTGTGCTCAGCCTTTCTTCTTTCTTTTTTGGCATCAGAGAAAATTCATATTTTTTTTAGATTTCTCTTTACCCTTATAGTCTAATTGTCAACCGTGATCTGTTTTCTGTTTCTTCCATAGCAGTAGAGTTTAAGCTGGTTGCAAAATTGCTGAGTAAGGGAACATGTTTTCCAGACTCTTGTGCAGCTGGATGTGGTTCTGTTACTAAGGTCGGGCTGATGGACTGTGGGCAGAAATAAGTGTGTCACTCCTACGTCATCCCCAACCCAAAGGACAGACTCATTCCCTGGAGTTCTCTCTTTTCTCCTTCCCACTTGGACATACATGTAGACTTGCCTTTGGATATATGAACACATGCGTCTGTGACCCAGGTTTGACCATGCAGACAAGGACAACCTATTAATGGAAAGCGGTCCTGATCCAGACCCCAAGAGAGGGTTCTTGAATCTCGCATAAGAAAGAATTCAGGGTGAGTCCATAAAGTGAAAGCAAGTTTATTAAGAAAGTAGAGGAATAAAAGAATGGCTACTCCATAGACAGAGCAACCTGAGGGCTGCTGGTTGCCCATTTTTATGGTTATTTCTCGATTATATGCTAAACAAGGGGTGGATGATTCATGCCTCTCCATTTTAGACCATATAGGGTAACTTCCTGATGTCGCCATGGCATTGGTAAACTGTCATGGCGCTGGTGGGAGTGTAGCAGTGAGGACAACCAGATGTCACTCTCGTCACCATCTTGGTTTTGGTGGGGTTTAGCGGCTTCTTTATTGCAACCTGTTTTATGTATTTTTAATTTTTAATTTTTAATTTTTTAATTTTTTGAGATAGAGTCTTGCTCTGTCACCCAGACTGGAGTGCAGTGGTGCCATCTCAGCTCACTGCAACCCCCGCCTCCTGGGTTCAAGTGATTCTCCTGCCTCAGCCTCCCAAGTAGCTGGGACTACAGGTGCCTGCCACATGCCCAGCTAATTTTTGTATATTTAGTAGAGACAGAGTTTCACCATCTTGGCGAGGCTGGTCTCAAAGTCTTGACCTCAGGTGATCCACCTGCCTCAGTTTCCCAAAGTACTGGGATAGGTGTGAGCCACCTCACCTGGCCTACTGCAACCTGTTTTATCAGCAAAGTTTCTATGACCTGTATCTTATGCTGACTTCCTATCTCATCCTGTGACTTAGAATGCTTTAACCATCTGGGAATGCAGCCCAGTGCATCTCAGCCTCATTTTACCCAGCCCCTATTCAAGATGGAGTTGCTCTGGTTCAAACGCCATTGACAATCTAACTTGAGGGGATGAGACAAGATGGAAAGAGTCAGGATTCCTGAATAACTGCTTGAAGAAGAGCTGTCAGCTGGGTGTGGTGGCTCACACCTGTAATCCCAGCACTTTGGGAGGCCAAGGTGGGTGGATCACGAGGTCAGGAGATAGAGAACATCCTGGTTAACACGGTGAAACCCCGTCTCTACTAAAAATACAAAAAAAACCAAAAAACAAAATTAGCCAGGCATGGTGGCAGGCGCCTGTAGTCCCAGCTACTCGGGAGGCTGAGGCAGGAGAATGGCGTGAACCCAGGAGGCGGAGCTTGCAGCGAGCCAAGATCGCACCACTGGACTCCAGCCTGGGTGACAGAGCGAGACTCCATCTCAAAAAAAAAAAAAAAAAAAAAAAAAAAAAAAAAAAAAAAAGAGGAGCTGTCCCATCAACCTGGTCTACTCTTTGTGGAATAATTATGTAAGAGAGGAATAATCTTCTTTTCTCAAGACACTGAATCTGGGGACCTTCTTGGCTGAAAAAGCAGTTGGCCATTACTCTGAATAATACAGTATGTCAGTATCAATGTACGTATTTATGTTACATATTAATGTATAGCAGAGATATCAATACCTTGTATTGTTATATATCTATCTCACCTATATTGCACATGTGTGTGTGCCTTACCTTCTAGTTGCATCACCAGTTCCTGAAAGAGAAGCACTTAAATAAAGCCATCTTAATTTCCTACAAAAAAGTAGGAAAGGGATTATCTCAGAAGCAAAAAGTGGCAATTTAGCCTGTTAAACCAAAATTTCAACAAATTTAAAGATTAAACTGGTTTTTGTTAGTAATTCATGAATTGCAGCATCTCTCTACAAATAAAAGAAGCTCAGTTGGGCAATAAAGAACAATTTGTTTGTATACAGCAGTGATATAGTTTGGATATTTGTCCCTGCTCAAATCTCATATTGAATTGTAATCCCCCATGATTGCGGTGAGGCCTGGTGGGAGGTGTTTGGGCCATCAGGACAGATCCCTCATGATTTGATGCCTTCCTCACCATAACGAATGGGTTCTCATGAGATCTGGTCGTTTAAAAGCGCGTGGCACCTCTCTGCCCTTGTTCCTGCTTTTGCCATGTGATGCACCTGCTCCTTCTTCAACTTCCACTGTAAGTAAAAGCTCCCTGAGGCCTCCCCAGAAGCTGAACAGATGCCAGCGTCATGCTTTCTGTACAGCCTGCAGAATTGTGAGCCAATTAAATCTCTTTTCCTTATAAAGTACCCAGTCTCAGGTACTTATAGCAATGCAAGAAGGCCTAAAACACATAGCTTTGAGGCAGGAGGATAGGGTCTGGAGGCAGGGAACATAAGGCCGATTCATGCGGACTTCCTTGAACTAAATCAAATGGAAACACTTCAGCTATAACAGGAAATATCCTCTCCATTTACATAGGGCCTACACCGAGTAAATTACTGTAACTTTACTTCATCCTCTTCATTTACATAGGTTGTACACCAAGTAACCGATGGAAACCTCTAGAGGGTATTTAATCCCCAGAAAATTCTGTAATGGGGCTCTTGAGCCCCTATGCTTGGGCCTGCTCCCACCCTGTGGAGAGTACTTTCATTTTCAATAAATCGCTGCTTTTGTTGCTTCATTCTTTCCTTGCTTTGTGTGTTTTGTCCAATTCTTTGTTCAAGATGCCAAGAACCTGGACACCCTCCACCATTAACAGCTTGAGCAGGAACAAGAAAACAGAAAAATACAAAAAAGCAGGTTGGTAACCTCAGGTTATCTCAGGTTACTTTCCTTGGAAGAGTTAAAGCAGAGAGGACTTCCTTATCACGTCAGCTGAGGTTAACTGGGCCCCTTCTGATTGGTTGCTGTGAGTCTCCTGTTTTTAGGTAAACCTGGTCTAGTTTGGGATTTTCTGGCTTCCTTCAAGTTTCAGTTTGATTAGGTGGCACTTAGCAAGAGTGACTCCATTTTGTTTTGGTCTACCGGGGCCTAGTGCAAGAGCTCAGTCCAAAACAATGGCCTCCTACTTAACAAGCTCCATGAAAACTAAACACAGGTCCTTACTTTTCTCATTGTGCAGCTGACTGGTAAATGATCTACCATAAACCAGCTTCAGAACCTGCATTTTTCTTTGTGAATCAATGCTCTTCATTATGAAGGACATACTTATTTTCTTTTTCTTTATCTTTTTGGAGACAAGGCTTTGCTCTGTCACCCAGGCTGGAGTGCAGTGGTGTGGTCATGGCTAACTGCAGCTTTGAACTCCTGGGCTTATGTGATCCTGCCATCTCAGCCTCCTGAGTAGCTGGGACTATAGGCATGTGCTACCATACTCAGCTACTTTTTACATTTTTTACAGAGACAAGGCCTCACTACATTGCCCCAGCTGGTTTTGAACTCCTGGCCTCAAGTGATCCTTCTGCCTTGGCCTCCCAAAGCACTGAGATTATAGGTGTGAGCCATTGCATCTGGCGATATTATCTATTTTCATCAAACATATGGGGCATACAATAAGTGGCAGAAAACAGATTGTCTGGAAGGTTTAAAATGAAAGTCTTTTGCGGGGGTGGCAGAAGAAAATCTTTACAGTCATTTATTTATTTATTCATTGGCCAATCATGAATGGAATGCTTACTCTGTGTCAGGAACTATGTCCATTATTAGGATCAGAGAGTTTGCCTTCAGGGAGTTCACATTCTCATTATTTATGATACAATATGATAAGTACTGAAGAGATATTTGCATAGGCTTTAATATGGGATTTCAGAAGTATCTGACTCAGTTTGGGGAGCAGGGATGTCTAAGAGGAGATGAGATGAATGCTGCAGGTAGTGGACAAGGTGGGACAGGACAGTGAGGCAGAGGGACATTGGTATAGGTGCAGGCAGCCTGAAGAAACCAACACTGGCCTTCCATTGGGAAGGGAATGAGAAGAGCAATCCCTACCAGGAACTCATAAATATCCTCTGTGGCAACTGTCAACTAAAAATCACAAAATCTATAAAGTTGAAAAAGAGAACATTATTTCTGAGAAGGGTTGCAACCTGCAGGTTGGGAAAGCGAGCCTCTGGCCGAGACCAAAAGGAGGCACTTTCAGAGAGGAAGGTTGGAACAAGCGTTTTATGCCAGACAGGCTGGTTAACATAACAGGTTAGTTAACAGGTTATAGGAGACGCTGTGAATATTTATGAAAGAGGGTCTCCCAGCCTGGCCAACATGGTGAAACCTTCTCTCTACTAAAAATACAAAAATTAGCCAGGTGTGGTGGTGGGCGCCTGTAATCCCAGCTACTTGGGAGGCTGAGGCAGGAGAATTGCTTGAACCTGGGAAGTGGAGGTTGCAGTGAGCCGAGATCATGCCACTGCACTCCAGCCTGGGTGACAGAGCAAAATTCTGTCTCAGGGAAAAAAAAAAAAGAAAGAGGTTCTCAAGCATGCATGACGAGCAAACATACCTGTTACATATGACCCATGTTCACTTTGGGGTGGAGATTTAACATTAAAATGCAGTAAAATTAGGATCTGTATGTCAAAAGGTGAGACCAAAGACACAAAGGTGCCTTGTGCACAGCCCCCATACCCTGGCTGGGACCAGTCCCCTGTTCGATGGGCATTCATCAGGAAGGAATGCCCTGCAAGCAGGTCAGCAGTCATTTTGAGACCATGAATAGGGAGGGGAGTCTGGCCGTGGCATCAGGCTGGTCAGTGGGGGAGCCGTCTGTTCTTTGTTTTCCAGGGCTGGTTTCTGTTTCTCTCTCTCTCTCTCTTTTTTTTTTTTTTTTTTGAGACAGAGTCTTACTCTGTTGCCCAGGCTGGAGTGCAATGGCGCAATCTCAGCTCAATGCAACCTCTGCCTCCTAGGTTCAAGCAATTCTCCTGCCTCAGCCTCCCAAGTAGCTGGGATTACAGGCACGCACCACCATGCCCGGCTAACTTTTTGTATTTTCAGGAGAGATGGAGTTTTGCCATGTTGGTCAGGCTGGTCTCAAACTCCTGACCTCAGATGGTCCACCCACCTCAGCCTCCCAAACTGCTGGGATTACAGGTGTGAGCCACCACACCTGGCCTCTGTTTCTCTCTTAGGAAAGTGTCTAATGGTGGTCAGTGGGGTAGGGGGGACTGAGACATGACTGACCTCCTGTCTCATCATGGCTGGGAAGCTTAGTGCTAAGGTTTTTCTGGGGCCTCCTTAGTTGAGAGAGGTTGGTTCCATCAGTCAGGGGGCTTAGGATTTTATTTTTATTTCACACAACACATGTTCAAATTAGCAAGATTTTGAACAATTAGTTCCTCACATAAAAGAAAAATAAAAGCAAAAGAAGCTACAGGTTTTTTCCCTGATGCTAAGAATTTATATTGTTATTAAATTGCAGATGTTTGAATACAATAAGCCCAAAAGGAGCTAGGCACTGTCTCCTACAATCAAGGCAAAATGTACAGAATGATTTGTTCTTAACAGAAAACCGATTTTCTCCCAAGCACAAAAGACATGCTGAACTAAATGAGCTCAACAAAAGGGTCTCAAGGAAACGGGGAATTTTTCATGACTTGTTTTACTGATGGTGAAGGTTACTTCTGAAAGCCCAACATTTTAAATCAGTTTTAAAGAATATTGTGCAACAATATTACAGATTCATATTCGAGTGGGTCTTGCTGTACAGCAGGAAATCAGAGGAACATTAATCAAATAATACACAGGTAGGACCTAATACCAAAAGAGGAAGACATGGATTTCAAGGCAAAACTTATCAGGGACCTGTAGCACCAAATTGTCTTTACCCAATGGATGTAGGAAAGTGGTCAAGTGAACATTTGTCTTTTTGAAAGCTGTTGATCTTCAGGAAAGATTTGACAATATCCTTTCAGACTCAGCCATGTCTCTCCCACATGAATATGTTGATCATAAATGTGAACCTTGAGAACAAATCCACTCTAGGTCTGTGATGGTGAGGACACTTGAATGCTTCCCTACCAGGCTAAAGCCTGAATTCAAGAACCTTGACCTCCCCTGGCGTGAAGGGCAACATGAACTACAGGTGGCCAGGCAGAATCAAGGACAGAAATGATGCGTGTATTAGGAATTGTTAGGGGACAAGCAACAGAAACCCATTTGAGCTAGCTCAGGTCAGAAGGGATTCATGGAGAGAAGTCACCATGCAGTCGCTCAGACATCCAAGAGGGGAACGCAGCAGCGCTGGCCATACAGAAATGGAGCTGGAGAACCTGCGGCATGGCTCAGCGGCTCCTCTCACATGGGCCACCTGCTTGGTCTGCTGCATTCTTCTGCTGATTTTTTTTTTTTTCCCAGGCAGAGTCTCACTCTGTCGCCAGGCTGGAGTGCAGTGGCGTGATCTTGGCCTCCCAAAGTGCTGGGATTACAGGCGTGAGCCACTACGCCCGGCATCTTCTGCTGATTTTTAAAAATAGCTTTACTAGGTTTAATTCACATACCATAAAATTCACCATTTGAAAGGATACAATTCCTTGGTTTTTTACTGTATTCACAGAATAATGCAGCCATCATCACTATCTAATTTCAGAATATTTCATCACTCCAAAAGGAATCCCGTACCCATTAGCAGTCACCCCTCATTTCCTCTCTTCCCCTCAGCTCCAGCAACCACAAACCTACTTTATGAATATCTATGGATTTTCTGTTCCAGATACTTCACATACATGCAATGATACACCATGTAGCTTCTTTAATACATTTTTTAAAAGAGAAGGTCTCACTATGTTGTGCAGGCTGGAGTGCAATGGTGCAACCATAGCTCACTGCAGCCTTGAACTTCTGGGCTCAAGCGATCCTCCTGCCTCAGCTTTCCAAGTAGCTGGCACTACAGGCATGCACCACTGTGCCCAGCTTGAATGGTTTCTTTTACTCAGCTTAATGTTTTCAAGATTCGTTAATGTTGTAACATCTCTGAGTATTTCATTCCTTTTTAACATTTGAATAATACTCCACTCTGTGGATGTACCATATTTTGTTTACCCTTTCATCAGGTGAGGGCATTTGGTTTGTTTTAACTTTTTGGCTATTATGAATAATGCTGCTATGAACATTTGTGTACATGTGGATATCCAGTTGTCCCAGCTCCATTTGTTGAAAAGACTATCCTTTCCCGATTGAATTGTCTTGGTACTCCTGTGGGAAATCCATTGACCATAAACATGAAGATAGATAACTGGACTCTCCATTCTATGGACCTATGTTTCAGTTCTCTTGGGCAAGTGGGTGTGGAATTGCAGGGTCACATAGTAACTTTATGTTTACCTTTTTTTTTTTTTCCTTTGAGACAGAGTCTCACTCTTGTCGCCCAGGCTGGAGTACAATGGGGCAATCTCGGGTCACTGCAAGCGCCGCCTCCCTGGTTCAAGCCATTCTCCTGCCTCAGCCTCCCAAGTAGATGGGACTACAGGCATGTACCACCACGCCTGGCTAATTTTTTTTTTTTAATTTTTAGTAGAGATGGGGTTTCACCATGTTGGCCAGGCTGGTCTTGAACTCTTGACCTCAGGTGATCCACCTGCCTCAGCCTCCCAAAGTGCTGGGATTACAGACATGAGCCACCATGCCCAGCCCTTTTTGAGGCACTGACAGACTGTTTTCCAAAGTAGCTTCACTATGTTACACATTCCCACCAACAGTGTATGAAGGTTCTGATTTCTCCATATCCTTGTCAACATTTCTTATTGTCTTTTTTATTTTAGCCATCTCACTGTGGCTTTGATTTGCATTTCCTTAGTAACTAGTGATTTCGAGCATCTTTTCATGTGCTTACTGTACAGTTGTACATATTCATTAAAGAAATATCTATTTCGATCCTCTGTCTACATTTTAATGTTATTCAACTTTTTATTATTGAGTTGTAAAGTTCCTTTATTATCCTAGAGACAAGTTCTTTATCAGCTATGTGATTTACAAATATTTTATCTCATCCCATAGGTTGTCTTTTTATTTTCTCGATGATATCTTTTGAAGTGCAAAAGTTTTTAGTTTTGATAAAATTCAGTTTATCTATTTTTTGTTATTTGGCTTTCACTGTCATATGTAAGAAACAATTGTCTAATCCAAGGTTATGAAGATTTACTCCTTTGTTTTCTTCTAAGTATCTTATAGTTTTAGCTCTTACAGGTAGATCTGTGATCCATTTTGAGTTCATTTTTGTATATGGTGTGAAGTAGGATGCCCAACTTCATTCTTTTGCATGTGGATATCCAGTTGTCCCAGCTCCATTTGTTGAAAAGACTATTCTTTCCCCATCGAATTGTCTTGGTACTCCTGTGGAAAATCCATTGACCATAAACATGAAGGTAGATAACTGGACTCTCAATTCCATCCCATTGATCTATTTTTCTATTCTTATGCCAGTACTACCCTATCTCGATTACCCTTGCTTTGCAGTACGTTTTTGAAATTGGGAAATGTTGTTTTTCCAATTTTGTTTTTTTCTAAGATTGTTGTGGCTACCCTGGGTCCCTTGCAATCCCATGAAAATTTTAGAATCAGCTTGCCAATTTCTGCAAAGAAGCCAGCTGGGATTTTGATAAAGATTGGATTTAATGTCTTTCTTTTCTTTCTTTTTTTTGAGGCAGAGTTTCACTCTTGTTGCCCAGGCTGGAGTGCAATGGCACTATCTGGGCTCACTGCAACCTCTGCCTCCCAGGTTCAAGCGATTCTCCTGCCTCAGCCTCCCTAGCAGCTGGGATTACAGGTGCCTGCCACCATGCCCAGCTAATTTTTTGTATTTTTAGTAGAGATAGGGTTTCACCATGTTGGCCAGGCTGGTCTTGAACTCTTGACATCAGGTGATCCACCTGCCTTGGCCTCCCAAAGTGCTGGGATTACAGGTGTGAGCCACTGCATCCGGCCCCTGGATTTAATTTCTACATCAATTTAGGGAGTATTATTACATTAACAATATTAACTTAATATTAACAATATTAAGTATTCTAATAATACATAGACATGGAATGTTTTTATATTTATTTATTTATTTTGAGATGGAGCTTCACTCTTGTTGCCCAGGCTGGAGTGCAATTGCATGATCTTGGCTCACTGCAACCTCCGCCTCCCAGGTTCAAGCCTTTCTCCTGCCTCAGCCTCCCGAGTAGCTGGGATTACAGGCATGTGCCACCATGCCCGGCTAATTTTTTGTATTTTTAGTAGAGACAGTGTTTCTCCACGTTGGTCAGGCTGGTCTTGAACTCCCAACCTCAGGTCATCCGCCCACCTTGGCCTCCCAAAGTGCTGGGTTACATACATGAGCCACCGCGCCCGGCCGTCTTTCCATTTATTAATGTCTTTGATTACTTTCAATAATATTTTGTAGTTTTCAGTGTACAAGTCTTATACTCCTTTAGTTAAACATATTCCTAAGTATTCATTCTTTTTAATGCTATTGTAAATGAAATTTCTTATTCATTGTTAATATGTAGGAATACAATTGATTTTTATATGTTGATCTTGTATCCTGTAACTTTGCTGAACTTTTGTATTAGTTCTAATAATAATAAACAATTGTATTAGTTCTAATACAAAATAACTTTGTATTAGGATATTTTTGTGTATTCCTTAGTTTTTTCTATATAAAAGATCATATCATTTGTAAATAGAGATCAGTTTATTTATTTTTTTCAAGCTAGAAAAAAAATTATTCCAGATTTTTTCCTCTTCTTCTTCTTCTTCCTTTTCCTCTTGTTCTTTCTTCTTCTTCCCTTCTTCTTCCTCTTCCTTTTCTTCTTCTTCTTTTTTTTTTTTTTTTTTTGAGACAGAGTCTCACTCTTTTTGCCCAGGCTGGAGTGCTGAAGCGCAATGGCATGATCTTGGCTCACTGCAACCTCTGCCTCCCGGGTTCATGTGATTCTCCTGCCTCAGCCTCCTGAGTAGCTGGGATTACAGGTGCCCACCACCACGCCTGGCTAATTTTTGTGTTTTTAGTAGAGACGGGGTTTCACCATGTTGGCCAAGCTAGTCTCGAACTCCTTACCTCAAGTGATCTGCCAGCCTGGGCCTCCCAAAGTGCTGGGATTACAGGTGTGAGCCACCACGCCTGGCTGAGATTACCTTGTTTTCTCATTTCTCTTCCTTGCCTAATTTTTCTGGCTGGAACCTCGATTATAGGCTGAAAAGAAGTAGCAATTGCAGATATCCGTGTCTTATTCCTGATCTTAGGGGAGAAATCATGCAGGCTTCCATCATTAAGGATAATGCTAATAGATGAGATCCCTCTGTCTCTCTGTGACTTCATGATTGCAGCCCATGTTTGTATGCCATGTGACCATCTTGGCCCTGGATCTGCTTGATCTCTTAAAGGCTCCATCATCCTGTAATTCCCTGTTTCTCTCTAGTCCTAGAAAGAGAGAATCTGACTGGCTCAGCCAAGGCTAGGGGTTGGCTTCTCTTCAGTCAGGTGTCTGCTATGGTCCAATCAGCTATGGCTAGAGTAGAAGGCTGGGGCATGCAGTATGCACGTGGTGGCTGGGGCATGCAGTATGCACGTAGCTGCTAAGGGCCACATCTAGGGTGAACAACTCATCCTGGTTTGCTCAGGACTTCCCTGGTTTTAGTACTGTAAGTCCCACATATCCCAACCCTCTTCAGTCCTTGGCAAACTCAAATAGTTGGCCCCCCATGCCTACTCCTCAGCAATACCTGTGTGTACATAGGGTTGGAGTGTGTCACAGAATGAGGGTAATGGTTAGGAGGTAATAATAGACTCATTCAACACAATGTTTTTGACTCCCAGAGTAAACTAGACTGCTTGAGCAGAGGTAAGTGTATTCAAAACTGGAGTTCCAGAACATTATCAATCCTTTTGGGGGCCTATGTGCCCATGACCGTGATGTCAGACAATTTTTAGACATGGCCCTTGGGAAGACTCAACAAACAGAAGAGAAAGAGATGTTTTCTACAAAATACCTAATCTAGAAGGTGGAATCTGGACCCACAGGCCCACCTCATTTGTCTTGTTCATCCAGAAAGATGGTTTTATAAACTTTGTGTTAGAATTCGTCTCAAGGCTGTCCCAGTTCCATCCTCCCTGTTGCCTTACACATGCCTCTATACACACAAATATTACCTGCTGGATCCTGGAAGGTATCTGAGTTTGTGACTCCTGGCCTAAAGAGTACTGTTTGTACTATTCTTTATTCTGGTGGTGAGAGAAAGAAAGGGTTAAGTTCAGGAGTTGAGAAATAACACCAGCTGCAAAAAGTAACTCATTTGGTGGGAAAATTGGGCATAATTTAAGTGCATTGATTAGTTAATAATGCTTACTGAACCATCACCAGTACTTAAAACAGGGGGAATACATAGAAAAGATAAGAGCTGACACCAGAGAAAGTAGTTAGAAAATTTTCAGGTCTGTGAAGATTTGGGCATCCCCAGAAGCCAACCCTGAGGAGAGGATCCATGTTCGAGCCTTTCAATGGGAGGTGATCTCAGGTATCCCTACTGTGGAGTGGGAATGTGACTCAGGGAAGGAAGCCAATAAAAGGTACCTCTGTCTGGTCCCCTTGGGAAAGCCTCGGGGAGAATGCAGAACGGAAACCTCAGAGTAGCCCCTGTGAGTGATGTCATGATTTGTGACACTAATGTCTCCAAATGGAGTCACTCACGTCAAGTGGCATTGAGCCCACAGTGAAGTCATTTCCCCTTCAACACAATAAACATATGGGATGGCCTGAGGTCATAATATTGCACCTGCTGCTGCCGGGTGTCACCCCAGGCCTGAAACCAACCTACGGGAAGTGGAAGATGGCTGAGATAATGAGAATAGACCCATCTACTGTGGATCATAAAGACAGCAAAAATCTGGCCTTCTCCAAGATGCCTTCAGAGGCTCTGCCCTTGAGAACTCTGAGGCCTTCTCCCAACTTTGGCGAGGCTGTGCCAGAGAGAAGCAGAGATCCCCCCAACCAGTGTTGGAAGGGCATCTGGACCCATGCAACTCATCGGTGGGTGCCTTGGTCTCCAGAGCTATCATTGTGGCTCCTTATCCTCTTTTTATTACTGCCTGTGCATTGAATATTAATTGCATGATTGATGGTGTGTGAAGCCCTCACAATAAACCATGAATTGGAGCACATATGTGAAATTGAGTCATTGCAACACCTTCTGCTTTGGTCTGAGTTAGCACACCTAGTGTAAATGTTTTATTGAGTCACTGTGAAACCTGCTTTGGTCTGAGTTAGCACACCTAGGTGGCATGAACCTAATTAACTTATCAGTGAGGAGAGAGGGGAGCAAGCCGGAATGTTTTTTCACCAATTCTGGTCAGCCAGTGGTTGAGGGCTGCTTCCGGGGGCATAAAATCCTTGACACTTCCAGCCTGCCTTAAAGAAAGCTGTGAATCAGACAGTTGGGGCTAGTTGGTATTCAGGCTGCACTCCCTGGTGAGGGGCTGCAGAGGGCACAGCTGGCTAGCAGCCTCAATAGCACACATATTTTCTGCTGCCATTGCAGTACCCAGACCTTAGGGGAGATGTCTGTCCCAAAAGGTAGACAGTGCTGGATGTTTACATTTTACCAGTGTTCTTGGCAGTGAGCCCAAGGGTGCCCGCTAGCTGAATGAAGTAGAATGGGAATTATTATAGAATATTAGGGGGCTCACATAGCTTCTGGGAGGGCTGGAGCATCGGCCACACCATAAGATATCCCAGGGAGCACTCCACTGCTGCAGGGCCAGGCACCCACCCCACAGAGCTGTCACTGGGCGCTGCTGTCCCCCCACACCCCCTGCCCCCCACCGCCTTCCCCAGTGGAAGTAACTGAAGCACCCTCAACGAGAGTAGCCAGAGGCTGTTGACTCAGAGCATGGTATAATGAGAGAGTCAGCCCCATCATTTGCACTTGGCAGAGGCTCAAGGGCAGTCAGGGGAGTGGGGAAGCTGTGTGCTGATAAGCTTCCGGGATCCCTGATTGGAGGCTGTTGGCATGGTGGGTGAATTAGAGATGGGGCAGCCTATTCAATTGGTTAGAGGAGCATATGGGGCTTTCTCAGGTTGGTCCTGAGATGGAAGTAGAGGCAAATATTTAGGAGTAGCCCAGTGGGGTGGTATGCGTCTATAATCCCAGCTATGAGGGAGGCTGTGGGAGGATGGCTGGAGCCCAGGAATTGGAGACCAGCATGAGCAAGAAAATGAGACTCTATCTTAAAACAAAACAAAACAAAAAACAAACAAACAAACAAAAAAACAAATAAGGCTGGGCATGGTGGCTCATGCCTGGAATCCCAGCACTTTGGGAGGCCAAGGAGTGTGGATCACCTGAGGTCAGGAGTTTGAGACCAGCCTGGACAACATTGTGAAACCCTATCTCTACTAAAAATACAAAATTAGCCGGGCACGGTGGCGTGTGCCTGTAGTCCCAGCCACTCAGGAGGCTGAGGTAGGAGACTCACTTGAACTCTGTAGGTGGAGGTTGCAGTGAGCCAAGATCGCGCCTTTGCACTCCAGCCTGGGCAACAAGAACAAAACTCCGTCTCAAAATAAATAAATAAATAAATAAGCTAATAAAAATAAAAAAGAAATAAAATCAAAATTTTGGGAAGCTAGCAGTTATTGACCAAGTCCTGATCACTTGGGGCTGAGTGCCTGTGCTGTCTTCCCCACATCACTCTTTCCTGGATGGGCTGCTCTTGGCTGTAGGAGCCTGGATCCTACAAGGCAGCACCTGGCTCTTCCCTGGGGATGGGGTCCCATGGGGGGCATTCATCCACTGGAGGAAGGAGGTTCACAGAGGCAGATACAGGGCAGCCACACAATACGACCAGTCTCTGTCACATAAGTTTAGCTGGTGACTGAGGAGTCACAAAACTGTTTTTGGAGGTGGAACCCAGAATATTTCTTGAACCAATAGATAAGAAGAGAAATGATTCTTGTGTCAATTTTCCTCCAGGGAGTGAAACTTAAATCTATTCCTTCAGAGAAAGTACAAAGTTTAAAGAAGCACAAGAAAATCCTCATGATCTCGTCACCAAAAATTAATAATAATAATTAATAATGACCATTGTTAACATTTTGACATTTTTACTATTTCCTTAGAATGTTTTCATCCTTTTTGTTTACATGGTAGAGATCATACTGTATACACAATTTCATATTCTGCTTTCTGGTTTAACTCTATATCATAAGCATTTCATCACTTCACTGCAACTCTTTGTAAACATCATTTTATGACTTAATAATATTCCACTGTGTGATTGTATATACATGATTTATGTAGCTATTTCCCGAACATTGGCTATTCAGATTGTTTTTCATTTTTGTTGTTATTATTAACATGTATAAATCCTTGTCTTTGTTTCTAAATGGGACAGGGTTTTAGAGGGGACTCAGTAAATCATAGGACATAAATGTCTTCACCTTTCTTGGCCTTTAGTCCACAGGACTATTTGTAAAGATAGAAGTGTGACAGGACTTTGTGACCCTTGCACTGTCTGCTTTCTATTTCTGGTCACCAGGAGAGAGGGACAGAGTAAGTGAAGACAATATAAAGAAAAAACTCCCAGCAAGGAGAGTTTGAAAATTTATCTGAGATGTCTCTGGATTTGGATTATGTTGTGAAATGATTTCTTGTCTGCTAAGGCATCCTGCAAGTGTTTATGAGAGATGTTTTGCTAGCTTGTAGTTTGCTAAAAGAGCAGAGAAACTCATCCTATTCTGAATAAGTGATGATAACATTTTACAGTAATTATAATAGGCAATCCATGATAATGTATTTTTAAATTGGGGATGTGTCTTAGTTTGTTCTGTGCTGCTGAACAGAATACTAAAGCCTGGGTAATTTATAAAGAGCAGAAATGTATTTCTCACAGTCCTAGAGGTTTGGAAGTCCAAGATCAAAGGGCCAGCATCTGGTGAGGGCCTTTGTGCTGCAACATCCCATGGTGGAAGACGGAAGGGCACAGAAAGGTTAAGAGAGAGAGAGAGCGCGCAAGAGAAGGCTGAGCTCATCCTTTCGTAAGAGACCCACTTTCATGATAATGGCATGAATCCACTCTTGAGCGGGGAGAACTCATGACTTAAACACCTCTTAAAGGTCTCACCTTCCAATATTGCACATTGAGGATCAAGTTTTCAACATCTGAACTTTGGGGGACACATTGAAACCATAGCAAGGTGAAAAATCAACTGGTTACTACTTTAACAAAATGCATATCCTAAAAATTGACATCCGGGGCCATCCTTCACAAACCATAGGGGTGCATCAGGATCACCTGGAGGGCTTATTAAAACATAAATTTATCAAGGGTTAAATCTTTGGGCCCTACTCCAAGGATTCTGATTTGTGTCTCAAATGAGTTGTCAGAGGATACTGATGCTGCCTGTCCTGGGACCTCACTTTGGGGCTTTGTTAAATTTGGCATAAAGAACTATAAAGAGAGGAATTGTAGGTGGCTTCAAATAATATAATTTGAGAAAAGGGGATCTGTACCCTCACCTCCTGTTCAACCATAAGTGAAGGTAACTTGTGAAACACGAGGCAGATAGGCAGGGCGCTCCCCTCCTTTGAGAGGATAAGACAAAGTCACGAGGCTAAGGAGGAACAAGCCTGTGTCCTGGGGCTGTGGGTTCCACCAGGCTCTGTGCGTAAGAAAGCTCTGTCTCTCATTCTCTCCTTTTTTTTTTTTTTTTTTTTGAGTCAGCTGGAGTGCAGTGACACGATCTTGGCTCACTGCAACCTCTGCCTCCCGGGTTCAAGCAATTCTTGTGCATCAGCCTCCAGAGTAGCTTGGATTACAGGTGCACACCACCACACCTGGCTAATTTTTGTATTTTTCGTAGAGACAGGGTTTCACCATGTTGGCTAGGCTGGTCTTGAACTCCCTGGCCTCAAGTGATCTGCCTGCCTTGGCCTCCTGAAGTGCTGGGATTACAGGCATGAGCCACTGTGCCTGGCCCACCTTGCTTTTTAGAGCTGAATAACATTTCATTGTTTGTCTGTGCCACATTTTATTTATCCCTTCTGCAGATGGACACTTGGATTGCTTTCACCTCTTGGCTGTTGTGAATAGTGCTGCTAAGAATATGGATATGCAATTGGAGAAAGCTTTTTTTAAGAGCCTAGGAGAGCCTGCAGCACCTGTAAAAATCTGGGCCTTCTCAGCCCTCATGCATACCTGAACTTACAGCCAGGTGGCAGACACCACTCTTGCCTATTTCATGCCCCATAGGTCCACTTCTGACTTCTGCTGTGGCTGTGCTGGACAGTCCCATGGGAGATCTGCCTCACCGGAGTCATGACTCAATCACGTAACTGCTGCCCCTTGTCTTTCTCACCTGGTGCTGTGGCAGCTGTCTTGGTCTACAAGTGCAGGAGGGCTAATGCCCCCAGACAACCCTGGACCAATGGGGTCTAGCTGGTGGATAATGCTGTGGCTGCCCATCTTTCCCGTGGACAATTTTGGAAGGCATTCACCTTCTCAGAGGTCCCAGGAGATTTGAGGGACCACAATAATGTGCTCTGATGTTGGCGTTTTCTCCTTCCCCATCTTGCTTTCCCTGCTCCCGTACTCCTGCTTGCTGAGCTTGCCTCCAAATAAACCACCTGACTCCGCGTCCTCCTTTCACAGGAACCCAGCAAGCACAAAGGCTGGTCCTTGCCTCTGGGTACATGGTCTGTAGCTTTCTTCTCTGCACATTGTCCAGCAGTGCCAAACATCGGGAGACTGAAAAGACCACAGGATTTTATGAGGGGAGAAGCAGAAGGACTCCAGAGAGTTATCAACTGACCTGGGTCCCAGAGTTAATTAGGAGGTGACTTCATCCTAGTAGAGTCCTTTCTTGTATACATGTGGTCCCTGGATCAGATCATAAGCATCAGCATCACCAGAAACATGGTAGAAATGCAAATTCTCAGACCTTGGCCCAGACCTACTGGATCAGAAACTCTGGGGGTGGCCAGCAATCTGTGTGTTAACAAGCCCTCTGGGTGACCCTGATGCATGCTAAAGTTTGAGATTGTAGGGGAGGAAACACTTTTCCTTTGCCTGAGGCCCTGTAAATTAGACCCACAAAAGATCAACAAGAGAAAAAGTTTACTAATACCTTTTCTAGCCCTTTTCCCACCCCTTTGAGTTACTCCTCACAGAGGTGTCTCCCAAGGGATGTGCATTGCACAGCCATGGCACAGTGGCTCACGCCTGTAATCCCAACAGTTTGGGAGGCTGAGGTGGGTGGATCACCTGAGGTCAGAAGTTCAAGACCAGCCTGGTCAACATGATGAAACCCCGTCTCTACTAAACATACAAAAAATTAGCTGGGCATGGTGGTGGGTGCCTATAATCCCAGCTACTCAAGGGCTGAGGCAGGAGAATCACTTGAACCTGGGAGGCAGAGGTTGCAGTGAGCCGAGATCACACTATTGCACTCCAGCCTGGGCAATAAAAGTGAAACTTCATCCAAAAAAAGAAAAGAAAAGAAAAGTAATTTCTTTCCAAAACCCCTGACACCAGTCTAATAATGAGAAAACATCAGACACCTCAGTTTGGGGATGTTTTATAGGATACCTGGCTAGGACTCCTCAAAACAGTCCTGCTACCAATGAACTTGTTTTACTTTTTTTTTATCACACACTTTATGACTTCTCATATGATTTAGTTTATTTCAAATGTTTGTGAATTATTGTTTAGAAAATTTATGAAACAATACTATGAAAATTAATGATAGTCACCAAAAATCTATCAGTTGTTATAATTGATTCAGCAGTGAATGTTTTCCTCTGCTCTCTTAGGTTTAGTAACTGGGGCCTGAACATTAAACTGACAAAAGACAGATTAACAGGACAAAGGTGTTTTTCATATGTATAGGGGGAGCTTCACAGAAAAGAAGTGAAGACCCCCAAAAGCAGTTAGGCCTGGCAGTTTATATACCTTTTAACAAACAGCAAAAAATTGTGGAGAAGTGACAAGACAAGGAAAATGTGTTTGAGCTTCTAGGTGTGGTAAATTATGGGAAGGTAAATATATGGGGAAAACTAATGGAAGACAGGGACTATTTGTAAGGTTAGTTATGCAGACTCAAGTCGATGCCATCTCATTTAATAATAAGAGCTATGTTCTCTTCCTAGTATGGAGAGAGTAGGAGAAACACCTTACAAAGGGAAAGTTAGTTTTTCTTTTAGGCGGAAAGGAGGAGGGGCGAGTGTTTCTTATACATCTAATTTTTCTTGTTCTTTTCCTTTTTTAATTTTTGAGACAGGGTCTCACTCTGTCACCCAGGCTGCTGTGCAGTGGCATGACCTTGGCTCACTGCAGCCTCAACCTCCTGGGCTCAAGTGATCCACCCACCTCAAGCCTCTCAAAGTGCTAGGATTGCAGGTGTGAGTCACTGTGCCTGGCCCATCTGATCTTTCTTCATTGGCTTCAGTTCAAAATAATTCTTAAGCCAAAGTGGCATATTTGGGATTGGCATATTCTGATCCCCTTTTATTCAAAGGCCATAAAAACATCCATTTTTTATTTTGGTGTTGGAAACTTATACTGTTCTCTTTCCACTGCAGAATAACATGTTAAAAAGTGATTTCTGGTTGGGCACAGTGGCTAATGACTGTAATCCCAGCACTTTGGGAGGCTGAGGTGGGCTGATCACCTGAGGTCAGGAGTTTGAGACCAGCCTGGCCAACATGGTAAAACCCCGTCTCTACTAAAAATACAAAAATTAGCCAGGCATGGTGGCACATGCCTGTAATCCCAGCTACTCAGGAGGCTGAGGCAGGAGAATCACTTGAACCTGGGAGGCAGAGATTGAAATGAGCCAAGATTGCGCCATTGCACTCCAGTCTGGGTGACAGATCAAGACTGCATCACAAAAAAAAAAAAAAAAAAGAAAAAGAAAAAAATGTAATTTCTTTCCAAAAACCCTGACACCAGTCTAATAATAAGAAAACATCAGATGACCCAGATTGGGGTATGTTTTATGGTTAGGACTCCTCAAAAGGGTCAAGGTTATGGGAAACAAGGAAAGACTGAGAAACTTAGGCCAGAGGAGACTAAGGAGATGTGATGAGTAAAGGGATTGTGGTGCCCTGGGTGGAATTCTGGAACAGAAAAGGAACATTAATGGAAAAATTGATAAAATGTGAATGAATTTGGAGTTTATGTCATAGTAATGTACCAATGTTAGTTTCTTAGTTTTGACAAATGTACCATGGTGATGTAGATAATAATATTGGAGGAAATGAAATAAAGTGTTAGGGTGAGGTGTACTCAAGAGTACCCTGTACTTTCTTTGCAATTCTTCTGTAAAATCTAGTTATTCCAAAATAAAAACTTTATGTTAAAATGCCATGGTAAATTATATTTTAATGGCTAGAGTAAAATTATGTTTCCTAAATGTCAGTCATTTATGTACAATCATGAATTTTCTTTTTGCTATGTATTGATATCATGTGTACTAATATTTTCTCTAAATTGAATATTTTAAAATAATGTAAGTATATACCTACATCATGGGATTATCTGTGGTAAGATCAATACAATGGCATAAGTTTAATATGTTATTTAAATATTTTTCTAATACCTTTTTTTCAAAAGTGAACTTTGGCAGATTATTTTCCCCCTGCAATGCAAACACAATGTCATGCCTCCCATTTGGTTTGGCCTTTCTGACTCATATCACATGACCTTGGCCAATGCTGTGGCCTTCCTTCTTTGTCTGGGAAACTGCCATGTATTCTTCATCTCTCAGCTTACATATAACTTCCTCAGGGAAGAGCTTCCTCATGTCTCTGGCTAGCCTCTGGTGGTGTCAGAGGCATTTGGACCAGAGAGACTCCATCTTGAATAGGAGCTGGGTAAAATAAAGCTGATACCTACTGGGCTGCATTCCCAGGAGGTTAGGCATTCTTAGTCTTAGGATGAGATACAAGGTCAGCACAAGATACAGGTCACAAAGACCTTGCTGATAAAAGGATGCGGTAAAGAAGCTGGCCAAAACTGGCCAAAGCCAAGATGGCAGTGAAAGTGACCTCTGGTTGTCCTCACTGCTCATTATACACTAATCATAATACATTAGCATGCTAAAATACACTCCCACCAGCTCCATGACAGTTTAAAATGCCATGGCAACATCAGGAAGTTACCCTATATAATCTAAAAGGGAAGGAACCCTCAGTTCCAGGAATTGCCCATCCCTTTCCTGGAAAATGAATAATCCACTCCTTGTTTGGCATGTAATCAAGGAGTAACTAACATAAATATACTCAGTCAAGCAACCCATGCTGCTAATCTGCCTATGGAGTAGCCATTCTTTTATTCCTTTACTTTCTTAATAAACTTGCTTTCACTTTACTCTGTGGACTTTCCCTGAATTCTTTCTTCTGCAAGGTCCAAGATTCCTCTCTTGGGGTCTGGATCGGGACCTCTTTCTGGTAACAGTGGCACTGTATAACTCTCCTTTCCTACATTTGTCACAGCTGTATATTGCCTGTTCACAGCAGTTCTCTCATCCTTTTCACATCTCATTTTCTGCCCCAAATAATCAAACTTCAGAAGCAAGAGCAGCTCACAGGGCTTGCCCTTCCTGGAGCCAGCTGGAAGTCTGGGGTTCGCTGGCAGAGGCGGCTGCAAGGGGGCACTGTGGTGTTTGTGGGGGCCACCAGGAGAGCGAGGAAAGGACAGAGAGACCTTAGGGAGGATATAGGTTCAGTGCTCAAGAGAGGAGGCAAAGAGGACTAGATTTCTGGTTACAGAAGATAAGGAACATGGATGGAGATGTGGAAAGAAGAGAATGAGAATGTCTTGGGAAGAACCATAATTTGGACAGAGAGAAAGGTTATTAATGATATCAAGGCATTCTCTGTCTCATTTTAGCCACATATGTAGAAATGAAAAGCCTAGTGGAAATCTAAAGATTGTGTTTGGCAAAGGGCAAGTTATATTCTTAATAAGAACCCAACATTGGCAGTGAAAAATCTAGCTTTCTTGTACTATAGTAGTTCCTCAACACAGAAACAGAATAGTTTCACAACACAGTTGTGAAAAAAGTGGGATTATGGAGTAATGAAAATATTCTAATATCTGATGCTGATTAGGAAAAACATAAACTCAAGGTCTGTTGGGAGGTGCTCAGAATAAAGACCTAAACATCTAGAAAGAAAAGCAAGCCCCTTTCCAATAACACAGCCTACTCATGAAGGGCTGAAATATTTTTTAGGAATCAGAAACATATGACTTAAAGCAAAAGAATGATGAGATTTAATGCAAAATTTAAGGAGTTTTTTTTTTATTCATTTGGGTTCAATAAACATTTAATTTTCAGCTGCCCACATTGGGCTATCACTGAGAAAAGGTGCTTGGCTGGTTGAGACAGACATGTGCAGTACTGCCACAATACAGCTGAAAAGCATGTGCACCTGCCCATGTGAGGGAGGTGCAAAGGTGGTTGAGAGCAAGTGGTAATGTGTGTGGATGAGTATGGGGAGAAGGGGCTGGGAATGGCTCACTAGAGGCAACCATGTTGCATAACAAACCATCCCAAAACTTGGTAGCTTGCAATAACAATTTTTTTCACCCATGATCTGAAAGTCATTGGTAGGAAGGGGATCAGATTTGCTCCATGGGGTTCTCATCCACTTTGAACCAGTGGCTACTCCAGGATATGTTGTCATGGCAAATGGCAGGAATGCAAGAGGAGAAGTGGACATATGCAATGTCTCTAAAGGCTTGGCTTGAAATTGTCATGATACCATGTCTGCCCACATGTCATCAGCTAGAGCAACTGAACATGGCCAAGCTCAACCTCCATGGAGTGGAGAAATACATTCTACCCACTCTAGTGGAAGGTGACACAGTCACCAGGCAGAGAGGGGATGCATAGTCTTAGCATGAAGGGAGAAATGGAGAACAGGAGCAATCCACAGAACTACCTTGGTTGGTAATGCCCAAGCAGGGTTTTGAAGGATAAATAGAAGCTGGCCAGGCAGTGGGATGGAAAAATTTCATTTTATAATAGGCTTGGCTCAGATTAGCGCCATTATAATTTCCCTAAGATGTCAGTTATTGAATTTCAGGTATGAGAGAAAGGAAACTGGATGCCTTCTTTGCTCTCTTCCAAGTTGACACTGCAGTTTTTAGTTCTTCTATGCACAATCCTCAAAGGAGTTCCTTATATGAGTTCTGTTGCTTTTTGTTCAACCTGAAAGTTGCAAAATTGAACTGAGGAGAAAGGCCCTGGGTAATCGTGACCATGAGGAAGAAGATGACTTGGAATGTTGTGAAGCATCTTTGTATTCAAAAGGCAGCTGGCTGCCCTCCCCAGTGAGTCACACATAAAGGGCCCCTGTTTATTAGTGTCTCCGGTCCTACTGAACACTCGGCGTTCGTGGGTTCCCCAGGAAGCCCTGAGAGTACACTTTGAAAATCAGATACATGTCTGTAAATGACCTTCCAGTTCTGTCTCCTCAGATTGCTGTGAATAATCGTGTGAGGACTGCTGTCCGGAGAGGAGGGAGCCTGAAGTCAAGGCATTCCAAGGGGCTTCAGGCATCCTCAGTTTCTTTATGAAGAGCATTTCTTTCTCCTTAGGGAGTGGTGGGGAGGCTGCACCAGGAAGACAGAGGGCAAATCCTAGTGTGTGTGAGAGAGAGAGAAAAAAAGAGAGAGAGAGACAGACAGAGACAGAGAGACAGAGATACAGAGACAGAAAGAGAGAGACAGACAGAGACAGAAAGAGAGAGACAGAGACAGAGAGACAGGAACAGAGAGAGGTATTCTGGATAAGATGGCTTAGAGGAGGCAGAACTAGCTTGCAGCTCCAGCTCCGATGGACAGAGCAGCGTGTGGAGACTCACATCGTAAACTTTTGCTCCAAGACCTACCGCAAGAACATACTGGGAAAGCCGAGGGAATCCACAGACCCTTTGAAGGAACTGATGACTGCTGCAGGCTCCCTGAGATGCCGAAAACCTGTGAGTTGGCTTGCTTTCTCAACATGGAGGCTTGTGGTCTGGGGCAAGTTCTCGGCCCTGATCACCACCTGCCTGGAAATAGACTCGGTGCTGTTGGGAGGGCACAGTGGGAGTGAGACCAGCCTCTAGGACTGTGGGCTGCATGGGGGCAGGGTGGGGCCTCTGACTGCCAGCTTTTCCTCTGGTAAAGTAATACAGGTGACCTGTATTACTCAACAGAGGCAGCCATAATCCCCCTAGGAATATAACTCAACTGGACTGGGAACCACACTCCCATTCCCCACAGCAGCTGCAGCAAGCCCTGCCCAAGGAGAGGCTGCCCTCAGACACAACTATCCCTGCCCCCACCTGGTGGTCTTTCTCTACTGGCCCTGGTAGCCAAAGACAAAGGTCATAATCTCTTGGGAGCTCTATGGCCCTCCCCACCACCTGAGAAACCTGAATACTTAAGCAGGTGTCACTAGGGCAAGTTTGCATCCTCCCTATATATAGGACCACTGCTGATGCACTTTTGAAAGGGCCACCTCCTGGCTGGAGGCCAATCAACATAGAATTAGCACACTAAACAAAACACAGCCAAGGACACTGCAGGGTCCACTTTACTTCCTTGCTATCTCCACGGGAGCAGGGGTCGGTCTCCATGGCTGCAAGACCTGAAGACAGATCACATCACAGGACTCTTTGCAGACACTCCTGAGTACCAGCATGGAGATCGCTAGCTCCACTGGGTGGCTAGATCTAGAAGAGCAAAAACAATCACTACAGTTTGGCTTTCAGGAAGCCCCATTCCTAGGGGAAGGGGGAAAACACCACATTAAGGGAGCATCCTGTGGAACAAAAGAATCTGAACAGCAGCCCTTGAGTCTGAGATTTTCCCTCCAACATAGTCTACCTGAATGAGAAGGAACCAGAAAGCAATTCTGGTAATATGACAAAACAAGGTTCTTTAACACCCCAAAGGTCATACCAGCTCACCAGCAATGGATTCAAACCAAGATGAAATCACTGAATTGCCAGACAAAGAATTCAGAAGGTCAAGTATTAAGCTAATCAAGGATGCACCAGAAAAAGGTGAAGTCTAACTTAATGAAATAAAAAACATGATACAGAATATGAAATAAAAATTCTTCAGTGAAATAGAGAGTATAAATAAAAAACAGTCACAACTTTTGGAAATCAAGAACACATTCAGAGAAATGCAAAATTCACTGGAAAGCCTCAGCAATAGAATCAAACAAGCAGAAAAAAAGCTTCAGAGCTCGAAGACAAGGCTTTTGAATTAACTGAATCCATCCATCAAAGACAAAGAAAAAAGAATTTTAAAAAATGAACAAAGCCTCCCAGAAGTTTGGGACTACATTAAACAGCCAAATCTAAGAATAATCGGTGTTCCTGAGGAAGAAGAGAAATCTAAAAGTTTGGAAAACGTATTTGAGGGAATAATCAAGGAAAACTTCCCTGGCCTTGATAGAGATCTAGACATTCAAATACAAGGAGCTCAAAGAACACCTGGGAAATTCATCACAAAAAGATCATTGCCTAGGCACATAGTCATCAGGTTATCTAAAGTCAAGATGAAGAATAGAATCTTTTTTTTTTTTTCTTTTTTTTTTTGAGACGGAGTCTCGCTCTGTCACCCAGGCCGGACTGCGGACTGCAGTGGCGCAATCTCGGCTCACTGCAAGCTCCGCTTCCTGGGTTCACGCCATTCTCCTGCCTCAGCCTCCCGAGTAGCTGGGACTACAGGCGCCCGCCACCGCGCCCAGCTAATTTTTTTGTATTTTTAGTAGAGACGGGGTTTCACCTTGTTAGCCAGGATGGTCTCGATCTCCTGACCTCATGATCCACCCGCCTCGGCCTCCCAAAGTGCTGGGATTACAGGCGTGAGCCACCGCGCCCGGCCAAGAATAGAATCTTAAGAGCTGTGAGGCAAAAGCATTTGGTAACCTCTAAAGGAAAATCTATCAGATTAACAGCAGATTTCTCAGCAGAAACCCTACAAGCTAGAATGAATTGGGGTCCTATTTTTAACCTCCTTAAACAAAACAATTACCAGCCAAGAATTTTGTATTCAGCAAAACTAAGCTTCACAAATGAAGAAAAGATAGTCTTTTCCAGACAGACAAACTGAGAGAATTCACCACTACCAAGCCAGCACTACAAGAACTGCTAACATAAGCTCTAAATCTTGAAACAAATCCTTGAAATGCAACAAAATAGAACCTCCTTAAAGCATAAATCTCACAGACCCTATATAACAATAATGCAATGAGAAAACAACAACAACAAGGTATTCAGGCAACAAACAGCACCATGAATAGAATAGTACCGGTGGGGCGCCATGGCTCACGCCTGTAATCCCAGTACTTTGGGAGGCCAAGGTGGGTGGATCATGAGGTCAGGAGATCAAGACCATCCTGGATAACATGGTGAAACCCCATCTCTACTAAAAATACAAAATATTAGCCAGGTGTGGTGGCACACGCCTGTAATCCCAGCTACTCGGGAGGCTGAAGCAGGAGGGAGAATCACTTGAACCTGGAAGGCAGAGGTTGTAGTGAGCCGAGATTGCGCCATTGCACTCCAACCTGGGTGACAGAGTGGCACTCCATCTCGAAAAAAAATAAATAAATAAGAATAGTACCTCACATCTCTCAATACTAACATTGAGTGTAAATGGCCTAAATGCTCCACTTAAAAGATACAGAATGGCAGAATGGATCACCAACTAAGTTTCTGCTGTCTTCAGGAGACTCATCTAACACATAAGGACTCACATAAACTTAAGGTAAGGGGCTGGAAAAAGATATTCCATGCATATGGACACCAAAAGCAAGCAGGAGTAGCTATTCTTATATTAGACAAAACAAACTTTAAAGCAACAGCAGTTTAAAAAGACAAAGAGGGACTTTATATAATGATAAAAGGACTAGTCCAACAGGAAAATATCACAATTCTAAATATATACGCACCTAATGCTGGAGCTCCCAAACTTATAAAACTACTACTCAACCTAAGAAATGAGATAGACAGCAACATACTAATAGTGGAAGACTTCAATACTCCACTAACAGCATTAGACAGGTCATCAAGACAGAAAGTCAACAAAGAAAACATGGACTTAAACTACACCCTAGAACAAATGGACTTAACAGATATTTACAGAACATTCTACCCAACAACTGCAGAATATACATTCTATTCATCAGCACATGGAACATCCTCCAAGATAGATCATATGATAGGCCACAAAACAAGTCTCAGACAATTTAAGAAAACTGAAATTGTATCATGTACTCTCTCAGACCACAGTGGAATAAGATTGGAAATCAACTCCAAAAGGAACCCTCACAACCATGCAAGTACATGAAAATTTGATAACCTGCTCCTGAATGATCACTGCAGCACCAATGAAATCAAGATGAAGATTAAAAGATCCTTTGAACTAAACGATAATAGCAACACAAACTATCAAAACCTCTGGGATAGAGCAAAAGCGGTGCTAAAAGGAAAGTTCATACCACTAAATGCCTACATCAAAAAGTCTAAAAGAGCACAAATAGACAATCTAAGGTCACACCTCATGAAACTGGAGAAACAAGAACATCAAGAACATACCAAATCCAAACCCAGCAGAAGTAAAGAAATAAGTGCGCCTGTAGTCCCAGCTACTTGAGAAGCGGAGGCAGGAGAATCGCTTGAACCCAGGAGGTGGAGGTTGCAGTGAGCTGAGATCACGCCACTGCACTCCATCCTGGGCGATAGAGTGAGACTCTGTCTCAAAAAAAAAAAAAAAAAAAAAAAAAAAGAAATAACCAAGACCAGACCAGAACAAAATGAAATTGAAACAAACAAACAAACAAAGTTACAAAAGATAAATGAAACAAAAAGCTGGTTCTTTGAAAAGATAAATAAAATTGATAGACCATTTGCAAGATTAACTAAGAAGAGAGAAGATCCAAATAAGCTCAATTAGAAACAAAACAGGAGATATTACAACTGATACCACAGAAATACAAAAGATTATTCAGGGTTACTATGAACACCTTTATGCACATAAACTAGAAAACCTAGAAGAGATGGATAAATTCCTGGAAATAGACAACCCTCCTACATTAAACCAGGAAGATATAGAATCTCTGAACAGACCAATAACAAGCAGCAAGATTGAAACGGTAATTTAAAAAACTGCCAACAACAAAAAAAGCCCAAGGCCAGATGATTCACAGCTGAATTCTATCAGACATTCAAAGAAGAATTGGTACCACTCCTATTGACACTATTCCAAAAGACAGAGAGGGAATCCTCCCTAAATCACTCTGTGAAGCCAGTATCAACCTAATACCAAAACCAGGGAAGGACATAACAAGAAAAGAAAACTACAGACCCATATCCCTAATGAACATAGATGCAAAAATCCTCAACAAAATACTAGCTAACCAAATCCAACAGCATATCAAAAAGATAATCCACCATGATCAAGTGGGTTTCATATCAGGGATGCAGGGATGGTTTCACATACGTAAGTCAATGAATGTGATACAGCACATAAACAGAACTAACAAAAATCACATGATCATATCAATAGATGCAGAAAAAGCATCTGGTGTAAAAATAGGCACATAGACCAATGGAATAGAATAGGGAACCCAGAAATAAGCCAAATACTTACAGCCAACTGATCTTCAACAAAGCAAACAAAAAATAAAGTGAGGAAAGGACATCCTAATCCACAAATGGTGCTGGGATAATTGGCAAGCCACATGTAGAAGAATGAAAGGGGATCCTCATCTCTCACCTTATACAAAAATCAACTCAAGATGGATCAAAGTCTTAAATCTAAGACCTGAAACCGTAAAGATTCTAGAAGATAATATTGAAAAAAACCCTTCTAGACATTGGCTTAGGCAAAGACTTCATGACCAAAAACTCAAAAGCAAATCAACAAAAACAAAGATAAATAGACGGGACTTAATTAAG
Source organism: Homo sapiens (assembly GCF_000001405.40). Lineage (NCBI taxonomy): Eukaryota > Metazoa > Chordata > Mammalia > Primates > Hominidae > Homo > Homo sapiens. The sequence continues at coordinate 86,191,683 of NC_000009.12, forward strand.
CTAAAAAGCTTCTGCACAGCAAAGGAAATAATCAGCAGAGTTAACAGACAACTGAGAGTGGAAGAAAATTTTCACAATCTATACATCTGACAAATAACTAATATCCAGAATCCACAAAGAACGCAAACAAATCAGCAAGAAAAAAAACAATCCCATCAAAAAGTGAGCTAACAAAAGAAGGTATATGGTGATATGGTTTGGATGTGTGTCCCCTCTAAATCTCATGTTAAAATATCATCCCCAGTGTTGGGGGTGGGGCCTTGTGAGAATGTTTGGATCGTGGAAGTGGATCTCTCATGAATGGCTTAGCTCCATCCTCTTGGTAATAAGTGAGTTCTCGCTATGAATTCACCTGAAATCTGGTTGTTGAAAAGTGTGTGGCATCTCCTCCCTTGCTCCCATTCTCATCATGTCATACTCTGGCTCCCCCTTTACCTTCTGCCATTATTGATAGCTTCCTGAGGCCTCACCAGAAGCTAAGCATATATCAGCTGATGCATCCTGTAAAGTCTGCAGAACTGTGAGCCAATTAAAACTCTTTTTCTTTATAAATTATCCAGCCTTGGCTGGGCACAGTGGCTCACGTCTGTAATCCCAGCACTTTGGGAGGCCAAGGTGGGTGGGTCTTGAGGTCAAGAGATTGAGACCAGCCTGGCCAACATGCTGAAACCCCATCTCTACTAAAAATACAAAAAATAGCCAGATGTGGTGGCGCACACCTGTAGTCCCAGATACTTGGGAGGCTGAGGCAGGAGAATCACTTGAACCTGGGAGGTGGAGGTTGCAGTGGGCTGAGATTGTGCCTCTGCACTCCAGCCTGGGTGACAGTGTGAGACTCCATCTCCCCCCTACCCCCCAAAAAATTACCCAGCCTCAGATATTCCTCTATAGTGAAGCAAGAATGGCCTGACACAGAAAATTGGTACTGGGAGTGGGACATTGCTATAAAGATACCTGAAGATGTGGAAGCAACTTGGATTTGGGTAATGGGCAGAATTTGGAGGCCACAGAAGAAGGCTGGAAGATGAGGGAAAGTTTGGAACTTCTTAGAGACTAGTTAAATGGTTGTAATAAAAATGCTGATAGTGATGTGGACAGTGAAGTCGAGGCTGATGAGATCTCAAAGGGAAATGTGGAACTTATGGGAAACTGGAGCAAAGATCACCTTGGTTATGTTTTAGCAAAGAACTTGGCTGTATTGTACCCTAGTGATATGTAGAAGTTTGAATTTAACAATGATGACTTAGGGTATCTAGCATAAGAAATTTCTAAGCAACAAAGCATTCGAGATGTGGCCTGGCTGCTTCTAAGAGCCTATTCTTAAATTTGGAAGTAAATAAATGACTTAAAGTTGGAGCTTATATTTAAAAGGGAATCAGAGCATAAAAATTTGGAAAATTTGCAGTCTAGCCACGTGATAGAAAAAAAAGCCCATTTTCTGGGGGAAGAATACAAGCAAGCAGGCTGCAGAACAACCCTTGCTGGAGAGATTAGCATGACTATAAGGGAGCCAAGTGCCAATATCCAAGATATTGGGAGAAAGGCCTCAAAGGCATTTCGGATATCTCTGAGGTAGCCCTTCTTATCACAGGCTCAGAGGCCTAGGAGGAAAGAACGGTTTTGTCAGCCAGGCCCAGGGTGCTGATGCCCTGCACCACCCTGGGAAGTTGTTCCCTGCATCCTGGCTACTCCAGCTCCAACCTTGGCTCCAAAGCGCCCAGGTACAGCCCAGGTCACAGCTCCAGAAGGTGCAAGCCATAAGCCCTGGTGGCTTCTATGTGATGTTAAGCCTGCAGGTGCTCAGAATGCAAGAGTAAAGGAGGCTTGGCAACTTCCATCTAGATTTTAGATGATGTATAAGAAAGCCAGGGTGCTCAAGCAGAACCCTGCCACAGGGGTGGATCCCATGCACACTACTAGGCCAGTGCCAAGGGGAAATGTAGAGTTGAAGCCCCCACACAGAGTCCCCACCAGGGCACTGCCTAGTGGAGCTGTGGGAATGGGGCGACTGCCTTCCAGATCCCAGAATGGTAGATCCACCAGCAGCTTGCCTCCTGCACCTGAAAAAGTTGCAAGCACTGAACTCTAACCTGTGAACTCTGCAAAACCACAGGGGCATGGCTGCCCAAAGAGCTCAACCTTTACTTCAATGTGCCCAGGATGAAGGACATGGCATCAAGGATTATTTTAGAGGTTTAAGATTTAATATCTACCCTGCTGGGTTTCAGACTTGCATGGGGCCTGTAGCCATTTCCTTTTGTTCAATTTATTTCTTTTGGAATGGTAATGTTTAAATAATGCCTGTACTACCATTGTATCTTGGAAGTAAATAACTGTTTTGATTTTACAGGCTCATAGGCAGAAGGAGATGAGTCTCAGATGACTTAGGACTTTGGACTTGATTAATGAGTTGAAATGAGTTAAGATGTTGGGGGACTGTTGGGAAGGGATAATTGTATTTTGCAATATGAGAAAGACATGAGATTTGGGGGACCAGGGGACAGAATGATATGGTTTGGATATTTGTCTCCTCCAAATCTCATGTAGAAATGTCATCCCCAGTATCAGAGGTGGGGCCTGGTGGGAGATGTTTGGATCATGGGAGCAGATCCCTCATGAATGGCTTAGCACAATCCCCATCACCATCTGAGTTCATATAAGATCTGGTTGTTTAAAAGTTTAAAAAAAGTTTAAAAGTTTCCATCTCTCCTTGCTCCTGCTCTCACTGTGTGATACGCTGGCTCTTGCTTTGCCTTCCACCATGATTGTAAGCTTCCTGAGGGCTCCCCAGAAGCCAAGCAGATTCCAGTGCCATGCTTCCTGTACAGCCTGCAGAACCATTAGCCAATTAATTCTGTTTTCTTTATAAATTACCCAGCCCCAGGTATTTCTTTATAGCAATTCAAGAATGGACTAATACAGTTAGAAATAGATTTTTTTTTAAGTCTAAAGAGCATAGCAAACATCAACCTAAGGACTAAAGTATCTACTGTTCCTGTCTCATACCTGCTGTACTTCTGATAAGAACATCCTCTTTCCTGGGACCTCAAATACTTAGACAATCCCCATTCATTTTTTGAGATGAAGCTTAAACATGTCCACCTTTTAAAGCCTCTCTTGATCCACCCAAACCTGGAGAACTTCAATGATTGCATTTACATTGGCTCCTACCTTAATTATCCCTCAGTGATTGCATTTACGCCAGCCCCAACTCAAAGATTGCATTTACACTGGACTACACATCTTTATGTCCCCCATAGACAGCTGTCCCCCAGGTACCTGCTTTGTTCATTTCACATCCAAGCATCCATTAGAATGCCTCTCTCATGGTAGGCACTTCACTCTAAAATCCTTTTGGGAACAAAGTGACTATGTGATTTGAAGAGAAAAAGAAAAAAATAAAGGAAGGAAGCAAGCAAGGCAGGAAGGATAGAAGGAAGGAAGGAGCAAGAACATTAAGAATGTTCAAGTTGGCTGGGCATGGTGGTTCACGCCTGTAATCCCAACAATTTGGGAGGCCTAGGTGGGTGGATTACTTGAGGTCAGGAGTTCAAGACCAGCCTGACCAACATGGTGAAACTCCATCTCTACTAAAAATACAAAAATTAGCTGGGCATGGTGGCGGGCACCTGTAATCCCAGCTACTCGGGAGGCTGAAGCAGGAGAATCACTTGAACCTGGGAGGTGGAGGTGGCAGTGAGCTGAGATTGCACCATTGCACTCCAGCCTGGGTGACAAAGTGAGACTCCATCTCAAACAAACAAACAGAATGTTCAAGTTATTATATAATAAGTGATTTTAAATATTAATAACTGAAATTTTACTGAAGTACACATTTTGTTCAACTCAAATTAGAGGCAGCACAGTTTAGAAAAAAAAGGTACTAAGCTATGAAAGCAGAAGTTTTGGTTTTGACACTTGACTTTCCTCTCTGCTCACCTTGCTACTTTTCGAGTTTTTTTAATCTGTTAACAGATAAGGGATTGGACCTCATCTGTAAGATCCTTTCCAGTCCTTTTTTTTTGAGACAGAGTTTCACTCTGTCGCCCAGGCAGGCTGAAGTACAGTGGCATGACCTTGGCTCACTGCAACCTCGGCCTCCCGGGTTCAAGAGATCCTCGTGCCTTGGCCTCCCAAGTAGCTGGGATTACAGGTGTGTGCCACCACGCCTGGCTAATTTTTGTAATTTTAGTAGAGATGGGGTTTCACCATGTTACCCAGGCTGGTCTTGAACTCCTGACCTCAGGTGATCCACCCGCCTCTCCCTCCCAAAGTACTGAGATTACAGGCTCACACCTGTAATCACCATGCCCGGCCAGATCCTTTCCAGTTCTAAAGAGTCAAGAGAGCAAGCCAGAGCAGAGTGAGCTCTGAGTTGGCTGTTCTCTTTCTCTTCATCCACCATGCACTATGAAGAGTACTCTAGGCCATATCCCGTGCTAAGCTGGGAAGGTAGATTGTCAGATAGAAGAAAACTTTGACCTTTAAGGCTCACAGCCCAGTGGTGAAGCAGACAGGAAACAGAGAAGGCCTCCTTTTGGATATATGCAGGGGATGCGTGGAGTCCACACTTCATATGGCCTCTGTTGGCATCAACTTTCTTCACTGGGCCCCCCAACCCTCGCTCTGCTGTCTGGCTTCTGCCCTAGCTCTTGTGCCTTGTACATGAAGTATTTGTTGGGTGAGTAAATAAATGAGTTAATTGTCATGATGGAGACATGGCCAGGGAATTCTGAAAGCAGGGAGGAGGGGGTCCTAACCCAGTCTGGACCCAGGAGACGAGGGGGAGAAGTGATGAGAAAAGGTTTTCTGGAGGGGATTTAATGATTAGAATTAGCCAGGCTAAGTGTTTGCGTAATGAAGCTTCCAGGCAGTGGACACAGGCCAAGGTAGATACAGCTGGTAGAGGCCCCCAGTAGTCCAGTATGGCTGGAGGTAATGTGTGAGGCAAGGAGGATGGCAAATAGGAGGGAGGGGAGGCCTTAAGCTCTACTGTGAAGAACTGGTATTTTCTCCTATAGTTGTAGGTTTTAGTATTGAGTGAGGCAATTAAGTTTGTCTTTTTTTTTTTTTTTTGAGACAGAGTCTCACTGTGTTGCCCAGGCTGGAGTGCAGTGGCACCACCTTGGCTCACTGCAACCTCTGCTTGTCAGGTTCAAGCAATTATCATGCTTCAGCCTCCTGAGTAGCTGAGATTACAGGTGTGTGCCACCACACCCAGCGAAGTCTGTCTTTTAGATAGTCTACTCCCTACTTACCCTGTGTAGCATGGATTTGAAGTGGACAAGAATGGAGGCAGGAAGGCTGTCCTTCGGAGGCAGTACTAGGAAGGATGTAAGAATTATGGGGGAGGGTAAACTGGACAGAGTTATTGATCGTGCAGACATGACAGACAAGAGAAATATTAGAAGGTGAAACCAACTGGATTTTGTGTCACGTAGATGTGGATGGTGTGGGAGAGCAGTAGTCTAGGGTTATGTGATGGTTACTTTTATGTGTTAACTTCACTGGGCCATGGGGTGCAGACTTTTGGCCAAACACTATTCTGGGAGTGTCCCTGAGGGTATTTCTGGATGAGATTAAAGTTTGAATTGGTAAACTGAAGAAGGCAGATTGCCTTCTCTAATGTGGGTGGGCCTTGTCCAATCAATCAGTTGAAGACCGGAATAGGACAAAAAGGAGGGGGCTCCTCTGGCCTGACTGGTACTACTTGAGCTAGGTCAAGCAGTCATTTCTTGCCCTCAGACTGGAACTACACCATCTACTCTCCTGTGTCTCCAGCTTGCCAACTACGGATCTTGAGACTTCTCAGACTCCATAGTTATGTGAGCCAATTCTTTTTAACTCCCCCACTTTACACACACACACATGCACATGCACATGCCTACTGGTTCTGTTTTTGGATGATGGGCCTATTAACTGAGCTAGGGAATGGAGTAGGAGCTGCAGTGGAGAGGAGAAGGTGGTGAATGTAGTCTGAAGTGCCTGTGGCAGAAGATGTTCAGTAGGCAGCCGAATCTACATGCCTGAAATGCAGGTGAGCAGAAGTGGCTGCAGATAATGGATTTGAGATTCAGCAGAATATTGGTGATGTCTGGAACCATGAGGAGGGATGTGATCACCCAGGTGAGTGTGCAGAGTGAAAAGTGTGGATCTTTTGCAAAAGATAAGATGATACAAAAGGAAAAAATGTTTTAAGATGGTTAGATGATAGGGGAAGACATAGGCTCTAGAATGCGGAGGGGCAGGATTTGGGCATGTTTAAAGGCTGTAGGAAGGGGAATTGTATAACAGGGGAGCATGACAGGTGAATCCAGGTCTCCAAGCATGAATGATGAAGTCAGGGGCACAGGAACACAAGGGGGACTACCTGGACTGGACAGGCTGGAGAGAGGTCATGATAGGAAGTGGACATTGATATGATTTGGATGTTTGTCTCCTCCAAATCTCATGTTGAAATGTGATCTCAAAAGTTGGAGGTGAGGCTTGGAGGGAGGTGTTTGGATCATGGAGGCAGATCCCTTGTAAATGGCTAAGTGCCATCTCCTCCGTGATAAGTGAGTCTTAACCCTATTAGTTCACAAGACAGTCGGTTGTTTAAAGGAGTCTAGCACTTCCTTCTCTCTCTCTCTTGCTCTGTCTCTTGCCCCGTGACATGCCTGCTCCCCCTTCACCTTTTGCCATGAGTGGAAGCTTCCTGAGGCATCACTAGAAGCGGATGCTGGTGCCATGCTTCCTGTACAGCTGCAGGACAGTGAGCCAAATCAACCTCTTTTCTTTGTAAATTACCCAGGCTCAGGTATTCCTTTATAGCAACACAAAATGGACTAACACAAACCTATATATGCCAAGTTCTATAATAATAAAACAAACAAACAAAAAAATCAAAACAGAAACAATGAAAACTTTATACTATTCTTCAAACAACTCTAGGAATCATTTTTTAGGTAGACTAATAATGTAATTTAGCAAACCAGGTCACTTTGGAGAGAAAAGGAAACATTATTAATAAGTCCAGACAACAGGCATAAACAGGGATTGTTCCAGGCCAACTGGAATGTACAAAGATCCTATTTTTAGATCGCTGTTGCTTTTTGGTAAAGTAATCAAGGAGAATTTTCTATTGCTTTGGTTATGTGAATCTCTTGAAAAAGTTAATTCTAGCCAGGTGCAGTGGCTCATGCCTGTAATTCCAGCACTTTGGGAGGCTGAGGGGGGCAAATCACCTAATGTCAGGAGTTCGAGACCAGCCTGGCTAAGATGGTGAAACCCTGTCTTTACTAAAAATATGAAAATTAGCTGGGCATGGTGGTGGGCACCTGTAATCCCAGCTATTCAGGAGGCTGAGGCAGAAGAATCACTTAAACCCGGGAGGTGGAGGTTGCAGGAAGCCAAGATCGTGCCATTGCACTCTAGCCTGGGCGACAAGAGCAAAACTCTGTCTAAACAACAACAACAACAAAAACCCCTTAATTCTTAGACAAGTATTTCAGAATATTTTGCCAGCTCCCTGTAGAACTCGTCCCTCTGTTACCTCAATCCAATAACCTTAAACATAAAACCTTTCTCCCAGAGACAGCTTCACACTTGATGATTCCCCCAGTGGTCACCCCAGCTTAGTAGTGTCTAGCAGTGACAATCCATCTGCCCATTACTTGCAGTCTGTCATCCATTTATTTAGTCCTCTCTTTTCTGTTCATTTCTAACCAGCATGAGGGTTTAGTTGCACAACTCCATGTATACCTGGTGGTGTTGGGGCCCATGGTCTTTGCTTTATATGATGCCACAGACTGGAAAGCACTTTGAGCAAGCCTGTAGGCTTGTTACAGATAACAGGACACCTGCCTTTTCTGTTGTGTGATAACTTGATGTTCACTGTTGATGCATTATTCATTTTGATGGCATTTGATGTTGTTTTAGCATGAATGGATTTTTTTCATTACAATGAATAGTAATTCTATTTTTCACTTAGAAGGCTAAGTGCTATCGGGGCTTTTGGGGATGAATTGCTCTGGTTAGCAAAGAGGGACTACTTATGAGAGGGGGCTCCCTAAATAAGGAGTGATTAGAGTCTCCTTCAATGTCATGGAACTGACTAGCCTAGGGAGGCCCAGAAGAGGCAAGGATTGAGAGGTTCATATGGACTCTCCTTCCTAGGGATAGAAGGTGATGCCCCTCCAGTTGCCTGGTATAGGCACACACAGCTCTGTTGTCTTCTGGGCTTGATTCTGGTTTTCTCCATCCATTGGTTCTTTCTCCTTGTCACTTGCTCAGCCATTCCTCAGCTTGGATGTGTTACCACTTACACAGAGATCTGGTATAGGAGGAGTGTGAGGGGCCCTTTCTGGAACTTGTTTTGGGGAGCTCAAGATTATATATACTTTTTCAATGTACCTGCACTAATTGACTATATGAATACATTTACATACTTGTACATTTCGTTTTACATCTGAATATAATATGAAATTATGTTGGAGAGTTGTTTTTTTTTCTTGTGCCAATTCAAAATCTGCTTTACTTATTTATATTTTTTACTACAAAATAAATTTATTTTTACAACAAAAAGGAGAGATTATTATTCCTTTTGACACAGGATCTTGCTACTTTGCCCAGGCTGATCTTGAACTCCTGGCTCAAAGGATCTTCCTGCCTCAGCTTCCCAAGTGGCTGGGATTACAGGCATGAGCCACCATGTCCCAGAACTGTGAGCCAAATAAACTTTTGTTCTTTATAAATAACCCAGTATGTGGTATTCTGTTATAGCAGCAGAAAATGGATGAAGACACTGCTCTAACCCTAGAATCAGCTTCTTCTCAAGGAACCCTGATTCTTTTGATTGGAGAATTTTATTAGAAATCAAGATTTGTGCACTGGGTGTGTTGTTGCTACTGGGGTGTCATTGCTTCTAGAACCTTTCAGTGGACAGGGCTAGGAAACATATGTATGCATGCTAACCCAGCTTATCTGTAATTATTTGTGTGTGTGTGTATATATATATATATATGTGTGTGTGTGTGTGTGTGTGTGTGTGTGTGTGAGTTCATAATGATGTCTCTGACTCTACTCTAGTACCACTTAATTCATTCTCACCTTCATGAGGGTGATTCTTCAGAAATGAAAGATCGGAAGTGAGAGAGTGAGAAAAGGAAATGATCAGGGCAGAATTAGGTCATATAGAATTAGAGGAAAATATATTCACTTATTACAGAACTGAAAGTAATCTTGGAGAACCTGTCACACATTGTCATCCAACTTGTTTATTTAACTGGTGAGAAAACTGCAATTCGATAGGGGCTATTCAGGGTCTTAGAGCTAGTTAGCAGCAAAGTAAAGACTCCTTGTTCTGAGAACAGCTTCTTTTGCCCTGGCTATAGGATACAGTCTCATTGGCTAGGTACTTTTCTTTTGAGGGCAAATAGATAAGGAACTGCCCAAAGATTTCAGACAGAGGTGACAGCCTCAGTTTTTATAATGCACAAGGACTGCCCACAAAATGACCAAAGTGATTGAGACACAATATTTTTCCCTCAAAAGCTTAAAGCCTGATGGAGGAAGCAGAATTCATACAATGTGCAAGAACTTAAATAGAAACGGCTTAGACAGGTGCGGTGGCTCACAGTTGTAATCCCAGCACTTTGGGAGGCTGAGGTGGGTGGATCACTTGAGGTCAGGAGTTCGAGACCAGCCTGGCCAATGTGGCGAAACCCCATCTCTACTAAAAAATACACAAATTAGCCGGGTGTGGTGGCAGGCACCTGTAATCCCAGGTATTCGGGAGCCTAAGGCAGGAGGATCACTTGAACCTGGAGGTTGCAGTGAGCTGAGATCGTGCCATTGAACTCCAGCCTGGGTGACAGAGCAAGACTCTGCCTCAAAAGAAAAAGAAGGAAAGAAAGAGAGAGAGAGAGAGAGAGAGAGAAAGAAGGAAAGAAAGAAAGAAAAAAGAAGGAAAGAAAGAAAAGAAAGAAATAAGAAAAAAAGAAAGGAAGAAAGAAAGAGAGAAAAAGAAAAAGAAAGAAAAAGAAAGAGAAAGAAAGAAGGAAAGAAAAGAAAGAAAAAAGAAAAAAGAAAGGAAGAAAGAAAGAGAGAAAAAGAAAAAGAAAGAAAGAAAGAAAGAAAGAGAAAGAAAGAAAAGACTTAAAGAGCTCTGGGTGCACAGAAGTGTAAGTGATTATTTGTGCCTTGGCAGGTGGGGCAAATTTGTCAGGGTAGGATTTCACAAGTGAAACCCAACCCAGATAAATTGAGGAATTCTCCCAAGGTAACTCATCAAGAAGTGTGGACACCAAGTATTTTTGCACACACAGGACAGCCTCTCTTTTTAACAAGGTGAGAGCTTGCCTGTGGCCTTATTCACGAGTCCATGAATCTCAGTAGTTTTCACTCTATGCAGCATTTTGCAAGGTGGAGTGGAAAGCATTTCACTTTGCTTTTGCTGTTTTCAAGATATGTCCCATGGCATGGCAGCCAGATAAGATACTATTGGGGTGCTTTCTCTGAGTGACCTCCCAAGCTTCCCTGGCTTGCTCACGACTTAGAGCTCCCGGTCCTGGGAGGCAGACAGTGGAAAACTCAGAAAGAGGTCAGAATTTTGGGAGCAAGATTTTTCTAGGGAAAGACGGAATCCCTTCAGAAACTACTGATGGGGTTAGGGGATGGAAACCAACAACAGTCAGTTGGTCGAGTTTATCTCCTTAGTACAGGGTGAGATGGCTAAGCTGAAGTGGGTAGTTTTGGATAGCTGGTTGAGCCGCATGCTGGGGCAGTGCCTGACTCAAATCCATGTTCTTACTATTAGCCACTAGGGGGCAATAGCATGCTGAGGATGCTACTCAACTTTGACCCTTAATATGATTAATTTTAGAGATATGTAAGCTTCAAAATCTTCAAATGTTAAAGTTAAATAAACTTTTATTCGGGGCAGAGATGTTCACAGCATCATGGATTCATTTAAAAAGCAAACTTGAGTATGTTAAAAAAAGATTCACTTTTTTTTTTTTCAAAACTGCGTTTACTTACCACTTGTTAGGGATATATAAAAATGTACAAAATAATAATATTAAAATTCTTATTAGATTAATAGCATGCGTTCTATTATGTTGTGATCACTACTCTTTGTGATCATGTATGTTCTATTATGTTGTGATCACTACTCCTTGATTTGTTGGGATTCATTTCCATATTTCTATATCACTATAAAGCAAATAAAAGAACAAGTAAAATGTGTCTATTTCAAATACCTGAATTTATTTTATGGAAAAACAGAGTGTAAACAATGCCTTTATTCCAGAACCCTTCAAAGCATTTTATTTCTCCTAACTTCTCTACTGTCCTCAGTCTCTTTGATTTTTTTCTCCTATTTGATATTATCTTAATTAAGACTCTTTGGGTGGCAAATAACAGCTACCAACTCAATCCAGCTTAAAGCAAAATAGGGGAGTTTATGATAATATTTCACATGTTGAGGCTCAGAAAACAGTACTCCAAAATGAAGGCCTCAGAAGCAAAAGTGTTTCTCCAGCCTCCTGCCCTGCTGTCTCTCGGTCCCATTCTCCCCCAGGCTAGCCATAGAAACTAGGATTCCCCTTCCCCAGGGTGAGTCAGAGAAACCAGAATCCCTTTTCCCCAAAGCCAGCCATAAACCTAAAAATATTACTCTAACCTTCCCTCTACCTTTCTGTGCAAAAACTAGCTGTGAAGAAATTATCTGACCAACGCTGTTTGACTATAAGTCATAAGACCCCCATTCCAGAGAGGGCCCTGCCCCACACCCCGAAGGAAGGAATGCTGCTCAGAAAGGCCAAGAAGAATCTAGGCAGACAGGCCTTGCAGGGTTACCCGCCTCTGTCTGTTAGCATAAAATCATATTTTGTCCAATCACATTTCTACACCGCTGTCCGTACTTTGTTGAACCCAAGCATAAAAATGGACAATTTCTCCTGTATCTTTTTTTTTCTTTTTTTGAGAAAGAGTTTCACTCTTGTTGCCCTGTTAACCAGGCTGGAGTGCAATGGCGTGATCTCAGCTCACTGCAGCCTTCATCTCCCGGGTTCAAGCGATTCTCCTGCCTTAGCTTCCCGAGTAGCTGGGATTACAGGCTCCTGCCACCATGCCTGGCTAATTTTTTGTATTTTTAGTAGGGACAGAGTTTCACCATGTTGGCCAGGCTGGTCTCGAACTCCTGACCTCAGGTGATCCACCTGCCTCGGCCTCCCAAAGTGCTGGGATTACAGGCATGAGCCACTGTGCACGGCCCTCCCCTGTATGTTTGGGTCTTCATTCTGAAGGCTCCCAAGGAATACATGTTAAATAAATTTGCATTCCTTTTCTCTAATTAATCTGCCTTTTGTGAGTTGATTCATCAGCTCTTCCTTGGCCCCTACACAGGTGTGTCTCATGGAGCTGGAAAGCAGGGCCGTAGCCAGAAAAAGCATAGATTGAGGAACTGGGAAGCTACTGAAGACCAAGTATCCATTCTCTTGGTTATTTTCTCAAGTCAGATTGTTTCTTGTCTGACCCTTCCTATGTTATTCTCTTGCTGTGAACAGTGTGTACTTCGCCTCTGTGCATCTTGTTGAAAGGGTTACCCAGAGCTCCTGGGATTGTTGGATAACATGATCATTCTGTTTTTAATTTTTTTGAGGAAACTCCATACTGTTTTCCAAAGTGGCTGTGCTAATTTACATTCCCACCAACAGTGTACAGGGGTGCATTTTATCAGCATCCTCACCGACACTTGTTATATTTTATCTTTATTATAGTATCCAGTCTAGCAGGAGCAAGGTGATATTGCATTGTGGTTTTGATTTGCATTTCCCTGATAATTAGTGATTTGGTGCAGTTTTTCATCTACCTGTTGGCCATCTCCATGTCTTCTTTTGAGAAATGTCTCATCAGGTCCCTTACCCATTTTTATTAGAACTCAGGATTAAGAAACTCACTCAAAACTGCACAACTACATGGAAACTGAACAACCTGCTCCTGAATGACTACTGGGTACATAATGAAATGAAGGCAGAAATAAAGATGTTCTTTGAAACCAGTGAGAACAAAGACACAACATACCAGAATCTCTGGGACACATTTAAAGCAGTGTGTAGAGGGAAATTTATTGCACTAAATGCCTACAAGAGAAAGCAGGAAAGATCTAAAATTAACAGCCTAACATCACAATTAAAAGAACTAGAGAAGCAAGAGCAAACACATTCAAAAGCTAGCAGAAGGCAAGAAATAACTAAGATCAGAGCAGAACTGAAGGAGATAGAAACACAAAAAAAACCCCTTCAAAAAAATCAATGAATCTAGGAGCTGGTTTTTTGAAAAGATCAACAAAATAGATAGACTGCTAGCAAGACTAATAAAGAAGAAAAGAGAGAAGAATCAAATAGATGCAATAAAAAATGATAAAGGGGATATCACCACCGATCCCACAGAAATACAAACTACCATCAGAGAATGCTATAAACACCTCTAGGCAAATAAACTAGAAAATCTAGAAGAAATGGATAAATTCCTGGACACGTACACCCTCCCAAGACTAAACCAGGAAGAAGTTAAATCCCTGAATAGACCAATGACAGGCTCTGAAATTGAGGCAATAATTAATAGCCTACCAACCAAAAAAAGTCCAGGACCAGATGGATTCATAGCCGAATTCTACCAGAGGTACAAGGAGGAGCTGGTACCATTCCTTCTGAAACTATTCCAATCAATAGAAAAAGAGGGAATCTTCCCTAACTCATTTTATGAGGCCAGCATCATCCTGATACCAAAGGCTGGCAGAGACACAACAAAAAAAGAGAATTTTAGACCAATATCCTTGATGAACATCGATGTGAAAATCCTCAATAAAATACTGGCAAACCAAATCCAGCAGCACATCAAAAAGCTTATCCATCACGATCAAGTGGGCTTCATCCCTGGGATGCAAGGCTAGTTCAACATACACAAACCAATAAACATAATCCATCACATAAACCGAACCAAAGACAAAAACCACATGATTATCTCAATAGATGCAGAAAAGGCCTTCGATAAAATTCAGCAGCCCTTCATGCTAAAAACTCTCAATAAACTAGGTATTAATGGGACGTATCTCAAAATAATAAGAGCTATTTATGACAAACCCACAGCCAATATCATACTGAATGGGCAAAAACTGGAAGCATTCCCTCTGAAAATGGGCACAAGACAGGGATGCCCTCTCTCACCACTCCTATTCAACATAGTGTTGGAAGTTCTGGCCAGGGCAATCAGGCAGGAGAAAGAAATAAAGGGTATTCAATTAGGAAAAGAGGAAGTCAAATTGTCCCTGTTTGCAGATGACATGATTGTATATTTAGAAAACCCCATCAGCTCAGCCCAAAATCTCCTTAAGCTGATAAGCAACTTCAGCAAAGTCTCAGGATACAAAACCAATGTGCAAAAATCACAAGCGTTCCTATACACCAATAACAGACAAACAGAGAGCCAAATCATGAGTGAACTCCCATTCACAATTGCTTCAAAGAGAATAAAATACCTAGGAATCCAACTTACAAGGGATATGAAGGACCTCTTCAAGGAGAACTACAAACCACTGCTCAACGAAATAAAAGAGGATACAAACAAATGGAAGAACATTCCATGCTCATGGGTAGGAAGAATCAATACCGTGAAAATGGCCATACTGCCCAAGGTAATTTATAGATTCAATGCCATCCCCATTAAGCTACCAATGACTTTCTTCATGGAATTGGAAAAAACTACTTTTTTTGGTTCATATGGAACCAAAAAAAAGCCCACATTGCCAAGAAAATCCTAAGCCCATTTTAAAATAGGGTTGTTTTCTTGTTGCCGAGGGAGGAGATTTCCCTTTTGCTCTGGAAAATTCCTGGATGGTGGCAGTCCTCTCTTAGTTACAGGGAGTGGGAAAATATAAGTGAATAAAATACGGTGTCCATCTCCTAGTGTATTTGCTTGATTACGCAGCAAAGCTATCTCAGTATAGCATCTCGAGTGAAACAATAAATCGAGATTGTTTTGTTAAGTGGTAAAACTCTAAATAAAGAATCTTCATCCTCACTACTACTTAGAGAGCATAAAGGCACATCAAAAAGGATATGCTGTTTGATGGAGATAAATAGGTACTTAAATATATTATTATAATTTTGGGGAGGGGTTATCTAAATAAAAGTCACATCATAAGTTGAATCCCAATGTATGAGGTGGTTTTGTGTTTTAAAAGCCTAAAGACTTAGTTCATTACAATAGGTTTTTGTTGCCTTTCTTTTTCCTGTTTTTTTTTTTGGCTTATCTTTTTCGTATCTTCTATTCATATGTCTTCCAAATGCGTTAATTGGTGTCACCAAAAGGTCTGTTTTATTATCACCCTCTGCTTCAACTGACATCATATATCGCTTTCTCAAAATCACAGTTTCTAATTCTATTTTCAGACATGGCAGTAATTTGATTATTTGTTTTGTTTTGGAGCCTGGTAAGAGACCTCAACAGTTACTTTTAAATTGACCCATTTACCCTTTAATCATAAGAAACCACGCAAATTCAGTTATTATGCCTCCTATTTTCATCATACGACTGCATCTTTCAAACATTAGTTTTCCCATGGTAATTTTGCAGATCGTTACTTTTTGTTATCTCAGAATCTTGATTACGTTACATACTCTAATGAAACTCCATGTGTATCTGCAGCCCCTAATTTCATTTTTTTCATATGATTTAGGTTTAATTTTATTACCATTCTGGAAACAGATACAAATTAGAGGAAAATTAGAAACAAAATTGGCACAATAGTTTCTCAATTTCATGATGCATTAAATTTGGGGGCAATTTATCACAAGTGGAAAAAGTTTAGGTAGCGGCAATGATCACCTAACTAAATGAGAGCTCTTGAAGAAATATTATTTTATCTTTAAGGCCTAGTACAAAGAAAACCCATCTATTCACCACCCTTAATAGAATTCAGTACACGAATCATTATATCTGTCACTAGGTCCAGATACTATCTGTGGGCACTTCAATAGCTGCAGAAATTTTACCTTCTCTGGCAAATTTCTGGGAAAATGAATATGAAGAGAGAAAATGTGTTACATCATGGAGGGAAAAACTGTAGTTCCACATGGATACTCCTGTTCACTCAGTAAATATCTATGATGATTCATTCCACAAATAATCATTGAGTATATGTGTCAAGGAGTGTCCTTGGCACTGGAGATACAATGACAAACAGAATGACAAGATTCCTATTGGGAAAGACAGACCAACTGATATTACATAGTGAACAAGAAAAAAATTATAGGGCTGGGCGCAGTGGCTCACGCCTGTAATCCCAGCACTTTGGGAGGCCGAGGCAGGTGGATCACGAGGTCAGGAGTTTGAGACTAGCCTGACCAACATGGTGAAACCCCGTCTATACTAAAAATACAAAAATTAGCTGGGTGTGGTGGTGCACACCTGTAATCCCAGCTATTTGGGAGGCTGAGGCAGGAAAATAGCTTGAACCCAGAAGGCAGAGGTTGCAGTGAGCTGAGATCGCGCCACTGCACTCCAGCCTGGGCAACAGGGGGAGACTCCATCTCAAAAAAAAAAAAAAAGACAGAAATGATATACCATCTGTATAATCATATATGATACTCGTATGATTACACAATCATATGTGTATAAAGTGGAGATTTAAAATAAGATGGTATTTTAGAGAGTAATTGAGTGGCCTCTTGAGACTAGCTGGCCAGGGAGTCCTCTGAGATGGGGCATTAGAATCTGAGAGGTAGAGACCACCAGAAACAGAAAGAAACAAATGCATTTCTGCAGTTGGGCACCTGCTGACTCCTTGATTCCATTAGGACAGAGTAAGCGCTCGTTCTCTGCCAACCCAGAATTCGGCCCTGTGGCTGCAGCGAAAAGAATCCCAGAAGAGGGACTCACGCTGAACACATTCTGGCTCCAGAGGCTTCCTCATTAAAATAATAATAATAAATCTTAAAATCCCAGGAGAGATTCAGGAATAAAAATGGAGAAAGTAAGACTTTAAAGTAAAATTATTAGAAATCCCCAGGAAGTAAAGAAGGAAAAAGAAACCAGAAAAAAAAATCCTATCAGTTAATTAAGCCTTGGAGTGACAAAGAGATCCAGAGCTTCCAAGGATATGGAAATTTCTTGGCTTTGAAGAGTTGAGGGAGAAGAATCATGAACAGTCTAAAGCAATTGCCCAGCGTCTCAAGTAGAAGGGCATGAAGAGGAAGCTGGCACGGATGTCTCCAGATGATGACACGTTTGCAGGGCTTTTTCTGGGCCACTCATGAGGCCACACAGATGCCAACGAGCCACCCTGGCCCTGTACTTATGGAGGGGCTCTGCACAGGATTTTGGGATAAGGATGGAAGGACAGTGTCTTTTGAGGTTCTCCCTGTGCGGTTTTGGTCATCCTTCTACCTTCTGAGTTCCAGCCCCAGGCCTATGGCATCCCTGTTTCACTTTGAGGCGTTGCTGTGGGCTCCTCCAGGCATGAGCTCCACGGAGGATCCTCAGGTACCCAGATGGGAAACTTGGAACAGGAACCCTCCATGGTAAGCCCCCTGCCTGTTTGGTTTTCCCCAGCAGCCAGCCCTCAAGCCCTCTGAAGCAGTGGTCCACCTCTTCTGATTCTGATCCAGATTGTGAACTTAGCAACAACTAGAACCTGGATCCCAATTCTGTCTGAAATCAACAGAATAATATGTTCTATACGTTGGTGCATGACTCTTTGCCTAACCCAACACAATGAGAGTAAAGTGTGAAATAAACAAAACATAAAAAGTAAAGAATCTGAGCTGTGAAGAGAGAGAAGGAAGCAGCCATATGGGAAAGGTCCCAAGCTTAGTGAGTTACAAGGAAGCTGGTGTGGCTGGATGGTAATGGTTGAGGGCACTGGGCACAGGGTGAAGCTAGCGGGTGTGGAGAGACTAGAAAACTAGAGTTTTGTGAACTTCTACTAAATACCGCATTGTTAAACAGGATTTGAGGAGTTTTGTTCGTTTGTTTTTTGTTTTTTGAGACGGAGTCTTGCTCTTGTTGCCCAGGCTGGAGTGCGATGGCGTGATCTTGGTTAACTGCAACCTCCGCCTCCCGGGTTCAAGCAATTCTCCTGCCTCAGCCTCCCAAGTAGCTGGGATTACAGATGCGCGCCACCATACTGGGCTAATTTTTGTATTTTTAGTAGAGATGGGGTTTCACCATGTTGGCTAGGCTGGCCTTGAACGCCTGACCTCGTGATCCCCCCCGCCTCAGCCTCCCAAAGTGCTGGGATTACAGGTGTGAGCCACCGCACCTGGCCGGAAGTTTTAAATGTACCCCTGTGTGGCAGACAGTGCTGGGTACCTCCCCTGTAACCATCCATTCCCATTTCTTCCCTTTCTCAAGAGCTCCAATTTAGTTTGGAGTTGCATAGTACCCAATTAAAAACACCCAATTCCAGGCCAGGCACGGTGGCTCATGGCTGTAATCCTAGCACTTTGGGAGGCTGAGGCAGGCGGATCACTTGTCAGGAGTTCAAGACCAGCCTGGCCAACATGGCAAAACCCCATCTCTACTAAAAATACAAAAATTAGCCAGGCGTGGTGGCACGTGCCTATAGTCCTAGCTACATGGGAGGCTGAGGCAGGAGAATCATTTGAACCCAGGACACAGAGGTTGCAGTGAGCCAAGATGGTGCCACTGCACTCCACCTGGGCAACGGAGCAAGACTCTGTCTCAAACAAACACACACCCGTAATTCCAGAGTCCCTTACAGCTGGGGGTGGTCACACTACATGGTTCTGGATATGATATGTATCCAGAATGCTGATGAGAAGGTCCTCCCTTCCAAAATAAAACAGGGAACTTCGAGAAGATGGCTTTTCATGCTTTTTCATTCTTCCTGTCTGGCGCACTGATGCAATGTCTGTGGGGATAGCAGCCACCTTATAACTATGCCAATGAAACCACAAATAAAAAAATGAGATGAGAGAAAGACAGGAGTCTGGGAGACTGGTGGTATTCTGAGCCTACCGCGCTGCACAGCCCTGCTGACCTCTGCACATTTTGCTGGACACAATAAACTAATGTGTATTTTAGGTGCTGGCATCCATGCATTTTCATACTTGTAACCAAGCACCATGCTAAACCATACAACACAGAATAGAAAAAAATAACTGTTTAAGGAACTGGGGAAAATATTGGTTAAAATAATCCAGGGATAATAGTAACCCAGAAGAAGGCAAAGGTAGTCTTATCTTTCTGAAATTTGGCCTCAAGGAGTATGGAAACCAAAACCAAGAGGAACTTTCTCAATGCAACTACTCGTACTACTATTAATTTTACTACTACTAATAAAGATAATAATACACACTAGCAGCAAAGCCAGCTTACATTTTTAAAGTGCTTACCATGTACCAGGCACTCTCCTAAGCACTCCACATCTTAAATTATTGAATCCTAAGAGCAACCTTCACAATTATTATCTTTATTTCACAAATGAAGATATTGAGATAGAGAGAGCTTAAATGATTTGTGAGGATCAAAGAGCCAAAATTTCAACCTAGGATGCCTTACTACAAGGCCTGCTGTGTGAACCAAATTTTATGAAATTCTCTTAATATGCGATATAATATCACTTCATCTTTGGTAAAAATTCTGCTCAAATCTTCTATTTTTAAAAATTGGTTGATTATCATCCTAATATCAAGTATCTATTTGCTTTTTACAGTTAAAACAGTAACATTGCTGCCAGGCGTGGTGGCTCATGCCTGTAATCCCAGCACTTTGGGAGGCTGAGGTAGGTGGATCATTTGAGGTCAGGAGTTCGAGACCAGCTTGGCCAGCATGGTGAAATCCCGTCACTACTAAAAATACAAAAATTAGCTGGGCGTGGTAGCGGGTGCCTGTAATCCCAGCTACTCGGGGGGGCTGAGGTAGGAGAATCGCTTGAACCCGGGAGGCGGATGTTGCAGTGAGCAGAGATCCTGCCACTGCACTCCAACCTGGGCGACAGACTGAGAGACTGAGACTCTGTCTCAAACAAAACAAAACGAAACAAAACACAACCCAAAAAACAGTAACATTGCTGAACAGTCCAAAGAAACAAAGCGGAAGGAAGCAATGGCATGGCATCTTCAAAGAGCAGACAGAAAATAACTTCTAACCTAGAATTCTGGATCCAAGGAAAATATCCTTCCCACATGAAAGTGATATACAAACTTTTTTTTTTTTTTTTGAGAGGGAGTCTCACTCTGTTGGCCAGGCTGGAGTATGGTGGCACAACCTCTGCCTCCCGGGTTCAAGCGATTCTCCTGCCTCAGCCTCCTGAGTAGCTGGGACTACAGGCACATGCCACCACGCCTGGCTAATTTTTTGCTTTTTTAGTAGAGATGGACTTTCACTGTGTTAGCCAGGATGGTCTTGATCTCCTGACTTTGTGATCCACCTGCCTTGGCCACCCAAAGTGCTGGGATTACAGGTGTGAGCCACCACACCCGGCCCAAACATTTTTGAATGAACAAAAAATTGAAAAATTCATTGCCAGCCTACCCACTCTAAAGGAAATATTAAAGATTGTCCTCCAGGCAGAGGGAAAATTAAGCCAGATAAAAACTTGCTTAGAGATGTAGAAAGAAATTAAGAACAAGGCCGGGTGTGGTGGCTCACGCCTATAATCCTAGCACTTTGGGAGGCTGAGGTGGGCGGATCACCTAAGGTCAGGAGTTCGAAACCAGCCTGGCCAACATGGCGAAACCCCATCTCTACTAAAAATACAAAAAATTAGCCGGGCATGGTGGTGGGCGCCTGTAATCCCAGCTACTTGGGAGGCTGAAGCAGGAGAATTGTTTGAACCCAGGAGACAGATGTGGCAGTGAGCTGAGATCTCACCACTGCACTCCAGCCTGGGTGACAGAGCGAGACTCCATCAAAGAGAAGAAAGAAAGAAAGAAAAAGAAAGAAAGAAAGAAAGAAAGAATATGTAGGTAAATCTAAATGAATAGTAACTATATAAAACCTTATAAAACTGTAAATAATGTCTTGTGGGGATACTTATTATTATATATTAGAAAATACGTTTTCAGATACATACAGTCACTATAGTTGCTTGTAGGGATATATAATATTATTACATATTAGCAAATATATATTATACATATAGTCATTAAGCTTAGACATTGGCAAGAGGTACTTTTCCCTGGGCCCTGAACTCTGGCCTTATTTCAGCCATGCCCTACCTTACAGGATGAGGAATCCAGGGGGCCCAGGGAACATGCCCACCTGGAGCCTTTATCACTCCATCTGGAGCACAGTTAGGTATCTGAGACCTCAGAATTTCCCACTCAAAATGATCTGATTATTCTTCCCGGCTTGTGTGGGCCCTTTCCCTGGCTCCTTCCTTCCAAGGGCAAACCACACTGCCAGCACCTAGCACCTAGGAGTGGACACGTGGAGGCTGTTTGTAGCCAGTGTCTGCAGAGTTGGGTTGTCCATACGCACATGCATGAGGCCCTCACAGTGTTAGAGCTGGAAGTGGGAAGAGAAGGATGACTGAGCATCAGGTACCAGAGGCTATCTCTCTTGTGCCATACCATTTTAGCACAGAACTACAGAGAGCTCTAAATTAGAATTTAGAATTTGAATTTGGCCCTTCAAGTTGTCATGAAGGATTATTGGTAAATGTAGAAAATAGCACCCATTTTATTCAATAGTTTGTTAGCTTGGTTTATTCTTTAAACTATCTAGATATATGGTGTGTAGGTCTCCATCTGTACTCTTTGTCTGAGCCCCAAAATTGGTTACGGGGCAGGTCTCTCTACATAGAATTAAAATATACAAAAACAGCCAGGCACAGTGGCTCACGCCTGTAATCCCAGCACTTTGGAAGGCTGAGGTGGACGGATCATGAGGTCAGGAGTTTGAGACCAGCCCGGCCAATATGGTGAAACCCCATCTCTACTAAAAATACAAAAATTAGCCAGGTGTGGTGGCACGCGCCTGTAGTCCTAGCTACTTGGGAGGCTGAGACAGAAGAACTGCTTGAACCTGGGAGATGGAAGTTGCAGTGAGCCGAGATTGCGCCACTGCACTCCAGCATGAGTGACAGAGTGAGACTCCATCTCAAAAAAAAAAGATATATATGCGCGTGCACACACACACACACACACACACAAACAATAGTCCATAATTTGGAATGGTGATAAATGGAGTTAAAGGGTCCTAAGGCAGTAGCATGTCTGAGATGAGGTAAAAGCACTAGTATACAATGTTTTCTTCTAAGTTAAAGATGTTTGAGGCTGGGCATGGTGGCTCACGCCTGTAATACCAACACTTTGGGAGGCCGGGGGGGAGGATCACCTGAGGTCACAAGTTCAAGACCAGCCTGACCAACATGGAGAAACCCTGTCTCTACTAAAAATACAAAATTAGCTGGACCTAGTGGCACATGCCTGTAATCCCAGCTACTTAGGAGGCTGAGACAGGAAATTCGCTTGAACCTGGGAGGCGGAGGTTGCAGTGAGCCAAGATTGCACCATCACACTCCAACCTGGGCATCAACAGCAAAAAAAAAAAAAAAAAGATGTTTGTTGTAATATCTAAGGTATCCACTAAAATAATAGGCCGATAATGTATAGTTAACAAGCATTGAAGAAGGAAAATAAATTAAAAAGTAAACAAATCCAAAAACTGGCAAGAAAAATTGAGATAGTTAAGGCGAGAAAAACAGAAAGCAAGTAATAAGATGTTTAAATGGTGTATATCAATAACTAAATTAAGTGCAAATGGAATAAATGCCTCAGTTAAAAGCCAAAAATTGGCCAGGAGTGGTGGCTCACACCTGTAATCTCAGCATTTTGGAAGGCTGAGGGAGCAGGATTGCTTAAGGCCAGGAGTTTGAGACCAGCCTGGGCAACATAGTGAAACCTTATCTCTATGAAAAATTAAAAAAAATTAGCTGGGCACAGTGGCATGCACCTGTAGTCCCAGCTACTCAGGAAGTTGAGGCAGGAGGATCATTTGAGCCCAGGAGTTCAAGGCTGAGTGAGCTATGGTTGCACCACTGCACTCCAGCCTGGGTGACAGAGTAGGACTTCATCTCTGTCTTAAAAAAAAAAAAAGCCAAAGGTTCTAAGTCTGGATTAAAAAATCTCCAACAGGCTGGGCGTGGTGGCTCATGCCTATAATCCCAGCACTTTGGGAGGCTGAGGGGGGTGGATAATGAGGTCAGGAGTTTGAGACCAGCCTGAGCAACATGGTGAAACCCCGTCTCTACTAAAAATATAAAAATTAGCTGGGTGGGGTGGTGTGCTCCTGTGATCCCAGCTACTCAGGAGGCTGAGGCAGGAGAATCGCTTGAACCCGGGAGGAGGAGGTTGCAGTGAGCCAAGATCACGTCACTGCAATCCAGCCTGGGTGACAGAGTGAGACTCCATCTCAAAAAAAAAAAAAAGGAAAAAAAAGAAAAGAAAAACAACAACAACATGCTGTTTACCGGAGACATTACCTAAATATAAGAATACAAAAAAGTTCAATGTAAAAGAATAGAAAAGGTACAGCATATAAACATCAACTAAGAGAAAGTTGATATGCCCGTATTAATATAAACAAAGTCAATGTTAAGAAGCATCATTAGAGGTAAAGATTATTTATTAATCATAAAAGTTTTCATTCATCCAGAAGCTATAACATTTTCAGAGTCTTATAAATGACACAATAAAATTAATAGAAATGAAAGTAAAAGTAGAGGCTCCTTGAATGAGAATGGGGACTTTTTAACACACTCCTTGTCTGATAACTGATAAACAAAAATCAGTAGACCTGTTGAAGATTTGAACAACGTGATTAACAAATTTGACATAATTGATATAGATAAAAAAGCTATACTCATCTGGGCATGGTGACTCATGCCTGTAATCCCAGCACTTTGGGAGGCCGAGGCGGGTGGATCACCTGAGGTCAGGAGTTTGAGACCAGCCTGGCCAACATGGTGAAACCCCGTCTCTACTAAAAATACAAAATTAGCCGGATGTGGTGGCACATGCCTGTAATCCCACCTACTTGGGCAGCTGAGGCAGGAGAATTACTTGAACCCAGGAGGTGGAGGTTGCAGTGAGCCGTTATCGTGTCATTGCACTCCAGCCTGGGCGACAAGAGCGAAACTCTCAAAACAAACAAACAAACAAACAAACACCTATAATCAGTAATTGTGACATATACATTCTATTCAAGTACACTTGAAATTTTACCAAAATTAACTATATATCAGACCATAAAGCATACTTCATCAGATGGAAATTATACAAAATATGTTCCCTGACCACAGTGGAATCAAGTTAGAAATCAATAACAAAAGGATTCAATAGAGCAAAAGCATTAAGGTAAGGATATGTATCACAGATAGTAGCAAGGGGCCCAGGGCACCAGGCCCAGGCTTTGACTGTTCTCTCCCTGTAAGGACTCTATTAGACACACGTTTCTTCTCCAGGAACAAAACATGGATGAATCTTACAAAAGAATCCATACTGTATGATTCCATTTGTATAAAAATAGGCAAAACTAATCTATGGTAAATATTGATTATCTTTGGAAGGGAGGGATGGAGTAATGATTAAGAGAGGGCCAGAGAGGGGCGTACTGGCAGAATTCTGATTCATGCCCTGGGTAGTGATTCCATAGGTGCATTCAGCTTGTTATAATTCATCAAGCTTGTGATTTGCTGTATAACATTATACTTCAAAAAAGTTATTTAAAAATGAAGCAAACACCTACAAGTTCACAATACTTTTTTTTTTTTTTTTTTTTTTTGAGGCGAAGTCTCATTCTGTTGCTCAGGCTGGAGTGCAGTGATGCGATCTTGGCTCACTGCTAACTCTGCCTCCTGGGTTCAAGCAATTGGTCCTGCCTCAGCCTCCGGAGTAGCTGGGATTAATAGCCAGCACACCACCACATCTGGCTAATTTTTTATTTTTATTTTTATTTTTTATTTTAGTAGAGACGGGGTTTCTGCCATGTGGGCCGGGCTGGTATTGAACTCCTGCCCTCAAGCAATCTACCCGCCTTGGCCTCCCAAAGTGCTGAGATTACAGGTGTGAGCCACCATGCCCAGCCACAATGCTATTTTAAAAGAGAGAAGGAAAGAAATACTTATTTGGCAACCTTTTGAAGTAACTAGAACATCAACTCCTTAATTTAAAAATTGACAACTAACAGGAAAAACATAAGCAGTTAACCTGCTTTCTTGTAGATTGTATTTCAGTGTAAAGTAAATAACTTTAGTTGATGAGGAAAAGTTTTTCTTTACAAATAATTTCCAACTAATAAATGTGGAATTAATGGCAGAATTAGATAATCACCAACGAGTAACCACTAATGAAATAATTCAGGCAAAGGTCATAATATGAGTTATCTATTGCTGTGTAACAGATTACTTCAGAATGTTGCAGCTTAAAACAACAAACATTTATCATCTCACAGTTTTTGTGGGTTAGGAATCAGGGCATGGCTTAACATGGTGTCCTGGTTCAGTCTTTCAACACTACAACCAAATGTCAACGAGGGCTGCGGTCATCTCAAGACTTGAGTTGGGGAGGATTCACCTACAAGCTTACTCATGGGGTTGCTGGCAGATTTCAAGTTCTTGCTGGCTGTTAGCCAGAAACAGCAGGTACTTGCCACATGGGCTTCTCCATAGGGCATCTCCCAAGATGGCAGCTGGCTTCTCTAAGAGCTAGCAGTGAAGAAGAGAGCAAGAGAAGATGCCCAAGGTGGAATCCACAGTTTTTTGGTAGCTTATTATTGAAGTGACATCGCATCACCTCTGCTGCACTCTATTCTGGAAGTCTTAAGTCCAGACTAGAGTCAAGATAAGGAGATTACATACACAGAAAGTCAATACCAGAAGGCGGCGATCACAGGGAACCTCTTAGAGGCTGCTATAAAAGTTGATCATACAAATTGGATTGTTCTTGTCATACCGAACTAAATGAGAGTTGAGGGGCCAGGAGAAAAAGCACCAAGACACATAACATTGCTCCAGGAATGTCATTCTCTGCAAGCCTGGATGCTGAAACGACCTGGTATAACCTAAAACCAGTTGTATCTAATGGCTACTGGAACAACCTGCTTAGACTCTAAGACTAGTTTTAGCCACCATGGTCACTCACCAATTAGAGCTTGCCAGTTCCCCAGAACTTTGCTAGTGCCAGTGAACTTTCTTTTAGAACAATATGTAACATTTCTTCTTTTTATAAAACCTGCAACCTTCTCTTTGTTCTTTGGACATACTGAAGACCACCTGGTGTGTGTGTGTGTTTATGACTCAAATTGCAATTCTTGCTTCCCAAATAAAATGTCTTAAATTTAGATATTTGTTTCTATATTTTATTTGACTTCAACATTGCCTACCATCATCATCAAAGGATGGAAGCTATTAGATGAAAAGTTGATGGGGACTTTATAAAACAGAGGCATCAGACTGTCATCACCTGAATCCTTTACTCAACTTTAAACTCACTAAAAGAACAATAGACATTATTTGCCTTGTACTGTGAAGCAATCTGAAGTACATAGCACCACCTAATGAGGTACTTTTTCCAAAAAGAGGTGAGCTCAAAACCAATCAAGTCTTTAACAGACATCCATTTTATAAGAAATAAATCTATCAGTTTATTTCTAAATAAATATATATGATAGAAGAACAAGTTAAAGGACACCATGAGGATACAAATCTAGAAGGTGGGACCTTCTACATGTCAATGGACCTATTTCTTCAGTAAGTCAATTGCATGAAAAAAATGAGGACTTGCTCTAGACTAAAAGAGTCTTAAGAGACTTAACAATCAAATGCAATCTTTAGATCTTGCTTGGATACTGATTCAAACAAACCAATTAGAAGAAGATAATTTTATAATAAGGTGACTTTGAATATAGATACAAAGGTGGTACTAAGGAATTATTATCTTTTAGTAAATAATGCATTGTAGCTATGAAAGAAAATGTCCATATTTTTCTGAGATGCAAACAAAAGTAACAACTGAGACATGGGGTCTAAGATTTGCTTTAAAGTACTTCAGCAGACACAACAAACACAACAAAAGGAACAGATAAAACAGATGTGGTAAAATCTTAATAACTGTTGAATCTAGATTATGGATATATGCAAATTCATTGTAGAATCCTATTCATTTTTATGAGTGTTTAAACATTTTCATAAAAACAAGAAAAGATAGCAGGAGTGGATGGTTTTATACCTGAGTTCTAGCTAGACTTCAATATTTCTAATATTGTTTAAATATCTGTGATCTTAAAAAAGATGAAAAACTCCCCAATTCATTTTATAAAGCTAGCATAACTTTTAATAAACTTTTTTGTTTTGTTTTGTTTAAGAGACAGGGTCTCACTTTGTTGCCTAGATCGAAGTACAGTGGCATGATCATAGCTCATTGTACCTTCAATCTTCCGGGCTCAAGAAATTCTCCTGCCTCAGCCTCTCAAGTAGCTAGGACTACAGGTGCACACCACCACCCCCAACTAATTTTTGTAACTTTTTTTTCTTTTTTTTTTTTGAGATGGAGTCTTGCTCTGTTACCAGGCTGGAGTGCAGTGGCACGATCTCTGCTCACTGCAACCTCCACCTCCCAGGTTCAAGCAATCCTCCTGTCTCAGCCCCCCGAGTAGCTGGGACTACAGGCACACGCCACCATGCCCGGCTAATTTTTTTTTTGTATTTTAATAGAGATGGGGTTTCACCACATTGGCCAGGCTGGTCTCGATCTCCTGACCTTGTGATCCACCCGCCTTGGCCTCCCAAAGTGCTGGGATTACAGGCGTGAGCCACCATGCCCAGCCATAACATTATTTTTTTAGAGGCAGGGTCTCACCACATTGCTCAGGCTGTTCTTGAACTCCTGGTCTCAAGTGATCCTCTTGCCTTTGCCTCCTCAATACCTGGGATTACAGGAGTGAAGCACTGTGCTTGGCTCTAAAACCTTTTTTTTTTTTTGAAATATAATATGCATGGAGAAAAATTAATAGTTGTGTGTAGCTTGAATAACTTTTGCATACTGAACACATCTGTGCAAAAAGATTAAAAACTAGAACACTGTGTGCACCCCAGATACCCACCCCATGCTCATTTTAGACAGTATCTTCTGCTGAAGATAGTCACGTGCTGAAGCCAGCACAATTTTTTTTTTTTTTTTTTTTAAGCTGGAGTCTCACTCTATCGCCAAGGCTGGAGTGCAATGTTATGATCTGGGCTCACTGCAACCTCTGCCTCCAGAGTTCAAGCGATTCTCCTGCCTCAGCTTTCTGAGTAGCTGGGATTACAAGCACACGCCACCACACCCAGCTAATTTTTGTATTTTTAGTAGAGATGGGGGTTTCCCCATGTTGGTCAGGCTGGTCTCGAACTCCTGACCTCAAGTGATCTGCCTGCCTTGGCCTCCCAAAGTGCAGGGATTACAGGTATGAGCCACAGCATAAACTTTAATACCAAAATCTGGTTTTAAAAAATAGTGCAAAAAGTGGAGACTACAGAATAATTTCATTTATATGGAGACGACTTTTAAAAATAGCATATTAGGAAACAGGATCCGGAAATGTATTTTAATATCTACACAATCATACACACATATATTGTTAACAATTTGCTTGCCATTATTTCTTGCATTCCCTCTGGGTTCTTACTAAAATACATACTTTATTAGTAGTTTTTTTTAAGCAAGGGATTATGGATAGTAAACATTTTTAGGCCCATGTATTTTTTAACATTTTTATTTTACCCCCTACTCCTCAGAGAGAGTTTGGCTGCTTATAGAATTACAGACAGCTATTTTCCTTCAGCATTGTAAGTATATGACACTATTGTCCTCTGACCTCTATTGTTAATGAGCATTCTATTGTCAATTTGTCATTTCTTTGTATGTAATCCATCTCTCTTTCGTAGATTATATTTTCCTTTACTGCTTAGTGGTCCATAGTTTTGCTACAGTATTTCTGGGTATAGATTTATTTTCAATATCTTGCTAATCAGTCTGAGATTTTTCAGTTCAAGGTCTCATGTGTTTCTTGAGATTTTTCTGTCATTTTATTTTCACATATCACTTAATTTCCATTCTCCTATTTTTTTTCTGCTAATTCCATCGTATACATTTCTGAACTTCTCATTCTACCGTCCAATACTCTTATTTTTCTGTCTTACAGTGCTATGATCTCTAAGCTTTTCAATGCTGTCTTCCAACTTGTTAGCCCTCTCTCTTCAGATATATCCAGGCTACCACTGGGATAATTATCAAGGGTTATTATTATAATTTTCAATGACTATATCTTTCATTTCCAAGATTTCCAATTTGTTCTTTTACAAATCTTTCTGTTCTTATTTCATGGATGCTGTTTCCTTCTTTGTCACTGGACAGTTAATAGATTATATTTAAGTTCTCATATTGATCTCTATATGCTCAGATGTTAATTTGTTTGTTGAATGTACCAAATACTTTATGATGATGAACTTCCTTGTGTGCTTAAAATTCCTTAAAAAGCTATGCTTGCTTGAGTGTTCTTCAGTTACACCTTTTCTTTTCATATGACCTATATTTGCTTTAGCCCTGGTCCAAATGGGTTGCACCGTCCAAACCACTTCTCACGTTAGCAGATTAAATCGGACCTTTTGCTCTGTATTAACGGCTTAATTTTACAATATACCTTCATGTGTGTTGTACACACTCACTTCAGATGTTCTATTGGGTACTTGGCTTCTTTACTTTTTGTGTATTAAATCAATGCTCTCAAAAGCAAAAATCTACGTCCAAAATATTTTAATACACTACATATTCCATTTAAGAGAATAACTTCCTTCATTTTGATAATCAATTTGAGGATAAATGACCAAAGACTTGCGAACTATAGGGGGGAAAATAACGTCAGGCATGTCCTGGCTCTCTACAAATCTCTTCTCAGTGTTGTATTTTATGTCTCCGAATGAAATTGCAGTAGTGCGCCTCCACTTCGCAAGCCCCTTAAAATATCTCCATTCCAGATCCCTTAGATTCATGAATTGTTTTCCTGAAAAGAATCATATTTTCAAAGAATCACATGGTGTTGTTACTCAGCCTTTCATTACTCAGAGATGCTTCATGGACAGGGTAAACCTTTGATGAACTCGAGTCCCCTCTTTCTGGCAGAAAGCCATTTCTAAAGCTTTATTTTTAATTTTTATTTATTTATTTATTTTGAGACGGAGTTTTGCTCTTGTTGCCCAGGCTGGAGTGCAATGGTGCGATATCGGCTCATCACAACCTCCGCCTCCCGGGTTCAAATGATTCTCCTGCCTCAGCCTCCTGAGTAGCTGGGATGACAGGCACCCGCCACCACACCCGGTTACTTTTTTTGTATTTTTAGTAGAGACGGGGTTTCACCATGTTGGCCAGGCTAGTCTCAAACTCCTGACCTCAGGTGATCCACCCGCCTCAGACTCCCAAAATACTGGGATTACAGAAGTGATCCACTGTACCCGGCCTAAAGCTTTATAAACTTAAGGGAGACCCTGTGATGTCAATTTCATGTAAAGCCTGCCCCTAAACAGCAATTGAGTGGGTCTGGCTAACTGGGCTTGAGTGGACCCTGCAGAGCCCCGGCAGGTGGACGGAGTATTTCATTCTGTGCTTGGATCCTAACAGAATGTGCAAATGGAGAGCTCTGCAGAGCACCGAAAGCAGCAGGGAGGAGAAAAGGATCCAAAAACAGGGAGGAAGATGGGTTAGAAGTGCACAGATTGTTAGTGTCATTTCTTCCAAGATGCTAATGTAAGCCCTAAGTATAAAAGGGCAGTGGCTGAGCTAGAATCTGGCCATTCTCCATACTCATTCAGAAACCACAAGCTTGAGGTGTCATTAGCAGTTACAATTCCTTCAAGTAGCCAATGAGCCAAGGAGAAAGAATCAAGCAAAGACACAGCACATGTTCTCCCCACCAGCAGCGATTCCCCTCTCCCTTCTCTTCCACCCTTTTCATGGCTAAATAACGCTGAAAACAACAACAAATCAAGGCTAAAGGCATGGGTTGGAGTGTAAAACCAGGAGCCAACGGGCCACGGGAACAAGTATAAGGAGAATTATGGTCACAGCAGACAAGCAGGATGACTGGTCTATTTCTGGTGGGTGACCTTACTGTCCCACATGTGGTGACATTTGAGCATGTCACCTGTAGTCCAAAGACTGAGCAGGCACCACTCCACTCCAATCAGTCCTCCATCCCTGTACTGGGAGGGCCTGGGCCTGCCTGGTGGGAAGTCTTTATATAGACTTTGTACATGTCTGAAGTAGAAGACAGGTGCCAGAGACTCTTCGTTGGGCTCATACCTCCCCAAGTAGAACAGATACTGCCATGGTGTTCAGCAGTCCATTCATAAGGCCAGTTGCCAAGTTTCAGGGAGTTTGACAAGATCTTTGGAGGCCTGGCATAGCAAGAAGTGGTGGCAAAAGGAAGGAAGGGGATCTTTAACAAGAGAAGGTTTAGAGCTGATGATTTTGATGACTAAAGAGCCTCATGTCCCAAACTCCTGACCTCAGGTGACCCACCTACCTCGGCCTCCCAAAATGACCAGCCTGGCCAACAGGGAGAAACCTGGTCCTACCAAAAATACAAAAAATTAGCTGGGCTTGGTGGCGGGCACCTGTCATCACAGCTACTCCGGAGGCTGATGCAGGAGAATCACTTGAACCTGGGAGGCGGAGGTTGCAGTGAGCCGAGATCGTGCTGCTGCACTCCAGCCTGGGTGACAGAGCAAGACTCTGTCAAAAATAAATAATAAAAAAAGAAGCTTCACGTCATGATCTCTGACAGACACTTTAGGTTGGCTTACTCCACACGCATTGCAATCCTCTTCTGCCTTCCTCTGCTATAGAGGGGGGAGCTAAGAACTCTTATTCACCAGCCTTCCCTACAGGAAGGGGTGATGATTGGACACAATTCTGGCCAAGAAGATGTAGAAAGAAATCACTTAAGGAGAGGTGTTCTGGAAAATCGTTGCTTCCGTATTAAAAGAGGACAGAAGTGTCAATGTGGCTCTTCATCCTATCCCACCTTTTCCTGACTGGAATGTGGCCACAGCCTCCGAGGGTGAAGATGTCTTTTGGACATGAAAACAAAAGCTACACACAAAAAAATGGCAGAGCCCAGGTCCTTGGAGACATTTGAAAGCATCGCTCCACAGAGAGTGGAATCACGGTCACCAGAGACAGAGTAGGGAGTGGGAGGGGAGGATGGAGAGAGATAAGTCAATGGGTTCAGAGTTATAATTAGAAGCCCTGCATAGTGGCATGCACCTGTAGTCCCAGCTACTGGGGAGGCTGAAGGAGAAAGATTCCTTGAGCTCAGGAGTTTGAGGCCAACCTGGGCAACATAGCAAGATACCATCTCAAAAAAATGTAAAATGGGCCAGGACCAGTGGCTCACGCCTGTAATCCCAGCACTTTGGGAGGCCAAGGCAGGCAGATCACTTGAGCTCAGAAGTTCAAGACCAGCCTGGGCAATATGATGAAACCCCATCTCTACAAAAAATACAAAAATTAGCCAGTTGTGGTGGCATGCACCTGAGGTCCCAGCTACTTGAGAGGCTGAGATAGGAGGATTGCTTGAGCCCAGAAGGTTGAGGCTGCAGTGAGCTGAGATTGTGCCACTGCACTCCAACCTGGGTGACAGTGTCTCAAAAAAAAAAAATTAAAATTGAAGTAAATAAATAATTGAGAACAAAGTTACAGTTAGATAAGAGGAATAAATTCTGGTGTTCTATTGCACAGTAAGGTGAGGATAGTTAACAATAAGATATGGTATCTTACAAAATAGCTAGAAGGAAGGCTTTTCAAAGTCATCACCACAAAGAAATGGTAAGTGCATGAGGTCAGGATAAATACACAGATTCGATCACTATATAACACTATTGAAACATATATTGTACTCCATATATATGTACAATGACAATGTGTTCATTAAATAAATAGAGACATAAAAAGCACTGGGAGGCTGAGGCAGGCGGATCACGAGGTCAGGAGATTGAGACTATCCTGGCTAATACGGTAAAACCCCGTCTCTACTAAAAATACAAAAAAAAAAAAAAAAAATTAGCTGGGCTTGGTGGTGGGCACCTGTAGTCCCAGCTACATGGGAGAGGCTGAGGCAGGAGAATTGCTTGAACCTGGGAGGCAGAGGTAGCAGTGAGCCAAGATTGTGCCACTGCACTCCAGCCTGGGCAACAGAGCGAGACTCCGTCTCAAAAAAAAAAAAAAAAAAAAGCATTGTTCCGGCCCTTGTCTGCGTACCCCTAGACTTCTAATTATGTAAGAAAAATAACCACTATTTGGTTTTCTGTTATTTTTGATTCCTAAGCTATATGATTCTATGGGATTTAGCCTGAACAAGAGGAGCTCATACGATAGAAGAGCAAAACGGCAACACCCACTCTCTTTTCCTCCCCCGGTGCTTGGTGCCAGTAGGAATATGTTCTTTAGTATACTTTGGAATACCAGGATCCTAAAGTTCTTCTGGACTGAGTAGGAGAGTAGAAGATGAATTGTTGCAATACTAATTACCCCTAAGGGATTACTGGATACCCTTCACTTAGATTCCTGCCTGACTCCATGCACTTTCTTTTTCTTTCTTTCTTTCCTTTCTTTCTTTCCTTCCTTCCTTCCTTCCTTCTTTCTTTCCTTCTTTCTTTCGTTTCTTTCTTTCTCTCTCTCTCTCTCCTTCCTTCCTTCCTTCCTTCCTTCCTTCCTTCCTCTCTTTCTCTCTTTCTTTCTTTCTTTTTTGAGACGGAGTCTCACTCTGTTGCCCAGGCTGGAGTGTAGTGGCGCGATCTTGGCTCACCACAACCTCTGCCTCCTGGGTTCAAGCGATTCTCCTGCCTCAGCCTCCCAAGTAGCTGGGATTACAGGTGCCCGCCGCAACGCCCAGCTAATTTTTTTGTATTTTTAGTAGAGACGGGGTTTCACCATGTTGTCCAGACAGGGTTTCACCATGTTGTCCAGGCTGGTCTTGAACTCCTGACCTCAGGTGATCCACCCGCCTTGGCCTGCCAAAGTGCTGGGATTATAGGCGTGAGCCACCATGCCCAGCCAGCATATTTCTTGAATAGACATGACATGTACCAGAAATTTACCTCTGGGATCTCAGGAAATGAAGATATGGAGGCAGAGAAGAGACTCCAACACAGTTTGTGAGACCACATCAGAGACCTCCAGAAGTTAGGTAACCAGCAGGTAATTCATGCATTAGGAAGAAAGAAAAACTTGGCCCGTATACATGTGAAAGTCATAAATGTTCAAGACCTTATCAAACATCCAAAACCCTTCTTCAGTAGGTTTTTGATTAGTTCTTCTTACTGAGTCTCAACACTTTTCATGATTTTTCCTCTCTGGTCCCAGGCTTTACTTGTGTACTTTGCGAATTATCTAGGCCAGTCCTATCATTGCTTTAATTGCACTGCTACTTAGGCAACGTAGGACTCTATGAAAGGATTTCGAAGCCTGCATTTGGCTCTGTTAAGATGTCAATGTAGGGAGTTACAGCAAAAGCTCTTCCAACTCTTTGGACCAAATATACTCACAGTAATCAATCTATTCCTTTAAATTTGCTCCTTCTGCCTCTCCCATTACTTTTTTTTTTCTTCTTTGAGACAGAGTTTTGCTCTGTTC
The DNA here is from genome assembly GCF_000001405.40 of Homo sapiens. Classification (NCBI taxonomy): domain Eukaryota; kingdom Metazoa; phylum Chordata; class Mammalia; order Primates; family Hominidae; genus Homo; species Homo sapiens. Next base: position 86,226,362 of record NC_000009.12, read on the forward strand.
CCCAGGCTGGAGTGCAGTGGCACAATCTTGACTCACTGCAACCTCTGCCTCCTGGGTTCAAGTTATCCTCTCACCTCAGCCTCCCGAGTAGCTGGGACTACCGGTGCATGCTACCACACCTGGCTAATTTTTAAAATTTTTTTGTAGAGTCGGGGTTTTGCCATATTGCCCCGTCCCACTACTTTTAATATAAAAATGGTGGTGTTAAAATATTTGCTGTGAAAATGGTCTTATCTTGAATCAAGAAACTGCTTCAGAGGGTTATCACAAATTGATGTAATCTATTAAAAAATGACAAAATATTACCTCTCTCAAATTATATAAGATGGAGACTTAAAGTGTAAGACACTCCCTTCTCATTAAAATTCAGCATCATAAGTTTCATGGTTTTTTGTTTGTTTGTTTGTTTGTTTGTTTTTTGAGACAGAGTTTTGTCCTCGTGGCCCAGGCTTGAGCACAATGGTGCGATCTCTGCTCACTGCAATCTCCACCTCCTGGGTTCAGGCAATTCTCCTGCCTCAGCCTCCCAAGTAGCTGGGATTATAGGCACCCACCACCACGCCCAGCTAATTTTTTGTATTTTTAGTAGAGACCATGTTTCACCATGTTGGCCAGGCTGGTCCCGAACTCCTGACCTCAGGTGATCTGCCCGCCTCGGTCTCCCAAAGTGCTGGGATTACAGGCATGAGCCACCATGCCTGGCCCAACAATATATCTTTTTAAGAGTGAATCTGAGACTTGATCCTGGAATTCTGGGTTCTCTGTTCTGCATTTTATTTTTATTTTTACTTATTCATTTTTTAGAGACAGGGTCTTGCTCTGTTGCCAAGGCTGAAATGCAGTGGTGTGATCATAGTTCACTGCCACCTCAAACACATGTGCTCAAGTGATCCTCCCACCTAAACCTCTCGGGTAGCCGAGATTACAGGCACATGCCACCAAGCTCAGCTAATTTTTATTTATTTATTTATTTATTTATTTATTTTTGGAGATGGGGTCTTTCTATGTTTTCCAGGCTTGTTCATTTTATTGACACTGTATAAAGCAAACATATTAATAGCAGCCATGAACCTCAGAACTACAAAATTGCTGTAGGTCAGTATTGGACCATTTCTGCTCTAGTAAATTTGCAATGAGATTTCCATTCCTTTTCTCCCACATGGCCTCATCTGTTTAAATTACCTGGGTCAACTAAGAAGGATCTACAAAGTTTATCTTCAGAAATGAACTTTTCTGGGGTGGCACTGGAAATGCCTAAGCTGCATAAGATTTTGGGGCTTGGAACCTTCTGTACGGTAACTTGGGCCAAGGCATTCGAGTGATCGGTGAGAATTTCATAAGGAAAAGTGTGCTTGGGAGGGGAGATCCCACACTGTGACAGCCTCTGCTGGGACCTGGAGAGCCTCTCCATGGGAGAGAGTGAGCTTGCCAGTAAGCTGCGGTAGAGGAGCTCAATCATGGATGCTTGCTTCTCTTTTTTAACCACTGTGCACCTGATAACAGGTTGGAGATCTCCTCTCACATCAGCGCCCCTGGTGAATGACATGACATTCAGGTTTCTAGCAAGTACTTCCTGTGCTTCGTTAAGTGAAATACCATGCATTTTTAGAAGATTTGATTTCTTGCTCTCCTTATTAAAATTCTCAATACATGCATATAATTCTGGAAGCTGTGGACAAAAAAAAAAGTGGTAAGTCACGAGACTGACAAAAATGTAATATTCTGGCAGACCTACAAACCCTAGAAAAAACCATAGGACAATAAATAACCATAAAGACAAAAGCATTTTTATCTTTGGAAGATATCTTTGCCTAACTAAAGCAAGTCAATTGTGGCAATGTGGAATAGAGAACAGAGAGGTCAAATCTCCGATTCACTCCCTTAAAGATGTATTATTTAGACACGTCTTATAAATGCTTGTTATAAAATTAGGCAGTTAGAATTGAACTAAGAAGTCTTGAAGATCTTTCCAACTCTGAAATTCTATGAGTGACCACGGAGAGAAATAGCTGTGGGAGACTGTGGCCTTTGCTTGTTTTGAACAATGCTATTATGTCTTTGAAGGAAGAAAGCGAGCCAGATCACTTAGATATCAGAGCTTCATCCTGTTGTCCAAAGAGCCCATAATGTTCAGGAATCCAGTGCTGAGGAGGCGACAATAGTCATTGCTCACTGGGATATGTGACCAGAGCAAATGGTGACATACATTGAGTATCTGGGAATAGTTATTGGCAGAAAAAAACAGTAACAGATCCCTGAGAGGACCTGTCCCCATCTAAAATCCTATACTTCCTACAAATCCTATCCTTTCTAAGAGGTTTCTTAGGCCATTACACTGGAAGGCCAAAGAGGCCATAGTCTCAGGTTAGGGCTGAAATTTAGGTCCTTTAGCCCAATGCAGAGTTTTCCTTCAATCCTAGTCAATTTTATTGCAAGGGCAACAAATAGAAAGTGAGCTAACGCGTGGGAAAGTAGAAGGGACTTTGGACGTCTTCCAGAATGTCAAGAGTCTGCGGCTACAGAGGCTACACAAGTGGTCCAGACCCTGGAACCAGTATGAGCTCTGCTACAAGGTGGTGCAGGAATATATGGATGCATTCTCAGTTACGCCAACTTCAAGTAAGAGGCGACAAGGGCCCGTGGACCAGGAGGATTGCTTTTAATATTTTATAATAGTCTGTTTTGTTAGTTTACCCCAAATTGTGTATCTGTCTTGTAACTGTTTTAGAAATTGGTACATAGGTGGAGATTTTATAAGTAAATGTGTTAGCACTGATAGTCTTTTTTTCCAGTGTTTTTTTGGGGAGTTAAATAGTGTGATGTTTGGACCGATATCATGAAATCTTTAGCCTGGAAATTGGGCTGGATTGTTCTCTGGTTAATACATCTTTTCCTAAAGAAAAAAAAAAAAAAGAAAGTGTGCTAACATTGGTGAATGGCTCTTTATAACGAATTATACAACCACACTATCACGAAAACAGCTCAGCACTTCTGCCCACCTGCCCTGGGAAGAGCTACACTTCTCTGTGACTAAGAATGTTAAGTCATTAAAGTGACATTTTGGAGTTTCCCATGGCTCCCAAGTGTGTCACTGTGCGTTCAATAGTTTGAATGTTTATGATTCTTGAATGTAAAGCTCCCTGTGTACACCTCGTTGTACAATGTTAAGTACATACTGAACATTGAGGAAGGGTGGCTTCTCTATTGTCCTCAGCTGGACTGGTGTCTCCAGTGAGGAACATCGTGCTGGGATTTTATTCTCTAATTCCTAAAAAAAGCAATATGAGAAAAGACAAAAATCAAAGATTAAAAATCAGATAGAATACAAAGGGGGAGGTGAGACTTCTTAAATCTTAATAAATTTGTGAGTGGGACATTTTGAAAATTTTATACCTGTATTAGTCCATTCTTGAATTGCTCTAAAGAAATATCTGAAACTGGGTAATTTATAAGAAAATAGGTTTAATTGGCTCATGGTTCTGCACACAGTCCAGGAAGCATGGTTGGGGAGGCCTCAGGAAACTTACAATTATTGGGGGAAGGCAAAGGAGAAGCAGGGCACGTCTTACATGGCCAGGACAGGAGAAAGAAAGAGCAAAGGGGGAAGTGCTATACACTTTTAAACAACCGGGTCTCATGAGAACTCACAATCATGAGAACAGCAAGGGGAAATCCTCCCCCATGATCCAGTCACCTCCCACCAGGCCCCACCTCCAACACTGGGGATAACAATTTGATGTGAGATTTGGGTGGGGACACAAATCCAAAGCATATCAATACAATTTAAACTTTTCATTTGCTTTTTCGTAGTTTAGGTCTGCCAAATTTGTCATGCTTCAACTGAGCATTTCACTGAAATACCCAAATTCTTCTACAACATGTGTATTTAGTTTTAATACTAGTGTAACAAATCCTATATGGATGGTTTTATTTTTTATTTTATGTATTTATTTTTTTGAGATGAAGTTTCACTCTTGTTGCCCATGCTGGAGTGCAATGGCACGATCTTGGCTCACTGCAACCTCTGCATCCCGGGTTCAAGCAATTCTCCTGCCTTAGCCTCCCAAGTAGCTGGGATTACAGGCATGTGCCACCACACCTGGCTGATTTTGTATTTTTAGTAGAGACAGGGTTTCACCGTGTTGGTCAGGCTGGTCTTGAACTCCTGACCTCAGGTGATCCACCCACCTCGGCCTCCCAAAATGCTGGGATTACAGGTGTGGGCCACCACGCCCAGCTGGATAGTTTTATTTTCTTGTCTTACATATTCTGATCAACTTTCAGTTCATCTAAAGAAAAACTCACCCACCTCCTTACACTCAAAAAGTGTTTTTTATTCAGGAGGAAAAGGCTCATATGTAATGATAATAATAAAAACAATAAATATTTTGAAAATAATTTACTTTGTGTCAGATACACTATAAGGCATTTTGCAGATGGAATTGTGTTTAATTTTTCTGCAAGACGTTAAAAATGGCCATGGAATCTCCACAATTCATCTCATTGATAAGTGGCAGTTAAGTTCTCTCCCACATTTTACTGGGCTGGCCTATGCTTGGCTTTGATCAATAGCTTGTGGCATTGTGTCAGTGACATAGTGTGAGTGCCAGAACCCAGACCTTAAGAGGCTTTGCGGCTTTCCTACACATTCTTGGGAGCCTGAGCCACCATGTAAAGAGAGATCTGGCTGCCTATCTGGAGAGACCATGCAGACTCAGCAGCCAGTATTGACCACTAGACATGTAGATAAAGCCATCTTGGTTCACCCAGCCCCAGACGAGCCTCCAGATAACTACAGCAGCATAAGCAACCTCAGCCAATCCCAGATGGAGAAGAACTACCTCCCAGCTGAGCAAGGCAACTCTAAAATTTTGACAAAGAGTAAATTATTATTGTTTCAAACCACTAAGCTTTGCATGAATTGTTATATAGCAATAAATACAGATAAACCCCATAAAACTTCACATTCTTGGCTTAATTTATTCCAGTGAAACCCTTATTGGTAGGTAAGAGAATATATGGATGGAAAATATATTTCTAGGTACAGGGTACCACTGTATCATGACTGGCAGCTGTGGTCACTGGGATGAGTGTCTGAGATGAACCAAAAACACTCACTTGGTATTTGGAATGAAGTGAAAACAATTATGTTTCTCTTCCTTCCTGAGTAAAGTAGAAAAACCCAGAATGGATACACACACACACAAAAACACACACACACACATACACAAACATGGATATATATATATATATACATGTATGTATATGCATATATACATATATATATAAAATCTCAAATACATTTTTGTCACTATTTGTCACTACTGAGATCACTATATTGATATACAGGACTAGAAAAGCAATACAGTGCAGCATGCCTGCCACAGACCTGTTTATCTCTAGGCAATTACAATGAGACTTGATTGTGCTTTCCTCCTGCAAAGGAAGGAAATTTTTTCTGCAAAGGAAAATATTTCTCTAATGTGCTTTACCTAAAACCTGTCAATGTCTTCCAGTCAATCATTGCTATTGTCTTTCAGACAGCTTCAGAGTTGTCCACCATAGGAAGGTTGCCTTCTCCCATCACCAAGGGTTAATAAATTTTCTCCTCCCTTCCCTCAGAGGAGGGAAAGATGTAATCTCTCGCCTCTCTCCCCTTTTCTCTCTCTCTCCCTGCCACCTCCCAATTTTAATCAGCAGTGCCAATATCCAACTTCAATGGCCAATCTCCAACTCTCTATACATGGAGTCAAAGCAATAGCTAAGAAATATGTCCTCATGTTATTACAATAGTATTGATGATGACAAGGAATGGAGCACAAATAAGTTTAGATTCTTGCTCATTCTCTTTGCTAAACTACCGTTGGGTGCATTTCCCTCTCACTGAAGTGTCAGGATTCCGAATGCTGAAACAGATCACTAGCCGAAAATGCTTTTAGACACTTAAAGGTTGACTTGACTAGCAAACTTTTAACCTCAGTTTTTGCTTGATCCAAGTCAATGCCTAAATCTAGACCAGCCCTTTGACCCAATCTCTCATGGAGAGTGTTCCTGGTGAAGTCATGGAAATATGGCCAATGGCCTGTTTACAGATTTGTGTGAGTAAAGTGAAGCTTTTGCAGGGGACTGTGGCACTTCTCTTCATCGTTACTCCCACAGATTCCTACAGTAAATTTTCCTTGTACTGTGAAGAGCAAGGGCGTCTCACAGAAACTCTCGGGGATGGTATCCTCTTCTCCATTTGCACTCACCCCCAACTTTTCACCCTTCCCTCCAAATCAGAAGGAAAAAAGTTCTCTCTGCTCATCTAATGTTAATTTTTTCTCTCTCCCACCCAGGGTGTATATTTTATCCTCCTCGTAATTCTTTTTCTTTTCTTTTCTTTTTTTGAGATAGAGTCTCACTCTGTCACCCAGGCTGGAGTACAGTGGCACAGTCTCAGCTCACTGCAACCTCCAGTTCCCGGGTTCAAGCCATTCTCCTGCCTCAGCCTCCCAAGCAGCTGGGACTACAGGCAAGCGCCACCACACCCGGCTAATTTTTTTATTTTTAGTAGAGACAGGGTTTTGCCATGTTGCCCAGGCTGGTCTCAAACTCCTGACCTCAAGTGATCCACCCACCTCAGCCTCCCAAAGTGCTGGGATTACAAGCGTGCACCATTGCGCCCGGCCCCTCCTCATAACTCTTGTGGAATATTTCCCCTCAGTTATCCTCCCTTCCCTTCCAACAACAACTCCTCTTGTCTTCCTTCTTGCTTCCTATCATTCTCTTATCTTCAGTCTCATGTTCCCCAATGGCTCCTTCCTTTCTTTGCAAATATGTAAAATGTTTTCCACTTGGGGTAATAATGCAACTTCTCTTGACTGTGATCCTACCACTAACCCTGGACTCTTGTCTCTTCTTTACCTCTGAACTTGCTGTATTTATATTTTCATCATGTAATCTTCAGTATAATGACATTTAGCTTCCACCTGGCTGATGAACTAAAATTGAATTCTTAAAAACAATAGTGACTTCTTAATTATCAATTCTAGTGTAGTTTTTACAGTCCTCACTTTTCTTTTTTCTTTTTTGAGACAGAGTCTGGTTCTCTCACCCAGGCTGGAGTGCAGTGGCGCAGTCTCGGCTCACTGCAACCTCCGTCTCCCGGGTTCAAGCAATTCTCCTGCCTCACCCTCCTGAGTAGCTGGGATTACAGGGATGTGCCACCATGTCTGGATAATTTTTGTATTTTTGGTAGAGTCGGGATTCTGCCATGTTGGCCAGGCTGGTCTCAAACTCCTGACCTCAGGTGATCCACCTGCCCTGGCCTCCTAAAGTGCTGGTATTACAGGTGTGAGCCACTGTGCTCGTCCAATTTATAAATTTCTTGACCAGACTTACAAAGACTATTCACAATCTGCTTCTGACACTTTTCTATCATTTAAAAATATCATATTTCGGCCGGGCGCGGTGACTGGCGCCTGTAATCCTAGCACTTTGCGGGGCTGAGGCGGGTGAATTACAAGGTCAAGAGATCAAGACCATCCTGGCCAACATGGTGAAACCCCATCTTTACTAAAAATACAAAAATTAGCTGGGCATGGTGGTGCATCCCTGTAGTCCCAGCTACTCGGGAGGCTGAGGCGGGAGAATCGCTTGAACCCGGGAGGTGGAAGTCGCAGTGAGCTGAGATCAAGCCACTGCACTCCAGCCTGGAGAAAGAGTGAGACTCTGTCTCAAAAAAAAATGATAATAATAATGACCATATTTCAATGCTACCGCAATGCCATAAATGTTCTCTGTACTTTAGCCAGCTGGGCTCATTTTTTTCTGAAAAAATCTTCTGCGCTTCTGTGCATTCTTTCTTTGAGCTTATGCTCACTCTGATTTCCCATTTAGTCAGACAGAATGTCCTTCCTTCTCTTTTATGACAATCTAAATAAAAACATAGTAGAACTGAAGCTGAAATGGAGAGAACCACAATGTTGAATAGCTATTGTGTCATATAAAAGGGAAACATAAATAACAGGAAATGAAATAAAGGCTAAAAATTATTTAAAGAGAACTCAATTATGGTGAATCGATTTTCTGACAAAGTTGCCAAAATAATTCAATGGAGGAAAATAGTCTTTTCAATAAATGGTGCTGGGACAATTAAATATCCACACATAGAAGAATGACATTAGACCCCTACCTCAATCCTTACACAAAATGAACCTAAAATGGATTATAGAACTAAGTATGAGAGCTGAAACTATAAAACTCCTAGAATAAAACATAAGGGTAAATTTTTGTGACCCTGGCTTAGACAATGGTTTCTTGCGTATAACACGAAAACATAAGCTACAGAAGAAGAGAATAAATAAGTTGGACTTCATCACAATTAAAAACTTTGGTGCTTTAGTGAAAATAGTGAAAAGACCAATCACAGAATGAGAGAAAATATTTACAAATCATACATCTGACAAGGAACTTGTATACAGATGTACAAAGAACACTTAGAAATCAGCAATTAAAAGACAACCCAGCTGAAATATGGGCAACGGGACTTCTAGTGTGGCTTCTCCTCTGGCATGCAAGGAGCTTGGAAGTACCAGCAACTCTTCTTAGATCTGGCAGAGAAGTAAGGTCACAGGGCAAATTGCTGACCTAAAATTGGAGAAACAGACAGGCAAATACAGGGAATTGCAGCTTACTGAAGTAGGAAGCTCCTCGAGAACAGGGCAGAAGCCTCCAGAAGAGCCAGTACAGGAATCATGTTCGGCTTTCAACAAAAGATTATAAGGCAAAAAAACAGAGTTTGAAGAGACAGGGCAAGCATCAGAACTAGATTCAGATGTGGCAGGGATGCTGGAATTACCAGACTGTGAATGTAAAACAACCATGATTAATGTGCTAAGGACTCTCATGGGAAACGTAGACAGCATGCAAGAATAGACAGGTATATAAGCAGAAGATGAGAATTCTAAGAAAGAATCAAAAAGAAATGCTAAAGGTCAGAAACACTGTCAGAGAAATGCAGAATGCCATTGATGGGCTCATTAGTAGACTGGCTATGGCTGAGGACAGAATGTCCGAGCTTGAGGATATCTCAACAGAACGTTCCAAACCTGAAAAATCAAGAGAAAAAAGGCCAGGTGTGGTGGCTTATGCCTGTAATACCAGCACTTTGGGAGGCCGAGGCGGGTGGATCATGAGGTCAGGAGTTCAAGACCAGCCTGACCAACATGGTGAAACCCTAGCTCTACTAAAAATACAAAAATTAGCCAGGCGTGGAGGCATGTGCTACTCGGGAGGCTGAGGCAGGAGAATCGCTTGAACCCAGGAGGCGGAGGTTGCACTGAGCCAAGATCGCGTCACTGCACTCCAGCCTGGGTGACAGAGCAAGACTCCATCTCAAAAAAAAAAAAAAAAAAAAAAAAAAAGAGAGAGAGAAAGAAAAACACTGGAAAATAAATGGTAACAGAATATCCAAGAATTGTGGGACAATTACAAAAGGTATAACATATGCATAATGAGAATACCAGCAGAAGAAAGAAACAAAAGCAATATTTGAAGCAATAATGATTTAAAATTTCCCCAAATTAATGTTGTACACCAAGCCACAGATCCAAGAAGCTCAGAGAACATCAAATAGGTTAAATGCATAAACCCCCCAAAACAAAAAACTTCACATAGGTATATCATATTCATACTGCAGAAAACCAAAGATAAAGAAAAGAAATCTTGAAAGAAGCCACAGGAAGATTAAAAGTAATTATTTGCTATAAATAGCAAAGATAAGAATTACCTCTTCCTTCTCCTCAAAAAGCATGCAAAGAAGCAGAGAATGGAATGAAATGGTTAAAGTGTTGAGAGAAAAAAACCCACCAACCTAGAATTCTGTATTCTGTGAAATTATCCTTCAAAAGCAAAAGAGAGAGAGGGCCAGGCGTGGTGTCTCATGCCTGTAATCCCAGCACTTTGAGAGGCTGAGGTGGGTGGATCATGAAGTCAGGAGTTCGAGACCAGCCTGGTCAACATGGTGAAACCGTGTCTCAACTAAAAATACAAAAAGTTAGCCAGCTTAGTGGCGTGCATCTGTAATCCCAGCTACGCAGGTGGCTGAGGCAGGAGAATTGCTTGAACCTGGGAGGCAGAGGTTGCAGTGAGCCGATATCACGCCATTGCACTCCAGCCTGGGTGACAGGGCGAGACTCCATCTCAAAAAAAAAAAAAAAAAAAGAAAAGAAAAATAGAGGTGCTTTCTCAGGAAAACAAACATTTAAGGAATGTGTTGCCAGTAGACCTGTCTTGCAAGAAATGTTAAAGAAGTTCTTCAGAGAGAAGGATAATCATGTAGGTAAGAAACTCAGATCTATATAAGGAAGTGAAAAGTATTAGAGAAGGAGTAAATGAAGATTAAAATAAAAATGTTTATTTTTCATATTCTTAATTGATGAAAAGATAACAGTTTGTTCAAAATAATAATAGCAGGCTGGACTAGGTGGCTCATGCCTGTAATCCCAGCACTTTGGGAGGCTGAGGCAGGAGGATCGTTTGAACCTAGGAGTTTGAGGCCAGCCTGGGCAACATTGGGAGACCCCGTCTCTAAATAAAAAAAAAAAAAAAAACAAAATATAATGGCAAGAATGTATTCAAACAATTATAGCTTATTATAAAATGAAACAAATGACAACAATGACATAGAGAACAAGAAGAAATAATTAGGAGTATTTTGTTATTATAAGGTACTCACACTGCCTGCAAGGTGTAGTGTAATTTGAAAGTGGTCTTGGGTTAGTTGTAAACATATACTGCAAACTCTAGGGCAACCACTAAAAAGTAAAAAAAATATATAATTGATATGCTAAGAAAGGAGAAAAATTGAATCATATAAAATGGCCTATTAAAACTACAAGAGGCAGAAAGTGTGGAAGACAAAAACAGAAACAAGGAACAAGGGCAAAAAATAAAAAAACAGTAAAACATTTGGTGAATATTAATACAAACCCGTCACGACCACTTTTAATGTCAATGGTCTAAATACACTAATTAGAAACAGAGAGTGTCAGAGTGGACCAAAAAGAAGACCCAATTAATTATATGTTGTCTACAAGACACACACTGTTATTTACTTTTTTAAATGAGATGGGGTCTATGTTGCCCAGGCTGGTTTCAAACTCCTAGGCTTAAGCAATGCTCCTGCCTCAGCCTCCCAAGTAGGTGGGACTACATGTGCGTGCCACTGTACCTGGCCAGAAACACACTTTAAGCATAAGAACTCTCATAGATCAAAAGTAAAGAGATACAGAAAGAGATATTATCCTTGAAAGAATACAGGAGCTATACTGATTTCAGAGCAAGAAAATTTATCAGAGATGAGGAGGGGCTTTACATAATGATAAAGGGGTCAATACATAACAATTTGTAACATGTATGCACCTAACAACAAAGTGTCAAAACGTGAGGCAAGCCAGGCATGGTGGCTCATGCCTGTAATCCCAGTACTTTAGGAGGCTGAGGTGGGCAGATCACCTGAGGTCAGGAGTTCGAGATCAGCCTGGCCAACATGGCGAAACCCTGTCTCTACTAAAAACGTAAAAAAATTAGCCAGGTGTGGTGGCAGGCACCTGTAGTTAGTCCCAGCTACTCGGGAGGCTGAGGCAGGAGAATAGCTTGAACCCTGGAGGCAGAGGTTGCAGTGAGTGGAGATCACACCACTGCACTCCAACCTGGGTGACAGAGAGAGACTTTGACGAAAAACCAAAAAACAAAACAAAACAAAAAACCCAAAACAAACCATGGGAGGCAAAAACTGATAGAAGTACAAGAAGAAAATAGAGGGACCCACTATTATAGTTGGAGACTTTAATACCCCTCTATCGAAAATGGACAGATCCAGCAGGCAGAATATCAGTAAGGACATAGTTGAACTGAACGGTCCCATCAATCAACTGGATATAATTGACATCTATAGACTACTACTTCATCCAGCAATGGCAGATTACACATTCTTCTCAAGATCAAGTCCACATGGGACATTCACCAGACTCCGGGCCATAAAACACACATGAATTAATTTAAAGGAATAGAAAATCATACAACGTCTGTTCTCATACTACAGTGGAGTTAAGTTAGATGCCAATAACAGAAAGCTGGAAATTTTCAAAATACCTGGAATATGATCTTGTTTTTGTTTAAAATACATCTATAGTGAAGGCTTATATATTCATTTTAAAATAGAGAACGACATACCCCAAGAGAGGGACTGCCCAAACAGTAGTCCCTAAGAGTTTGGGTTGCAGTGGAACTTTTACTTTCCTTGTATGTTTAAATTTTTCTTTCATGAATTAGCATAGTAAGTAAAGAAGTAATTCCAAGTTGAATGAGAGAAGTTAGTATAACAAATGGCAGAGATGTGTGCTGAAATAGATCTCCAGAGATGTGAAAAAGGTAGTATGTATTTAAAGAAAAAAATAAGAAAAAATATCCAATGATGAGCTCATAATTGAACAAATTTAGAGAAATTACAAAACTGTACAGAAATGTTTAATGACAGGAAATTTTTAAAATAATATTTATACTAAACAAAAACAAATTATGAGAAGGTATCTGTAATATAATTCTATTTCTGTAAAAAAAAAAAACAAACATATATGGGCCAGGTGGCTCATGCCTGTAATCCCACCACTTTGGGAGGCCGAGGAGGGCTGATCTCGAGGTCAGGAGATTGAGACCATCCTGGCCAACATGGTGAAACCCCATCTCTACTAAAAATACAAAAAATTAGCCAGGCGTGGCGGCGCATGCCTGTAGTCCCAGCTACTCAGGAGGCCGAGACAAAGGAATCACTTGAACCCGGGAGGCGGAGGTTGCGGTAAGCTGAGATTGTGCCACTGCACTCCAGCCTGGCGACAGAGTGAGACTCTGTTAAAAAAAAAAAAAATCATATATGATTCATTTAAAAATGTTAACAGTTCCATCTAGTGGTAAGATTATGAGAAATTTGTGTTTTCTTTCTTACAATTCTTTGCACTTTTATGTATTTTACAATGAAGATTTATTACTTTTGCAATTAAAAAAGACACATTTTCAGATCAGCAGAAAGAAAAAAAAAGAAATGGATGAAGGCAGCTGTCTGTAGAAATTACACATCATAGGAGATTGCTTATAATGTTTCACTGAGGAGTTATAGTTTAGAGAAGTCCAAATAAGGTGGCTTATTGCACTCCCTGAAGGGCCTGGATGGCTGGACTGGGGCTCAGCAGCAAACCCTTACAGCCTGCCTGGGGCTAGAGGGGTAACTGGAAGTGAGTGCCAATGGGCACCATGCTTCTTTTGGGGCTGACAGAAAAGTTCTCAAGTTATATTGTTGGTTGAACAACTCTGTGAATTTACTAAAAATCACTGAATTGTATGCTAAAAAGAGTGAGTTTTATCTTAGGTAAATTATACCTAAATAAAGCTGTTTTTAAAAGAAAACAAAAATCTAGTCAGTTACATTGTGATCTGCTTGAAGGAAAACTGTGTTAACAGAAGGGCCTTCCTGGTATGTATAAAAGGGAATCTGGGCTGTTAGAATTTTCCAGGATGCACCCAGCACCACTCAGGGTAAGACACCCCGATGGTGGAGCAGTTCAGTGCCCTGAGCATTATGTGTCTTATAGATAATGAAGGCACTGGTGCACACAAACTCGATGATACTGACCATTACTAAGAGCTATGAATACTAGCTGATATTCTGTGAACATTTACTATATGCCTTTATAATCATATGGTTCTAAGAACTTAAATATATTATCTGATTTGATCCACCCAACAACTTTCTGACACATGTACAATTATAATCCCCATTTTACATTTGAAGAAATTGAAACACAGACAAGGTAAGCACCCCTTCCCTAGCATCAAAGAGCTTATAAGTGGCGAATCTGAGATGAAACCAGTAGTTTGACATGAGAACCCACAGTTTTATATATTATGCTATAGTGGATAAATATGATCTTGCCGCACATGCATTTCAGTGCAATTTAATTTGCTTTCTTCTTTTCCTTTTTTTTTTTTTTTTGGCAATAGAGTCTTGCTCTGTCACCCAGGCTGGAGTGCAGTGGCGCTATCTCGGCTCACTGTAACCTCTGCCCTCCTGGGTTCAAGCGATTCTCCCACCTCAGCCTCTCAGGTAGCTGGGACTACAGGCACACACCACCACGCCCGGCTAATGTTTGTATTTTTAGGAGAGACGGGGTTTCACCATGTTGGCCAGGCTGGTCTTAAACTCCTGACCTCAAGTGATCCACTTGCCTCAGCCTCCCAAAGTGGTGGGATTACATGCGTGAGCCACCGCAACCGCACTAATTTGCTTTTCTTTTCTTTTTCTTTTTCTTTTTTTTTTTTTTTTTTTGAGATGGAGTCTCCCTCTGTTGCCCAGGCTAAAGTGCAGTGGTATGACCTTGGCTCACTGCAACCTCCACCTCCCGGGTTCAAGCGATTCTTCTACCTCAGCCTCCCGAGTAGCTAGGACTATAGATGTGCACCGCCACTCCTGGCTAATTTTTGTATTTTTAATAGAGATGGGGTTTCACCATATTGGCCAGGCTGGTCTGGAGCTCCTGACCTCATGACGCGTCCACCTCCGCCTCCCGAAGTGCTGGGATCACAGGCGTGAGCCACTGTGCCGGCCCTAATTTGCTTTTCTTTTGTGCCCCTACCCCCTCTCCCCTGGCTTCTCATATTAACGCTTTCATCAGGTAACCTATATATTGAGCTTATTTTTTCTATGCTTATGGAGACAGCCCCCTCTTTGCTTTTCTTACTAATGATGGAAAGTCCACCAACTCACCTAGTATATATACCTCTGTTCATCATGAGTGCCGCCTTATACTATTTTTACAGGAACGTGTTCCGATTTCCACTTCAGCCCTGTCATTTAGCACATCCTAGGCCCTTCTGCCTGGGCACAAGCCAGAGATGCCAGGAGAGAACTGGGGCTGCATGTTCCAGGTCCTGCCCGGAGCTGGCCTGCGTGGTAGATACTCATCTTCTTTTCTCCAGGTGGGGGATCCCCATCTATTTCAGGGTGCTAAGAATAGCTTTGGTTGTGGGAGGGAGATTGTTATCAAACTGAACTTGGGTCTGTGCCGAGCACAGCAAAGCCAAACACTGACATCATGATTGTAGCAAGAGAAAGTGAGGCATGTATTACAGGACGTCAAGCAAGGAGACTTGGGCGATTCTCATGCTTAAGAACCAAACTCCCTGATGGCTTACATAGACAAGGTTTTATAGGAAAAGTCGTACATTTCGTTGTTTTTTTTTTCTGGAGATGGAGTCTTGCTCTGTCGTCCAGGCTGGAATACAGCAGCAAGATCTCAGCTAATGCAACCTCCACCTCCTGGGTTCAAGTGATGTTCCTGCCTCAGCCTCCCAAGTAGCTGGGATTACAGGTGCCCACGACCAGGCCTGGCTAATTTTTCTATTTTTAGTAGAGACAGGACTTCACCATGTTGGTCAGGCTGGTCTTGAACTCCTGGCCTCAAGTGATCCTCCCCTCTTGGCCTCCCAAAGTCCTGGGATTACAGGCGTGAGCCACTATGCCCGGCCTCTTGTGGAGTTTACAGGCTAGCAAGGGGGAACTTATAGAACATCATACACAAGATAAGTGAATTCGTAAGTTTGAAAGCCATTAAGTGCAATGAAGGTTATCAGAGAGATCAGGGTAAAAGGGATTGGGAGTGTGGTGATGGAGGGTTGCAACTTTAAATAGGGTGGTTGTGTTGACCTCACTGGGAAGGTAACATTTGAGCCAAAGCCTGTAGAGGTGACACTGAGCCCTGAGAAAAACAGGAAGAATCTTCCAGGCAGAAGGACCAGCCGGGGCAAAGGCCATGTGCTGGAGGAAGAGCAGCTTGCAAGAGAAACAGGAAAGAGGGAGAGAGGAGGGGAAAGTAAGAGAGCCCTGCCTTCTTAGAGCCTTGCAGAGAGGGAACTGAGGAGCTTTTGCAGGCTCAAAGGAAGACAGGATCTGGCTTACATTCTTTTTTTTTTCTGCTGCCGCAAGACTTTCTTTGTGCAGCAGGCTGAGCTGAGTAGTTGGCACAGCTTTGTTTTGTTTTGTTTTTCTAACTTACATTTATTCTTAAAGGAGCACTCTGGCTGCCATGTACAGCTTATAATTTATCAATTAGAAACTTATTAATTAAAAATGCTGAATATGTACTAACAGTAATTGTACAGTATGAGTCCACCATATAAAAAATGAGGCCAAATATGTATTTTATGTAGGAAAGAAAATACGTTTGTCTGTCAAGTGAGAATTTATGCATAGTTGTGAATTCACAGAGCATCCTCTGGAAGGACGCACGCCACTTTTTTTAGATGGAGTCTCACTCTGTCGCCCAGGCTGGATTGCAGTGGTGCAATCTTGGCTCACTGCAACTTCCACCTCCCGGGTTCAAGTGATTCTCCTGCCTCAGTCTCCTGAGTAGCTGGGATTACAAGTACCCACCACCACGCCCAGCTAATTTTTGTATTTTTAGTAGAGACGGGGTTTCACCATGTTGTCCAGGCTGGTCTCGAACTCCTGACCTCAGGTGATCCACCCACCTCAGCCTCCCAAAGTGTTGGGATTACAGGCGTGAACCACCACGCCCAGCCCCGCAGGCCACTTCTTAATAGAAGGGAGTTAGTGCGAAGGCATGAAAGAGGGGCTTTGGCACTTTACTATTTTGAATGTTTTCCACTATTTGGATTTGTTTTTTACAGAAAGCATGTGTTCCTTTGGTGATGTGTTACAGACCAGGCAGCCTTCCTGTTTGGAGGAGAAATTAGTCTCTATGGAAAGTGTCTATCGAGTTACTATTGTACTCAGTCCCATGACAGGCCCTTTGGGAACATGAAACAAGATTTGAAGCAATTCCTACTCTTGAGAATACTTTTCAAGATAGAAAAGTGGGCATAGGGGATTTTCTCTCTCCTTCCTGAATTCAACATGATGATAGAGAATAAATTAGATGTTCAAGTATAAACCTTTCACTACAACAGAAACAACTGTGGTGTAATTTGAAATATATTTGGTCTCTGTCCCCAGTTCTGGCCATAGAGCACCTAAAACCCCTGAATTTTTTTTTTTTCTTTTTCTTTTCTTCTTTTTTTTTTTTTGAGATGGAGTTTCACTCTTGATGCTCAGGCTGGAGTGCAATGGCGCGATCTCGGCTCACCGCAACCTCTGCCTCCCAGGTTCAAGCGATTCTCCTGCCTCAGCCTCTCAGACCCTTAACTGTGATCCCCCAGGCTCTAGCCATCTAACAGGTGACAAAACTGCATTTAGCAAGCCACATCGCCTGAATCTAACATTCAGAGTCCAGATTCACTTTCTTGCAGGCTTCCAGCACCATCTGGCTACATTGTTCTTAGGCTTTTCTAATAAGAACTGGTCCCCATACTCACAGACAGTTGCTTTGCAACTACCATATTGCATCAATTTCACATTTTCACATTTCTGAAAAGCAGGCTGCATCTCACAATCAGTTGGTCTCACAGTTGATGTTGGCCCAGTGGCCTCAAGACTAGTTCCTATGGCCTAGATCTGCATGAAGTTGGACATAGCTGTTCATAAGGCCATCCATTCACCTTATATATACACACATTATGGAGTGTACAAGTTGAGTTTAATTGCTTTCAAGTGCTTTCTAGATCTGTACCATCCAATATGGTAGCCACTAGCCAAATGTGGTTACTGAGAGCTTGCAGTGTGAGTAGTCCAAATTGAGATGTGCTGAAGTATGAAAACAGAATGAAAAGTATCTCATTAGGGATTTTCATATCAATTACATAAAGATAATATTTTAGATACATTGAGTTAAATAAAATATAGCGTTAAAATTAATTTTGCCTGTATCTTTCACCTTTTCTCTTTTAAAATAATTTTTTTTGTAGAGACAGGGTCTTGCTATGTTGCCCAGCTGGTCTCCAACTCTTGGCCTCACATGATCCTCCCACCTCAGTCTCTTATAGTGCTGGGATTACAGATGTGAGCCATTATGTTGGCCTCTTTCACCTTTTCTAATGTGGCTACCTGGAAGATCACATTAAAATCACATCAGTGACTTGCATTCTATTTCTATTGGACAAGGCTGATCTCAAAGATAACACTGATTTAGTAGTGGTCATGGTAGGCACTGAATACGGCAGCAGATGTATGATAAAAACCAATGCCTAAATAGATCTAAAAGAGCTCTTCTTCTCTAAAACAAAGTAGATATAAAATAAAAATTATAAGTGATTACAGAGCATGTCAGAGTTTAAATGGGAGTGTGTTCTTTCTTGGCGAATGAATACTTATGAAGATCTGTGCACCCCAAACCCAGACGAAGAATATCGGGAACACCACTGAAGCCTTCTGTCTCCATCCTCAGTTCCATCTTTCTCCCTCCCTAATCCCAGGGATAACCACCCTCCTGAATTTTGTGTTTAGCATTCTCCTCCTTTTTTATTTCTATTTTTCACATGTGCATGTATCCCTGACAACATACTCTATTGTCATTTCTGCATGTGTTTGAACCTTACGTAAACAAAAGCATCCTATAGATATCTCCTGCAAACTTACACCTCTCTTTTTTTGAGATGGAGTTTCACTCTTGTCGCCCAGGCTGGAGTGCAATGGCACAATCTCAGCTCACTGCAACCTCCGCCTCCCAGGTTCAAGGGATTTTCCTGCCTCAGTCTGCTGAGTAGCTAGGATTACAGGCACCTGCCACCACAACCAACTAATTTTTGTGTTTTTAGTAGAGACGGAGTCTCACCGTGTTGGCCAGGCTGGTCTTGAACTCCTGACCTCAGGTGATCCACCCACCTCGGCCTCCCAAAGTGCTGGGATTACAGGCATGAGTCACCGTGCCCAGTCACATCTCCCTTTTAAACATTTTATTTTTAATTGTGGTAAAAACATATAACAAAATTTACCATCATAACCATTTGTAAGTGTAATATTCAGTAGTGTTAACTGCATGCGCATCATTGTGTAACGCATCTCCAGAAGCCTTTCATCTTGTAAAACTGAAACCTTATACCCACTGAAAAACTCCCACTTCTCCCTTCTCCCGAACCCTGGCAGCCACCATTCTGCGTTCTGTCTCTGAGCGTGACTACTCTAGGACCCTCATATTAGTGAAATCATACAATATTGGTTTCTTGGGGACTGTCTTATTTCACTTAGCATGATGTCCTCCGGGTTCATCCACGTTATAGAGTAATACTCCATTGTGGGTTGCACGCTTCAGTTTGTTTATCCATTCATCTGTGGGGAGGCGATTGAGTAGCTTCTACCTCTTTGCGATTGTGAATAAAGCTGCTCTGAAGGTGTATGCTTCCTATTTTTAGTGTCACCTGGAATGAGGTTTTCTTTTTTACTGGCCCGCAAATCACTCTAATTGACCTATTCAGGGCATCAGCACAGAATTCTAATAAATAGAATAGAACTCTAACAAATAAAAAGAAAAGATTTATCACAATTCTCAAAGTAAAAGCATGACTTTAAAAAATGATTGTTTCCTGTGAGTGAGAGGAGATGCTCACATTCCTGCTTTCCCCTAAAGAATCCTGATGATACTTGGGCACTGGGTCAGTTTGTCAGTTTCCACATCCCACAGCTTTCTTTCCACCTTATTTCTATTAATTTACAAAACTTCAGCTCTCAGTTATAAGTCTCCTGCAATGACAGCTAGTGTTTGGTGGCCCTGCCAGGTGGCTTACAATTTACTCATGTAACAAACATGTCACTGAGTTCTCTACAAAAGCAAACATGATGGGGTGATTTCCCTCTGAAGTCTCCTCTCAGCTGCTGAGCAGTTGATCGTCTCAGCTGAGGACAGCTTGGCAAAGAGATAATAAATCCATGCTTGGTTGTATTTGCCTTGGAAAGATGTTTTCAGGTTCTCTTGCAGCATTTGAATGTAATTTTAAAGGACACTCAATCGCATGCCATTGATTTCTGTCACTGAGGGGTGAAGGAGTTTACTAAGGATTTGGGAAAAGTGAAACCTTCTGCAGTGCAGCCATTGTACTACAGCTTGGACTTCCTAAGCCAGTCTGACATGGCATCTTCCACATTAATAGTGCAGACTTTTCAGTCCTGACAAGCAGAGCAGGCTATATAAAGTCATGATTACTTGGTGAAGACCCTCGGGGCCGCAAGCAGCCAATTAAAGCAGCCAAACTGGACTCGTGGATTAACACATGAAATAATTTTTTTTAAATCTCATTTGCATTTCAAAAACCTTAACAAGTACTACTTTTCTCTCAACATCTAATTGTCTTGAGCATGAAAACAGGGTATAAAATGTATATGTGTTATTTAAAGAATAAAAAGACAAGGAACAAAGACTAAAAATGCACTCACCAATGGGTTAAGAAACAGTATCATGAGACCTCTGGATGGCCGTCTCCAAGTGAATCCCTTCCCTCCAACCACAGTCTACCCCACTCTCAGTTCTGTGGACGTCACTGCCTTGTTATTCTCTATAGTTTTGCTATTGATTTACATGTCCCTAACATGACAGTATTTACTTTTGAAAACGGAGTAGCAAGCCATGGATGAAAGGGAAAGCAATGTTTCCCAAGCTAGAGGCAGGCTCCCAGGGGACTGTGATCTGCACAGAGGCAGGTCCCTGTCTGGTTTCCACTTCCTGCGAGTTCACACGGGTCTCTTTGGGGAAGCCAAAGGGCAAAGTTTTGACTGAGTCTGGGATAACAGCACCACTGTCAGGACATCTGGTAGGACTACACAGTGGGCCAGAGATGGCAATTCAGCCAAAATGCAGTCAGGGAACGGGCACTGCTCTACATTTTTTGTATTTTCTGTAATTTTTGCTCCCTATGGCCAAGTATCAAACCTCAGGAGTGGATCAAAGCAGAACTCTTTGGGGTACAGTGAATGCTCTCTGTCTTTTTGCTCTCTCTCTTTTTTCACCAGGCTGCCAGGCTGTCTTTTTCATCTTTTTCTTGTGCACATTCCTCTACTTTATCTTCTAACCTTTCTATTTTGTTTTCATTCACTTAGCTTATAAGAGCTGTTTTTAGGCTGGGCGTGGTGGCTCACATCTGTAATCCCAACACTTTGGGAGGCTGAAGCGGGTGGATTGCTTGAGCCCCAGATTTTGAGACCAGCCTGGGTAACATGGCAAAAACCTATCTCTACAAAAAATACAAAACTTAGCCAGGCATAGTGGTGCACCTATAGTCCCAGCTACATGTGAGGCTAAGGTGGGAGGATCCACTGAGCCCCGGAGACTGAGGCTGTAGTAAGCCATGATCATGCCTCTCCACACCAGCCTGGACAACAGAGTGAGACCCTTTCTAAATAAATAAATAAGAAGAAGATTTAAAAAGAGCTATTTTTATCCCAAATGTTCCTTTTCATGTGATTCATTCTTGTTTCATGGTGCAAAATTATCTTCTCTTATCCCTCAAAGATACACTGATTGTTCTTTTGAAGTTTTCTTCTGCCAACATAGTCTCTCTTTTTTGTCCCTGTTTGTTTTGGCCCCTACCTTCCATTATAGAGGCAGTCCTCTGACGGTCTGGGGATCATTGGTCATCTGCTCAGTAAGAGTGAAGTGCTCAAAAGCTGGCAGGAGGCTCTGCACGCATTGGTGGGACTCACGGACTTTGGGTGAACCCTTTGTGGGAGGGTCCCTTGATGTGATGAGTATGTTTAGGTTTTTCCTGAGCTGGTAGGATTCTCCAGAGATTTCCATTTGTCTGCACTGAGGGTAGGGGTTGCACTTTATTTATTTTTTCTACTTTTGTTTTTGTTTGTTTTTGTTTTTTTGAGACTGAGTCTCACTCTGTTGCCCAGGCTGGAGTGCAGTGGTGAGATCTCGGCTCACTGCAACCTCCACCTCTTGGGTTCAAGCGATTCTCCTGCCTCAGCCTCCAGAGTAGCTGGGATTACAGGTGCCTGCCACCACCCCCGGCTAATTTTTGTATTTTTAGTAGAGACTGGGTTTCGTCATGTTGGCCAGGCTGGTCTCAAACTCCTGACCTCAGGTGATCTGCCTGTCTCGGCCTCCCAAAGTGCTGGGATTACAGGCGTGAGCCACCGTGCCCAGCCTGTTTTTTCTACTTTTATTTTAGCTTCAGAGAGTACGCGCGCAGGTTTGTTACATGAGTTAATTGCATGTCACTGAGTTTTCTAAAGTGAGACCATTTGTACACAAAGGGTCTCATTTTTAGAGAATGTTGAATGCTGAGTTGGGGGCCTTGCATCTAGCACTTACACATTCACACAACTCCTTGTTTGTCTGTGGGTTTATTTATTGTTTTTTGGTATGATATTTACACCCCCTGCTGGGCCTGGCACTCCCCCAGTTGGGTGACCTGAACCTGTTTTAGTTTCTCTGTAGAAAAAAAAACCTTTAGATTTCCACCAGGTGGAAGCAGGGGCATTTACCCAGAGTCATGAAATGTGGGCAGGCACTAGGTCAACCTTCTCATCAAGGACCTTCTCTTAGCCCACCTTCCCCATCACCCCAGTTCCAGTGGCTCCTCGTGTTGCCTGTAGCACAGTTGTTGGAAGATTCTGAGGTGTAATCTCATCTGGTTCTCAGCTTTCTCAAGTCTGCCACGCCAGCAACGTCACAGCCATCTGCCTGCCAGCTTCCAAAATGTTATTGCTGTTAGCATCTTTATTTTATGTGATGTCTTTAAAAGCAAATTCTGGTGTCGAAGTTTGGTCCAGGTTTCAGTAAGTATAAAATTATTTACAGATTTCAATCCATCATCTTAACTTACAAATTCATTAGCCTCATTCTTTACTCCTTTCTGTCTATGGCAGGATGAAAATGCAGGGTCCACATTTGATTGTGTGTTCAGTTTTCACAGTGTCTTCTAAAACTAAATTACAACCAAGAAAGGCCTCCCTGGGAGTAAGACAGAGTGTGGACAGCCATTCAGAGACTGTTCCTTTCTTTTTAGAGCAGGAGTCTTCCTTCCTGTTCCCTTCCAGATGTTCCTTTGGTAGGAGAATCTGGGCATCTGTTTAAGCCTACAAACCATCTCCCACAGTAACTGGTGACAAAGAGAACAAAGCATTGTTGTGTCTTTCTTCTTCATGTATATATACAATACGTATCAAAAGCAGTAAACTAGCTCACATTTGCTATTGTAAATGCTTTGTCACATTGTATATTGTCAAACGGTAGAGGCCAAAGGAAAACGTCTCCCACCTTTTTTTTTTTTTTTTTTGAGACAGGGTCTTACTCTGTCACCCAGGTTGGAGCGCAGTGGCGCGATTTTGGCTCACTGCAACCTCCATCTCCCGAGTTCAAGCAATTCTTCTGCCTCAGCCTCCTGAGTAGCTGGGATTACAAGTGTGCACCACCACACTCGACTTATTTTTCTTTATAGTAAAGATAGGGTTTCACCATGTTGGCCAGGCTGGTCTTGAACTCCTGACTTCAAGTGATCTGCCTGCCTCAGCTTCCCACAGTGCTGGGATTACAGGCATGAGACACTGCACTTGGCCACCTTCCCCTTTGCTCTCTGAAGTTAAGCTGAAAAATCAACTGACAAAAGGCAGATCGATAGGAGAAATGGCATAGAAATTTACTAGAGTACATAGGGGGAAAACCATAGTGATTACCCTACCACTCAATGGGGTATAGATGGTTATACGTTCGTCTTCTTGGGGGCAAGGGTGATGGAGCCGTGTGGATTATTTTATGGGGACAGTAAAAGATTTGAGAGGGTGGAATTCTACAGGCTTGAAGAATGTACAATGGCCTGGGACAGAGTATGTTGGACACACAGAGCAGACAATGGTTTCTGACAAAAGTCTGTCCAAGTGTGTTGACAGACTTAATGTTTTTTTCTTTTTAAACTTTGTTTTTCTTTTGCTCTTGAGAGACAGTCTTTCTTCATGTGATATGAGTTCAGTTAATGAAAACTCAGGGACAGGATTTGGAGGTAATTGTTTTCTTTGGCAAATCTGGACTCCAGGGAGGTAAGGGAACTTCAGAGAACAACTTTAGCCTGTGCTTTGTGGGAGGTCATACAGAATTGAGAGATAGCACATGGGAAAGGTCACAGAGGCCTTGAGGCTTCTTCCATTCAGCATGTCAAAGGGCCATATTTTGGGGTATTGGTTTCTGAGCCCCAACAGTACCATATTTATACAATAAGATCTTTGATAAAGCTGTTTGGCCAATAGCTCATTGTATTTTTCTCTAAGAACATACATGATTAACTCTGTAGCCGGGTTTATGATTCTTTACAATAATGTAATATACATCCGTTTGTATTTCAATAAGTAAGACATTTGAATAATGTGTTGGACATTTTTGTCTTTATTTTATTTAGCAATGAAATCAGTTTTGTCCTAGAAGGTAATTCTTTGTTGTTTTTTTACGGAGAAACTCTACTGGTTTATTAGAATGCTACTGTGTTTGTTTATTTAATCAATCAGAAGTTTCAGTGGTAACGTAGGAACAAAGGGAAAGCTTCTCCTTTACCCTCAGAATGGTAGTTGAAAACGAATTGTGAAAAAGGCATACAAATTTTTAATCTTCCTTTTTTATTAAAAGACAGAGTCTTGCTATTTTGCCCAGGGTGGAGTGAAGTGGCTATTCACAGATGCAGTCATAGCTCATAGCAGCCTCAAACTCCTGGGCTCAGGCAATCCTCCTGCCTCGCCCTACCAAATAGTTGAGACTACAGGTGTGAGCCACTGCAGCTGGCCAAATGTTTAACAATAATTGTTTTTTAGAACATGTTTACTTAGAAAAGTTTTCTCAAACCTTTTTGGTAATAAAAACTCCTAGAGTTTTGCTAAGCTAAATTAAATAATGGATATTCATTAACTATCTAGATGATATCCAAATATGATATAATGCCAAGACATTAATGATTAAATATGAGTTTAATCTCCTATACTTTTGGCTTCCTATTTTAGAGAAATAAAACTTATTTAGATCTGTTAGTAAATATGTCCTGTTTCACACTGAAAAACTTTCGTTAGAGTCTATGTTTCTAAAAATAATAAAATGTGTATCATAAATTGTTAGTATGTGACTAACAGTTAAAATTGCTTACTTTCTAGGTTTTTCACTGAAAATTAGGGTTTCTAAGAGTTAACTTTGTAATTAATATATATATAAACTAAAACCACCAAGTATAAGATAAACAATTTTGTATGCAAAGTGTAATAAGAAAAGTAGAATGTGGTTTTGGGAAAAAATTATACAACATCATGAGAATATGGTTTTTGTTATAGGGAATATAATTTTGTCAGTTTAGAGGTTTTGAAAGTTTTTTTTAATTAAAGGAATAAAAAATAGATAAACCTAAATGGAAATAAAAAATTGGAGAAAGAAAGAATAAAAAAATTGTAAGAGGTTATAAAAGGTTTATGGAAACCTTATCGCGTGTGGTCAAAACTGATTATAATTGAATGGATCCGTTTATCAGGTTTTATTAGTTTTAGCATTAATAATACACTGATGCAAAGGTAAAATTCGTTTTCCTCTTTTAAACAAGATTTCCAGGTAGCATTAACAAGAGATAGTAAAAGGTTTTTCTTTAGCTTTAGGTAAACTACACACACACACACACACACACACACACGAGAGAGAGAGAGGAGAGGGGGAGAAGAGAGAAGACGAGACAGATTCTTAGATTCTGTTGGTCTCATGCTGTCGTTATTTGGTCTTTTTTGTTTTGTTTTGTTTTGTTTTGAGATGGAGTCTCACTCTGTTGCCCAGGCTGTGGTGCAGTGGCACCACCTTGGCTCACTGCAACCTCTGCCTCCTGGGTTCAAGTGATCCTCCTGCCTTAGCTTTCCAAGTAGCTGGGATTACAAGTGTGTGCCACCACAACCAGCTAATTTTTGTATTTTTGGTAGAGATGGGGTTTCACCACGTTGGCCAGCTGGTCTCAAACTCCTGACCTCAAATGATCTGCCTGCCTCAGCCTCCCAAATTGCTGGGATTACAAGTGTGAGCCCCCACACCTGGCCCTTTATTTGGCTTTTGATTGTTTGGAAAACTGAGTCTCCTCTCCACCAAAAAGTAAAGATTTTTGCTTTTTGAAATCTTTAAATTATCACTTTGGCTAGACAAATGACTTATTTTACAGTGACCTGTTATCCTATTCTGATCAAGTGTTTTAAACCTTTGATATTTGATAAACTTCCCTAAAACAAATTTTAAATTCTAAATTCAATCTTCTTGACCTCAAATGAACTTTTTTACTATTGGGGCCCCTGGAAGTCCAGGATTGATATATTAGGCTTAATTGTTGTGTTAAAATCATTCAGGAAGCATTATCAAATAAGAAATGGTGTTTAACATTTTTTAGTTATATTTGTATAAATGTGTTGTTACTAGTATTTGTCCCCAAATTGTATGAGATGCCTAAAATTCAGATATGTGTTGGTAAGTACTCTTGAGCACAGGTTCCTGATAACTTTAGAGATCCTACCACTGGATTCAGTAAAAACTTCCAGAATTATAAATACAAATCTTACAGATTCATGAAGATTGCTAACCCAACATCAAGCAAAATAAAAGTTAATTACCTGGAGCTGAACTGATAGAGAACTGAAATGCTTTTCTATGACTTTTTGTTTGAAACATTGCTGATGCTTTTTAGGTTTTGTTTTCCAGAGTTAAGAAAACTTTTTTTTTTTAAGCTATTGGGTAAAGTACACTTTTGTGAGAAAAACTGAAACATTTACCTTTCTCACCACCTGATTTCTTCAAAATTTGGAAACTATTTGTGAGTATTCTTAATTTATGGCATTACAGTTATTTGCAAAAATTCAATAAGAACCCGTTTTCTTTTGTAATGGACATAATTGAATACACTGGTTATTTTACCAAGACTTTGACTGGAATGACATAATTTTGGATATGAGCAGACTGCTTTGAGGAATCATGGTTGACTTTATGCAGCTGATAAAAAGCCCTTTGGAAAGACTGGCCTGGTATCTTGTCTACAGTTTCTTTACAAGGTTCCTGAACTTGCAATAAGTAAAGAATGTTACTTTCTGACAGGTCCAAGAAACTCAAGATATTTTGGGGACTTCTAGAAGAGAGGAATTAACCCAAATCATACAGGTATTACAGGCACAGTTTGATGGTGAATCATTGGCTAGGGTTCCTAGTTTCAAGAGGCTTTTAAAAGCCTAATTTGAAATTCTTTATGAAAAAGCCCCAGAAAAGCCAACTTTAAAAGAGCCCATATAACCAACCAACCAATCATTATTCTTGCTACACTTTTTTGTTTATTAAAGACATGGGATCCTGCTCTGTGTCACTCTGCCTGGAGTGCAGTGGCACGATCATGGCTCACTAAAGCCTTAAAGTCTTGCGCTCAAGAGATCTTCCCACTTCAGCCTCTCAAGTAATTGGAATTATAGTACCAAGCCACAGTGCCCAGCTCTTGCTTCACTTTATGCAATAAGTCAGCAAGTATAATAAGACTACAATTTGGCTGGGCGTGGTGGCTCATGCCTGTAATCCCAGCCCTTTGGGAGGCCAAGGAGGGCAGATCATGAGGTCAGGAGATAAAGACTATCCTGGCTAACATGATGAAACCCTGTCTGTACTAAAAATACAAAAAGTTAGCTGGGCATGGTGGCATGTGTCTGCAGTCCCAGCTACTCGGGAGGCTGAGGCAGGAGAAAGGCATGAACCTGGGAGGCAGAGGTTGCAGTGAGCCGAGATTGCGCCATTGCACTCCAGCCTGGGAGACAGAGCGAGACTCCATTTCAAAAAAAAAAAAAAAAAAAAGACTGCAACTTATTTTGCAAATAAATTGGTCCTACTATATTTTAACCTTGGTAGAAATGGGGAACTGCAGAGAGAAAAATTATGTTTCAGAAGAAAACTGTAGTACACTTGTTAGATTCTTACCTTGTCCATTGTTTTTGCGTTTTTATTATTTGCCTCCGGTTTGGACTGAATGCTGAATTCTTTGCTGGCAACAAGTCTCCAAAGTAATATTTTCAGATTTGCATCTCATTTTGCTGACTTGGAATTATTAGAAATTAAAACTCTGCTCTTTATTAGAGCTCTGCAAACTGATGCTAAACAATCTGGTATAAACTTTGAGAAAAATCACCACAGCAACTTATATAAAAACAGTCTTCATGTCTGCTGCTGTGTAAACTACTCAGAAAGTTTGCTTGAACACCTGATTTGAACTATAAACCAGAAAAATCTGTCAGATTGCTACTGCAATCTGATGATACTTCAGAAACTCTAGAACAGCTAGTTTATAGATAGACCACTTCAGACATTACTCTGTTTTTCTTCTGTTTCCATAGAAATGCCTCTTATTAAAGATCTGTTTACCTGCATTGTATAGAGAGGCCTAGCCCATCTGCAATGCCATCTTCTGGAATGGGAGAAAATGGTTTAACTGAACTGATGTATTTTCAGAACTAAGAGACTTGGCCGGGCACAGTGGCTCACACCTGTAATCCCAGCACTGTGGAAGGCCAACATGGGTGGATCATCTGAGGCCAGGAGTTTGAGACCAGCCAGCCAGCCTGGCAAACATGGTGAAACCCCGTCTCTTCCAAAAATACAAAAATTAGCTGGGTGTGGTGATGCATGCCTGTAGTCCCAGCTACTGAGGAGGCTTAGGTGGGAGAATGGCTTGAACCCAGGAGGTGGAGGTTGCAGTGAGCCAAGATCACACCACTGCACTCCAGCCTGAAAGACAGTGAGACGCTGTCTCAGAAAAAAAAAAAAGAGAGAGAAAAAGAAATGAGACTAATTCAAGAATATATGGACAATATATTTAAATTTGCTCTTTTTTGCTTGTCCCAAATTTTTCCCACTCCTTTGCCTATCTCTATCTAACAACTTCTAACCCAAATCTCTCCAAAGCCATCAACATGGCTTTTAATATGTGAAAGTTTTTTAAAGTTTCAAAGTAGGACTGACAGAAATAAAAATATTTTACCCCCAAAATATCCTTCTTTGATACATTTTGAGGTGTCTGTTCAGAGAGCCAGCAAACAGAAGTAGCCCTGCAAAGTTGTCTTTCGTGGGGAGATTTGCATCGTACACAATCTGCCTTGATGCAGCCTGGCTTCTTCTGAGCCTTCCCTTGTTTGATGTAGGAAAGATTAACTGAGAGTTTGACACCTTTGAAGGTGGGAAACATTTACCATGTATTCTTTCTGAAGGCTGCTACCTGTGAGGTTTCATCTACATAGCAAGACCACCTTTGCTAGCCAGGCCTCCTCTTCTCTCCCTGCCATAACCTGTCATGCACCATAACCTGATTTACCACCATAACTTGTTTTGGGCCATTCTCTGAGCTCCCATTCTCTTCGTAACCTCAAGATGGTATGTAAGCTTCTGTAACCCACTGGGCGTTTGGAGCAATCATTCTGTGGTTCTTTCCTATGTGCACATAAATAAATTCGTATGCCTTTTCTCCAGTGAATCTGCCTTTTGCGAGTTATTTTTTTCAGCAAACCTTCAGAGGGCAAAAAGGACATTTTTCCCTTGGCTCCTACAGGGGTGTTGTTTTCTGAGCCATAATAAGCTCATCTGGCCAGGTCTTATATTTTGCTCAGGGGACTTGGGGAAGGAGAACTTTGATTTAATCTAACACGTTTTTCAGATGTTCATTGTGGCACTTCTTACCCACTTTCACTTATCAGCTGCCTCTGTAAGATCATCACACCTGCAGCTTTGCTTGACGCAGTGAGTCCTGGTTGTGATTCTACAGCATTCTGGAATCATGAGCACAATGTGCATTCACAGATGATTCTGATGCGTGAAATATCCACTACTGTCTTCTCACTTCTTACTTTCACTCTTCAGCTGCTTATGTAAGATCATCATACCTGCAGATTTGCTTGACTCAGTGAGTCCTGGTTGCCATCCTACATCATTCTGGAATCGTGAGCACTATGTGCGTTCACAGATGATTCTGATGTGTGGAATATCCACTACTGTCTCCATCATTATTTTAGGTTTCAATGAATACCTTCGAGCCACTGATTCAATCTAATATAACCCAATAGCAATGATAAAGATTGCAGACTTACTAAACAGAAATAAGCAAATGTTGTGAAAAATATATTAACCAGAATGAACTGTATCCTGCTAATTGAATGTTATTTAAGAACATTTGATTAATGTCATCTTCGTGGAAAATGCTCAACATTTAAATACGCAGGAGCTATTAGGAACAAAATGAGATTTCTGGGAAATCATTACTATGTTATTTTCAATTTATGAAGTGTGACTACAACTGTTTCATTTGGGAAAGGAAAGTAGCTCAGAGCAGTCGGAAGAATCTGAGGAATGCAAAATTTATCAGAGAGACAGGAGAGTCTCATTAACCCTATGCCCAGGGTTAATTGTTTAAAGGCATTTTGTATTTTTCTTCTATTGCCTATAGTTTCCAGACCAGCTGATAAATTACCTAAAATGCTATGAGTTGCACAATGTGACCCTCACCCATATCTTCATTTTTCTGGAATTTGTGATACAAAGAACAGCGCATAGCCAGTCAATAGCTTATACTATTTTGAGTGAGTCACTGTGGCATGCACCTGTAATCCCAGCTACACGGGAGGCTGAGGTGAGAGATCACTTGAGTACAGGAGTTCAAGACCAGCCTGGGCAACACAGGGGGAAACCTTGTCTCAACAAGAAGAAGAAGAAAAAAAGAAGCTTACGGTATTTTAATGAACCAATGTAAATACTTGGTAAACAACTTTAGAACTACCTCTTCTTTTTTCCCTTTAAAAACCCACTTATAATTGCCGATTGGAGCATATATTCTGGGCAACTTGAATCAATGTCCCCAGGGTTGCAGTCCTCAAACTTGGCTCAAATAAGCTCTCTACTTATATTAATTTTGCCTTGGCTTCTTCCTTTAGGCCAACAGATTGCCTTTTCTTCTGAAACCCCAAAGCACCTGTGGCTCACTGCAGCGATTACTGGGTTCCATGCTTTGGGAATGCTAGTCTAAGTGAGAAGACTCCTTGGGGAGGAGATGGGAGCCCATAGGAACCTGAAGATTCCCCTGCAGAACAGCAGGCCTTTTAAGCTCCTCCCTCCTGGCTTTCACTTGTAATCAGTTGGAGGCTCCATCAAGCCAAACAAGACATCTGCCCCTTTTTCAGTTCTCTCAGCTGTCACTTTTCATCTAGACTTCATTAGCTCCTGCCTGGTCTTTCCCCAAAATGCCTAATGGACTTTCCTGGCTGATTTCCTTGATCCCTTACCCTTGAGTCTGGCTGTCTTCCCAGGGGAGCCGCTTGTCTGACATGGCAGCTGGCACAGAGTAGGCACTCAGTAATTTTAGGCCTTCTGCTTTAGTTGTCAGAGGGTGAATTGACAACACGATTGATTGACAGGGAATGCAATTTACTACTGCTGATATAACAACCAGAACTGAAAATATGACAATCAGACTTAGCTCCTCAGAGAGGGGAAAAGTCTGTGGTCTTGGCCAGGAACAGATCAGTTGAGTGGATTTATATACCAACACAATGGATGACAAAGGTGACAGTGTCCTGTCACGATGGCTTCAGGGAATGAGCGGTGTGGGCAGCTCAAACAACCCATCTGGGGCTAACGTGGAGGGGGAGAGAGCTCATCAATCTTGAGCAGATATTAGATGCGGAGGCCAGATTGCTTTCTTGTGTGGGTTTTATAGCTGTGCACATTCAACTATTAAGGACAACCTTTATTACTAAAATTTTTGTAGGACGGGTGCGGTGGCTCACGCCCATAATCCCAGCACTTTGGGAGACCAAGGGGAGCAGATCACGGGGTCAGGAGATCAAGACCATCCTGGCTAACACGGTGAAACCCTGTCTCTACTAACAATACAAAAATTAGCTGGGCATGGTGGTGGGCGCCGGTAGTCCCAGCTACTCGGGAGGCTGAGGCAGGAGAATCACTTGAACCCAGGAGGCGGAGGTTGCAGTGAGCCGAGATCGTGCCATTGCACTCCA
Source organism: Homo sapiens (assembly GCF_000001405.40). Taxonomy (NCBI): domain Eukaryota; kingdom Metazoa; phylum Chordata; class Mammalia; order Primates; family Hominidae; genus Homo; species Homo sapiens. The sequence goes on from NC_000009.12 coordinate 86,258,313, forward strand.
GCCTGGGCGACAGAGTGAGACTTTGTCTCAAAAAAAAAAAAAAAAAAAGGAAAAATTAATTTTGTCATAGAGGATGAAACTCTTAATCCTTCCTTTGAAGTAATTACTTTTAGAGAGCTTGTTTGGAGGTTCTAGCAGGGGAGTGCAGCTACTCATATACCCTTGCCCAAAGAACGGCCCTCCTCTGTTGGGGAAGGTTGTCCGCAGCGTCTGGAAGGACGCATGTGGACGGATGAGGGAGGAAGGAGACATCCACCTAGCCAGCCAGATCAGACAAATTAACCCTGGCCATCAGTGGGGTGACAGATGTTGCAGCCAGATCACCCTCACATCCGGAAATAATTGCTTTTAAAACGCAATATTTGAAAACCTGAATTTTCTTGGGTAAGCAACTATTATATTGCTAATTTAACGAAACTTTTTTTAAAAATATTAATATACTTAAATTTTAGAGCAATTTTAGAATTGGTTAGAAAGTACAATGTTCCCACAACCCCCCTTCTCTGCACCATACACACAGCTTTCCCCTTTTTTTTTTACTACTTATGTTTGTGTGGTACGTTTGTTATACTTGATGAGCCGGTATCAATGCATGGTTACTAACTAAAGCCCATACTTCACAGTTTACATTACGGTCCATTCTTGGTGTTGTGCATTCTATGAGATTTCACAATGTGCAATTACATATATCCACTTTGATAGTATCATACAGAGCAGTGTTTTTTTTTTTTCTTTGAGATAGGCTCTCATTCTGTCACCCCAGCTGGAGTGCAGTGGCGTGAACACAGGTCACTGCAGCCTCAACCTCCCAGGCTCAGGTGATCCTCCCATCAGCCTCCCAAGTGGCAGAGGAAAAACAAAGGACACTGGGTGTGAGGGAGAGGTGCAAAGTCAGGACCAAGCATCCATGGGAACACAGGGGAGGATGAAGGCACTGAGGTTGGGGAGAGAGAGCAGAGCTATCAGTGTTGAAGGCCGGAAAGGATGAGGGAGTCTGCAGGCTCGGCCCGATCAACTGGTTCCAGCTTCTGTGACCTGCCTGGAGGAAGATGAAACAGGCTCCTCATCCTTATTGGTAAAGATAAACCCAAATCCCATCTCACCTCCCAGCTCTGGTCTTCCCACCTTAGCCACTGCCCACCTCACTCCATCTCTCCTTGCCAAGCCTAGACTGGCTTAGTTTTCACTGCTCTGTGGTCTCACAGTGCCCCGTGGCTATGGCTGTAGATGCACTTACCACTTGTTTTACAGTTGTCTCTTCACGTGGTCATATCTGTCTTGAGTCTCTGCACTCCCAGGGCAGAGGCTGGGTCTCATTCATCCAGCAGCCCCAAGGCCCAGCCCCACTCCTAGCATGTGTCATTGCTTAGTGTTAAGTGACTGTCCATTGTGACATGTGGACATTCTCAAGGTCACATAAGCAGCTATATGATGCTAAGCGATGGGGAATTATCTTGCTGCTTGGTGGGGGGTGGGAGACGGTGGAGGATGATGGAAAAGCATTTTTAAAGAGTGAACATTGAGTAGCTGAGTAGCTACTTTTTTTTCTGCCTCAGCTTGTGGCTGGGACCCCGGGCGCACGCCACCACGCCTGGCTAATTTATGTATTTTTCTCTAGAGATGGGGTTTCGCCATGTTGCCCAGGCTGGCGTGAGTATAATTTTTTTTTTTTTTTGAGATGGAGTCTCACTCTGTCGCCCAGGCTGGAGTGCAGTGGCACGATCTCAGCTCACTGCAAGCTCCGCCTCCCGGGTTCACGCCATTCTCCTGCCTCAGCCTCTTGAGTAGCTGGGACTACAGGTGCCGTGAATGTAATTTTTAATCAGTCAAGTTTTTCCTTCTATAGACATGGGCAAAGTGCAAATAAGAAATTGAGAGAGATAATAGAAGGTACAGCTATGCTCTTTGCACCTGGCCAGATATGGGTAGAAGTGGACCAGGGGCTACCTGGCTGTGCAAATTCTCTCCATGAGCCATGCAGCCGTGCTCCAGACTCCATTCCCCACCCATGGGAGGTCCCTGTGGCAATCACTGAAAATTTTCCTGAAACAGCCATTTCCCCAGAATGCAATCTACTGGGCATTTAAATAGTCTGATTGAGTTAATAACTTGTGAACACCGTGGCAACATATCCATAACATGAAGCTTACCGTGTTAAGCCGTTTTAGGTACACAGTTCTGTGGCATTCAGTACATTCACATTGTTGTGCCACCTGCACTGCCTTCCATCTCCAGAGCTTTTTCATCTTTTCCACCTGAATCTGTGTCCATGAAATAAATTTCTCACCCCCTGTCCCCTGTCAATGGACACCTGGGTTGTTCCTACCTTTTGGCTATTGTGAATAATGCTGTTATGAACATGGATATACAAGAAAGTTAATAATTTTAAGCAGAATTTAATAAATACAGAAGATTCTTCCAATGAGAAAATATTTCAAAAGCCTGCCATTCAAAGGTGTTCTGCAGAGCAACAGCACTGGCTTCACTTGGGCCTTTGCTACTAATGCAGAATCTCAGGCTCTGCCCTGGACCTTTGTTACAGAATCTGCTTTTTTTTTTTTTTTGAGACAGTTTTGCTCTGTCACCCAGGCTGGAATGCAGTGGTGCCATCTCATGTCACTGCAACCTCCCCACCTCCCAGGTTCAAGTGATTCTCCTGCCTCAGCCTCCTGAGTAGCTGGGACTAGAGGCGCCCACCACTATGTCTGGCTAATTTTTGTGTATTTTTAGTAGAGATGGGGTTTCACCATGTTGGCCAGGCTGGTCTCGAACTCCTGACCTCAAGTGATCCACTCGCCTCAGCCTCCCAAAGTGCTGGATTACAGGCGTGAGCTACCTACTGCGCCCGGCCAAGAATCTGCTTTTTAACAAGACCCCCAGGTGACTTATTTGCACCTTAAAGTTTGAGGACTGCTTCAAGACATAGAATCCATGGAGAACAAAAAATGAGTACTTTATTTTTTATTCTTTTTTTTTTTGAGACAGGGTCTTGCTCTGTCATCCAGGCTGGAGTGCAGTAGTACGATCTTGGCTCACTGCAACCTCTACCTCCTGGGCTAAAGTGATCCTCTCACCTTGGTCTCCTGAGCAACGGGGACTACAGGCATGTACCACCATGACCAGCTAATTTTTGTATTTTTTGTAGAGACGGCGTTTTACCACGTTGCCCAGGCTGGTCTTGAACTCCTGGGATCAGGTGATCTGCCCACTTTTGCCTCCCAAAGTGCTGGGATTACAGGCTTGAGCCAACACACCTGGCCCAATAAATGGGCACTTCATCATGAAAAGTTTCGGAATCACTAGCTAGTGGAAGTAAAAGCAGTAACCCATCAAGGCCCTCAAAGTAGGCTAGTTTTAAGCTGAGTACCGCTGGTACAGAGCCCTTGCCCCGCTAAAGGTTGGTGTGAAATGAAGCCTTCCCTGAACACTGCACAGCAGCAAGGGAGGATGGGAGTCCACAGTGATGTAACCACCACATGGCTCTGTATTTCAATAGAGGCTGAGGCTAGGGTGCACCTCCCTCTCTCCTCCATCTCTTGTCTGATGAGACCCACCTGGGACCAGGAGATTGAGTTCCTACTGGGGAATGAGCTTTCAAAACAGCTCCTCAATTAAGGCAGGTTTGTCTATAGTTAATCAGCTACTAAGAGAATGAAATTTCTCCGAATGTTTATATTTGAAATTTATGGTTCTTTTCAAAGAAGTTACTGTGGTCTTTTATTTGAAGGAAATACAGCAAATTTCCCCCAGATTTGAATATGGGACAATAACTCCCTAAATGTGTTGAAACTCTTTCCCTAAGCTCTTGCTTTGATTGATAATCCATTAACATATTATCCCTTTTTGCACAAGAAAATGGCTAAAAGGGACAAGAATTACAACGTATGAAACGTCTACCCTTAGCAGGATGCCATTTATGTGTAGTTAGCTCATCACATCCCCCCAAATTCTGAGACTGTTTTACAGAAGGTTACATGGCTACAAAATGACAGGAACCATGATTCAAATCCAGGCATATCTCACCCCAAACCTACACCTTTCCAGGCCAGCCTCCCAGCCTGCACTGAGCTCAGGTGAGCTGTATTTGGGTTTATTCTGGGTCGATGCTGTGTCTGGCCCATGCCACGTCTGCTCTAAGGCTCAAATGAGACACTGATGTTGCTTACAGCTCAGCTTAGCACAGGCTTTTCCATTTCCTGATTTCTCAGGTATCAAAACATGACAAGAAAGGCCATTTTTTTTTTGAGGTATTTCCTGCTGAGTGAAACCTAGGAAATACTGGAAATCTTAGGGACATCTGATCTTGTAGGGATTGTTCCCAACCCTTTCCTGTTTGAGAAAAAAAAAATCATTCTGGTGGGTCCGGTGACAGAGGGCTGGGAGGCGCCCTGCAACAATGAAGCACAGCAGGCCTCTGTCCTCATGGCCTGATTCATTCAATTTAGCATCCTGATGTGGAAGAGTGGGCTTATAACTGATCATGAAAAGCCTGAAGTCTGCTGCTAAGCGACAGATCTGCTGGCCTACACATCACCCAGGGGCACTACCAAATCGCCTAACACAATGACCAGTGTTTGTGAGTAGAATGTGGATGAATGTGGTGCAACAGACAGAACCTTCCTGGTGAGGGCTAAGGCTTGCATGACATGGTGTGACATGGCCGTAGGATGGAGCCATTTTGCAAAAATAATTCTGACCTGCCCGATGCTAAACGAACACTGAAGAAGCAATTGCGTTCCTGTCTCCAAGATCCTTTCAATATTGTACAAGAGACAAGAACCAAAACCAATGAACAGTACAAGTACTGCCTGTACAAATAGAAATGAGTCACAGAACACTGGCTGATGAGGTTGGGCTACGGATAGAGTACCATCCTTTCTGCCTCCTAAGCCTTTCTCTCACGGGTCCCTGCTCAGGTCCTATTATAGCGGGCTTTGCAGTAGCTTCTTCCTGTCCTCATCAGCCAGCCTAGTCCAGGCCATGGAAACACTTCCAAATGCAATTTTCTAATGAGTGCCCCTAAACACTTTCAGTGGCCCCAAGGCCTACAGAACTTGCAGAAAGCCCAAACGCCCCAGGCATCTACCTTGCCCTCCAGCCTTACTGCTCCTCTCCGGGCCTCATTCTCCGGAGTGCTTAGCTTCACTGTGTTTTTATTATTACTTTTTATTATACTTTAAGTTCTAGGGTACATGTGCACAACGTGCAGGTTTGTTACTTATGTATACATGTGCCGTGTTGGTGTGCTGCACCCATTAACTCGTCATTTACATTAGGTATATCTCCTAATGCTATCCCTCCCCCACGACAGGCCCTGGTGTGTGATGTTCCCTGCCCTGTGTCCAAGTGTTCTCATTGTTCAATTCCCACCTATGAGTGAGAACACGCCCTCTGTGTTTTTTCAACCCTCTTTAGTACTGTTCACTGTCTTCCCTCTTCCCCAAATCTCTTTCAACTAGGCGCAGGGGTCATAACCTGTAGGCTACCTTTTTAGAAGCGCACTCCGTTGGTTCTATCAGGACACGCAGTATGGCCTAACAGCTGGGAGCACAGCATCTGGAGCCATAGACACAGGGTACGATTCTGACTTGGCCACCTTAGCTATTTTATTTAAGCTGTGTTTTGGTTTATCTATGAAAAAGACAGTAGTCAGACCTGCATTCTCGATTGCTGAGATGATGTTTATTAGAACACTTCCTGGCATGCAGTGAGCATGCCATCACCACCAGCTGCTCACAACACTTACCATGGTGATCGATGCTCTTCGCTGGTGTCTCATTTGCCGACTTGAAGCTCTCTGAGGTTGGGACTGTCTTTGATGACCTGTGAAAGCTCAGGGCTAGTGGAGAGTCAGTGCTCACTACTGTGCCTGAGTGAACAGCTGAGAACCTTCTTGGAGGAGGTTCACATAAAAGCTCAGATGACAGAGGGAAAAGCACTCCAGGTAGTGATAATGCTCTCGTCCTAAGGACATGAGGAACCTGCTTGGGGGATGGATGACCCTCATGGGGAACAAGGAGGAAAAAGAGGCTAGCAAAGCCAGGGAGATGAGAGACACCTGAGATGGTCTCTCCAGGGCTGTGTGGAGAATCAGCAGCTAGGACTCTGGACGAAACAGTGTCAGGTAGGGAGGACGCCTGGTGACAGGCAGCCTAGGCAAAAAAGACAGTCATTTTTTTATTGGCTTTAGCAGCTGCTGTCCCAAACCCTCTCCCCTCAATAATAAAAGGCAATTTTATGATCACAAAGAGGCCACATTTTTTTTAATTGACAACTCAATCTCTACATACATACAGTGTTGCACGAATTATAAGTGGATCAACAATTATATTATTGATACAAACTCATGAGCATTTACATAAAACTACCGCTCTAGGTTTTGGTGTGTTTTGTGTCAGCTACTTTAGTGAATAAACGAAACATAAAGGAACTCAGCTACTTGAATTCATGAGAATCAGCTTTCAAAAAAAGCATATATATCATCTCATAGAATACTTATGTCAAACCCAGGAAAATCAGTAACTAAGTGACAAAAGGAACACTTTTAAAGAAAAGTTGGTGATAAATATGTTAGGCTAAAATACTAAGAACTTTAGCAACTGGACCGAGGAACCAGAAAATGTATGCACACTGGGAATTTTAACAAAAGATTACACATTCTCCTGTACAGTGAGGACCACATTCCAAAAGCATAATTCTGGGTTGCTACAATGTCATCTCTGCTACAAACCATTGTTTCAAAGGTGAAAGAAACAAGATGGTAATTGACATAAAAAGGTTTTAAAATTCTTCCCACTCAAAATAAAATAAAAATAATATAATCTCTATCAAATTATAAAGAAATTCTATCAAAATGTTGACCACATAAAGAAGTCAGACCATTTGCCTTCGCTGACTGCCTCAGAGGGCAGAGCATGTGTCACCTACAAGGGGAGAGGGGGGTAGAGTCCCTACTCTCCCCCGGCCTGTGGTGTCAGGGTGGACAGGAGCCCTTTGGCTTCCCTGGGGTTTTGCTTCCTCACATAGGGAATTGATGGAGGTGGGCTAGATGGCTTTAAGAGACTTCTCAACTAAAAGAATCAAAGTCAGCTTGAGAGCCCATCTCTGAACAGACATATAGGGTGGCAAAAGAAATGGATTAAAAAAAGGCGGATGACGTCTTTCTCACCTTTTGATACCATCACTCAGAACTAATCTGTACTATAGTTGAAGAAAATCTTTGCCTGGTACTATTAAAGAGTATGCAGTGAGGCAGCTGACAATGAAATTTTTCATAAAAATGTATAAAAAGGCTATGTTAAGTTTGGGTGGAAAAAACAATGCACCACCATATTACTACCAGCAGTCACGATGTCCTGTCTCAGATTTTAGGAGTCACCGATCTGGTTGGGAGAAATGCTGAGGGATGATCAAGCCATCAATAGCGATCTAAGGAGTGCACACAGTTCAGGAAATGGATAAACAGGTGCCCAGGAAGGCAACTTTAATGAAACTGGTTCTAAAACAAAGGATACAAGAGACCTAAATGATCCAAAAAGAGTGATGGCTTCTCATTTTCTGTCCCCTATAGAGAATATAAATATCATTTCTTCTGGAATCCAACACACTGGATTCATTTTCAAGATGTATCACTTTATTTTCCAGCACGTGACAGTCACATGATTTCTGCAGTGAGCCCCAAAGCTTCCACGAGCTTTCCTGGAACCTACGGCCAGAAGAGTCCTGAGATTTCAAATATTAAAGCTTTCTCCACAGCCACAAGTCCCTTTGATGTTTGGGTTATTGAACACAAACTCACTGGATAATTTGTCTTCAACATAGTCCATTTCTGTTCCTAAAAGTGTTAGCTGTGCTTTCTTTTCGATGAATACTCTGACTCCTTGGAGAAAAGAAAACATGTGTCATGGAAAGCCTGCAGCCTTATGGAACTTGCTGATTCAAAGCACAAGTGAACTTGAAATAGTGACTATCAATGAAAGTCAAACAAGAAGCCTTGAACATTTTAAATTATTTCCTTAAGGAATTAAGCATTCAGTTTCCTGTCTGCCCCTTCTTTCCCACACATGAATTTATGTCACAATCACATTAGGGGAGAATTTTATACAAGTAAATTCCATGACAATTTTATGCAAAATTAGAATTTACCTTTCACTATACTTCACTCATTTTTCCAGTTTGCAACATGAAGAAAATGTATATTCTCGATGAGTTTTATGAAATAAAAAAAAATTTATGAAAATTCTGCAATACACTAGATACACGGATTCAAGCTTAAAGATGTACAAAGGACTGTGATACAATGGGGCTATTTTAATAACATCAATCAGTACAACAATAGTCTTTTCTGGTTACAGGACGGAAAACAGGTACTATTCCCTAGTAATTACACAGGTAGAGGTCAGCATCTTTGTAAATACAATCTTTTTTTTTTTGGACAGAGTCTCACTCTGTCACCCCGGCTGGAGTGCAGTGGTATGATCATGGCTCACCACAAGCTCCACCTCCCAGGCTCAAGCGATCCTCCCACAGGATTACAGGCACATACCACCAGGACCAACTAATTTTTTTAGAGTCAGGGTTTCACCACGTGGCCCAAGCTGGTCTTGCATTCCTGGGCTCAAGTGATCCTCCCACCTCGGCCTCCCAAAGTGCTGGGATTACAGGTGTGAGCCACAGTGCCCAGCCAACAAATACAATCAATTTAAGAAAGCTTTCTAGTCTGGGAAACAGGGCAAAACCCTGGCTCCACTAAAAATACAAAAATTAGCCGGGCACAGTGGTGGGCACCTGTAGTCCCAGCTACTCGGGAGGCTGAGGTGGGAGGACTGCTTGAGCCCGGGAGACAGAGGCTACAGTGAACCATGATTGTGCCACTGCACTCCAGCCTGGGTAAGAGAGCAAGACTCTGTCTCAACAAACAAACAAAACAACGAAACAACAAAAAAACTTTCTTCCTTACAAGAAATTGAGCCATTAGCTAAATATAAACAATATATAATTAAGTCACCTCTTCTTTAAGATGAAAATCTTAAGGTTTATAATGTGTTATAATTTTTAAAATAATACATTTTTAAAAGGTCTTTATTGATAGTTATAACTTTAGTTTAATAAGAAAGCACACTTAGGAATCTAGGCCTCATTCTCCCATGTAGGTAAGAACTGCAAGCTAAGTGCATACTTCCAATGACAAGATAAATTATTTATTTTAGATAGGTTTTAACAGATTATAGGGTGGAAGAAGGGGGCAGCAGCAAATATAATTAATTTTAATTATAAATTAAATTATAATAAATAGCTTTGAATAAAAATTGGAAATACAGGATTCCTCAAAAACATGAGTTGATAATACAGCTCCACTAAAAATACAAAAATGAACCAGGCATGGTGGTGGGCGCCTATAATCCCAGCTACTTGGGAGGCTGAGGTGGGAGGATCGCTTGAACCAGGGAGGTGGAGGTTGCAGCAAGCCGAGATCACACCACTGCACTCCAGCCTGGGTGAGAGAGCGAGACCATCTCAAATTAAAAAAAAAAAAAAAAAAAGGATTATAATGGAGCTGAAAATTCCCATTGCCTAGCAATGCTGTAGCCACCATAATATCACAAGACAACCCATTACTCAGGTGTTTGTGGTGATGCTGGTGTAAACAAACCTATACTGCCAGTCATATAAAAGTCTAAGCATGTTCAATTATGTACACTACATAATACTTGATAATGATAATAAATGGTTATGTTACTGCTTTATGTATTTACTATACTTTTTATTGTTTAAAATTTTAGAGTGTACTTCTACTTATAAAAAAAAAAGTTAACCGTGAAACAGCCTGAGGCAGGTTCTTCAGGAGGTATCCAGAAGAAGGCATCATTATCACAGAAGATGACAACTCCATGAGTGTTACTGCCCCTGACGGCCTTCCAATGGGATGAGGGGAGGTGGTGGAAGACAGGGATATTGATGAACCTGACCCTGTGGAGGCCTAAGTTAATACGTGTGTTTTTGTCTTAGTTTTTAATTAAAATGTTTATAAAGAAAAAATTAAAAATAGAGAAAAGCTTATAGAATAAGAACGTAAAAAATTTTTGTTATTTGTACAATGTGTTTCAAAGCTAATGTTATCACAAAAGAGTCAAAAAAAAAAAAAAAAACCCCAAAGCTTACAAAGTAAAAAAGTTTCAGTAAACTAAGGTTAATTTATTATTGAAGACTAAGTGTACAAGGTTTATAAGGTCTATAGTACTACGGAGGAACGTCCTAGGCTTTCACATTCACTTATCACTCCCTACTCACTCACTGACTCACGCGGACAACTTCCAGTCCTGCAAGTTCCATGCATGGTAACTGCCACAAACAGGTGTACCATGTTTTATTTTCTTCTTCTTCTTCCTTTTTTTTTCTTTTTTTTAAGAGATGGAGGTCTCGCTATGTTGCCCAGGCTTAAGGGCAGTGGCTATTCACAGGTAAGAACACAGTGCACTATGATGTCTTTTTTTCTTTTTTGAGACAGAGTCTCACTTTTTCACCCAGGTTGGAGTGCAATGGCATGGTCTCGGCTCACTGCAACCTCCGCCTCCTGGGGTTCAAGCGATTCTCCTGCCTCAGCCTCCCAGTAGCTGGGACTACAGGCGTGTGCCACCACACCCAGTTAATTTTTTGTATTTTTAGTAGAGATGGGGTTTCACCATGTTGGCCAGGCTGGTCGTGAACTCCTGACCTCATGATCCACCCACCTCGGCCTCCCAAAGTGCTGGGATTACACAGGTGAGCCACCACGCCTGGCCAGTGCACTACATTCTTGAACTCCTACACTCAAGGAATCCTCCTGCCTCAGTCTCCTGAGTAGCTGGGACAACAGGCTTGTGTTAACACACCCGACCACATTTGATCTTTTACAAAATTTTCTTAAGCTGATAAGCAACTTCAGCAAAGTCTCAGGATACAAAATCAATGCACAAAAATCACAAGCATTCTTATACACCAATAACAGACAAACAGAGAGTCAAATCATGAGTGAACTCCCATTCACAATTGCTTCAAAGAGAATAAAATACTTAGGAATCCAACTTAAAAAGGACGTGAAGGACCTCTTCAAGGAGAACTACAAACCACTGCTCAATGAAATAAAAAAGGATACAAACAAATGGAAGAACATTCCATGCTCATGGGTAGGAAGAATCAATATCGTGAAAATGGCCATACTGCCCAAGGTAATTTATAGATTCAATGCCATCCCCATCAAGCTACCAATGACTTTCTTCACAGAATTGGAAAAAACTACTTTAAAGTTCATATGGAACCAAAAAAAAAACCCGCATCGCCAAGTCAATCCTAAGCCAAAAGAACAAAGCTGGAGGCATCACGCTACTTGACTTCAAACTATACTACAAGGCTACAGTAACCAAAACAGCATGGTACTGGTACCAAAACAGAGATATAGATCAATGGAACAGAACAGAGCCCTCAGAAATAACGCCGCATATCTACAACTATCTGATCTTTGACAAACCTGACAAAAACAAGCAATGGGGAAAGGATTCTCTATTTAATAAATGGTGCTGGGAAAACTGGCTAGCCATATGCAGAAAGCTGAAAGTGGATCCCTTCCTTACACCTTATACCAAAATTAATTCAAGATGGATTAAAGACTTAAACGTTAGACCTAAAACCATAAAAACCCTAGAAGAAAACCTAGGCATTACCATTCAGGACATAGGCATGGGAAAGGACTTCATGTCTAAAACACCAAAAGCAATGGCAACAGAAGCCAAAATTGACAAATGGGATCTAATTAAACTAAAGAGCTTCTGCACAGCAAAAGAAACTACCATCAGAGTGAACAGGCAACCTACAAAATGGGAGAAAATTTTCACAACCTACTCATCTGACAAAGGGCTAATATCCAGAATCTACAATGAACTCAAACAAATTTACAAGAAAAAAACAAACAACCCCATCAAAAAGTGGGCAAAGGACATGAACAGACACTTCTCAAAAGAAGACATTTATGCAGCCAAAAGACACATGAAAAAATGCTCGTCATCACTGGCCATCAGAGAAATGCAAATCAAAACCACAATGAGATACCATCTCACACCAGTTAGAATGGCAATCATTAAAAAGTCAGGAAACAACAGGTGCTGGAGAGGATGTGGAGAAATAGGAACACTTTTACACTGGTGGTGGGACTGTAAACTAGTTCAACCATTGTGGAAGTCAGTGTGGCGATTCCTCAGGGATCTAGAACTAGAAATACCATTTGACCCAGCCATCCCATTACTGGGTATATACCCAAAGGACTACAAATCATGCTGCTATAAAGACACATGCACACGTATGTTTACTGTGGCACTATTCACAATAGCAAAGACTTGGAACCAACCCAAATGTCCAACAGTGATAGACTGGATTAAGAAAATGTGGCACATATACACCATGGAATACTATGCAGCCATAAAAAATGATGAGTTCATGTCCTTTGTAGGGACATGGATGAAATTGGAAATCATCATTCTCAGTAAACTATCGCAAGGACAAAAAACCAAACACCACATGTTCTCACTCATAGATGGGAATTGAACAATGAGAACACATGGACACAGGAAGGGAACATCACACTCTGGGGACTGTTGTGGGGCGGGGGGAGGGGGGAGGGATAGCATTAGGAGATATACCTAATGCTAAATGATGAGTTAATGGGTGCAGCACACCAGCATGGCACATGTATACATATGTAACTAAGCTGCACATTGTGCACATGTACCCTAAAACTTAAAGTATAATAATAATAATAATAATAAAAGAAATTTCACTATACTTTTTCTTTGTTTAGGTACGTTTACACAAATACTTACCATTGTGTCAGAACTGTGCACAGTATTCAGCACAGTCACGTGCAGTACAGGTTTGTAGCCTAGGAGCAACAGGTTATATTATCTAGCTGAGGCATATGGTAGGCTCTACCATCTAGGTTTGTGTAAGTACACCCCAGGATATTTGTCCAATGTCACATTTCTCAGACCGTCTAGGTTTGTCTAAGTACACCCCAGGATATTTGTCTAACGTCACATTTCTCAGAATGTATCTCCAATGTTAAGTGATGTATGACTGTATCTGCATTATACTTACTGCTTGAGCATCCCAAATCCAAAAAGCTCCAATGAGCATTTCCTCTGAGTGTCATGTCAGCACCCACTTTTAAAGTTTTGAATTTGGGAGCATTTCAGATTTCAGATTTTTGGATTGGAATGCTCAACTCGTACTTATTTGACACAGATATAAAACTACTGCTTACACAAAAACTGTTGGTTCACTGTGAGGTTTAAGGCTGGTTCACTTTTTGGACACAACGATGATCTTTCATAGTTAAAACAAGCTTATATAATAATTTATCAATTAGTTACTAAGAGCAGTCTCTGGAAAGAATTTTACTAGGCCACTTATTATGACCTTAAACTATTTAACCCCTCTGTGCCTCAGTTTCTTCATCAGAAAAACAGGGATAATATGGTACCACCCACATTCAGCATTGTGTATAAATCAGTTAATACATGAAATTCCATCAAACAACACCTACACACACAGTGAGCATTATTTACATAATTCCTGCTACTATCCTTATTTTTTACTTTGTGCTGTGCAAGGCTAATAATTTTAGGCAAAACAATGTGCCCAAAAAATGTTTGTTAAAAACTCACCATCTTGAATAACTTCTTCATCAGAATCTCCTTTTGTCTTTGTATATTCTAGAGTATAAGAAAGGCCATTACAGCCCCTGGTTCGGACACCAACTTTTACACCTACCTGAAAAAGAAGTGAAAATATAAACTTGGTTTTAAAGTAGTACAGATTAAACAATTATACTAATAAAGTGACAGTAGCCTCCTCGTACCAAAATGGACTTTCTCTTATTTTTTGTAGGACAGGGTCTCACTATGTAGCCCAGACTGGTCTCAAACTCGTGGACTCAAATAACGCTTCCACCTCGGCCTCTCAAAGCATTGGGATTACAAGGCAGGAGCCACCCCGTCCAGCCTGGGACTTTATTTAAAATGTCTTTGCTCTACCTTGTTCTGTGAGATATCCTCTGAATGTTTCCTTATGGTTAGGATTCACCAGGGTTCATAGTCCACCATCTGGCAATCCTACCTCTACATGGGATCTGAATTATAGTGCAGACTTGTGTACAGTCTCAAATACCAGAAAGCAAAAGACTGCAGTCAATACAGACAAAAGAAGTTTAAAAAAGTGACCAAACAGCACTTTAAAAGTATCAATGTTTACATTAATGCAATTTTCAAACAGTATCTACCTAAGTTCTCTGTCTTAGAGCTGAGCTGATTTTTCATTTAAATACAGTCATCCCTTAGTATGCATGGGAAATTGGTTCCAGGACTAACTGAGTATACAAAAATCTGCAGATACTCAAGTCCCTTATGCAAATGGCACTGCATTTGTATATAACCTATATACATCTTCCCCTGTACTTTAAATAACTTCTGGAGGACTTGAATACCTGTAACAATGTAATGCTACATAAACAGTTGTTATACTGTATTGTTTAGAGAATGAAAGTCTGTACATGTTTAATACAGATGCAACCTTCTATTTTTTTCCCAAATATTTCTGACCTATGGTTGATTGAATCCACGTATGCGGAACCCACAGATACGGAGAGGTGACTGTATACAGCAAAAGTATCATAAGTACTATTTCACCAGCAGTTCCTGATTCTACAAAGCCGAATTCTTGTTTCATTAGGCCAATTTGTAGTCTACTCATCGGTCTATCCAAATTGAATCAGAACACTGATATCCTTTGAAATTTAATAATTTTAAAAGGTAGGTTTGAGAACTTCCATTACATTGTAATGTAGTAGGTTAACAACAGAAACCAGAAATCACCCCACCGTCTAATTATTAAATATTGCAATCCATTACTTGAAATGATTTACAGCATTCCATCGGCAACTAACAATGTACAATTAAGATGATACACACATCCCTAACTCAACAATTCTGTATCTAGGAATGGATCCTATGTAGGTGGACTAAGCCATGCTTACAGTTCTAGAACAATGAGCCTGGCACACTGCAGACACTAAATAGTTGCTGAATGGTGTTTGCGGCAGCACTGAATGAAAACGACCCTTTAATATGGGGACTGGTTAAAGAACTCAAACTTGTTCAATGGAATATACTCTACATGCAGCCAAGAAAGGGAGGCAGATCATTACATAATGACATGGAAAGATCTTCAAGCCATTATTAAGGGTAAAAAGCAAAGTGTAACAAAAAAATTTATGGTAGGAAGAGATATACACAGGAATAACAAGCCCAGTCTAGGCCAGTGGTTGCCCTCAGGGAGACATTTTTGGTTGTGACAACCAAAGCTTTGTGGAATCAGGAACTGCTGGTGAAATAGTACTCACCATACTTTTACTCTATACAGTCACCTCTCCGTATCGGTGGGTTCCACATATGTGGATTCTTTGGTTGAGGCAAAGAGGGGGTACTACTGGTATCTAATGGACAGAGGCCACAGATGCTGTCAAACATTCTACAATCTGCCCTAAAGTGTCAACTGTGAGGAGGCTGAGAAAATCAGGTCTAGCCGCTTCAAATGTATACATTATCCCTGGAAGGATACCAAAGAGATTGCTTCTTGGAAGGAAGAATGACGACGAAGAGTCAGGTTGAAAGAATGACTTCCTTTTAGTTAAATACCCTTTTGTATTATTTGAATTTTTTAAAAATCCTGAGTATATTTTACATTTTAAATAAAAACCCCTAAATGAAATAATACTGTATATCATGGGATAAATTCATTCTGAAAATGCAGCTTCAGTTTTTTACTGAATAATTAACTGGTTTTACTTACATGCTCAGGCTTATCTTTAAGAAGTTGTTTTATCTTGTTTACTGCTGAAGGTGTCTGAAAAAAGAAAATGATGTTTTTAGCTACAAAACTTGTTATTCAAAGCCTCATATTTATCAGTCTTCGTAAGTCTGTCTTTAGCAAATTCATGTGACAAATTTATGTTCCATTCTTGCCAGGGTACCTTATGGACTTTATATAGAAACACATAAACTATACCTAATTCAAAATATCCTCTTTATTTAAAAAAAAAATCTGCTAGCAACATCCTTTTAATCTTGCTCCTCAGTCCAGGTTGGTTCCCTGTCCTTCTCTCTATGGTGCTATTCACTCACATTACAAATGCTATTTTTCTGGGCAGCATCTATTTTGTGCACCAACTCTATGCCCAGGAACCAGCATGTTGCCTACGACAAAGAGCCAATGAAGGAATCAAGTATCTCACTGGGAAGGCCAACCTTCAGGTGTTTTTCCTGTTGATTATTAATCCTACTGCTTTTTTTTTTCTTACTCACAATCCATTTCTAATCCATCAAAATGCATAGCTTGAGGAAACAGTGTTACCAGCATAAAATAACCCAGGGTGTGCTTCTTGCACCAGTCCCACCAAATGCTCACATAGATTTTTTTCAACGTGGATTAAACCAACATCTCAGGAGATCTAGATGAACAAAACTAAGCTAGTCAATGACAGAAATAAGAACAAGGAGGAGCTGTTTCCCAGAGAAATGCTGTTTTAACATAGCTCAGCGGGCCTCAAAATGAGAAAAACATCACAGTTTGTGTGAAATAGGTCGGTGTTGCCAACCCCACTTCTTTGGGAAGGAGACTGTTCCCCGACATTCCTGGCCCACTTCCTAGCTGTGCCTCCAGGGCAGTCACCCTAAGTGGCTTCTCTGACTTCTATTCCCTTACTGGTGAAACAGGGATAACAGTTCCTCCTCCTCCTGATTCTTGTGAGGATTAAATATTTAAACTCATGGAAAGCATTCAGGACAGTGCCAGGCACAAAAATACCAAGTATTATTATGATTATGAGAGTACATCATAATGAAGACATTATGTGCGTCCTTCCTACTTTATCAGCTCCTCTAGCTGGCAGTGCTCTGCAGGCCCTCCAGTCCCTTGTACTGACATTTTACTGTACAGTAAAGTCTTTGAGACTGCTTGTGAAGTCTCAAAGTCTGGATATTACGACCTAAGACTTGGTAGTAAACTGAGGCCAGGACTGACACCTGGAAGAGCCAGCCCAATGGATGGCCCTAGAGTGTGCTCTCCTGCCCTGTCGGGGTTGGGGCTCAGCTAGATGAGCATGCTTAAACACAGTACAGACCCAGTTTAGAAGGGCATGAAAGCAATTTGGAATGTGAAGACCAACATGTCTTAAACATTTTAAATAGAAAACAATGCACTGCACTTAAAAACGTGAATGTTGTTTAGTAAAACTTTTAATTCAGTTATTAATATATAGTATCTGTGTATATACATTTCTTATTACATGTCACTGTAAAAAAACAAACCACTACCAGTAGGTGGGCCTCTAAAGGCCCATGGTTTCCCATGGTTCTGTCAGAAAAGGAGGCATGCAGTCCTCCAACGCAGGAAGTAGCACACAGGGTGGAAGGAGAAAACAGGGAAGAGCAGGATTATGGTTTTGTTTTTGTTTTTTGAGTCACAGAATACCAACTTTAAATAGTTACAGAAATAGTTATTATTTTTTAAAGTGCTCATTACCCTTCTAAAGCAGTGGTCCCAAATGTTTTTGGCATCAAGGACTGGTTTCGTGGAAGACAATTTTTCCACGGATAAGGGGAATGGTTTCTGAATGATTCAAATGCATTACATTTATTGTGCACTTTATTTCTATTATTACATTGTAATATATAATGAAATAATTATATAACTCATCAAAATATACAATCAGTGGGAGCCCTGAGCTTGTTTTTCTGCAACTAGATGGCCCCATCTAGGGGTGATGAGAGACAGTGACAGATCATCAGGCATCATTCTCATAAGGAGTGCACAAACTAGCCCCTCACACCTGCAGTTCAGACTAGGGTTTGTGCTCCTATGAGAATCTAATGCCCCTGATGATCTGACAGGAGGTGGAGCTCGCTTAGGTGGTAATGCTTGGCTTGCCTGCTGCTCTCACCTCCTGCTGTGAGGCCCTGTTCCTAACAGGCCATGGACCAGTACCAGTCTGTAGCGCAGGGACTGGGGACCCCTGTTCTAAGTGATTGTCAATAAAAGCTAGCTTTCTTATCAACCACATGTAAATTTTCACCATATTTTCCTATGTGCATGCTGAAGAAATTAATCACTTACTGTCAAATAAAAATAGCTTTCTGTAAGTTTATTTTAAAAAGGCATAGCCTGGCTGGGCCTGGTGCCTCATGCCTATATTCCCAACACTTTGGGAGGCCGAGGTGGAAGTATCACTTGAGGTCAGCCAAGGTGGAAGGATCACTTGAAGTCAGGAGTTTGAGACCAGCCTGGCCAACATGGTGAAACCCCGTCTCTATTAAAAATACAAACATTAGCTGAGGATGATGGCATGCGCCTGTAATCCCAGCTACTCCGGAGGCTGACGCATGAGAATCGCTTGAACCCAGGAGGCGGAGGCTGCAGTAAGCCGAGATCATGCCACTGCACTCCAGCCTGGGAAACAGAGTGAGACTCTGTCTCAAAAAAAAAAAAAAAAAAAAAAAAAAGGCATAGCCATGGAAAATATCCGCGGGAACTAAAATCTGAAACGTGGTCTTGGTTTAATCTGAGTGGATCAAAGGCACAGATGGGCACACCACTGCATGATCTAAACAAAACAAATGTGTCTGTCACACTACTCCGTTTACCAGCCCCAAATATATAATTTTTTTTATCTCCAAGTGGTTTTCTAAATTATCTAATTTGGTTTTACAAAGTCATCTATTTTCTTATTTTCTCAACTTTTAGCAGGAAACACTTAAATACAGTAAATGAAAGCAATTCGTGGGGATTGGTCTACTTATCACCAAGTTGCTGATGTTCACATCTCATACTGAAGGACTCTTTAAGGGAAAAGTAACATTCAACAGGAACCTGTGTGCCTGGGAAGCTGCTGTTACAGGAACTAAAATATGTCTTAATTTTCCTGTGCCAGGCCAAAACCAAACCTACTCCACTGGGAGGGTGTTACTAATGATGGACAACCCAGGTCAGTACTCAACCAAGGGAAAAGGTTCTTAGAACTTTCAAAGTGACTGATCTGATTTTCAGAACAAGGGAGAGTGGTTAAAAGGGAAGAGTTGGGACTTAAAAAAAATCGAGCTATAAGAGGTACTTTTTGTGTCTCAGTACCAGGGAGAGGCTAAGAATCCTACCCTGCTTTAAGTCTACATACTCTGGCAACTTTGTGCTTAGGTAAAATTCATGTGAGAAACAGCATAAAATCTTCAACTACACAGCATGCTGCAGGGCCTAGCAGCCTGCCAGTACCAGTGCACTTCCCAGAACAACTAAGAAACATGTAATTCTCAAGAAATTTATGTACTATTAATGAATATAGCTTACCTGAGATTTGGCCCATGTTTTAAAATTTAAGAGCTTCCTGAAGCCCACTAAAATATGATGGTTTTTACTCACATGCAAATCACAGGAATATGACTTTTAAAGTGAGAGGTTATCTTTGAGGTAAGGTATTTTGGCCTAATTGAAAAATAAATATATTTCCAAGATGTTTCCGCTGTTAAAATTAAGGGAAAAGGCATTGTAGATGAATGTTTTATCACTACTTCATAGCAACACGCTTTCTAATCCTTGTAGGAGAAACTTTTCATTCTCAATCCTGTATTTCTTTAAGTAACTCCCCAGGCAATTTTCATTTTTTGCTGTTTAAGAAAATTAAATTAAATTCAAAGCTAAAGTTAACTCTGTGATTATGCATACTAAACATGTGCCAACAACTACAACTTAATTTCTCTACAAACATGGCATTTTAATGTCAACATATCAATTTTCTGGGGGAACAAAAGATGGTAAATAAATAGAGCCAGTGAACAAGTACAGTGTATTTTATTAAAATCATTCTTTAACAGCCATGGCTGGCATTAGAGTGTCAAAATAAGAAAAGACAAAAGCATTCTCTTTTGTCTTTTCTTATTTGTGTATATGTGTATATACACATCCAAAATACATATAATATACAAATATATATTTGTAGGCCAGGTGTGGTGGCTCATGCCTGTAATGCCAGCACTTTGGGAGGCCAAGGTGGGAGGACGGCTTGAGGCCAGGAGTTTGAGACCAGCCTGTGCAACAGAGCAAGACCCTGTCTCTACAATAAATTAAAAAAAAAAAATTAGCAGTCAAGGTGACATGTGCCTGTAGTCCCAGTTACTTGGGAGGCTGAGGTGAAAGGATTGCTTGAGCCCAGGAGTTTGAAGCTGCAGTAAGCCATGATCATGCCACTGCATATGAGCCTGGGTGACAGAGGAAGATCCTGTCTCTAAAAAGAAAAAGGTTTGTAATCATGGCATATATACATAATTTTGCAGCCTCCATTGAAACAATTTAACAAATTATTTTTTCATTTGATACATGGTAATAAACATATATTCACCATTTACTGAGCACCTTCTAAGTGTTTAATGGTTTAAACGTAACATCTTTTTATTCCTGCCATTGTGATTTAGGTATTAAAGATTAAATAATTTGCACAGCATAAGTCAAAGAATGAAGATTTATAACGCTGAAACTTAAAAAAAACCATAATTTACAATGACTACATCCTTCACCAACAGGATCTACTCTCACGTACTTAACCGTTCTTTCACTGTTAGACTGCTAGGCTACTTCCAGTGCTTCTTGTGTAGTATTTCCTAAACTGCCTTCGTATAGAAATCTTAGTGCTTGGTCACTGTTCAAAAGGACTTCTGGTTCTAGTCCAATGAACTAACACACAGTTCCTTACTGAGCATTAAGCATTTCCTAGCTTCTCAACTGGACTCCAATAGAAAGTTAAGCCCTAAGGCACCTTCCGTACACAATGAATTCATCAAGAATGATAGTGGCTGTGCACCATCATTCTCTCATAGAACTTGGTTGAGTTTTAATGCACAGCTGTGATCCACCCCAGTCCTACAAATTAGAGTTGCTCTGACTTGTACAATGATGGAAATAAATCTGTCTGCAAGCAGGGCACTATTTACTCTTCAGATTCTTTAATCACATCTGGCTCCTGCAAGTTCAATTCCACTTGTCAATTTCTAGATATGTAGGGAAATAGGGAAGATGTAGATAATCTGATAATGACAGCATTGAACTGTGTTATATTATCAGTTACTTTTCCTAGCCTTTTGTTGACATCTGGTAGACTCCACACATATAGCACTTTTCAAATGTTGCAACATGTCAAATTCCTAACATCAAAATTTATATATCCAGGTAACATTTATCCCTTCCAATCAGTTTTACTGAATTAGGTATACTTGTGTTTGCTCTTATCTGTCTCTACTTATTAGACCCAAGTAACATTTACCTCTTCCAATCAGTTTTACTGAATTACGTATACTTTTGTTTGCTCTCTTATCTGTCTCCATTCATTAGGCCTTTGACGGCATCACTACTTTTGCACTTGACGATACATGCTGATGATAAACTAAGCACAAAGAGCAATACATGCCATAGTGTCCTGACTAGGGCACGAATGCTGGAACTAAAATGACTGCAAGCCCACCAACACAGGCTGTGTGGAAAACAGCATTGATGTGCCTTCTCTCTGGTACAGCTTCTGAGAAGCTTCTAAAGTCAGCCATACTTAAGTAGGACAACAGAGTACAGACAGTAGACTCCTGCAAGTTAATCAAAACAGCTGAGTCAGGCAACATGGATACCTTGAGAACTGCTATGATAACATGTACTGAAGCAGAGGGGAGCAAGTGTGGAGAGAGACCAAGCCTGAGAATGTGCAGTGCTATTACTCCTAGTAAGAGGTGGCAAAGGCTTGGCCTGCGACTGTGCCCCGTAGGCTGGGAACTGTATAACTCATTCATTTGTCTTGAAACACAGCAGATCTTGATAAATGTCTGCTGAATGACTAGGAATGGAGAGAAAGGGACTGACATAGAAATTCTGAAGGAAGGGCAAGGCACGGTGGCTCATGCCTGTGATCCCAGCACTTTGGGAGGCTGAGACGAGTGGATCACGAGGTCAGGAGTCCAAGACCAGCCTGGTGAAGATGGTGAAACCCCATCTCTACTAAAAATACAAAAATAAATAAATAAATAAGCTGGGCATGGTGGTGGGCGTCTGTAATCCCAGCTACTCAGGAGGCTGAGGCAGAGAGTTGCTTGAACTCAGTAGGCAGAGGCTGCAGTGAGCTGAGATCACGCCACTGCACTCCAGCCTGGGCAACCCAGCGAAACCCTGTCTCAAAAAAAAAAAAAAAAAAAAGAAATTCTGAAGGAAGAGGTAACATGTCAAATGGTGATGGAGAAAGACATCAGGGACCAGGCATGGTGGCTCACACCTGTAATCCCTGCACACTGGGAGCCTGAGGCAGTGGACTGCTTGAGCCCAGGAGTTCGAGACCAGCCTGGGCAACCCAGGGAGACCCTAGGTGCATGCATGACGGTGCACACCGGTGGTCCCAGCGACTTGGGAGCCTGAGGTGGGAGGATCGCTTGGGCCCAGGAGGTTGACGCTGCAGTGTGCCATGATTGCACCACTGAACTACAGCCTGGGAGATAGAGTGAGACCCTGTCTCCAAAAACAAAACAAACAAAAACAAACAAACAAACAAAAAACAAAAAACAAAAAACCCAGTTAATAGGGTTGCTAAAAAGCAAAAAAGAAAAGGCAAAAACTGTTCCTGAACCTTCTGGCTCTTCCTGGATCTACCATTACCAGTGGAAGAATTCTGAATAATTCTTACTGAGATTGAAAGAGACACAAAGAATGAGTTGTGCCCTCTAGTTCTTAAAACCTTGTTTAATTCTACATCCCACGGTGTATGAAAATAAGCTTGCTCCTACAGAAAAGAGGTAATATAGAATGATACATAATCAGTACACTAGTAGTACCATATATAATCAGGGTAATATCAAAGGCCTAAAAAATTGATTATAAAAATAAATTCTCTCACCTGATCACAATTTTCTTCTACTTTGCTACAAACTTATTTTCTGGTAATAGGCCCTTTTGGCATTAGATGCAACAGAATCGATGAGTCAATTTAAATCGTTTTTTTTCCCAGTCTCTAAGCGAATGGTTGCATAAAGTCGTCTCCTTCACTAAAAGGGGAGTGTATGTAGGAACGTGATCATAAATTTTTCTTTTGGGGTGAAAGTATTTTGGAACTAGATAGAGGTGATGGTTGCACGACACTGTGAATGTCTTAAATGGCACTGAATTGTACCCTTTAAAAGGACTAATTTTATGTTATGTGGATTTTCCTTCCACTAAAAAACTGAACGGTGCGGCCGGAACACTGAGCTCAGTGAATTCTCTAAGTAATCAATGGTTGCACTCTGGTGCCCTCTGAGTGTTTGACCTTTCACCCAGAAAAGGCTGTAAACTCACTCTGGGAAATCATCTTTTGTCCTAAGAGCCTAGGCTTGCTAGAGGCACAGAGGGAGTTTCAAAGGCCTCAATCACCCAGGACACCGGCAAGTAACGCTTTGCGCGCCGCGGCCGTGACCTCGGCAGGAGCCGGGGGCTTTGTTGTCGCTGTGCTCGCCCTCTGCGAACGCTGTCGCCCCGACACAGCGGTCCTTCGGACAGCCTGGTCCCTCCCCACCCCACGCACCTCCAGGCTAGGACTCCGGGCCACCACCGGGAACCCCCGCCACCGGGCACGTTCAGCCTCTGCTTAACCGGAACGGCCGAACAGCGCAGGCCGGCAGGAGTGTGGAGGCGATCGGCCCCCGGGGACGCCCACCCCCGGGATCCCCTCCGGCCCGCACGCGGTTGCCGCGCGGCCTGACGGGAAACGTAGTTTCCGGGGCCAAGAGAGCAGCCCCGCCCGGGACTTGTTTATCGTTGCAAAGAGGGGCCGGAGGCGAAGGAGGCGGCGAGGCTGTGCGGCGGGTCGGAGCGACGCCGAGGTCTGACGTGTCCGCGTCCCTGCGGCCCCACTCCCGGCCGCCGTGACCTCCCCTTGCACGGGGCGGACACGAGCAATGTCACGGGCCCCGCCGCGCGCCGCGAGCACTCACCAGGGTGAGGGCTGCCCGGGTGGGCTGCAGCTTCCTCTTGCTCACAGCCCGGACAGTTGCCCGGACTAAGGAAGCCGACATCTTCGCCGTCCCGGCGCCCCGGTGCCTCGGGCCGAAGGTCGGCCGCCTCAGCTTCTCTCCATGGACACGGCGGGCGCATTGACGCCACAAGCTTCGGCGCACGGCGCCCTCAGTCCTAGCCCCGCCCCCCGCCGCCACCATTGGGTGAGTTGCATGAGTGACGAGCCGGGGGCGGGGCAAGCCGCTCGGGGCGGGGTTTTGCCGCTCAACGCCGGGGGTCTAGCAGCTGGGTTGCGCACGGTCTCCGGCAGTGGGGTTACCACGCTGCAGGGCGCAGGGCCCGGGAGGAATGTCTTCACCGCCGAGGACGGAGTCGGCGTGACGTCGGGGAGCGGGCGGGAGGGGGCGAGGAATGACCTCAGACCTGCTGACTCCGGATGCACGTAGCTTCACCACCTGCCCCCGGGGCAAGGTGCAGCGTCACCCCCTGCTTTAATACTCACCGTGACAAACACCATCATAGGCGGTGACACTTAAGGACGCATAAGTCAACCCTGCACTGGGAGCTTATGCTCTCAAATGCAGAGTGATCGTTCCGATGCCCAGACATCTACATCCATTTTCATTCTTCTTTTGTGGTCCAATTAGGCTGTTCTTAAGAGCATGGCGTTACCGCAGAGTTGTATAATCGCCACCCTCCACCCTTCTCCCCAGCGTGCTGTACTGCTGGGGATGCTGAAGGGTGGTGACTAATGCAGTTTTCATTCTGGTGCTGAACTGGGAACCAACCCTACTTGAAAATGTGACTGGGCAGCAGTGTGAATAGTCACATTTATAGCGAGCAACAATTACTCGATTTAAAACGTGTTGTCAGACCTTGTCCTGGCTGCTCAGGGGCTTAATTCTGCCTTTTGATGCAGTATTCCTGAGCACCAGACACTGCACAGGCGCGGTACCCAGGCATACACAGGAAGCCAGGTAAAGAGGGGCCAGGGAAGAATGAGATACTGGCAGGACAGGGCTAGCAGATGAAGAGAGGAGGACATCAAGACAGGTGGCATTTGTCATTGAAGTGCTAGAAGTGAAGGAAAAAGGGCAGGAGGGGTCTATGAAGCAGTCCTGGGGAGGACAGATTCGCAGTGTTTGAATGTGGGAAGAACTAATCAGTGAAACATTTTTTAAAGCCAAGTTTATCTTCGATCTCCTGCAGTTTCTGAAAGGATAGTTCAAAATTCCATCAAGTAGTTCTGACTTCCTGCTACAGAAATGCAATCGCATTGACAATAAGAGGACGCTTTTTTTTTTCCCCTAAGCCTTATCTGCACATAAACTGGGGGCCGGGCGCGTGGCTCACGCCTGTAATCCCAGCACTTTGGGAGGCCGAGGCGGGGAGATCACCTGAGGTCAGGAGTTCGAGACCAGGTTGGCCAACATGGTGAGACCCCATCTCTGCTAAAAATACAAAAATTAGCCGGGTGTGGTGGTGCACACCTGTTATCCTAGCTACTCAGGAGGCTGAGGCAGGAGAATCGCTTGAACCTGGGAGGCGGAGGTTGCAGTGAGCTGAGATCGTGCCACTGCACTCCCAGCCTGGGCAACGGAGTGAGACTCTGTCTCAAAAAAAAAAAGAAAGAACGGAAGATAGGAAGAGAGAGACAGACAGACAGATAGAAAGAAGAAAGAAAGAGAGAGAAAGAAAGAAAATAAAAGAAACTGGGGGCCGGGCGCAGTGGCTCACACGTGTAATCCCAGCACTTTGGGAGGCCGGAGGCCGGCAGATTACTTGAGATAAGGAGTTCTAGACCAGCCTGGCCAACATGGTGAAACCCCGTCTCTACTAAAAATACAAAAATTAGCCGGGCGTGTTTGCGGGCACCTGTAATCCCAGCTACCCAGGAGGCGGAGGTTGCAGTGAGCCAAGATTGCGCCACTGCACCCCAGCCTGGGTGACAGAGCGAGACTGCATCTCGAAAGAAAGAAACTGAAAAAGTGATGGGAGGGAGGAAGGGAGGGAGGGAGGGACATAGAGAGGTGGTGGTGTGGTGGGTTTGTTTCTTGGCCTTCATCTTTGACTACCTGGGGGTTTGGGATCTCATATCCTCCCTCCTACAGATATTGTGAAGATTAAATGAGTTAATACAGGAGAAGCCCTTAGAGGGGTGCAAGGCACACAGCCTCACTCAAATGGTAATTGTTAATGAGTATTTAAAGATGCCATGTATTGTGAAACTACTATAATGGTGGATAGATATCATTATGCGTTTGTCAAAACCCACACAATGTACACCACCAAGAGTGAACCCTAAGGTAAACTATGGGCACTGAGAGCTAATGATGTGTCCATGTAGGTTTAAGATTGTAACAAGTGTACCACTGTGGTGCAGAGTGACAGTGAGGCACATGTGGAAACAAGGGATATATGCAGTTCTGTTTTTCTGCTTAACTTTGCTGTGAACCTAAAACAGCCCTAAAATTAAAATTTAATAAAAATAAAAGATGCTGTCATTTTTTTTTCAGTTATTGACACATTACACAGTTGTGCAGCACTTTACAAGATTCAGAAAACTCCATGAGCATATTATATTATCTCATACTAGCCTCACAACTTTGAACTGAGTAGGGCAGAAGCACTGGCATGGCAGTTTTACAGATGCTGAAACTCAAGGATTTTAGTAGAGAGCATTAGACACTATTGAAAACATCTAGTCCTCAATTTTCTGATTCAGGATCCTGTGTATGTTTAACAGACTTCTTTCCTCTATTTAATACCCACTATTTAACAAAAACAAACAAAAAAGAAAACCCCACTATTCAGTTTTTAACTTGGTTAGTTGTTTTGCACATAAGCATTAAGTCACATAATCTACTTGTTAGTTTCTAATATCACTTGAAACTGGCACAAGTCCCTGAAATAATGTTATGTTAGAATAAATAATTTTCACGATTATTTAAGCAGTATGTGAGCTTATCTCAGAGCAGCAGCTGTCCAGTGGTGTCAAAATGAGGTGGGTATGGGAAGTGTCAAAAGAGTTACAAGCTGTAACCACTTTTAGATTTCCACTAATATGTGACAGAACTTGCAATAGGGAACTGTTTCACCCCGCACTTCAGGCATTAGTTTCATAGTTCTAGACATTTAAAGAAGTGTTTTCCTGGTAAGACCTCACTTGATTATCACAACTGTGTGGAAAGCCAAGAATGGTTTCCATTTTATAGGAATGGAAACTGAACTGCCTGAGATTAGGGGACTGCCACACAGCTGGAAAACGAGGTGGGCCAGACCTTGTCTAAGTCTAGAGTTCCATTCAGTGGAAAGTCTATGTAGTTCTTGACTGCTGCTGTCCAAATATGCCTGCTTCCAAAGAAAAAACTACTGAGGGCTTTACAGTTTTACAGGGGTTTGATAAATTCTGTTTTCAACGTGTGTGTGTATATTTTTGCTTGTAACACTGAACTCTATTGATGTATTTATCCAGGATCTTTTCCACTCAGGAAAGATTTAAAAGTAGAAGCCATTTGTCAAACATATTTCAAGAAGAAAAATACACTGAAGTTATCTAAGAACATTTAAAAACATTTTTGCACACTGCTGATCCTGCACACATTGAGCAAGAGTTTTGTTGTTGTTGTTGTTGTTTGAGATGGAGTCTTGCTCTGTCGCCGAGGCTGGAGTGCAGTGGTGCAATCTTGGCTCATTGCAACCTCCGTCTCCTGGGTTCAAGTGATTCTCCTGCCTCAGCCTTCTGAGTAGCTGGGATTACAGATGCCCATTACCAAGCCCAGCTAATTTTTGTATTTTTAGTAGAGACGGGGTTTTGCCATGTTGGCCAGGCTGGTCTCGAACTCCTGACCTCAAGCGATCTGCCCGCCTCGGCCTCCCAAAGTGCTGGGATTACAGGGGTGAGCCACTGCACCCAGCCAAGCAAGAGTTTTAAACATCATAGATTGGGGCCACTGGACCACTGCTATACAAAAGAGATTTCATATTTTTGTTCCTGAGAGAAGGTGGCAAGGAGAACCTTGGTAATGGGGCATTTGTACAGCTTAAGATAGATAAGCCGGCTGCACTTGAAAGATAGCTAGGCCAATGGACTTAGCAAAGAGCAGACGTTTTGGCATCCCAGCTGGGGCAGCAAGATGGGGCTGCGACCACATCCAGGTAAAGAATCAAGGGCAATCCATTATCCAGGCCTGCTGGCAAATACTGCTCATTGTCCCATGGATCCAGTGTGAGGTATTGAAAATCAAACAAAAGACCCAGTACTTTGGGCAGAAGCTACCTTAAGGATCAGATTAAAATGTAGGAAACTTTTAACATCCTTAAAGGGATACAAGAAAATATGGCTCCTATGAAAAGGAAGAGAATATAAGTAAACTAAAGAAATGAGAGGTAAAGGAAGGTCAGTGAGGCAAATTCCAGAAAATTAGAAGTGCAATGAGAAAATCCATATTAGAAACAGGAAGCACCAGAATGACAGTAAAAATTAAGCCAGTCATGTAGAGATTAAACTTGAAGTTTTCCTAGCATGAAAAGTCACTGGATAGATGTATTTCTATATTGAGGTAATTTTCTTTCTGAATTACAGGGATAAAATTAAAAAACAGAAGCACCCAGGCAGAAAAACAAAACCTACAAGAGAACAAAAATCAGCCTGGTCTTAGACTTGTCTTCTGCTATAATGCTAGAAAACAACAGAACAGCATCAATGGGCTTTTCAAAGAAAAGTGTGACAAGCATTGTAAGCCTAGTCGACTTTCATGCATGAGTTAGAGAGAAGAAACCAGAAGGGGGCAGCTGAGGACGGTCACGTAGAGCAGCATCAGCCCAGGTTGCGTCATTCATTAGTTTGCGTTCAAAATGAGTAGGGAATGATCACTAATTCTTTCTACCATGGCCTCCAAATTCTGAAGTCTTTAATTTTGATATGATTCGTCTTTAGCTAGACTGTCTTCAAATAATTGTTTAAAAAAGAAGGGCACAGGGATGTGCGTCTTCTGAGTCCTCAAACATCCAGAATGTTCGTCCAGCAAGCACCCCCTGAGCCTCCCTGCCTACAAATTCCCCGCCCCCCCACCCCCATCTGTGCCTTTTATAATAACAAATTTATACGTTCCCAGAGCCTGGAACACACTGGATGTTAACACACACCAATGATTGCAAGGGCACAAGTCAAAGGGAAGTCTGTGTACACTATTTTAGGGGAGTATATTTGTCCTTTCTTCTTTTTTGTTAAACGCCTCTTACTATCATTCCCAATGTTCTCACTCCTTGATCTTTTTTTTTTTTCCCCAGGAAATTTAGGAATCTTTCACTAGAAAATAATGTAGATAAAATTACAGGTTGAAATTCTGATTTTATTTCAAAATGATAAATAAACCGAGGCATAGTTCTGACCAGGTACTATGTCTGCAGGGCTTTTGAAATTAAAGAAACAGTCCAGGAGGGCTCCAGTCAGACCCAGAATGACACCAGCCACACTTGTGACTGGCAGAGATAACCTCTTTGATCTTCAGCAATTTTAAAAGTTCTTCATCCTAATTTCTGAGTATCATAAAAAGTAAAAAGTACTTTCATTTTATTTTTCCTTTGAAAATGTTTTTAGTGGCAAACAGGACTACTTGTTTTCCTTACTTCATTTTTATAAGCATAGTAGTTATATGTCAATTTACTTAAAATTAGAGAGGGAAACCCCAGAGACCTGAGTGGCACTGCCCATCCACTGAAGGCCCACATAAATAGGTACTCATGTTCATGTTATCACGTCTACAAATAGCAATAAAATGATGTCCGTAAATCGGAAGTACAGCAGTAGCAGTTCATACATATCTGATATGCTTTCACACCAGGATTCAGTAAACAACAATAAATATAATTTCCCCTCTTCAAAACAAAAAATGGATTTATACGGAAAAAGGGTTAATTTACTTGGGGTTTATCAGCACACCATTTTTAATGTGCTTTGAAAGAATTAAAAACCATGAAACTGTATTCACTGAATACCGGTCCATAGTTATATTTTTTCTTTTAACGTGGCTTAAATACATACATCATGTCTTTCTATTAAAATCCTTAAATCTATGGGGATGTGTGGTAGATAAGACTATATTAAAAATTTTTCCTCATTAACAATTTCATTAAATTAAAAAAAAATCTGACATTTCCCTTAAATGTTAAGTTGAAGCCTGATCTACACTGCTGTGTCCTGTGAAATGAACCTAATTTTCCGAGTGAATAGGAACGCCTGAGTGGCCATTTAGAGTGCTGCATTTTCCTTCCCTCATGATTCCTGCTGGGTCCTCTTCGCTGAGGCTTTTCCCTGAGTCATATATTTACTGGAAAGGCTACCTAGAGGAGGGGAAGAAACAAAACCCAATATAAATGAAACAAGCCTCGCTTTATGACAAAAGCCATAAAATTACTTCTTATTAAGTAGTCACAAAAACTTCATACTAGAATTGGTCACTTGTTTTGAATCAAGTAATAAGACTTGATATTGAAAAGTATATATGCACATGATTAATTAAATATAAGCTTAGTCAAAATTCTTTCTGAATGCAGACAGGTTCCTAGAGTGATCTCATTTTAATACATTTACATATTCACTATTTCCATGTTGGTACAGAGCACCAGACGAACTTAAGGTTCTGCCTTGTATAATTCAGTATCTTCATTTGCAGCCAAACATAATAGATTGCAAAGAATTATCTGGCCAGAAATAAATATCTTAGATCATTACTCTGCAGATACGAAGCTGTGGATGGTAATCATTGTAGCAATAACTTATTGATATAAAAGGAAAAAGGGAAATTTATTATATTTACAGGTGGAGGACACAAATGAGGATTACTGATTAAAACCAATACCACAGAATAGTTACTAAATTTTGTTCTGGAGTCTGAACAAATAGATCAACGAAAAAACTGAAGAGACCTGAGAAATTCTTAAGTGATTATATGTAACAAAGTAATACATAATGAAGTTTGCATTTCAAACCAATGGGGGAAAGTATGAATTATTCAATAACTGTATTATGTCAAATAAGTAATTTTGGAGGGGAAGAAAGGAGGTAGTTTCCCTCCTCACACCATATCCTTCTTCTCTACCCATTTCCAAGTGAATACAGAATTAAATGTAACTATAAGAAAGTCAGAGCGTAAGAAAGAGTGAGTAATCCTGTAGGTAATCCTGGGGTAGGGTAAGAGTTTCCTAAGCACACTACCATACTTAATGAACTTGTAAGTCACCAGAGAAAAGAATGAACACCAATAGATAACTAGGTAATGAAAAGGTAATATATAAAATAGAAAAAAAAATGGCATAAGTATATGAAAAAATTCTATATCAGGGGTAATCAATGAAATGCAAATTAAAACTATCAATTTTTGGTTGCCAAATTATTAGAAGGAAGAAGATCAGGAGGAGGTGGGTAGAAATTCTGCTAAATAAATATTCATAAAAACCTTATAATTAACAATGCAAAGAACTTAAAATCCAAAACTTACGATATGACCAAGTATATGAGGAACTATGCACATAATAGAATATTAGGTATACACAGAAGGATAATAATATGAAAAAACAAGGTATAAAACTATATAAATAGCATTTTCAAAAAACTAAAATATACCCCACCAATCATGTATTTGGTGCCTCATTTTCTTTATCTGTAAAATGAGGACAATAATACCTGCCCCCTTGAAGTTATTGTGAAGATTAGACGAATACATGTAAAGCAACTGGAATAGTACTTGGTACTAGAAAATGCTTAATAAATGTTAACTATTATTGTATTAATGTAAAAAGACAGGAAAACTTTATCCCCAAAATCTAAATAGTAGTTAATGCTAGAATGGAGGGAGTACAGATGGTTTTTATTTTCTTCATTTTACTTAACATTACTTTCTAAATTTTCCATAGCAAACATAGTAAGTATGCAAATAAAAACATTCCCTAAACACATACTTTTCAAAGCAGGACATCGAGATAAGCAACTCACAATGAAAAATATCAGCCAGGGAATTCAGTAAGAAATTTCAGTCAAGAAGAAACAAAGTACTCTATTGTTCTACCACTGTATTATTTATGCCACAAAGTGTCTACTAGTCTGTAGGCACCCATCTTCGATATTGTGAACTGCACAAAGTATGGAGATTTGGCTTTTCAGCCAGGCGGTGGCTCATGCCTGTAATCCTAGCACTTTGGGAGGCCAAGGCGGGCAGACTGCCTGAGCTCAGGAGTTCGAGACCAGCCTGGGCAACATGGTGAAACCTCGTCTCTACTAAAATACAAAAAAAAAAAAAAAAAAAAAAATTAGCTGGGTTATGGCAGTGGCACACTAGTAGTCCCAGCTACTCGGAAGGCTGAGGCAGGAGAATTGCTCGAACCCAGGAGTGGAGGTTGCAGTAAGCCAAGATCATGCCATTGCACTCCAGCCTGGGCGACAGAGCAAGACTCCATCTCAAAAAAGAAAAAAAAAGAGACTACCTCATACTTCATACACATACAAACTCTGGATGGATTAAAGGTCTAAATAGAAAAAACAAAGTTTTAAAGCTGTTAGAAGAAAATACAGATGGATATCTTTATGACCTCAGGTTAGAGAAGAATTTCTTAAAGATGACCCTAAATTATGAACCAAATGATGATGAAAACTAATTATGGAAAACTAATAATTTGATTATCTCAAAATTAAAAACTTTGGAATGGCAATACACACAAAAAGTTGAAACAGAAGATATACTGCAGGTAGACACTTGAAATTTATATAATAATAAAAGAGCGGTATTCAGAATAAATGAAGAACCTTTAAAAATTAATAGGGAAATAATTCAATGGGAAAATGGGCAAATGATTTGGACAGACAATTCACAGAAGAGGAACTCCAAATGGCCAATAAACATGTAAAAAGGGCCTGTAATCCCAGCATTTTGGGATGCTGAGGTAGGTGGATCACTTGAGGTCAGGAGTTCAAGGCCAGCCTGGCCAACATGGTGAAACCCTGTCTCTACTAAAAATACAAAAATTAGCCGGGTGTCATGGTATGTGCTTGTAATCCCAGCCATTCGAGAGACAGGAGGCAGGAGAATCGCTTGAATCCAGGAGGCAGACGTTGTGGTGAGCCGAGATTGTGCCATTGCACTCCAGCCTGGGCAACAAGAGCGAAACTCCATCTCAAAAAAAAAAAAAAAAAAAAGTAAAAGGGCCCCTTGCATCACCAGAGTCATACAAATACACATGAGAACAACACCAAAGTAGTTTTCATCCATCAGACTTGCAAAAATGAAAATTCTGAAAAATTAATAAATAAAGTATTTGGAAGAATACATAGAAATGACCCACACACTGCTGGTGGGAGTTCTAATTATTTCAGCCAATACAAGCGTAATCTGATAGAATCTAACTAAAATGCACATAAGCTATGACCTAACGATTTGACTTGTAGACACACAAACCCTAAAGAATCTCTCATACATGCTCAAGGGGACTTCCACAAGGATGTTCACTATAGCACTGTTAATAACAGCAGAATATTGAATACAACCTAAAACTGGGTAATAAATACATAGAATATTTTTTATTCACAGGGTGGAATACTGTAAAGAAAAAAACCCAAATATAAAAACAGCACCATATAAAAGTTTTAAAATAGATGAGGTCTAGCTTGTTGCCCAGTCTGGAGTGCAGTGCAGTGACTATTCACAGGCACTATCATTGCATACTACAGTGTCAGATCTCCCGGGCTCAAGCCATCCTCCTGCCTCAGCCTCCTGAGTGGCTGAGACTGCATGCCCGTGCCACCATCCCTGGTTTGTAGGACATTCTTATTATATGCCATGATATGCCATTTTAATTTAAAAATTCACCAAGGAGAAACATATGTTAAGGAGTACATATGAAAGAGTATAAAAAATGAACCAGAAGGGGCTGGGTGCAGTGGCTCACACCTGTAATCCCAGCTACTTGGGAGGCTGAGGCAGAAGAATCACTGGAACCTAGGAGGTGAAGGCTGCAGTGAGCAGAGATCACACCACTACACTCCAGCCTGGGTGACAGAGGGAGACTTTGTCTCAAAAAAAAAAAAAAGGAAACTTGGAGACTTAACCTCATAATAATGGATGTTTCTAGGGTTGAGAGGGACATGACAGAGGAAACGATGTTGGTGATGGTACTCAAGGCACTTCCACTACCTCAGTGACAGGTCTTTTATTAAAAAAAAAAAAAAAAGAGATTGAGCCAGGCACAGGTGGCTCATGCCTGTGAGCTACTTGGGAGGCTGAGGTGGGAGGATTTCTTGAGCCCAGGAGTTCGAGGTTGCAGTGAGCTATGATTGTGCCACTGCACTCCTACCTGGGTGACAGAGTGAAACCCTTCTCTCTAAAAGAAAAAAAAAATTGAAAAACAATGCCAATTCTCTAGAAGGTAAGTTAGTTATTGTTATACTGCTACTTGCCCGTTTCTGTTTTTCCCAAAATGTTAAACCCTTTGGTAAGTATAGTACTAGTAGTTTTACTACTGTAGCATTTAAACATGTAATCTACTATATCAGAAAAATCTTCACTATACCTGAATATAAAATATTTGCATGTAAAAAAACAAAAGTACTAGAAATAACACATGAATGAATTTTTATATAATATAGAGGAATAATATGGCATTTATAAAATTTGGTAAGCATGATAAGAAACCATGCAAAAGTTGGCTAGATCACACTATTAAAACAAACATTCATCTGTATGGCAAACACATATAAGTGAGGTTAAAATAATAAACTGGGCCGGGTGGAGTGGCTCATGCCTGTAATCCCAACACTTCTGGAAACTGAGGAGGATCATCTGAGCCCAAGAGTTCAAGACGAGCCTGGGCAACATGGCGAGACCCTGTCTCTACAAAAAAATTTTAAAAATCAGCTGAGTGTGGTCTCACTAGCTTATGGTCCCAGCTACTCGGGAGACTGAGATGGGAGGATCGCTTGAGAGTTCAAGGCTGTAGTGAGCTATAATTGAGCCACTGCACTCCAGCCTGGGCGACAGTGAGACCCTGTCAAGAATACTCCAATACAAAAGTACAAAGAAAGATAGATGAAATCATGTAAAAAAAAATGGTAAAGTTCAATGGTAATAATAGGAATTCAAGCAGGTGTAAAATGAAAAAAGACTATCCCAATGAAGTCAGGGTATGGGAAACAATGTCACTGACTCTCCGGGATTGTCAACAATCACAATTTGGGAATATTGGCATCACTGTCAAAATGTGCATACTTTTAAACCTATCATTCTTATGAGCGGGAATTTATCCTGATGAAATAACTAGACAAATATGCGACTATTCATTAGAGTGTTTTATATAAATGGTGCTCTTCCAACCTGGGCCCATGTGTTCCTGAGCCTACCTGACAGGGCATGTGGCTTGATCTCGGCTCACTGCAGCCTCCACCTCCCAGGTTCAAGTGATTCTCCTGCCCTCAGCCTCCTGAGCAGCTGGGATTATAGGCGCACACCAGTACACCTGACTAAATCTGTCTTTTTAGTAGAGATGGGGTTTCACCATGTTGGCCAGGCTGGTCTCGGAACTCCCAACCTCAGGTGATCCACCCGCCTCGGTGTCTCAAAGTACTAGGATTATAGGCGTGAGCCATGGCGCCCGGCCGCAAGGATAGTTTTAAGAGAGTCAATTTCTAGCTCTTCAACTTCCATGTGTACTCTTTCTTAAAAATTATATGTCTGTGAATGCCTTTGTGGTCAAGGCTTAGGCTGGTTTTCAGGAATCACTCCACCTGTCCTTTCTAATTCCCCTTTCACAATTATTTATCTACTTTACAAAAGAAAGGCGTATCTCCTAACCAGCCAAATCCTACTGTGGTGTATTGCCATGAGGCAAAAAAAAAAAAAAAAAAAAACCCAGAGAAGAGGAGAGGCAAACAAAATGCTGGTGTCTGTGGTGAATGTAAATGCCTCTAATAAAAATCCAAATTTTTAGCTTTCATAAAATTACATTGATAGTGGATGATCATTACAAATAATTTTTGATGATACATCACTGTGATTTTTTGTCATGTAATTAAGAAGGAATCAAAATAATTGAGTGGCACTATTGTAATATATCTTCTATTCCCAAACTCAAAGTATTTCTATTATTTTTAATTTGCTATCATAAAGAATATTGGGGTTTTTCCATTTTTATCAACTATAAAAAAAAATTAGGGATAGAAAAGGAACAGTTTCATTCACGCAGTAAATAATGTCGACCCAAAGATATGTGAATGTATAGGGAAAAAATCTCATCTTTCTTATTAAAGTCGTTGTAAGTAAACATAAAAAGTAATTATTATTATTATTTTAATATTTGTTTATTATTATTATATTTTAAGTTTTAGGGTACATGTGCACAACATGCAGGTTTGTTACATATGTATACATGTGCCATGTTGGTGTGCTGCACCCATTAACTCGTCATTTAGCATTAGGTATAAAAAAAAAAAGTAATTTTTAATTAAAATTTGTAACATTTGTTTTGATCAATTATATATTCTAATAATTGTGAAAACTCAATATAGAAGATATTTTCATCCTTTGAGATTTAATAAAAAGCTTAAAAATTCAATTTATAGAAAATAGGGCCTAGCTTGTTGCCCCTGTCATTTTTGTTGCAGATAAGCATGATAAGCTACTCAATAAAATATTTGAAAATATGTGTAATAAAAATATATCATCTCAGGGAGAAGTTCAAACAAACAAACAAAATATATCATCTTATGCTGAAATTCTGTAGAAGTACAACAAAGGAATTCAAGGAGGAAAGGGAAATGATATATAATTTTTGCCTGTTAAAGAAGAGCTGAGCTGTATATAAATGATGGTGGGTATGAAAAAGCAATAATATTTATACTTCATTTGATACATTTAAGGCTGATTTAAAAGTTTTATTTTAAAATGTCAATATTTACAGCCCCCCTCCCCCAAGAAATTACATGCTTTGCAACTACAATGAAAGATTTAGATATCAACTTTAAAAATGTACAAGGAAATATATGGACTTTCAATATTTTGGGAAAGAATATGCAAGCACAAGTTGTGAAGACACTTGATATATCAAATATGTGAAAACAGCCAGTCCATTAATAAGACATGATTAAATAAACAATGGTATATTAATACACTAGAATATTCAAAGAAGGGTATCAACAAGAATGATCTATATTCACTGACAATGAGCTCTCCCCATACTATTTTAAAAAGTATTTCTATTATTTTAAGCTTATTATCATAAAGAACACTGGTTTTCGTTTTTTAAAATAAGCAGGCCTTAAAATTCTGGTCAATGATAAAAGCTGTAAAAGAATACATCACCATGAGGGCAAAAAGACATCCACCAATCTCTTACAGCAACTCCAATTTTTCAGATTTCAAGCCATGAGATTAAAATGGAATAAATAAATAGACAGAGGTAGTTTTTTTTTTGTTTTTTGTTTTTTCGGTAATTTTCTTTACCAAAAAAAGGGTAGGAAGGTTAAGGAATAGAAAAAAACATTAGTTTTCTGAGATTCTCATACTGAATAAATTGTCATACATAAACCAGAGTCATTAACTTAAGCATAAAAATCAGTTTATCACTGTGGTACCACAATCTCTACATACTTATGTTAAAAATTTCCATTATTTGTTTGTCCTATAAGTTAGAAGAGAGAAATTACAGCAAGTGTTTGTTAACCACAGTAACAAAGGGCAGTGATAATTTATTGAGTGATGAGATGTGTCGGATGCTGTGTTAAGTGCTTTATCTACATGAACTTAATCCTTACAATAGTCCTGTGAGGTGTTAGCACCAATTTGCCAAAAAGGAAACTGAGGCACAGAGAGGTTGCATAACTTGATAGAGGTCACACAACTAGTAAATGGTTGGGCTGGATTTCAAACTCAAGTGTCTCACTCTAAAACTCATGTTCTTGACCATTCTCCTGCTTTGTCTTTTTATTCCTTCCAAATAAGTTCACCTCTAATCAATAAAACCTACTGAATATCTAAGGCATTATGTGTGGGGGATAGAGGGGGAGGGAGGTAACAACGAAGAGCAAGGACATTCATGGGATTTTCTATCTACTGTGATCTCCTTTGGGAGTAAAGAACTATATGCAACCTAGAGGAAAGGATGGGGGTAGGTATCAGGAGAGGAAAGAGAACTTGACTGAGTGCCTACTCTGGGCAGTACTTTAATCTTCTTAGCACCCTATGAGATAAACGGTGTTAACACCAATTTTATAGATGACATATCTGGAGCTCAGAGAAACCACATCTCTTGCCTAAGGTCAATACACCATATATGAGAGTAGGGGCTGTCCGTATCAACATGCTTTCTTGAGAAACTACAAGTGGGCCAAAGACATACTTAATACTATGGAAAGGAAGAGCTGTGGGGAAATTAACACCACTTACAGGTGAGATACAGTTCACATTTATAACAACATAGATAATTTGGATACATATATCACAGATAAACTAGACAGTTATATCATCTGACATATACTTATTTGGAAGAGTCTGATTTATTGGATAGGATCGATTTTAACCACCTATAAATGTTTTCTTTTTTCTGGTATAAAGTAACATAATTATTGCAATACATTTTTCCTGTAGTAAATTTAAGTTAATACTTTTTTTCCAGTTGCTCAAAAGATTTATAAATATGTAGGTTTTTTACTAAGAAGATAATTACAGAAATCGTAACTTACTGTCAATGCTATTTCTAGGTGTATGCCTAGCATCTATATTTCTCTCTCAACTGAACAATGCTGGCACTGGAAGACTTGGTGATACCCTGAAGGAATAATAACATCAATGCAATCACCACCACGAACCTTTTCCCTTTTCTCTGCTCTCACTATATGCAGGCGCTGTTCTAAGTACTTTTACATGGATTTCTCAACATCCCTGTCAGGTATTATTATTACCCCCTTTTTACACATGAGAAAACTGAGGCATATGGAGGATAAGGCAGTCTCTCAGGATCACAAAGCTAGAAATTACACCCACGTAATTGTAAACACTATGCTACGTTATTCTCGGCAAAATGAACACCTTGGCTACGCAAGAATTAGTTTTTTTTCCCTATATAAAGTGTTTAGAAAGTATCTGCTCAAGGCTGAAGCTTATGGCCAGGTGTGGCGGCTCATATCTATCATTTTAGTATTTTGGGAGGCCAAGGTGGGAGGATCACATGAGGCCAGGAGTTCAAGACCAGTCTGGGCAACATAGTGAGACCACATCTCTACAAATCGGGAGGCTGAGATGGCTTGGTTTCTAAGTAGCTACCCTGCCTCCACACAGGAGCCATAATGAACCTTTTAAAACAGAATTCAGATAATATCACTCCTTGGCTCAAAACCCTACAATAGTCTCTCATTTCACTTTGAGGGAGAAAAAAACCAACAAAAACGGTACCTACCACTGCTGAAGGCGCTTCATAACCCAGATCTATCCACCCTCTGACTTCACCTCTACCACTCACTCACCCTTCTGCCTGCTCCACTTTTTTTTTTTTTTCAAATTTCTTCTGTCTCTCGAGTTTCCAATCCTGTTCCACTCCTGCCACACTGCCTCAGTGATGCTGCAGGACAACACCTGTTTCCATCTCTGAGTTTACCAGTCTAACACCAATTTCCCCCGACTGGCCCCTTTGTTTCATTTGATTCTTTGCTTAAATGTTACTTTACCAGAGATGCTGCCTCCTTAGCCAACCATTCTCTTTCCCTTTTCTTGTTTTGTTATTTCTTCCTAGCATTTGCCACCACATGACATATTATTTCTGTATCTCTTTATTGTCTACCTCTTCTGAAAAGGATGCAGAGTAAATGAGAGAAGGGGCTTTGCTTGTTCACTGCTGTATCTTCAGTGTTGAGGCTGGTGTCCTGAACTTGGAAAGGGAGGGGAGAGGCTGGATAGCTATTTGTTGAAAGAATGAATAAATGAAGTAGCTGAGAGGTAACAGTGGAGTTCAGGCTAGAGATTAGTTTTTTTCCTTACTTTGTGTGTGGCAAATACTCTCCAGGAGGAGAAAACACTGCTGGCAAGACAGCAGCAACAAAAAGCACGGGACTGGAACAAATAATTGAAGACTCTGGTTGCCACTCATGGGTGGTATAAACATCACTTGGAATTTACAAAACACACAGGCCCATGCTTAACCACTGAAGAATTAGCTTTAGGAAATAAAGGTAGAGGATGGGCAACTATATGTTTTAAAGTTCCCCCAAGTGATTCTGATGTCCAATCCCTGTTAAAAGCACATATTTGGAGAAAAAGTCTCAAAAGGCATGTGGTAAAGTATGCAGTAAATAAAATAACACACATTTGTTTTTTTTAAAACCCACATACCTGACTGGGGACTCAAAAATATTGTTGTTTTTTGTTTCTTTTTGTCTTCATGTAAAAGCACTGCCTAAAAAATGAAATAGACTGGTTTACAAAATCGAAAGGAAGAGCATCTGAAACAGCCTTAAAACCGAAACCATATCCAAGGAGAGCTGAAATAAGGCATGTGGGTGGCAGAATTTTGCAAGTTAACTGAAAAGCAAGACCATGGGCAGGAGTTCTGAAACAAGGCCCCGCCATCCGGTGCCCAGTAAGCCTCACCACGCACCACACCCGCGCAGGACAGACAGGAGTGCTGCAGGTCAGCCAGAGGAAGGAGGGCCCGCACTGCCAGCACAGCGCAAGGACATGGTGCAGAGCTGAGAGCACTCAGGGAGCAGCTCCTGAGTGAACAGATGACAGACACGCCTCCTTCTCCGTTTGAGCTAGGTTTACCTGAACAAATAAACCAGTTGGTTTCAATGGGACAGGTGAGGGCGATCCAAACATACAATCTGATTTAGACATTCCTAAAAAAGAAATTAGCACTTTTTGTTCCTACTTTAAATTGAAAGCAGTAGCCCTGTTTTCAAACTTTCACAGAGAGACTGTCTGTTGGTGTGACAGAAGCTCCACTCAGTATATTGTGTGGACAAAGGAGCAATATATCTGAAGAAACAAGAGAGAGCAGCATAATTTTGAGAGAGGAAGAAGCAGCTGATTATTTTTGAACTGCCACCAAAGGAAATTCCCTGTATCTATCCCCATGCCTCCACTGTCATTTCACTTTTAAAATATGATGACTACTAACTTTAATGTGTCAAGACTGCATTCTGAAGGGACCACATTTCTAGATAAGTGCTCTTCCTTATGCTTGATAATTCCCCTGCCACCCGGACTACCCGCCCCGCATCTTTTTGAGTTGCTGCTGTCCCCACAGGCTGCCAAAATCATTGGTCTAACTGTTGTGAGAGCTTCCCTAGTACACAACTTAAAACTTGCTGCTAGCGAGAAAAAAGAAATTCATCAAAGCTGGGGCAAATTCTCCACTTTGTTGTACCAAAGAGGAAGACTGTAATAATGTTTCAGTCATGAGTAATCAACACAGGCCTCGAGTAATTTTAGGAATAATTTTGGGAATACTATTTAAAAGTTATCTATACTATTTACAGTTTCCTTACCTGTAAAACAGCAGATATTAATGTATTTAATGAAGCTGTTGTAAAAATTAAATGAAATTATCCATGTAAAGTACTTAAAATAGTGCCTAACTCATAGTGAATGCTCAATGAATGTTAGCAACTATTATTATTGTAATTTCTTTTAAATACATTTTCCTCTTAAAACAACAAAAGAAAATCACTTTATTCTGGTATATGTCCCATGTGAGCAGCTAAAGCTGTATCTTTCATAAACATTTAAACCCTACTCTAAAAATAATAGATAAAAATTTTTAAGTATTTTGATCTTTTCATATAAAGCTCCTTTAAAAAAGAATGGGTATGATCTAAAAATCTCCTGTCTTAAAAAAAGATACACTATATTGCTGAATATGATAAAATAAAATAGAAGAGAGGTATTCTTGTTCCAAGAACTATACACATGGAGTATTTTAGGGAAACTGTAAAGCAGCTGACACTTTATGCTGTCCACAAACATATATATACAACTGAGGATAGCGACAGGATTGACTACTTTAATTAGAAAAAAATTACTTCCAAATATTTCTTTTCTATGCTTATCAAATTTCATCACTTGCACAGTTCTGAGAAGTGAGAATGTAAATTGCTTTGTAAATCATTACTTATTATACACACACAAGGTACCCTTATAGTTAGTAGTCTGTTTAAAAGGTGCCCACAATAGACATTTCACCCATTTAGCAAAAATGGCCAATTTGTATTTAACAACTCAAAGGGGCCAGATTTGTGGATGGTGTTGTTAATGACTGCTAATAGATATTTTCTTCGTCATAAGAATAATCATGCTCACTTGTAGAAAATCAAAATGACAAAATCTACAGAAAAAAATCTTCCATAATTCCCCTCTGCAGATTCACCCACTGCTAACTATGCAGCCTATTTCTTTCTGTTCCCTTTTCTATGCATGTGCCTGTGTGTGGCTCACCTGTGCACAGAGCATGGTGTCCTGAGATAACTCTGGCTACCGCCACCCCTGTGATTTGATTTCACAAGTACATATATCAAGTAGCAAAGCTCAAGTTGCAGCTTCTTTTCTGGTCACTGAGGCTACATGTGCAGGTACCAGGGATGATTACACTTTCACCTCACTGATAATCTTAGAAAAGTTCACCAAATGACTCTCATAAGACTCTAAATAAAGCCAGGAATAAGATATATGGAGGATCAACATTAAAGGAGGGGGAAGGGATTTTACTTTCTTAAAAACAAGATCTTTTTTGAGTAAATATATTGATAAAGAAATAAAGATAACTAAAATAGTAAAGAGCTCTAAAAAGCAGATTTCCCTTGAGATGTTAGAGCAAACATCAAGGTGTGATAGGTGTCCATACCTGAAGAGCCTTTAAA
This sequence comes from Homo sapiens, assembly GCF_000001405.40. Taxonomy (NCBI): domain Eukaryota; kingdom Metazoa; phylum Chordata; class Mammalia; order Primates; family Hominidae; genus Homo; species Homo sapiens. Next base: position 86,301,292 of record NC_000009.12, read on the forward strand.
CTGTGGGCATTCCTTTTTAATGTGCCCTTCTCTTCCACAAATAAAACAACGTTTTTCTCTTAAGTCTTTGTCATCCTGTCTCTTCCATTTTTCTACTGGTGGCCTGAGGATCTTCTCCCTCCCCAGGTCAGCAGCTGCCCGCATTGGCTTGGCTTTCTGAGGTGTGCACTGTATGGGCTTATCTTCTTTTGTTGACACCTCCCTTTCTGTGTACTTGTTGTGAATTTCTTTGTCCTCTTTGCTTCTTTTTTCCTTGTTCTCAGGGTATCTTTGGTTCAGGGCATCTTCCTGATCTCGCCGCCGTCTTACTCTGTAGAAGATATCATATTAGTAGCAAAAATCTAAACAGAAGCCTAACAAAATATTAAGGCAATTCCCAAAATATTAAGGCAATTCTAGATTTAAGAGATGACCAGGAATAGAAAGTATTAAAAGGAAAAGCAAGAACCTAAATGAAAATCCATCTTCTCTGTTAAGATGCTCCCTCAGGGTTTAAGGGTGCAGTTTTTCTTCTTCATTTTCAAAGTTGCTCTAGTGCTGTAAAACCAATGACTGCAATTAGTGGCACTCCTTGGCTGAATGCCTACTTTGACACTGATGTAATGAAAGGCAAATCATCCATGGAGTGATTTCTTGAACGGCCTTTCTGGCACATTAGCATTCTTTCTTTACTTGGCACTGGAAATTTTAGATGTGAAGGCTTAAATTCACAAAGGAACAATGGTTTTAAGATTTATGCTCTTAAAATGTCAAAATCATTTCTCCCTTATCCTAATAATCACTGATTTTTGAGTAATGAAAAAAAGGACTGAAAAACAAAGCTTCTCAAATTCCAGATGGTAACCTAATTTGAGCACCATGTTTTAAAATATTGCTGTACAGTTAAAAACACCACCACTACCACCCAAAACAACGTATCCCAAGGCAAGCAAGCAAAAACATGTCTCTCTTGCCCCCCAATAAACGCCACCAGAAGAAAGCATGGGGACTAAACTGCATGGCTTACCTACTCACAACAATTATTAAGGGTTAAGTGGAATACAAACAAAGAGTGCTAAAATCCAGTGAACTGTTTGTGAATATATATCCCAACGTGCTGAACAGTTACTGTGCATTAGAGATGTAACTGAGATCCTGAAGGAACTCATTTGACTGTTTACTGACTGAAATGATTCTGAACTTCTCACTACTGTAAAAAGGAAGAATTTTTGTTTCCTCTTTTCACCATGTTGGCAAGGCTGGTCTTGAACTCCTGGCCTCAAGTGATCCGCCTGCCTTGGCCTCCCAAAGTGCTGGGATTACAGGCATGAGCTACTACACCTGGGCTTTTTTTTTTTTTTTCTGAGACAGAATCTTGCTCTTTTGCCCAGGCTGGAGTGCAATGGCGTGATTTGGGCTCACTGCAATCTCTGCCTCCCGGGTTCAAGCGATTCTGCAGCCTCAGCCTCCCAAGTAGCTGGGACTACAGGTGCCCGCCACCATGCTTGGCTAATTTTTAGTAGAGATGAGGTTTCACCATGTGGGTCAGGCTGGTCTTGAACTCCTGACCTCAGGTGATCCACTCGCCTTGGCCTCCCAAAGTGCTGGGATTACAGGCGTGAACCACTGCACCCGGCCTAAAGTCATGTTTTAAATCACTTCATTTCATTAAAAAATAAAATAAAAAACTTAAATGTATCTGAAAACTGCTGGATTTTACACAAGTGTATTTTCTTTGTTATAATAGTACCTCATTTAAAAATTGGGACATTAAGAAAATAAAAACACAACCAACCCCTTTGAACATTTACTTACTTTCTCCTCATAGGACAGTCCTTCATGAAGTGTCCGATTTTTCCACAAATTCGACAACATCTATCATTTGGGGCCAGCTCTCCTTCAGTTAACACATCTGGATCAAAAAAGTATTCCTAGAAGAACATAAATATATAAAAGCCTGAACTATTCACGTGAGATCGGAACACAAAACTAACCAGATATTAAACAGTTATCTTACAATTCAATGTTGATATAACATTACTTTTAATAAATATTATTTATACTGCTTAATTCCAAACAAAATCTAAGACCATCAAGGTCTAACTCAGGATAGTTTTAACTAAATCCATTTTTGTTTATTCCTTTTAGTCATGCAGAGCACTCGTGAGCCCTAACCCTAAAGGTTTAAGCACACTTCTAAAGAAGCGGATGAGTCAGCTTTTCAGGATGTGGGAGGGAGTTGAGGCCAGGTACACAGGCTTTGTCTCCTCATCAAATGAAAAGGCTAAAACATAATGAATTGAGAAACATGATTTGCATCATACAGATTATATTGAAGAAAAGAAAAAAAACTATGTGTTTCTACTTTGCTTAGTTGTGGCTGCTGAAGGAAAAATAACAGAACAAAGGAAAGATAATGGTCTAGCCTGTAGCCTCTTTGTACTAAAATTAAGGTGGAGGCCAGCAACATGAGCATCCCCAGGGAGCTTGCTGGAAAAGCAGTCTTGAGCCTGATCCTAGACCTGCTGAATCAGAATCTGCACTTTAACAAAATCCTCAGGTGATTTGTTCGAACAAGTTTCAGAAGCACTGGTGTAGAAGCCACATCAATATCTACCATAAATCAGATGTACAGATGTAATCAAACACTGAATGTGCCTATAAAGCAATACACTTACGTTAAATTTTAAAAGTCTTCACTGGGAGTACAGAGGGAATAGGGGGTTGCTGGTCAAAGGGTACAAAGTTTCAGATAGACAGGAGGAATAAGTTTTGAGATCTATTGCGCAGCAGGGTGACTATAGTCAATAATAGTGTATATTTCAAGATAACTAAGAGTAAATCTCAAATGTCTCCCCACAAAAAATGGTGAGGTGATATATATATGTTAATTAACTTGATTTCATCATTCCATATACATGTATCAAATCATCACGTTGTGCTCCATAAACTGTATGTCAATTAAAAATAAGAATAAAAAGTATAAGGAAATTAATGCAGAAGAACATAATATTATTCTTAGCAAGATCATCTAGTCCCTAGCCATTTTTCTCTCACTGAAATTATTTTTTTGACATAATTTTGCTTTGTTTTCAATAAATGTGGTTCCTGAAAAACTCGAGTATCAAGTTACATGAGAAGAGATAGCTGTCTGCTACAGGAAGCACTGTTAACCCCCTAGTCCCAGCAAAAGATTTACTACTTTTTGCAAGCAGATTGGAAAATCTAGATTCTAGATATGTACAAACTGGGCTTGGCCAAGGCTGGCATCAAGCCGAATGCTGGCAGAACAGCAATGCACCTATGAAGGCTAGCACAGATAACCAGAAAAAAAAAAGGCATCAAAGAGGAAAACAAGAATTTAACAACCTTAAATCCAACTTCTTACTATTTCTCTCTATTCTGATGGCCTCTACCCGGGGATGTTTAAGAAAAAGGGGGGCTCTGGGAATCATTCTGTACAATAGTCATTTACTTTGGCTAGACTCACAGACTTTCTAAATATTTAAGTTACTACTGAAGTGATGTGTACAAATTAGGCACTTTTTTTTATTTTTTATTTTTTGGTATTTCCAACACACTTACCATTTTTGAGGGGTAGTCCTTTGGAAATCCCTTGACAGGAATACCAAATACTCTTCTACCATTGATAAAAGCCTTCATTATAAAATTTGTCACTAAAAAGAAGAGTAAGAACTCACTTAGGCGGGTTAAAAGGAAAAGAGATTGTATTACAAATGACAAACTACCTGGGCCTGGTGGCGCCTGTTATTCTAGCACTCTGGGAGGCTGGGGTAGGTGGATCACTTGAGCCCAGGAGTTTGAGACCAGCCTGGGCAATAAAAGCAAGACCCTGTCTCTATTATAAAAGTAAATACATAAGTAAAATAAAAAATAAAATTGACAAACGAAGTAACTCACTTTTCCTTGATAATCCAGCTCCAAGATTATGATTCAAATCAAAGGGATCTAAGCAAAAAAATTTAAGAGCAAATAAGGTAATCAAATAGAAAATGCCACCATTCATCCAATAAGTAAAGTTCATAAAACAAGACAAGAATATCATCTACTTTGCTTATCATTAATAAGTTTTAAATTCACATGATAGAAAAGAAGTGCAAAAAAAAGTTTAAAATGACACCTGTTAAATGAGCTTAGAAGTTATAATAAAGCTAAGCAATACATATTCCTAAACAGAAGGCAAGTTTTTCCACTACACTGTTCATCAGAATAGAGTGTACTACTTTATATTTAAATCATTATAAAGCTCTTTATGTTATGACTGGCTGCCTATTTTTGAACAAAATACTGTTTGCAGAAGACACATTAGCCTGATATTACTTAATGACACTAGTTTTGGATGTATATAGAAGTTATAAATACATTTAAAACATTTTGGCACTAAATGTTCCCACTATGTAACAAATTTCTTAAAGATCACTTCAGAAAATAATTCATGATGGAGATTACAAAACACACTTATAAAACACACAGATATATACATCTGTCCCAATGGCATGCCATTGGCTACCTGGATCTTGGGATACAATTTCTAGTAAAAGCTTAATATAGACTCTCATTTGATCTTACATGTCTGCATCTGAAACATCTTAGATAGCTGTATATAGGATATGTTTTGGAATACTGTTTGTTAAATAACCCAGAAAATGGTAGGAATGATGAAAACAATGCTAATGTCAAAGATTTATGTGAGGTGTGAATAAACTGTCTCATGAAATAAATGGGGTTAAAAGCACTATTTCTAAATCCAAATACTGTTTTATAAGTGATCTAAAATAACATACACCCATGATTCATAATTTAGACATTATGTGTAGATATCTAACTTCTATTTTTCACATCCCTAAAACAATATTCAAGAAGGCAAAGAGAAAAAAGCGATGACCTTTTTTCGGGAATCCTCTTATTGAGAAAATGAAGGACTGCATGGATATAGCATACACAAGAGAAGTAAAGAAGTAAAAAGTGGCATCTTCCACTTGCCAGGTATGCTTCTAGTGAACGGTAACTGAGGTGTACCATATTGAGATTGAGACTATCAGTTTATCGAAGTATAGGACCCTTCCTTCAGCTCAACCCTGCAGTAATTATTGCTATGAGAAGGTTACCTTCATCAGTTTGGTCATTCTTTCTTCAAGTGATTTTTATATGTGTATGTGTATTTTTGGTTATTTGCTTGGTGTAGTGGAGATACTACAATATTAGCTACTGTGCAGTTAAAGAAACTACTACTGGCTGGGTGCTGTGGCTCACGCCTGTAATCCCAGCACTTTGGGAGGCTGAGGTGGGCTAATCACCTGAGGTCAGAAGTTCAAGATCAGCCTGGCCAACATGGTGAAACACTCTCTCTACTAAAAATACAAAAATTAGCCAGGCTTGGTGGTGTGTGCCTGTAGTCCCAGCTACTCTGGAGGCTGACAACGGGTGAACCCAGGAAGCGGAGGGTGCAGTGACCTGAAATCGCACCATTACACTCCAGCCTGGGCGAGACAGTGAGACTCTGTCCCCCGCAAAAACAAAAACAAACGACTACTATCACCACTGAAATGCCTCAATTCTAAAATAGCTGGTTATATGATTATGAATGAAGCCTTCTTTTTAGTTTAGCCTATTACTAACTGCTTGTCTGAAAGTAATGTAAGAATTAGAAGCAAAAGATAATAAACCTTCAAAACTTAAAAAAGAATACATTAATAGGCCGGGCACAGTGGCTCACGCCTGTAATCCCAGCACTTTGGGAGGCTGAAGTGGGCCGGATCACCTGAGCTGAGGAGTTCGAAACTAGCCTTGCCAACATGGTGAAACCCCGTCTCTACTAAAAATACAAAAAAATTAGCCAGGCGTGGTGGCACGGCACCTGTAATCCCAGCTACTCAGGAGGCTGAGGTACAAGAATCACTTGAACCCGGGAGGTGGAGGTTGCAGTGAGCCAAGATTGCGCCATTGCATTCCAGCCTGGAAGACAAAGTGAGACTGTCTCAAGAAAAAAAAAAAAGGAATACCTTAATAAGTGACAGATGATAAGAACTGCAGTGATAACGAAAAGGCGTAGTAAGTCAAAAATTCTATGTGTTTGACACATGAGATCTTTAAAAAGTCAAAACTATATCTGTAACCCATGGTGATCTGAAATTCATTTTACAAAAGTTCATTGTATTTTAATACTGCCAATAGGCAGAAATAATAATAAAACCACAACTTAGAATAGTACGTATTATTTATGTGATACAAACATATTAAAAGATAAACATTTAAAAATCTTATTAAAATTAAAAAAATATTTCTTAGGTCATTTCTCAGCTAAAGCATTTAAATTCCATTTTGTCTTAAAATAAGAATCCCACAAATTGGAAATAAACAATCAACTATTAGCATCAATGGCTCCAATAGATCACTACATTCAATAGAAAAAGATAAGGTGGCCAGGCGCAGTGGCTCACATCTGTAATCCCAGCACTTTGGGAGGCCGAGGTGGGTGATCACCTGCGGTCAGGAGTTCAAGACCAGCCTGGCCAACATGGTGAAACCCCATCTCTACTAAAAGTACAAAAATTTAGCCAGTTGTGGTGGTGGGTCCCTGTAATCCCAGCTACTCAGGTGGCTGAGGCAGGAGAATTGCTTGAACCCAGGAGGCGGAGGTTGCAGTGAGCCGAGATAGCGCTACTGCACTCCAGCCTGGGCAACAAGAGCGAAACTCCATCTCAAAAACTAAAAAATAGAAAAAGAAAAGGCTTCCATATGGTCAAAATAAATGTCAAAATTTATATACAATTACTTATAGGTGAACTCCATCAATAGCGAATGAAGATCTTGAAAATTCACTTAGCGGCACTCTTCAAACCCCCCAACAGGAAGGTTGTAGAAGTCCCACTTTCTTGAAGCTGCCTTATCACTACTGCTGCCTTATCCTTCAGTATGTGTCCAACAATAGCAAAAAATTTGTCATGGTGAAATGGCTTCAGTCATTTAAAAAACAAATCTTAAGGCTGGAAAGAGAAAAGTTGGCCTGGTATGGACAATGAGACTGGGGCACTGCACACCCCAAGCAGCTGGAAGAGCTCTGCAAGGAGGAAGAACAATGTCCTTATAGTTCAAGCTCTATAGTCTATTCGACTTCAAGTTTAATTTTATTCGTACCTTCAATAACAATGTATTTTGAGGTCCACTGTTTCTTAAAAGTTGTAAGCAGACTTTTTCTCCTGATGCTAATAACATGTTCTTTAAAATCAAATTCCTCTGTGTAGAAACGAAGAAGGCCCAACCATAACTGCCCAACAGATTCTGTATTTTTTCCACATTCTGACCAATAGGTAGGCTAGAAATAGAAGGGAACAAGGGATACCATGGTCTTTAGTGAAGTGTTAATATCAATATTCATTTGTATTTTAGGGAGTAAATTTGGATTTATTTCTAATTAACTAGAGCTCAATTATGCAACTTTTCTTTCATATTTAAAAACATAATTTACATAAGTTTATTAATCTCTACTCTGTGACTTGGAGTAGGAAGAGCTCAGAGTTTTCAGTGTCAAGTCTCAGAACATATTAGTCAGAAGATCCAGAAATAGATTCTAAGAGCCTTGGTAATACGTAGGTTATTAGATCTCTTTAGCTCATTGAAAGTCTTTCTAAACTCTGGGTACAAAAACCACAGAACAAATATTCATTCACTTGGAATAAAGTTACTTAACCATTTGGAATTATTAGGCATTAAAGAAATACTGGATATAGGCCCTAGAAATTCACTTGGCTTAGTAAAAATATTTTCACATCAAAGAAAGCATCTGAAAACACTATTTTTTTTACTATCATAAGATATATAAATACAACAAGCAATAAAATAGTTGTTGAACATCTACACTGTAGTATAGCTAATTTTTAGTCAAGGATATAGGAAAATCTTTACTCTTAAAATACGTACCAGTTCATCTATTTGATCAAAAAAATAAATATTCCAGCCATCAACAAATATTTCAGGTTTCTTTTCACCTTTGTATATCTGAAATTAATTTTTAAACTATTAGTATGGATTACAAACTTAATGCATTGATACAAAAACTTCTAGGAAAATAGGTAAAAAATTAACTACAGAACCACAGAATTTTAGAGGAGGAGAAAGGCTCAGAGATCACCAGTTTTCCAGATAAGAAATACAATTTCATTCACTAATACCTCTTGAAGGACAGGAATGACTGGTGGATTCCTCTGCTGGAGAAAATATAGCACCATAAGAGTATATGCATACGATGATAAGCTGCCTCTAGATGCATCACCAATATCACACATCTAGACAGAAGGAAAACCAAGAACAAAGGAAAGGTCTGTTTTCTGCTAACTTTGCATCCATTCTGTTATCACTAAAAGTAAAGTGCATATTTTGAGAACTAATATAAAAATCACATTGTCAAAGGCAAAACCAATCCAACCTAGCAAAGCAGTGGACAGCTGGCTACGTGCAAGATCAGGTCATTGTATAAAATTCAGAACAAAATTTTAGCTTTCTTCATAGGGTCTCCCAAATAGCTACATGAAGCATTTCACATGACTACAGTTCATTAAAAAATAGATTTATGTTTTCAACAGTGTTTAAAGATGCAATGAAATTTCCTGATAAGTCACAATAGGAAGCATACTCACCTTTGTAAATACTTTCATGGTATAGCACAAATACTTCACTCTGGGATCAATGGCGGAATAAGCAGATAAAAGCCTTGTGTTATGAAGGGCCTGTTAAAAGGAAAATAACACTATAAGACTAACAATGAAGTGTAAAGGGTCTCTTTTTTTTTTTTGGTTGTTGTTTTAAATAATGGAGATGGGATCTCACTATGTTGCCCAGGCTGGTCATGAACTCCTGGGCTCAAGTGATCCTCCCCCATCAGCCTCCCAAAGTGCTGGGATTACAAGCATGAGCCACCATGCGAGCCTAGATGAAAAGATTTTAAACTGGAATATTTTAAATAGGTTTACAGTCTGATTCATTTTAGGAAGAAGACATTTCAACTGAAATTAACCTTTTTTTTTTCCCTAAAGACAATCTTCATTAACTTACTAGATAATAATAAAGAATTATAAGTAACATCTGACCTCATGGCTTTTATACGTCCTTGGTCTGAACATCTAGAAAATAAGGGCTGGTGAAATAAACAATCAGTTCCCTTTCAGTAGATATAAGATCTCTCTGCACAAACACCCCTAAAGGGTCAGAGAGGTCCTATAAATCCCTGAAACATATCTGAATTATCTTAGAATCCTCAGCCTCAGAACACTGCCAGGTTCACAGCAAGTAAGCATAATAACTCTTGAAAGATTCACTAAGATGAAATGAATGTGACTTCTTTAACTTGAGGTTTTTGCAAGGTGAGACATTTGTTCCCTTAACCTCTCTAAACAAAAAGCCTGAAAAAAATCTTACCAATGTGTTATACAAACTGATATCTACTTCCAGACCACTTCTCAAATGGAAGAACTTCACAATTGGCACCTTTGCTGTTGTAATAGGTAAGATGTTTCTCAGACCTAAGTTGGGAAATAAAATGTTATCATTAAATACAGCAGCTGGGGATATAAGTAACTCTTATGTTAATGTTCCAATATAAAATGGTGTAAACCTAACTTTGGCCTGTTTCATTGCATTCATTAGGACTTGTCAAAGAATTCTGTTATTAACAAACATCTGGGAAGATTAGTCTGGCAAAGTTTACATTTATTAAACATATTGATATTAGAACTACAAGAATCAAACAGTCACTCCCCTCTGGGAACTTACTGGATCGTATGTGCACACGTGTGCATGTGTGTATATGCATGTGTATGTCGTTGTCACTAAGACAAATACCAAACAGAGGAAACTACTATAGAGTCTGAACTATGTGGTTCCCACCTGTTCTCTCCATGTGACTATATCTAATTTGGAGAACAGCCTAAGGGACGATTATCCTCCAAACAAGTTACTCACCTTAAAGCTAGAAGTTATGAAGTTAATAGGAATTAACTTCAATAGGAGAGAGGAAATTGCCTGAGCTAAGCTTTGAAAAAGAGGGAGAAAAACCAGCAAAAATAGTGGCAGTTGAGCAAATTTACCAGGCAAGGCAAACTGTACACAAAAAGTGTAGATGCCTGAAATAGAATGGTACGTTCAGGGAAGTTCCAGAGAATTGCATAGGTTGCCGAATGAACTTGAGGGAATGGAATATGAGGCATAGGAGATGGTGGAGAAACTGGGAAAGGTCCAACTACAGAACATACACATTTTGCTAAGAATTATCCTTAGTCCTCTCCCTCTCCCTCTCCCCTCTTCCCTCTCCCCTCTCCCCACGGTCTCCCTCTCCCTCTCTTTCCACGGTCTCCCTCTGATGCCGGTCTCCCTCTGATGCCGAGCCGAAGCTGGACTGTACCGCTGCCATCTCGGCTCACTGCAACCTCCCTGCCTGATTCTCCTGCCTCAGCCTGCCGAGTGCCTGCGATTGCAGGTGCGCGCCGCCACGCCTGACTGGTTTTCGTATTTTTTTGGTGGAGACGGGGTTTCGCTGTGTTGGCCGGGCTGGTCTCCAGCTCCTAACCACGAGTGATCCGCCAGCCTTGGCCTCCGGAGGTGCCGGGATTGCAGACGGAGTCTCGTTCACTCAGTGCTCAATGGTGCCCAGGCTGGAGTGCAGTGGCGTGATCTCGGCCCGCTACAACCTCCACCTCCCAGCCGCCTGCCTTGGCCTCCCAAAGTGCTGAGATTGCAGCCTCTGCCCGGCCGCCACCCCGTCTGGGAAGTGAGGAGCATCTGTGCCTGGCCGCCCATCGTCTGGGATGTGAGGAGCCCCTCTGCCTGGCTGCCCAGTCTGGAAAGTGAGGAGCGTCTCTGCCCGGCCACCATCCCATCTAGGAAGTGAGGAGCGCCTCTTCCCGGCCGCCATCCCATCTAGGAAGTGAGGAGCGTCTCTGCCCGGCCACCCATCGTCTGAGATGTGGGGAGCGCCTCTGCTCTGCCGCCCCGTCCGGGATGTGAGGAGCGTCTCTGCCCGGCCGCCCCATCTGAGAAGTGAGGAGACCCTCTGCCTGGCAACCGCCCAGTCTGAGAAGTGAGGAGCCCCTCAGCCCAGCAGCCGCCCCGTCTGAGAAGTGAGGAGCCCCTCCGCCCGGCAGCCACCCCGTCTGGGAAGTGAGGAGCGTCTCCACCCGGCAGCCACCCCATCCGGGAGGGAGGTGGGGGGGTCAGTCCCCCGCCCGGCCAGCTGCCCCGTCTGGGAGGTGAGGGGCGCCTCTGCCCGGCCGCCCCTACTGGGAAGTGAGGAGCCCCTCTGCCCGGCCACCATCCCATCTGGGAGGTGTACCCAACAGCTCATTGAGAACAGGCCATGATGACAATGGCGGTTTTGTGGAATAGAAAGCGGGGAAAGGTGGGGAAAAGATTGAGAAATCGGATGGTTGCCGTGTCTGTGTAGAAAGAGGTAGACATGGGAGACTTTTCATTTTGTTCTGTACTAAGAAAAATTCTTCTGCCTTGGGATCCTGTTGATCTGTGACCTTACCCCCAACCCTGTGCTCTCTGAAACCTGCTGTATCCACTCAGGGTTGAATGGATTAAGGGCGGTGCAAGATGTGCTTTGTTAAACAGATGCTTGAAGGCAGCATGCTCGTTAAGAGTCATCACCACTCCCTAATCTCAAGTACCCAGGGACACAAACACTGCAGAAGGCCGCAGGGTCCTCTGCCTAGGAAAACCAGAGACCTTTGTTCACTTGTTTATCTGCTGACCAGATAAACAAGTTTATTATGCTGCTCCACTATTGTCCTGTGACCCTGCCAAATCCCCCTCTGCGAGAAACACCCAAGAATGATCAATAATAAATAAATAAATAAATAAATAAATAAATAAATAAATAAAAAGAATTATCCTTAGAATCAAAGAGGAGCCAATGAACTGGTCTAAGTTGGGAGGAATCACTGACCACATCTAGTTAGACAATAACCCTGGCAGTGGACAGACTGGAGGCACCAGGAACAGAGGCAGGGTGACCACTTATGAAAAACAACTGGGTGTGAACTTTCATGGTGGCATGGGAATACACAGAAGAAGCAAGGCATGTTTGAGAGCATCTGTAACTGGATGGGAAGCTAGGGGTAGTAAGAGAGGATCAGGGCTTTCAGAGTAAGAGTTACCACTTCCTGAGCACCTAATGTGTGATAGGGATATGTGAAGAGTCCTTTACAAACATTACCTCCTTAGGTTTATCACCCTCATCTTACAGATGAGGAAACAGAGACCCAGAAAGATTCACTAGCTTAGGAATATGCAGCTGGTAAATTGTGGAGCCGGAATTCAAATCTAGGTAAGATTGACTCCCAACTTATACTGAACCTAGTGTGGGTCAGGCTAATTATCATTTCACCCGTTTTATTGATTCCAAGGATGCCAATATCAACAACCATGAAAAAGGATTCACAAGGAAGGGCAGATTAATGGAGTTGGTTCCTGCAGAAGGGAAGCGGTAAAGTGAAAGATAAGCTCATTCTGAGATGTCAGAGTTTGAGTTTCTTCTGAGAGAGCTAAGTGGTGGTTCCTAAAAAGCAGATACATAGTGATCACATCATAGAACACAGGAGAAAATAAGTAGGTAGAAGACATTTCAGGAAAAAATCTGTGTGGCAGACAGAGGAAATGAAACTTAATCTGATGGGGAAAGGGGGCAAGGAAGCTCACTTTACTGAATACTTAGAATATGCTAGGCTTTGCACTTTACGTATTATCTTTCTTAAATGCCATAGAATTGTTATTTCCACTTTAGAGATGAGGAACTGAGTGCTTGTTATGAAGCTGAGTGACTTTTTGGGATTGCACAGCCAGCAAGGGGGAGACAGAATTTAAAATCAGAGTCTGATTCCAGAACCTCCACCTAGTACTTTGCTATCTCGCCTCTAAATTAGACAGAGGCCCTTTTCTTCACATCCTTCCCATTCTGGAATTTGACACTGTTGATCATTACCACACTTCAAAGTCTCGGATTTATTCACAGCATATCTTCCCAGTTCCTTTTCAGTCTCTTTTCTTAATTTCTGTCTAGTCTCTTTCTCTCAATCTCTCTCTTTTTCTTCAAGGCTTTCAATGCAAAAAAACTGTTTTATTTTCATCTTCAATTCTGACTGGCAACCCCATATTTCTAATTGTTTTCTGGAATGTTAAGTCTTGGAGATTATATGCTCATGGCAAACTAAACACTTTCACACAGGTGTTCTCTGCAAACATTCCTGGTTCTCAAATAACCCAGATAGTGACCTCAATCCTTACTTCCTACTTGCAGGTACCAAATCTAGGAAATTTTCCCACTTGGAATCTCTCATATCTTTTTCCTGTTAGCACCAGTGGCACCCTGGCTGAGGTCCTGCTGCCCTGTTGTCTACATTATACCTTCCCTAAAATACCACACCAGCTGCCTAAAAACCTTATGTTATGCTTTTATTGGGTCCTTTCCCTCCTGAAGAAACTTCAGTGCTTCCAAATATCTATAGACTTCATCTTATCTCCTAGTATTTCCCATTTGAAAATCTCCAAATGTACCAATCTTCTCACTGCTCTCCAAAATATCCCACAGTCTCACATTCACATCTATGCACTTAGAAATGATTTCTTTTCCCATCCTTTTCAAATCGTGTTCACCATCATCTGAGATCATAGCAACCTCCATCTCTTCCATCAACCTCCCCTGTGCAACTCTTTCCCACATTCTCTCTTCTTAGAAGTTATTTAATTGAATATTACCTTACATTGTTACATAGTTTGGAAGATTACCTTACCTCTTAAGATATGGAAGCTTTCACAAAAAAAACATACAGATTTTTTTACTTTTCCACCATCCCTAAGTGCCCAACACAGTGCTGTGCACATAGGAGGCACCCAATAAAATACCTGGGGAGACTGTTTTAAAGATATGAAGTTTTAAACACAGCCCTCTAGCTGTTACGAAATTCTTGTTCCAGGCAATCTGCATTCCATTATTATTATAAATCATCTGTGTGCCTAAGTCATTTCTAATCTAAAAATGATCTGTTTTTAACATCGTTCCTTCTTAGGAAATATATACTGAGGTATTTAGGGGAAAGGACATAATGTCTATAGCTTAATCTCAAATGGTACAGGAAGAAATTGAGAGCAAGCAAAAGATGGAATGATGAATCAAATATGGAAAATGTTAATTGGTGGATCTGAATAAAAGTTATATGTGGAACTCTTTATGCAACTTTTGCTGCTTTCCTTTAAATGTGAAATTAAATTATTTCAAAACACAAAGTTAAAATCTAGCTCAGTACTAAAAAATTAATAGTCACGCTAACTTAGTACTTCAGTTTCTTTGCACGACCTTCAAAACAAAACAAAACAAAACAAAACACATGATCTTTAGAGGTGGAATTCCCAAGTTAAGGGAAATGTTTACTTCAATGACCAAAGAAAAGTATATCAATGCACTTTTTTTCTTTTTTTTTTATATTGTTCTGCCCTCTGTGAACAAATCAATGTACATTTAAAAAAACAAAGCCTAACCCAATTTCTGTATACTTTAGGTTAATTTTTATTGGGAATAAACCAAAATTAAGATTTTTTTTCCTCCTGTTATTTAAACAACATGGTATGTACTTTATTAACTCCTGGGGAAAAAATTTCAAAGAAAAGTGGCACCCAAGGTGTATATATGTGTGTGTCTAGGTGTGTGTGCACGTTCATGCTGTGACTTAAAGTCTGTTCCTAACCGAAATGTACAAAAACTTTTCATGGACAGACCATGGATTTTAAGTTCCTGAGGATAGGGGCCATATATTGTTCACTTTCATTTTCAGCTCTTAGCACAGAAGTTTGCTGAACTACATTTTAAAAGAAGATTTTTCACTGTTAATGGTATCCATAGCTGCCATGACAACAAAAGGATACGTTAACAGCATTTCAATTCTGTGCATGGTTTACAAAATCTATACATTTTATAGCTGTAAATACTCTAGAATAATTATCCAGTCCAGTTGCCTCAATTTATCAATGAAAAAAAGAGATCAGGCCAAGCGTAGTGGCTCACACCTGTAATCCCAGTGCTTTGGGAGGCCAAGGCACTTGAGCCCAGGAGTTCAGAGACTAGCCTGGACAACCTAGCAAGATCCCATTTCTTAAAAAAAGAGATCGCTTCAAGTGAAGGACTTGTTCAGGGTCATATACAGCTTGTTGAGCAGAACAGCTGCAAATTCAACCCACAAGCCCAGTCCGGGGTGCTTTCCTTGACACTTCACACAATTAGCAACTCCTACACTTTGACTTATACAACGCCAACAAAGGAAAAGGATTTATAGCCTTTCTTGCCTGTCTGGCGTAGGCTTTGTCTTGAAATAAAACTGAGCTAGGCAACAATATGCATATAAATTATCACCAATTCCTCAGTCTTTCATACTTACGCATACAAGATTTTAAAAAGACATTAATATTGCAATTATTCTATGAATGAGCCACTATACTGCTTCATGGCATTAATAAACTCTAAATACAATTGGCCTTTCATGTCTGTGGGTCCTGCATCCCCATATCCAATCAAACACAAACCAAAAATATTTAAGAGAAAAAAGCAACTAATAAAAAACTAACGATACAACAATAAAAAAATACAAATAAAAAATACAGTATAACAACTATTTACATAGTATTTACACTGTATTAGGTATTATAAGTAACCTAGAGATGACTAAAACTATATGGAAGGATGCATATAGGTTATATGTAAATACTATGCCATTTTATATAAGGAACTTGAGCATCTAAGGATTTTTTTTATCTGCTGGGGAAGGGAGGGTTGAGGGGTGATGGGTGGGCCTGGAACAAATACCCCATGGATACCAAGGGAAGACTATAGAAAACACTAATTAAAAAGTCAGAAATATTTTTAGAAAAAGTTTACAGAGGTACCTGAATGTTTTCTGAGGACTCTTGCTAATTCTTCAATAGTTCTGACACAGTCCAATCCCTACAACAAAGAAGGCATAAAGAACTTAACCAAAACTGGAAGACAGGTTCTGAAACTGGCTATAGTTTCCATTACCTTCAGAAATAATGTAATTAATTTCAAGTCAGTCTATATCTATTTTTTTCCTTTCTAGTTGGGTATTAGAGTCAGTATTCACAGGAAATATCCTGACGGTACAAAAACCACTAAATACCCTACTTCCTAATTGTTTTTGGGTGTGCAACAAAGGCTAAAATCAGTCAGGAAGCTTATGGACCTAGGGCTTCCAAAAAAGTCTCTGAACCATGGTTGAGGACCTTCATTTCTTCCCCTCCACATAATATCACTCGGATGTACCCCATGTCCCAGAATAAATGAGAGGAGGCTTCTGTGCCCCAGCTCATTCATTCTAAGCAGACCTTCTATAGTTTAAGAGTTGATGAATTGCTGTGGAGAGTGATTAAGCTCAAATTATTTCCCTATAGGACTAGCCAGAATTATAATGCATATAACTAAAGTCATACAGCAAATATAAATAGTATTTGATAAATCATTCTTAAAAACATTTGGGCTGACTCAACATACGCCTTTTTGATGGTTATAAAAATCCCAGAACATACGTGGAATGTTACTTTAGAAATGCCCTCAAAACTAGTTTATAAGCCATGTAAAAAAATAAATAAATAAATAAACCTTGAGGATGTATGATAGGGTCATTCCATATGTTGAGCCAATCTTGCTTATATACTTTATTCAAATTCAGGCTAGATCACTTTTGACTATTTTCCCAAATCAGATACATCCTCAAAATAGAAAGACTTGAAACTAAGAAAAGGTACAAAAAGGTCTTCAGCAACAGCAGCATCATTCATTTGGATATTTAGCATTTGGACTGCTGTTAAGGATTTAAAAGAATAGGGACTCAGCACTTCCTAGACTTTATACCTTTATATAGTGTTTTATATTTTATAAATGCCTTCAGATATCCCAGGGGCTGGCAAGTTTGTTTTGCTTTGCACGCCATATGGTCTCTTACAACTACTAAACTCTGTACTTAAGAGTGAAGGCAGCCATAGACATTACATATGTGAATGGGTGTGATTCTGTCCCAATAAAACTTTATTTACAAAAACAGGCAGTGGGGGGCTGAATTGCCCAAGGGCCATCGTTTGCTAACTCCTGACCCACATGATCCATGATAATGTGTACAAAAATCAGCGGAGGCAGGAGGAACAGATATTATACTTTATCGATTATTTACCAAAGACCACATGTTTAGGTACTGATGAAACAAGTTTGTCTCAAATCCAGGCCTCTGGACTCTAAGGTTAGTACTCTTATGATTTACCACACTGCCTGTCTGGTAACAAACTTTACAGGTAACCTTATGTGAGTGTGTGATCCAAGTCAGCATAGTAGCCAAGCCAATGGGACACTGAAGAGGCTGGTTTGGCTATGTAGAATTCCCAGGCAACACTTTCCAATCCACTTTTTGCTACAGAGTGAAAGTATAACCTTTCTGCTCCTCACATTCCTCACAACCTTTCCAAGCCTCTTAATGTATTTGGCCAGAGACTGTGCCAAACAGCACACTCTATATGGTATGCCCTGATAAATTTGGAAAATACCAAGCTGTAATGCCAGTCTAGATTGGTTAAATCACACTGCCACAGCAAATGGAAGTTTTATGTGGTCACTGTACCTCAGCAGTTTCAAGTCCATTAATTGTCATACAGACGTCAAGGTCACTCTGTTTGAACCCAAATCCATTTTTGGAGGAGCCAAACAGGCTCAATTTAGTTCCTGTTAGGGATATATGAAAAGTAATAACTAATTACCTGAGTACATTTAATTTTTGATCAAAATGGCCCTCTCATGAATCAAAAACACCCAGTTGTTTAATTATCCTATATTAATCTCATACTTATGTTCTCTGATTAACTGGTCATTTATGCTAAAGTCTTTTTCTCTCAAAGCTTCCTTTACATACAAGCTGTATATGGCAAGAAAGATTACCAGGTGCTCCTTTATTCTTAAATGCAAAGACATTTCAAGGAAAATGTTAGATCACCTCAACACATTTAATAATGTAAGCTTAACTTTGACTCTAAACATAGTATTAAATGAAATTCACTTATGGCACTTGCTAGAATAAACCCTACACTGTTTCTGTTGGTAAATGAGGATTTGGCAGACCAAGGACCATCCTGGGTATATTGCAAAACAATGGAAATCCTGATTCTCAAAATCAGTGTGCTTGTAACACATGAACTGATTTGGAAAAAAGGTTACACTACTTTTCTTAAAAATAAAAAATAAATCATTTACCTGGAAAGTCCTGTCTTATGAAACTTTCTAGGTTTTGCCGAATATGTTCACGAGCCTGATCTTCTATAATTGTTGGAGAAAAATCCTCTGTTTAAAAATAAATAGACATATTGACAAAATAAGCCGGTTGACACTCTTAGAAAAAGCTGAAAAAAATTTATTTTTTAGAAAATAAAACTTACAAGCTTAAATTTAAAAATTCCTAAATCATTGTGTCTTCTCAGTAGATAGCATTAACAAGGTAAAGTTTGTTTTTTATTTATTTTTGAGATAAGGTCTGGTTCTGTCGGCCAGGCTGCAGTGCAGTAGTGTGATCTTAGCTTACTGCAACCTCTGCCTCCCAGGCTCAAGCCATCTTCCCACCTCAGCCTCCCGAGTAGCTGGGACTATAGGCATGTACCACCATGCCTGGCTAATTTTTGTAACAGTAATGTAAAATTTAAGATGTCCTTTTTTAAAGAATCTAAGAAGTGCTCTTGAAACGGAAAGTAATTTAAACATGGGATCTCCACCTGGGTTTCCTGAAAGACACCAGGGTTACAGAAAGGGCCTTCAGAAATCACCACCCCGCTAAAGTGTGAATTTAAAAGTTTGTGAGCATTTGCATGTATTTTTTTCCCTAAGGAGAACCTAGTTTTTTTAATAGCTCATAATATAAAAAAAAAAAATTTCCCAAAAAAAAAAAAAAAAGGACTTGTTAAGAACACGTGTCTTCTGACACGGATGAACACCTTATGATGAAGCCATGTGAAACAAGTTCCTTCATTTTAAGCAGCTGAACATCTATCCTTTAAATATTTTCTTTTGTAAAACTTTAAGGCTCTCTACACCAATGCTTCCCCAAATTTGTGTTCCTTAAAGGGCTGTTAAGTAGGCTATTAATTAGCGTTACTCAAAAATTATTCTATGTTCAAATTTTAGAAATAATATTTCTCAGATACCTTCAATATGCTAATATGTCCTGGAAATAACCCAGGAATTCTAAGAGAGAAGGGAGTGTGTAGTGTTATTCCCTCGCTGGCCTAGGTATACTTCTGGTGATGAAATATTATTAACTGCCATCTAGAAAAACATTTCAAAGAATGCCAGCTGGGAAATGCTACTACTCTAATTTTAAGACTTAATAAAAGATCCTCAGCAAGGCAACTTTCGGCCCCTCACAGAGACAGTACTTTGAAATTCATATTGAGATTTTACCCTCTCTTCCAACGATTTTGGGAAAATTATGAACTGAGACTCTTCAGAAAATATCTTTCTTCTGGAAAAAAATGTCGCTCCCTTACCCTCATCCTTACTTTGTATCCTGGCTTATAACAGGCCATGCATTTTTGTAGCAAACTTTTCAAAAACAATTATATAACCTGGTCCCTTCTTTCTGGGGCCTGGATCTGCTTACACAGCAGGAAGAATAACACCACCAACCTTTACATAGCCCAGCTAGCCAGGGAAGTGTGTCCAGGCTTCAAGTAACTTGAATTTTAATTTTTGGCCGGGAGCGGTGGCTCACGCCTGTAATCCCAGCACTTTGGGAGGTCAAGGCGAGCGGATCACTGGAGGTCAGGAGTTTGAGACTTGCCTGGCCAATATGGTGAAACCCCATCTCTACTAAAAAAAAAAAAAAAAATTAGCTGGACATGGTGGTGCATGACTGTAATTCCAGCTACTCAGGAGGCTGAGGCAGGAGAATTGCTTGAACCCAGGAGGTGGAGGTTGCAGTGAGCTGAGATCGCACCACTGCACTCCAGCCTGGGTGACAGAGCTAGACTTTGTCTCAAAAAAAAAAAAATTTTTTTTCTTGGCAGAGTAATGGAAAATTTAAATGGGGAAAGATATTTAATACTAAGCTTTAAAAAGAAACCTGCTGGCCAGGCGCCATGGCTCAAGCCTGTAATCCCAGCTCTTTCGGAGACTCAGTTGGATGAATCACTTGAGGTCAGGAGTTTGAGACCAGCCTGGCCAACGTGGTGAAACCCTGTATCTACAAAAAATATAAGAATGAGCTGGGTGTGGTGATGCATGCCTGTAATACCAGCTACTTGGGTGGTTGAGGCAGAAGAATTGCTTGAGTCCAGGAGTTAGAGGCTGTGGAGAGCTGATATTGCGCCACTGCATTCCAGCCTGGGGGACCGAGCAAGACCCTGTCTCACCATCACCCTCCAAAAAAGGAAACCTGCTATGATTGCTATGTATCTTGATGCAACAACTATGCTGTTAATAAAAGGAAGTACAGAAGGCACTTGATATTAAAAGAAAAATAAAAGATCCTCCATTTGCCTGAGCCCAGGAGTTCAAGACTAGCTTGGGTAACACAGGGAAACTGTGTCTCTACAAATAATGAAAAATTTAGTCAGGCATAGTGGCATGCATCTGTGCTCCCAGCTACTTGGGAGGCTGAGGTGAGAGGATTGCTTTAGTCTGGGAGGTCGAGGCTGCAGTGACTCATGATTGCTCTGCTACACTCCAGTCTGGGTGACAGAATGAGATCCTGTCTCAAAATTTAAAAAAAAATTTTTTTTTAAATAAAAAAGATCCTCCCTGCATCTCTCCTCATCCTTCTTTGACATTTATTGCATGTCCCAAACAGAACAGACATGACATGGAACGCTTGAGGATACAATGGAGAATGGAATAGACTTGGTCCCTAATAATGTTTAGAGACCTAAATAGGATAGTGATTCTAAAGACTCGAGTAAATGTCAATTTAATATTTTGACAAATCAAAAGAAATGTGAATAACTTACTATAACACTGGATACAGACTTGATCTAAGATATTTAAAAACTTGGGTGTTAATGGTGGCAGAGGTTCTAGCTGGATTCTTTTGAAGTCTTCAGGACAGTCCTTCTTTAGATGACCCTCTCGTTTGCATAAGCTGCACACTACCGTAGGAGACTGCAGGAATATGGCAAAGCAAAACAAGACTTAACACTTTATTTGCCAAATAAAGGAGTCTGGAATCATGTTTTAAAAGTACACAGTCACCTATTCACTTTCCAAAGGAAATGAAAATATAACATGCATCCACTCAAATGATCTGAGAGATGGGGACATCCTATAGTATCATTAGGAGAACATAGTGGCTATTTTCACTACTAATAGCATTCCCTTCCTCTGCTAATTCCCATGAGTCTTAAGGAGAAAAGCAGACCGAGCAGTCATATCAGAATGAAAGGCCAACTTGTTCAACACTACCAAAATAGGAAAATTCCTAGTATATAAAAATTGAAATTAAATGCATTCAAAGTCCTTAAAGTCTCCTAGTTCTATGACTAGTGGTGGTACTGATTACCTTGCCTTTGGTGAAGATAAGTTTACTGAATTCATAAAAAAAATCAGACTGATCCACAGGTGAATTTTTTTCTTCACATACATTTTCTTCCTTGAGACTTATTTTATTAAGTTCCACTAGGAGAGCTCTTTCTACATGTTTTCCACATTCTTTCACGTCTTCATACTTAGCAGCTTCGCCTAACTCATCATCCTCTTCAGATAGGGCGTCCTCATCCCCTGACCCAGTGTAGGTGTTGTCTAACTCATCTTCATTAGCCATGCCATCTTCATCTTCCCTTTGGTTAATGGTGAGCCTAGGTTCTTCTTCCTCCTCCTCTTCTTCGTCGTCCTCCTCCTCTTCATCAGAGGGAATCATTTCTGATGTCTGGCCCTGTACTGAGTGGGTAAAGTGGTTTAGAGAGTCTTCTAGTTCCTCAGTACCTTCTGTACTTTCTCCATCAAGATCAGCCTTGTTATCTAAAGTGGCAAGTCCCTCACACTCTTTAGCTGTGGGATTTTGGAAGCCTTCTAAATCCAAAGTGCTCTCTGACTCATTATTACGTGTGCTGCCACAGACAACATGCTCTCCACGTTTCTGATCAACAGTCAACAGATGCTTGCCCTTCCTTCCAACTTTCTCTTTCTCGTTTTTCCTTCCTGTTTCTGGATGGTATACTTTATCACCCTTGTAATCATCAGAGTTAACATCTGCTTGGATACAGTCTGAGTTTTCAGGGTGGACACTGATGTGTTCATTTCCCATTTCTTCTTTTGGTGGGCTTCCAAAACTTTCAGCAGTCTCTTTAAGAGTAAGTGGCTGTACCTTACAGGTATTTGCAGCTGAACTGGTAGCACCAGGACCTTGGGCCAAAACTGAGTTTTTGAGCTTATCATCTTTTGTTTGTACATCTGGATGATGATTTATTACTTCTTTAGAATGTTCTGAAATACATGTAATTGCATTCAGAGGCTTTAGAAGGCTGGATTTTGTAATTTTGTGTGGAAGAGCAAAATACTTGTATGTTGTCCTTAAACAATGAAGTATATATTCAAACACAGGTTGACTATTTAGGGTTCTTGCCACATTTCTTTTAACAGAGTAGGGATCTGTAATAAAAAAAAGAAAGAAAGAAAAATCCATCTCTTCATATGTTACTATATTTCATGTTTTAAAAATTAGCCTGCTGCAGATAAAAACAGACAACAAACAATGGTAAAATTTATCTTGCATTTTATAGACTTAAAAAAAAACTGGGGGTGGGGAGTAAGAAAACAGAGTTTAAGAACAAAAAGCAGTATTTTCTGAAACATCGGCTCTATGAAGGGAACCCATTCTGTTCAGAACCAGTACCCCTTCTCCCTATTGTGCTCTGTGACTGTGGAGGTAGAAAAGATGTTATCAGCGTGGCTCTCAGGCCCTTGGGAAGGAAGATCTTCCCACCAGGCTCTGCTGCTGCTGAGTGCTCTGCCTCCCCACTCAGCCAGGCCCTGTGGTTTATCGAGCTTACCTCCACTCTTCTGCCCTGGGAAGCCCCATCACTGAATTGGCTGGACTGAATTTCAGGGGCGAGAGGGAGGCACCAGGAGGAGACACCACTTCTCTCAATCTTTTCTCCTCCCCTAGAACTCCAGCAGGTTAGGCAATTGGCCAGAAGAGCTGAGCCACAGAAACTGCAGGGGAGGGTTTAAAAATGTGAGATCCCCATGACTGCACACAGAATTTATGCAAAATGCAAAAAACCCTCTTATGCAACATAAAGCTTGAAAAAAAAATCAAGCAAAAATAAGAGAATTCCATTTAGGAGGTTCTTTAAATTATTTAAAGGAGGAGAATTAAGATTTCTAGAGGGGTTTCAACCTCCTGACTTTGCAAAGCTGAGAAGAGCTAGTCCATTTAATGATGTCTACAGGGCACATCAGTGTGTCTTTGATAAAGTGATTTCAGTTAAATGAGGCTTCACTAAAAATGTGTTTTTATGAATAAGTTCTAAATGCTACTGTAGATATGTCAAAAATAACTACTCATTCTCTCTACTGGAGAGGAATCCAATGGAGAATGACATTTTTGACGAGAAAAAGTATTGTCCTCACCTTTGCAAAACTAAACAACTTCAACAATCCACAAAAGGACTGAATTAAAAAATCCAGAGGTGAGAATGGTAAAGAGGAAAGGGGGATTTACACATCACTGTGAAAAACATACTTTAGGCATTTAAGTGGTTAAGCAATCTACAAAGAAAGCAAGGACTCAGCCAGCCATTATTCAAGTTGTTTATACTTTAAAAACCCAGGGTGAACAGTTTGATTCCTTGAAATGACCCACTGTTAACACATGCAAGATTCTAACTATTTATTTCCCTTTGAGGGCAGGCCTACCTTACTTGTAGGAGCTGAAAAGAGACTGAAATAAAAAGCATGCTGTTAGACTGGTACCTTTAAAAAAAAGAGTGGGGGGGAATAAGATAAACATTTTGAGATACCTTCAATGGCAATGCGCTTTTTGGGCCAATCCTTCAATTCCCGAGATACCAATTCTTTGACACGAATACTTATCACTAAATCAGCCAAATTAAATTCTAAAGCATAGAACCGCAGCAATTCCACCCAGAGCTGCCCAACTGGTACTGAAGGCTGGTGTTTCACATCCAATATTAATGACACCTATTAATAGCAAAGAGAAACATACAGGTTATTTCAGATGTAAGTACAATCTGGAAAATTAAAGATCATTTAAGCATCAAATTAAAAAAATCTGGAAAACCTTAACAAAGATATAAGCCTGACAATCCATCTAGATAAATCAATTCTAACTTCTATTTTGTTTGTGGTAAAACAGCATTACTTCACTGCACTATTAGGATTAGAGTATGCTATAATCCAGTCATTATCACAGGAATAGACAGGATCAGTTTTATTTAACCAGACAGAGCTCCTAATTTTGAACTGTTAATAACAGGTGGAGAGGACTGTGCATGGGTTGCTAATATTCTCAGCACTGAACTCTTCCTGTTACTGCTGCTGGAGGCACCTTTACAGTCACAGACACACAAAAATGGACAGTAGCTAAAGGCATAGAGAAAAAGGAAAAACACTCCTCTCACTGCCCTGAGAAGCTACATAAGCACATTGACTCTGTCAGTGACAACTGATTTTAAAGTCAAATAACTCTTGCCATCAGAAATTGACACTGGTTTTACAGTTACAGACTTCTGACAAGTTGGAACATAACTGCGATGTAATATATTAGAAAGTACATATTACTTAGGATAGGGGAAAATATGGGCCCAAATAGAGATTCTGCCACGTCATAGCTCTTAATTGCTCTGTGACTTAGCTTCTTCATTCTCAGACTGGTAGCACAGCACAGTGGCTAAGAGAACAGGCTTTGGAATTGGGACAAGCTTAGATCTGAAATCCAAACTCTGCCATGTACTAGCTGTGTATGATCTGGGTCAAGGTCTATAATCTGTCTAAGTCTGGGTTTCCTCATCTGAAAAATGGGGATAACAGTACCCACCTCATAGGGTTGTTGGGAGGACTGAGTGAGATAGTGTCTGTAAAGTGCTTAGCACAGTGCCTGGCACACAGTGTTCAAAAAATGGTCGCTATCATTATCTGCAGAGTAGGGATGATACCACCTATAACACAGGATAGTGATGAGGATTAAATCAGAAACAAGGGAAAGCATCTGGCAGACTTGGTTGCTCTCTGTATTTTTTCCACGTAGGTATAGCCTTTTTAAGTACAAGAAATCCATATATCACTGAAACACAATGTCACCACTGTAAGATGCTCTTAAGAGGTAATCTAGTTCAACTCCTGTATATTACAAGAGAAG
Source organism: Homo sapiens (assembly GCF_000001405.40). Lineage (NCBI taxonomy): Eukaryota > Metazoa > Chordata > Mammalia > Primates > Hominidae > Homo > Homo sapiens. Next base: position 86,326,692 of record NC_000009.12, read on the forward strand.
GAACTGAAGCCCCACGAGTGCCCATGGCTTGTCAGAAGGTTGCACTGCCTGGCAGTGGCCGGATGAGAACAATGTCTCAATGTCTCCTGATCTCAGTACAGTGCACACCATATGCAACCCCATAATGTCTGAAGCTCACTTTATTTCAGAAGTGGCAGCATGATTAATCTTTCCAAATAACATAAAAATGTAAAAATAAAGCATTAAATGGATTTACAGCAATAGCTTTTCCTATAATTCACACTGAAAAAAGTAATTTCCTCTAAGGTGCACAAATTTGTTTTCAATCATACTTTATTATATTAAGCTTCAAAATCAGTGGTCTATTTTTCTCAATCACAAAGGTTCTGTCAAGTAATACAAAGTCATCTGGTGGCTTTACAAGGCAGAACTGATTAAAAATGGAAGTTGTCTAAGTCCCAAACACTACAGTTTGAGGACACAAATAAACCCCCCAGAAATTTTAAGCATTATTACATTTTACCTCTTTATCCATAGCGGCATTACAAAGGATTTTTAAGCATCTCACTGAAATGACTTGATAATACCATAACATGAAACTGGAGAGACCTTTGAAATATCTAGACTACAGGAACTTAAACTGGTTTTCTTTAAAGCAGAGAACATTTTCTTTTTCAAATAAAATAAGAATAGCAGCTAACATTTACTGAGTGCTCACCACATGCTCGGCACTGAGTTAAGCATTCTGTAAGTGACCCTATGAGAGGGTACCAATATTATCCCCATGAGTAGGGAGGAAACTGGTGCACAGAAAGGCGAAGTCACTTGCCCAAGGACACACAGCTGGGAAGTGGGAGAGCTGGGATACAAATTCACATATTCTGGCTCCACAGCCTATACTCTTCTCCACTACAGAGACTCCAAATAAGAAACAGATAAAAGTGGTTCTGGTGGCAGCAGAGGTAGGGTGGTACCACCACTCTCCTCCTCCTCCCAGTGTTCAAGGATTCTAGAAAACACAACTGGAAAATCTGATTCACCACTAACTCCTCATTTTAGGCATGAGTAAAACATGAACTGGAGGAGTGACATGACTTGTTTGTATAAAGCTGGGATTCGATTCCAAGAATTTTGTGGATGTTACTGTCAATTTACCCCAAAAGGTAACGGGAAGATCAGGGGCCTTTCACCTATTTGGGAGAGAATCTTATTCTTATTACTAGGATAATGACATTGCAGAGATTTTTGTTTGAAATTCTAATGGCTATTCTTTCCTTGTGCATAAATTCCCCTGCCCACCCCCAACAGTATGGGACCGGTACATTAAATCATATATGCATTCACTGTTATTTTAGTAACTGAAAGCTAGTTAACCTTTCATACATTTAAACCTCATAATACCACCTAAGACTAAGCTCTTTGAGGATAGATATGGATTTACCTTTGAATTCTGAGTCTCTTTCAAAGGAACCAGCACAAAGAAACTACATAAATAACTGTGGATTTAGTGATCTAATATTTTTTTTAACCTTTTCTCATTACTTGTCTGTTCGAGGTACTAAACAGACTGGCAAATGAAAGAGCCACGAAATAGTAAAGATAGTTAAGGAAAGAAGACAAGACTGACTAATCCACAACTTCACAATTGGCAAGTGAAACTGACAACTAGAAACAAAAGAGAACAGACCTGTCCCCTTTTAATCGGCGTTTCTCTTGGTGCCTCTTCTTTTGTTATGCCTGTGTCCCCTGCAGCACTGTCAGTATGTTCCCAGATCACAACATCTTTTTCAATGTCTTGAAGGTTGAAATTCCCTAGTTTGCTTAATGAGAATCCTTCAATCTAGGAAAAATTAGACACATGCTAAAATAAGATAGAAATAATCTTATATCAAACACAGTCTACTAATCTTGGAATAAAAAAATACTCATAGTTCAACGAAAATACAAAAGATATAATTTATGGACTATCACAGAGACATCTATACATTTAAAAATATTTTTAAAAGTAAAAAACAAGGTTTTGATTTGCAAAAGAAATGGTGACTTTGTGAAATAATTCCTCAGTAAATATTCTAAGAGTAGGCAAAATGGCCTAGTGGCTGACGTCATGGGTTCTGAAGTAAAACTGCCTGGTCCCAAATCTCAGCTCCTTCATATACTAGCTGTATAACCTTGAGTAAGGTACTTACTCTCTGTAGGCCTCAGGTTCCTTTAAAAAGGGGTAACACTAGGACTTCCTTCATGGGATGGTTATGATATAAAAAAAATGACCATAAGGCACTCAGATAGAGGTAGTATCTGCTTGTAGCATACAGCACATAGTAACTGCTTAATAAATACAAGACAACTATATTGCTAGAAAATGAAAATTACAAGAACTAGATCCAGCTAATTAGAAAATAATTTTAAATACTATTAATTCTGGGTATGCTGGACATTTTCAAAGTAAATTTTATGTGCTATTAATGAATATTAATGCAAAAGAAAATGGTCTAGTTGAAAAGGCTTGTGAAATGTCAAACGGAGCTGAACAGGTTTCTTCATCGTATGATAGGATTTATCACAGCCTTTAAAACAGGTTAATGAACAGGCCACGCATGGTGGCTCATGCCTGTAATCCCAGCACTTTGGGAGGCTGAGGTGGGCGGATCACCTAAGGTCAGGAGTTCGAGACCAGCCTGACCAACATGGAGAAATCCCGTCTCTACTAAAAATACAAAATTAGCCAGGCATGGTGGCGCATGCCTGTAATTCCAGCTACTCAGGAGGCTGAGGCAGAAGAATTGTTTGACCCTGGGAGGCAGAGGTTGCAGTGAGCCGAGATGGTGCCATTGCACTCCAGCCTGGGCAACAAGAGCGAAACTCCATCTCAAAAAAAAAAAAACAAAACAAAAAACAAACAAAAACAGGTTAATGAACAAAATAATATGGGATGGAGTATGGATGTGACATCACATTTCCCAAATGTATTTTTATACCAAATGGGCTACTTCATTGGTTTAGAAGAGAGTGATCCTTCTAAAACAGAAGACACACTCTCCTGTTCATAGTGGTTTCTGTCTCACTCTAGATGAAGTGCAGTCCTTTCCAGGGCCTGAGTAACCTGGCTCTTTTCTACTTCTCTGATCCTTCTATCTTCTTGGCTCAGAGATGACACCTGGTATTCCCTCTGCTTAAAATGCTCTTCCCCCTAACAAAGTGAGGGAGACTATGACTCATTCTCCCTCACTTTATTCAGCTCTGCTCAAATGTTTTCTCTAAGGAGCTCCACATTTATCATTCTCTGTCCTCCTTACCCTGGTTTATTTTTCCTCAGAGAAAGTACCACCACTGCATATATATTTATTAGTCTCTTGCCCCAATTGGATGTATAAATTCGAGGGCAAGAATTGTGTTTTGTTCACTTCTTTTTTTTTCTTTTCTGAGGCAGAGTCTCACCCTGTTGCCCAGGCTGGAGTGCAGTGGCATGATCTCGGCTCACTGCAACCTCTACCTCCTGGGTTGAAGCGATTCTCCTGCCCCAGCCTCCCAAGTAGCTGGGATTACAGGCGCCTGCCACCATGCCCAGCTAATTTTTTTATATTTTTTTAGTAGAGATGGAGTTTCACCACGTTGGCCAGGCTGCTTCAACTCCTGACCTCAGGTGATCCACCCACCTTGGCCTCCCAAAGTGCTGTGATTACAGGCGTGAGCCACCATGCCCGGCCCTGTTCACCACTTCTAACAGTAACACCCAGAATTAGTTGGTGCCTGGCCATGGTAACTGCTCAGTAAAGATTTGTTGACAGACTGAACTAGTCTTCCACAGAAAACACTTTGGAAAATATTAGGCGTAGTGACTATTTCTTGGTTGGATGTATGTATTCAATATTTTTCTCAACTGGGTAGCTTGAGTTTTTGTTTATTTAGTGATATTTTCTGAAGAGCTGCAGTTTTAGAATTAGATAAAGTTTGATTTCTTAATGTTTTTCTTTATTGATTTTAGTATGTTAAGAAATCCTTTCTGCAAAGGTTTTTCCCTAGGTTGTCTTCTAGGAGTTTCAGAGTTTTTAACTTTTACATTTAGGTCTTTCACCCATTTTGGTTTCCAGCTTTTTGAGGTGGACCTTTAGGTCACTGATTTTAGACCTTTCTTTTTGAATTTAAGCATTTAAATCTAAAACTTGCCCTATGAACACTATTTTAGCTGCATCTGACAAATTTTATATATCTTGTATTTTTTTCTTTCTTTTTTTTTTTTGAGATGGGGTCTTGCTCTGTTTTCTAGACTGGAGTGCAGTGGTGTGATCATAGCTCACTGCAGCCTCGACCTCAACCTCCTGGGCTTAAGCAATCCTCTCACCTCAGCCTCCTGAGTAGCTGGGACTAGGGTGTGTGCCACTATGCCAAACTATCTTACATTTTTATTATTATTTAGTTCAAAATATGTTTTAATGTCCCACTTGAATTCCTCTTTAATCCATGGAATCCTTTCAAATGTACTATGACTTATTTTAAGAACCAGCATAGGCCCTCCTCTGGGAGGCTGACACAGGATTGCTTGAGCCCAGGAGTTTGAGACCAGCCTGGGCAACATAGTGGAACCTTGTCTCTTAAATTAAAAAAACAAAAGAACCAGCATGTAGTATATCTTGATGAATGTACCATATGGACTTGTAAAAAATATGTATTCTCCAGTTATTGGGTATAGTGTTTTATAAATATTAATTAGGTCAAGGCGGTTGATATGATGTATCAGTTTATACTATCTATACTGATTTTTTGTTTAGCTAACACAGGTGTCAATTGATGAAGGCTGTTAAAATCTCCTTGTCTGATGGTAGAATATATTCCATCAATTTTTATTTCATGTATTTTGGTGCCCTCTTAATAGTTGCAAACATTTACGATTGTTTTGTCTTCCCAATGAATTGACCCTACCCTAATAAAATGTCCCTTTTGTCTTTGGCATATTTTTTCCACTTGAAATCAATCTCATCTGATATTAACATAGCCTCTCTCGTTTGGTTACAATTTACATCTTTTGCCATCCATTTACTTTTAACCTATATGTCTTTATATTTAATTTATTTCTTCTAGAATATAGTCTTGCTTTTAAAATTCATTCTGAAGGGGATCTAGTTAAACTGAAGAATTTTTGCATAGCCCTATCAACAGAGTAAACAGACAACCTACAGAATGGGAGGCAATTTTTGCAAACTATATATCAAAGGTCTAATATCCAGCATCTATAAAGAACTTAACAAATTTACAAGGAAAAAATAACCCCATTAAAAAGTTTGGGTAAAGGGCATGATCAGATGCTTTTCTGAAGAAGACATACATGCAGCCAATGAGCATATGAAAAAAGCTCAACATCACCAATCATTAGAGAAATACAAATCAAAACCACAATGAGATACCATCTTACACCAGTCAGAATACTATTAAAAAGTCAAAAATACCAGATGCTGGCAAGGTTGCAGTGAAAAGGGAACACTTTCCTCAAAGAGCTAAAAGCAGAACTACCATTCAACCCAGCAATCCCATTACTGAGTATATACCCAGAGAAATACAGATCATTCTACCATAAAGACACAGGCATGCGAATGTTGACTGCAGCACTATTCACAATAGCAAAGACGTGGAATCAACCTAAACGCCTATCAGTGACACACTGGATAAAGAAAATATGGTACATATACACCGTGGAATACTATGCAGCCATAAAAAAACCCAAGATCATGTCTTTTGCAGGAACATGGATGAAGCTGGAGGCCATTATCCTTAGCAAACTAACGTAGGAACAGAAAATCAAATACCAAATACCACAAGTTCTCACTTATAGGTGGGAGCTAAATAATGAGAACTCATGGACACAAAGAAGGGAACAATGGACACTGGGGCCTACTTGAAGGTTAAGGGTAGAAGGAGGGAGAGGAGCAAGAAAAAATAACTATTGGGTACTACGCTTAGTACCTGGGTGATAAAATAATCTGTCCAATAAACCCGTGACATGAGTTTACCTATATAATAAGCCTGCACATGTACCTTTGAACCTGAAAGTTAAAAATAAATAAATAAATTCTGGTAATCTATGCTTTTTAGTGGGGATATTTAGTCTGTCAATATTTAAGTTGATTACTGATATCATTGGTTTTAGGTCTAACATTTGAGTGTTTTCTGTTTGTCCACTCAGACAAAATTTCCATTTGGTTCTTTTGATATTTCCTACTTCTCTAGCTGACATTTCCTATCTCTTCATTTATTCCACATGTATTATTTCCTCTGTCATGAAGCACAGCTATAATAACTGCTTTAATGTCTTTGACAGTTGCATCTGGGTCATCTTGGAGTTTGCCTTTGTTCATTTTCTTTTCCTTTGAGAGTAGGTCTCACTTTCTTGACTCTTTCTGAGTAATTCTGGATTGCATTTTAGACATTGTAAATATTATATTATTAAAATTTTAATCATTTATTTTACTCCAAAAAGTGATGTTTTTGTTTTAGCAGCAGGTAATTAACTTGTTTAGGCAAACTGGAAATTATCACACCTCCAGTAGATTGTGGCTCAGCTCTTGCATCAGTTCTTTAAGCCTTGGCCCCCAACTATATTCAATCTGCCCCACACAGGCCTGGTTTAGGAGTCTGGCATTAATTTTGAAAAATTCTCAGTCATTAGTCCTTCTACTATTTCTTCTGTTCTTTTTTCTTTCTCCTCTTGGTATTCCCATTATACATATGTTTCAACCTTGACTAACTGACCCAGTTCTTAGGTATTTTGTTCCTTTTTCCTCTTTACTTTTCAGTTTGAGAATTTTCTGTTGCTATCACTTCATACTCAGATTTTTCCTGGCTATGTCTAGTCTACTAATGAGCCCAAAGGCATTGTTCATTTCTGTTATAATTTTTTGGATTTCTAGCATTTCCTTTTAAATCTTTTGAGAGTTTCTGCTTCTCAGCTTATATTACCCATTTATTCTTGCATGTTGTCCATTTTTTCCATTACAGCTTTTAGCATATTAATCATTATTATTTTAAATTCCTGGTCTGACAATTTCAACATTTGTCATATCCAACTTAAGTTCTGACACATGCTCTGTCTCTTCAAGCTGTGCTTTTTGCCTTTCAGCATGCTTTGTAATTTTTTGTTGAAAGCTAGACACGATGTACTGGGTAAACAGGCTTTTAGGGTGAGGTTTTATGTTTATCTGGCTAGGAGTTAGGATGTTTATTGTTTTCTGCAGCTGTCGTAGCTGAAAATTCCTCTGGTGTCCTTGTTTTTGTCTCCCTTGTTGCCTCTGTGTTTCCCTAAAGACTTCTTAAAAAAGGTCTGAGACTTGTAGTTCAGACCTTGTGATCCCTGGAGAGGGGAAACACTGTATAGTCCTAAGATTAGGTCTCAGTCTTTTAGTGAGCTTGTGCCCCTAGACAGTGACCTTCATAACTATTTCCCAGTTCTCCTACTACCACCCTTACTTAGATGAGAAAGGAAGGCTGGAGCAGTGGAGCTAGGTACCTCCCTTCCCGTGGCAAGTAAAACCCAAGGTGGTTAGGCTTCAGTAAGAGTACCTCCGAAGGGCAGGCTTTCAATAATTAAAGAATGCTCTGGGCATTATTTCTAAATGGCAACTTTTCCTCTCATCCTGCCAGAAGCACTGGGAGATTTTTCTCAGGTCTTTACCCTCAGAGCTTAGTGGGATTCCTGGAGGTATAACTCACACAAAAGTCTGAGGAAGCCCTCCTAAGAATGGGAGAAATTTTTAACCCTCAAGCTTGTCCAAACTGAGCCTTCGGAAATTTGTCAACTACACTTTAAATTTTTCTACCCTAGTATTGGCTTCAGTGGCAGGATTCCGCTCCTGGCCTTCTGCTCTGGTAAGCTGTGCTTCACTGTATTACCCTGCTCTCTAATTCTGGGGGCAGTGGTTTGCCCATGACATCAATTGTCTGATGGATCCAAAAAGAATTGTTGATTTTCCGTTTGTTCAGTTTTTTTTCTTGTGAGGATGAGAGTGACGACTTCTGGGCTCCTTTCATGCCAAACTAAACTGGTTCAGGAGTTGGGCAGAGACATCCTGAGTTTTTATACCCAGGGTTCTTTTTAAGGGTTTTAAGGGTTCCACTTATCTGTTATCTTTCCTTTCAGTTCCTCCTCTTGTACACCTTATCTTCTGGTGGCCCTGGTTCCTCTGGCCAGGAAGAGGACTGATTTTTGTCTTAAATCAGAGTTGCCTTTAGGGGTAGAGCTACAGAAAAACAGGAGACTCACTCTGTGTTGGTCATTTGCTCCAAGTTTTGACTCCCCTCTAAAGACTGTTTGCATTTGTTCAGTCTGCAGGTTTTTGATGCTGTTGTTTCTGTATGTTGCCCAGAGTTTATAGTTGTTATTTGCAGAAGGATCACTTGATTAGGAGTTCACACTTCCACACCATAAGTGGAACTTGACTTTCTACTGAAGGAGAAAAGGACTATAACATTTGTTCTCCTTCCTTGTTTCAGGAATTTTACATTCATTATCTCATTCAAGGTTCAGAATGACATTGAGGCTCAGAGATTAAATAACTTGCTCAAGGTCACAAGGATGTGAGTGGCAAAACAGAGATGAGTCCCAGTGCTGGTAAACTTGAAAATCACCCTTTTTTCTACTATATTACCTGGCATCTCTAAAGTATGAATATCTGCTAAGGACTAGGTTTTTATAATATAAAATTATTCTTCATTCACAACTCACTATGATTAACTTCAATCATATCAAGATTTAATGACAATAAAATGGGAATTATGATTGGGAATAAAGGTTGGAGAGGGTTGGAGTCTCCAACATGGAAGAGATCTGGGTAGGTCGGGACAGAATGACTAAAAGATTTGTGAAAAGACAGATCAGAGAACACAGGCACAATACACTAAACTTCCTGACAGGGAATTTGGTCTTGTCCATCTTTGTATTTCAGGCACTACTACAATGACTAGTATACACAGTGCTTTAAATATTTTGAAGGAATTAACAGTTAGATACTCTCATGTACATAATTATGAGGACCTCATTGGATTTTCTGCAGAAATAATGTATGTAAAATATCTAGCATAAAGATACTTAGTAAGTATTAGTTCCATTCTCTTCACTTCCTAACTAGTTTAAAATGCTGAACACCGCAGGATCATTTTGGTTCGGGTGGTAGTGTGCCTTAATGGATCCAATGATTTCAATCCAGTGTTTGATCACTGCATACCTGCTTTTGTCATTAAATTTTGAACAAACATGATCCAATCAAAATCAAATTCAGTATCACTTTAGAGAGTTTCCGGTATCACTAACAAGGAAATAATATGCTGGCCATAGGAAAGGGTATCCATACTACCCTGAAGTATCCTTAGGAGAATCTCATCACCAGAAGAGATTTTTCTTTTTCCTGCATTCTCATGTTAATGACAGATGACTACTTAGAGAAGATCAAGACACATGAAAAAGCAGATCTCATTCAGTAAGATGGTAGTGAGCAAGGCAACTTATCCAACTTGTGCCAGGGTTTTTTTAGGTGCAGGAGTCCACCTGATTTAATCCTATCCTAAATTCCTATCTCTCTTAGATCAAGGTGAAAGGAAAACTTCAAAGACTTTCACACATTCCTACTTGGGTGTGCTGGAAAGAGTTATTTATCAACTAAGGGTTGACTTTGTTCTCTTGCTCTTTTTTCTACCAGGACAGTAGTCTGGTAGAGATACCCTCTCATGGCTCTGAATTCTCTCAGTACCACAGGCACGAAGAGAACTACCTTTAGGTTACTAGGATACACAGCATGCAATAATCCCTTATGCCAGGATAGTTTTCTAAGTGAGTTATTCTACTTCAGTCTTTATTCCCACGGCCTGGTAGACAGAAGTCCCTGCTTAATCTCACCTTATTCAGTATAAGGAAAAAATTCTCTTTAAATGTATTTTTTGATGTGTACTCATTGTTAAGAACTCCTTAAATGATGAGAGAAACTTGTGTGCATTAAGAAAAGTAGTTACAATAGCCAATGTGTCAAAGTAAGCTTTTCACTAAGGGGTCTTTCTATAAAATGGGAGTTTTTCTACACATAAAAGTGTATCAAGGTAATACCAAGGGATTACAAACAAGGTTTCTAAGAGGATGAGCTAATATCATGTTGACTCTTTCAGATGGTCTCTTCTTAAATCTTACTTGAACAAATCAACTCAACATTAATTTATCCAGAAAGAAAGAGTGATCACATGAATTCTAATTCATCTTTAAAATAATGTCAAAATATTATTCAAGAGATGACTACTAGGTTCTGCATCTTGTGGTACAGGTAGCAATTTCAATGTTTATATATTTTTTTGTTTTACAGGTTATGGGGAGAAATAGATTAGAAACAGAAAGTAAGTTACAGTGAACCAAATGCTTCCCACAGTCTGTCTGTCTGGAGGTGATATGTAAATTCAAGTATCAATTTAGAAAACTGTACCCAAAGAAAGAATGTACCAAATGGTAAATTTACAGGGTCAGTCTCTTGTTCGTCTCAGGACCATACATATTTCAAAAATTAAGAGATTTTGCAGTCTAGAAAGGTAATAATATCCCTAAGCAGGTTATAGGGCAACATACTGAAATCAAACACATTAGTATTTCAGCAGTGAAAGGTATGAATATTCACATGAGTAGAATAAATAAATCCATGTCAGTTCTGGTTAGGTGTCTAGATTTTGAAATTATGCAAAATTTAATTGTGGACCTGTAATAAAATCTGTTCAGATATATAAGCAAAAAAAATGTTTTATACCCATGATCCTAGATATACAGGCAAAAGGGGTTCTTTCCTCTGCTGAAGAAAGAAAATGGCCATCAGGGCAAACACATAAGGTGGCAGACCTCCTTCTTCAGGGCGATCTATACTGCAAAGCTACAAACAAGAGAAAAGAAAGTTAAGCATTCTTTTTGTATGAATTTGTCATTTACACGATTTGGCCTAAAACCTGTAACCTCATTCTTGTTTACTACATGATTTACGGTAATTCTTCAGCTGAAAATAGCAGTTACAAAATATACAACTTCCTTATACTTTTGCAGCAACCACATATTGTGGTTTTAAGTGATAGTTTCAATTTTGAATATTTAATCCTGTTAACCATACTCACTTGTGGATGGCCCTAAAATATTATTTCCTATTTTATTTTTTGATATCCATGGTCAATTCATTCATTTGTTTAGAATACATGTTAATGAATTAAAAACGATTGTTCAGTTACACATTAAGCCAGTTCAATGGTCCTCTTACCCTAACCCATAGCGTCTTGCATATGCATGCTTTGGTCACAAAGATTGGCGTGGGGAGAGAACGTGGACAAACTCATCACCACTAATGGAAATAACAACTAAAAGGGCATGTTCTACTTAGTGATGAAGCAGGCGGTGGTTTTCAAAGGATAGCATATTATAATTATAATTTAGCCAGTGAAGAGTGGGAAATCCGTTGTTCATTCAGGATCCAAGAAACGGGAAGTATCTATTGTTATTGATATACCTGAATCAGTAAAGCTTTTGATTTTCTCTAAAAGCACATACATGGAATCTCTTTTTTTTTTTTTTTTTTTGAGACAGAGTCTTGCTCTGTCACCCAGGGTGGAGTGCAGTGGCACGATCTTGGCTTACTGCAACCTGTACCTCCCAGGTTCAAGCGACAGAATCTCAATTTTATAATCATGACTCAACCTCACATTTTGGGGGAACGTTAAATCTTCTACTGTTTGAGTATTTTAATTGAAATATATTTAAAACATTATGGAAATGTAAACAAGATCAGAGAGTATCTTCTATTTTTTGCCGTCTCTGTGTATGTTATTGGACATGATATGAGAAGCTTTATCTCAACGTTCCTGTGCCTAACAACCACTGTGGTAAACTAGTTAAAATGTAAATTCCTGGGCCTTATCCTCTGAGATTTAACTCACAAATCTGATTTTTAATAAGCCCTATAAATCATTTTGATCTTTTGAGCAATACCGTTAAAGTGAAACAGAAACACTGAATCTTCCGTCTGTACGTTTCTGTTGCAAAATTCAGATGTCTTTCTCTTTTGATGTCTATAAATTTGCATTTAAACACTGAAGATTAAATTAAGTAAAAATCAAAGCATACTGCTTATACATATGTAGAATGTATTCATGCATAAAGACCTCAAGCCTACCTTTGCCCAGTACCTAAATGCAATCACCAAAGGAACCAGCTTTGGTTCTAGTTTTCCAAGGGCAGTTAAATGCTTTGTTGTCAGACAAGCATTTTCATTTCCTGCGCTCACTTTACACAGAAGACCACTGGTGAGAGGTGGGGGAGGAGGATGGGAAAGAAAAAAAGAAAAAAGTGTTACACAGGTCTCAAAGTGTCTTTTATGCCAACAACTAATATACATGCATAATAAATACTTCAAAAATAAAAAGCTTAAAAGTGAAAAAAACTACATCTTTATGAGTAATTTAATAAATTTTCTTTACAAAAAAGATATCGTGGCTATTTTCTGAGTAAACTTTATTTTTCGGATTAATAATTTTGTTTTCAAATATTATTTTTTGGGGGGAAATGCAAATAAGGAAAATATTATCAAATGTTTCGGGCCAGGCATGGTGGCTCACGCCTGTAATCCCAGCACTTTGGGAGGCCAAGGCGGGCAGATCATGAGGTCAGGAGATCGAGACCATCCTGGGTGAAACCCTGACTCTACTAAAAATATAAAAAATTAGCCAGGCGTGGTGGTGGGCACCTGTACTCCCAACTACTCGGAAGTCTGAGGCAGGAGAATGGTGTGAACCCAGGAGGCGGAGGTTGCAATGAGCCAAGATTGCGCCACTGCACTCCAGCCTGGGCAACAGAGCGAGACTCCGTCTCAAAAAAAAAAGTTTCAAATGGGAGCATGATTCATCTCTGTAACAATAAAAGAGTGTTTTCCCAAGAGTTGGAGGAATGTACCTAATGAAGAATCATTACAGCCTATAAACCACCCATTTACAGTAGTGACAGTAATGCTTTCACACAGAGGCAGAGAGAGATAAACCAGAGAGGTCACACTGTTACTCAGCACTGCCATAAATGCTGCCAAAAAGGGTGGCAAAATACAGGTGATTACAGCAAGTAACTATTTAATAAGGCTGTTTTTTAACGAGTTGAAATGGACCGAAATACTTCCTTGCTATATTTTTTCTTTTAAGTCATTTTATTATTTTTAAAATGAGATTTTCCCCTTTTACATCAAATGCCAAAAGTATAGGGAGAATGTTAGTAGGAACCATGTGTGATAACCAAATAAAAAGCTTATAATTCTAGAAATTGGACATTAAGATGTAGTAAAGTACTTGTGCTTTTGGCAAGTTGAGAGTTAGTAAATAAACAGTTTAAAGAAATGAGACCTTTGCTTTTCTCTGCACACCACCACTGGCACCCTAGCATGGAAGTCTGCATCAACATCAATAAAGGAGTCTGAGGAAAGAAGAAGAAAAATATTAAGTTGGTTAATTAAAGCTTTGTTTAAAAGCAGAACCAGATAAAGTACAAGTACCAGTTGTCCCTTAGCTGTTGAGTCTTTTGAAAGACCACTACTAAATAATGCTCTGCAATGACTTGAAAAGGAAAAAATATTACATTCAAAAACCAAGTTATCACATTAGTGTAAAACCCTTAGTTTGTAAAGTGAATGTTTCATTATAAGTGACTACATCATTGGATCAGAAAATTCAAATGTTATATGGATAACAATTAGAAATATAGGTAATACATTTAAAAACAAAGTTGCTGTAAAAGCTACTAAAATATTCAGTGTCAAAATATGTATTGATCGAAGACAAAATTTAACCAAAACAAGGAGGATGGGGATGACTAATTCAAGAGATGACACAGTTTCATAAGGACTATGTAAAACACAAAGAGCCATAAAGCCCCAAGCTGGACATTGTATTAGACAACTGATAAACCTAAATGGGCACCACTCTGTGGATTCATTAATTAGGGTTGGGTTACACCTATTCACTGTTGGTAAAATACTGATTTTAACCATTGATAAAAGCAGATTATCCTTCAGTTTTACCCTCAAGAGTACATTTTACATATTTTGCATTTCTTAGTCACATCTAGGACTCATTTAATCTTTATAAATAGTGATGATGTCATCAAGCTAAAAGCTTTACTTATGAAATGGTTATTCTGCATAGTAGAACTACTAACAGGACTCTAGTTAATAATTCATGGGCATTTGCTTTGGATATTACCCACATAAATAATTTTAAAAGCATGCCTTGCTATTTTCAAAGTTTGAGAAATAAGATAGATCCAAATTATAGACAACATAAAAATTTTTTAAATGTGGAATTTGGCCTTACCACTGTTCTTTAAACATTCTTGAACAAGTAAGAGGACATCTGGCTGAGACATCTAGGAAATAAATCAATGAATACATGAAATTATTCCTAAGTGATTTTGCTTCACTGATATAAGAGTCATCCGAAGTTCCCCAAATTCCTTTCTAAATGAGAAATGCACATTGCTATCAAAGTAAAGAAATTACTCACTATGTTGTTTGCATATGTCAGTCAAAGACAGACAGATCAACACCAAATGAAGACAAATGTGGGCAAGAGACCTACTATACAACTAACTTCTGATTTAACTAATTATTGAGGTTAACCTGCCTCTCAGCAAGTCTCAAAGTGGTAGCTGGAAGTTTGTCAAACTGCTAACAATATTACCTTTCACTCTAATACCATTGCAACAGATAGCTTACTGGTCCCGGAGTCAGTCTTGCACTTCTTTTTAAAATCCTTGTTTCGCAATGGAGCCAGGGCCATTTAAAATCATAAACTGTATCCTTACAACTCTCAATGACTTCTTACTGCCCTTAGGTCAAAACCAAATTCTTTATTTACCATGGTCTACACAATTCGGCCAGTCAAGCCCAGCCTACCTAGCCATCCTAATCTCCTGCTCTTCTTTTTCTTGGTCCCTTCACCATACTTACACAACCTTTCTTTTAGCTCCTTGAATATGCCAAACTCTTTATTGATTTAGGGTATTTGCAAATGCTGCTCCCCCTGCCTGAAACTCTTTTCCCTCCCGTTTCCCCCTCTCCTGCAGGCTCCTTTTCGTCTTTTAGAACTCAGCTTAAATGTTCCCTCTTCAAAGAAGCCTTCATGACTGCTGTATCTCTGCCCAGACCTTGTCATTTTCTATCCCTGAACCTTTACCTGCACAGCTCTCACTATAATTACAAGGTAATTACTAATCTCCTTTACTAGATGAGTTCCATAAAGAGGAACCATCTCTGTTTTGTCCTTTATAACCTAGTATGTCTGCCATACAAATGGGATGAGTGAATATTTGCTAAATGAATTAATGACACCGGATCAAAATAACTGCTATGGCTGGTAAATCACTGATCAGAATTTAAGGTTAAAAAAACAGTCTATTGGGTAGCTTACCAGGTAGCTACAGCACTCAGGTTTAGCAAGAAGTAAGAGGTTGTAAAATAGAACCTCTGGGGCCCCAGAATCTGGATTTTTTTTGAGAGAGGTGGGGCTGGCCAGGCTGTTCATGAACTCCTGGGCTCAAGTAACCCTCCAACCTCAGTCTCCCGAGTAGCTGGGATTAGAGGGTGAAGCCACTGCACCCAGCTCAGAATATGGATTTTTAACAAGCAACCCAAGTAACTGCAAACACATCATCTATAAACAGGCCTGTGGGAACTAACAGCAGAGAAATGGATAATCTACTAAAGTGCCTTTCAGTTTTTTGTTTTTTTAAGAGATAGGGTCTCACTATGTTGCCCAGGCTGGAATGCAGTGGCAATTCTCAAGTGCAGTCACAGCTAACTACAGCTTTGAACTTCTGGGCTCGTGATCCTCCCGCCTCAACCTCCAGAGTAGCTGGGACTACAGAACTGTGCCGTGTCCAGCTACACTCCAGTTTTAAAATTCTAACTCATCAACATACTTTTAAATCATGTTTAAACCAGAAATCCAGGCTAGGTGTGATTCTTTAAAAGCCTAATTATTTTAACAAAATAGGTATACAAAAAGAGGAAACTCCAGAGACAATTAAGCTTGCAGATCATAAATGTTTAAATATCTACACTTTAAAATCTGAATTCCCTTTCTGCCACTGGAAAGTTGATTTTATCAAGAAAATTTACTCTTTTTAAGTAACAGAACCTAAACACCCCCATCAGGTGCACATGGTTGAAAAACCAGTGTTGGATGTATAAAAGATCTATAGACTAAAATAAGTATGAAAATTTGCAGAGTATTAAAAAAAAAAGCTCTGAAACTGAAGGCAAGCGGATGCTGTCATTACACTTAAAATATCTTCAAATATCTAAAATATATTCATAGACAGTTTACATTTGTAAGAAAGAATTTCCATACCACTCTGAAAGTGCCAGCATTTCATTTTGTACTTACAATGGCTGGAAACTGGATGTCAATGTTTACATCCGAATTTTTGAAACCCAATCTGCTACAGGATGACCCATATAATCTTAGGGAACAATCTAAAAAATAAATAAATAAATAAAAGTAATAAATACAGTAGAATTTCTCAAAAGTTATAACAAAACACTGCTATTTCAGAAGCAGAACCATCAATTAAAATTACACACAAAAGCAAACTTGTATTCAAGACTAGCATAAACAAAGGACAGAAATAGGTGGCTCTTTGCTCTTCACTTAATTTAATAGGGAAGGCTGCATCAACTATGATTTAGCTTAACAGCCACGCTTCATGTCAGTTGTAAAACGTCAAATTGCTACGTTATCATGTATTTTATGAATAAAATACTATTATCTAAATATCACATTTTATGAAGAAAATACTATTTAAAATATTTTTTTAAATGTGCCAGTTGAAAAAGAATGTCTTTGTTTAAATTTATAAACCTGATAGTATATTCAAGAGCTAATGCAAACGTTTCTTTTCACCTTTTAGAATGCACCCATTGGTGTAATTTACTATAAGGAGGTTTTAGTAAAACAATAATAAAAATAATCTTTTGACATATTTAATATGAATTTCTCATTATATTATGAACAAAAAGCGTTTGCTGTAACAAAATCCCAATAAACTTTTGAAAAATAATTACAATATCACTGACATAGGTAGCAGACACTTCACTCTTCAGAGGAAGATGTGTGTGTATATGAGTACTATCTATAGTATAGCATTTATTTTCAGTGTTTTACTATGATGCCAAAATAGTATCCTTTCTCATCAGGGGTTGGTTTTCTTGTTTGTTTAAGGTTTGCTAAAATTCAAGTGATTTCTTTGGGTTTTAGCAGTTTTCCACAACAAAGTACATTCATTTTTACATGAAATTTTACAGTAAAAATCATCAGAATTACAACTGACTTTTCAGGAAATACATGTATAATAAAATGAGATTATTTTCCCTTATTCTTATGAAAGTATATGCGTTACAAATACTATATGTATGATCTTTCAGTAGAACAAACAGTTTTAAGATTTATAAGGTGACAAATATAAATAATGATTCCAACCCTAGCTGTGGATCAGAATCACTTGTCGAGCTTTGTAAAAATAGTTGTCCATGGCTTCACAGATAATTCTGATGCACAGCAAGAATTGAGAATGATGAAGCTATTCCAACCATTTACCTAAACAGCAATGGCCAGTGGGGGTTGGGGGATGATGTGGGGTGGGGTTTGTTGCCATCAAGGATTGACAGCAGTTGTGTCAGGCATTGAACATACCTGACCTTAAATTTTCATAGTAATACACTCCAAATAGTTGTGCCCCCTCCCCATCATGCCAAAGGTCTAAAGTTAAAAACAGGCAGAAGACAGACATAACTTGGAAAATCAATTCAACAGTGCACAAAATCCAATACAAATTTCTTAAAACTAGTTTTCAAAGTTCATTTTAGATGCTGCAATTCTCTTAAGTACAGTTAAATAAAATCTTTTTTTTTTTTTTTGACATGAATAACCTGAAAATAACTTCAGGATACTTCTCTTGATTTTAACTCAAAATATGGTGTCAATTTAGATGAGCGGAAAGGGAAACATACATACACAAGAGTCCCACAGTGCCCCAATAATGCAGGGCATTCAACTTAAAGTTCACACACAGGGTAAAATTTATAATGGAAACAGGTTTATAATGACAATGCATATGAAAGTCCTTGTTACCTTAGGGAAAGCCAGGGAAAACAAAAAACAAAAAAATAGAAAACACAAGAGCTTCATGACATGGTAAATAAATTTTTATTTGATGAAAATTACTATTGGTAGGAGAAATGAATGAGGTACTTTTAGGTAGTTAAATAGAAAAACAAATCTAGAAAATACCTGGTAACTTGTGTTGGAACACATTTTCCATGATACGTTTAATTTCCAGCCTCTGTTCCAAGTTCTCATTGTGTAAGCCAAATTCCTGTACCACTTTGTCAATGGCAATGCCAACTGCATTTATCTGGGAGGGTGTTGGTGGGGGTAACGTAGTGAGCAACTCTTCCTCTTGCTTCTCCTTTTAAGATCAAATGTTGAGATTAAAAATGACTTACACATAGTTTTGACCTTCTACCACTCATGAAGACAACACCCTATAGAGTTTTCTTTTTCTTAGCCCTCCCTTCTCATTTTAGCTGTGTTAGTTTTCATCCTATCAAACATATACATACTTCCTTATGCACATAATGTGGATCAGTGGTAACAGAGGATAGGTGGGCATAAGGAGAAAGTGTAAGGAAAGAATATTAAAAACAGCACTTACAAACATTGTTTGCTTTAATACTAGTATAAGGACATATACCTGGGTCCTATCAATGACTTCATATAACCTGATGCTGCCCTTAAGGAAATTCACAAGATTAACCAGTAAAATACATCTGACCAGTATTATGTATTTTGGCTCAAATATATTCAATAAATAAAGCAGTAAAGTTATCAATATCATAGCCTTAAGGAGAAGAAAGCCACAAAGATGACAAGTAATAACAACTAACAAGTAAGCAGACTTGTTTGGGTTACATTCAATTTACCTTAATGTTTTTCTTGTGCCTCTTTTCCTTGATATGCTTATGGGCAAATGCAATGGATTCAATTAAAACATCACAGAGTCTGCAGGTGTACTTTGCTGTAGGGTAGTTTCGTGGTCGCTATAATTTGAAGAGATTTATTTAGAGAGAGACATAAGTAAAACCAAACATTCAGATAAACAAAATCAGCCAGGAAATGATTTCCCCTTCAATTTCTTTTCTCTAAAGAGACAGGAGTCTCACTATGTTGCCCTGGCTGGAGTGAACTGGCTATTCACAGATACCATTATAGCATACTACAGCCCCAAACTCCTGAGTTCAAGCAATCCTCCTGCCTCAACCTCACAAGTAACTGGGGCTACAGGCATGCCACTGTGCCTGGCTTCTTCTTCACTTTTAAAATTGCTACTGTTATTGTTCCCTTTATCACTACCCTAACAGTCATTTTAAGTATAATAGCAATGACTCCTAATCCTATTAAATCACACTGGACATCACTTTTAACTTGTAGTGCTTAAATACTGATAACCAAAGTAGGATATCTAATTGATCAGAGCATGCATACTCAATTAACAACAAAATTGAGGCTAAAACCAGGATTCTAACCAACAAATATATATATAAGGATGTTACCCTTTTTAGCCTGTCAATGCAGTCTCTCTTCAGTCTCTCCTCAGCCTGCTGTAAGCCTAGCAGCTCCTTCGTTGAAAGTACAGACTCATCGATCACAGGGCCTTCCAAGTCTCCATCCTGCTCATTTTCCTCATTTCTAGTCTTCCGTGGCTTCCTAGGTCTGGACCTCTGCTTCTTGTTTTCTTAAGGTGGGGGAAAAATATTATTGGCAATATTAAATAATGCCACTCCTGAGTAAAAAGCAGACCTTACATATGTATTAAATCATGTGAGAGAATAAATCACATCTGCATGCAGAGCAGAAGGAAAGGTAGCTGTCCTATGGACAAAATGCTTTAATACTGTATTCAGTGAGCACATCACCTGTAGACATTAAGCCATAGAAATCATCTTTTTGGAAAATTTAAAAGAATTCTACTTCAATCATACAATTTGATTTTTATTATCTCTTCCTGGTATACTGCTGAGCATAGCAAAGCAACAGAAAAATTATACTCTGAAGGCAAGTATATCTATAATTCTATTATATTAAAATATTACAATACATATTGTAAATATATCTTACATATTCTATAATATCTGTAAGTACACCTGTTATTCTCATTAAAACCAGCCACATTTGCTTTCATCTTCTATAAGTGAACAATCTCAATAAGGCAAAATGCAAAATGTACCCCTGGACAACTCAGAAATCAACTATATACTCATCTGGAGTGAAAAATCATCATTTAGTTGCAAATTTAGCCATCAATAACACCTAAGCCGGGTCCCTCCGTTAATATGAAGAAGTCCAAGCCAAAATTTTATTTACTAAGGACAACTATCTCTCATTTTACCTTTACCTTCATTTTAGCTTCTTTGAATGGCCTGTACACTGAGCATATTTCAAAGGAAAAAAACAACTGGCCATTGAAACAAAAGTTTTCTCTAAGTACATTTGTTTATAAACTCTGCTATTAGTTCTATAATCCTTATAATGAATAAAAATCATCCTGTTCCTTTTTAAAACTTATAACTTTTCAACTTGTTAAAGTGATTGTGGGATTAAACCATAAAAAATTGTTTTAGATAGCTTTGATAACTTATATCGAGTTTTAAAAAATGAAACTATTAGTAACACATTAGTGCTTGGAAACATAAACCTACTGAAAAGCCCTACATGAAGTAATTCCTCCATCAAGTTTTCAGAGGAACTCATTACTACTAGTATGGCAATTACAATGAACTGGCAGGCTGAAAAGGAAATATAGGACCTCCAATTTTATAAAAAGCTTGCTGAGAGCGCTAAAGGATAAGCAGCAAGCATTGTGCTAAAACTACCTGAGATGACTATCTCAAAATTCTGCAAACACCTTCCACAATATAAGAAAATTAAAAAATTAAAAAAAATTAAAGTGTTGGAAAAGTAGTTTTAAAAAATCAATCAAAATACACTGAACAAATAAAATACTAAAAGGTAAGTTGTCATTTCAACAGAAAATCAGGCTACCTTGCGCTACCTTAATATTTCCTTTTTAATACTCCCCCGACTCCCAATTAAATTATCATAATCTTTTAAGGCCAGTATTTCTGGTCTGAACAATTTTTTTTTTTCAGATAAGCACTTCTTTTACTTAGAGATGTATCCATTCTCATTTAGTTTGCTTATCATTATAAACATTATCAAAAAAACTGCATCTAACTTCAGTGTTTATTACAGGTTTCTTAGGCAAAAACTCTATAAATTTAAAATAATACTGCAATACCCTTTAGAAAAGCCCCTATTAGTTCACAAGCCAGTAAGTGATAGGGAACCGAATTCCTTTTTTAAACTCTTCCTCTCTTCTGGTCACAAAGGTTTCTCCATATAACCATATTTGCTGTCATTTTCTAGAAAGAGTAACTTCTCTCTTCCTCCAAAGACCTCAATCAACTCCTACTGCTTTTATACAGAAGTGGATGGCTGCAGAAATTCTGTCAGATAATGGCAGCTACCATGATGGTGTATCTTATTATGCAACAGATGTAAAGCACTTTATATGTACTGCCTTATTTAATCCCTACAGCAATCCTGCTAATACTGTCCCCATTGTACAGATGGGGACAATGCGAATCCAAGAGAATAACTTCTCCAAGAACACATGGCTAAATCAAAGTAAAGGGATTGAAAATATAGATTAAAATATGGATGGGGCCAGGTGCAGTGGGTCATGCCTGTAATTCCCAGCACTTTGGGAGGGTAAGGTGGGAGGACTGCTTGAGCTCAGAAGTTCAAGACCAGCCTGGACAACATAGTGAGATGTCATCTCTAGCAAAAATGAAAAAAATCAGCCAGCAAGATGACTCACTCCTGTGGTCCCAGCTACTCAGGAGGCTGAGACGGAAGGACTGCTTAAGCCCAGGAGGTGAGGCTGTGGTGAGTCATGATTGCGCCATTGCACTCCAGCCTGGGTGACAGAGTGAGACTCTGTCTAAAAAACAAACAAACAAAAAAAGGATGAAATCCTGAAATTCAGCCTTCTAACTAACAACATAAAAACTGGAAAGAAATTACTAAAATCCCTTCTTGGAACATACCCATTCACATCTAGAGTGGACTAGCACTGAAAGGCAATATAACCTTCTAAACCTACTTTCACAGGCATGCATGGTAAAAACTGTCAAAATCTCACCGGAGGGACTCTTGGAGGGTAAAGCTAGGTACTGATGAAAAATTCTTGGCCAGGCGTGGCAGCTCATGCCTGTAATCCCAGCATTTTGGGAGGCCGAGGCAGGTGGATCACCTGAGGTCGGGAGTTCGAGACCATCCTGGCCAACATGGTGAAACCCTGTCTCTACTAAAAATACAAAAATTAGCTGGGCGTGGTGGCAGGCACCTGTAATCCCAGCTACTCGGGAGGCTGAGGCAGGAGAATTGCTTGAACTCGGGAGGCAGAGGTTGCAGTGAACCGAGATCATGCCATTGCACTCCAGCCTGGGCGACAAGAGTGAAACTCCATCTCAAAAAAAAAAAAGAAAAAAGAAAAATTCTCATAATTACTTGGAGGAAGACTACCTGGCTTACCTCAGATTTATTGTAATAAGAGTTCTCTATATTCGGCATTCCAAGTTTCCCATATTTTATTTGCATATGGTTCACAAAGGACATGTGTATTTGAGTGGATGCTTTCCAGCTAAGATCATTAATGGCAATGTCCCAAATACATTAAACTGGCAATCTAGGACATTTGAAGGCTAAAGTAGGGGCAGTAATGTAGAGCTGAAAAAAACAGAAGGTAGTACCGTATGTGGGGGGGAAAAAAGCAACTCCACCATAATTTCCATTATATCTTCTCACATTGTTGAATAATACCCTTCCTTATTAAGACACAATTTTGATAAAGAAATTTCGATCTCTTTAATGAGATCCTTTTTAGTTTATACTTTCAGTTGAATCTCTCTAAACTAAATAATGTTATACCGAAGCTTAATGCTTCCTATATGAAGATTTTCAAGGGATAGAAACTGAATAATTCTTTACTTAATAACTGTGAAAGCATATACCTGTATGTCATACAGCAAAAACATGCAAACTTTTGAATTACCTCCAATAAAAAAATAGCAAAATGCATTTCCTATTCAAATACACTTAAAAGCAACTTCTTTAGTTGCTTTTATAAGAATACACATAAAATAAGAAAACATATAAAAGTTTTTGTGGTCAGCCAACAGTTCCTTTTAATGTCTAGTTGCAAATTTTTGATCTATAAACTTTCTTTTTAAAATGCTTTTCAGCCGGGTGCAGTGGCTCACACCTGTAATCCCAACACTTTGGGACGTCAAGGCAGGCAGATCATGAGGTCAGGGTATCGAGACTACCCCTGGCCAACATGCTAAAACCCCAACTCTACTAAAAATACAAAAATTAGCTAGGTGTGGTGGCACGTGCCTGTAGTCCCAGCCACTCAGGAGGCTGAGGCAAGAGAATTGCTTGAACCTGGGAGATGGAGGTTGCAGTGAACCAAGATCGCACCACTGCACTCCAGCCTGGGCTACAGAGCGAGACTCCATCTCAAAAAAGAGAATAATAATAATAAAATGAAATGGTTTTCAAGATCAACTTCTACAAGACTATAGGTAACAAAATTAAATACCCACATCCCACCTGGACAGTAATACAGAAACACTTAAATATACACAATTTTTAATAAAGAAAAACACAAATCAAAAGCCCAGAAATTATCAAGAAATATTCGGCTCCGCCGTCAGGATTTCAGGTCCAGCGAGGCTGAGTTAATGGCCAGAGTAGCAGAGTCCCCAATTTTAGTTCTACTTCCTCATTTACCGCGCTGCATAAACAGGTCTGTGGAAATTTAACCTCTCTGAGCTGCAGCTGCCTGATTTGTAAAACTGTGATTCCATTTTTGATATATTACAACAGAGTACTGCATCAGATAATTCCTCAAGCTATTTCTAGCTTAAAGATTTAAGTTTTATGTCTCCCTACTACTTAACGCCTTTATAACACTTCATTCTGTTTCTGCTACTTGATATTAATATATACTCTTAATTTTCAAATTTAAAAATATCTGAGGGCCAGGCGCGGTAGTTCACGCCTGTAATCCCAGCACTTTGGGAAGCAGAGGCAGGTCGATCACTTGAGGTCAGGAGTTCAAGACCAGCCTGGCCAACAGGGAGAAACCCTATCTCTATTAAAAAACAGAAAAATTAGCTGGGCATGGTGGTGTGCACCTGTAGTCCCAGCTACTTGGGAGGCTGAGACATGAGAACCGCTTGATCCTGGGAGGCAGAGGCCACAGTGAGAGGAGGTCACATCACTGCACCTCCAGCCTGGGTGACACAGTGAGACTGTCTCAAAAAAAAAAAAAAAAAATCAGGCTGAATGTGGTGGCTCACGCCTGTAATCCCAGCACTTTGGGAGGCCAAGGTGGGTGGATCACTGGAGGTTAGGAGTTTGAGACCAGTCAGGCCAACATGGTGAAACCCTGTCTCTATTAAAAATACAAAAATTAGCCTGATGTGGTGGCATGTGCCTGTAGTCCCAGCTACTTTGGGGGATGAGACAGGAGAATCGCTTGAACCCAGGAGGCAGAGGTTGCAGTGAGCCAAGATCGCGCCACTGTACTCCAGCCTGGGTGACAGAGCGAGACTCCGTCTCAAAAAATAAAATAAAATATAAATAAACAGATCTGACAACTAGAAGTATCTGTGAAAAAAGAAAAAAAATCAAGTAGCACATTTCCCCCCATTTAATATTAATAAGTGCTTGAGACTTTCATTTTTATCCTAAGACCTTGTAAAGATAAAAGACGACCTTTTGGCTTTTAAGTATTCTATACGCATGGGACACAAATTCAAACACCTTATAGGTAACCAGTGTATGAACTGGCCACTGTGAGATAACATGAAGAGAAAAGGCATCGGGTGATCTAGAAAGTGTCCATATTCCCTGAATGCATTTAAACTAAAAAAATTTATTTAAAAGTGCTGGCCAGTTTGAAACACATTCTATACAACCACTAAAAAACGCTTTCAGCCACTAAACTTACAAGTCCATGTTTCCAACTGTGATATTGTTTCATTTTTTCCATCCAATTTGTGACTTTATTTCATTTCGGTATATATCTCCCATTAGATAAAAATAACCTTCCTGTTTGCAGAAATCGTTGCCACATGGATAAAATCTACTTTTTACTTTTAGAAAAACATATTATCTCCTTATTATCCCTTTGGGGCAATTAACCAAGCATGTGAGGGCACCGAGAAATTAGTTTTGGTCTTACTGAAACCAAACAGCAAAGCTTGAATCTATTTCTGACTTTCTAAACTTGTTTCTCAACCTGTTTGTCACGATCCCTTTTGAAAAACAAAGATCTCAGATTATCCATCTCGGGACACTGACACTACATCCAAAAGATATATCTCTTGTGGCAGGAGATATACGCAGTGTATACTGTGTTTTTACATCAACAAATAAGTTTTTTTTTTAAAAAAAGCTTTATATTCTGTCATTTATATTATGAACACATTAATTATTCAAATACAAAATTATAATCACAATTTTGAAAACACACAAACCACTGAGCAATTACGATATGGTCCCCTGGAGCATATAGCTACCCTCTTCTGTAAAAAACACGTTACAGAAAACATGTTTACTGACGTAAAGTGAGCCCTGGGGCAAAGTAAACTTTTAAAGGGATCAACATATGAAATGTGTTTTAGCTGCTCAAATATCATGATTACTATCCTTAAAATAATCACACTAAGTGACCATTTCTTAAAACAGAAACTGTGAAAAACTGAAACTAAATTGCTGAAAATAACAAAACTCATTTGGATGAAAAAGAATAAAACATTGCTGACTCTGGGGTTGTGATCTGACAAGTTGGAAAACATTACCAGGACTTCCTGCTTCCATTTCTGACGTGGTTTCTAGGCTTGTTAGGTCTTTATGAAACAGTCGTCTTACAGTTCTGCAGCCTCTTGTGTCTTGCCACCTATAACCATCTTCATTTTCTTGAAAGGAGTCTTTTCTTTGTCGGTTTATAACAGGAATTCTAGGTCCAGGTTTGAATTCTCTCCAGTTGTCTGAATTACCAGTATGTTCATCAGACAGCCATCTCTTACTCTGATCTTTGTGGCTGTCATTCATCCAAGCGGGTTGACTGTAGATTGGGTTTTTAAATGCATATGGATTGCTGGAAACAGCACATGGTCCTTTTCTGGGGGTATTCCCATAGTTCCCTGGTGTTATCTTCTTTTTTTGAAGGCCCTTTTCCATTTTACTGCCATGGCCTTTAGCATGGTCATCTATTATTAAATAATCTTGTTGGGGGTGACCCCTTCTGAAGTCATCATCATCCATAGTCCCCCGGTCTTTAGTGCGCTTCACGAAATAAGGTTTTGCTGTATCTCCCATGGTCTTTGACTTCAATTTTCTTACTTTGCACCTGAAAGAAGGTATTTTGGGGAAATATCAAACTATATAACAAGATATCATACAAGTATACAAAATAACAATTTATCGTACAGATGCCCCAAAGCCTGTAAGAAAGAAACTCCCTATTTTTTTAAAATAAAAATTCTATCACATTCTTAATAATCAGTGCTTTACCCTAGAGGTTGGGAGGCTTGGTCCTCTAATATTCTTCATGAAAATTAATACTTACTATTTAGCATGAAGATTAAATGTGTGAATAAGAGAAGCTCTATAGGTTCCAGAACTGTAGCATAGTAGAATATTACTCATATCAAGTATGGTCGGCTTTTCCCTCTGTAACAAGGCGTTTCTCTTCAAAGAAAACCTCATCCCAAGCCAATATTATTACTAAACTACCGAAACAGTCTTTTGTTTTTTAAGTTGGCAATTACTTGTAAGTGTTATACACCGAAACTTTACGTGAAAGGAGTACTACATTTCTCAACTCCAATTTTCCGTCCCTTCACCACCCCTATTCTGGACAGACCGGCTTTGAGCGCTTAGGTTACGGAGGGGCTGGGCTTCCGACCAAGGTGCAGCTGTAATTAAAGAGGCTGGGTTTCCGATCAAGGGACAACTCCATCTAACCTCCTCAATCCCCGTTCTCCAACCCCAAACAAGTTTGGTTTTGTCAGGAACAGCAATTCCCTGAGGAATGACACTCCTCTTCAATCCCCATCTGACCGCTCCACCACCGATCTGCCTTAGTTTCCACCCTTTTGAGCCCGACGTGGAGAAAGAGGAGGCGTCCCTGCACTCCTGGCCAAGAAGCCACCGTGGGGACCAGGAAGCAGGAAGTGACCTGCTGTCTCCATGGGGTTCCAGGGTTCCCCCGGCCGGCCAGGGGGCCAGAGCCGAATGTCTTGACCCAAATCCCGTCTTCTGCGCCCGCAGTCTGACAAAAAGTGAAAACACGGACTCGAACCCGAGGGCTCAGCCTCTGCCGGCCTGGGGGTTCCTCGGTCACCCAAACTGGTGCGAGGAGGCCGGCGGGGGATGGAACCAACGTACCTCCGGGGCCAGGCCGGACAGCTACTCTGGAGTCCAGGAAACCAACTGGAGAATCAGCCCGGAGGCGAGTCTGGCAGGGACGTTGGGAGAAGGCGCCCAAGAGCACTCACCACCTTCGCCGCGGTCCCCAGCCTCTTCCTGTCCCGGCCGGGCTCCCTCTCCGTGTTTTCCTTCGGCCCCACTTCCGGCGCTCAGCGCTGTCTCATTGTGCGCGATTGGGAGCCGACTGTGCCCCCGCCCTAGCGCTCCGCCGCGCACACCGGAAACGAGCGACGCGCCCCGCCCCGCGGTGCCCCGCCCACGCTCCGACCCCGCCTCCCGCGCCTTTGCCAGCCTGGCCTCTCCTGTCCGGCGCCCCAGCGCACTCGCTCCAGGTGTCGGGCGCCGGGTCTGGCCACCGGGCGCAACCGTCGGAGCGGGCTAATTACTGGCTCGCCGGATAGCCGGTTCGCCGGCGCTTGGGGGCCAGGCCCGAACTTCTTACCAGAGCGGCGCCCGCCCCTTTTCTCTCCCGGCTTCGACGCTCCTCTGGTTCCCCTCTCTGCTCGGGAGGCTAAGTGCTCGGGAGAGGCGCGGGAGCCAAGACTTATGCACCCGGAGAGGGACGCGGAGCCAGCGGTCGGGCAAAGCCGCATTCCCCGCGCTTGGGGCCTCGGCTTTGCCCCTGGGTGCTCCCCGGTTACTTCCAGGGGGAGTAAAGGCTCCGAGGCCTCGTAGCGCTCTTGGTGTTTTTCTGATAATTCGTAGTGATTAATGTTTTCGTGAATTCTTAATTGCCGACCTTGTAGAAATGCCAGCATTTAAACATCCACTGCTCACCCAGATCTCAAAGTGGTCAAGGAAAATGCTCTGCTTTTTTCTTAGGTTGTGTAAGGATTACTTTTACTTGGAAAAAAAAAAAATCAGTTCATTTCGAAGAATATGTGTAATGGCAAGGGATGACCAGAGAGCGTTACATTCGAATTTTTGAGTTGAAGAGTGCACACCTCGAACTCGGGGTTGCTTTTTCTTTCTTTACTGTATGACCTTCCTTGCTGTTTACAGTGTTCTAAATGCTTTGAAAAACATCAAGCAACTAGTGAAATTAGGGAGCGTTGGGAAAATCGACAGTTTTCATTTCTCTGCTTTTTTAAAGCATGTAAATTGAAAGCTGTCAGGTCCTGTGGAGCAATGGTCTTAAAATAATAACACACAAAGTTCTGGCTATGCCAATAACTGTTTTGAAGGCTTTACAAATATTAACTCCTTTGTTTTATATTTTTGTAGAGACAGGGGTCTCCTATGTTGCCCAGGCTGCTCTCCAATTCCTGACCTCAAGCCATCCGCCCAACTTGGCCTCCCAAAGTGTTGGGATTACAGGGGTGGTCCACCATACCCAGCCTTAACTTCTTTAATCCTCACAGCTTCATGAAGACTATATCATTATCCCACTTTTAAAGATGAGGACATTTAGCACTTGCAGTGAAGTAAATGGCACTGCTGCAATCCAGACCCTGAATATGAGGCTGTTATTAACCATGTGGCTATACTAAAAGTGATATAAAACACATTCCTACAACTTTTATATAATTCCTTACTTAGATATTTTGATTGTGAAAATACGTGAGGATCAAACTGATAGTCTCTTCAACAGGCAGACAGTGGCCTTGAAAATATAGTCCAAAAGGGAGTGTGGAGATGCATGATTACATTAATTCTGAGACAGCAGCGTCACCACGCCCCACCCAAACCAGTAATTCCTGTGCAAAAGAACTGGTTTAGAAATCTGCCTCCACCTAGAGTTCTAGAGTAGCAGCAGAGGATACATACTTTTAAGGATTTTTTTTTTTTTTTTGAGATGGAGTGCCACTCTGTTGCCCAGGCTGGAGTGCAGTGGCATGATCTCCGCTGGCTGCAACCTTTGCCTCCACCTAGAGTTCTAGAGCAGCAGCAGAGGATACATCTTTCTAAGGATTTAATTTTTTTTTTTTGAGACAGAGTCTTACTGTGTTGCCCAGGCTGGAGTGTAGTGGTGCGATCTTGGCTTACTGCATCCTCTGCCTCCCAGGTTCAAGTGATTCTCCTGCCCCAGCCTCCCAAGTAGCTGGGATTGCAGACAGGCACCACTATGCCTGGTTAAGTTTTGTATTTTTAGTAGAGACGGGGTTTCACCATGTTGGCCAGGCTGGTCTGGAACTCCTGACCTCAAGTGATCCACCGGCCTTGGCCTCCCAAAGTGCTAGGATTACAGGCGTAAGCCACCAGGCCTGGCCCGATTTAAAATACTTTTGCCAGGCACTTTGGCTCCTGCTTGTAGTCCCAGCAACCCTGGAGACTGAGGTAGGAGGATACCTTAAGCCCAGGAGTTGGAGGCTGCAGTGAGCTATGATGGTGCCACCACACTCCAGCCTAGGCAACAGGGCAATACCCTGTCTCTCTCAAAAATAAATTTAAAAAATAAAACGTTTTGAATTTGCGTTTTCTTCAACGTCTTTCCCAAAGCCCAACTTCTTTTATTCTAATGGTTGCTTTTAAGATTCATTTTGAGGACAAATCAGGCTCTCTCAAATAAGATGCAGTACTAATCAAAATATATTGACAGCAGAATATACCTTTTTCTGTCCATATTATGCTGTAATGGATATTTAAATTGGTCCTAGGAATTCTTACAATCTGGTTGGAAATTTTGATTTGAGTTTTCTTTGGATGTCACTGGAAGGATTAATGAGTTTCTCAGAATCTTTATGGTGATTGCTTCACGGTCTTGACATATTTCCAACAACCTGGAGCAGAAATGTGAGGGCAAAGGCTGCCATATACTGTTAAGCAATGTTCAGAGGACCTTAATACTGCTCCATATGTTACAATATATTTTCTATCTTGAGCTTAACATTGTAATACAACTTGAAATCTTGTGATTCTATCTCGAAATTAACATTTAATACATAATATGTCTTGACATTCTTGTAATTCTATCTAGAAATTAACATTGTAGTACATGTAATACATCTTGGCATTTTTGTAATTCTATCTTGAAATTCACATTGTAATACATGTAATACATCTTGAAGTTTACATTGTAACACATGTAATACATCTTGACATTCTTGTAATTCTATCTTGAAATTAACATTGTAATACATCTTGACAAGTCAACTTTGAACAAACCCAGTGCTTTTTTTCTATACAGCCATGGAGTCAGAAATACAGGAATTATATTCATAGCTTTATCAGCCAAATTCTTTCCCCAGTGTTTTATTTTGTTTGGTTTGGTTTGGTTTTCGGTTTTTAGAGCTCTAATGCTTAAATGCCAGCGGTTTTTATCCACATTGTTAGCAAGTTATGTTGGTTTGTCCTTCAAATCTGTCTGGAGTCCAGTAACTTATCACTACTTTCTCTGCTTCCAGCCAAATGCTCACCACTATCACTTGCTTCCACCTTGTCCTCCAATCTACTCTTGACACAATAGCCAGAAAATGCATATTAAAAATCAGACTGAGTTACCCCTCAAAACCTTTCACTGGCTCCCAATTTCTCTGGGAGTAAAAACCAAAATCCTTCAATGACTCAGGGCCTTTCCCTTTACCTCCCGATCTCAGCCCTTATTCCTCTTACCCCAGTGGTATAATATAAAATATATTTGGCCTTTGTCCCCAGTTTCTGTCATAGAGCTCTTAAAATCCTTGAAATTTCCTGAGTGATAGAAGTGTCTTTCCGTGTTTATAGTGAGCCCCTAAACTCCTGAGTTTATGCTAATGAGATGATTTAGGATGGGGGCCCTACATAGCCTCAGCATGGGGCTAATCACCAGAAAGACCAAGTGATTGGAGGATTAGAGGGTTAGAACTTTGAGCTTCACCAACTGACCTCTGTGAAGGGGAGGAGGGGGCCGGAGATCAAGCTCTCTAAGTAGTCTTGAACAAAAAGATTTGATGAGATTCCCTATAGTTGAACACATGTAGGTGCTGAACGTTGGCTCACCTAGACAGGGCATGGAAGCTCTGTGCCCTTGCCCTATGTACCTCTTCATCTGGCTGTTCATCTGTATACCTTATAATATCATTTATAATAAACCAGTAAGCGTGTTTCCCTGAGTTCTCTGGGCCACTGGGGACACGGGAACCTCAGAAACCAGTCAGTCAGAAGTATGGGTGGCTTTGACTTGTGACTGGTATCTGAAGTGGGGGCAAACTCGTAGGGCTGAGCCCTCACCTGTGGGATCTGACACTATTGCCAGGTAGATAGAATTGAAATGGATTATAGGACACCAAGTTGGTATAATTGCTTCTGTAAAGGCAGAAGGAACTTTATACCCTCAGAAGCTTTGATGGTTTGAATCTATAAAACAAACTGACAATAGACAGATTAACAGGAGAAAAAACATATCGATTTATTAACTTGCAAGCTAGCGAGACCCAAACAAAGTATGAAACTCAAAGAAGGGCCAAATGGCTGAAGCTTAAATGGGACCCTGAGCTACAGAAAGAAACCAGGGCCTCTGATGGGGAGGTGGTGACCACAGTCATTGAAAGGTGAGGGTAGAGTAAGTGTGTGTTGAGCAAAAGTTTCTTCTTATACAGATAAAGTCTTTCAGACTAGAAAAATGGTTTTAAAAAAATAGGTGAAAAGTGTGTCCAGCCAGACGTGGTGGCTCACACCTGTAATCCCAATACTTTGGGAGGCTGAGGCCTGAGGATCACTTGAGCCTAGGAATTTGAGACCAGTCTGGGCAACATGACAAAACCCCATCTCTACGATAAATACAAAAGATTAACCTGGCATGGTGGCACACACCTGTAGTCCCAGCTACTCAGCAGACTGAGGTGGGAGGATCACCTGAACCCAGGGAGGTCGAGGCTGCAGTGAGCTGTGATTGCACTACTGTACTCCAGCCTGGGCAACAGAGTGAGACTCTGTCTAGAAAAAAAAAAAAAGCCTGTCCAGGTACATTGTCCTGGGCTCTCCTGAGATACGAGTTCATCTTCTCTAGTTAGTGTAGATTCCAAGGAGGGGGTCTAAGACAATTGCATTTCTTCTGGAGAAACTTCCCTTAATCAGATAAAGGAAGTTTAGAGAAAGTCCCTCCCTTCCTGTAGGTGGGTGAGGGTGGTGGGGTGAGGCAAGAGAAAATCAGACAGTCCTTGGTTCTGAGATTTATTTCTGAGCCCTTTCAATTTCCTTGTTAAAGGCACACAGCATGCCAAAGTGCCACATGTTGGGGCATCATTTTCTAAGCTCCAACACTTGGTATGTGGGGAAATCACCAATCTCCACTTATCTGGTCACAGAAATGTGCTGTATTGAATGTGAGAATAGAGTGGAAACTATTTTTTTCATTACATCCCCTCCCATACACACACATTGCACCCCGACTATGCTAGCCTTGCAATTCTTCCATCACAAGCCTCAGGGCTTTGCGCTGGGTGTTCCCTCAGCCTAAAACAGTTTCCCTAAGACATCTATATTGGTCACTTCCTCTTTCCCTTCATGTCTTTGCTGAAAGGTCACATTCTTAATGCAGCCTATTCTGACCACCAATTTATTTATGTATTTACTTATTTATTATTTATTTTATTTATTTATTTATTTTTGAGATGGAGTCTTGCTCTGTTGCCCAGGCTGGAGTGCAGTGGCGCGATCTCAGCTCACTGCAACCTTCACCTCCCAGGTTCAAGCGATTCTCGTGCCTCAGCCTCCTGAGTAGCTGGGATTACAGGTGCCCATCACTACACCCAGCTAAGTTTTTTGAATTTTTAGTAGAGATGGGGTTTCACCATGTTGGCCAGGCTGGTCTTGTACTCCCAACCTCAGGTGATCCACCCACCTCTGCCTCCCAAAGTTCTGGGATTACAAGCGTGAGCCACCACACCCAGCCCTGACCACCCATTTAAATTTTAATCTAACATTTTACCCGGTGTATTTTTTTGTCTTGTAAAAAGAATTTAAAAATCTAAGCTGTTGAAACTTTAAATTTTTTGAACCTTAAAGGAATGTGCTTATGGAGCCTGAGTCACTTGACAGGCAGCTATAACCTAGGCAGCTGTAGCCTTTGTTTCTCTCATTATAGATTAACCTTCTTCTTTACCTATATTGTTTTGTAAAATGTTGTAAATGACTAATGGGCTCCAGAGAAGACCCCTTTTCTCTTTACTGTTGATCTTCATTATAGATTACCTTTCCTCTTAACTCTCTCACACTAAGGCTTATGACTAGCACATTGTCTAAGAGGGAATGTTAAATATACTCTTAAGTTGAGAAGAAAATGAAAACAAGCTGTATGGAAATGAAAACAAGCCATAACTAATTAAATTGTTGTTATAACCCATAAATCAGCCTTCTATGCAAAATTTTGCCGGCACAGTGGCTTATAGGCTGGGCGTGGTTGTTTACCCTATAATCCCAGCACTTTGGGAGGTCAAGGTGGGAGGATTTCTTGAGCCCAGGAATTTGAGACCAGCCTTGGTAACGTAGTGATGTTATATATAAAGTTTCGGTGCTGCAAAAGAAATAGCACTTGAATATAAAATTTTCTTTTTGATTCTCAGGAAGGCAAGGTACTTCTATAGAAGGGTGTGCCCTTACAGATGGAGCAATGGTGAGCACACACTTGGACAAGGGAGGGGAAGGGGTTCTTATCCCTGATGCATGTGGCCACTGCTACTGTGTCCTTCCCTTATTGGCTAGGGTTAGGCGACAGAGGCTAAACTAATTCCGATTGGCTAATTTGAAGAGAGTGATGGAGTGAGTGGTTTGGCAGGAAAAATGGTTATGACAGAGCAGGTGATTGGAATGAGTCAGGGTGGAGTAGGTAATCGAAAAAGGTTGCTTTATGAGGAAGTTAAGTTTAAAAGTAGAAGGCAAAGAATTGAACATACTGACATATTGATTCTTTGAAAAGAAATTTAGGACTCATATCTAACAACCCCTCCTCTTCTATTTCCTTACAGCTTTCTTTTCAAACTTTTTAAACATGTCTTGGCTTAGTTGTTTTGCTTGATTTTGCAAAAGAAGAAGCTTCTCTGGATAAGGTGAGGATAGTTAAGGGAGGTTTTAGTGAGTGCCATTTTTATGAGCCTCTGCATCAACCTACAGATGCATGGTATGACACAGCAGCCAGCAAGAATAAGTACACCTATTATGACTGTGAGGGAAGTAGGAATTGTGGCTACTATTGCTTTCCATTTACCGAACCACTTTTCTAGCCATCCTGTAAAAGGGTCATTTACCCCTGAGTTGCGGGCTAACTTGTTGGATAGAGCAGTCAGACCTTGCGATGCTTTTGTTATACTTCCATTAGGGGCAGTGTTGTTTGGGATGAAGGTGCAACATTGAGTTTTAATCATGATGCAAACTCCTAATTCTAGTGTAGTTAATAAATCGCTATTGGTTGTAGTAGATGTAGTTTATCCAATCTACATTTTTATTAATTGTCACCTACCAAAATATTGATGCAAATCCTACAGCTATTTGATTTTAGGCTTTAAATTGATCTGGTATTCCCCATGGGACTCTAATTGTGTCTAAATAGATGTGAGAGTCAAAAGACCCATAAGGGGCTTCTCTCGCTTTATGATGTCTTATTTTTCCTTCCTCTGGTTGATGAAATGCCAGGGTGAAAGGGATAGCCAATTGAACTAAAGCACAAATGCCACTTCAGTTATTTGTCAGAGTGTCCAGTAAAGGTCCACCACAATACCACCACATATCCACTTGGGGATGAACAAGGGCTGACTGATTGATAAGCTCTTGAAAATTCTTAAGCTCACTGCATCCCTTCAGGTCTCCAAGGAACGCTGTTTCCTCCCTGTTGTGAGAGACATGAAGTGAACTTAGTGTTGGGAGACGGAAGCTGGATAGCCCTCGGGGGCTGACCCACAGGGTGCCAGACTTCGGGATATAGCAGAGAGGGAGCTTGGCACAACTTATTACTCTAGGCTGTAGAATCCTGGAAAAGAGCTGCCATGCAGCCTATGCCTGGTCAAGTGGAGGGTCACCCTAGTGGAAAGGGGACAGTCTGGGACTCTGGCCTGCTGTGCGTACAAGCATAACAATTGCTTTTGTTTAATGTGCGGACGGAATATTTGATCTATTCCACCAGGCATTTGCATCTTGGTATCCTTGGTATCTTTGGTATCTTAATTGCCAAAGTTTATTTTAAGTCTTTAACTTTTATGATCCTCTAGTAAAATGAATGTATGGTTTAAGGAAATTACAAAAACCGGTTGGGGCAGTCCATCCTTGCTCTTCAGTGGTCCACAGAACGTAGGACCAACTACGGCATAAAAGCTCTACATCGGGGGCAAGACTCCTGGTTGACACTGGAGTTTTATCGACATCTCCCCGGATTAAATGCCCAGTCTGAGGCCCAGTCTGAGGAGAGTCAGGAAGGACAGAGGTACTTTTTTGAAGTAGAGAGCTGTCTTTGACTTGGCAAGTCCCCACAGGGTATAACAAAGCAAGCATCAAATGCAATAGTTTGAGGCGAAATTGACTTTGTTATGTTATAACTAGACGGTCAGCAATAGAGCGAAGAAAGAAGCAAGAGTAATTGAATAGATGAAAGAAAGTTAAATTTTTCTTAGCTTTAGTTTGGTAGGGTTTTCCCCTGGGACCATGGCCCACGACTCTGGGTGGGGGGGCGGGGGTGCGGGGGGGGTGGCCCTTTCTTGACTCACGTGTGATGAGTCCATCCTCTTTTCGTTGTATGAACAGCAGTCCCGGTGGTTAGCAGCCCAAGGTAGGGTCCTTCCCAGGCTGGCTCGAGTTTTCTTTCTTTCCACCCTTTGATGAGAATGTGATCCTCAGGCTGGTGCTGGTTTACTGGAAATTCTAGGGGTGGTACCTGTGCTAAAAGACTTTTAGTTTTGGGGGAAAGGAAAGAGGAAGATAAACCAAGTATATAAGGTCTAAGAAATTGATCTTTTGTTTTAAATGCAGGGACATCAGCATTGGACATTATAGTCCTTGGTGCCTTCTTATTAAGAAATTTCCTTTAGCACCTATTTTTATTAGTTTTTAGACCAAAGAAAGCCAAACACCATTTTATATTTGACAATGCTTCCTGTATGACTTTTATACCAGATAAGCTAAATTTCACCTTTATATTAGTGTGCTATTAATGTTAAAATCAATTTTAATAAAACCGTGTAGACATATTTATCCAATTTTAACATCTAACCATAAGATAAGATTTTCATAGACTCTTTTTAACCTTTTATAATTTTTGTTAAAGAGCAGGTTAGTGCTTTAAGAAAAATCCATTGTGCTTTTATTTTAATGTCCAGTTCACAGAAAAACTGGATGATACCTTTTTAACTTTAGCCAGTGTGTTTACACACAGAATTTCCTTTATAATTAATGTTTTCAAACTTGCTTAAACCTTCAAAACAAAGTTTTTTTTTCACCTTTTAATGTAGGTAAAAATCCACATTCTTATGCCTCTTTATAATTCTTTTACTAAAAGTATATTTTACTTTCCTTATACACCTTGCACATAAACTGTTTCGTCAATAGTTTTACATTCAGGACGCCTAATTACTGTTACATTATACAACATTTCTTGCATAAATTCCCTTTTATAACACATTTTTTTTCACGCTTTACAATATCTTATTTTTCCTTCCTCTGGTTGATGAAATGCCAGACAATTCTTTGACATGCCTCAACTTTCTGACTTGTTGCAAATGTCCCTTTCTTTAAACAAACAATTTATTTTAGGACAAGAATTTACCATATAACATTCTTTTTACATAAATTCTCCTCCCCCATCCTTTTTTTTTCCCCAAAGATGATAACCATTCTTTTCCAAAGCGAACTTCCTTCGGGTCTGTGGATTAGATTGCCTAAGGCCACAAGATTAGAAGTTAGGATAATACATGTTACACTGTTAACTTTTAGCAAGTTTTGCTTTTGTTGAAAACCTTGTGAGTTTGGGATTTCAATTATCCTTTGCTGTTAATAAGACCTTGTTTAGTCCAAATTAACTTAGAATTGGTATAGATGGTTCCTTCCTTGTTCTGTAAGTACTTTAAGGCTTGGCTGAGTGCAAACAGCTCACACGTTTGAGCAGACCAACTGTTGGGCAATTTTCTTAACTCTATTTCTAAGAGAGTTTCTCCATCAATCACTGAACACCATTGTGTCTTTTTCCCTCAATCACCAGGGAGGAACCATCTATGAACGAGTGCCGTCCAGTCCGGAAGGGGGTTTCTCCTGGGTCTGGTCGAACCTTTGTATGGTAATCAATTAAATCTAAACATGTATGTTCATTCCTTAGATTTGGATTCTTTGTCAGGAAACTTGCTGGGTTGAGTGAATTTTCAGTGGTCAATGTTAAATTATCCTTTTCTAACAGAATGGCCTCATACTTAAAGATTCTCGAGTCAGTAAGCCATCTCCCTGCTCTTTGGTTTAAGATAGTTCTAACTTGGTGAGGCTTGCTTACTGTCAATTTTCCTCCAAAATGCTTTCCTCCACTAGTATTGCCATAGTTGCGATGGACTGAATGCATTGAGGCCATCCACAAGTGACTGGGTCTAAGACCTTTGATAGGAAGGCTACGGGCTGCCGGTGGCCTCCCTGTTCTTGAGTCAGCACTCCTAAAGCTACCCCACTGTCCACATTAACAAAAAGGTGGAATGGCTTTTCTAGGGAGGGTAAGGCTAAAACAGGGGCAGTTATGAGCCTTTTCTTCAGCTTCTCAACTTGATCAGCTTCCTCAGAAGTCCACGGGAGATGGTTAGGCTTCTCCTGGGCAAGCTTTTGATATAACAGTTTACTGTGCAGTGCATATGAGTCAATCCATAAGTGGCAGTATCTGACTAACCCTAAAAATTTCGAGTTCTTGTTTAGTTTGAGACAAGGGTAAGGACATGATTCCCTTGATCCATTCAGGCCCTATTCTTCACTTGCCTGTGCTTATTAAGTGGCCTAAATATTTAACTTCGGGCTGTACATACTGAAGCTTTCTTTTTGAGACTTGTAGCCTCTCAAACTGCAGACAGTTAAGAATATGTGTAGAGAAGTCAGTTACCTTCTCTTTATCTTCAACAGCTATAAGAATGTCATCCACATACTGAAGAAGGCATATTTGTTCTGGGATGACAACTTTTTCTAATACTTGTTCTAAAATTTGACCAAAAAGATTAGGGGAGTCTGTGAACCCTTGGGGCAAGATTGTCCATCAATGTTGTTGTTTCTGCCCTGAGTGGGGATCCTCCCACTCAAAAGCAAATATATCTTGGTTATCTTCATCCAAGGCACATGCCCAAAAAACATTCTTCAAATCTGTCATAGTAAACCATTGATGATTATATGGACTGGCACTATTGGGGTGTTATAAAGGGACATACAGAGCTCAAGAGGCCTGTCCTTAATAAGGCCTTCGATTATAGGTTTTAACTCTATCTTATCTTCTAGGGAAATAGGGTATTGTTTCCTACTTACTACTTCTCCCGGGGTTTTTAGCTTGATGTGGATCAGAGGGACTTGGAGTTTCCCTCGGTTTTCTTCTTTGGACCAGATATTAGGATTAACATATTTTTCATCTGTAGTGGTGAGTAGGTTTAATGAGGTGAGGAATCCTCTTGGGCTGACTTGCAGACCTATGCCTAACTTTAACATTAAATCCCTCCCCAGTAAATTAGTTCCTGCTTCAGGGATTAACAAGAACTGAATATAAGCTGAGCAATCCTGGTATCTAACTTCTGTGCTTTCTAAAATTTTTGCTCTAAATCCTCCCCCTTTTACCCCAGAGACTAAAAGTTCCTCTGAGGAGGAGACAATATTAGATGGGGGGTGGGGAACAAACAGAGGGGCAAGCAGCCCCTGAGTTGACTAAAAAGGTGATAAGCTCATGTTTAGGTCCCACCTACAAATTTATCAAGGGCTCCTGGTGGTACTCAAGATAAAAGAGACAGAGCCTCTGACCCCCCTATTCTTCCTTGAAAGTCATGAGTGGAAGGGTTTCTTTTTCCTTTCTTAGTTCAGGACATCCTTTCTTGAAGTGGCCTGTTCTTCCACATCTATAGCACCTATCTTGTCTTTCCTCCCGCTTAGTTCTGGGATTCTTTAACCCTGCTCCCCCATACTCTTTAGGGGGTCTGGTAGACGAGGACCTTGGTCCTCCAGATGGAGGCTGGGGTCCTTTTAGAGAGGGGTCTTTAGGTTGGGAGGGAACAGGCTGGTGGGATGGTAATTCTCAAGAGTCAGGGTTATAAGGAGGAAGAATAACATGAGTACAGGGGGAATTGGAATGGGATCTGAGGCAGCAGTGGCTGTCTGAGGGAAAAGATTGGAGACACTGAGTGGGGGACACTGAGTCTAGGGGATACCATGCACTGGAGTCTTTAGGCATGAGAGCTGGCTTCTCTAACTTTTCAGTTTGAGGTGCTAGATTGGGTTCTTCCCTATTTGTTTTTAAGGGAAAAAGGAGGGCTGCGCCTTGCCTCCAACAAAGGGCATAGCCTACTTCTTCTTGAGACAGTGGACCTTTATCATTACCATATCGGATTAGAAGTTGGCACATCACATCCTCATTCGACCCAAACTTTGGCCAGAAGATTGAGGGTTTGAGGATGGGTCCCTGAGTCCAAATATAACAGCAATATTTTATCATTTGTTGCTTTTTCCTATGTTTAGTCCTTTCATTATCCTTCCAGTGTTTTAGCATGAGACCCAGAGGGCTATCTGGGGGGATATCTTTGTTACCATCTTTATCCCCTTTGCTCCCTCTCTTGCTTGGGATATTTCCCATCTTGATGGTTTTGGGGTAAGGTTCAAAGTTCAATTTCCCTTACTGGACATTTTTCACCTTTTGGGGTGAGGCTCAATTTCCCCCACTGGAAATTTCTTGCCTTTTCTACTGCTGGAGGTTTGTGTGAGGTTTAATCCCTGCCAAGAGGGATGTCTTGCCTCTTTTTAACCTCTAAGCCACCTTGACCAAGGAGTACTTCACCACACCCCCCACCCCCCTGCAGCTTTCTTACCTTAGTCCTGACCACCAAGGAAATACTTTACCAGCTCACACAGCTTCTCCTTCCTTGGTCTGTGCACAGAGTCATCACCACAGTATGTGAAGATCCTTTAAGCTAGGTTGCTGGCCAGTTTTTTTTTTTCTTCCCGTGTTGCTCAGGTTATTCCTCACACTGGGTGGGTCTTGATTTCTCACCCCTGAGGCCGCCACAAGGGGACGGGGTGCACCTCCTCATGAGAGAGAACCAGACACTATCCCTGGAGGGGAATGTAATCACGGGCGAGCCCCCAAATTGTTATATGTAAAGTTTCAGTGCCGCAAAAGAAATAGCACTCAAATATAAAATTTTCTTTTTGATTCTCAGGAAGGCAATGTACTTCTATAGAAGGGTGCAACCTTACAGATGGAGCAATGGTGAGCACACACTTGGACAAGGGAGGGGAAAGAGTTCTTATCCCTGACTCATGTGGACCCTGCTGCTGTATCCTTCCCTTATTGGCTAGGGTTAGACCACACAGGCTAAACTAATTCCAATTGGCTAATTTAAAGAGAGTGATGGGGTGAGTGGTTTGGCGGGAAAAATGGCTATGACAGAGCAGGTAATTGGAATGAGTCAGGGTGGAGTAAGTAATCGAAAAAGGTTGCTTTATGAGGAAGTTAAGTTTAAAAGTAGAAGGCAAAGAATTGAACATACTGGCATATTGATTATTTGAAAAGAAATTTAGAACTTATATCTAACAGTGAGACTCCTGTCTCTACAAAAAAAAATTATAAAATTAGCCAGATGTGGCATGTGCCTGTGGTCCCAGCTATTCTGGAGGCTAAACTGGGAGGATTGCTTGAGCCCTCCCACCTCAGGAGTTCAAGGCTGAAATGGGCTATGATCATGCCACTGCACTCAGACCTCGGCAACAGAGTGAGACTCGTATCAGAAAGAGAAGATAAGAGAAGAAAAGAAAAGGAAAGAAAAGAAGAAAAGAAAAGCTTATAATCCTGGCTGGGCACAGTCATGGCTCACATCTGTAATCTCAGCACTTTGAGAGGTGGAAGCAGGCAGGTCACTTGAGTCCAGGGGTTCTAGACCAGCCTGGGCAACATGGCGAAACCCCATAACTGCAAACAATACAAAAATTAGCCAGGCATGGTGTCATGCACCTGTAGTCCCACTTTGGGTAGCTGAGGTAGGAGGATCACTTGAACCTGGGAAGTCAAGGCTGCAGTGAGCCTGATCATGCCACTGAACTCCAGACTGGGTGACAGAGCGAGATCCTGTTTCAAAAAAAAATACATAAAAATAAATTTATTTCTTTCCTTCCTTCCTTCTTTCCTTCCTTCCTTCCTTCCTGCTTCCTTCCTTCTTTCCTTTCTTTCCTTCCTTCCTTCCTTCTTTCTCTCTCTCTCTCTCTTTCTTTCTTTCCTTCTTTTTCTTTCTTTCTCTCGAGACAAAGTTTCACTCTTGTTGCCCAGGCTGGAGTGCAATGGCACAATCTCACCCACTGCAGCCTCTGCCTCCCAGGTTCAAGTGTTTCTCCTGCCTCAGCCTCCCAAATAGCTGAGATTAGAGGCACCCACCACCATGCCTGGTTAATTTTTCTGGATTTTTAGTAGAGATGGGATGTCATGATGTTGGCCAGGCTGTTCTCAGACCCTTGACCTCAGGTGATCTACCCACCTCTGCCTCCCAAAGTGCTGGGATTACAGGGGTGAGCCTCCATGCCCAGTAATAAATTTCAACAAAGAAAATGTTACAATCTTGTTACAGGTATGCCAAGATCATATGCCTACTGCATAGTAATAGACCAATACACTGAGACAGCATGGTTTGCAGCAGAGAAAGAGTTTAATGATTGCAGGGCAGCCAAGTAGAGAGACGAGAGGAATCCTCAAATCCATATCCTCCGGGGAGTTCTGGACTGGGGTTTTTAAGGAGATTTTGGAGGGCAAGGGGCTGGAAAATTGGGGCTGTTGATTCATTGTGGCAAGGGGATGAGATCATCAGGATGTGGAAACTTCATTCATTGGTGAGTCAACTTCTCATAGAATCCTACAGACCAGCTGGCATCAGTAGTTTCAGTATGCAGGATCTGAAAGAATATCTGAAATGGAAAACAATATTTCACAATGCTTAAGTTGCTATCTCTAGAACAGTTCAGGGGAAGTATAATCTTGTGACAGAGTTTGTGTGATTCCAGCGCAGTAGGTTGTAAACAACTATGAGGAAACAGGTCAGAGAACAAGCTGGCCTAATGATTAATGCTGAATGTGCTGCAAGGTTGGTTTGTTTTCATTTCTCCATCTCCCTTTTTCACTGATTAATTTTATAAAGTTTATAGGAACAGTTTTGATCCTGTTAAATTTCTTTTAACTTTGGAGCACTGACTTCATTTTTTTTGCAGTCTGTATTTCCAGGATGGCTATTCCCAGTTTTTTGCTGGAATAAACTCATTAAAACTGAATTCTCATTCTTTTGGTTATTTCAGGTTGACAGTTTTATAGAGCTATATATACCTTGTTACCTGCTACATCATGTAGCTATTTATTATTGTTATTTATTTCTTGTCTTTTATTTTATTTTCCACTAAAATATAAATACCACAAGGGCAGAGATTTTCCTGTTGGGTTAACCTGTATGTCCTCCAGAACGTAGTATTTCATGAGGTATATAAACCACATTTACTTTATCTGTTTATTTTACTGGACACCTAGGTTGATTCCTTATCTTGCCTATTGTGAATAGCGCTGCAATAAATAGGCGGATGCCAATGTCTCTTCTATGTAATGATTTCCTTTGCCTTGGATAACTTCCCAGTAGTAGGATTGCTGGATCATACAGTAGTTCTATTTATTTTTTTTTGAGACGGAATTTCCCTCTTGTCACCCAAGCTGGAGTGCAATGGCGCCATCTCAGCTCCCTGCAACCTCTGCCTCCTGGGTTCAAGTGATTATCCTGCCTCAGCCTCTCAAGTAGCTGGGATTACAGGCACACATCACTATGCCCAGCTAATTTTTGTATTTTTGGTAGAAACGGGGTTTCACCATGTTGGCCAGGCTGATCTCAAACTCCTGACCTCAGGTGATCCACCCACCTCGGCTTCTCAAAGTTCTGGGATTACAGGTGTGAGGCACTGTGCCCATTCCTATTTGTCATTTTTAAAGGGAGCTCCATACTGTTCTCCATAGTGGCTGTAAGGGTTGCATTCTCACCAACAGTGTATACAAGCTCCCTTTTCTTGGCCAAGTGCGGTGGCTCATGCCTATAATCCCAGCACTTTGGGAGGTTGAGGCAGGAGGATCACTTGAGCCCAGGAGTTCGAGACCATCCGGGGCAACACAGCGAGACTCCATCTCTAAAAAAAAAAAAAAAAAGAAAGAAAGAAAGAAAAATTCCCTTTTCTCTGCATCCTCACCAGCATTTGTTGTTTTTTGTCTTTTTGAAATTGTCATCCTAACTGGGGTGAGATAATACCTCACTGTGGTTTTGATTTGCATTTCCCTGATGACTGGTGATATTGAGCATTTTTCATATATTTGTTGGATTTGACCATTTGTATATCTTCTTCTGAGAAGTTTCTATTTCTATTATTTGCCCATTTTAAAATCAGATTCTTTGTTATTTTGCTGTTGTGATGTTTCAGTTCTTTGTATATTCTGCATATTAATCTCCTGTCAGATGAGTAGTGTGCACATCTTTTCTCTCATTCTGTAGGTTGTCTTTTCACTCTGTTGATTGTTTCCTTTGCTGTGCAGAAGCTTTTTAGTTTGATATAATTCTATTTGCTTATTTTTGCTTTTTTTCCCTATACTTTTGAGGTCTGATTCATAAAATCTTCTCCCAGACCAATGTCCTGAAGCATTTTCTCTATGTTTTCTTCTAGCAGTATTATTGTTTTGGGTTTGACATTTGGGTCTTTGATCCATGTTCAGTAGATTTTTGTATAGGGTGAGAGGTGGGGGTCTAGTTTCATTCTTCTCTATATGCATATCTAGTTTATCTAGACACATTTTTTAGAGAGACTGTCCCTTCCCCCATGAGTGTTCTTGGCACCTCTGTTAAAAATCAGTTGGCTGTAGATATGTGGACTACTTTTGGGGTTCTCTATTTTGTTCTATTGGTCTATGTGTCTGTTTCATGCCAGTATCATGCGTTTTGATTACTCCAGGTTTGTAGTATATTTTGAGTTCTGGTAGTGTGATGACTCCAGCTTTTTTCTTTTGCTCAGGATTGCTTTGGATACTTGGGGTCTTTTGTGGTTCCACACAAATTTTAGGATTTTTTTTCTATTTC
Organism: Homo sapiens; assembly: GCF_000001405.40. Lineage (NCBI taxonomy): Eukaryota > Metazoa > Chordata > Mammalia > Primates > Hominidae > Homo > Homo sapiens. Next base: position 86,371,508 of record NC_000009.12, read on the forward strand.
TGTGAAGAAGGTCATTGTTATTTTAATAGCAATTGCACTTAATCTGTAGATTACTAGGGGAGAGTATTGTCATTTTAAGAATATTAATTATTTCAGTCCATGAGCTTGAGACATCTTTCCTTTTTTTCTTTTTGAGATGGGGTCCCACTCTGTCACCCAGGCTGGAGGCTGGAGTGCAGTGGTGCAATCTTGGCTCACTGCAATCTCTCCCTCCTGGGCTCAAGAGATCCTCCCACTTCAGCTTCTCCAGTAGCTGGGACTACAGACATGTGCTGTCGTGCCTAGCTAATTTTTGTAGTTTTTGTGAGATGGGTTCTTACTGTGTTGTCCAGACTGGTCTGGAACTCCTGGATTCAAGTGTTCTGCCTGCCTCAGCCTACCAAAGTGCTGGGATTACAGGAGGGAGCCACTGCACCTGGCTGTCTTTCCATTTTTTTGGTATCCTCTTCAATTTCTTTAATCAGTGCTTTGTATTCCTCATAGAGGTCTTTTGCTTCCTTGGTTAAATTTATACTTAGGTATTTTATTTCATTTTATAGCTGTCATAAATGGGATTGCCTTCTTGATTTCCTTATCAGCTATTTAATTGTTCATATATAGGAGCACCATTGATTTTTGTATATTAGTTTTTTATCTTACAACTGTACTAAATTTGTTTACCAGTGCTAAGTTTTTTGGTAGCATCTTTAGGTTTTTCTATATGTAAAATCATGTTGTCTGCAAACAGGAACAATTTGACTTTCTCCTTTCCCATTTGGATGCCCTTTATTTCTTGCCTGATTGCTCTGGCTAGGAGTTCCAGTACTATGTTGAATAGGAGTGATGAAAGTGAGCAACCTTGCCTTTTTTTTTTTTTTTTGAGATAGAGTCTCAATCTACTCCCAGGCTGGAGTGCAGTGGCCCAATCTTGGCTCACTGCAACCTCTGCCTCCCAGGTTCAAGCAATTCTTATGCCTCAGCCTCCCAAGGAGCTGGGACTACAGATGCGCCACCACACCTGGCTAATTTTTTGTATTTTTAGTAGAGACAGGGTTTTGCCATGTTGGCCAGGCTGGTCTTGAACTCCTGGGCTCAAGTGATCTGCCTGCCTCAGCCTCCCAAAGTGCTGAGATTACAGGTGTGAGCCACTATGCCCGGCTGGCAACTTTGTCTTGTTCCAATTCTTAGAGGAAAATCTTTTAGCTTTTCCCTATTCAGTGAGATGTTAGCTGAGGGTTGTCTTACATAGCCTTCATTATGCTGAGGTACTTTCTTTCTATACCTAATTTATTAAGGGTTTTCATCTTGAAGGGATGTTGTGTTTTATCAGAAGCTTGTTCTGCATCTATTGAGATGATAATAAGCTTTTTGTCCTTAATTCTATTGATGCAATATATAACATTTATTAATATGCATATGTTGAACCATTTTTACTTTCCTGGAATACATTCCGTGTGATCACTGCTTATTATCTTTTTGATATGTTATTGGATTTTGTTTGCTAGTATTTTGTTGAAGATGTTTGCGTCTGTGTTCATCAGAGACACTGGCCTGTAGTTTTCTTTGTTTATTGTGTTGATTCTGGAACTGGAGTCATGCTGGCCTCATAGAATGAGTTAAGAAGAATTCTCTCTGCTTCAACATTTTGAAGTATGAGAAAAATTGGTATTAATCATTTAAAGATTTGGCCGGGTGCAGTGGCTCACACCTGTAATCCTAGCACTTTGGGAAGCTGAGGAGGGTGGATCACCTGAGGTCAGGAATTCGAGACCAGGCTGGCCAACATGGCAAAACCCCATCTCTACCAAAAATACAAAAATAAGCTGGGTGTGGTGGCATGCGTCTGTAGTCCCAGCTACTCGGGAAGCTGAGACAGGAGAATCACTTGAATCTGAGAGGCAGATTGTAGTGAGCTGGGATCACACCATTGCACTCAGGCCTGGGCAACAGAGCAAGACTCTGTTTCAAAAAAAAAATTCTTTAAAGGTTTGGTAGAACTCAGCAGTGAAGCCATCTGGTCCTGGACTTTTCTTTGTTGAAGCACTTTTTATTAGTGATTCAATCTCATCACTTGTTATTGATTTGTTCAGGTTTTCTATTTCTTCTCAGTAGGTTGCATGTGTCCAGGAATTTATCCATTTCCTCCAGGCTTTCTCATTTATTGGCACATCATTGTGCATAGTTGTCACTAATGAGTCTTTATATTTCTATGGTATCCATTGTGATATCTTCATTTCTGGCTTTTGATTTTATTTATTTGGATCTTCTCTCTTTTTTTCTTAGTCTAGCTAATGGTTTTTTTATTTTGTTTATCTTTTCAAAAACCAAATTTTTGTTTCATTTATCTTTTGTGTTTTTTTTTAAGTCTCCATTTTGTTTATTTCTGCTCTGTTCTTATTATTTCTTTCCTTCTACTAATTTTGGGTTTGGTTATTTCTTTCCTTCTACTAATTTTGAGTTCTTGCTTTTCTAGTTCCTTGAGGTGCCATTACGTTATTAGAAATCTTAGAAATCTTTCTAGTTTTTAGATGTAGGCATTATTGCTATAAACTTGCCTCTTAATACTGCTTTTGTTGTGTCCCATAAGATTTTTTTTTGTTTTTTGTTTTGTTTTGTTTTGTTTGTTTTGAGATGGAGTCTTGCTCTGTCACCCAGGCTAGAGTGCAGTGGCATGATCTTGGCTTACTGCAACCTCCACCTCCCAGGTTCAAGCAATTCTCCTGCCTTAGCCTCCCAAGTAGCTGGGATTACAGGTGTCTGCCACCACACCTGGCTAATTTTTTTTTTTTGTATTTTTGGTAGAGATGGGGGTTTCACCATGTTGGCCAGGCTGGTCTTGAACTCCTAACCTCGTGATCCACCTGCCTCAGCCTCCCAAAGTGCTGGGATTACAGGCATGAGTCACTGCATGCAGCCAAATTTTGATACATTGCCTTTCTTTCTTTCTCTTTCTCTCTTTCTTTCTTTCTTTTGTTTTTGAGTTGAAAAGCTTTGTTAAAGCAAATTTGCACTGGTTTACAAAACTTCCTGAAGTATTTTAAGATGCTATCCACTGAAACTATGCCTTAAAAGTTAGCTTTTCTAAAAAAACACTGTTAATCTTCCCAAGGGCAATTTTCATGTATTAAACTGTGTATAGTGTTTTAAAGAGCTATATTCCTCAAAATAAACTATATAAAAAAGATTAAAAGTCCTCTTCATTTATTTCCCCTAAGTTCCATGCCTTTCTGAAGAGGCAGATGTCTTATGCTCAGAATCCCTTCCTGCACCACCCATCCACCCAAAAGAATCCCTTTATTATGATCTTGTCTTCTTCTACCACACAATAGTCAGTCTGATTTTATCCATGACTGGATTACTATATACATATCCCCATTTTCTATGACCTAAGTTTCCCTCTCTTCATTTATGTAGTTGTCTATCATCAATGAAAAGTCAAGAGAGATGTGAGTCTGATCTTATTTGTTACTCAAAAAATCTTATTTCTGACTGGATTCAGGCTTGGAAGCAGAAACTCACAGAGAGGAAAGTCTGCATCTCTTGGCAATTTGTTTCTGGGGCTTCTCTTTAGCCTCCTTCATGCTCTTGGCCAAAAGTTTAGTGTATTCTGCAGCCTCTTCCTTATTTTTCTTAGTACGCTGCTTCTTCAGAGCAATACACCGCCGATTGTGCTGCAGGACATGTGGAGTAACAAGATGCTGAATCTTGGGTGCTTTGGTCCTAGGTTTCTTACCTTCTTTGTTTAAGGGCTTTCTTACAACATACTGGTGGACATCATTTTCTTTAGAGAGATTGAAAAGTTTGAGGATTCTGCTAGCTCTTTGGAGCCCCAGGCAATGAGGCACCGTAGTATCAGTCTGTCCAGGAATATCTTTCTCTCCCTTTTTTACAATAACCAAGTTGAGAATGCTAAGATTGGCATCCACAATGCAATCACAAACTGATTTTCTTTCTTTCTTTCTCCAGTTCTCCTTGGTCTGTAAGAGGACCTTACTCAGTAGCAGGCGGACACGGCCATGGGTCATGACACCCTTCTTCATGGGGAAACCTTGTTTGTAGTTCTCACCACTGATTTGGGCCACATAATCCTTCCATTCTTCACCCAGAGAATCAGCAGCTACTTCTGTGGCCATAGGCTTCTCATAAAAAGTACGAAGTTTGAGTTCCTCTTCAATGAGTTTCCGGCTGTCAGTGGCTGGGAAGGAGATGCTCAGCTTCATCTTGAAGTAGCTGAATGCCTCCGCGGAGCCATGGAAAAGAGTGATATGTTGTGTTTCTAGTTTTATTTGCTTCAAGGAATTTTTTTGATTTCCTGCTTAATTTCTTCTTTGACCCATTGGCCATTAGGGAGCATGTGGCTTAATTTTCGTATATTTGTATAATTTTAAATGTTCCCCTTGTTATTGATGCCTAGTTTTACTACACTGTGGTCAGATAAGATACCTGATATGATTTTTTTTTTTTTTTGAGACAGTCTTACTCTGTCACCCAGTGTTGGGAACAGGCCCCCAAATCTGGCCATAAACTGCCCCCAAAACTGACCATAAACAAAATCTCTTCAGCACTGTGACATGTTCGTGATGGCCATGACACCCACACTGAAGGTTGTGGGTTTACTGAAATGAGGGCAAGGAACCCCTGGCCCAACCAGGGTGGAAAACCGCTTAAGGTGTTCCTAAGCCACAAACAACAGCATGAGCGATCTCTGCCTGAAGGACATGTTCCTGCTGCAGATAACTAGCCAAAGCTCATCCCTTTGTTTTGGCCCATCCCTTTGTTTCCCATTTTAGTTAATCTATAATCTATAGAAACCATGCTTATCACTGGCTTGCTGTCAATAAATATGTGGGTAAAACTCTGTTCGTGGCTTTCAGCTCTGAAGGCTGTCAGCCCCGATTCCTCACTCCACACTCTATATTTCTGTGTGTGTGTCTAATTTCTCCAGTGCCACTGGGTTAGGGTCTCTGAAACAAAGCTGGTCTCTGCACCCAGGCTGCAGTGCAGTGGCATGATTTTGGCTCACCGAAACCTGTGCCTCCTGGGTTCAAGCAATTATCCTGCCTCAGCCTCCTAGGTAGCTGGGATTACAGGTGTATGCCACCACACCCAGCTAATTTTTGCATTTTTTAGTAGAGACTGGGTTTCACCATGTTGGCCAGGCTGGTCTCGAACTCCTGACCTCAGGTGATCTGCCCACCTGGGCCTCCCAAAGTGCTGGGATTATAGGTGTGAGCCACTGCACCCAGCTTTGATATGATTTTTTAATTGTTGTTTCGAGACAGAGTCTCACTCTGTCACCCAGGCTAAAGTGCAGTGGCCCGATCTTGGCTCACCACAACCTCCAACTTCCCGAGTTCTAGAGATTCTCCTGCATCAGCCTCAATAAAAGCTGGGATTACAGGTGCCTGCCATCATGCCCAGCTAATTTTTGAATTTCTAGTAGAGACAGGATTTCCCCATGTTGGCCAGGCTGGTCTTGAACTCCTGACCTCAAGTGATCCACCTGCCTTGGCATTTCAAAGTGCTGGGATTACAGGTGTGAGCCACCACACCTGGCCCGGCCTTGATATGATTTTGATTACAATTTTTTTAAAGACTCTTTTGTTTGTTTTATGTCCTAACATGTGGTTAATCCTGGAGAATGTTCCATGTGCTAATAAGAATGTGTATTCTGCAGCTGATGAGTAAAATGTACTGTAAATGTCTCTCAGGTGCATTTGGTCTGTGGCGCTGTTTAAATCTGATGTTTCTTTGTTGATTTTCTGTCTAGATGATCTTTCCAATGGTAAGTATGGGGCATTGAGGTCCTCAACTATTATTGAATTACAGTCTATCTCTCTCTTTAAATCTAATAATATTTCTCTTATATATCTAAGTGCTCCAGTGTTGGGTGTATGTATATTTAAAATTGTCATATTATTGTGCTGAAGTGATGTTTCTGTTATTATATAATGGTCATCTTTGTTTCTTCTTTTTTTAATTTTATTATTATTTTACTTTAAGTTTTAGGGTACATGTGCACAACGTGCAGTTTTGTTACATATGTATACATGTGCTATGTTGGTGTGCTGCACCCATTAACTCATCATTTAGTATTAGGTATATCTCCTAATGCTATCCCTCCCCCCTCCCCCCACCCCACAACGGGCCCCGGTGTGTGATGTTCTCTTTCCTGTGTCCATGTGTCCTCATTGTTCAATTTCCACCTATAAGTGAGAACATGCGGTGTTTGGTTTTCTGTCCTTGCGATAGTTTGCTGAGAATGATGGTTTCCAGTTTCATCCATGTCCCTACAAAGGACATGAACTCATCATTTTTTATGGCTGCATAGTATTCCATGGTGTGTATGTGCCACATTTTCTTACTCCAGTCTATCATTGTTGGACATTTAGGTTGGTTCCAAGTCTTTGCTATTGTGAATAGTGCTGCTATAAACGTATGTGTGCATGTGTCTTTATAGCAGCATGATTTATAATCCTTTGGGTATATACCCAGTAATGGGATGGCTGGGTCAAATGGTATTTCTAGTTCTAGATCCCTGAGGAATCGCCACACTGACTTCCACAATGGTTGAACTAGTTTACAGTCCCACCAACAGTGTAAAAGTATTCCTATTTCTCCACATCCTCTCCAGCACCTGTTGTTTCCTGACTTTTTAATGATCACCATTCTAACTGGTGTGAGATGGTGTCTCATTGTGGTTTTGGTTTGCATTTCTCTGATGGCCAGTGATGATGAGCATTTTTTTCATGTGTTTTTCGGCTGCATAAATGTCTTCTTTGGAGAAGTGTCTGTTCATATCCTTTGCCCACTTTTTGATGGGGTTGTTTGTTTTTTTCTTGTAAATTTGTTTGAGTTCATTGTAGATTCTGGATATTAGCCCTTTGTCAGATGAGTAGGTTGTGAAAATTTTCTCCCATTCTGTAGGTTGCCTGTTCACTCTGATGGTAGTTTCTTTTGCTGTGCAGAAGCTCTTTAGTTTAATTAGATCCCATTTGTCAATTTTGGCTTCTGTTGCCATTGCTTTTGGTGTTTTAGACATGAAGTCCTTGCCCATGCCTATGTCCTGAATGGTATTGCCTAGATTTTCTTCTAGGGTTTTTATGGTTTTAGGTCTAACATTTAAGTCTTTAATCCATCTTGAATTAATTTTTGTATGAGGTGTAAGGAAGGGATCCAGTTTCAGCTTTCTACATATGGCTAGCCAGTTTTCCCAGCACCGTTTATTAAATAGGGAATCCTTTCCCCATTGCTTGTTTTTGTCAGGTTTGTCAAAGATCAGATAGTTGTAGATATGCAGCATTATTTCTGAGGGCTCTGTTCTGTTCCATTGATCCATATCTCTGTTTTGGTACCAGTACCATGCTGTTTTGGTTACTGTAGCCTTGTAGTATAGTTTGAAGTCAGGTAGCGTGATGCCTCCAGCTTTGTTCTTTTGGCTTAGGATTGACTTGGCGATGCGGGCTCTTTTTTGGTTCCATATGAACTTTAAAGTAGTTTTTTCCAATTCTGTGAAGAAAGTCATTGGTAGCTTGATGGGGATGGCATTGAATCTATAAATTACCTTGGGCAGTATGGCCATTTTCACGATATTGATTCTTCCTACCCATGAGCATGGAATGTTCTTCCATTTGTTTGTATCCTCTTTTATTTCATTGAGCAGTGGTTTGTAGTTCTCCTTGAAGAGGTCCTTCATATCTCATGTAAGTTGAATCCCCAGGTATTTTATTCTCTTTGAAGCAATTGTGAATGGGAGTTCACTCATGATTGGGCTCTCTGTTTGTCTGTTATTGGTGCATAAGAATGCTTGTGATTTTTGTACATTGATTTTGTATACTGAGACTTTGCTGAAGTTGTTTATCAGCTTGAGGAGATTTTGGGCTGAGACGATGAGGTTTTCTAGATATACAATCATGTCATCTGCAAAAAGGGACAATTTGACTTCCTCTTTTCCTAATTGAATACCCTTTATTTCCTTCTCCTGCCTAACTGCCCTGGCCAGAACTTCCAACACTATGTTGAATAGGAGTGGTGAGAGAGGGCATCCCTGTCTTGTGCCCGTTTTCAAAGGGAATGCTTCCAGTTTTTGCCCATTCAGTATGATATTGGCTGTGGGTTTGTCATAGATAGCTCTTATTATTTTGAGATATGCCCCATCAATACCTAATTTATTGAGAGTTTTTAGCATGAAGGGTCGTTGAATTGTGTCAAAGGCTTTTTCTGCATCTATTGAGATAATCATGTGGTTTTTGTCTTTGGTTCTGTTTATATACTAGATTACATTTATTGATTTGTGTATATTGAACCAGCCTTGCATCCCAGGGATGAAGCCCACTTGATCATGGTGGATAAGCTTCTTGATGTGCTGCTGGATTCGGTTTGCCAGTATTTTATTGAGGATTTTTGCATCCATGTTCATCTAGGATATTGGTCTAAAATTCTCTTTTTTTGTTGTGTCTCTGCCAGGCTTTGGTATCAGGATGATGCTGGCCTCATAAAACAAGTTGGGGAGGATTCCCTCTTCTTCTATTCATTGGAATAGTTTCAGAAGGAATGGTACCAGCTCCTCTTTTTACCTCTGGTAGAATTCAGCTGTGAATCCATCTGGTCCTGGGCTTGTTTTCGTTGGTCAGCTATTGATTATTGCCTCAATTTCAGAGCCTGTTATTGGTCTATTCAGAGATTCAGCTTCTTCCTGTTTTAGTCTTGGGAGGATGTATGTGTCAAGGAATCTATCCATTTCTTCTAGATTTTCTAGTTTATTTATGTAGAGGTGTTTATAGTATTCTCTGATGGTAGTTTGTATTTCTGTGGGATCAGTGGTGATATCCCCTTTGTCATTTTTTATTGCATCTATTTGATTCTTCTCTCTTTTCTTCTTTATTAGTATTGCTAGCAGTCTATCAATTTTGTTGATGTTTTCAAAAAACCAGCTCCTCGATTCATTAATTTTTTTGAAGGGTTTTTTTGTCTCTATTTCCTTCAGTTCTGCTCTGATCTTAGTTATTTCTTGCCTTCTGCTAGCTTTTGAATGGGTTTGCTCTTGCTTCTCTAGTTCTTTTAATTGTGATGTTAGGTTGTCAATTTTAGATCTTTCCTGCTTTCTCTTGTGGGCATTTAGTGCTATAAATTTCCCTCTACACACTGCTTTGAATGCGTCCCAGAGATTCTGGTATGTTGTGTCTTTGTTCTCGTTAGTTTCAAAGAACATCTTTATTTCTGCTTTCATTCCATTATTTACCTAGCAATCATTCAGGAACAGGTTGTTCAGTTTCCATGTAGTTGAGTGGTTTTGAGTGAGTTTCTTAATCCTGAGTTCTAGTTTGATTGCACTGTGGTCTGAGAGACAGTTTGTTATAATTTCTGTTCTTTTACATTTGCTGAGGAGTCTTTACTTCCAACTATGTGGTCAGTTTTGGAGTAGGCGTGGTGTGGTGCTGAAAAGAATGTATATTCTGTTGATTTGGGGTGGAGAGTTCTGTAGATGTCTATTAGGTCTACTTGGTGCAGAGCTGAGTTCAACTCCTGGGTATCCTTGTTAACTTTCTGTCTCGTTGATCTGTCTAATGTTGACAGTTTGGTGTTAAAGTCTCCCATTATTATTGTATGGGAGTCTAAGTCTCTTCGTAGGTCACTAGGGAGTTGCTTTATGAATCTGGGTGCTCCTGCATTGGGTGCATATATATTTAGGATAGTTAGGGATCAATTCTTGTTGAATTGATCCCTTTACCATTATGTAATGGCCTTCTTTGTCTCTTTTGATCTTTGTTGGTTTAAAGTCTGTTTTATCAGAGACTAGGATTGCAACCCCTGCCTTTTTTTGTTTTCCATTTGCTTGGTAGATCTTCCTCCATCCCTTTATTTTGAGCCTATATGTGTCTCTGCATGTGAGATGGGTTTCCTGAATACAGCACACTGATGGGTCTTGACTCTTTATCCAATTTGCCAGTCTGCGTCTTTTAATTGGAGCATTTAGCCCATTTACATTTAAAGTTAATATTGTTATGTGTGAATTTGATCCTGTGATTATGATATTAGCTGGTTATTTTGCTCATTAGTTGATGCATTTTCTTCCTAGCCTCGATGATGTTTACAATTTGGCATGTTTTTGCAGTGGCTGGTAACGGTTGTTCCTTTCCATGTTTAGTGCTTCCTTTGGGAGCTCTTTTACGGCAGGCCTGGTGGTGACAAAATCTCTCAGCATTTGCTTGTCTGTAAAGGATTTTATTTCTCCTTCACTTATGAAGATTAGTTTGGCTGAATATGAAATTCTGGGTTGAAAATTCTTTCTTTACAAATGTTGAATATTGGTCCCCACTCTCTTCTGGCTTGTAGAGTTTCTGCTGAGAGATCAGCTGTTAGTCTGATGGGCTTCCCTTTGTGGGTAACCCAACCTTTCTCTCTGGCTGCCCTTAACATTTTTTCCTTCATTTCAACTTTGGTAAGTCTGACAATTATGTGTCTTGGAGTTGCTCTTCTCGAGGAGTATCTTTGTGGCATTCTCTATATTTCCTGAATTTGAATGTTGGCCTGCCTTGCTAGATTGGGGAAGTTCTCCTGGATAATATCCTGCAGAGTGTTTTCCAACTTGGTTCCATTCTCCTCGTCACTTTCGGGTACACCAATCAGACGTAGATTTGGTCTTTTCACATAGTCCCATATTTCTTGGAGGCTTTGTTCATTTCTTTTTACTCTTTTTTCTCTAAACTTCTCTTCTCGCTTCATTTCATTCATTTCGTCTTCCTTCACTGATACCCTTTCTTCCAGTTGATTGCATTGGCTACTGAGGCTGCTGCTTTCGTCATGTAGCTCTCGTGCCTTGGTTTTCAGCTCCATCAGGTTCTTTAAGGACTTCTCTGCATTGGTTATTCTAGTTATCCATTTGTCTAATTTTTTTTCAAAGCTTTTAACTTCTTTGCCATTGGTTTGAATTTCCTCCTGTAGCTCGGATTAATTTGATCATCTGAAGCCTTCTTCTCTCAACTCATCAAAGTCATTCTCCATCCAGCTTTGTTCCATTGCTGGTGAGGAGCTGTGTTCCTTTGGAGGAGGAGAGGCACTCTGATTTTTAGAGTTTCCAGTTTTTCTGCTCTGTTTTTTTCCCATCTTTGTGGTTTTATCTACCTTTGGTCTTTGATGATGGTGATGTACAGTTGGGTTTTTGGTGTGGATGTCCTTTCTGTTTGTTAGTTTTCCTTCTAACAGACAAGACCCTCAGCTGCAGGTCTGTTGGAGTTTGCTAGAGGTCCACTCCAGACCCTGTTTGCCTGGGTATCAGCAGTGGTGGCTGCAGAACAGCAGATATTGGTGAACCGCAAATGCTGCTGCCTGATCGTTCCTCTGGAAGTTTTGTCTCAGAGGAGTACCCAGCCGTGTGAAGTGTCAGTCCGCCCCTACTGTGGGGTGCCTCCCAGTTAGGCTACCCAGGGGTCAGGGACCCACTTGTGGAGGCAGTCTGCCCGCTCTCAGATCTCAAGCTGCATGCTGGGAGAACCACTACTCTCTTCAAAGCTGTCAGAGAGGGACATTTAAGTCTGCAGAGGTTACTGCTGTCTTTTTGTTCGTCTGTGCCCTGCCCCCAGAGGTGGAGCCTACAGAGGCAGGCAGGCCTCCTTGAGCTGTGGTGGGCTCCACCCAGTTCGAGCTTCCCAGCTTCTTTGTTTACCTAATCAAACAACTAACTCGGCAATGGCGGGCACCCCTCCCCCAGCCTCGCTGCTGCCTTGCAGTTTGATCTCAGACTGCTGTGCTAGCAATGAGTGAGACTCCGTGGGCATACGACCCTCCAAGCCATGTGAGGGATATAATCTCCTGGTGTGCCGTTTTTTAAGCCCGTTGGAAAAACGCAGTATTAGGTTGGGAGTGACCCGATTTTCCAGGTGCTGTCTGTCACCCCTTTCTTTGACTAGGAAAGGGAATTCCCTGACCCCTTGCACTTCCCTGGTGAGGTGATGCCTCGCCCTGCTTTGGCTTGTGCACAGTGCACCGCTCCCACTGTCCTGCACCTACTGTTTGGCACTCCCCAGTGAGATGAACCTGGTACCTCAGTTGGAAATGCAGAAATCACCCGTCTTCTGTGTCACTCACGCTGGGAGCTGTAGACCGGAGCTGTTCCTATTCGGCCATCTTGGCTCCTCCCCACTCTTTGTTTCTTCTTACAACTTTTAACTTTAAGTCTATTTTGTCTGATATAAATGTAGCTACTCTTGCTCACTTTTATTTTCATTTGCAAGGAATATCTTTTTTCATCCCTTCACTTTTATTCTATGTGTGTCTTTATAAGTGAAGTAAGTTTCCTGTAGCTGCATAGAGTTGGGTATTGGGTTTAAAAAAATACATTCAGCCAGTCTATATCTTTTAAATGGAGAATTTAATTCATCATATTCAAGCTTATTGTTGATAGGTAAAGACTTAATCCTGCCCTTGTATTGATCGTTTCCTGGTTGTTTTGTAAATCCTTTGTTTCTTAACTACCTCTCATGTGGTTTATTTTTATGGTTGGGTGCCTTTCTGTACTGATAAGGTTTGATTCCTTTCTGTTTTTCCTTTGCTTATTGGCTTTACCAGTGAATTTTATAGTTTTGTATGTTTTTATGATGGTGGTTATCTTCTTTTCACTTCCAGATGTAAGAGTCTCTTGAGCATTCCTTGTAAGTTTGGTCTAGTGGTGATGAATTCCCTTAGATTTTGATTGTCTGTGAAAGATTTTATTTCTCCATCATTTTTGAAGGAAAGCTTTGCTGTGTACAATATTCTTGGCCAATAGTTTATCTTTCAGGACTTTGAATATATCATCCTGTTCTCTCCTGGCCTGAAAGGTTTCTGCAAACAAATTCACTGTTAGTCTAGTGGAGATTCCCTTATAGTTGACTTGATGCTTTTGTCTTGTTGCTTTTAAAATTCTTTTTTTTTGTTTTTGACTTTTGACAATTTGAGTATAATGTGCATCAGAGAGAACCTGTCTGGATTAAATATATTTGGGGTTGTTTGAGCTTCTTGAACCTGGATGTCTATCTCATTCTCAAGACTTGGGAAGTTTTCTGATATTATTTCATTAAGTATGTTTCTCTCACCTTTTTTCTTCTTTTCTCCTTCTAGAATGTCAACAATATATGTATTTTTTTCACTTAGTGGTGTTGCATAAATCCTGTAGGCTTTCTTTATTCTTTTATTATTTTTTTCCTTTTGGCATACCTGTGTTATTTCAAAAGTCCTTTCTTCCAGTTCAGAAATTCTTTCCTCTGCTCAGTCTAGTTTGTTGTTGAAGCTCTCTTATTCATTGAATTCTTTGGCTACAGGATTTCTGTTTGGGTCTGTTTATTGATATATATCTTTTTGTTGAATTTCTTATTCAAATACTAAATTGTTTTCCAAATTTTGTTGAATTGTCTATCTGTATTCTCTTATATCTCACTGAGTTTCTTTAAGATTATTATTTTGAATCCTTTTCTGGTATTTCATATATTTCCTTATGATTGGGGCCTGTTACTGGAGAATTATTATTTTCCTTTGGTATGTGACATGTTTCCTTGCTTTTTCATGGTTGATGTGCCCTTACGTTGATTTCTATGCATCTTAAGGAAAAGTAGCCTCTTTGTATTTTACAGAATAGGCTTTGTATGAAAACACTTGTTCAGATGAATGGGCCTTAGAGTGTTGGTTTGGTGTGGTGTGTATTGGCCTTGGTTCGAGGTTGATACAGAAGTGTAGTCTGTGTAATTTACTCAGTTGTAATCCACACTAGTGGTGTTTGTGTTTCTCAGTGGCCTATGATGAGAGAGTTTGTGGTGATGGCAGTGCAGCTTTGCCAGGTTCTACACACATGTACATAGGCATCCCTCTGGCTCAAGGATATATTGGATTTTTGGAGGCTCTGAGGCCTTTCCTGCTTGGGGGAGGGTAACTGGCAGTGATTTGGCCACCTCAAGGGTAGATTTTCCCTGGATGGTACTGGCCAACTGTTCCTCCAGCTGGAAGTTTGGTGAGGGTAGGGGGAGTTGGTTACCCTGTTGCACAGGACCAGAGTCACAGCGGTCCTGGGACCATGCTCTGTACAGCTAGGATTGTGACATTCAGCCACCTATGTGGGCTTGGTGGAATGAGGATGGAGCCCCAGTGCTGGAGAGCCACATTGGCTACTGGACCCCAGAGCAGGGTCCACTCCAGAGGGGGGCTCTGGTCTCAAGACAGTGCTGTGCTACAACACCTTGGCTCACAGTGGGTGAGTGGTTGGGTGGTGCACACCTTATCCTACTAATCTGGGGCAATGCAGCTGTGTGAATTCCCACCAGCTTTCCAAACTGGATTCAGGGCTTGCAAGGATTGTGAGATTCTTCTGATGTAAGGACTTATAGGTGTTTGTGGCAGCAATGGGGATAGGTGGGGCTCTTCTGCTTGACTTTTCCCTACAATGCAGAGTCTCTTCTGACTCCAGGCAGATGTGACCCATGTTGGGGAAACGAGGCTACAGAGTCCTGGTGCCTCCATGCTGTCCTCCTCCACTTCTAATCACCACAGCTGTACCTCTAACTCACCCACTGCACTCTAGCACTCTCCCTTTGACACTCCATTCAAATCTTAGCTCTGTAGTTATTGCCTTGGTCCTTTCTTGCTGAGGTGGGGTTCTGAATGTTTGGTGTCTCTTGGCAGGCATCTTGCTGTTTCTTTTCCTAACTCAAAAGTCTTCTTCTTAAATCAGTCCCTTGTAAGGGGGATGCCATAAGCCTTAAACCAGGGTTTCTCTACCTCAGGACCATTCTCTTTTTGGGTTGGATAATTCTTTGTTGTGGGTTGCCCTGTGCATGGTAGGATGTTTAGCAGCATTTCTGGCCTTTACCCACTAGATGCCTCCCCTCACATTATGACACTCAAAAATGTCACATTTTAGGTATTGCCGAATATCTCTGGGGAGAAAATCACCACTAAGTTGAGAACCACTGCCTTAGACCATCAGGTCTACCCTGGAGCTAGGGGCATGGGCCAGCTTGCTTTAAGGGCACTTGAGTTACATGAGGGAGAGTGAGATATTGAATAAAATCTGGGTCCTTTCCTGAAGGAGAAAGGTGAGAATGGATGGCAGCCAACAACGTTCATTATACCTACATTAATCAAATATGTCTCCAGATCTGGAACATATTTCAGCTTTCCTGTAAATCAGGCTATATGTGGGAAAATTGAAAAATATGTTTAGAATTTTGATGTTTGGGCAGAGAAGAACTTCCAGTAAGACATCAACCATTTTTAGAATATCAAAGGAGACAGAGGATCCTTTTTCTGCCCTATGGTTGGTGGAAGACGGAGAGAGAAGCTCTACAATGCTGTATTGGGAAAGAGGCAACCTTCCTAAGGGTCCTTGGGGTCTACTTATACAGTCTTTGCAAAGACCTTCTTTTAAATTAGGCTTAGACTGGACTTTTCTGACTTCTGTGGCTTGAGGAATAGCAAAGAACTATCAGGATCTCCTGATTCTCCCTGCCAAAGAGTCTCTTAGTTTAAATTATTCCAGATATGTTGTGTAAAGCAAAAAAAAAATTATTTCCAGAGCACGTTTTTAAATCTTAGGAAAATCAGTGAGATAGCATACTTGTAGTAATTAAAACCTAGGATTTGCTATTCTAGAATGAGTCATTTATTTATTCATTCATTTTATGTATTCAGCAAATGTTGAGTGCCTGATATGTGCCTGTTATGTGAGGAAAACAAAGTCCCAGTTCTTGCAGCGTTGAATATCTGGTAAAGGCAACACATGTCCTGAAATTGAACACCTAAGACCTGACTCAGATGAATGTACTTTCTCCCCTAAAATTGATCTATTCCTGCTCTGGCACCCTACTGGCCTCTAGGAACTATGGAAACAAATCTTGAACTTACCAGTTAGTTTATCTCAATCTTTTCAAATTTAAATGATGTCTTCTCTGGTTCCACCTTTTTTGGATAGATGCCTCATTGTTCAGATTTCCTTCTTCACTCCCCTTGGATGCCCTCTGAGGATGAGATGAGCTACAATTGTATGATTGGTAAAAAGAGTCCTTAAATACATATCCATAGGTTCGTTGGGAAGCTCTCTTGCTTTTCTGGTCTTTCCAGTCTCTCTCCTTAGCCATCTTGTTGATATCTGATCCTGAGGTTTAAGACTCATGAACTAATGGCACGTTCTCTTGCCTTAGTTCATCTCCAGTGGTTTGCTCCTTTTGACCCACCCTGCACTTTCAGGCCCACTTTCAGAATGCGTGGTCCACCCTTTCACCCTAGGTGTGGTAATCTCTTGGCTACTTTGCCACTTGTCTTCCATGGCACCATAAAGAATCCAGACACACCTGGATTCCTTCCAAGAACACATAAATCTCAAGTATGCCTGAAAGTTCCAATTTTGGCTTTCCCTTTTTGACCATTCCCTGCTGTTATTTTTACAATGCTGAAACCATCCTACGTTTCCATTAAGTGATCTACTTCCCCCGATTCCATGCTGGGCATGGGTCACCTGCTTTACAATTTGCCCTCAACTAATCTCACCCCCAAAGTGATTGGTGGAAGTTCTGCTTTCCTTCCTGTTGCCATGGAGACCAGCCACCCTGTCTTTCCCTCCTCTCCCCACTTCTAAGTCTCAGCCATGTTTTTTTCTGTGGACATTGAATACCCAACTCCCAGCTGTTTCTTAGATCCCACAGCTATGCCTTTCAAACTGTCTCCATGGGAATAGCTCTCTTCTCTCCACACTCATCAAATGCTATAGACTTCTTGCTAACCATGGACTGGACCTCAGGGCTTGCCCAGGGTTAGACTTTTCTAAACGTCTCCGAGAATTCACTAGATCTGGAAGCTGAGTCCATTCTTGGGCCACAGGGCTACTTCCACAGAGCCTGTAGATCACCCATCACTGCTCAAAGCTGGGGCTATCCTCTGGCTTTCAGACGCATCTCTAGGCTATCTTCATCTTTAAAGACTCACCCTGCAGCAGAGGCCAAGAAACTGCTGCCTCCCACCTTATCAATCAGCTGTGCACAGATGGAGGTCCCTCTCCTAGCCCTGGACACAGAGATATGATGGAAAGAAATACAGATTCTTTAGAGAATCTGTATCTCCTTCAAAAGGAAATAGAGCTGGTGTTGGGCAGATCTGAGCTGTGTGGGTGATAAAGACAGGGGAGGATGGAAAGAAATTTCTACTGATTGGATAACCACTGGGCTGAAAACTAAGTATATATGTCTGATAGTCTTCTCAAAATTATACAATTTGTGAGTTATACTAGAAAATGAAGGCTTAGACCGGGTGCGGTGGCTCACAATTGTAATCTCAGCACTTTGGGAGGCCGAGGTGGGCAGATCACCTGAAGTCAGGAGTTTGAGACCAGCCTAAACAATATGGTGAAACCCCATCTCTACTAAAAGTACAAAAATTAGCCAGGCGTGGTGGTGGGTGCCTGTAGTCCTAGCTACTCAGGAGTCTGAGACAGGAGAATTGCTTGAACCCAGGAGGTGGAGGTCATAGTGACTTGAGATTGTGCCACCGCACGCCAGCCTGGGTGACAGAGTGAGACTCTGTCTCAAAAAAAAAAAAAAGAAAAGAAAAGAAAACAAAGGCTTAAAGAGGTAGAATCACAGGCAGATGGCAATATGATTTTACTGGTCTATGTGAGACTTCACCAAGGTCTTTCTGACTTCAACGTTTATATATTTTTTTACTACGCCATGCGCCAAGCTCCTGTCACCTGACTGAATCCTCATACCTCAAAGAGCTACTGTTCCTTTCTGGATTGTGTGATCACCATCTGCAACTGGGACTCAGTAGTCTCAAGACCATGGTTCCAGCTCTGCCTCCATTTTGCTTTGATCTTGGGCAAGTTGTTTTCCCTCGTGGGCTTTGGTTTCCTTAACTGTAAGCAAGAGTCAAAGAACATGAAGCCAAACATTATTGTTTTTAATTAATCATGAACAATTCAATTTTTTCAATTTTTCTCATTAGGGTGTGCATTTTTATAAATTTTTGTATTTATAATGATTTGTTCTTATTGATTATTTGAAATTTAAGTAAAAAGTTAAATTATATATTTTGTGGTTTTTGTTTTTATGTTTAGATTTATCTTCTATTTTTGAAACTGGATTTTAAATTAGAGTTGTGATATAAAGCTTTCTTTTAAAATGTATAAATTTTTTAAAGTCAAATTTATTTACAGAAAATTATTAATAAGTAAATAATTATCCAGAGATGGCAAAAATCATGAAGTTGATAATTATCTGACTGAACTTTAGGAAGTACTAGGTCTAAGACAGAGATGAGAAAATGCTCAGGATTTAACAGTGATGCTGTCTAACATTTGGACATTAAGAAAAATAAGAGGAACTGGAAAAAGAAGGCCAAAAAAGGAGGGGGTTGAGTCATAAGAGGGAAATTAAGAGTGTAACATAATTAGTCCTTGTGCTGTGCTGCTCTAACTGCATGGTTGCCAAATGTATCAAAAAAGCTACCGTTTTTTTTTTTTTGGTCACTTCCAAGGTGGCCAAATAGGAACAGCTCTGGTCTGCAGCTCCCAGCGAGATCGACGCGGAAGAAGGGTGATTTTTCCATTTCCAACTGAGGTACCTGGTTCATTTCACTGGGACTGGTTGGAGAGTGGGTGCAGCCCATGGAGGATTAGCTGAAGCAGGGTGGGGTCACCTCACCCAGGAAGCACAAGGGGTCAGGGGATTTCCCCTTCCTAGCCAAGGGAAGCTGTGACAGACTGTACCTGGAGAAATGGTACACTCCAGACCAAATACTGCACTTTTCCCACAGTCTTAGCAACCGGCAGACCAGGAGATACCCTCCTGTGCCTGGCTTGGCAGGTCCCACGCCCACGAAGCCTTGCTCACTGCTAGAATGGCAGTCTAAGGTTGACTTGTGATGCGGCAGCTTGACCAGTGGGGAGGGGCATCTGCCATTGCTGAGGCTTGAGTAGCTCACAGTGTAAACAAAGTGACAGGAAGCACAAACTGGGCAGAGCCCACCACAGCTCAGCAAGGCCTACTGCCTCTATAGATTCCCCCTATGGGAACAGGGACTAGTACATCAAAAGGCAGTAGAGAAAGCTTCTGCAGACTTAAACATCCCTGTCTGACAGCTCTGAAGAGAGCAGTGGTTCTCTCTGCATGGTGTTCGAACTCTGAGAATGGACAGACTGCCTCCTCAAGCAGGTCCCTAACCCCTGTGTAGCGTGACTGGGAAATACCTCCCGGTAGGGGCTGACAGACATGTCAAACAGGCAGGTGCCCCTCTGGGACGAAGCTTCCAGAGGAAGGATCAGGCAGCAATATTTTCAGTTCTGCAGCCTCCGCTGGCTATACCCAGGCAAACAGGGTCTGGAGTGGACCTCCAGTAAACTCCAACAGACCTGCAGTTGAGGGGCCTGACTGTTAGAAGGAAAACTAACAAACAGAAAGGAATAGCATCAACATCAACAAAAAGGACATCCACACCAAAACCCCATCTGTAGGTCACCAACATCAAAGACCAAAGGTAGATAAAACTACAAAGTTGGGGAGAAACCAGAGCAGAAAAGCTGAAAATTCCAAAACACAGAGTTTTCTCTGTGTTTTGGAGGAGTCTTCTCCTCCAAAAGATTGCAGCTCCTCGCCAGCAAGGGAACAAAACTGGATGGAGAATGAGTTTGACGAGTTGACAGAAGTAGGCTTCAGAAGGTCAGTAATAACAAACTTCTCTAAGCTAAAGGAGCATGTTCTAACCCATCGCAAGGAAGCTAAAAACCTTGAAAAAAGGTTAGATGAATGGCTAACAAGAATAAACGGTGTAGAGAAGACCTTAAATGACCTGATGGAGCTGAAAACCATGGCATGAGAACTTCGTGACGCATGCACAAGCTTCAATAGCCGATTTGATCAAGTGGAAGAAAGGATATCAGTGATTGAAGATCAAATTAATGAAATAAAGTGAGAAGACAAGATTAGAGAAAAAGGAGTGAAAAGAAATAAACAAAGCCTCCAAGAAATATGGGACTATGTGAAAAGATCAAATATACGTTGATTGGTATACCAGAAAGTGATAGGGAGAATGGAACCAAGTTAGAAAACACTCTTCAGGATATTGTCCAGGAGAACTTCCCCAACCTAGCAAGGTGGGCAACATTCAATTTCAGGAAACACAGAGAACACACAAAGATACTCCTTGAGAAGAGCAACCCCAAGACACATAATTGTCAGATTCACCAATGTTGAAATGAAGGAAAAGATGTTAAGGGCAGCCAGAAAGAAAGGGCAGGTTACCTACAAAGGCAAGCCCATCAGACTAACAGTGGATCGCTCAACAAAAACCTTACAAGCCAGAAGAAAGTGGGGGCCAATATTCAACATTTTTAAAGAAAAGAATTTTCAACCCAGAATCTCATATCCAGCCAAACTAAGCTTCATAAGTGAAGGAGAAATAAAATCCTTTACAGACAAGCAAATGCTGAGAGATTTTGTCACCACCAGGCCTGCCTTACAAGAGCTCATGAAGGAAGCACTAAACATGGAAAGGAACAACTGGTACCAGCCACTGCAAAACAAGCCAAATGGTAAAGACCATCGATGTTGGGAAGAAACTGCATCAACTAACGAGCAAAATAACCAGCTAACATCATAATGACAGGATCAGATTCAAACATAACAACATTAACCTTAAATGTAAATGGGCTAAATGTCCCAATTAAAAGACACAGACTGGCAAATTGGATAGAGTCAAGACCCATCAGTGTGCTGTATTCAGGAGACCCATCTCACGTGCAAAGATGCACATAGGCTCAAAATAAAGGGATGGAGGAAGATCTACTAAGCAAGTGAGCAAAAAAAAGCAGGGGTTGCAATCCTAGTCTCTGATAAAACAGACTTTAAGCCAATAAAGATGAAATGTGACAAAGAAGGCCATTACATAATGGTAAAGGGATCAATTCACCAAGAAGACCTAACTATCCTAAATATATATCACCCAATACAGGAGCACCCAGATTCATAAAGCAAGTCCTTAGAGACCTACAAACAGACTTAGACTCCCACACAATAATAATGGGAGAATTTAACACCCACTGTCAGTATTAGACAGATCAATGAGACAGGAGGTTAACAAGGATATCCAGGACTTGAACTCAGCTCTGGACCAAGTGGACCTAATAGACATCTACAGAACTCTCCACCCCAAATCAACAGAATATACTTTCTTCTCAGCACCGCATCGCACTTATTCTAAAATTGACCACATAATTGGTAGTAAAATACTCCACAGCAAACGTAAAAGAAGAGAAGTCACAAGAAAATGTCTCTCAGACCACAGTGCAATCAAATTAGAACCCAGGATTAAGAAACTCACTAAAAACTGCACAACTACATGGAAACTGAACAACCTGCTCCTGAATGACTACTGGGTACATAACGAAATGAAGGCAGAAATAAAGATGTTCTTTGAAACCAATGAGAACAAAGACACAATGTACCAGAATCTCTGGGACACATTTAAAGCAGTGTGTAGAGGGAAATTTATAGCACTAAATGCCCACAAGAGAAAGCAGGAAAGATCTAAAATTGACACCCTAACATCACAATTAAAAGAACTAGAGAAACAAGAGCAAACACATTCAAAAGCTAGCCGAAGGCAAGAAATAACTAAGATCAGAGCAGAACCGAAGGAGATAGAGACAAATAAAACCCCTTAAAAAAATCAATGAATCCAGAAGCTGGTTTTTTGAAAAGATCAACAAAATTGATAGATCGCTAGCAAGAAAAATAAGGAAGAAAAGAGAGAAGAATCAAATAGATGCAATAAAAAATGATAAAGGGGATATCACCACTGTTCTCACAGAAATACAAACTACCATCAGAGAATACTATAAACACCTCTATGGAAACAAACTAGAAAATCTAGAAGAAATGGATAAATTCCTGGACACATACACCCTCCCAAGACTAAACCAGGAAGAAGTTGAATCTCTGAATAGACCAATAACAGTTTCTGAAATTGAGGCAATAATTAATAGCCTACCAACCATAAAAAGTCAAGGATCAGACAGATTCACAGCCGAATTCTACCAGAGGTACAAGGAGGAACTGGTACCATTCCTTCTGAAACTATTCCAATGAATAGAAAAAGAGGGAATCCTCCCTAACTCATTTTATGAGACTAATATCATCCCGATACCAAAGCCTGGTAGAGACACAACAAAAAAAAAATTTTAGGCCAATATCCCTGATGAATATTGATGTGAAAATCCTCAATAAAATACTGGCAAACAGAATCCAGCAGCACATCAAAAAACTTATCCGCCACGATCAAGTCAGCTTCATCCCTGGGATGCAAGGCTGGTTCCGCATACGCAAATCAATAAATGCAATCGATCACATAAACAGAACCAATGACAAAAACCACATGATTATCTCAGTAGATGCGGAAAAGGCCTTTGACAAAATTCAACATCCCTTCATGCTGAAAACTCTCAATAAACTAGGTATTGATGGAATGTATCTCAAAATAATAAGAGCTATTTATGGCAAATCCACAGCCAATATCATACTGAATGGGCAAAAACTGGAAGCATTCCCTTTGAAAACTAGCAGAAGACAAGGATGCCCTCTCTTACCACTCCTATTCAACATAGTGTTGGAAGTTCTGGCTAGGGTAATCAGGCAAGAGAAAGAAATAAAGGGTATTCAATTAGGAAAAGAGGAAGTCAAATTGTCTCCGTTTGCAGATGACATAATTGTATATTTAGAAAACCCCATCATCTCAGCCCCAAATCTCCTTAAGCTGATAAGCAACTTCAGCAGTCTCAGGATACAAAATCAGTGTGCAAAAATCACAAGCATTCCTATACACCAATAATAGACAAATGGAGAGCCAAATCATGAGTGAACTCCCATTCACAATTGCTTCAAAGAGAATAAAATGCCTAGGAATTCAACTTACAAGGGATGTGAAGGACCTCTTCAAGGAGAACTACAAACCACTGCTCAACGAAATAAAAGAAGACACAAACAAATGGAAGAACATTCCATGCTCATGGATAGGAAGAATCAATATTGTGAAAATGGCCATACTGCCCAAGGTAATTGATAAATTCAGTGCTATCCCCATCAAGCTACCACTGACTTTCTTCACAGAATTGGAAAAAACTACTTTAAGGTTCATATGGAACAAAAAAAGAGCCCATATAGCCAAGACAATCCTAAGCAAAAAGGACAGAGCTGGAGGCATCATGCTACCTGACTTCAAACTATACTACAAGGCTACAGTAACCAAAACAGCATGGTACTGGTACCAAAACAGATATATAGACAAATGGAACAGAACAGAGGCTTCATAAATAACACCACACATCTATGATCATCTGAGCTTTGACAAACCTGAGAAAAACAAGCAATGGGGAAAGGATTCCCTATTTAATAAATGGTGCTGGGAAAACTAGCTAGCCATATGTAGAAAGCTGAAACTGGATCCCTTCCTTACACCTTATACAAAAATTAACTCAGGATGGATTAAAGACTTAAATATAAGACCTAACACCATAAAAACCTTAGAAGAAAACCTAGGGAATACCATTCAGGACATAGGCATGGACAAAGACTTCATGACTAAAACACCAAAAACAATGGCAACAAAAGCCAAAATAGACAAACGGGATCTAATTAAACTAAAGAGCTTCTGCACAGCCAAAGAAACCACCATCAGAGTGAAGAGGCAACCTATAGAATGGGAGAAAATCTTTGCAATCTACTCATCTGACAAAGGGCTAATATCCAGAGTCTACAAAAAACTTAAACAAATTTAGAAGAAAAAAACAAACCACCCCATCAAAAAGTGGGTAAAGGATATGAACAGACACTTCTCAAAAGAAGACATTTATGCAGCCAACAGACATGAAAAAATGCTCATCATCACTGGTCATCGGAGAAATGCAAATCAAAACCACAATGAGATACCATCTCATGCCAGTTAGAATGGTGATCATTAAAAAGTCAGGAAACAACAGGTGCTGGGGAGGATGTGGAGAAATAGGAATGCTTTTACACTGTTGGTAGGAGTGTAAATTAGTTCAACCATTGTGGAAGACAGTGTGGTGATTCCTCAAGGATCTAGAACTAGAAATACCATTTGACCCAGCCATCCCATTACTGGGTATATACCCAAAGGATTACAAATCATGCTACTATGAAGACACATGCACATTTATGTTTTTTGAGGCACTATTCACAAGAGCAAAGACTTGGAACTAACCCAAATGTCCATCAGTAATAGACTGGATTAAGAAAATATAGCACATATACACCATGGAATACTATGCAGCCATAAAAAAAGGATGAGTTAATGTCCTTTGCAGGGACATGGATGAATCTGGAAACCATCATTCTAAGCAAACTATCACAAGAATAGAAAACCAAACACTGCATGTTTTCACTCATAGTTGGGAGTTGAACAACGAGTACACATGGACACAGGGTGGGGAACATCACACACTGGGGCCTGTTGGGGGCTGGGGGCTTGGGGAGGGATAGCATTAGGAGAAATACCTAATGTAAGTGATGAGTTGAGGGGTACAGGAAACCAACATGGCACATGTCTACCTATGTAAAAAACCTGCACGTTGTGCACATGTACCGTAGAACTTAAAGTATAATAAAATAAAAAATAATAAAAATAAAAAATAAAAAAGTTACCTCAAGACATCCAGGGTTTCCCTTGGGAGGGGAGAGTCCCCTGCCAGCCTAGGTCAGAACTTTTAACTAATGATATTGGGTGGGGTTAATGCAATGATTCACATTTCCAGAAGCAATCCCTGCTAGCTATCATTCATTGTTTAGGAGGTGTGATATTCCCTCCTGGGCCAAAGAGGTGGAAGTTGAGAAGGAAGAAAGCAGTGAAGAGAATGAGAAAAGGGAAGAACTTGAAAGTCAAATGTGGTGGGAGTAGGAGAAAGCTTGGAAATTCAGTAAGAAAAAATTGAGCCTAAGGCAGAGCTGCACTGCCAATATATAAGGAGAAAATTGAAGAGTGGCCTTCATTCAAGAAAATAGAGTTCGATGAAACAAAAAAAGTAAATAAAAAAGATAAATGGACCTAACCTTGAACTGTCCTGGTTCCTGAACTGGTATGCTTTATCCCCTGGGCATGGAACAGGCCAAAGTGCCTCTCAGTGGGGTTGCCAGAGCAAATAAAGGGTGTCCCATACACTACTTGGAACATTCTTGTACCAAAAAAATTGTTCATTGCTTGCCTGAAACTCAAATCTCACTGGGTGTTTTGTATTCACTTAATTTATTTTGTTTTTGCTTAATTACTCTGTGAGGGCTTGCGCTCTGGGAAAGGATCAACCCAGAGGAATATTTACCGGCTCTCAGGTTGCCTAACCATGCTATCATCTTGCCGTGACTGTGAAAAAAACTCCCTTTTCTTCTTATTCCCAATGTTTTACTTTGAAAAATGTCAAACCTACAGAAGATTTGTGAGAAATGTACAATGAACTTCCATATGCTGTTTATATGTCACTAATTTTACCATTTTTGTCACATTTTCTTCCTTTCTCTCCCTTTGTACGTGTGTATCCTTAGCTGAACCATTTGAGAGTTACAGATATCATGATACCCAAGCCCCAAAACACTCTGCATGTCTCTCTCAAAAATTAGAATATTTTCCTATATATAAGCATGATGCAAAGATCACACTCGGGTCATATTTAACATTGACACAATACTATTTTCTAATATGCAGTCTATATTTAAATTTCTGCAGTTGGCCCAATACTGCTTTTTAGCATGGTTTCTAATTTTAATTTTCAATTTATATTTTTAGAGACTAGGTCCCGCTGTGCTGCCCAGTCTGGTCTCAAACTCCTGGGCTCAAGCGTTCCTCCCGTCTCAGCCACTTGAGCAGCTGGAACCACAGGTCCGTGCTGCTATGCTCAAGTCAGTTTTTGTTTTTTAATTCAAAGTTTGGGCAATGATCAGACCTTGCATTTGTTTTCATGTCTCTTTAGTGTTCTTTAATGTAAAACAGTTTGCCAGCCCTTTTAAAATTTGTGCATGATATTGACATTTTTGAAGAGTTCAGGCTGGTTCTTCTGCACGTGTCTGATTGTTTTCCCATGACTAGACTTTGGTTAAACATTATTGGCAAGAATACTGCACAGGGTGTGGTTGTGTCATGGGTCTCAGTACATTACAGAGCAGAGGACTGGTGATGTGAATTGTTTTAAAAATTGGTGATGTTGAATTTGTTCATTTAATTAAAGTGGTGTCTACTGGATTTCCCCATCATAATCATTCCTTTTTTTCTTTATAATTAAAATATAACCAGTGATGTGCTACTTTGAGACTGCGTGAATATCCTGTTTCCCCATCTTTCTCCCAATGGTTTTAGTACCCACAGATGATTCCTTTGCGAATCATATATTACTGTGGTAGTTACGAAATGGCAATTTTCTTTCTTTCTTTTTTTTTTTTTTTTTTGAGACAGAGTCTTGCTCTGTTGCCCAGGTTGGAGTGCAGTAGCGCCATCTCAGCTAACCACAACCTCCGCCTCCCAGGTTCAGGTGATTCTCCTGTCTCAGCCTCCCAAGTAGCTGGGATTACAGGCACCTGCCACTATGCCTGGTTAATTTTTGTATTTTTAGTAGAGACAGGTTTCACCATGTTGGCCAGGCTGGTCTTGAACTCCTGACCTCAAGTGATCCACCCATCTTGTCCTCCCAAAGCGCTGAGATTATAGGCATGAACCACCACGCCCAGCCATTGAAATGGCAATTTTCTATTATTTTTTCTTTTTTTGAGACAGGGTCTTGCTCTGTCACCCAGGCTGAAGTGCAGTGGCATGATCTTGGCTCACTGCAACCTCCACCTCCTGGGTCCTGATTTTCCTGCCTCAGCCTCCTTAGCAGCTGGGATTACAGGTGTGTGCCACCAGGCTCAGCTGTTTCTTGTATTTTTAGTAGAGATGGGGTTTCATCATGTTGACCAGGCTGGTTTCTAACTCCTGTCCTCAAATGATCTGCCTGCCTCAGCCTCCCAAACTGCTGGGATTACAGGCATGAGCCACTTTGCCTGACTGACAATTTTCTATTTCTATCATTTTGTCTATGTTTATTAGTTGGCATTTTTCTATAAAAAGGACTTCCCTTCTCTTCCTAATCCCTTTAACATTTCTTAATATCAGTATGAACTCATGAATTCTATTTTATTGAGTATGAATTGCCCCAAATTTGATGAGTGGCAGCCCCCATAAACTGGTTCTTGTATCTCTTTGACACATCTTCCTCAGTTTTTGAGCACTTTTAACATTTCTGGCACAATAAGATGTTCCAGGCTCACCTGAAAATGAGCTATGCTTCCAAAGGGTCTGGTGAATGGTATTTAGAGAGCAAGATATGGGTGCTGTGTGTGCTCACTACTCTGTGGCAAAATTGCTTTTAGGGCCTTTCAATGCACAGAACAGGAAAATACTTCTGTCAAAATCATGAATTCATAATGATACCACCAACTGATACCCAATCCAATAATATAGGATCTTCCTCCTCTCCTTCCCCTAATCTATATTTGTATCTTTTTTCTCCCACAGTGAAATTCCTGGTACCTCAAAATGTCAATAGATGTTTACTCATTTGCTCATTCTTGCAATATACACAAAATGGTTCCAGAATTGCCTCACCACCAACACTATTACCAAAAGCAAGCAAACCTAGCAAGTTTAAGATTCTTTTTTTTTTTTTTTTTGGTCTTAGACTCTTAGACTCTATTCCATTGAAGGTGTATAGCCAGAATACTTTCCTGCTGTGTCCAAAAGTTGTTTGGATTAATTCTTTTTTCTTTCCAATCATGTTACCAATTCGATTATAATCAAGTTTATTCATTTCTTTCACTGTCAGGTCTCTGTTCCTCCATTCTTGTTGATTTAATTTTATTTTTTGAATATGTAAAATACCAGCATGGTTCAAAATTCAAGACAGTATGAAAGTTATACTGAGACAGGTCCCATCCCCTTTTCATTTTTTTCCAGTCCATTTCCTCAACCCTCACAGGTAACCAAATTCATTTATTTCTTATTTATCCTGTATTTCTTTTTCTTTCTTCTTTTTTTTTTTTTAACGGAGTCTTGCTCTGTCGCCAGGCTGTAGTGCAGTGGCGCGATCTCGGCTCACTGCAACCTCCACCTCCCGGGGTCAAGCGATTCTCCTGCTTCAGCCTCCCGAGTAGCTGGGACTACAGGCATGCCACCACGCCCAGCTAATTTTTGTGTTTTAGAGACGGGGTTTCACTCTGTTGGCCAGGATGGTCTCGATCTCTTGACCTTGTGATCTGCCTGCCTTGGCCTCCCAAAGTGTTGGGATTACGTGCATGAGCCACAGCACCCGGCCTCTGTATTTTTCTTTTTTAAATAAATGAATGAATATATATTTTGTCTTTATCACACAAAAGGTAGCATACTATATACAGTCTTTTTTCATTTAGTAATATAGTCTGGAAATCAGTTTATATAGTTTAACAGAAATCTTTTTTATATTTGTACCAGAGTTTATCAACCAAACTCCTATGTATGGGCCTTTAGGGTGTTTCCAGTATTTTTCTATTACAAATAATGTTGCGATGAATAACTTTGTGCACGTGTTTTCTTCTGTTGTTGGAGGTGCATTTTCAGGGTAAATTCATAGAAGCGTGATCTCTGGATCAAAGGGAAACTGCAAATGTACTTTTGCTAGATATTGCCCGTTTCCTTTCCGTAGGTAACATTTTGTACCGCCCAGGAGGGAAGGAGAGCGTGTGCTTTCCCACAACCTCTCTTGTTTGTCAAGAGTTTACATTTCTGCCAATCTGATAGGTGCAAAATAGCATCTCATATAGTTTTTTGTTTGTTTGTTTGTTTGTTTTTTTTGAGACAGAGTCTTGCTCTGTCGCCCAGGCTGGAGTGCAGTGGCCCGATCGCGGCTCACTGCAGCCTCCGCCTCCTGGGTTCACACCATTCTCCTACCTCAGCCTCCTGAGTAGCTGGGACTACAGGCGAGCGCCACCACGCCCTGCTAAGTTTTTTTTGTATTTTTAGTAGAGACGGGGTTTCACTGTGTTAGCCAGGGTGGTCTCAATCCCCTGACCTCGTGATCCACCTACCTCGGCCTCCCTAAGTGTTGGGATTACAGGCGTGAGCCACTGCGCCCAGCCGCATCTCATATAGTTTTAACATGTGCTTCTTTTTTATGAGTTGAGCATCTTTTCATGTTTTTTCTTTTCTTTCTTTCTTTTTTTTTTTTAAGACAAAAATCTCACTCTGTTGTGGAGTGCAATGGTGCGATATTGGCTTACTGCAACCTCCGCCTCCCTGGTTCAAGCAATTCTCCTGCCTCAGGCTCCTGAGCAGCGGTGATTACAGGTGTGGTGGAGGGCTAATTTTTGGTATTTTTAGTAGAGATGAGGTTTCACCGTGTTGGCCAGGCTGGTCTTTAACTCCTGACCTCAGGTGATCCCCCTGCCTCAGCCTCTCAAAGTGCTGGGATTACAGGCGTGAGCCACCACACCCAGCCTCATGTGTTCTTTTCCTTTTTAAAAATATATATAAAACTTTGGTCATAATATTGGAATTGAATTATTCATCAGGGCTGAAATAAAATGAAACAAAACTTTTTTTCCCAAAGAATCTCTATCTTGGTGGCTTCACGTACATAAGAAATAGTTTTATGATGTATTAGAGAACAATGGATTTAAAGATAAAGCATGATTTTGTAACAATATTACAAAACAGTTTGAGGCATGAAGTTAAAAAAAGTCACTATCTGAGTGGAATAAGTTCTACAGTTCTGTATTTTCTCCATGCAAATTTGGAGAAAGGTTAATGATAATCTCTTTGTCTGGTATATCACTCTATTACAAAAGGCTCTTACTTGCTTCTTTTCTTTTTTTGAGACAGTCTCCCTCAATTACCCAGGCTGGAGTGCACTGGTGCGATTTCGGTTTACTGCATTCCCAACCTCCTGGGCTCATGTGATTCTCCCATCTCAGCCTCCCGAGTAGCTGGGACTACAGGTGTATGCCACCACACCCGGCTAATTTTTGTATTTTTTGTAGAGATGGGGTTTCACCATGTTGCCCAGGCTGGTCTCGAACTACTCGCTCAAGCCATCAGCCTGGCTCAGCCTCCCAAAGTGCTGAGATTACAGGCGTGAGTCACCACGCCCTGCCCAAGAATCTCACTTTTAATACTGTGGGGCACATTGGACCCATTTTATCCCATTTTATGGATGAGAAAACTGAGACTGAGAGAGGTTTGGAGACTTGTGCAAGGCTATGTGACTAATAAGAGGCAGAGTCACAATTAGAACTCTGGGCCGGGTGCGGTGGCTCATGCCTGCAATCCCAGCACTTTGGGAGGCCAAGGCGGGTGGATCACCTGAGATCAGGAGTTCAAGACCAGCCTGGCCAACATAGTGAAACCCTATCTCTACTAAAAACACAAAAAATTTAGCTGGACATGGTGGCGGGCACCTGTAATCCCAGCTACTCAGGAGGCTGAGGCAGGAGAATCACTTGAAACTGGCAGAGGTTGTAACGTGAGCCGAGATTGCACCATTGCACTCCAGCCTGGGCAATGAGAGCAAAACTCTGTCTCAAACAAACAAACAAACAAACAAAAAAAGAAATAGAACTCCGGCTGTTTGATCAGTATTCTTCAAGTCACTAAAAATTAAACATTAAATTGTGAATTCACATCCTGGGTATTTACGTTTCAGTGGTAGTTCAGAATTTAGGGTTTTTCTTGTGTATTGATAGAAAACTCATTTTAAAAATACTGATTATGGCAATGCAGTTAGTAAGCTAAAATTTTTTCCTTCTATTACTTTTTGTCTTTTTTTAAATTTGAAGTGGAGTCGTGCTCTGTCACCCAGGCTGTCTGGAATGCAGTGGTGCAATCTCAGTTCACTGCAACCTCCACCTCCCGGGTTCAAGCGATCCTCCCACCTCAGCCTCCTGAGTAGCTGGGACTACAAGCACCCACCAGGTTTTTTGTTTTTTTTTAGTAGAGATGGGGTTTTGCCATGTTGCCCTGTCTGGTCTCTGACTCGTGAGCTCAAGTAATCCTCTTGCCTCGGCCTCGCAAAGTCCTTGGATTACAGGTGTGAGCCACTGTGCCCAACCTTCTAAGTTAATGATGTTAATTAAATATTTTTTCATTTGGGGCATGCCCAGCAACTCAGGGTAAGCCAAATTTATAGTTTATGGAGATGCTAAGTAAAGTGGAGACACAGTTTATGCATATGCAGAGGACTCATCTGCCATTTTCAGACTTTCTTGGGTGTTCCTATCAGTTTCCTGTCAGTGACTTCCTCTCTCCCTGATGGTAAAAACTAAACTTGGTAACGTGGTCTGCAGCCCCTGAGAAACCTGCTCCTTCCAACCTCCCGGCTTCATGCTGCTCATTCTCCCCAGCGTTCTTTTTGCCCTAAACACACATTGCATTCTTTCAGTCCTCCAACTTGCCACCCATATTCCTCTTCCTGGGGTGCTTTGCTCTATTTTCTTCACCTAGTTAAGGTCTCATCATTCAGTTCTCAGGCCAAGCATTGCTTATTTGTGGAAGAGGTCTCTGATCCCCCTGGCGAGGCCAGCTTCCCTGTTCATTCTCTCATTGCACCATGAGAGGGCTGCATAGCCCTCCTGACCACTGTCATTTTATAGACTTTTGTGCAGTGACTTGATTAGTGTCTGTCTTTCTCATTGGTGTGTGAATGCCAGGACTCTGGTTTTGCTCAACATGGGGTTCCACAGCCTGGCATAGTTCCTTTGCACATGGCAGGAGTTCAGCAAATATTGATGGGTGCATGACTTTGTTCATGGTTGTCTCTGTGCATCTGCACGGGGGTTCCCTCTGCTTGGCATGCCACTTACACACTGTCTCATCTCTAGATCTTTTTGCACCTTAATATTTTGAGCCTTTAGTAGAAATACATACAGTAGGTTCTCACTTAATGACCTCAATCGGTTCTTGGAAACTGTGACTTTAAGCAAAATGATGTGTGACAAAACCAATTTTTTTTAATCAACGTTATAATAAAACAATGTTGAACAAAACGATGCTATTTGAGGACCTGCTACACATAGTTCTGCTTAAAGTCGCAGTTTCCAAGAACCTATCAAAAACGTTAAGTGAGGACTTACTATGTGTTTAATCATATGATATTTTATGTAACCCAGCTAGCAGCTGAGGCCACATTGCCTTCTAGCTCTACTTCTGCCTGTATTTTTTCTGCTTTATGATCTGTCAACTTGGACACAAACCCCACTCATACTCTTAACCCACTTCCAAGCCTTTATGGGCTTAGTGGCTTTGGTGAGACTTTGAGGGGCTGTCTTCTTTATCACTGCATTGACTCTTCTTTTTTCTCTCTCTTTTAACTTTCTCTTTCCTTCAGTCTCTTCTTCCTCCTTCACTTCAGGAGTGTCACAGACATCTCACCCTTCTCAGGATAATTTTGTGGAAGCCACAGTGCCAGCCAACATCCATGACCCCATGGGTACCTCCCTGGCTGAAGTGGGCTGACCCAGGGTCTTTTCCCAACAATGATGGATCCTGTACAAGATGAATTCTGGTACCTGCTGCTAAAAGGATACAATTTCATTATTGTTATGGGCTGAATGTTGTGTACCTCCAAAATGGGTATGTTGAAATCCTAACCCCCAAGGTGATGGTATCAGGAGGTGGAGGCTTTGGGAGGTGATTAGGCAATGATGAAGAAGCCCTCTTGAATGGGATTAGTGCCCCTTTAGAAGGCACCCCATAGAACGCCCTCATTATGTGAGACACAGTGAGAAGAACCAGGAAGCAGGCCCTCACCAGACATGGAATCTATCAGTGTCTTGATCTGGGACACTCCAGCCTCCAGAACAGTAAGAAATAATAAGTTCCTGTTGTTTATAAGCCAACCAGTTTATGGTATTTTGTTATAAAAGCCAAAATAGACTAAGAACATTATGTTATATTAGAGTGATATCATATAACTGATCAAGTTTGGAGGATGTCCAGTGCCCTAGCCCATGCCGTCTGAGGAGAGGTTGATGAAGAGAATGATGAGAGGAAGTGAGAATAACTTTCTCACCTTTCCTGAGACACATTCCTCCTACCATGGTCCCATTACGGGGCCTTCCTACAATCACTTTCCAGCTTTCCCTTGTTTCCCTGTTTCTACCCTCAGACAAAGTAGTAGAATGATTACATTCTCAAGAGGTCCTGTGAGGATGCTTGGGCAAAATCAGACTCATGTCAGGCCATTTTAATTTCTAGAATCCCCGGATAGGACCTGCGGCCAGCTCAGAAAGACCTGATGGTAATGTGCCATCTTCCCTTCACAAACACTTGAGTGGGTCTGTCTAAATGTCCTAAGTGGACATTTCTGTTATCCTCAGTTTTTCTTCCAGGGTTCGTCGCATTTCTTTGTGAAAAGCTACCTTATGCAAGCATTTTGTGTGATACTGTTCAGAGTCTGAGGTTTTAGCGCTGACCCTGGAGACCGTTAGTTTTATTCTATACTAGGTGTTTGTAAGTGGGGACTTTATTTAGATAAATTGACAACAGCAAAGTGCCACCCCACTTCACCCCAACATTCATTAAGGATTTGCTGTGTCCCAGAAATTATACTCTGGTGGTTATACACATTGCCTCATTATATCCTTAAAACTGCTTTTTGAGACAGATAGGATTGTGATTCCTGTAGCAATCTTGAAACTGGACTCAGAGAGGGTAGGAAGTTTGTTCTAAGGCGCACAGCTATGACCAGCACAACTGAATCTTACCTTAACTCACATCAAAGCCTCTGAGCTTAAATATTAGGCTATTTACCATGGCTGTGAGAGACGGGGAACAAAAAACAGTGTTTAGTTAAATCAACAGCTATGTTTACACTCTCTGTATAAACAGTGCAATGTCCTCAAAGAAATCACACAAGAAGGAACAGTAACTCCTGCCAACACACTGGTAAACTTGGCTCTGCCAAAACTATTAGCTCTTGTTTTCACTCATCAATGTCTTATGTTTCTTTTGCCATCATCTTTTTTTATTCATTAACCCCAGAGCCTCAACTATCTCTCATTTAAGATAATTGTTCTTATAGTTTTCCAGAAAAACCCATTTCTCCTTTTACTTTTTCCTAGTATCTCTTCCCATAAAAGGCAATGCCCCTAAATTTGTATCATTCCAGGCATTAGAGAACCAAGCTCAGAAACACTTATAAGATTTTTAAGGTTATCGTTCTCCCCCCAAAACACATGCACATTACCTTTGCAGAGTTATTATTCAAAATATAGACTTAGAAGCTCTCTGGGCTATAGTCAGCTGGTAATTAATTATAATGACTTCAAGGTATGTTAAATTTGTACGGGGGTGGGGAGAGGGTCACTTGCAGCCTCAAGAGGACAGAGCACACCGTGAACCAGTTCTGGAACCTGCTTACAGATCTCAAAAGTTCCTGCAGCAGGAGGGCTAATGACATTCTCCCTTCTAGAAAAGCAGAGTGACTCAGGATACAGATGTTCCGCCTACCCTGCATTTGTAATTATGAGCTGGCTGTGGTACTTCCCAGGGAGTCTTTGAATCATCTGTTCTTGCAATTTATCTTGCCGCTGCTCTTTTTAGAACAATCTAGGACATGTCAGCTGAAAACATGTACCAGTTGCTTGCAAAGAAAAGAATGGCTTTTTGTGTGGGGGTGGGGGACACAGAGCGTTCTCTTCCTCCCTCTCTGCTGGGGAACATGGTAGGCAGAATGAGCTAATAATTCTCAGAGAAAAAAATATGAGCCCTGAAGAACCCCAATGCCTAGAGAGCACGAAGTGAAGGTAGCTTAATGTTAGTCCTGGTGTGTATACAATGAGGGCCAGAGCTTCAGGAAGACGTGCTAATTTCACTTTAATTAACACATACTAATGCAAAGGAGATGAACCAGAGAAACTTGAATTTGCAGGCAGACTCATGAAACAAAAGTAAACCTGGTACCTATTGTGAAATCATCTTTGGTGCAGTGTGGCTCAGGAATGTGCCACTCCTGATACTTTTTTTCATCTGCACGTGAGTGTCTGGACTCTGGATTCAGAAAAACAGATGGAACTTTAGGTCAGATGGGTTCCTGAGTCACCCCGACACAGGGGGCAGGCTGTATTTTAAAAATTTGTTGAGTATTTATTTGTACAAAGCATTCTGTAAGGC
Organism: Homo sapiens; assembly: GCF_000001405.40. Taxonomy (NCBI): domain Eukaryota; kingdom Metazoa; phylum Chordata; class Mammalia; order Primates; family Hominidae; genus Homo; species Homo sapiens. Next base: position 86,406,674 of record NC_000009.12, read on the forward strand.
ACTAAACCGTAGTTTCTGCTCTAGTCTTCTTTCAATGACGGGTTCTGGGAGGGGTGATGGAAGCAGAAGTGATAGTTATTTATGTCACAGACTTTGAGAGCAAAAACGTACTTCAGAGGAATGCTTCTCAAAGATTTCTCAAATGCAGGTTCATGGACTAGTGATAATTATGAAATTAACAATTTGGACAAAATGAGAGACAAAGAAACAAGGTGAGCTTTGTATAAAGCTAAATGTGTTCAGTTGAAAAAATTTTTTTTCTTTAGAACATGTGTCCTACTTTTCTTATTTTTAAAAGACCATTTCATGGTGATTTTAGGGGAATAAGACCATTCTCCTTTACCCTCTCATTTCTGCCCCCTTTTCTGCCAGAGGAGAAGCACCTCAAGAAACTGACATCCAGATGGGAATCAAAGTCCCATTTTTGACCTAGTTAAGCCCTGCTTCCAGGCCAGCTCTCGTGAAGCTGCGATATGGACTTTTAGTTGGCAGGCCTGAGGGCAGCCTTCTACTTTCTCCCCTGAAACCAGATTCAGACAGGTCCCTTCTACAAGGTCCTTCTGACTCATTCCTGGTCACGGGCAGAGGGGGTGGAGCAGAAAGTGAATTACAGATTTGCTGAGGTCAGCCCTGCTCAGCTTGCTGGCTACACAAAGATAAAGACATTTACAGGTAACACTGACTCTGTACCTTGCCCACTGGGGAACCATGCACTGTGATGCCAGCCCTCACTCATCAGATTCAGTACTTCTCTTCCTTTTGGATGGCAGGGAAGTGGAGTGGAAGCTTTCCTCCCCGCATTGGTCTAGAGGTAGAAGTGTGCGGGGAGGAAGATCTTTCCTCCATGGATCAACATGGGGAATGCAGGGGGGTGCTGGGTAAGCTGCGGTATTCACTAAAAGAGCCTCAAGAAGCCTTGAATTTCATTGCAACCTGCCAGCATTGGATAGCTTAGAGTTATCCAAAGAATCATAAGTGTTCTTAATTCCACAGCTGGGCTAAGAAGGATTTTTTTTTTATTGAAGATTAAAGTGTTAAATGCTGGTAAAATACACATAACATAAAATTTACCACGTTAATCATTTTTAAATCCACAGTTTAATGGCATTAAGTACATTCACATTGTTATGCTATCATTGCTACTATCCAAACTGAAACTCTATGCCCATTAAACAATAACTCCCCATTCTCATCTCCTCCCAGTTCCTGACAACCATTCTGCATGTCTTTATGATTTTTTTGTTTTTTTTTTGAGACAGGTTTCACTCTTTTGCCCAGGCTGGAGTGCAGTGGCACGATCTTGGCTCACCGCACCCTCAACCTCTGGCCACAAGTGATCTTCTCATCTTAGCCTTCTAAGTAGCAGGGACTATAGGCATGTGCCACTATGCCCAGCTAAATTTTTGTATTTTTTGTAGAGGTGAGGTCTTACCATGTCACCCAGGCTGGTCTCAAACTCCTGAGCTTGAGCAATCTGCCTGCCTCTGCCTCCCAAGGTGCTAGGGTTATAGGTGAATACCACTGCACCCAGACTTCTCTATGAATTTAACTGCTCCAGATTCCTCATGTAAGTGGAATTGTGCAGTATTTATCTTTCTGTATCTGGCTTATTTCGCTTAGCCTAAGTCCTCAGGGTTCATCAATGTTGTAGCATGTGTCAGAATGTCCTCCCTTTTTAAGACTGAGTCATATTCTATTGCATGTATTTAACTGTTTGTTCTCTAAGGGATTTGAGACAAACCCTCAGCATGGTAGCCAGTACCTGCCACATTAATATGAATAGTTCTGGGAATGGCCTAAAGTTTTGTGGGCAATTCTAGCATCTTCCTGAGCACAGAGCTGGAGAGTGCACAGAGGCCCAGGGTAAATTCTGTATCTCTGCTGAGAAACAGCTATTGCAACCAAGAAAGAGGTATGGGGTGCCTACCCAGTCCCTGGGCACTATTTCAGTGGCTGCTCCCTTAAGATCCCTCCCATTGGAAGCTCGCTTGTGGATTGTACCTCAAACTATTGGCTTGCTCTTGAAAGTGCCTTTTGTGCTGGTGGGATCCTACAATCCTCTGTCTGTAGCACTTACGAAAGAGACAGTTTTGCTGTCAGGATTATGTTCTTGAGAAGTTTCTACTATACCCCAAATCAAGTGAGAGAAAATGTTGAACCTTAATGTCTTCAGCCTTTAATTTACCAAAGTCAAAGGATTTCATCTTTAGACTTCAACCTCTCTTTGAAACTGTAATCACTGATGTGAGTTTATGTAAATTTGGGCATTTTTGTGTGGTTGGCTTTGCCTTATTTGGAACATTTTAGACTTTCATGTGGTGTTTATTATAAAATGTCATGAGTTATGTTGGGTATTAGGTGGAATATAATTGGAGATGGAAAATTTAAAAAGCAATGAATTTTGGCTTTCAGTGTGTGCAGTCTTGAAGTTTTCTTCTTTCTTTTTTTCCATTTTATTTTATTTCATTTTATGTTTTTAGAGACAGAGTCTTGCTATGTTGCCCCAGCTGGTCTCGAACTCCAGGGCTCAAGTGATCTTCCCACCTCAGCCTCCTGAGTAGCTAGGACTACAGGCATATACCATCATGCCCAGCAAAGTTATCTTAATTCTGTCCTTACTGATTTCAGAGCCTTCTGGGGCAATAGCTGAGCTGCCCATTTTACAGATCCCAGAAGCAGACACAAGGAGAAGCATGGGATGGGAGTAGGGCTCAGCTTTGTGGAGGTGGAAGGGGCACTGCTCTGAGATTACTCTGCCCACTGGCTTCAGGTGTGTTTATGAAATCTCACTGATGGAGAGATGCCAGCTAGTGTCTCCTTAGTCTGCCTTAAGAGACCCTCTGTTACTCTGCAGGCATTAGGCACTTGACCAATCCACTAATAAAGTTGTTTTTTTTTGATCTTCATCTGGATCTCAGTGTCAATTCTCCACTGGTTGGAACCAGCGTGGGAGGAGGGATGATCAGAGTTGTTATCTTTAATGTATTTCTTTTTTTCTTTTTCTTTTTTTTTGAGATGGAGTCTTGCTCTGTAGCCCAGGCTGGAGTACACTGGTGCAATCTTGGCTCACTGCCACCTCCATTTCCCGGGTTCAAGCAATTCTCCTGCCTCAGCCTCCTGAGTAGCTGGGATTTCAGGTGCCCGCCACCATGCCCAGCTCATTTTTGTATTTTTAGTAGAGATGGGGTTTCACCCTGTTGGCCATGCTGGTCTTGAACTCCTGACCTCAAGTGATCTGCCAACCTCGGCCTCCCAAAGTGCAGGGATTACAGACATGAGCCACCACTCCTGGCCCTTTAATGTATTTCAAACAACAAAGAGTTGGCAAGCCCATGTGAATTCCCAAAATTAATTCTTTTTTTCTTTGAGATGGAGTCTCGCTCTGTCGCCCAGGCTGGAGTGCAGTGGCGCGATCTTGGCTCACTGCAAGCTCTGCCTCCCGGGTTCACGCCATTCTCCTGCCTCAGCCTCTTGAGTAGCTGGGACTACAGGCGCCCGCGACCACGTGCAGCTAATTTTTTGTATTTTTAGTAGAGACAGGGTTTCACAGCATTAGCCAGGATGGTCTCGATCTCCTGACCTCGTGATCCACCCGCTTTGGCCTCCCAGAGTGCTGGGATTACAGGCGTGAGCCACATCACCCGGCCAATTAATTTTTTTTTTTTTCAAACTGATCCATGGACTCATCTTCTGGAATCCACTGCCTTAAAGATCATGCAAATCTATGTGCTCATTTTACAAAAGAGGAATGTGAAGCCCAGGGAGTTTATTTAACTTGCTGATGGGCACAGATGGTGATCAAGCTGTGCTCAGAGCTGCAAGCTGTTTCCATCAAACCTGCTAGAAGCCTCCAGCTGAGATTAGGGCCCCGGCCACATTCACCTCCTAGGATTTGCAGTGGTGTAAAACGTGCCCCAGGATGTGCAGTGGTCTGGGGGAAGGCGGGAGAGACCCCTGGACCTGTGCTGGCATAGCTACCATGTCCATGACACTGGGAGGCTAAGATGGAGAGGAAAACAAGATGAGTCCAGCTTCCCTACTCAAAAGCCACAAAACAGTACAGTCAAGGACAATCCTGGTCTCATCTACACTATAGGCATTTCAGGAGGACCAAATTAGGTAACCAAGATGTGGGTGCTTGAAAAATTATGATGTATAATCTGAAAGCAATGTTAGCATCAGGCTACCGAGACAATCTTGTGTGGGCCAAGTGTGGAATCAGCATCATCATTTTATAAGCATGCTTCATGGGCCAGGTTTTCACATCAGCCTTGATATCTCCATCCAAAGCAAACTCACCCATTCATACTGGAGAAAAACTCTTCTTGATTTTTATGTAGTGAACTGAGATTCCTCTAATGCCTCACAAAGATATTTTTCCAATTTCAGATGGGAACCTGTCTTCCTTAAACTTTTCCTTTTTATAGCCCCCTGTAAAGATTTTGATATCATCTCATGTAATCTTCTTATTCCCAATTTTTTAAATGAGTTCTTTAGAGTTCTTCATTATACTGTGAGTAGAAAATTCCAAGTTATCAGTTTATCTGTTTTAGCCAAGGATTGAAAAGACATTTAGTATAATTTACAAGGAGGAAAATGTAAGGAAATAGGAGATTTTAACTAGATATTAAATAGAAGGAAACAAAACAACCTTTACAACTGCTTTTCTTGCTTTAGAATATTATTTTTAAGATTTAGCCTGAAATTGAGAATCAAGAGCTTATCTGGTTTGCTTTATGGTTTCTAAAAATTCATTTGATTCTAACATTACATGGTTCCTATTGGTATTTCTGTTTTTGATGGACAGATAATGTGCTGTAATGTCTACTCATGTAATATCTAGTGTTGCATGATTCCTCTCCATCTCTCTGTTTTTGAGAAACAGAAGCAATGTTTATTTGAGTGGAAATATGATTTCAAATCATATTTCAAAGACTTCAAATAACTGATAGTGCTCATCTCCCCAGAGGGAATCATGAGTCAAAGGTCAGGGAGTAGCCTGTGAATGAAAATGTGCTGTGCCCACAAGAAAAGATGTCAGTCACAAAGCGAAACTAACACCGCAAATATAAGGGGGTCTTCAAAAAGTCCATGAAAAATATGTATTGTGAAAAAACTGTGCATGGATTTAAAATTCTTTTTTTACAGCAAATAAACTTGTACTAATTTATTATAATATATCTGAACAGGGTCTAGTTTGAGGCACTAAGGAGGATAATGCATCCGTTTGAAAAGAGTCCTTATAAGAGAAACATGGATTCTGCTAAAATTCAAGCAAGAACAGACATCACATTTGTGGTGAAGCTTGGGTGGAAGAATGGTAACATCACTGATGCTTTACAAAAAGTTTATGGAGAAAATTCTTCAAGTGATAATTTTACAAATGAATAACTTGTTTTAGGAAAGGACAGGGCCGTGTGAGGTGGCTCACGCTTATAATCCCAGCACTTTGAGAGGCCAAGGATGATTGCTTGAGGCCAAGAGTTTGAGACCAGCTTAGGCAACAAAGTGAGACCCTTTCTCTACAAAAAATAGAACATTTACCTGGGTGCGGTGGTGCATGCCTACAGTCTGAGCTACTTGGGAGGCTGAGGCAGGAGGATTGCTTAAGCCCAGGAGTTTGAGCCTGCAGAGAGTTACAATGGTGCTACTGCACTCCGACATGGGTGACAGAGTGAGACCCTGTCTCTTAAAAGGAAAAGGAAAAGAAAGGACAACATTGTTGAAGATGAAGCCTGCAGCAGCAGACTATCCACATCAATTTGCAAGGAAAAAATTTTCTTGTTCATACCCTAATCAACAATACAAACAATAGCCATCATCATAGACAAAGGAACATCATTATTAGGACTGAAAATTAACAGCACAAACAATAGCCAACATTCTCGACATTTCAACTGGTTCAGTTTACACAATTCTGACTAAAAAATTAAAGTTGAACAAGCTTCCCGCTCAATGGGTACCAAAACAGTTGTGCCTGGGTCAGCTGTGGACAAAAGCCGAGCTTTCCGTGGAAATTTTAAATACATAGGATCAAGATCCTGAAGCATTTCTTCAGACTAGTAACGGGAGATGAAACATGGCTTTACCAGTATGGTCCTGAAGACAAGGCACAATCAAAGCAATGGCTACCAAGAGGTGAACGTGGTGCAGTCAAAGCAAAAGACGATGGGTCAAGAGCTGAGGTTATGGCAACAGTTTTTTGGGATGCTCAAGGCATTTTGCTTGTTGATGTTCTGGACAATAACATCTGACTATTATGAGAGCATTTTGAGAAAGCTAGCAAAAGTTTTAGCAGAAAAACTCCTGGAAGAGCTTCACCAGAGAGTCTTTCTCTACCATGACAATGCTGCTGCTCATTCCTCTCAGCAAACAAGGTCAATCTTGCAAGAGTTTTGATGAGACATCATTAGGTGCCTATCCTCCAGTCCTGATTTGGCTCCATCTGACTTCTTTCTGTTTTCTATTCTTAAAAAAATCTTTAAAGATCACCCATTTTTCCTCAGTTAATAACATAGAAAAGACAACATGAACATGGTTAAATTCCCAGGACCCTCAGTTCTTTAGGGATGGACAAAATGGTTGGTATCATCACTTAGAAAAGTATCTTGAACTTGATGAAGCTTATGTTGGGAAATAAAGTTTATATTATTTATTTATTTATTTATTTATTTATTTATTTATTTATTTAAGACAGAGTCTGGCTCTGTCGGCCAGGCTGGAATGCAGTGGCACGATCTTGGCTCACTGCAATCTCCACCTCCTGGGCACAAATGATTCTTGTGCCTCAGCCTCCCGAGAAGCTGGGATTACAGGCACACACCACCACACCTGGCTAATTTTTGTATTTTTAGTAGAGATGGGGTTTCACCATGTTGGCCAGGCTGGTATTTTTATCTTTTAATTCTTTTTTTTTTTTTTTTTTGAGACGGAGTCTTGCTCTGTCGTTTAGGCTGGACTGCAGTGGCATGATCTTGGCTCACTGCAACATCTGCCTCCCAGGTTCAAGTGATTCTCCTACATCAGCATCCTGAGTAGCTGGGATTACAGGTGTGCACCATCATGCCTGGCTAATTTTTGTATTTTTAGTAGAGACCGGGTCTCACCTTGTTGGCCAGGCTGGTCTTGAACTCCTGACCTTAGGTAATCCTCCTGCCTTGGCCTCCCAAAGTGCTAGGATTACAGGCGTGAGTCACCGTGCCTGGCCCCCATGACCTTTTCGAAGTCCCCTAGTATGCCTTTACACCCATTTCTAGAATGATTCCCAACATTCCTTCATTTATTCCTTTATTTATTGAATAAATAATTATTAAATGCTTGTCATGTATGTTCCAGGCTTTGCTCTAGTAATTTCGGATATATCAATGAACAAAGCAGGAAAGAAAAAAAAAAAAGGCAAAATCTCTGCCTTCCGGGAGCTCACATTCCCACAGGAGTCACAGGAAACAGCCAATGACCAGTAAGCATCACAAAGAAGTCATGCCAAAGAACCAGACAAATAGCTGGAAGGAAGAGGGGAACTCCTTTGTGACGCCAAATGGGCCAAAGGGTCGCTGGGAAAACTAAGCCTTACTGTCCATCTTGCCTTCAGGATAATGTGAAATATGGCCTAATTTTTGAAGTTTTTTTCTTAGAAATTTTACTGAATCCAAAATAAAACAAGAAGATCATGGTGGATATAGCTTCCAAATTTATTCTGCAATAAAACAGGTTTGAATCTAGATATACAAGCAAATAGCAAATAATATACATTCTTTTTTGCAGAGTCCAGAATTCTCTTTTCTCAACACTAGATGGCAGTAGAGTTAAAGAAAAAAATCCCAGCAGTTCTTTGTACAGGGATTTGGTGATTTTTCCCATAAAGCTGCGATGAGGATGAACTCAGAGCAAAATCTATGTAAGTAGAAAGTTAAATTACAATAGAGGTGTGAAATGATGCTTTAACATGTCACACGCTCATTTTGGCAAAATGTGTTTGGGGCAGAACTCTCTCTCTCCCTCTCTCTGTCTTTCTCTGCCTGTGTGTCTTTACAGGGTAAGCCTAGACAGAATTAGAGAACCATTAACTCTGACTCCTAATACATGATGTTAACTTTAGGTTGGTGAAAAGTCAACTTAACTTTTTTTTTTTTGGGGACGGAGTTTCGCTCTTGTTGCCCAAGCTGGAGTGCAATGGCGCGATCTCAGCTCACTGCAACCTCTGCCTCCCGGGTTCAAGCGATTCTCCTGCCTCAGCCTCTAGAATAGCTGGGATCACAGGCGTGCACCACCAAACCTGGCTAATTTTTTGTATTTTTAGTAGAAACGGGGTTTCACCATGTTAGCCAGGCTCGTCTCAAACTCCTGATCTCAGGTAATCTGTCCACGTCAGAGTCCCCAAGTGCTGGGATTACAGGCATGAGCCACCACGCCCAGCCAAGTTAACTTAACTTTATCCTTTAAAATTGCTTCTGGGTTTGTTAACTTTTTTTGATGCCATTTAACTGGTCCGCTCAAGATTGGTTAGGTCTCAGAGGACATTTAGTGTGAAAATGGGAAACTCTGAGGAAGTCAGCTTTTCAGTGGTGTTCAAATGTTTTAGCAAGAAGTTCAAGAGTAATGTCAAGATGCTCAGAATATAACACTAACAATAATGAATGCGTGGGAGAGGGGGAGATGAAGCAACTGTATTCAGCTGCTAACATTGATGAACCTGGGCAGAGGGTGTATGGTGTTCATCCTACTATTCTCGTAACTTTTTCATAATTTTAATTTTTTTCAAAATAGAAAATAGAAACAAGTTATCACAAAATGTGTAGCTTAATGCCTACAGGTAATAGATGCATAGAAGGAATTACTATGTAGCATAATCACAACTACAGCAAATACACCGAACATATGAGTCTAAGAAGTCCTGGATGAGATGGATCTTTCTAGAAGGCCAAGTCTTGACTAGTGACTGGGCCCTGGTCTGGTATTCATTCGTTCCATCATCCAAGTGATATTTATGGAAAAACTACTAAGTGTGAGACTATGAATAGGGGTTACTGCAGTGAACATCGTAGACAAAGTCTCTGCTCTCCTAAAGCTCACATGCAACTGGAAAGACAGAAAAAGGCAAATAGGCATTTAATAGATTGGGTGGTGATAAGTACTAGAAAGAAAACAGAAGCAGGAAGTTAAGATAGAGAGTGACAGGGTATTACTTTTACTTTAAATAGGGCGGTCAAGGTAGGACAGCCTCTCTGAGGAGGGGACATGGGAGCAGAGCCCTGAGAAGTGAGGTGTGTGGACTTTGTTCATATCTGGGAAGGATGTTCCAGGCAGAGCATGTGCCTGAAGAGCCAGAAATGGGCAAGCAGCGAGTGTGACTTCAATGAAGTGTGGGTGGGAGTCAGGTGGAAGTTAAGAATGGACAGGTACTAGAGCCAGATCTGGCTGTGTGGGCCAGCAAGTCAACACACATTGAAAATAAAAGCATCATTAATGCCTAACATCTATTATCAAATAGCTTTGTTTGGAAAATGGTTTGGTGGTTTCTCGAAAAGTTAAACAGCAATTCCACTTCTAGGTATATATACTCAAAAGAGGTAAAAGCAGTGTCCCACACAGATACCGGCACACTCACGTTTATAGCAGCATTATTCACAAAAGCCGAAAGGAGGAAGCAAACTAAGTGTCCATTGAATGATGAGTGGATAAGCAAAAGGTGATAGAGACATAGAGCAGAATATTATTGAGCCTTAAGAAGGAATGAAATTCTGATACATGCTACGACATTGATGAAGCTTGAACATATTAAGCTAAGGGAAATAAGCTGGACACAAAAGGACAAATACTATATGATTCCTCTTATATGAAGTACTCAGAATAGGCAAATTTGTAGAGACAGAGAGTAGAATGGAGGTTACCAAGGGCTGACAGGAGTGGGCAATGGGGATTAACGTTCAATGGGTATAGAGTTTCTATTTGGGATTGAGAAAAAGTTCTGCAGATGAATGGTGGTGATGGTTGCACAACACTGTGAATTTATTTGATGCCATCAAATTGTACATTTAAAATGGTTAAGATGATGTTTGTATTATGCATATTTTATACAACTAAAAACTTGATTTTTCTTATTCATATTATCTACTTTATCCTCTCAAGGTAACTAATTTATAAGGACTTTAAGATATGAAATGCTTTTTCCAGCAATATTTTCATTTTTTATCATGTTTTCTTTTTCTTCCCCTCAAAAGTAAAACATAGTGACACAACAAAATAGCATTATCTATACTCATGATCACCAAGACCTTTTCTTAAGAAGACAATACATTAATAGATTAAAATCACATTAAGAAATACTTATTTATAAGGGTAAAGGATTGGAAACAAATGAAATGTCCATCAATTGAGAAATAGTTAAAACCTTTTAACCATTTGTTCCATAGAATATTATGTGTCCATTAACATGATGATGACATGTGAAAATGTTTATGGATGAATTTTAAATTAAAATGTCAAGCTATAAAATTTTATATGGAGTAAGATCTCATCTTGGTTGGAAGAAAAACACATTCTGGAGGAACTAAAAATAAAAGGTAATTTGTCAAGATGCAAAAGGTGCTAATCTCTAAGTGTGAGATATTATGGATGATATTTATTTTCATTATATTTTTATGTATTTGCATCACCCCCAGTTTTTATTATGAAAACAGGGAGAAAATGCAAATACATAAAAACATACAGAAAATTTGAAAGATTAATACAATGAACATCCATATACCCTCCAATTAGATTCAATAATTGTTAATGTTTTCCCATATATAGTTTTTTAACAGCCCAGATATCCCCAAGTTCTCATACTTTCTCTATCATCTATGTATTAATTATCTATCTATCTATCTATCTATCTATCTATCTATCTATCTTCTATCCATCCATCCACTCATCTGTCCATATTAGGAGTTGACAAATCATGGTTCAAGGCCAAATTTGGGCCATCACTTGTTTTTGTACAGCTCTTAATTAAAAAGGAGTTTTACATTTTAAACAGCAACATTTTATCTGGTTATATAGGTACCTATAAAACAGCTTTGAATTTGCTTCTTGATCTTCATAGCCTAAAATATTTACCATCTAGTTCTTTACAGAACAAATTTGCCAATCCCTGATCTACACACACACCCACACCCACCCACCCTCCAAAATTTACTGAACCATTTGAAAGCAAGTTGCAAACATTATAACATTTCTACCTCACATACTTCATTATGTATCTCCTAAAAACAAAGTAATATTCCCACTTAACTATAACACTATCACACCAAAGAAAATGAACTATGATTTCACAATATCATAAATACCCTTCTATATGCAAATTTATGTGATTGTATTTGCAAGTTTTACAAAATGAAATGCGTACCTTTATAATAATAAATAGCAAATCTCTTATTAAAAGTCATATTTTTATAATCAACGTGAATTTTTAGCGTCAGTTTTCTTATTCAAGGAATTTAGGAAAGCTGCTCTAAACAGCTGATCCCCTGGACATTTCAGATCAAAACTTAATGTGTGTTCAGGTCAAACAGCTCATATTCTATAAAGCATTTAGTACTGGTAGTGGTGGTACTGTTTGCTGTAGATGTTGGCAGGAAAGGTCAGGTTGTTGTGTACTCTTTTCTTTGTGTTCAAAAAAGTAATATCTAATATCCCTGAGAATTTTTAAAGCTGAGTGACTTGTACTTGGTAGTTTGTTTCACTATTCTTTCAACCATTTTGGTGTACGATTATAAATTTCCATAATAAAAAAGTACATATACATCAGTATGATAATAGACTTGATTTATGACCTACATATACTAAGACAATGGCATTTAAAATATGTCAGAACCCTGAAACTTAGATGCAAAAATTGCATATGTGTTTGTATGCAAAAATTGTATGTGTGTGAAAATTGTATGTATGAATCTTTTATTTTAGCATAAGTAACAGCAATTGTCAAACAAAACACAGAAAGAAAGATTGGCTTAAATTTTGAATGGATTTTGAGAAAAGGCTACTTCATCCTTTAAGAGTCTTGTTTTTGTAAACATTTCATTTTTTTGTGGGATGTGAATCATGTGTTGGAATCACCTGATTTAGCTGTGGTATAACTAAGTCTGGAAGGTTTTGGGGATACTCTGTTTTTAAAATTCCCCACCACCAATCATGATTATGGTTACATGAGATACGTGTCCTGAAGAAAGAGATCTGTGTCCCAAAGCTCTGGAGTTACTTAAACCATGTACTTTGTAAGCTCATCTTTGCTCTGTTTGAGCCATAATGTTATGTCTGCTTTCACCACAATCACATGGCTGTGGAACTGGCAGGTCAGGCCCTCTTCCAGTGTGCTACAGTGTAGAATCTGCTTTATAAAGTAAGTTGAAAGATTCAATATGTTTCTTCTCCTTGCTTTAAGAAGAGCTCAAAGATAAACATTCTAGCATATATATATTTTTTTTAAGTGGAGATTGGGCCAGGCGCAGCGCTCATGCCTATAACCAGCACTTTGGGAGGTTGAGGCAGGAGGATGGCTTGAGCTTAGGGTTTCAAGACCAGCCTGGGCAAAATAGCTGTCTCTATTAAAAAAAAATAAAGTGGAGATAATCATGCTGTGTTATTTAGTAAGGAAACATTTGATAATATAACATTTGGAAAACAGTGATAGTGAGCCCTTGAGAACTCTAATGGCTCAAAATGTAGTACTGTTGTATTTTTACAAATATAAAACATATAGGATTTTAATATGCTCAATGAGATATCAACAGAAAAGTTACTATGGAGTATTAAATCCAGAGCAGCCAGATGCACTTGAATTAGCATAAAAATAACCCATTCTTTTGGAAAGAAGTTGTGGCAAAATATTTTGTTCTGATTGAGTAGGAAGTGTACATTTATTACTTCTTCTTTGTATGCTATCCTTATTTTATGATAACATAATTTTGGCCTAGACTATGTAATTTGGCCCTTCTTTATTATATCAATATATAATTTTGTTTTTCTTTCTGTTTGGTTTCATGTGAGTTCATGAAGCAGCTTTTCACTTGTCAATGTCATTTCTCTAACATGTGTCTTTTTTCCTTCATTCTTTCATTATACATTTATTGATCACCCATTTATTGATTTTATTGTAGTAGTTATGTTCTATGAATTAGTGAATACTAAACAATTGGTCGTAGGAGAAATACAAGGTTAGATTCCTTTAAATCTCTGGTCACTTTTTTTTGTCAACCAATCAATACATAACCTTGTGTTATGTGTGTTTCTGTTTAATGACATCTTATTTAATATCTGTTTGATTTACTGACATTGAACTCATGGCCAACAGTGCTGTAACTTGTGCCTGAACAAAGCTTGTCTAACACATATATTTTCTCTGTAAATAACATCACAGCCTTCTTGTGCTTTGGCATGCTGGACAACACTTCATCACTATACTCAGGGCCATTTAAAACAGTGAAATCACCAACAAAAAGCATAAATTGTAAAAAATATGGCAATAGACAGACTGCAGGAAGAACACTTGTTTATGGTATGAGAGGTGGAACAAGGCAAAACAAAGCCTTGCTTTATGTCCGCTGGAAACTTGCACATTGAGGGTTTCAACTTTTCACTGCTCTGTACATGCACATGTCCACAAAAGTGCACTAAACATGGATTTGAAAGTGACAAATAAATTTTGGTGAATTCTCAAATATGGAATTTGTGAATAATGAGGCTTGGCTGTATTTGCAGTTACTCTGCTAGGTTCTGGGAACTCAATGATGAACAAGACTGAATTCTTCGCTCAAGCAGCTCAAAATCAATTTCAGAGGAGGGATGCAAACATACCTAAATAGAATTCAGTGCAATAACCACTGTAATTGAGCTATAAGCAAGAAGTTATATGAATTTTTGGGAAAAAGCACTTAACTCTCTAGTACTTATCATGGAATGATGAGAAAACCAATCAACTTGGAAGTCAGGCCTGGGCCAATTTTGGCCCTGTCCCCTCATGAGTGTATGGCTACACTTTAATCTAAGTCCTTTAAAATTTTGATTCTCAAACTACTCACTGAGAAGTGAAGATGGTAACACCCACCCTTCAGCACAACTGTGATGAAAGCATCTAATGCTGTGCTTGGAAGATAGTTAAGTCCCCAGTTAAAGACTTAGGTTTGAAGAAGTAAAGGGCAGCTTTACAGAGGAGATGACATTTGAGCTGTGCCTTGAAGCATGAGAAGGATGTCCACTGCTGGGAAGGAGAGCTTTGGGCTTGTAAGCCCTTTGTAGTTTTGTTCTTTATCATGCTCTGATCTAGCCAAGTGAGGTGCTAGGAACATAATAGTTACTCAGTAAATAAATGCTGACAGCTTGGGTGAGTAAAGGGTGAAGGATCCCTTTTTGATCTCTTTGATACCTGCTTTTTTGTTAGGCCACCTATTTTCATAGCAACACGTATTCTTGGTACATTATATATCAATCTTTGGAGATTTAGTCTGTAGAATTTTTTTTTTCTTTGAGATGGAGTCTCGCTCTGTTGCCCAGGCTGGAGTGTAGTGGTGTAATCTTGGCTCACTGCAACCTCCACCTCCTGGGTTCAAGTGATTCTCCTGCCTCAACCTCCTGAGTAGCTGGGATTACAGGCATGCACCACCACGCCTGGATAATTTTTTTTTTTTTGGATTTTTAGTAGAGACAGGATTTCGCCATATTGGCCAGGCTGGTCTTGTACTCCTGACCTCAGGTGATCCACCTGTCTCAGCCTCCCAAAGTGTTGGGAGTACAGGCGTGAGCCACTGCGCCTGGCCTAGTCTGTAGAAATTGAACAAGAGAAAGTACATAATTTAGCTAGGAGTTGTATCCTCCCAAAATTGATTTTGAGTAAAAAATGTGGCTGGAAAATGAAAGACATGTGTCTTAGTTCATTTTGTGTTGCTACAAAGGAATACCTGAGGGTGGGTAATTTATAAAGAAAAGATGCTTATTTGGCTCACGGTTCTGCAGGCTCTACAAGAAGCATGGTGCCAGCTGTCTTCAACAATCAGTACTTGTGGGGACTAATAAAGTGAGAACTCACTACTATGAGGATGGCAACAAGCCGTTCATGAGGGATCCGTTCCCATCATCCAGACACCTCCCACCAGGCCCCACCTCCAACACTAAGGATCAAATTTCAACATGACACTAGACGGGGTCAAATATGTGAACTATAGCAACATGATAAGAAGGAAAAAAAAGAAAAAGAAAAAGATGAGAAAATTTATGTGTGTGTGTGTGTGTGTGTGAGAGAGAGAGAGAGAATGCTTAAGGGAGACAGGTGACATGTAACAATATGGATAAATCTTAGCAATGTAATATTAAGTGAAATAGTAATTCCCCCAAGAACATATGCAAACCTACAATCTGGAGACACGAGGTAGCACTGTAACCAAGAGGTCAAAGCTAATATCACCAACAAGGGGCCTCTGAATGTGATTTCCTAAGAAGAACATAGCACCACTTCTGTGATATTTCTGCCCAAAATGCACAACCTGATTTCCATCAAAAGGGAACATCAGGAGAACATAAATTGAGGCACATTAATAAAATACCAGTCACAGACATGTTAAAACTCCTGAAATTCACAATGTTAATGTCACAGAAAGGCTGGAGAAATGTTTCAGATTAAAGAAGACTGAAGAGACACAACAATTGAACATAATATGTGATTCTGGACCAGATTATGTCCTTGAAAAAATTGCTATAAAAAGTATTGTTGTGACAATTGACAAAACTTAAACATGGACTATATATAAGATACAAGTATGGTATCTATGTTAAATTTCCTCATTTGTGGTTATATAAGCATTGCCTCGTTCTTAGGAAATACACATGGATATATTAAGGAGTAAAAAAGTAAGATATATGTAACCTATTTTCAAATGATTTGTAGAATAATATATATTATATATTCATATAATTAATATATTTATATTACATATAATACTATATTATGTTATATTACCATATATTATAATTGTATATTGTGGTAAAGCTATTATAGAGTTGTTTATATTATCCTTGCAACTTTTCTGTAAGTTTGAACTTATTTTATTTTCATTTTTTTTTTTTTTGAGATGGAGTCTCACTCTGTCACCCAGGCTGGAGTGCAGTGGTGAGATCTCGGCTCACTGCAACGTCTGCTTCCTGGGTTCAAGTGATTCTCCTGTCTTAGCCTCCCAAGTAGCTGGGATTACAGGCACACACCACCACGCCTGGCTAATTTTTTTTTTTTTTTTTTTTTTGGTGCACCATTCCTGGAAGTACTGCAATACCAGGTCAATGCATGGAGTGGATGGGGTAAGCTCCTATTCCATCTCCTATTTCCAAAAATCCATTTAATATATTGTCCTCAGATAGAGAATATATCAGATATTAAACTGATAAGAACAGATACTACACCCGATCTTAGCCAAAAGGCTGAGAAGTGATGCCTGGCTAATTTTTGTACTTTTAGGAGAGACAGGGTTTCACCATGTTGGCGAGGCTGGTCTCGAACTCCTGACCTCAAGTGATCTGCCAGCCTTGGCCTCCCAAAGTGCTGGGGTTACAGGTGTGAGCCACTGCACCTGGCCTGAACTTATTTTAAGATAAAAGGTAAAAAATAATCTGTAAAATAACACTAGAAACAAAGAAAAAGAGTACATACAACGCTACATCTTTTTACAAACCTAAAAAACTAGAGTAGTTTAGATAGAATAGTTGAGTAGCTGGAATTAAGCCATAGAATGAGAAAGGAGGGCATGGAGCCCAAGACTCAGCAAGCCGGTTACTCTGGGTGGGGTGCTTGCCGGTGGGGTAGCCAGCCACCAAATAGATTGCTGGAGGACATTGTTAAGCTCATTTTTTTTTTTTGAGACTGAGTCTCACTCTGTCACCCAGGCTGGAGTGCAGTGGCGCGATCTCGGCTCACTGCAACCTTCGCCTCCCAGGTTCAAGCGATTCTCCAGCCTCAGCCTCCCAAGTAGCTGAGACTACAGGCATGCGGCCACCACGCCCGGCTAATTTTTGTATTTTTAGTAGAGATGGGATTTCACCATGTCGGCCAGGATGGTCTCGATTTATTGACCTCATGATCCACCCGCCTCAGCCTCCCAAAGTGCTGGGATTACAGGCGTGAGCCACTGTGCCCGGCGAGATCCTCATTTGTGTTTCAGTGGTTGTCAGATTGATGGAAGGTTATTACATTACTAAAATCAAGCAATCAGAAAAAAACATGAACCAACTAATAGAGGACCATGCATGGGACCTAGCGAGACTGCCATGACACACACAATGTGATTAATCTGTTTGTTTTCATCTGAGGCCAACACAAAAAGAAAATACAGAAAGAGAGGGAGTAGGAGAAGAGAGATGGGGGTAGAGGGAAAGAAAGAAAGAGACTGGGAAATCAAGGAGTAGGGAAAGAAAAGTGCTTCAGGTTTTTTGAAGGAAAATAATAAAACAACTCTGGAGATAATAAACTGGAACGACAGAGTGGGAAAAGATGTAGCAAATTTTCAAGAGACGATAAGAATGGATTGGAGGAAGCTGAAAGACCAAGGAATGGGAATGCTGAGGCAGAAAAAAGACTAAGTAGTATTTCTGAGCCGCAAGAGGGACACTCTGTCTCCACAGAAGGGTGTCAGCCAGAGGGCTGGATTCCAGGAAAGGGTGATGTGGTTAAACAACAGACCAAGGTTTGGTCTAAAGGAAGGCTGACACTTAGCCAGCTGGGGTTTTCCAAAAACTTGGAGTGTTGTGGTCACTTCTGGCTTCTTCAATACTCCAGGCTATTAATTAGGAGGAACCGCTAGATTAACCTGCGGCCATAATCACGTCTGATGAGGGCTTATGTACAGAGGCTTATTGTCGGTAATTGAGGGGACTCCTCTGGGAGCTGCCGTCCTGTTGCAGCCTTTCTGGTGCCCAGTGTGGGAATAATGCATACTGGGAGCACACAAGGGAAACTGGGCTTGTGCAGGATGCAGATGCACTTACCAAGGAAACGAGTCACTCCCAAACGTTGTGCTGGAGCCTCTGGGTGCACAATGACCACTGACCAGTGAACAGGGGCGGGCCTTGTCAGCAGTAAAAGGACCAGGATATTTAGAAATATTCAAGCCATCTGGAGCCCGGCAAAAGTTCATTCTGTCCTTCCTGTCTTCTGCTCTATGGCCTCTGGACACAACCATGCCACAAACAAAACCAACCAAAGAAAGTGCCTCCACTGCGCGGGGAGGGGAGGGTCCCATTCACCTGGTGATTCAATCAGTCCTGATGAAGAGGGAAAAGGAGGCTGCTGCGAGCTGGCTCCTTCTGTGACTGCTCCTCACCTCAGGTGTGCTCCTGTCCTGCTAAGCTAACCCTAGATCCCTGAACAAATGAGGCTTTCCTCTCATCACCTGCTCCTTTTGGAATGTCCTTATTTCCCTTTCTTTGTCCACCTGGGGAATGAATACTTTTAAAAAATTTAAATGGAGTATGAGGTCAAGAGATCAAGACCATCCTGGCCAACATGGTGAAACCCTGTCTCTACTAAAAATACAAAAATATTAGCTGGGCGTGATGGCATGCACCTGTAGTCCCAGCTACTCAGGAGGCTGAGGCAGGAGAATCGCTTGAACGTTGGAGGCAGAGGTTGCAGTGAGCCGAGATCGCGCTATTGCACTCCAGCCTGGTGCCCAAGCGAGACTCCATCTCAAAAAAAAAAAAAAAAAAAAAAAAAAACAAAACAACAAAAACAATTTAAACACTGTGTTGTAGCGGTAGTTTTCATATAAAATGTTCCTTGATATTCTATGCCCTGCCCCATTCCGCATACACACAGGATTTCCCATGCCTTGGCAATCCCTCTTACGCTCTTTGGATGTTTTTCAGAGAGCCCTTTACTACACTGGTTTATTTACATATCTTTTTTTTCTCAACTTTTCTCCCTTGAGACAGAAAATTAAAATCAGTGCTCAATAAATTTTGGTTAAGTGAATAATAAGCACTAATCACAAGCCGGGCCAAGTGCGTGCCTTACACACCTTCCTTCATTTAAGCCTTCACGCAGCCTATCAGGTGGTGACTATTATTATTAATCCTCTCCTTACAGATGAGGAAATAAAGGCTCAGAAAGGTTAAGCCATTTGTCCAACATCATATTACTATTAATATTATTTTTAATGCATCATTCAAATGACACCAAGATCATATTACTATTAAGTGGTAGAAATTGGATTTAAACCTAGATAGTCTGACTCAGCATCCTCCCCCTTAACTCCTGCATGGTGCTGCCTCCTGAATAATCAAGAGTTATAGGTTTGGCCAGGGACAGTGGCTCATGCCTTTAATCCCAACACTTTGGGAGGCTGAGGAGGGAGGATCACTTGAGCCCGGGAGTTAGAGACCAGCCTGGGCAACATAGCAAGATCCTGTCGCTACAAAAAAAAATTAAAAATGAGCTGGGCATGGTGGCATGTGCCCAGCTCTTTGAGAGGCTGAGGCAGGAAGATCGCTTGAGCCCAGGAGTTCAAGGCTGCGGTGCGCTATGATTGCACCACTGCACTCCAGCCTGGGTAACAGAGTGAGACCCTGTCTCCAAAAAAAGAGTTATAGGTTAGTCAAGATACCAAAATACTGGGCTTTTCTACACTGCAAGTATTTCGAGGCTCAGTGTAATTGCAATGCAATGTTTAATCGTGATGGATGTATGTAAAATCTAAGACACAGACTTTGCCTCAAGGAGTTTGTGAACCATTTGAGAACCTTCAACTACTATTGGGAATGATTGGTGAATGATGTAAAGTATTATGAACTACCTTCTACATATTTTGGTGCCTCTGGGTACAAGGCACCTTGCTATATATTGTGAGAGATTAAAAAGATCAATGAATACAGTTAACTATACCATCCTACCATCCTTCCATCCTAGTTTTCCAGGATGGAATGGATTTTCTTTTTTTTTTTTTTTTTTGAGACAGCGTCTCACTCTGTCGCCCAGGCTGGAGTGCAGTGGTGTGATCATGGCTCACTGCAGTCTTGACCCACCAGACTCAAGTGATCCTCCCACCTCAGCCTCCCATGGGGACACACCACCATGTCCCGCTAATTTTTTTTTTTTTTTGAAAAGACAGGGTCTTGCGAAGTTACCCAGGCTTGGACTGGATTTTCTAAAAAATAAAAGTTTACTGAGATGTAATTCATATACTATAACACTTTCCCTTTTAAATTTATTGTACAGTTCAGTGGTTTTAAGTATATTCACAGGTTTGTGCAACCATCACCACTATCTGATTTTAGAACATTTTCATTACCCCAAAAGGAAACCCTATACTCATTAGCAGTCTTTTTTTTTGCTCCCCCACAACAATCTGAGCTACTGACAATCATTACTCTACTTTCTGTATCTATAGATTTGCCTATTCTGGTCATTTCATATAAATTAAATCATGCAATGTATGACCTTTCATGACTGGCTTCTTTCACTGAGCATAATGTTTTAAGATTTATTCCTATTGCAGCCTGTGTCAGTGTTTCATTCCTTTTTATGGCCAAATAATATTCTTTTATATGAATAATCACATTTTGTTGATTCATTCATCTGTTGATGGACATTTGAGTTGTTTTCACTTTTTTGCTATTATGATTAATGCTGCTATGAACATTTGTGTACCAGTTTTTGTGTGGACATAGGTTTTGATTTGTCTTAAGAAATAAAATTCTCTTAAGAAATCAAAGCCCACCTGAGAGTGGAATTGCTGGGTCATATGGCAACTCTATAACTTTGTGAGGAATTGTCAAACAACTTTGAAAAGAGGCTGTACCGTTACTTTGCTACCAGGAATATATGATGGTTCCAATTTCTCCACATCCCTGCCAACACTTGTTATTATATATCTTTTTCATTATAGCCATCCTAGTGGGTGTTAAGTGGTAAAACTCACTGTGGTTTCAATTTGCGTTTCCCCATGATGATTTGCTTAATGATGTTAACATCTTTTCAATTGCTTGTTGGTCATTTGTATACCTTATTGGGGGAAATGTCTATTCCAATCATTTGCCCACTTTTTTTTTTTTTTTTTTTTTGAGATGGAGTCTTGCTCTGTTGCCTAGGCTGGAGTGCAGTGGCACGATCTCGTCTCACTGCAACCTCCACCTCCTGGGTTCAAGCAACTCTCCTGCTCCAGCCTCCCAAGTAGCTGGAATTACAGGCCCCCACCAGCACACCCGGCTAATTTTTTTTTGTATTTTTAGTAGAGATGGGATTTCACCATCTTGGCCAGGCTGGTCTGGAACTCCTGACCTCATGATCCACCCGCCTCAGCCTCCCAAAGTGCTGGAATTACAGGAGTGAGTCACCGCACCTGGCCTCCTTTGCCCATTTTTTAATTGGGTTGCTTGTATTTTTATTGTTGAGTTGTGGGAATTCTTCATTTATTTTGGATGCTAAACCCTTATTTGATATATGATTTGGAAATATTTTCTCCCGATATGTAGGCTGCTTTTCCACTTTCTTGATCATGTCCTTGATATACAAAATATTTTAATTTTGATGAAGTCTGATTTATCTATCTTCTTCTTTTGTTGCTTGTGCTTTTGGTGTCATTGCCAAATTTGAGGTCATGAAGAGTTTTCTTCTAAGAGTTTTATGATGCTAGCTCTTATTCTTAGGTCATCGATCCATTTTTTTTTCTAAATTAACACTCTTGCTGTTCTATTTTTTCTTTCTTCTTTCTTTACTACATTAAAATTTTTTATGATCCATTTTAATTTTTGTATATGCAGTGTGATAGGAGTCCAACTTTATTCTTTGGCACATAGATATCCAGTTGTCCCAGGGCCATTTGTTGAAGACACTATTCTTTTTCCACTGATTGTCTTGGGCATCCTTGTCAGACCAAAGCCAATTGGCCATAGATGTATGGATTTATTTCTGGACTCTCAACTCTATTCTGTTGATCTATATGTTTAGCTCTATGCCAGGAGCACAATGATTATTTTCGGAGATGGGGTCTTGCTCTGTCCCGCAGGCTGGAGTGCAGTGGCATGATCATAGCTCACTGCATCACTGCAGCCTTGAACTCCTGGACTCAACTGATCCTTCCACCTCACCCTACTACATAGCTAAGCCTACAGGCATGTGCCACCATGCCTAGCCAATTTTTAAAGTTTTTTTTTGTAGAGATGGGATCTCACTTTATTGCCTAGGCTGGTTTTAAACTGATTTCAAGCAGTCCTCCTGACTCAGACCCCTAATGTGGTGGGATTACAAGCATGGGTCACTCACCTGGCCCACACTGTTTTGATGACTGTAGTTTTGCAGTAAGTTCTGAAACTGGAAAGGGTGAGTTTTGCAACTTTGTTCTTTTTCAATATTATTTTGGCTATTCAGGTCTCTTGCATTTTCATATGAATCTTAGAATCAGCTTGTCAATTTATGCAAAAAATATACAGCAGGGATTATGAAAGGGATTAGGTTGAATCTGTAAATCAGTTTAGTGAATACTGCCACCTTAACAATATTAAGTCTTCTGATCTGGGATGTGTTTCAATTAATTTATGCTTTCTTTAAATTTTTTTAAAAATAATGTTTTGTAGTTTCCAGTGTATAATTCTTGCATTTCCTTTATTAATTTTTTGTAGTTCCTCTTTATTCATTGTATTTATTTATTATATTCTTTTTGATGCTATTAGAAACTAAATTTTTGAAATTTCAGTTTTGTATGGTTAATTTACAGTATATAGAAATACAATTGATTTTTGTATATTGGTCTTCTATTCTACAACCTTGCTAAACTCATTCATTAGTTCTAATAAATTTTTTTTTGTGGATTTCGTTGGGTTTTCTACGTACAACATCACATCACCTGTGAGTAGAGATAGTTTTACTTCCTTTCCAGT
Source organism: Homo sapiens (assembly GCF_000001405.40). NCBI lineage: Eukaryota > Metazoa > Chordata > Mammalia > Primates > Hominidae > Homo > Homo sapiens. The sequence goes on from NC_000009.12 coordinate 86,429,564, forward strand.
CTGGATGCTTTTATTTCTTCTCCTTGCCTACTTGCTCTGATTAGAATCTCCAGTACAATGGTGACTAGAAGTGGTAACAGCAAACACCTTTGTCTTGCTCCTCTTAGGGGAAAATATTCAGTCTTTCATAATTAAGTGTGATGTTAACTATGAGATGTTAGTAGATGTCCTTCATCAAATTGATAATGTTTCCTTCTATTTCTATTTTTTCAGTGTTTCTTATTTTGAAAAGTTGTTGAATTTTGTTAGTCTATTGAGATGATCATGTGTTGTTTTTCTTCATTTCATTAATGTGGTATATTACATTGGTTTACTTCATATGCTAAACAGACTTGGCATTTATATTATGACACACTGGTCATGGTGTATGATCCTTTTTATATATGACTGGATTCAGTTTGTTAGTTTCAGTTGAAGATTTTTGTGTCTATATTGATAGAATGATTTGGAAACTGTTCCTTCCTCTTCTATTTTTTTTTTTTGGATGAGTTTGAGAAAGATTGTTAATTCTTCTTTAAATGTTTGGTAGAATTCACCAATGGGCCTAGACTTTACTTTGTGTAAAGTATTTTCGTTACAGATTCAACCTCTTTATTTGTTATAGATGTATTCAGATTTTCTTTATAAATCAGTTTCAGTAGTTTGTGTCTTTCTAGGAATTTGTCCATTTTATCTAGGTTGTTTATTTTGTTGGCATACAGTTGTTCATAGTATTCCCTTATTATCCTTTTAATTTCCGTAAGGCTGAGAGTGATGCCCTCTCTTCCATTCATTTTTTATTATATTTTATTATATTTTTAAAATTTAATTTAATTTTAAGTTCCGGGATACATGTGCAGGACGTGCAGGCTTGTTACATAGGTAAACGTGTGTCATGGTGGTTTGCTGCACCTATCAACCGATCACCTAGGTATTAAGCCCCACATGCATTAGTTATTTATCCTGATGTTCTCCCTCCCTGTGGCCCCATTCCTAGTTTTAGTAATATGAGTATTCTCTCTCTCTTTTGGTCAGTCTAGATATAAGTTTGTCAATTTTGAATTTTCACTCTTGTTTTTATTAATATATACTCTACTTCATTTATTTTCATTCTAATCTTTATTATTTCCTTCCATTTTGCTTTGGGTTTAGTTTGCTCTCCTTTTTTCTGGTTTCTGAAAATGGAAGTTTAGGTTAGTGATTAGAGCTATTTCTTCTTTTTAAATATAGGTATTTATATAGCTATTAATCTCTCTCTAAGCACTTCTTCAGCTGCATCCATAAGTTTGGCATGTTTAATCTTTATTTTCATTTATTTCAAACTATAATTTTCCTTGTGGTATCCCTTTTGACTTACTGGTTATTAAGAGTATGTTGTTTAATTTTTACCTATTTGTGAATTTTTCAAATTTACTTCTAATTAATTTCTAATGTCATTACATTGTGACTGATGAACATGCTTTGTATTATTTCAATCATTTAAATTTATTAAGGTTTTCATCATAGTGTATGGTTTATCCTGGAGAATGTTCCATGTGTATTTAAGAAAAACATGTATTGTGCTGTTATTGGGTGGAGTGTTCAATTAATGTCTGTTAGGTCAAGTTGGTTTATAACGTTTGCTTAGTCCCTTTGGGCTGCTATATAATAAAGCACCACAGACTGGATGGCTTATAGACAACAGAAGTATATTTCTCACAGTTCTGGAGGCTGGAAGTCTGAGATCAGGGTGCCAGCCTGACTGGGTCTGGTGAGCGCTCTCTTCCGGGTTGCAGATGCTGACTTCTTGCTGTACCTCTTATGTGGCAGCAAGATGATGAGATAGCTCTCTGGTGTCCTTTTTATAATGGCACTAATACTATTCATGAGGACCTCACCCTCATCATCTAATTACCTCCCTAAAGCCCCATCTCCTAATGCCATCACACTGGGGGTTAGAGTTTCAACATATACATTTTTGGAGGACACATTCAGTTTATTGCAGTATTTTTCAAGTCTCCTATTTTCTTATTGAAACTGGGTAACTGAAACCTCCAACCATGATTACTGAATTATCCATTTCTTCCTTTAATCCTGCAAGTTTTTGCTTCATGGATTTTGGGACTCTGGTATTAGATGCTTATATGTTTATAATTGTTAGGTCTTTTATCATCATAAAAATCTTCTTTGTCTTAAAGTCTATCTTGTCTTCTATTAATATGGGTCTCTGGCCCTCTTTTGGTTACTGTTGGGTGGTATCTTCTTACTTTTAACCTCTTTGTATCTTTAATCTAAAGTGTGTCTCTTGTAGACACAATAGAGTTGGATCTGTTTTTTTTAAAAATCCATTCTGTTGGTGGGGCATGGTGCTCATGTCTGTAATCCCAGCATTTTGGGAGGCCGAGGTGGCCTGGTCACTTGGGGCCAGGAGTTAGACAACAGCCTGGCCAACATGGTGAAACTCCATCTCTACTAAAAATACAAAAATTAGCCAGATGTGGTGATGGGCGCCTGTAGTCCCAGCCACTTGGGAAGCTGAGGCAGGGGACTCGCTTGAACCCGGGAGACGGAGGTTGCAGTGAGCCAAGATTGTGCCACTACACTCCAGCCTGGGCGACAGAGTGAGACTTTGTCTCACAAAACAAACAAACAAAGCAAAACCCATTCTGTCAATAACTGTATTTTGATTGTAGTGTTTAATGCATTTACATGTAATGTAATTACTAACAAGGTAGGATTTATGCTTTTCGTTTAAATTTTTTTCTATATGTTTTATGTCCTTTTTTTCCACTATTTCTCCATTATTGCCTTTTTGTGTTAGAAATTTTTTAATATACAATTTTGACTATACCTCTAAGGCTGTTTAAAAAAATCTCTTAATTCTCTTGCCATTCTTTTGCTATATATTTTGAATTATTTTCTTAGAAGTTGCACTGGGGATAACAATTAATATTAATTAATTTATAATTAATAAAGTAATCTAGTTTGGATTAAAACCAATTAAATTTTATAGTATATAAAACTTTGCTGATGGACCGTATTTAATGTAATATTATTCTTTTCAGGAAAGTTAAGTTGTTAAGTATGATTTATTTTTTATACCTTTTTAGGACTTTTCATATCATTCTATGTCAGGCCATGTATTTCTTACTTCAAATAATTTCTAATGTAGTTGAGGAGAAAACCAAACATATGTGAAAAGTCAGATGGCAGTCAAATCTTTAAATACTAATTCAAGGCAATAACAGATATGAGTAACAACTCTAGACAGAAAATGTGTAGTGGCTTCATGACAGGGTATTTCAGAAGATCAGTTGATGTGAAACCCATGGCCCAAGTTAGTCAAGGAAGACTTCATGGATTTGCAATTTGACCTTAGTATATGTGGAAGTGTACAAACTCATTGATATGTAAAGAAAATAAATGGGAACTCACCAAGCTAGCTTCTGACTTTTCAGTGAGGTCATCTGTCTACTTCTGTATCCACAGCACCTACAACACTGCCTTACACATTGTAGGTGCTCAGAAAATATTTATCAAATGATCAGATGAATGCATTTGGTTGAATAAATCAGTTAGGTATGGAATTGGAGCTTTGCAAGAGAGGACATATATTCTGGAGCATCAGCTTTGGACCATTTGCTAGGTAATCGATAAGGGGGAAACAGAGCTGGTAGGTCATCTGAGTCACAGTTTGCTGCTTTCTTTCTTTCTTTCTTTTTTTTTTTTTTTTTTGTAGAGACACAGTCTTTCTCCGTCACCCATGCTGGAGTGCAGTGGTGCGATCTCGGCTCACTGCAACCTCCGCCTCCCGGGTTCAAGCCATTCTCATGCCTCAGCCTCCTGAGTAGCTGGGATTACAGGTGCATGCCACCACGCCCAGCTAATTTCTTTTGTATTTTACTAGAGACGGGGTTTCGCCTTGTTGCCCAGGCTAGTCTCGAACTCCTGAGCTCAGGCAATCCGCCCGCCTCGGCCTCCCAAAGTGCTAGGATTACAGGCATGAGCCAGCTTGCTCCTTTTAAGAGGAGTTCAATTGCTGGTATCATTTGGCCATTATTCCTATTAGTTTTTGAGAATCAGAGAATGCCACAGTTTTCATTTTTACTTAAAAATCTATGCATCTATAGTCTTTTTCAGAGAGTTCAGGGAAAAAGGACTTATAGGGACACTATGAGTTTGTACAATTCAGTAACTGAAGAACAGAGTGGCAAAAGTTCTTCAAATACTGAGAGAAGAGATGCTAGGAAATGCATCAGAAACATTATTTGAAACATCTAACAGGGTTTTTATTTCTTAGTTTCCTATATTTAATTCTTTTTTTCCCTATATTTAATTCTTGACTCTCTATGGTAGTCAACCTCAGAAAATTTCAATACTTTCAAGAATTATCACATGAACAGAATTTAAGGTTTTAAGCATTTTTTTTTTTTGCTCTTTAATGTGATCTGTTGTTAACAATTACCATAAATCTTTACTTAAGATTTACTTTAAGAGACTTGCACCACCCTTCTATTTTTTGGTCATTAGAGACTTTCTAGCGAAAATGCTAGAAAGCTAAATGAAGACTAAAAGGCTGCTTTCTGGTTTAAATTCATCTGTACCTGCAGTTGCAAAGCCAGTAGAGGGAGCAGTGTACCTATTCTTTGATTTCTGGAATTGCAACTACTTGGATGGACTGAATTTCAAACAATCTGCATAATCAAGACTATTTCACCCAGAGAGAGGGAGTCAGGGGCTACAATTTGTTTGTTTGTTTGTTTGTTTGTTTGTTTTGGCAATCATGGCTTTATGTTAGGGTATTAGCAGAGTTACAGAGTTGCTTTATTACATTGAAGAACTTTGATGAGGTTGCTGTGTGAGGACTGTTCTTCCATTTTGCTTCCTTTAACTAAAAGTCATTTGAGCATTTTGTACCAAGTCCACAAAAAGCTGGCTGAGTAAACTCATCAGGTGGATTAGATTCTCGGTATTCAGGATAGCTTGCGCAACCGGGTGGGCATGTTCGCTAATCCCTGCAACTTTGATGTGGCTGCAGAGTGGGAGCTGGGATGAGTTCTTCCTCCCTGACTCACTGGTTTCCACTCCACGAGACTCCAAAGTCTGTCCCGCACTGTCTCTCTAGCTGACTTAGCAGAGATAGGACCCCTCCTGTTCTATCTCATCTGACTCACTCCCACGGAGTTATTTTTCCTTAGCGACAGGGCCATGGGCCGAGCAAAGGAGGCAGCACTCCTGTCTCACCACTCCACCCCCTTTAACAACTGTTGTTTTATGTAACATTTTACTTGTCTTTTCACCATTGGATTCTCCCCGTGTTTCTAGCTACCAGCTCATAGCTTAGGTGGGGTTCTTTTCTTTGTCTTCACTTACCTTTTTTCATTGAAACAGATGCTTTAGCAATATTATCAGCCCATCTTTGCTAACTTTTTTTAAATTCAATTCTTTTGTTTTTTTAATTTTTTTAAAATTTGAGAATGAATCTCACTCTGTCGCCAGGCTGGAGTGCAGTGGTGCGATCTTGGCTGACTGCAACATCCGCTTCCTGGGTTTAAGCGATTCTCCTGCCTCAGCCTCCCAAGTAGCTGGGACTACAGGCACACATCACTGTGCCCAGCTAATTTTTGTATTTTTAGAGACGGGGGTTTCACCATGTTGGCTAGGCTGCTCTCGAACTCCTGACCTCGTGATCCACCCGCCTCGGCTTCCCAAAGTGCTGGGATTACAGGCGTGAGCCACCGCCCCCGGCATGGTATTCAATTATTTTGACAGTAGCTCTTGGTCTTGTGATGTCGCTTCCATTTCTTCAACAGGTATTTATGTCTTTCCATTTCTTTTTGTTTTTGTTTATGCCTTCTCTCTCCAGCTAGAATGTGAAATAATACCTGTGGCTGAAAAGAAGCTCTTTTGACCCAGGATCCTGGTCCTCTGCATAACAGTCAAGACCATTCTCATTTGCCTGAAAGTGTTTTAGAGAAGAAAGAGAAATTCAGGACCAATCAGCAATTCCCTTTTCCACTCTTATGAAGAAAGAAAAAGGATTTGTGTTATTTGAGATTTAAGTTACTTCCTTTTTTCCTATGACAGGTTTTGGTAAATGCCCAGCTCCAATAATACGTTAACATTTTCAGAGTCAATCTGGGTTATAAGTAAATAAACTCCATTTTGATCTTGTTCTCGTTGGTTCTTTTTTACTGTCACTTTTAGGCCTTTTTTGAAAGGAGAGAGAGACATTCTCTACCAGGTCAGAATCTGCCCTATGCTTATTCCAGATCAGTATGCTTGGTCCAATACTCAATCACTAATCACTTACGTGACACGCTGTGTGAGTGAGACTAACTTTTGGCTATTCTTAAAGTATAGCTACAGTGAAAACATCATTAGGAATGCCTCTGGCTACTGTATTCAGAAAAGATACTAAGTATAAGAATTTTGGAAAGTCAGCTTTATCCTTTAAAAAGGTGATAGTTTGTGATTCCATTTGCTTTACTCTTATTTTGCACTCTGTTCAGAGATCAAGAAGGGAACTGGTTACCATTTATTGGTGCCTCTCAAGCCCCTCCATGCCAAGATAAGATGGGAAAAGTTGAGTTTTGAGGATTTGGGGAAGTCGAGTAAGTCTGGTGAGTAGAGTGGGGAAAGCCCAAGGTTAAGGCTGTCGTGGTTAGCGATGGAAGAACTGAGGTAGAGAGCCTGGAATGAGGGATCAGATAATGAGAGGAGGATTCCAAGTGTGGCTGATGCCAATGGGGGGTGAAGACAGAAGTCTAAGGAGTTATGGAGAGTAAGGACAAAAAATGAAAGTGCCATGTCTGAAGAATCATTACTATTGACTTGAGAGTCTTCAAGTTTGGTGAAAGAATTTCAATGAAGCATTCTACTCTCAGAAATTGAGATCTTACTACTGCTTTAGTGACTATTTTATCTGATATTTTTATAGCAACTCTATCATTCATTTTGTTGGTACATGCTTATATATATTTTCCCATGTTATTCAAATGTTGTATGTCCTTTGGTTTTAGATGTTGGATAGAGTGAGTTCTAAATTTCTCTTCAAAGAATCACTATGTCAGTATGGTCAGTTCTTTGTCCTCCATTTTTAAGTTTAACTTCCTCGTAGTTTCAGTAAACAACATTTTCCGCCAGTTTTAATCAGTAGTTCACATCTGTTCCCCTGGTCACCTGCTCCATCCTGACTCATCCTGGTTACCTTTTTTGACCTGAATCACCTGTGGTCACCTAAGTCTGACTTAAGTCACCTTTAGTCACCTGTTCCGTAATTGTCCTTCCCACAAAACTACTGACCCCACTACTCTGGCTCATACCCCTGCTCTCTTTAAAATAGCCTATCAGAATTAGCTTAGACTGTATGGTCCAAGCCTGCCATTAGGGGAACGACACAGCAATAGGGACTACCTGTGTCGGGAATAAGAACCCCTTCCCCTCCCTTTTTCAGGTGTGCTCTTGCCATTACTCCATTTGACAGTCATACCCTTCTATAGAAGTAAAAATTGCCTTGCTGAGAAAATTATGTTCAAGTGCTATTTCTTTGTGGCACTGAGAACAAGCATTTCATTTCTAACATAGGTAAACCTGGCTTCTTTTACTTTTTAAAAATCCGGTTTTGTTTTCATTTTCTTTTATACTTAGTCCATTTAGCCTTATTGTAGACTTTGTCTTTTGTTTTTTTTTTCTTTTTTTTGAGACAGAGTCTCACTCTGTTGCCCTGACTGGAGTGCAGTGGTGATGCAATCTTGGCTTACTGCAACCTCTGCCTCCTGGGTTCAAGCAATTCTCTGCCTCAGCCTCCCAAATAGCTGGGATTGCAGGTGCAACAGGCGTGCGCCACCACACCCGGCTAATTTTTTGTCTTTTTAATGGAAATGGGGTTTCACCATGTTAGCCAGGCTGGTCTCGAACTCCTGACCTCAGATGATCCGCCCACCTCTACCTCCCAAAGTGCTGGGATTACAGGCATGAGTCACTGTGCCTGGCTACCATTTATATTTGAAAAGAATATTTGCTAGAACTAGGGATCCAGGTTTTTGGTTATCTTCTTTCTTTTAGTTCTTTGTCTCTTCTGGTGTCCAGTGGATGGATATTAAGAAGTAAGCCATCAGTCTTTTCATCATTTCTCTGTGGGTAAGTCTCTCTTTTCTCTCTGGCTGCTTTAAACACTTTCTTTGTCTTCTTTGATGTTCTTTAGTTTCACTGTGCTATGTCTAGGCACCCATATCTTTGGGTTTCATTGATTGCAGTAATTTGAGGATTGGTATCTTTCACTAATTCTGAAAAATTTCAGCCATGATCTCTCTTAAATTTTTTTTCTTCTAAAATTTTTTAAAATGACAAATAAAAATTGCATATATTTATGGTATACAATGTGATGTTTCAATATATGTATACATTGTGCAATTAAGCTAGTTAACATATTCATTGCTTCATGATTTTTGTGGCAAGAACATTTAAGATCTACTCTCTTAGCAATTTTTAAGTATACAATAGATTATTATAAATGTGAAAGGAACATAAATCTTCGGGCCCCCAAATCACTAAGCTAAAGGGAAAAGTCAAGCTGGGAACTGCTTAGGGCCAACCTGCCTGCCATTCTATTCAAAGTCATCCCTCTGCTCGCTGAGATAGAAGCAATATCTGATTGCCTCCTTTGGAAAGGCTAATCAGAAACTCAAAAGAATGCAACTGTTCGTCTCTCACCTATCTGTGACTTGGAAGCCCCCTCCCACTGCTTTGAGTCTTCCTGCCTTTGCTTCAAGTTGTCCTGCCTTTCCAGACCGAACTAATGTCCTTCTTATATACATACTGATTGATGTCTCACGTCTCCCTAAAATGTATAAAATGAAGCTGTGCCCCAACCACCTTGGGCACATGTTGTCAGGACTTCCTGAGGCTGTGTCACAGGTGCATCTTCAACGCTGGCAAAATAGACTTTCTAAACTAACTGAGACCTGTCTCAGGTTTTCTGGGTTCGCGCTAACTACAGCCATCATACAGTCATTTTCCGTTTAAGTAACGTCTCCTTTATTCTCTCTCAGAATTGCTTCTGCAAGTACTTTAAACCAAATTCTCCACTGAAGCTGTTTTGGACTATCAAAGCTCTGTAAATTGGTACCACACACTGTAGGAGGGCCAGGTGGCTCTTTGCTCTTAGAGGAGATTTTCCTTTCTCTCCCTTCCCTTCGGCATCAAGGATAGGATAGGCCAGTTCCTCTTTTATCTTTCCAGGGCGGGTGTTGCTGGGGCCTCAGCATCAAGCAGGGATCTTCCATCACTTTTCTACCTAGGCAGGACCTGGGCGCCACCACCTGTCTCCCTCATTGCACGGCTGCCGGCCACTTGCAGACATGAAAGTGGCAACTCAATGACTAGGGATGTACAGAGAACTTGAGTGTAGTCTACTCCCTTCCCCCAAGGGTTGCTAGCAAGTTAAGTGACATATGTACAGAAATTCTGGGTGGCCTTGGTTGATTGAAAGAGGCAAAGGAGAAGGCAGTGATTTCAAGGCTCTGATTAACAGACAATTAAACCGAAGTGATATAGTTTGGATATTTGTCCCCCCAAGTCTTATGTTGAAATATAATTCCCCAGTGTTGGAAGTGGGGCCTAGTGGGAGGTGTTTGGGTTATGGGGCAGATCCTTCATGAATGGCTTGGTACTGTCCTGCTGATAGTGAGTGAGTTCTTGTGAGATCTGGTTGTTTAAAAGTATGTGGCGGCCAGGTGCGGTGGCTCACGCCTATAATCCCAACACTTTAGGAGGCCGATGTGGGCAGATCACGAGGTCAGGAGATCAAGACCATCCTGGCTAACACAGTAAAACCCCATCTCTACTAAAAATACAAAAAAATTAGTTGGGCATGGTGGCGGGCGCCTGTAGTCCCAGCTACTCAGGAGGCTGAGGCAGGAGAATGGCATGAACCCGGGAGGTGGAGCTTGCAGTGAGCCGAGATCATGCCACTGCACTCCAGCCTGGGTGACAGAACGAAACTCCGCCTCAAAAAAAAAAAAAAAGTATGTGGCACTCCCTGTTGCAACTGTCCTTGCTCCCTTGCTTGCCATGTGACACACCTGCTCCCTGTTTACCTTCCCAGAAGCCAAGCAGATGCCGGCCCATGCTTCCAGGACAGCCTGCAGAACCCAGCCAATTAAACCTCTTTTGTTTACAAATTACCAAGTCTTAAGTATTTCTTCATGGCAGGGCAAAAATGGCCTAATACACCAATGATAAGCCTTTTCCAATCAAATGCTGGATCTTTGGGGGACATAGATTCCTGAATGTAGCTCAGAGTTACTTGACACTTCCTTTGATGAGAAAACCATAGACTTTTAGAATTGACCACTAGTTGAAGTGTGGTAGTTCAAACTTGGCATACCATCATCCATACAGCAGAACGGGGCTCTATAAATAAGAGGTTAATTAGAAACTTTTATTTCTATTCTAGGTAAGCTTTCTAAACAAATAGAGTACAGTTTGTGTGTGTGTGTGTCAAGTTGACTTTTCTTTGGATCAGATGTAATCTCAATCCTTTTTTCTTTCTAATTGTTAGAATTGTGTTTATACTGGCTTAAACTGTGCATATTATTTATGGCAGAAATCATTTGTAAGTGCAGTCTTATTCATCAACAATACTTAATAGTTTCTGTAAACATTTCAGGATGTAAATTAAATATCACTTGCCACTTGACTACATTTCTTTTGGTAACTTGTGCCAAATAAGTTTTGACCATATCTAAAGAAACATTTTGTTGTGGTTTGTTCTTTTGGAATATTTTATGTATACTTTGGCAGTTAATGAAAAGAGATACACTCCATGAAGATTTAAGAATTTACATCTTCATATTGTCCTAATATATGACTCAAAAGAGACACATAAGTACAAGGAAGAATTGTAAGTGAATCAATGGTTTTTACTTAGTACAGTAAAACAAATGAAAACGTGGCCTCAATTGCTGTCTGCTATTTGTACTACTTAAATCATGAACTGTGGTGAATTTCCCGTTTTCAGTTACACTTCTCATGTAACAAACTAGTAATTATGAAATCATCATTTTTAACACTATTGGCCACATGCACACTTTGCAATTACATCTGATTCTTTTGAGACTTTGTATATTTAACTTTAGGTAATTCTTTTATTATTCCATCTTGTGGGCGTCAGCTCTATAATCATACTTAGTAAAAGTGAGAAGCAAATATATGTAAACAAATACATGGTGCCCGTTGAACAGAGCGGAGTCCTTAAAAATTTAACCAATCTCTTAACAATATCCTGATCAGAGAACCGCTTAGGCATTGGGCAATATGGCTGAATAAGCAATCTGAGTACTGCATATTATTTTAGATATTAGTATAATTTCTCACATGTGAGCCACATGTTTTAAACATTTATTTTGAAATAAACATATTTTGTCCACTGGAATATAAAGTCCATGAGGGCAGGGACTTTGTCTATCTTGTTCATCACTGAATTTCTATTTTGGGACATAGTAGTTACTCAGTCAAAATTCATTCAACGAACAAACTAATACTTAATTAGGAAGTAATTAATAGCGAAAAATATCTTAGGAAAAACAGAGGGCATCAAATGCCATATTAATTTCAGTCAATATTTACTCACAACTATTGGTTTAATGTATTTTGTGGCTACAGGGTTAGGTGCAGATTTAAAGCAAGGATGTTTTTCTGCCTTATTGTTTCATTTATCCTTAAATAATGACCCTCTTTTTCAATTTGTAATAATAATTATTTTTGTCTTAATGTGTCTTTGTCTAATGTTGCTATGCTGGCTTCTTTCTTTCCTCATCTTGCCCACCTCCTCTCTCCCTTCTTTCTTTTCTTTTCTTCTTCTTCTTCTTCTTTTTTTTTTTGTGTGTGTGTGTGATGGAGTCTCACACTGTCACCCAGGCTGGAGTGCAATGGCGCAATCTCACCTCACTGCAACCTCTGCCTCCCAAGTTCAAGCGATTCTCCTGCCTCCCAAGTAGCTGGGATTACAGGCACCCACTATTAAATCTGGTTAATTTTTTTAGTAGAGACAGGTTTCACCATGTTGGCCAGGCTGGTCTTGAACTTCTGACCTCAAGTGATCCACCCATCTCGGCCTCCCAAAGTGCTGGGATTACAGATGTGAGCCACCGTGCCCAGCCCCTTCTTTCCTTTCCTTTCTGCCCCCTCTTTTTTTTTTCTTAGTCTTCGTCTCGTATGTCCTCTTTCACCTTTTTTCATTCTTTCACTCTTGACCCTCTTGAGCTGCTCTAGGCATGTTTATAGAAAAGAGCATATATTGCTGGGTTTTTTGGGGTCTGTTCCTTAAAATCCTAAGAATCTGTCCTTTGTTAAGGGCATAATCATTTCATTTACTGCCACTTTGATTATTAGTGTATTTGGCTTACTTTGGCCATGTGATTTTGTATTTCTCTCTCTCTCTCTTTTGCTTTCACATTCTGCTTTTCTAACTTTTCTTGGAAAGATGGAATTTTCTTTATTCCCACCCCCTGACTCCAGCCATTGATTTGGAAGTTCTACATTTTATTTCTGTTTTTTAGTAGTCAACCTTAAAGTTTTAACATGGATACATGAGTTACCATGATTTCATGTTAATTATTAGCTCTAGCTTCGTATCAGCAGATATGTCTTAGTTCTCCCTTTCCATTCCAAATGCCACTAGTCATTTTATTATCCTTATAGTCAATGCTTATTTAGTTTTATCAATAACTACTCATCATTGCTTCTTGCATCTTCCCCGGATTCATTTTTCTTCTACCTGAAGCACATATGTCTTTTAGATTTAGTTTGAATCATATGAAATTGTCATTTTTGTGGGTCAAAATGGCCAAATATCAGAAATTTCATATTGTTTAAACTAATATTCATCTCGGGGCAAAATTACGAGTAGTAAACTTTTTCAAGCAGTCTATCTAAAAAGGCTTTTATTTCACCTCATGTGCATATAATTTAGATGGATATATACTCTGATTGTTATATTCCCTCATTGCTTTCAAGATGCTTCCCAGCCTTCAAGAATTATTGTTGTTGATGAGGAGTTTGCTGTCACTCGAATTGCCATTTATTTATAGATAATATGTTTTTACTTTCTCAATCCTTTGTTGTTGAGGTTCTGAAATTTTTCTATAACATATCTAGCTATGGATATTTTTACTTGTTTTTAATGTCAATGAGTTTCTCCTTCATTTCTAGAAGTTCTATTTGGCTTTTCAAATTGGTCTATTCTTTTTCACAGTATCTGAGCTTTTCTTTTTGAATTTTATTCCTTTTTATCTTTTTATTAATTTTAAATAAAATTGTTTGTAGTCTCTTTCACGTTGTGTATAATCCAGATTTGGAGAGTGCTAATTTTCCTGTTTATTGCATCTTCTGAATTTCCCTCAGTGCCTGCCTGCCTTCCTTCCTTCCCTCCCTCCTTCTCTCTTTCCTTCCTTCCTTCCTCTTTCTTTCTCTCTCTCTTTCTTTCTTTCTCTCTCTCTCTCTTTCTTTCTTTCTGCTTTTTCCCTCCCTCCCTCCTTCCTTCCTTCCTTCTTTCTTTCTTTCTTTTTCTTTCTTTCTTTCTTTCCTTCTTTCCTTCTTTCTTTCTTTCTTTCTTTCTTTCTTTCTTTCTTTCTTTCTCTCTCTCTCTGTCTGTCTCTCTCTTTCTTTCTCTTTCTTTCTTTCTTTCTTTCTTTCTTTCTTTCTTTCTTTCTTTCTTTCTTTCTTTCTTTCTTTCTTTCTTTCTTTCTTTCTTTCTTTCTTTCTTTCCTTCCTTCTTTCTTTCTTTCTTTCTTTCCTGGATCTCACTCTGTCTGAAAAACAACAACAACACGCTGGAGTGCAGTGGTACAGTCTTGGCTCATTGCAGCCTCAACCTCCCGGGCTCAAAAGATTCTCCCACCTGAGCCCCCAGAGTAGTTGGGACTACAGGAACACACCACCTTGCCCCTCCTTGATTTCTTATTGTGTTTATAAATGATGTTCATTTATGGTAGCTCCTGCTCCCTGCTTTGGGAGTTTCCTAAATCTGTTTTTAAAGTATCCGTCAAGAACTGTTTTAGGCCAGTTGTGGTGGTTCATGCCTGTAATCCCAGTACTTTGAGAGGCCGAGGCAGGTGGATCATCTGAGGTCAGGAGTTTGAGACCAGCCTGGCCAATATGCCAAAACCCTGTCTCTACTAAAAATATGAAAATTAGCTGAGCATGGTGGTAGGCACCTGTAATTCTAGCTACTTGGAAGGCTGAGGCAGGAGAATCGCTTGAACCTGGGAGGCAGAGGTTGCAGTAAGCAGACATCACACCATTGCATTGCAGCCTGGGCAACAAGAGCGAAACTCCATCTCAAAAAAAATAAATACATAAAATAAAAAGTAAACCTATCCATATGGGATTCATTAAACTAGTATTAAAACCAAATACACATGTGGTAGAAAAATTTGGGTATTTCGCCGTCTCAAAAAAAGAGTTGTTTTGTATTTCCTAAGATGCATACAGTGCCTTCAGAGCAATCTTTCTATCAGCTACATGGTTGTGGTGCCTTAACCATGTGAATATTACATATTTAAACCTTATACACATGTGAATGGGTACCTGGAGTTTTGACTTCCCAGAGGTGATGTATTGTCAACCCAAGCCCCTGCAGAGGTGGCAGGCTTTCTATCTGCTTTCACAGTCAGGTGGGAGGAGCTATTCTAGGCTCCATGCTTTACATGGGATATACAATTACAACTCTTCCCCCTTCTACAGATATTGTGTCTCCTTTCTCCACGGAAGCATTAGGATCCAGTGCTGAGCTTCTAGGGCCTACGATTGAATTTGAGACTGCTGGTCGGTCACCTCTGGTCTGGCCTTGATTTCTGTTTATTTGGCAAACAGGAATTTTCTGATTTTTTTTTTTTTTTGGCATGGCTACGTGTTAATTTTTTGTGTTTTTTGCTACTTTTTACTCATTACTTCTATACATTCATAGTGAGAGGGAAGTTCCTTCACAACATGGGAAGTAATGTTCTTGAAAATCCAATTAGTCTCAGAGGTTTTTATATTTGGTTCTGCCCTATTCCTTGGTCTTTCTTTGTGTTTCTTTGTTATCTAAATTATTTAGTCTTTGCCATTGTTGCTTGCCATTGAAAAACTCTAAGATTCTGAGTATGATATGTTTTAAATATGCTTCATTGTCTTAAAAAGTTAGCATTTAGTACATTATATATGTACATATATATCCATTCTATCTATATCTATTATATCTCTATGTCTATATCTATATCATCTATACCTATATCTATATGAGACAGTACGAGTGACCTCTCTCTTTTTTATCCAGATGCCTTTTGCCTGGTATTCCCCTTAAATGCGTATCTTCTTACAAAAGTCAAATTTGTTTAAAATTATCCCCCTGAAGGAATTTTTTTTTTGAGAAAGTGGGCATAAACCTTGAAATGACAACTGTTTGTTTTTATTCTTATTAATTCTGAAAGTTGAAACTAAGGATTTTAAGGATATCAGTACCCAAAGGCTAAACTACCACACACACACACACACACACCCCGCTCCCCTCCCCAACCAAATACCACTCACCTTGCAGGACCATTAGGTCTTAAGGATGTTATTGTTTTGGGTAATTAACTGTTATTTACTTATATAACATTTTTAAATGGAGATTGCTATTTTTTTTCTTTTTTGAGACAAGGTCTGACTCTGTTGTTGCCTAGGCTGGAGTGCAATGGTGTGATCATGGCTCTCTGCAACCTTGACTTCCCAGGCTCAAGCCATCCTCCCATCTCAGCCTCCCAAGTAACTTGGGACCACGGGTGCATGCCACTACGAATCGCTAAGTTATTATTTTATTTTCTTTTTGTGGGGACAGGGTTTCTCTGCGTTTCCCAGGCTGGTCTTGAACTCCTGGCCTCAAGAGATCCTCCAACCTCAGCTTCCGAAAGTGCTTGAATTATAGGCGTGAACTACCGTGCCCAACTGAGATTCCTAATTTTTAAAAGAAATGATAAAATATGGTCAGTTAATTCTGTTTGTACTAAGGATATTTTATTTTTGTTATTTAAAAATGGACAGAAACTCTGTTTGCATACTGATGGGATTTTTCTGTTAATTAGAAAAAAACAGCCAGGATAACTTTTACAGGATGATAGCACATTTACTGTACATACATACATACACACAGTCCATAGAGTTGTGCCATGCCATCGATGTTATTTTCATTTACTTTTTGTTTTTTCTGACAACAGTTGGACATGCCCTGACAACTCAACTTCCATTATAAATATTTAAAAACTAAGCAGGAGAGAGTCATCCCTTAACCACAGCCATATAATGTGATGAAGGATACACACAGCTGCAGCCACAGCATGTCATTACTTAATTTGTTTTTGACAGCTCCCATTTGCAGAGGAAAGGAAAGTATGAGCTACACATGGGCAAGGATTTTACATACATCCACATTTGTTTGTTTGTTGTGAATATTGACACATTTTCTTGGGGGAATGGCAGGGAATCCAGGCCAACATCATTTCTTTCTTAGTATAGCAACAGCTCAAGATGTTTGCTGTCCATGGAAAGCTGAAGGAAAAATTCAAGTCAGTGTCTGTACCAAAGGGAAGAAGTATTAGATTGGTAAGCACTTTCCAGCCATGATGAGAAGATGGCAGAGCGAGTTAGGAATGTAGGTTTTCTTCTACGACAGAAGAGGTCATTTTAATGAGTAAATGGAGCACAGGGGAGCCCTCACATTTGTACCAAGGAGAATCCCAAAGCCCTGTTTCACAACAGCTATGTGTGGGTTGTGTGATAGCACTTCCTATGGTTTATGTTACCTAACTGTGCTCCTCAGGGTGGTCCTCATCATGCGTTTTTTAGGTAACTAATTGTTGGCCTATATATGACAGAGGTTGATGGGCTTGGGCTATTCCCTGTATCCCCTGAGGCATGACCTGAGTTGTCTGACACCTTATGGGGACTGGGCTTGAGACGGAATTGGGGCAAGAGAAAACCCAGTCATCAGGGATGTGGAATTGTGATTTGGGCTCCTTTCAGGGCTATGAGAAGTATACTTCTACACCAGCTGGGACTTGGAGTGATGATCCTGAACGATGCATCCAGATAATTCTGTGAAGGGATGATGGAAACATCACAAAGCAGGGAACACTAAGAAAAATGGGACAATTTGAGTTAGCTCAGAATTATCATCAATAGTCAAAACTAGGCTGCTGGATACAGCAATTGGGTCTGATTAAGAGTACCTATGTCGCCTTAGGAAGAAGGGATAGGTGCAGTTGGTGCCTTACATAACAGAATAGGGAATTATAATAGAGAGTGTATCAATGATTTTATTAGTATCGTGTGTGTATGAAGGAGAAGGATGGAAACTAGGAAGATGCCTGAACTGGTTTACATCCTATCATTCACCTGGTAGATATCTGACCATGTGGTATTAAACATCTGCCTCTGCCTTCTCTGACCCTGATTGCCTTGGTTCTTTCTGGTAGTAGGATTATTGTATAATGAGTAAAACCACATGCAAATATTGTATACAGATCTAGAGCCATATGTAATCTAGTTAGCTCCATCTTGAAGAAAGTTCTGTGGAGGTGTTTGCGAGGATTTGCTCCTTAAAGAAGGAGGTCATGAAGAGAAGGAATTTGACTTATCAAAAAGGGGTCAACCTGAGGCTGTAGGCCCCAAACAGCTCCTGTTATTGCTCTCACGGCCTTTGATCAAGTCATGTAGTTATATATTCACATTGTTTTGTGTGTTCTACTCAACATAAAAAAATTAGGGCCTGAGAAGATGTAGAAATTCCCTCTCGGGTGTCCAGAGTCTTTGGCCCATGGTTCTGGTCATCCAGGCAGTCTGTGGCTAAGTTTACTTTCCCTGCCCTCACCAGCACCCCACAGCCTCAGGCCTTCTACAGTAGGTGGCAGTACATAGTGTCAGAATTATGCTTGTACTCTGCCTAAAGATAATGAGGGTGTTCAAAATAGAGGGTGCTGGCTGGGCATGGTGGCTCACGCCTGCAATCCCAGCACTTTGGGAGGCTGAGGCGGGTGGATCACCTGAGGTCAGGAGTTCGAGACGAGCCTGGCCAACATGGTGAAGCCCATCTCTACTAAAAATACAAAAGATTAGCCGGGCGTGGTGACAGGCACCTGTAATCCCAGCTACTTGGGAGACTGAGGCAGGAGAACCGTTTGAACCCAGGAGGTGGAGGTTGCAGTGAGCTGAAATTGCACCACTGCACTCCAGCCTGGGAGACAGAGCGAGACTCTGTCTAAAAAATAAAATAAAATAATTTAAAAAAAAGGTGTTGAAGTTCATGGGCCTCTTTATCTCCACTTATTCCTATGTCGTCTTACTCCAGTGTTCAAGATCAGCCTTCCAAATAATGTACTTTCAAACTCTGGTACTTAAGGTAGTACTCACCTTTTCCTACAGTCTTATCAAAGTGTCATTTGACACTTTCACTAGGGCACATTTATATATACTTACTTGAACTTCAGAGGGTGATTTTACTTGATGAATCTCAGCAGCTTACTACATTCCTGGAAGGATTGGTCTGACGGCACTGGCAAGTTATAGATGCCCTTAATTAAGTCAAAGCCCTATGGTCCTGTGTTGTTTTTTCAAGTCCTCTCTTTCATATCAGAAACATTTAAACTATGATGGCTTACCACGTAGCTCTTCGTTTTTGTTTGTTTGTTTGTTTGTTTGTTTTCTGTTTTCTTTTTTGAGACAGAGTCTCTCTCTGTCACCTAGGCTAGAGTGCAGTGGCGACATCTCGGCTCACTGCAACCTCTGCCTCCTGGATTCAAGTGATTCTCCTGCCTCAGCCTCCTGAGTAGTGGAGATTACAGGCACCCACTACCACGCCCGGCTAATTTTTGTATTTTCAGTAGAGACGGGGTTTCTCCATGTTGGCCAGGCTGGTCTCGAACTCCTGATCTCAGGTGATCCACCTGCCTCGGCCTCCCAAAGTGCTGGGGTTACAGGCGTGAGCCACTGCACCTGTCCCAGCTCTTTGTTTTTACACAGCATTACTTAATGCCAAATTATTCCTGAATATGTATAGATGATTTTTTTGATAAATTTATCAAAAATATTCCTGAGAAAATAATTCAAAGTAGAAAAAAATCACTAAATTGCCAGCAGAAAAAAAAAGGTAAAACAATAAAACAATTTAGGTCACTAGAACTAAATGATTGGTAATTAAAACTTGAGAAGAACTTCTTAGCACCATCTTTCCCTTCCCCCCCCATTTTCCTTTTTTACTTTTATTTATTCTTTTTTGTATTGTTGTTATTCACAAGCAGGATTCATGATCATTATAACTAATATAACAATATAAAAATAAGTAAGGAACAAGTCAATGATATCCCCCAACTCTGTATGCAGTAAATGAATGTTAATTCTCTAAAATAAATGTTTCCACTTCTCTCCTTCTTTCTGTGAGGGGATGATAGAAGCATCACAAAGCAGGGAACACTAATACACACACACATATGCACACACACGTACTCCATATACATCTACGTGGGAGTTATTTTTGGTTGTTTTTGTAAAACTAAAATTAATATATACATATTCTCCTGAAAATTTCTTTTCTTTTTATTATTATTGTTATTATTTTTATTATTATTTTGTAGAGATAGGGTCTCACTATGTTGCCGAGGCTGGTTTTGAACTCCTGGTCTCAAGCAATCCTCCCACCTTGGCTTCCCAAAGTGCTGGATTGATACGCATGAGCCACCATGCCCAGACTGCAGAGTTCTTTTCTTACTTTATACAATGTAGATTTCCTCCTGGGATGATAGTTGTCCACCCAAAGTCGTTAAAAAAAATAAAGCAGTGGGTTAGCAACATGATGGAATGGGAGGCTCCTGACTTTCCATCCTCCTACAGACACACTGAGTAAACACCTACACTTCAATAGAAAGCCAGAATCCAGTTGAAAGACTCCTACACACCAGATGACTGAGAAAACATCCACATCAAAATTGATAGGAAAAGTAAAGATACACTTGTGCACTAACACCATCCTGAGCACAACTCTTAAAAGGTCTCCAGGTAGCAATATATATATGAAAATATAAGGCTCACTGGTGAAAGTAAGTATACAGTCAAACTCAGAACACTCTTATACTGTAATGGTAGTGTGAAAATCAGTTATAGCTCTAGTAGGAAGGTTAAAAAAACTATCAAAATCAACTATAGCTATAATAATTTGTCAAAAGATACAGGCTATCAAAGATAGAAAATACATCATCAAAAACAAATGGGGAAGGGAGAAAAGTGTAGAGTCTGTGTAAGTGATCAAAGTTAAGTAATTATCAGCTTAAATACATCAGCCTGTTATTAGTATAAGAGGTTTTATGCAAGCCTGGTGGTAACCACAAAGCAAAAGCCCTTAGCAGACACATAAAAGATGAAACCAAAGGATTCGAAGGATACCACTACAGAAAATCATCAAATCACAAAGGAAGACAGCAAGAAAGGAAGAGGGGAACAAGGATATACAAATTAGCCAGAAAACCATCAACAAAATGTATGCATAATGTATGCATAATTGCTTTGAATATAAATAGATTAAATTCTCAATAAAAAGACATCGACTGACTGAATAGACTAAGAAAAATAAAGACCCAACTATATGCTGCCTATAAGAGACTCACTTCACCTCTAATGACACACAGACTGAAAGTAAAGGTATGGAAAGAAATTTCACACAAATGGAAGCCAAAAGAAAGCAGTGGTAGCCATACTTATATTAGACAAAATAGACTTTAAGTAAAAAAGGGTAAAAAGAGACAAAGATTGTCATTATATAATGATAGAGGCATCAATTCATCAGTGATTGATAACAATTTGAAATATGTATACACACACATCCAAAATCAGCACACCTAAATATATAATGCAAATATTAATAAATCTGAAGAGATAGATTGCAACATGATAATAATAGAAAACTTCAGCATTCCACTTTCAACATTGGACAGACTAACTGGACAGAAAAGCAATAAGAAAACATTGGACTTGAACTATATTTTAGATCAAATGGACCTAACACATATTTATAGAACATTCCATCCAACAGCAACAGAATGCACATTCATCTCAATTGCACATGGAACATCATCCACAATGGATCCTATGTTAGGCCACAAAACAAGTCTTGACAAATTTGTGAAGATTGAAATCATATTGCGTATCTATTCTGACTACAGTGTCATGAGACTAAAAATAAATAACGGGAGGAATCTTGGAAAATTCACAAATACATGGAAATTAAATAACATAAATCTTTGCTATGTTGGGGTCTTTGGCCCTGAATAACCAATGGGTCAAAGAAGAAGTCAAAAGGGAAACCAAAAAATATCTTGAGACAAACAAAAATGGAAACACAGCACACTGGGATATAGTAAAAGCAGTCCTGAGATGAAAATTTACTTGCATACAATAAAAGACCTACTTTTAACTGAGAGATGAAGTGACACTCAATACTTCCTATGCCCACTCATGAAACTGACTTGTCATGCTTGAGAGGTGGGCTGAAAAGAATTTCCAAATGGATACAATGAGATTTAGTTGAAACACTGGTTTTCATTTTCAAACTAATTCCTGTTATAGACTGAATATTTTTGCCCCCAAAACAAAATCATATGTTGAACCCCTAAACTCCAGTGTGGCCATCTTTGGAGCTAGGGCCTTTGGGAGGTAGTCAGGGTTAGTTGAAGCCATGAGAGTGAGATTCTAGTATGATGGGATTAGTGCCCTTAAAGAGTCACCAGTGCTGTTTGTCCTGTCTCTCTGTCTCTCTCTCATTCGAATGCATGCACTGGGGAAATGTCATGAGCATGCAGAGAGATGGAAGCCATCTGCAAGCCAGCAACAGACCATGCTAGCACCTTATTTGTGGACTTCTAGCTTCTAGAATGGTGAAAAAATAAATTTTTGTGCCCTGTCTATGGAAGCCGAGCAAATTAAGACATTGCCTTATCCAAAGACACATTTCAGGAGTGTGTTCTGATTTATGATCATGTTGAAGAAGAAGTGGGTGTCTCAGTTTGTTCGTGTTGCTATAATAAAACACTGGAGAAAGGGTAATTTTAAAGAACAGAAATTTATTTCTCACCATTCTGAATGCTGGAAGCCCAAGATCAAGGTGCAGCAGGTTTGGTGTTTGGTGAAGGCCTGCCTTCAGCTTCCAAGATGGTGCCTTGTTGCTGCATCCTTTGGAAGGGACAAATGTTGAGTCCTCAAATGGCAGAAGGTAGAAGGGCAAAAAAAGGCCTAAGCTAGTTCCCTCTAGCCCTTTTAAAAGGCACAAATCTGTTCATGAGGATGGAGCCACTATGACTTCCTCACTTCTCCAAAGGCTCCATCTCTCAATACCACTGTAATGGGGATTAAGTTTCAACATGAATTTTGGAGGAGACACATTCAAACCATAGCAGTGTGTGAATATTATTTTGGAAGAGTTTGGAATATACTATCTTAAAAAAAAGATGTAACTATGATGTAGCTTTTTAATCTTGATAGATAAAGCCTCAGAACGGTCGCTCTTCAGGACCCACTGTAAATATGTGTCAGTGGTATCTTAGGAACACAAACGCTTTATTGGCTATTTTTTTTCTTATTTGGCTGTGGTGTGCTTCCCTTCACCCATTTCTCTCTTGTTCTTTCTTTGCTAACTCATAATCTACATATTTTTACTTTCAGGGGGAGTTTTATACCTGGTATACTATTTGTAGCCTTCGTAGAGGGTTCTCCATTCTAGTCACACCGATTTCCTCTCTGCTGCAGACATTGGACACTGGCCTAGTGTTCCAGAAGCTCTGAGTTCAGAGTCCTCATGTACTAATGCCAGCAACAGTCAGTTTCACAGTGCCTCTGGCCAGCTGCACTCTTATGCAACTCAACAATTTCTCACCTTTTCTCCTTTTAAAAACAATATAAGCAACAAAACCACCCAGCTCCCACTGCTGCATAACCCAGAAGTATTGGAAAGATCACTTCATACAATTCTTGAGGCAATCCTGCAGGATCAAGCAATTAGGTCCTTGGAGTGGTGGCCAGCTCATCAAAGCCTCTTTGTACTGGTGCTTCCCCTGATCCTGTTTTGTTCCCTTGTCCCTCTTTCCTGCTCCTAGCTAGGATCACACTCCCCAATAAAGTTTTTGAACAATGACCTGTGTTTAGGCTACATCTTTCTGGGGAACTTGCACCAAAACTCCATTACATACCCAGCTTACCTTTGTCCTTTATTAAAATGCGTAATCTGCACACAAAATAGATTTTTATGATAAAATATGTTACAATTTTTATTTGTTTACTTCCTCTTTCTTGGACTCAGTTTCTTTCCCTTTAAAAATCTGCTACCTAGCTCTCAGATTCTATGTCCTTCATTCAAATATTTGAGTTTTTACTATGGGACATGCACATAGTCTGCTAGAAGTTGGTAAACTATAGTTGTCTTAGTCCATTCACATTGCTACAACATACCATAGATTGGGTGGCTTATAAACAACAGAAGTTTATTTCTCAAGTTCTGGAGGCTGGGAAATCCAAGATCAGGATGGCAGCAGATTCAGTGTCCGGTCGGGGCTTGTTCCTGGTTCAGAGAGGGCTGCTTCTTTCTGTGTCCTCACATGGTAGAAGGGGCAAGGCAGCTCCCTGGGGTCTCTTTTTAAAAAAGCCATTTTGACACACGTGGATGAAACCTCTTTTATAAGGGCACTGATCTCCTTTATGAGGGCTCCATCCTCATGACCTTATCACCTCCCAAAGGCCCCACCTCCTAATACGATCACCTTGGTGGTTAGGATTTCAACAGATGAATTTGGGGAAAGATACAAACATTCAGACCATAACAATGATGCTAAGGCTTCATATGGCCCCATGTCTTGCTTTGTTTGACTCTTGTTTGGCTTCCATGGCATTTTGAAAAAGACTGTAACGATCAGACATTATGCTTGGTCATGAGACAAATAGTTTGAGCACCCGTGGAGGTGCAACCAAGGATAATGGTTGAGCCTGGGGCTTTTCAAACACAGGTTCTATTCTCCCAGGTGCACAAGGCTAGGGTTTAGACTGTATATTTTCATATGGTGCTACCGTCTCAGCAGTACATTCTACTTGATGATGACAAACCGATCTTACATAATCTTTGAAAAGAACAAAGCTACCTTATAGAGCAAAATGCTTGTCTTTTAATTTTTAAAGTATATAATATTTACAAATGCTTTCCCAGGGCCTGTCTGTTTCCAGTCATGCCTCCAGAATCTTCAAGGGTATGAAGCTACTCACTTCTATCACTGGGAGTCCCTTGGAAAAGTCTGAAGAGCCCTATGCTAGGGTGCTCCTTGGCCTCACTAGCCTTGCCCTTTTTTAGTAAGTGAACCTGAGCTCCTGTGATTTTGTCTCTTCACTCTGACTTGGAGCGTTCCTGATCTTGGCTTGACGGCCTGGTTCTCATGTCTTCTGTTCCAGACTTTGCTTTCTCTTTCTTTTCAAGACAGAGTCTCGCTCTGTCATCCAGGCTGGAGTGCAGTGGTGCCATCTCAGCTCACTGCAACCTCCTCCTCCCAGGCTCATGTGATCCTCCCACATCAGCCTCTCCAGTAGCTGGGTTTACAGGCACCCACCACCCTACCACCATGCCTGGATAATTTTTTAATTTTTATTTTTGTGTGTGTGTGGAGACAGGGTCTCTCTAAATTGTCCAGGCTGATTTTGAATTCCTGGGCTCAAGCAATTCTCCTGCCTTGGCCTCCCAAAGTGCTGGAATTACAGGCATGAGGCACTGTGCCTAGCCTTGCTTTCTCTTTTCTGATACTCTTTTGCTTCAGATTTTAATATATATGTATATATTTTTAACCCTGTTCAGCTGTTCTGGGTCTGTTTAAAGTCCCAGTCAAAGGAACCTGGGTGCCTTCCTCCTGACCTTGGTGTAAAATGAAGCAAAGGATAAAAATATATAGGACTTGCAGCTCCCCAAATGCAGCTTCTCATTCCTGCTACTGGGTATTATTTATTGCTGTGCTTCTCTTCCCCCATGTTTGATACTCTCTCCATGTATTTATTTGGGCATTTATTGCTGTGCTGCTTCTTTGCATGTTTGAGATGATTTCCACGTAGTTAATTTAAACAGCTGTTTTTACAGACAACATTTCTGTTTCAAACGTTCTTTCCTGTTTGCAAACCAGCGTTTCTTACAAGTGGGTTGCTGCCACTCTGCTAATTTATTCCACTTTAACAATACAATTTCTTGTTTTCTTCAGATTTTTCAAAACCTGAGAATTGAATTTCCAGAAATGCCAAACCACCGCATTTCATCTTGACTAATTGGCCATGTGGGCTGTCTTCCCGTTGCAAAATCGGCATGAGTTTTGTTGTTGATGATGTTGTCGTTTTAAAGAAAAAGAAAGCAATTTGATTTTTTGGCAGATACTCACCATTACTTTCTCAGTAATCTGATAAAATTCCATCCATCTACCTTCCCAAAAGGGAATCTTGAGGTAAACTTTCAACTTTTCTTTTTGAAACAGGCTTAAACAAATGCATTCAGTTTTGGGAAACAGATCTTCCTCTGGGCAAGGCAGGCTGAGCTACATTCCTACGTTTCTCATGCTGCAGTGAGAAAAGTTCATGAATGTAAGGGAATGCTTTTCCAAAGTTATCTGTGAAGGGAAAGGAATAATTACTTCTGTGTGATTCAAACCTGGGCACCATCCAGGTTCCCAATTAGCTGTGAGAACAGTGCCTGCTATTGTGTCTCAAGTTTACCTTGAATTTTCCAAAGAAACATTCTTTCTGATCACTGTGAATATCAGAAAATAGGAGCCCTCACATTCTTCTTTCTTGTATTGAAGCAAAAGAGGCCCAGAGGACTGCCAGAGAGGTTCAGAGGAGAACAACTGCTGTAAGCATTTTACTGCCAGGGGGTGAAAAGGGAACTGCAATGTAATTTTAAAATATTTTCTTAGGAAAAAAACTCAGAAACTTCTGCATTATGATAAGTGCTTGGATATAGACCCATCTTCATGCATGGGGAAATGATGGGAGTTATACATTTCTTTGCTTTTTATTTCCTTACTTATGTAACCCTGTTTTTCAGTACAACTTGTATTTCTGAAGTCACTCTAGACTAGGGGTAAAAATAAGATGAAAAGAAGTCAGCGAGTAGTATTTCTACGGCTTTGCCTCTACAAACTGCAGACATTTTAGATTCTCTAATTCTTTCTACATCGCTTTGGGAGTCCTCATGGAACAATTTCACATGCGCTTCTTGGGCACGATGTGGCATTTTTCATTTTCCACTTTTCCAGGTGTAATTTTTTTATTTTTTGAGATGGAGTTTCGCTCTTGTTGCCAAGGTTGGAGTGCAATGGTACGATCTTGGCTCACTGCAACCTCTGCCTACCGAGTTCAAGCAATTCTCCTGCCTCAGCCTCCTGAGTAGCTGGGATTACAGGCATGAGCCACCACGCCCGGCTAATTTTGTATTTTTAGTAGAGACGGGGTTTCTCCATTTGGTCAGGGTGGCCTTGAACTCCCGAACTCAGGTGATCCACCGGCCTCGGCCTCCCAAGATTCTGGGATGACAGGCATGAGCCACCGCGCCCAGCCCAGGTATAGTTTATTTGAGACTATAGTGTGGTCCATTTCTGCTGAGGTAAGGAGGATGGGAAGTTAGTCAGCAGGGTGAGGAGTTAGTCTCCTGGTAATCTTAACACCTGATATTGGGTCATTGGGGTCTTTCAAGGGCATGAGTGCCCGATGTCCTCACCCATCAAGACACCACTGCCAACCAGGATGCCCACCAAGCCTCAGCAAAGCTCACGCGGAGTCTGGGGGCTTTTGTTCATGGTGCTCACTCTGCCACAATTGTTCAGAGACAGCCATTGCCCCAAGGTGGCTCTATCTTGTGCTATCAAAGCCCCACGGAGATATCTGTGTTTCCTTCCTTTTAATGAAGCCATCTCAATTGAGGACATGGGGCATGTGTCCCTGAGGACTAGGTGGGTAAGATGAGTGACAGGCACATGTTTTATTCAGAAATCTTTCCTTGGCTTGCTATCCTGGAAGGAGGCTTACATCAATTAACCTTGGTTATTTCCCTGGTGGTTCCTTCGTCCCTCGTGTGTGCAGCCTCTGTTCTCAGCCATGCCCAGGTATGCCTGATATGCTTGAGAGATGTCTGAAACTGAGGGTGGGTACAATTTAATTAGCACGACTGTGTGCATTTGACTTGTGTAGGGCACAAATGTGAACTAACAGCATGGCATCTTGCAAATTTGTCCAACACTCTGGTTGGAACAAGGTCTTTGCTTCACCTACATAGGCAAGGACAGGCCTATGTTTATGAGATAAAATTTCTATAGCCTGTTTCAACACTTCTTTTGTGGAATAGCTCACAAATCTATGATTACTATCTAGATCTTTCTCCCATGCTTCTAATTCTCATCTTTCCCTCAAAATGGTCCCTCTAATTCCTGTTTCCATTAATGAACCATCCACGCAGTTACTGAGCTAGAATCATCCTTACATCCTTTCACCCCTGCTCACCCGACAACTCAATTACAAAACTAAACACAAAATTTCTGATAATTCTCATATTAGTCAAGAGGAATAGAAGAGTGGGTATTATGGGATCTATTTTTCCTTTGGAAGAAAATTTCCTAGAAAATAATATCTAATAATAAACATATTTAATAATAGATATACCTAATAATATCTAATATAGAAACTTTACTAATACTCCCTATCTGACAGGAAGAGATTTGCATTATACATTTTATGGAATGACACCAATAGAAATGATTTTTCTGTCATTTGCTATTATCTTCAAAAGCCAAAGCAAGGGAGGCTTTAATTTGGCCATATTTAGGACATGAAGAAAGGACATATTGTCCTAAAAATAAGTACAACTGGGGAGCACATATTTTGTGCATTTGCTACAGGTGCATGTTTTCCCCTTTACTACACAGTAAGGAAATTACAATGTATAATTGCTTTAAAAATGGTGACTATTCTCTGCATTATGTACTTAGAACATTTTATAGTATTGAAAAGAAAAGGTGACTCATTTGTAAATGCCCCTTAACAAACCAGTTAAAATAGAAGATAAATCTACTATTTGCTGACTGTTGTCTCGGTCAGCTGAAGTTAAGTCTCCAAGTCATAACAGGCACCCTGGGATGTAGGCCAGGGAGGGAGACCTCCTAGCCAGACAGACTTCCACATTTTCTGTGACTGGATATCCAGGTGTCATGGTGGGCTCCGTCTTCCCTGTAAGTTTGGTTTAGTGTGGAATTGGGTGGTGGACGGACCCAGTGAGGAAAGACTTTGTTCATTAGAGCCTGTAAATTAACAGTTTATCCGAGTGAACATTAATTTAACTAGATAATCTAACCAATGAGCTCCTAAACTTCTACTGCAAACCCTGATGGGCTCTCTAGGAAGAGTTTTACATGAGCACAAAAGGCTCTATGAGGTTTTAGATATACTAGGATGCCTAAGTGAGCTACTCTAGAAAAAGGTAAACAAAGTGTCATAGGTACTCCAAAATGTTTAGCTCTTTACTTCTAGCTCTCACAATAAAATGAAGCTCTTCAGTCCCCAAACTCCATATACTCTGTTATAATTCACACTATGTCTGAATAAAGAGTTATAATTTCACAAAAGCAAATGATCTCGAGAATTCAGTCCGGGGTTCCCTCTCTTATTGCAACGATGTTAGTTTGTGGTAGTATAACAAAAGGACTAATGAAGGTTGATTTAATCTACAACGAGGTGATAGCACAGGGCTTAGTTAAAGCAGCATGGAATGTGGAGACAGAGGAGCTTCAGGGAGTGGCTTTCCTGCCTAATAGCTACGTGACCTCAACATTCTGAACCTCGGTATTCCTTATCTGCTTCATGGAACAAATAATACCTATTCAAATTGTGAAAATTGGGCCTGATTTAATGCTTATAAAGTGCTTATGATAGATTCCTGTGCTTTCCCTATATGGAGATCCTACTGTTAATCTCTTTATCCCTGGAAGGGATGAGAACAGTCATGAACAGAGTTTGTTTGTGGAGAGTTTGGTCCTGGTGATAGCACTCCCTCATTCTTCTCTAAGTGCTCTCGGGCAATTTTCTTTCAGTAGACTCTGAATTCCTTAAGGGCAGCCAGGGCCTGATTGGTCTCTGATATCTAGTAGGTTCATTAAGCATGTTTCCAAATAAGTGAATGAATGAACTCAGGTCCCTTAACTTCAAAGGTGCTTAAACATTTTTAGGAAATAATTTGAAAAAATCTAGATGTCAGACTTATTTTTTTTTTCTTTCCTCTCTTCTTTGACAAAGAAGCATAGAATGCATTATCTGTGAACATTTGGTGGGAGGAAGATTTTTGGTAAAGCAACTAATTAGAAATGTGCTATTAAATGCCAAACTAGCATTAACCTAAAACTTGTGTTTTATGGGAGGATTCTTATACTTTTTTTTCCCCTCAAAATTTTTCCTTGAAAATATTTTAACTATTTGCCATAAGAATATTTTGGGCTTAGTCAACTCATGCTAGGGTTTTTTGCTTTCTTTTTTTTAAGAGGTGAATGATTTTGTTGATAAAATTCACGTTTCATATTGAATCTACAATATGAGATTGTTGAGTGTGATTTTTTTTCTTTCTAGTTTAAATTGGAACCTTATGGACATTTAACCTAGAAACATATGTCAATGTGATTTATATGTAGAAAATCTCTTTTTATAGTATTAACAAAATCACTATTGTGTTCCAATCTTTGTTCTCCAGGGATAAATCTTAGTAAATCACTTCCTGCCATTCAGATACCTCAGAGCTCAAACTGCCTGAAGCTTAGCAACAGATTCATCAGAAAATAAAATCTCCTACCCACCCCACCAAAAGGTTATGATGACAGGAAAAATGTTTCCTGTTTCTCCTTAAAGGATGGGGAGGGGGCAGAAAGGAAAGGAGAGAATTTAAAAATCTGGTTTCTTGATGTCTGAGAAAATACAGTTCAGATTAATTACTAGTGCCTTAAATAAGAAACAGGAAAAATGTTCTACACAGAGAGAGTTGCTTTATCTGGCCATAAACGTTTGATACTCATCCCAGGATCCAGGCCCAAAGAGAATTTTAGACAGATCTGAAAAAAAATCAGGCCAAGGATATTTTCAAAAATGGAAACTGGAAATAGAACCCATTGTACTCATACCATTCATCTTCAGATGTATCAGCACTCTCTGTATCTTGAGTCTATCACTTTAACAACCCTTGAAAGTTCAAGAAGGTTTAGTGAGTATGTGTGTATATACTATTCCCCCCCACCTCCATAGAACGTATTTTACCGGTTTCGTTTACAAAGAGAATTTAGGTATTTCCTATCTTGCTTTACTCACCTATAACTTGGAGATCATAAATATGTTTCCATCTCCTGGGGAATGTTCTCTCACATTGCATTCCAAAGATGCGCTCTCCAGATGTGAAAGGTTTTTTTCACTTTTAAAATTTCTTCAGAGCAAGGATCTCTTAATGGAATACAGTATGTATTCACATAATGCCCTGTTAAAGCAAACTAAATATGGCCTGAGAAGGATCCTGTATTTCTATATTTGAGTCCTTGTGGAGGACCTGCAACCTAACTTAAAAGGGAGACAAGATTGAAAACCTAATTTAGGAGTATGCCCTCTAACAATAGCTGAGTCTTGGCCAATACTAGCAACCATACTTCAACCCCTCATACACTGCCGATTATTCAAACTATGTTCAAATAAGGCAAATGTCAACCTGTAGCCAATTCAGCTGTTTCTGTACCTCACTGCTGGTTTCTGTATATCACTTTCCTTTTTTTTTTGGCCTATAAATTTGTTCTGACCATGAGGCATCCCTGGAATCTCTGTGAATCTGCTGTGATTCTGGGGGCTGCCAGATTGACGAATCATTCATTGCTCAATTAAACTCCTTTAAATTTAATTCGGCGGAAGTTTTTCTTTTAACAGCCCGGTCATTAAGGATGTCTTTTGTTAGGATAGATAAGATGTACCTGAGCTTTGTTTTCATTTCCTGTGCAGTCCTGGAATTCTGGTACAGAAGATGTAATAGAGAAGAGGCTGATAGTTTGGAAGCCATATGAAAAGGATGTCAGATTGAATCGGATCCACTATTTTCCAGTTCTTGAGCACTCAGGTGCTTGTTGCTGCCTGTGAGTCCTGATTCTTGGGAGGCAGTCTACGAAAGCAGGCGGTGCTACCTTCCAGGTTATCAGTGCTGGTACTGCTCAGTCACCCTCGGGCCAGCAATGCGTGGGTCAAGATCCGTGAGAATTTTTCAGTGAAACTCATAGTGGCTTTGAGCCAGGCTATGAATTAGATAAAGCTGACTTTTCTTTTTTTATGAAGAACTGACCCTTGTTTTACATCAGTTAGAAAAAAAATTCAGTTTTGAAAAAGGAAAACACTTTAAAGGAAAAGCAGATGGTCTAGGAAGCCGTGTAGTCCCATGCATTAATTCTTTAATAAAGGACGAATTAAAGCCCCAGCCAATCACGAGTACAATAAGACCCTTTCTATTCCCTTTTCTTCTTTTTCCCTTATTCTTATAATTTGCTTTCCAGACCTTAAATAAAGGTAAGCTCAGTGATTCTTGGGTTTGAATCTTTTCTTTGAAATACCTCAGTGTGTACAGGGAAAATATATTGTTTAGATCCTGGACATTGTAAACAAGATCCCTCAAAAGTCCTGAACTATGTATTGAGTTCAACACATTATAATAGGAAAAAAAATAGGATTTAAAATCGGAAGATTTGGCCCCTAAGTATTGGCCATGCACTTACTGAGTGGTTTTATGCCAGTTATTTTCATAACTTTTCTGAATCTGTTTTAATATTTGTAAAAAGGAATAATAATGCCTGCCTCACGGGTTGTTGTGAGGATGCAATGACATAACACTACATGGAAGTGTATGAAATTACCAATATTCAACATTTTTTTTGGAGACAGGGTCTTGTTCTGTCACCCAGGCTGGAATGCTGTGGTGTAATCATGGCTCACTGCAACCTCGAACTCCTGTACTCGAGTGATCTTCCTGCTTCAGCCTCCTGAGTACTTGGGACTACAGGCGTGTGCCACCATGCCTAGTTTATTTTTTATTTTATTTTATTTTTTTGATATACACTGGATCTCACTATGTTACCTAGGCTGGTGTTTAACTCCTGGGTTCAAGCAATCCTCCTGCCTCGGCCTCCCAAAGTGCTGGGATTAGAGGTGTGAGCTACCACATCCAGCCTCGACTGTTTCTAACCTTCACAAACAACTATTTCAAATGGGGCAAACACATATAAACAATGATTTGTAAGTTGTAAGGTAGAATGTAAATTTTATTTCAAATAAAGTGAAAAGTACTTTTTCTTCTCAAGTGTTCAGAAAGACGTGGGCCTTCCCTGACAACCAGAGTAGAAATGTATAAGAAAGCGTATACAGAATTTAAGGAGAAATGACAAGGAAGATAATATTAAGTGAGGAAATGAACTTGTATTCCTTGGATAATCCTGGGCTAAAAGTTAATATAGTGATTAGGGTGATCCATTTAATGAGCTATATACATATATGTGAAATATTCACCTCATCCCATATTAATAGTTCATAGTCCTCAAAGGACACAACATTTCTTATTCAAATTCCTCAATCAAAATCCTTCAACTTAATATGGTTAATAAGGCCATTTGAAATTTGGATAATCTTTACACATTATGTAAAGGAAAAGTAACTCAATCTTAGAGGTGATCAGGAATAGATGATTCATATAATGTCTATTTTAAGAAAATAAGAAAGAAAAATATAAGACCAGCACTTTTTTTTTTTTTTTTTGAGGTGATTAGAGTTCAAGGTGCAGTGAGGCTCAGGAAATGAACTGGCTGACTATGGTGGGTTTTGCCCTTCTTATCCAGTTGAGATATGTTAATACAGAAGGTATGTTTCTGTTTCTGATCCCTCAGACTAACATTCTATAGCCAGAGTTAGTAGCTTTGGCTTAAATCCTTTAATACAGATTTGACAGCCAAAAATGGAAGATTTAAAATAGTGCTAATTCTCTACACTGAGAGAAACAGATCAATAAGGAAGAGCTGGCCGGGTGCTGTGGCTCATGCCTGTAATCCCAGCATTTTGGGAGGCCAAGGCAGGCAGATCACCTGAGGTCAGGAGATCGAGACCAGCCTGGCCAACATGGTGAAACCCCATGTTATCTTATTTGTTGTTACATATTCTCTAGGAGCTGTACCAAGAATGGAAAACACATTTTCTTTCTTTCTCTTTTTCTTTCTTTTTCTTCCTTCCTTCCTTTCTTTTCTTCCTTCCTTTCTTTTCTTTCTTTCTTTCTTTCTTTCTTTCTTTCTTTCTTTCTTTCTTTCTTTCTTCTTTCTTTCTTTCTCTTTCTCTCTTTCTTTTCTTTCTTTCTTTCTTTCTTTTTCTTTTCTTTCTTTCTTTCTTTCTTTTTCTTTTCTTTCTTTCTTTCTTTCTTTCTTTCTTTCTTTCTTCCTTTCTTTCCTTTCTTTCCTTTCTTTCCTTTCTTTCCTTTCTTCCTTTCTTCCTTTCTTTCTTTCCTTTCTTCCTTTCTTTCAGATGGAGTCTTGCTTTTGCTGCCCAGGTTAGAGTGCAATGGCGTGATCTCGGCTCACTGCACCCTCCACCTCCCACGTTTAAGCAAATATCCTGCCTCAGCCTCCTGAGTAACTGGGATTACAGGCATGCACCACCATGCCCAGCTAATTTTTGTATTTTTAGTAGAGATGGGGTTTCACCATGTTGGCCAGGCTGGCCTCGAACTCCTGACCTCAGGTGATCTGCCTGCCTCAGCCTCCCAAAGTGCTGGGATTACAGGTGTGAGCCACTGTGCCTGGCCTGGAAAACACATTTTCAAATTGGCATTATCCAATCTGGTATTTTCAAATTGGTACTATCAATCTGTGTTCTCTGTATTATTTTTCTTTGGTGTTATAACTTTGCCATTAGTTCTACCAATCTGCTGTTCATCAGCTGCTGTCTCCTTAACTAGAATAGGGCTTCCTGTAGTTATCAACAGGTAAAACACATAACTGTCACATGCTTCCATACTGCACACATTATGTTTGTTACTTCTAACATCTATATGTCAATTTTCTGCTGCTTCAATGTCATTTAAAAATGCATGGTCTACTCACACTTTGTTAAGGTGACACTTTGTGAAGGTTGTCATTAACCTGATGCTCACCAAAACTTAACTACAACTTGTGATTTCCCAGTTTAGATGTCTATCTGTAATGATATTCTTGGAGAGATTCTTTAACTCAAGTTTTCTAATGGCAAGCAAAGGAATCATTAAGAGTAACTGAACAGATAGTTAGAAATGGGAAGCATACTCTATTTAAAATTCTCTGTCTGAAAGGTTACACATATCTCTGTTTCTCCAGGATTTGTCCCTGGTGCCTTATTTTATTTGACGACGTCTTGTTTTCCTGGATGGTGTTGATGCTAATAGATGTTCTTCAGTGTCTGGGCTTTGAAGAGTTAGGTATTTATTGTAGTCTTCACTGTCTGAGCTTGTTTGCACCTGTCTTTCTTGGGAAGGGCTTAGATGTTATGATCTAAGCTGTATTTGCTTTAGGGGGCACCCCAAGTCCAGTAATGCTGTGGTTCTTGCAGACTCATAGAGATACTGCCTTGATGGTCTTGGACAATATCCAGGAGAATTCTCTGGATTACCAGCCAGAGACTCTTGTTCTCTTTCCTTTCTCCCAAACAAATGGAGTGTCTCTCTCTCTTCTGAGCCACCTAAATCTAGGGGTGGAGTGACACAAGCACCCCTGTGGCCACCACGACTGTGCAGCACTGGGTCAGACCGGAAGCCAGCACAGCACAGCCCTGGGTCTTGCCCAAGACCTTCTGTAACCACTCCCTGGCTACTGCTTATGTTTACTCAAGTCCCCGGGGCTCTACAATCAGCAGGTGGTAAAGCCAGCCCAGCCTGTCCTTCCCTTCAGGGCAGCAAGTTCCCCCAGACCCTGGCTGGGTCCAGAGATGCTCTCTGGGAGTCAGGGACCAGAGTCAAAAACCTTAGAAGTCTACCTGGTGTTCTACTGTACTGTGGCTGAATGGGTACTCAACACACAAGGTGCAGCCCTTCCCACTCTTCCCTCCCCTTTCCAAAGGCAGAGGAGCCTCACCCTGCAGCCCCTGCCATCACAAGCTACAGCCAGGTTACTGCCCATGTTCCCTTAAGGCCCAAGGGCTCTTCAGTCAGCTTGTGGTGAATGCTGCCTGGCCTGGGACTCACTTTTTAAGGCAATGGTGCCCCTCTGGCCCAGGGCAGGTCCAGAAATCCCATCTAAGAGTCAAGGCCTGGAATCAGGGACCCCCAAGATCCTGCTTGGCACTCTATGCCCCTGTGGCAAAGCTGGTACCTAAGGTGCAAGACAAAGTCCCCTTTACTTTTCCCTCTGTTTTTCTCAAGCAGAAGGAGTTTGGTTTTGCCCTGTAGCCACCATAACTGGGAATGTGCTGAGTCTCACCTGAAGCCAGCAAGTCTCAGAGGCTCACCAAGGCCCTCGACATCGTACTTGGGTATCACTGCCGGTTATTCAGATTTCAAGGGCTCTTCAGTTAGCAAGGGATGAATGCTGCCAGGACTGGGTCCTTCTCTTCAAGGCAGCGGGTTCCCTTTTGGCCCAGGGTGTGTCTAAAAATGTCATCTGGGAGCTAGGGCCTGGAATGAGGGCCTCACAACTTTGGTGCCCCATCCTGCTGAAGCTGAGCTGGTATCCAAGATGCAAGACAAAATCTTTCCTACTCTTTCCTCTCCTGTCCTCAAGCAGAAGGAGGGATTGGCTGCTTTTGGAGCCACATCTGTGCAGCCTGGGGTTAGAAAAGGGGTGATGCCAGCACTCCCTTGGCTGCCCTGGTGTGTGCCCCACCAGCCTGGTGTCTCTGGGCCACTTCAGTCATAGGACTCATCTAAGAGTTGCAGTCCTTGTGGCCTAGACTGTCTTTCTAGTTTACTTAGAGAACCAGAGCATAGCACCCCTTGGTGACAAGCTTTGTGGGAACTCAAGTTTGGACTGTTGGCATCAATGCTTCCCCTTTGGCTAGGGCTGTTTTAAATGCTCTCTCCGTGGATGGGCATCAGCTGAGTTGGGTCCAGTTTTCCTTTCTGCTCTAACAGGACAGCACTGAGTTCAATGTCTCACAATTGCTGTGTTCTCCCTCCCCCAGTGCCCAGAGACCCTCTGCATATGTTGTGGCTACTGGCGTTGGGGGAGAGAAGCATGACATTGAGGCCCCAGGACTATTTTTTCTTTTTCTTTTTTTCTTTTTTTTTTTGAGACAGTGTCGCTCTGTGGCCCAAGTTGGATGGAATGCAGTGGCGCGATCTCTGCTCACTGCAATCTCCACCTCCTGGGTTCAAGCGATTCTTGTGCCTCTGCCTCCTAGTAGCTGGGATTACAGGTGCATGCCACCATACCCAGCTAATTTTTATACTTTTAGTAGAGACAGAGTTTCACTATGTTGGCCATATTGGTCTTGAACTCCTGACTTCAAGCGATCCACCAGCCTCAGCCTCCCAGAGTACTGGGATTACAGGCCTGAGCCACAGCGCCCGGTCTATTTTTTCTATTTCCTCAGTGCCTTAATGAAGTGCCTCAGTGAAGTTAATACCGAGTACTATGAGGTTCACCTGATTTCTGGTTCTCATGAAGGTGATTTTTTTGTGTGTGTAAATTGGTGTAATAGTTGGTAAATTGGCATCCTTGCGGGGAGGGTGACCATCAAGGATCAGCGGAGCTTTCTATTCCACCATCTAGCTCTGCCTCCTGCCAGGAAGCATATTCTAAACAGCAGATGGCAATTGATAGATGACATGTTTCTGGGGTTATTGTCTAATCCTACCTCAATGTGAATTTGTGAAGGTGTGGCTAAGGAAAATGGGTTTTTCTCAATAACCTCTGGATTCTTTTCTTTGATTGGCCCCTTCTTCTACGACTCTTCTTTGTGTTTGTTCTGGGCTAGGTTTCTATTATTCTTGAGACCCATGTGTCCATATCTCAGCCACTGGCATTTCTGGTGGAGGTTTATGGCATTACCTATCTCAGAGCCAGGGGAAGCCACTGCCCCCACAGACCCCGGAAACCTGGTGCATGGTACTGATGAACTAGGAGAGGCCGCTGTATCTAGGAATGCACGGATGAGACCCACAGGAGACTCTGGCTTCCTCAGCGGTTGCCTCGAAGTGTTGGAAGCAGAATTGTGGAAGATGGGAAGTGGGTTGGGGAGAAGACAGGTGCATCGTCTGAAGACAGAAGAGTTTCATGTGGCCTCTCTGGAGATTGTCCACTAAGATCAAGCCACAAACTGCTTGCTGTGGAACCATGCCCTGCTGAGAACCCACCCGCGTGTGGCATCTTTCCCACCTCCTTCACTGTTACTCTGTTGGCACTACTTCCTTCCTTGGGAGTCTCCCTTAGAAATCCTCCTTGATTTTCTTTAATATTTATTTAGCAAATATTTCTTGAGCACTTCCTATGTGTCATGATGATGCTGGTTGTGGTTCCTTGTGGTTCGGTGGGTTTTACTAAGAAATATGACTGAAAAGTGTTGTTTTAAAAAATAATAATAATGATTTTAAAAAGCCAGGAAGGGATGCAGCCTGGTGATAAGAGTTTAAAAAGGCCCCTGTATCTGCCTTGTGGAGAGTGGATTGATGGGCAGGAGTGGAAATGGGGACCACCAATGGGACCTGAACAAGGGGAATGTGTCCATCAGGATGGGGAAGAGGGGATGAATTGACAATATACTCTGGAGATAGAAAAGATAATATTTGGTGATAGATTTAAAGCCAAAGGCTACTCTTTTTAGCTTCTTACTTTTTGTTGATTTTTTTTTTTTTTTTTTTTTTTGAGATGGAGTTTTGCTGTTGTTGTCCAGGCTGGAGTGCAATGGCACAATCTTGGCTCATGGCAGTCTCTGCCTCCTGGGTTCAAAAGATTCTCCTGACTCAGGCTCCCAAGTAGTTGGGATTACAAGCGTGCACCACCACACCCGGGTATTTTTTGTGTTTTTAGTATAGTTGGGGTTTCACCATGTTGGCCAGGCTGGTCTCAAATTCCTGACCTCAGGTGATCCACCCACCTCGGCCTCCCAAAGTGCTGGGATTATAGGCATGAGCCACCAAGCCCAGCCCTTGCTGATTT
Organism: Homo sapiens; assembly: GCF_000001405.40. NCBI lineage: Eukaryota > Metazoa > Chordata > Mammalia > Primates > Hominidae > Homo > Homo sapiens. The sequence continues at coordinate 86,467,759 of NC_000009.12, forward strand.
TTTTTTAACCCACATAGCTGAAGTGTGCTACTAAGTGTTATAACTTAGCTTTCACTAGTTTCCTTATAGATACCAGTTCTAATGTATGTACTACCATGGTACCAGTTGCTTAAGTTGTTTTTCAGAAATGTCGGGCAGCTCTTGTGCAGTTTAAACTGGCTAGAACTGACCTTCTGACTGAGCCTGCATGATTAACCTTTTGACATCAGAGAGCCCCAAACTCCACCCTCAGATCATGCTAACGCTTCCATATTCTGAACATGCTGTGAAGATCCATGGATCCCAACTATGCTTGTGGAGATCATGAATTGCCTCATTTTTTTCCACTGCCAGTTGCCCTTCCCCACACCTTAGACCACCCAACTTCTCTAACCCTTAAATGTCCCTAAGTCTGATCTTCAGGGAGGCTGATATGAGAGCTCTTCTCCTGGCTCCTTGCTGGACTGTCCTGTGAATAAATTTTTTCTCTTTTGGCCAAACTCATCATCATAGTGATTAGTTGACTGTACATGGGCAAAATGAGCCTGGTTCAGTATCAGACTGAATAAGTGGAGGAATGAGGAAAAGGAAGGCATTAACAGTGATTCCTGGGTTTGTGACGTGAGGAAATGGGGGTGGGGAGATTTACTGAGATAAGGGTGGGGTGGGGCATTGGAGGATGACCAGGTTTTTTTGTTTTTGTTTTTGTTTTTTAAATGGAGTTTCACTCTTGTTGCCCAGGCTGTAGTGCAATGGAGTGATCTCAGCTCATTGCAACCTCTGCCTCCTGGGTTCAAGCGATTGTCCTGCCTCAGCTTCCTGAGTAGCTGGGATTACAGGTGCCCGCCACCACGCCCGGCTAATTTTTGTAGCTTTAGTAGAGATGAGGTTTCACCATGTTGGCCAGGTTGGTCTCGAACTCTGGATCTCAGGCAATCTGCCCGCCTCAGCCTCCCAAAGTGCTAGGATTACAGGCATGAGCCACTGCGCCAGGCAAGGGTGACCAGGTTTTTATGGTAAATTGGAATGGTTCAAACCTTTCAAGAACTTGAAGACGCATCACTAATTCATCTCTTAAAAATCCCCTTTTAGCTAAATAACCCTCTACCTCAAGACAAGGTTATTTTTCTACGTCTGTGTTGTTTTCGAGTTGACTGTTGTGTATTGGCGGTCACTTAAAAAACCTCTCCCTCGGCCGGGCGTGGTGGCTCATGTCTGTAATCCTAGCACTTTGGGAGGCCGAGGCAGGTGGATTGCCTGAGCTCAGGAGTTCAAGACCAGCCTGGGCAACACGGTGAAACCCCATCTCTACTAAAATACAAAAAATCAGCCGGGCGTGGCAGCATGCACCTGTAGTTCCAGCTACTCGGGAGGCTGAGGCAGGAGAAGCTCTTGAACCTGGGAGGCAGAGGTTGCAGTGAGCCGAGGTCATGCCACTGCACTCCAGCTTGGGAGAGAGAGTGAGACTCCATCTCCAAAAAAACAAAACAAAACCAAAGAAACCTCTCTCTTTTTAATTTTATGACTCTTTGGCAACTTTTCTTCCTTACCTAGTAAGGAGTTCTGCTTTCAGTAGTGTATCTTTGGTTCATTCCATTTAAGTAATGTATTTTGGTTAACTTTTTGCACTTGTGAACTGAAGTTTATCTTTTATCATCACCAATAGTGTATTTTCTAGATCTCACACTTTTATTTTTCAGTACATAGACACCAATTCTACTTACATTTTTACTTTTTAAATGGCCATTTCCCTTTCTCCTGAGCGGTGCAAGGTCAGAAATAAACAGGTCTGCACACATTTATATCTTTCCATAATGTGAAACTTTTATTGATGCTATTTAATCACAAAAGCCATGAGCTACATGGAATTCCTAAGAAGCCAACTCTCCTTAGTACTTCACATTTACTTAGTTCTCAGAGCTGCGGGCACAGGCTCAAGCCACTCCACCAGTCAGTCAATATTACAAACCATACACAATAGTATACTTGATTAATATGTAAACATTATAGATTAAACATTCCCCAACAAACGAAGTAACATTTAACATCAAGAGAAAAAGACGTAGGAAAAAAATCGTTAATGAACCATTCTTCATTAACTAGGGAGAGTGACTAAGACAGAAAGAATCTTGTGGTGTGAGCCAGGCTGTCTGACTCTCTTGCATGGAAGGGTCTTTGATGCTGGCAGAACCTTCAGTGGCAGATGCCAAGTACTCATCATGAGTGACAGGAAGACAGTGTCAGCTAAGATGGCCATTTCGAGCTGCTGAAGCCCTTCTCTTTTTATGGCCACAGAGTTCTCTGGTGAGGACTGATAATGGAAGGGTGTGCTTGTTTACATCCTTATCTGGTTGGATGCGGTCTTTATTATACATTTATTTATTAAGCAAAACATCTAGTTTCTGTTGGCAAAGTGCCCAATGAAATGTAAGATGGAGTCTTTTTCTAAGATGGAGTTACTTATGTCAAGGGTGCTCTATACACCCTTCATTCAACAGAAAGCACGTGCATAAAAAGGAACACAGATCTTAACTGTAAGCAATTTGATGGAGACATTTTCTGGAGGAACTAAGGGAATAATTCAGGGGGGATGTTGTTCTGGAAAACTACACAATTTTTATTTCTTTAAATATTGGTTGTCAAGGAAAGTTTCATAAATCATTGGTTAATATTTGAAGACAAATATGGAATTAGATTGAAATGCTTTCCACAGAAATATCCCAGCTGTTTCCCAACAGAACCTCAGAGCTTCACTTTCAGTCAGGACTGGGATTGGACAATATCCATTTTAGAACAAATATTCTCCCATGCCAACATTTCTGTGGCTGGAAAAGTCAAGAGAGAAATTTAGAACAGCTTTATTGTACTAGTTCAGTAATTTCCAGTACTAGTTCAGGAGTCACACTCGAAGATAACAACAGAATAATTCTAATTCAGGATATCCTTGGCAAATAATCATTTGGAATTTACTCCTAGAAATTTCTCTGGACCTCACTAGATTTTCCTAACTCTATATGTTTCTGACTTTCTGTGACTATCATTTGTCTGAACCTTGTGTTCTTGATGAGTACCCATTGATGAGAATCAAAAAACAAATCAGAATTTTACTGAGGTTGAAATCTTACTGATGAGCCTTATATCTGAGAAGGGAGATTAGCACTTTGTCAAAAGTTCAGCATTCCTCGACCCCCAGCTCTCCTTCTTTTTTTTTTTTTTTTTTTTTTTTTTGAGACTGAGTCTTGCTCTGTTGCCCTGCCTGGAGTGCAGGGGTGCAATCTCAGCTCACTGCAGCTTCCACCTCCTGGGTTCAAGCGATTCTCCTGCCTCAGCCTCCTGAGTAGCTGGGATTACAGGTGCGCACCAACATGCCTGGCTAATTTTTATATTTTTAGTAGAGACAGGGTTTCACCATGTTGGCCATGTTGGTCTCGAACTCCTGACCTCGTGATCCGCCCACCTCGGCTTCCCAAAGTGCTGGGATTACAGGCGTGAGCCACTGTGCCCAGCCTCCTTCCCATTTTTAGATGGAAAAGAAGACTGGCAACGGTTTTTCTTTGGTAGAATGTTAATGTTTTCCTTTGATGTAAGCTTGGTGTTTGGAACGGGGAGCCAAGATCTGCAGTTTTAGGTTTGAAATCTACTCTGTGGCTCACGGCCAGTTAGTTCATATCTTGACTTTGGGATTCTGAACTTTAAATGAAGTACAGAAATTTCTTTCTTCCCTGGGGTGAAGGGCTATTGTAGAGCTTAATTAATTTGTAACTTGTAATGTGCTTTGAAGAATAAAAGGACTTTATAAAAATACTAAACATTATAGTAATTACAACTTCTGTGTTTGTAAGCAAACTATTTTGTAAGCAAACTATTAAGACAATTGAGGCCATTTATACATCAAAAATAAAGTGAAGATTTGGCCATGTTCCAGGTGAGTTGATAAATGTAGACAGCTGAAAGATAGTTCATTATATAAAGTGAACTTTTTCCCCCTGGAGGAGGAGGTGCTCTTGAGCCAGTTTCTCTGTCTGCAGGATTCAGATGGACTGAATGACTGTTACATCTTCACTTTTATTTTGTAGATGCAACTTCTACAAGTGTGGCAAATGGTTTCAATTTGTTTATTTTTGAATAAATAGAAATAGGTGCTTCTACAGACAAAGTTGAGTGTTGGCAAGGATTAGGATTGCCAGATGAAATACAGGCAGCTTAGTTTAATTTGAATTTCAGATAAACAACACATAATGTTTTAGTGTACATATGTCCCCTGCAATATAGTGGATAAATAAATTGTAGTATATTCGTGCACTAGAACACTGTAGAGCAATGGGAAGACATAAATTGCACCTACACGCAACAATAGGAACGGATTTCAGAAACAGTATTGAAGGAAGGCCCTAGTCACAAAGAGTACATACTGTGTGATTCCAATTACATGAAGTTTGTAAAGAGGCAAAACTAAACTATGGGTTTAGTGGTCACTGTGGAAGGTTGTGAGTGGGAGGGTTCATGAGGGGGTTTTGGGGGTGCTGGTCATGTTCTGTTTCATGATCTCGGTGCTAGTTATAAGAGTGTCTTCACTGAAGTGTCATACTTATGGTTTATGTACTTTTCTTTTTTTTGTTTTTTGAGATGGAGTCTCGCTCTGTTGCCTAGGCTGGAGTGCAATGGCGCGATCTCGGCTCACTGCAATCTCCACCTCCCGAGTTCAAGCGATTCTCCTGCCTCAGTCTCCCAAGGAACTGGGATTACAGGTGCCCGCCACCACACCCAGCTAAGTTTTGTACTTTTTTTAGTAGAGACGGGGTTTCACCATGTTGGCCAGGCTGGTTTTCAACTCCCGACTTCAGGTGATCCATCCACTTTGGCCTCCCAAAGTGCTGGGATTACAGGTGTGAGCCACAGTGCCCAGCCACTTTTCTTTTTTTTAAAATGTACTTTTCTTTATGTATGTTATATCTGAATAGAATTCACAAGAAAAGAGAAAATAAATTTAGGTTTCGCGAGGAAAATTTGAGAAATAATGTACTATATACATATATATACACACATATAGATGTATATTCATATATTGTCCATTTTATTATTATATGTGCCTATTTAATCTAGGAAATTAAGATCTCTAACCTGAAGGCTATGTTTAGTATCATATTATTTGCTCTTAGACAAATACTTTGAATGCACAAAAACTAAGATTTTTGGCTTTAATTATTTATTCATATTTTCATTTGTTTACATACTGAGTAATTTTTTACTGCTTGGTGGGGACTGCATGACACAATGATTATCACATTTTATTACAAATATTAATGAAGTTTGCTTTTTTAAATTACTTGAGTAGGAGTAATAGAACTGGATTAACCAATTAATTCAAAGTAAATAACTACTTTTTAAAAAGGAAGAAAATATAATAGGTTTTTATTTAAAAAGTAACTGTTTACCAAATTAAGACTTCTATTGATGACAGTTAAAAATGTGAACTCTGCTGTGGGGGCCAAGTATTACCAAATGTTGCCATTAACCATCAAACACCAAATGTCTAGTATGTGAATAACCAGTTGTGTGGGGGTTGTCTAGCACTTTTAAGATAAACACAGAAAACAGCCTGGTGATTTTTTAAATGAACTTGACCAGTAAAAATAGAAAAGAAAGTCTACCAAATCAAATATTTGTAAAATAAACATATGTAAATATATGTCAACTTTGAAAGACTTAATACTATATTCATTGAGAAAATATATAAGATGAATATGGGAAAGAATTTTCAAGTGAAGATCATTTTATCTTGGCCATGGTACAATTAGTAGTGTAGTTGTAGTCCTTAATTGGTATTTAGATTTATTAATTATAATGGAAGTATAAGGTGTGTGGTTTGCAAAATAAGCACTCTAGAATTCACACATTAAAACGCTTGTTTAGGCAACAAAAGCAAAAATAAATAAGTGGGAGTACGTCAAACCAAAAAGCTCTGCACGCTCTGCACAGAAAGGAAACAATCAAAAGTGAAAAGGCAACTTAGGGAATGAGAGAATACATTTGCAATCCATATATCTGATAAGGGGTTAATACCAAAAATATATAAGGAATCATACAACTCAGTAGCAAAAAAGCCCGAAATAATCCAATTAAAAAATGGGCAAGGGACCTGAACAGACATTTTCCAAAGAAGACATACAGATGGCCAATAGGTATATGAAAAGGTGCTCAATATTACTAATTATCAGGGAAATGCAAATCAAAACCACAATGAGATATCATCTCATACCCGTTAGGATGGCTATTATCACAAAGACAAGACAGTAAGTGTTGGCAAGGATGTGGAGAAAAGGTAGGACTGTAAATTGGTATAGTAATTATAAAAAACAGTATAGAGGTTCCTCAAAAAACTAGAAATAGAGCTCTGTATGATCTAGCAATTCCACTTGTGGGTATACAGCCAATGGAAATGAAATCAGTATGTTGAAGAGATAGCTGCACTCCCATGTTCATTTCAGCATTATTTATAATTGCCAACATATGGAGATGACCTAAGTGTCTGTTGATATATAGAGAGATAATGAAAATGTGGTATATGTATGCTGGACTATTATTCAGCCATAAAAAGAAGGAAATATTGCCATTTGTGATAACATGGGTGAATCTGGAGGACATTATGCTAAGTGAAATAAGCAAGACACAGAAAGACAAATATCACATGATCTCACTTATAAGTAGAGTCTAAAAAGTTGAGCTCATGGAAACAGAGAGTAGAATAGTGGTTGCCAGGGGCTGGGGCTTGGGGAAATGGAGAGATGTTCATCAAAGGGAGATGCTGATCAAATTTTAGGGACCGAATGTACAGTATGGTAACTATCATCGACAATACTGTATTGTTTACTTGAAATTTGCTAAGAGAGTAGATCTTAAGTGTTCTTACCACATGTACTGAGAAAAGTAACTATGTGAAATGGTGTATATGTATACCCAAATATCACATTGTACACTGTAAATACATACCATGTTTATTTATTTATTTTTATTACACTTTAAGTTCTAGGGTATATGTGCACAACGTGCAGGTTTGTTACTTATGTATACATGTGCCATGTTGGTGTGCTGCACCCATTAACTCGTCATTTGCATTAGGTATATCTCCTAATGCTATCCCTCCCCCCTACCCCTACCCCACGACAGGCCCCAGTGTGTGATGTTCCCCACCCTGTGTCCATGTGTTCTTATTGTTCAGTTCCCACCTATGAGTGAGAACATGTGGTGTTTGGTTTTCTGTCCTTGCGATAGTTTGCTGAGAATGATGGTTTCCAGCTTCATCCATGTCACTAAAAAGGACATGAACTCATCCTTTTTTATGGCTGCATAGTATTCTATGGTGTATATGTGCCATATTTTCTTAATCCAGTCTATCATTGATGGACATTTGGGTTGGTTCCAGGTCTTTGCTATTGTGAATAGTGCCACAATAAACATATGTGTGCATGTGTCTTTATAGCAGCATGATTTATAATCCTTTGGGTATATACCCAGTAATGGGATGGCTGGGTCAAATGGTATTTCTAGTTCTAGATCCTTGAAGAATCACCACACTGTCTTCCACAATGGTTGTACTAGTTTATAGTCCCACTAACAGTGTAAAAGTGTGCCTATTTCTCCACATCCTCTTCAGCACCTGTTGTTTCCTGACTTTTTAATGATCGCCATTCTAACTGGTGTGAGATGGTATCTCATTATGGTTTTGATTTGCATTTCTCTGATGGCCAGTGATGATGAGCATTTTTTCATGTGTCTTTTGGCTGCATAAATGTCTTCTTTTGAGAAGTGTCTGTTCATATCCTTTGCCCACTTGTTGATGGTGTTGTTTTTTTCTTGTAAATTTGTTTGAGTTCTTTGTGGATTCTGGATATTAGCCCTTTGTCAGATGGGTAGATTGTAAAAATTTTCTCCCATTCTGGTGCAGTACACCAACATGGCACATGTATACATATGTAACAAACCTGCACATTGTGCACATGTACCCTAAAACTTAAAGTATAATAATAATAAAATTAAATTAAAAAAAAGAAATTAAATGTGAGACAATAACAACAACAAAAAAATTTTCTCCCATTCTGTAGGTTGCCTGTTCACTCTGATGTTGGTTTCTTTTGCTGTGCAGAAGCTCTTTAGTTTAATTAGATCCCATTTGTCTATTTTGGCTTTTGTTGCCATTGCTTTTGGTGTTTTAGACATGAAGTCCTTGCCCATGCCTATGTCCTGAATGGTATTGCCTAGGTTTACTTCTAGGGTTTTTATGGTTTTAGGTCTAACATTTAAGTCTTTAATCCATCTTGAATTAGTTTTTGTGTAAGGTGTAAGGAAGGGATCCAATTTCAGCTTTCTGCATATGGCTAGCCAGTTTTCCCAGCACCATTTATTAAATAGGGAATCCTTTCCTCATTTCTTGTTTTTGTCAGGTTTGTCAAAGATCAGATGGTTGTAGATGTGTGGTATTATTTCTTAGGGCTCTGTTCTGTTCCATTGGTCTATATCTCTGTTTTGGTACCAGTACCATGCTGTTTTGGTTACTGTAGACTTGTAGTTTAGTTTGAAGTCAGGTAGCATAATGCCTGCAGCTTTGTTCTTTTGGCTTAGGATTGACTTGGCGATGCGGGTTCTTTTTTGGTTCCATATGAACTTTAAAGTAGTTTTTTCCAATTCTGTGAAGAAAGTCATTGGTAGCTTGATGAGGATGGCATTGAATCTATAAATTACCTTGGGCAGTATGGCCATTTTCATGATATTGATTTTTCCTATCCATGAGCATGGAATGTTCTTCCATTTGTTTGTGTCCTCTTTTATTTCATTGAGCAGTGGTTTGTAGTTCTCCTTGAAGAGGTCCTTCACATCCCTTATAAGTTGGATTCCTAGGTATTTTGTTCTCTTTGAAGCAATTGTGTTTGGGAGTTCACTCATGATTTGGCTCTCTGTTTGTCTGTTATTGGTGTATAAGAATGCTTGTGATTTTTGCAGATTGATTTTGTATCCTAAGACTTTGCTGAAGTTGCTTATCAGCTTCAGGAGATTTTGGGCTGAGACGATGGGGAGTCTCACTCTGTCGCCCAGGCTGGAGAGCAGTGGCGCAATCTTGGCTCACTGCAAGCTCCGCCTCCTGGGTTCATGCCATTCTCCTGTCTCAGCCTCCTGAGTAGCTGGGACTGCAAGCGTCCGCCACCACGCCCAGCTAATTTTTTTGTATTTTTAGTGGAGATGGGGTTTCACTGTGTTAGCCAGGATGGTCTCAATCTCCTGACCTCGTGATCCGCCCATCTCGGCCTCCCAAAGTCCTGGGATTAAAGGTGTGAGCCACCACGCCCAGCTAGACCGTTGGGTTTTCTAATTATAAATCATGTCATCTGCAAACAGGGGCAATTTGACTTCCTCTTTTCCTAATTGAATATCCTTTATTTCTTTCTCCTGCCTGACTGCCCTGGTCAGCACTTCCAACACTATGTTGAATAGGAGTGGTGAGAGAGGGCATCCCTGTCTTGTGCCAGTTTTCAAAGGAAATGCTTCCAGTTTTTGCCCATTCAGTATGATACTGGCTGTGGGTTTGTCATAAAAAGCTCTTATTATTTTGAGATACATCCCATCAATACCTAGTTTATTGAGAGTTGTTAGCATGAAGGGCTGTTGAATTTTGTCGAAGGCCTTTACTGCATCTATTGAGAAAATCATGTGGTTTTTGTCTTTGGTTCTGTTTATATGCTGGATTACGTTTATTGATTTGCGTATGGTGAACCAGCCTTGCATCCCAGGGATGAAGCCCACTTGATCATGATGGATAAGCTTTTTGATGTGCTGCTGGATTCGGTTTGCCAGTATTTTCTTGAGGATTTTTGCATCAATGTTCATCAGGGATATTGGTCTAAAATTCTCTTTTTTTGTTGTGTCTCTGCCAGGCTTTGGTATCAGGATGATGCTGGCCTCATAAAATGAGTTAGGGAGGATTCCGTTTTTTATTATTGATTGGAATAGTTTCAGAAGGAATGATACCAGCTCCTGTTTGTACCTCTGGTAGAATTTGGCTGTGAATCCGTCTGGTCCTGGACTTTTTTGGCTTGCTAGGCTATTAATTATTGCCTCTATTTCAGAGCCTGTTATTGGTCTATTCAGGGATTCAACATCTTCCTGGTTTAGTCTTGGAAGGGTGTATGTGTCCAGGAATTTATCCATTTCTTCTAGATTTTCTAGTTTATTTGCATAGAGATATTTATAGTATTCTCTGATGGTAGTTTGTATTTCTGTGGGATCGGTGGTGATATCCCCTTTATCATTTTTTATTGCATCTATTTGATTCTTCTCTCTTTTCTTCTTTATTATTCTTGCTAGCAGTCTCAATTTTGTTGATCTTTTCAAAAATCCAGCTCCTGGATTCACTGATTTTTTGAAGGGTTTTTTGTGTCTCTATTTCCTTCAGTTCTGCTCTGATCTTAGTTATTTCTTGCCTTCTGCTAGCTTTTGAATTTGTTTGCTCTTGATTCTCTAGTTCTTTTAATTGTGATGTTAGGGTGTCGATTTTAGATCTTTCCTGCTTTCTCCTGTAGGTTAAAATTCTCTTTTTTTGCTATAATTTTGCTATAAATTTCCCTCTACACACTGCTTTAAATGTGTCCCAGAGATTCTGGTACATTGTGTCTTTGTTCTCATTGGTTTCAAAGAACATCTTTATTTCTGCCTTCATTTCATTATTTACTCAGTAGTCATTCAGGAGCAGGTTATTCAGTTTCCATGTAGTTTAGTGGTTTTGAGTGAGTTTCTTAATCCTGAGTTCTAATTTGGTTGCACTGTGGTCTGAGAGACAGTTTGTTATAATTTCTGTTCTTTTACATTTGCTGAGGAGTGCTTTACTTCCAACTATGTGGTCAATTGTGGAATAAGTGCGATGTGGTGCTGAGAAGAATGTATATCTGTTGATTTGGGGTGGAGAGTTCTGTAGATGTCTATTAGGTCTGCTTGGTGCAGAGGTGAGTTCAATTCCTGGATATCCTTTTAACTTTCTGTCTCGTTGATCTGTCTAATGTTGACAGTGGGGTGTTAAAGTCTCCCATTATTATTGTGTGGGAGTCTAAGTCTCTCTGTAGGTCTCTAAGGACTTGCTTTATGAATCTGGGTGCTCCTATATTGGGTGCATATATATTTAGGATAGTTAGCTCTTCTTATTGAATTGATCCCTTTACCATTATGTAATGGCCTTGTCTCTTTTGATCTTTGTTGGTTTAAATTCTGTTTTATCAGAGACTAGGATTGCAACCCCTGCTTTTTTTTTTGTTTTCCATTTGCTTGATAGATCTTCCTCCATCCCTTTATTTTGAGCCTATGTGTGTCTCTGCACGTGAGATTGGTCTCCTGAATATAGCACACTGATGGGTCTTGACTCTTTATCCAATTTGCCAGTCTGCATCTTTTAATTGGAGCATTTAGCCTATTTACGTTTAAGGTTAATATTGTTATGTGTAAATTTGATCCTATCATTATGATGTTAGCTGGCTATTTTGCTCACTAGTTGATGTAGTTTCTTCCTAGCTTTGATGGTCTTTACAATTTGGCATGTTTTTGCAGTGGCTGGTACCGGTTGTTCCTTTCCATGTTTAGTGCCTCCTTCAGGAACTCTTGTAAGGCAGGCCTGGTGGTGACAATCTCTGAGCATTTGCTTGTCTGTAAAGGAGTTTATTTCTCCTTCACTTATGAAGCTTAGTTTGGCTGGATATGAAATTCTGGGTTGAAAATTCTTTTCTTTAAGAATGTTGAATGTTGGCCCCCACTTTCTTCTGGCTTGTAGAGTTTCTGCCGAGGGATCTGCTGTTAGTCTGATGGGCTTCCCTTTATGGGTAAGCTTACTTTTCTCTCTGGCTGCGCTTAACATTTTTCCCTTCATTTCAACTTTGGTGAGTCTCACAATTACGTGTCTTGGAGTTGCTCTTCTCGAGGAGAATCTTTGTGGCGTTCTCTGTATTTCCTGAAATTGAATGTTGGCCTGCCTTGCTAGATTGGGGAAGTTCTCCTGGATAATACCCTGTAGAGTGTTTTCCAACTTGTTTCCATTCTCCCTGTCACTTTCAGGTACACCAATTAGACGTAGATTTGGTCTTTTCACATAGTCCCATATTTCTTGGAGGCTTTGTTCATTTCTTTCTACTCTTTTTTCTCTAAACTTCTCTTTTTGTTTCATTTCATTCATTTGATCTTCAATCACTGATATCCTTTCTTCCACTTGATCGAATCAGCTACTGAAGCTTGTGCATGCATCATGTAGTTCTCATGCCATGGTTTTCAGCTCCATCAGGTCATTTAAGGTCTTCTCTACACTCTTTAGTCTAGTTAGCCATTCATCTGATCTTTCTTCAAGGTTTCTAGCTTCTTCGCAATGGGTTTGAACATCTTCTTTTAGCTCGGAGAAGTATGTTATTACTGATCGTCTGAGGCCTACTTCTGTCAACTTGTCAAAGTCATTCTCCGTCCAGCTTTGTTCTATTGCTGGTGAGGAGCTGCATTCCTTTGGATGAGAAGAGGCACTCTGATTTTTAGAATTTTTAGCTTTTCTGCTCTGTTTTTTCCCCATCTTTGTGGTTTTATCTACCTTTGGTCTTCGATGATGGTGACATACAGATAGGGTTTTGGTGCAGATGTCCTTTCTGTTTGTTAGTTTTCCTTCTAATATTCAGGACTCTCAGCTGCAGGTCTGTTGGAGTTTGCTGGAGGTCCATTCCAGACCCTGTTTGCCTGGGTATCACGAGTGGAGGCTGCAAAACAGCAAATATTGCAGAGCAGCAAATGTTGCTACCTGATCCTTCTTCTGGAAGCTTCGTCTCAGTGGGGCACCCAGCTATATGAGGTGTCAGTCGGCCCCTACTGGGAGGTGTCTCCCAGTTAGGCTACTTGGGGTGCAGGGACCCACTTGAGGAGGCAGTCTGTCTGTTCTCAGATCTCAAACTCAGTGCTGGGAGAACCACTACTCTCTTCAAAGCTGTCAATCAGGGACATTTAAGTCTGCAGAAGTTTCTGCTGCCTTTTGTTCATCTATGCCCTGCCCCCAGAGGTGGAGTCTACAGAGGCAGGCAGGCCTCCGAGCCATGCACAGGATATAATCTCCTGGTGTGCTATTTGCTAAGACCTTTGGGAAAGCACAGTATTAGGGTGGGAGTGTCCTGATTTTCCAGGTACCGTCTGTCATGGCTTCCCTTGGCTAGGAAAGGGAATTCCCCAAACCCTTGTGCTTCCTGGGTGAGACGATGCCTTGCCCTGCTTCGGCTCACACTCTGTGGGCTGCACCCACTGTCCAACCAGCCCCAGTGAGATGAACCTGGTACCACAACTGGAAATGAGGAAATCACCTGTCTTCTGTGTCGCTCACGCTGGGAGCTGTAGACTGGAGCTGTTCCTATTTGGCCATCTTGGACAAAAATCCATACATACAATTTTTATTTGTCAGTTATACTTCAATACAGCTGGAAAAAATATACGTTCACCTTGGAAGACCATTTATGTATTTTAAAATGCAGATTTGTTCCAAGAATTTTTGGTATTTCTTCTTTACATTTTTTTCTACTGAATATCCTTGATTGGTGGTCAATTTTCATATTTAGAAGCCTCTTTTGTTTTCGAGAACAACCAAGACTCATTTAGAACCAAGTTTGGTAAATGAGAGGGTAATTAAGCCCAATAATACTGTATTTAGACAAAGAGGGAAGTGATTACAGAGTAATGAGATCTTATCCTAGGTGCCTTGTAAATGAACTTTAAAGCAGTTTTAAACATAATGTTCCATATATGTGCATTGAAAGCACCAATGATATAGTATCCTATCATTAGGATATAGTATCAAATGATGGCTTCCTAGTAGATGACACTTATTTGAGTGGCTGTGGTCTGCTCAGCTGTTGAGACAGCTGTACTGACTTTTAGTCACCATCTAGTCCACCTCTCATGGTTACACAGTGATCCAGTCCAACACGTCATGGTTTAGTTGTACGCCCCTCTCTAGGTCTGTGATTTCAGGATTCAAATTTCCCTGACATTCCTTTATTTGAAGCTGACACTAATAGCAACATTATTTCCAAATGAGAAATATTGTAAACAATCAAAATATGTTCCACGTTCCTCAAATCAGATGATCGTAGTTTTTGGGAGAGTCAGGTAGAACTGTGTGACTAAACATATACACAGGCTTCAAAAATAGGCCAATCATTGAATCTTGGCTGAGACGCTAACTAGCTGCATTTCTTCAGGCAATTTACTTAACCTCTCTAGCCTTGTTTTCCTCATAAAATGGGGACAATAACATCTTATGCTTTATAAGGATGGTTATGTGTAAAAAAGGCAATAATGATAAGGCACTTAATAATAGTGCCCATTCTGAGGAAGGCACCCAATACAACAAGCAGTACATTGAAAAATCCAGTGAAACAACAGCTTGTTTATGTCTGAAATCCTTAAACCTTTCTCTCATTGGCAGTTTTAGCCATAGATATCATTACGCTCTGGGTCAAGTAGAGGGTATATTTTACAGACTGGGTTGGGAAAATAGAACATAAATTTGCTGGTGCCAAGTTCTAAACACATTCACACAGTGTGGTAAACCAACCTCTTACTTTCATTCACTTACATGTGGCTAGCTGGAGCTAGTACTGGGAGCCTTGCTTTTTTGGTGTTGAATTCCATGAAATGAAAGAGTCAGACTGAAGTGGCACCTTCACTATCAAATGTGCCTACCGTGGGCCAGTCGGTCTGTGGTGACCTTGCCTGTGATCTTTCAACTTTGTCTCATTGTGGATCATCTCAAGTCCACCTTTAGGATAAACCTGTATGCAGGACTGTGCACGCATGTGCATGCCAATATTAAGAGACATGAGGACGGGGAATTCAGAACTGCAGCAATGGGTGGAGCAGGAGTAGTGACTGTAGAGGAGATTTCATTGCCACCCTTACATACAAGACACTCACTACTCTCTTAGTTCCAGCCTTCTCAGACAAAAGCAGAAGCCTGGGTGTGGTGGCTCACACCTGTAATTCCAGCATTTTCGGAGGCCGAGGCAGGTGCATCAATTGAGGCCAGGAGTTCAAGACCAGCCTAGCCAACACGGTGAAACCCCATCTCTACTAAAAATACAACAAGTTAGCCGGGTATGGTGGTGTGCACAGCCAGCTATTTGGGAGGCTGAGGCACAAGAATCACTTAAACCCATGAGGCAGAGGTTGCAGTGAGCTGAGATTGTGCCACTGCACTCCAGCATAGGCAACAGAGCAAGACTCTGTCTCAAAAAAAGAAAAGAAAAGAAAGAAAAGAAAAAAGAAAAGAAAACAAAAGAAACTAGAAAACTGCTGCTTAACACCAGTGGTTCCTTAGTGGTTGTAGAGTGAGGACTCCTTTTCAAAGTCAGACAATTTAATGGACTCCAAATGCTGTGGCTTGTACTTTCAATATCTGTTGCATGAGAAGACACAAAATGACACAAAGGTACAGTAAATTCAGTGATTCTTTCAGGAATGTATATCTTATTGGTAACAAGCATTGATGAAATGAGCATGGCATAGTATTTATTTTGTCTGAATAGGATACTTGGTGCACCTGTGGATTCTGGGTGCCATGCATGACCTCTGGGGCCCCTCAGGGGTCTCTCTTTTTGGAAACACAGCCATCAACTCTATCTGGGAAGCAATTATGCTGGGAAGACATTACATTGATGTGTACAATGAGTGAAATCTACTCAGCTCACTGGCTGTGTCACCTTAGGCAAATGATGTCATTGTGTATAAAATGGGACTAAAAACTTACTTCTTAGGATTGTTGTGAGGATTAAATGAGACAAGCCAAAGAAGGTCTGCATGACCTAAGGATCATTGTCCTCTGGAAAAAAACAAGTTTATTAATCTTGTGGGCAGCTTCCAGGAGGTCAGGACATCAAGTTAATCAATTATTAGTGAGTTAGTGACTACCTCTACTGTAAGTAATCATGCATGGAAGGAGGAAAGGACAAAGACAAAGGAAATTAAGTAAAGCAAACATCTTATGATTTTTATAATATAGGCTCAGTTACAGAAGTTTTCAACTAAACAATTGGGTGTGGTGTATCCAGATACTGCCAGCATGTTATTTCAAAAGATGGTCATTAACCCCTTATTCCCAGTCCCTCTCTGCTGAGTTATGGAAATCAAACTCCACCCACTCCCACATTGTTCCCAATGTATTTCTGAAAGCCTCTCAGGTTGCTGTCACCATGTGACACTTTGTGTGTGTATGGCTACCTCTAAAATTTTTGCTTAGAACAGTAACTGGCTCATGGTAAGCACTATGTGACATTAGCTATCATCATCAGCAACCTTAACACGTGGTTGGATCAAGTTCCTCATATTCCTTGTTACAGCCTCCTTGGCATGTGCTCCATGTCTCTCCCATGGCACTTTTGCTAATGGGCAGTGGGCCTTGCTCTAGCTGATGTTATCACCATCCCCTGAGCTGGAGGCGCAGGCACCGCAGTCCTGCTTACCATTGCATCTCAAGTGGGGCGTTTTCTGTTCCCTATACTTCATCCCCAAAAAATGAAAGCCAGGCCACAACTTTTGATAGGTCCTTATTAAGACCCAGGAGTCAATGAAGAGACAAACAACAGAGAAATGGTTTGTGTAGCTCTTAGTAGTGGTTCTGCTCCAACCCCAGGGACCCAGATTCTCCTTAGGGTCTTTTATGGCTGCCTACCCCTTGGGAATATCTGAGCAAGACTAAGACAGAGCAATATGTTTCCCTCGGTCAAGAAAGCAAGAAAGCCCCTGAGCCACAACTCCGACTCAAGTCTATGTAACAATTTACATTTCCAAGTCAAGGCTTTGCCTCCTGTTCTAAAAGAACCAATTTTTCCCAAGTCCAGGCTGCATTTTCTGTTCTAAAAGAGCCAAATTTTATCGGTGGGGTCTTCCACACACTCCGATAAGAATCTTTGTGAGTATCCTCGATTTACATTAGTGACCAAAGGACACATTTTGGTGTTCCTAAAGCAAAGCAAAATGTTTGCCTGGAAGGCGAATTCAATCTTCCTTTGAGAAGACAGAAAATTGCTTTTATTTTTATTTTATTTATTTATTTGTCTGTTTTTGAGAAGGAGTTTCACTCTGTCACCCAGGCTGGACTGCAGTAGTGCAATCTTGGCTCACTGCAACCTCTGCATCCCAGTTCAAGCGATTCTCCTGCCTCAGCCTCCCGAGTAGCTGGGATCACAGGCCCTCTAATTTTTTGTATCTTTTAGTAGAGACGGGGTTTCACCATGTTGGCCAGGCTGGTCTCGAGTTCCTGGTCTCAAGTGATCAGCCAGCCTCAGCCTCCCAAAGTGCTGGGATTACAGGCAAGAGCCACTGCACCTGGCCAGAAAACAGCTTTTAAATGTAAGATTTTCTTGGCACTATCTAATACCTTCTCTTCATGTCCACTACAAGCTTTAGGCATTCATTTCTCAAGCATAAGGACCATGTTAATACTTTATATACTTCAAAGAGATGATCATACTGTCTCCTTAATGCAGGTATACCTCAGGATTGACCTTGTCATGCTGCAGTGACAAACATCTCCAAAATGTTAGTGGCCTAAACCATAAAGATTTGTTTGTTACTTACATCACATGTCCAGCACAGACTGTGCTCGTGGCATTCTCTCACAGGTCCAGGTGGGCCGAGCCACCATGAATTTCAGGCCACTGCCCCAAAGGGAATAAAGAACTCTAAGTCTTGCAACAATCAAATGTCCTGTCCTGGAAGTGACACATGTCATTTCTGCTCTCTACTCATCAACCAAAACTAGTCACATGGCCCCACTCAGCCGCACGGGCACCAGGAAGTGCAATTTCCCTCAGAGCACGGGAGAGATGACATATTTGGTGAACAGCACCAAGGACCACAACATTCTGAGTAAATATTTAGTGACTAACTTTACTTTCTCTCCTCAGAGAAATCTCATGGATCTTCTTTACTTCCAGTTGGATTCTCTTTTATTTCTCTTCTTAAGGACTTAGACATTAAAAAACAAAACAAAACAAAAAAACAAGTAGGATCAATCACTTAGTACCAAGAATGCATTTTATTTTTCAGTCTACTCTTCTCTTTGTCTTTATTTTCCTCGCATTGCTTCTCTCACTCCTGGGCTTCTGACCCTTTCTGTCTCTCTAGCTTTGACAATACTCTGAAAACTTGAGCCTGGGGACTTACATGGCTCTTGGAGAACTTGGCTCAGCTCCCTTTCTGGGTCCTGCCTTGTGTCAGACCTTTTCTCTCCCAAATATTCATGCTTCAGTATTCCAGATTCCCAAGCATTCCCGAGAGAGCCTCAGTCATCTGTCCCTCCTCTCCTGAACTTTCAGCCCCAGAACCTTTTGGCATATAAAGAGAATCGTGTGGCAAAAATTACAACCCTAGTTAGAGTTAATTCCTTCTTTTGGTGAAAAAAAAAAAGATTTCATGAAGGAAGAAGTTTTGCTGCAAGATGGTTTTAGTTACTTCCTATATTTTATCTGTTTAGCTTTAAGGTCCTTGCTGTCCAGTATTATAACTATTGTGATGGTTCAGGCTAAAGCTGCAGTAGTACGTGTTATTACTCAGGTATTATGAAGAAGAGCTGTACAAAAGTAGCTTCTTCCAAGCGAAAAAGTTGTGCATTTTTAAAATTAAAAAGATGCAGTTTTTATAATTAAACCTTTAAAACATTTAGGTGTAGGCCGGGTGTAGTGGCTCATGCCTGTAATCCCGGCACTTTGGGAGGCCAAGATGGGTGAATTGCTTGAGTGCGGGACTTCGAGACTAGTCTGGGCAAGAAGATGAAACCATATCTCTACAAAATACAAAATAATTAGCTGGGTGTGGTGGTGTGTGCCTGTAGTCCCAGCTACTCAGGAGGCTGAGATGGCAGGATCACTTGTGCCCAGGAGGTTGAGGCTGCAGTGAGCTGTGATGCTGCCACTGCACTGCAGCCTGGATGACGGATTGAGACCCAGTCTCAAACCAACAACAACAAAAACTTTGGTGTATATTTAACATACTTAAACTTTCTCATAATGAGATAATTCACTCTGAGGTAAAACAGATATGTTTATCCCAACATGGGTACAGTCTTGTTTTTAAGTCAGTCCTTTTTTTAGAGCCATCTCTAGACATATACACAGCTATAGAAATGTCTTTGCAACAGAAAAATGCAATGGAAAATAAACCAGACCATGCACAGCATTAAAAGCAAATGATGTGATATATTGTAGGGCAGGCAGTTTTACACACTTCTGTTAGGTCAGGCTGATTTTCTAGTCTAAGATAAAAATCCAAACATGCTAAGCCAATGTATGTGGATTTCTATACAAAACATATGTGAATAATATTATCTTTTGCAGAGATTATGGGTAGGCCTTTTCTTGTAAATATAATCATCTGGGATTATGGTTCAATTCCTGGCACTGTCAGTGAGGTTTAGGAGTTTTCCAAGGACTGAAAGCTTTTGATTTTTCTATGCTATAGCTCCATTTTGACAGAGAATGACAGTGTATGAAGAAAACTGAGTCTTCCCCCTCACCTCCCACCAGGTGCAAGAGGCTCCTGTAACAAGATCAGCCTAGAAGTTCCTTCCCAGAGAAAGCAAAATGATCAAAAAAGGAGAAGTTGGGAACAAAATTTGACTAGACTAGGCCCTTTAAGTTTATTTCCATTCCACAAGGTGGCAGTAAATACATTCCTAAGGCTATCTGCTTGGGAGAAGAATGAAATGGCAAAGTATTATTTAGTCTCTGTGCTGGGAGAACTGATGCTGCTGAAACCAGAGTAAACACATTTAAGGATCAATCGAGCATCATTCATGAGAATTTCCTTCTCCAAACCCCTTCCTTAACTCTCAGGAAGGAAATGACAATGGGACCTTGAACTGGAGACCCCAGAACCTGCTTTTTCTCTACTACAATCTTGAGGTTTTATTAAAATTAGATAATAAGCAAGCCATCCTGTTAGCTGTCAAGGCTGAAAATACAATCAACTGAAAGATAAGTTGGACAAAAAGAAATTCAGAAACAGTGTCCTTACAGCAAATGGCCATAGAATGGCCCAGTGACAATAATATTAGTTTACTTAGATGTTTACCTTTAAAGATAAATTCATTGATAATTTGGAGACAGCATATTAGAGTAGTTAGATTAGAACATCTTCAAATGTCAATCTTTTGGTTTCTGTATGCTATGATTTGAATGTCTCCTCCAAAATTCATGTTGAAATGTAATCTCCAATGTGGTAGTATTGAGAGGTGTGGCCTTTAGGTGGTGCCTGGATTTATTCATGGATCAATGAGCTGTCATTAAAGTGGGAATGGTAGCTTAGTAAGAAGAGGAAGAGAGATGGGAGCTAGCATGCTCAGCCCCCTCACGATGTGATGCCCTGTGCAGCCTCGGGCCTCTGCAAAGAGTCCTCACTGATTCCCTGCCCCCAGGAGGCAGGGAAACTCTGGGCAGAAGAGGGTGGGGCCCTTGCGGGGGACCCACCCTCAAGCCGAAAAGCCTGAAACTGCTGCCCAAAGGTAGAACTTACATCCTTGTTTTCCTGCTCAAATGTTGCCATTTCCAAAACCACCCAAGGCCTGCCCTGCCCCTTATCCTGTGCCTATAAAAACCCCAGAACTCAGGTGGCAGAGAGGAGAAGCAGCTGGACATCGGAGACTATGGCTGGACATTGGAGAGAAGTGGTTTGACTTCAGAGGGACAGCTTGACAGTGAAGAATTCGGCCAGAGATAGCTGGACTTCAGGGGAAGATGATCTTTCCGCCTCATCCCCCTTTCAGCTCCCCTTCCTGCTGAGAGACACTTTAATCGGCAATAAAATCCCCCATGTTTACCATCCTTCAATTCGTTTGTGTGACCTCATTTCTCCTGGATGCTGGACAACAGCTTGGGTGCCACGAGTGTGGATGCAAAAGGCTGTCACACTAACCCTTTACCCTCTCTAGCAGAAGGCAGCCACCTCAAATGAAAAGGCAGAGGATCCATTGAGCTTTCAACACTTAAGCTGTGCGCTGAGGGCAAAGCTAAAAGAGCACTGTAACACTCCCTCTGGGGCTTCAGGGGTCATAGGCGCTCCCCCAGACACTGCTGTGGGGCCGTTACAGAGTTCACTCCTGCTGGTCCCCAAAAGCACTCGCCTTGGCTCCTGCACCTGTTCACCTGTGTGCTCCTTCCCTTGAGAGGTGAAGCGTAGTGGGTCTGAGTGAGTGGAGTTCGCCCCTGCTGGCCTCTCTCTCATGTGCCCTCTCCCGTGAGGAGTTGAGAGCTGCAGGCTGAGTGAATGAGGCATCCCCTTTTGAGTGCTGTGAAGGGGTCAGGGAAATATCCTGCTTCACCATCAGCAGAGAGGCTCTCTCCTGATGAGACCCGTCAACCTTGGATTTCTCAGCCTCTATAACTAAGAAATAAATTCTTTTTCTTCAAAAATTATCCAGTTTCAGTTATCTTGTTATAAGCAACAGAAAATGGACTGAGACCATATACATAGCCTGGATAAGCAGAATCAGAGTCATGATTTCATAGCATTTTTGTTTTTTACTCCTTTAATGCTAGAACTAGAGGAACATGCAAGATTTAGGTTAGATACAAAGAAGTTTCTAAACATGGGACTTGAAGTTCCTTTTCTGCAGGCCTAACCAAATTAGATTATTTTGTATGAATTATTTAGGGCTCTCCTAATCCAATGTCTGAGTCCACATCTCTCCGTTGAAGTGATCAGATACTTGGAAGCACATGTTGACCACGCAACACAAATGTCAACAGACATTGATTGAGCTCCCACATTTCAGTTTGGGTCCTGAAATTCAAGGATGAGAAAAACACATTGTCTGCCCTCAAGGAACGAAAGTCCCTTCTCCATCTCCTTCCAAAAGTTGGCTGGTAACCTTATTTGTGACCTCTGTTTCCATAAAACATTTGAGAGTATGGTTGGTGAAGAACTGAAGTTTTAGTTGGATCCCTGAATAGGCATTAAGCTGTGTAGCTAGTGCCTTGCTAAGATCTTTTCAGGACCATTGCTTGCCTGGTAAAATAAGAGTTTCCACTAATTTTCCTTGGCAGGGACTACAAAGTAGGGTTTATTTTCTAACCATAGGATGATCCATAGCTAATAAATAGTACCCTCTTGGAAGAACGCAAGAAAATGTATTCTATTATTGAATGTAATTTGTTATTATATATTATTTAATATAATTATATTATTTGAGAATCTTCTTTCTTTCTTTTTTCTTTTTTTTTTTTTGAGACAGGGTCTCACTCTGTCACCAGGCTGGAGTGCAGTGGCACCATCTCGGCTCACTGCAGCCTCCACCTTCTGGGTTCAAGTGACTCTCCTGCCTCAGACACCCAGACAGCTGGGATTACAGGAGTGCGCCATCAAGCCCAGCTGATTTTTGTATTTTTAGTAGAGACGGGGTTTCGCTATGTTGGCCAGGCTGGTCTCAAACTCCTGAGCTCAAGTGATCTGCCCACCTCAGCCTCCCAAAGTGCTGGGATTACAGGCATGAGCCACTGCTCCAGCCAAGAATCTTCTTTCTGATGAGCGCAGTCTGCACCTCATAATGACTGTCTCAAGGTGTAAGGCAAGCACAAACACTATTGACTCTGTTTTACAGATCAGGAAAATGAGGCAACGACAAATTCATTCATCTATTCTTAGGGAAAGAGTTGATAATGGGCAACTGCAGCCTGCAGGCGTCTGACCATATGCCATATCTTCTGCACAGAGTCTCTGTTGGACTAGACAGTATTTTTTGCACATTAGGAAAAGGTGCATCCCTTGCATGAATGCAGCCCTCTGTATGGGTAGCTACATTAGCAACAGGAGCGTGGGTTGGATTTTAGTCCCCAGTCACTTGCCTGGTTGGGTCCTCTTGTGCAGTCACGACTTGCAACTTGTACAACTTTGGGCCCTTCCTGTCTTTTTCTTTGTTATTACTTCACACTTGAGAATCAGCTTCTCAAAAGGTTTGGTGAGAAAAATTGAGCATTGGTGATGCCAGGCATATGGCAGATGCTTAATAAGTGTTTGCTCAATGAATGAATTAGGACAGGTGTCCCATCATATGTGCCTGGTCACCCTGCACTACTGCATCACTGTAGCCATGCAGCTCCCCACAGAGGTCAGGGGTTAGGCACCGTTCTCATCTGAGTGCCTCTTTTTCTTGAGTATTATATTTCCTTAGAAGTAATTACTCCCAACCCTTGTGTGAGGAATAACCACTTTTCATTTCTGTGAAGCTGACCACACACCTATGTATAGGTGGGGCACCCTTCAAGGGAGCTGGGAAGAGGAAATTCCCAACAGCTATCCTCCTTCCACGCCAACTAGGATTCCGGGGAGAGGAGTGTGGTGGAGGCAGCCATCTTAGGGTTCTGTTAGACCAGACAGAGATTTCTGCATTTGACCTTGACCTGATGATTGGGAACCCTCAGAGCAGTACAGCTGCAGAACATTTCTTCCCTTTCATCAGGCCCAGACATTGTTTAGTGAGGAGTTACAGAAAATGTTTTGTTGTTTTCAAGGACTTGAAAAGCACCCTGTCAGCTCTCTCTCAGATAGAATGGAGTGCACCAAGCCTGCGGGGTTCCTTATCTTATAGTTATAACCAATGGAAAACTTGGAGGAGGAAGAATCTTTCTTCCTTCTGCATCTTCTGTCACACCAAGCCTGCTAGGCTGGGCATGTCAGAGCAGGTTCTTTGCTAATACCTAGAGGTTCCTGATAATGCCCAGCTTGGGCTAGACTGGCTGTAAGCCTAGGACAGGTGGGCTATTAGATAAGCCACAGTGAACTCCTCTTTGTGAATGACAGAATTAGACTACTGAGGCATTCTCAGTTGTTTTCACAATGCAACTGTGCAAACAAGTGATCCTCCATTGAAAAGGAGACCCTTCCTTCCTCCTCCCTACACAGTCTCGTAACCAAGACAAATTACTTTCCCTTCCATGTCCCGACTCCCTCAATTTTCATCTTTATTGGGCAGATCAAGGATTATATCTTGATCCTTTAAGTTCCCAAACAAAGATGACTTCTTCATCGTTTTAATTTTTGTATTTTGATGGAATAGTTTTTTAAATGGCTGTCTTCATTTAACGTTTTGGTTGGTTATTTATTCATCTTTCTTGGGGGAGGTAAGTGAACAGGTGGGAATGCACTAACGAAAGGATGGTCTGCCATAGGAAACTCTACACCAGCAGCCGAGCAGCAAGCATGACCCGCTGTGCCCTGGCTTCTGAATTCTGACACACAGAATTTTTACTGCATGTACGGTTTACTCACTGGTCAACAGATTCCTGCTGTTATAAAAATTTTATAGTTGTCTTGTGACAGTATGACTCTGAGGCCCCTAGAGAAGTCTAGGCATAAAAGAATATCTTCAGATGAGGAGGTTTACTCATGGGGGCCACCCCCAGGAGAGCAGATAAAAACCAGCTAAGAGGAGTATCTGCTGGGGAATGTGTTACTTCCATCTGAACTTGGAGTTGTGGAAACCACAAAGGTGCATATTGTTATTGCAGTGTTTCCAGCTAGGTATTGTTTATTTGTCCTTAATTGATGTGACATTTCTAAGGATAATCTTGACTAGCATTCCTTCAGGAGCAATGATGGGGAAAGATGACTTACTTTCAGTTACTTACCTACTGGCTTCCCGAGCCTTCCCTTTTGGATTATACCATCTTCCGAGAAATTAGCACGTAAATTATGGTCAGTTGAAGTAATGACCTATTAACTAGGCCAATGACTCCCTCCATAAAAGCAACACAGAATTATATATCTATTTTTCCAGAAACTTTAATTCTTTTCTGACTGAACCCGTATAAACTTTTGAGATTATGATATAGTTTGTATATTTGTCCCTGTCCAGATCTTATGTGGAGCCTGGGGAGAGTTGATTGGATCATGGGGGCGATTTCTCATGAATGGTTTAACACCATCCTCTTGGTGCTGTCCTAGTGATTGTGAGTTCTCGGGAGATCTGGTTGTTTTAAAGTGTGGCACCTCCCTACTCCCTCTGGCTCTTGCTTTTGCATGTGAAGTGCAACTCCTGTTTAGTCTTCCACCATGAATAAAAACTCCCTGAAGCCTTCCTAGAAGCTAAGCAGATGCCAGAGCCATGAACGTACAGCTTGCAGAACCATGAGCCAATCAAACTTCTTTTCTCTATAAATTGTCTAGTCTTGGTATTTCTTTATAGTAATGCAAGAAGAAACTAATACAGATTAGTGTGCATTTTTTTCCCTCTGAATTAAAAACAACCTTTGTAATCCTGGTTTTTAGCATCCTATAAGGCACATGGAAAGGGCTGTTACTGCAGAAAGAATAAACAAAGGAGTGAATGAAATGGCCTTCATGCTTTTGGGGTCCACTGAACGCTTTACTCTTTGGAGCCTGCTGCATTGCTGTCAAGTCTCATCAAAACCATAGCTTCAAAAGCTACTGCGTTTAGCCTCACAGATTTTGGATAATCATTGAGCCACAAAAATGCTGCTGATGACATAAGTTTTCAATGGTCAATGAGCATTTCCATGGTTATCTCTTCCTTTGTTTGCCTATCCAAAGGCCTAAAAGCACAAACTATATGCACCGAAGAGTTCTCTTTTTTTTTTTTTTTTTTTTTTTTGAGACGGAGTCTCGCTCTGTCGCCCAGGCTGGAGTGCAGTGGCGCAATCTCGGCTCACTGCAAGCTCCGCCTCCCGGGTTCATGCCATTCTCCTACCTCAGCCTCCTGAGTAGCTGGGACTACAGGCGACCGCAACCTCGCCCAGCTAATTTTTTTTTTTTTGTATTTTTAGTAGAGATGGGGTTTCACCATGTTAGCCAGGATGGTCTCGATCTCCTGACCTCGTGATCCACCCGCCTCGGCCTCCCAAAGTACTGGGATTACAGGCGTGAGCCACCGTGCCCTGTCGAGTTCTCCTCTTTATCCCATGAAACCCAAGGGAAAAATATAAAAAGAATGGTGCATGATTTAGCATTGTTTTTTGTTAGATCCATTTTCTGGTTCTTTCTAGGTCAGTTCTGATTTCTCAGGCCTATGCATGTGGGCCAGTGTGAATTTGCATGGTTACCTAGAGACATAGTGCTCTAAACTTAACCAGACATTGAAGGAACTCACCAAATTTCTAAGGTAACAGGAAAACTGTTGTGATTCTAGACTCAATAATTTATGGTCATGCCACAAATGCTGAGTTGGGGTGTCAAGCCCTGTGGCCGCACTCCTATTAGTGGTATTCCTCCTTAAGGACCCAGCTTGAGCTGTCCTGTTCCTGGCTTGTGTATTCTTCCATCACTAATTACATAATAATAACAGCTTCCATTTGTCCTGTGCTTTGAAAAGAGATGGTGGTTATAAAGGATCTTCTTTACACATTGTGAAACGTGCAATGGACCATTCATCACAGAGATGATGAGCTTTATTCATTCATTCATCTATTATTCTAGATGTCCAGCACAATGCCTGGCAGGCAGGAGGCACTGAGTCAACACATGCGTGTTGAGTGAATGAGAAAAATTATCACATTATATCTAGTTTTGGAAAAGTGTGCCAAGGCTATAAGAAGTTTTTAATGCACAAAAACTTACATTATTTAATGCCAGGCACAATTTTAAATGCCTTACCTATATTAACCCATTTAGTCTTCATAACTATCCCTAGAGGTGATTATAGATCACCCCCTTATAGATGGGGAAGCTGACTATGTGTGGAGGTTGAGTGAGTTTTCCGAGTCAGTGAATGGCAGAGCTGAGATTTGAACACAGGCATTCTGTGTAAAGAGATTGTACCTTTAACCATGATCTCATACTGCCTTTCAAGTTACGATACTGCTAATGTTTGTAGGTTCTCAGGAGAAGGAGCACACACACAAAGTAATTCCTTAAAAACAACATAGGCTGTTAGTTCCAAGTCTCTTCTAGACTTGAAGCAAATGTCTGGGATTTAGTTAGGGAGTTAGGGAGGATGAGTGGCATCTGTTGAACACACCAGAGTGCTAAAATCTTATCTTTGCTGATTTCCTAACTCATATTTCAAGTCACACAAGAAATACTTCTGGATTTATTTGTCCCAAGGAACTTACACAAAAGGCATTTGATTTAATGACGTCAAGTGATCAGTATTTGTCCAGTAGTCTTATCTCGAGTGTTATGAAACTATTTTTATTGTTTCCTTTTGAGCAGCTATAGAGACGGTTTCACAGCTAATTCCCATTTCTGTGCTGCTTCCTTAGCATATGGTTGGTTGTGCACGTCTAGACAGTCAACCCATAGAGTTGCGCATGAAACAAAACTTGAAGATAATGAATCATGAATCTGAATCATGGATCCAGTTCCACAGGCACCTCACTAGTGTTCTCTTTTCTATTTGTAATTTTCAATTTTGGCTACTGCTACTGTTTGTGAAAGTAACATATGCATGTTGGCACAAATGAGGCAATATAAATATATAGAAAGAAAAAGTAAATTAATCATTCGACTATTTTTATGTAGATCTATTTTTGAGCTCTCTATTCTGTTCCATTGATCTTTTTGTCTCTCCTTTCACCAATACCAGACTCTCTTACTTACTGTAGCTTTATGGTCATTTAGTGTCAGTCTTTTAGCTTTGTTCTTTTACTTCAATGTTGTGTTAGCTGGTCTGGGTCTTTTGTCTCTCCAAATAAACTTTAAAATCAGGTTTCAATACCCACAGAATAACTTGCTGAGATTTTTTTTCTTTCTTTTCTTATCCTTTCTTTCTTCTCTTTCTTTCTTTCCTCTTTCTCTCTTTCTCTCTCTCTTTCTTTCTTCTCTTTCTCTCTCTCTTTCTTTCTTTTTTTTGAGACAGATTCTTGCTATGTTTCACAGTCTGGTCTTAAACTCCTAGGCTCGAGTGATCTTCCTGCCTCAGCCTCCAAAGTGGCTGGGACTATAGGTGCCCATCACTGCACCCTACCTTACTGAAATTTTGATTGGTATTACACTGAATGTATACATCAAGTTGTGAAGAACTTGCATCTTGATAATATTGAGTCTTCCAATTCATGCACATGGAATATTTCATTTATTTAGTTCTTTTCTTAGAGTTTTATAGCTTTCCTTGAACAGATTTTGTACATATTTTGTTAGATTTGTACCTAAGTATTTCATTTTTTTTGAGTGTGAATATAAATGATATTGTGTTTCAGTTTCTACTTACTCATTGCAGGTATGTGGGAAAGTGATTGACTTTTGTGTATTAACCTTGCATCCTTCATCCTTACTTACTATAGTTGCTTATTAGTTCCAAGAGTGTTTTTTGTTGTTGCTGTTGATTCTTTTGGGCTTTTTATGTAGACTATCATGTCATCTGTGAAAAAAGACAGTTTTATTTCTTCCTCCTCAATCTATTTAACTTTTATTTCATTTTCTTGTCTCATTGAATTAGCTAGGACTTCCAATACAATGTTGAAAAGCAGTACTGAGAGAGGATGCCTTTGCTTTGATCCTGATCTTAATGGGAAAACTTCCAGTTTCTCACCATTAGGTATGAGGTTAGCTGCAGGTTTTTGTAGACACTCCTTATCAGGTTGAGGAAGTTTCCCTCTATTTAGCCTTGATTACTGAGAGTTTTTGTCATGAATGAATGTTGAATTTTTAAAATACTTTTTTTGCATGTTTTGAGATGATCATATGTTTGTTTGTTCTTTACCCTGCAGATGTCATGTATTACATCAATTGAGTTTTGAATGTTGAACCAGCCTTGCATACCTGAGATAAATCCCACTTGGTCGTGGTTTATAATCCCTTTTAGACATTGTTGGTTTTGATTTGCTATTTTTTGAGCATTTTGCATCTATGTTCATGAAAGATATTGGTCTGTAATTTTCTTGTAATGTCTTTGTCTGGTTTTGTTATTAGGGTAATGTTGGCCTCATAGAATGAGTTAAGAAGTATTCTTTCTACTTCTATCTTCTGTAAAAGATTATACGAAATTGGTATAATTTCTTTCTTAAATGTTTGGAAGAATTCGCTAGTGACTGAGCCTGGTGCTTTCTATTTTGGAAGGTGGTTGATAATGTACTTAATTTCTTTAATAAATATAGGTCTATAACTCCTATAATCCCAGCACTTTGGGAGGCTGAGGCGGGTGAATTACTTGAGGTCAGGAGTTCAAGACAAGCCTGGCCAACATGATGAAACCCCATCCTTACTAAAAATAAAAAAATTAGCCAAGCATGGTCTCACATGCCTGCAATCCTAGCTGCTTGGGAAGCTGAGGCACAAGAATCACTTGAACCTGGGAGCTGGAGGTTGCAGTGAGCTGAGATTGTGCCGTTGCACTCCAGCCTGGGTGATAGAGCGAGACTCCATGTCAATAAATAAATAATAAATATACGTCTATTCAGAGTCTCTATTTTTTCTTGTGTGAGTTTTAGAAAATTGTGTCTTTCAAGAAATTGGTTTATTTCACCTAGGTTATCAAATTTGGGCATAAAGTTGCTTATAATATTTCTTTATTATCCATTTAATGTCCATGAGATCTGTCCCCTCTTTCATTTCTGATATTAGTCATTTTTGTCCTCTTTTTTTCCTGGTTAACTGGCCAAAGACATCAATTTTATTGACTTATTTTCAGAGAACCAGTTTTTTTATTTTATTGATTTTCTATATTAATTTCTTTAAAAATTTTATTTGCTCCATTTAAAAAAATTATTTCATTTCTTCTGCTTACATTGAATTTAGTTTGCTCTTCTATTTTCAGTTTCCTAAGATGGAAACTTGGATGACTAATTGTAACTCTTTCTTCTT
The DNA here is from genome assembly GCF_000001405.40 of Homo sapiens. Lineage (NCBI taxonomy): Eukaryota > Metazoa > Chordata > Mammalia > Primates > Hominidae > Homo > Homo sapiens. The sequence continues at coordinate 86,497,537 of NC_000009.12, forward strand.
TTCTAATATTTGCATTCAATTCTGTGAACTTCCCTCTAAGCACCACTTCTGCTGTATCCCACAAATTTTAATGAGCTGTGTTTCCATTTTCATTCAGCTTAAAGTATTTTAAAATTTCTCTTGAAATTTCTTCTTCGACCCCTGAGTTATTCAGAAGTGTGTTGTTTGATCTCCAAATATTTTAGGATTTTCCAGCTCTCTTTCTGTTATTGACTTCTAGTTTAATTCCATTATGGTCTGAGAGCAGGCATTGCATGATTTCCATCCTTTTACATTTGTTAACATGGGCTGGGTGTGGTGGCTCATGCCTGTAATCCCAGCACTTTGGGAGGCTGAGATGGGTGGGTCACTTGAGGTCAGGAGTTCAAGACCAGCCTGGCCAACATGGTGAAAACCCGTCTGTACTAAAAATACAAAAAAATTAGCCAGGTGTGGTGGCAGATGCCTGTAATCCCAGCTTCTCGGGAGGCTGAACCTGGGAGGTGGAATTTGCAGTGATCTGAGATCGCACCACTGTGCTCCAACCTGGGTGACAGGGCAAGACCTCATCTCAAAAAAAAAAAAAAAATTGTTAAGGTGTGTTTTATGGCCCAGAATGTGGTCTATCTTAGTGAATGCATCATGTGGGCTTGAGAAAAATGTGTATTCAGCTGCCATTGGTTGAAGTAATCTGTAGATGCCTATTATGTTAATATCCTGTTGGTTGATGGTGTTGTTGAATTCAGCTATGTCCTTACTGATTTTCTGCTTGCTGGATCTGTTCGTTTCTGAAAGAGGGGTATTGAATCCTCCAACTACAATAGTGGATTCATCTATTTCTACTTGCGGTTCTATCAGTTTTGTCTCACTTATTTTGACACTCTGTTATTAAGTGTATACACATTAAGAAATTAACCCATTTATCATTTAATGCCACTCTTTATCCCCAATAACTTTCTGTGCTCTGAAGTCTGTTCTTTCTAAAATTAACGTAGATATTCCAGATTTTTAAAATTAGGGTTAGCGTATATATATTTATCCATCTGTATACTTTTAATCTATATGTATCTTTATATTTAAAGTGGATTTCTAGGGTCCTGTTTTTTGATCAACTCTGACAATCACTTTCTTTAATTGATACATTTAGACCATTGATGTTCAAAGTGATTAATGATATAATTGGGTAAATATATACCATATTAGTTACTGTTTTCTATTTGTTGCCCTTGTTCTTTGTTCCTTTTTTTGTTTTCTACTCTTTTTCCTCCTTTCAACTGAGTTTTCTTCAGTTAAAACTCCTAGGGCTTTAACTGAGCATTTTATATGATTCCATTTTGTCTCCTTTCTTAGCATATCAGTTGTACTTCCTTTTCTGCTTTTTTTAGTAGTTGCCCTAGAGTTTGCAATTTATATTTACAACGAAACCAAGTGAACTTTTATTTTTTTGAGATGGAGTCTCTTACTCTGTCGCCCAGGCTTGAGTGCAGTGGTGCAATCTTGGCTCACTGAAACCTCTGCCTCCTGGGTTCAAGTGATTCTCCTGCCTCAGCCTTCTAAGAAGCTGGGATTACAGGCACACACTACCATGCCTGGCTAATTTTTTTTCATATTTTTAGTAGAGACGGGGTTTCACCATGTTGGTCAGGCTGGTCTCAAACTCCTGACCTTGTGAACTGCCTGTCTCGGCCTCCCAAAGTGCTAGAATTACAGGTGTGAGTCAATGCATCTGGCCACCAAGTGCATTTCCAAATAACAGTATACTGCTTCACAGGTAGTGTGAGTACCTTATATAATAAAATAATCCCAATTTTTCCCTCTCATCCCTGTATCATTGTTATCATTCATTTCACTTACACATAAACACAAACACACACATGTAATTAAATATATTGTTGCTATTGTTATTTTGAACAAACTCTCATCTCTTAGATTAAGAATAAGAAAATTACGGTATTTATTTTACCTTCATTTAATCCTTATTCCTTCTTCAGTGTTCTTCCTTTCTTTATGTAGGTCCAAGTTTCAGGCTTATGTGATTTTCCTACCCTTTCAAGAACTTTTTCAAAACATTTCTTGCAAGGCGGGTCTACTGGCAACAAATTTCCTCAATTTTCGTTTGTGTAAGACTGTAAGTATCCTTGGCTTTTGAAGAATATTTTCACAGGGTACAGAATTCCAGGTTGGTGGCTTTTTCTCTCAACACTTTAAATATTTCACTCCACCCTATTCATGCCTTGCATGGTTCCTGAGGAGAAGTAGATGTAATTCATAATTTTGCTTCTCTGTATGGAAAAGTAGATGTAATTCTAATTTTGCCTCTCTGTAGGTAAAGTTTTTTTTTTTTTTTAACCTCTGGCTTCTCTCAGGAGTTTTTCTTTATCATTTTTTTATGAAAATGAGAGGCATATCATTTTTGAAAATGATAGGCAGTTCATTTGAAAATGATAAGCCTAGGTGTAGTGTTTTGGGGCATTTATCCTGCTTGGTGTTCTCTGAGCTTTCTGATCTGTGGTTTGGTATCTGAGATTAATTTGGGGAAAATTCTCTATCACCATTGTTTCTAATATTTCTTCTTTTCCTCTTTCTTCTCCTTCTGATATTCTCAGTATGTGTGTGTTACAACTTATGTAGTTGTTCCACAGTTCTTGAATATTCTGTTCTGTTCTGTTTGTTTATTTGTATAAGACAGGGACTTGCTCTGTTGCCCAGACTAGAGTGCAATGGAACAATTATAGCTCACTGTAATCTCAAACTCCCATGCTCAGGTGATCCTCATGCCTCAGCCTCCCAAGTAGTTAGGACCACAGGTGTGCACCATCATGCCTCGCTAATTAAATTTTTTTTTTTATAGAGTTAAGGTCTCACTGTATCACCCAGGCTGGTCTTGCACTCCTGGCCTCAAGTGGTCCTCCTGCCTCAGACTCCCAAAGCACCGGGATTACAGGTGTGGGCCACCATGCCCTGGTGGTGGTGTTTTTTGTTTTTGTTTTTTTTTTCTTTTTTCTTTTATTAAAGTCTTTTTTTCTCTTTGCCTTTCCATTTTGGAGATTTTTATTTAGATACCTCAAACTTGGAGAATCTTTCCTTAACTATGTTCAGTCTACTAGTAAGCCCATTAAAGGTATTCTTTATTTGCATTACAATGTTTTGATCTCTACTATTTTATTTATTTTTCTTAGAATTCCTATTTCTGCTTACACTGCACATCTGTTCTTGCATGCTGTGTACTTTATCCACTAGAGCCCTTATTGTATTAATCATAATTGTTTTGAATTCCCAGTCTGATCGTCATCCCAACATTCCTGCCACATGAGTCTGGTTTTGATGCTTGCTATGTCTCTTCAAAATGTTTTTCGCCTTTCAGTATTTCTTGTAATTTTTTCCTTTATATCCAGACATAATGCACTGGGTAAAAGGAACTGCTATAAATAGGTCTTTAGCAATGTGAAGGTCAGGCGCGGTTAGGGGAAGTGTTCTACTGTCCTGTGATTAGGTCCTAGTCTTTTAGGGCCTCAGGATTGTGAACTTCATATATGCTTCTCAGTAATTTTGTCCCTCCTCACCCCACACCCCGCTGAAGGTGGAACAGAATGGCTAATGGGGTCTGGAGTTGATTATTTTTCTTCCCCCAGGTCAGTTAGGTTAATATAAAACCCCAGCAGGTCTGAGCTCCTTAAATAGTTTCTGCTGAGGGCAGGCCTTGTTAAGAAGCACGGGAATGTTCTGGTGTATTTCACAATAATTCCTTTTCCTCTGCCCTGTGGAAGCACAATGGAATTTCTAAAATAATATTCACTAGGAGAACCTGGTAGAGCTCCAGGGGACAAAACTCACAAGTGGGGGCTCCCCTAGGACAGCGTCCCCTACGGCGATTAATCTCTCACAGTCATCCATACTGAGCCTTCAGCAACTTGTCAATTGTAGTTCAGGTTTCCCCACCCTGGCACTGATTTCCAAGGGGGGCTGTGATTCTCTGTATTTGCCTATCTGTCTCTCCAGTTAGGGGTGCAGCACTTTGTCCTGTGACCTTACTTCTCTTATAGATCTAAGAAAAGTTGTTGATTTTTCAGGGTTTTTTTTATTTGTTTGTTTGTTTGTTTTTTTTGACAGCCTCACTCTGTTGCCCAGGCTGAAGTGCAGTGAAGCTCTCTTGGCTCACTGCAACCCCTGCCTCCCAGGTTCAAGCAATTCTCGTGCGTTGGCTTCCTACGTAGCTGGGACTACAGGTGACCGTCACCACGTCCAGCTAATTTTTGTGTTTTTTATTGGAGATGGGGTTTCACCGTGTTGGCCAGGCTTGAACTCCTGACCTCAAGTGATCCGCCCTCCTCAGCCTCCCAAAGTGCTGAGATTACAGGCAAAAGCCACTACGCCTGGTCAGTTTTTCAGTTTGTTTAGCTTTCACTTGTTAGGATAATGCAGTGACCTCCAAGCTTCTCATTTGCTGGACCAGACACCAAAAGTCTCCTTTTTAAAAAACAAAACAAAAAACCCAATAATTGATCATGGCTATATCCCAATTTCTTAGAACATAACTTTGCACATGGAAGATGCCCAATAAACATTTATTGAGTGACTAAATGATAAAGGGGCTGTGTGCATTTTACAGGGCTCATCTGATTTTCTAACTTGCTATTGGATGGGGACATGGGTTCTTCACATCTAAGTCTCATTCTTCCTAAATCCCCTGCAATTCACTTCTACTCATGTGGCAGCCAGGAAGTGTTTCTTATACTTACAGCTTGCTTTTTATTTCCTTTTATAAAAAAGAACTTTTTAAGATATAATTCACATACCATACAACTTACCCATTGAAAGTGTGTGAATCCATGAGTTTTTAGTTACATCCACAGACGTGTGTGACCATCACCAAAGTCAATCTGAGAACATTTTCATCACCTCAAAAAGAAACCCCATTGTCTTTAGCTATCACCCTATTTTTCTCCCTCTCTATCCCTCATCCTGAAAAAACCAGTAATATACTTTCTGTTGCTACAGATTTCCTGGTTATGGACATTTTCTATGAATAGAATCACATAATATGTGGTCTTTTGTGACTGTCTTCTTTCACTCTGCATGTTTTCAAGGTTCTTTCATGTCGTGGCATGTGTCGGTTTCTCATTCCTTTTTAAGGCTGAATAATATTTCATTTTATGGATATACCACTTTTGTTAATCTAGTCTTCAGTCGATGGACGTTTGGATTGTTTTTAACATGGGGCTATTATGAAAAATGTTGCTATGAACATTTATGCACATATTTTTGTGTAGACATATCTTTTTATTTTTAGGTATATACATGGGAGGACTGGAATTTCTGGGTCATATAGTTTGTTAACTTTTTGAGAAACTGCCAGACTGTTTTCCAGAGCACCATTTTTCATTCTCACCACCACTATATAAGGGTTTTAATTTCTTTTCATATATGCCAACACTTGATATTATCTGACTTTTTAATTCTAGCCACCCTAGTAGGTGAAGCATGAATCATGGAATTATGATTTTGATTTGCATTTCCCTAATGACTCATGATGTCAAGCATCTTTTCATGTGCTTGTTGGCCATTTGTATATCTTCTTTGGAAGAATAATCTATTGCCCATATTGAAATTGAATTATTTACCTTTTCATCTTTGAGTTGTAAGAGTTCTTTATATATATAAGTCCCTTATCGGATATACATAGCTTTTTTTTTTAACTGAAGTTTTTTACATGGTATTCCCCACTTTCTTCACTCTTGTGTGATGTGCCCACATGGTACACAGGGAAATCAAGAGGAAAAACAATCCCTTTTGTAAAAGGACAAAGTATGAATGTCTTTAGCTGGCATTCAAGAGCATGTCATGTCTGTTTTCCCACCCTGATAAATCCAGAAGCAATAAACCCAGAATTACTCGTTCTTAAAAACTACCTCATTGCAGAGGACTGCTTGTTGGGTAGTGGATTAATGTCCAAACCTCTTAGCTAATTAGTGTGAAACACAAATCACCTTTATGTAATATGGCTTGACAATAAAATGAGAAGTCAAAGCAGATGTTTCATCTGGATGTCTGCCCCTTAGAACCTTTGATGGGCTGCTTTGTGCTTTCTCTAGTACAGTGCTGTTAACATCCATATTATGAGTAACAATTTCTATTTTGCACAATCAATCACTTCATGGAAAAATTCAACAGCACTTTATATATTAAGGTTATTTTCTGGAGGGCAAATGCAGACCAAATTTTGAACAATTGGATTTCATTTCAGAGTGGAGTTTTAGTGGACTTCTGTGATAGGAAAAGTCTGAATTAGCAAGGAGACAAGACCAGTGGTACTGATAGTGAGGTAAGCGTTAAGTTGCAAAAGGAGAAAGTAATATTCGCGATCCAGAAAACCCTCCCCAAAAGACTTTGAAATTTTTAGTAGACATGTTATATCTAAATTGGTATCTGAAGCTATTATTCCAAGGACATTGCTTTGGATAGATGTCTGACATTCGTCCTTGTTGCATAAGCTATCTTACATTTCAAGAACATGTTTTGTAATGGTAATCGGTGAATGATAAATTTGGTAGTAATCATCAGCTGTTCAGAAATTGAAATATGCGGTCTGTGGCAATATGAATATTTGTTTTTAATTTGTTGACTTGGTGATTTTAAAACAAACCACCCTAAGGAGGAATGCTTCACAACAGAGCCTTAATAATTATTGAAGGCCAAAAACATGATGTGAAACCAACTTGCCAAATTACGAGTTGGTTGGGCCTGTGAAGGCGGTGTTCACTCTGAGAATGGAGGTGTTCGGGAAGAAGCACTGTAAACCATAAACAGGGCTTCCTAGGATGCTTATGGAGACTTGTGTCTACCTGGCCCTTCTGTGCAGGCCACAGTACATTGCTTGGGTTTCCACTGGCATCTTCACTTTGGCTGGGAAAAGAAGAGATGTGGGAATCAGATAGACCTGGGTTGCCCTCCTAGGTCCATCCCTTCACAACTGAATGATGCAGAATAAGTTACTTGGCATCTGTAAGACTCTGGTTTGCATCTCTACAGAGATGAGAATCTACTTCATCTCACATTGCCAGGAATAAATGAGAACAGACCTATAAGATGCTTACTCCAGGATCTAGCCCAATGCAGATGCCACATGCTCCTTTCCTGCTTTTCACCTTTTGCTTTCTGTCCCCTTTCCTCCACCAAGCTGCTCCTCCACAATTGAGGCCAATTCAGTACTTGAGCTTGTGGAGAAGTTTGTTTCATCTATTGCTGAAAAAGAAGAGTGCCTGAAAGCCCAGCCATAGATCCATGTGAAGGTAGAATGCCCTTCTAGTTATTCTTGACCCTGGCTGTGAATACCCTCTACCTTCTGCTCACCTTGTGGGTATATCCCTTAAGAGGCAATGCAGGAAAAGACAGCCCAATACAAATATTGGCAATTTGTAGATGAATGAATCAATGTGATCAAAGGACTTATGAAAAGATGTTCAAAAGCACTGGCAATTAGGAAAATACAATTTAAAGTAAAATTAAATACCACTGGCAAAAATTCGAAGATTGTTCTTGTGTTTATGGAAAACAACCAGGCAACCAGGAATGAATTTAACCATTAAAAGAATCTATTAAAATTTAAAAAATACCCATGTCTTTCAACTTAGCAGTTCAATCCCATGACTATATTCCTCAGAAATTAAAGCATTAATATGGAAAGTTTTATTTACAAGGACATTTTTACTGAAGCATTATTAGTAAAGACAAAAACAAACAAACAAACCCAACAACAACAAAAAACAAGAATCCCACAAATACAAGCTGGCAGTAAAGAGCTGTAGGGGAATAACTGGTAAAATAATTGACATCACCTCACCAAGGTATGTTTTTTGATAGTTAAAAAAAACAGGTTAAGATATAGTTTACAGGCCGGGCACGGGGGCTCACGCCTGTAATCCCAGCACTTTGGGAGGCCAAGGCAGGTGGATCATGAGGTCAGAAGATTGAGACCATACTGGCTAACACAGTGAAACCCCGTCTCTTCTGAAAATACAAAAAATTAGCCGGGCGTGGTGGCGAGCGCCTGTAGTCCCAGCTACTCGGGAGGCTGAGGCGAGAGAATGGTGTGAATCCAGGAGGCGGAGATTGCAGTGAGCCGAGATCATGCCACTGCACTCCAGTCTGGGCAACAGAGTGAGACTCCGTCTCAAAAAAAAAAAAAAAAAAAAGATATCATAGTTTACAAAGTATTATTGAATGAGAACAAAAAATGACGTGGAGAAATTTGTATAAAATGATCCAACTTGTAAAATAAACATGGACTAGCAAAATTCCATGTATCTCTCTCGTTCTCTCTGTCTCTCTCATTCCCTCTGGGGGTGTGTGTGTGTGTGTTTGCATTTCTATGAGGATTGAGCATAGAGACAAATAAGAACCATAGTCTAGGCTACAGTCATGGGGTGCTGGGGAATTATAGGGATAGAGAAAATAGGGGCAAGCAAAAAATAAAATAAAAGGCCGCACTAAGAAGATCTCCATCAAATATAATTCCATTTATGCAAAATTAATATACATATGCAGATATGTACAAATAAATAGGAACAAAGAGTTAGAACTTAACCTACTGATTTGACAACTGTTATATACTGAAAAAAAAAATCAGAATAATGGGAGTAGTAGTATTTTAATTTGTAAAGTCAAGCTAACCAACCCGCTGAACCTGAACCCATCACTCTACCTACTTAGATATGTGTGCATCCTTTTGAATTTACATATGCTTGCGTACATGTATATGAGCCTAGAAACAGGAAGTACGTGGCCATGTGCGGTGGCTCATGCCTGTAATCCCAGCACTTTGGGAGGCCAAGACAGGCAGATCACCTGAGGTCAGGAGTTTGAGAACAGACCAGGAATTTGAGGACAGGAGTTCGAGACCAACATGGTGAAACCCTGTCTCTACCAAAAATACAAAAATTAGCTGGGTGTGATGGCAGGTGCCTATAATCCCAGCTACTTGGGAGGCTGAGGCACAAGAATCGCTTGAACCCAGGAGGCAGAGGTTGCAGTGAGCTGAGATCACAACACTACACTCCAGCCTGGGCAACAGAGTGAGATTCCGTCTTAACAAAAAAAAAAAAAGAAAGAAAGAAACAGCAAGGATGCACTGGATAGCTTTTCTTCATACATCTTGTGATGGTATACTTTTATAATTATAATTGCAATTTTATTTTATTTTACTTTTTGAGACAGTTTCACTCGTTGCCCAGGCTGGAGTGCAATGGCATGTTCTGCACTCAACCTCTGCCTCCTGCGTTCAAGCGACTCTCCTGCCTCAGCCTCCCAAGTAGCTGGGATTACAGGCACCCATCACCATGCCTGGCTAATTATTTTAGGAGAGGCGGGGTTTCCCCATGTTGGCCAGGCTGGTCTTGAACTCCTGACCTCAGGTGATCTGCTCACCTCCGCCTCCCAAAGTGCTAGGATTATAGGTGTGAGCCATCATGCCTGGCCTTATGATTATTTTTGTAATTAAAAAAATACTTAATAAAGGACACTTTCAAAATAACCAAAAATATTTTCAAAGGAAGAAAAGAAAAAGAAGCAAGCTAGTGGTTCTTTCTCAAGGGCTGAGGGGTTGTTTCTAATTCTGCCAGAAGAGAATCTGGTCACCTGCCTTGATGGACTTTAACACAATGTTAAATAAGTTACGATTAGCTAAAAATGGAAATGGTAAGAAGGGATGTGAGTAGCCAGAGCTTGTTGCGGGCCAGACCCGTCCTGGTCTGTGTGAGCGTTAGCCAGAAGAGCTAAGCTGCAACAGCTCGTTCTGATGCTGACCTCTTTCTTCAAGGGGCTTATCTTTCAAAGGCAGGGCCTGGCTGATCAAGGATCTAGACAGGGTTTGTGTTCTTGTCCAGCCCACCAGATTTCAAATTGGACTGTCATTGTAGCTTCCATGAAGGGTCCCAGGAGTTCTATAAACTCGAGGTTAAACCCTGGCCAGTACACAGAGACCTGGGAACAACCTTCCCAAAACAACCCTTTAACAAATACTTTCTGCTTTAGAGGGAGGAGGACCGAGAGGAAGGGAAGGACACACACAGCATTAAGTGGCTGTGGGTATTTGATCAAACAGTTATGCAACTGATTAGAGCATTTGACAGAAAATTAATGAAAGATTTTGTTTTCCTACCACTTGGTATTTCTCTGGCTGCCTGTGCTGGAATTCCAGCTGCATTTGGATCACTGTGATTGTGTAAATCCTGCTGATCTTTAAAAAGAGATCCTTAGGATTTAGAGGTGGAACACAGAGGAGCTCCCGTTATCCTGACTTTCCACCACTCAAAATGGAACAGGGAACTAACAGGCCTCCTGTACGTTCTGCCTTTACATCTCTCAGCATTTTTCTTCCCCCCTAATTTACCATATCACAAGGAAGTTATAGATATTGAATCAAAGTGCATCGCTGTAATCGAATTTCATCTTGAGACTATTTCTTCCATTAGAGAGTATAGCTCTGTTAAGGGCTCTGATCTACTAAGTAGCCCTAATCCAGAAAATTCACATAGATACTGCCTAACCATGGCAAAGGCACAAGAGCATTGACTAAAAAGGTCTGGTGGTAACTTCTGATAAATATTAGGCCAGTTGCAGCTCATCCCTTTGGATTTGTAGTTTTTTTTAAAAAAAATCTAAGAATCCTGTATAGATATAACAGGAGAACAGAAATGTTTCTGGACCTACCTCTTCCTAATCTTACAGAAAAAGCGATGAGTCTTTAGGAAAGTACAGAGTAATTCAGACACAGTAAAACACTAGTTAATTTGGGGGAAATTTGCATTTTTATATGTAAAAATTTGACAAATTCTTCTGAAATTACTAGACTTGCAAAGATGAAAAGCATCAAGTTACAGGATTTGAGTGACAGGCTGTTCATCCCTTCACTTTCCTTGTACATATTTTATTTCTCTTTTCATACTTTATAAATATACTTTTAGAAGGTACCTCAAAGATCACGTCTGACACGTAGTAGGCATTCACTATATAATTGTCGTATGAGGATATGCCATGACAATGAATTGCTATGCTTAGTCAGGTTAGGCTAAATTATGTTGTCATAACAAATAACTCTAAAATCTCGGCGGCTTAGCACAACAAAATATATATTCTTTGCTCACTACAGACTCTCATGTGAATTGACAGGGGGTTTCCATATCTAGTGGTTGGGGATTCCCTTTAACTTGTGAGGCCATCATCTCCACACTTGACTTTCAGAGTGGTTCTAGCAAGAGATAAGAAAGATGAAGGAGACACACTGGCTCCCAAGGGCCTTGCAATGGAAATGGTACATCAATTCCTCTCATATTCCTGTTTGCCAGATACAGTCATGTGCCCCAGACCCCAAAATAAAGAAGTATGGGAAATGCAGGGAGCCCAGGAATATTCAGTGAGCACTAATGGCCTCTGCTGCCCTTGGTTTTTAGGAGACAGAGAGGTGTAAATTAAAAGCCAGCGCTATGTTTTCCACTTTTATTTATCTAGGCTTCATTACAACTAGTCTTGCAAGGGACTCTGTGGGGAAAGTGTTTTTCTTTTCATGGTGAAACAAGTTTGGCAAATGCTGTGTATTATATTTACCTCATCCAATTTATGATGTGCAATTATTTATTAAAGGTTTTAAAAAGTTCAACATCAAAGAAACTGGTTATAAAAGACAAGAAATCAAGCTGTGAATCTAATTTATTTATTTGATAAATATTTTTTGAACACCTTCTATTAATATTTGCCAGGTATTGAGCTAGAATTTTGGGGGGAATTAGATGAATAAGGCCTTTTTCTTATCCACCAGGAGACTAATTCCAGGGAAGGCGTATAAAGTAATTCCCTAAGTGTACTCTCATTACAACAGGGGACACATATATTACCTATTCACCAATGGGTGTCTGTATCTTTTTGTGCCAAAGCAAGTTTTGTAACTCACTTGAACACATTTTGGGTGTTATTTTGCAATCTATTCATCCTGTAGTAGGCAGGCAATTTAAAAATACAATGACACCAGTTTACTTTCTAGTAGTTGGCATTTTCCTTAACAGTATACACTGTAAAACATCTATGTTTTAAAGATCAAATACTGGCCAGGGGCAGTGGCTCATGCCTGTAATTCCAGCACTTTGGGAGGCCGCGGCAGGCGGATCACCTGAGGTCAGGAGTTTGAGACCAGCCTGGCCAACATGGTGAAACCCTGTCTCTACTAAAAATACAAAAATTAGCCGGGCGTGGTGGTGTGCGCCTATAATCCCAGCTACCTGGGAGGCTGAGGCAAGAGAATCCCTGGAACCTGGGAGGCAGAGGCTGCAGTGAGCCAAGATCACGCCATTGCACTCCAGCCTGGGCGACAGAGCAAGACTCTGTCTCAAAAAAAAAAAAAAAAAAAAAAAAATTAAAATACTATAGGATGCCAATCACATAACAACACATACTAGAGTGACACAAATTTTAAAAATTAGAACAGTGATGCATTCTTTTAATAAAAAATATTAAACAACCCCAAAGAAAATATACATTAATTCTTAGATTTTTGCCTACAACCATTAGTCTAATTTTCCTAGTATATCTTTCTGGAAGAAACTACTGTTACTAGTTTTTTCCAGAGATAGTTTGTGTATATACTATATTACACATACATATATAAAATACCTCTTTTATTACATATACAAATTTGTAGTATTCTTTCATTTTTATCATGTATAATATGTATCTCTTTTTAAAACATAAATATTAAACTATCGTAAGTTCTATTCGACACTGTCTAAAAAAATTTAAAATATATCTAGAATTGCATTCTGTGTGCATGCGTGTGTGTGACTGTACATACGCTCACTCATATGCCCTGGGTGTACCACAATTTATGTAACTAGCTCCCTACTGATAGTCATTTAAGTCAAAATGGTTTCTAGAGAAGTTTATTTTTAAAAAACTTCATGTGTTTGAATCTTTTAAAAAGCAGCCAAAGTAAGCTAATGCATCCCTAAAAATGTGGTTCTTGTGAGACATTTTTAATACTCCAGTGGGTTTTTAAAAGGATACAAACTTATAGCTAGACAGGAGGGATAGGTTCTGGTGTTCCTCAGCTCTGTAGGGTGACTATGGTTAACAGTAAAATATGATATAGTTCCAAATAGCTAGGAGGATTTTGAATGTTCCCAACACAAAGAAATGATAAAAGTTTGAGATGATGGATATGTGAATTATTCTGATCTGATCCCTACATTACACATATCATAACACTGCTATGTACTCCATGAATATGCACATATTTATCAACATATTATGTGTCAATTTTAAAAAGCTTTTAAACAAAAAGTAAAAATTCTGGATTAAAAAAATACATAAGGTCCAGGCACAGTGGCTCACACCTGTAATCCCAGCACTTTGGAAGGCAGCGGCGGATGGATCACCTGAGGTCAGGAGTTTGAGACCAGCCTGGCCAACATGGCGAAACCCCGTTTCTACTAAAAATAGAAAAATTGGCTGCGCGTGGTGGCAGGTGCCTGTAATCCCAGCTACTTGGGAGGCTGAGGCAGGAGAATCGCTAGAACCCGGGAGGCAGAGGCTGCAGTGAGCCAATATCGTGCAATTGCACTCCAGCTGGGGTGACAAGAGTGAAACTTCATCTCAAAAAAAAAAAAAAAAAAAAAAAAAAGAAAAGTAAGAATATAACCTAAGAGTTTGCTTCACATCTGTGTGTATAAATATGTATGGATGTGCAACTTAAAAATATGTGGCTATTTTATCTTTTTAAAGGTTAATTGATTTAGATGTTAGGCTCACTAAAAGATAGTGTTCAAGATTCATCCGTTTCTGAATTCATAGAAATATACCCGGACATAGCATGGGCATATATTGATACATGGAAATAACTATTGGTGATAGTTCCACAGCCTTGGTGGGATTTTTACAAAGATGTTAATTTCGTTAATTGTATCCAAAATTACTAATACTTTCCGAGTTGTTATGAAAACATGTAGCATTGGGAACACAGACATTTAGGAAAAAGGGTGAATATGTTTCGCTGTGGATATTCAGTGCAGGTAGAAAAAGGGAGCAGAAAGAATGTTACTTGTATCTCCTTTAAGACAAAGCCAGCTGCCTGGAAATACTGAAGGAGGACTCTGGCCAGAGATCTTCCACCTGCCAGGGCAACCAGCAATGACTCCCATCTTCAAAGTGATTTATGAACTTTAATGGAGATTCGCAAGAGCCCCAGAAGGCAGAGAGGTTATAATTACTCCATTTACAAATGGGAGATGGAGACACAAATAGGTTAAGTGCTTTGCCGCAGGCGCCCCGCTGTTGCTTCTGGAGTTCCACAGCAGAGGGGCCTGCTTCCCCAGCTCGCTCACACCCCAGCCCTGGGTGGCCTTCCTCTCCTTCCCAGGGTCTCTACCACTGCCCTGCAGAGAACAGCTCTGTACCAGAAAGCCCAGGGCCAGGTCTCCACTAGGAGAGAAAGGTAGAGAATTAGGGTCAGAGGGGAGGTAATTCAGACTCCACTGCAGGCATTCTCATTAGGAGTCTAAGCGCCAAGGCTGAGTCTGTCTTTCCATATGGATATGCACCCCGTGGACATTCAAGAACCTGCTGGTAATCATACCAATTACCCAGATTATAAAGGCGATGAGTATCCTTTCCCCTTAGCTATTTAGATAATCATCAGATTTGACTTTTCCAAAGACTTGGCTGAATCCAGATTTCAAACTAAAACAAAGGTTTTTCTCTCATCACCCACCTGGTGGTTAATTTCTTCCAGGATGTCACTTTAAAATGCAAAGCAGAGAGCTGAGAATATTGCATGACTACCAGAAAGGAATATATAGACTGGCATCTGGCAATTGGGATTACGCTGAGCCAAGAAATGGATAATGGAACCTACCTCAATCTTTGTCCAAATCCTAGAACATTCAGATATAATAGTTGTTAATATTGCTGGAATTTCTGAAGGTGAAAAACTATGTAAAAGAAAGTGCAAAGAGAAACTCATTAATAAATATAATTTATTCATTTGCTAGCAGCTGGGGAGAGGGTAAGTGTTGGGAAGGATAGCAATCAGAGAGAAAGTAGATTTTTTATTTTTTTATTTTTTATTTTTAGAAAACAGTGCTTTATTATAGCTCTAGAATTAATAAATAACCTGAAACCAACTGCCTATAATCTACAGCAGTGGGGACCACAAATGGGCAAACTAATGGAAGGACCATGATGACGGGACTTGGACACACACATCACTTAGGGAGACAAATCTAGAAGTCTCCCTTTCAAACTGCCTTCCAACAGACACCCAGCATAGTTATTCCTGTTTCAGAGATAGCACCCAAAGACAAAGGCCAGAGCTTATCGTATAAATGCCTTGTTTGCCACTGTCACATTGTATTTTCCTTATAACAACAAATAATAGTTAACAAAAAATAAGAACTACCACAGAAAATAACAAAAGAATACAATGATTGGTATTTTTTCCCACCTACATTTTGGGAGTTTTAGAATTTAGATAAATTTCACTGGGCTCTCTGCTTCTTTCTCTTTCCCTGAATTCCTAACCCACTGAATAACCTTCAGTGTTTATTTAAATTTTCATTTTCTCTTGAAGTGTTCTGGTTACGTCTGCAGATGTTGAAATTGCTTTACAAAAACGTACACATCTCTAGTATTAAAAGATGCTTTTTAAACCTCACAATTTAAAAAATTAATTCCTCTTATATTTGTACATAGATTACTCAGAAAGTTCCTTTAGAAATAAATTCCAGTGACACTGATTTTTTGTTTTTTTTTTTGCATTTTTATTTCAATGAAAAATCTCACTGCTTTTTTTCTTGCATTTGATTGCCCAGCATTTGGTTCCTTTTCCTCTCTGATTGGCTGCTGGTTGTGGTGCAGGCTCCTGCTTCATCATTTTGCATTCTCTCCTTGGTCTTAGGTGTTCTTTCAGCCAGGACCAGGGCCTTCCTGCTCCAGCGAAGCTCATCCACCTGTGGGTCAAGCAACTCCATCTGTCCTCAGGACGCTTTTTGAACACTGGCTCACTTCAGAGCCATAAATGCCTAGGTATGTGAGTTAATCCAGTCTCCTTGGCTGATACAATCCATGACAGGATCACAAGCTGCAGGGTAATAAACATCATTTGGGTGCTAATAAATTTCAAGCTTTGAAAGTAGGTGTTTATGTCTAGCAAGAGATAATGTTGGCAGAAGGGAACTTTCCTGGGGTGTCTGTACATTGTTTTGTAGGAAAGACACCAGTGGCCTGGCAAGATAAATGATCTGAGGTTTCAGGTAGAAGGGACAGGGAGTTATTTAGTAGCAAGAGCCTTGGGCCTACCCAACTGACTTTCCCATGCCAGTCGCAGCTCTGCCCCTGGTATTTCATTCCTCTTTGAGCTCCATAGTTTGTAGCTGGCTCTATCTGTAAAGGGAGACCAACCTAAGCCTTGATTTCTTGGGGAAAGGGGTGTCAATTTTTATTACATTCCTTTTTTTTTTTTTTTGAGATGGAGTCTTGCTCTGTTGCCCAGGCTGGAGTGCAGTGGCACGATCTTGGCTCAGTGCAACCTCCGCCTCCAGGTTTCAAGCAATTCTCCTGCCTCAGCCTCCTGAGCAGCTGGGATTACAGGTGTGCACTACCACACTTGGCTAATTTTGGTATTTTTAGTAGAGACGGGGTTTCATCATGTTGGCCAGGCTGGTCTTGAACCCCTGACCTCGTGATCCACCTGCCTCGGCCTCCCAAAGTGCTGGGATTACAGGCGTGAGCCATCGTGCCCAGACTTTTTATTACATTCTTTGCCAATATTTAGTTTCCCCCTTGCATATCCCTCTCCTTGTGTGATAAAATTTTGTAAGTTTGATTTTTCTATGCAAGATTTTGGATTGGATTAGAGAATAAAATATGTAGAATTTTGTTCTTTGGATGTCTTTAAAAAGAGGGTAAATTCCTGTTTTGGTTGGTCTCTATGGTGTGGTCCGACATGTTCAATTAACTGCTCAGAAAGGACTAATAATTTCTGAATCATCTTTAGCTTATTCAAGACTCTTCCATGATAATGGAGATGCAAAAGAGAGACATAGCACAGACTTGCAACCTAGCTGGGAAGGAAAGAACGGGAAGTATCAAAAATGAAAAAGGAAGCCCAGGGTTGCTTGGTGTGCAGCCTGCCCTGATGGTATGGGTGTGTTCTTTCCAGGCAGAGGGCACATGAGGGCATACAGCCTGGTTTCACCAATTAGATGCAAGGAGCTCCATTTTTATGCTATTTCAGTCCACTACTTTACAAGGTCAAGAACATACTACCAGAAGCCAGTTTAGTGATTTCACCTTTCTTTTCATCCTTCCTACCTTGTTTGTGTCCTAGAGATGGCAGTAAGGATTGGTTAGTATTGGAGGGTGGCTGCTTTGAGATGCTTCTAGTTTCCTTTCTCCATCAGTGACCCCCTCATTCTCATGCACCCACCTTTGCATTGAAGGTCTCTGTCAGGCAGCCATGGACATGTGTTCCCTGCCCTCCAGTTTGGAAGGGCTGCTACATTAATAGGTGAATGTAAAATCAGTTTCTTGGAGTGTAAGGCATCTGACTGTTATACAATGAGTTTTGTGGCCAGAGGGTGAAAAGAGAGTATATAGGCAGTATAAGTCAGTCCTCCGTGAAATGCTTTGGGTGGCCCTGGTGGAACTACTTCTTTATTTTCAAGGGAGGTGAAGTGGTCCAGCATGAAGTTTCTACCAGTGAGAAGTATGTGGGTAAATGACAGCTCCCACCTTTAACTTTTGCCCAGTTGCTAAATCTCCCCTCTCTTTATGCAACATATACCTGACACCCTGATGGATGCTTCTCCCTGCAGGTACCGTTGAGTAATGAGTCCGCAGCTGATTAAATCACGGGTTTCCCATATCTTTCTTATTAGTTCTGCAGCACAGTTCCTTGAGCTGACAGCTGTACAATAGCACCTTTTCAACTGTTTCTGGTTTCATGCCAGAAAACTTATCTTTTAATGATTTTGCACCCACCTCCCAACTCCCAGAGCGAGTAGAGAAAGGGAGTATATTTTGAAAGAAATTCCAAGCTTCTTTTGTGTATTTTTTCACTTGGCAGTCCAGTTTGTCACTGATTAAAAGCATCATGGAAAACAGTTTCAGAACGGCTACATGAAGTCCAAGTTCATCATGTTTTAACACTGCTATAAAATACTTTTTTGAATGTTTACTATGTGTCAGGTACTATGCTCGGTGCTGGCGATAGTGGGTTAGCAAAAACTGTTTTGTCTTAGGCATTCTTTATGATTGTAGCCATCTAAATTGCACACTATGACTATGAAGTAGGTACATTCATGTCTGTTCTGCTCTTTGAAAAAGATCCCATACTAAAAGGTACAGAACAAAATCTTTTTTTTCCTCTATTTTCCATAACCCAGGAGATACTGCTCTATAAAACTCATTTTTGTATCAATTTCTTGAGAACCTTGTTACTCTCAGGAATCACCAACCTCAATTAACTGGGCTCTTCCTAAATAAATTAGTTTGCTTTGATTTTATGGGCACAGTGGAGTCTGGAACAGTTGTGTTTCCCTATTTTCAGAGATATTTAAAGCTATGGAGACACCAAGGTGGTAAAACATACATTTTTTTTCTCCTAACACTATTTCTGATCTGATTTATTTTCCTCCTCGGTTACCTTTTGTGTGATTTTCTCACTTATTTAATTTTTTCCATATTCAGTACAATTTGATTACCTATAGTCCCCATGTTGTACATTTGATCTCTGTACTTGTTCATCCTATACCTCTGCTACTTTGTATTTTCTGATCTACATCTTCCCATTTTCTATTCTGTCCTGTCCCCTCTCCAGCTCCCCTCTCTGCTGAGAGCCATTTCCATTGCTAAATAAAATTCTCTGCCTTCACCATCCGTCAAGTGTCCGCACAACCTCATTCTTCTTGGATGCTGGACAAGAGCTTGGGACCCAGGCGACGAGGCAAGGGGCCAATTGAGCTGATAACACACTACTGTTCATGGACAGTGGAGCCAAGAGAGCATTGTAACACAGCCTTTGGGGCTTCGGGGTCGCAGGCATCCCCAACAGGGTGCCACCTCAGGCCGAGTAAACAGAGCTTGCTCCTCCTGGGGCCCTGAGCGGCCAAAAAGGTCCTGTAGTTGCTCACCTGTACCTAGTCTGCCCATGTGCGGCGCCTGGAGCAGCCGGCCGGGTCCCGCACTCGCTGGCTCATGCCTGGTCTGGCTGTGCATGAAGCCTTCTCCTGTGTCGACTCCCAGAGCGGCCGGCTGGGTCCTGCACTCGCTCGTTCACATGCTCCCTCACGCAAGGGGCTGAGCGTGGTGGGCTGAGTAAACGTTTGCCCCTGTCACGAGTCCAAAGAAGGGGCTGAGAAAAAGCCTGCATCATTTCCTCTTTTTAATTAATTAGTAACCTTTATACTGTTTTCCATAATGGCTGTAGCGCTGTACATTCTCACCAACAGCGTATCAAAGTTCTCTTTTTCTCTTGCCTTCACAAGCGTTTGTTATCTTTTGACTCTGATCATAGCCATCCTAATGGGCATGGGGTAGTATCTCACAGTGGCTTTGGTTTGTAATTCCCTGGTGATTAATGATGTTGAGCACCTTTTCATGTACCTTTTGGTCATTTTTATGTCTTCTTGGGAGACATAACTGTTCAGATTTTTGCCCATTTTTTAATTTGTTTTTGTTTTTCTACTATTGAGTTTTATAAGTACTTTATACATTTTGTATATTAACCCCTTATCAGATATATGATTTTCAAATACGTTTTCCCTATCTTTAGGCTGCCTTTCTATTTTGTGTATTGTTTCTTCTGCTGCGAAGAAGCTTTTTAGTTTGATGGAGTCCCATTTATTTATTTTTGTTTTTGTGGCCTGAGCTTTTGATGTGATACCCAACAAATCATTGCCAAGGTCAATGTCCAGGCACTTTTCCCTAATGTTCTCTTCTGGGGGTTTTATAGTTTCTGGTCTTATATTTTGGTCTTTTATCCATTTTGAGTTTATTTTTGTATATGTTATCAGATAATAGTCCAATTTCATTCTTTTGTATATAAAAATCCAGTTTTCCCAGCACTATTTATTGAAAAGACTGTCGTTTCCCCATTGTGTCCTCCTGGTGCTCTTGTAAAAAATTGGTTTGCTTTGATTTTATGAGGACTGTGAAGCTTGGAACTATTGTGTTTCCCTGTTTGCAGAGATGTTGAGACATACAAAGCTATGGAGACACCAAGATGTTATAACATAACATTTTTTCCTGTAGTAACACTATTTCTGACTTTATTTATTTTACTTTACATATTTCCCTACTGTTTAATTTTTTCATTTATTTTAATCTTATAGAAGTATCTATACACATTTTAATAAATTCTTTTAATAAATACAAAAATAAAAAAATAAAAAAATTCTTTAAATAAATTTAATACATTCTCAAATTCTTTTAGGAACAGGGTGGAAATATTCATAAGTAAATTAATAAAATATGAAAAAAAAACCTGAGAAAATAAGCCAGATATGTTTATGCTAGAAACTTTCTGGAGGTTTTAAGAATTTATCTAGACAGAGAGGTGGCAGGAGGGAGAGCGCTGGAAAAATAGCTAATGCATGCTGAGCTTAATATCTAGGTGATAGGTTGATAGGTGCAGCAAATCACCATGGCACGTGTTTACCTATGTAACAAACCTGCACATCCTGCACATGTACCCTGGAACTTAAAATAAAACAAAATAAAATAATAATTGAAAAACATTTGACATATCTGATAGGCTTCCCCAAATCAAATTTCAGCTTCAAAATTATCTTTGCTGGCCTGTAACTTTGGGGGGCTACAGAAGGCCCCTGAAGCATCCAAAAGAGGTAAACAGGGCTATTTGACTTGTTAAGTTACTTGGGAAGGATTGTCAAAATAAAAGATAATATTTAACCTTCTTCAGGTTATATTTTAGTGTATGTCATCAGTATGTTCCAAAAATATATGGGATTTCTAAAATTCTACTATGTCTGAGTATATGCTCATAATCAATCATAATTATGGTTATTATGTTAAGTTATTGTGGACCACAGAAATAACCAAATTCCCTTGTCAATTGTGTCTTTAACTATAACTATTTTTTTTTTTTTTTGAGATGGAGTCTCGCTCTGTCGCCCAGGCTGAAGTGCAGTGGCATGATCTTGACTCACTGCAACTTCCGCCTCCCAGGTTCAAGCAATTCTCTTGCCTCAGCCTCCTGAGTAGCTGGGATTATAGGCACCTGCCACCAGGCCTGGCTAATTTTTGTATTTTTAGTAGCGATAGTGTTTGCCATGTTGGCCAGGCTGGTCTCAAACTCCTGACCTCAGGTGATCCACCCACCTCGGCCTCTCAAAGTGCTGGGATAACAGGCGTGAGCCACTGCACCCCACCAACTATAACTATTTAAAGTCATTTCCACAGTTAATTGCTTAATGCTGATGCAGTTTCTGAAAACTTCACAAGCACGCAGAAATCCTAGAATATGGTGTCTTCTAGGAGGTTCATGAAAGGATGGAAAGGACCCTGAAAAGCTCTCTTGAATACAGGTTTCTAATTATTTTAACATCATATCATGGGTAATAATTCCCCCATGAATTCCCCAGTTCCACAAGAATTGGACTGGGTAACAATTCCCAAAACTTTAATGAAAACACTGACTGGTTTATAAAACTGCTAACCCAAATAGAACAAAAAATTCCTTGAATACCAAGGAAATATTTTGCCAGATTTTTATGCTAAGTCACCCAAAACTAAAATTATTTAGATATACAACTTGAATGAACTCCATGGTCTAAATCAAATTACCTATGCTAACCCCTTAGTTATCAGAGCTATGCACCTAATTTGGAGAAACAACTGGTATTCAAGAGGATATAGGTCTAATGTTAATTAAGCATGAACTCATGGAGAACCAGAACAGCTGCCTTGTCCTTCCTGAGTCCATAAAGCTTTTGTTATTAAAATTTCCATGACTCATCATGGAAAAGATAAAATGATCCAAATTAAATATATTGGTGTGGTGACTTATAAATTGCTAGAATTGTTTATAACCAATGTTTGATTTGTCAAATCCATATTTCTGGGAAAACAATCAAAGCTTCAGGTACATTTGGTTACCTGATGGGCCGTTTAAAGATTTATAAAGGGATCGTCAGTTTCTTTTTTCTTTTTTTTTTTTTGAGACGGAATCTCGCTGTCTCCCAGGCTGGAGTGCAGTGGCACGATCTCGGCTCACTGCAAGATCTGCCTCCCGGGTTCATGCCATTCTCCTGCCTCAGCCTCCTGAGTAGCTGGGACTACAGGTGCCCGCCACTATGCCCGGCTAATTTTTTGTATTTTTAGTGGGGACGGGGTTTCACCGTGTTAGCCAGGATGGTCTTGATCTCCTGACCTTGTGATCCACCCACCTCGGCCTCCCAGAATGCTGGGATTACAGGCTTGAGCCACCGCGACCAGCCTAATTGTCATTTTCAATGCATGTTTTCTGGTTGTATAAAAGCTCTCCCATGCAAGAGGGCTGTTGTTGTAACAGTAGATTATTATGGTACAGTGTATTTTCCCCAGGTAAAGAAAGCTTTTTAAGGTTCACTGAGGACAGTCAACCTCTTCACAATCTAGAACTCGAAGACTGGATCTTCTGAGAACATCAGAGAAAGACTGCCCTTGCCATCCACACTGCAACAAAACTTGGGAAACTTGAACTTTGGGTTCATAATGTCACAACTGAGAAGGATCCCTCACAATCTTAGAACTCTTAAGGAAAAGCTAATCAGGAAAGTTTTTCCCCAGAAGAAGATGGCATCCTTGATGTGAACAGCTTTTCCCAAGATCATGGATCAAGACATCTCTACTATTATGAGACTCTTATCTTCGAATATTTTTTCCTTGTTTATGCCTCTATGAATAATAGAAATGAAAAGAGGGTCTGTTGTGTGAACTTATGGGCTATATGTTTTTGTGAAAGATTTTGCAGCCAGCCTTATACAGGGATAAACTCATACTTTGATAGATAAAAGATGAAGGCCTAATGAAGGTGAGAAACTTTAATGGTACATATGTTGCCTCATAATCAGTCAGAAACAGAACATCAATTCACTCCTCTTAACTCACATCATGAGTTAAAGAGAACATTGCCAGGAGGCATTCAATCTTTTTTTTTTTTTTTGAGATGGAGTCTCACTCTGTTGCCCAGGCTGGAGTGCAGTGGCTCGATCTTGGCTCACTGCAGCCTCCGCCTCCTGGGTTCAAGTGATTCTCTGCCTCAGCCTCCCAAGTAGCTGGGATTAGAGGCACCCGCCACCATGCCTGGCTAATTTTTGTATTTTTAGTAGAGACAGGGTATTCAATCTTTTAGAAGGCCAGCATTTGTTAGGTCTTTTTTCCACGGTTTGGAATAAAAGAGGCAATGATTAGAAATATATCCCTCGTGATAGGCTCTATAGCAGATTCTACTGTAAAGGCTATGGTTACACAACGGACTTTACATTCTCTTATGAAAGTTATGCTAAATAATAGAATTGGCTAAACAGAAAAGGTTCTGTGCAGCTGCTGGCACTTATGTCCTATGGAGAAATACATCAGGTATTATAGGGATTCAGTTGTAGGGGATTAATGAAAAGACTGCTTAGTTAAGCAAGTAGTCTGTTTATCTAACTTATTCTTTGATCTATTTGATTTTAGGTGGTTTGGTTTGTGGGGACCCTGGGTAAGAATCATACTTCAAACTCTTGGTATTATCCTCCCGATAGTCATAATAGAAGTCTCCCTGGTGCGCTGTGTTCTCTTAAATATTTTAAATGTTTGCACACAGCCATCTCTGAATGCCAAATGATCTCTCTTCAACTGGAATGACAAGAGCTGAAAGAAATGTATGACCACGAGGACACTTTAATCTGTGAATGACATGCTGAGATCGGAAACCCCAAATGATGGTAACTGAGAGTGGTGCCCAGGCCCTAAGTTTTAGTCACACTCTCACCTAAGTGAGAACCTGACCAAAAAGGGGGAATTTTTTTTTTGAACAAAATTACGGAAGGCCATTGCTTTGGACTGAGCTCATGCACTAGGCCCCAGCAGACCAAACCAAACCAAAATGGAGTTACTCATGCTGAATGTGACATAATCAAACCAAGACTTTAAGGAAACACATAGATCCTAGAACAGACCAGGTTTGGTTTTCTCCTGTAAACAAGACATTCCAGCATAAGGAGGTAACCTCTCCTCAAGTCCTGGTTCCTACCTTTGCAAAACTTACTGTTCCACTGTTTCACAGTGGGTTTCAAGACCAAATAAGTATATTTACAGTGGTGATAGTGACATCAATGACTAAAGTTTTGGTGAATCTCTCAAAATTGAGAAAATGACCAAAAGGGGGCAATTGTTAAAGCGAAATAAATGTGGCCTGAGAAGGACTGCATACTTCTATATTTGAGTCCTTGTAGATGAACTACAACCTAACTTAATAGGCAGACAAGGTTGAAAACCTAACTTAGGAATCTGCACCCGTAACAATAGCTGAGTCTTGGCCAATCCCAGCAGCTGTACTTTGTACTTCAACCACTCATACATTGCTGAGTGTTCAAACTGTGTTCAAATAAGGCAAACGCCGAGCTGTCACCAATCCAGTTGTTTCTGTACCTCACTTCTGATTTCTGCACGCCACTTCCCTTTTGTCTATAAATCTCCCATCACATGCCTTTGTGGGAGACTCTCTGAATCTGCTGTGATTCTGGAGGCTGCCTGATTCGTGAATTGTTCATTGCTCAATTAAACTCCTTTAAATTAAAAAAAAAAGAATTTATCTAGACAATTTTGTTGTTCTGCAGCTCTCCAAGTAAAGAACTCATATATTTTCAGAGAGTTTTATCTCTGGTTAAGGTGGACTATCAATATGTCTAGTTTATTTCTGAGAATGTTCTACGTTTAATTTTGTTGGGGTTTGTGTATATAGAATAAGACAGTAATTTATTTCAATTTAAATTATAAAAGCTGTACAAATCCTGATTAAAAATTTTCACACTGCATATAAAGTGGAATTAAGTGCTAAATTATAGTCTCTTGCCCTCCGCAGTCCTCTAAATTTCACTCCTCATTGTGTGTAACACTATAGACTTTTCTATGCACTTATAAGAATGCTTATATATTCTGCATATATTTTATATATTCACAGTACACAGATGCTTTCATGCTATCTGAATGAATCGTATACTTCTTTGAAATAGGCTTTTGTTAATTGATAATATATGGACTTTTTTTTCATGTCAGTGTAAACAATTTTCTTTTATTCTTTTTTTGTTTTCAGATGGAGTTGTGTTCTTGTTGCCCAGGCTGGAGTGCATTGGTGCCATCTTGGCTCACTGCAACCTCTGCCTCCCGGATTCAAGTGATTCTCCTGCCTCAGCCTCCCAAGTAGCTGGGATTACAGGCGCATGCCACCATGCCCAGCTAATTTTTTGTGTTTAGTAGAGACAGGGTTTCACCATGTTGGTCAGGCTAGTCTCGAACTCCTGACCTTAGATGATTCACCCGCCTCAGCCTCCCAAAGTGCTGGGATTACAGGTGTGAGCCATCGCGACCGGTCCTCTTTTATTCTTTATGTAGCTGTTCAGTATTCCATTATATGAATACTTCCTACCTTATTTGACTACTCTCCAACTAATGGGCACTTAGGACTCATCCACACCCCCCTTCTTTTTGTAAGCAAACATTGCTTAATAAATATCCTTGTTCCTAAAAATTTTAGACACCTGTGAGAAAGATGTATTTCTAAAAATATACTTGCTAGGTATGTGCTTTAAAATTTTCCATAGATATTACCAAACAGCTTCCCATATGATATTCTCCAAAAAGGAGTATTTCTATCATATCATTCTCTAACAAAGAATGGATATAGTCTAACTTTTTTCCCATATAAGTGGAAAAATGATATTTACTATTTTCATATTAATTTCATTATTATGAGTGAGTTTGAGCTCCTTCGTTTATAAACTATGTTTTTTTGATTTCTTTTTCTCTGCACTGTGTTTTTAGACTCTTTATGCATTTTTCTCTTATTGGATTGTCCAACTTTTTCTTCTTGTAAAGAGAGAGCTTTACATTAATTTTCTGTTTTCCATGGTATGCTGTAAATTTTTAAATCATGGTTGATCATGTGCTTTATACACACACACACACACACACACACACACACACACACACACACACAAAGTTTCTGGTCTTATATTTGGTGATAGTGGTTATGGCCACTATGACTACATATATATATATATATATATATATAAATATATATGTAAAAATATATATATGTAAAATATATATGTGTATTATATATATATGTTTACACCCCCATATGACATTTCTTTTTTATAGTTGAGTTTATCAATTTTTATTTTTTGAGACAGAGTTTTGCTCTTGTTGCCCAGGCTGGAGTGCAATGGCGCCATCTTGGCTCACTGCAAACTCCGCCTCCTGTATTCAAGCAATTCTCCTGCCTCAGCCTCCTGAGTAGCTGGGATTACAGGCATGCGCCACCACGCCCAGCTAATTTTGTATTTTTAGTAGGGACAGGGTTTCACCATGTTGGTCAGGCTTGTCTCAAACTCTTGACCTCAAGTGATCCCCCTGCCTCGGACTCCCAAAGTGCTGGGATTACAGGCATTAGCCACAGCACCCCACCAAGTTTATCAATTTTTTATGGTGTCTTTTTTCATCATGCTTATCTATCCCCTACAAAACTGTAAGCATGTTTTGTCATGCTTTTTCTGCTACTTTTTCTGGTTTAATTTTTTTTAAGGTAGGTCTTTAACCCCTTAAGGATTAATTTGACTCAAAAAGTGAGGTATGAATTGAATGCTTTTTCTAACCTGTTTTTCCAATACTGTCTTTTTTTGATTTTGAAAGACCCTCATCTTTTTTTCCAGGCATTGTAATCTATCCCATCGATCTGTCTGTCTGTTCCTGGCTCTGGTACTAGAAAGGTTTAATTATTTTTAGTTTTAAAATGTATTAGACTATGTGCAGCTTGTTCGAGTGAATTTATTTGCCTATGCTTGGAGCTTCCAAGAGACCCAGTGGAATCTGGTAGTGTGGGAAGTGGGGTAGGATGAATGAGCTAAAATTACTCGTTTGGGCTCTATGTACCTCTAGAACACAAGCCACTGGAGTGAACAGCCAAGTTCTACTACTATTACATATTTATTTCAAACTTTGCAAAGTGCTTTCCTATGTACTGTCTCTTTAATCCTAACAACAGTCTCAT
The DNA here is from genome assembly GCF_000001405.40 of Homo sapiens. Classification (NCBI taxonomy): domain Eukaryota; kingdom Metazoa; phylum Chordata; class Mammalia; order Primates; family Hominidae; genus Homo; species Homo sapiens. The sequence goes on from NC_000009.12 coordinate 86,524,814, forward strand.
AAGGTAGAGGTTGCTATTCCTATTTTTGCAAAATGTCTTATGTTGAGGTCTGAGATTTGATGAGCATCATACAGCTCCAAAGTGGCACAGCCCAGACTCCAACCCCAGGTCCTCCTTCAAACCACAGCTGTACCATTTTCAGGGTGAATACTGGATCCTCCACTCAGCCTTGGCCATGCCACGAGGAGTTTCTTCTTCAGCTTGGAGCAGGTGATTCCTCAGCTGAGCCAAACACCCTTTTGAAAATCTCCTCTTGGCCAGGTGTGGTGGCTCATGGCTGTAATCCCAGCACTTTGAGAAGGCCAAGGCAGGTGGATCACTTGAGGTCAGGAGCTTGAGACCATCCGGGCCAACATGGTGAAACCCCATCTCTACTAAATATACAAAAATTAGCTGGGCGTGGTGGTGCACAACTGTAGTCCCAGCTACTCAGGAGGCTGAGGCACAAGAACCGCTTGAACCCAGTGAGGCAAGATCACACCACTGCACTTCAGCCTAGGCGACAGAGCGAGACTCCACCTCCAAAAAAAAAAAAAAAGGAACTGTCCAACACAGAGACCCTGTTCCCAGTGGGCTTTGCCTGAAGCTCTTCCAGCAGCGAGCTAGCACAGGGGTGGAACCTGCTGTTGATCTGTTGATTAAGCCTATGCAGTGCTTTCTTTCTTAAAAGGATTAAGTTTTCCACTCTGCTATTATTTTTTAAGAAGGGAATTTTTCTGTAACACTACAAACTCTTTCAGCAGATATTCATCAACAGCCTCTGTGATAGCAAAGTATTTTTCAGCAGAAAGAAGTTAGTTTGACAGATAAGCATGCTGCATAATTAAAGGATTAGCATAGTTTCTCCTGAAATTAAATTAGGAGGGAAAGACTTTTGTGTGGACTTGTTTATGATAACATTATTTGTCGTCATTTTGCAAGGAATAACTCTCAAGCCATGACATAGTGTCAGTTTTAATATTTGAGCCTCAGAGATGAGCGGAAAATGACATTTACACAATGTGACCAGTGGCACATACCTGAATTGTTTCCAGCTACTCAAATCCAGACATCCTCCCTTTCATGAGTGAAGGTGAATGCTTCCACCCTCCGTCCCTCATTTGTTTCCCTGTGGAGGGAAAAAGCTTCCTTTTCTATTATGTTCTGGAAGCAACCTGAGTTTTGGGCAGACTGAGTGGTTGCTCGGATTGTGTGATTAAATCTCTCTGACTGAGGCCACAGTGACAGGGCAGTGGATTGGGGAAAGACTGGTTGGAAGGGTTTTGGAGGACAGAGGACCTTGGTAAAGGACCGTGCAGGAGAGCAGTTTTATCTCACTGTCAAAGCCTGTTTTGCTCCTTCCAGTCCTCTTTGCTTTCTTTTATGCAGTTGTTTTCTCATTTCTACAGAAGCAGAGATCATCTGGCTGGAGCATTCTGAGCATTTGCTTCGTGGAGAGCTTTGGTATGGGGGCCGTGCTTGTCTTCAGCAGAGGCTCTGGGAGAGCCAGACTTCTGTGTGTCTGTGCTGCAGGATGGCATTCGCCTCTCAGAGAGCCTAGGTTAACTCTTTAAGCCGTGAAGCAGTCCGGAAGAGGCTAAGCCAGACTTGGCAACTACATTGGACCCCAAAGCCCCAAAACTCTGCGCCATTATGCTGCCTCCCAAAGGTGGGATTTGCAGCTGGGTTTTGAAAGATAGTGGGATAATTTTAGGGTCAGATTAAAGAGGGGGATATTGCAGGGGGAGAAACAATACATTAGCCAGGCGGTGGAAGCAGGAAAGAGATCTCTTGAGAAGAAGAGGGAGATGTTGCAGGAAGCCCGAATGGGGCCTGGGAGGGGTGGCAGCAGGTACAATCTGTGCCTTGAGTCACTCCCCCTTGGTGTTCCTGTGATTTCTGTACCTCTGCATTGGACAGTGACTTGAGGGCTGGCAGCCTCCCACCTCATCATGGGCTTCAGTGTCTCTCTGTTCTGCTTCAGGGCTTCCTCTGGAGCCTTGAAGAACACTGGGCATGTGTGCAGGAGCGTCCCTGAAGTACACGGGGCTTCCCATCCCTGGAGGCCACCCCAGCCAAGGGGAATGAGAGCTGGAGGAAAAACACTCCAGCCTCCCTTCCTTCAGGGGGCAACCCTGAGGTGCTTTCTACACGGTTCCCCCGATGGGTGAGCCCAGGTGCCCACAGCAGTAGCCGGTGTGATAACACGTCTTCTCCGTCTACCTCTCCTGGCTCCCTCACTCCTGCCTCCTGGGCTCACTTCCCAAAGAAACCACCTGCACCCAAGTCCTTGTCTCAGGCTCTGCTTTTCAGGAAACCCAATTAAGAAAGGGACTTTCAAAGGTTTCCTTGGAAATGTGGACTTGATTGAATAGAATACGATTCAAAACACCCAAAACAGAACCTTTTGGAATACATATTAACTGTCTAGTTGACCAATTCTTGCCAGAGGGAAGTCTGGCAACTCTGTCTTACAAAAACTGTTATCGTGTAATCTTAGCAGGAACAGTCTCATTTGTGCTTTGACCTTGAAAACGTTTGGAAGGAAGGCATGTGGACCCAGGAACATTCTGCAATTCATGGTCTCTTACATAAATTAACTTTCTTCTCTTCAGTGAGTAAAGATGTTGAATAGGTACATGAGCCCTGAAATGTCTCACACTATCCAGAGAATAAAATGTATCAACGATGCAATTAACTTGTTGGTATGAGTGAATACAAATCGCTACTTAAGAATTTATTCTTCAATTCCACAATTTTCGCAATTCTTCTCTAAATATATAATCTTTACTAAGTAAAAAAAGTGAACTATTTAAAAAAAAAAGAACAAGAAGAAGAGGTTGGGCATGGTAGCTCATATCTGTAATCCCAGTGCTTTGGGAGGCTGAGGTGGGAGGATCACTTGAGACTAGGGGTTCAAGGCTACAGTGAGCCGTGATCATGCCACTATACTCTAGCCTGGGCAACTGAGCGAGACCCTATCTCTAAAACAAAATAAAAAATAATTTAATTTTCTAGTGCATAATCAAGCAACCCTCTGCAGACAGAAGGTTACATGTCCAATGTTCAAATATGCTTACAGATTTATGAATACAAGACAAGCAGCCCCAAGAGAAAAATCAGTGAAGGATATGAAGAACAGTGCATGGGAGAGCAAGCCTCAATGATCAAGATGAGAAGATGCTCAAAAGGGAAATTCAGTCCACAAAAGCAAAGAGATGACCCTCCCTATCTGCCACACTGGCCAAAAATAAAGAGGTCGAAATATTTGTAGCATTATGTCTAGAGCAAAACGTGATATAAAGTGAAAAGTGGTATGAATGAAGGTCAGTCGTTGATTTAAAATTTGACACATCCATATCCTATATGTTTATGCTGCGATCAGAAAAGTATGAATTTGAGCTGGTTAACGTGGAAAGATTCCCACAATATATTGCGTAAATAATGTCTAATGTAATCCTATTTTTGTATAAAAAGGTCGAGGTGGGTGTGAATTCGTGCTTATTCACTTCTGAAGCCAGAATATCTGGGTTTGGTCCTGTACGTAGCTCTTATTGGCTGTGGGACTTTGGGAACTTAATGTAACCTCTCTGTGTTGCTGATCTTTATACTTGTATATTAAATGGGGGACAATAGCAATATCTACTTTAGGATTGATATGAGGATTAACTCAGCTATTGTATACAGAGACTTACAATGGTGCCCGGAATATAATGTGCTCAATAAGTGTGGCTGTTACGATAGCTTGTGTAATTGCAGTAATGTCTATAATTGCATATGATTTATGAGAATGGAGAAAAATACCAAAGGGTGCAGCATTGGTTGTTAGCATGAGTTACTTGGTGTCAAGTGGAGGAGGGAAGTGCTTGAATAGGGATCCAGGTGGGGGAGAAAAGGATGAGGGGTAACAGGTATAAAATATACACGGAGTGAAAAAGAACCTTTAACCATAGCATGCTGGCCTCTGCAATAGATAACCTGTAAGGAAAAGACAAGGATGGAGAGGGAACCAATGATATAGAGAAAAGAAGACCTTTCAAATTAAAAGGAAATGAGCAAGACCAAGCGGTAGTGTCTAAGGATTCATACGTGAGCGATAAGATGTCAAAGAAACACACAAAAAGATATTATAAAAGTCCCGGGCTGGGCATGGTGGCTCACGCCTGTAATCCTAGCACTTTGGGAGGCTGAGGCAGGCCGATCAACTGAGGTCGGGAGTTCGAGACCAGCCATGATCAACATGGAGAAACCCCGTCTCTAATAAAAAGACAAAATTAGCCAGTCGTGGTGGTGGTGGTGCGTGCCTGTAATCCCAGCTACTTGGGAGGCTGAGGCAGGAGAATCGCTTGAGCCCTGGAGGCGGAGGTTGCAGTGAGCTGAGATCATGCCATTGCACTCCAGTCTGGGCAACAAGAGCAAAACTCCATCTCAAAACAACAACAACAACAAAAAAAGTCCCAGTAGTGATAATTTTTTGAAGGAGAGAGGGATAGTGTCTGGGATGGGGCATAAAACACGGATATCTGGGGTGGCTGCACAATTTTGTTTCTTGATCTGCATGGTAGTTATAATAATTCTTCAAGATTTCCATTTTTGATATAGTTTTTTTGCATTTGTAGTATGTTTTCTTGTACAATAAAAGGCTAAAACATCCTAGTAAATATAATCTGTGCATTTATGAAAAGTTATATGTTTATAAGAACAGATACACAAGTCAAAACAGCAACTAGCTAGTGAGTATATAAAATCACCCCTAGAAGCTAAAGAGAATGTTCCAATATGAGGTTGAGGGCTATCCCTCTCCAAATCTATGGGGCCTGAAGGCGCTGGGCTAGGCAGGTTTCCTACCTAACTTTGTCCAGACAGATGAAGGCAGGAAGGATTAGTTTTGATCATGCCTGCTGGGTGTATGAGTCACATTCTACCTGGTAATTATTTTTGACATTTGACAGTTCTAGGCACAACCTTTTGCAGCTCTGAAATCTTGGCAGGCCATTTATTTTTGAAGCTTCATATTTTCCTTTTCACAGGATATACCTATTTGGGTACCCTGTTCAAATTAAGGTAGAGATTTTTGAAGAGTCACAAGCCCGGAGGAAAATGTAGAGTTTCAGGAAAGAACTCATCACTTAGCAACAACAACAACAACAACGACAACAACAACAACAACAACAACAACAAAAGTGTGACCTTTACTTGAAAAATACCAGCCCCTGGCCACAGAACTAGGCTTACAATTTTTCAGAGCAGGCACCAGGTGAATCTTTGTTCCCAAATATTTTCCCTACCTGCCTGTACCACAATGCTGAAATTCTATTCTTAGACAGATAACTCGTTTGACTGGTGAGTTTAAAAATGCAAATTTCCCAAGAAGAAGTAGCCCAGTTAAGACTGTTATGAGACAGTCATACTATGGTGAAAAGAATGCATAAAGAAAGGATCCTGAATTAAAGAGAAAAGCAAAGGACAATTGTAAAGGACACAGAATTGCTGGGAAGAAAAATGCCTGGAGCTTTCCCAAATCAGGCAATAAAAAGGCACTGAGCATCTGCGAGACACGTATGAGGATTTTTTCAATCAGCTTCTTTTGGTTTAAATTGACAGAAACCCCAACTCAACTAAGCTTAGGAAAAAAAGGGTAATCTATTGGCTCATATAATTTAAAAGTACGACTTTTAAATTAGATGGAGTTTCAGGCATGGCTTGATCCAGGTATTAAGCAATACTTTCAAAACTTTGTCTTCTCTGTTTTCCTGCTTTCAGCAGGCCCTCTGCTCCTGTCTTCTCCCAAATATAGTATAAGTTTTTTTCTTTACCCTGATCACTAAAGTAAAAATTGTGAGATAAGCTGTGATTGGCCATGCGCACGTCCTTGAGTCAGTCGAGGTGGCTTCCAGATACAAGGCTCTGGTGGGCCATGTGGGAGTTATTGGCTTTGTCCTGGAACCAGAGGTGGGTCAGCTTCACTGACACACTTGCACCAAGGAAATGGGCGTGGTGTTGCCAGAAAAGAGGGACATGGGTATTGGAGCTTCACATAGCACATGTCCCGCCCAGCAGCCTCTGCGAGTTCCAACCCAGAGTGGCTGTGAAATCAAGTTGCTGGATCACAGCCAGCATCAAAGGAGTATTCTAGAAGAGAATTTAATAGAAGATACCTGAGTGTGTCACATTCTGTAAGAGTCAGTTCTGTGAAACCTTTGTTTGAGTTACACAGGTGCATACGTATCTACAAATGTAAATATGTGTGCATATTTATATACATGTATGTATAAATGTGTGGATAAATATGAATTGTTGACCACGGTTTATGGAAAAAAAGGTGTAAACATGTGTAAATATGTGCAAATATGTGCATATTTATATACGTACATATTTGGACTTATAGGTGTAAATATGTGTGCATATTTATATACATGTATGTGTAAATGTGTGGATAAGTATGAAATTTTGAGTTATATGGAGTTAAATAAAATATATAATCAAAATTACTTTTCCCTCTTTCTTTTTATCTCTTTTTAAATGTGGTTGCTAGAAAATTTAAAATTATACTCATGGCTCATGTTACATTCGTACAAAACAGTGCTGGGGAAGAGCAGAGCAGATGAAAGCTGGTCCCTGGAGACAAGATGTTGGGTAAATTCCTGAGCACCCTCATTTGCACAGTTAAAAGAATGAGAGCCTGCAGTGTGGGGTATTTGTGCATAGTAATGGGATAATTAATAGCACATGGGGAGCGTGTCAGAAACGGAGCTGCTGCTTCTATTATGAAACCATGAGGCCTCATCTCTCCTACTTGATTAGATCTCTGTCAGTTTTACTTTTGTAGAATCGAACAGGCTGCCTGGCTCCCAGCAAGAACTCAATAAATGCTTCATGAATGAATGAATGAATGAAACAATATTAGAAAAGAAATGAGAAAATTTCCCCAAAGACAATATTTACCTTCTTGATGATTTTGATCAAGGACAAGCCTACTAGAGGTTGTAAATCATTTATGATTTGCCTGAAGAAAAGTTATTTGCAAACCATGGCAACCAGGGGATTCACATCAATTCTTCTAACTTCAAACCTGACTCACTTCTTGCTGGTGGGCCTGGAGGTTGCCCGAATCTCCCGTCTGAATGAGCATTTAAGCAATTTCAATTCTTACCTCATTGTTATTTGCCTTTTTCTCTTTTGCTTAAACTTTTGTTAAATAGCCACATCTTTTTCAGTTTTACACTTGATATGTGTAACAAATACCATGTGGCAATTACATGCACTTTGCACGGTAACTTTATGTGGTTTCCCCAAGAGCTATTACAGATATTTATATAGATATTTATGTATAAATCACACACACATACTTTTTCTTCTCTAAGGGCGTTTGATGTAGCAGATTCAGAAATGAAATTTTCAAATTACAAATCCCCATTGGAGGTTGGGGTAAAGCAAAGACAGGCCCTGTAGAGGGAAAAGATGTTATAAACATTAGGGTAAGAAAAAAACTGCCTTCACACCGCAAGATGCTTGAGTCCTGTAGAAACTGGCAAGTGGTTCCTGGGAGAGAAAGGCCTTCAGAGATGTCTTGCCCTCCTTACTCCCTGCCTGTTCCTTTCTGCCCTGAGATTTTGGCGACAGGCATTGACATCACTGTGCAGGGATGAGATTCCTCTGGATATGACAGGGTGGGGTGTGGCACTGCCACTTGCTATCTCTGAGGTGACACACTGTGACCCTTGGACAATTTCCTTAACTCCTTTCAGCCTCAGTTAATTCATCTGTAAAATGAGGATACAGCACTCACCTCACAAGATTTTTAGGAAGATGAAATATAATAATATATTTGAAAAGGGTACCAAGTATGAGATACCTTAAAAATGTAGGTAGAATGATGCATGTAAATCTGGGAGCTGTCAAGGAAGCTGAAGGCCTGATGGAGACATGGTGTGAGGAGAGGGTTTCCGTGTTGACTGAACCCAACGCTCCATCTCACAAGATCGGGTTTGGGTCATGAACAGTTGGAAAGTCTCTTCAATGGAAACTCTAGCTGATGGAGAATGATGCTCTTGAGACAAATAACAGACTATCAAACAAAACAAAATCCAGGAGCCACTAAGCACTCGAGATCACCAGGAGCCACTGAAGGATTCCTAGCAGGGGAATGTCATGATCAAACTGATGTCTCAGAAAGATCGATTGGATGCAATGATGTAGGATGAATTGGAAGTAGATAGACAAGAGAAAGAACTGCTATTGTCAGGTGTTAGTGGAAAGAGCAAACTAAGGATTTGGTATCAGGCAGACTTAGTTTCAGGTCTTGACTCAGAGACTTGCAGCAGTGTGATCCCAGGAAGTTTACGTAGCTTCTCTGAGCCTCAGTTTTCCTATTTATAACGTGGGGAGAATAATAGTATCTACCTCAAAGGATTGTTCAAAGAGATTCTGCAATGAATGTAAAGTTCCTAGCACAGGCTCTGGCACACATAAATGACTGGGTAAGAAGTATTATTACAGGTAGGAAGGCCAGTCAGGAGGTTTATTCCAATAAACTAGAAGGCAAGTAATAAGGCTTAGACAAGAAACCAAAAAGGCAACTATGAGAAGCATGAATAAAATCCTCTCTTCCCTTCATTGCCTAGATCAGGAGTCAGTAAACTATGGCCAGTGGGTCAAATTCAGCCTGTAGCCTCTTTAGTACAGCCCACAAGCTAAGCATCATTTTCATGTGTTTAAAGTGTTGTATAAAACAAACAAACAAACCAAAAGATGCAACAGAGATCATTCATGGCCCACAACACCTCAAATATTTACTATCAGGCCCTTTACAGAAAACGTTTGTTGACCTCTGTTCTAGAGCAAAGGATTAAACATCTGAGCAAAGGCTGTATCCATGGAAAGCAAGGCCCCCCTTCTTTTTTCTTTGAGAGAGGGTCTCACTCTGTCACCCAGGCTGGAGAGCAGTGGCACGACCTCGGCTCACTGCAACCTCTGCCTCCCAGGCTCAAGTCATTTTCCTGCCTCAGCCTCCCAAGTAGCTGGGATTACAGGCATGCGCCACTACTGCCCAGCTAATTTTTGTATTTTTAGTAGAGACAGGGTTTCACCATATTGGCCAGGCTGGTCTTGAACTCCTGACCTCAAATGATCCGCCCACCTCGGCCTCCCAAAGTTCTGGGATTACAGGCGTGAGCCACCCTGCCCGTCCCCATGGAAAGCATGCATCTATACAAAGATATTCAAACACAGAGGGTCCGGTTGGTCACTTTTCTCTCAGCTCATGGGGCCAGCAAACCTTTTTTATATGTTGGGAGCAGCTGCTTCCCTTGGAGGCTTCACCCTCTGCATGTTTTTTTTTGTTTTGTTTTTTGAGACGGACTCTGGCTTTGTCACCCAGGCTGGAGTTCAGTGGTGTGATCTTGGTTCACTGCTTCCTCCATCTCCCAGATTCAAGCGATTCTCCTGCCTCAACCTCCCGAGTAGCTGGGACTACAGGTGTGTGTCATCACGACTGGCTAATTTTTGTATTTTTAGTAGAGATGGGGATTCACCATGTTGACCAGGCTAGTCTCGAACCCTTGACCTCAAGTGATCTGCTCACCTTGACCTCCCAAAGTGCTGGGATTACAGGCCTGAGCATGACACCGAGCCCTCTGAGTGTTTTCTTAAATGCCATTGGCTCTCAGGGCCTGGGCTCTCAGTGCCTCTATTATTTTCTCAAATCTCTGGCTTTTACTTGCTGCAAAAGAATATTGTGGGAATCTCCAGTGTCTGCAAGAGCCTTGTGGGTGTGTGTAAAAGGCGTCTTTACTATTTGTATAATATTTTGGAAAAAAAGTCTTCATGTCTTGGAAACTTACAGAAAGTTTTCTCTGTATAATGGGTAAGGCAGCAAAACGGGAGTTCCTAGTACATCAGTCATGTCACTGTGTGACAAATCTGGGGTTTATCTGAGGCAAAACAGTTTGCTGGCCCAGAATTTTTGAAGAAACCAGATATTTAAGCTACAATTGCACAATACATGACCTAATGGAAATGTGAGAATATTTTAGTGAAAAAAAAAAAAATAAAAAGAAGCAGCAAAGATCCAACCAAATGAGATCCATATGGGATGGGTGGATTTGACAATAAGAAACAAACTTCAGAAATAATAGTTTCCCTCGTAGTACTGCATCTCACTGTGCCTTTAAAAACATTTGAGAAAATATCCTTTTATTTATTAAGGTATGACGATGATGCTTGAATTTAGAGTCTCAGTTTTCTCACTGAAAACAGTTGTTCTCCTCAAACTTGTTTTGACACTCAGAGAATAAACCCCTTCCCTTCTCTTCCCTTCCCTTCCCTTCCCTTCCCTTCCCTTCCCTTCCCTTCCCTTCCCTTCCCCTTCCCTTCCCCTTCCCCTTCCCCTTCCCCTTCCCCTTCCCCTTCCCCTTCCTTTCCCTTAAAATCTGTTGGAGAAAGCATTTTACAAGAAAATGAGTCTCTGGTCTCAGGTTTCATTTGATCTCTCATGGCTAGGATGGTTTATTCCTAGATAGGTAAGTCCCAAAACTCATTTTTAGCAGGTTGTGAAGTCTCATATCCTGTGAAGACAAAATAGTGTGGAGGAAGGGAGAAAAAACAACAATAAACAAAAGAACAATCCTGGAAAAATTGATATAGGCCACATTACTCTGAAGTCCATGCTTCAGAAGGACTCTGAAGTCTTTCCTTCTTTCCTTCCCTCCTTCCCTTCCTCCGTCCCTCCCTCCCTCCATCCCTCACTCCCAACCTTCCTTCCAGATGCATTTAAATGCTTACAATCCTCCCTTCCTTCGTCCCTCCCACCTCTTCCCCTTCCTTTCTTTCTTCCTTCCTTCCTTCCTTCCTTCCTTCCTTCCTTCCTTCCTTCCTTCCTTCCACAGATGCATTTTAAATGCTTACAGTGTACCAGAAAATGTGCTAGGACGATGGTCCCAGTATTTATGAAGGGTACAATCTTGTGGAAAATAAGTAACTAAACAAACGGTCAGGAATTGAGGCAATTTCTGTGAAGGAAAAGACAGCATTTTGTGATCGAGAAGAACAGGAGGTACCTCTGTCCCCCACTTTAGAAAGAGGGAGTAAGGAAGTGTAGGATTTGACAGGTTAGCAGAGACTAGAGCACATCTTAGGTCAGGTTCTGCAGAAGCAGACCCTGAGATGGGGATTCATGGGTGAGTCATTTATTAAGGACATGTTGCTGAGGGGGTAGGCACTAGGACAAGGGCCTGGAGCACAAAACTGAAAGAAACACTCACTCTCAGGTCCATGCAAGAGCTGCGTTGTTGGCACGTGGGAATGAGACGTGAGGACCTCTTTACATTTTGATCCCCAGGTGCCACCTTCACCTCATCCAGACTGTGGTCCTTATTCAAAAAGTGAAAGCATGAGAAGTATGAAAAAGGTACAATGAGTAGACAAAGGCCTCCATGTGCTCCGATTCCATCTTCCACTCCTAGCCAGGTGACAATTATTACTACTTTCTTATTTAAACTTCCGTGAAGCTTAATATGTGAAAACTAGAAAACGCTGCTAAAAGAAATAAAAGAAGAATGAATAAATGGAAAGACATCCTATCATGGATTGGAAGACTCAGTATTGTTAAGATAAGATGTCAATGTCACCCAAAGTGATCTATGGATTCAATACAAGCCCTGTCAAAATCCCAGTGACATTTTTTGCTGAAATAGAAAAATCCATCCTAAAGTTAATATGGAATCTCAAGGGACTCTGAATAGCCAAAACAATCTTTCAAAAAGGGGTGAAGTTGAAGGCCTCATACTTCCTGATTTTGAAACTTACTGCAAAGATACAGTAATCAAAACAGTATGGTACTGGCATAAAGACATACACATCAACCAATGGAATAGAATAGAGGTCTTAGAAATACAGTTACGTGGCTGGGCCTGGTGCCTCACACCTGTAATCCCAGCACTTTGGGAGGCTGAGGTGGGGGGGATCACCTGAAATCAGGAGTTCAAGACAAGCCTGGCCAACATGGCAAAACCCCGTCTTTACTAAGAATACAAAAATTAGTTGGGCGTGATGGCATGTGCCTGTAATCGCAGCTACTCAGGAGGCTGAGGCAGGACAATCACTTGAACCTGGGAGGCAGAGGTTGCAGTGAGCTGAGATCTCATGACTGCACTCCAGCCTGGGCAACAGAGTGAGACTCTGTCTCAAAAAGGTAAGAAAGAAAGAAAGAAAGAAAGAGAGAGAGAGAGAGAGAGAAAGAAAGAAAGAGATACAGTTATGCACAGCATATGATATTTTGGTCAATGACTGACTGCATATACGACAGTGGTCCCATAAGATTATAATGGAGCTGAAAAACTCCTATTGCTTAGCGACATCATAGCCATCCTAAAGTTGTAGTGTAAGGCATTACTCACTTGTTTATGGTGATGCTGGTATAGACAAACCTACCGTGTTTTCACTCTTATAAAAGGCTACCACATACAACTATGTACACTACATAATACTTATAATAAAAAATGATGCTACTGGTTTATGTATTTACTATACTATGCTTTTTATTTTTATTTTAGAGTGTACTCCCACTTAATAAAAAAAGTTAACTGTGAAACAGCCTCAGGCAGGCCCTTCAGGAGGTGTTCCAGCAGAAGAGATTGTTATCACAGGAGATGACAGCTCCATGCGTGTTACTGCCCCGGAAGGCCTTCCAGTGGGACAAGATGTGGAGGTGGAAGACAGTGATATTGGTGATCCTGACCCTGAGGAGGCCTCAGCTAATGTGTATGTGTATTAGTCCATTTTCATGCTGCTGATAAAGACATACCCGAGACTGGGCAATTTACAAAAGAAAGAGGTTTAATGGACTTACAGTTTCACGTGGCTGGGGAGGCCTCACAAGCATAGCGGAAGTTGAAAGGCACCTCTCACATGGCGGCAGACAAGAGAAGAGAGCTTGTGCAGGGAGAATCTCGTTTTTAAAACCCTCAGATCTCGTGAGACTCACTCACTATCACCAGAACAGCACAGGAAAGACCTGCCCCCATGATTCAATTGCCTCCCACTGGGTTCCTCCCACAACACGTGGGAATTCAAAATGAGATTTGGATGGGGACACAGCCAAGCCATATTAATATGTTCATGTCTTAGTTTTTAATTAAAAAGTTTAAAAAGTAAAAAATAAATAAAAATAGAAAAAAGCTTATAGAATAAAAACATAAAGAAAAAATATTTTTGTACAGCTGAACAATGTGTGTTTTAATCTAAGTGTTTTTTTTTTCTTTTTTATGAGACTGAGTCTCACTTGGTCACCCAGGCTGGAGTGCAGTGGCACGATCTTGGCTCACTGCAACCTCCACCTCCCAGGTTCAAGCAATTGTCCTGTCTCAGCCTCCCAAGTAGCTGGGACTACAGGTGCCTGCCACCATGCCCAGCTGATTTTTGTATTTTTGGTAGAGACGGGGTTTCACCATATTGGTCAGGCTGGTCTCAAACTCCTGACCTCAGGAGATCCACCTGCCTCGGCCTCCCAAAGTGCTGGAATTACAGGCATGAGCCACCGTGCCTGGCCTTATTGAGTCAAAAATATAAAAATATTAAAAGTTTATAAAATAAAAAAGTTACAGTAGGCTAAAATTACTTTGTTATTGAATAAAGAAAAATGTTTGTATCAATATAGTGTAGCCTAAGTGTACAGTAGTTGTAAAGTGTATGGTAGTGCACAGTAGCATCCCAGGCCTTCGTATTCACGCTCCATTCACTCACTAACTTACTCACAGCAACTGCCAGTCCTGCAAGCTCCATGCATGGTAAGTCCCTTATATAGGTGCACCACTTTTTATCTTTTAAACTGTACTTTTATTGTAACTTTTCTATGTTTAGATGTGTCTAGATGCACAAAGTACTTACCATTGTACTATAGTTGCCTACAGTATTCAGTACAGCAACATGCCATATGAGTTTGTAGCCCAGGAGCAATAGGCTACACCATCTAGCATAGGTGTGCAGTAGGCTATACCATATAGGTTTGTGTAAGTGCACTCTGTGATGTTTGCATGATGAAATCACCATGTTTCTCAGATGATATCTCCATCATTATGTGATGCATGACTGTAAATCCTTGCATGTATGGTCAAATGATTTTTGACAAGTGTCAAGACCATTCAGTGGGGAAAAGGACAGACTTTTCAACAAATGGTACCGGGAAAATTAAATGTCTGCATCCGAAAGAGTGCAGTTGGACCCTTACCTTACACAGTATACAGAAATTAACTCAAAGTGGATCAAATACTTAAGTATTAGAGCTAAAACTATGAAACTCTTAGGAGAAAACAGGGATAAAGCTTCACAACATAGGATTTGGCAGTGATTTCCTAGATACAACACCAAAGACACAGAAAAAAAAAAAAAAGAAAAAATAGACAAATTAGGCTTTATCAAAATGGAAAACTTTTCTGGATCAAAGGATACTATCCCAGAATGGGAGAAAATATTTTCAAACTATATATTTGATAAGAGGTTAATATCCAGAATATATAAAGAGCTCTCAGAACTCAATGACAGGAAAAAAAAAACAATTTAAAACTCAGCAAAGAACATGAATAGGCATCTCTCCTAAGAAAACACACAGATGGCCAAGAAGCACGTGAAAGGATGCTCACCATCATTGGTGATTAGGGAAATGCAAAATAAAACCACAATGAGATACCACTTCACACCCACTAGGGTGGTTATCATTTTTTAAAAAACCCAGAAAATAACCTCAATATTGGTGAGGATGTGAAGAAGGTGGACTCATTTAATTTTTTTTTTCTTTGAGATGGAGCCTTGCTCTGTTGCGCAGGCTGGAGTGCAGTGGTGTGATCTCGGCTCACTGCAGCCTGCACCTCCCAGGTTCCAGCGATTCTCCGGCCTCAGCCTCCTGAGTAGCTGGGATTACAGGCACCCGCCAGCACACCCGGCTAATTTTTGTATTTTTAGTAGAGACAAGGTTTTATCATGTTGGCCAGGCTGGTCTTGAACTCCTGACCTCAAGTGATCTGCCCACCTCGGTCTCCCAAAGTGTTAGGATTACAGGTGTGAGCCACTGTGCCTGGCCTAATTTAATTTTTTGAGGAACTGCTGTACTGTTTTCCACAGCAGCTATACCATATTTCACATTCCCTTGTGCACTGATGGTGGGAATGTAAATTTTTTCCTCAAAAAATTAAACGTAGAATTAATTACCATATGATCCAGCAATCCCCGCTTCTGGGCCTATGCCTAAAAGAAATGAAAGCAGGCACTCAAACAGATATTTGTATACCAACGTTCATAGCAATATTATTCACAGTAGCCAAAAGGTGGACTCTGAGGAGGGCCACCCTAGCATCCTCTGGCCCTCTAACCAGCCCACTGAGTCTCAAATGTGCCCTCTGCCTCCCCAAATGGGACCAGTGGGGAACACAGTACCCATGGCAGTACCCATGGCAAGTGCCCATCAGTACCAGTTGTTAAATAGTTTGAATATCACACCTGATATCAAGATTTTTTTTGAGGTAGTAGCAACAGATACTTAATTGAAGGTAGGGAGTGGGGTCAAAGGACAAAATCAACAATGACTTTTGGGTTTGGCTCAAACAGCTTGGCAGATGGCAGTGCCATTTTATGTGTTGGCAAACTCTAAGGAAGAACAGGCTTCCTAGGGAGCAGGAGAAGTCATGAGTTCAGTTGGGACATGTTAAGTTTCGGATGAAGAGGAGACTCCAAATAACCTGTAAAAGGCTGCTGGACTTATGAGTCTGGAGGTCAGAGGAGGGTTTTGAGCTGATTAATACTGGGGAATTGTTACCACCTAGAAGGTATTTAGAGCCATAGGGATAGAGGTGGTCACATCAGGGAGAGAGTGTAGAAAGAATAGAAGAACCAGGGTCTGGGAGTGAGCAGCCCACCGGAGCTCCAGTGTTTAGAGATCAGGCGCAGGAAGGTAAGCGCACCAAAGAAATCCAGATTCAGGCCCCAGGAAGGTAGGAAAAAAGGCGGGAGGGAATCCCCTCCCAGAAGCCAGGAGAGAAACATGTTTCTAGAGAAGGAATACTTAGTTGCATTGAATGCTGCTGAGAATAGGGTTTAAAGGGTATAGGCTTTGAAAGCTTTAGACTTTTTTCATAATTTAGAAGATTTTGACTATTGTTAGGCTCAAAAATTTTCATTATGGAGAGGAAACCTGGAGCTCTTGCTAGCTAATATGATCAAAAGGCATAGCCCACTTATTGTGGGCCAATGATTGGCCCAAGAGAGTGACTCAGAAGATGTGGATCAACAAATGAATAAAATTGGTTTACTAAGAAAAAATGATTCTGATACCCTTGGGAAAGCCAAATAGCTCTGACCAGTTTCCCTTGGAGCTAAATACTCATATTTGCCATGTAAAACGTGAATATGTTAGAGAACTAAGGAAACCTATTGGCAGAATGTGCTGGTTATGTAAACAGCTCTTTCATCTCAACCTCTGCCAAACAAGTGAGACCTCATGCCAAAATGTTTTCAATATTTAAAAACGTGTTTTTTTAAAAAAAATATTTTAAGTATTATAAGGGTTGCTCTATGCAGAGCTGAAGTGTGGGGTTGCCTTTTCAAGCATCTTCTCTGTAGATAGAAATACATCCTCAAGCTAACAAGTTTCACTGTGGTGTTTTCTTTGCTTAAAATTTTCCATTAAAGAATGGAAAATTGACAGAGAAAAAAGCATTCAAGGAGATTTTTGTTGTAAAGGGATAAGCCAAATACAGTTTCTACTCTTAATGTCAAATGTACAGGATCTCCAGAAGTTTACATATATTTATACATACACTTATTACATTAATAATGCAAATGCTTGCTTAAATGAAGAATCATTGCTGCATTTCTGCGTGTGTTTGGGAATATCTGGCCAAAGGACACTAGTCACTTTGTGATAGAATGGCTCAAGAGTCTATGTTGGCCTTGGGACCCTGTTGGGTTCTGCCTGATTTTAGATAGGACTTGGAGATTCATTCCCTTCCTTAATTCTATTGCCATGTGACTTATGTGACATGTCTGGAGATGGTTATGTGTGATCTGTGGGAAGATGAAGAATGATTGCAGTTTGCAGTGTATAAGGACTCATGTAAATAGCATTAACTCAGAAACTAAAACAGAACAATAACTTGAAATTATCACACAGCGTTAGCCTATTAGTGAAAAATGACTTATGTCATAGGGAATTGTCTCAAGACATTTTAAAATTTCCAGCTTTTACATCAAATTTAATTCCAAACTAGACATGAGATGCAAAACTTTGTGATCTAGTAGAAAACAATATACGAAAAGAAAATCAAGGATTACAATGATCTTTCTGTTGGAATGTGTTAGGGCTTGCTATGCGTCATTCAAAAGGAGCTAATAAGAAAATGATCCATTCAATTTGAGGAATGAGGACAGGCCATAAACAGGAAAAGAAATCCTGAGGTCAAAAGTGAGGATGTGTGAAGCAGGTGGGAGAGTGGCTCCAGATGGATGGGGAAGAATGGATAGGCACCCGTGCTTGGCCTAGGTGTTAAGAAGAGAAGGGTTTTTTTATTTGAAACTGACAGTGGAGCATGGAATAGGGATTCCTGGGGTAAAGGACATGGACAGGACTAGGTAGATTTTAATTGACAATTATCTTTCAAATGTGTGGTATTTGGGAGGCACCAATAAGTCAAGACATAGTTTACCAGCACTGAGTATTGTCTTTTAAAAAAGATGCTAAACTGGCAGTTAAAAATGGCTTTTAAAGGTTCCCTAGGGTTCCAATGTGGTCTTGAGTGTGGGGTTCCTATTGATGGACTTTTGGATGTTTCCAATGTTTTCAGCTGTAAAAACCATGTAGTGATGAACATTACTTTGTTCTTACACATACACTATCTCAGACCTGTCGGGTCACCTTCAGGTAAATCTCTAGAGGGTGGATGGCTGGAATTAACAGTACCATCGGCCTTCTGTATTCTCGCGTTTTGTGTCACAGAGTCAATTAACTGCAGATGGAAAATATTTGGAAAGGTACTGGAGCAGAGGACTTCCTTTTTCTTTTAAAACTGGAATCTTAACTTGTAAAAATAACTACTGAGTGTCAAAGTTTTAAAAGCAGAACTCATTTTGTGTAATGAATACAAGGGAAGTCTAACTGTATAGTTTTTTTATTTTAAATGAAGAAAAACTTTACTTAAGGGCTGCATACTTTTATTAGAGTAAATATGGGTGATTCCACTCCTTTGGAGTAAAACTAGTGCTTAATGGTTACCAATTGTATTTAGCTTCTGGCTGGGATTTGAAAAAATGAAAACCTACATAAAATAGGCGAAAGTTCCCAGACTATTCAGGTAAATATGCACACACGCACATACACAAACACTGGTTCACACACACACAGGTACACAATACATGCACATACACAAGTAAAAATAGAAAACAGGCCAGGCGCTGTGGCTCAAGCCTGTAATCCCAGCACTTTGTGAGGCCGAGGTGGGCGGATCACGAGGTCGAGAGATCAAGACCATCCTGGCCAGCATATTGAAACCCTGTCTCTACTAAAAATACAAAAACTAGCTGGGCATGGTGGCGCGTGCCTATAGTCCCAGCTACTTGGGAGGCCGAGGCAGGAGAATCGCTTGAACCCGGGAGGTGGAGCTTGCAGTGAGCCGAGATCGCGCCACTGCACTCCAGCCTGGGAACAGAGTGAGACTCCGTCTAAAAAAGAAAAAAAATTACAAGTAAAAAACAGTATAACAACAATTTGTATAGCATTTACATTGGTATTATTAGATGTTATAAGTAATCAGCAGATGATTTAAAGTATATTGGGAGATGTGCATAGGCTATATGCAAATACTATGCCATTTTATATGTGTGACCTGAGCATCTGTGGATTTCAGTATCCAAGGGGATCCTGGAACCAATCTTCCTGGGATACCAAGGGAGGACTGTGTTCAGATAGGTGTGTAATTGGTATGACATTTATATTTTATATACATTATTAGATTATCTTCCAGAAATGTCATACTGATGACACTCCTATCATCAGTAAATGAGATCTTAAAGGACAAGAGTTTGTTGATTTATGTATACCTTATCTGGTATGAGCTTTTTATACAGTCAAGTTATAAAATCACTATTATATTTATCCTGCAAATGTTTCACTGTGTTGGTTTTTGGCTTTTAATATTTTGATTTTTACAAGTTTCAACTCTTTCAAATCTGTTAATTCAAAACATTTTGTCATTTTTTCTATTGTTTTTCAATTACAAAGTCCTTCTTCTCACAAGACACTTAAACCATTGACTTATTGGTTCATTCATTAGACATTTATTGAACACCAACAAAATGCTGGGTACCATTCTTGGCACTGTGGGTCTGTCAAGTGAACAACAACAAAAATTCCTGCCTTCAAGAAGCTCATATTTTAGTAGAATAACTAGAATAAATACTTTAAGGCATCTCAAATCCTTTTTATTTGCATTTTTCCTAGTTTTAAAAGCTTTATCTATCTAGCATTTATTTTGGTAAATCATATAAGAAAACAAGCCAAATTGACTTTTCCCCCAGATTGCTAACCGACTGTTATGACATTTATTAAATACTCCCTTCATTCCCCATTTGATTTGTGATGCTCACTTTATTACATATTTTACTGAGAAAATGACCCTACTTTAACCTTCAATATGTAATAACACAAAGCAGGGTTATTATTAAATTGTGAAATACTATTGCTGTTTCATTCAAATGCCAGAAATTTTGAATTATAAATGTTTATTGTGTCATCCACTGCTATTTTATTGTATTCCAGGGATACTATTATTCTTCTTAGAGAACAGCCCAATTTTATCATAGACATCGATAGTAAAATAGGATTTGCTTCAGATAACTACCTCAAGATAGTTTCTTGGAGTACTGTTCCATGAGTGAGAGACCTGCCCATACCTTGATAGTATAGCACACCCTTTTCCCCCTAAGGATGTAGGCAGCCATATCTGTTATATATTCAGCATTATTCCTGAATCAACAGTTAAATTATTTTTATTAATTGGTAGGATTACTAAACTAGTAATGATAATACTTTTTCCAATCAATCTCATGATCTGTCTGTGTTGATTGATATTCTCTTATGCATCCATCTATTCTACCATGCATCCTTCCCTTACTTCCAAGAAGAATTTAAAGCTGTCTTGACATATTACCATAGTTTTTTGAATTGTAGTTTGTATGCATTTGCATAAGAATAACCCCAGGTGCTCTTCCAAAATGCAGAGTTTTGAGTCCCACTATGAACTCACTAAATTGAAATCTGTACTGAGTGGGGCCTGGGCACCTGTATTTTTAACAGCAGCACCACCTCTTCTTCATAATTCTGATGCAGCCTGAAGTTAGAGAACGACTAGAGAATATTGGGATGCTGGAGTGTAGAAACTTGATCTTTCCACCAAGCAATTAATCTACAGGGAACACAGCAGTTGTGCTAATTCTGTGGCCACTTTTTCAACCCACTTGCTGTTTTTTATTACTGGGAGTCATGCAAAAAATGTTGCCCACACTTAAATGTTATTACAGAGCTTTAGAAATTCCTTCATCCCAATCCAATGATTTTTCCTCTACGGAAAGAAATAATGTAGGGAAGGAAGCCATCTGAAGAGCAACACATCTATTTCTCAAGGCAAGTTTTGGAGGAAATTGTCAGATCTTTTCAAAACCAACGCTTTTGCCCTAAAAGCAAAGGATGAAAACTTGTATCTTTTGTTTGTTTTGAGATGGAGTCTTTCTCTGTCACTCAGACTGGAGTGCAGTGGCGCGACATTGGCTCACCGCAACCTCTGCCTCGTGGGCTCAAGCGATTCTCATGCCTCAACCTCCCGAGTAGCTGAGATTACAGGCGCCTGCAACCACGCCTGAGTAATTGTTTGTATTTTTAGTAGAGACGGAGCTTCAGCATGTTGGCCAAGCTGGTCTCGAACTCCGGGCCTCAAGTGATCTGGCCGCCTCACCCTCCCAAAGTGCTAGGATTACAGGCGTGAGCCACTTCACCCAGCTGTAAACGTGTATCTTTTCGAGCCACCTAATTCTACTGAAAGGAACCCCAATATATGTGCATTCTATGAGGGGCAGTAGGGATAGTCGAGCCTTTTCCTAACTCATAGGGTAAGAATCACCTGAGGGTAAATCAGAGTTACAGATTCCAGGGCTCTGCTGCAAAGATACTGAGTAGGAATCTCCAGAGAAGTGAATGGAGAATCTGGACTTCAAATGTCTTGGACGATTCTTTGGCTTAGGAAGGTTTGCTTTCAGAGGCAGATTTACCTGGGTTTAAATTCTTGCTCTGTCACTTTAGCTCCATGATCCTTGAGCCTCAGTTTCTCCATTTGTAAAACTAAGATGCTTCTTTACTCAGGGAACTCGTAAGAATTACATAAACATATTAAGTTCAGCTGCCAGCACAGTTCCTAGCATGTAGTCAGAGCTTAATTATTATTACTTCCTATCCAACTCTCCTTTAGAACAATTGTGTTTGTTCAAATCCTACCAAGCTTTTAAGGCACTTATGCTTGCCTGTTATGCAAATAAACCAGACTGGCATGCTGGGAAGGAAGTATACAGCAAATGGGAGAGGAAAATCCTCCCTATAGATGCAAACTCTGTTTCTCAAACTGTGATCTATGTATCTGAATCACCTATGGCTCACTTTAAAAATAAATAAAATCAATAGACTCCTGGCTTTCACTCCTTACTCATTGAATCAGAAACTCTAGAAGTAGGGACCATGATCAGCTTTTTAAACAAGTATTCTCAGTAATCCTTACAAATCCTAAAGTAGGGCTTTTAACATTCAGAAGGACCTCATTCCAGAGAGAGCCCCGAATTGGTCTCTGACATCCAAATGTCAGTGCCATAATCAGACTCATTTCTCAGCGTCCTTCCTGTTAGTCTGCTTTGTTACTCTGGCTCCACTGCCCTTGAATGTTCAAGAGAGGCAGTTGTTCCCTCCAGCTGGAGCGGAAAAGTAATTTGATCCCGCATTTCCTGCTATGCCTTCTGGTCTCCACAACCTTCTTTCATGGTCTCCCTGCACCCCTCTCAGTTGGCAGGGAGGGCCATGACGTGTGCGCAACTGTTCAGTTGTGTCATCTTAGGTTGACATTGGTCCTTCTGGGACCATTGGCCAAGAAGACCACCTTTGTTGAAAAGTTGACTAAGCAACATGATCCCTAAAACAAAATACAGAGAGTACAGCATGTCCTGAGGGCTGCTTCGTGGAAGTGACAGGTGGTGACTGGATGGAGCCCAGAGATGTCTGAGTATTCAAAGAACAAGTGCCAAATTTTTGTCCCTTCTAGCTTCTCCATTTTCCAATGACAATCTCAGTGTCTGAACACAGGGAGCACCTCAGATTCTAGTTTTGTTCTAATGCAGGGGTGCTCAGCCTATCTGGCAATGGTCTTCTGGAATCCCTGTTGGTTTGAAAACAGGCTCCTATGCCTATGCTCTGGCCAATAGCTGAGAGCAGGTTCAGGCTCAGAGATGGAGCTTTGCCTTTTCCATGGAAGTGTATATTGCTAGGTGTTTAAGGAAGCCTTGTGGGGAGTTTGCTAAGAGAGATCAAAGTGGGAGAGGGGCCAAGCTTCTTGGGACTCAGGGCTGAGCCTGAAGTTAATGCTCAGGTTTACACTTCTAAGAGAGTACAAGGGGTTTAAAGGAAGAGAAGGTTCTGCCCTTGTCTGTATTCACAGGTCCCTCTCTCCCTACGCTCTTCAAGTGGAGACAGTGATGCATGTCAAACAAAATTGGAATAGTATATTAGTATTCCTTTCTTCCTGGCTTTTAATTAAAGGGATCTATGGTGGATCACTATTATTAAGTCAGGTCTCTATGGCCAGAATGATTCACACAGCTGAAAACACACAAACAAACAAAACCAAAAACCAAACAATGTTCCCCCTTGCCAAACTGATTTCAGCTGGCCCTCTATGCTGCTCCTCTTTTTTTGGTAACAGTTTCTCCAATGACAATGACTCTCTTATCCAAGAAACACATGTTCTCAAGTCAAATGCTCCAATAAGCTGATGATCCAAGCTTCCTGTGAGTGATTTTGGGGCATGAGAAATGCATTGTCCAAGCATCACCCATTGATGCAGCTGGAGATTTAGCAAGTTTGCCCTAGAAAGTTGTCAAGGAAATCTCAGATGAAGATGGTGTTGCAGGTTGAGTTTCCTAGGATGTGGATTTTTGTGATGGAGTTTGGTGTGTGGGAAGTTTATCTAGGAGTGTCCCTTGGAAGGGAAATGTCATAGAAAGGAAGAGGAATCAGTAGTAGGCAGAATACAGGCCGATGGCTGTCTTAGTTGACTTCATGGCAGCTCTGGAGCTAGGATGGCTCTTCAGAGTTGGCCCGACTTGGGCTAAGATAGAACAGCAATCAGATATGGGCTGCCCCAGGAAGGGGCATAACCTCAGACAAAGTGGCTATCTGCAGCTGAGGCAGTCCTAGGAAGGGGCTGACAGTGAAGATTTATGCCAGTAGCACTCCCAATGGCTGAGATTCATTCTGTAAAGGGGGCCTGGTTGGGGCATCCTTATGCCCAACACAGATGGTGCTCCACGTGCCAATGACACATTCCCATGAGAAACACGTGGGTGATTTTGCATCACTCACCACTCTCCATTGGGGATTATCCTCTTATCTCTTTCTTGTTCTTATCTTCTTTAGCTCTGTATCTTATTCTATTTCCTTTCTTCCAAGATAATTCTTTACCTCTAGCTTCTAGCTATGAGAACGCGGAACCATTACCATATGTGTTAGCATTCAGTGGCTTCATCCATATTGGACACTGGCTTGAAGGTTGGCTTTTAAGCACCGATCTGAACCTTTCTGAAGTTTTGGAGCCCGATCTGAACCTCCTCATTCTTCTTTATGGCCGCAGGAGTACAGATGTTCCCCGACTTACGATGGTTCTGCTTACAATTTTTTGACTTTACAGTGGTGTGAAAACAATATACATCCAGTAGAAACCCTACTTCAGATACCAATACTGGAAGTTTTTCACTTTCAGTATGGTGTTCAATAAATTACATGAGAGGCTGAACACTTTGTTTTAAAGTAGGCTTTGTGCTAGAAGATTTTGCCCAACTATAGGCTAATGTAAGTGTTCTGAATGCATTTAAGGTAGGCTAGCTCTGATGATCGGTAGGTTAGGTGTATTAAAAGCATTTTCAGTTCATGACGTTTTCAATTTATGCTGGGTTTATCGGGATGTAACCCCATCATAAGTCAAGGAACATTTGTGTACTGCATCTGTGCCTTCCTCTGATAAAGTTCATTATGCTCTCAGCATATTTCAATCTCCTTCTACAAAAAGAGAACACAAAAAACTAGCTTGGATTTTAAATAAGGCAGAAACCCAGAGGCCACATTCTGTCCTTGATGCTTAGCTTTGCACCATTCCCTGGAGAAAGCTCTTATGTCTTTTAGGTTCTGTTGGGATGCTTCTTTACACATGCTTACATGGCCTTGTTCCCAGTCTTTGCCCCTTCAAAAAATGAGCTGGCTGTTCATTAAGAGTCATGCAGCTGAGCTCATACCCATGAATTTTTCAGGGTATATTACTGAGTGTCCTTTAATCCCTAAGACTTGTAGATCTTGGAGGGCTGGATCTCTGAACAGAGAGGCCCAGGTTCCCATCCCTGTAGCATCAGCAATGACAGCTGCTTCCCATTTGCTGCTTAGATTCAGCTGAAACTCATCGGAAATCAGATCTGATGGTGGCCTCAGTTCTGATGACTACACTAACTTCATCCGATCAGATTTCCAGTGAGTCAGGCTGGTTGCTGAGCCCTTTGTCCTGTTGTTTCCTTTAGACTAGCTTGGGTTGGTGGTGCTTCATGAATAATCCATGCACATTAACCAGCTGCATGCATAAAGGCATTTCCACTGTGTCTTTGCCATGAAATTTTATGTGGTTCTGATGTAATTCATAAATAACCAAGAAGAGCCAGACCCTGACTTAAAGTATCTAGAAACCTTAGAGAATCCTTTCAGGTTTCCCAAGAGAACGCATGGTAGTAACTTATCTCTAAATGGTTATAACAGGGATATTTTCCCTGGAGAGTTTTTAATGTCACTGTTGGCTGTATTGCAGGGACAAGGAATATATGGAAATGAAGATAACTTCTCAAAGTGTTTGAAACAAACTTTTATTTCAGTTTCTGGGGTTCTTTTTGGTTTTGGCTATTGCCTTAATCACCAAGTGGTGTGGGTTAAAACAAAAGCCATAATTAAATTGAACGCAATTTGGGGAAAAAACGTTGGGCAACTCTTTGCTTAAACAGAAGCAGGTGGTACTGGAATGCTTAATGGAAGTGAGCTGTGAGGAGGGAATGCAGATTTTTTTTTTTTCATTGAAAACAGTTAAAAATACTTGTGGTCTTTTATGCCAGGCTATGATCAAGATTTTATATATATCTGTGTGTATCTCCCAGTTTCAGGAAAACTGTGATGGAAATGCAATATAGTTTGAATTAGAGAGTGGTCTTTTGTGGTAAGAGAGGATGGGATTTTGTATGTGTGTGTGGTGTTTATTTCCATGGTTGTTTTAAGTAAAGATGTTCTCCTATTCTAGTAAAGATGTGATTTCACTTATACTCCATTCAGGAACTCATCTGTAGAGTAAAGCAATATGTTTTACATAGCTAGCTTTCATAAATGGAACGAAGGATGGATAGGAGGATGTGGCCATGACCCCACTTGCTGCGGGGGATGAGAGAGCCAATCTTGTTGACAAGGCAGGCATCCTATTCTTCTCTAATTGCTCAAGAGTTTTCCTTTCAGAGACTGTTAAATGAAACTTTCCCAGTAGAGAAACATGTCTTCAGGCTCAGGAATTAAGATGGGGCCACAGCCCAATTGTGAAATGCCAATTTCCCTACAAATATTGTTGCCAGATAAAGTACAGGATGCCAAGTTAAATTTGAATTTCAAATTAAAAATAAATAATTGTTTTAGTGTAAGTATGTCTCATAATATTTGGGACTAAAAATTATTCATTCTTCACCCAAGATTCAAGTTTAACCAGGCATCTGATATTTTTAGTCATGTGCTGTATAAGGATGTTTTGGTCAATGATGGACTGCATATACAACAGTGGTCCCATAAGCTTATAATACCATATTTTTACTGTACCTTTTCTATGTTTAGTTATATTTAGATACACAAATACTTACCTTTGTGTTCCAATTGTCTATAGTATTCAGTATGTAACATGCTGTACAGGTTTATAGCCTTGGAGTAACAGGCTCTACCATATGGCCTGTGTGTAGTAGGCTATACTATCTAGGTTTGTGTAAGTATACTCTGATGTTTGCACAATGACAAAATTGCCTAATATCTCAGAACTTATCTCTGATGTTAAGTGACTCATGACTGTATTTGCTAAATCTGGCATTCCTACCTCCAAAAGGCAATTTTTTTTTTTTTTTTTTTTTTGAGATGGAGTCTTGCTCTGTTTCCCAGGCTGGAGCTCAATGGCGTCATCTGTGCTCACTGCAAGCTCCGCCTCCTAGGTTCAAGCATTTTCCCGCCTCAGCCTCCTGAGTAGCTGGGATTACAGGCACCCGCTATCATTCCCGGCTAATTTTTGTATTTTTAGTAGAGACGGGGTTTCACCATGTTGGCCAGGATGGTCTTAAACTCCTGACCTCAGGTGATCCACCTGCCTTGGGCTCTCAAAGTGCTGGGATTACAGGTGTGAGCCACCACACCCAGCCCAAAAGGCAATCTTTCTTCTAATTAAAAGTGAGTCAGATGCATATTGCTGTCTCAGATATTTTGTTGCTATTGTCGTCATTGCTCTTTTTAAATAGACTTTATTTTTTAGAGCAGTTTTAGGTTAACAGTAAAATTAAGCAGAAAGTACAGAGTTCCCATATATCTCCTGCTCCCACATGTATATTGCTCCCCCATTATCAACATCTTGCCTCAAAGTGGTACCTTTGTCATAATTGATAAACCTACATTGTATATCATTAGGACCTGAAGTCCATAGTTTAGGGTTCACTCTTGGTATTGTGCATTCTGTGGGTTTTTGCAAATGTAAGATGACATTTACCTAGCATTATATCATATAGAGTAGTTTCACTGCCCTAAAAGTCCTCTGTGCTCTGCCTCCAATCACTGATTTTTTAAAATTATTTCTATAGTTTTGCCTTTCCCAGGGTGTTCTATAGTTGAAAGCACGCAGTACATTGCTTTTTCAGACTGGCCTCTCCCACTTAGTGATATGTATTTAAGGCTCCTCCATGTCTTTTCATAGCTTGGTAGCTTATTTCTTTTTAGCACTGAAGTATATTTGGATAACAGTACTTTATCAGATATGTGTTTTGCAAAATTCTTCCAGTCTGCAGTTTGTCTTCTCATTCTCTTCACAGTATCTTTTGCAGAGCAGACATTTTAAATTTCAATGAATTCCAGCTTAACCTTAATCTTTCTGGGTCTAGTCTCCCTTTTTAAGAGTGAGGTGGCTAGATTAGATGATTTCTAAGACCCAATTTGACTCTATTGTTCTACTAAAAATATATAATTTTTACAACACTCCAGTGCCGTGTCATTTCTGATTAACTTGGGAATCTGATTGTGTGGGAAGCTAGGGAAACACCTTCCCCTCAATGGATATGAATATGAGTATGAATATGGATGGCAGTTGTTTTATCACTTTAGAAACAGCACCATATTTCGAGCAGTTCTTTCATACTTGCTAACTCCATTTGCTCATCCAGTCAACATTTATGTGGTTGTATGGGTTTGAGACACCAGGAAGAATAAGACGAGATGACTGCCTTAGTTCAGTGGGAGCTGGGTAAGGATGGGGATAGAGACAAGCACAATAAAAATGTTAGCACAATGTGGTAAGTACTGGACTACAGACAATGGCAGAGTATTATGAAATGTGGCACATGTGATTGCTTTTAAGAAAATTGTTTTCCTCATTGATGCACATTGAATTGCTTGTGAATTCTGGTATCTGGCCACTGTGATCAGGTATAATCATTAGAATCACATTATTTACTTTTACTGGCTTGGGCATACATGTACACATGAGCTGGTACACACACATACACACACACTGTATTAATCCATTTTCACACTGCTGATAAAGACATACTTGAGACTAGGCAATTTACAAAAGAAAGGTTTATTGGACTTACAGTTCCACGTGGCTGAGGAGGCCTCACAATCGTGGTGGAAGGTGAAAGGCACGTCTCACATGGTGGCAGACAAGAGAAGAGAGAAGCTTGTTCAGGGGAACTCCTGTTTTTAAAACCATTAGATCTCATGAGACTTACTCACTATCATGAGAACAGCATGGGAAAGACTTGCCCCCATGATTCAATTACCTCCCCCTGGGTCCCTCCCACAACACATGGGAATTCAAGATGAGATTTGGGTGGGGACACAGCCAAAGAATATCACACACATATCCACTAGTACAGAGAGAGAACAGTAGAAAAGTCATGTGTGCAGAAGAAAGGACAGAAAGAAGAGCTGCAATTAAAAACAGTCACCTTTTATCTCCATTTTTTTCTATCTTCTGATGTTACTAAGATAAGAGATTTTAAAAAGTGGTCAAAATATATGAAGTACTTGTTATTTTTAAGGTGTTACTCACACTTGCTTAATCCCATCAACTGTCCTGTGCATAGATATTATCATTATTCTCATTTCACAAAGAGAAAATGTAATCAGAAAGGTTTTTTTTTCTTGATTGTTTAAAGGTTATGTGTGTTTGTGTGCTTTATTTATTTTTTGAGATAGGGTCTTGCTATGTTGCCTAGTCTGGTCTTGAATTTCTGGGATCAAGCTATCCTCCTGCCTCAGCCTCTAAAGTAGCTGGAACTACAGGGGTGTGCCACCATGCCCAGCTTTATATATGCATTTCAAATTAAAAATCCATCCACCATTATTAAAATGTGATTGGTCCAGGTCTAAGAAATACATTCAGCATTCTATGAGGGCCTCTATTTCCTGAGAAACTAATAATTATAATTTTGTGAAATATTTTCCTATATGATTTCTATGTACTTTTCTATACCCGGCTTCCAGAGAAAATGCACATCTCAAATGCAATGCTTTTATTATAAGTCTAGTTCTCATATTTTCCCCAGATCCAACTGAGCCGTTAGTTTTTTCTTTTAGAAAGAATCATAGTTATGTGATGCGCATTTTCCCTGGAAGATGGATCAGTATATTACTTGAATTAGGTTGCACAAATAAATGAGAAATTGCTTTTTATTATTTTTTCAGTTCCTCCTCCTCCTTCTCTCCCTCTCCCTCCTCCTCCTCCTCTTCTTCTTCTTCTTATTCCTCCTCCTCCTCCTCTTCTTGTTCTTCTTCTTACTCCTCCTCCTCTTCCTCCTCTTCTTCTTCTTCCTTTCAGAGGTGGAGCCTTTCTCTGTGGCCCAGCCTGGAGTGCAGTGGCATGATCACAGCTCACTGTAACCTCAAAATCCTAGGCTGAAGTGATCATCCTGCCTCAGCCTCCTCAGTAGCTGGGTCTATAGGCATGTGCTAACACACCTGGATAATTTTTAAAAATTTATTGTAGAGATGAGGTTCTTGCTATGTTGCCCAGGCTGATCTGGAACTTCTGGCCTGAAGTAATCCTTCTCTTTCAGCCCCTCAAAGCACTAGGATTATAGGTACAAGCCACTGTGCTTAACCAGAAATTACTTTTAAAATAACTAGTAGATATGAATGTGAGCATTCTAAACGGATCATTAGATTAGTAGCCACTGAGTCTGAGCCATGTTTCTCTGTGACCTGAATAAGAATTATGGTAGAAAGCCTTGTAAAGCCTTGACTAGGAGATGAAGAAGGTAGGGAGTAATTGCAATGGAGGGGATTGCTTGTTCTTGGCAGTAATATTCATCTATGCCATTCATTTAGGATGAAGAATAATGAGGGACAAAGCAAATGTTGGCTGTCTCCTCTCTCATGTATTTGGAAAATTTATCTTGGATTTATTAACCAGATAAATTACTCTCCTGCAAAGTGTAACCATAAATCAACACAGAAAGATTGACATGGTATCATTTCCTTTGACATAATAAACCAGAGGTGGTGTGGCAATCCAAGAGCAATTATAACACAATTAAATGTTCAGGTTACTCCCTCCCTCTCATAATTTATGCTTGGGAAAAATATACCTAAAGGTTTATATTTTTTAAGGGAAGTCAGAATTGTTGAGTAGCCAAGAACAACAAAAAAAAAGACATTGAAGATTCCCAAGTGGGACGACTAGCAATTTAATGATTTCTTTCTTCAAAACAAAGATACATGTATAGCAAAACTATGAATTTTTTCTAAAAGTCTAATGAGAAACCATTATTGGTTTGGGTAAAATGATTTAATCATCAACTAAAAACAGTCTTAGAGTCCCAGAATGTTTCAGTTGGATAGGAAATTAGACCTCATTCTCTTCAGTCAAATAATTACAGCAAATTATTTGATAAACATTTGTGTTGACTCCTACGAGGTGTATGGTGCTACTTTAGGTACTTTGGGTTAAAAAAAGAAGGAAAATGACACCAAAAGTGCAAGCAACAAGAGAAAAAATTGATAAATTGAACTTCTTCAAAATTAAAAACTTTTGTGCATCAACCCAAATTATTGAGAAAGTGAAAAGACAACCTATACAGTGGAGGAAATATTTATAAATCCTATATTTGGTAAGAGTGTAGCATCCAGAATATATTTTTTAAAAAACCTCTTATAACTCAACCAAAAAAGACAAATAACTCAATTTAAAAAGGGGCAAAGGACTTGAATAGACATTTCTCCAAAAAAGATGTGCAAATGGCCACTAAGCACATGAAAACATGGTCAACGTGATTAGTCATTAGGGAAATGCAAATCAAAATCACAATGAGATACCATGTCAAACCCACTGAAACGGTTATAATAAAAAAAAAGGAGAATAACAAGCATTGGCAAGGATGTGGAGAAACTGGAGCTCTGTGCATTGCTGCTAGGAATGTAAAATGGTGCAGCTGCTATGGAAAACAGTCTGGCAGTTCCTCAAAAAGTTAAACATAGAATTACAGTAGGACCCAGCACTTCCACACCTTGGTGCATATCCCAAAGAATTGAAAACAGAGACTCAAATAAATAGATGCACACTGGTTCATAGCAGCACTATTCACAATAGCCAAAAGGTGGAAACCACCCAAATGTCCATCAATGGAAGAATGGATTAACAAAGTGTGGTAAATGCATGCAACTGACTATTATTCAGTCCAAAAGGGAACGAAGTACTGATTCAGACTATAACATGAGTGAGCCTCAAACATATGCCGGCCAGGCACGGGGGCTCACGCCTGTAATCCCAGTACTTTGGGAGGCCGAGGTGGGCGGATCACCTGAGGTCGGGAGTTCAAGACCAGCCTGACCAACATGGAGAAACTCCGTCTCTCCTAAAAATACAAAATTAGCTGGGTGTGTTGGTGCATGCCTGTAATCCCAGCTACTTGGGAGGCTGAGGCAGGAGAATCGCTTGAACCCAGGAGGCAGAGGTTGCCGTGAGCTGAGATGACACCACTGCACTCCAGCCTGGGCAACAAGAGTGAAACTGGGTCTCAAAACAAACAAACAAAAAACAAACAAACAAAAAAATTATGCTGAGTGAAATAAGCCACACAGAAAAGATCACATGTTGTATGATTTCATTTATATGAAATATCTGCTAAAAGCAAATCCAAAGAGACAGAAATAAGACTTGTGATTGCCAGGGGTGGGGAAAGAGACGAAAGGGAAATGACTGCTGATGTGTATGGAAGTTTCTTTTGGGGTGATAAAAATATTTTGAAATTTGGTAAGTGTGGTGGTAGCAGAACATTGTGAATGTACTAAATGACACTGAATTTTACACTTTATAATGGTTAATGTTAAGTTACATGAATTTTACCTCAATTAAAAAAAAAGAAAAAAGTACAGCCTTCTGTGGTGAAAAGGAGGCTGGATTGAGATCAGACTCAGGTTTGCAATTTGGTTTTCCCACCTTCTGTTTGTATGAACCTGGATAAATTATGCAACCACACTCTGGAAAATGCATTATAGGAATCTACAATAGGTGTTGTTTTAACTTCCTTGGGGTGGGCACTTCGATAACATTCAGTGGGCAATTCAGATAATAAACGTCAAATGCTTTCCTACCTGGGATCATTATTTTCATGTAAGATAGATATCATCTACTAAGCAAAACTGGAATGATTGCAAAGTAATACCCGTAGGGAAAATGATGCACAAATACCATGGAAGGAAAGAACTGCAAGAGTGAGCTAAGTGAGGTGGGGAGGTACAAGCAGCAAGTCTGGTCAGCTGAAGGTTTCCTGCCGGCCTTTTCATGTTGCTGGGAAGGCAATAACAAACTCTGTGAGTCAAGCAAAGGATCAGGCAATGGGGGGAGAAAAAGGAGAAGAGAGCTTGACTCATCCCTGGAGGGATAAACCACTGCTTTAACTGAGAGCCAGTGCACCCCTGGGAAAGAAGGAGTCGCACCACGTGATACCTCCTCAGCCAGGGCTGGCCCAAGCCAACTGCTGCCTCAAGGCTGCTTATTCTGTTTATACTGCAATGTGTAGACGTGCCTAGTTGCCCTGGCCCCTGAGCACAATAGTGATCACAATGCAATTCCTTAGCCTTGCCTCGTCATCCTGGATGAACCCAGGCCAGGTGCTCATTGACAGTTGATGCTTCCAAGGGAGAAACAGAGGGAAGATCCTAGGTGTCCAGCAGGAGGTGTCTGTGCAGGCACATGGGGACCTTGGGCTGCTTCTGCCTTAGTTGTGTGCAACTGCCTTCGTGATTTTATTGTCAGGAGCAAGGACATGGAAAAATCTTTTATTCAGGGGAAACATTCTTTTTACAGTGGCTCAGCAAAAGTCAGTAAAGGCAAATTTACTCTACCAGTGAGGGAAAAATATGTTTGCCATAGGCAGGTGCTATTTAGAGCAAAAATAAACATATGCTCGTACACACACATACAGAAATAATCATGTTAATGTTTAGTTTAACATCTATACCAGAATAGAAAGAATGCATTTATCAGCAGTCAATATCTATGGAGTAGTCATACAAAGAAAACACATTTTTAAGCTAAAATAGGATAAATTAATACATTTGAAAACTTCAAGCCTTTACTTCATGTATGTGTGTACGTGTGCACATGGATGTGCTGGGCACAGGCATGCAGGCATGTGAGTTTGTATAAATGCCCTCTGCTAAGGAACCACAGAGCTCTGGCATAGATTTAAATCTGGTCTAGTAACAAAAAAGTCCAGCTGCTCCGACAGCTGCGCTGTGATTCAGAGAATTCTTGGTTTCAAGTGGCCCCAGTGTCAAAAGTTAGGATGAGAGGACTGATTTGTCCAACTTTAAATTTGCTGAGCACCAGGAGGTGTCTGTTTCTAGCAGAAATTAAATTTGAACTTCCAGGACTTCTTCAGGTTTGTGTCTTTTTGACAAGACATAGTTTCCCATTTGTGAAAAGTGCTTTTTCAAATGTACAAAATAGATGGGCAACATATAAATTGACCAGACTTGCGCAAAGATGGACTAATATGGAAGCTGTTTCTCAAGGTGTTACTGAGGCTTCTATGATTTCAGTGTGATGATGCGTCTGTTAAGCAGCAGTAGAAAACAAAAGCCTGTAGAAAGCACAGGTGGTCTTTGGCTGCTTGGGAGAAGTAGAGACAAGGCCAGAGTGTTGAGGCTGTAGACACATCTTAACACCTTGGGTCCCAATGGGTAGAGGAGATGGAATAGGAGGAAAAAGACAGAGAAGAGAGCGAAAGTAGTGGGGCTACTTAGCTGGATGAGAGACACGAAGGTTCAGGAAAAACAAATGGGAAAAACATTGCTTTTCTCCTACCTAAGACTCTCCTCCTTCCTGCCTTTCACAACGAAAATTAGGAAAAAAATAGAATTATGAAATAATTTTGAATGATGAAAAACATATTTAAGACAAGTGGTTTACCTGGCTTTGAATTCCCCAAAAGAATTTTTAAAATTGTTCAATAGGAAAATTCATTTTGAAACACCTTATTTCCATTCATTACATGCCAACATAATGGTAAACAGCACTATTAGAATTTTCCAGTGAGGTACTAGACATATTTCTCTCTCAAGGGACTACCACATGGTACTGTGGTACAGTGGTACTGTGTGGTACTATGGTACAGCGGTACTGTGTGGTACTGTGGTACAGTGGTACTGTGTGGTACTATGGTACAGTGGTACTGTGTGGTACTGTGGTACAGTGGTACTGTGTGGTACTATGGTACAGTGGTACTGTGTGGTACTGTGGTACAGTGGTACTGTGTGGTACTATGGTACAGCGGTAGTGTGTGGTACTGTGGTACAGTGGTACTGTGTGGTACTGTGATACAGTGATACTGTGTGGTACTGCGGTACAGTTGCTGCTAGAGGCCAAAGAGCATTGGCACATTTATGGCCTACTAATGTCAATCAATCAACACTTTTCTAGATTGTGGGGAGTCCTGAATTATCCAGTTTGTCTTTGTTTTTGTTTTTGAGACAATGTCTCGCTCTGTCACCCAGGCTGGAGTGCAGTGGAAGTATCATAGCTCACTTGCATCAGTGAACTCCTGGGCTCTAGTGATCCTCCCGCCTTAGCCTCCTGAGTAGCTGGGGCAACAGGGATAAGCCAGCCACCATGCTGGGCCAATTAATTTTTTTTGTTTTGTAGAGACGGGAGTCTTACTTTGTTGCTCAGGCTGGTCTCAAACTCGTGGGCTCAAGTGGTCCTCCTACCTCGGTTTCCCAAAATGATAAGATTACAGGCGTGAGCCACTGTGCCCAGCCTATTACCCAGTTATTTTTTACTGGTGTCTCTGCAGATATGAGGTTGTCAAGGGAACCGCCATAAGATAAAAATATTCATTAATGAATTGGCCACTTAAAGCATCAGTCCTCCCTCCAGCAAGCCTTCCCCTTTAGAGTAGTCAATTCTGCTGCCAGTTGCCAGATGCCATAAACATCTAATAACACAAAGTAAATACAGCCAAGGGCCAGGAGAGTACAGTCCCTCTGTCGAGAATGAGGAAGGTGAACCTCTCACACAGCCTAACCAGTCCTTACCCTGATGTGGGGGTGATGATGATTCTGGCAAGGGCATAGCTTCTTAAGGGCTTGAAAACCAGGGCAGCTTCCTTTACCGGCGGGGAAGCTGCTGCGGTCCCTGCTCTGAGCAGCTCTTGGTCTCTCCTGCGCTGTGTCCTTTGCTGTGTCACATCACTGTCATGCATGTGACAACTATGCACATGTGAAGAGATGATCGTGTCTGTGTGAGGGAGAAGACAACACTTAAAAAGCAAGAAGAATGGCAATCTCATCGAACCCGTGGAGTATATCGATAGTAAAATATAGAAAATACAGACAGAAGGAAGCTGTGTGTTTTGCTGACTGTCAGTATAAGCAGTGCAGTGCCCTGAGTTTCCCATAGCCCAGACTTAAGCCATAGTGACGACAGAGGATTGGGTGACTGCCGTAAGTCTGTAGGGGCTGAAAAAGCAAGCCCTCTTTCTTTAGTCTATTTTCAAAAAGGAGCAGGGAAGGATGAACCTTGATGCGCTTATTTGAGTAAAAGGCAAGGAAATTCTATAAGAAAGAGTTGCAGTGAAGAATTGTAAGATGCCCGAGGTGAAACATGAAACACCTCAGCGGTTAGGATGACCTCCACATTCAACCTTGGCACTTCCTTGGGATGCCAACCTCCTTGGTCGCCATGGCATCCAAATCAGCCAGTTCATTTTGGTCAAAATTCCTCTCCAACTATCCCAAGTTCAATGAAAATCTCAGTGGACTTTCGTTAAAGAACAGAAGAAAACAAAGTAAATGGCCCGACTGAGTCACTAGAAGAATTTTGGCAAATTATTTGTGCTCCCCCAAGTCTTATTGAGTTTAAACCTAAGGCAGAAGTTTTTGAAAGGCTGGTATAAAGCAGAGACAGCCTGTGATAATGAGAAGACACTGTTACTACATTCTTTTGATAATACAAAGCAATTTTTTGATAACACAAAGGAGTTGGTGTTGAGAGGTTACATTGAAGGGTAGCAGATATTGTGCCTCAGGGTCTGATCTAGCCAAACTTTCTGGGATCCTCTGAGCATAGGACAGGCAGTATTCACTATCTCACTGTTCTTTCTTCTTGGTTTGTTCAGTAGGATGGAAAAGAAGTTGGTTTGTATAGAACAGCCACAAATAAATGAGAAATTAGGTGCTTTCCTTATCGGCTCAATCCCATGGATGAAACCACCACAGAAAAGACAATGGTCCTCTTAACCTCCACATCAGTGGTTTCCTATGTTCTTATACTTCTGTCAGCTTATCATAAACTGGCAAACCTCAGCATGTATAGGTTAGATTTTTAAAGCTCACTAGTGTACAGTTTCATGCAAAGATATATTAAGTTTCAACACATTTCCCTAAGAAGTTAATGTACACAACAGAATCATTTTACAAACAAACTACTCCTCTTTCTCTCCCTTTTGGTTCTGCAGGAGAAGTGAGGAAAGATGGTGGAAACTTTCATGGTAATAACTTTTGTCCTGCCTCATATAATGTATTTTCTTTTCTTTCTTTCTCTCTCTCTTTTTTTTTTTGAAATGGAGTTTCACTCTTGTTGCCCAGGCTGGAGTGCAATGGCGCTATCTCGGCTCACCACAAACTCCATCTCCCGGGTTCAAGCGATTCTCCTGCCTCAGCCTTCCTGAGTAGCTGGGATTACAGGCATGTGCCACCATGCCCTGCTAATTTTGTATTTTTAGTAAAGACGAGGTTTCTCCATGTTGGTCAGGCTGGTCTCGAACTCCCGACCTCAGGTGATCTGACCTCCTCGGCCTTCCAAAGTGCTGAGATTACAGGTGTGAGCCACTGTGCCCGACCAATATACTTTATTGTCCAAAACATGTCGAGAGACTTCAGCTTTCAATGGGAATTTAAAAAAGGAAGTTGCTTCCATTACAATATTTCCTCACCTATTCCTATCACTTGCCAAGCAACAGCCTAGTGCAGGACGTTTCTTTGTTTTATGGCTGCAAATTTTCTGAAAATTTTACATTTCTCTAAAGACGTATGAGGACAATGGATGAGATTCGCTCAGTGAGGAAAGGAGAGGATACGGCTTGATGTTATAGCAGAATACTCATTACTATGTCTTCCATGCACTTCTGTGTCCTTAAGCACCTAGCACAATGCCCAGTATGATTGCAGGTTCAATAAATGCCCACCGGATTAAACCAACATCAAAGATGTTCTCTTTGGCCAGCAAAATGATGCTGTCTTTTGTTACAGCCAACTTGAGAGGGTGGGCTGGGATTACTGATGCCACTCCTTAAACAGATTCTAAAGTTAGATTGGAGATATGTTTTAGTCAATGACAGTGCAAAGCATGTAAATTAGAAGTCGGTTTATCCTGTAGCTGATGGGGAAAAGGACGGAAGTTCTGGAAAGGGGTAGGGAATGAATATTTGTTATTGAACACCTGATAATGTACCAGACAATGTGATCTCCAGAAGTACAGATGAGACATACATTGTTTCTTGTAATCCTCTAAAGCACAGAGGAATAGATGTTATTCCCATTTCCAAGATGAGGAAACTGAGGTTTAGGGAAGCTTATAACTCACACAGAATCTCAGTTACTACATGTCAGAGCCAGGATTCTAATCGAGGTCTGTCTAACTCCAAAATTGATGCTTTTTCCCCCAGTGGAAAACACTCCCTTCATTCCTTTTAAATTCAGGAAGATATTAATGCTATTGACATGGCAGAGTCTTCTGAATAGTAGGACATGTCTCTGTGAGAGCCATGGTTAGATGTGCTGGGTGCAGGAAGAGAAGTCAAGGAGTCCCCACTCTGGGGGATGGGAGGGATGCTGCCCAGCTCTCCCTTAGGAGCTACAGAGTCAAAGCACTGAGCAGGAGCTTGGCACAGAGCAGCGCTTAGAGGCAAGGAAAGCCTACAGCACGTGGGAAAGGGGCAGGTATGGGACACAGAGAGAAGTCAGGTCCGTGTGTGCTGGGATTCCTTCCTCTTTGACAGGTTATGGCTTGCTAACCAACACAGACACATGTAGTGTCATGGAGCAGGAAGGGATTGGAATGGACCTAGCTACCTAGGTCTTTTCCCCTTTCGATTATATTGATTTCATGACCCTGTGGTTTGCATTTATTTTTTAAGGAACACCGAACTCAACAGGAATAAGTTCTTTTAGCCTACTTTAGCAAAAACCCATCTTTTAAAGTGTTAAAAAAAATGGAACTGCAGTAAAATAGAAAATAATTTTGCTTAGTAAAATATGAAGCCCTTTCAAGGCAGATCTAAACACTGGGGAGAAAATACGGGACAGGAAAAAATATGAAAATTAACAAATAAACAAGAGTGTCTATCTCTCTCTATGAATGACAGGATTCCTGGGGTCATTTTTATTTCTCTCTGACTTCAGACTGGAATAATTAGAAGAAGAGAGATCAAAATCAGTTTCTGGCAAACAGGAAAGCATTTCAAAGAGTTGAAATGTGAAATGACTTAGGAGTCTAGAATTTATGTTCTCATCACCGGGTTGTAAACATGAGGTGGCTCAGTGGAGGAGTGACTTCCCAGACAGGGAAAGCAAGATTTTCAGAGAGAAACACCCCAGAGATGAAGAAGCTTTCATCTTCCATTTTTTTCTTCTTACATGTTTTATTACTGTGTATACCACTGGGTGACATGACTCAGACTGTAAACATATTGGAGAGACAGGAGGTGGTTTAAAAAAAAGTACTGCCTTTTATATCACAGGAAGTGATTTAAAAAGGTGGGCGCACCAGATTTATGTGTGTGTTATGGTGATGCTACTTTTTTGTCACCGGAGGAAATTATTTTATGAGGCTTCATTTGGTTTTATGAGGAAAATTGGCCTCAGAGGAGAAAGTGAGTGTTGTACTCTCTAGTGGAGCTGGATTAGCCATGGTATCTTGGTCTCAGTTTCATGAAACCTTTAGAATCTGTGCCCTAGATAAAAAGAGATGACATGCTACCTCATAGGTGTCATCTCAGGGATAAAATGTGCACGGTACTGCATTGGGAGCCATGGGTGATGCGTGTGAGGCAGCTCTCCATACGGTGAGATGAGGGAGGTCATGTTAGTCTTTTTCTAAGGAGTGTGAACAAATGGCAAAACTGGCTGCTTTGAGCTTCACCATATGTGTAACTGTACTGACTTTCAGTGAAGATTCTAGTGAGAGCTGAAATCATCTATGAGCTTAAACAGAAAAGAAAAAAAAAAGACGTAAGAGAAGAGGAGAGCCAAATGTTAATCCTGTATCGGTGCCTCTGTGTGGTCTCTTTTTCTGTCTGTGAGCAACTCCCCAGCCAAATCTAGGCTTGACTGGAAGGGCTGGACTTTGCCAGAAAATTCTTTAAAAAGATGAGAAAAAGTAAAAAAAAATAAGAATGAAGAGGAATGAAAACGCAAACCTTTTGGTTCAATATCAAAACTCAAGTGAAATAACCAGTTGCACACAGTTGGTAATATTTCCCAGTTTAGAGGGCACAGCAAGGACTTCTTGGGGATTTGTTCTCTCCAGGTCTTCTCCTGATGTCCTGTATCATCTATTTGTTCGTTCGTTCATTCATTCATTCATTTGTTCATTCATTCATTCATTCATGGGTCCTAAAAGGAACACAGGATCAATTTGCAACAAACCCAGTCCCAAAATATTTCAATTTTTTTCTGTCTACAAGACTCACCTTACTTTATTTTGTTTTTAATTGACAAATAATAATGGTGTATTTTTATGGGGTACAATGTGATATTTTACACATTGCAGAAAGATTCAATACGGATGATTAACCTGATATCCCTCACCTTACCAACTCTCTTTTTTTTGTGGGGAGAACGTTAAAAATCCATTTTTAAGCAATTTTATGATATATAATACATTATTATCAGCTGTGGTCACCATGTAGTGCAATAGATGACTAAAACTTATTTTTCCAGTACTGACATTTTGCATTCTTTGATCAACATTTTCTTTTTCCTCATTCTTCCCCCTCTGTCGATCTCTGGTAACTACCTTTCCGCTCTCTCTTTCTATGACATGGACTTTTTTAGATCCCATATATAAAAGGGATCATACTGTATATGTCTTTCTGTGCCTGGCTTAGCCTAATGTCCTCCCGTTCCATCTGCATTGTCAAGAATGACAGAATTTCTTTCTTTTTATTTTATTTTATTTTATTTTATTTTTTTTTTGAGACAGCGTCTGGCTCTGTCGCCCAGGCTGGAGTGCAGTGGCGCGATCTCGGCTCACTGCAAGCTCCGCCTCCTGGGTTCACGCCATTCTCCTGCCTCAGCCTCTCAAGTAGCTGGGACTACAGGAGCCCGCCACCGCTTCCGGCTAATTTTTTGTATTTTTAGTAGAGACGGGGTTTCACTGTGTTAGCCAGGATGGTCTCGATCTCCTGACCTCATGATCCACCCACCTCGGCCTCCCAAAGTGCTGGGATTACAGGCGTGAGCCACCACGCCCGGCCTCTTTCTTTTTAAAGGCTTTATAGTATTCCATTGTGTATAGACAAAACAGTTTCTTTATCCATTGATGAACACTTGGGTTGCTTCCATATCTTGACTATTGTAAATAATGCTGAAATGAACTGGGAGTGCAGATAGCTCTTCAACATACAGATTTCAATTCTTTTAGCTATATATCTAGAAGTGGAGTTATTGTATCATATGGCAATTCTACATTTAGTTTTTTGAGGAACCTCTGTATTAGTCCATTTTCATACTGCTGTAAAGAACTGCCTGAGACTGGGTAATTTATAAAGGACAGAGGTTTAATTGACTCACAGTTCAGCATGGCTGGGGAGGCCTCAGGATACTTAGAATTATGGCAGAAGGCAAAGGGGAAGTAAAGAATCTTCTTCACAAGGTGGCAGGAAGGAGAAGTGCTGAGTGAAAGGGGAAGAGCCCCTTATAAAACCATCAGATCTCATGAGAACTCACACGTTATCATGAGAATAGCATGGGAGAAACCACTCTCATGATGCAATTACTCCACCTCGTCTCTCCATTGACATGTGGGGATTATGGGGATTGCAATTCAAGATGAGATTTGGGTGGGGAAATGAAGCCTAACCATATCATTTCACTCCTGACACCTCCCAAATCTCATGTCCCTTTCACATGTCAGAACCTATCATGCCTTCCCAACAGTCCCCCAAAGTCTTAATTTTTTCCAGCATTAACCCAAAAGTCCAAGCCCAAAGTTTCATCTGAGACATGGCAAGTCCCTTTTGCCTATGAATCTGTAAAATCAAAAGCACGTTAGTTACTTCCTAGATACAATGGGGGTACAGGCATTGGTAAATACACCCACTCCAAATGGGATAAATTGGCCAAAACAAAGAGGCTACAGGCCCAATGCAAGTCCAAAACCCAGATGGGCAGTCAAATATTAAAGCTACAAAATGATCTCCTTTGACTCCATGTCTCACATCCAGGGCATGCTGATGCAAGAAGTGGGTTCCCACGGCCTTGGGAAGCTCCGCCCCTGGGCTTTGTAGGGTACAGTCCCCTCTCTTTGCTAAAGCATAGTGAGAGTCAACTTTGCTCCAGTTCCCCATAAGTTTCTTGTCTCCATCTGAGACCACCTCAGCCTGGAGTTCATTGTCCACTTGGTCAAAGCCATTCAACAAGTCTCTATGAAGTTGCAAACTTTTCCACATTTTTCTGTCTTCTTCTGAGTCCTCCAAACTGTTCCAACCTCTGCCTGTTATCCAGTTCCAAAGTTGCTCCCATATTTTCAGGTATCTTTATAGCAGTGGCCCACTACCTTGGTACCAATTTACTGTATTTACTATATTAGCCTGTTTTCATACTGCTATACAGAACTGCTCGAGACTGGGTAATTTATAAAGGAAGGAGGTTTAATTGACTCACAGTTCAGCATAGCTGGGGAGGCCTCTGGACACTTACAATTACGGCAGAAGACAAAGGGGAAGCAAGGCACCTTCTTCACAAGACGGCAGGAAGGAGAAGTGCTGAGTGAAGGGGAAAGAGCTCCATATAAAACCATGAGATCTTGTGAGAACTCACTCACTATCATGAGAACAGCTTGGGGGAAACTGTCCCCATGATTCAATTACCTCCACCTGGTCTCTGCCTTGACACATGGGGAGTACAGGGATTACAATTCAAGATGAGATTTGAGTGGGGACACAGAGTCTAACCATATCAACCTTCATACTATTTTCCAAAATGGCTGTACTAATTTACATTCCCACCAGTGGTATGCAGGGTCCCCTTTTCTCCACATCATCACCAATACTTATCATTTGTCTTTTTGATAATAGCTATTCCAAAGGGTATGAGGTGATATCTCATTGCAATTTTAATTCACATTTCTCTGATGATTAGAGATTTTGAACATTTTTCATATATCTGT
The DNA here is from genome assembly GCF_000001405.40 of Homo sapiens. Classification (NCBI taxonomy): domain Eukaryota; kingdom Metazoa; phylum Chordata; class Mammalia; order Primates; family Hominidae; genus Homo; species Homo sapiens. The sequence goes on from NC_000009.12 coordinate 86,567,293, forward strand.
TTGCTATTTCTATTTCTTTTGAGAAATGTCTGTTCAACTCCTTTGTCCGTTTTTCTAAAAAATTGGGTTATTTCTTGCTATTGAGTTGTTTGAGTTCTTATGTATTTTGGATATTAGCCCCTTATCAGATGTATGTTTACAAATATTTTTCCCATTCTGAGTTGTCTCTTCACTATGTTAATTGTTTTCTTCTCTTAATGTATTTTTATTTTAAGAGTATGACCATGGATAAATGTCATACTCTTAAATATGGCATCATAGATAGAAGACCAAAGCTCTAGCATCTCCTTTTTGGGGCCAAGTGAATCAATGTATCATAGTCTTTATGTAAGTCCATAGTGACCAAAGTGACAGTGAAATTTTGAGAGAATTTGGGTCCTGTGTTTTTCTCTATTATAATCTTGTAAATGTTCTATGACTTTTTCATTATTCATAGTTAATACAATCATTTAGAGAAGAGTGAGAATAAAGAATAGAGAAAACAACACAGGCAGTAAGAAAGAATTACTAGAAAAATTCTAATTTCTAATTTTATTGATTCCTTTATATTATCTCTATGCTTTTATAGTCTCTATCAGTTGCATGCATTACCTCTATTTATTTACAAATCTCTTCCTCTTACATTAACCCTGTATGGTAGATATAAGGGACTCACTAGATCAAGACCACATAGCCAGGACATACAAGGTGGGATTTAACCAGTTCCCAGGCTCTTTCCAATACTTGATGATGCACTACCATCCTGGAGGGACTCTTCATGATTACAGGTAGAGACCAGTCTCTTGGTTTTTCAATTAGCTTTTTCCAAAACATAAAAAAAGAAAAAAGAAAACATTGCTTACCTGCAAATTGATTCATAACTTATTGATTTCTCTGATCTTTTAATCAGTATTTCCAAAACATGTTCCATGGGGTGTTAGTATGCATTTAAAAAAGATTCTGTGGGCAAACACATGTGATAATTGCTGGGTCAAGCAAATCCAAATTTTGTACAATGGGACATCTCAGAGATCTTGATATCCTAATATACATCTTGAAACACTGCAGATTATTGGTGGTAGAAGGTACGGTTTGCTTCCCAGATGCATTTATTCATTGTCTTAGATTGGGTTTCCTGAAAACAGAAACTGTGATGGAGAATTGCATGAGGAATATTTATTGGGGAATGTCCTTGGGAAGTTATGTCTGTGTGGAAGCGAGGAAGGCAAGATTGGGCAGAGGTAGAAGCTGAGCTGCCACACAGCTGCAATTGAGTCCTCCACTGATGCTACCAGGAGCTCTAGAACGGGGATGGGGCCTTCAGGGTGTTCTGAATTTGGGCAAGGAGGCTGGGCTTTTGTATTCCTGCATCAGCTTCATTGGCTGCTGGTTGCCCCCTCTTTGAAGCGGTTCCCTATGCTGAAGGCAGTTCCAAGACAGGGGTGCTGCTGTGGGTCTCAACAGCTGGGGGATGGGTGCATCAGTCCTGAAGAGGGAATCTGGGCAAAGCACCCTGGCATCTCCTTCAAACACAGAACATTTTTTCATGAACAATTTCATGTAACAATGTTGTACGGAGCATCCTTTGGGAAATTCTGCCTTTGGCACTCTACTCCAAATGTGATCAACACTCCAGCCCTCTAAAGGAAGAAATTATACTCTTGACTCTTAACAGCAGTGATCAAAGCAATGCTAACTTGTGTTAGCGGTGGCAAATCTGTACAGGTCTGCAGCAAACTCAATTCTTGCCGCCTCAGAAGAAAGAATTTGACTGAGGGGCCTAAGGCAGAAGGAGAGGCGAAGGCAAATTTTAGAGCAGGAGTGAAAGTTTATTAAAAAGTTTTAGAGCAGAAATGAAAGGAAGTAAAGTACATTTGGAAGAGGGCCAAGTGGGAGACTTGTGAGATCAAGTGTGCAGTTTGACCTTGTGACTTAGGGTTTTATACATTGGCATACTTCTGGGGTCTTGTGTCCCTTCTCTCATGATTCTTCCCTTGCAGTAGGCCATCTGCATGAGCAATGGCCTGCCAGCACTTGGGAGGGGAGCATGTGTAGTGTGTTTACTGGAGTTGTGCACATGCTCATTTGAGGCTTTCTTCCCTTACCAGTCAAATGTTCCTAGAAGGTCATATGCCAGTTAAACTCTGCCATTTTGCTTCTTAATGTGCATACTTGACCCATGTCATGAGACCCAATAGGATCTCATTTCGCCCAACTCCTGAGATCTTATTGGGAAGCTGCTGATAATTAGTTTCAGGTGTTTCCATCCATTGGGAGACTGCCTTTCCATGGTGCTGGCTGTGACCAATGATTATTTAAGAGAGACAGGTAACAGCTGCATGACCATCACCTGATGGTCACCTGACATTCCTCGTTTGGGGTGGGGTCTTGGGGGAACCCTCTCCTACCCTGCTCATGCCTGACTAGCTGTAACACTTGGGGCTTGGAATTTTCTCCATTGCCATTTTAACAGATTATTCTTCCGCTAATATAAGAAGAAGCTAAGTAGAGTTATGATACATGAGACAAGAGAAGAGGTACAAGATGCCGCACTTTCTCGTGTATTAGGCTTGCTCACGTCCTCTTCTTTCACATCCAGTTTGTCAATAACTTGTAATATCTTCTATGTCAATAATACAAAGACATTCCAACTCCCCCCTTGTCCTCCCTTTTGGCCCCCATACACCCTTGACACTTTTGAGGCAGATGGGATGAGGGAATTTAATTCTTTGATAATTTTCTCAATTTCTGCTATGGCTTTTGATTGATTTACATTTTCTGCACATTTTCTCTGTCATTCTTGGCCATTTCTATTTCATCTAAAAGTTATCCATATTATCTAGGCAAGGTCCCAATAGAGAACCTCAAAAGGATCAATGGAAGAGAGTTTAATAAAATGACAATTCACAAAATTGTGGGCAGGATGAAGGGAAGTCAACCTGGGAAGGTGTTATCTGCTGGGAAGAGGAGAGTAAACTGTTTTGGGAACCTAGGAGAACAGCTGCAGGAGAGGATTTCCAGGGGAGCTGTGCCCTTGTGTGGAGTGAGGGAGTCGTCCACAGCAGCTCACTGGGAGGGGACTGGGAAACAGTCCCTCCCTCCTTGTTGCTCCCCTCTCACACCTTCCCCTTGGCTGAACCCGAAGCAACTGGAAACCAGAGGGGTTGATGTGGCCCATATAGTTCAACCTGACACACAGCAGGCAGGACAAGGGCAGAGGGAGGATCAAACGGGCAAAAGAAAAATCCTGTCACCTAGGTCTTCGTAGACAGTTGATTTACATACAGCTGAGTAAGGGCTCTCATAGTCTTTTTAGTTTCCTGTATATCTGTAGTTATTTTCTGATTTTGTTTTTCTCTTTTAAAAAGTTTGTTTACCTGATGATTTACTTCTTTCTTGCACTTTCTTTCCTTTCTCTTTTTTCTCTCTTTCTCCCTTTCTTTCTAAATTAAGGAATTATTAATATATCTTCATGCTTTTAATTAGCTTATCTTTTTTATTATTTTATAATTCATAAATTTCTGCTTTTATCTTTTTCGAGCCCCCGTTGTGATACTTAAATTCATTGCTTTCTACTTGTGATAAATACCTTTCTTTTTCTTTTTTCTTATCTTCTATTCTATTCTCTCAAGATTTCTCTATTTTTCTGTGATGGTTAATATTGTGTCAAATCGATTGGATTGAAGGTTGCAAAGTATTGTTTCTGGGTGTTTCTGGGTGTTGCCAGAAGAGATTAACATTTGAATCAGTGGAATGGGAGGGGAAGACCCACCTTCAGGAAGACCCACTCATAATGTGGGTGGGCACCATCCAATCGGCTGCCAGTGAAGCCAGAAAAAGCAGGCAGAAGAAGGTGGAAGAAGCTGATTTGCTGAGTCTTCTGGCCTTCATCTTTCTCCCGTGTTGGATGCTTCCTGCCTTCTAACATCAGATTCCAAATTCTTCTGCTATTGGACTCTTGGACTTACACCCGTGGTTTGCCAGGGGCTCTCAGACCTTTGGCCACAGGCTGAAGGCTGCACTCGCAGCCTCCTTACTTTTGAGGTTTTGGGACTTGGACTGAGTCACTACTGGCTTCCTTGCTCCTCAACTTGCAGACGGCCTAAGGTGGGACTTTACCTTGTGATCGTGTGAGTCAATTCTCCTTAATAAACTCCCTTTCATATATACACCTATCCTATTAGTTCTGTCCCTCTAAAGAACTCTGACTAATACAATTTCCCTCTACTCTCTACCAATTTGGAGGTAATACTTTATCATTTCAGTCTTTATTGGTTATCTTTACATTTATAAATTTTATTTGTATTTTAGTAAAGTTTTTATTCTGCAATAATTTGATTTACAGAAAAGTTACAAATATAGAATAGAGAGTTTTTTCTAACTCTCACCATTTTCTATGTTAACATCTTATTTACCATGACATCTTATACATTGATACCATGTCGCATTTGTGGAAAACAAAAACAATCACCCACAACACTGATGCATTAGCATTACTATTAATTAAACTCCAGATGATCTCTGGATTTTACAAGTTTTTCCACTAGTGCCCTTTTTCTGTTCCAAGATTCAATACAGGATACCACATTGTATTTAGTACCCTTAAATTTTAATATACATCTTTGTTAAGATCTATTGGGTCTAGCCTCTGTTTGAACAATACAATAAAGATCTTAATCTTGCCATCCCCCAATGGTTCGCATGCTATTTTTGTTAAGTACTTTAAATCCATCTAGGTTTAAACTATTCTAAGTAACTCATTAATTTTGCTACTAATTTTACAGCTAACGTTTATTTAGATTTAAATTTTAAGCACCATATTGGTGGATCCTCGGCTCTTGTATTTGCATCTTTCCTTTGGCATAACCTGTCCTCTTACAACACACATCCTTTTTTTTTTTTTTTTGAGATGGAGTTTTGCTCTTGTTCCCCAGGCTGGAGTGCAGTGGTGCCATCTTGGCTCACCACAACCTCCGCCTACTGGGTTCAAGCGATTCTCCTGCCTCAGCCTCCCGAGTAGCTGGGTTTACAGACATGTGCCACCACGCCTGGCTAATTTTGTATTTTTAGTAAAGACAGGGTTTCTTCATGTTGGTCAAGCTGGTCTGGAACTCCTGACCTCAGGTGATCTGCCTGCCTCGGCCTCCCAGAGTGCTGGGATTACAGGTGTGAGCCAGTGCACCCTGCCAGCACATCCTTTTAAGTGTTTTTCAGTGCAGATCTGTGAATTATAAATTATGTCAGCATTTACCTGGCAGAAATGTCTTTCTGTGTTCTTGGTTAAAGAATAAAGTAGAAAATTTCAGCTGGGTGCAGTTACTCATGCCTGTAATCCTAGCACTTTTGGAGGCCGAGGTGGGTGGAACACTTGGGGTCAGGAGTTTGAGACCAACATGGAGAAGTCCCATCTCTACTAAAAATACAAAATATGCCAGGTGTGGTGGGCATCTGTAATCCCAGCTACTCTGAAGGCTGAGGCAGGAGAATCGCTTCAACCTGGGAGGCAGAGGCTGCAGTGAGCTGAGATAGCTCCACTGCACTCCAGCCTGGGCAACAAAGTGAGACTCCATCTCAAAAAAAAAAAAAAAAAAAAAATCTGAATATAGAATTTCAGGGTGAACACTTCTGTCTCTCAGGATTTTCATAATATTCCACTGTCTCATGGCTTCTATTGCAGCAGTTTAATTATGTTAGTTATTCTTCATTTTCTCTTTGCAGGTAATCTCTCTTTTCTCTTTAGTTGCTTTAAATAATTTCTCTTTAACATTGGTGTTTTGCAGTTTTAATGTACTGTTCTAGGTGTTGGTTTTATTTACTCTGCTTAGAATTTATGCTTATTAAATCTGGGGATGCATATCTTTCATCTATGTGAGAAAGCTCTTGGACATTATTTCTTTGAATATTGTCTCTATTCCTACTAGTCATGTGTTGGACCAACTCAAGTATCCTCCATGTTTCTTAACTTGTTTTATATTTTATATGTCATTATTTTTCTGTATTGTATTCTGGATAATTTTTTGAAATTTGTCTTACATAATCTGCTGTTTAAACTGCAATTCACTTTTTAATTTTAATAAAAATATTTTCCATTTATAGAAGTTTCCTGTTGTTCTTTTTTATATCCACCTGTTCCCTTAGACTTCATTTCATGGAATCTAATTCTTTCCTTATATTTTTAATACTTCAAACCCACTTCCTTTATAGTTTATATAACATTGCTTTTCTGTTATCTGAAGCCCTTGATGAGTTAATCATCCTGCCCTGTCTACTACTTTTCATCCTTGGTGGATTGTTTTCTCAAGCACTTTGTAAGTCTTAATGGAAGATGTGTTTCAAAGAGCTTTTGCTTTATGTTTTTTGTTAATTTCTTGGCTTGGACTTGAGACTATATATCCCATGTGCAAAGTTAAAATAAAAAATTTAAACTAGAGCAAGATACTGGCACAGAGGATTTTTTTGCCCATTTGAACCATTACGGATATAAGCTTCCTGGTAATTTTGCTGGGCTCGTGGGGTCATTGAAGTTTGCATATCTTTCTTTCACTGGGTTGCAGCCCTTTGAGACTACCAACTTTTGTGGGGGTCTCAGCTTCAGCTCCCTAACTTAGGTATCCAAAGACCTCATGTACTGATGTGTATTTTTGCAAACCCGAATACTAGCTACTCTCAACCCAGCACCCTCCCCTTTCTTCCCTGTCCCTTGAGGCAGATGTCATATCCACTTCAGCTTACTGCTCTGACTCCCTGCGTTGTCATCCTGCTAGTTCCCTCCCCAATGAGTTAAATAATCATTGACATGTGCTTACTTTGTATTTGTATGAGAGTCATGTCTTTTGAACTTAAAAAAAAATTGGCATTGTATCATTTACTACATAAGGATTTGACTCAACTCTTAGAGCTCTCAAGATTTAGTCTTTTGTTTGACTTGACATCCAACCTCAGAACCACCAAATTATTAGTATCCCTTGCCCTTATCCAAGTTTGACTTCAATTATAACATTTCAGTGCCTAGAATAATTTCTACCTCCTTTAATCTTTCCTGTAGCAGTGCTCCTTGGAACATGTTTATATCAGGATATTTTCCCTCTTCCTTTATTCCTTTACTATTTTTTCCTTCATTTGTTGAACGAGATTGGAAAGTAAGCTCCTTCTCTGTCTTACATGTGGTTCAAATAACAGAGCCCATTACAGTATGTGGCACACAGTAATAAACAAGTAATAAATTTTGGTCAAATAGATAAATAAATGAATAGATGTGATCCATAGTGCCAGAATTTTTCATGTGCAAATCAGTGAAATAGTGGCTGTTCTCAAGGACAGAGAGGAGAGAGACTTGCAAGCACTGAGTTCTAATTAAGGGATGCTATAATAGAGGGGCAGGTAAAGTATCATCATGGTAGATGAAAGGCTTCATGGAGAAGACGGCACTTGAGTTGAGTCTTGAAAGATGAGTAGAATTGGAATAAAAGTATGACAGGCAAGGAAAAAGGCATAAGCAGATGCACAGACAGATGGAATCACTCCAGGGAGTGTATGGACCTAGGGCCCCAATGGCTGCTCTCTGAAATACACATTGGGTTTCTCCACGGCCACAGGTATTTCCCACAGCCTGCTCCTGGCCAGTGACAGAGTGAGACAGGGATACTAAGACTGGCCCATTCCTAGGAGCCATGGAACTTTTTTTGTTGGCTGTCATTGTTCCCCAAAGGCCTTACTGCAACTGTCTTAGATTCTCCAGTAGTCTGAGACATTTCTAGCAGACTTTCCCATCCCTCTCTCCTTCACTTGGGGGTCAAACTGCCATCATAGCCTCGGTTCTTCCAGCCTTCTCCAACTGATTTTGTCTTCCACAAGTATTAGCCCTAATCAAATCTACACATTTTTAATCCTATTTTTGTGCTTGCCTCCTGGCCATTCCAAATTATCACATATCACCTATATCTTCTGCAGGGAGCAGATAGAAAAAGACACTGCATAGATTTATCTTGTTGAGGGCTTTTGATACCACTCTCAAGTTTGAGGCTTAGGCAGAGGGAGTGCTAGTGAAGATTTTAGAGGAAGTGAGATCTGGCTTGTATTTTAAGAAGATGATCATGGTAAAGGCAGGAAGGGTGGATGTATTAGTCTGTTCTCATGCTGCTAATAAAGACATACCCAAGACTGGGTAATTTGTAATTTGTAAGGGAAAGAGGTTTCATTGACTCAAATTCTACATGCCTAGGGAGGCCTCACAATCATGGCAGAAAGCAAAGAAGAAGCAAGGCATGTCTTACATGGCAGCAGGCAAGACAGAGCTTGTGTGGGGGCACTCCCATTTATAAAGCCATCAGATCTCATGAGACATATTCACTACCATGAGAACAGTATGGGGGAAACTGTCCCTGTGATCCAATTATCTCCACCTGGCCCTGCTTTTGACACGTGGGGATTATTACAATTCAAAGTGAGATTTGGGCGGGGACACAGCCAAACCATGTCAGTGGATTTCTGGGAAGCTGTTACAGTGACCTGGATGAGGCTTGATGGGGTTGAGATGTGTAGGAACAATGAAGAAGTTGGCCTGACTTCATAGCTCCTGCAGAAGACAGTGCATGACGGGTGTGAAATTTTACCTTTTCTCAACTTTATGGAAAAGAAAGTAACCCCTATGTTGTTAGAAAGGGCCTTAAATGTGAAATGTTACAGAAAAAACAATCACTCTGGGCTCCCTCCACTGTTACATCCAGGCACGGCCTCACCCACAGAGTGTGCCTGAAAAGCAACAACAACGGTTTGTGCCTCTGTCTCTGGCCTTTTTTTTTTCTAAAGAGCAACTGAAAATGGAAAAAACCGTTTCCACTTCCGTGATTTTCTCTGTCTGGTGTCTCTGGGGAAACTGTCCAGAAAACAAATCTCCCAAAGGCTCCTTGTGTTGTGTGAACCCAAATAGGGTGTGATGTGGTGTGAGAGAGTCCAATGAGGGAGGCTCTCACAGGTCTCTGGAGGATAGCATAGAAGTTCTGCATTTTAGATTTGAAAATAGAAGCAAGCTCAAGGAAGCAAGCGCTGTGTATAATGACCGGACGTGGGGGTGTGGGCGAGAGGGCTGAGATGGGAATTGTAACAGGCCTGTTGGCCAAGCCTGCTATAGTCCTGACTTCCAGTGCAGCTGTTCCCTTTATTCTCAGAACCAGAGCAGAAGAATGGTGCCCTGGAAAACAGAAGGGTGCAAGGGCCCTTAAAAGGCCCCTGGCAATGGTAAGTACAAGCCCTGCCATGCCCCGAACTAAACTGTCAAACTTTCAAACTTCCGGTTGAATGGGCACTCAAGGTTTCTTGCAAATAGGGAGCAATCAGGTGCTTGGAGGGCGAGTTGGCACATTTGCCTCCAGGCACCCTTTCGAACTGAGGCCTTAGCAGCTTCCTATCTGAACAAACAGGAAGCCTATTAAAAATGCCCATTGTCCCCTCCTGCCTGTGCTGAAAGGACTGTTAAAAGACTAAATCTGCAGACCTCTTGCCAAGTCAAGAAACTCAGGGAGCATGCAGCTGCTGGTGCCACCTGTGTCTATCTAAGTCCAGCGAAGAGACTTCTTCCTCAGGGCACCCCCATTCTGGAGTGAAGATCCTACAGAGGCAAGAGCAGGCAAAGGTATTAAATGAGAAAGGAGGGAATAAAATGTAGTTCAGGGTTATCATTTGCTGAAAGCGCTCAGCTCATTTCTCTTATTCCTCAGTTTCAGCAACAACCAGGAATCTGTCTCTGCATCCCCCACACCCCCCAACCTCTGAAATGTCCTGGCTGGGAATCAAATTCAATGTGAAACACCTGCCTTCCACTGCCGTGCCACAAACACAATACACCACATGCCAGTTGGCTGGGGGAGAAAAGGGGACCGCGAAAGAAATCCGTGATGTTATTAAAAAGTGAAGTCTTGCTGTTGGCTTCTCTCTCTCTCATACACACACACACACACACACACACACACACACACACACACACACTCCCCCAGGCCTCTAAAATTTTGCACATGTCTCTGGCTACTCCACTGTCAATCAAACACTGAAAGAGACAGGCAGCCCACTCCTTGGTACCCTCTGTGGGTAACAGGTATATATGTAGGGGTGCGTGCATGTGTGTGTGTTATGAAAGAACTAACCCCGGGAAGGTCCCCAGCCTAAGGAGGGGATCAACATCAGGAACATCAGATGCTTAGACCAGGCTCTCATACCCAACTTGGAAATGAATTCTGCCCTCAGCATTCCCAGCGCAGCCGCAAGATGCTTACAGGCCTGAGCCCGCCGGTCGACCCGTCCATAGGGAATGGTAAATGAGGTGTGGCGGTTGCTGGAGGAGGCCTGGCACAGCAAGGCTTTGTACCTTTTGAGTACAGCAGCCTCAGGACCTCGTGGGTGGCATCTGTGCATGACAGCGCTTCCGTTGGCTGCAGGAGGACAGTCCATGCCCCAGCATTGCCCCATCACTCTCAGGCCTAAAATAGAGGCCCAGTGTCCATGCCATGCCACTCTAGCTGGATGGCCCGAGAGTCCTGCTGTCTTTCAGCCTAGTGTCTCCCATTCCATCCGTGGTGGGTGGCTCCTAGCCAGCCCTCCCTGCCCTCCTGGCCTGGCCGGGCCATGAAGCGGCCGCTCCCGGCGGTCTGCGACAGACAGTGGGGCTCTGTAAGAGCAGTCTCCTGTGAGAAGCTGGATGTTATTCTATAGAGGGGACTCGTTATTAGAAGACCCAGAGGACCAGGGGTGGCACCTTGGGCTGTTTTCTTTCTCTTTGGCCTTCATTTACTTACCCTCTCGGAAGGAGCACAGGCCGCCGGCCGGTGCCCGCAATTCACTTGTCCTGGTGAAGGCAGCTTGACAGCTGCATAAATCACGCCGAGATACCACTAATAGGTTGCTGCCTGAGACTGTACTGGACCACCCAAGAGCGGCTCCGGGGGCCCTCTGAGGGCTGCACACAAATACAGTAATGCAAATGGCTTAACCCTTTGTTATTCCGCAGCATGCTGGAACCAAGGGGCTTCGTCATGTCCTCTCTCCTGTTGCTCCTGTTCCCCAGGAACAGCCTCAGTCTGTTTCTCAACTCTGCTCCCCACCCTAGCTTCTTACACCTCCTTTATTCCCCATCCATTCTTCCAGTTTCTCCAGGCTTCAGCTGAGGCTTGTGCACCCTGCAGATAACGAGAGGAGGAAGGCCTCGCCAGGGCTGTTGGCTGAGGTGGGATGGCATTGGCTGAGGTTAAGAGAGAGGAACAGGCAGTCAGTGGCAGAGCAGGTCAGCAGGACAGTGGAGCAGGGCGCACGAGATTATGGCTCCAGGCAATGGCAAAGCCTACTTCTCGGCCTGAGGGGGAGAGCGGTGCCATGCATGCTGGGCACTTGGGTTTCTGCACACAGCTCAGTGACAGACACCCTGGCCTCTGTCCCTGATGCAGAAGGGAAAGGGAAGCATGCAGTGAAGGTGGAGAGGGAGCCGTGCCTCATTTTCTTGCCCAGTGGAGAATCAAACCGAGGTTCTTTCTTTCAGCCACAGTCCTCAAGTGCTAACTATAATGCTCATCCTGTGTGAAGTGTGAGGGACACCAGTGTCCTGGCTTTCCAGAGCTCACAGCCCTGCACCACCCCAAGTGATAAGCCTCTGGCCAGCTGGCCCTCCCATTTCCAAGCTGTCCTCATGTTCTGCCTCTGCCCCTTTGCCTCCCTGTGCTGGAGATCACCCAGGACTGCTCCCACTCAGGGCTGCTGCATTATTTGTTGAATCTATGTGGCTCCCTCACACCCTTCAAGCTTCTGCTCTAATGCCGTCTTCTCAGCCAACCTTTCCTAACCACTCTGTTTAGCACTGCAGCTAACCTCCAACATGGAACTCTGTAACCCACTTCTCTGCTCTTTTATTTTATCCTATCTTATGTTTTAAGAGACAGGGTCTTACTTTGTCACCCAGGCTGGAGTGCAGTGGCATGCTCATGGCTCATTGCAGCCTCAAACTCCTGGGTTCAAGGGATCCTGATACCTCAACCTCCTGAGCAGCTGAGACTACAGGTGCATCCCACCAAGCCTGGCTACTTTTCTTATTTGTAGAGACAGAGTCTTGCTATGTTGCCCAAGGTGGTCTCGAACTCTGGGCTTCAAGCAACCCTCCCACCTCAACCTCCCAAAGTGCTGGGATTACAGACATGAGCTGCCAGGCCCAACCTGCCTTATTTTTCTTTATAGCACTTAACTACTTCCAAATACGCTACATCATTTCCTTATTTTATTTATTGTGTGCCTTCTCCCACTAGTGGGGTAAAACTTTGAAGGTAAGAGCTTTGGATTACTCTGTTGGCTCATGTATCCTAGGTAATGAGAATATGGTCTCCACGTGTAGGTGCTCAATACATATTTGTTGAGTGATTAATTACTATAACAAAGCAATGTGCAATGAGCCATGGGGACCTTGGGGGACTCAAGATATATTAGCCCAGAGGGGCTGGGAAAGGAGGCATGAGTCCTGAGTTTATGAGCTCAGGGATCAGTCACCGTGTCAGAGATGCTGGAAGCAATATTGGAATTAAGGAGATCCACTTCCTCTTCTTTATCTCTTAGCATGACACCATTGGCTCATGTGCTAATCTCCAGAACCCAGATAAAGGAAATTTTGCAAATGTGATTAAACTGGGAATGTTGAGATGGGGAGATTATTTTGGCATACTCTGGTGGGCCCAATGTCATCACAAGATTTGTTTTGTTTTGTTTTGTTTTTCTGATATGGAGTCTTGCTCTCGTTGCCCAGGCTGGAGTGCAATGGCGTGATCTCGGCTCACCGCAACCTCTGCCTTCCAGGTTCAAGTGATTCTCCTGCCTCAGCCTCCCAGGTAGCTGAGATTACAGGTGCCGGCCACCACCTCTGGCTAATTTTTGTATTTTTAGTAAAGACAGGGTTTCACCATGTTAGCTAGGCTGGTCTTGAACTCCTGACCTCTGGTGATCCACCAGCCTCGGCCTCCCAAAGTGCTGGGGTTACAGGTGTGAGCCACCGTGGCTGGCCACAAGATTTCTTATAAGAGGGAGACAGGAAGATCAGAGAAAGGAGGAGATGTGACCATAGGAGCAGAGACTGGAGCCAGGTTGGTCCACAAGCCAAAGAATGCGGGAAGCTTCTGGAAGCTGGAGAAGACAAGGAAATGGATTTTCCGCTAGAGGCTCTAGAAGAAACACAGGCCCACGGACACCTTGATTTTAGCCCAGTGAAACTGATTTTGGACTTCTGACCTCCATAACTGTAAGATAATAAATCTGTGTTATTTTAAGCCACTGGGTTTGTGGTCATGTGTTACAGTAGCATAGGAAACTAATAGAACGTCCTGTTTATATGCTAAGCGTCGTTTTCCCCCTCCCCTAAGCTTGTTTTGGGCTTTGGCTCTGCTGACTTTCTTCCTACAGGTGGGCAACACTTACGCATCTTCGTTTTCACCTTTGCACATGACCTTCTCAAAGTGAAAGTAGTCTGAGAGCTCTTTGTGTGATTCCTGGGGACTTTTTAAAAAGGAGTTCCTGTCATCTCCTCCGTGTTGGAATCATTTGAGTTTGCGCAACCGCATTTATTCCTGTATACTTATTTCTAAGTGTTTCTCAAGCTTCTGGAAGTGCTCTCAGCAATTCTCAAAGGTCTGTGCTTTGGTGTCTTGTTTCAGGCGGGCCTTTTAGTCTCTGGATTATTTCTACTGGGATGGATACTCTGCTCTATTTCATCCCCTCAAACTGATGCCTGAGAACAGCCCAGGCCCAGGTCCTGGCTGTGCCAGTTCTGTACCACCACCAAAGGCAGTGGGGTGGGGCAGGAGATAGAATCTGGTCGGTCATCTAAGCAGAGCTACCTGGGGGCTCCCCTCCTCCAGCATCCTCTCCCTTCTGTCTCTGCCCTGCTGTTCATCCAATACGCATTTGCTGAATACTTACGAAGCACAAGGCTCCATCCCCACCACCATGAAATATGAAAAGCTAGGTGCAGAAACACCCCCAAATCATGTGCAGGTGGGATTCCTGTGGAACTTCTGAATGTAGTGTCGAGAAAATGTCACTAGAGTTCAGGTGATGAATTAGCTTTGTTCCTTTGGAATGCATTGGTTGTAAATCCCTTTTCTCTCTCTCTCTCCCCCCCCCCTTTTTTTTTTTTTTTGAGACAGTTTCGCTCTGTGGCCCAGGCTGGAGTGCAGCGGGGCGATTAATCTCGGCTCACTGCAATCTCCGCTTCCCGGCACAAGTGATTCTCCCACCTCAGCCTCCCAAGTAGCTGGGATTACAGGTGCACGTCACCATGCCTGGCTAATTTTTGTGTTTTTTGTAGAGACAAGGTTTTGCCATGATGCCCAGGGCTGGTCTCTAACTCCCGGTCTCAAGCGATCCACCCACCTGGGCCTCCCAATGTGCTGCGATTACAGGTGTGAGCCACTGAGCCCAGCCAACCTCTCCTCTTTTTAATCTGTCTTCCATCTTTATCTTCCACAGGGCCGGCCTTACTGTATACAGAGTAAGTGAGTGGCACTCAGGGAAGAACAGGAAACACAGCACTAGACTAGAAATGGACGGTGCAACTTAAGGGCTAAATACTGGGGGCAGGGTGTTTGGAGCTACACTTTTCATCTGTGCCATCAAATATCTATTACTTGAAATGTGACTAGTGCAACTGAGCCTGGTTTTCAAATTCTATTTATTTATTTAAACTTAAATTTTAAAATGATAACTGCTTCAATTATTGGGAAGCTTTTAAGTATCTTTAGAACAACTTGAGTACATACATTTACTTTTTCAATTGTACATTTTATGAAATAAATGCAGATGAAGTATTTCTGATGAAAATTTAGCATCTAAATTGAGAAGTGCTAGAGTTTGAAATATTTTATATTCTTTTCCTTAATGAGAAAAAGAAAAGCATATAAAATATTTCAATATTTTATATTAATTACATGTGAGAGATACACATTTTGAAAGAGTAAATGAATGAGTCGAATAGAAACATTCTTGTTATTTGAAATGATCAGCCACCAACAGAGTTAACATTTATTAGGTGTATACTGTGCTCTGTATGTGCATACAGTGCACCAATTTTTGTGCCTCACTAATATTTACATTCCTTGGCTATTGTTAAAAAGTAAAAAAATAACAGATGCCAGCAAGGTTGTGGAGAAAAAGGGACACTTTTACACTGTTGGTGGGAGTGTAAATTAGTTCAACCATTGTGAAAGACTGTGTGGCGATTCCCCAAAGACTTAAAGACAGAAATATCATTTGACTCAGCAATCCCATTACTGGGTATATACCCAAAGGAATATAAATCATTCTATTATAAAGACATATGCACGCATATGTTCACTGCAGCGCTATTCACAATAGCAAAGACATGGAATCAACCTGAATGTCCATCAGTGACAGACTGGATAAAGAAAATGTGATACATATACACCATGAATTACTATGCAGCCATAAAAAGAACAAGATTATGTCCTTTGCAAAGACATGGATGGAGCAGGAGGCCGTTATCCTTAGCAAACTAACACAGGAACAGAAAACCAAATACCACATGTTCTCACTTATAAGTGGGAGCTAAATGATGAGAACACATGGACACATAGAGGGGAACAACAGACACTGGGTCCCACTGGAGGGCAGAGGGTAGGAGGAGGGAGAGGAGCAGAAAAAATAACTAATGGATACTAGGCTTAGTACCTGGGTGATGAAATAATCTGTACAACAACAAACCCCCATGACACACGCTTACCTATGTTAAAAACTGCACGTCCTGCACATGTACCCGTGAATTTAAGATTACAGTTTAAAAAAATTACATTCTTAACCATAATAACAATACAAAGGTAACCACAATCATCACTAACATTTATTGAGCACTTACTCTGTGCCAAGACTCTTCATTTCATCTTTCAAAAAATCCTAGGAGGTTGGTACTGTTTCTACCCTTTCCATTTCAAGATGGGAAAGTTGATGCTTATAGAAGTCAAACAACTTGGCTGGGCACGGTGGCTCACACCTGTAATCCCAGCACGTTGGGAGGCCAACGTGGGCACATCACGAGGTCGGGAGATCGAGACCATCCTGGCAAACACGGTGAAACCCTGCCTCTACTAAAAATACAAAAAATTAGCCAGGTATGGTGGCAGGAGCCTGTAGTCCCAGCTATTCGGGAGACTGAGGCAGGAGAATGGCGTGAACCTGGGAGGTGGAGCTTGCAGTGAGCGGGGATGGTGCCACTGCACTCCAGCCTGGGCGACAGAGCAAGACTCCTTCTCAAAAAAAAAAAGTTAAACAACTTGCCCAAAATCAGCCATTGAGTAAATGGAAGAAGCCACGAGACTTGAGCCCATGAAACACTTGAACTATGTTTCTTTTCTCTCATATGGTGCACAAAGTCTAAACCCAGGCCTGACACTCTCAGTGTGACCTTAGTTCACAGAACGACCCTGACAAATCAGAGCCTCAAGCCCACAGTGGGGGCAGCATGCAGGGGGCAGCTTGCAGGTGGATTTAAACCACAGTGACAGTGTGGAAACTAAGCTGATGTCCTGGACTAGTGAGGGCTGTGGGGCTCAGCAAAGTAAAATCAAAACCACTCCCAGATATCTCCATGGGCTGGGGATGGAAGACACATGTGAAAACCTCCTTTTGTTGTAAATGAGCTCATATCCCCGAATTATGAAGCATGAAAGTAAAAACACTGCCATAAAGGAGCATCATTGGATTAAAAAAAAAAAAAGGAAATAACCAAAGGAAAAGAAAAGGCTCTTATTTTCATAACACAAAATACTCACTTCTAAATACCTGGATAAAAAAAAGAAACCTTAATGATAATGACAAAATCTATATGCAAAATGTTTCAACCCAAGAAAGTAAAACAACAAATAATCACCACCAACAACAAATAGCCCAAAGTAAATCCAAAGAAAATAATAAAGATAAAAGCAAAAATGAATGAAACAGGCAAACTTCTTAGAATTGAAATTTGATCCTTTAAAAAAACTATCTCTGATAAGGTTGATTAGAGAGAACAAATAAACAACACAGAAAAGGGGAAATAATTCAGATATAATATTTTCAAAAATATAAGAATAGTAGAGCTATCTCTAAGCTCACGATTTTGGAACCTTAGTTATTAAAGGAAAGAGGTATGACTGACCCGCTGCTGTCTCCTCCACATTCCCTTCACCGACTTGTTTTTTCTGGACTTTTCATCTCAGCTCAGAATGACCTTATTTTTTTTCTTTTCTTAGCTTTACTTCCATGAAACTGTTGGAGGGAACATGTGAGTAGAGTTGCCAAACGCAGTAAATAAAAATACAGAATGCTCAGTTAAATTTGAATTTCAGATAGGAAGCAAGTAATTTTTAAATAATATGTGTGTTCCAAATATTGCAGCATGGGACATGGGTATAGTAAAAAATGATTTGTTGTTTATCTGAAATTCAAATATAACTGGCTGTCCTGTACTTTATCTGGTAAACATACTTTTTTTTTTCTTTTTTTTTGAGACGGAGTCTCACTCTGTCACCCAGGCTGGAGTGCAGTGGTACGATCTTGACTCACTGCAACCTCCGCCCCCCAGGTTCAAGTGATTCTCCTGCCTTAGCCTCCCAAGTAGCTGGGATTACAGGCGCCTGCCACGGAGCCCAGCTAATTTTTTGTATTTTTAGTAGAGACAGGGTTTCACCATGTTGGCCAGGTTGGTCTTGAACTCCTGAACTCATGATCCACCCGCCTCAGCCTCCCAAAGTGCTGGGATTACAGGCGTGAGCCACCGCGCCCGGCCGTAAACATACATTTTTAAGGTCTATTGAGTTTGATACCTGGAAGGGTTGCCAGATTTAGCATAAAAGTCCTGTAACATTAAAGTACAGGACACCCCAATTAGCAACATTTTGACCATACTTATACTAAAAAAAAATTATTGCCTATCTGAAATTCAAATGTAACTGTATATCTTGAATTTTATATGGGAACTCTAATTTTTGAGGAAGTGATCTGCTGTGTATGATTGTAGACCACTGGTGGAAGTTTCAGGGGCAGAAATGAACTTTTCTGTATCTTTAGGTTCTGGTCATGCATCTTAGAGAAGACCAGAAGCCTGAGGGGCCTGGAGTGGAATGACTTCTGCCTAGGTTTCTGGTAACGGGGCTTGGGTCCCTCCTTCATTTATTATAGAGGGCGTGAGACCTCCATAGCTCTTAGACATCTATGTTGATGAGTTAATATTAAAATCCAAATCAGATCTATTCTGTTTCTTTTGGAAGAAAGCAACTCTGCTCCGGATACTCTGACCTGCTCATCACTATTTTGCACTCTTGTCTTGATTTATTCCGTGGAGCCCAAAGCATTTCAGCACCAAAAGGAGATCTGTATACAGCTTGGGGTTTCTGACCCAAACAGGAACTGAAATGAGAGGGAAGAAATGGCTTATCTCTTTGACATCTGATATCATTTTTCAATTATTAATCATTTTGGATTGTTAACAGCAAGAAAGAAATAAGGAGAGAGAGAGAGAGAGAAAGAGAAAGAGAAAGAGAGAGACAGAGACAGACCCAGGCTGTACGCTGGCTTCAGCTGTTTAACGTCTGGCTTAACTCCCATTTAAAAACTTTGTTTACCTTACCCTCCCCACCCCACCCTCTCACAAAATACTTTTAAAAGAACATTAACAGGAGGAGGATCAAGGATCTTGTTTTCTTTTCATTCTTTTTGATTTATGTGCCTTTGTCCTGAAAGCTCCTGTAATCTCCCATATCTTCAGAGCCCGTTCCCTGCTGACAGGGTGAAGCAGCAAAAACTCCCCTGGCTTTGAGATAAACCATACCAAGCTGGATCATTAGCTACACAAACTTTCTCCCTTGAATCCTCTCTTAAAATGTTTGGAACTCTAGAACTTCTTCCTTGAAAAGGAGTAAAAGCAAACATTACAGGTTATATCTTTTAGAAGCATGTAACTAGAGCTTTTTATTAACTCAAGTGGGAGTAAGACCTGGCACTGAATTGGTCTGGTAACTTCTTTCTTGCAGCAGACATTTATTGAGCTGCTACTATATGCCACTGACTAGGGCTGTAGGAGAGGCAAAGATAAATATGGGATCATACCTACAGGGAGCTTGCTTGTAAAATAGTTGGGGACAAATGCAACTTTTGCAACCTACCTTTGAAGACCCCATCAGGTAACCCTGTTAGACACTCTTACAGAAGCCTGTATCTTCCTATCATTGCACATTTAAAATTGTATTTCTACATTGACTTCTGTGATGCTAAGTTTAAAGTCTTGCTCACTCGCTAGTTTCTAAGCTCTGTGAGCTCTAGGAGGGGAGGGGCTGTGTCTATTCTGATTATTGTTATATTCTCAGCCTCAAGTTTACACATTCTAGGGAGTCATTAAGTATTGGCTGAATACCTACATTATTTGAATGAGCAAACTATAATGCAAGACAGAATTTTATCCATCGGTTACAAGTGAAGAGTGATGTGAGCAGAGAAGGGAGCAATTCACTCGGGAATGGCTTTGCCGATGTTGTGAACAAGATACAGATGAGGTGGAAGTTCTTGCGTGCTGGAGATGTGGCTGGGGTTTGTCTCACAGTGGAGGCAAGGAATTGCAACTTTTTTCTATTATTGTACACCTTGAAGGCGAGGTTAATTAAATCCTGTTGTGGGGGTTGAGGGCCGGAATTTAATTTTTGGAGTTTTATTTAATGTCGGTAGCAGATTGGGTAATAAAATGTATATTGAGAATAAGATGGCCTTTTGACCTTTTAGGGTCTAGGGCTGTAAAGCGTCTCAGGGTTGCTGCCGAACGAGCCATGAACTGGGCTGGGTTTTTATATTTGATGAAAAAGAGCCTAAACGCTATCTGATTTGGGATAAAGAAAAAGGAGCATTAACCTTGACTATGCCTTTAGCTCCAGCCACCTTTTTAAGAATAAATTGCTGGGCAGGTGGGGGAGGGCTAGTCACAGAACGAAACTGTAAGCCAGACCAGGTGTGAGGAGGGGAGGTGATAGAAGGATTATAGGGTGGAGGAGCAGAGGCTGAGGAAGTATTGGGACCTAGCTTGGGCTGGTGAGGAGGGTAGAGGTCAGATGGGTCTGTAGAAAAGGAAGATTAGAAAGACTCAGCGACGCTTGGGGTTGGGACTGAGGGGACAGGCGGGAGGGAAAGAAGGAAGATTTGGGACGAGTTGCACTGGGCACAGAGACTAGGAAGGGACTGATGTGTAAAAGAATGTCTGGACGTCAGGCACCTCAGATCATTTGCCCATTTTACGACAAGAATTATTTAGATCTTGTAGGATGGAAAAATTGAAAGTGCTGTTTTCTGGCTATTTGGAACTACTGTCGAATTTGTATTGGGGTCAAGCAGCATTGTAGAAGAAAATAAGGCATTTAGGTTTTAGGTCAGGTGTGAGTTGAAGAGGTTTTAAGTTTTTGAGAACACAGGCTAAGGGAGAAGAAGGAGGAATGGAAGGTGGAAGCTTACCCATAGTGAAGGAGGCAAGCCCTGAGAAAAGAGTAGAGACACGGAGAAGGGGTGGGGGGTTCTTGCCCTCCAGAAAAGCAGAGAAGGGGTTGGGGCACGGAAATAAGAGGTCAGGGTGCAGAAATAAGGGATTGGGGCACAGAGATGAGGTTGGGGTGCGGAAATAAGCGATTGGGGGGTTCTTGCCCCCTAGGAAAGCGGGACTTGCCGCTGAGGGTGAAGGAGAAGGGTTTGAGGGGTACTTGCCCCTGCCCCAGGAAAATGGGACTTGCCGCTAAGGGTGAACGAGAAGGGGTTGAGGGGTACTTGCCCCTGCCCCAGGAAAGCGGGACTTGCCGCTGAGGATGAAGGAGAAGGGGTTGAGGGGTACTTGCCCCTGCCCCAGGAAAGCGGGACTTGCCGCTGAGGGTGAAGGAGAAGGGGTTGAGGGGTACTTGCCCCTGCCCCAGGAAAGCGGGACTTGCCGCTGAGGGTGAAGGAGAAGGGGTTGAGGGGTACTTGCCCCTGCCCCAGGAAAGCGGGACTTGCCACTGAGGGTGAAGGAGAAGGGGTTGAGGGGTACTTGCCCCTGCCCCAGGAAAGCAGGACTTGCCGCTGAGGGTGAAGGAGAAGGGGTTGAGGGATAGTGAGGAAGGTTGGAGAAGAGAGTAAAAAGAGGCCGCTTACCGGATTTGAAATTGGTGAGATGTTTCCTGGGCTGGTCGGTCTGAGGACCTGAGGTCGTAGGTGGATCTTCCTCACGGAGCAAAGAGCAGGAGGACGGGGGATTGATCTCCCAAGGGAGGTCCCCCGATCCGAGTCACGGCACCAAATTTCATACGCGTCCATGTGAAGAGACCACCAAACAGGCTTTGTGTGAGCAACATGGCTGTTTATTTCACCTGGGTGCAGGCAGGCTGAGTCTGAAAAGAGGGTCAACGAAGGGAAATAGGGGTGGGGCCGTTTTATAGGATTTGGGAAGGTAATGGAAAATTACAGTCAAAGGGGGTTGTTCTCTGGTGGGCAGGGGTGGATCTCACAAAGTACATTCTCAAGGGTGGGGAGAATTACAAAGAACCTTCTTAAGGGTGGGGGAGACTACAAAGTACCTTCTTAAGGGTGGGGGAGATTACAAAGTACATTGATCAGTTAGGGTGGGGCAGGAACAAATCACAATGGTGGAATGTCATCAGTTAAGGCTGTTTTTACTTCTTTTGTGGATCTTCAGTTACTTCAGGCTATCTGGATGTATACGTGAAAGTCACAGGGGATGCGATGGCCTGGCCTGGGCTCAGAGGCCTGACAGCGATCACCTGCCAGAGGATAACACCAGAAATAGACCCTGAGTGTCTGGACCTCAGAGGCCACAAGGCTCTTGTCCCAGCACTATCTGAGGGTCCTTGATTTCAAGTAGGCTCTAGCAGTCTAGTGGTCAGTGATTTCTAGTCTTTGTTCTTCTCCAATCCATAGTTTTATGCTGATTTAAATGAAAAGTGATTCCTTTTTTTCTGACCTTTTTTCTTCAACTCCCGTTTGTTCTGCCATTCTTGGTAAAACCTCTCTGGAGACCTACTACCTACTGGAACATTTCATGTGTTTTCTTCAGACATTTATCTCTTATGACTTGTGAAATAGATCTCAAGGGTTTAAAAAATATATGTCTGACATTCATGGGAAATCCATCCGTAACTCAAATCCAAGGGCTTACTTCCTGGCCTAACCACTTGGGGTCGCTCGCCTTCCTGAGACATGCTCCTCATCCAAATCCACCACTGGCATCCTCCAGGACCCTTTACAGGTCCGAGAACAAGGAACAGCTCAGAGGGCCAGCTCTTCAGGGCCAACTGAATGACATTTTTCATTATTAGGAGAACGGGGTGGTAGTTTCAGATATCAGGGACCCTCAAAATAGGAAGGGTGCCTAGAGATCATTTGGTTCAATCCCTTTGGGAAAAGGTGGCCCAGAAAAAAGAAATGACCTGCCCGGTCACGTTGTGTATCACTGACAAGGTGGGGATGGGGGTACTCTGGGGAATAATTGGATGAATTATTTCAGCTTAAGGTTCCACTCTTGGAGTAAATGGAGAAATTTATAACTGCGCGATAACACCGCCCTGACCTTCTCTACTCAGCGTGAGAATTAATTACCTGAGGCCAGTCCTATGGAACATTGTGAAGGCACGATTCAAAGACGCCAGCCAACCATCTGGCACTTGAAAGAGGCTAAGTATATGCAACTCCCCTCTTATCCTCTCTCTTTCATCACCCAGTGTGTTGAACTGAATGGCAATTTCTGTGTTTTCTCTCCCCTGTTTATTACGAACATCTCCAGGAAAGCCAGTTCCATGGACTCTCCCCATCATGGCATCGGCGGTGAGGAAGAACACTCCTAAAAGAGTGGGGGCCTGTACTGGCAGCCTAGGGCTTATCTGCAGGATGGAAAAGCTTCCAGGTAGAGCAGATGTGAGGTCTGCTCCTTTTCTTGCCTTTACTGATTGTGAAGCTGACGGGAGTGACTTGTTTTCAGTAAAATGTGCCATCGTCTTGACACCTCCAAAAGCTTGGTAGACTCAACTCACTGGACAGAAATGCAGGGTGCTTGGAGAGATTTAGTCCCAGTGGGAGAACACATTGCTACCATTCACTGGCTCTGACTATGGAATATCTAACTCAGCCCAGAGCTGAGGGTATGACTTCATGGGAAGCAGCTTCCCCATCTTCACTGACCTGAGCTTTTGAGAATTAACATCAAAACCCGAATCATTAGCATTGGGATTGGAAGGGCACTTTGTCATTTTCTAGGAGAGAGTGGAATCTTCCTCCTGAAAGATTTTCCCTAATGACTACCTGCAGTCCCAAGGGTCGGTAGCTGTGTCAGGCCCTGCATGGTGTAGCTTGGAAGAGAAACTTGGCTGAGCTATGGAGACTTGAGAAGGTTCCCAAGGGTTTCCTTCTCAATGCAGTTAGGTGACCCTCTGACTTACTGTCCAAAACGGGACAATTTCGAGAATAAAAAGGGGTGCCTCAAATGGCTCCCAGAGGTTTGAGGATCCAGGGCCCTGCCCACCTTCTGTTTCTAGGTCTGAGCCTTAGAAACAAGACACAAGACCCTAGCCCCAGAAAGATCTCAAAATCAAGGAAACTTTTCCATCAGGTAATACCGTTTTACTTGTTTGCTTATAGGACATAAGCCCATCACAGGGCTTACCCAGCTGCCTTTGAGAAATGTTTGGGGTCACATTGGCTAAAATTAAGTACTTTGTGGTGAACTGGATTTGACTGGAACTAAAGGATCGACTTCCAAGCTCACTCCTGTGGCTGTCGGCAGGAGGCTTCAGTTCCTTACCACATAGACCTTTCCACAGCATGAGGTGGGGACTCAGTGAAACCAGGTTCTGAATGTCAACAGAGAAAAAGACATTTTTTTTAATTGATTGATATGTGGTGGCATTTAAAAAGAATTAGCACTTACTTTTTTTGTTTGTTTTTTGTTTTTTGTTTTTTTTTTTTGAGACAGAGTTTCGCTCTTGTTGCCCAGGCTGGAGTGCAGTGGTGCGATCTCGGCTCACTGCAATCTCTGCCTCCCCCCGGGTTCAAGTGATTCTCCTGCCTCAGCCTCCCAAGTAGTTAGGATTACAGGCACCCGCCACCATGCCCGGCTAATTGTTTTTGTATTTTTAGTACAGATGGGGTTTCACCATGTTGGCCAGGCTGGTCTCAAATCCTGACCTCAGGCGATCCACCCGCCTTGGCCTCTCAAAGTGCTGGGATTACAGGCATGAGCCATGACACCCAGCCTTGCTTTTCAAATTAATACACACTTACGGCAGAAAATTTGGAAAAGAGAATCACAATAAAGAAAATTAAGTCACCAGTAACCTCAACACCCACTGCTAACATGTGGATGTCGTATTTTTCATCATTAGTCATTGGGCAGCTGTCAAATTGTTGATGTGATTCTGGCAGTAGAGCTTGTAAGAATGCATTCTAAAAGCCAAAGGAAAATTCCACTACAGGTGGACCAGAAGAACATTAAAAATTTGTATTAAAGGCCAGGCACCATGGATCATGCCTGTAATCCCAGCACTTTGGGAGGCCAAGGTGAGTGGATCACTTCAGGTCAGGAGTTGGAGACTAATCTGGCCAACATGGTGAAACCCCATCTCTACTAAAGATACAAAAATTAGCCGAGTGTGGTGGTGCATGCCTGTAATCCCAGCTACTCAGGAGGCTGAGGCAGGAGAATTGCTTGAACCAGGAGGTAGAGGTTGCAGTGAGCTGAAATCACACCACTGCACTCCAGCCTGGGAGACAGAGTGAGACTCTGTCTCAAAAAAAATTGTATTAAAATTAATATTTTTAATTGATAAATCATGATTCTATACATTTATGGGATACAATGCGATGTTTTAATATATGTAGACAATGTGGAATGATTAAATCAAGCAAATTTAACATATCCATCATCTTGTTTACCTATCATTTTTATGGTGAGACATTTGAAATTTATTCTCATAGTTATTTAGAAATATAGAGTACTTTATTATTGACTATAGTCATCCTGCTGTGTAATAGATCTTGAAATTTATTTCCTCTGTCTATCTGAAACTTCAGAAGAACATTTTTGACAAGGCGGATGCTAGGATTTTGGTGATTGTTATCATGCAACAAAGGTTTGGTAGAGCTTTGGTTATATTTTTTTCCTGATGAAACAGGAGTTTCCATGTCTAGTGATTGTGAGTGCACTGAAAACAAGAACTTTATTTTAACTTCATACCTTTCATAATTCCTGGCACATGAATATTTGTTGAACTGAATTGAGATATACTTTCTATCATTCAAAACACTTTCATGTGCTCCAGGGTGGAAATACCACCTTGTTGCAAAGGGCCACTACTAGTCTAATGAACCTATGTATTAGTTACCTATTGCTGTGTAACAAATTACTGTTAAATTTACCAGCTTAAAATGACAAACATTTTAATATCTGCCAGGGCTCCAGTGTCTGCAGATTTGACTGGAACTAGAGGATCAACTTCCAAGCTGGAACTAGAGGATCAACTTCCAAGCTCACTCCTATGGGTGCTGGCAGGACGCTTCAGTTCCTCACCACATAGACCTTTTCACAGCATGGCTTCCTCTAAAGTGAGTGGAGAGAGAGGGAGAGAGACAGAGAGAGAGAGAGACAGGAGACAGAGAGAGAGAGGAGAGAGAGAAAGGGAGAGAGAGAGAGAAGACAGAGAAAGCAGCCACATGCCACAGTGTTTTTACAACTTAATCTCGGAAGGGACATGCCATTACTGCTGCTTTAATCTACTCTGTAGAAGCAAATCACCAAGTCCAGTCTACACTTAAAGGGAGGGAATTGAGTCCCATCTCTTGCTGGTAGATGTATCAAAGAATTTGTGGACATATTTTTCTTCAATTTTAAAATGTACTATCATTAATTTTTTTCTTTATTTTCAGTAGTGCGATGAGAGTGATATATATATACATACATATATATATACATATATATACATATATATATACATATATATACATATATACATATATATACACATATATACACATATATATACATATATATACATATATATACATATATACATATATATATACACATATATATATACACATATATACATATATATACATATATATATACATATATATATATACACATATATATATATATATATTTTTTTTTTTTTTTTTTGAGATAGAGTCTTGCTCTGTCCCTTAGGCTGGAGTGCAATGGCATGATTATGGCTCACTGCAACCTCTGCCTCCCGGGTTCAAGCGATTCTCCAGCCTCAGCCTCCTGAGTGTCTGGGATTACAAGCACCTGCCATCATGCCCAGCTAATTTTTTTGTATTTTTGTAGAGATGGGGTTTCGCCATGTTGGCCAGGCTTGTCCTGAACTCCTGACCTCAGGTGATCTGTCTGCCTTGGTCTCCCAAAGTGTTGGGATTACAGGTGTGAGCCACTGCGCCCAGCTGAGAGTGGATATATTTTTAAACCATTGCAATCTATACAGCTATATAGATGCCATATATAGAATCTCTAATTTATACTCCTTTCATAGTTCACTATGTAAGTAATATAAAAATACATTCTCTATACACAAAAAGCCAAAACATTACCTATGACCAGACTCTCCTTTGATCCCTCCCCTGACACAGTTCTTGTCAGCTGAGGAGCTCTTAACTGACCAGTACTGTTACTACTATACGTCTTTCCAGATATTACACTGTGCATTTTATACTTAGAAAATATTCCATGTTTTGTCTACATGAGTATTTATACACGTAGTGTCATACTGCATGTGCATTCTTTATCTTTTTTCACTCAACAATATACTTCAAATTTGCCCTTTTTATTTAAACTAATACAAGGTATTCCAGAGTACAGAAGACCAAAATCTATTTAGCGATTCTTCTATTGCTGGGCAGATAGGTTTTTTCTAGTTCTTGATATGACAAATGCTGAGGCTTGTGTAGAAGTTTCCCATGCTAGTGGTTCTCTCTAGGGCATGTAACAAAAGGCAGAGTTCCTGGGTCACATTTTCCTACTAAATGTAATGAAGATGCTTTTTTATTGAGATGGAGTCTCACTCTGTCACCCACACTAGAGTGCAGTGGCACGATCTCGGCTCACTGCAACCTCTGTCCCCTGGGTTCAAGTGATTCTCCTGGCTCAGCCTCTCGAGTAGCTGGAATTACAGGTGCCTGCCACTGCGCCTGGCTAATTTTTGTATTTTTAGTAGAGACGGGTTTTCACCATCTTGGCCAGGCTGGTCTCAAACTCCTGACCTCGTGATCCACCTGCCTCAGCCTCCCAAAGTGCTGGAATTACAGGCATGAGCCACTGTGCCCGACCATGAAGATCCTTAAAAAGGAAACAAAGAGCTAATGTAGCTTCATTCAGCTTTTTATTTTCCAGAACATATCACTATTTCCTTCCATCTTTCCTTAAGTTCTCCTGGCCAACTCTTCAATAGCACAGGTCCAAGACCGCCATGACATAGGAATGGATGAACAGTTGATATGGATCATGCGTGGGGGATAGAAGGTGAACGTCGGTGAACAGGCTCGGTCATCCCCTTCCCTGAGGTGCTTGCTTCCTTCCACTCATGCCTTTGTGTGATCTCGCCCCTTAAGTATGGGCAGGGCTTCTGACTTGCTTCTGACCAACGGAACGTGGCAAAGTCAATGGGAGGCCACTCTGTGATGACGCTGGGTTAAAAAAGACCCTGTGTCACTAGCAGATGTGTTCTGCTCTCTCTTCATTTGTTGGCTTCGAAGAAGCAAACTGCCATGGACTCAGCTGAAAGGAGTCAAATGCCTCCAACAATCACATAAGCAGGGAAGTGGACACTTCCCTGGTGGAGCCTCTGGTGAGAACCCAGCCCTGGCTGACGCATTAATTGCAGCCTGTGAGACCTTTAGCAGAAGCCCTCCTGATCCACAGAAACTGTGAGATAATAAGCCACTAAGTTTGTTGTAATTTGTTATGGGGCATAGATAACTAGTACACGCAGTCCTACTGAGATTTTCTCTCTCCCTCTTTTTTTTTTTCTATGAATAAACTCCTTTCTATTTTTGAGCTTTCCTTTCCAAGTCACACATTTTATTTCAAATAATTGATAGTTGTAATAATCAGCTTGCTGCTTGAAAATACCCGCAAGCCTCGGGGTATATTGTCTTAGTCTGTTTTCTGTTGCTATAACTAAATAACTAAAAGTAGGTAACTTATAAAGGAAAGAAGGTTATTTCTTACAGTTCTAGAGACTGAGGCTGGGAAGTCCAAAGCTGAGAGGTCACATTTGGTGAGGGCTTCTTGCTGGTGAGGACCCTCTGTAGAGTACTGAGGTGGTTCAGGGTATCACATAGACAGAGGGGCTCACTGAGAGCCAGACTGGCTTTTATAACAGACCCACTCTTGTGATAACTTGCCTACTCCTATGATAACTCATTAATTCATTAATCCATGAATGGATGAATCCATACATGAAGGCAGGATGGATTAATGTGCCTTCATGTCCCAGTTACCTCTGAAAGGCCCCACCTCTTGATACTGTTATATTGGGTATTAAGTTTCAACATGAATTTGGGAGGGGACAAATATTCAAACCATAGCACACACCATAGAAACTTCTTGCTCATGCATCTATAGGTCAGCCAGGATTGGTTAATCTAGGCCGGCTATTGCACTTGGCTGCAAGCTCCATGCTGAATGGGCATCTGCTCCATGAGTGTCTCATCCTCCTTGGACCAGGGGACAAGTGAGGCATGTTCTTCTCACAATGTGCAACATGCCAAGTCCAACTGTGAGGCATATTTCAATTCTTGCTTGGGTGAGGAGTGTTGACATACCATCGCTCAAAGCAAGTCACATGGCCAAGCTCAAAGTCAAGGGACAGGAAAGTATACTCCCTAGACTCCAAGGCCATGGTATGGAGCAGGTGGACTGGGGGAAGTACTGGGAGCAGTAAGTCAATCTCCCAGTGAAAAACATGGGATTTGGAGTCCAGACGACATGTGACTTCTAATCTTTCCTTCCAACATAGCCTTTAGCAAATCAACTTCTCTCTTCAGGTCCTAGTTTCCTCATCAATAATAGGGGAGGTTGTACTAAATTTGCTACAGCCTTGAAAATAATTGTTAAATATCTTCTATGAGCAATGAACTACTTCGTGTGGTAGAAAAAAATGAGTATGAATTTACTGAGACAAAGGATTTGTGGAAATAAAAATTACATAACTGAGAACAAACTGAAGCCATTTATTCAGAGCTTGCTATAGCAAGGGTCAGCCACCAACACTAGTACTTGGTAGAGACTTAAAGGCAGGCAGGAGAGTCGGAAAGTGTTGTCGTGAACAAGATGGGAAGGTGTCAGGGATGCTCTGATAGGAGGTTGTTGGCATGAGGAAGTTGGAGGCAGGCTAACTAGAAGCAGGGCAATCTTATGTGATTGGTTCAGGGACATACTTGGTTTTCTCTGGTTGGTTAAATTTAAAAGCGGAGTCAACAGTTAGAGAAGCTGGCAGTTTCTGACCAACTCCTGACCACTCTGGGCAAATTGCTGCAGAGGTTGTGAGTTCTAGTGTCTGCTTTGCAGATTTAGCCTCTCAGCTTTAAGACAATGTGTTACTTTTCTATGGCTGCTGTAACAAATTACCAGAAACTTGAGGGCTGAAAACACAATTGTTCTTTCACAGTTCTGGAAGTCAGAAGTCCGAAGTCAGTTTCACTGGGTTGAAATCAAGGTGTCTGCAGGGCCATGTTTTCTCTGGAGGCTCAGAGGAGAATCTGTTCCTTGCCTCTTTCAGCCACCATTCCTAGGCTTTTGGAGGCATTACTCCCATCTCTGCTCCTGTGGCCACACTGCCTCCTTCTCTTCTGTCTCCATCTCCCTCTTTCTCTTACAAGAATACTTGTGATGGTATTTAGGGCCTGTTTTAGTCTCCTTGGGCTTCTACGACAAAATTTCATAGCCTGGGTAACTTAAACAGCAGACATTCATTTCTCATGGTTCTGGAGGACGGAAAGTCCAAGCTCAGAGCACCAGCATGGCCAGGCTCCTGCAGAGGGCCCTGCTCCTGGTTTGCAGGTGGCTGCCTTCTTTCTGTGTCCTCACATGGCACACAGAGAGTGCTGGTCTCTTCCTCTTCCTATAAGGACACGAATCCCATCATGGGGGCCTCACCCACATGACGTCAGCTGGATCTAATTACCTCCCAAAGGCCCCACCTCCAAATACCACTCCACTGAGGGTTTCAACTTCAACAAATGAGCTTTGGTGGGACACAAACACTCATTCTATAGCAGGGCCCATCAGATAATCCGGGAGAATCTCCTCATCTCAAGATCTTTGATTATTCACACCCACAGAAACTTTACCATGTAAGGTCATGTTTGTGGGTTCCAGGGATTAGGACATGGACATATCTTTGGGAGCCATGATCAGCCCACCATAGTATTCTTAAACCCTAGTCCAGTGGTTCTCAAATGCAGTTCCTGGACTAGCAGCATCAACATCACCTGGCAGCTTGTTAGAAATGCAAGCTCTCTGAAGCCCCAAACCTACTCAATTAGAAATTCTAGGGATGGGGCCCAGCAATGTGTTTTAGCAAGCACTTCAGGTGGTTCTGACGTACACTGCAGTGTAATAACTTTGTTCCAATCTAGTGTTCTTTTCTCAGCATTTTGGTGCCCAGTCTAAAGTGTTCTTTTATAAATACATATATATTTTTATCTTTATTCAGAGATTCCCAGATTTTTCTCAATTTGGCCTCCACTTCTGTGCCATCTCTGATGGATGACTAAATGCTTGGAATGTTTTGTTTAGAAGAAACAGTACCATGATTGATTAACAAGGTCTGTCATGGCAGAGGAGGGACAGTGGTTCTACCAGTCCCACCTTAGCCTCTAGCTCTCTGGGGCTAATTTGTGATGGAAAAAATAAACAAAAACCCGCACATTTCACATTTCCTTATGGGAGAAACACTTAACATTGTCCTCTGTTTGTACTATTTTATATTGTGTTTGCATTCTTTATATCTTTAGGAGAGGTCTGATTTTGTATTAGCCACAAATATCTACACAACTGAAACAAAGCAAAACAAAACAACAGAAAGAACTCACTTTTTTTTTTTAAGCCAAAGCTGCAAATGGCTCTGTGTCGATGGAAAGCTGTTTTTATTTGGCAACAAGACCTGGAAGGCTGGGCTTGAATTCATTCCCCTCCCGGGAGGCTACCCCAGAGCCCTACTCCACACCCACAGAGGACTCTGTGGTTACTTTTCATAAGCTGCCATAATTTTCAAAGCCCCAAAGGGCTCATAATCAGATTTGGGAAAGCTGCTCTATTTGTAAGCATCTGAGTCTGCCTTTCAGGAGGCTTTTCCCTGAAGGGAGCGATGACTGACAGCAAAGACATCCTTTTTTTCCCCCACTTGGGGATAATCCTTTGTTTAGCAGGTCTTCATTGTTGCAGAGGAAGTTTACTTAGCTTCTGATCCCACTGGACTGATTCAGCAACTACCCCAACAGCCCCACCTCACTCAACATCCCCCCTCCTACCCCACCCCACACAGAAGAGCAGACCTCTGAGAAGGGGTGGGATTCGAGAAAAAGCACATGGACACAAATCCACATTTTGAGGCAGGTCTTTTTTCTCCTCAGCCTTTTGGATTTTGTCCTTCCACCTGCAAACCCAGCCTTACACAAGTGGGAACTGTTTTCAGCTGGGTTACAGCAAAAGGAATCTTTTGCAAGGATAATGCAGACAGGAGAGGGTTCCAGCTTCACTCTGTGTTCTTACCACCACGTCTCTGCCTCGAGAAAAGCCCAAATAGCAAACATACAGATTCTAAATCGTACTGTTTTTTAAAATATTAATCGAGTGAGTCTTCTGGATCCGTTTTATTTTTACAGCCTCGCTTAGGCTTCTTTAAAAACTTTGCCACTTTGGTCAGGCTAAGACCCGCTGAATCCTATTGCTTAACTATTGTTTAAGTTCTTAATCACTTCTTCAATTTCCAATATCAGCTTTCTTGATTCTTGTTAAGTAGCATGCTTTCACAAAAGACAAAAATTCTGACCCACCGTTAATATTTTTTAAAAATAGTATTAATTGGAACTAACATTTATCGAGCACTTACTTTATGTCCCACACTCTTCTAAGAGTTTTCCACAAAGTAACTCATTTAATCTTTACAACAACCCTATCTAGTCGATAGTATTATAGGTTGCAATTTAAATATGTGAAAACCAAGATTCAGAGAGGTTAGGTAACTTACCCAGGGTCACATGGAACATTTCCTCTTTCCAATTATGTTTAGCATTTTACTCTAAATTTATTATAGTCTTTTGTTTGGCAAAAGGGGTCTTACTTCTACAAGGAGACTGTTTAGGGATAGTAGATCAATCTCTGGTCATGAACAAAAGCTTTCTCATTGTGATGTTTATTGCTAACTGGGCTGTGGGTCTTGAATCCTGGGCGTTGACCTAATTAAATATCAAGCTCCAAACAGCTGAGTTGACTGGCCAGCCAAAGGTCACATATCTGCAAAAAGGGAAAATAAACTATCTTCACCCCAACTAGAATGAGTTTCATCAACCAAATCCTATTTTTTTTTCATGGTTCAAGAATTCAAACAATATTTTTCCCTGATTAGTAGAGTTCCTCCAAACTCTTTCTTCTGCCATCATTCCAGGCAGAGGCCCCTTTTACCTGTGCAGTTCTGCTCTGTTGACTTCTAAGCTGCTACTGATGCTGTTTTTTTCACATCTGTCCCCGGTACATGCTTCTCCAATAGAGGCAAATGTCTTAATAATTGATGATTTTTGTTTGTTTGTTTTTAACACTTTTATCTAGGTTTTTTTAAAACATGTTAGAGACTCAACTCACAGATAAAATACAGAATTGACTTTTATTTCAAACGTATTTTTAGACTTGATGATTGTTTGATTTTACTTTTGAAAGAAAAAAATTTCCCCATATTCAAGTCATCCAAGTAACTTTGTACAAGCTGTGATTAAGGATTATTGCTGGATGTTAATGTGTGTTCTCTTCTTTCTTTTCTGCCTTGTATTCCAAGTGTCTCACAGTGAGGAGTATGACTCATCTATCCTTGGGGAAAGTATTTTTTTGCTTTTCGGGTCCCTAACTCACCTTGCAGATGTTGGTAAGATTCCAGGCAGCACTGAACCTCTGGGATCACATTCTCTGTGTATTGTAATCCTAGATGAGCAAACGCTTTTGCATTATGTCATTGTTCGACATATTTCTGACTACAGGAAGGAAACCAGGGAGAACTAATAATAATTTCCTGTACAGAGGATTGTGCTGGATTTGGGATATAGTCAACAGGTGTGGGAACATCTGTAGCTATCCAGCAGTGCTTTCCTGAATAGTTCTTTATAAACATAATTAGTTCCCCTTCCAGCTGATTTGACTGTATTGATAGAATAGAGCTAAATCACAGGAATAAACTACTGAAGGCAATTAATTGCTTTTGGTAAATTCTGTAATCAGGAATTTTTGTCTTGAAGAAATATTATAGAATTAGCAACTTCCAGAGCACCCAGATAATTATTTTTTTGGGGTTTGTTTCTTAAGTTTTATGGAAAAATTAGGTATAATTTTGAAAAATTTTGCTTAAGTTTAAGGAGACAAAGCTCATTCTTTTTATTCTTTATGTGTACTGAGAAGAACACAATAATTTCCAAAATAGACTGTTGTTAAATTTATAAGATGCCATAGGTTTGGACTGAGCTTCTTCACTGGACCCCTACTGACCAAACCAAACTGGAGCCATTTATGCTAAAGTTCTGTGCCACCAAGCCAAAACTAAGTTGTTTATCTGATTTTCCGAGAGATCAGGAGGGAGTGGTAATGGTCAAATCCCCTAACAGGCTAGTTTTAGCTGGCTTGATAAGGAAGCACTGTCTGCTTTAACCCTTACAAGGAAAGTAACTTCGAAATGGCCAATTTGCTTTTTGTTCCTTGTTTCTGTATTCTTCAGCCATTTTCTGTTTATAAACACTCACTGCCCACATTGCAGAGCGGAGTTCTCTGAACCTCTTCTTGATTCTGAGGGCTGCTCAATTTGAGAATCATTCTTTGCTCAAATAAACAAACCTGTTAAATGTACTTTGTCTAATTTTTTCTTTATTGCTGTCCATGAAAAGTAGAACTAATTTATAGTCAATATCTGCAGGGACCTAAACTTGAAGGTGGGAACAATCAGCAAATCAATGCCTTGTGTTTAACTTTTTTTTGGTTGGGGTAGGAGGAAAGCTAATTGCTAAGTTGTTTTAACTAAAATATGCTTCCATGAGGAATAGCAATAAAAATCACTTGAATTCTGGCAGTCAGCCTTCTTTCATACCTGTTGTCCAGAATGAGCAAATGAACCTTTTGTTTCAAAGGTTTTTTTTGTTGCATTTTTGGACCTAGAGAAGAATTATAAACATTTAAATTTGAATGCATATCCAGAGTTAGACAAGTATGTGTGTTCTGGTGTGAGCAGAGCTCTTGTCAGTCATAACGTGGCCGTGCGTTCATTCTAGCAGTTGCTGTTTTTCTTCTCTCCCAGTATACACATGCTTGCTTTTCAATTAGAACTTGAGTCATCTCCAGAAAGTTACCAAAATAAACTCACCATCAGTGAGCTCATAGGAAAATATTGCCCAGGTGTTCTAGCAAGTAGGGGTCATGATCTTTAGCCTTCTCTCCCACTTACCCTCCCTACAATTCTTAAGAAAGACTTCTCTAAATGAAGCTATTGCCTTTAAGTGTCCTCAGGAATTTGAACAGATTGAAACTGCCTGAAGCCATGGGGTTTACTGAAAGGCTTTAAAAAATAGTCATTTCAAAAAGCAGAGGAGGGAGCCCTCCTTCAAAATGGCCCAACAGTTCCTTGGTTCACAATAGGCAATAGATATATATTTTAGGCTTGGCAGTCTAGAGGCAGATGCTACCAATTGTGTGCATGTGTGTGTGTGGTACAACTCTAGCAGTTAAAAACATTTTATATATTAATATATGAAAGCACGCACCTCTGTAGAGACATTGCATTTATTTATCAATTATATACATGTCCTCCTGTACCAATATATAATGTATATTAAAACTCCCAGAGAAGTAGAACATTTAGGAGAATAAGTGAAGAATAAAAATAACTAGAAGTTCTATTATTTTCTTACCAGAAGTCTTGTGCACTCCAGGGGAATTATGCTCACCCTACTTTGGGATCCACTGCTCTGGAGAACTCAGTGAAACATGGGCCCTCAAATACTCTTCAGTCGAGCCCCCTCTGTGTGCGGAGCTGAAGGAGCATGGGACTGGGAGTTAGTTCACAGGGGCTGGATCTGGCTTCCTATGTAGCTCATAACTGCCACTTTATTTCTTTTGAGTTTTGTTTTGTGGAATAAAAATGAAAGGGGT
The DNA here is from genome assembly GCF_000001405.40 of Homo sapiens. Lineage (NCBI taxonomy): Eukaryota > Metazoa > Chordata > Mammalia > Primates > Hominidae > Homo > Homo sapiens. The sequence goes on from NC_000009.12 coordinate 86,602,712, forward strand.
TGAATTTACTTAATTTACTTTGAGGTTCTTTGCAACTCTAATAATCTATGATTTTAGAGAGCTAAATTTTGGGGCCCTTGGGCAAAATGACAACTCTAGGGGAGGCCAGAAAAGGTGGTGCAGTGGAATTGTTGGAAATGGGTGGGTGTCCAAGAATCAGACAGAGGAAGGAGAGGATTCCTAAGTGGGGTGGAGGCAGCTCCAGGAAAGAGCTGACTCAGGAATGAAGGTGGCAGGCATGGGAAACCATGAAGCAGAAAAATTGCAGGCTGGTGGAAAATGCCTTTGGGTAGGTAAGAAATGAAGGGTAGAATGGTTAATTTTATGTGTGTCAACTTGGCTGGGCCATGGTGTCCAGAAAAACATTATTAGGATAAACATTTTGGATGTTTCTGTGAAGGTGTTTTTTTGGGGTGAGATTAACATTTATGCTTGGTCTGACAAATAAGATGTCAGTGGAAATGGCCTTTCCCTGGTGCCAGCTGTGGCCAATTATTTTTTAGTGAGGCAGTTTAACAACTGCCTGACCATCATCTGATTGTCACCTGACATTTCTGATGGGGGACGGGGTGGGGGCTGGGGGGAGCCCTCTCCTGCCTTGCTCTCATGTCTAACTAGTGACCTACTGTAAGAGTATGTAAGATGAATTGAAAATGAAAAAAGTCCGGAAATAACATAGAAGCCTGAAAGATTGGTGCATGAATTCATTTATTCATTCTGTCAATCAAGCATTAAGTCTTGAATATATCACTGTGGCATACTTAACGTATGTCAGGGTAATAGATGAGAACAAGAGTCAGGTCCTTTGCCTTCGTAGGGCTCTTAGAATTGAGTGAGGGAGACACACATTAAACAAACACACATTAATATTTACTTAAAAAGTATAATAAACACTATTAAAATGAAGAGACTGCTCATAAGAACAAAAAATAAATTAGTGACATAATTCTCAAGAAGGAAGAGAAAGGGTATATTTAAGAGAGATAGCAAAGGAATAATAACAGGGTTTGGAAATATTTTGGGAATCAACATGTAGGGATTTGAAGAGTCAAAGATGGCCCCAAGGTATCTAGGCTGGGAGGAAACTGTTCTGTCCAGTTCCCTACATTCTGGACTTTGATGATTGTATCTGCTGGTGTCATTTGCCATGTTCTTCTAGCCCTGTGTTTCCTGTAAACTGTTAGCTTCACCTGGAGCCTTGATTAGATTCAGGTTCAATGTTTGTGGCTAGAATGTATCACAGATGGGGGCTCTCTCCTCCCTATTGCCTCACAGTAGGAGGTGACTACTATTTGATAGCCATTGTTTGAGGTTAATGTTGATCAGTGGCTTAAGGTATTGCCAGCCTGACCCATCCATTCTACAGTTCCTTATCAGTCTTTCACCTGATGGTTCTATTAACCACTGATGATCATTAAGGGCTGGAAAAGGATGACTTTCTAATTCCGTGATTCCGTCTGTATTTATTGGCTAGAATTCCCTCACTGCTGTCCCAAAGCAGAACAACTAGGCATTTATGAGGGCATATGAGAGGGATTTGCCCTTGGGCCCTTGTGGGAGCCGGTGAGATGGTCTTTGTGCCTGGTGTTGAAACAGTTGGAAGGGACAGAGCATCAAAGTGGGGACAGCAAGGACAAGCTGGGACCCACCAGCAGGAGCAAGACCATGGGGATGGACTAGAGCTCTTGTCAGTCTCTCAGCTCTTTCCACCTCAATGATGTGGGTGGTCTCTAGCAAAGAAGGTACCTGGCTCAGGGGTTGGAGAAGGTGAAGGAGAATCTGGGGAAATGGAGCAGCTGCAGGCCCAGCTGCTGCCTGTGTCAATAGGAAGTTCCACAGAGAGAAGCGGGAGCTGCAGTAGCACCTACGAGACCTCCACCAACCTTCTGAGTGTAATATTATCAGGCTGCTTCACTTCCACCTTCCAAATCTCTCACAAAATGTCTTTGGTGGCCCTCCTTCAATTCTGCTTAGTCTTTATCTCAATCACATGAGCAGGATGCCCCATTTCTTTCTTGCTGTTATATCAATTGGGCATTACAGCTGTAACACCAGCTCTAACAAGGATTCTTTGCACCAAGTTAACAATGCTTAAATATTATTCCTTTCTTCTGTCATTACAACAACAAAGTTTCATAATTAGGCCTTTCCTGTAGAGTCACCATTTTGTTATGAAGGGGGCAGACTTGAAGTAGTAAATTATAGTTTTAGTGAAAACACATTTTTCCACCAGGGTGAGGATATGTGGTTACAACACTCCCTCAAATGAATAAAAACCCAAACAAACCAAAAATTCCTGTCCCAAAGTATCAGAAAATGGATCTTTCTGTGAACTCACTAGTGATGGTGGTAAGATGTGCAGATATAGTTTATTGCTGATGCTGAATCATATACAAGAAACACACCATCTCCTAAAGACTATGCTGGATTTCAAGCATTCTTTCAGGTATTATAGTTGAATGTAGCAACAACAATTAAGGTAATCTAATTAGAAGCTTAGAATACTCCTTAATTCGCATCTCTGTGGTGCCTTTTGCAGAAGAAATTCCACTGCTCTCAAAGGAGGTTTCAAATCCTTAGAAAGGTGATTTCTATTCATTGGTTTAATTTTGATTCTTAATCTCCTCTCGGAATAATTTCCACACTTCTGAAAGTTGACTTCTATTCTGCCCTAACTAGCTCTGTGATCATACTCATAGGCTCCAGAGCCCCACCTGTCACATCTTGAAATGATAGGGTTGGACATGGATGGTTCTTAATGCTTCTAATGGCTTTAACGATATGTGTGACTATGACAGATTAAATGACCACTTTCCCATAACCATCGGGTTTCTCTCTCCATGCTGCCAGAAGACAAATTTATGGCCCCATGTGACCTATAATTAGTACTAAGCTTATTTCTGGCTCAACTTAATACATACTTTTGTTTTCTCTTTATTATTTCTCTTATCTAGAGCTTTTTCATGCTCTTTCATTGTTCTTTATGTTACTCCTGCAAACTATCTTAAATAAACTTTGGAAAACAGTAGGGTATAAATAAATACGCATTTATTCCTATTTTATAATACAGAATTAACAATACAAGATTATAATTATGAAATCACTTCCCAATGACTCGATGTAGAAAATTGAAAATGGATTTCTTTCTTTCTTTCTTTCTTTTTTTTTTTTGTGAGCTGGAGTCTCGTTCTGTTGCCCAGGCTGGAGTGCAGTGGTATGATCTCGACTCACTGCAACCTCCGCCTCCCGGGTTCAAGTGATTCTCCTGCCTCAGCCTCTCAAGCAGCTGGGACTACAGGCGCATGCCACCATGCCCGGCTAGTTTTTTTTTTTTTTGCTTTCTTTTTTTTTTTTATTATGCTTTAATTTCTAGGGTACATGTGCACATTGTGCAGGTTAGTTACATATGTATACATGTGCCATGCTGGTGCGCTGCACCCACTAACTCGTCATCTAGCATTAGGTATATCTCCCATTGCTATCCCTCCCCCCTCCCCCCACCCCACAACAGTCCCCAGAGTGTGATATTCCCCTTCCTGTATCCATGTGATCTCATTGTTCAATTCCCACCTATGAGTGAGAATATGTGGTGTTTGGTTTTTTGTTCTTGCGATAGTTTACTGAGAATGATGATTTCCAATTTCATCCATGTCCCTACAAAGGACATGAACTCATCATTTTTTATGGCTGCATAGTATTCCATGGTGTATATGTGCCACATTTTCTTAATCCAGTCTATCATTGTTGGACATTTGGGTTGGTTCCAAGTCTTTGCTATTGTGAATAATGCTGCAATAAACATACGTGTGCATGTGTCTTTACAGCAGCATGATTTATAGTCCTTTGGGTATATACCCAGTAATGGGATGGCTGGGTCAAATGGTATTTCCAGTTCTAGATCCCTGAGGAATCGCCACACGGACTTCCACAATGGTTGAACTAGTTTACAGTCCCACCAACAGTGTAAAAGTGTTCTTATTTCTCCACATCCTCTCCAGCACCTGTTGTTTCCTGACTTTTTAATGATTGCCATTCTAACTGGTGTGAGATGGTATCTCATTGTTGTTTTGGTTTGCATTTCTCTGATGGCCAGTGATGATGAACATTTTTTCATGTGTTTTTTGGCTGCATAAATGTCTTCTTTTGAGAAGTGTCTGTTCATGTCCTTTGCCCACTTTTTGATGGGGTTGTTTGTTTTTTTCTTGTAAATTTGTTTGAGTTCATTGTAGATTCTGGATATTAGCCCTTTGTCAGATGAGTAGGTTGCAAAAATTTTCTCCCATTTTGTAGGTTGCCTGTTCACTCTGATGGTAGTTTCTTTTGCTGTGCAGAAGCTCTTTAGTTTAATTAGATCCCATTTGTCAATTTTGTCTTTTGTTGCCATTGCTTTTGGTGTTTTAGACATGAAGTCCTTGCCCATGCCTATGTCCTGAATGGTAATGCCTAGGTTTTAGGTCTAACGTTTAAGTCTTTAATCCATCTTGAATTGATTTTTGTATAAGGTGTAAGGAAGGGATCCAGTTTCAGCTTTCTACATATGGCTAGCCAGTTTTCCCCGCACCATTTATTAAATAGGGAATCCTTTCCCCATTGCTTGTTTTTCTCAGGTTTGTCAAAGATCAGATAGTTGTAGATATGCGGCATTATTTCTGAGGGCTCTGTTCTGTTCCATTGATCTATATCTCTGTTTTGGTACCAGTACCATGCTGTTTTGGTTACTGTAGCCTTGTAGTATAGTTTGAAGTCAGGTAGTGTGATGCCTGCAGCTTTGTTCTTTTGGCTTAGGATTGACTTGGCGATGCAGGCTCTTTTTTGGTTCCATATGAACTTTAAAGTAGTTTTTTCCAATTGTGTGAAGAAAGTCATTGGTAGCTTGATGGGGATGACATTGAATCTGTAAATTACCTTGGGCAGTATGGCCATTTTCATGATATTGATTCTTCCTACCCATGAGCATGGAATGTTCTTCCATTTGTTTGTATCCTCTTTTATTTCCTTGAGCAGTGGTTTGTAGTTCTCCTTGAAGAGGTCCTTCACATCCCTTGTAAGTTGGATTCCTAGGTATTTTATTCTCTTTGAAGCAATTGTGAATGGGAGTTCACTCATGATTTGGCTCTCTGTTTGTCTGTTGTTGGTGTATAAGAATGCTTGTGATTTTTGTACATTGATTTTGTATCCTGAGACTTTGCTGAAGTTGCTTATCAGCTTAAGGAGATTTTGGGCTGAGACAATGGGGTTTTCTAGATATACAATCATGTCGTCTGCAAACAGGGACAATTTGACTTCCTCTTTTCCTAATTGAATACCCTTTATTTCCTTCTCCTGCCTAATTGCCCTGGCCAGAACTTCCAACACTATGTTGAATAGGAGTGGTGAGAGAGGGCATCCCTGTCTTGTGCCAGTTTTCAAAGGGAATGCTTCCAGTTTTTGCCCATTCAGTATGATATTGGCTGTGGTTTTGTCACAGATAGCTCTTATTATTTTGAAATACGTCCCATCAATACCTAATTTATTGAGAGTTTTTAGCATGAAGGATTGTTGAATTTTGTCAAAGGCTTTTTCTGCATCTATTGAGATAATCATGTGGTTTTTGTCTTTGGCTCTGTTTATATGCTCGATTACATTTATTGATTTGTGTATATTGAACCAGCCTTGCATCCCAGGGATGAAGCCCACTTGATCATGGTGAATAAGCTTTTTGATGTGCTGCTGGATTCGTTTTGCCAGTATTTTATTGAGGATTTTTGCATCAATGTTCATCAAGGATATTGGTCTAAAATTCTCTTTTTTTGTTGTGTCTCTGCCTGGCTTTGGTATCAGAATGATGCTGGCCTCATAAAAAGAGTTAGGGAGGACTCCCTCTTTTTCTATTGATTGGAATAGTTTCAGAAGGAATGGTACCAGTTCCTCCTTGTACCTCTGGTAGAATTCAGCTGTGAATCCATCTGGTCCTGGACTCTTTTTGGTTGGTAAGCTATTGATTATTGCCACAATTTCAGATCCTGTTATTGGTCTATTCAGAGATTCAACTTCTTTCTGGTTTAGTCTTGGGAGAGTGTATGTGTCGAGGAATTTATCCATTTCTTCTAGATTTTCTAGTTTATTTGCGTAGAGGTGTTTATAGTATTCTCTTATGGTAGTTTGTATTTCTGTGGGATCGGTGGTGATATCCCCTTTATCATTTTTTATTGCGTCTATTTGATTCTTCTCTCTTTTTTTCTTTATTAGTCTTGCTAGTGGTCTATCTATTTTGTTGATCCTTTCAAAAAACCAGCTCCTGGATTCATTGATTTTTTGAAGGGTTTTTTGTGTCTCTATTTCCTTCAGTTCTGCTCTGATTTTAGTTATTTCTTGCCTTCTGCTAGCTTTTGAATGTGTTTGCTCTTGCTTTTCTAGTTCTTTTAATTGTGATGTTAGGGTGTCAATTTTGGATCTTTCCTGCTTTCTCTTGTGGGCATTTAGTGCTATAAATTTCCCTCTACACACTGCTTTGAATGCGTCCCAGAGATTCTGGTATGTTGTGTCTTTGTTCTCGTTGGTTTCAAAGAACATCTTTATTTCTGCCTTCATTTTGTTATGTACCCAGTAGTCATTCAGGAGCAGGTTGTTCAGTTTCCATGTAGTTGAGCGGTTTTGAATGAGATTCTTAATCCTGAGTTCTAGTTTGATTGCACTGTGGTCTGAGAGATAGTTTGTTATAATTTCTGTTCTTTTACATTTGCTGAGGAGAGCTTTACTTCCAAGTATGTGGTCAATTTTGGAATAGGTGTGGCGTGGTGCTGAAAAAAATGTATATTCTGTTGATTTGGGGTGGAGAGTTCTGTAGATGTCTATTAGGTCCGCTTGGTGCAGAGCTGAGTTCAATTCCTGGGTATCCTTGTTGACTTTCTGTCTCGTTGATCTGTCTAATGTTGACAGTGGGGTGTTAAAGTCTCACATTATTAATGTGTGGGAGTCTAAGTCTCTTTGTAGGTCACTCAGGACTTGCTTTAGGAATCTTGGTGCTCCTGTATTGGGTGCATATATATTTAGGATAGTTAGCTCTTCTTGTTGAATTGATCCCTTTACCATTATGTAATGGCCTTCTTTGTCTCTTTTGATCTTTGTTGGTTTAAAGTCTGTTTCATCAGAGACTAGGATTGCAACCCCTGCCTTTTTTTGTTTTCCATTTGCTTGGTAGATCTTCCTCCATCCTTTTATTTTGAGCCTATGTGTGTCTCTGTACGTGAGATGGGTTTCCTGAATACAGCACACTGATGGGTCTTGACTCTTTATCCAATTTGCCAGTCTGTGTCTTTTAATTGGAGCATTTAGTCCATTTACATTTAAAGTTAATATTGTTATGTGTGAATTTGATTCTGTCATTATGATGCTAGCTGGTTATTTTGCTCGTTAGTTGATGCAGTTTCTTCCTAGTCTTGATGGTCTTTACATTTTGGCATGATTTTGCAGCAGCTGGTACCGGTTGTTCCTTTCCATGTTTAGCGCTTCCTTCAGGAGCTCTTTTAGGGAAGGCCTGGTGGTGACAAAATCTCTCAGCATTTGCTTGTCTGTAAAGTACTTTATTTCTCCTTTGCTTATGAAGCTTAGTTTGGCTGGATACGAAATTCTGGGTTGAAAATTCTTTTCTTTAAGAATGTTGAATATTGGCCCCCACTCTCTTCTGGCTTGTAGGGTTTCTGGTGAGAGATCCGCTGTTAGTCTGATGGGCTTCCCTTTGTGGGTAACCTGACCTTTCTCTCTGGCTGCCCTTAACATTTTTTCCTTCATTTCAACTTTGGTGAATCTGACAATTATGTGTCTTGGAGTTGCTCTTCTTGAGGAGTATCTTTGTGGCGTTCTCTGTATTTCCTGAATCTGAACGTTGGCCTGCCTTGCTAGATTGGGGAAGTTCTCCTGGATAATAACCTGCAGAGTGTTTTCCAACTTGGTTCCATTCTCCCCATCACTTTCAGGTACACCAATCAGACGTAGATTTGGTCTTTTCACGTAGTCCCATATTTCTTGGAGGCTTTGCTCATTTCTTTTTATTCTTTTTTTTCTAAACTTCCCTTCTCGCTTCATTTCTTTCATTTCATCTTCCATCGCTGATACCCTTTCTTCCAGTTGATCGTATCGGCTCCTGAGGCTTCTGCATTCTTCACGTAGTTCTTGAGCCTTGGTTTTCAGCTCCATCAGCTCCTTTAAGCACTTCTCTGTATTGGTTATTCTAGTTATACATTCTTCTAAATTTTTTTCAAAGTTTTCAACTTCTTTGCCTTTGGTTTGAATGTCCTCCCATAGCTCAGAGTAATTTGATCGTCTGAAGCCTTCTTCTCTCAGCTCGTCAAAGTCATTCTCCATCCAGGTTTGTTCCATTGCTAGTGAGGAACTGCGTTCCTTTGGAGGAGGAGAGGTGCTCTGCTTTTTAGAGTTTCCAGTTTTTCTGTTCTGTTTTTTCCCCATCTTTGTGGTTTTATCTACTTTTGGTCTTTGATGATGGTGATGTACAGATGAGTTTTTGGTGTGGATGTCCTTTCTGTTTGTTAGTTTTCATTCTAACAGACAGGACCCTCAGCTGCAGGTCTGATGGAATACCCTGCCGTGTGAGGTGTTAGTGTGCCCCTGCTGGGGGGTGCCTCCCAGTTAGGCTCCTCGGGGGTTAGGGGTCAGGGACCCTCTTGAGGAGGCAGTCTGCCCATTCTCAGATCTCCAGCTGCGTGCTGGGAGGACCAATGCTCTCTTCAAAGCTGTCAGACAGGAACATTTAAGTCTGCAAAGGTTACTGCTGTCTTTTTGTTTGTCTGTGCCCTGCCCCCAGAGGTGGAGCCTACAGAGGCAGGCAGGCCTCCTTGAGCTGTGGTGGGCTCCACCCAGTTCGAGCTTCCCGGCTGCTTTGTTTACCTAAGCAAGCCTGGGCAATGGCGGGTGCCCCTCCCCCAGCCTCGCTGCCGCCTTGCAGTTTGATCTCAGACTGCTGTGCTAGCAATCAGCGAGACTCCATGGGCGTAGGACCCTCTGAGCCACGTGCGGGATATAATCTCGTTGTGCGCCGTTTTTTAAGCCCGTCGGAAAAGTGCAGTATTCGGGTGGGAGTGACCCAATTTTCCAGGTGCCGTCCGTCACCCCTTTCTTTGACTCGGAAAGGGAACTCCCTGACCCCTTGCGCTTCCCGAGTGAGGCAATGCCTTGCCCTGCTTCCGCTCGCGCACGGTGTGCGCGCCCACTGACCTGCGCCCACTGTCTGGCACTCCCTAGTGAGATGAACCCGGTACCTCGGATGGAAATGCAGAAATCACCGTCTTCTGCGTCGCTCACGCTGGGAGCTGTAGACCGGAGCTGTTCCTATTCGGCCATCTTGGCTCTAGTTTTTTGTATTTTTAGTAGAGACAGTGTTTCACCGTGTTAGCCAGGGTGGTCTTGATCTCTTGACCTCGTGATCCGCCCACCTCGGCCTCCAGAAGTGCTGAGATTACAGGCATGAGCCACCACGTCCAGCCTAGAAAATGGGTTTCTATTATTTGAGGACATCAATTAGTTGAGTTGTGTGCAGTGTGGTGGTGGAGACAGTGGAGACAGTTGAGCAGCATGTGTGCAAGCACAGACACATCAAAGAGAGAGGTATGTTGGGGGGAGCGTGGGTTCTCATCTGACCCCACCTGTGTATAGGCCCCAACTCTAGCCTGATTTCCTGATTTTGTACAAAGATGACAAGCTCATTCCCAACTTCAGATCTTTGCTATTTGCTCTTCTATGTCTACCTACCAGCTCCTTTGCCCTGCCTTTCTCACGCAGCAACACTTTCCATCCCTTACACGTCCATTTATTCTCTAGCTTTCATGGGTCATTTCAAACCTTACCCCCATGCCAGTGCATGCTGGGTAAGTCTGAATTGTAGACCTGAGTGCTTCTGTTTGTATCATCCTACACTTTTTTTTTAAAGTATAGTATTTAGTATCTTAAGTCTTGCAAAAGCTAAGTTTGCTATGGCTTTACTTCTGGATATGCTATAATTTCTACCACAAAGAGTTGGTGCTCAATAAATATTTCTTACTCGATCAGTAGTCATAATGAAAACAATGTAAACAAAGGTATGAGCACCAAGGGTGTAAAAATGTTTTGAGAGTTGTGGGGGAAGCAGAGCAATAGGTGATTTAGTGGTCATTGCCAATCCCAAGTGTTTTCACTGAAAATATGAACTCAGCCATTTAAAAGTGGCTAATAGGTTTGTTTTTGTTCTCACCTAGGTTTCTGTGACTGGCAGATACAGCATGAAATGTGAGTTCTCTGCAAACCGTAGCTAATATTGGAAATGTGTATTGTGGCTTGAAGTTAGGTATCCTACCTGAGCTCACGTATCTTTTCTCTTGCTTCCAGCACAAGAAGGTGAGATTCCACACAGCATGATAATTACCTATTTACCTGCCAAGGCCACCCTCTTGGTGGCTCATTTCTCTAAGGAGAACCTGGGCTCATCACATTCACCACTGTTTCCCTGGGCAAGGCCTCCAGAGCCAGATAGTACATTATCCCTGAAATGAAATTTGAATCAAACACTTCCAGAACAAAAAAAGTTTTTAATTGTCTGTGAACTGTTTTGACATTTTTGTTGCCAGGTAGGTAGGTATGGAAAGTAGTTTTTAAAATAGACATCAGGATCTGTGACCTTTTGCCAGCACGGTCTGATGTCTGAGCTCATGTTTAGTTTAAAGGGCTACCCCTCCAATAAAGATAAGCTTATTAACACATTATTCTCTTTATTTGGCTTTTTAAACCATGATTCTCCTTTGAGACCCAAATTATTCAAACACAGTAAAATGTAAGAAGTGGCAGTGGTCCAGTAGACATAGATTTTGCAGCAATTCAAATCACAGAATTCCAAATACAAAAAACTCACATTTAGGATTAGAATATTGCTGTAGTTTTGTTTTCAAGGTAAATACAGCGTGTGTGTTTGTGTGTGTGTGTATGTGTGTGTGCATACACCATGAGGTCCTGAATCAAATTTGTTCTGTCAATTGTGTTATCAAAAAGAAAAATTACAGGCTAAGCATTCCTAGAGCAAATATGTTTTACTAATATCATATATTTACAATTTATACTCAAACTGCTTCCCAAAGATATTTGAAGCAATTTATATTAATAACTATATATAAAAAAATTCTGTTGTAGCAATGACTCTGTACCAATCAGAAAAATTACAAGCTATACATTCCTAAAGCAAATATGTTTTACTAATATTATCATATATTTATAATTTATACTTAAACTGCTTCCCAAAGATATTCAAGCAACTTATATTAATAACTACATATAAAAAATTCTGCCGTAGCAATGACTTTGTACCAGTCACTGTTCTATTTTTTACATACGTTTCTATATCTTCATATCTGTGTTTTCTGTTTATGTGTATTAACTCATTTAACTGTCCCCATTTTACAGATAAGGAGACTGAGGCACAGAAAGGTTAATTAGCTTCCCCAAGTTTACACGGCTGATGAGGGGCAGAGCCGGGATCCAAACCTAGGTAGTCTGACTTCAGAGCCCAGACCCATGCCCTCTGCCAGCATAATTAGAGTAAAACTGGACAATTCAATATCATACAGAAGTGAGGAAGGAAACAGACCTAAGGCATCGGCTAACATAGTCATTGTGATTAGATATTCAATGCGAGTCTCAAAGTCTTGGCAATTAAGACATAAATGGAAACATATCAGTGAGAGAAAGCCCGTCAGTTCAAAATTCCTGATGCTGAATTTATTTATTTATTTATTTAGACACAGAGTCTTACTCTGTAACCCAGGCTGGAGTGCAGTGGTGCAATCTTGGCTCACTGCAACCTCTGTCTTCCAGGTTCAAATGATTCTCCTGCCTCAGCCTCCCGAGTAGGTGGGATTACAGGCATGCACCACCACGCCCAGCTAATTTTTGTATTTTTAGTAAAGACAGGGTTTTGCCATGTTGGTCAGGCTGGTCTCGAGCTCCTGACCTCAAGTGATCCTCCCACCTCGTCCTCCCAAAGTGCTGGGATTACAGGCATGAGCTACCACACCCAGGCTGATACTGAATTTAAAAAGTAACATCATCATGCAAATGTTTTGGGGGGCTATAAGGCCTCGACTGGTTTACTCAGGATAGTTTAGTCAGCATGTATGTGGGGGAATGGCTGGGTGTCGACTGACCTCTGAGTCTTCCTCACAGGGGCTGGTACTGCTAGCACGGAGGAAATGAGAGGGGGGGACGGGTAATGCCTTCTGGGCCAGCATGTTTGGGGCAAGCAGGGTGTACCTTATGGGGACACACTTTCTGTCAGGAGCAGAGCTGGGCCTCCAAATGAAAGGCATCTGTTGTTCTCAGGCACATTCTTGGCATTTCATTTGAGAGAAATGCCTGATGGCCAAAATACCAGCAACGTGCTTGTAAATAACAAATTCCTCAGAGTTACTGAACACATCTCATCCTCTTTTTCAAAAAAGCTTACAATCATTCTTTTGCAGCTTACATAGATGTATTGTTTGCACACCAGGGTTTTTCCTGTCAAATATAATACATTCCTTTGTATCCTCTTGCAATGATTTTGAAACACACAGTTATCTACCAGAGACTTAGTCCTGAATTCTGGCACCTGAGCATGCATTGTCATGCCTTGTGAGATTCTCATTGAGTGTGCTGTGGGAACGAGCAGGCAAGGCCCCCACTGAAAGCATGGCTGATGACATAGGGTCAGAATCATTCATTCCTTCCACAAATATTTCATGAGTTAGTTCATGGCACATGTTAGGATCTACACTGGGGATTCAATAATGAATCAGGCGTAATCGCTGAAGGAATAGAAGGTCCTTTGGAAAAGTCTGATAGGACATATGCAACTATCATACAGAGTGATAGGTGGTAAAATAAAATTAATGACAGGGTGTTGTGGGCTCTTATTTCAGCAGGGGGCAGAAGTGAGCACAGAGAGATCCTTGAGGAGATGACATCCTAGCTGAGCAGTTGTTCTGAAGATGAGAGTAAGCAATGCTGTAGGAAAAGGCTGTTAGGAAGAAAGGGAGGCATCAGAAAGCCTGGGACAATGGGACAGCAGGTGCTCTGGAAACTCTAAGCAGTTTGGAATGGCTGTAGCACATGCAAGAGGTGAGCTGAGGGGCATGCACTGTCTGGGTCATTTAGTGCCGTGGAGCGTGCTAATAAGTTTGGACTTTCTTTTTTTGGGCAATGTGGAGCCAATGAAGAATTTTAGGTAAGGAGGTAGCATCGTCATCATCACTATCTTTTTCATTGCTCCTTTGTATGACTTATGTGTTAGACAATGTTCTAGGTGTAACATACACAGTATTGCAGTTGATTCTCCCAACAATTCTCTGAGAGAGATACTATTATTATTTCCATTTTGCCATGCAAAGATGGGCTTTAGAGAGTAGAGTCTATTAGCTTGCTGAGGCTGCCAGAATAAAGTACTACAGACTGGGTGGCTTAAGCAACAAAAAAATTATTATTATTATTATTTATTATTATTTTTTGAGACAGAGTCTTGCTCTGTCGCTCAGGCTGGAGTGTAGTGGCATGACCTCGGCTTGCTGCAACTTCCACCTCCCAGGTTCAAGTGATTCTCCTACCTCAGCCTCCCGAGTCGCTGGGATTACAGGCATCTGCCACCATGCCTGGCTAATTTTTTGTATTTTTAGTAGAGACAGGGTTTCACCATGTTGGCCAGGCTGGTTTTGAACTCCTGACTTCAAGTGATCTGCCCGCCTTGGCCTCTCAAAGTGTTAGGATTCAGGCGTGAGCCGCTGCGCCTGTCCCAAAAAATTATTTTCTAACAATTCTGGAGGCCAGAAGTCCAAGATCAAGGTGACGGCAGAGCTGGTTTCTCCTGGTCTCTGCCCTTGGATTGCAGATGGCTGTCTTTTTCTTATGTCTTCACGTGGTCTTTCCCCTGCACCTGTTTGTGCCCTGACCTCCTCTTCTCATAAAGACACCAGTCAGATTGGATTAAGGTCTACACTAATGACTTCATTTTAACTTAACTACCTCTTTAAAGACCCCATCTCCAAATGCAGTCGCAACTCAGCATATAACAAGAAGTAACTTGATCAAAGTCACAGAGCTGGTAAGTGGTGGTGTGTGGAATTGAACCCAGGCATTCTGACCTGGAGCCCGAGTTCTTAACCATTATGTTGTAAATCTCAGATTTGTGTTTCAGAAAACACATTGAATGTAGAATAAGGAACACACGCTGGAATGGGTAAAGTCAAAGTGAAAAGGACCAGTGAGGAGGCTTTTGTAACAGGTCTAACTGAGAGAGAATTGCACTGAACTCTAACAGTAGCAAGGGGAGTGCCCACAAATTGATACCTTTAGGAGAGATTAAGGAGGTATGAGAACATGGTGACTGAGTGAGAGAAGGGAATGAAGGAATGGACGAGTTGAGAACATCTCCTAGGTTTCTGGCTTGGACACTTGGTGGATGGGAGTGCTGTTTACTAGGAAGATAGGGAACTGACGCTGTTACCAAAGTCCTCTGCATTGAAGGTCTTTGAAGATCTTCATGACAAACCCTGCTCTCTCTGCACTACATGTTGGGGCTGATTGTAAGAATCATGGTTGGCTGATTCAAGATAGACAAGTATTTGCAGCTGCTCAGCACTCTAAAAAATGCATCTCTCTCCTCTTTCCAGAAAGGCTTAAGCCTTTCTTGAAATGTGTATTTTCTTCTGTTTTCCTTTAAATGTTACTTTCTGGATTTTCATACTTGGATTCATGGACTGATTTCTCTGTCTCCTGCTCTGTGCATCAGCTCAGTGAGAATTCGAGAACTCTCTAGTTGTATGTGTCTATGTGAGCATGTGTGTGTGCCTGTGTATGTGAGTGCTGTGTGTAGTCCTAGGTTCCACCAGCTCTGTGGTCACATGAAACTGTAATTGCATTGAACGTGGAAAGATTAAGTGCTTAGTTATGAATTCAGCTTAATAATGGCCCAGGCGTGGTGGCTCACGCCTGTAATCCCTTTGTAAAGCACTTTGGGAGGCCGAGGCAGGAGGATCGCTTGGGCCTGGGAGTTCAAGACCAGCCTGGGCAACATGGCGAAACCCCATCTCTACAAAAAAAAAAAAAACAAAATTAGTTGCATGTGAAGGTGTGTGCCTGTAGTCCCAGCTACTCAGGAGGCTGAGGCGGGGGGCTCGCTTGAGTTTGGGAGGCCGAGGCTGTAGTGAGCCACTACACTCCAGCCTGGGCGACAGAGAGAGATCTTACCTCAAAATAAATAAATACATAAATAAAATAAGAAGAAAAAAGAAAAAATGGCAATGCCTTTTTTTGCTTTGGACCTTTCTTCAAAGAAAGTTATAATAGGTGTGACCTGGGCATCTGTTACAGTACTGGCTCCTTGGGCCATTTATTCCAATGGAAAAAGAAAACCTTTTTGGAAAGAGTGCCATAGCATTTCTGGCCACTACCAACTCCAGCAGGAAAAAGAAGATAGAATTTCTCTCAGAGTTTTGCTAACAGCAGCAATGGCAAGACCTGGAGTTGGTATGACATATTAGAGTTTACACAGTGCTTTCACATACATTATTTTATTTAATCCCCAGAATAACCTCCACTTTTCACCTGGCCAGCTCCTTCATATTTTCACATGCTTTGGTTTTGTTTTCAGCTTCTTGATTCTTTTTATAGGATTGAATTACAATTTACACTTGTTTGTCTTTCTCCCCAACTAAGAATGGGGGTTCCCTGAGGGGAGGGGCATGTCTTCTTACTCACTCTTTTATTCCCAGCAACTCTGCTGAGGACGTTTGAGGAGAGATGGAGGCAGTGCAGACTAAATCTTCTTCTACTTTTTGTTTTAATTTTAGAGGGTAGAGAACAAGCTTGAATTTATTCATTCTACAAGTAGTATCAGCTACTTTATACAACACACCATGGTAGGAGTTCTGGAGATGCGCAGAACTGAATAAAGTTGTTATCCTTAGATGTACAATCTAGGGGGGTCAAGATGGGGTTACAATTTGGGTGAAAATACCAGTTTTCCCAGGACAGACTTGTTTTATGCGTATTGTCCTTCCTTATTTTTCTTTTCTGATCTTTAATATTTAATATTATAGTTTATAAATAAAAATAGAGATATAAATTCATATTCATAGTTATGGGGGATTAAAAACAAATTATTAAAAGAATAACTTATGAGTAATAAGATGAGGCATAGGGAAAGATGGGATAAATATTAACTTTCAATATTTTTCTGAATATGTTTACTTTTTTTTTTTTTTTTGGAGACAGGGTCTCACTGTGATGTCCAGGCTGGAGTGCAGTGGCATGATCTCAGCTCACTGCAACCTCTGCCTCTCGGGTTCAAGCAGTTCTCATGCCTCAGCCTCCCAAGTAGCTGGGACTACATGTGCACACCACCACACTTAGCTAATTTTTGTATTCTTGTAGAGATGGGGTTTTACCATGTTGGCCAGGCTGGTCTTGAACCCCTGGCCTCAAGTGATCCACCAGCCTCAGCCTCCCAAAGTGCTGGGATTATAGGCATGAGCCACAATTTTATACTTGGAAAATGTGAAGAAAAATTTAAGCAAACAAAGGGGAAGAAATCAGATATGCTAGACCCAACTGAAAAATACAGTAATTTCTTCTGACAACCTGCTTATTTCTGTTATCACTAATTACATATTTTAATGAAAACTGAGGTTAACCACATAATATCTAATCATGGCTATGTTTAGGTTCATATAAGGACGGAATGGCACAATTATACAATTAACCCCTGTGAAGGAAAAATAAGGCATTATTTTCTTCACTTTACATGTGAACAAACCAACAGCCAGAAAGGTCAGATGTCTCTGATAATTATTTATTCATTTATCTGTTCATTACACAACACTTACCGGGTGCCTATTATGTGTCAGGCACTGAAAGGGCACTGGAGCTGGAAAGAGGAATGAAATCCAGTCTATGCTTTCTGAAAGCCCAAAGTTCAATAGAAGAAATGAAGACATACAGAGATAATGGTGACATGGCTGGAGGAGTCCCTACTGGATGGACAACTAACTATACCAGGCAGGGTCAGGGTAGAAGGTTCAAGAATGGCTTCCTGGAGAAGAAGAGGCCTGGGGTAGGTAGAACTGTTAGTCCCAGGGTCAGCGAGAAAGGCGCTGTTAGAGCTAGTGGTGAACTCCTTAACCAGTCTAGATCAGGACTTAGCAACTTAGGGACCCTAAGCCAAATGCGACCTACCCCTGTTTTTGTAAATTTAAATTTTTCTTTAAATTTATTGAGATGAAATTTATATAACATAAAATTAACCATTTTAGAGTGAACAACTCGGTGGCAATTAGTACATTCACAACATCATGCAATCACCACCTCTATTGACTTTCAAAACATTTTCATTGCCCCGAAAGGAAACTCCTAAGCTGTTAAGTGGTTACTCTCCATTCCCCTCTTTCCCCAGCCCCTCTTAGCCACCAATCTACTTTTTATCTCTATGGATTTTACCTATTCTGTGTATTTCATACCAATAGAAGCACACACCATGTGATCTTTTGTGGATGGCCCGTTTCAAGTAGCATAATGTCTTTGAGGTTATTCATGTTGTAGTATGAGTGAGTACTTCACTGCTTTTTCATAACTGAATAATATTTCATTATAGGTATATGCCACAATTTGTTTATCCATTCTTTTGTTGATGGGCGTTTGAGTTTGTTCCCACCCCTTTTCTATTGTAAATAGTGTTGCTATGAACACTATTTGCTATTTATTTGAGACCCCGTTATCAGTTATTTTGGGTATATATCTAGTGGTGGAAATGCTGAGTTGTCTGTTCAGCTTTTAGAGGAACTGTCAAACTGTTTCCCACCACAGCTGCATCATTTTACATTCCTACAAACAACTGGTGTGATTATAGCTCAAGGCAGCCTCCAACTGGGCTCAAATGATTCTCCTGCCTCAGTCTCCTGAGTAGCTGGGACTACAGGTGCATGCCACCATATGGGCCCAGCTTAAAAAATATATATATATATATATATAATATATATATATGTATGTATATATTTAGAGGCAGGGTCTTGCTATATTGCTCAGGTTGGCCTCAAACTCCAGGTGTCAAGTGATCTTCCTTCCTCAGCCTCCTGAGTAGCTAGGACTAGGCAGGCAGCACCACACCTGGCTTCCTCCTTTTCCCCCTTTTTACAAGTTATAACCATCCTAGTGGGTGTGAAGTGGTGTCTCACTGTGATTTTGATTTGCATTTCCCTAATGACTAATGAGATTGAGCATCTTTTCATGTGCTTGTTGGTCATTTTTACATTTTCTTTGAAGAAATATCTATTCAAGTCTTTGCCCTATTTTATTTGGGTTGTCTTTTTGTTGTTTAGTTGAAAGAGTTCTTTATATATTCTGGATACTAGGGCCTTGCTGGCCTCATAGAATGAGTTAGGAAGTGTTCACCCCTTTTCTATTTTTTTAGATGAGTTTGAGAAAGATTGGTATTAATTTTTCTTTTAATGTCCACCCCCCATTTCTATGAATAGAGTTTTATTGAGACATAGCTGCATTCACTGATTTCCATATTATCCATGGCTGCTTTTCACTGCTGTCAATGGCAGGGGTGAGTTGTTGCAACAGAGATTGTGTGGTCTGTGAAGCCGAAACAATTCCTATCTGTCCCTTTACAAAAAAAAGTTTGCTAAATCTGCTTTTCTGCTCATATGACTCTCTTATATGGAAAACTGAGAAATATCCCTTTTTGGAGTAAAATAGTCATAATAATTCAAAAACTGCATGAGGCCATTTGGTCATGCAAGTGCTGTTTTACAGGTACATTTCTGTATTTTGGACAATGGACTGAAAAGGGGCCCTCACTTATCACCCTAAGAAATAATGCCGATTAGGATGTTGACAGTGGAGAAAGATGAATATGAATTGGATACAGGATATAAAAGTAAGGGAGAGAACATGTCTGACCTGTGCAATGAAGGAGACGAGGACGCCTCCTCACTTAACTAGGAAAGACAGAGGAGAGCCACATGGTAGGGAAATCGTACAATAGGTCATCTATGTCGTAATATAAATGAGTACTTCATTCCTTTTTTGAAAGTGAATAATATTTCAGTGTATGTATGTGCTGCAGTTTGTTTATCCACTCTTGTGTTGGGAATATATCTAGTGGTGGAATTGCTGGGTTGTAAGTTTAACTTTTTGAGGAACCACCAAATTGTTTTCCACAGAAGCAGCACCATTTTACACCCCTACCAGCAATGTACAAAGCTTCCAATTTTTCTACGTCTTTGCCAACACTCTTATTCCCCTATTTTGAAATTATAACTATCCTTGTGGGTATGAATTTTTGTGGTATCTTCAAGTTTTGATAGGCTGAGTTTGGGGTTATTTAATTAAATTAAATTCATTAATTAATTAATTTATTTATTTTTGAGATGGAGTTTTTGCTCTGTTGCCCAGGCTGGAGTACAATGATGCCATCTCGGCTCACTGCAACCCCCGCTTCCTGGTTCAAGCAATTCTCCTGTCTCAGTCTCCCAAGTAGCTGGAATTACAGGCGCCCACCACCATGCCTGGCTAATTTTTGTATTTTTAGTAGAGATGAGGTTTCACCATGTTGGCTAGGCTGGTCTCAGGAGATCCACCCACCTTGGCCTCCCAAAGTGCTAGGATTACAGACGTGAACCTCCACACCACGCCCAGCCTGGGGTAACTTTTAAACATCTAAACAGAAGTGGCATGGCGAGGCGACAGATCACCCCTAAAAAATAGTCCTCGCCTCTCAATAATAAATGTATCAAGACAGACTCTCAGACCGTTCTGACTTCCAGAGGCATTTGCTACCTAACTGGGCCCTTCTAAAAGACTGGATGAGGCCGGCATCTCCCCACACCCTGATCTGGAGCCTTAACCCTGTCTTAGAGGCCTCTCCTGTCAGCCCCTGAAGTTTTCGCATGGTTTCCCTTAGGAGGCACATCAAGTCCTCTCACAAATTACGTCTCCAGTGTTTTAAAGTCCGACGTGCCTAAGCAGATTATGTTTTCCCTAACTCTCACTAAACGCACAATTACAACTACCCAACTTCCATTGTTCACACTAAACTGGAAGCTTTCTAATATATTTTACAAAAAAAGTGTTTGCCTATGTAAAAAAAAAAAGAAAAAAAATATATATATATATATAATCTGGGGCAAGGAATGAATCAAGATGAAGAAGTCAAGCATGGACAGATGGTAGTAGAAAGACTAGTTGTGAGTGTGGATTCCATTCAAATATACATCTAAGAAGAAATGAATGGGGGAATTATGATTTATGTAAAGGTCTCAAACTCTGACGAAATAGAAATAATATAAAGCAACAAAAATTGGGAGGGAGATTGGAGGTAGGAGGAAGTAAAAGAGGGTCTCAAATTTTTTTTTTTTTTTTTTTTTTTGAGACACAGTCTCACTTTTTCACTCAGGCTAGAGTGCAGTGGCACAATCTCCACTCACTGCAACCTCACCTTCCGGGTTCAAGCAATTCTCCTGCCTCAGCATCCTGAGTAGCTGGGATTACAGGCACCCACTACCACGCCCAGCTAATTTTTGTATTTTTAGTAGAGACAGGGTTTCACCATGTTGGCCAGGCTGGTCTCGAATTCCTGACCTCAAGTGATCCACCTACCTGAGCCTCCCAAAGTGCTGGGATTACAGGTGTGAGCCACCATGCCCAGCCTGGGTCTCATCTTTTTTAGTGGGGAATCAATCCAAACTATTTAAAAATAAAATATGTATTTTTTTAAAACTGGCAGCCACAGATGATGACTCCAGGCTGATAATGACTTAAATTTCTTTCTGGATCTCAGATGGCAAAGAAAGAAACATTTATCTGAAATTCTGCAATTTCCTCACTTTTACTTCAGTTTCTTTTATCTTTGTAAATGCACCTAAAATAAGATCAAGTATTTTTAAAGGATAACTATTACATAATTTTATTTTAATGAAATCATTTTTGTGTCTATCTTTATCCGTTTATAGATATCTCTATCAAATCTAACGTATTAATTCTTCTTCTGTTGGTTTGGAGAGATTCCGTAAAAACAATATTCGTAGACTCTTACCATTGCTTATTTCTGGCTGTCACGGTTTGAAGTGAGTTGTTTCTTTCTTGGAACTTTGTGGATTGCTGAGTTTTTTATGCTTTTGTACATATACAGGTATTACTTAAGAAGATAAACTTAGCCGATATTTTCCCATAAATTCACTTTATAAAGGTTAGTTATTTTAAAGGTTATATATAAAATTCCTGAATGCATTTAGAATTTTACTTAACATCATGTTATGAAGACCATTTTATTACTTCCCACTATTCATTTGAAAGGAAGATTGTTTTAAGATTCTTATATTTTTACAAACACTGCTGAGCTCAAAAAACATTTAAACTTGCAGGCCACATTTGCCTAATTAGAAGTGTGAGCCTTTTTCTTAAGTTTCATAGTCTCTCTTTAATAACTGTATTGGATTTATATTTCTAATACAGAATCCTACTCCAAAGGGAGGAACATCACACCACTGGTTTTATTGGTCTTGGAGAACAGTAAGGCCATTGAAAATATTCAGAGGAACAGAAAAATCAGCACATGTTATATGTGATACCTGGATCTGTTGTAAAAGAAGAAAAACAAATTGGAAATTAAATATAAACTATTGAGATAATAAGAGCTCTGGTTGAATTCCTAATAACTAGGAAATTTGTTTGGGCCTGACATGTGAGATTTAACATGTTTCTTTATGACTAAGTTTACATTTGAATGGAAAGGAACCATTTTCAGAAGTTACTTGAAGCTTTAATTAATGCATTTTCAGCTTCCCTGGCAGAAGTTTAGTCTCTCTCTTTCATCCTTGTATAATTTCCTTTCTTTCCTGCTCCCTCCCTCCCTTTCTCTGTCTTCCTCATCTTTCCCCCTTCCACCCCACCCTCCCTCTCTCCTTTTTTTTTTCTTGCATTCTTTTTCTAAATGTAGTTTAAGGCCTATTTACTTAGGCCTCGTTTCCAGACCTTGACAGATGCGAGCTGTGCCCTAACACCGTGCATCCAAGTCAAGCCTCAGTGTGCTCTAACCCCAGTGTTTATGCTGCCTATTAAAGGCATCACTTTTTGGAAATATATAGGGAGTTAAATGATCTCTGACAGCTGTGAATTGCAGAAAAAAAGGACTCTATTGTTCAAAGAGCTGCCTTTAATATTGAGAAGCCCTTGCTAAACACTGCAGTCTGCAGTATGGCAAATGTTAATTGGCTGTAAACTTAACAAGAGCCGGTTTTCCTCCGTTCCCTCAACCTCCCCCAGTTCATTTTCTCCCCACTGCCTCTTCCAATGTTCTAGTTTCTAGTATTCTACTTCCATTTGCCTTGTAAACTCGCCTCTCTTAGATACCCTCTAAGATTTTTGGAAGTGCTATTTTCTCATAGTACTTTTTTCTTTTTGAAAGTAAACAGTGTACAACCAGACTCATTAGAGGCAAAAGTTCAGAAGTTTTGAATGTCCGGTCTGTGGAAGTCTTTGGTGTTCCTGATGGCCTCCTGGATACTTCTGCTTTCGTAAGCCATGTGAGATTAGTTTCCTCTCAGAGCTTCTCCAGTGATTTTTCAAGAGCAAACTTTATTTTATTATTTATTTATTTGAGACGGAGTCTCCCACTGTCATCCAGGCTGCAGTGCACTGGCGCGATCTTGGCTCACTGCAACCTCCGCCTCCCAGGTTCAAGCGATTCTCCTGCCTCAGCCTCCCGAGTAGCTGGGACTACAGGTGCCTGCCACCACGCCCGGCTAATTTTTGTATTTTTTAGTAGGACAGGGTTTCACCTTGTTGGCCAGGATGGCCTTGATCTCTTGATCTCGTGATCTGCCCATCTCGGCCTCCCAAAGTGCTGGGATTATAGGTGTGAGAAGAGCAAACTTCATTTATCCCTGGGCATTTTATGGCTAATAAGCAAGGGTAATAAGAACAATGTAGGATTGTTTAAGTCTTTCAGAATGGAGGGGAATCCCATAACCTTTGGTGGCCTCTTCCTATCGCTAATATTCTTCCTAATCTCTTCCATGAGCCCAATCCAACGTGTCTATTAGGCCCAACTCAAGTTCCACTTTTGTTTTATGCCCAACGTTTGTAGTGCCTATCATCGTTCAATACTCACATATTGTGTTAGTTTATATATATATGTATTTGCCAGAATTTAGATTTCATATAACTTGACTATTTTAAAAAATAAGATTCACTGAAGATGTTACTAATATGGCTGAATATTTGCAGCTCATACATAAGCTTACAAATCTGAGAGCATGTGTTGATTTTGACTGCCTCATTTTTTGCCTTCATCTTTCGAGTCTGCACCATACAATGTGATGCCTAGATAAACACTTTGAATGGCCTGTTGACCTGGGCACTGCCAGGTGCACATTTTCAGTTCATTAGTTTGGTTTCCTTCTGAGGTTGTAAGCTTCTTATGAATTGAACATCACTTTATCATCCCTTTACCTCCATAACCAATTCAGAGCTGAGCACTTTGCAGGTACTCAGTGAATGTTTTGAGTGATAAAAATTGACATTTTTAAAGCTGGAGGAGGTCTTAGAAATCAACAACCACTCTTTCACTTTGCATTTAATTAGTTTTTTTTATTTTGTTCTTTAATTACTTTTTGGTTGTATGCGAATAGCAATTTTGTTTATTTTTACTTACATAAAATGTCATTAAAAATTAATACATGTTTGATTACCTGAAAAAAATGTTCTGCTCATTGTCTAAGTCTCAATTGACAAACTTTGCCCTTAGTGAAGTCTTTCCTGACTTTCCCTGATCTTTTCAGTCTGCCATGAGACCATATAGTATCACTCATTATGGGTTATATGATTTTATATGTTAATTGTTGGACTCTCTTCTAGACTGTAAGCTCCTCAAGGAGAGATACCACGTTATTTTATTTTGTAAGCTAAACATTCAGGCCTTCAACAAAATGCAGAGTTGGTCAAACAGTTATCAAAGAACCCTTTCCATGTGTTCAGCATAATCTTGTTATTTATCTATTGTGCTATGCATCTTTTAATATTGATTTGTAGGAATTCTTTAAATATTAAGGATTTAATCTTGTGTTGACTTTGCAAATATTTTCTTCTAGGCCGTGAACTCTCTTTTAATTTTCGTTTATGTGTTTTAAACTTTTGTGTAGTCATTGTGTCCATCTCTTCTCACAAAAAGACCTTTATGATGTGTAAGTGTAATGTCATGCTTAGTGAGACCTGTGGGAGGGGCTCTGGCACTAACTGTGTCTGAGTGAACTTTAATCCATGTGTTCCACAAGCATTTGAGCACCGGCTATGTGCCCAGCACCAGGGCAAATGCTGAGTAGACACAGGGTCTCCCCTCAGAAAGCGTAGAGTATATTGTGAGAGATAGACACTTAAAAACGTTTATAGTCTAGAAGGGTCTATGCTGTTAAGAATAAGGAAAGCTGGGTGTGGTGGCTCATGCCTGTAATCCCAGCACTTTTGGAGGCCAAGGTGGATGGATTACCTGAGGTCGGGAGTTTGAGACCAGCTTGACCAACATGGAGAAACCCTGTCTCTACTAAAAATACAAAATTAGCCAGATGTGGTGGCACATGCCTGTAATCTCAGCTACTTGGGAGGCTGAGGCAGGTGAATCGCTTGAACCTGGGAGGTGGAGGTTGCAGTGAGCCAAGATCGCGTCATTGCACTCTAGCCTGGGCAACAAGAGTGAAACTCCGTCTCAAAAAAGAAAAAAAAAGAAGAAGAAGGCTAGAGTGCTGCTGAGGGAAGATTTCGCAAGGCATATTACAAAGCCCTCACTTGGTTGGGTGAGGATGTAGTTAATTGGAAGAATTCCCATATGAATGACATTCTAAGCTGGGTCCAGAAGGACAAAATGGATCTGGAAGGAAAGATGTTGCTGGCCTCTCAGAATGTCTCTGTTTAGTGGGTCTCAATTTATCATTCCAGTTTATCAGACTGAGAGGCACCTGACAGGTATTGGGACATTCCCAAGCCTTGGGATCCAACTCCTGTGTTACAGGCAACTCCAGGTTAAGCTGTGCTCAGGTCTGCATTTTATTCCCAATCCTGTCATTTATGGCCTGACTTCCTCGTTGTTTAACCTCTTTAGCCCCAGTTTCCAAATCTGAAAAACTGGGTAAGATACAGATAGTTGTCTCACATAATAGGAAAGATTAAACTATATGATAAATGGAAAGCTGCTTGCACACTCTGGTTTCATGCTCAATAAAATCTTGATTCTCCATACCCCCTTAAACTTTGCCTGGAGTACAGCACATTTTATTCTGGTCACTTAAAGAACTCCTTCATACATAAAAATATGGCTGGGGGTGGTGGCTCACACCTATAATTGCAGCACTTTGGGAGGCTGAGGCAGATGAATCACAAGGTCAGGAGTTCGAGACCAGACTGACCAACATGGTGACCAACCCCGTGTCTACTAAAAATACAAAAAATTAGCTGGGCATGGTGGTGGGCACCTGTAATCCCAGCTACTTGGGAGGCTGAGGCAGGAGAAGCACTTGAACCTGGGAGGCAGAAGTTGCCGTGAGCCAAGATCACATCATTGCACTCCACTCCAGCCTAGGTGACAGAGCAAGACTCTGTCTCAAAAAATAAATAAATAAATATATATATATATATATATATATATATATATATATATATATATATATGATAGTGAGTTTGTTTAAAAATGATCTCTAAACTGTCATTGATGGGTTATGTTGAAAGTATTTGTGGATTAAAAAAATTTAGAGTGTTATCTCCCACAAGTATGAAATATGGCATTAACTATCCAAAAAATTACAAAAAATTAAATATTTCTTCTCTAGGTGAAACCAGCTCCTCCCCTCCTCCTTATTTATTACATTCTGCTTCTAAGCAGTACTTTTATTTGAAAAATGCATGCAAGTTACTGCAGAGCCTTTTATAAATCTCGTGCATGCACGCTTGTGCACACGTGTACACTCGGCAATTGAGCTAGAATGATTTACTGGAAAATTGATGTGTGATCTGTTCTGTCACTTGCCTTCCCCAGTTGGAAAAAAAATGACAGGTTCTCTCTCCATCTCACCCAATCTCTCTATCTCTCTTTCCCCAGCTTTAGAGATTTTACAGAACCCATAATCAATGCTGCTGTTTGAGAGCCTCCTCTTTTTGTATTTTATGAAATGTAAAGCCCATTGAAGACATTTCCTGAGGTGTCCTTGAGGGAATGGGAAGGGGGACGAGTGCATTGGAGAGCTGAACAGTGACAGCAGCAGCAAGGTGCAGTTTCTAAATCAGAGGTGTGGTCAGAGGCCAGCAGTTTCTCAAGTGATGGGACTTGTGCCTATAAAGTGAAATGTCTCAGCAAGACCTCAGGAGGCAAAAGGCTTTCTGGTGCTGTTGGGAAGGCAGGACTTTAGCATGAGGATTTCTCTTTGTAAATGGTCTCTGTTACCCCTTGAAAAAGAAAAGCCTGTTCACCCACAGGGAGACCTTGGGGCTTGTGACAGTGAGAAGAATAGGGTCTGGTAGCAGATTCTGTTTGCCAGAGGTGGACTCCACAATATCTTCCATCCTACATGCCCTTCTTTGATGTGGCCCTGCCACACTCTATAGAGGGGTGAGGTCTAGTTTCTCTCCCCTTGCATCTGGGCTGGCCTAGAGATTGGCTTGTAACCTGAAGTCGTGCAGCTTCTGCTTTTGTATTAGTCCATTTTCATACTGCTATAAAGAACTGCCCGAGACTCGGTAATTTATAAAGAAAATAGATTTAATTGACTTACAGTTCAGCATGGCTAGGGAGGCCTCAGGAAACTTACAATCATGCAAAGGGGAAGCAAGGCACCTTCTTCACAAGGCAGCAGGAAGAAGTGCCTGGTGAAGGGGGAAGAGCCTCTTATAAATCCATCAGATCTCATGAGAACTCACTCACTATCAAGAGAACAGTATGGGGGAAAAAGCCCCCATGATTCAATTACCTCCACGTGGTCTTTCCCTTGACACATGGGGATTATGGGGAATATGGGGATTATAATTCAAGATGAGATTTGGGTAGGGACACAGAGCCTAACTATGTCAGTTTTGGTCTTTGGCAAGTAAGTTCTCTGGGCACTCCTTCCAGGGGTGCTCCATTCCAGGACCCAGCTGGCTGCTATGCTGTAAGAAACCCAAGCTCGGTGGACAGGCCGTGTGTAAGCACTCCAGTCGACAGCATTGGCCAGGCTCAGTTTTGCAGCCATCCTGAACAGCTTCCAGATGATTCCAGCCTCTCGCTCTTCTTCTTCCCATCTGAGTCCCCAGACATTGTGGAACAGAGACAAGCATGCACAGGGTTCCCCAACTGAATTCCTAACCACAGCATTCATGATTGTACTGAAATGGTTGTTGTCTTATGCCACTAATTTTTTTTTAAATGAGCTTTATCAAGGTATTTTAAGACATGTCCATCAACCCAAAAATTTCATTGTGCTTTTTGTCATTAGTTTCCTCTCCTAATCCCAATCCCAGACAACTTCAGATCTGCTTTCTGACTCTGCAGTTCCTTCTTTTCTAGAAATTCCATACAAATGGACTCATATGAGTCTTTTTTTTTTTTTTTTGACACAAAGTCTCACTCTGTTGTCCAGGCTGGAGTGCAGTAATGCGATCTTGGCTCACTGCAACCTCCGCCTCCTGGGTTCAAGAGATTCTCGTGCCTCAGCCTCCTAAGTAGCTAGAATTACAGGCGCCCACCACCAGGCCTGGCTAAGTTTTGTATTTTTAGTAGAGATGAGGTTTCAGTATGTTGGCCAGGTTGGTCTCAAACTCCTGACCTCAGGTGATCCACCTGCCTCAGCCTCCCAAAGCGCTGGGATTACAGGCGTGAGCCATTGTGCCCGGCCTATATGAGTCTTTTATTTGAAGTTGCAGTGAGCTATGATTGCACCACTGATCCCCAGCCTGGGTGAAACAATGGGACCCTGTCTCCCAAAATAATAATAATGATAATAATAATAATATGAGTCTTTTCTGTTTTATGCCACTGCACTTTTGGGATATTTTGTTATGTAGCAATGAATGGCTGGAAGAACTTCCCTTTCCATTGTCTAGACATTGCATGAGTTTTATGAACAATTGTGCCCTTAAGGAGGGAAGGGTGCCTGATAATGGCTAAGACTGAATTCTCTCTTTAGGCTAATTTAAGTGGATTTAAAAGAAGTGGACATGTGCTGTTTCCTCTTTATCTGAGTTGGTAGACTAAGATTCATTTATGGTCTTTACCATGATGAAGTCAAGGGATAGGCCTATTTTTAGAGTAGTGTTTAAGGGTTCTACACATTTTCATGAAACACGAAGAGCTACTGAATATGACCAGCTGACCAGCTCTGCTCCCCATCAGCTGCCTGTAACTGGGAAATGCAGCAGATCTTATCCATCCTTCCTTCTGGTGCCACAACATAGACCTGCTGCCTCATTCCTCTATTCCAGGGCTGTAGAAGGCGACGAAGGTCACATTATCAAGTGGGAAACTATTGTGCCTCTGTTGTTTCAGGGAATTTTAGACTTTTAGAATCCCTTACAGGTTTGGGAGCTTTATATTTTTATTCTTTGCCAACCCAAATATCAAGAAGCCTGAGAGGAAGAATTGACTAGGCAAATGAACTGCCGTGGAGCTGTTTCTTATTTATAGGAAAGTAGTTATAAAAATCAAGGAAAGAGCCTGGTGCCCTTGCTTATGCCTGGAATCCCAGCACTTTGGGAAGCTGAGGCAGGAGGATCGCTTGAGCCCAGGAGTTGGAGACCAACCTGGGCAACATAGGGAGACCCCATCTCTACAAAAAATTTAAAAATATAGCCAGGTGTGGTGGTGCATGCCTGTGGTTCCAGCTACTCAGGAGGCTGAGGTGGGAGAATCCCTTAAGCCCAGGAGGTCGAGGCTGTGAGGCATATGGCACCCCTATACTCCAGGCTGGGAGACAGAGTGAAACCCCATCAAAAACAAAACCAAACAAAACAAAAGGCAAGGAGACAAAATCTATGGGGAAAGGAGTGGGTGAAAATTGAAGCAAACTCAGAAAAGTGTCCAAAATATTATGCCTAGAGGCAAACATAGGAAGGATCAAAAGAAAACATTTAGTCTCTCCTCACCCCTAATTTGCATGAAATCCAGTAAACACAAGTAAATGCACAACTAAACCGGGTTCTTTTCAACACCTCTGGGGAGGGCACTCACAAGTCCTCCTGGGGTAACTCAGAGCTATTTAAAAATAATAAAGGAAAAGAATACTGTTGACAGGTGCTATGTGCTTTGCTTGATGTAACCCTTGTTTCTCAAATTGGTTTGTCTCTAGGTAATATTTTTATTAATCCTCTCAGATGCTTTAGTGTCACTTCATTGAAATTAATTTTTTTGTTGTTGGTCCAGGTCTCTGCGGAAGATGCTCTTTGTGGAGTGAATCGTTAACTGGGGAGGAGGCCACCTAGATTCAGTTATAGAACATCGTGGATTAGATTGTCATACATCAAGGAGCCGAGGACCATTCCCTGGGTAGCGAAGGTGATTATGATTTATTGTAATTCTAAGTGGGCTCCAAGCTGGATAGAGGATTATCTGCTCATTACTCTCTCTTTGGAAAATCCAATCCGAAAGGAGGTCTTTGGAGGTCACAGATCTTTGGAGGGTCTTTGTGTCTTGTTTCTTAAGTCTGTCTTTACTCACGTGTTTATAGAGGACATAGATGAAGGCTGCTTGCCCCCTTTACATGGGACTGACAGTGCTCCCACTCAGTATGGCTCTCATCAGAGATCCCAGGAAACTCCCCCAAACCCACTGAAGTGAACTGTGGCTCAGACTCGGGAAGGAATGGCACATCCTGCATGTGTGTGTGTGACTCCTGGGTGATGTTCTCGGGGACAGGGGCGCCTTCTCCAGGAGTGGCCAGAGTCCTGTCTGACTTGGACCTGGTCATAACCCTGTCCACTGTGTCCTGGCCCTGTATTCTGCTGCTTTTCCATGAGCCTCACCATTTGGCCCACATCTGGCCGGCCCCAGAGCTCTTAACACTATTGGAGTTGCCAGTCTCTGCCTCAAATTGCACAACATTTAGGTTTTTTTTTTTTAAATACAGAGTAGATTTTCTACCTTTTTTTTTTTTTTTTTTTTGAGACAGGATCTCACTCTGTTGCCCAGGCTGGAGTACAGTGCCACCATCTCTGCTCACTGCAACCTCTGCCTCCCGGGTTCAAGCGATTCTCCCACCTCAACCTCCCAAGTAGCTGGGATTACAGGCACATGCCACCACACCTGGCTAATTTTTGTATTTTTAATAGAGACAGAGTTTCACCATGTTGGCCAGACTGGTCTTGAACTCCTGGCCTCAAGTGATCCACCCACCTCAGCCTCCCAAAGTGCTGGGATTACAGGTGTGAGCCACTGGTCCCGGCAGATTTTCTCTTTTAAGACCCAGTATTGTTTTACTGCCTTTTAGTCTAGATATTTATCTTTCTACTTATTATTTTATGGACTTACGCTGTTCTGGGAAGTTTTCTGAGCCACTCCTCCAAATAAGAATGCTCTCTGCTTATGTGTGATCTTAAAAATAAAATCCCTTTATTATTGATTGGAAATTTAAACTCAATGACCTAGTTTCGGACTGAAACAGGTGTCACTTATAAACTAAGGGTTGCTTGGAAATTTTCTCATTATTCAAAAGCTTTTATTCCCCGCCCCCTACCCCTGTCCCCCCTCTGCTGCTCTCTGGTGATTTCCAATCTATTATTCAAGGATCTTTTGGTTGAAAAAGGTAGGGTTTAGAAAGATCTGACTCAACACTATCACTTTATGGGGTCACTGTTGTTTTTTTTCTCTTTCTACACATAAGACACACTTACTTAGGTTGCAATGTTAATTAGCAAGCAAGAAAAGACAAGACAAGAGGAAAGCCGTAGCTTCTCTGACAATGAGAGTGCTTTGAATTCATGTGCACGCTGGCAGTTGCCTGGCCAGGAGTGGGGACACATGGAGGGATACTGGGCACATGGAGTAGTATTAGTTCACCTTGACTTAGGTGGCTTTAGGTGGCTCCTCCTTTTATCCCTTGGAAGAATCCATGTTCTTTGCCTTTGGTAGAAATATTGTTTTGTATCTTAGCCAAACCCCATCGAGGCTTCTTTAAAAATAATGAGTCACAGTCATTTTCTTAAAAAGGGACAAAGAAAAGGCTAATCAGTAAACGTGATATGGAGGAGAAAATTGGCATGCACATGTCAAGTGATTTAAGCCCCTTAGCAAGTGAGGGCTTTCTCCATCAGGCCAGACCTTGCATGATATATTTAATTGGGAGTCGGGTGGGAGTTTGGCGGAATTCCAAGCCAGAGCAACTCCAGGGAGAGAGGTGTGTGTGAGAAGAAGGGGTGTGGGGTGGAGTGAATACCTGAGCATTCAGAATCACAAAGGTTTCTAGGCAAAAATTATCCCTGCCCTCAACTAGACCCAATTAGGGAGAGTGACACAACCCACATCACTGCTTCTCAGCTCATTAATTCCTGCCACTTGAGAATGCAGATTTTCTTTCCCCCTATCATATCTCAAGTCCCAGGCAATGTACTTGTAGCTTGTGATGCTGCTGCATGAAGGCCTCGTGGCCATGGCAGGCCATGCTGTACAGGGCTGGGGCTGTATCTGTTCCGTAATAAAAAGTCAGTAGACCCATGCAGAATGCTAGAAAGAGCCTCACAATGACAAAGTGACTCCTGGTAATCCTAACTTTTTTGACTTAGTGGCAAAGCCTGACTTAAACCCCAAACCTTCTCATTTCAAGGTGAAATCATTCCCTTCTCCTGCTCTAAGGCTTAATAAGGTGTGTATTAATCTGCCAGGGCTGCCATAACAACATACCATGGGCTGTGAGGCTTACACAACAGAAATTTATTTTCTCATTGTTCTGGAGGCTGGAAGTCCAAGATCAAGGTGTCAGCAGGTGTGGTTTCTCCCGAGGCCTCTCTCCCTGGCTTGCACTGCCTCTCACTGGAGGCAGTGAGAGGCTGGAAGTCCAACAGCAAGGTGTGTGCAGGTGTGGTTATTCTGGAGGCTGGAAATCCAAGATCACAGTGTCAGCAGGTGTGGTTTCTCCTGAGGCATCTCTCCCTGGCTTGCACTGCCTCTACACTGTCCTCACATGGCCTTTCATCTCTGTTCTAGCATCTCTGGTAAGGACATCAGTCATATTGGATTAGGGCCCACTCTAACAGCCTCATTTTAACTTGATCACATCTTTAAGGGCCCTTTCTCCAAATACAGTCACATTCTGAGAGATTCAGGTTAGGACTTCAATGTATAAATCTTGGGAGAACACAGTTCAGCCCATAACAGGGTGTGACAAGGACATCAAGAACATGGGAGGGAGATCACAGCCTGTCTTGTGGCTTCCATGCAGTCACTGACTCAACGTATAAACCAACATTCTGTATTTCCAGCCTTATTTCATTGTCTTTTTGGTCTGGGTGATGATCTTGTTTCTCAGTAATTGACCATTCAAAGGGTACCCAGTTCCACAAGGAGGATGATGTTGGCTCTCAATGTTGGCTATTGCACTTGAGAAATACTTGGAGGAGATCTAGCATGGGAATATATAAGGCATGGTAGTCTGTAAAATTCTCTGGGAGGCCCCAGAGAGAAATCCTAATTTCCAGTCCTAATTTCTCTGTGGTTTTTTTTTTTGTACATTCCTTTTTTCCTTTCCTTCAAGGAATACACTTTACATAAATTTGCTTTGATCATGCATGTGGAGCAAGAGTCATGGAACATTTTAAAAAATACTTGTCTTTTCTCGACATTGTAAACATGATAATTTCTGTTACAGACTAAATATTTATGTCTCCCCCAACCCCACCAATTCATATGTTGAAGTCCCAACCCCCAATGTGATGGTATCTGGAGGTGAACCCTTTGGGAGGTAATTAGGGTTAGATGAGCTCACGAGGGTGGGGACCTCTTGATGGGATTAGTGGCTTTATAAGCAGAGGCAGAGAGAGATTTTTCTCTTTCTTCCAGGAGCACAGTGGAAAGGCCATATAAAGTCACAGTGAGAAGATGGTTATCTGCAAGCCAGGGAGAGAGCTCTCTACTGATACCAACCCTGCTGGCAGCTTGATCTTGGACTTCCAGCCTCTAGAACTGTGAGAAAATAAATTTTAGTTGTGTAAGCCACCCAGCTAGTGGTATTTTGTTATGGCAGTCTACTACCATTTCCTAAGAAAAGAGTAATGCTTCTAGAAGAAAGGTAGGAGCAGCCATAATTTTAGAGAAAGTCATAGATCTTGGGTTTATCTATCAGATGCCTTTGAGTTCACAGACACCTCTAGAATTCTGTAGAGAACACTGATCTTTTTCACTTTGTGAGATTTAGGAGTGGAGCTTTCTACCAGGAGACACTAAGTCACTTGGTGGAATGTGACAGAGGCATGAGAATCAGGTTTCCCTGGCATAAACTGATGTGAGAATAGGTCACCAGGCACCTGCTATGGCTGGAAATGCCTGTGTACAGTGCGCGGTGCATTCACCCAGCACTTTCCTCGTTCGCCCACCAGGACTCTCCTCGTGTCAAATGTGCAGAAGGAAAGGAATGAGGGTCTGGCATTTTAATGGATTCGGGGTAAAACACTGCATCCTCTGAAGTGATCCATATATTCTGGAAGTCAAAAATGTTTTATCTAAGTAAGCAGATCATTGCCTCAGTTCTCTTACAGTTTTTGAAATGTGTATGTGTTTGATTTGTACTTAAAGTGTCAGGTCCCTGACATCACAGTTGTGGGTGGTTAGATCTGATGTCAGGAGGGGATATTAGGGACAGATAGAGAACTACAGGGAAGGCAACTTGATCCATGTCTGCTCTGGTGTGTCTCACACAGCTTTGAACCCATGGACCGGCCTCCTGCCCTTGGCTGCTGGGAAGCTTACAGCTCAGCCATCTCTGTGTTCTGGTTTCTTTCTTCCCATTCCCTGAAAGCAGTGACTAGGAGATAAGAATAACTTACACTGGAAGTGTGGCTGTGGACCTAAGTGGGGATAAGCATAATATACGAAGTGAATGCTGCTGACACCTAGCAGGCTGTTACTCTCCACTCTTGTTATCGGAGGCAGCAGGCAGGGGAGGAGATTCGGCTGATCTGTGTCCAGGTCCTGCTCTGAGGCTCCCTGGCTCAACACGACCTATTCACCCCGCTGACTTTGGCCTCCTCATCTGCAAAACGGGAGGAATTTCTGCCATGCCTGACTCACAGGGTTGCTGTGAAGATTAAATGAGAATATATTTGTAATTTGGGAACGTATTTGTAGTATGTACTTATATCACATACATATGTAATATGTATGCATATATGTATGTGCATACATATAAATATGTATATGTATGAATTATTCTTATCATTTCCTAGTCATCATTTTATGTGAAATGCGGCAATAATGGAGAACTTACGGGAGGCAAATTCAATGTTATGATTGACATTCTGAAAGGACCCTATGTGGGGGAGGAGGGGGGTGCAGTAATATATGACTTCGTTTGCGGTGAGAGGGCGTGCAGTTTTAAGTATGTGTGGCCTTCCAATTGTCTCTAGTTTGTTTTCTAAAACCACAGTTCATGACATCCAGCTTTTACAAGACGAAATGTTTCCCTGATGAAAAAAATATTAGCAGTAGGTTAGAAATATCGAAAGAAACACATAAGTTTGTGCCCTCCAATGTGTCTGTAAGACTCCTCGGAAAGATATCAGCTGGTATTCAAGAATTTTTTCTAACTTAAATTCATTTCTCCTCCTCCCTCCCCACCATTTTTTCCTAGTTAGAATTTAGTGTTTGCCGGCTGGGCTTGTTCAGCCTGTGCTTGTCGGCTCCAGCTTGGGTCAAACGTGAGCGGCTGGACATCAGGGACCACAAGGTGGCGCTCTTGCCCGTGGGGGTGGGATCTGGCCCACCTTAAGATGGCCTCCATCTCCCCTTGGCTGTGGTTCAGAATCCCCCCAGACTCATGCAAAGAGGGCACAGCTATTTGTGAAGGAGGTCAGTGCCTGCAGCGAGATGATTGAAAGAAGGGGCGGAGCTCTGGATTCCTCTCTCTGGGTCAGCCTCTGGACTGATGCAGCGTTGATGCTGCACGTCCTGTGGAGTGGGTACACTGGGAGTCTAACCTGGAGACAGCCACTCACGCTTGACCCCTGTCCCAAAAAGAAAAAGGGTCACGAAGCTTTCAGGAAGCTCTACTCTGCTTTCTTCCCAATGATCTCCACAGCAATGGGCATTTCTTTTCTTTTTCCCCCTTGAAATTTAACTTAACGTTACATTTTATTTAATTATTTCTCCCCATGCCAAAAAAAAAAAAAGATACAGAATAGCTTAATTGAGACACTAAAAGAGAATAAACTGAATAAAAGGAACTCATGGCAAATGGAAATTAAAATGAAGATCAAGTTAGACTCAGTGTGCAAACCTATAGAGCCTATATATTTATGCTTGAAGTTCTCAGGGAAGCAAAAGCTCTTGCCTTGGGCCCCCTGCTGTAATGCAATTTGTGCAGACCCTGAAGGTATTCACAGAGCTGTCTGGGCCCTAAAGGCTGTCAGCCCCATCCTCCAGGCCCTCTCTCTCTTCCTTGACGGCTGGTCAGATGTTAGAGGTTGCAGCAGAGGACTCTGAGACCCTAGGGAATGGCAGGGCCACAAAAAGAAAGTGCCTGGGTCCCTGAATTGCTGTGTGGATGAGAGCTTCCCACTGACCAGGAACCCCTCTTGGAACTTTATAAGGTCTGTTGTGTTTGAAATTGTTGGTTGAAGCAATAGCCTGTCTGATTAATATGCTTTCCATTGTAGTCTGGGCAGCCTTGAGAACCACCAGGAGCTTGAGCGACAGTCAGAATCATGTTGGCTGTGAGCCTGTAACCTGGTTGATTGTGTGCCTGTCCTGTGTGTCCCAGCTGGTGCCATGTGCCTCCTTAGGCCTGCTATAGATTTGTGATTCTATCACTGAAATTTGCTTTGGTCGCTGATTATCACTTTCTTCCTACTGCTGCTTATTTTCTGCCCATTCAGAAGTGGAGGATGATTTTTTTCTCAATTGACCAAAGATTTAGCTCTAGCATTAGATATTCAGCTTACCAAGGCATTACACCTTTTGCCTATAGCTTTTCTTCTTTCCCAGTCCATTCCCCAGGATACCGTTTCCCAAATTGTTCTGTGGAACACTAGCTTAGTACATGATATCGATAAATATGTGGGGATAAAGAAGGGTTTTATGGCCAAATTATTGAGGAAAAAAATGGATTAGATGAAGTTAAAGATTTCTTGATGAGTATGGTGGCACATGCCTGTAGTCCAGGCTACCTGAGAGGCTGAGGCAGGAGGATTGCTTGAGCCCAGGAGTTAGAGTCCAGCCTAGGCAACATAGTGACACTCTCTGTAAAATAAATAAACAAGACAATTAAAAAAAAAGATTTCTTTAATGCAGGACTTCTCGGAGCTTTTAACATTCTAGTGAAGGGAACAGCAAAGTGTGGCTCATAGGCCAAATCTGACCTGCCATCTGCTTTTGCAAGTAAAGTTTTATTGGAACACAGCCATGCTCATTTGTTGACATATTCTCCATGGCTGCATTCTTGCTGCAGTGGCAGAGGTGAGTAGCTACCTCAGTGACCAAATAGCACACAAAGCAGAAAATATGTACTTTTTGGCCTTTTAGAGAAAAGGTTTCCCAACCTCTGCTCCCATGTCTCCAAAAGGAGGAATACATGTGGGTTCACACATAGGGGTTCACACTTTTTTGGCTTCAAATCCCTTCCTTCCTTGGACAACCTATTAACCTCTTGAGAGTTTCAGTTACTCTTGGAAGATGTCATCAGAAGATTGGAAGGCCTTCGTATGACCCTTCGTATTACCATATATTCATATTATCTTTTATCTCTACCTCCACTGCCAAACTCAAACACATTTCTAGTTGCCCATGAACCCTCATCTCAACTTTTTTCTCACAGCAAGTTCCCTGCCCTGTTTCTTTTCCAACTCCTCAGTCCCAGGAGTTACTTCTCTTAATCCTGGTGTTCTGAATGACTGCAGGATTGAAATTCTGCGTCCTACTTCTCTCTAAGAGCACTGGATGGCAAGGTTCTGCAGGTGGGCAGGTCTGCCCATCCCCTGTATTAACCATGGTGGAGGGCGATGAACCTGACAGAGTGCACAGGCTGCCAGCTGCCCTGGAGCCTGCCTGCTCCTAACTGGCATGCAGGCCATGTATGGTAATGCAGGAGGCCAGCCTCCGGCCTCGGGAAGGCTCATTCCTACCTCCGGGCAACTGTAGGTGTGCAAATAGCTCAAGGAAGGATCATTTTAAATGCCTTGAAAGCCTGATTTGTAAATAATCTAAGACCAAAGACAGAGCAAGTTAAATATTTATTTGAAGATTATGTCTCTAAGGAGGGATTGTTGAAAATTAGTGAGTGCCTTCCCTTCTTGCCTTCCCTCCCATGCTGGAGGGCATATTATTTTTATGGCTGTGTTTGACAGCCAGAACAAGCCTCTGTAGATTTACTGGTTGTTTGTAGTGGCATTTATGTGTTTGAATGAGCTGGGCAAACAAGAAGGAGGGAGGTGCGGGTGGTTAATTAACTCTGAGAATCTCTTTGCCCACACTTCCATACTCGGGAAATGCTGGTAAAAGAACCATTCACAGGTTTTTTAAGAAGAATAGCCACACAAAAATCCTTCCCTTCACAGGGCTGGTTTGGAAAGCACAGCAAATCAGCACTCCTGCCATTGTAGACTCAGAATCTCCAGGGTGAAAGGCTTGCTTCTGAGCAGAAAATATATGTGGCCATGACTTTCTGGATCAGAAAACCAGCAGTCCAGTCAGTTCCTGGGATACTGGCATTCATTCATTCACCCAATAGTTTCTTGCCACTTGATAGCTGTAGGGCCTGGGTATGTTCATATATATATACATATATCCAGGTCAGCCTGCTTTCTGAGGTATACACAGAAACAGATTTGAAAAATTGCTATTTTATTCTTTTTTAATGAATAAATATATAGTGAAAATCAAGCCTGATGGGAAAAAAAAAAAAACTCCAAAAGTCTTGGTCGATCAACCTTGCATTTAACCATCTATAGCACTTTCCTCTCCTGGGATATTTTATAAGATAAACTAGGCTCAGACTGTGGGCACCTGGATTCTCATCCCATTTCTCCCAGACAGAATCTGTGAATTCTTGGGGGAAGCCCCTCACCTCTTTTGGCCTCACTGTTGAGATGAAGGTGTTGGATCACCTCACTCTCTGGGCCTCCTTGTTGAGATGAACAACTTGCATTAAATAAATGTCCCCTCAACTTGCATGATCTTAGGAATCATCTGGAGGATCCAATTCAGTAGACCTGGGGTAAGGCCTGGGAATCTAAGATTCTATTAAAAGCCCCAGGTGATGGTCATGGGAACATCTGGGAAACACTGGATTGGATGATCTTTGTGGTCCCCTCTGGATATGACCTTTTAATATCATCATTTTTCCAGGAACTCCCCAACCCACTTCAATGGATATCTCTGAAAAAGCTTTAATAAGAGTCCAGAGAATCACTGGACTTTTCAAACCACACAGACAAAAAGAGAAGCATCAGAGAAAGGTCATACACAAACGTTTCAAAACCACTGATGCACCGTAGCTCACAGGTGTTCTCCTTGAATGGGGTAGCAGGGACATAAATGGGGCAGATTCCCTTAGTGACAAAAAGCACAATGGCGAAATGAGGACAAAGTCACTCTACTGTGCCGTGGCCCCAGGAATGTGGAGAGTGCATGGGAGGATGGGACCATGTGTGGATGTGGGGTCAGAAGCCACCCATCCAGCTTTGACACTGTGGATGCCGTTGGGCACTGATTTCAGGAGATACACAGAGGAAGGGGGAGCTGTGGGCACCTCTTCTTTCCCTGACTTACCATGGCCCTCTGGGGTAGGGAGGTTAAGAACTTATAGGCACTCACTCTCCCCTCTGTCCCAGGCTCTCATCCCAGGCCCTGGGATGCTGCTGCCAGCTCTCTGGGTCATCCTCTAGTACTTGCTCTCCTTCCATCTCTTCTCCAAGGCACCTTTCCTCCCTCTGCAAGAAACTTTTCATGCCTACAAGCCCCACTCCTTGTGCATGAGAGAAAAATGAGAGAAGCTCTTTTTTGTTGTGCACAGAGGTTTTGCAATACCTCCTTCTCCTCTTGCTCTGTGGGTCTAGCCCTAACTCCTGCTAACTCCTGCTAGGTGGCTTAAGCTTTTGGGCTCTGGTGAGCCCTTCACCACTCATTGTCCCTCTAGCCTTAGGGGAGGCATCAGCTTTATGCTCTTCTGAGCTTTAGGTTGCCTCAGCATCTCTTGTTGGGCTTCTCAGCTCTTACATCATCTTTGTGTTAGTTTGTGGCATTAAGTTCCTTTGGTGTAAGAGACCTGTATGCGTTTCTGTTTTTCTGACTTGACCGCAAACATCCTAATTTTCAAGGTAGGCCCCCGGGCTTAATTGCTGCTCTGAGTAATGCATATAGCAGTAGCATCTGACAAGTGACTGGCTGAGATGCCATACTTAAACAAAAACCTCACACTTAGGATGTCCCAAATTGAATACATTGACCTTTCCAATTGTCTTCTGATCTCAGTGTTTACAGAATAACATTTCTGGCCTGTTGCAGTTGCCAGTGTTCAGATTCTCAATGTTCTCTACACCTCTTCCCTCTACCTCACCCCGCACATTCAATAGAATGCCAGTCCTCTCGATGACAGTGCCCTGATAAGTACGAATCCACACCCCCATAAGCATCCCCATAAACCAGCTTCAGGCTGTTATTTTTCCTTTTGCTGCAAAGGCCTCTGCTGGTCCCTGGCTTTTGGTGTCTTCCCACCTCTGATCCACACATGTGCTTCTGGAGGGATATTAGTCAAGCACAACTGTGTTCTGTCCACCGCTGACAAGATAAAGGTCCCACTCTCCTGGCAAATGAGCCCTTGGAGGATCTAACCCATCTATATAGCCTCACTCCTGGCAGGCGGTACCTCTCACCATTTCTCAGGCATACCTTGCATTTCCTGCATTCACACTGTTCCCTCCTCTCAGAATGCCCTTTCTTCTTATTTCTACCTAGCTTCAAGTCCTTGGTTTAATGCCAGCTCCAACCTAAAGCCTCTCCTAATCCTCCTATCTGGAACTAATCTCTCCTTCCTCAACGCGCTCCTGCGTTTCATTGTTCAGCCCCTTTGCCTCTTACCACATTCTGCCTTATAGGGTCGCTATGTTGCTAAGTCACCCCCAAATGGAAAGTCCTCTGGATGTGGTGCTTGTTCATATGTACAGCTCCTATCAAATAGTTGCTGTTCAGTGGAGACTGGGTAGAAGACATGTTATGGTCACTCAGTTAATGCATATCACATTTGTGAATTACAGCAATGCTTTCATACATACCTCTCTATATTTAAATCTATCTATTATTTTGTCAATGACATTGCTATTCTTCTTGGGAAATAGTACTGGCTTCTCTTTTTAACCCAGTCTCTTAAACACAATCACTGGATATTAATAATTTATTAGACAAAATTTCCCATACAGATGATTTGAGTGTCAGTCACATGCACATGTTAGGTGATTTGCATACATTATTTTATATAATCCTCTCAAGGCGGGACTCTCTTTATTTTATAGATGAGAAAAACTAAGGCTCATACAGATTAAAGACTTTTATCAGCACTGTTAGCTGGTGAGTGGCGGGGCCAGGATCTGAAGGGGGATCTACATGATTTAAAACCTTACGTCATAGAAGGATACGTTCTTTACCTTCATCTTGGGGAAGAAAGATTTATCTCATGAGAAAAGACTAAATTTACAGACGAAAACTTCCATTTCTTGTGTCTTACTGGGCTTGGAATGTCTCCGCTGGTCTTTGATGACCCTGGGCACTAGTGAGGTTGCCCACCTTACTCCATTTCTCCTCTGGTTTTCTCCATAGTAACACAGATACTTCTTAATGAAGTCCTGCACCCCAGATTCCCAATCTAGTTCTTTCACCAGCTCACTATCATTAACCCCACCCCCGGCCCCAGGTAGGCATGCCATCCTAATTCTCAATAGCTCACCAGTTGAAAAATAGCTTCTCCTTGGAAAAGACCCAGAGGATGCCATGCTGGCTGGTGGGAGATGGATCTTGCCATCACGGTCACAGACGCGAGATGAGCAGCAGAATTCCTGGCTTGGCCTCCGTGTCGGGTCTGAGGAGGCTGGAGCTGTTGGCAATTCTTTCCCGGGTCTGTCTTGCCTGCCAAGTTGGTTGACCTCTGGGGCATGGTGAAAGGTGTAGCTTTTTGGTTAGCTATTTTTCAGGGCTTTTCGGTTCCCTTGCTTTCTTTCCCCTTTAGTTTTTCTTTTCAGAGAGACTCTTAGCTTCCTCATTCAATGCAATAGCCCAGATGCATTGAGGCATGGGGGCCCAGAGGCACTGGACTCATTAACATGAGTCCTGTAAGTGAGTATAAAAGTGTTAATACAGTAGCAACGTGAGCCGGCTCCCTTTAAAAACAAAAAACAAAAAACAAAAAAAACTCTTAGTGTTAGGTAATCCTCATTGTCTTTCTTGCCTTATTTCTTCTCCACTCAAGAGTTTCTGTCTTTCCTTTTACCCTTTCTTTACTCTTCTCTCCATCTCCCTTTGTCTTTCATCTCTCTTTAAAGGCAAAACACGACACAGCTTCTCAGTGTATGCCTGTCAGACTTGTTGGCCCTCAGGCTGAAAAAGTTCTCTGAGTTCTCAGGAATCCTCCCAAGGCTGGCTGGCTGGCTTTGAGGACTATCACACCAAAAAGTACTGCTGCCTTCCAGGTACAGACCAGGTTGGACTGGATTGGGAGTCTAATTACCAGCAGAAAATTAAAGAAAGGTAATAATTGCCCTTAAGCACTTAACAAAAGCAAATCTCACCTTGAAGGTTTGTAAATTTGTAGTGAGGACTGATTTAAGGGAGCTTGTGCTGCACTCTTTGTGTTTGATTTGCAAACCAGAATGCACACGCCTCCATATGCATAATTGGATCCTCACGGTCTCTGCCTCCATGTGACCATGCAGTAGTTTATTTATCCAGTGCTCATTCAAAGAAAAGCTGAATGGAACAAGAAAACTCCTACTTTGCGATAGGATTAGATACCATGGAGTATTCCTCCCCCGTACTCTTTCAAAGATTTTTTTTTTAAGTTTCTAAATCTGCTTGGGAAGAAAAAGTAAATTGCCAGAAGTGAGATTAGTGGGGAATATTGTTCTTAGGACAATAGTGTCTTTATGGCTTGACTGGTATGAGCTCCCCGCTTCAAAAAAATACAAGAGCTGGAGGTGTGGGGGTTCTTAATTGCCTACATCTGATCAACTGGCAGCAAAAAAAAAAAAAAAAGAAGAAGAAGAAGAAGAAAGAAATCTCATTCAGCTCTGATTTGGCCTGGATCAAGTCCACTTGCTAATCAGAGTTTAATGAGGATGCCACTGGCCCTGTTGTATTTGCCGATGCTCCCACTAAGGTCCCTGGCCTTATGTTTGTGCAGGGAGCCCTTGCATCCCGCCGCCCCACGAAGCAGGATGCGGGCTGAGATGGAAAAGTCCCGGCCCGGAGAAGTTAATTAAGTTTAGGCCCTTGGCATTCCAAGTCACCGGAACCGATGGTGGGAAGCCTCACCCACCGGCACAAAAGAGACCCACATGGAGCTCTGAATGACTGTCCCTGGCGGTGGTAGCTGGGCTTCTGCGCGCCCCACTGCCAGCTCTTAACCCCGGGAACTGTGTCCCCTCCCCTCCACTGCACAAACTGAATAGGCCTTCAGGACCGCGGAGGGCCCTGGCTCTGGCGTAGGAGGTTTTGGGAAGCGCATGGTCCAGCATCGGATGTTACAAGAGCGCGGATGCCAGGCCCTGGCAGGGATTGACAGATCTGTGAAGGCTCAGACGAAGGCCTGATTTGTTTTGTGACAGTTCCTTTGGTTTTTAACACAAATTATCATAAGCAAAAAAATTGAACTTGAGGTGAGCAAGCCACTCTTTCTTTCTTTTTTTTTTTTCAATTGTATATTCCATAATCTCTGAGTAGAGGAAACTGAGCATCTGTGTCTCCATGGGGATGCTGCGGAGAGCTGTAGGTCTTGGGTTCAAGGAGCCCCAGGGTAAGGGACTCCCCCTCCTTGCTGCCTGTTTGTGTTCCTGGCAAGCAAAGCCAGGAGGACAGTGGAAAGAATGGGAGGTTGAGAGGCTTACTGACTTGGGTTTGAGTTCCAGGCCCACCTGAATTCTTTGAGGCTCAGTGTCCCTTATGACAAATAGAAAAATCATAGTCATTGGCCAGATAACAATGTCTCGGTCAAGACAGGGCTAGTATATGACAGTGGTCCCATAAGATTAGATGGAGCTGAAAAAATCCTATCACTTAGAGACATGATAACTGTGGTAATGTCATAGCACAAGGCATTGCTCACGTGTTTATGGTGATCCTGGCAGAAACAAACCTACTGCGATGCTGGCTGTATAACAGTCGGACACATACATACATATGTGCAGTGCATACTACTTGATAATGATAATAAATGACTGTTATTCATTTGTGTATTTACAATACTATACTTTTTATTATTATTTTGGAGTGTACATCTACTGAAAAAAAAAGTTAACTGTAAAAGAGCCTCAGGCAGGTCCTTCAGAAGGTATAATAGCAGAAGGGATTGTTATTCTAGGACCAGATGGCTCCACGTGTGCTTCTGTCCCTGAAGACCTTCCAGTGGGAGAAGATGTGGAGGTGGAAGACAGTGATATTGATGATCCTGACCCTGTGTAGGCCTAGGTGTGTTTTTAGTCTTAGGTTTTAGCAAAAAAGTTTACAAAGTAAAAAGTAAAAGCTTAAAAAATAGAAAAAGCTTATAGAAAAATGATATAAAGAAAAATGTTTTTGTAAAGCTGTAAAATGTGTTTGGGTTTCAAGCTAAATGTTATCATAAAAGAGTCAAAAAGCTTAAAAAAGAAAACTTTAGGCCAGGTGCGGTGGCTCACGCTTGTAATCCCAGCACTTTGGGAGGCCGAGGCAGGTGGATCATGAGGTCAGGAGTTCAAGGCCAGCCTGGCCAAGATGGTGAAACCAAGTCTCTACTAAAAATACAAAAATTAGCTGGGCGTGGTGGCGGGCACCTGTAATCCCAGCTACTTGGGAGGCTGAGGTAGAGAATTGCTTGAACCTGGGAGGTGGAGGTTGTAGTGAGCTGAGATTGCACCACTGCACTCCAGCCTGGGCGACAGAACAAGACTTCATCTCAAAAAAAAAAAAAAAAGAAAAAAAAAACAGAAAAAGAAAAAGAAAACTTTAAAAAGTAAAACAGTTACAATAAACTAGGGTTAATTTATTATTGAAGAAAGAAATTTTAAACATAAATTTAGGGTAACCTAAGTGTCCAGTGTTTATAACATCTGCAATAATGCACAGTCATGCCCTAGGCCTTCACGTTCACCCAGCACTCACTCATGAACTCACCCAGAGCAACTTCCAGTCCTGCAAGGTCCATTCATGGCAAGTGCCCTATAAAGGTGTA
Organism: Homo sapiens; assembly: GCF_000001405.40. NCBI lineage: Eukaryota > Metazoa > Chordata > Mammalia > Primates > Hominidae > Homo > Homo sapiens. The sequence continues at coordinate 86,647,324 of NC_000009.12, forward strand.
TTGTTAAAAAAGTAATTTTTTTTAATATTTTTTTTTTCATTTTTACAAGACAGAGTCCTGATATGTTGCCCAGGTTGGTCTCAAACTCTTGAGTGATCTGCCGGCCTTGACCTCCCAAAGTGCTGGGATTACAGGCATGAGCCCCTGCACTCAGCCCTAAAATGAAATATTTTATACTGTATTTGTACTGTACCTATTCTATGTTTAGATATGTTTAGGTACACAAATAGCTGCCATTGTGTTTCGGTTGCCTACAGTATTCAGTGTAGTACCATGCTGCCCAAGTTTGTAACCTAGGAGCATAGGCCATACCATATAGCCTAGCTGTGTAGGAGGCTATACTTTCTAGATGTGTATAAGTACGCTCTACGATGTTTACACAATGAAGAAATCACCTACAGTTGTGTTTCTCAGAATGTGTCCCTGCCGTTAGGTGACACATGACTGTACTTACCATAGTGTAAGGATTGAGATATGTGTGGACATTGTCAGGAGTGTCATTCTCAAGGTCACATGATAAGTGGGCCTGTTCCTTCCAGGCTGATGGTTCTCAAAATCTAGCCATCATTAGAATTCCCTAAAGAGCTAGTGAGCATGCGTGCTCCTGGGCTCCACCTACAGAGACTGATTCAGCAGGCCTGAGAATGTGCATTCCTAACAAGATCCAGGTGATGCTGATGCAGGTGAATTGTGGACCAGGTTTCAAGACATAACCTTAGATGATAGGGCAGTCGGGCAGGGTTCTGCAAGTACTAAGTAGTTTTATGACATCTGAAGCCACCTGCATTTACAGTATTATGGGTAGAATTTATTCTACTGGTCTATAATTATTTTTTCTTTCAGTGTCTCTCTTATTAACATTTATTGAACATTTTCTGTGTCCCAAGCATTATATTATACTAAGCCTATTACCAATATTATCTCATTTAATCCTCTCCTTTTCTCATTAAAACTTGCAACTAGCTGCATGGCTTTCTCACGCCATTCATAATAACTTAAGCTCAAACTGTTACCTTTTCAATGAGGACTTACGCTTTTTAAAATCAAATCCTCTCTTCGTTCCTCAGCACATCTTAGCCTCCTTTTCTGCTTTTTATTTCCCTTTGAAAAGTATTAATCGCTATTGAATATACTATGTATTTTATTTATTTCATTTGTTATCTGAATACCCTCAAGATTTCCTTCCTCCCTCCCTTCCTTCCTTCCTTCCTTCCTTCCTTCCTTCCTTCCTTCCTTCCTTCCTTCTTTCCTTCCTTCCTCCCTCCCTCCCTCCCTCCCTCCCTCCCTTCCTTCCTTTCTTCTGTGTTGTTTACTGGGATTTCTCTAGTCTCTACAACAGTCACTGACCCATTCTAGGTGTGCTATTAAAATGCATTAAACAAATGAAAGAACCAGCTCAGGAAGTAGATACTTCACTTTGTGGATGAAAAACAGGTTTAGGAAAGATAGGTAATTTGGTCAAGATTGCATACCAATAGGTGGACAAGAAACAACAAAAACTCAGGTATGTGTGTCTCCAAAGCCGTGCTCTCAACCCGGGGCCACCTGCCCTCACTGCCATCATGCTCTGGGCTAATTTGGGCAGGTTCCACTGGGAGCCCAGAAACCTAACATGCAGCATCCCACGGGGCTCCGAAGGCCTATTCTCTCCTGAGAGAGCAAACTGAGAGTGTAGGGTGCAGGTTGACCCGAGGTGGGGAAGATGGTCTTCTGAGAACATCACACCTCAGCCAGCCCATCGTTTTGGAACATCTGGGTGCAGCAACAGAGAATTTTACCAACACACCACTCCCTCTTTGCTGAAGAGCTGACTGAACATGTTTTTCTGCTTCACAATTTGAATTCTCCCTCCAAGAAAATCCTTTCTCCAGCCCATAGGCAAGCTCATATATCTTATTTTATAATCCCACTGCTGAAATGTCAGCTGTAAACTGTGGAAGCCCATTTGGTTTTAATGCATGAGTGGCTCAATACATATTTGAGCAAATTAGTGAACAAAACTTTTTAAATTAAACTATTTTTTTGAGATAATTGTAGATTCATGTGCAGTTGTAAGAAATAATGCAGAGATATTCCTCAAACCCTTTACCCTGTTTCTCCCAATGATGATATCTTGCATAGCTGTAGTTCAATATCACAATCAGGATATTGACATTGATGCAGTGAAAATGCAGAACATTTCCATCTCCACAAGCATCTCTCATGTCGCTCTTTTATAGACACACCTAGTTCCCTTCTATCTTCCCTGTCCATAACCTCCTGGCAATCACTCATCTGTTCTCCATTTCTATAATTTTGTCATTTCAAGCATGTTTTATAAATGGAAACATACAGTATGTAGCCTGGTAGGATTGACTTTTCTCACTTAACATAATTCTCTAAAAATTCATCCAAGATGTTGTATGGGCCAGCAGTTCATTTCTTCACTGCTGGGTAGTATTACTTCATGATGTAGTTATACTAATTGTTTAACCATTTACCTATTGAAGGACATTTAGATTGCTTCCAATGTTTGTCTATTAAGAATAAAGCAGCTATGAATATTCATGGATAGGTTTTTGTGTGAACGTGAGTTTTCATTATTCTGGGATAAATGTGCAGGTTTATAATTGCTGGGCCATATGAAAGTTGATGTTTAATGTTTTTCTAAAACCACCAAACTGTTTTCCAGAGTGGCTGCAGCATTTTGCACTCCCACCAGCAATGTATGAGTGACCTGGTTTCTCTGTATCTTCCTCGGCATTTGGTGTTGTCATAAATTTTTATTTATATCATTCACATTAGGTGTGTAGCAATATCTCACTGTGGTTTGAATTTGCATTTCCCTAGTGGCGAATGATGCGGAACAACTTTTCACTTGCTTATTTGCCATCCGTATTTCCTCCCTGGTGAAATATCTGTTTATGTTGTTTGCCCACTTTCTAATTATACTGCTTGCTTTGTTGTTATTGAGTTTTCAGAATTTTGTATACATTCTAGATACTAGTCTCTTGTGAGAGATGTGATTTGTAAATATATTCTCTCAGTCTGTATCTTGTGTTTCTTTTTTTTTTTTTTCCATTTTCTTACCGGGGATTTTCACAGAGTAAAAGTTTTTAATTTTGGTGAAGTTCAGTTTATCAATTTTTTTTCTTTTATGCATTGTGCTTTGACATCTACTGTATGAACTCTTAGCCCTCGATACTGAAGATTTCCTCCTACATTATTTCCCAAAAGTTTTACATTTTACACTTAAGTCCATAATACATCTTGTGTTAAGTTTCGTATAAGGTATAAACTTAAATCAAGTTTTATTTTTTTCATTGGTGAATGCCCAATTACTTTAGCACCATTTATTGACAAGACTATCCTTCCTCCATTAAATGAGTGGCACTTTTGTCAAAAAGTTGAGTATATTTATGTGTCTGTTTCTGGGTTCTTTATTCTATTCCGTTGATCTGTGTGTCTATCTTTCCACCAATACTACACTCTTGATTAATGTACGTTTTGATTAATATAAGTTTTGAAATCGAGGGGACTGATTCTTCTTACTTCATTCTTCTTTTTCAAAATTGTTTAACTCTTCTAGTTTCTTTTGCATTTCCATATAAATTTTAGAATAATCTCATCTGTATCTATAAAAAATCTTGGCAGTGTTTTGGTAGGAACTGCCTTAAATCTTTATTTAATTTGGGAGAATTGACATCTTTACTATGTGGAGGGTTCTAGTCCATGTCCATGTGAGATATACTATGTCTTTGATTTCTTTCATCAGTATTTTGATGTTTTAAGCATGTGAGTCCTATACATATTTTGTTAGATTTACACCTGCTTTGTTTTTTGAGCTACTGGAAATGATAGTGCTTTAAAATTTGTTACCCTGTGTTTATTCATAATGTATAGACACGCAATTAATTCCTATATATTGATCTTATATCCTGCAGCCTTGTAGAAGTCACTTATTAGTTTTAGGAATTTTTTTTGGTAACTATCTTGAGATCTTCTCTGTAGGAAAATCTGTCTGCATGTAGAGGCAATTTTATTTCTTCCTTTCCAAGCTATATGCCTTTATTTACGTTTCTTGCCTTATTGTCTTGGCTAGAACGTCCAGTACTACATTGGATTAATGATGCATGCAGATATCCTTGTCTGATTTCATTCTTGGAGGAGAAGCATTCAGTCTTTCACCATCAGGTATAATTTTGGCTGTAAGTTTTTTTTGTAGATGCTCTTTATCAAGTTCTAGAAGTTCTTCTCTATTCCTGTTTTTCTGGGAATTTTCATCATGAATGGGTATTGGATTTCATCAAATGATTTTTCTGTATCAATTGATAAGATCATGTGACTTTTTTCTTCTTTAACTTATTAATATGGTAGATCTTGTTGATTGATTTTCAAATATCAATTGGTTTTGCATATCTGAGAATAAAGCCCACTTCGTCATGGTGTATAATTATTTTTTTGTATTGCTGAATTTTATCTGCTAATATTTTGTCAAGAAGTTTTGCATCTAAATTCATAAGGGATATTGGTCTGTGTTTTCTTTTCCTTCTCCTTTTTTGTACTGCCTTATTGTCTTTATCTGGTTTTGGCACCAGGGTAATAGAAGCTTCATAAAATGAATTGGTAAGTATAACCTCCTCTTCTATTTTCTGGAAGAGATTATGTAGAATTAATGCTAGTTCTTCTTTAAACATTCTCCAATGAAACCACCTGGACCTGGAGATCTCTTTTTTGGGAATTTTTAAATTACAAAGTCAATTTCATTAGTAGTTGTAGGGCTATTCAGATTTTCCAATGATTGATTCCAATGTTGGGTGAGTTGTGAGAAATTGGTTCATGTCCTCTAAGTGTCAATTTTATGTGTGTAGAGTTGTTTGTAGTACAGAATGGGGGGTCCCTGACTTATGATGGTTTTAATGCAGGACAAGTGGGGCTCAAAGTGGGACTTAGCCCATGAGGGTTCTTGGCTTTGCCCAGGAAATAATTCAAAGGCAAGCCAGAGGTAGAAGAAAACAGCTTTATTGAAGTGGCAGTGTTACTGCACTGATGGTGTTACAGCTCCGTGACTGCTCCTGCAGAGCAGGGCTACCCAGTAGGCAGAAAGTAGCAGCTCAGGACAGTCTTGCAGTCGTATCTATACCCACTTTTAATTGCATGCAGATTGAGGGATAGTTTATTAAGAAATTTCTAGGGAAGGGGTAGTAATTTTGGGGTCATTGGACCATTGCCATGGAAAGGGGTGGTAACTCCCGGGTGTTGCCATGGCAATGATAAATTGCCATGGCACACTGGTGGGCACGTCTGATTGGAAAGCTGCTTCTGCCCCAGCCCTGTTTTAGCTAGTCCTCAATCTGGTCCGGTGTCTGAACCCTGCCTCTGGAGTCAAGTCCCGCCTCCTACCTCAGTTCCATGAGAGTTTTGGATGGTGGGTGCTCTAGTTTTTTCTCTCTCGAGTTTTGTCTCTCTTTCTTTCTCTAACAGTGACTTATACCATCATTAGATTTCTCTAGTCAATTTTCCCGGCAATGTAACAGCACTTTCATATGTGAGGCACTGAGAAAATACTGAAAAGACAGGCAAAGGCATAACTTGGCCCTCAGGGGAATCATAAACTAACCCAGACAGATGCTTGCTTGCCCAAAATGATCCTGTTCAGATAAAATAAGATGCAATTTGAAATCTAGCCCCTAATTCAAGTTAAAAAACAACCTCCATGGTTTTATTTATAGCTTATTTCTTGATTCCAGCACCTTTCCTGTCCAAGTAAGAACCAGTCCTCCCTCATGTGTGAAGGCACAACAACTGAGTCTGACTCACTGCCTAGCTCTATATGATGTAAACACAATAAAAGTATATTAAGCCAACTTTGATTCAATAATACAAGCAAATTTTCTTTTATTGTGGTAAAATATACATAACATAAAATTTACCATTTTAATCATTTTTAAGTGTACAGTTTTGTGACATTAGTATACTCTCATTGTTGTGCAACCATCACCACTATCCATCTCCAGCAGTCTGTAATTATCCTTGCTGAAACTCTATACCCATTAAACATTAACTCCTCATGTCTGTCTCCCCCACCCTCCTGGTTTAAACTTTATTTTGATGGTAAGGGTTAAAGAACATGTAGCCCTTGGAAGGCGTATGAAGCACATGCTCCAACTCTTTCTTTCTTTTTTTCAATAGTCCTTTATATCGGACCCAACACTGTGTGTATTAGTTAGGTTTCCATACCTATTTTACAGATAGGAAACCAAGGCCTAGTAAGCTAATGTCACCCCCTTTAACTGAACACAATTCTTGCTTGGCCTTTCCTTCTTGCCTAGGTGAATTATCTGCCCACCAAGAGTCAGATGACATTTTATGGCCTCCGTTGCTGGCTCATGCACTGCCCTGGGGTTTCTGAAATTCCAGCAGTGTGCAGGTGACTTGTAGATGATTGTATTTGTATTAGTCCGTTTTCACACTGCTATAAAGATACTACCTGAAACTGGGTAATTTATAAGCAAAAGAGGGTTAATTAGCTCACAGTTCTGCATGGCTGAGGAGGCCTCAGGAAACTTACAATCATGGTGGAAGGAGAAGGGGAAGCAGGTCCCTTCTTCACAAGACAGCAGGAGAGAGAGAGCTCGGGGAAACTGCCACTTTTAAACCATCAGATCTCATGAGAACTCCCTCACTATCATGAGAACAGCATGGAGGAAACCAACCCCATGATCAATCACTTCTCACCAGTTCCCTCCCTGGAGGTCTGTCCCTCCCAATTTGAGATGAGATTTGGGTGGGGACACAGAGCCAAACCATATCAGTATTGATGGTTCTGCTGTCATTGATTCTGTTTTCCAGTTACATCAGCAAGGAACCTGGGGCTCCACCTACAGGTGTTTAACTATGAGAGAATGAGATCTCTGGTTTTAAAGGGGTTCTTAGCCTAGATTCCAGGCTTGACTCTACCTCTCAACCACGGTTCAACTTTGAGCAGATTACATGGTCTCTCTAAATCTCAGCTTCCTCACTGTAAAGGAGCTTCAGTTTCTCCATGGTGCAACAGGGATAGTAACATGTTTGATGTTCCCACTTAGATATCTGATAGGCATCTCAAACTCAACAGAATGAAATTGAATTTTGATTTTTTTCCTCCTGAATTGGTTTCTTCTGCAGTCCTCTTTAGATTAATTAATGGATCTGACAGATGACATGACAGAAACCCAGAAGGAGACCTCCATTCCTTTTTTTTTCTTGATCATCAGAAAGTCCTATTTATTATGCCTGAGTTACAGTTTTGTTACGTACATCAATTTCTCTTCAATTTCACAGCCATTACCCTGGTTCAGCTCCAAAAAGGACTATGAAAATAGCCTCTCAACAGGTCTACCTGGTGCTTCTCTATCATCTTTAACAATACAAATGAGGATAAAAATAAGAATGTTTTTACAGTGCTTGGTCTGCCAGCCACTGTTCTAAGTGTATTACATATATTAATTTATTTAATCCATGTACCAGTCTTAGGCAAATCCCCTACTTAAAATTAATCCATGGCTTCTCATTGTTTTAAGAATAAAATTCAAGCTCTCTGTCTTGCTCTGCAAGATTCTGAATGATCTCACTTCTCCCTCCAATCTCTCCTCCCCAGTCTTCACCTTCACTCTTCAGAGGCTGACTACACTGCCTTCCTTTTTATTTCTCAAATATGTTCTCAAGTCTTTGCAGTTCCTGTTTTTTTCTGTTTTGTCTCCCAACTCTTTGCATGGCTAGGTTATTCCCATGCTTGAAGTCTTAGCTCATAAAATACCTCCTTGGAGAGGCCTTCCCAATCTTGTTTATCCTGTTTATGGGCCAAGAATTCTTGATCACATCATCCAGGTTATGATATGATGTGAACAATGCCTATCCCAGTTTGTATTGATCTTGTTTGTTTATTTGTGTATTTTTTTATTACCCCATTAGGCTGAAAGCTCTATGAGGGCAGAGACTTCATCTGTTTTGTTCCCTGTTCTTTTCAGCACCAAGGAGAATGCCTGGGTCCCAAGGGACTCAGTGGCTGTGGCTAGAATGAATCAGTGAAAGAATAAATCACACATGACAGAGGGCCTTTGACCTCATAAGGGTATTGGAGGATTAAAATGCATGGGATAGCCTATTGGTTGTACTTTATGAATCAGTCACCAGCTCAGATGTTTGAAAAGAATAATTATTTTCTTTTCTGTTATTTATCATTTCCTATAGCAGTTTTAAGTCGAAAGTTTCTTTTTCTTAGACAAGCAGACATGATAACCATAGTCTTCCTCTTTCAGACCCCTCCCAGATGTGTGCCAACTCAGGAATACCTTGTAATGCCAAAATTACATGAGGCAGGGCGATCAAGTTACTGCCAAGAACCAAGAGCCATGTCTACACAGCTCTGGGTGTAGCTCTTTTTTTTCTTTTCTTTTTCTTTTTTTGAGACAGGGTCTCACTCTGTCGCCCAGGCTGGAGTGCAGTGGCACAATCGTGGCTCACTGCAGCCTTGACCTCCAGGGCTGAAGTGATCCTCCCACCTCAGCCTCCTGAATAGCTGGGACTACAAGTGTGTGCCATCATGCCTGGCTAATTTTTAAATTTTTTGTAGAGACGAAGTCTCATTATGTTGCCCAGGCTGGTCTCGAACTCCTGAGCTCAAGCAATCCTCTTGTCTTGGCCTCCCAAAGTGCTGAGATTTGAGTGTAGCTCCTTAAAGAATTCAGGACCCACTCAGGTAGGGGACCTTCGGAGACTCCTGGCATCTGCTCTGTCTGGATGGACATGCAGCCGCTTCTCTGGGATCCTGCCCCTTCCTCTGTGGCATTGCCAGGAGAGGCCCACTGGTCTTACTCTTCCCACCCCTCCGCTAGGCTAGGGAACACTTAGGGGAGGGGGGAGCAAAGGAGGAGTCCTGCTGAACCCCTTACGCCTGGCAAAGACCTCATTCCTGCTCTTCAATCCCCTAGGGTCTTGCGGCTTAGATTCCTGGGAGATGATGGTCGGGGAGATTTTCAGGCTGCCTCCATTTATCCTCCCTTGAGTCAGTGATTACAGAAAGGAAAGGAAAAACACAAGAGGAAAACCATATAATGATACATCATAAAAAATATCTAGCCAACACTCACAGAGCACCAGTTACAGTGACCACCTAATAGATATTAATTCCTACTTTTGTCACATTCCTCCCTCCCTTAAAGGTCTCACAAATGATCTGTGGAGTGAAACCCCATTGGGTCATTAAGGCTGACCAGGATGAAACAACCACTTCTCTTACCAACTTATCTGTTTCCACAGGACTCACACTGTGGGGTAGCATGTAAAGTTCTTTCTCCCATTAGAAATTGTCCAAACAGGCATCCAGGTGACTTATCCAAACTCCACTTTTGTATGGAGTTTGGATAAATCCTCCTTTTTCTCTGCTTCCCAGAATGGTGCTATTGGGTTTGAGATATTCATATGCACAAAGTGGGGGTGACCTGCTTCAAAATCCCCGGGCCTGGGTTTATCCACATTACCAAGCTTCATCTCCCATCCTGTGTTCTCTGGTTTCCAGATGCCTTTGTTCAGGGCTTTGTATGAAGCAGATCCTCTCCAAGGACTGTTGAGAAAAGCCAAGGCCAAGGGCAATGTCCCTGTGGAGTGCCTGGAGAAAGAATTCAGGGACAATCTCCATTCTCTGTAACTCTCTTCACCGTGGTCCTACTTTACTATATATTTAGTATCTCACTGTAGGTTTTTTTTTTTTAAATAGACTTTGTTTTAGAGAAGTTTTATGTTCACAGTGAAATAGACCAGAAGGTATAAAGATTTCCCATATACCCCCTGCCTCCACACATGTACAGTTGATGCCATTATCAACATTCCCACCAACATGGTCCATTTGTTACATTTGATGAGCCTACATCAGTACATTATCATCACCCACAGTCCTTAGTTTACATTAGGGTTTACTGTTGGTGTTGTACATTCTATAGACTTGGACAAATGTGTAGTTGTGTGTATCCAGCACTGTAGTATCATACGGAGTGCTGTCACTGCCCTAAACATCTTCTGTGCTCCACCTATTCATCCCTTCTTCTCCCCACTGATCTATTTAGCCTTACCTTTTCCAGAATGTCATAGAGTTGGAATCGTGTGATATGTAGCCTTTGCACATCGGCTTCTTTTACTTAATAATATGCACTAAAGGGTCTTCCATGTCTTTTGTGGCTTGATAGCTCATTTCTTTTTAGAGCTGAATAATATTCCTTCGTTTAGATGTACCACAGTTTATGTATTCACCTACTGAAGGTCATCTGGTTACCTCCAAATTTTGCCAATTGTGAATAAAGCTGCTGTAAACATCTATGTGGAGCATTTTGTGTGTGAACATAGTTTTGAACTCTTTTGGGTAAATACCAAGGAGTGCATTGCTGGATCAAATGGCAGACTCACTCAGTTTTATTTTTAACCACCCATTATGGAGAATTTTGAACATATGCAAGAGTAGTCAGAATAATCAAATGAACACCTCTAAACCCATCAGTGAGAGCCAACAATCATCAGTCCATGGCCAATCCTATCCCATCCACACACTCATTCATCCCCCTACCCAAATTATTTTGATGCAAATCCCAGACATTATATAATTTATTTTGTAAATATCCCAGTACACATGTCTAAATGATAAGGACCTTTTACTATGCCATTACCACAAAACCATGATCATATCTGAAGTAAATTAATAAAATATCCACCTTTAATATCATCAATTAAGCAGTGTTCAAATTCCAGTTATCTCATGCTTATCATACATACTTTTATAGCTTTATGTTTGAATCTATTCCAGTAAGATCCTCACATTGTCATTGTTAGATGTGTCTTATAAGTATTCATAGGTTTCCTCTTTTGTCTTTTTTTTCTGTAATTTTTAGAAACTGAATTGTCTCTTTGAGTTTCCTGCAGCCTGCACTTGGAGTTTCCCACAGCCTGCACTTTGACGATTGTTTCTGTGTCACGCAGGAATTTTTTTTTTTGTTGTTGAGACGGAGACTCTCTCTGTTGCCCAGGCTGGAGTGCAGTGGTGCGATCTCGGCTGACTGCAACCTCCACCTCCCGGGTTCAAGTGATTCTCCAGCCTCAGCCTCCTGAGTAGCTGGGATTACAGGCACCCACCACCATGCCCAGCTAATTTTTATATTTTTAGTAGAGGCGGTGTTTTGCCATGTTGGCCATGCTGGTCTCGAACTCCTGACCTCAGATGATCCGCCCACCTCGGCCTCCCAAAGTGCTGGAATTACAGGTGGGAGCCACTGCGCCCGGCCATTTTTACATGTTCTTCCAGTTTCTGCATTTCCTTGAATCATAGTCTTGATAAAATTCAAGTTCTATTATTCTGGCAATAGTACATCAGAGATGGTGTCCTGTTCTCAAACCTGGGTCTTGTAGAATAGCTCTGTCCAATAAACTTCATGTGATGATAGAAACAGTCTATATTTGTGTTGTAGAATTATGGTAGCCACTAGCTCTATGTCACTATTAAGCACTTGTAAAGTGGCTAGTGCAACCAAGGAATTACATTTTAAATTGTATTTAATGAAATCTAAAGAGCTACCTGTGGCTGGTGGCTACCATATTGAATAGCACAGCTCTTGAGTTTCTGAAGTCATTGTTAGTGAGCAAAGTGTGGCCTGTGGGGCTGTAGTTAGGGGCTGGTGATGAAACGTCTTTAAAAAACAAGCAAGCCAGCAACTTCTCCCTCCACATGATGCAGTCAACACAGTTGCATCATTTACTACCTGAAAGGGCCAAAGCTGAGCTCCAGCACCCATCTTTTCCTTTTGGACTGAAAGGAGAACTCAGTCCTGTGTGCATCTCCTATACGCTGGGACCTGGGCACTGGCTGCTGCCTCCTCTTCATCTGTGGATGTCCTCAATAGTCCTAGCCCCCAGGCATCCTCAAGAAAACATACAATGATCATACATAATTCTCATAGCTATCTTCTGTAGAAGACCCTTTTGAGTATATGTGGTTTTAGTTTTTCAAATGAGTATCAATTGCCTTGAGAGGGATCTTTACTATGGAGTAAGTAAAGAAAGGCAGGATATTATCCAATCAAAGATGCCACCCAAGAAAAAACAGTGGTACAATGGGATTTGGCTGCTCCTGGGCTGACACCAGCCTTCCTTTCAGGTGACTTTGATCCTGTGAAACACACAGAGGTAGTCATTAGTGCTACACTGGTACCCAATTCTTTCCTTCAAGACACACAAAAAGCTGTTTCCTGTCCCCCTCTGTGGTTGAGCAGAGCCATCTGACCTGATCTGGCCAATGAGATGTGATAAGTGTTTCAAGCTAGAACAGTTCATCTTCTTTTTTTTCTTCAGAAATGAAACTTCCTCAGCTTGAGTTCTTGAGTGAAGATAGTAAAAAGAAGAATGTGTTCCAAGTGAAGGACACGTAACATGAGAAATAAACCTTTGCTGTTTTCAGCTACTGTCATTTTAGGAGTGCCTGTTACCTCGGCTGAACATAACCTGTTCTAGTGAGTGCACCTGTTTTAAGCCTAGCAAGAGGATGACTCAATGTGCTATGAAGAAACGGCATACACAGATTACAGTCCATTTAGAAAAAAAAAAAAAACAAAGGAGGAACTTATTAAAGTTGGTAACTAGGTTTCCTGAAGATTGGGTCTCTGCAATTGGATCTGCTCTTCTCTCCATAGGACTTCACTGGACCTCCAGAATCTTCTTCATGGATATTCATTGCGTAAGATAAAGACTCAGTGCATTAGCACTGAGATTCTAATTCTGCATTAGAACTGAGAGTTAATGTAAAGTGGTGTTAAAATGAGTGTTATATGTACACATATTTATTTTTTGATTGTTGGTTAATGTTTGCTCCCTAAACTAGACTCTAAAATCCATCATAGCAAAGACTGAATCAGTTTATCACTGTGTCCCTAAATAACTATGAATGAATGAGTGAATATATGTAGATATGTATCACTGAGCATTCCTTGAGTGTTTCAGTGGGTGTGGAGCAGCTGTCTCTGTCAAAAGGCACAGGATGTGGTGGGGTGTGGGGTGAGAAGGTTTGTGGTGTGATCCACGATCCACAGCCAGCAGATTTCCTGACTCAGAGCTCAGAAGAGAGAAACCTGCACACTTGAAATGTAACAGGAGAAATGCTTATAAGTACACTACTGTGAAGTCAAATACAATAGCATATTTCAGTGACATGAAAAATAATAAATATGCATTATATAGATTCTCCTTGATTTACGATGGAGCTACGTCCTGATAAGCCCATCACAGGTTGAAGATATCATTAAGTAGAAAATACATGTAATACACCTAACCTACCAAGCATCATAGCTTAGCTCAGCCTCCCTTAAACATCCTCAGAACACTTACCTTAGCCTACAGTTGGGCAAATTATCTGGCAACACGGCACACTCTAGGGTGTGGGTTGCTTACCCTCGTGATCACAGGGCTGGCTGGGAGCTGCAGCTCGCTGTCACTGCCCAGCATCCCAAGAGTATTGTACTGTTTATCAACATCCTGGGGAAAGATGAAAACTCAAAATTTGAAGTTTGATTTCTACTGAATGCATTTTGCTTTCGTACCATTGTAAAGTAGACAAATCATAAGTCAAGCCATCATAAGTTGAGGACCATCTAAAAAACAACGCAGCTGCCTGTCTTGTTTCAGCTTTGGTCCATGTAGAATACATGTACATTTGTCTTCATTTATAAAGATGCCAATGCTAATTTAGCCAGTTGTCCCAATGCACAGCATAAGAGGTAGTTACTTTTTTTTTTTTTTTTTTTTTTTGAGATAGAGGCTTGCTCTGTTGCCCAGGCTGGAGTACAGTGGTGCAATCATGGCTCACTGCAAACTGCCTCCCAGGTTCAAGCGATTCTTGTGCCTTAGCCTCCCGAGTAGCTGGGACTATAGGCATGCGCCACTATGCCTGGCTAATTCTTGTATTTTTAGCTGAGACAAAGTTTCTCTATGTTGGCCAGGCTGAGGTGATTACTTTTAAAACATTGTAAATGGCTTCTAAAGCAATTGTTGATAGTTATTCATCATGCAGTACTCATACACATTTATATATAAATATAAATAATTGCTTTTCAGTCCAACATTGCTATTAGTTTTTATTCAATTTCAAATTCTGGTTTTGTGACTCGTTTGTAGCATCAGCTATCTTAGCGTCATGGGTGGGCTGACTGGCCCTTTAACATCATCTGCAGCTTTTTTCAAGCCATACTGGGTGCAAAATTGACAGGTAAGTAATTGAGAAATATGGATTATACTGCAAATAATTTTAATTTTAAATTTCTCGATGGTGGAATTTGGATAAGTGTTTGTGTAATTCTTACTGTATCTTTAGAGATAGAAAAGATATATGTGGATTGATTTCTTCCTTCATGGGAAAACAGTTAAGAAGACAAGGCTAACAGAGGTAGAATGCTTTTCTATCATTTTGTATAATTCAATATCATACACCATATTATGTGATAAAGAACTGTAGATGCTATAGAAATATACAGAAAAAAGAGATGATTCAGCTGAATTAATCAGAGAAGGCTCACATGGGCCTCAGAGCTTGAGTTGGATATGGTACCCCGAAGATAAAGGGGAGGGAAACCAGACAGGTGAGCCTGTGCACATGAAATGTGGGAAGGAGTACACACAGCACATGTCCATTAAGATTAGAGGCTGTGTGGCTGTGAGTCCTCAGAAATACGGTAGGGTGGGGAGGATGGGTACAAATACCAAGAGACTAGAAAACGACTGTTGTATAGCTTTGAAAAGACTCCATACACTTCCATAGTTTGCTATGTGAGTGACATGTGTTTTGCTGTGCTAAGAACTTGCCCTGCCCCTTGGGAATGTGATGGTTCCACTTTATCAGACTCCATATGTGAGTTACTGATCTCAACCACTGGACTCCATCATACATATAAACCTAAGAGTTTGACAGAGACTTTGGGAGCTTAGGTTGTGGCAGGGTGCACTCCGTCAGCCGCCTCTTTAAAATCTGAGAGCTCAGGCTACGGCAGGGCCACACCCTATTGGCTTTGGAGCTGATCTCTGGAGCCTCACCAGCCTACACTAGCACCTCTCAAGCACTAAGCATTCTTGCATGTCATTATAGATCTTCACTGTGTTGTTCACTGTGTTGATTGAGCCTTCTCTTCCAAGAACCTCTTGTATAAAGCTACACCTCAAACTTTAATTAGACTTACATTCCACCGAGGCTTGCATCTATCGTCATTGAGCAACCAGACTTTAATAATTGGACTCTAACAAAATTGAAGCTACGTGGTTACTGTACCACATTAATAGTACACAATAATGTACACTGCACACTATATATACAGTACAGTATGCAACGTATACCATGTACAAAATAATGGTACACAATAAAGTCTATTGAGTATATTTTCAATGAGATTTGTCCTTGTTACTCTCCTCTTAAGCTTTATGAATGAAAGCAAAACTTTGTCTTTGTATGGCAAACCATGTGATTTGTGAAATCATTCTCTGATCATCCCTTTATTTTAACTGTGCAAAAAAAAATCACCCCAAGAGGGTTGTCAGAGGCAATGGAGAGCTTTGAGAGAAAGTGTATCCATTGAGAAGCTTTGAGATACAAGTAATAGAAACTTTGACTCAACTGGCTTTAAGAAAAAGAAAACATATCGTTACTTCACACAGAAGTCTGAATGTGGGGCTGGGGCTGGCTCTTTTCCCTCCATCATTCTCTGCTGGTTGGCTTGTTCTGAGGCTGGCTGTCCTCCCTGTCACAAGATGGCTGCTATGATTCCAGAAATCACATCCAAACACAACAAAGTCCAGATGACAAAGATAGGGCACTCCACCCTGGGTGGCTTTTAAAACAAAAATGAAAAATATAAAGCTTTAATCAAAGAAGCAAACCTTTCACCAACTCCCCCAGTAGACTTTTCTTCCTATTCATCGCCCAGAGTTACACCACATGTGTATGCCTAAAACAGTTACTGGAAGGGGAATGGGGTCCTATGGGAGTACAGCTGGAACCACCTCCCTTGAAACCCAAGGTCAGACAGAAGAAAGTGGGTCCCTGAATACATTTGTATTCTCTTAGGAGAAAGGAAGGGGAATTGACTATTGGCAAGGTAGCTCAGGTTTTATATGGCTCGCTGCTCATGTATTTTAGGGTCCTCTTTAAGAAAAGGCATACAAACTTATAAATGCAAAATTAGGAATGAAAAAAGAATATTTTCATAGACTGAGAAAGGAAACCGTAACAAATTACAAAATAAAAAAATGGTAAAATGTCATAAAAAATCTAAAGATGTAAAATGACTTTTCAAATAATTGCCTGGGGTATTCCTATGACTTTTTTCCTGCTTTTTATTTGAGGCAGGGGCTATATAGTCTTTAAAAGTCTCTTCACATGACAGTGATTTTGCATATCATCTTCTATATCATGATAGAAATATAATTCAGTTTTTCCTTGACATGGTAAATCAAATAAAAAAAATTGATGGTTTAAGAAAGTTCCTTTCAGCCTGATGCCTTCCTGGGGGTAAGGTGAGGTAAAGATTTAGGGTTGTTGCTAACGTTGCACAAACCTCCATCCAGCTTCTTTCATACATGAGTTTGTAAGAGCTCTCAGATTTCAAGCTGTCTTATGTGTTGACTAATCTCAAATACTCTTTTCAATCATTACACTCATCAAACATTTGATCGTCAATGTCCTCACTGTAATGTGTATTATGAGGTTTGGGCTAAACTTGTTGACATTGGTATTTTGTGCCAAATCAGCAAGAAATTAAAATTGTTTCCGTTGTGTCCACATGATTCAAATTATTAATCAAATTATCAAATAATCCAAGAGCCTATTTATCACTTTTATTCAAAATCTGTCTTTTCTTCCTAATGTATTACTGTTTTGTATTTATTTATTTGTTATTATGTAGAGTTGATTTAAATGTAGGAATACATGTGAGTTTTCAGGGGTTTTTTTAGGAGATACAGTTTAATTTTATTTATTTTAAATTTTTATTTATTTTTGACCCATAATTGTCCATATTTATAGGGTATATAGTGATGTTTCAATACATACACTGCATAGTGATCAGAGCAGGGTAATTAGCATATCCATCATCTCAAACATTTATAATTTCTTTGCATTACTGCTTTTTATTCCCCAAAATGTTCTGAGTATAATCAAAACAGTTTCTAAACCTCACTATTTGCTTTCAACCAATGCGGGCACCTTTAAGTAAACCACACAAACATGTTCCACTGAACCCGAACTGAATGTATCACCAACTCCACTTCCCTTTATGAGCATATCATAAAAGACCTGCAGACACCCCACCGCCATTCAACATGAGGGAAACGGGTGAAAAATGACAGGGGTCACAACCACGGTGGTTAAAATATCTTACACAAACATGTAACCTTGTCAGTGAAATGCTCGCCTCTTCCTGGGCCTTGGAAAGGAGCCCAGGCAAGTGAGTGCGCTTGGAACTCCAACCTCAGGAGCTTCATCCTGATCGCCCTCTGGCAAGGGTGTCTGGAATCAGGGATGGCAGGAACCAAGCCATGTCTGCGATCCAGGAAGACCTGGACAGGGGAGAGGCAGCAGGCCTGGAATGGATGTGGGAGGTAGGAGACCCAGGAGGCAAGCATCTCAACACCTGGGGAGTGAGTGGATGTGGCAGATGAGAGAGTGACTCAATCAATGACAAGTCTCACTGTTCCAGGTTGGATCGGCAGGAAGATGGGGCATTACCGATGGGAGCAAAGAGGTTGGAAGGGTGGGATTTTTTATATCCCATTACAAGACAGAGCATGGCTTAACTAAGTGCGTCAGGAGAGCGTTAGACCTGAAGCTGGCTGAGCCCTCAAAGGATTTCGGAAGGTGATTTGGTGCTAGGAGAAGTGCCTTATTCAGGGCTATTCCTTAGTGCATGGGAAAGCTGGAAAGAAACCCAGTTTTTCTGACGCTCTGTTCTTTTCTTTACCCCAGGCTGCCTCCCAAATACAACCTTTACCCCACACTAAGCATCCCAAACTTGAGGAAGTTCTTAATTCTTGCTTAAGGAGAGCCTTCCTGGGCGGTTGCTCCAGCAAGTCTTGGTGGGTGGTTCCTGTTATTGATGATTTTATCAGTTGTAGGAAATCTGTGCTGGGTGCTAAGAACATCCATAAAACAGGGGAGGCATGGGGGGAATCCTATTGTATTAAGTCCTTTTCTCTCACTTCAGTTCTCCCCCACCCTAAGGCCTCCCACAGACATCTGGGATCCAGTGCCAAAATATGCATTCTAGAGCCTTCAAGCAAAACTAGGTCTTCTGCCAGCAAGAACGCTGAATCAAAGCTTTCTGTATCCCACTCCCTCTAAAAACCCTTTATCAAACTTTCACCACACAAAAATGGAAGCATTTCAGTCTCTGAAGCAGTTCAATGTGACTGTGGCTACTGCATCTTGAAGGGGATATTCATTCATTCAACAAATGCATTTTAAATTCTGCAATGTGATCAACACCATGCTAGACACGAGAGATACAGCAGTGAGCATGTGTAGTCACGGTCCCTGCCATCTGGGAGACTCTTCTCAAATAAATCACAAACAAATGTAAAATTGCAACAGTGACCCAAAGGAGAGGGACATACATGGCTGATGTGTATTCTGCCGTCCTTCACTTTCCTTCCCTCTGTACACACAATGCTGTTCTGCCCCTCAAGAGGTGAAGTCTTTTCCCTCCCTTGAATCAGGACTGGCCTTGGGAATTGCTTTGAGCAGCGTACTGGAGGGACACTGAGACTTCTGAGCCAAAGCCTTAAGAGAACGGGCAGATCTATTTCTACCCTCTTAGAAGCCATTGGCCATATGAAAAGCCCAACTATCCAGAGACCACCGTGGTGTGAAGAAACCAAGCTGGTCTGAGGGACAGGCTCTATGGAGGCAGCAATGCCCAGCCATGTCTCCACTCTTCAGCCACCCCAGCTGAGACACCAGGCACGTGATTGGAGAAGCCATCTTGGACATTCCTGCCCCAGTAAACACACGGGGAGCAGGAAGATCACCCCGCTGAAGCCAGTCCAGACTGAAAAATTGTGAGAAAGAATCAATTGTTTAAAGCTACGGAGTTTTGGGGAGGGGTGTTATACAGCTGTAGAGCTGTTGCCATGGGCTCCCAGAGCGCCCAATCCCCTGTGTCCTGGACCCTTCAAGCCCTGTCTCCAGTACCCCTGGGACTGCTCCCCCTACCTGTGTGTTAGTACTAAGTGGTTAATTCCTGGTCCAGAAGGAAGCCTCCATGATCTTGTCCCAGCATCCATTCTAATGGGGCCTAGGTTCTGGTTGGTCAATATCTGCACAGTACCAGTCAAGGTTTTGAGTAGCAACCTTGGCTGCAGGGTGCTCTCAGGTCTTATAGTGATGGCGTTTTACCTCTTCAAAGAGTCCAGGAAAGGAGTCTGTGAGGAAGTGGCACTGAGCTGAGATCTGAAGTGTGTAAAGGTGTGAATTTGGTGGTGAAGGAGAGGGAGGCATGACTTCAGAGGGGGCATGTAGGAGGGCTTTGTGGTAGGACAGAAGACGGTGGAAAGAGGAACTGTCTGGACCTTATAATGCAGGGCACGGTGGATTAGACTAGACAGCACCCTTCCCTAGGCTGGCCAAAGACCTAGGAGAGTCTGACTAAGACTGATGCATGCTGGAAGGTGACTGACCAGCCCAATCAGGTCCTGTCTTTCAAAGAGTTCAAATCAAGATGCACCAAGAGAGCCAGTTGGTCAAGAGCAGAAGTGCAGCTGAGCCACCATAATGAAGGCTGGGGCTGGGGCACAGGACACCTATCCTCAGTTGAGGACTGACCTCCATTGTTGCTGCAAAGCAGAGGTCGCAACCCGCAGGGTGGTTGGTTGGGGTGGCCAATGTGTCCCTTTTTTGGTCCATCCACATAGGGTTGCCAGAACAATATTTTATTATTAAATTAGTTGCCAGCATTGAAATATCAAAGGTTTTCAAATATGAAGATCTCAAACGTGGGAAATTTTGGAATATTTCTGCCACATCCCTGATTGCAGCAATAGCTAGAGGTGAGTAGGAACTACTCACTTTAGATGGAGCGTGTGTAGTGCACACCAGTGTATTACATGTCCACTGCTCCCCGGGGGGACCCCCACAATTGAGATGAGTGTGAGTCATCATGCGTCATCCCACACAGGCCCTGCTGCACACATTCACACTGCCTACCCAGCTCCTGCAGGCATTGGACAGTGTAATTTCTTTTGTTGGGACACTGAGGCTGCTGTTGTAAACCAAAGACCTTAATGTCCTCCTGGTTGTCTGTGTGGTGGGGTTGCTAGATTTAGCAAACACAAAATGCTGAAGCAGAACAACCACCACCCAAGAACAAAATAAAATGGAATGTCCAGGTAAATTTATATTTCAGACAAACAACGAATGATTTTTCAATATAAGTATGTCTTCAGTACTGACATTTTCTCTAGCCTCTTTGTGAAGCAAAGCAGCATTGGTGCTGAGATGGTGTCCTGACCTTGTATTTCTGGTACACAGAACCAGGTACATTCCCTACCCATGGCTGCCCATTCTATGCCTCCATTGACTGAGGTCACCTCGAGAGAGGCTCTGCTTCTTGCACCTGATGCTCCACAATAGCCCAGGTGTTGGATGAGTAGCCTGTCGGAATAGATTGGCTCAGAGGAATGATGAGAGCCAAAGTTGGAAGGTCATTTGGGGACAGACTGCAGAGGGCCCTTATGCCAGAATCAAGATTGAAGGCGACACCATGGCAGTGGCATTTCAAGAAGATGCAGCTGACATTGTTTTGAGAAACAGGAAGACAGCATTCCTGGGGGTGAGGAGCTCCCAAGAAAGTTGTGGGGATACTGAGGTTGGCAGTAATGAGGGTCTCCATTGGAAGGTGGAGGCTGGAATGGAGAGGAGTTGACATAGGCAACCAGTGTTGTAGGAAGAATCAAGAGGTTTGGTGACAGCTTGAATGAGTTGGTGACACTTCTATGGTTATCGAATGGGGGCAGCAGCACTGCCCTGAGCTATATTTCCCAGGAAGCTGGGAGGGGAGCTGCCCTGAAGAGAAAAGGAACAATGCCTTTTTAGATGTGTTGACCTGGAGGTGCAGTCAAATAGAAAAATCCAGTAAGAGGTTGAAAATTCTGGTAAGTTACAAAAGGAGTTAGGATTTACTGTGTGCTTGCTATGTATTTCCTGTTCTAAGAACTTTATATATATTAATTTGTGAAATCATTACTAAAACTTTCTGAGAGATATACTATTTTTATTCCCACTGTATAGATTAGGAAAGTGAGTAACAGTGTGGTAACTGGCCTGAAGTCACACAGCTACAGCTGGTAATGTTCCACCCTAGCTGTCTTGTAATGACTGTGCCTCACTTCCTCACAATTTAAACCCAAGGATTCACTCCTCCACTTTCCTTTTAGCTGATCAAATCAATCTACAGCTAAGAAGAAAAAGTTTTGTCAGTATCATGTTAGTTAAAATTTTATAATAAAACATGGACAATAAAGCCCAACATCCAAAATCAAATTAGATTTATATATAAAAAGAATCAAAATGGGTATATGGCCATGTGGGACATTTATTTTGTGGCTTCTAACTAGGATGCTTTAATTTTACATCGCCATCTCTGTATTTGGTAAGGCCATAGGTGGAGATCAGTAGTGAAATGAACCAACAATAATAATATTATGCCTTTGAATAACTTTTTAAATATGATTAAAATTATTAGCCATAATATATTAATTAATGAATTCTAGCCTTAATTTAATGCTATATATCTAATTATAATTAAATTCTACTTTAATATATCATATTCAGTTATAAAATGCGAATCCATGGCAATTTTCCTATATAGTTGGCTGAAAGCAAGCAGCTTGCAAGTAATACAGTTTATCTTTAAGAAATCTTTATTTTTTTCTGTGTAAAATGCTAATGCATTTTCATAAATCAATTTACTTGTCATACATTCTTGCTGGGCTGAAAATTGTTATTTTGTATTTTTGGAGAGAATTGTTGGATCTAAGTTCTTGGATTAATAGCTGCCATTGCTCCCTTGTTTTGGAAACATTTTGAAAGAGACCGTTGCATTCCTGAAGTCGGAATGTGGTTAATTCAGCTTTCATACACACAAGTTCTATTGGAAGGGAGAAACTTGAGGGAGGGGAAATTGCATCCCTGGAGATGTAAAGGGCTCATCACCAGTAGAGGAGATTTAGGGCACAGGTGCACAAGACAACTGTTGCCTCTTCCCGCTGAGCCAGCAACAGTGCTTCCAACTTCACAAGCAGCAGGGAGAAATCTGGGGAAGAAAAACGTCTTCACTCTTGTGCATGTTTTGGCCTGTTGCTGACTCTGCTACAGGTCATTTGGGGTGTGAGAGCAGCCTGGCTCTTTTTAACACCCTGTTTTTTTCCTGGTAATGGAGCAATAAAGAAACTTGGAAAAAGTGATAGCCTGGAGAGTGAAATTCAGGAACACCCATGGAGCCATGGGGAGTTCCCAGATCTCCCCAACAATTCACTGCTGACACTCCTGGTCTGACTCTGAGGAAACTCATTTGTGTTATTATTGATGGCAGGGCTGGGGTACTTTGGGGTGGACTGAAGACAAAGTCTCTCAGTGCTCTGTGAAATGCCAGTGGGCTCAGGGTCCTGGGTTGTTGAACCATTGAAGGGTAATTGACATGTGCATTTCACAGGCAAATTGGCAAAGTTTTTGTGAACTTGTGCAAATCATATAAATAGGCTTGAAGTAGATGAATTATGATCAGTTCCTATAATGGGGCCTAGCCTGAGAGCTGCGAGAATAAGAATCTCATGGAGAAATCCCGACAGGTTGCTAAATAGGGTTGTATATGTGTGTCTATGTGCATGTGTGTTTAAGAACCCTGCTCCCAAATTGCTATATGACTTCCAGTACTTGTATCCAAATTCCTCTTTCTGTTCTAATGGCATTCCTTCTCAGCTCTCCCCCTGCAGCACATCATCCCTTTCTTCTCATTTCTAAACTTCAATAGTGAATTCAACAGTATTCTTTTTCTCTTCTTGGACGCATGATTTTTTTAACCTAGGAAAGAAGGGAGAAAACTCCTTGGAGATTTATTTGAACACTTGATTAAAACAAATCTTATAATTGAAAATATTAATGGTTCATATTTTTTAGGGGATACAAAATTGACTTGTTTCACACAAGTTCTATTGGCCACTTGGAATAAAGTCAAAACACCTTTTGGATAGGTCATCTAAATGTATTTTTTCTTGTACATAGGTTTAAGTAAAACCAGACTGCTATGTCCTTGTTTCCTTGACATTGCTATGTGATGTTACTTGTCTGAAGGCGAGACACAAAATGAGGTGTGTGTGTGCGGACATATGGAACTAGTTTTCCTCTCAATGACAAACACATGAGTGGATACTATGCTTCCTCCCTGGTTATGCAGCTTCAAGCACGTCGACAATGAGGCTACCCCAAAACTGTGCTATTTGGGGTAGAGTGGAAATTCTCTCACAGACTCCTTCAACTTCTTTTCTGGTGGTAGCTTAAGAAATAAGATGAGAACAGGAAATAAGTCTCTTCAGAAATAAAAGGTCTAAGTCAAACTTTTAATTTGGGAAATCTTCTGCAAACTTGATTACTTGACTTAAACTTACTGATTCACACTCTAGGGGGTTCGGCTGACTGTATATTGTACTCTTAACAGCCATGATTAGTATTTTATTTGCTTTTATTTTTTTCTCTCTGGAGTAAAGGGAGGGTAGGAGGCAGCATAAAACTATTTCCAAGTTATTTAAATGAAAACTATTAAGCAATGGATGATTTATTATATTCATATTCTACATTTTTAAAAAAATCTAGGCCATTTATGTTTATTGTGTTTAGGATACTCTGAGAAAATAGTGGGAGTAAAACATTTCACTTTTCCTTGTCTAACAGTTTTACATGCAAATTTGGTTAAATGATAGAGGATGCATGTAAGGGAAACAAATGAAAAAGTGGTAGTGAAAAGAAAAAAATTGTATATATTCTTAGAAGAAGCTGTTAAACTAGCTTTATAAATATAAACTGTAATCACTAACAGATAAGTAGCAAATATATTTTAAATTTAATAGCACATGCAGAACCATAATAATTACTGTCCAGTTATACTAAGATGTATATATTATGTTATATTCCTTAATGGGGTGGTGTGAAGGACTTTTTGCAGCCCTTCCTAGTAAATGTGTCATGGTTGGGTAAATGATCATTTTAAGGGTCTGTTGTAAGTGGTAGATGCCTCAGAAGCCTTTTGTTGTTTAGTTGTTTTGGGGGCAGTGAATATTTTCACTTTGTGTTTTATACAAAGGCAGGAAGGAAGAGCTGCTGGGGAGGATAGATGGGCACATCCCCTTGTCCTCTGGGGCTTTTGAAAACTGCCTTGTCTTCCTGGCAGGTTATGATAGGCAGAGCCTATTACCTCCTTTATGGAACACCCACTTTCTCCTTTATCCCCAATCCATGCCAGCTCCTATAACTGAAGAGAATGTGTCTTATCAGGTGTTTTGGGACAGGAAAAATGTTTGAGAAAATGATTAGTATTTCTGAGAGAATTTTTATTTCCAAAAATAGGGTGTATTCTATCACCAAATATCACTCTGCCAGTCAAGCAAGATAATGTTATGCATCTATAATCAGTGATGATTTCCAAAAAATTTATATTTTATACTCAACATACTATGCAAGATCTTGCAGAATTCATTTTGCACTGCATGACTGCTTAAAGGCTCACCCAGAGGGCTACTTCAAGCAAGAAACCTTTAAAGTTCTTCTTTTGAACCGTGGTAGGAAGAAGAGGATGTAAACATGATTTCTTTTTTTAAGTCACTGAAATATTTTATTTCAGTTTATTTTAATTTAAATGATTCATCTAAAAGATTGTTTAAGGTGGTATCAAACCCCAGTGATCATGAGAGAACTTACAACTTCTGCCAGCCAAAAGATCTGAAATGTTGCCAAGATGCCCTGGATTCAACCAACTTGAATGATGATCTATCAGCTTTGGGGATTCGGATTCTGAGATTAGAGGCAGCTGTGAGTAGAAAGAAAAATCCACCCCGAACTCCACCCCTCCTTCTTCGTTCTAACATTCCCACAGAAATGAATATGCTTTTAGTTGAGCCGACTCAGACACAGAGGACTCAAGGCTGGAGGATTTATTTGAAAAGGAAACCCAAGAAAAATCCTGACACATCTTGAAAAAGCCTCTATAAATCTAAACCTAACTGCAGTCCGAAGGCCTGCCCACGAGATGCAGGTCGAAGGGAGATGGTCCGGACTTGAAGAGCCTAAATCCACCGATAATTTTTTGTGAATTTGGGTCTGGCTCTCTGACACATATGGCATTCAGGATTCCATAAAGGAGACAGTCCATCTGTGGGGCACAAACAGCTCCTTCTTGGAGGTGGTGGTTCTCGGACAAAACATAGTATCTCCAGAGTGTAGTACACAATAGAGTGTGGGAAGGTACTTTTAAATACTTCCATTTTGGCTTTTCCACTGTCAATTTCTGCCCCATTTATAACACTTATAAAGATGGATAACTTAGATTCTGAAGAAAGGTTATTTTTTCTTCACTTTTCTCCTTCAAATGGGAGATAAAGTAGTTTAGGGGAGGCATGTTAAAGAAGGCTATCAAGACCTGTCCCCCACACTCTCTGTGTCCTATAAACCAGCAGAGCGCTGCATGGAAAAAGTCTTCTGTCTTCTATGTAGCTGGAATAAAAGGAAAGGGAAGGAAAACACCCCAACTGCCAATCCCACTGCAGTCATGAAACTTGAGAAGTCTCTGTTGTCTGTTCTCAGGAAATGGTGTGGGTTCTTTTTGGAGTGGTTATGTTCAGGAAACCCAGAGCTGAGATGGAGAGGACTTCAGGAAGTTTATGCAGTGTATCCTTCACTTGCGCAGGAGGATAATGTATAAGAACAAACTGGACTACATGTAGGCATGCATGAAAATAAGTATTCCTGAACATACTGAAGTTGGACTAGTATAATTAGTGATTGCTAAGTGCCCTTGGGCCAAGAAGGAGTGATAAGTGAATGGAGACCCTTAGGGCTGATCATCCTGGGAAGAAAGTGCTCTTTGGCATGGGATGAAGCAAGAGCTGGGCCATAGCCTGAGTGAGTGGGGCCTCTTATTCTCTCTCTCTCTCTCTCTCCCCGTCTCAGGGACCTCATGGCAAAAGTCTGCACCTCCAGAAAGAAGATAGGAGAGCCGGACTTTGTGACATGGTGACAGGCTATGACACAGGAAGGGGGACTCCTGGGACCCATAGAGGATGAGCCTGTTGGTTGGCGATTAAGCAGGTTTACCTATTAAGCAAGGTCATCCCTAAGGAAGTTCCCATAAGGTACTTCCATGAGTGCTCAGGCTTTTTGGAAAACAAACTCCAACAGATAGTGAGCACCTTAATCGCTCAGTTGAGTGATCAGTTGTGAAAAGGGATTTAATATTTTTGGAAGTAAATGGGCCAGTGTTCCATGCATCTGCTTTCTCACCCCAAACCTCTCTTCTCACTGCTAGTGGTTCTTAGGCTAAAGAGGCTTGATTTCATCATCTTTCATCTTGCTTCTGTTGCTCCCTGTTGCTAAGAGAATAGTTATATTTCTCAGGTCTTCTCTTGCCCCACAGTTGATGATTCTATAGTAGATGATATGGAGAAGGAAAGAAAATAATCAAACAATTGTCCATGCCAAGCCCTTTGCCTATGTTTTTGTATTTGTTCCTTTTGGAAATTATGACACATGAATATTATTATTCCTATTTTACAGATGAGAAAACCAAGGCACAGAAAAGCCAAATCACTTGGCTAAGCACAGCTCACGAATGAGGGGAAGACCCATGTATTGAACCTAGAATCATCTTCCTCCAGAATACCTGCTGGGTTTTTTTTTATGCCATCTCCTTGCGTTTCACTCCTGGGCACTTTTTCAAATTCACTCTGGAGAGATGAGTATACATTTAGGTAGCATGCAGGAGCAGGATAGGTATGCAGATGTGCAGGTGATATACAGGAGCAGGATAAGTGTGTGGATATGCAGGTGGCATGCAGAAGCGGGATAGGTGTGGGGATGTGCAGGTGGCATACAGGAGCAGGAGACAAGCCTGGAAGCATAGTAAATACTAATCTCCTGGCCTTTTCTGACTCTACCTCATGCCCCCTCCTCCCAGCCTCCAACAATCTCCTGCCTCTGAAAGAAGTCACAACAAGGGATTTTTGTCATGAGATCAAACCAGTGATCCATCCAGCTCTGTTTCCTGCCTCTTCAGTTTGGTTGAGTCATGACACTTGAGCAGGAGGCAGAAGGCTCAGCAGCCCCTAAGGCGAGCAAACAATATTGCATATTGTAAATGGGATGAAAACATACCAGCTGACCCCCAGACCCATGTGTGCCCGAAAGCAGGAGATTTAATGAAGCAAATGGCCAGGTGAGGTCACAGACCAAATTCCAGGCATGCTTTGCCCACACTGGCTTCAAGGGTCTCCTTGCATCTCCCTGTCATATTTATAGACACATCTGAATCTCATTTTTAAAATTCCAGCCTCTGAGCTTTGATATATTCCTTTCTAATACTTTTCTGCTGTGACCTGATGAGCAAGAGGGGACATTTGCATCTGCCTTGCAATTAAGCTAAACAAGAGAGGAAAATTTTAAACAATCTTTAAAATTACTTTAATAACACTTATAACACTTGCATATTAGGGTACAGGAAGAAAAGCGGCTTCTATTTTAAAATATTTTCTTATGTCAGATGAAGCTGGTTTATATCCACAACCCTTCCTTTCATGTCATCTCTTAACTTATTTTCCCACCACTTAAGCATGCTGGCTGCTGCCAAAAGTGAGATCTTCTGCCCTACCAGGGCTAATGGTTCATCAGCAAGCAAGGCCAGTCACAAGAGCCATCTCAGTGGCTGGTCGGATAGATTCTGGGTCAGATACAGAAGGAGCAGGAACTCAAAGGACCTGATGTCTTACAAAGCACTCAGCTCTGGCTCTGAGAGTGGCAATCTGGGAACATACTGGAAATGTGGGGAGCCACAGCAGAGGGGAGCTTGCATGGGTATGGAAGCTATAATCAGAGGCCAGCCTCCAAAGCTGCTTGGATTAAAGATCCATGGTGCAGGTCCCTGAGGTGACCAGGCCAGAGGTCGCCCCCTTGCCTCTGCAGTGGATCCTCTGTGCTGTACACTGAGCCATCCAGGGCCAGGCCAGGGCTCCTGCAGGATGCATGCAGGGTCTCCTGCAGGGACCGGAGAACTTGATACTGTTGGTGCAATTGCAGGATTGAGTCTTTTTTTTTTCTTTAACTTTTCCCCTGCTTCTTTTTTTGCCCAACGTGTGAATTTTTGTTTATTCCTTTCACATCCCTTTTGCACTAATTTTTGTCTTTTTCTTTTTCTGTGAGGCTGAATTAAGTCTGGCCTACAGGAGATGTGCAGAGTCAGTTGAAAGAGGAGCAACAGAGCAACATTCCCTTTTCTTCGTGCCTTTTTTTTTTTAATGGCATTTGAACACAAAAGGTGGATCTCAGGATCTTGCCTGGAACTTTTCTCAGATTACCAGGGTTGCAATACAGTGGCTGAACTCTGAGTCATTTTTCGAGCCCTTCCCTGAGAGCCAATACCAGGCATGCAGAGTCTCTTCTGATGGCGTACGGAGTCCAGAATCAGTCCCTGGGGTTTGAGAAGAAGGGCAGATTCGCCTTGGTAGGGGTGGTCAAGGGTTTAGGTTGATTACATTGGCATTTCTCTTTGGAAAGTTGCAAAGCATTGACATTAAAATATCCTCCCTGTTAATTAAGAGTTTTCATATAACAGGGGTAAAGAACTTTAATGAGCATCATGGCACCCTGGTCGCTGAATTAATGGCTAAGCGAGGGGGTCTCGGGCTTCAGGCTTATCTGCCATTAGGCATCTCTGAGCTGGCAGGAGGAGCAAACTGACAAGAATCACTGTGGAAATGATTGAGTTTCTCAAGCAGCCTGTGTTATTTTAATTAGACCAGGATATTGAGAACATGGTGCATTGATAAATTGGAGAAATAATGAAGGTTGTTTCTTCTCCTCTCATCTCTTTCCACCCCCTTCAAATGAAGCAATTATTTCTCTGACCTCAGGAACTGCATTTCAAAGAGGTCTGAAGACAGGCTTAGGCCTGCTGCTCCAGTGAATTCTGTGGTGCCCAATTACTGACCTCAGGAGTCAGCATTCTGAAGATTAGAGTCACGGGGAGTTTGCTTCACAGACTCACTTCTAATAATATACCTTCCATGCAGACACCATTAACCTGCCTTTTCCAGTTAGCCAATAAGGTACATCGAAGGGCAAAATTGTTATCAGCTCTCCAGGGGTCAGGCCCCTGGCTCTAATTAGAAACAGGGGTATCTGCAAGGGAAAGTCATAAAAGCACCTAGTCAGTAAAAGCTGACAGTGAATGAAGGCGAGGTGAGAAGTCATTCAGGCCTGGAACCTGTGGACATAATGCATCTTTGGTGCTGAAAGAATCACAGCTCATTTAGGCTATCCAGCATTTTAAAGCTTAGCTCTTCTTTTCCTTGCCAGTTTTATTCCTATAAACTGGTGAGGACACAGTGAATCCTTCTCCTTGCCCCCAAACCTGGAGACCTTAGTCATTTAGTTGAACTAAACACACATTGACTGAGAGCTACCGTGTGTCAAACACCATGTGGGTGGATAGCTGGCCCTTCTCCATGGGGTTCTCTGAGAGAATTGAACCCTAATGCCCAAGGCATCTATAGTATATCTTAATGTTTTTCCTACCCATCTAGAAAGATGCTAGCTACATGGTATCCGTGGGAGTGAAGCAAGAGAATAGGGTCTGGAGGCAGGGAACCTAAGGCCGATTTGAGCTGACTTCTTAGAACTAAATCAAAAGGAAAACCCCAACTTCCCACACCTAAGTAACAAAAGGACCAGAGGCTACTCCATTTGCAAAGCACCCCCCGCCCCGCCCCGACACACACCCGTTTTCTCTGTGACAGATAGAAAATGGAAAGTATCTCTAATTGATGGAAAATGGAAAGTATCTCTAATTGGTTGTTTTCTGCACCAGACGTTGGCATAGGAATGTAACTTTGTAACTTCACTTCAGCCTCTGACTGGTTGCTTTCCACAACCAACCAGACTGATTGCCGGCCAAGTCTTCATTTGCATAGAAGTTAACTTTATTACTTCATTTTAGCCTCTGATTGGTTGATTTCCACAACCAATCAGATGCTTGCATAGGGTGTAACCTTTGTAACTTCACTTCAGCCTCTGATTGTGGGCCATGACTTCATTTACATAGGGTGCACACCAAGTAACCAATGGGAAACCTCTGGAGGGTATTTAAACACCAGAGAATTCTGTAATCGGGGCCTTGAACCCCTGTGCTCAGGCCCGCTCCCACTCTGTGGAGTATACTTTCATTTTCAATAAATCTCTGCTTTTGTGGCTTCATTCTTTCCTTGCTTTGCTTGTGCATTTTGTCCAATTTTTTGTTCAAAAACGCTGAGAACCTGGACACCTTCAACTGGTAACAACAGGATTGAGAAAATAGTCACCCGTTTTCTATAGGGCTTAATTTCCTTGGGTGGCCCCCATTGACAAAGGCTGGATCATAAACACAATTTCTCCTCTCCCACTTGTCCTATTCCAGCCAAAAAGGAAAGTAATAGCATGAAGTTTTGTGATAAAGTCTGGAGGAGGGGCATGTGCTCCCTCAGCATGGATGAAGCAGCTAGCTTGGTCAGAGAGGCTAAGACAGTTAAGGGAAGTCTTCCTAAGGGAGAAACATTTACGCTCCTGTCTGGTGGAAGAATTAGAGCTAGTCAGAGGAGGGGAAAAGAAATTTCCAGGTGGAGGGAACAGTGTGATAACATGAGTGAAGGCCTTGAAGGAGTCAGAGGGTGGCTATTCCTGAGTGGACATTTTGATGACCAGTGATTCTTCAGCATTGGGCACATAGTCTTTTTAGCATGACACACAGAAGATGTTCTGTAAATGTTGAAGGTTAGGGGGAGAATGGTGATGATGGAGAAAGGGTTGGGAAGGAACAAGTCTGGAAGTGTTAATAAGAACTTTACCAGCCGCCTTAAATAATTAGGGCTTTATGCCAAAGGTGCCAGGAGCTGCTAAAGGACTGTGAAACTGATTATGTAGCTTCTTAGTCAAGTATCTGAAGTATGGGAGGGAGCCAGGTGTGGGGGCTCATGCCTGTAATCCCAACACTTTTGGAGGCCGAGGTGGGAGTATCACTTGAGGCCAGGAGTTTGAGACCAGCCTGGGCAACATAGTGAGACACCGTCTCTACAAAAAAATTAAAAAATTAACCAGGTGTGGTAGCACGTGCCTATAGTCCCAGCTACTAGGGAGGCTGAGGTGGGAGGATTGCTTGAGCCAAGGAGTTTGAGGCTGCAGTGAGCTATGATCATACCATTGTACTCCAGCCTGGGTGACAGAGCAAGACCCTGTCTCAAAACAACAACAACAACAACAACAGCAAACAACAACACAAAACAAAAATAAGTACTGGAGAGTATATAAGTCCAATTCTGCACCGGAGAGTAAGTCTTGCAATTAGCTGATGACAAACAGGCTGGTTGAGAGGCTGGTAACCCATGCAGAGCCCACCTCTGTTGGCCATCCTGAAGTTCTCTTCTCTCACTGGGCTCTCTGTCTCCTTCCCTCTTCTCCTTCTCTCCATCCCTTTTCCTACCCCTCTGCCCTTCTTCAGGACCCTGGCCATACTTGGAGAAGCAGCCTCAGATCCTGAGGTCCAGTGGTTTGGGAGAAAGCCCCAGTTTCTTTGCATTCTGTGATAGAGCATCTCTGAGATAGCTCTCTCATCCTATAGCATAACTTTGATATGCTATTATGCTTGGGAACTTTATTCAACTTTGTATGATTCTACACTTGTCCTTTTTGACATTTATCATCTTTCCAAATGTCCCAAGTAGTTAACGGCAGCAGTTGTTTTAGGGCAATGAGGTCAGTGAGAACTTCTCTCAAAGTCATTAATAATATAATTAGGTTAGTTTTATTTTAAATATTCATTTTATAATGAAAGCATTGTAGTTACAAGTTATTATTATTTTTTTCATGTGGAGCTTTGCTTTCTCTCCAATGCTCTGGAATCTGGGCTTTTATAACTTTCATACCTCATTTCTTCTATCAGTTAGATTCCAACACACTCCAAGACTTAGAGAATGGTTTCCAAACTGGGGCCCCTGGTGGGCCCCAGTTTGATGCGTGTAGAAGGGTGTGGGGGGGACAATGGGGGAAGGCAGGTTCCAGGCTCTCACATCCCTGCTTCATCCCCAGCGTTGACCTCAGGGTTAGATTCCACTGGAATCACGGACTCCACCAATGACCAAATGTTGAAAAGAGAGTAGCTCAAGGTTGACAGCATAGAAGTAAGTGAGGAGCCATTAACTGTCAGTACCACGAAGAGTGTGTTGTCTTCAACCGTAGACCTAGAGGAAAAGCATCTAAGAGTCTGGGAGCCTTGGAGTCACTCACTGCTGCTACATTTTAAGGACCTGCAATAATTCCCCACCATTCGTTTGGGAATCCTCAAGACAAACCACTATGAGATTTAAGAGATGAACTGAATGGAGGAAACCAGCCAGCATTTATTGGCATCTCCTAAGTATCAGGCCCTGTGCTGAAAGCTTTATGTATGTTATTCCATTTACTTTCCTTAGAAACTGTAGGAGAAAGGTTTGGAAAAGAAGAGAAACATTGCTGATTCTAAGTCCATGTAGCTCCTGATGGAGCACTCACAAGCCAGAAAGAATGTGACCTTACATTCCATAACTTGCAGTTACTATTGATTGGAAAGATCAAGTTAGAAGCAAGGTCTCCAGATGCTCCAACTTGCCATTGGCCGGATTATTAACCATAGAGGTTATAAAACAAGGCTGTGGAAATTTTAGAATTGAGGTTTTCAAACTTTAGTCTGTAAATATCACCTGGGAACTTAATAAAAATAAAAATTTTCAGTCTCCACCTGTGGAGATACTGATCTGACAGGCCTAGAGAAGGGTCCGAGAAACAACATTTCGTTATGTGGTTGAGAAGTGCTGGTAGACCATGTGAATAGGAAGGCAAAATAACCTTCTATTAAACCTGGAAGCTGGCTTTGCTCATGTTTGTTTGCATTAGATAAGATATGACTGCTAATTGATTTGGAAATCAAAGTTGTTGCATTGATTTGCGTTTGGTTATTGTCCTGCAAAGCATTGGTAAGCAAGTGTGGCTAGAATTCTTCAAGATGGTGCAATATCTTCAGCATCTATATTAGCATAATAGAAATGTTCTTACCTCCCTTTTTCTATTTTTCTTATAAGCTACAATGTCTGATGGCAAGTAATTGAGCATTCCCTTATAGCTGATTATTTTGTGAAGTGTATCTGTCCATACCACTAATTCAACCTTGCAAATACATTCCATTTCCAAAGTCAGTAAGCCTGAAGACCATCTGGGGAGATCCTTTCTTCACCATGGGCAGGAGCCCTTGCACCCCTGTGCCTTTGTTTGTTTCTTTGGCATAGGATGCCCTCTTCACCTTGTCAAATCTTATTGATCCTCAAAGGCTTATTGAAAATGTCATGTTCTTCTAAAGCATTTCCTGATTTGCCTCTTCTACTTCCTTTTTATTGTGTAGTCAAATAGGGATTTTCATTATCTTTGAGTATGCAAAACTTGTGATTATAATTCTTTAATGTTGCATATGTTTTCTTTTTACATTCAATTTGTATTGTTTTATTAAATTACTAAAAATGCTTATTGTAATACAGTCATTTGTTTCTTAATGGTGTGAATATGTTCTAAGAAATGTGTCAGGCTGGGTGTGGTGGCTCACACCTGTAATCCCAGCACTTTGGGAGGCCGAGGCAGGCGGATCTTGAGGTCGAGAGATTGAGACCATCCTGGCCAACATGGTGAAACCCCATCTCTGCTAAAAATACAAAAATTAGCTGGGCATGATGGTGTTCGCCTGTAATCCCAGCTACTTAGGAGGCTGAGGTAGGAGAATCAGTTGAACCTGGGAGGCGGAGGTTGCAGTGAGCTGAGATTGCGCCACTGCACTCCAGCCTGGTGACAGAGTGAGACTCCGTCTCAAAAAAAAAAAAAAAAAAAAAAAAAAAAAAAGAAATGTGTCATTAGGCAATTTTGTGATTGTGTCAGCATTATAAGTTTACTTACACAAACCTAGATGGTATAGCCTAATACACACCTAGGCTACAAACCCATACAAGCTGTTACTGTATGGAATACTGTGGGCAATTGTAACACAACGTTAAGTATTTGTGTATCTAAACAGAAAAGGTAGTGTGCTGCACATTATGACAGCTATAATGTCACTAGACAATAGGAATTTTTAGCTCCATTGTAATATTATGGGACCATCATCAATATGCAGTCTGTTGTTGACTGAAACATTATTATGTGGCATGAATGTAATTAAGTGCTACAGAAGCACATAGAATAAAAAGCTAAGCCTCTGTCATCTGCATCAGTTCACTCCCCACTACAGACCTTTTAAAAATGTGTTTGCCAGTAAAATAGAAAGCATAAATTTAAAGTTTGATAACAGGGCAGGATAACTATACATAAAAAATGTATTGTACTCAGGTGAGGACACCCCAAATGCCCTGACATGATCACTACCCATTATATATACATGTAAAAATTTTCTCACGTAGCCCACAAATTTGTACTAATAATTAAAATAAAATAAAATGCATTTGCAATCTGCATCTGTCACATAAGCACCCCTTCCTCCCAAACACACACAGACTTACTGTACTTTTTAGAGAAGGTTTCAGCTGTGGCAAAGTCGGCTTCCCGTCAGCTGCTGCAGCACATAGGTGGAATTGCAAAGAATGTTCAGTCTGTCCCTAATTTGGATTTAAACAATATGATGCATTCCATAGAGAAATTAACAAGTGGATATCCTAGTTTATCCATGTTGTCCTGATCTCTTTGAGGACACCGGTGTTACTTCCTGGTTCTTCAGGTTCCCCTTACACGTAGTCTCACAGTCAGAAATGAAAGTGGCCCCTGGATTGGCCCCTTACTCTCATGTTGCTCTTTTCTCTCCTCCTCGGTCTTTCTCTTTTTATCTCTTTTATTTATCTCATCCAGCGGTTGGCAAACCTTTCCTGCAAAGGGCCAGAGAGTAAAGACGTTGGGCTTTGGGCCATGTGGTCTCTGCTGGACCACTCGACTCTGCTGTTGCAGTGCCAGACAGCCATAGACCATGTACAGACAAATGCGGGCGTTTGTGTTCCAGTGAACCTTACTTATGGACACTAAAATGTGAATGTTATATAATTATTACATCACAAAATATTGTTCTTTTTATTTTTTCCAACTATTTAGAAATGTAAAAAAACCCCTGTTAACTTGTTTGCCATACAGAAACAGGCATCTGGCCACTTTGACCCAAGGACCAGAGTTGCCATCCCTTGCCCTCCTCCAAACTCTCATTCCCTATTGTATCCAGTTTTTGATGAAAATGACAATAATTTTCTATTACCCCTACAAAGGATGGTATAGGGGCATGGATCTTCAGATTCTGAAGCTCTAGGAGGGATGGCGAAAGAGGTCCTCAAATTGTTTTGGGCTTTAGGAAAATATCTAGATGGCAACAAACAAAAACAGTATTAGATCTTCATATCTTTTATCTTACAGTGCTAAAAGAGTGTACCCTTGCTGGTCTGGACTTAAAACATCATCGTTTATTGTACATATTTTATTCTACTTCATTAGATTAGCTTTCTGAAAATAAGGACTTTGAAAACTCTGTTGTCTCTGCATCTGAATGCCTGGTACAAATTCAGTGGTCAAACCTCTTGAACAGTTCTTGATATCTCTATTAACCCTATACTTCTTAGCCAATACGCTTTATCTTTCTATCTCTACTCCTTTCTGCTATTCCACATATAAATTAGTAAATAGAAAATGAGGCCGGGTGTGGTGGCTGACACCTGTAATCCCAGCCCTTTGGGAGGCCAAGGTGGGCAGATTGCTTGAGGCCAGGAGTTTGAGACCAGCCTGACTAACATGGTGAAACCCTGTCATTACAAAAATTACCTGGGCATGGGGAGCATGCCTGTAATCCCAGCAACTTGGGAGGCTGAGGCACTAGAATCGCTTGAGCCTGGGAGCTGGAGGTTGCAGTGAGCCAAGATAGCACCACCTGACTCCATCCAGCCTGGGCCACAGAGCGAGACTCTGACTTAAAAAAACAAAACAAAACTGTGAGGATGTATCTTTAAAATTCTTTTATAAACAGAGACTCATGAAAATAAAACAAAAATGGAGTAGAATCAAAGGAAGACATTTACCTCTCCAGTTTCTTTTCTTAAATCGCAAGGTGTGGTTCACAGGGGATGGAGGGTACAAATCTTTTCAGCTGCTATCCTGTAATAAACCTAAATGTGGTGAATTTGGGCTGGCTTTCTAAAAAGTTCAACATTCTCAGCCACTTATATGAAGATGGCAATAAGATTCTGTCTGCATACCGGTTGAGTGTATCTTACCTCTGTCACCAAATCTAGAGTTGCTTCTGACCACCATCTCCACCCCATTCTTGCCTTCTTTGCCTTTCTGGCAAGAAGATGTGGAATTCTTAGTAAAGACTGAGTCTTTCTTTATATTAGTAACATCTGAGTTTTGGTGACCATGGAGAAATGGACATTGGTCAAAATAGCAGAAGGGAGGAGATGGGTAAGAGGGGAACTTCCAGAATGCTGAAATATACCTTTGACTCTGAAATCTGAGCTCACACATCAGGGTCTTCAGTTTACAAATGTTTCCCTGGTCAAAAAAAATAAAATGTCTAACAAGCTTACAAGTATACTCAGTAGCCATATTAAAGTTCTCATAAATCATTTATAGGATTCAAAGTAAACATGCCTGGCTCTTTGTATTTTAGTTCCTTGGCAGAAATCTCCATTCCAGCTGGCCTCAGGTCAGCATGGGTGCTTTTCCCAAACACTCAAGTTCCTTCTTCTAACGTGATCTTCTTTCATTTTTTAGATGAATACCTAACTGTCTGTCCTGTTTACAGCTGCACATGTGGCCTACATGAACAATTTAGAAGTATGCTTTGCCATCACTTGACAGAATGAGACCCTACTGCTCATAAGCCAGAGAATAAACACATGCTGCCTTTATCTAGAAAAAGCCTTTCATGGATATATTTTCAAGGAATCATGGATCCACTTGCAAATATTAGCTTTGATTCTGCTAATGCAGTGTAAGAGCAAGAGTTAGCAAACTGTAGTAATGTCTGCTTTTGTGTGGCTCATGAGTTAAGAATGGTTTTTACATGTTAAACTTACCTTGAAAAATCAACGAATAATATTTAGTGGCATGTAAAAATTTTGTAAAATTCAAACTTCAGTGTCCATAAATTAAGTTTCATTGGATCCCAGTCATGCCCATATGTTTACATATTGTTTATAGCTGTGTTCGCACTGCAGTGGCAGAGTAGAGTCCCCCTGGTAGAGACTTCTGAAAGAGTTTGCTGAACCCTGGTTAAAGGCATGGGCTTTGGGTAGGACTTTCTGGTTTGAATTCTGGCTCTGCCACTTATAGTGTGAAACCTGTAAATTTTCCTTGTCTATAAAATATTTTCTTGTATGCAAAATAGGTGCAGAATATGATTCACTTTATTGTTTTCTTGTGAAAATGAGTTGGTATCAAGTTGGGGCTTCTCCATATTCTGCATTCCCTCCAGATGCCACTGTTCCAGTTGTGGGAATTCTGCTCCTTCCTGATCAAGGACAAGATTTGCAAATAGACTTTGCAAGGATTTAACTGGTATTTGGATTCAGTGAACAACAGTATCAGTCTTTTGGGTTTTGGCTTTCCATCATCTCAACTCTAAGAAGATAAGAAACATTTTCAGCACTCACGGAAAAGCCATGTGTGGTGTTGTTTTCCATGCCACAGGCTGGAAACTCCAAGGTTTCCGCGTGTATTCTGTAACTTTAATTCATCCTGTGCATTCAGAAGTAGCTCTTAGTGCTTACATGGGCTGGTTCCCACCCCTCTCAGATCACAGATAGGAATCCCACTTCTTTTGTGCCTCATCTCAGTATGATAACCACATTTCTTTCATTGTACTCTTTGTCACTATGTTATCAGCTGTGGTTGTTTGCATGTATACAACGTAAATACAGTCTGGTAAAGAATGAAGCAATTGTTGGAAAGATATTGGGTGGCTAACAAAATTGGAAGAAGAAATAATGAGTTGCCCACTCAACTTCAAGGAAGCCTTGAGGGTTTGAGAGCACAGAACTTGTAG
The DNA here is from genome assembly GCF_000001405.40 of Homo sapiens. NCBI lineage: Eukaryota > Metazoa > Chordata > Mammalia > Primates > Hominidae > Homo > Homo sapiens. Next base: position 86,685,726 of record NC_000009.12, read on the forward strand.
ACTATCTCAAGATGCTGCTTTTGGGTGACTCACCCACATTACTGCTGTCCCTATGACTTTAGGGACAACAGCCAAGGATCTGAGAGAACAAATCTGATGAGCTACTCATGTGGTCGGGAGGAGGGTCCTGTCATTGAAATCCCTTTAGTATCACATGAGGAGGGATGCCCAGTCGTCCAAAATGAGATACATTAACTTCACTCTATCTTTTATATTTTTGGTTCTGGTGGGTGCAGGAGAGGGAGAAGGGGGATACTATTTAAGTTTTCTTTAAACCTTAGTTTCTTAATATACAAAAGCCAGATAACACTCTTTTAACTCTATTGATGTAAAGATTAAATAAAATAATATATGGAAAGTGGTTTACACCATGCTTGGCACACAGTGAGCGTATAGTGACTGGTAACTATTATTCAATTATTGTTCTCTATGTCAATTTCCATATATAACATTTTTTAAAAAATCAAAAGCTGTGATCTCAGCACCCAGGACCCATAATCTAGAACCCATTTCCTGTTTCTAGGCATAAGACACAGCAGAAATTGCACTTATGGATAAAGGGTTTGATCATGTAAATGGCTCATCACTCTTTAAACAAATGGTTTAAGTCCCTGCCAAGGCCATTTGTATACCAGGTCAGTAGCTGTTTGCTGACTTGTTTATGCGTTAGACTGAAATCTCTCTTAAAACAAGACTGGGGGCTGGGCGCGGTGGCTCATGCCTGAAATCCCAGCACTCTGGGAGGCCGAGGCGGGCGGATCACGAGGTCAGGAGATGGAGACCGTCCTGGCTAACACGGTGAAACCCCGTCTCTACTGAAAATACAGAAAAATTAGCCGGGCGTGGTGGCGGGCTCCTGTAGTCCCAACTACTCAGGAGGCTGAGGCAGGAGAATGGTGTGAACCCGGGAGCCATGCAGTGAGCCGAGATTGAGCTCCTGCACTCCAGCCTGGGAGACAGAGCGAGACTCCATCTCAAAAAAAAGAAAAACAAAAAATGAAAAACAAGACTGGGTCTTTTTTTCATTTTTAAGCTTAATTCAATTAATTTTTAAGTAGACGGAGCATCTACTACAGGCAAAGGTCTGCTGAGGAGGAATGGGGAGGCATACAAAGGGAATTCTTCATTAGTAGAAGCAAAGCCATTGTCCCTTCATTACAAAACAATTCCAATGCAGGAGCCAGGGGTCGAGGTGTTACCCTAAAGGTTCTCGGGATTACCAGGCTACAGAGACTAATTAAAGATCACAGAGATTATAACAATGTTCTGTGGGTCCATCTGAATATGATAGTGTTGAGAAGATGTTATTGTACTATGTCTGCTGCAGTTTAACTGTGTTTTACTAATGTAGCCTGAGTGTATTTACCAGCCAAATTGTGGATGAGAAAAAGGGATATCCAACTAGTTGTCTTTGTTTACATTTTACAGCAGAGTTTTCACGTTTAAGAGTCTTTATCTCAGTCCCATTGTGTGAGTAACTTTATATAATAAGAATTCAGTGGTAAACGTATATGCAGGCAGAAATGCATCTCTAGTCTTCTCCCCATGTTCATTCTCATGAATATTTGCTCTAAAGATCTATGAAATATAAGAACATTTTCGGTTTATCTTTGTACTCTAGAAATCAGTCTTAAATTAGCTGGGCATGGTGGTGCGTGCCTGTAACCCCAGCTACTTGGGAGGCTGAAGCAGGAGAATCCCTTGAACCCAGGAGGTGGAGGTTCCAGTGAGCTGAGAGCGCACCATTGCACTTTAGCCTGGGTGACAGAGCAAGACTTTGTTTCAAAAATAAATAAATAAATAAATAAATATAAATAAAAATCAATCTTGCTCTGCACAAGTCTAGTATCTCTAGTATCTCTCAATAATACTAATTGAATTAGAGTTAGAGCTAGTTTATTCCTTCCCTCATGTTTTTTAATCTTTGGGGAATTACTGAAGACCTTTTGTGACCAGTTAATATATCATTTTAAAAATGATTAAAAATTTGTTTTTACCAAAGAAATTATTACAGCTATTTATTATAGTGTTTTTGTGGGAGTTAAAAATAATAGTAAGAGTAGCATAAGAGTGAGTATAAAATAATAACATCATTTCTCAAGCACCTTATACTAGATGCTTTGGTTATCTATTACTGTGTAACAAATGACACCAAAACTTAGTGGTTTAAAACAGCCATTTTGCTTTGCTCATGATCTTGTGAGTCAGGACTTTGGGAATGGCTTGGCTGGGTGGTTTGTCTCTGCTCCACATGATGTCCGCAGGGGCAACTGGCACCGGAGGCTCCACTCCCTAGGTGGCCTCTGCAATCACAGTATCTGACTCCTCCCTGCTTTTTGGTTTCTCTCCCTTCACATGGCATTTCCTCCTCCAGCCTCCCTCCATGTGGCTTGAGCTTCTCACATCATGGCTGTCTCAGAACAGTTTTACTTCCTTTTGCGGCAGCTAGTTTCTAAGAGGCAGAAGCAAAAACTGCCAGGTCACTTATGGGCTATGCTCAGAAGTGGCACAGCATCACTTCCTCCGTATTTTTCGCTTGTTTGTTTGTTTGTTTGTTTGTTTGTTTCTTTGTTTTCTGAGACAGAGTCTAGCTCTGTTGCCCAGGCTGGAGTGCAGTGGCACCAGTCATGGCTCACTACAGCCACGACTTCCTAGGCTCAAGCAATCCTCCCACTTCGGCCACCCAATTCACTGGGACTACAGGCATGTGCCAACGTGCCTAGCTGATTTTTTTTTTTTTTTTTTTTTTTTTAGAGACAGGGTCTCATTATGTTACCCAGGCTGGTCTTGAATTTCTGGACTCAAGCAATCCTCCTACCTTGGCCTCTCAAAGTGCTGGAATTATAGGCATAGGCCATTGTGCCTGGCCCCTTCCTCCACATTCTTTTGGTCAAAGCAGACCCATGGTATGCGCAGGTTGAAGCGAGTAGAGAAATAGAGTGCACCTCTTGATGGAGGAGTGTCAAAGTCACTTCAAAAAAGAGCACATGCAATGGGGGTCATCTTTGTTACAGGCATCTTTGGAAAATACAGTCTGTCACATTAGAACATGTTTAAGATACTTCTTCAAGAATTCCACTCACTTAAGCCTTTCAATAACTCTCTTAAGTAGTCACTATTATCACTACCATTTTGCAGATGACAAAACTGAGTCCCATGGAACTAAATAACTGGTCCAAGGGTACACAGCTTGTAAAAGATAATTTTACTTAAATAATGAGGAATCTGGTTCTCAGGCCAAAGTTCTTCACCCTGTGTTTTCTTACCTATGGTATTAGACACGTCTATATAAGCTATGTAAGCTGGGCAAGTTGCTTAACTTCTCTGGATATTGGCATCCCTAAAAGCAAGAGGAAAGGTACTCTCCTTCAAGTGTTTTTGTAAGGATTAAAAGAGAACATGTAAGGATGATGCTTAGTACAGCCTGGATAGAAGAGACACATGATAAGTGTGTCTTACTGAAGCATATGAGCTCAGAGGCTGTGAACATGTTGATTTTCTTCTTGTTCACCTAAATAAACCTCATCCTGCCTCTACATTCTGGTGGCAGAGGTGCAGCTTGCCCTGTTATTCTCTTCATTGCAATTTGGCTCTGGGTTCAAACTCTGGCTATCTTCCCCCAGGCCATGTTTTCCCTTTACTTACCCTTAATTTTAGCTTAAATTAAGTAAATTCAGAGGCTTTACATTTTAGAGTGTGCACAGAGAATACTGCAGTAAATATCTTTGTAGGTGTGTCATTGGCTTATTTTGTATATCTATATACAAAAATGACTTGCTAGATGAAAAGGTGCATAGTTGTAAATTTGATAAATTCTACCAAATGTCTGCCCATAGGCTTTTTTCAACTTATAATCCCCCAACAATGTATGTGAGGCCTGTTTTCCATCACTTTGCCAAAAGTGTGATTTGAAGCTTTTTGATCTTTGCCAAATTAGTCAGTGAAATATGGTATCTTGTTGTAATATAATTAGCATTTCTCTTATCAAGGGTGATGTTATTTGTCTTCTCATGTGTACGAGAACCACTTGTGTTTCCTTTTCTGTAAACTGTATCTCCATATTGTTGCCAATAATTTTCTAATAGAATATATAACATGTATATAAGAAATTTGCTTCCAACAGCACTTTTGTATTAAGAACCTTAGCATTTTGCCTGCATATGTGCATCTTTACTGGCTTTTGCATGTGAGCTTGCTGTTTTTTGTTATGCAGAATTTAAAATTTTTTTATATAGCCATGTTTTGTGTTTTTTTCCTTGTTTCCTGCCATACCTAAAAAGATTTTTTTTCCATTCTAAGATTAGGAAAATCATCTTCCATGTTTTATTTCACACTTTTATGAATCATGCAGTTTCTCTTCATTTGATTGAGACAAACTTATAAAATTAGGTTAACTTACATAAAAATCTGGAGGCTTGGTTTGGGAGATCTGCAGCCCTCCCCTATACTTCCACATGGAAACAATTGGCTGGAGGTGAAGGGCAGGCCTGCCCCTTTGGACAGGACCAGTTCTCTCTGCCTTGCCAGGGTCCCTACCTTGCCCTTTGTACTCACTGGCATTCCAAGCAAGTCCTCCTAGTCAATTAAGCTTGCTACTTCTGAATTAGAGCCTTATGTGGGGTTAGGAAGTGGAAGGACTGAGCTGATGAAAGAGAGTTGGGATCTCTTGGCAGAGCAGTCTGTTTTTGTAAGTTTTCACATTTCTCTTCATTTTGAACATTATAATGTGGCTTCCAAAAATCAGGTACACACCTATGTTTTGGAAGTAGACAAAGCCATCAAACAAATGTCGTACATCTTACATAGTTTGACTATGAAATTGGTGTGATGATAGTGGTGTGCAATTTAATTGGTAAATTATTTAAAACGTTGTTAAAAACAAGCATGGATTTAATTTGGAGTATAAATAAATATTTGGATGACTTTTTTTCTAAGATTAAAAAACCGTGGCTATATTCTCTTGCCTCAGGCATGTGGTCATTCAACTCTGATGTCAGGATCACTTGGGTATACGTTTGATACCACTGGATAATGACTTCTACAAGATGCCTAGAGATAAATAAATTTCATTGACAAGTCAAGTCTTGTACTTTATATAATCATCTTATTTCCAATAGCTGATATTGGACTGGTGCCCTGTTAATTTGAGTTTTCAGGTAAAAATTAGGTTACTTGGTTCATGAAACCAGAGGAGTATTTTTAATTAACATAGTGTGTATAAAGACTGTGTGTTAATCAAACGGAAACATTTCTATGTATGAGAAAAGAATTAAAAATGAAAAGCCAAGAGGGAGAACTTATGTTGTTTCTCTGTAAGTCTTTTCAGAATTTTATTCAGATAACAGAGAATAGATTTATTTCAAACAAGAAACATTTATTAACTCTTTAATGTGTGCAAGGAATTACTAGTGTAGCAGAATAGAGCAGTTTGAGTACTTACAATCTGGTTGGGAAAGAAGGATAACTCCATAAATAAATAAATAGTGTTAGCCAAAAAGCACTCTAGACTCTATGCATGTGTCCCTCCAGGTGCATAACACTTAAAATGATGAATGAAATGTATTTTAAAATAAAACATTTAAAAAGCATAGCTGAGCTGACAGCAAAGAAAATACCGAAGCTAAGAAATGATGAGAGAACACCTATTTTTTTTTTGGCTTGGGTACATCTGTCAGTGTATGGTGTTCTACAGACTTGGTTTTAATGGACTGTAGTATGGAAGTCACAGGCCAAACCTAGAATCGAGACAGGTGAGAAATCTGATTGGGGAACCCTGAAGAAAAATGACACCCTAAAGGTTAATGCTCACAAAGGGCAAACTAGAAAGCCCAACCCCACAAAGGGGACTTGACTGCCTTAGACTTTGCCCTGAATTCTGTAAAAGATGACAAGGAAAAATAAAAGCCTCATATGAGAATTCCTAATCATAAGCCAGAATGGGCTTGTATTTGGAGGCCATAATTCACACTGTATGAGTAGTCTTAACAAAATTTCAGGATGGAAATTTAGTAAAGAGTGGTCCTACGTTGATAAGTACCTGCAGGCAACTGATGGAAGCAAACAGATCCTTTTTTGAGGATGCATGTTAAACACAGGTTTCAGAGAATTCTGAAAGAAACATGAGCTCACAATTTAAAAAAAAATTTTAAAAATCATTAAACATACAAGAAAATTGGACACTATGAGAGAGAGACAACAGAAAGCCAGCAAATGGCAGAATCAGGTTTGTAAAAACTGCAGGCTCAACAGACACAGACTATAAAACAAATATATTTCACACATTTAAATAAACCAGTGAAGATACTGAAATCATGGTAAAAGAACAAGAAACTATGAATATTGATGAGGCAGATTTTTTTTTTCTGAGACAGGATCTCACTCTGTTGCCCAGGCTGTGTGCGATGGCATGATCATAGCTCACTGCAGCCTCGAACTCATAGGCTCAAGCTATCCTCCTGCTTCAGCCTCCTAAGTAGCTAGGATTACAGGCACACACCACAAAACCTGGCTAATTTTTGTATCTTTTGTAGAGATGGGGTTTCATCATATTGCCCAGTCTGGTCTGAAACTCCTGGGCTCAAGTGATTCACCCACCTTGGCCTCCCGAAGTGCTGGGATTACAGGTGTGAGCCACTGTGCCTGGCCAAGGCAGATTTTTATAATAAAACCAAATAAAACTTCTATAAATAAAAATACGTAGTATTACATTTTAAAACAGTCAGGTAAACAGCAAATTAAAAACAGCCAACAAGAAAATTAGTGAAATAGAAGATAGATCTGAAGACATTACTCGGGAAATAGCACAAAAATAAAAAGATAAAACGTACAAAAGAGAAGTTTAGACATAGAGGATATAGTATGAAGGTCTAATAAGTGTTTAAGTGAAAACCCAGAAAGATAAAATAGAGAAAACTGGAGAGAGATAATATTCAAAGAGATAGTAGCTGAGAAGTTTCCTTAATTGATGAATAGCTACAATCCTTATGTTTATGTAGCTCAAGGAACTTTAAGCTGGATTAAAATGAAATTTCATCTGAAAACATCCTAGTGAAACTGAAAATAACCAAAGACAAAGAGCTGATCTTGAAAGCAATCAGAAAAAGAAAAAGCAGCCCGAGAGGAAAGAAAGGTTATCTGTAGAGGTGTGTTCACTTATATAACTTCTCAATAGCAACAGTGGAAGCCAGAAGAAAAAGTAATAATATTCCTCAATATACTGAAGAAAAAATAATTGACAACAAACAATTAAATATAGAATTAAATATCTATTACAAGTACCTGTTGAGAATGAAGCCAAAATAAAGATATTTTTAGAAAAAACAAACAAGGCGGGACACGGTGGCTCACGCCTGTAATCCCAGCCCTTTGGGAGGCCAAGGTGGGTGGATCACGAGGTCAGGAGTTTGAGACCAGCCTGGCCAACATGATGAAACCCTGTCTCTACTAAAAATACAAAAATTTGCTGGGCTTGGTGGCGCATGCCTGTAATCTCAGGTACTCGGGAGGGTGAGGCAGGAGAATCACTTGAACCTGGGAGGCGGAAGTTGCAGTGAGCCAAGATTGTGTCATTGCACTCCAGCCTGGGCAACAAGAACGAAACTCTATCCCAAAAAAGAAAAAAAAAAAGAAAGAAAGAAAAGAAAAAACAAGCAACAGAACTGGCAAAAACCTGAGAGGGTTTACTGTGAGTAGCTCCCCATTAATGCCTAAGGACTATATTTCAGGAAGGAAAAAATGAGCCGAGAAGGAGTACCCAAGATACAAAAAGGAACAATGAATAAATAATACAGTGTACTTTTGGGTAAATATAGATAAACACAGACTACATAAACAAATTAAAAATCTATCCTATGGGTATATAAGATCGATACAGCAATAAAATCCTCAAATACATAGCATATAAATCAGAAGGCATGTGACCAATGTTTAAATGCTCTAAGTTTCATTTATTTTCAAAGGAAGGTAAAACTATTGATTAGCCTCTACTTTTTAAAGTTAATAAGTATGCATGTTGATCATTTCTAATATACTGCTAACAGAATTAACATATAAAGTATGATTTTCAAGTGAGAAGAGGAAAAAAGTGAAATGAGGAGGGGAAAAGCAACACTATCAAGTCAAAAGGAGGCAGAACAAGCGGGAAAAGTTAAAAAGTTAAAGAAAATACAAAACTAAGTGGTAAAAATTAATCCAAATGCAATATTAAGAAAATGAATATTAGTTGAGTAAAATTTATAGTTAAAAGTCAAAAAGTGTCAGACTGGTTTGAAAACATCAACAAATAAACATCAGTGCTACAAATTCAGATATGGATTTGTGGAGTTATAAGTTCAAATAAAAGGTTATAGAAGGTTGAAAGTAAATGGATGGAAAAAATTATACCAGACGATACAAACTCAAGAAAACTGTTATAGCCAGATTAATACTAGACAAAAATCTATTTTAAGGCAAAAGACATTCTGGAGATCATTACAAGATGTCTAATTTAAAAACTTCAACATTTGACTAAATTGCAGAAATGGACAAATCATCCATCATAGTGGGAGATTTTCAGACTATTTCCTTAGCCATTTATAGACAAGGCAGACAAAGAATCAGTAAATGTATAGATTAAGCAGCTCTAATGGACATATATGGAATACTTCCCACAACCAGTGGAGTACATTCAGAGGGTTTATGAAAACTGACCTGGGTGTGAGGCATAAGGTAATTCCCAATAAAAATTATGAATGAGTGTCATATGGACCACATTATAGAAACAGAATGGAGTTAAGCTAAAAATCTATAATAAAAAGTAACTTTAGGACACACTGTGGGCCTAGATATTTAAAAATACACCTCAAACTTCCCTGAATCAAAGAAGAAAGCAATACAAGAATTAGAAAATTGTGTAAAACTAACATTTAATAAAACTGCTGTTTATGGAAATCTGTGGACAGTTGCTGTTCAATTCTAGCTGGTGATGTGGGGGCTAAAAAATGTCAGAACTTCTGTTTTTTTTTCCCAAAGAAATTCAGGAATCTGAGATTTTTATTGAAAAAATTTCTGGTGTTTATGACATTGTGTGTGTCTCCTCACCTCCCCCCAAAATATTGGCGTGCCTGTATCCATTTGGTTTGACATTTCTAATGTGAGAAATAGGAAATCATTGAAGTTTTAATGAACTGAAGAATGACATGATCAAATTAGTTTGATTGGAAATACTCAGGTGCTAGTAATATTGTATATATTGTTATTATTTCATATCTTATATATCTTCGTTATATAAGATATACAAAATACTATACATATATATATTTTTTTTATTTTTGAGGCAGAGTCTCGCTCTCTTGCCCAGGTTGGAGTGCAGTGGCATGATCTCAGCTCAATGCAACCTCCACCTCTTAGGTTCAAGTGGTTCTCGTGCCTCAGCCACCTGAGTAGCTGGGACTACAGGCACATGTCACCATGACTGTCCTATACATATATTTTTAAATAGAAATAAATCTGGCTCAGTCTTTCACTGCCAAAGTATATACAGCATTTATCAGTTGATTTTGAAGTTTCCCAACATTAATCACCTTCTTTTAGGTTGCACACAATCCCTGCAGTCTTTATAAGCCCAGGAAAATGTAAAAGGTCCCCAGTCCTAAGCCTGGTGACAGCTGCGGCCATTGCTTCTTTGCATTGATCTGTGTGGCACAGTGTAAGCACCTAATAAATATTAGTTGTTGTTATTCTTGTGCCCAAGAAGTAAAATAGATTTAATAATACCAGCATCATAGTGCTGTTCTGAGGATCATCCAATACTTCGGGCAGAGACAGTGAACAGAGGCTACCACCCTTTTTCAGTCTGTTGAATAAATGAAACTAGAAGTCAAGGGAATGGCCTGCTTAGTGGAAGGCCTGGCCTTGGAAGGCTGTTGCAGTATAAGTATCCCAGATCTACGGTAGAGGAAAGGGAGACGGAAAGGAGCTGAGTAAAGGAAGAGAGATAGGGTAAGCTTCTTGATCCTTCCTGTCACTGAAGTTTTAGGTTATAATGTCACTTCAGAGAGGACGTCCCTGATCACCCAGTTTCTTCCATGGCATGGCCTTTTCTAATGATGTGGAAAGGAAGTGTTACAACCTGACATCTTCTTGTTTATTTGTTTGCTATTGTTCACTCTGCTAGAATAAAAGATAAATTTCTGTCTTGTTCACTACGGAGTCTCTAGAACCTAGAGCACACACTACACACAGTAGGCAGTCCATAAATATTAGTTGGCTGAGCAAGTATATACTTTATAAATTTGCCTGACTTTACTTTTATTTTTGAACATTAGGAAGAGCCTACTGAGGTCTGGATTCTGGCAAGATAGGAATTATTAGTAAAGATGACTCAGCGATTGCATTTACATCCTCTGTCTTTTCTCCAAATTCATTCAGGCCTTCAGGACCTGGACTTCCTTTGGAAAGTCCAAACTTCCTTTGGAAAAAAGACTAAGAGGAATTCTTCCTGAAGTTCCTTGTCTGACTGTGGCCACTGTCTCCCTGGAGAACTGCACTTATTTCAGAAAGAAGAGAGACTTCTAGATAAAGCGAGGTGATGCTGGCTTCAAACCAAATTAAAAAAAAAAGCTGGAGATATGCAAGTTGCTAAACCAGCCCTTCCCTCAGGCTCAAATCAGAGGACAATTGGTAACAACCACCTTTCTCTCATTTGGTTTTGCAGCTCAAACAAAACTGTCACCCTCGCCAAAACCCCTGAAATACAGAAATGTGGTATTAAAACAGTTATGACTGGAAAAGAGGTTCAATGGCCTCATTTCATGATGAAATTACCTATTGCTCTTATTATGAATAGTGAATTCTACTGTTTATATAAGTTTTGATTTAATGTACACCTGACATTTCAAAGTGCTCTTTCCTTTACATTTCACTTTATACTTGTGACATTCTTAGATATGTTATATCCCATTTTAGAGGGTATAAAAACTGTGACTCAAAATGATTACAAGCTTTTCCCAGGATCACTTAATTACTTATCAGAAGACCAGGATTCTAGTCTTGGCTTTGCTGCTGTGTAATGTCCTGTGCTTCTGTCTGTCTGTGCTACCCGTCTCAAAGCTAACTCTTTCTTAAGAAACTGAAAACGTCTTTAAATTATATCAAATAAGATACAGATTTAGAAAATGAGAGGAAATACTCTAGGATTCCTTGTTGAAGAAAGTCTACATGTTATGATTATCCAGGTTTGTGCTGATTATTTTTGACAACATTACATGCAGTAATTTAAAAATTATATTTTATACAAGACATAGATAATAGTTTTAAGGAGATAATGATGATACTCTGTAATTACACTGTGCTTTTTTATCTTTCCAAAGAACATTAAAATCTATTATTTCATTTTATCCTTACAAATGATACCTTAAATTATCATAATATTGTATTTTTTTAGCAGGTTATAGAATCAGGTATCTCTAAATAATGTTTGCAAACTATAACAGAAGGCCCATGCAATTGCTTAGGGTGAAAAGGAAGTTGAGTTGCCTTTAAAAATACCTGGCAGTAAATTAAAAGTGGAGAAAGAAAAATCCTCCCCATTTAAAAACTTATCTATCTAATTCCCTTGGGATTTCAGGCTCTGTTCACGATAGTGACTGTTTTGGCATCAACTAAAACTGCAAGTTGTATTCATTATAGTCAAGAGTGAAATGGCAGTGAGCTTTGGCTTTCACTGGTTGCTGGGATTAAGAACATGCTAGTAATTAGCTATAACTCATTTGCCTCAGCAATTATCCACAATTACTCATAATCTCATGGGTAATGGAACACACAATGCAGTTGGCTCATGCTGCCTTTTGGGTACTGACCTCTTGGGTGAGAGGTCATCCCAGGCATGAGAAGGGGTGGGCTTTCAGCAGAGTCAGTGGGTCTGCAGACAATAATTTACTAGAGACACCACAGAAACATTGTGTACACAGGGAAATATTGTCAATTTTTTTTAGAAGTGGAAGAACAGAAATAATTTTTGACTTGTTTTTTGTTTGAAAAGAATGCCCTGGAAAACAATATGGTGGACTGTCCTTGGAGTGTGCAACACAACTAGGTCTTGTGTAGAAACCATGTATCTCTTCTAGGTAGAAAACTATACGGGAGAAGGGAGTGGATTGTGGAGCACAATACCTGGGCCAAGCAATCCTTGGGATGGAAGCTTGTAGAGCCTTAGCCCACAGCCCTTTCAGGAGCAAACATACATGTAAGCATCATGTTACTTTATTCTTTGCAGAACCCCAAAGGGAGCTTACAAAGGAAACTCTCGTTCCTTCTATATTCATTAACTGGGATTCTTCTGTAAGCAAGAGCTGTCCCTTCCTCCCCCATTTATTTGTTGATTCAATTATTCGTTAATATCAATATACAATCCTAGACAATTATTTTATTCTATGGGCTATGATCCAGTACTACAATTAATACTTTCTTTGCTCCAGTTATGGCAGCTTGCCCGTGGGGATCTCCTCCAAGTTGTGTCTTTGTCTTTTGGCATGTCCCATCCTTTCTTGAACATTTTCTTATTTCCTGGCAGCACAAGATCTTTCAAGCTCATCTTTTAATTTTCCTGTCCCAGCCTTGGAATCAACCTCTTTTCCAAGGAACCTTGTTTCTTTCGTTGGAAAATGGTATATAGGAACCAAGATCCAGACACTAGGGCTGCTCAAATTGCTATGGGATTGTCATTGCTCCGAGGCTGTCTCACAGCTAGGAAACATGTACACACAAATACACTTATATTTCTATATCTACCTATCTGCATATATATGAATTCATATTGAGTGCAGGAGTTCATACTGATACCTCCCAATTCAGCATGCATGTTCATTCTAGCCTGTCCTTTTGTTTATCTGTAACTTCTTTCTCCAATGATGAGAAGTCTGGCTCTTGTTATCTACAATATATTTACTTACCAAAGAATGAAATAAATTGTTGTAGGTTTATGCTATATATATAACACGCAGGAAACCTTTGTAACAAAAACTATACTACTACTATACTCTCTATATTCACACTACTCTCTATATTGCAATATATATATTCACACTACTCTCTATATTGCAAGATTTCTCAGCTCTGTTTTCTACATATATTTCACATACAACCAGCCTACAATTTTTCATCTTTCCCACTGATTCTCCCACTTGGCAGCCTCATGCCTTTCTGCACATTGAAGGCTGTGGTATAGTCTGTGGTACTGGCCATGACACAACTGTCTGGTATACCAAGTTGCTAGTAGGGGTGTTACTAACTGAAGACTGGAAGAAGCAACATCCCTTGCTACAGTTTTATCAGTGAATGCCCTACATGCTGCCCTGAACAAGGAAATACTAGTCACCTTGTGTCTGAAAAGGGTCAGGTATGGCGGGGGGAGGCTATCATATGGTCATCTCTCAGATTTAACCACATGTTTATGGGAGAACTCTGTTTTCCTTCCATGAGTTTCCTAAGGTACCAGACAAACCCACAGCATAACCTGGAAGTCTAGAGTGGAAGTCTACCAGACCTCTCTTGGTGAATTACCACAAATGTTGGCTAAATGTACTTCTTTAAAAACATCGCAGACAGCAGGCATGTTTGGGTGCTCCCAAGGTAAGCCAGTCTGGTGAACTAGCTATAAGATGACTTACTCTCTATGTAAAAGGTCTATGATACCTTTTTCTCCAAATCCTCATCTCATTTGAAACACGGAGAAGCCAGAGTCAGCAGAGGGAGGGAAGGAGGAGAAGAGAAAGAGCCAGATTAAAAAAAAAAAATCACAGAGAGGCTCATCACACCCCATCCACTCCTGCAGGTTTCCAAGCTGGTTCTTGCCCAAGCAAGGCCAGGTGAGAAATTTTAAATTAGATAACAGCTTGGCACTTTACTATGGAATCTTCCCGGTATTTCATCTAGGGCAGAGAAGAATGATTTGGCAAAATTTGGTTGAAAGTGTTTTGCAAATGAGAATGAGTTATATGTAGGAGGACATTTCTCCACCGTGTGTGTGTGTGTGTGTGTGTGTGTGTGTATTTTCTTCTGAAATTGGGATGCATCTTAACACCAGTGAGTACGTTTATGGAGGTAATTTTCTTCCTTTCCCTCCCTCCTTCCATTTTTCTTTTTTTCTTCTTATTTTTTCTGAATAGTTGTTATTGAAACCATATTGTATCTTACAATCAGAGCTGAGGAATTACTGCAAGTTCTATTTTTTAAAAATTTGTATACGTTTATGGGGTACAAAGCACAGTTTTGTAACAGCATAGTGGCCAAGTCAGGGCTTTTAGGGTATCCATCACCTGAATGATGTACATTATACCTGCTTAGTAATTTCTCATTATCTATCCTGCTCCCACCCTTCACCCTACCTGTCCTATCATTCCACTCTCTGTGTCCATGTCCACCCATTTTTATCACCCACTTATGAGTAAGTTCTATTGTTACTACACTTGTTCTTAGCCAAAAGGCCAAGAAACGATAAAAGTTCTATTGTTTAATGCAATATTGCTAGTGTGAGTTTTTCAGTGGAAGAATGCTTCTTAAGCATAAAACTGTTCCTTAATTTGTATTATGTTATCAAGCTCACAATCTCACAACAAGAAATGGACAGCTAACTTTCCCCACCGTTAGCTATCTTTGGACTTACTTCAAGACAGATTTAATCTTTTAGGCAGAACACTTCGTCTGTAGTGAGTATATTTTCCTTTCTCAGGATGGTTTCAGAAAGGGAAAAGAAAAAGAAGTTTATTTCTGTAGGAAAAATTGGAACCAAACTGACAATCTGTCTATTAACTTTGGCTATTTTGGTTTTTCTTTTTAATTGTACAGTAAAAGGCAGAACCAGATTTAAGTTTCTCAGAATCTAACAACAACAACAACAACAAGAACAACAATAACCACAACACAACAAAATGTCCTCATTTTTGACGAGCTATGTAGAAGTTTCTACTTTATGTGATTTAAAAGGGGAGAGCTGGAGAATCCTGAAAAGATGGAGCTTCTAATGGAAAGGCTGACAGACCCTTAACGACGAGCCTGTTGCCAGGCGCCACCGTAATAAATGGTGGCCAGCTTCCAGGAGGGCTCACAGCTGCATGTCTGAACTTTATCCAGCTAGAGTTTGCAGGCTCTGGCCAGCTTGTAATTCATTCTTGGCTGACACATTCCAGTTCATAATTAGTGTAGTGCTAATATGATCCTCATTTTTTAATTCTTTCCTGTAAAACTGGACTGTTTCAAAAGACAAAGATGTACTTCACTTGGCCATCAGGAAATCCACACGGTTGGATTCTCCAGGCGCTCACGTGTGGCTGGAATCTATAGAAAAGGGAAGTAGGTTCAGCTTTCTTCTGTTTCCCTGTGAAGCAGCCTATAGATCCCCAGATTTTATTTCAGCATATGTTGTCAGTCTCTCCCCTCATAAAATCTTGTTTTCTTTTGGCCTCCTAATGCATAGAAAATGGATCACCACTCTCCCTTGATCTCACTCCTCATGGACAAGTGTATATAGATGCAGCCTGTCAAATGGAATGAACAGTATGTGCACAGATCATACATTTCCATAATGGATCTGCAACTTGCATGTTTCACATTTGTTATAATTTCCTGAAGTTGCTCTGATGGATTTGTAGTGTGGGCACTTGGCCGAGGTGAAACTACATTTCCCAGAATTCTCTACCTGCATGGTTCCAGGTTGGCTTGCACCACAAGAAGTGAGAGGTAGAAGTGACATTCGGGGGTGCAGAAGCACCTTGTTGGTAGCTTCTCCAATTCCTGGGCCAAGTGTAGATTTTGTTCTGTGATGAGAAAGGTGCCAGAATCACATCCTTTAATGGGATGTTTGGAGAAACCAATATGGATTTCAGTCCATCCTCATGGGTTCAAGCTCATTGCCATGGGATCCACTTTTGTCCCACTCTCCCCCACTTCAATTCCGTCTTTCTTTCCCAGGTGCCTGCCCTGCTGACTTTAGAGCCAACACAGACACAACAGCCTTACAGCCTTACACAGACTGTTTAATCATCACCTATCATTGTGTAAGGTCAAATTCTCATAACAAATCCCTTATTTTATATCACTGTAGTGATTCTTCTCCTCTAATCTCACTCTGCCTGATACAGTTACATAACCCTTCACAATCTTGCCCTAGAACAGTGCCCAGGAAGTACGCAATCAATTTTTGTTACTGAGGCAGAACGGGTATCTTTATTGTCCTTTTATAGCTGAGAAAACTGTGGACAAAGGGATTCAGTGACTTAACCCAGCCAGTAAATACCAGAGATAGGATTTGAATCAGACCTTCTGAGACCATACCCAGTATACCTGAGTGGGTACCATATGTAAACTGAAATCAAAAGAAGTAACATGTGAAGAGGTACTCAACATTCCCAGTAATCAGGATCACACAAATATGAGATGCCATTTTTTTTTACCCATCTGGCTGCAAAAGTTTGTAATGGTAGATATGAGAAAGAATCTTCTCATGAGAAGAGGAAATACTTATGAACTGCTGGCATTAACTGGGGTAGTCACTTGCGACAATTTGGTATTTGCTAAAATTTAAAGAATTCATATCCATGACCCAGCAAGTTCATTATGCATGATTTACTTCAGCATACACTTCCATGTGTGCGCAAGGAGGCATTTTTAAAGATGCTCAGTAGAATAAAATGATGCACATTAGCCTGATGAAAAGGTGATGATGCATTCATACTCCAGAACAAGGTAGTCCTGTCTACACTCAGGTGGAAACCACTTCATGAGTATTGTAACATAAACAAGAAGCAAATTACAGAATTATATGTTTAAGGAGTACAATTCGTGTAAAAACACACAAATTAAACGGGGCTTTATGTTTTCCGTGACCAAATATATGTAAGTAAAAGTATTTTTTAAAAAGTTGGCAAGCTAATGATGATTAGAAGAGAGAGGGAGGAAGCTGTGATAGGGAGTGATAAAGCTGGATTTAATTTATTATGTTTTTTTCTTTTATAAAGAAAATGCATTTATTACCTATGTAATTAATTTTTTGGCTCCAAAAATAAAGGTAACATGTATGAAAGATGAGTTATAGGCCTCACTGAGTACTAAAAGAGGAATGGTATGTTTGAATTAATTTCATTAACACTTTCATTTTATAGAGAAGGAAATTGGTACCCAGAGGCAGGAAATGATTGGCTGAAGGCAGAATCCAGTAAAAATTTGAAATCAGGAGTGTCTCAGAAAAGTTGTTGACAGAGTTTCTGAAATAATCTCTGAAAATACTTTGATGAAATCAGAGTGTATTTCAGAGCACCATTGTGGGGACCCCCTGAATAAACATGATCCAGTTTCAGGGGCTGTGATTTAGCCAGTTGGCAATGTTGCCCAGGGACCCTGTTAAGATCACACAACACCTTACTATCATCTTTGATTCTTATAGTCTATTGCTAATTCTATATGTTTTTCTAACATCTTCAACCTTTGTTGCCTCAGTAAATTCATTTTCTCTGTAGCAAGTTCAAAAACACTTTGACCTTTGTCCTTCCTCAAGGTGGGCCATTTTTGCAATATTTACCTAAAGGACAGAAAACTCAGAGGCAGTTCCCTACAAAGCCGTTCTTTAAACCAACAGAAATATGTTGGTGGTAAATTTTTGGTGGTAAATTCTGAGTTTATTTTTCTGATGACCCAGGATAGAGGGAACTGGGTTCTGCTTCTACGAATATACAGTACAATCGTGCTGCATAACAACGTTTTGGTTGATGACAAACCACATATACCATAGTGGTCCCATAAGATAAAGGAGCTGAAAAATTCATCTTGCCTAGTGACGTCGTAGCTGTCAAAACGTAGACAATGCATGACTCATATGTTTGTAGTTATGCTGGTATAAAGAAACCTACTGCACTGCCAGTCATATAAAAGTATAGCATATACAATTATGAATAGTGTATAATATTTAATAATGACAATAAGTAACTCTGTTACTGTTTTTTTACTATACTTTTTAGCATTTTAGAGTGTACCCCTTCTACTTAGACACACACACACACAAGTACACACACATATGTATATGTATGTAAAGTTAACTGTAAAACAGTCTTAGGCTGATTCTTCAGAAGGTATCCAGAAGAAGGCATGGCTACCATGGGAGATGATGGCTCCTTGAAAATCTTTCGAAGGACAAGATGAGGAAGTGAAAGAGAGTGATATTGATGATCCTGATGCTGTGTAGCCTTGGCTATTGTGTGTGCATATGTCTTAGTTTGTAACAAAAAATTTAATAAGAAAAAACATTTTTAAATAGAAAAACACATAGAATAAGGACATAAGGAGAGAAAATATTTCTGTGTAGCTATACAATGTGTAAGAATTTTAAGCTAAGTTGTTACTATAAGAGTCAAAAAGTTAAAAAAATTAAAAAGTTTATAAAGTAAAAACGCTATAGTAAGCTAAGGTTAATTTATTATTGAATAAAGAAAAATATATATATTTTTATAAATCTAGTGTCACTTAAGTGTCCAGTGTTGATAAAGCCTACAGTAGTGTACAGTCATGCCCTAGGACTTCACATTCACTCACCACTCACTCACCGACTCACCCAGAGCAACTTCCAGTCCTGCAAGCTCCATGTATAGTAAGTGCCCCATACAGGTGTACCATGTTTTATCTTTTATATCATATTTTAATTGTACCTTCTCTATGTTTAGATTTGTTTAGAGACACAAATATGATGTGTTACAATTGCATATGGTATTCAGTATGGTAACAGGCTGTTCCGACTTACAGCCTAGGTGCAATAGACTACACCATACAGCCTGGGTGTGTAGTAGGCAATACAATTTAGGTTTGTATAAGTATACTCTAAGATGTTTGCACAACAACAAAAATGCCTAATGCATCTCTCAGAAAGTACTCCTATTGCTTAGCGAGACATAACTGTAGCTGCACTTGACCTTCTCAAGGTTGGGAAAAAACCAACCATAAAGCAGCCTGACAGATAGAAGTCTCTTTGGCGGATAGCCTAACTGCAGTCTGTTTGTAGAGTTCTGCTTGATGAATAGAATTGACGAGTGCCCTGACTTGTACCCATCATTGAAGTCCTATATGTGTCATCCCCAGCTCTAAAGATCTTCTCTGAATCGCTGACCCTCACTCTCTACCTTAGGTGCTCTCCCTTCAGATCACCTGGGCTCACCCAATTTGTGTTGGAAGAATCTACTCTGTGTTTTTCTCTTTCACAGTATTGTGAGCAGAGGGAGAGCTGCTGGGTGCTTGTGGGGATGAAGCTCAGAGGCAGGGGACCTCCCTGTGACTTCCTTCCCTCTGGGCCTCAGGCTCTATCATTGCCTTTACCAGAACATCTTTTTCATCATAGTTACAGCAACCACCACACAGTATGGTACCTGAACAAAATTGCTGAAAAGATGCAACTTATGGAGATGTTACTCAGCCAGAACAATGTCTTTCCTTGTTGCCGCCTTACCTTTCTTAGCTCTGTGTCCGCCAGCCTCCTTTGCCTCTCAGACAGCAAGCTCTTTCCAGGGCCACCGTTTCCTCCTCTGCTATTCTTTTCTCACGGAGAGTGGAAGCTCTCATGGTGCTTCCAGAAGCAATTCTGTTCCTCTCCTTTGGGGCTGAGCTCTTCTCTTCAATCCTGGTTCCATGATGCAGAAGAGGCACTCGAGCAATCACAACTGCCTACAGCTCTCACAAAATGTTTTATTCCATTAAATGTGTTCACAAGGTTCACCTTTCTACAAGCAAAAAAGAAACACTTTTTTTTCTGTACTCTGATACCTGGAGGTGTAGTATTATATTACATCCCCTTTTCATCCTCTGCAATGTAAAGGGTGGGGGAGATCGTGGCCTCATCTCTATGCTGAGTCTCAAATGAATCAGAATCCAAGGCTGTCCAGCATCCAGTCTCCTCCAAGGCTTACTCTCTTTAGGTTAACATTTCTGAGCTCTGGATCAACAAGTATCAACACACGCCACATATGTTACTCATATTCTTCAACGTACTGAAAAGAAAAATACCCAAGCCTACTGTGTTACCGGAACTGAAGTAAACATTGGCAACAAATATGGAAAGGCTGACCTGCTGGTTTAATATTTTCCCATTTCAACCTCTTAAGTGCATCGTGTGAATCACCTAACACCAAAATATTGTGCTACCCAAGCTCTATAAGGTCTTTTTTGTTACTTATACAGTGAATTTTGCCTTCAGTTTTATGTTTTGTGTGATCACGTGTTTGTGTGATGTTTTTGAAATGTTAAGGGTTCTGTTGCTTAATTCTTGGACCGATTTATTGGAAAAGGGAACTCCTCTCCTCTTATCTATCCACCTTAGTCTTCCAAGATTTTATTTCTAATGTTTACAAAAAAGAAAAGTTCCTCTGATGATGTGAATTGGTATGATCTTTTGTAGGGAGATGATAAAGAAACAGTAATTAGTTGATGTTTTATCAAAAGTAGCTTATTCTACTACTAATAAAATCAATGAAAAATGTACTGTGAGCTAGGTATTTTGAAAGTAAAAACCATGAATAAAAGGTGGTTCTATTCCCAAAGAGGGGACACTTACATGTATTTGATGAAAATTAATAATCACCAAATTCTCTGGCCATGCCATTGGGTTCTGTACTGCTGGTGGCATTAGGGGGGTCTGCTGGTATACCCTCTCGTCCTCTACAGAGTCTACCCGCTGAGGCAATGCCTCTCACAAACCCCAGCCCAAACCTCCCTGGAAGAGCAGGCAGGACAAACCAACTCTGGGCTGTACTAGTTCATGCCAGGACTCAAGATTCCCCCCTCCACTCTTAAGATGATTGTATGAGACTCACCAATCCAGCTAAACCCACAGTTCCTTGTCTTTTAATCAGTGGTTAACAGAGTGTGGTCTCCAGACCAGCATCATCAACATTGCATGGGAACTTACTAAAGAGTAAATTCTCAGGTCTGACCTCAGACTTCCTGAATTGGAAATCCTGGAGTGGGGGAGGGGGCTCAGTGATCTCTGTTTTAATAAGCCTTCCAGGTGATCCTGATGTCCTCTCAAGTTTGAGAACTACTGTCTTCAGCCCTTTCCTGGGTAGAAGCCCTCCTGCTTCGAGTTCATTAAACACGGGGCTCCCCCCTCAGCCCCATCACCTTGCCTGGGAGGGGAACCATCTCTGGAAGTACATTTGCATTTCACCTCTAGGCATGGGCTGAAGACCTACTAGCTCTTCCCCCCAACCCCCAAGCCCTCGTCCTATATTAGTTTAGAGCTTTGATTGTACCTTTATTGTCAGCTCTATTTATTTACTTTTCTTTTTTGGTGGCCATTGATCCTTCAGTGGGCTAACTCACCCAGGCTGGAAGCAAACTTAATTTGGGAGAGTCCAATTTTATCAAATGTATCACAGAATCTGTTTTTGAGCTAAAATGAAACTACGGCTATAATTCACCAAAAGTTAGTTAGCGTTCTGTCCTGCAGTTATTGCAAACCAAGTTGCCTGCCAGATTTCTTCAATACTCTGGGGTTGTTGGAAATAGAATTTCATGCGTTCCCACCTTAGGAGTTGGTGGAAGCCAGGTAGGGGCCTCAGATTAATGTCAGAATGTCCACTTTCATCTATGATTATGACAGTGTTGTTGCTGCCCTTGCTGGAAAAATCTCGTTGTTAGCTACATCTCTCCAGAGCCAGATGGAAGACTGCTTTGGTATGTGAGAAAGTTCTCAAAGGAGAAGGCAGAGACCCTTCTGACAACTTGAATGAGCTCTGCTGTTTTCCCTATCACTTCCTATCCCTTTCCTTTCAGTTCTAAATCTGTTGTCCCTTTTCCTCTTTTGCTGGCTGATCCCTTTTGGCTCACCCTTTAGAGATGGGCTTCGGAGTTCCTCACTTCTGTCCTGTCTTCATTCTCCACTCTGGGAATGTACTTTCGTTCCCACATCTATACCTCTGAACCTGAAGGTTCCACTCCCTGCTGGGCTATTACCACTGGGCCATCTCATCAGAGAAGAGATGAGGGCTTCCACCAGCCCCTAAGGTGAGAATGCATGAAATTCTATTTCCAACAACCCAAGATTTTTGAAGAAATCTGGCAAGTGACTTGGTTTGCAATAATCTCAGGACAGAACACTAACTTTGGGGAATTATAGCCATGGTTTACATTTTAGCTCAAAAACAGATTCTGTGATACATTTGATAAAATTGGACACTCCCAAATTATGTTTGCTTCCTTAACTTCACTAAGTGGAGCCTTTGTTTTCAAGTCCCAGCTCTTCCTCTTCTCATTGTCCATTTTATACACATTGGCATGACTTCAACTACTCTTCCCCTCTTGCTGTGTGTCTGCCAGTCAGTCAGTTATACATAGTTTATCCCCATTGCACATCATATCTCTGCCCTCTTGCCACTGCTTGGCCTCAAGCTGTGGGCAATTCTTGTTTATGTTATCACAATAACCTTTCAGCTGTTCTCTGTCTCTCTAATCTCTTACTAAATTAGCGTGCTCTACATACCACCACAAATGATCATCTTTCTAAAACGCAGATTAGATATTTCTTTCTCCTTGTTGAAACATGCCATGGCTTCCTATGGCCCTATAAGGGAATAAAGTCCCAGATCCTTAGTAGGTGCTCAAAGTTGACACGATGAGGCTGCTCAACCTACCTTCATGCCATTGTGACACGTAACCTCCATGAAGTAGCCTGTTTCCTGAGCTGTTGCACATTTGTATCTGCCTATTTCTTTTCTTATGTTATTCCCTGCACATTACCCCAGGCCACTCTTCTGCTTGTCAAAACTCTGCTCATTAATTAAAGTTTACCTTAAAATATTACTCACAATATTTTATTCACAAGGACACAATATGTGTCCCTTTCTCTGTTAAATTATTCCATCTGTTGAACTTCCCACTGAATTTGGATACACTGTGATTGCATTCATTTAATCTTACTTTTCTATGAGTTTGTCTTTTTTACTAGATTGTTCATCTCTGGGTAGCTTAGGTGTCACTTTGTCCCCTAACTGCTTTGGATGTTTCTGCATCCACTCTTAGGTTGGTGGAAGTCTGAGGCCCTCTCTAGATTTCTGCTGAATATGGGGAATGTAAGCGTGTGTGTGTGTGTGTGTGTGTGTGTGTGTGTAACACGGGGGGCCACATTCTCCTGACTTTCTCTGCTTATCTGACTTTGTTCACTTGTTGAGTTTGATGGCATCATTTTGTTCCCAATAAGAAACATCTTTGCTTCCATAATGAGGAATGTACTTATTTCTCACACTGAGGTCTCATGAGTTTGATAGACTTTCTAGAAAAAGAAAATTGTTGGGTGAAGCAGTCATGGGGTGACCACATCATTGAGTTCTCAGCCTTCCACCAGCGGGAGCTCTGCTGCCTCCTTCCCCGTCTCTCCCTCCCAGCTTCACTTCCCTCCCCTCGCAGGTGGTCTGGGACCTGCAGTTGGTGACATTTCAACTTTCAGGACAACTTCCCTTCTCGTTAGCCTGGGTGCAGGAGGAGCCTGTGACACTCAGAACGCTTACCTTTTCCAAGACTCTGATAAAAGAATTTTACTTAACACAGTTGCTTCTTAAAGGAAATCCTGGTGTCAGCTGTGAAGATCCTCACATTGTCTCTTTCTCAGAGCAGCACATGTGTATTCTCACATTTTTGGTATAATGTTGCCAAAGACATTCAGAAAACAAATAATTGGCTGCCTGCCACTGAATGCTTTTCTCTTTAGAGAGGGAATCCCAGGAAAGGTAGAAGTTGATGGCGCCCGATATGGACTCTCCAGAGGGTCTTTGGGAAATGATACAGATCTAACTGCAGAGGCAAGTGTCCAGTGCTGTGGAATGAAGGGCCTAAAGGTGGTGTGGTGGTGACAGTGTGTCTGAGGTCCCCGGCACCACTGGGCATGTCCTATGACTGTTGCTCCTGTGGCTGGATCACAGCTGCTCTCTGCCTTCCTGGGTTCCTTCCAAGTCTTGCTCTCTAGCTGTCTCACACATTTCCCAAGCTTCCCTCTATTTGTCTCATAAGTTCTTTCTTTCGGTGCCCCTTTTTGTTGTTTGCCACCAAAAGCCCAGACTGGTACAAAAGCTTTGCATATGGTTTATGCTGAAAAATATCTTTAGAGGAATCTAGTGAATGCTTAAAATTACCAAAATTATAAATTATAATTTCTTTTATCATTTGGGTAGTATGAACTTGACCAACATTATCCCATGTTTTTCCTCTGTCCCCATGTTTAATCCAACTATTTCCATGTTTTAGTCTCTGTGAATTTAAGGCTAAAGTAATTTTTTTTTTTTTTTGAGACAGTTTTGCACTGTTGCCCGGGCTGGAGTGTAATGGCGCAATCTTGGCTCACTGCAACCTCTGCCTCCCGGGTTCAAGCAATTCTCCTGCCTCAGCCTCCTGAGTAGCTGGGATTACAGGCTCCCACCACTAAGCCCGGCTAATTTTTTGTATTTTTTTAGTAGAAAGGGGGTCTCATCATGTTGGCCAAGCTGGTCTCGAACTCCTGACTTCGTGATCCACCCACCTCAGCCTCCCAAAGTGCTGAGATTACAGGCGTGAGCCACCGCACCTGGCATTTTTTTTTTTTTTTTTTTGAGACAGAGTTTTGCTCTTGTTGCCCAGGGGTGGAGTGTTATGGCATGATCTTGGCTCACTGCAACCTCCACCTCCCAGGTTCAAGCGATTCTCCTGCCTCAGCCTCCCAAGTAGCTGGGATTACAGACACCTGCTACCACCCTTGGCTAATTTTTGTATTTTTGGTAGAGATGGGGTTTCATGATGTTGGCCAGGCTGGTCTCAAACTCCTGACCTCAGGTAATCCACCTACCTCGGCCTCCCAAAGTGCTAGGATTACAGGCGTGAGTAAATTTTTTTATTAGATTATAAAAGCTTATTTTTTATTGAACTCTCAGAGAGCTTAAAATGTCTAGATGTTATTGGTTCTGAGTATACACCAATTCCTGCTTTTGTAGTTAACTCTAAGTGACGTGCTTGGGGAATGGATTTAACCTGTTTTCTTGGATGAAAAGTAGGTGCTTCTAGACAAAGCATTGTAAAGAAAGTCCCAAAGTCATTTGCAGATGTTAGTCATCTCCTAATTCCTTTATAAGTTCCTCATTTTGGTACGCCTGGACCACATGCCATCCACAACTGTTGAAGGGAGTGTCTGTGGGCAAAAAATAGCTCAAAACCTTTGAATTTAGAATTTTATTTAAGTGGTGCTTATAGCAAGAGTTTTGAAACAGTGATCTGCAGAGCCAGGCTGGGGGTCTTACAGGAGATGTGCATGGAGAAGTGACAAGGCCAACACCTCTTCATGCAGGACAGCATCTCTCTCTCTTTTTTTTTTTTTCTGTTCAAGTATTACATTTTCACACAAACCAATGGGCCCCTGTTGAACCTAGCAAAAACTGGACTACTACCCCTTCCACGTACACCTAGGAAAAAAATGTACATATGCACATAGAGAAATTTTTGCATGCAACTTAGGATGTTCGTGGACCCTCTGAAGATCTTCGTAGACTTCCATTCCATAGGTTCCCAGATTAAGGAATTTCTAAAAAGCTTTCTTAGTTGAAAGCTGCTTTGACTCAAGAAGGAAGAAGATGAAGGAAAGCCTCTGTTCTATCTATATTCCTATGCCTTCAGGTTCTCTCAGTATCTTCATATCTGGTTGGTTTTCAAGAACCGCCTTTTCATGGCCCTCTGAAAATAGATTTCATTTGCACAATAAAGGTGTGTGTGATGAAGCTTTGCTCTTGGACAAACCCAGGCTACCTATTGGCTTTGTGTTCAGAAGATCATTTACTAAGACAAGTTTGTTTCTCTGCAGAGTATGTCTTTGCATGCTTTTGTGCTGAAGATGACTCCAAGTTTCATAGGAACAGGCTGACATAAGGAGCTCATGGTCTGGAAGCCATCCTCAGGACCCCAGGGACCCAGTGGGGCCTAGATCAATAATAGAGAAAAGGCAAGAGAATGCTGAGAGCCAGGTATGGGGCAAGAAGAAAAGAAGCATAGGGAAATGAAGAAGGAAGGAAGGAGAACTTGGTGAGGGTCAGAAACTAGCTGATGCATTTTTCCTTCCCTAGAAACTGCTCAACTATTGCTCCTTTTGCCTGGATCTTTTATTCCCCTATTTATGGAACTGACCCCCTCACATTCTTTGGGTCTTAGATGAAATATCACCTCCTTTAACTTACCCCTAATATAAGTAGATTTCCTCTGTTTGTTCTTTCTCATAGCATTTCAAATACCCTGTTTATAGCACATATCACAATTTAATATTGTGTATATGTATATATATATGTTTGTGTGCGTGTGTAAATTTGTATATGTGTGTGTGCATAATTTTATGTAACACACATATACACACATATATACATAACATTACATATATATCAGTGTATACTCTTTCTTAATTATTGGCTATCTCTGTCTTTTAGTGTAAGCCACAGTAAGGGCAGGGACTTATGTCTCTTTTGTGCATGATATAGAGTACAGTTGTTTACCCAAAATAATTATTGAGTAAGTGAATGAATAAACGGATCATTGGAAGTTTTTTGGGGGGGTCTTGTTTTGTCACCCA
Organism: Homo sapiens; assembly: GCF_000001405.40. Taxonomy (NCBI): domain Eukaryota; kingdom Metazoa; phylum Chordata; class Mammalia; order Primates; family Hominidae; genus Homo; species Homo sapiens. Next base: position 86,712,307 of record NC_000009.12, read on the forward strand.
GGCTAGAGTGCACTGGCGTGATCATAGCTCGTTGCAGCCTCGAACTCCTGGGCTTAAGCGATCCTCTCACTTCAGCCTCCTGAGTAGTTGGGACTATCGGAGTGCGCTACCATGCATGACTGTTTTTTTTTTTAAAGATGAGATCTTGCTATGTTTCCCAGGCTGGTCTCAAACTCCTGGCCTCAAGAGGTCCTCTCACCCATGACCTCCCTGAGCACTGGGATTATAGGTATGAGCCACCACACCTGGCTTTCCCTGGAAGTTTTGATGCCAGGAAGATGCCTGAAGTATGGTTCTCTCTGAACTATGGAAAGAGCCATGCTACCCAGTGGCTTAAAGATGGATGACTTAGACTCGGGGAATTCACTGGATAAAATAGGAGAATGTGGACTTTTCCCAAAAGGACACAATTGGGAAAAATCTAAACTCAGAAATTGCTTTGCTCTGGATTTCAGTGTGAAAACCCCAAAGGGAGGACCACCACAAACTAGATCTAGCTGGGATCTGTTGACAATCTGAGCTTTTATTGCTAGCTTGGAAGGTGTCGTGCCCCTGAGAAGGAATGCAAGGGAGTGGGCCGAGAGCAACGCCACTTTCTGGAGTCCAGAATGTTAAAGCAGCAGATCCTAACACATCTCATGAAGACAGTGGAAATAGCAGGGAAGGTGACCAGCCTTGCCTTCTTTTGGTTTCACAAAGAGTGATCTCCAAGCTTATGTATAGCCCACGGCATTGACACCCCATGAGAAACACTGTTGAGGGTGAGTAAGAACTGCTCAGAAAGTGGGCAGTTTCTATCTTCTCTGACATTTGCTGATAAGTCTCAAATCTTTAGCCTTGTGGATGCCAGCAGATACTTTAAAAAGCCAGCATTCAAGGAAGACATTCTGCAATGCAAACTGGAACTGGAAATCTTCCCCTTCCTAGACTTAACCCAAGGTAAAAGGAAGATATCTGCTGGAAAAGCAGATATTTCCTCTGGAAAGATGTCCTAAATGGAAATGGAAGAACTGAATCCATTATATTTAGAAGTTTTCTCATTTGTAGTATCTATCTCTAAGTGTATTAGCTTTCTTATAAACAATGATAAAATGTATAAAAGGCGTAAGCATTACATTTTCTTAGTTTGGGTTCTCATGAGTTGAATTTTCTTGATCAATTAAAGGAAAAATAATTCTCTCAACTTGCCTGGTTTGCCTGAATTATTCTAGAGAGTGGTTTAAGTTTCCACTTCACTTCATGTTCTGTAGATGTGGTATTGGCAAATCCTGTATACATTCTCTGCAGTAAAAACTCTAGGAATGTTTGGCGATTGAACTTAAGGAGTCAGAAACTTGGTTTTGAGTCCAGGCCTGCCACTTACTACATGGATGACCTTGGAGAAGTGACTCAGTAACTGGCCATTTGTGACTAAGAATGAAAGCATTGGTTTAGATGGTCTCCAAGCTCCAATTATAAGATCAGGTGATATTCTTTGTGAACCCGGGAATTTATGTTGATGTCCTTTTTCTCCTGTAAATTAAAGAAGAGGAGGCTGACCAGTGAACATAAATGATGTTCCTTCTCCAATTTATCCCACAAATTAGCACGGATCTTACCTCTCACTTGTCCCTACCCTTCCCGGGGAGGGCCAAGATATGTCCCTCAGTGGGTTTCACCCATCCTGATACAACATAAGGAAAGGAGTGGGGGCTTATATATTCTTGCTGAACAAACCAAACTTATAGGAAATGTCAAAATCCTGGACTTTACTTCAGCCTACAGTCAAAGAATGTGCTAAGGAGATGAAATAGACCACTCCACCTAAGAGAGAAGCCATCCAATCCCTCGCAAACTGAAGTGAAGTCACTTATATCATTGTTTCACAGTTTAACAATGTGGGAGTTAAAGCCAAATTTTTATGAAGAACAGATGGGCCCACAGGCCACAGAAAGGGAAAAAACTGCTCCAAAATAGGCTTGCTAAATATTATTATCTCTAAATATAAGCAGGGAGAAAATTCATTCTGTTTAAAACATGCTAAAAATGTCTTATGATATTTTGTAGTATTTTTAATTAATATATTTTTTAAAGATGGAATCTTGCTATGTTGCCCAGGCTGGGCTCAAACTTCTGGGCTCATGTTACCCTCCTGCCTCAGCCTCCCAAGTAGCTGGAATTACAGGTGTACTCTACCACACTCGGCTGTCTTAGGGTCTTTTTAGTTCAGTATCATTCCTCTAGCACGTAGATAAATGAGCCGCAAACCATGTAATACTGCCCATTCTATTACACTTAGCATTATTTTCATTAGCAAATTCAACTCTGTTTTATAAAGTATTTTATCCAAAGACATTGTCTCTGAGAGATATATTGAGAATCTAAGTACAGCCTAGGAAATGTGGACCAAGGTCGGCTTTTCTAATCTATTGGATGGGTCAGTAACAAGTGGTCTGGAAACCAGGAACTTCCCCTTGCTTCTCCCAAGTATTTTTTTGTCCTGTCTGTTACAGATTCCTGAAATTTCTTTCCCAGTGACTTTCTTTCATTTTATAACTAAAATGAGATATAAGAGACAAATGCTTCTACAGATGTAGCACCTTGGCTAAAGTTCTTACTAAAGTGTAAATGACTGATAGAAAAATTTTCCTCAAAGAGTGAATTTCAGTGGGGTAGCTGGGGTAGGTCATGTAAAGAAGGTACAGATTTGCCTTCAAGGAGCATATCTACCACGAAAATAATTTCTTATGTCAGTTTACTCTGCATTTTTTACAACACAACATATGCTGTATTTCAGGTCTGTCAATCTCTAAATGTCCAGTTGCACATAAAGCTCACTCCCATGCAATCCAGATGATCTCATCCAGAGAAGCTCCACATTGCACTCAGTTAGCTGCGTCATTAGGAGATCATGCGAAAGTCAGAGGTGGCCAGAGTCAAGAGCCAGGTTTCATTATAATTCTCGAGTGGTCATGGATAGCTGGAGCCTTTGAAATGGACATGGATTATTTATGGATAGAAAGCATTTAGAGGATAAAGTCTCTGGAATGAAAATCCAAGAGGAGAAATAAATGGGGAATGCATCTCAGGGAGATGAATAATATTTCCTAAAGTGTGTTTTTTTCCAAGCAGATTCCTTTATTTTTACTGCTTATAGAGGTAGTCTTTGTGAGAAATTTCAGACCTGAAGAAAGGGCTGGTGGAATGAAGTCTGCTTTGTGAAGTGCTCATCTTTGGTGTCTGCATGCATGGGGAGGGGGCTGGGTGGCTTCTCTAGGGGGGCTGTATTTTTTTTTTTTTTGAGTTGGAGTCTCACTCTGTCGCTCAGGCTGAAGTGCAGTGGCGCGATCTTGGCTCACTGCAACCCCCACCTCCCCGGTTTAAGCAATTCTCCTACCTCAGCCTCCCAAGCAGCTGGGACTACAGACGCGTGCCTCCACACTCGGCTAATTTTTGTGTTTTTAGTAGAGACGGGGTTTCACTATGTTGGCCAGGCTGGTCTTGAACTCCTCACCTCAAGTGATCCACCAGCCTCGGGCTCCCAAAGTGCTGGGATTACAGGCGTGAGCCACTGCGCCCGGCCTGGAGGGCTGTGTTCATATATTTGCCTTCTTTTTCCTTCTTCAACCTCTTCCAGAAGCTTTTCCTTCAGCAAGTATTTCCTTAAACACCGATTATATACCTGCAATGATACTAAGCAAAGGAGGTACAGCAATAAACAAACGATCCACAGTCCTGCTGGAGACACAGGCATGAAGCAAATGACCACCAACAACTCGCCGATTTTACTTGGAATAAAAATGTTAGGAAGGAGAAGGACACAGCAGTGGACGTTTCAGCCACTTGGTCTGAAAATGGAAGCTTCCCTAATTGTGTCCTGAGTTCCAGACTTGGTTTGTCTTTATTGACTGTGAACAGGATTTGGTCACACTGAGCATAGACAAGGAGGACCCCATCCTTTGCTGCCCTTCTGACCTGGGTTTTTCTCCACCACCATAGTCCTCAGTGCCCCCATCATTCTGTTAGTCCTGTGTAGACTGTGAACTCCTTTAGGAAGGAGGAACCACGGTCTTACCTTTGAGTATTAATGTTCCATACAGTGACTGTTGCATAGTAACTGCCAAATGAATGTTAGTTTGATTGAACTAGACCTTCCTGTTTCCTCTGTAATTCCAAGTACAGACATCCTCTGGGAAGAAGGGCTGTGGGTTCCATCTGGGTATTATTCATCAGTTACACCCTGTGGAGTGCTTTTTTCACTGTGGTGTCTGGCTGAGAGGCCCGGACAAGATGCTGAAAGGTGAACAGGGCTGGTTGCATGAGGCAAAGTCTTCTACTCCAAGCCCTCCAGGTCCTCTGTAGGATGAGACAGGCTTTGTGAAGATTCCTCTCTCACACTCTCAACAGATGGGGGAGATTTGGATGTCAACTTTTCCCCTAAAGGGTTCCAGAATCAGACTGATGGCTACATCTCAGCCAGCCTTCCAGATCTTCTCTGAGGTGCCTCCAGCGCATCCAGATGGAAATTGTCAGCATTTCATGGAAAGCACGCCATAATAAAAATTAGCTCTACATTCCCCCCAACAAAAAATAGTTTTTCCTTGCATCCTTTGGGTTGCTACCATCCACTGAGAAACATTATTATTAGGTTGGTGCAAAAGTAATTGAGGTTTTTACAATTAAAAGTAATCACAAAAACCACAATTACTTTTGCACCAACTGAATATTATCCTAAAATCCAACTTTCTTTCCACCACTACTTGCTTTCCCTTCAAGCTCATAGCTGCTAAGTCTACCTCCTAAATCTGTTTTACAACTCTCCTCCCAGTCTCTAAGTTCTAATTACTTAGAACAGGCAACTGGCCACCCTCTTTCCAGCCCCGGCTATCTGCAGAGACATCTTTTCAATGTATAGAAATTTGTAATGACTATCTTTAATGGGATGCTGTCACCCACAGTGTAAAATACAGTCCTTAGGTGGACATAAAAAGCCCTGATGATCTGATCCCAGGCCACATGATTGTCCTTGTCCTCCATTCTCTGTCCCTTCTCAGACGTTCTCTGCCCGTTACACTTGTGACACTGTGTACCATCTCTTCGAATACCCCTCCAGCCTCTCACTGCTCCTTTCTCCATATCAGCCTTGTCAATGTCTACTCATCATTCAAGATCAAGCTGAAGTACCTTTGCTTCTGAGAAGTCCGCCTCCCAGCCTTCCCACCCATTCAACTTACCCAGTTAATTGCACCCTCTTCCAGGACACTATGGTTTCTGCATGACTCTCCTGGAGATCATCATACAGTGCTGGAATTTCCAAAGGCTGTCCTTTAGTTCTTGCTTGTGTCTTGTTCAGACTTAGGTTCCCAGACCCTCACACTCTACCCTTTATTAACCATGTGACCTTGGGCACATTACATAACCCCTCAACTTCATTTTTAGTTTATTAAAAAGGACCAATTTATTTCAGCTTATTTAAGGACAAATAAGACTGTTATGAGGGTTAAATGAGATGAAGCATATAGCACCAGGCCTGGCACATAGTAACTATCTAATACGTGGCATTATCTGTTGTTATTATTATCAAGTAGGATAATATCAATGCAGATATCAATTGTTTTCTGGAGCTGTTCTGGGACTGGGGGTGCCATCAGAGGGAAAACTTTCTCCTGTGCTTTGGGCTTCAAGTAACAGATTTAGAGGAGTGGGTGTAGCTATTACCACTGGCTGCTGAAGGGAGATTCTTACTAAGGAACCAATGGTTGTCCTTGAGAGAAGATGGATGTGAGCTTTGACTGAGCTAGCCTGGAGCTGTTGGGATTGCAGGTGTGCTGCATGGAAAATGAATAGGCTTTTATTTTAGTTGTGCCACCATTAGAATTTCAAACCAAGATGGATATGACCTGGACAGAATCATTAAAAAATCTTATATGAATATATTTTATGGATTTGAGTTAGCCTATTGCATGGCCACTATGAAACTATGACAAAAGAAGTTCAAGGTATTGTTCCAGGCTTCGATGTTCAAACCCCTACTTCCTGCAATGGGGAGAGAAAGCTACTTATATTTTGGCATCAGTGTATAACCCCAGGCATAGTTGATCCAGTCTGGCGTGATACGGACTTGGTCTCTTGGAGTTCAGTGAAAGTGAGGTCAGCATGTACAGAGGCCTGGGGAAAACAAACTGATTTAAGGTACTAAACTGGAAAATACTGTTCCATTTCTTTCTGAATGGAGTCCACAGTGGTGCTGGAAAATCATCTGGAGAAACACAGCCCCAAGAGTAATAGCATGCTGTAATGCATTTGATTAAAAAGAGGAAGGAAAAAAACATGTTATGTGCTGTCCTCATGCTAGGATCGGGGAACAGGCAGCCTGTGAGCTGTGGCCCGTGGAGATTTCACCTGGATTACTTTAAAAGCACTTTTGCAGAGCCAGGCAAATGAAAATCATGTGTTTATTTATCAAGGAGACCTTCTCTTGGGAATATTTTATTTGCAGATCTACGAAGAGGCAAAACCTCCACATTTTTAATCTCTCGTGCAAGAACTTCTAAGTGCTGAAAAAGCAGCGACAGGAAGAATGAGTTTGGATGTCCCAGAAATCCTGATAAAGTTTGGAAACTTGTCCAGATTGTTTGAACTTTTCGTCTGGACCGTATTAGATTCTGTGTCTCTGAGAGCAAGTTCATTTATATCGTGTACATTTCTCAAGCTACAGTGTTTCAGTGTTTTTATCAACGGCTTGGCAAAGATGACACTGAGACACTCAGTCTTTAATGTAGGTATGTCTGAATATCGCCAAATGTCCTCAGGCTTCGGTGGGTATTTGAGAGACATGTTCAGGTCATTCAATTCATCAGAGGGACATTTTCTGCCAATCAAAAGTGCCTTTGAGGGATTTCGGTGGTCAGTCTCCAGTCTTCTCAGTCAAGTGGTGTCAGCCTAGTATAAAGGGTTGTGCCATAATATCACGGGACTCGTGGAATAAGACTTTTTACTTCATTGTTTGGAGACTTCAGAATGTTTAAATGTAGACCCAATAAGCAACACTACTTTGTGCTTTGGTTTGAACCATGGGAAACTGAGTCGAACAGCAGATAGTCAACTTTAGCTCCTCGTGATTCTCTGGAGAGTCAGGGTGACAAGTCATGAAGTTTCAGGGTACTAAGTACATTTTTAGTGTGCTGAGTCTGGAGGAGGCTGGAAATGGGCTTTAATTTCTTCGTCTCACTTAATTTTGTGTACCACTGGACACACATGGGGTGTGGCAAATGGAAAACAAGTAAGCTTTTATTTTAGTTGTGCCATGGGAAACTGGGTTCAACCATGTCTGCTCCATGTTTGTTCCATGGGCAAATGGAGTTACTTTTGAGGAAATATGTGCATTAGTTATCTATTGCTACATAACAAATTACTCCAGAATTTAGCAGATTAAAACAACAGTTATTATCTCACAGTTCTGCAGATCAGAATTCAGGAGTGGCTTAACCGGGTGGTTCTGGTTCAAAATCTCTCACGAGGTTGCAGACAAGGTGTCAGCTGGGGCTGCAGCCCTATGAAGGCTCAATTGGGGCTGGAGTGTCTCCTTCCAAGATGGCTCTGTCCCATGGGTGTTGCAAGAGGCCTCAGCTCTTCGTCACTTGGTGTCTCCATAGGGCTTCTTGAGTGTCTTCATGACATGGCAGCTGGCTTCCTCAAGAGCAAACCAAGTGCATAGGTTTGCATGCACACTCACGTGAGAGAGTAAGAGAGAGAGAACAAACAAGAAGTCACAATAAATTGACCTAATTTTGGAAGTCACACAGTTTCGAAGTGGGCCTCTAAGTACAATCTACTTTTAAGGGCAGAAAAATTAATGTCCACCTTATGAAGGGAGGAATATCAAAGAATTTGTAGACATATTTTAAAAGCAGCACACCACGAGTCTCAGAAGTCATTGACATGAATGTGAATCTCCAGTCTGTCTCTTATTCATTGCGTTGCTGGGGACAAATTGATGAATCTTTGAACTTCAGTTTAGTCATTTATGAACTGAAACTCAAAATACCTACACTGCAGTGTTATTGATAGCATTAGAAATTCTGCTTATAATATATCTCAAAGAGTTCCTAGCCTAAAGTTCGTGCTAAATAAAGAGTAGATATGGGGATGATAATGACCGTCATGGGGATGATGATAAATAACCTTGGGTAAGTGACACAGTCTCTTTGCACCTCATTTGGTTTATAATATGTACACCATGGAACTGTATCAAGAATAAATACTGTAATTTATGGAAAAGAAGTTCCTGGCAGAAAGTATATTAATTTCCCCACTCTTTTGAAGAAACACCAATAAAATGATATTTTGGCTGTTTTTGTTGCTACAATGCATCATGTTTAAAAAACCATTAACGTCATAAATATTAAAATTTCTAGAGCACAACCACTGGAAAAAATAGAGGACTCACACCGTAAAATCCACTGATCTAGACAAAAGTGCTCATCTCTCCATTAGAGCAACGATTTTCTTGTGTGATTTATTGCACTGATTGGTGGTTCTGTGTCAGCCGGTCCTTTCTCGGAATTATACCTTGAGATGACATTTATCATGTCCCCTAAAATACACACTTACACACACAGATACACATCAATCTGTCATTTAGTACATTGCCATCATCCAAAAATAATTATTCTCTGGATGATGACTTGACTGGATATGAAAATGGATGGAAAATATCATAGAGTGAGGCATTTGATGGCAGATGCTTTTTCACTCTTTCAAAATGATGCTTTGCCGGGAAGCCAGCGGGACTTTTGGTATGATATTGGGGTGAAAGAGTTGCCTGGTGTTGCGTAGCTTCCCAATGGGGCGATCAAATCTCAGAACCCAAGCTCAGAACAGTAGCAGAGTGGCCCAATCACCACTATTTTTTTTTTAAGCTGGGTCCCTTGTCTCCCAAAAACCATTTAATTGAGCAGTTCCTGGCAAGGTTACTCCAGCAAAGCACTGTCTACGTGTGGTAATTTCAAGGTTCCAGGAATTTAAGATAATGTTGGCAAAGCTACCATTAATTTGAGGAGCAAGGGAAAGCAGTGTTGTAACAGTGATGCAAATGTGGGAAGAACTAGGAACAAAGGCCATCATGTTCAGGTCTCCCTTCCTTTCCACCTCCTTAGTCAAAGGCAGGGTGGGTGGAGAAGGTTCCAGTTTTCCCTGGAATGAATTGTCAAGACTTTCCCCTCCAGGCTTGAAACATGTTCCCCTCTGAGCCACTCAGCACTTGTCAAACCGGTCTTTACTTGAAAGACACACGGCATCAACATGAAGGTTGTCACATAAGTTCCCCTCTCCCCAGTTTCTGAGGGTTTTGAAAGATGTCACATCCTGCCTCTGGAGCCAGCAGAGCAGAGTCTGCAGCCAGTCCTGCAGGGGAAGCTGCCAGGGGGCCAGAGACCCCCCCCCCCACCCCCACCGCCCCCCGCTCTGGAGAGGGTCCCTGGCTGGTTTCTGTAGAGCAAATGAAGGAGAAAACTACAGACAAGGCAGGTGAGGGGAGACAAAGCAGGCAACAGGAGAAGTCAGTTTTATGGAGCTTGCAGACCTGAGCTCAAATATTAAAAATGCTTTCATCAGTCTTCTTAATCCAAAGAAATTCTTTTTGGCTTAGATGGGAGGAAAAATCAGTCCCTTAAGGGGAAAGCAAGAGGAGAAGGAGGTAATAAGGATGTGAGTCAGACGCAGGGAATTGCTGGCAAATGCATTCGTTTTGGGAGGCAGAGGAGGACTGTTTTCAAGCTGCTCTAACGTTACAGGCCACTGATAACACCCGCCTGCTTTTTATTGATTTCTCCCTTTAGTTATTAAAAGGTTTGATTCCATTAAGTGGGGGAAAGGTGAGGAAAAAAGAGCCATTTTTTTTTCATGCTTATTTTTTTCTCCTCTGGGGAATAAGCGGCACTTGGGCTCCAAAGCTGTGTTTTTCTTTGGGTTTTGCCTTTTAATAGGGGTTGAAGAAAGTGGTTATAGACATTTGAGGGGAAATAAAGCCTGTGGTTTATTAACAGGGCTGGTTTTAATCAGCAGTGATTTGACTAGGGTAACATTAGAGCTGCAACAATGATAGCTGATACTATGATTTTCTATGCTTTTAACCCCAGACTGAAGTCTTGTGGGTTCATGGACAGAATTCATTTGTTCCCCTGGCCAGGCTGTGGGGAGGAGTGTTCTGTGACAGCCTCAGGTAAGGGGAGGAGAGGGCTGGGGACTGGGGTAGATGCCTCAGGGGTTCTTCCCTGCTGGAATTCCAGCTGCTGGGAAGCAAGCTTCACAGATGGAGGGTTTTGAAGGACCAAAATGGAAGGTGGGTTTGGGACCCCATTTGGCCACTCTGTGTCTAGATCCAGATGGATAAATATTCATGAGCTTATCTTTCCAGACCTGAGGCAAAATCTCAGATCATGACACCTTACACTCTTATTAGGAAAGTCAAGAAAGAATAGGCCACTTCCCAGGTGGAAGGCTGCTCTCAAGTGAAACCTAGTCTTGTCCTACCCAGGATGAAATCTTTCGGAACTTTCGCACCCAGCCCATTATTTACTATAGCCACTGCCAAATCACTGCTAACATCCCAACAAATTTGGGATAAAGATCAAACTCCTATATTAGTCACCAATTATGATTTGCCATCTCTGCAGCCAGCAGTAGCAACAGGATTTCTGGGAATGTTCTCTTTAAAAGTAAGACACTTTATTTTTCAGCATATTTTCTAAAAAAGGAGAAAAAGAAGATCAACATTTACCCGTGTCAACTACAAGACCTGCCTGCTTTGAAGATGAATAAGGTCATTTACAAAAGCTTATGGAGAGGCCCATGAGTGCGGGGCTGATGGGGGGAGTGTGAGTGGATGGACTCAGCCCCCAACAGTCCTCTTGATTTTCTGTAACATTCTGTGTTCATGTGTTTACATATATACAAGCTACTCTTCCCAGCAGTAGAAGAGTGCTTGCTCTCTTGCTCTTGTTCTTCTGCTGTCTTGTTCTTGTTTCTTGTTCTCTTGTTGTTGTTCTCCCAACTGAGAAGCACTGACCAATCCCCAGTCTCTCTCCCTTGGTGCCCCGTGTGAAAGGGGCAGGTAAACAGGAGATGGTGCCTGAGATGAGAACAGAACCAATATGTGGTACAGGGAGGAATCTGAGAGGTCCCCTAGCTTGAAGTCAGAGTTAACTCACTCCACCCACCCCCCATCTCTTGCTTCCTCCTCCCCCTCCTCCCTGACCACATCCCCTCCTATCACTCTGCAGTGGCATCTCTTGAAGGAAGTGCTCACTTCACAGCAATAACTCCCTCTCGGCAGCTGCCCCTGCCCCTGACTGCACGAGGTGACCTGCAGGAGCCAGGTCTTACCATCCTGGCTGAGGAGTGGATGCCCAGCTCTGGAGCAATAGATTGTCTGTCTCAGGAATATGAGATCCTGGGACTCACAGAGGGCAGGATTTGTTAGCGTGGAGTCCCATTAATGACAGTATTCTAGAGCAGTAGTTGCCAAGCATTTTTTTTTCCATTATGCTTGGGTGAAAAAAAAAATGGGACACATGTTCCTAATATGTTTATATTTATAGGTTATCTACATGTATTACTATTACTAGCTAATATCTCAAGACCTACTATATACTTAAGGTTTTTAAAATGGAAGGTAAATATGGCCCAGTAGTAATGAGCACACTTAGCACCCAGATCTTAGTTTCTAATACTGTTCTCCAGTGAGGAGAACCACAACTCACTGGACAAATGTGTGATCCTAGGATTGGGAAATGAAAGGAGCATCTTATAGTCCCCCAAATAAGGAATTGCCCAAACAATAACAAGAACAATATCGTAATATTAATAATAATGGGGAATGTCAAAGGGACACAGGAGCCAACTGAAAGAGCTACCAATGGCCAAAGTTGGAACAATTTGGGCAAGAAAATAAATAAAATAGTATAGTGTCATAACCCAAAGTATAACATAAATATCCGTGAATTCACACAGATATAAGTAAGTGATTGAATAAATAAATGGGGGAGGAGAGCAAGTTTTATGTGCAGAAGGTTTCCAAATAATTTATGGAGATACTCTGCCATTGAAGAGGTGAAACATCCCTTCCCACTGATAAGGGTGGGCCACACATTGTGACTTCCTTCAAAAAGGTACGGTATGGAAAGGGGACGGGGAGAAAGAGCGGGTTTACTGGGTTTACAGTGGAGAAACCTGACAAGCAGTACCCCAGTCAGTGACTGAGGGCAACATCTACAGTGATAAGACACGCTGATAAGATACACCCTTGATAGAATGGCACTCAGGTCTTTCTCCCAAAACCCCCAAACCCAAACTAATGATGAGAAAAACATCAGACCAATCCCAATTGAAGAACATTAGACAAAATACCTGACCAGTACCTCCCAAAATTGTCAAGGTCATCAAAAACAAGGAAAGTTTGAGAAGCAACCAAGAGGAATTGAGGAATAACAAGAAGACATGATTAAATGTAATGTGGTGTACTGGTTGTGAGCCTGGAACACAAAAAGGACACTAGAGAAAAAAAAAAAACTAAGAAAATTTGAATTAAGTATGGACTTCAGTTAATAATCTAAATAATTAGCTTTGGATAGTGTATCAGGATTGGTTCATTAACTATGACAAATGGTCCATACCAATGTAAGAAGTTAATAATGGGGGAAGTGAATATGGGATATATGAGAACTTCTTATACTATCTTCATAGTTTTTCATGTAAATCTAAAACTATCCTAAAAACGAAGTTTATTATTTTAAAAAAAGTAAATATGTTGTAAGAGTTGGGTTCAAACATGTGTCTTGGCCTTGGTACTAGTGACATTTGAGGCCGGATAATTGTCTGTTGTGGGAGGCCACCCTGTGCCTTGCAGGATGGCCAGTAGCATCCCTGGCCTGGACACACTAGAGAACAGTAGCACCTTCCCAGTTGTGACTACCAAAAGAGTCTCCAAATGTTGTCAAATGTCCCCTGGGGCACAAAAATCGCCCTCAATTGAAAACCACTTGATTTAAACAAATAGTGGATTAGGTAGGAGGGCTGGTATGAGATTAACAGTGTGAGAACATTCTCACATATAAAAAGTGGCCACCCTAATTTTGACGACTACATGTGTGTTTGCTTGTGCATGTGTGTGCACTTATTTCTTTATCTATTATCTCTCACCTTCCCTGTTCATTTATTTCATTATTAGTTGAATTAGAGGAAATGACCAGCTGAGAAATTATGATTCTTTATGTTGTATGGAGCTGGTGCAGAGTATGAAGTAACAGCTTCATAAAAGTAAGGAAGAACAAACAGCAGAAGACGTCAGGAATGTGAAAAGCAGAGAAAACAAAAAGTGGAACCAGGAATCTCTAAGGGTCTAATAGTGGATGGTGATACCTCGTGCTTGTGAGAGGAGCTCTTGTATCGCCTCCCATTAAACTCAAACAAATATTAATAGAGCACTTGGCTAAACCAGGCACATGCTATGCACTGTATAACCCTCTTTCATGTGGCCCGTGCATCTCCATTCCCAGACTCATCCTTCCCTCAGCATCCTCATGATGCTATCGGGCAGTCTAGGACAGACAGGCCTAGGCTCCACAATTGGGTCTGACTCCTCAGAGAAAAGCCAAATGCTCAGGCCGTTCCCTGACAGTAAAAACCTCTAAGGTTCCTTTTCTCTGGCCTCTGCTGTACACACACACATGTGCGTGTACACACACACACACACACACATTATAAAACTGCTTTTACCGGGCGCGGTGGCTCACACCTGTAATCCCAGCACTTTGGAAGGCCAAGGCAGGTGGATCATGAGGTCAGGAGATCGAGACCATCCTGGCTAACATGGTGAAACCCCGTCTCTACTAAAAATACAAAAACAAAATTAGCCAGGCGTGGGGTTGGGCACCTGTAGTCCCAGCTACTCGGGAGGCTGAGGCAGGAGAATGGCTTGAACCCGGGAGGCAGAGCTTACAGTGAGCCGAGATCACGCCATTGCACTCCAGCCTGGGTGACAGTGAGACTCCATCTCAAAAAAAAATTGCTTTATATTTATATTACTACATATATGTTCAAATTATACACGTTTGCATCTATATTTAATTTGATAAACTACAAGAGTTCCCCTGTCCTACTAAATCCTATCTTTCCTTAAAGATCCCAATCAAATGTCATTTTTAGGAACCATTCCTTGATTTTCCCAATCAGGAGTAGTTTCTTTTTCCTGCACACTTTCATAACTTTCCCAGTGGTCTGACAAAGGTACTGATAGCCTGCATATCTTTTTCCTAATAGACTGCACACTGCCTTTGTGACTGGAGTGCCATTATCATCATCATCATCATTTTAATCTTTGTATTCTCTGCCAACCCAGTGCTCCAAAACTTGTTATATAAATCAAAACCTATGTATAAATTATCTTTAATAAATTAGTGTATTACTCTTTATCCTGTTGACATTCTTCAAGTTCAGTAGGAACTTTTTGGAATAGCACAATACTGAACTTAAAAGAACAGAGTGGGCATTTAAGGTACGAGGCCAGGGTAGTCATATCCATTAGGAGGAGACATTATTTCTGACTCCAAATCCCATCCTGCCAGTGGAGTCCTAATCTGCTATGCCTGAAACCTGCTTTGACCTTGATCCTGAATACATGGGGATCAAGGTTGAAGAACTGATTTCTTATAGAAAATACTTTTGGAACTTTTCTGTGTAATAAACCACCCCCAAAAGTAGTGATTTTAAATGACAATGAAATACTGTTTTTCAAGATGCTGTAGGTTGGTGGCACAGTTCCTCTGCTGGTTTTTCCTGCGGCTCACTTATGTGGCTGCACTCGTCTTGGGAGCCAGCTGGGCCAGAGGGCTCAAGATGGCCTCCCACACAAGATTGGCAGGTGGTGCTGGCTCTTGGCCTGGATGCCTGGATTCTCCTCCACGTAGCCTCTCATCCTCCAGGAGGCTGGACAAGCTTCCTTACATAGCAGTCTCAAGGTTGCTTTCCAAGATGGCAAGAACAGAAGCTACAAGGCCTCTTTAGGCCAAGGCTCAAGAATTTATACAACATTAATTTCACTACATTCTATTTGTCAAAAGCCAGTCACAGGGCAGCCCAGAATGAAAAGATGGGGATGCTCTGCTCAATGGGAGGAGCAGCAAAGGCTTTATGGGCTTGTGTCATCTACTTCATGCAGCAATGAAGCATCTCCTTGATGCAGATCCTGGGGTTACTCCTGGGAACTTGGCAGAAGTCCTGTACTTATTCTGCTCTCAAAGGGACAGAGGTAGAAGTATAAATGTCTGACTGATATCCTTGAAGACGTCTCTTTTTGCCTGGAGATGGGAGAATTTGACCTGTCTCATCTATGAAGAAGAGTCCTATCTTGGCTGACCACAAATTTCAGGAAAACTAACCACTTACCACTTGCCACTCTAAAAATGGCAAGATACTGCTCAAATTTTGGAATAATTTCTTGCAAGTGGTAATAACTTCATAAAGGTTGATATTTTACGCCTGGGAATATGAAGTAACTAAAATAACATTATCATTGTAATAGTCTGTTCTCACGCTGCTAATAAAGACATACCCAAGACTGGGTAATTTATAAAGGAAAGAGGTTTAATGGATTCACAATTCCAGATGGCTGAGGAGGCCTCACAGTCATGGCAGAAGGCAAAGGAGAAGAAAAGGCACATCATACATGGTGGCGGACAAGAGAGTGTGTGCAGGGTAACTGTCCTTTATAAAATCACCAGATTTCATGAGACTTATTCACTACCACGAGAACAGTATGGGGGAAACAGCCTCTATGATTCAACTATCTCCGCCTGGTCACGCCCTTGACATGTGGGGATTATTACTATTCAAGGTGAAATTTGGGTGGGGACACAGCCAAACCGTATCAATTATAAAACTGCATTTCTGAAACACTGAGCCTGAGAGGAATTTAGACGTGAGAAAGGGAAGCTTTTATCATTCATAGTAAGTTGAGCAGTTTCCCCCAAGTATAGTCTTTTCTCTGCCCCAACAGTTGGTAGTAAGAGTGAGTATGGTGCAGTGAATTCCCTGGTCATCCCCTTCCACTCAGATATGAGGGAGCGTTTTCCATAGCATCCCTTAGCACAGTCAGGGAAAGGGACGTGGTGGTGAGTTCACCCAGCCCCTCATTCAAGGCTCACAGCCGTACTCCCAGGGAGGAATTAGCATCGCACAGCAGAGGAAATGGAGTTCTGAGAGGTTAGGGAATTGTCCAAGGTCTCACAGCTTGTAATTATTGGAACTGGAATTTATGCTCCATTTCAGGTCTTTCTGAAGCTAAACTCACCACCACCACTTCATTTCCCAGGAGGATGTGAACAAAGACTCTGCCAGATTGATCATGACTTGGGTGAAAGAATATAAGAAAACAAGGACTTAAGAGAAAAGAAGCATAGAGAGTTAAGTATTGGGGGGAATTCTTGAGATGGCTTAGAAGCACAATGTTACTTAATCCCTACCTGTATAAGAAAGGTCCAACAAAGAATAATTAATAAAGATGAGAGAGAGAGAGGACTGCAGGCCAAAAGTGTGTGTTCTGGCCTTCAACAATGTCTCCTTGACCAAAAGTCATTTCACATTGGCCGAGGAGGAGTTCAAAACACTCTCCGGTGTGCTGTCCAGGCCAGCCTTGGCTTTCCAGCCAAGTATGTGATATGGGTAGGGGAGTTTAGGGTGACCCTGGGAAAAGCTATTGGCTTATGGAATAATTCCATTTTCTCTGGCATTGCATGGGAAATTAATTGTCTTTTCAAGTAAGATCCTGTGCTTTGCAGGGTACATATCACATATACATATATATCTGTGAAAAATCTATTGAGATATTAGTTTTGTCTTGTTTTCACTCTTTCAAAAGAGAAAGACTGAGATGAGAAGGAGTGAGGGATGCCCTCCCCACAGAACCCTGGGAGGGAGCAGGGCCTTGGAGTAGGTGTCTAGGGGCTGTCTAGGGACTGATCTCCAATGTCGAAGCCCAGCCTGGCGCTGAGTTCCATACCTTGAGAAGTGTGGTATTTATATACATTTTGGACCTGTTGTGTGTGTGTTAGTGACTGACCCATGATAAAGGAAGAGCTCACTCAACAGTGGGCTTAGTCAAAGAAGGTGTGGTAGAATTCATGTCTCGAGGCCAGTGTGGTGGCTCACGCCTGTAATCCCAGCACTTTGGGAGGCCAAGACGGGTGGATCACCCAAGGTCAGGAGTTCGAGACCAGCCTGGCCAACATGATGAAACCACATCTCCACTAACAATACAAAAATTAGCTAGGTGTGGAGGCAGGTGCCTATAATCCCAGCACTCGGGAGGCTGAGGCAGGAGAATTGCTTGAACCTGGGAGGCAGCGGTTGCACCAGCCTGGGCAACAAGAGAGAAACTCTGTCTCAGAAAAAAAAAAAAAAAAGAGTCCATGTCTCTCAACACACACGAAGGGCCAGGATAACCAGGGATTCTTCCAGAATGTGATGGAGGAGAGAAAGGAGCCTACAAATACTGATGCCAGATGTTCTGCTAGTCAGATAGATAAAGACTGGGAACCAGATTTGCCTGATCTGGAAGAATGAAGGTAGTACATCTCTCATACTCAAGTGTTGTGGGGCTAATTCATACTTAGTATATACATTTATGGAAATACACTTTCTTGCAGTATTTTCTGGTTATTGCATGTTCTTCAATCTTACTTCTCCTGCTAAGTTCTTGGGGAGGGAGAGATCATTTTTTATATTTGCGTCTTCCTTAGTTCTAGGTTTACAACAGCCGCCATAACAGACATGTGTTGCTTTTGATGCTTGCAGCATATCTGAAGCTTATTAAAGCTTATTAAAAGAGTCTTAATTTTCTAACTATTTTAACAAGAGGAACCAATCCAATGGCACAGCTGAGGGAGACCCTGCTTGTCCCAGAAGCTGGCATGTGGATCTCAACCCTGATACATATTTAGGGTGGCAAGTGTCTTGATGCTCATTCTGGGGAGAAGCCAGCTGACTCACCCAGCTGTCCTGTCTCTGTGAGTCTCGCCATCGCAGGGAGAGATTTTGTCCAGTGTTTGCCTTTAGAAAACACACTGCCTTGTCAGCAATCTCTTCCTAGTGCCTTCCTCCATGGCAGCTATGTCTGATGATCCCATTCTGCTGAAATCAGTACCCATTCCCTTCTAGATTAAGATTTGGGGGAGAACTTCCTTTGCCATGTAAGGGCAATATGCGTTCAGTTACATTTGCAGTTAGACTGACATGTTCAGTGTCTCTCTATAGGGCTGATGGGGCTGGCTGCTGCTGTTTTCATTTATATAAAGGGGATGATGAATGCTCAGGTGAGTGCAGGCAGATCACGACTCCTCAGGTTTTCAGAGGCCACATTTTCAGAGCCACCACTGAGAAGCTGCAGCTGTCAAACTGCGCCACTCAGGGTGATAACCTGCATTCTCCTTATTCTCCAGTGTGAGTGAGCGTGTATGTGTGTGTGAGCCCACAGTCCTTTCCCCACCTGCTTAGAAAGTACTTAATAGGTGGAGATGTAGAATTCTGAAGACAAAGGTTTGTAACAAGTTCATAGAGGCTGAATGTTTCTTTAACAGAGCTGATACTATCATAGGAAAGCCTGGGCTTTTTCATTTGTGAAATGAGAAAGTAGGATAGTTTAGTTATCAGGCTGTGTTCTTGAAAATAAATATTGTTACATTTCTAAGTACGTAATATACATTTATTATAGAAAATTTAGGCGAACCAAAAAATACAAAAGAAAAAATCACCTATAACTCTATAACTTTAATGTTTGTATGTAACATTAAAATAAATACGGATCTATAACCTAGGCAGAGTATACAATATGATGTGATTTTTAATAAAGTATAAAACATTATATTGAATTAAATATAATATGTGATATGTAACTACTATAAAATATTATGTTGCATTATATATTTTTCCCACAAAATTGGAATATATATATATATAGTATATTGCAACTTAATGGTATATATGTTCAGACTCTTAAATGTGAATGAGTAAATGTTTGATGAAAGAATAAATAAATGAACTCATACATTAAATGAACAAGTGCATAGAAACGTTAATTTTTCTTCTGGCAGGGGAGGACTTACAAGTTTTCTAAATATTTTAAATGAAAGGAAATCTGAGAGATTTAGACTAACTTCCTTATAATGGGATATTATTCCCTTCATCCTGACCCTGTCCCTATAACATACACATACACACACACACACACACACACACACACTCGTCACCACATATTGTTTCCCTAATCATATAAATCATTCATGTGGAAAGCCCTCATGTATTCCAGATATTTCAACATTGTTTATGTTGGGCTGAATTTAGGTGTTATCTTTCTTTCCTCACTTTTTCTTTTTGGCATCCAAATACTTCTCTTTAGAGATAAGCTATTATTCAACAAATAGAGCTTCAAATAAAAACCTGCCCAGTTATTCTAAGGTCAACTGCCTCTGACTCAAGCAGTTGCTAAATTGTTTTGAGACTGGAGCTGTACTCCTCAGTCTTCCAAACATTGCAGAAAGAGGAAAAATGGAAAAACAAACGTAAGGCAGAAAAGATGGGAGAAGAGTAAATCAAATCTCATTTGCCTCTGCTCCAGTGTTGTTTAGAGGTGAAGAAGAGGGTTCTGATGTCAGAGAGATCTGACTTGAATCCTGACATTGCCACACTTAGCCATGTGACCTTGAACATTTATTTATTTTGGCCTCTTAAAGTTCTAGTTTTCTCATTAATAAGATGGGGATAATAGCAGTCCTATTTTATAAGATTAGTGTGAGGATTAAACAAGATAATATGTACAGTACTTAGAACAAGGACTTTTAAAGACTAGGTGCTAAATACTAAGCAACTATAATTTTAATATTATTATTTTTAGGTCTTTCTTAATGTTGATATTATCAGGCAAGCTTTGACCTTGAAACTAAAGAATTGTAGAGGGAGCCACAAAATTCACTGTAAATTTCATTCTCAAAACTATTTAAGTGTTTTTCTTGTATCTTTAAAATGAATACTAACATGGATCACATCTCTAAGGGACTGGTGGGAAGCAGTCAATTTTCTGCTCATAAAAGGAACCTAATACTGTTAAAAAAAATAAGTACTCACTCAGACCTGCCTAGGATAATTATAAGGGCATGCCACAATCCATAGTGCTATATTGTCTCTTGATTTCAGTACCCTATCCAGATTATAAATTAAGGCCTCTGATCTTGGTTGGAGAATTACCCCATGCAGTTAATATTGCTTCTTGAGAGTGGCTGTAAATGAAAATCCAGTTCTGTTAAAGATTCAGTTGCAAAACAGAATGTCAAAGCTGATGAGGTATGATGTTGTCATGGGATTGGGGTTTAGCACCGTGAAACTGATCATCCATGAGTCATTTTTTGGCTCCAATATGGGTGCACCTCCAGGGAACAGTAATGGGATTTACAAGTATCCTGGCAGCCATCTGATTGCTGTGTGTTCTGCCCAAACTGCACAAACTGTGAGATGAGGACGAATGAACCCAAGAGGGAATTGCATTTCATGGATTAATTCTTTCTGGCATTTTCAAGGTATCAGGGCTTGAGAGAACACTGTGTTGATTAGCATTTGGTGTTAAACAGGGTGGGGACGAGAAGACAGGAGGACATATGGTATTTCCCTTCCTACTTCTAGGAAGATGTCTAGCTGGCCCAGAGGGCTCACCAGCAGTTGGTGAGAGAGGCTCGGGCACAAGAGTAGTGGGGAAAAAGAGAAATCTCTGAAGAGTTGACAGGGATACGAAACAGACAATAGAGCCAACGAGGAAAGAGACTGAGGCCAGCACCCTGAGCATGTCCATTGCGAGGGCACATTTTATGGCTCCCGTGAAATGTGGTCTGCAGCATCTCACTAAGCCATCTGCAGCAAATGAGGCTACAGTTTCCCTGCGGACTGTGTTGAATCCGAACTGAATGTGGCAGTGCATTTTCTTTGCTCAGTTGTCCTCCTTCTTGTATGTGTACATTGTCCCCTTGGCCATCTTGGTCTTCTCTCTTCAGCCTGCCAGAAATGACGTTCTTGGTCACAGAGGCTCCAGTGTACTTTTATCAGTGTGACTCTTCCCACAGTGGGCACGACAGAGTCCCCTGGGTTCTGTCCTTTTCCTACACTCTCATGGGAATTATGAATGGGATGAGTTCATTGCTTGAATAGGAAGGCTGTTTCTTCATGGGCATACATGTATCTATTAGCACTCTAGTGACATGTTAATTGATAGGAAATGACATATGCATTGAAGAAGGATGGCTGACCAGTCAGATAGACATCCTCTAAGTCTGGTGTGAGAGCCACTGATTTCTACCAGGGCTTTCCTGTGTGCCTTCCCCGGTGAGCCACTTAACTTCTCTGGATCTCAGTTTCTGGAGGCAGTTGGTTAAGCTTTTGTACCTTTAAGCTCAAATTTTCATTGCTGGTTGTTTGATATTGTTTGTGCGTGTTTTTGTATATGTGTGTGGAAAGACAGATAAATATAAATACATGTACTAGTCAGAGCTCTCCAGAAGGATAGAACAAACAGGATATATGTATATATAAAAGGGAGTTTATTAGGGAGAATTGGCTCACATAATTACAAGCTGAAGTCCCATAATAGGCTGCCTGCAAGCTAGGGAAAGAGAAAAGCCAGTAGTGGCTCAGTCCAAGCCCGAAAGCCTCAAAATCCGGGAAGCCAACAGTGCATCCTTCAGTCTGTGGCTGGAGGCCCAAAGCTCCCTGGGCAGCCGTCAGTGCAAGTTCCAGAGCCCTAAGGCCAAAGAACCTGGAGTCTGATGTCCAACAGGAGGAGGAGGAGAAGCAGGCGTCTGGCATGGGAAGAAGAAAGAGAGCCAGAAGACTCAGCAAGCACATTTATCCATCTTCTTCCACCCGCCCTGTTCTAGCTGCACTGGCAGCTGACTGGATAGTGCCCATCCACATTACGCACCCTCTCCCTCTCCCAGTCCACTGACTCAAATGTCAATCTCCTCTGGCAACACCCTCACAAACACACCCAGAAACAACACTTCACCAGCCCTCTAGGCGTCCCTCAACCCAGTCAAGTTGACACCTAAAATTAACCATCCCAAAGTATATGTAGTTTCTTTAGCTGTAAACAAAATTTCTACTTCTTGGTTGTTTTGAGGCTTAAAGAGATATGGATGTAAAATCTTCCAAGCACAATGTTTGGTGCATAAGAGCCACTCAATAAATACATGATGAATGAGTTAATATTACTATGCACATAGGGACATGTGCTCAAGCCACCCCTGACTTACAAACCCTCAGTTGAGCTCAGTCCCTGCACATGAACACGATGACTGTAGGGATCCAGCCTCTTCCTTTGGCCTTTCCTATTGCTGCTGCCTACAGTCCTGGCCACCATGCAGCCATTCCATCTGGTTTCATGGAACTACTGGAATGTCAAGAACTACTGGAGGTGGGGCAGCTTACCCCCATTTACTCAACTTGAGAGGGTGAGATCCCCTCTTCCTGCTGGGGCAACATTGGGAATGGATAATTTCCTGGCAATCTGACTTGCTCCTTGAAGTAAATTTTCCCAGGGAGCAATGTTTTACATGGTAGTTGATATCTTGGAGCAGCCTGCAAAAGAATCTTACATGAGTCAGGGAGGAAACACATGACACACTCAAACTGGATAATTTAAGAGAGTTTAATAAAGGGATTGTTTCCAGAGATGTTGGCAGCATGTAGAGAAATCACAAGGGATGATGCAGTCACATGGAGAATGTCAATGGGAAACCTCAGGTGTCACGCTGGGCCTCAAGAGGCAATGACAGGAGTAGTTATCAAAACTTGGGGGAGACAGCTTTGTGGGTACGGCCACCAGCCAGACCATCTTCAGTGGAGAGACACAGTCAGCTTGTGCTAAGTGAGCAGGGAGCCAGGGAGTCAACATCCAAATCTCCATCTCCCTCCACCCATTGGGTGAACCCAACCAGAAGCCAGAGAACAAAGGGGCCAGTGAGTGCAGATCATTCAGATCAGCCTTTTGGGTGGAGCAGGATGAAAGAGGGCAGACTGGGGATCTGCAATCGTAAAATGGTTTTCTAAAAGGTCTTAGAATCTGTAAACCAAAAATAAAATTCTAAGTCCTCCAACTGACTTAATGGAACCCTGCTGTCAGCCAAGGGGACTCACTGAAACCTGAAAAACCAGTTGAGACCCTGATGGGAAGGGGGTGTCAGACATAGCTCATTATGGTCTCCACCCTTTGGAGTTCAGGCACAACTGACAAGCATTGACATTAAAACAAAGATCCTAAGACCGACAGAACAGACTCTTTGTAGCAGTAAGATACCAAATTCCAACCTGACTCTAGGATAGCATCACAGGATAGATAGCAGGGCCTTGAAATAAATCAAAGTGTTTTAGCCCCAAATATATTTCTTTGACGTGTTTTTGTCAAAGAAATACGCAAAGCTGTCTCTTGTGGGGGAAATTTACATTCTATAGAGAATCCCCTTCCCTTTCCAGGTATTTTCTGATCCTAAAGAGATTGGCTGAGAGCCCAGCACCTGTTAAAAGTCTAAATAGGAAACATTTGCCATTGCTTCTAAGGGCAGCCACCTATGAGACTTTATCTACAAAATAAGAACTTTGGTCTCCACAACCCCTTATCTTAACCCAGACACTCCTTTCTATTGATTCCAAGTCTTTAGATATAACTTAACTCTTTCAACCAATTGCCAACCAAAAAAATATTTGAATCCACCTATAAAAACCCCTGGAAGCCCACCTCCCGCAACACTTTACATTATCCCACCTTTCCAGAGCGAACCAACGTATATTCACATGTATTGATTGATGCCTTAGGTCTCACTAAAATGTATAAAACTGAGCTGTAGCCCAGCCACCTTGGGCACATGCCCATAGGCCCTCTGGAGGATGTGCCATGAGTCACAATTCATAACCTTGGCAAAATAAACTTCTAAATTAATTGAGACATCTTTTGGTTTACAAACCCAACCACCCTGTGTGATATTGTTTCTGAAGGAAAATGGATTCCAAGTTCTACTGTGTGCATTTTTAATGCACGTAGTCTCTCTCCCACTCATGTGCATACATGTTCTGTGTGCACGCATACACATATATTTAAGGATACTTATGCATATAGGTTAGTGTAATTACAATAAGCATTTAATTTTGAGAGTGAAGGGGGTACTACTATTAATTATTCTGGTCAACAGGGAAACTGGCACCTTTCTGGGCAAACTGGGGCATATGACACTCTAGCTGAAATGCAGCAAGATGGATTTCATAAGTGACAAATGAATCTTAATCTTGTTACTTGGTAATCATCTGTATTTAAGATACATGTCATACATGCATGACGAGCAGAGAATAGGTGTATCTGCAAGGTGCAATTTGAGAATATGCCAGTTAAAAGAAGAAAGGTCTCCTAACTCAAATAATCACCATGCTTGCCCTGCCCAACACCTCAAATGTCACTGTTAGCACGTTTTTCCTTTGCATTGAGGTATTTTCTCCCATATAAATATAGATGTCCCTAAGAAAGGTTTTGTATTAGGCTGCTTTTGCTATTGATACTGTACTGATCACAGATTTTTCAAGTTCTGGCCATCCTGAAGATGGCGTCCTGTGGGAAGAGGATACATAGGAAGACCCTTCTGATGAGGAGAAATGGCTGAAAGGCCTTGGTTGCTGGCTAGGAAACAATCTTCCAGTCTGAGTATCTAGACTCTAAGCTACCTCTTTTGCCTTCTGGACCCTGGTGCAGACCCAGCCCCACATCTCTCTCTATCTGATTTATCATCACAAACCTTCTTTTAGAGCCAAGCAAAGCTGCATTTTATTAGTTGTCAGCTGTATCCTATGGGTGATACTCAAGGTAATTTCAAACAGAATTCAGATATGAAATTAAAGTACATGGAATCCCAGACTAAAATAGTTATTCCTGTAACAGACTTTACTAATTGCCTGGTGAGCCTCAACTTATTTAGGTAAACACCTCCTTATCAGAGGAAGTGACTCTATGTCCAGCTCAGGAGTAAATCTAGGTTGGTCTAAAGCATCATGATAATTTCATTCTTTTGTATTGGCTTACAAAAGACTATGAGACAAGTTCTAGCCAATGAGACATGAGAGGAAGTGCCCTGCAAGCTTCTGAAAGGGGTTTTTAATTTCATAAGCCTGCTTCTTCTTCAGTCAAATGGAGATGACGGTTTTGCTCAACCAAAATTATCTCCTGCCTCAGCCTCTGGGAAAACTTTCATGACACAATTTTGTACTTTTTATAATGAGTGATGGTGTACTGCTGGGCCCCTCTTCCCAGACCTTTTAGTTTTCCTTTATCCCTCTTCAACCATTAAACTTTTCCTCATCACAAGCTTCACAGATTTATGTTACAAACACAAGCAAGTCTTTGCTATCCTAAGACAAAACCTGTGACTCTACCACGTCACCAAGCCACTCTGCTTGATCCTTCCCGGCACCACCCACCTCCTTGCTGGAGCTGGCTGTGTTCTGCATGTTTTCTCAATTCCCACAGCTCCTTGTATATGGGCATCTGTGTTTATGACCCATGGAAATCTCTCTCATAAAAATCGACGAACCACCTCTTACTCACCGACGTCAATCGCTTTTATTCAAGCCCATCATTATTATCCTCGAAGTTACTGCACTGTCCCTTCTGATTTCCCTACAACTTGCCCACATCTTTGTGAACAATCCCTTTGTTAAATTCTCCTAGGCTACCCAATTTTTTTTTTTGGACGGAGTCTCACTCTGCCACCCAGGCTGGAGTGCAATGGCATGATCTCTGCTCACTGCAACCTCCGCCTCCCGGGTTCAAGCAATTCTTCTACCTCAGCCTCCCAAATAGCTGGGACTACAGGCGTGTGCCACCATGCCCAGCTAATTTTTGTATTTTTAGTAGAGACAGGGTTTCACCATATTGGCCAGGCTGGTCTCAAACTCTTGACCTTGTGATCTGCCCGCCTCGGCCTCCCAAAGTGCTGGGATTACAGGTGTGAGCCACCACGCCTGGCTTAGGCTATCCAGTTTGAGTGTGCTGTGTGTTTCCTCCCTGACTCATGCAATAGGCTTTGGGCACTGGTCCAAGAAACACACTGTCCCATGGGAAAACTCATTCTTCTTACACTTTCTTTCCTCCCTTCACTTCCATGTCATCATTCTCATTTGGGTGTTTTCCTCTGGCTCCTCCCTCCAGTCACTCACTGGCTCAGGTTCTTCCACGTACACCTCAACCTTGGCATTTCCCAGGTCTCTGCCCTCTGCCATTTCTCTCCAGCCTGTCTTTGGGGTTCTCATCTACCTGTGGTTTCCACCTTAGGTTCCACAGTCAGATCTGTCAGATGCTCTCTTCTTCACTTCTGCCAGGGGGTGCAGAGAAACCTCAAACATAAGAGGTCCTCGGTTAGACGTGATCTCTGTGTTCTGTCCTGTTCTCCATCTCAGACAGTGACTCTGCCATTCATCCAGTCATCCATGCTGAAGCCATCGGAGTCACCCAAGAGCCTCTTTCCATAGCTCCCCTGTGGTATCCTCCTAGTTCCTGTCCCTTCCGCTCCTAGAGTCTCTGCTCCTATCCATCCCTCTCAGTGTCTCCCCTCTCACTCCCTCAGTGGGAGCCCTTCTCTTTCATACAGCCTGCTTTTCAGACTCCTAAGTGGCTCCTGCTCTTGTCCATTCTCCAAATGGCCACCACTATGTCTTTCAAAAATAAATTGGATGGTGTTTCCTACTTTAAAATCTCAGATGCCTTCTTATTGCTGATGGAAGTCTCACCACCTCAGCATGGCACACACAGTTGACTTGGGCTACTTTTTCAGATTTGTTACCACCACCCTCTTTTATTCATCAAAAATGCTAGCCATAAAGAAGTCCTAGTTGTCCCTTGAACATATGGTGCATTACTTCATGGGGGAACCTTTAAATGGGTAAATCATTTCAGGAATGTTCTTCCCAAGCGTCTCATCCTGCTTAATTTTCAAGGTCAGATTTAAAGTGCTCTGGACTCCACAGGTGATGGGATAAAATATAGATGTTAAGAACTAGGGATTCTTAGTTAAAATTCTGCCAAACTTGATTCCCATTTGGGTAATGGCTTTGCCGCCATGTCCTCGATGGCTGGTCCAGTCCTGGTCTGGAGGAAGGGCTCAGCAACTTCTAGCTAAGTAAATGCAGTGTTATTTCCCTAGGCATCACTGATCTCCCTAGCTGCCTGCATCTGAGCCTCCTGCACCATCACACATCCCCTCAGTGGGCACTACTCTTATTTGTGATGTTTCCCCTACTGAGCTATGACCTCTGAAGATCAGGGACCACAGTCATTCATCCTACAAACTGGTATTAGCTCTACTCAGTGCTAGGCGCTGTCCTAGGGGATTAGGTTTTAGCAAGGCACAAAACTGACCAAGGTCTCTGCCCTTAGATAGCTTACATTTTAGCACTGGCAGACTCAGGAGCATATTCAGTGAATAAATTGTGTGATATTAGAAAACAGTGCTAGTAAAAACATAGTACAGCAGAGCTAGGAGTCATGGCTCATGCCCAAATTCCCAGCTACTCCGGAGGCAGAGGCAGGAGGATACCTTGGACCCAGGAGTTGGAGGCTGCGGTAAGCTGTGATCACACCACTGCACTCCAACCTGGGGGACAGAATGAGACTCTGTCTTCTTAAAAAAACAAAAAACAAAGTAGAGCAGGAGAGGAAATTGGGGGTTGCAAAGGTTGGACTGTCAGGATACATTTCAGAGGGAAGACACAGAGTAAAATTTGAAGGCAGCTGGGCATCATTCATTAAAATTCTGCTGAAATGTAGTCTCTATTTGGATAATATCAACCAAGGATTTGCCAAGGAGCTCTCTGAACAGAGAACATTCCAGATAGAGGGGACAGTTGAAGAAAGGCCCCATAAGGGACACGGATGAAGCTGGAAACCATCATTCTCAGCAAACTATCGCAAGGACAAAAAACCAGACACCTCATTTTCTCACTCATAGGTGGGAATTGAAACGTGAGAACACATGGACACAGGAAGGGGAACATCACACTGGGGCCTGTTGTGGGGTGGGGGGATGGGGGAGGGATAGCATTTGGAGATATACCTAATGTTAAATGACGAGTTACTGGGTGCAGCACACCAACATGGCGCATGTATACATATGTAATTATCCTGCACGTTGTGCACATGTACCCTAAAACCTAAAGTATAATAAAAAAAAGAAAAGAATAAAAGGCCCCAAGGCCGACCTGTGCCTGGAACTTCTGGGAACACAGAGGAAGCTGAGCCTCTGGTGTAGAGCAAGTGAGTAAGGGGCGGGAGGTAAAGAGGGGAGTCAGGGAGGTGAGGAGCATGGGGCCTTGGGCAGGGTCCCATCTGTAAAACGCAGATGACCTCAAGGATGCTGTTTGAAGGTTAGATGAGGTGATATATGAAAAGTACTCGGCACAGTCTAACACCACAGGGCTGTCCAATGGAAACATCATGTGAGCCACACGCGCAATCCTAAATTCCTAATAGCCACAATTTTAAAATGCCAAGAAATGGTGAAATTAAATTAAATAATATTTTCCTTAACTTTCTGTATATTGTCTTGCTATATATAAACATAATAGTATATATATATTTAACAACAAAATATTATCATTCTAATGTGTCATCAATGTAAAAAATTATTAATAAGATATTTTACATTTTTTTAAATAAAATCTTCAGAATCTGGTGTGTGTTTTATTCTTACATCTCAATTCAGCCAGTCACATTTTAAGGACTGCACAGCCAAGTGTGGCTAACAACTGCCGTATTAGACAGTGCAGGTCTGGCACATTGTAAATGCTTAAAAAACATTAAATATCATGAAACACGACAGGAATTGGGAAATATGCTTGGTCCTGGTATTGAAGGAGGAAGAAATGGAAACTTTGGAGGCTTGTATCAAATAAAGGTCTGATGGCCTCTCCTGCTGGTTTTCCTCCCTGTCCCTTGGTATGGGATCCCAGAATTTCTCAACTTGAAGTGACCTAGAAATGCAGTCTAACAGGAAAGATCAGGTGCCAGCCTGTAGGTGACTTGGAGAGGCAAGAATGTGAGTCCTCTGTCTCCCGGGGTTCCTCTGCCACCTCTGTTCCAGCTCCTATTGCGACTCATATCTCACTACACCATGAGTCACTTCATCCAAGTCTCTGCTTGGCCTAAGGTCACACCCAGAATTTCTACCCTGGGAGTTTCTCCACTGAAGGTGTCTGATTTCAAGATCTGGGTTGTGTTTTCAAACAACACTTCAGCACCTTTCAAAGTGACGTCATGGTAAGAGTGATGGTATTAACTCCAGCCCTGGTACTAGGGGATGGATGGCAAGAGCTCAGACTCCCGGCAAGCTGGCTGCTCAGAGAGGGACACAAGGGAAAGCTCCACCTATTAGCTGTGTTTTTCCAACTAAAGATTTAATTAAGCCACTGCTGTGTCAATATTCTTAGCATGCCACCCACCTCTTCCCTTGGATGAAAACATTGTTTGGTTGCCAAGCACGGATTCAGAGGGGAATTGAAGCTCGCTAGAGGGAAAACAGTATCGAGATGCAACCTATAGTCCCTCCATGGAAGGGCCATTTGGTGTGGGCTTCTGGTTGCTTTGTGGTTTCTGCAGGCTGTGCACACAGCTGCACTCCAGACCTGGAACAGGGCCTCAAACCTTTCAAAGGGCTCCTATGGAATTACTTGACTTCCTTTTTCTCTTCTGTCAGCTTCTGTCTTTCTCTCAGGAAAGAGTGTCCAGTGGGCAAACTGGGTTTGCCACCCTGGTTCCTTAAAACCATAATTGTTAGTCTTTCTGTTCGAACAGCTCTTTATTATAACAGTGCTGCTTTTGCCGTTGTGTTTTGAGCACCTGTCTTATGACTTGAACCTTGCATCTGTCATTTCTTATCTTCTACAAGCCTGTGAGGGAGGTGGCATTACTATCTTTATTTTAAATGGTTGAGCAAATAGAAGGATTGAGAGGTTAAGTAACTTGCTCAAGGTCACTAAGTCTCAGACTTGGGATTTGACTTGACTATTGCTACTTTCAAAAAAAAAATAGTAATAACAATAAAATATAGTAAGTGGCAATACACAATGAGCATCCAATGAAAGGAAGCATCATTATAACACAAATTGGATAAATGTATAATTTATGTTGGCACCTCACTCTTCCTGCTACTGGGCCAGAAGTGCTGTCATTACACAGACTTGCTTTGCATTTTAATAGATAATAACGGATTCCCGAGGAAGCAGTGTCTTCTTCTGGTGCTACTGATTCTCAAGTGATGGACAGTCAAGTTCTGAGGGAATGAGGCAGTCTAGGAGCTTGCATTTGCAGAGAAAGGGTGAAAAGAAAGAGTGGCACAGGTTTCCAGATAGAAAGAGGGCAAAGATCGATTTACTCGCTTTAATTTTGTATGTGGCTGATTGTGGCAGAGATGATTCCTGCTTCCTGGATATTCCCTATGCCCCTCTCCATTTTCCAGCCTCCCTTGCAATTAGATCAGGTCATGTGACTTGTCCTAGTGAATTAAAGCGGGGGCACTGTATATATCTTTCTGGCTAAGAGGGCATTTGTTTCCTCCATCCCTTTCTTTTCCTACCTTAGCAATCTCAAAAAGCACATGTTCCAAAAGCCTACAGGATGGAGGACAGCGTCTGAATCCCTTTAGACTTTGAAGCAACCAAGAAATAAGGCTTTATTGTGCTATGCTACTGAAATTCTAGGGCTCATCTGTCCCTGCAGCAGAGCCTGGCCCATTCTGAATGGTGCGCCCATGACCCTTGATTGTCAAGTCCCTTCACCGTCAGCATTTTTTTTTGTATGAGCCAGTTTCTACTTCTCAGAAGGGAGCAAAATGGTGCTTTGGCCAAGGATTGGCTTATTCTTCACCCTGAAATGGCGTGGCCTAGGATTGGCCTATTCTTCACCCTGAAATGTGACCATCCTGAGATTATTTTCCCAGTGGTAATAAGGTGTTGGCACCATTTCCTCTGCCTCTTTTGGCATAGGGCAGAGGCAACCATCCCTCTAGGAGGACAGAGACACTTGCAGATGAGGACTTCTCAGTCAGTTCTCTTGGTTTCTATGTCTTTGTCCTCTCCCGGTTTCTTTTCTACTTCATGGGAGAATCCTTGAGTTCCTGCTGACTTCTCCCTCCCTTCTCCATATCTGAACTTTAGGGCACCCCCAGAGTTATATCCTGGAACTCCTTCTCTTGGCATCCCAGGTGATTCCCCTGGTCCATGACTTTAAACACCATCCCTATGCAGATGATTCCCATCTTCATATCTCTATCCCTGACCTGGAGCCAAGAGGACCCATTTATTCAGTTGCTTCCCTGACATCTCTACTCTCATAGACATTAAAAACTTAGCATGCCCATAAGGAGCCACGGATTTACCCACACCTCCTCCTTCTGTCTTTCTCAGAAGACTCCTCCTGTGCCATGTCTCTGTTAATGACACCACTCACAACTCAGTTAAGCAGATCTGAATCTAGGCTTCATCTCTGATTCCCCTCCTTACCTTACCTTCCACATCTAATCCATCACGAAGTTCTCTCAGCTCTAGCTCCAAAACATATATCCTGAATTTTCCATGTCTTCCCACCTTTGCAGCTACTGACTCATCCAGACATTACTAAATCTCACCTGGACTAGGCCTCTTGTGTTGTGTGCCTGCTTTCATCCACTATTTTCTTTCCTTGTTCTTTACATAGCAGCATGGGGTATTATTCAATAACATAAATCAGGTCACTGGATATCTAGTGGCTTTTCATGACACTTTGAACAATAATCTGCCATAAAATATAGTTATATACCTTGACCTAGTGTCGGTTGCCTCTCTTTCCTCATCTCTTGCCCGTTTCCTTTTGGTCACTGGACTCGAGCCCATTGGCTTTCTTTTGGCTTCTCTAACACTATAAGCTTTGTCCTGCCTCAGGGACTTTGCACCTGCTATTCCCTGTGCCCTCAGGACTTTACATGGCTGGATCCTTCTTGACATTTATGTCTTGAGTCAAAAGTCACCTTCTCAAAGAGATCTCAAAGAGGCCATACTCAAAGTAAATCAGGCTGGGGATCCCCGCTGTCTCTGATTGCCCTGCTTCCATGGCCATGGCCTCACAGTGCTCATCATCTTCTGAAGTAGCAGTATTATTTATCTGTGTAATTATCATTATGTGGAGTAAGAATCTAAGTGTCATGAAAGCAAGAACTTTGTCTTTTCACTGCTGTATCCCTACCTAGCATGTAGTTGATCAATACAATACTTGTTGGAAGATGAATGAATGAAAGGAAGTACCTACTTGAGGTCAATTCCCTGTAGTGGTCTATACGTTTAACAGCTAGAAAAGAGGGCTTCACCTAGGAAGTTCTGCCTCTACTTAGACCTGAACGAAAGCCACCTCTATCCTGGACCTGTTGCTTTATAGGGCCTTACTCTGACCCTTCTCTGGCCTTGCTGCTCCCCATAGGATCAAGGGGCAAAGAGGATGTGCCCTCCCAGAGTGCAGTCTAGCAGGAGGTATGACCCTTCCAGAAATCCTTTCTAGAGTGCCCCCTTTCTAGACTCCAGAATTCCCTGTGCAAGGACCTCAAGCCCGCTTCCACGGCCTGCATAGGATCTTTCCCCATGTCTGTCCTCTAAAGGGCAGTCCAATGTGTGCAACCCTAGGTGCCAGTTTCAACATGGAACTCCAAGAATTCTGCAAATTCCATGTTGGAAGTTGGCCTTCTAGGTCATGATGAAGGCAGGAGGATAGAAGATTACGTATCAGGCAGTTTGTGAGCTTGGTTTCTATATTCTAAGTATTTATGTGTGACCTCCATTGGGACTGTTTTCTAAGCCTGCAAATGCTGCGGGCAGGCCTGCTTCAGCGTGCGGGGTAGATTCCTCTTGCATTTATGTGAGATCGGGTGGAGGTTGGTGAACTCCCTTCAGTCATCAAAGCGGAGGGGCCTCCCTAGGAAAGAGCCCCCAACTTCATAGGATGCAATAAGCCACGTTCCTTTCCTACTTTTGTATTTCCAATATCCCCTGCTTGCTCTCCCTACGATAATTAAGAGAAGTTATGGTAAAGAATTTGTGAACAAGCTACATGTCCCATAACAGGGGATTAAATAAATAAATTAAGTGAATCTGTCCAATGCAATGCTCTGTATATATTACAATGTTTTAGAAAAATAATTGGCAGCACTGGAATAATAACAATGATGGCAGTGCCCACATCTTGGGTGCTTGGCCTTGGCCAGGAAGTGTGCACAACCCTTCACATGTACGATCTCATTTAGGTCTCACAACTAAATGGTGCTTTATTAGTTTGAGTTATCAGTGAGGGAACCAAGCTTTAAAGAATTTAATTATCCAAGGGTGTGGGACTAGAGAGTTGTTCTCTGAGTCTTTGGAACTGGACCATAGCTCCTCCTTGGAAGTGGAGTCTTCTAGAATTGCTGGAGCCCTTCCCCTAGGAGAAGTGAGCCCTGAACCCTTTGACTCTCATCTTGCTTTCCCCTTCCCTTGGCCTCTGAATATTCAACCTCTTTAAGCCTCAGTTTTTTCACCAGTGAAATGGGAATAGCAATTGTAGTGATGCCTGTAATTATGAAGATTATGTGGAATAAGCATGTAAGCTGGGAAGTGCTCATAAACCATACCCAGTAAGGGTTGGTCCTGGCTCTTTCTGTAAGTCCCAATTTTTCTTCTTTGATGCTGGTCATCTGCTATTCATCTCCTCCCAGGCATGCAGGGACCAGGAGGTGGGAGAAGTGGCTGTCCTCATCATTCCATCCCTGTGGGTGGGGGCATGGTTGAAACCATCTGGAGCTTCCACACCACCTGAATGACCTCTTCCTCCTTGCAGCTCTCCGGCTTGGTGGGCTAAATGATTTGATTTCCTTTCCTGTTTTGAGATGCCCATCAAGGCCCCTTCAGTATGACCAGACTCCAGGAACAGAGTGAGCGAGGGGAGAGAAAAGAGAATGAAAAGTGAAGAAAAATGAAATAAAACATATATAAATTAGTATTCATTGAGAAAGATCTGGAAAAATCTTACCCAAGAGATTAATGGTAATAATATTGGGGTTCTGGAAATATGGCTACTTTCATTTTTTTTCCTTTAAACTTACATGCATTTTCTACTTCATTCTACAGTGGACACTAACTCATTTTGGTCATTAAAAAAAAATGCATTTTTTTTTTTTTAGGTAAAGAACCTGGGTGCTTGCCGTCAGGGGAATGAGGGAAGGTAGAGACAGGGAGGTGGCCTCCTCTTGGGTAGTTCCTCTTGGGCACAAAAGACCCTACGGTGTAGAGTGGGGAAGATGGAAGAGGAAATTGAGCATGAAGGCCGGGCGTGATGTCTCCCGCCTGTAATCCCAGCACTTTGGGAGGCCAAGGCGGGTGGATCACGAGGTCAGGAGATCGAGACCATCCTGGCTAACACGGTGAAACCCTGTCTCTACTAAAGATACAAAAAATTAGCCTGGCGTGGTGGCGGGCGCCTGTAGTCCCAGCTACTCCGGAGGCTGAGGCAGGAGAATGGCGTGAACCCGGGAGGCGGAGCTTGCAGTGAGCCGAGATTGCGCCACTGCACTCCAGCCTGGGCGACAGAGCGAGACTCCGTCTCAAAAATAAATTAAAAAAAAAAAAAAAGACAGAAATGCAGCATGAAGAGGTGCTTGTTGGGAAGTGGGAGATGGAGTGGAAAGCAGCTGAGTCCTTATGGATCAGGTACCGCGGGTCTTCCAGCAGGTAGGCTGGCAGGGTCCCAACACATACCAATAAGTACAGCAGAATGTCAACTAAAGCACTGCTTTCAGTGAATGAACCAAAGTAAATGTGTTTTCTCCTGTAAAACAGTTTTCCCTCATGGTAAGTGAATCACTGCCGGGGACAGCATGGCACAGCTCGCTATTGATTTCCCCAACATAGCTTCCCATACCTGCGGGAGAGAGCGACTCAGGCTCTCGAGGAACACACACATAAGCCAAATGTAATTCAATGTGACCATAAACTTTCTATGACTTTCACCTCTTAGAAGCTCTTCTTAACAGAATGCCACTGAGCTAGGTTCTCTCCCACTGACCTGAGAAGCATCTGCTTTAGGTGATCTAAGGACAAGATAGGCCATCCTGCTTTATTTTCACAAAATCCAGAACAAGAAATACCTGCTTTGTTGGTCAAAAAAACGATGGTGTGCTTGATTGGACAGGGAATTTCCCTGGCTCTTCTCCTAATCTTTTCCCAGTTATGTTCCCATGCAAAAGACACACTTGAATTTAACCCCTAAGTTGACAGATACCCACCACTGGTCCTTCCATTCTCTACAGCTTTCTTTGCTATGGTCTGATGGTTCTTTCCACACAAATGTGAGGACTATTATTTACTGAGAATTTTGTCTGCAGAAATATGAGGATATAAGATGCGTGTCACTCTAGCTGACATCTATAACCTCAATCCTGAATTCACCCAACATTCCTCTCATTGCAGGGTTGAGAAAATGCCTTTTGGTAAAATCATAGAATGGTAAAGCAATAAGGAACCTTTGGGATCTGCTCAATGCCTGCTCATGGACACAGGCTTCTTAGTGACAGAGCCAGGGCTAAAACAATGAAAGCTATTTCTTTTGCTGGCTATGCATCAACTACTTAATTGAACGTGGTGGCAGTTCAAAATCCTCAGTCCCAGCCCCTTTTCTCACTCTGTGCTCTAACACCAGGTGGACACATTCATTTCCAGATGTTAAATACTGTTGTATGCCTATGACTTCCAAAGTTAGATTTTTAAGCTCCAGACTCATGTATCTAACTGCCTACACACTCTTTCTCCTTGGCTGTCTTGCACATATATCTAAATTTGTCTGAAACAAAGCTCTTGGTCATACACCCAACATTTTACTCCTCACAACCTCCCTCATCTCAGTAAATGTCACCATCATCCACCTGGTTGTTAAAGCTGGAAGTTGGAAGTCGCCCTGGAGTGCTTTCTTTAGTCCACATCTACTTCCAGTCCTGTTGGTTCCACAGCAGGGTAGGTCTCCAACCAATCCATGCCTCTCCATCCCCAAGAGTGTGCTCTCCCAGGTCACTGTTATCTCATATGTAGACTATTCCAACAGTTCCTGAATTTTTTATTTCTTCTTCTTTACCTACTGCTATGATTTGAATACTTGTCCCCTCCAAAACTCAAGCTGAAACTTTCCCAGTGTAACAATATTATGAAGTGGAGCCTTTAAGAAGTGATTGGGTCATGAGGGCCCTCATAGATGGATTAATCTATTCATGGATTAATAAATTAGTGGGTTATGGAGGGAGTGAGGTAGTTATCACGAGAGTGGATCTGTTATAAAAGTCAATTTGGCCATCTCTTGTGAGCTCCGTCACCATGTGATGCCTTGCACCACCTCAGGACTCTGCAGGGAGTCCCTACCAGCAAGAAGGTCCTCTCCAAAGGCAGCTACTAAGTCTTGGACTTCCCAGCCTCCACAATTGTAAGACATAATTTTTTTTTCTTTATAAACACCCAGTCTCAAGTATTGAGTTATAGTAACAGAAAATGAACAAAAATCCCTACCATCCAACCCATTCTCCACACAGCATTCAGCATAATCTAATGATGTAAGCCAGGTTCTATCATGATTGCTAGTTACAATCCTTCTAATTGCATATGGAGTAAAATCCACAATCCACAGTGGTGTGGAAAGCTCTGACAATCCAGTCCCTGCACATCTCTAACTGCAGTTTATCTCACTCTCACCTTTGGTCACTCAGGTTCAGCCATGCTGGCCTTCTTTTAGTTTCTCAAATGTGCACAGTGATTCCTTGTCTCTGGGTCTCTGGCTGTGCTGTTCTTCTGCTTGGAAACACTCTGCCTTCTTCCCCTCCTCATACTCCAGACCTCAGCTTAAGTATGACATCCTCAGAGGGGCTTTTTCTGATAACTTGCCAGTCTCTAAGTCAGTCCTTTGTTAGTTTCCTTTGTAGCACTTATCGCAATTTGTAATTCTTTTATTAATAAGTCCTTTTATTCAAATTCATTTATTGTGACTACTCCAAGAGCAAAGCCAAGTTTGCCTTTCTTATTGTAATATCTATAGCACCTGTCACAGTGCCTGACACATAAGAAGTGCTCATAATATATTTGTTAAAGAAAAATATAAAATCACAGTGCCTCCCTAACATTGGCTTATTATTTTAGAATGAGTTTGCATACCATCCCAGTGAGAAAGTTTTTCTTCTCCGATTAGATCTTTATAAACAATTTCTTCTTCTTTTTGCTTAGAATTTTGCTTCCTTTTAGTATAAATACAGGAATTTGAGAGCTTGTTTGGCAGTAACTATGCTGTTGGCTTATGTACTTTACTTTAGAAAGCATGCAGATGCTAAGTAAACTGCACAGGCCCAGAGATGTATATCCATGTGTCTTTAAAAAATAGACATCTGTTCTTTCTGATCTTCTTCTATGTTCACTGCTGCAGAGAATCCAAACTCAAGCAGATGAGTTAGAATCATTATTCTGAACCTCGTGGTTTTTAATGAATGGCTCCAACTCTTTGTTCTAATAGACATAATCTGTATAAATTCATTGAATGGGACAATGCTGCAAGAGAAAGAAGGTTTTGAAGAATCCACTGGCAAGAGTCCATTTGCTCGTCAGTGATAAGTAACAGGTCACATGGTTTGTCCATAGCCTGGAGGATGATGTCACGGAAGCTGAGGGATTTGCAGAAGAGTCTGACCCTGTATTAACCTCATCATTTGCTTGGATAAACTTCAACCTGGCGTTGCTTTCTTTACTTTGTATATTTCAAATTAGTTCTTCTAGGGGTGATGTAACCCAGAGAAACACAACTACAGGAGTTGTTCAGATGTACATTATTTCCAAAACACAAACAAATCCCCAAGTTTCCAAAAGTAGGGTTTTCCAGTGCTTCTAAATATAGAAGCACAGCCTCAACATTCCTTGGAGAATTTTCTGGAAGTATAAGGAATTGTTAAACTGTAAGGAAGGGAAGAATTAGAGAGTACAATGTCTATAAAGGAGATGACTGAGTATGTAACTACGAAAGAATTCTTCTAAGGCGAGAGACATCTTCTATCATAAATTTACCATCTAAGACTTTCTTGAACTTTTTCAAATTTGCAAAATATACATCATATTGGCTTCATTGATACCAGATAATAAAGCCTCATAAACCTGTGTCTGTGAACCCTCTGTTACATAGTGTATCTACAGCTATGCCCAATCAGGCACTTATTAAATGCTTTTAATTGACACACCTTTAAAAGTTGGGGTAAAAATACCTTTTAGAAAGCTCAAGTAAGTGTTTTCTTAGCTTAGAAAATAGCCTGAAACTGGCCCTGTCTGCTACCTTGTACAAGAAACTCAACCCCATTTTCCATACGTTAATGCAAAATACAGTTTAAAACACAGTTGCCACTGGCAGAAGAAAGCAAAGCAATTGCCCGCATAACCCAATTTCACTTTAGCCTTTGCTGAAGTTGGCCCAGGTTCAGCGTGTCTACACTCATGCCACACGCCTGCGGCCTGGGTTCCTACACCTCCCTAAGTTCCCAGGCAGCCCTGGGCTGGAGGCACAGAGAACACCCAATTTCCCATTAAGCCTCCCCCGCCCTACCCGAACGCCAGGCAGAGTCTTCCCCTGCTTGTCACCTGGTTGGGAACCTTTAGAGGCAGCTCATCTTTGCATCTCCCCATCACAGGGAGCAGTGGTTTTGGTACCCACAGGACTTAGCCTTTGGTTTGCATCTGTCCTTCAGAGGAGGAGGATACAGAGGCTGGTTTTGAGATTATTTGGAGCTGGTGATCAGTGAGGTCTCTTTAAGCTGATTGAGCCAACTGTGCTGACTTAGTCAGTTAACCTAGATAAATACCACTCTGAGTTTTCTTTTTTCATTTAAGAAAAATAGTGTCAGAGTACAGGATGGACTCCCCCAGTGGGAGAGCTGACACCATGTAAATGATTCATTAGCAGATGCTTTAGCTGAACCTCAGCTGTTTTCACCAGTGACGTCGATGTGACGGAGATATTTGTTCAGGTGATGGGACTTGAGTGGGCCTTGGGCCAGACCTCCACCCCCAGGGACCACCCTTCTAGCACTGAAAGGCAATAGTCTTCACACTGGCTGAATCCTGTATTTTCTCAATCCTCCAAATCCGACCAACTTCTCTAAATTGTACTGCAAGGTTTTGGCAGCCAGAGCTCCCACTCCTTGCCACCATCCCACCGCCACCACTGGAGGTGCTGAAGGCCAAGTACAAGCCATCCGGGTGGAAACCTGTATTTGAAGGTCTGCACCGCGGGTAAGTCTCCCTGCCTTTCTCTGCTGTGGTTGATCCCCCTGATGAGGTGGGTTTGTTCATGAGTGTGCGGAGGTCTTGAATTAGAGCAGCTCATCTCCAGGTGGCCGATGCCACATGTATTTGCAATGGATTTTGCCAACTAACTCACTGGATTATCTATCCCTGGTTAGGTATCTCAGAGGTCCAGAGATTTTTGAGGTTTCAAACTTCCCATTTTTTAAGGTTTCCAGTATTTTAAAAAATGAAGAAACACCTACAAATGGTTCTTTAAAAACACCTTATGATATGTTCAGTTTACTTGGTCTATTTCTGGAATTGTATGCTATCCCTAGCTAGAAATGACAACACAAACAAAATCGGAGCTCTCCTGATGTGAAGATTGGACCAAACAGCTTCTCTAGCCTCAGCAGCTCCCTGCCAGCTCCTGAGCCTGCCTGTCCTCTGTGGACTCTGGCCTGTGGTCAAACCTGTTAGGGAATGGCTGGGTGCGGTGGCTCACACCTGTAACTCCAGCACTTTGGGAGGCCAAGGCAGTAAGATCATGAGGTCAAGAGATAGAGACCATCCTGGCTAACACGGTGAAACCCTATCTTTACTAAATATACAAAAAATTAGCTGGGCGTGGTGGCACGTGCCTGTAGTCCCAGCTACTCGGGAGGCTGAGGCAGGAGAATGGCTTGAACCCAGGAGGCGGAGGTTGCAGTGAGTCAAGATCGTGTCACTGCACTCCAGCCTGGGCAACACAGCAAGATTCCATCTCAAAAAAACAACAAAAACCCCCCAAAACATGTATCACCCAACTGAGAGGTACATGGAGAAGATCAAAGAGGCCTCAGCCAGTAGTTGGGGTTTGACTGGTAGGGGTTAATGACTTTCCTGTTAAGTTTTAAACCCGGTGGTGACAGCATTTTCCTCTTTATTTTGTTTTTGGAACTCCTGTCTGGTAGGGTAGCCGGGATGCCAGTGGCAATTCCATACCAAGTATTTGGTTTTTAATCCATAGCCTTTACCCACCACCCCATGTCTCTCAAGACTCCAGGGGAAGGGAAACATCTTTTCTTTGGGGATGACCCTTCATTAGAGCAAAGAATCCACCTCTTTGGTGGTTCCGAAATGTCATGATAGAGAGTGGTTCCAGGAGGGAATGAACAAATGTGTGTGGCAGAGGTGATGGAGCTCAACACACATTCCATCAACTGTCCCCCATGCCCGGCCCACTATGGTTAAGCAGATCATGTGACTAGCTCTGACCAATGGGCAGGAAGTGGAAATGGCATATGTCATTTCAGGGCTAAGGCATAGAAGAGTTGGTGTGTGACCCTTAATAGCTGTCTATTCTCTTCCTGTGGGGTCTGGAGATGCTTGACATGATAGGGCCTGATTTCTATAAAGCAAAACTCCTCTCCCTGCCATACCTCTGAAGATACAGCAGAGTGAGAAACAAACTTGTGCATGTTAAGCCATCTAGATTTCAGAGACCATTTGTTACCACTGCATAGCCTAACCTACCCTGATTGATACAACATGTATTTTAAGTATATCTTATTTAAACAATTACATTTGAAAGTATTTTAAACATTCTGATGTATGCATTGTATTGCATATATGTAAAATATAAGATTAGAAAGTTTTGATAGATAAAATTCTTCGGTGCAGCAAACAAAACACAGATTCGCATCTCTTTTTGTTTTTATGGTCTTTTAGATTTTGCATGTATTAAACACAAGATGCTAAGATTGTTACCCAATGTGGGCAGTGGGTTTAGAAGTGTGTAAATCAAATTTTCTTGGCAGTGAGTGAATGAAGCCTGAGACAGTCTATGGTCTCAGGAAACTCAGAAGAGTGGGGGAAAGGCCTGGAATAGGAATCAGGGGATGTATGGGCCACAGGATATTCAGGATCACTCTCTTTTTGTTTTCTTTTTTCTTTTTGTTTTTGAGATGGAGTCTCGCTCTGCCACCAGGCTGGAGTGCAGTGGCTCAGTCTCGGCTCACTGCAACCTCCGACTCCCAGGTTCAAACGATTCTCCTGCCTTAGCCTCCTGAGTAGCTGTGATTACAGGTACACGCCACCATGCCCAGCTAATTTTTGTATTTTTAGTAGAGATAGTGTTTCACCATGTTGGCCAGGATGGTCTCCATCTCCTGACCTCATGACAGGATCACACTCTTAAAGGAGGCTTAATTCTTTCTCCACGATCCTTCCTCATTCAATCCCACACTAGTCTATCCCCTTCTGAACTGCTATAGCAGCGGTTGTCTTTGCTTCACGTTAATTATAGTCTGTCTTACATCTGTCCATTCATTCTAGAAATATTTGCTGAGCCCCTAGGATGGAATTCCATGCTGGATTCTGGGAACACAGAGACCAGAGCCAGCCCTGAAAGACCTCACAATCTAAGAAGGTCACTTATAGTCTACTCAGAGTTTCCAAGTTGTTAGTTTTGCCCTTTATCACTTCCTCCTTAGAGGGAAGGAATTTTGTCTTTGGGTTCCCATTTATCATCCTCATGCAAGGTTACTGCTGGC
Source organism: Homo sapiens (assembly GCF_000001405.40). Taxonomy (NCBI): domain Eukaryota; kingdom Metazoa; phylum Chordata; class Mammalia; order Primates; family Hominidae; genus Homo; species Homo sapiens. The sequence goes on from NC_000009.12 coordinate 86,754,234, forward strand.
AATGCGGAGACTGCTTCAGAGATGGCTGATGCCGTGTGTGTTGGGCACACTGATCAGCCACTGTGTCTGTCTTCATATTTATTGAAATCTATTCCCAAAGTAAAATGGTTCTCCTGGTTTTAGATCCATTCTCCATACTCAATCACTACAGCCTGCTTTGGGTTGCTTCATGTTATATGCTTCTGGAAAAGTCGTCATCATTTTCCATCCATACCACTTGGAGACAGCCAGGTTTTGCACTGGAGAGTGAGCAGCCGTAGAAGCGTTGCTCATGGTGGTGAAAGTAAAGGCTGTGAGATGGCAAAGCACCCGGCAGAAATCTGACTTGCTCATGAACATGCTCTCTTAAAGTGCTATTAACATGAAGCAGGCATTTCGTGGGAAGGCCATTGCAAGCATCTCCCTTTTGCCCATCACTGACACTCAACTTGAAGTATCCTCCTTCCATATGCAAGTCAAAGCAAGACTTTTCCAAGTGTCAGCACCACAAGCTCAAGCTAGTTCTTGGCAGTGATCTGGGTTTCCTTTTGCCCCTGGCAGAGTATTAGCAACCAAAGCACAGCTAAGGAGCAGAGCTGCACCAATGGACTGGGTGTGAGAGATCACCTTGGTGCCAGCCTGCCCAACCCTCTGAAACACACCTGCCCCTGGTTTCCAGGGGCTCAGGGTATGCAGTCAGAAATGACACAATTATAGCCTCTTTTTTTTTTTTTTGCTTCTTTTTTTTTTTTTGTAGGGCAAAGGGCCAGCTTGTTCCCTCTGCAACTGGATGAGCTGAATTGGCAGCAGACAACCAGCGTTTCTCAGGAAGCTGTACCAACAAGATGCAAAAGGGAGAGGTGGAGCAGAGGAGGGCAGTTCATGAGCTGATTGTGCTAAGCCCTGTCAAATAATCCTTTAGAAACCCGATGGTAATCAATGCCACCCAAGGGCACCACATGTGCCAATAAAAACCTCTTGCATTTTGGCTAAATGTGGCTCGAGATTAGCATTGGGTGAGAATATCTGTTGTTTGCAGGCACTCCAGACTGCTGAATTCCAAAGTGACTCTTTTGATATTGATAAATAATGTGGCACACGATTCCTCCCCCATCCCAATAGAAATTGTGCAAATCCTTAATTATGAGGGCACTTTCTCAAGGGCACATTAGAATATCAGGCTAAATTGAGTTGTTATCTTCGCCTTTGCCAGGGCTTTCAAAAAACTGCACAGCAAGCTGCCCTTAGAAGTTTTCTCTTTTGTTTGCAAATCATCAGTTCAATTTGGACTAAGCTTTCCAGGAATTAAAAAGAAAGAAAAAGTGCAGAAAAAATTACATAGAGTGAGCCTTCTAAAGTAGGTTTTGTTTTTTTCTTTTTTTTCTTTTGGTGAACGGGTCACAAGATTGCAATTCTAAACAATCTCACAATTAATTCTTGAGCTATGCAGTCCAATTAGAACAAACGCTTCCTTTCTGATTTAATTAGAGATGAGGACACGCCTGTGAGCTTATTTGTATAAAATACGTGCTCATTAAACAAGGTTTGGATCAGGTTCAGCTTGTTAGAAATGCCATGAAAAGGAGGCTGTCTCTCACTGTCTCTGGCTTCTTTAACCCCTTTAATGCCGAGAATGAGCTTCACAGGTGTGGCGAATATAAAGCGTCTCTTTGCTGAAACCTGGTGAACTTGAAAGAGGTGGTTTGTGACCAGCTTGACCAACATGGCGAAACCTCATCTCTACTAAAACTACAAAATTAGCTGGGCATGGTGGTGGGTGCCTGTAATCCCAGCTACTTGGGAGGCTCAGGCAGGAGAATCACTTGAACCGGGGAGTCGGAGGTTGCAATGAGCCAAGATCGCGCCATTGCACTCCAGCCCGGGCGACAGAGTGAGACGTCATCTCAGAAAAAAAGAAAAAAAAAAAAAAGGTGGTGTGTTTGTTGATCCGCCCATCTACTCATCTTCTGACATTTAGCATCTTCTTTTCCCTTCCCCAGGCCACTGTAGGCAGAAAATCAAGTTGGGAGTCTGAGGAAAGCTACTCTAATCATAGAAAAATTCTTGTATTATTTGTGTTTCTCAAATCTCACTACTCAGAGTGGGAGCCGCGGACCAGCAGCAGTAGCAGCAATGCCTGGGAGCTTGCTAGAAACACAGAATGTCACTCCCCACCCCAGACTAATGAGAATCTGCGTCTTGACAAGATCCCTGGCTGATGCCTGTACAGCTTTACAGTTTGAAGAGCACTGGTCTAAAGGCAACAAATCATGAAGATTTTATTTCAAAAATCCAAGGGCCCTTGGGACCCCAGAGAATGCCACTTCACTTGAATAAAACCAGACCTGGGTGCCCTCTCTACCACGGGGGAATTGCCACTTTGACCCTCCTGAACACTCTACTTAAGACTCAGGTGTGTCCCTCTTGTCTCATCCTTCAGTGAGCCCCCACGACTGGAAGCGCCCGTGGGCAAGGACACAGGTCACGGGGCAACCTCTGCCCTCATGTGTGCCTCTCATCTCTCGCTCATGCCTTCAGCACAGAACTGAGCATTTGCTGTCCATCAGGCCCTGGGGTGGCTCTCTGGCTACAGAGAGAAAGGAAGATTCCTGCCCCGGAGGGGCTCCCACTCTATGGGCTGATGCTGGAGGGAGAGAGATGACAGTAGCTGGTGAGTGGGAGAAGTCTTTAGACTCTCAGGCCCCACGTGCCATCACTGACAGGCTGCTCATGACAGCCAACATCAGAAAGCCAAATGTCCTGGGAGTAGGAATCTCTGTCTTCCCGGGGAAGGCTCCATCCATGCAGTATCTGTCACGTGCAAAGAGACAGCTTCCAAGACACAGCGTGTGCACGTGGTATTGAACATTAAAGAGAACGTAGGCTGCCGAGTGTGCTGTGTGCCATCTTGATGTGTTATTCTCCTCCAAAAGAGTTTGTCTTTTTTTTTTTTTTTCATTTATTTTCTCAGAAAGCGAAACTCGCATCCAGGAAAACGACAGCATCAGGAGAGTGACTCAGTGTTCTCTCATGTTGCTCAGTCCTCGCACTTTCTTCAAGCAGCCTGGTGGGGAGAAAATATTGACAAGTTTCTGTCTCACTGCTTGGTGCCTACAATAGCACTGAGCAGGCCATAGCAGATTTAAAATTTCTATCCTTCCATCCCAGACTCAAACTAATGTCACTGCTAACTAGGGGACATTAAAGGAGCCCAAACCAGCAGGTAAATTGTCATCAGTGATCCTTGAGGCTGGCCCTGGTCTGACCTGGTGCCCTGCATACCATGATTGCCCTGGTGATGGGCTCAGCCCTGCCACCTTCACCACTCCGTCTTAATGATGGACAGTACCACAGGCAGCTCCAAACAGCCTCAGCTGCTGCATCCCCAACCCTCAGCTCCAGCCTGCATGTAGAACTGCCCTGGCTTCCCCATTCCTGCTCCCTTGGACCTTTCACTGGTAAAACAGGAGACTGGAGAAAGACCTGGGGAGGGGAATGGGGAAAAAAGCCTCACTCCAAGTCAGTATGACTTCCTTAAGATGACGATGATCGCATTGTAAACCAGCTCATCAACATCTAACAGGGATGGGATGGTGGAAGGAGATTTGGGGGAGGAAGATTCAGCTGAGATGAGAATAAATCTGGAAACATCAAGAATAGGGAGCTGGGATCAGGTAATTACGTGGTCTGCTAGGAACCTTAAACATAATTTTGAAAAGTTCAGTTGGAGTTCTAGTCTAAGCCTTTTAAAATAAGTTTACTATTTTTGAAAATCACTCAAGCAAAAGGTGTTCCTTGTTTTAAAATAAAATAAAAATTTAAGTGATTAAACATTACTCAACTATCACTCTTAACACTTTTGTATATTATATCCTTCTACAATTTATGTATATAAAGACAAATAGAAATAGAGAATTATAGATCTGGATACAGCATGAGATGGAATCGTACTGCACATATTAGCTTGTATGTGCTATTTAGTTAATCCTATAATCATGAAAATCTTCTATAATATCATTGTAAATGACTGCATAGTTTTACACTGGTATGTACACTATAGTTTTTGCAGCTGACTTGCTGTTATTGGATATTTAGGTTGTTTCTGTTTCTCTACCTACATCTATCTATCTATCTATCTATCTATCTATCTATCTATCTATCTATCTATCATCTCTTATCTATCATCTTATCTATCTATCTATCATCTATCTATCTATCTATCTATCTATCTATCTATCTATCTATCTATCTATCTATGTTTTACTAGCCTAAAGAGTATTAAACTCTTTTCTTATAGTTAAATCTTTGTGTACATCCTCAACTATTTCCTCAGAATAAACACATAAATATATAATTGCCTGGTTAGAAAGAATTTGCATTTTAGGAATTTTGAAGTATATTGCCAAGTCGTCTTCCAGAAAGCTTGGACCAATTTGTAGTCTTGTGAGAAATATCTTTCTCACTCTAACCAGTGGTTTTTGGGAGAAAAATTCCCACTGTGTTTTAAGGCAAACAATTGGATTTAACTTTTATCAAAGTTCCACCAAGAATCATTCTTGAATTCTCTTTCAATCATGCATAACATAAAATCTGAGTCTCCAAGAGCCTGGGATCCAGAAGAAGGCATCTCAAAGACTGGCTCTCATTGCCTCCTATGTGCTTGAGGGGGTGAATTAGAAAGTGAGAACCCTGGGCACTGCAGCCAGAGAGGCCACTGCACTGGTGCCTGGATGAGGGACACTGTGCCAACCGACTGCTGCTACCATCTCATTGCAGAGACTGTGTGTGCTGCCACAGAGAGTGTCACAGCTACTGGGAAGCAAGAAAAAGTCCGCCATATGTAAAGAAATAAAATAAACAGGGAAGAGGATCAACCTGAGCAATCAGGGCTGTGGCTCCCCAGAGTGGAAGAGACAAAAGGGTACTTTAGTTAAAAAAAACAAAAAACAAACAAACAAAAAAAACAAACAAAAAAACACCTCTCAAAGAGATGCATTCACAGAACCCCTAAAAGGAATTTTAAAACTAAAATACATGTTTGCAAGTTAAAACGTTTAATAGGAGAAATGTAAAGACAATAATCATGGCCAATAATTAAATATCTTGTAATAAAAAATGCAAATGAAGAAAAGGAAAAAAGGAAGGAAGGAGGGAAGGAGGGAAGGAAGGAAGGAAAAAAGAAAGCAATGAGGAAAACTGTAAGAGAGTTGGAGACTCAAGAAAATATTTTATGCAATAGTGAGGAATTTCAACAGAAAAAAAGAATAAAGAAGTAATACAAAATTCATAAAAGAAAACATGAACTGAAGAAAACCTCCATTTTAAAATTGAAAGATCTTGGCAAGTGCCATGCATGATTAATAATAACATTAATGATGATAATAATAATAATATAGACCAGACCAGAGCTGGCCAATAGAACTTCCTGCAGTGGTGAAAATGTTCTGTGTAGTTCAGTATGGCAGCCACCAGCCACATGGGCTATTGATCACTTGAAATGACTGGTATGACGAAGAAACTGACTTTTAAATTTTACTTAGTTTTAATTTATTAACATTCGCATTTAAATAGTCATATGTGGCTAGTCATTATCACATTGGACATCAGATCTAGACATTTCCTGGTGAAATTTCTTAAATATAAGCATTGAAGTAAAAGCTTATAAACTTGTGGGCTTTCGTATTCAAGAGGGGATACATTCCAAGACCCCCAGTGGATGCCTGATTCAGTGGATAGTATATTATGTTTTTTCTTATACATACACACAATAAAGTTTATTTTGTAAATTAGTCATAGTAAGGCATCAACAAAAAATACAGACAATAAAATAGAACAATGATAACAACATGCCAGCATCACTACTCTTGTGCTTCGAGGCCCTTATTTAGTTAAGATACGGGTTACTTGAGAACAAGCACTACGATACCACAGCAGTTGATCTGATAACTGAGAGGGCTACTAAGCCATTAAAGGGTGGGTAACCATCCAGCGAAGATACACCAAATAATTCACATCCTGGCGGGAGGAGGAGGACTGCGTGAGATTTCATCACCATACTCAGAACAGTGCACAAAACTTACAAATTGTTAAGTATAACGGTGTAACAAAACTTACAAATTGTTAATTTCTGGAATTTCCTACTTAATATTTTTAGACCTCAGTTGACCGCAGTTGATGGCAGGTAACCGAAACCTCAGAAAGTGAAACCAAGGATACAGGAGGACTACTGTGTAGAAAATCAGATTTGTATTGGACTTCTTATCTGAAACACTGAAGGTTAAAATAAATAGAAGAATTTACAAACTGTTAATAGAAAACACTGATTGGAGGCGGGTCATGGTGGCTCACACCTGTAATTGCAGCAGTTTGGGAGGCTGAGGCAGGCAGATCACTTGAGCTCAGGAGTTCCAGGCCAGCCTGGGCAACATAGTGAAACCCCATCTCCACAAAAAATATACACATTCGCTGAGCATGGTGGCACTTGTCTGTGGTCTCGGCTACTCTGGAGGCAGAAGTGGAAGGGTTGCTTGAGCTTGGAAGATCGAGGCTGCACTGTGATCGAGAGCTGTGATCATGCCACTGCACTCCAACCTGGGCAAGAGAGTGAGACCCTGTCTCAAGAAAAGAAAAGAAAGAAAAATGTAGATAAAGAACAACACAGTAGAGCAAAAGGGGTTATAAGTAAAGGATTAATAAAAATAAAACTTGAAATTAATGTAATATAAAAGATAAAACAGAAAAATAAAATAAAAATTTAGTTTTTTAAAAGATAAAATAGATAAAATACTAGACTGGTAGGTAAAACAGATAGAAAACAAAAAATATAACATTAAGTATGAAAAATGAGGCATAACTATGGATACTAAATAAGAAAAAACTGTGTTTATGCAACTCTACAATAATACATTTGAAAAATATTAAAGTTGATGATTTTCTAACAAAAGATGAAGCAACAAAATTGGCTCAATGGTGTTAGGAAAAGAAACAAAAATATTCTCAGTTCTGAGGATTTTCACAGCTAACATCCATCTTATATTCAAAGAATAGCTAATTCTTAGGTTTTTAAAAATTTTCTTGTCTATAGAAAGTTATAATTTCTTCAATTTATTTCAAATCTATTACAGTCTTAATATCAAAATTTGAGAAGGGTAGCACTGAAACAAAGACTATAGAACAATAAACCTATGAATAAAGTGACAGATTTTAAATAAGAAATTGGCAAATATAATCCAGCAAGACAGTAGAAGAATGACAATTACAGCATGACCCAGTAGGGTGTATTAGTCTGTTTTCATGCTGCTGATAAAAATATATTCAAGACTGGGTAATTTATAAAGGAAAAGAGGTTTAATGGACTCACAGTTCCACATGGCTGGGGAGGCCTCACAATCATGGTGGAAGGTGAAAGGCACATCTTACATGGTGGGAGCAAAAGGAAAATGAGAGACAAAGAAAAGGGATTTCCCCTTACATATAAAATATATATAGCCATCAGATCTAGAGAGACTTATTCACTACCACGAGAACAGTATGGGGAAACCACACCTATGAATCAATGATCTCTCACTGGGTCCCTCCCACAACATGTGGGAATTATGGGAGCTACAGTTCAAGATGAGATTTGAGTAGGGACACAGCCAAACCCTATCTTAGGGTTTATAATTGAAAGAACAGTTCACCATTAGAAAATCCAGAAACATAATTATTAATTTAATTAAAGGAGAAAAACAAAATAATTGTATCAGTAGATTCTAAAGAAGAACTTGATAACATTTTGAAGACGTTCTTCATCAAAACTCTGCCTCAGCTCAGACAGAGGTAAACAGTAAAACAGAGACATCCTAAAGACTATGAGAAACACATTAAAATGCTTTAACTGTTTTTATTAAATCAAAGATAAGAGTGGGTGCCCTATTATTTCACATAATTTGAAGGTTCTAGCAAGATACATTATAATTAAAGTTCCTCAAAATGATCTTGTTTTCAGATAATTAATGTATTCTTAGGAAATGTGAAAGATTATTTAAAAACCATTTAGAAGTGAGATTTTGATAAGGTATATATAGTTGTGTTTGTATACATAAACTCAAGAGTTCTTTCCCTGATATAGACATAAATGGTTAGAAAAAGGAATAGAAAAAATATCACATTTGTAATAGACACAAAAACTATGAAATCATCAGGAATGAATTTAATAACAATGAAAACTGTAAAACTTTATTGAAAGACTTAAAACAAGGTAGAAACAAATGGAGAAATACATCATGTTCCTGGAGGAGAGACTTAATATCTTAAGTCTCCTCTGTGCATGGATACATGAAAGTCATTTCCCATCAGAATCCCTCCTCTTTTTCTGTGGGGCTTTAGGAATTGGACTTCTTGATTTGAAGTATTTATGAAAGTACAAATGTGTAAGAATTTCCAATAAAAACTTGAAAAGGAGGAATAAGAAGGGGTGGCAGGGAGGATTTTGCCCAGCCAGATGTGAAAACATGCTATAAACCTGCTGGATTCAACATAGTGAAGCAATGAAATTAGGGCGAGTGAAGGCTAAACAAGCCCCCAGAGCTCGTTGGAGGAGGTAGGTTGGAGGAAAGCAAATGACAGGAGAAGGACATTACAAAGGGCTTTTCAAATTGGGGTATATGAGTATCTGTAGGGATCTGACAACTCTGTCTGCAAACCTAAAATGTGTTTTGTTTTAAATTATAATGGCAAAAAAAAAAACAACAACAACAATCTTACTCTGGGTCATCTGATCAACACCGATAGCTAAGGACTGCCACAAAATGTCTCTGCCATTTTTGCATTTACAATTAAGATTCATTTGCAAATTGCATTGGTGGTAAGTAGCACTGATTTAATAGCCCTGTGCTAGTAAGAACAGAGGTGGATTTAAAACACAGATGAAGTGTTTAACTTGAGTGCTAAATGCCAACACACACCAAACTGCTAAACCCTGGCCGCCTTGATGGAGCAGAGAGTGACAGTGCAGCTGGATTTGAATGGGCCAGAGGAGACGCTGGCTTTATATTTATTACTGAGTCTACTGCAACAATCGCATAATGAGGTTGTTCTTTGAAAGGAGAAATCAATCGAGTCTATGTAGCTCAAGGCCTAACTATCAAAGTGGGAGGACGTTTTATGGCTCAGTGTGATAAGTACCATAACTTAGTGATGGATTGGTTTTGGTAGTGTGCATTATGGTATATGAAAGGGGTGAGGAGTGGTGGCCCCCAAAAAGATCGGTCTAGGTCCAAATCCCTGGACCCTAAGGATACTACTTTATTTGGAAAAAGGGTCTTTGCAGATGTAATCAATTAAAGATGTTGAGATGAGATCTTCCTGGATTTCCTGGGTGGGTCCTCAGTCCCAAGACAAATGTCCTGATAAGAGATAGGCAGAGAGAGATTTGAGACATGCAGAGGAGTAGGTGATGTGAAGACAGAGGCAGAGATTAGAGTGATGCAGCCACAAGCCAAGGTATGCCTGGAGACAGAACCTGGAGGATGCGAGAAGTGGACTTTCCATCCCTGTAGGGAACATGGCCCTGCCAATGCCTTGATTTCGGAGTTCTGGCCTTCCGAACTGAGGTAGAATACATTTCTGTTGTTTCAAGCCAGCCAGTTTGAGGAAATTTGTTACAGCAGTCACAGCAAAATAATATAGGAAGGTAACTTATATTTTTCTGGAATGGTTCAGGCAGGCTTTACTAGAATTGTGGCTCTTGTAAGCTGCACCTAAAGGGGAAGTAGAAAAGGGAAGGAAGTCTACTCTGGGCAGGGAAGACAGCATGAGCAAAGGCACAGAGGCCTGAGGGGTTGGATTCACTGTGGCTGGGTGTATTTAGCAGGTGAGGTTGGGGATAAGCCGGAGGGTGAAATATCATGTTTTCTGCTGACTCTTTAGCTGAAGAAACTAATTCACAAACAATTGAAGGATATTTCTAAGAGGACTGAGAAAATTCATGACAGAGACAGAAATCTGGTAAAATCTATCTTCAGTGTCATATTCACAAGGCAGGAAATTGCATCCCTGTAAAGCCCGAAGAAAAAGAGAACTGAGAACGGACTCCTCATATTCAAAATGCAGCAGCTTGTTGGGTCTTGAGGGCTCCCTTCACAGCCAGTTTGCTCACATTCCTAGGCGGACGGCTTGCTCTGGTATCCACGTAATCCCTGCCAGAATGGGAAGCACCTAAGCTAGGTAGAAAACAAAATATTTTCGCCATTTGACATGATAAAGCGTGTGGCTCTTGAGTAGAAGAACTGTCGCAACCATGGGAGTGTTCTGTCCCATCTACCCACTCCATCCGCCGTGGGAAACACATCTCCCCCAACCAGCACATCGAAGGTGGCCTGGACAGTGACAGAAGCCACCCCCTTTGATTTCTGTATGTGGACATGACTTGCCACCGGCGTGGATTCCGCCTCCTGCTCAGCAGTGTTTGTGGCAGCTGAGAGTACCTTCTCCTTGATACCCTTAGGAATATCCAAGTGGGGTATTGCATACTGAGGCCAAAAATGGATCTGCGCACATGCCAGGATCACTTGCAGATGTAGGGTTGAAAACATTTGTTTCACAGGACTGACACTATAAATAGGATTCTCGATGTGGATCAGCAGGAAGGCAGCAGTTTCCATGGGTGGCCTTGTCTCTATGGCAGAGATATTTCCCAGAAGCTCGCACCAGTGGGGCTGGCTCTGGATCCAATGAAGCTGCCGCGTCATCACTGTGACATGGCTCACAACTGCTGGGGTGCCAAGCCCTTTCCCTCACTGCTCAAAGACACATCTGGAATCATCTCCAGAAACTTCTGTGACAGGCTGGGGGCCCTCATCCGTTGGCGGCACACCATGAGTGTGACTGCGCGAATGTGTATAGTGTGTGAGTATGTGTGTGTATATGTGAGTGTGTGTATATGTGGGTGTGTATATGTGTATGAGTGAGTGTGCGTCTGTGTATATGCGTGTCTGTGTGAGAGCGTATGACTGTAAATGAGTGTGTTTGTGTGTGTGAGTGCCTGAGTGTAGGTCTGTGTGTGTGTGACTGAGTGTGCAGGTACATCTGTGTATGCGAGTGTGTATATGTGTGTGAATGTGTCTGTGTGAGAGAATGTGTGTCTGTTTATATGGGTGTCTGTGTGAGAGAGTGTATGACTATAAATGAGTGTACTTGTGTGTGTGAGTGCCTGAACGTATGTCTGTGTGTGTGTGACTGAGTGTGCAGGTACATCTGTGTATGTGTGTGAGCATGTATGTGTGTGTGTCTGTGTGAGACAGTGTGTGACTGTGCGGAATGTGTTTGTGTACATGAGTGTGTGTATGGGGGGGAGTATGTGAGTGTGAATACCTGAGTGTGTGGATGTGTCTGGGTCTGTGTGGGGAGAATATGGGTGTGAGAGTGTGTGACTGCGTGACTGCATATGTATGTGTGTTAGCGTGTGCATGAGTGTGTGTGAGTGTGTGTGGATGTGTGCATGCTGCCCAGGCTGGAGTGCAGTGGCACGACCTGGGCTCACTGCAACCTCCATATCCCAGGATCAAGCGATCCTTGTGCCTCAGTAGCTAAGACTACAGGGGTGCACCACCACATCCAGCTAATTGTGTTGTATTTTTTAGTAGAGACTTGGTTTCACCACGTTGGCCAGACTGGTCTCGAACTCCTGACCTCAAGTCATCTGCCCACCTCTGCCTCCCGAAGTGCTGCAGTTACGGGCATGAGCCACCCCGCCCGGCCTGGAGTGGGAGTTCTGTCCACCTCAGGGTGGGAGGCTGTGGCACAGCTGCGTCTCGCTTTCCCCCAAACTGAGGAAGAGGTTTCCTGTCTGCTCTTGGGCAGAACTGAAAACCTGAGGCTAGGAGAGTAAGGACGCAAAGAAGTTGGAGAGTGGGGATTCACCTGGAGGGTGACAAGGCACACAGTGGAAGCCTGTGGTGGGAGGGGACAGCAGCAGCAGCTGCAGGAGGAGGGGCAGGACTCACCTTGCCCATGCAGGCCTGCAGGAGGAAGCAGGGGAGTGGGAAGGAGAGGGTCACAGCCGAAGGGATTCTTCAGTTCCAGCAGCCCATGAACTGGCAAGAGGAAACAAAAGGGGAACAACAACGCTTCTGTGGGATGAAAGGCTGGTGAAGCAGAGCGGTTGAAGGCTTGGTCTGGAAGCTGGTTATGATAAAACTTTCACATGGTTGGGAAGAAACCCTGGGCCTCACTTGCTGTGTCCCCCAAATGTTTCTTTCCCTTCCCAACTTGGAAATAAATGAAGGCACTGTGTGGGGTTCTCTGACATTCACTATCTCATAGTCAAGCCTCACAAATCTTAGGACCGTTTTACAAAAGGGGAGATTGAGGCTCACAGAGATGAAGTAACTTGCCGAGGGCATAGGGTAGGGTCATAAGCCCAGGTCTCGGGGACGTGCCTGGGCAATGGCAGAAAGTCCCCCTTGCGCTTTTCTTGGGTAGTAATGTAGATATTCTTAATGTCAAAGGGCATCTTCCTCCTCTTGTGACACAAACACCAAGTGCTTAATTTGGAAACTGTCGTAGACACTAAAATCCACTGTCTCATTTGTTCCTCATGATCTTGCAAATTAGCTATCATTACCCCATTATCTGAAGCAAACTGAAGGGACTTCTCCAAGGACACACAGCTATGTCATGCTGGAGCCAGGATTCAAACCCAAACCCATTTTGCCCATGCTCTGGTCTACTGCACTATCCTGCCTTCCTCATGGGAGAAAGGGCTCCTCCCACTGACTCCCTGCCCCCCTTTTGGCTCTGCCCACGAAAGGAGGTGCATTGCACCCATGCAACAATGCTCATTGCTCATTACTCACGGCCTCCCAGGCCTCCCAGTGATTAAGCCCTTAGAACTTCCCTTCGGCCGCGGGTGACATCATTGCATAATTAAGGTGACTGTGATGCCCAACTGCGTGCACCAAACAAAGGTTCCTTGTTTTAATTTATCATCCCAGCTCTCCTTGTGCAAGACTGAGCTCCAACTGGTAATTAAGGGAGACGGTTTAACCTGGCTGAATGAGAGCAGGGCTTGGGGCAAAGTGGCAGAAGGGTGACCCAATGTCAACTCTTAATTTGATATGGTAATGAGGATACCAATAAAAGATAATAAGGAGTAGGCTTACCCCAGAAAGAGGAGAGCTCAACACTAATCTGAAGCTTTCCTTTTATGTAATTTTCTTGCCAAGTAGCTAAAAAGATTTTTTTGTCTTCTTTTATTTCTCAGCTGACCCTTTGATGGAGCTACTACTGAGCAGTCACATGCCCTGAAGTTGGTCACTTTCTACCCAGAGCATCGTGTTAATGCACATAGATTCTGCAACACAGGCTACAAAGATTCAAAGACAGCTTTGCTGTTTGCTAGCTTTGTGACCTCAAGCAAGTTACTGAAATTCCTGTCCCTCCGTTACTGCATCCATAAAAGGGCAGTTGCAAAACTAGTACCTGCCTCATCAGGGTGTTGTGGGGTTGAAAGTGAATTAATATGTGTTCGGTCTCGAGGTCAGTGCCTGTTGCATAAGCACTTTGTATCTGTTATTATTGCCTTCAAAACTCTCTTCACTGTCTGTGTACGACTTTCCAGCGTCTTGCATAGATTAAGTGTTTAATAAATATCTCTTCATGACATTTTATGTCTTCCCCTCTTCCCTCTCTTTGTCCTTCTCTCTCCACAAATGGGGACCTCATTTCTACCTTCATACATAAAGGGAAATATGGAGCAGACCCATTAGTTTGCAAGTACAATGAGTTAGGAAGGGACTCGCCCCTCGTAGGGTGCAGAGGCCAGGTGAATAGCAACTTGGAGTATGGTAGCCGGATAGAGAAGTTGGTTGGGACATGGGCTTGTATTTAAAAAGCAGCTAACAGATGAGGTTTTCACTGTCTCTAGGAATTGACCAAGCCTGGGAGGAACAGTCCCTCCAGGGCCAGCAAGACCTCAGAGGTCAAAACATCAGAATGCAGAAAATGAAAGACATGGTTTACATACTCTCTTGCTTTCTCCCCTTCTGAGAACTGTCAGTTGCCTTAATATAACTTACATTCAGGAGACTCTCAAGGGAGGCTAAATTGTACAGCAAAGTTTGTTTTCTTTATTGAGCTGAGCTCCCTTGAACCCGCATAGCTACCTGGCCAGGATGGGGACTCAGACCTCACCAGGGTCTGCCAGCTGGGGCCAGGGCTGTGCCCTTGGGTGTCTCCTCGGAGAGGCATTCTTCACCTGCATCTACTTGTCTAAGTAACACCTCTCCTTTGGGGTGAACTGTAACCTGCCTCATCACTACCTTTCCCAGCTTCCCAACACTTTCCCAGTTACTTCGTTGTTTCCTCTCCTGAATTTCCAGACTATTTTTTCTATTCTTCTTCTTCTTATTTTTATTCCAATAGTTTTTGGAGTACAGGTGATTTTTGTTACATGGATGAGTTCTTTAGTGGGGAATTCTGATATTTTAGTGCACCAGTCACCCGAGCAGTGTACATGGCAGGCATATGCCATCTTTTATCCCTCACTCCCCTTCCAACCTCCCATCTGTGAGTCCCCAAAGTCCATTATATCACTCTATGTTTTTGCATCCCCATAGCTTAGATTCCCCACCTATATTTGAGAACATACAGTTTTCTATTTCTGAGTGACTTCACATAGAATAATGGTCTCCAGCTCCATCCAAGTTTCACAAAATACGTTATTTTGTTCCTTTTTTATGGCTGAGTAGTATTCCATTATAACCACTCTGTCAATGGGCACTTTGGTTGGTTCCATATCCTTGCAATCGCAAACTGTGCTCCTATAAATATATGTGCACATGTCTTTTTCATATAATGACTTATTTTCCTTTGGGTAGATACCTAGTAGTGAGATTTCTGGATCAAATGACAGTTCTATTTTTAGTTCTTTAAGGAATCTTCACACTGTTTTCCATAATGTTTATACTAGTTTACATTCCCACCAGCAGTGTAGAAGTGTTCCCTGATCACTGCATCCATGCCAACATCTACTGTTTTTTGATTTTTTGATTATGGCCATTCTTGCAGGAGTAAGGTGGTATTACATTGTGGTTTTGATTTGCATTTCCCTGATGATTAGTGATGTTGAGCATTATTTTCATATGTTTGTTGGCTGTTTGTATATGTTCTTTTTAGAAATGTCTATTCATGTCCTTTGCCTATTTTTGATGGGATTATTTCCTTTTTTCCTTGCAGATTTGTTTGAGTTCCTTGTAGATTCTGGATACCAGTCCTTTGCCGGATGCATAGTTTACAAATATTTTCACCCACTCTGTGGATTTTCTGTTTACTTTGCTGATTATTTCTTTTGTGGTGCAGGAGCTTTTTAGTGTAATTAGATCCAATTTATTATTATTATTATTATTTGCATTTGCTTTTGGGGTCTTATTCATGAATACTTTGCCTAAGGCAATGTGCGGAAGAGTTTTCCCAATGTTATCTTCTAGAATTTTTATGGTTTCAGGTCTTAGATTTAAGTCTTTGATCCATCTTGAGTTTATTTTTGTATAAGATTGTGGGGGGGGGGGGACTTAGTTCCAAAAGATAGGGGAAGAGGAATTCCTGCCTAAATTGTTCTATGAAGCCAGTATCACCCTAACAACAAAACAGGAAAGGATATAACAACAACAACAATAAACTATAGACCAATACCCTTGATGAAAACAGATTCAAAAATCCTCAACAAAATACTATCTAACTGAAGCCAACAGCACATCAAGAAGATAATATATCATGATTAAGTGGGTTTCATCCCAGGGATGCAGGGATGGTTTAACATATGGAAGTTAATAAAAGTGTTGCGTCACATAAAGAAAATTAAAAATAAAAGCCATATGATCATCTCAATAGAAATGCAGAAAATGAATTTGATGAAATCCAACATTGCTTTATGATAAAAACCCTCAACAAAACAGACATAGAAGGGACTTACCTCAAAGTGATAAAAGCCATGTATGACAAACACACAGCCAACATTATACTGAATGGGAAAAAGTTGAAAACATTCCCCTTGAGAAGTGGAACAAGATAAGGATGCCCACTTTCACCACTCCTATTCAACATAGTACTGAAAGGCCTAGCCAGGGCAATCAGGCAAGCAAAATAGATAAAGGCCATCCAAATTGGAAAAGAGGAAAACTGTTGCTGTTCACTCATGATGTGGTTGTATACCTAGAAAACTGTAAAAACTCATCCTAAAGGCTCCTAGATGTGATGAATGAATTCAGTAAAGTCTCAGGTTACAAAATCAATGTATACAAATCAGTAGCACTGCTATACCTCAACAAAGATCAATCTGAGAATTAAACCAAAAACTGAATCCCTTTTACAACAGCTGCAAAAAAATAAAATACTTAGGAATGTACTTACCCAAGGAGGTGAAAGATCTCTACAAGGAAAACTACAAAACACTGCTGAAAGAAATCACAGATGACACAAACAAATGGATACACATCCCATGCTCATGAATGGGAAGAATCAATAATATGAAAATGACCATACTAGCCAAAGCAATCTACAGATTCAATGCAATTCCCATCAAAATTCCATCATGATTTTTCACAGAACTAGAAAAAACAATCCTAAAATTAATAGGGAACCAAAAAAGAGCCTACCTAGCCAAAACAATACTAAGCAAAAAGAACAAATCTGGAGACATCATATTACCTGACTTCAAATTACACCCACAAGACTACAGCTACCAAAACAATATGATACCGCTGTAATAATAGGCACTTAGGCCAATGGAACAAGATAGAGGACCCAGAAATACAGGCAAATACTTACAGCCAACTGATTTTCGACAAAGCATACAAAAACAGAAATTGGGGAAAGGACACTCTATTCCGTAAATGGTGCTGGGAAAACTGGTAAGCCACATGTAGTAGAATGGAACTAGGTCCCCATCTATTCTTCTTTTATGGAAATTTTCACTTTCTGTCATTTGATATATGTTGTGTATCTGCCTTTATCACCTTTAAAAAACATGCGAGTACCCTGAGGACAGGGACTGAGCAACTGCACCTTACTCGTTCTAGTGTTACTCTTTCCTTCTCTATATTCCTAGCATTCAGCATGATGCTTGGTGCATGAGCATTTGATGAGCATTTATTGAGTAACAGAAACTTAATATTTTATGTTAGGTCCCCCAGAAGCTGACACTCAAGCAAGGATTCAGAGCAAGTTGTTTGTTTAAACAGTGATCCTAGGAAGCACTGGTAGAAGGGTGGAGAAGGAGAAGTGGAAGTTGTGGGGGGACTGTTTAGTGCATGCTAATGACCTGTTTACCACTGATGGCAACTCGGGCTCTGTTTTGCAGGTACTCTGTAGGACACAGCTCAAGTTGTCCCATCTGGGTTATTTGTCCATATGCCATTGGAGGTGGGCTGCCCCTGGGTCAGT
Organism: Homo sapiens; assembly: GCF_000001405.40. Lineage (NCBI taxonomy): Eukaryota > Metazoa > Chordata > Mammalia > Primates > Hominidae > Homo > Homo sapiens. The sequence goes on from NC_000009.12 coordinate 86,771,634, forward strand.
GAACTCCATGACACATGAGCAGAACAATGGCCAGAGCAGACTCTCCACAGGGTCCCAGATGGCTATGGCAAGAAATCAAGCCATTGACCTTGAGTGCCAGTGTGTTATGGGTGGGTACATAGCCATCTGCTATACCTAAGTTGTAAAATCAAGGTTAAATAGCCACAGGTTCTAAAATCGAGGTACCTGCAACTATCAGCCAAGAGGCAGAGAAAAAACAAGAACAGACTTAAAGTCATTTATCCATTTTATTGTTATTGTCTTGAGTTTCTCGTGGGAAGGGGTCAGCTGACATTGAGAGTAGGTGGTTGACATCCTCATGGACCCCTGCATTTTCCCACCCTATGCCTGGCTCCACAGCTGGGAACATCTGGGCTGCATCCCAAGGTAAGCTGTCCAGAAAGCTGTGGGATGGCCAAGATGTGCCTTGGTTGAGGCGGGCTGGGGGGACGTTCCAGCTGCCGTGACTTCAACTCCCCCTGGATAGCCCTCCCCTTACTCCAAGCAGCAATATTTCTCCAAGGATGATGCTTTCATCTTTTTCCCTTCACTCAAAGAAAGGGCATGTTTCCCCTTTGCAGAACATGTTGATGACCATTTCCTCTTGGAAACATCTGTGCCTCTAGGCTCCAAGCTATGTCTGCCTTTCTTATTTTGCCCCAAGTTCTCCCACTGCACAGAGGTAGGGGCCTCTTGGAGCCTTGGACCACATCATTCTGGTGAAGTGCAAAATGGGATAACTTCGAGTAAACTTAAAGCCAAAAGTAATCAAGATAATCTGGGCCCCTGACCTCGTTCAGGAGACCTACATTAAGAAGGCAGAGCAGGATGCAGTGGGAATGGGGTGGAAAGTGGAGACTGTTGACGCCAAATGCTCCTGAGTCTGGCTTGAGTGAAGATGTTGTCACTTAGCTCAATGCACAAAAGCATCCCAGCAAAGTTCCATACTTTAGACATTCTTGAATTTGGCAATTTCTATTTTATATTTTTGGACACTCTTCTGGAATAATCTGTCAATTAACATATACCAGATTCGCTTTGTTTTTTTTCCTTTGGCAAAACCCTACAAAAATGTTTCCCAAACCCTTCAGTTCCCCAGAGTTTTCTAGTAATCACAAGCAGACCTCCCCATGTGTCGGCTGACTGCAGTGTTCCCTAACATTCCACCGGCACCGCAAGTTTGAGTACTCCTCTGGGACAAAACCTTCCATCATGCTCTGGCCAGGATCCTGCACTGACAGAGCCAGGTACATCTGTAGAATTGACAAGGGTATTTTTTAGAAACACAGCAAATTGATTCTGGATTATGTTTTAAGTACAGTAATGAGGTTAAAAGAAACAAGAGCAGAAAAAACAGGTACCACAGATTAGCAAAGAGAATGTTGTCACAAGAATACTGGCTTACAAGCTCAGAAACCTGGGTCTCATCCCAAAATGCTACTAAAGATCAATGCGACCTTTGAAAAATTTGTCAACATTGCTGGCTCCACTTTCCTCCTCAATTATCAAATGGGGCATTGGACCATATTCCAACTCTAAAATTGTTAAGAATACATAGATTTTCAAAATACGTAATATAGATGTCTTCATACACTTTGGAGAAAAAAACAGTGCCTTATGTGATAAATAGATGCTTAGTAGAGCGGAAATCAAGTAGCACATGGGAAGAAACTGCTATCTCACTGTTTGGTGATCCCATCTCTCAAATTGAATAATTGTATAGTTTTATAAATGGTTTATATTAGCAATACCCTGAAATAGAAAATACTGTTTTTTTTGAATCATCACTTAAAGATTTTTCTTCTCATTCTTTCAGGTGTCAGAATAACAACTTCAATTTATTATGAACCTCTTGTTTGTTAGGCGTCACATTACAGTAATCACTTTTTCACACACTAATTCAATGGAGTAGTGTCATTTTTATGCCCCTTCTTCTGATGAAGAAATTAAGCTTCGGAGAGGTTAAAGACCTTTCCCAAGTCACACAGCTGGTAAGTGTCAGGGCTGGGATCTGGAACCAGACATCTGACCATAGTGACGACTTCTGTCCATTCATCACCAGCGCCATCCTGGTGATACTGAGAGAAATACTCTGAAATTCACTTGACTTCTCTCCAATGTACTTAATGCTGTGAAAAGAACTTTCAGAAAGGGTGAAGACTGAGAAACTACCTTTGTCTTCAGAAGAATTCTAGGGGTACAGGCTGTGTGAATTATGGGTAAGGTCCGCGTAATATCCCCAACAAGATAGGAGGCTCTAGCTTGTTGGAGTGCTTGTTCTCTCTCCTTATTATCTACTCCTGGTAGAGATAACACAGATAGCTCCTCTGAACAACAAAAGGGTCGTCTTCTCAAGGTCTTTTACCTTAAGACTTAAGCTTCACCACATCACATTGATTTAACTTCTCTCTTTTGCGTTTGGCTTGCCAAGATTCCAAAAACAAGTTTTACTGTGTCACCAGATTGGTACTTATGGAACTCAAGTTTTCATGGTTTCATCTGAAGCTGGAAACAGAATTAAGCGATTCCAAAATGACCATCGGACACCAGATTCTATTCCCAGCCCCTCCTGGAGCCAGGGGAGAATGATACAATTTGCCAAGTCTCAAATCCATCCCACACGGCCAGCCTGAAAATGCATCCTGACTCAGGCTTTTTCTTGTTTTAATTTGTTTATTTGTGATGGGGACTTGCTGCTTCTAGGAGGGTTCCATTTAAAAAAAAAATCTCAGAAGACATCAAAAAGTTCTGACAAAACAACATGTTGATGATTTAAGTGTAAATATGTCAGAGACATATGGTTTCTATTATTCATGAAATAACACGTGGGTTTAAAAATCAAGGGGAAAAGTGTTTGGTAAAACACATTGAGGACTTGGCTAAATGTTTTTTAAAGGCCAGTTCTGAAGCCTCAAGGGGGAAACACACTGAGGGGAACAAATCCAGGCTCCCAGCCCCTCCCTTGTTTGTCTCTTTTCTTGATCAGAGATGGCACATGTGTTGTCACCAGAGCACTGATGCATCTGCCACCACAGTGACATTTATCCAGCAAATTGTGTTTTGATGGACAAGACTAGGTCCTGATTGAATCCCTGTTGTTTGCTAGCAATGGTAGTTTGAGGCAAGTTAATGGATCTGAAAAATGGAAAAATATAGCTCACAGAATTATTCTGAGCATTTGTGTTAATATATGTCAATTGCCTGGCACATAGTAGATGCTTAACAAGAGGGAGCTTTTAATAATAATCATTGTTCACTTGAAAAGTGGTAATAGGAAGGGTGGGTAAGGGAACCTAGGACCAAAATTGTTTCTGGAGTATGAAGAATCTGTAGGATCACAGGAGATCCTCTAACCCCCTCTCTACCCAAAGATGCAACCAGTGGGGGAAGAGAGATACTGTACTGGCTGTTGCTAAAGGCAAACAAAAAACAAGAAAGAGCACAAATCCGGGAGGTCATAATAAACTCAGTCTCCGTTGACCAACTCACCAAGGTACTTGTCGTTCAAGGCACACTTTTAAACGGTTTTCCTAATTTAAGGATATTTATTCAAATCTGATAATATTTGGATTAAGTTTTTTAAGTCAATGAATTTTGACAGCTTTATTGAGTTATGATTGACTTACCAAAAAATGACACATCTTTAAAGTGTATAATTTGATAAGGTTTGACATACATATATACCTGTAAGACCATCACCACAGTTAACATACTAAATGTATCCATCACCCCAAAAGTTTTCTCATGCCTCTTTGTAATTCCCTTCACCCCACATCTCCATACAACCACCAAAGTGCCTTCTGTCACTATAGATTGGTTTGCATTTTCTAGAATTTTATATAAATGAAACGATATAATATTTACCTTTTTGTCTGATTTCTTTCACTCAACATTATACTTGAGATGTATCCTCTTTTGTACGTAACGTTGCTCATTTCTTTTCATTGCAAAGTAATATTCCATTATATAGATATAGCACAACTTATCATTGTTGATGGCCATTGAGATTGTTTCCGGTTTTGTTTCTTTAGTATGAAAAACAAATCTTCTGTGAACATTTGAGTATAAATTCGTATCTTTTCTTTTCTCATGGTAAGTACCTAGGAATGTAGTAGCTAGAAATTTTTTTAGGTATATGTTTAACTTTTTAAGAAACTGCCAAACTGTTTTCTAAAGTGGTTGTAGCATTTTACATTCCCAGCTGCAGCACATTTGAGATCCAGTTGTTACTCGTCCTTGCCCACATTTGATGTGGCAGTCTTTTTAAGTTTAGACATTTTAATAGATGTATAGTGTCATTTCATTGTGGTTTTAATTTTCATTTCCGTAGTGACTAGTGGTGCTGGCAATCTTTTTATGTGCTTACTTATCATTTCTATGTCTTCTTTGGTGAAGTATAGGCTTAAATCTTTTGCTTATTTTGAGTTCTTTGTTTTCTTATTATTAAGTTTGCAGTGTTTTTATACTTTATGGATATAATTCCTTTATCAGATATATAATTTGCAAATATTTCCTCCTAGTCTGTGGCTTGTCTTTTTATTCTCTTAATAATATCTTTCAAGGAGCAGAAGTTGTAAATTTTGATGAAGTTCATTATATATTTTTTATTTTATGTTTTGTGCTTTTAGTGTTGTAGCTAAGTAATCTTTGCCTAACTAGAAGTTGCAAAGACTTCTCCTACATTTCTTTCTAGAAGTTTTATGTCTTACCCTTAGGTGTATGTTCTATTTTGAGCTAACTTTTGTGTATGGCGTAAAACTTGATTCAAGGTTTATTTGTTTTGTTTCATTTTTGCATGTGGTTATCCAATTGACTTAGCATAGTTTATTTAAAAGCTTATCCATTCTCCACTGAATTGCCTTTGTACCTATGTCAAAAATCAGTTAATCATATGTGTATGTAGGTCTATTTCTGGACTCTTTTATTTCATGTTATATTTGTCTCTGTTGACACCAATACCACATTTTCTTGATTACTACAGCTTTATAGTAAGCTTTATATTAATCACACTGCCTCACTTCACATAGCTTTATAACTAGGACCTTCCCACATTGTGTTTCCTTTGCTCAACCTGAAGAATTGTCACATAAAGCATATAGCTTTCTATGAAGTGAGGCAGTGTGATTACTCCAACTTTATTCTTTTTCAAAATAATTTGGGTTGTTTGAGGTCCTTTGCATTTCCTTATTAATTTTAGACTCAGCTTGCCAATTTCTACCAAAAGAACAGCCTGCTAGGTTGTTGATTAAGATTACATTGACTCTCTAGATCAATTTGGGGAGAACAGACATTTTAAAAGTAGTGTGTCTTCTGACCCCTGAACAAGGTGTACCTGTCCACTTATTTGAGTCTTCTTTAATTTCTCTCAGCAATTTATTTCAACCTATAGGTCTTTCACATCTTTTGTAAAATTTATCCCTAAGTATTTAATATTGTGATGTTATTATAAATTGCATTTATTTAGATTATAATTTCTGATTTCTCATTGTTGGTATTTAGCAACACAATTGACTTTTACATATTGACTTTATTCTGTAATCTTGGTAAACTCATTTATTAATTTTAGTAGATTCCATAATGTTTTCTATATAAATGTTCATGTTGTCCATGCATGAAGACGGTTTTACTTTTTCCTTTCTAATCTGGATGTCATTGAAAAGTTTTTTCGCCTTGTTGTACTGACTAAAATCTCCAATATGATGTTGAATAGAAGTAGCGAGAGTGAACGTCTTTGCCTTGTTCGTAGTTGTAGGGAGAAATAATTAAATTTTTCTCCACTAGGAATGATGTTAGCTATAGGTTTTTTTGTAGATGTCTTTTGTCAGGCTAAGGCTATTCTTTTATATTCCTAGTTTTTGTGAATTTTTATCAGAATTTGATGTTGAGTTTTGTCAAAACCATTGAGATGATTGTATGGTTTTTCTTTTTTAGTCTGTTAGTGGAGTGTTTTATGTTGATTGACTTTCTAATGTTAAACCGTTTTAGCATTCTTGCCATGATACAATATCCTTGTTGGGTTCAGTTTGCTAAAGTTTGCTAATAATATTTGCATCTGTATTTATGAAGGACATTAATTTATATTTTTTTCTTATAAGGTTTTTGTTTGGTTTTGGTATTAGTGTACTGCTTCCCTCATAGACTGAGTTGTAAAGTATTCCCTCCTCTTCAATTTTCTAGAAGAATTTGTGTTGAATTCATATTATTTATTTCTTAAATGCTTGGTAGAATTTGCTAATGAAGCCATCTGGGCCTGGAATTTTATTTGTTTTAAGGTTTTAAGTTACAAATTTCTTAATACATATACAAATTCCTTAATACATATACTATAGGGCCTTCAGGTTATCTATTTATCTTAAACGAACTTTGGTAATTTGTGAGATTCAAGAAATGTTTCCATTTTATGTAAGTTCTAGAATTTATCCTCCTAAAGTTATTGATAATATTTCATTACTATCATTTTAATATATGTGTAATTTGTAATGATGTTGCCTCCCTCATTCATAATATTGGTAATTTGTATCTTTTCTCATTTTCGTACTGATCGGGGTGGCTAGAGGTTTGTGGCTAGAGGTTTGTCAGTTTTAATAATCTTCTTAAAGAACCACAGAACCAACTCTTGATTTTATTGATTTTCTCAAGGTGAAAAGTCAGGTCATTGATTTGAGACTTTCTTCTTTTCTAATAACGGCATTTTGGTCCTATACATGTCCCTCTATGTACTGCTTTAGCTTCATTCTACAAATTTTTCCATATGTTATATTTTCATTTCATTTAGTTTAAAATATTTTCTAAATATTTTTATTTCCCTTTTAATTTTGATAGTGGGACTAAGGAAGAGAGATTGGAAGACAGTGTTTCTTTTAATTAAGCCTCTACCACTATAAACATCCTCTGAAGTTCTCTAATGTCTTTTACCAAAAAGTTGATTGAATCTTTTCAGTCCCTCTGTGTTTTGGCATCACCGATCTTAATATTTCTGGTCAGATATAAATGTTATTTCAATATGAGGTACAGTTAATATGGTATGTTGAACTAAATTAGATGGAATAAAGATGTGGAGAAGTTTATCAGAGAAAAATAACACTGAGGCCTAGGAATCCTTCATGGGGAAACAAAAAATATCTGCAATCAAAAGAACAAAGGAAAAGAGACAGTTATTGAATAACATATACCAAAGAGTCTGCCAATGAACCTCAGATTGCTAGGAACTTCCCACACGTGTTTTCTTTGCCCAACCTGAAGAATTTCTGAGTTGGTGATGTGCTCTTCATGTAGGCATTCTGTGACCTGCTTCATTTGCTCTTTTCATGTTGTGTTTGCCCTTGTACATTCAGTTTCAATTAAGAAAGGGAGAGAGGAGGCTGTATACTGCCAGCTTAGCCCTGTAAATATTTGCAGTGTTTATGACAGATGTTTTCCTATTATGAAGGAATCTGACCTTCATTAAAAATCTGGAACTTTTAAAATGTAGTGGCAAAACATCACGAACAATAGCGGGGTTTGCTGGTGATTTTCATATATTTTGAGATGCAGAGTCTTACTTGAAGAAACCAGTAATTATCACGACTATTAACTATTTGTTAGGAAAGTGGTCAGACAGTAGAAAAGAAGCACAGTTTCTCTTTTGTGGCTCTAATCATCATCCTACTCCAGCATTCTGCAAGACGGGCCATCTAATACTATCATTTCATAAACCAACAATATGGCTTTCCTTATATCTAGTGAAGTAGTCTTCTTCCTGGTGTTTGGAATACAAATTAAAGCACACGCAAATAACCCTTAATATCAAGCTTATGTGTTTCTCATAATTTTTACCATTAAAGTGATATAAATGTGTGACATATGAAAAACTGCATAAAAATACCATGAAAAAACATAATACAAGTTTTAGGGTTTTCTGACTGACCACACCTTTTGCCCGAATGAATGGGTTAAGACAATCTGAGTTTCCCTAGGTCCACTAACTTCTTTTAGGTTGAGGCTTATGGGCTTGGATTTACCCACTTGGCTGACATATTGCCTTCTTTAGGATTATTGGAATTTGGATTCACCATGACGTCTGTTTGCAAGGGAAGAAAAAGTATATATGACATTGTTGTTCCTCAGGATTTCCAGAACTGGAATGTGCAAATTGTAGAAACCGTATGCACATGGACACAACGTATGTTACTTGCATTGTAGACCCAGGAAAAGAAAACTAGAGTGCTGTGACCAAGGACCATCTAGAAAATTAACTCTGAGCAAGAAAAGTAAGTCACAGAAAGACACATACAATATGAAACCATTTCTGTGTTTTTAAAACTCTCAGAACAATACCATAATTAGTTTATGGAAACATACATATGTGGTTAAAACAAAAACAGAAACAAAAAAATGTACTCAACAGTTCTCAAGATTATGTCTTCTTCTGGGAAACTAGAGAAAGGAATAGAATTGGGTGGGCTGAAAAAGGTAATTCAACTTTATCTAAAGTTTCACTTCTTTAAAAAATTTGATGAAATATCAATATAAATTATTCATATTTATTTATTTTATATATTATTTATTTGTTTATACTTATATAGGTTGTGGGAACATAGATTATTTTCCATTCTCTATTTTCCCTGTCTTTTAAATAATTTATAATTAAAATTCTAAAAAGAAATTTATATTCCCTGACATGGAAAATTCTCCCTTGTTAATGGAAAAAGTGATTATAGAAAAATATATATTTTCTGTTACAATTTATGAAAAAGATGAATATAGAATTGTATTCTGGACATTCATATATATTATAATTACATAAATACAATTAAATTATATATGTTTATAATTACTTATATAAAGTTATACATTATGCATACAGTTATATATAATAGATAATATATATTCAATTTACATATAAAATGTATGATTCGAAATATATAATTACATATATAAGTAACTATATAATTATGTATTACATAATATATAATATGTAATATATTATATAATTAAATATATTACAAATACATAAAAATATGTAATTAAATGTATATAATGAATACATAGAATTATAAATACATACAAGAAGTTGACTATACACCAAGTTTTTTTTTGTAGTTATGTGCTGGCAAGAAAGTGGAATTGTGTGAGGGGTATGGGTAAAGGGGTAGCTTCACTTTTTTTACTTTGTATACTTACTTAATTTTATTAAATGCACATGATTCATCTATTGCTTTATAAATAAAAAAATGGAAAGACGAACCTGTGTTCTTTCTATGAAAACAAAGAATAACAACACTAGCAATGTCTACATATTTCATAGTCTTCAGAGCTGTGTCTCTCTGCAGAATTGCAGGAATTTCACTCAAACTCAGTTTTTTCTAGATCACAAAGACCTGTATTTCTCACTCCAAGACCCCAAATAAAGGCCATGGTAACCTTATCTCGTTGGCTATTCCTTGGGGGAGGAGATAATTGATAATACTGAGAACCCAACCAGGATAAGCCAGCCAGAGCACAGGGGAAGAGTGGAAAAGACACTGGTTTAGGGTCAGTTAGTGTCCCCAAAGCCACCTGAAGGCACTGGGTCCCTACGACTGAACACAATGTTCTAACAGAATTTCAGAAGTTTGCAAAATCCTCAGAGGTTATAGGACTATATCCTTGCTACATGGGATGCCCTTTGACTTCACTTCCGTCCCTAATTCCGAATCCTTTAGGTTGATTGTCTCAGCCATCTGCCTGGTAAAACCCCAACCCTCTCTTTCCTGTGCTCCTGGCCACCAGGGCAGAGGCGGCCAGAGGATATCAGCTTCAAAGCTGTGGGCCAGGTGGTCTCCCTGCAGGTGGATGGGGCCTCAGCACTGCCCCATCTGCCCCGGTGTGACTCCTGTCATGGTGCTCTCTCCTGTCCTGGGTGATGATTTTAAACTTTCCCCTCAGCAGGTGCCCTCAACTACTTCACAGAGAAAAGACAAGACACTGGCCAATCACTCCTCTGTGTCCCAACAGCAAATTAAAAACCCATCTGCATTTGGGCCCACAGTGTCCTCTGTCTCTCTTTCTGCTGTGGCCTATCCCTCCACTTGTGCCTCCCAACCCCATCCCTATCCACAAATCTAAGAACGTTTCTCTACCAGGTGTCTCTTCTCTTACCTGTATCTTCAATATCTTTCTCTCTACCCCATCAGCATTTAAACACACTCAAATCTCTGACAAAAAGATCTACCTTCAGTCTCATTCACCTCCATCTGAACTTTCTCTGAATGTCTACATGCATGTTCCTCCATCTTGCTGCTTGCCCTACTCAGAAACCATGGGCTCTCTACCAAGCACCTCTTTTGCCCCCAGCTCTTCTCACCCCACCCTTTTCTGTCCCCTTAGCCTCTTCCAAGGAAGACTGTACCCTTGATCTTTCTTTGTCATCTTTGAAGGTGCAGGGTGGGTCTCTGACTTTATTATTGTGGTTGATGGTGGTGCCTAGTTGCCATTCATTGGCCAACATTGAGAGCTGTGTGTGCTACCTCAGAAGCAAGCTGACCTGGAAAAAAAAGACTTAATTTTCTACTGGACACTAATAGTCTCACATTATAAAGGTAAAACCTGAATTCTGCCTTTGAACATGACTTTGACCATCCTCATTGTGAAATAATAATCTAAGAATAAATAATATTCTAAGGCACATTGAGTTGCTCCTGAGCACATGCCAACTGATCCTCAAATATCAATCTTGACAGAAGGCTTCTCTGAGGTGATGGATAGCTCATCTAGCTCCCTGCATTATATCCCTCTTCTTAATCTGTACTGTAGTGTAATTAATTGTTTGCAAGTCTAGATCCTCCATCAGCTAGTGAATAGGACCATTTCTTCAAGGCCATTGTCTAGGCCTTGGGATGGTGGAGGACTTACTGAAAATTGCCCAGCAATTAGAGCTTGTCATTGGACAAATCTGAATTCAAATTCCACCCCCTTTATTGACCAGTTGTATAATTCTGGGCAAAGCACTAGCTTCCCTGAATCCCAGTTTTCTCATCTGTAAATTGAGAGAGCAATAAATCCCATTTTAAAGGCTGTCGTATGGTGTTTAATCCATAGTAAATGTCTGAAAAATAATAGCTATCATTAACTATTGTGTCCGTTATGACCAGTAGGCACACAACAGGATTAGGCCAATGTGTAACCTTGTGATGCTGTCTTTAATTTCCCTGTGGGGGAAATAGGTGTTTCTTCAGAGGTTTTAGTGGAGGTACTGTATAATTGTCCCATAGTCTGAGATCCTGTCATACATCAACTTAACCTGTGTTATCTGATCATATATTGAATGAAACTTTAGCATAACCGACCTCTATGTCTTCCTCCAGCAAACGTCTCTTTGGAAGAAAGAATTTGTCATGCCCAGCAATTCCATGGCTATGTAACAGAAGACCTCAGTTCAGCTCCAGTGGGAGGCCAGGGGAGGGCTTTGGGGAAGTTGTGGGTTTAAAGCATCCTAGAATGAACAGAAATATCATCTGGAGAACAAATTTTCTCTCCTCCCACTGTTTTCTTGCCTTTCTTTTTCTTTTATTTGGTTTTTGATGTGTATGAGAGAATAAAAAGAATAAAGGAGAAAGGCAGAAAAAGAAATGTAGAGTTTCTTTGAAGGTCCTCAGAAGCAAATCCCCTAATTTCTGGGTTGGGGTGGGATCGCCTTACCCTCATCAGTGGGCAGGCACATGGTGCTCTCTAGACAAGGATCTCCTCACACGGCCAGGGTGAGCATGTGGTCCAGGGTCAGGGGCTGTCAAAAGAAAACGACCCTGTGTCACAGTGGCCTGTGGCCCTATAGCTGGGAGAAATTTGAGGAAGGTGGCTCTCACACTATTGAATTGTGTAGATTAAGAAGTTTTTTTAATGAAAAAAAAGTAAGCATAATAGATGTCTAGAAAATTTGAGGGTTTTATGAAAGTTTAAAGCAATTACTATCTACTCTTGGTACTATTTTACAAAAGAAAAAACATTTTAACACCAAATATGAAGTAAGGATTTATATTGGAATATAGGAAATATAGGAAAGTCTTTTCCAGAAAACAAAAATTTTAATTTCAAACTCACAGATCTTTCTTCACCTAACTTTCGTCTAGCTTTCTAGTTATTGTCTATCCACCTAAATGCTTATCTGTATGATCCTATAGCAGTTTTTTCCTCTTTTATTTGTGGACCTTTCATTATGAATTAGCACCAGTCCTCAGAGCAGGATCCTAGAACCATGCTTTGGAGGTTACCTATTATAACAGCTTTAATTTACAGATGAATATTCTGTAACACAGAAATTAAGTGACAAGTTTCTTACGGTTTTACAGCTAATAGCAGCTCAGACCTACAGCCCATTCTTAAACTCTTATTCTTAAACCAAATGTTACTTCCTTCCTACGTCATTACAATCACCATCAAAAGACACAATCAGCATTCTGGTATCTGTTGCAATAGGGCATGAGGAGTCCACAATCTCCCACTGAGAAATTCAGGAGAGCTGTTTCGTAACTCTCTTCTGTTACAGCTTTGATATAGTTTGGTTTAGTGTCTCCATCCAAATCTCATCTTGAATTGTAATCCCTGGGTGTTGAGGGAGGAACCTGCTGGGAGGTGATTGGAACATGGGTATGGTTTCCCCCATGCTGTTCTCATGATAGTGAGTTCTCATGAGATTCGATGGTTTTATAAGGGGCTCTTTCCCCTTCACTTTTTTCCCACAATCTCTTGCCTGCTGCCACGTAAAACGTGCCTGCTTTCCCTTCTGCCATGATTGTAAGTTTCCTGAGGCCTCCCCAGCCATGAGGAACTGTGAATCAATTAAACCTCTTTTCTTTATAAATTATCCAGTCTTGGGCAGTTCTTTACAGCAATGTGAGAATGAACTAATACAAGCTTCAGTCCTGTCTTGATTGATTTCATTGGTCACCCTACCCAGAAGTCCCCTCTCAATGCTCTGTTGGTTAATGTTGCCACCACATTGCCAGTGCCCCGTCCTGGGACATGGGAATCCTGGGTTGCTTACTGCTCCTGTTTTCTCATCCTTCTGAGACACCAAGTCTTTTCAGTCCTATCTCTGAAAGGTCTCTTACATCTTGTTGCTCCTCTCTGGCCACACAGGTCTCATGGCGTTGTTGATCATTTCCTTTTCAGGACTGTTGTGGCAGTTTACTGATGGGTTCCTAGCCCCAGATGCTTTCTTTCTACTTAACTCTTTAAAAGAAAACATCAACAATGATATAAACAAAAAAGTAACAACACCAGCAGCAAACTTTAATGATTTCTTACTTCTTCCAATAGCAAAATCTCTCCCTGCTGTCCTCCCTGAGTGCCACATCTGAGTGTCACCCAATTACTGGCCATTCCAGGTCATGTGCTTCTAGAAGTGCCTTTGATCGTGTCACTCCCTTTGCCTGGAAAGCCTTTCCACTCCTTCTCTGTTTTAAAAGCTGCCACTACCCCTTAAGTTTCACCTCAAATACCACTTCCAATGCCACTTCATTTCCTTCTTCTCCAGCTGAGTTAGTTTCCACTACATATCTGTAACACTTAAATCTACCTCCCCTGTGTCTCTATAACTCTTAATTTTTAGCATACCTTGAGTGGATATAATGGGATATCAGGGTGGGTCATGTATTCCACCCCCTACAAGATATTGGGAGCTTCTTAACAGTGATTTCTGAGGCCTTCTCCATTGCTGCCCCCTTCCCAACATCTAGTTCTGTGCCCAGATCCAAGTGAGACTTGGCTAAAATGTGTTGAATAAATGGAAGGTCTAACAGCAAAGCCTCGCATTTTATCTCTTCCATCTACCCCTTCCACCCTTTTTAAGAAAGTGCAAAAACAGACTTGGGGTGATCTATAAGTTGGATTCACTGCCTGGAAATGTAAGAATTGAGTAGGAACAGATTTGAGATGAGAAATTTGGTTGAGCATGTGAGGAATTGTTCCCAGGCTAGAGCTTTTCTTCTGGTAGACAGAATACAAAACCCTCCATTTTACTTGAAATACAAATGAAGAAACTTTTTGTCCAATGAGGCCAAAATACTCACCCAGATTTATTAGAGTTTGAAACACTCTGAGATAATCCACCTTAATCTTATAGCAGTCTGTGTTTGATAAAATGAAAATTAATAGCAACTGACCAAAAAGATCTTGACATCAAAAGACATTTTTTTTTCCAACAGATGTTAAAGAATACCAAAGAGTAAGACATTCTGATGCCGTATAACAGAGGTGATCACGTACGCTGGTAGAGTGATTCTGCATGGTTTCAGGAGGCAAGGCAAGAGAGTGTGCCATAATATATGTAACCTACCCAACTCATGCCTGCAACATAGTTGGCCTTCAGTAAATATTATACTGATTTCTCTATAGAATTTAAGTTTAATTAAACAGCAACATGAGGCTTTTGATGGGAGAAGTATAGCTTGATATTAGAAGGATTAAAAGGCCCTTGTGGCATAGACTGCTATATGCACACCAAAACCCATTTTTATATTTCTTGTGGGCACACAACAAGACTATATTTCTTGACCTCCCTTGCAGTTAGGTGTAGCCAACTTCTGGACCAAATTCTGGCCAAGTACTATGTAGGCAGAGAGGATGTGCTACTTTCTAGGACTGGCCCTAAAATCCTTTCTCGTAAGGTGGGATTCCCTGTTGTACTTCTCTTTCCCATTTGTCGGCCAGGTATTAATGATCCAGCAGAGGAATTTGAGCTGTAGGGGACAGAAAAACCACAGGATGTGAAAAGCCTGGGTCCCTGAGTCTCTCCATAGAAGGCTGTCTGCTGAACTATTGGGAGAGTGAGAAACAAACTTCTACTTTGTTAAGCCAGAGTCTGGGGGATATTGGTTACAGCAGTCGGCTTACCTTGACTAATGCAGTCCTGCTTTGTAGCTTTTAAATCACTGCTATGACACTCTGCACTTATCAGTCCCTTACAGAGTATTTCTAATTTTGGTATTTGTTTTCCAAAAAGGCAAGAAGAAGCTGGAGAGGGATGACAGAAAATGTAAACATGTTGGAAGAAAAGGTTAAAAACTTGCAACTACAAAGATTTAAGTTAGGGGAAAAAAAAAGGGATTGAGGGCAACTTTATTACAGGAATTCCTTCCCATAAGAGAAATTCTGGCATATATGGATTCACATCTGGGTATATTTTCTGAGTCTATGCCAGTGGTTTTCAATGCCAGACACACATTGGAATCACCTGGAAGCTTAAAACTACAGGATGCCCAGATCCTACCCCCAGACCAATTACATTGCAATCACAGATGGTTCTAAAAGTGCATGCACATTTGAGAATCATTGATTTATGTGGGTTATGAACCACGTCTTTTTGTGACTTGAGTGTTCAGAGTTATAATATCCAATAGACATTTGCTTGGAGAATCAGACACACTAGAAAACTCCTGGGCAGCAGCAGATAGTTGAAAGGGGATGTGTTTGGGAGCCACATGAACCTGATTTGAAACATTGCACTGTTGCTAACTAGCTGACAGCCACGAGGAAGTTCCTTTATTGCTTTTGACCCTCTGTTTCGTCACCTATACAATGGGGATTCTATAACCTGCAGAGTGTACAGTTGGAAACAGAATACATACTCAGTGTTTATATACAAAGAATGCCAGATTTACAAGGGTCACGTTAAAACCGCTGAAGGAAGATATCCTGAAGAAATTCTGGACTCTAAGCAATAGTAAATTGTAATAAACTGAACTGTGTTCATTATTATTATTAGATTGATGCAAAAGTAATTGCAGTTTCTGCCACTGAAAGTAATACAATTTTAGGATATATAAATTATGATTGACATTATCTTTACTGAGTATGCTATCTTTATTGCTTTAGTTTAATAGATATAAAAATATTTATAAGGGTTACTGGTGACATTGGTCTGCAAACTGTGTTTTCCCAAAAGCCCTGACTTCTTCAATTCTGAATTCTCCCCTCACGTACATTACCTTCTGGGTAAGAAGCAAATACTGCACTTTCTTTTCATACAGGAGTAGTTTCACAGATGAAGATTGAGTCAGCTCTTTTTAAGTAGGTCTTTGAAAAATATGATAGCAGACGCTGCTGAGGATCCCAAACAGGGACAAGGTGCTGACCTGTGTTCAGGCAGCTGACCAGCCAGCAGGGACTTGCCTCATTGGCAATGCTCTGTTTGTTCTGTGCTTTGTTTTATGTCTTTACACAATGGCAGCCACTGGTGTAAGTCAGTCTGTGATCTGTGCCAGAGGAGAGGTGCAGAATATAGGGGCGACGGGATGTCAGAGAATGAAGTGATCATTTTGGTTTTGATGTTGGGGGAGAGGGGACGGTTTCCCAAATAAAGCTTCCCAAAGAAGCTAGCCTAAGGTTCAGATAGATGCAGGTGATTTCAGGAGCTTGGAGAGATTCCTGGCTGGAAAAAGGAGTCTGAGGGAATGGCTCACACATGTCTGCAGGAGAGCTATTGGATGGATGTGTCAGCAGTGGCGGGAGGGTTGATGTGGGGCGCAGTGGGAGAGAGGGTAGGTAAGGCAGCCGGCACCAGCTGGGGAGGTCCTGACTTCCAGACTTCTCCCTTGCTACATGCCATACTGTCACAGCCCATGCTAGCCATTTTCCTGCTTTATTTTTCCTGGGTATCCTCATTTCACACTCCCATTCTGCCATCTCACTTTCACCATCGGCAATCAATCTAAAGTGTTTAAGATGTATTTTTTTATTTGTATGTGGTTTCTTAAAATAATTTTTTAAAAAATAATTTTTACACTTTTTAGAGGCGGGGTCTCACTATGTTGCCCAGGCTCGTCTCGAACTCCTGGGCTGAAGGGATACACACAGCTCAGCCTCCCACATTGCTAGGATTACAGGCGTGAGTCACTGCGCTCGGCCTGTATGTGTTTTGACAAAATGTGACTTCTTATTTTGTGGCAGGCATTTTAGTTTGTAAACATGGCATTGGGTTATATGTCTTCTGCAGATTCATAGTTTTTTGCTCAGTGCTATCACCTCTGAGATTCATCCATGTCGCCACAGGCATGTCAAACACATTGCTTCCCAGTGCTGACTCGTACTCCATGCTGTGCATCCACCACGTTTCACCCACCCACTCTCCAGTGATGGATGCATGGCTCCGCTCTGCTTCCCCATCACAGCCTTCTTATACCAGCCCTTACAGACCTGTGTGACAACATCTTTGGGATATATGTCCAGGAAATTGATGGCTGGCTCATGGCTACGCAGCTACCGCCCCTGCCCGAAAGCTTTTTGTATAGTCTAGGATAGACCCTTGCTACTCAGAGTGTGGTCTCTGGTCCAGAAGCAGCAGCTGCACCCAGGAGCGTGTCAGAAACAGAACCCGCACTTCGATAGGATCCCTAAGTTGAGGTAGATACAGGTTTATTAAAAGTCTCTGTCTGCGCTTTTCAATATGGTAGCCACTAACCTATTAAATTTACATTAATTAAATTAATTAAAAATGCATTCTTCAGTCTTCCTAGCCACATACGGCTAGTGGCTGCTGTCCCGGACGATGCAGATAGAGAACACTTTCCGCACTGTAGAAAGTTCTGTTAGATAGTACTTGTTGTTACGAGTCTCTTGCCAGTTTTTTTACATTGCAAACATTTTCTCCAGCTTTTCTTCCCTCTAAGCTGTGTCGAGACACCTGAGAAATGGGGTGTTAGGGGAGAAATTAATGACAGTGAGGATTGGTCTTGATGTGGTAGGCACATGGGGTGGGATGGAAACACCACTAGGTGTGAAGGGCCCAGTGAGGACCAGTTTCCATATACAGTTAAAAGGCAATAAATAATTGAACTAAGGCAGCAATGCTGAAAAATAATATGTTGGCCTAGATAATACCTAAACAATACCTACATGTTGACCTCAACAATACCAAATTGCATGTTGGCCTAGACAATATCTAAACAATACCTATATATGTTGACCTAAACAATACCAAAGCATTTGTATATACTTTATATCAATTTAATATCGCTACAAAAGTACAGGCAGGGTAGACATTGTTTTCCTTATTTTTCACAGACCAACCAAAGATGCTGAGATGTCAAACAATTTTTTTAGGAATAGAGAAGAAGAGAAAAGTGAGCTGTTCTACTTGCCTACTCAAACTTAAAGTAGGAGGATTTGACGGGGACTAGAGGAAAAGCACTCCGGTGAAATCCTGGATGGATGCTTGAATGAAGCTGCAGCATCTTTACTTACAGATATGGCCGACGAGAAGAGAAACAGCAGGGCGAACAGGGAACAACAGATTTTGAGCACTTGCTGTGAGCTTGGCCCTGTGCTAGGTACTTTCTTTCCACACAGCTCGTGGGGTCATGGTCTGTTCCCATCCCACGTATGAGACCTCTGAGGTTGTGACTGGTTCTAAATGTTCTGCCTTTTTCACTGAACAATTAAGTCTAGATGTTTTGAAGATCATCTGATGGTCCCAGGTCATCACTATAATTTTTTTCTGTGTCTATATCTATGTCTGAACATGCCCCACTCAGAAAGGAGTTCACTTGGAATGAGATAAAATACAGGAATCTAAGCCTTTGAAAGGTTCATCGTCTGGCAAGGCCATTTCTTAGCACTTCTCTCAAAGCTGCCTGGGTGGAAGGCAGACTCCCCTCTCGGTTGCAGAAACAAGTGGCTTTGAAGGCAGCTGCGTGTGAATTATACAACTGGATAATTAGAACCATAGGGAAAACTTTGATTCTTTATTTGTGAAGTTCCTATAGGGCATGATATTATGCAAAACTTGTCTTAAAGATTGAATGCAAATCCACAGGGAGGATCCCTTTCTTTCTGCAAAAAAGAAAATGTGCAGAAATCAAGAACCATGTGAGGGTGAAATGGAAAACTTTTCAATGAAGAAGGAATCATTGCTGGGTGAGAGCGCTTTGGGTAAGAATTTGCCAGAGAGAAGGAGAATGATTCGGGGGGCTAATGAGGGACACTAAAATGTAATTCTTGAAAAATAATCATTACTTAGGCAAGCCTTTAGTTTTGAACCCACTTCAGTCACTAGCTCACGGGCAGCAGGATGAGCCACATGCCTCAACAGAGTTCACGTTTCCTGAGAGTGGAGGGGAAAGCTGATCAATGGAACTTGTTGTTATTGCAATTCCTCCTTCCCATCCCTGTCACCATACACTTGTGCTGTGTAATTTTTATAACACAGTCTCACGAAAGGGATGAAAACACATTCATACTAAAGTATAAATGACTAATAAAATGTCTATCCCTTGGCATAGCTCATATTAGGAACAGAGATTAAAGCCCGAGCTGAATCCAATTCAGTACTGGACTAGAGAATTTACTATGCACAAGATTTGAGCTAGGGTTTATGGAGGAATGCTAAGATATACAAATTGAGGTTCCCATTTCCTAGGATTCCACGGGGTGGTAATGGGTGACGGTAGTAGTAAGTATAAATTACTCCATCCAGATAGAATATGTAAAGTTGGAACGAAGTGCAGTGAGCAATCTGAGGGGCAAATTAATTCTAACTGGGAGGATGGCTACTTTGCAAGTTTAGCCAGGAGAAAGTGCCCAGCTAGTTAGGTGAGGGATTGAAACAACCCCTAGGGGGATCCTGTGCCTGACTGTGGGGTCTGGGGTGAAACAGATAAACAGGTAAACAAGTCTGTCTTACTTTCTGGATCCCTTCTCATTGCCCACAGAGTGTGAATACATTTTCTTAGAGATTTCTTTCCCTTCACTTAAGAGAATGGTTGAAGGACAGAGTCGCAGTGAGTTGAGGGGTATGGGATGGGAAGAAGCTGAACTGTGGTGGCAAGCATGCCCTGGTTGTGCTCAGATAGTAACAATTCTCTTGCTTCTTCCCAAGTGGAACTGGGGGTCGATGTACACCAGAGTCAGATTGTTAGGTGGCTGAGGAGCAAAGGACAGCCTCCAGCTCAGGCTGCACATCAGAATCCCCAGGTGAGCTTCTTGATCTGCCAGTGGCCAAGCCCTGTCCCAGGTCAATGAAATCGAAAAGCTCTCCAGGTGACCCTAATATTCAGCAGTGCACAGTGGTCCTCAAAGTGTGGCCCTCCATCAACAGCATTGGCATCACCTGAAACTTGTTAGCAGTGTCAATGATCAGCCCCCCTCCAGACCTACTGACTCAGAAGACCCAGTCATGGGGGCCATGCACATGGGGGCCACCCTTACACAGGGGCTCTCATCAAGGGATGGAGACCATCAATCTGTGTTTTAACAAGCCCTCCCAACCTCCAGAGGTTTCCTGCCTGCCAAAGTTGGTGAACCTCTGGTATGATGTAAAGACTTCCCAGTGGGGATGCAGAAGACCTGAGTTCAAATCCCTGATTCTGACTCCTTGGCAAGTCAGTTAATATCTGTAAGCTCCCAGTAAAAAGGGCCTTTATTTATTAATCAAGCTTTCCTTGAGTGCCTGTCAGGTCATTGGTCTATGAAGATGAGTTTAACATAATTCCTGCCTTCAAGGATCACATACCTCCTTCTTGGAACCCATCTATATGGTTTTCAACTGTGGTGTTTAAAAAGTACACCTTTCCACTTGTGCCACGATGCAGAATTTTAGCTCTGATTGCTAATAAAAACAAGATTGGGCTGAAATGATCCAAGATACAATCGAGGGTCCCAGGGTCATCTTCTCTAGCCCTGTCTCAGGGTGACTCAGAGGTGAATCATAATTTGTGATGACTCACATTTACGTGGCTCTGCAGAGAAAAGTAGAGCAGGTGAGCTTTATAGTTCCTTATTTACAGTCATTCCATGACTGAGGCAGACATGGAATGACCCATCTTTTCACTACTCTAGAGCCATCTAGAGTCTCTAGAGTTGTCTAGAATTATTTGTCCTTGGCTTTTCAAGGTTGAATTACATCTTTCTATCAAGGAGGAACTAAGGGTTGCCCTGTAGGATATGATCCTGGTCTTCATTCTTCTTCAGTTGTTATGTCTAGGAGCATGTCATGGGTTGAATTGTGTCTACTCCAGAAATATATGTTGAAGTCCTAACCCCTAGTTCCAGTGAGTGTGACCTCATTTAAAAATAGGGTCTTTGCAGATACAGCTGGGTTCAGATGAGGTCATTGGGATGGGTCTTAACCTACAGTGACTGATGTCCTTAGAAGAAGAGAAAACTTGGACACAGAGACACACAGAGAGGGAAGGCCATATAGAGACAAATGGGGTGAAGGCGGCCATGTGACAACAGAGGTGGAGAGTGAAGTTATGCTGCCAGGAGCCAAAGAAAGTCCAGGGCTGGAAGAGGCAAGGAAGGATACTCTCCTAGAGGCTTTGGAAGGAGCATGGTTTTGCTGACACCTTGGTTTCAGACTTCTGGCCTCTAGAACTGTAATATAATGAATTTCTCTTGTTTTAAGCCACACAGTTTGTGTTATCTTGTTAAGGGAGCCCTAGGAAACCACCACAAGTTGCCTGTTAGCTATTGTTCAGAAGTCTTATGGTGGAACTCGGTTGGGAATACAATACATGGCTGGACAATATATTGAGGCCTTCCGTAAACATCACTGACCTCTAGCAACTACTTTAGCTAATGCTATTCTTTGAGTATTGGAAAACACTCTCATGACATAATTGTCAGAAGCCCCTGTGCCCCACAAAATTTTCTTTATCCATGGCCTACATGAGAGATTCATCCCTTTGAGTTGAAGAAAGTTTATGCCTTAACTCCCTTTTCAAATAGAAAAGATGCCTGAAGGGGAAAGCTCATTTAAGAGTGAGTATCTCATTCTTTGATTACTATGGGAAGAAAGTAGAGAAAGTGCCTCTGAAAAAAAAGGCGGTTCCCAGGAGCTTGATGGGTGACCTGGAAGTCAAACTCTACCAGTTCAGGATTTGCTCCTCTTGTCCTGGGCTAGTTTTGAAAATTTTAGTAGGAACTTCAGCTATGTTTTGATAATCTAATTATTATAGAAATCCAAGAAATTGATAATGGATACTTGGCAAAATAGAGAAGGAAAGCAGCAGCTGTAGGTTATCATGATACTCTTAACTTTACCTTACTAGTATATTTCTTTCCTTTATGTATGTGTGAAAAATAATTCTTTTCTTCCCCATTCAAAAAGAGATCCAGAAGAAATATTTAATTGCTGGTGAGATTGTGTTTAGAGTTTAGAAATAGAACCCCGAAGTTCTTGAAGGTGGGGGAGCACAGACATTTCCTATGGAGTTGGCTTAAAATTGTATGTGTTAAGATTCTTTCAAGGATCAAGAAAAATTTGTATAAAGATAAAAGCAACCAAGTTGGCAGAGATGTGAAGAAGCTTGCCTCTCAAAGGGATTCTGAGGCGGTTGAACCTAAAGAATTGCTCTTTCATCTCTTCCTGAAGGGAGTTCCTGACAGCAGACTCTTGACTTAAATCAAGTGTTTCCAAATATTTCCTGAGTCCTGCTTTTATTTATATTTTTAATCAGCAACTATAACTAGATATCACCCAAATTCAACTCTAGAAATAAATTCCATGCAGTTGAGTTCAGATCTATTGACTTGCTCCATCAGAGAGACAGAGAGAGAGAGAAAAGTCAGGAGTTTTATATACATATATTTGGAATTGAGATCCTTTATGCAAAATAGCTCGTGATTAGGCCATTAGTCTCTACAGAGTTACTTTATTAATGCACATCAGTCAGTTTTCAGGAAGGTACGTTTCAGTTCAAAAGAAAAATTAAGAAATAGTACAGCATTAAGGTGGAGAAAAATAAAATCTAAGAAAAAAATTCAGCATGAAATTAAAGGAGAGCCTGACTATGATCCCATTTCCCCATCTGAGCCCAGAAGATAAAAACTGTAATAAATTCATTCATCTACACCCACTTTAAATATTGGAGCAGATCAGCAGTTTCACTGATGTACAGCCAGACTTTGAAGTCTATCTGAGCTCTCTGGAATTCAACCAGCCACTTTCCAGACCATGTAATGTATTGCAGATCTTTCCACATTATGCATTCCAGATGGCCACAGTAATTCTTTGTGCATTTTCTCCTTTCTTATTTGGGTTACTGGGGTAATTTGGGAATAAAGAGTGTATGCTACAAAGTGAAAATTGACATACAGTTACTCCGTTGTGCTGCTCAGATGACAATGATGGATATTAAAGAAACTGAAAGAGTTAAATACATATATAGAGAGAGAGAGTGCAAGGGGGTGGGGAGAAAGAATGAGGAGGGAGTTTTCCCAAGGAGTTCTTTTTGCTGCTTGCTAAAGGAGGGAGCTGTGGCTGTGCTGGAAGCACTACGATTGCTTCATAACTGTTTTGTGGGAGTGCAGAGGAATTATCAGCTCTCCTCCCCCGCCTCAGCTCCCTAAGCCAACAGGCCATCACCTTCACCTTGAAGCCAGGTGATCATACAACTTATCTACAAAACCAGGGTACTTCTGAGTGTGAAGGGGGTGCTATTAAGAATTACACCTGGGCAATGGGCCTAAACCCCATTCACAAATCAGGGCATGTGTTTACCCCACCTCGCAGAGTGGCTCTCCAGGAGGATGCTGAGCTGTTTAAATGCTAGTTGTATTTAATTCAGCACTTGCTCAGGGTGAAGAGGCTGCCAAGTGGCTGTTGACCCCCGTGTTTGTGGCGACTGGACTCTCCAGGTCCCCACACAAAGTCAACACGTGCAGTTAATAGGCAAAAAGCGTTTGGTCACCAGACGGGCTGTTTCACCTCTGCGGCACTCACCCTCACTTGGGCCAGCTTGCCCTGAGCTGATTTATGTGGCATCCTAGGGCCCTGACTGAGTGTGCCTTAGGGTTGCTTCATTGTTTCTATTCAGACTGTGAGAGGGATCTGTGAATGAAGTGAAATAATGGTATGCAACCCTTTCTAGCCAAGGAGACAGTCTTCTTAAAAAATCATTTTTAAGATTGCCTTTAAATATCTCTACTGCAAATGCAATGTGTGCTTTCATTGCCATTGTTTTTCTACATAAAGCCCCCCTTTGTCGTCCTGCTGTAGCAGGCATTCTCAAACTTTGCTATACATCAGAATCACCTGTAAACCTTGCGAAAGTGAATGCCAGAGCCCCATCCCTGGAGAATCTGATTAAATAGGTCTCACAAACATCTGGAAGAAGGGTCCAGCTGGAAGAATCTGCAGGAGATAAAAATCCTATAGAAATCAAGCCCTCTGCAATTGTTTTTCTCGTAAAATTCTTCTTCATGTCCATGAAAACACAGTCCTGGAAACCCAGCCAGCCTTCCAGATTCAATGTAGGGAATGACTCCTCTTCCAAAATCATCTGAAAGCGATGACTCTCATCTGGTGAAGAAAGATGGATTTTATTTTCTGAGACACCAAACAAACTATTGCAAGCATCTCGCTGTTTTTCCAAGCTGTTCTCATTTGCTGGCCCTGGTGGTGAGGGCTATGCACACAAGGGCAGTTTTCTTTGCAATGAGGCAGGAAGCTGAGGAGCGTGTTCTTCCAGGGGAGCTGCAGCTTGTGTTTCACGGACGTAAAGGGCTCCCAGATTTGGAGGCAACAACTGGAATTTCAGACTTGGAGCCAAACGCCCAAATATTCTAGGGTTGCACAACAGGAAAAAAAAAAACATGTGTATCTGTGTCTGTGTTTTTGTGCCCAAAGACATGGACAGATAAATCTCACAGAAAAACTTTATTTTTTCTCAAACACTCAGGAAAATTGGCCCTTCGTTTATTTGCACAAAGACCGCTGTGTGATTCAGATGCACACCCAGTTCAGGAATACTCATTGCCATGTAAAATGTAGGCTGTTATGAATATTCTTTTTCCCCTGACTGTGACAATATTACATGTTTATTTTTAAACACTTGAAAAAAAACAGAAAAGGGTAACAAGAAAAGCAAACCACCTAAAACCATGCCTGTCAGAGATAACAAATGTGAATATTTTAGAGTATTGCCTGCTGAGTTTTATATTTTCATAGTACATGTGTCATCGTATGGAAATTTTAATTAGTATGCTGTTTGATCAAGTTTTCACTTAGTGTATTTTGAGACTTGCTCCATATTGTTAAATATTATTTACAAGATTTTAGCTTTTTATTTTCTGGCTGCACTAGAAAGACAGATTGAAAAAACAACTCTGTCTACTATCTAACCAGTAGTTTGTTTCCTTTTTAAAGTATTTATATGTTGCGGCTGCAATTAATTGCCTTCAAATAAAAACTTCTATTTAACATAACTGATGTATTGAAGGTCTTGTTGCATACTGCTGACTTGAAACCTGGGCATTTTAACTCCATCCATGCATGGCCATTGTTGAGGCCGGCCTCTGTGAGGTCAAGCACTTAGAGTAGGAAGTTTGTATTCTGTACATGGACTCCACAAAACCCCATGAAATTCCCCTGCCAAAGTTGAGAACTCATTAATTTCTGCCAGCTTTTCTGAACATGGTTACTTTTGGAGATTTGCTATAATGGCAGGAGTTGTGAATTCCAGCATTTGAAGAATGGGGTTGGGATATTTCTTGGTCTCTTCATAGCTGTCGCCATCGCTACCCGTGTTCCTTTTGGGGAGCAGCAGAGACAGCAGGCGCCTTGTTGGAATCAGAACCTGGACAGAAAAGCTTTTTTTTCCCCACTGGTCAGGAACTACTACTTATGCACACTTTCCTGGCTCTCACTACGGCGACATCAGCTGCTCCTTCAGCACACTCACCTGCTATTGAGCCCTTCGCACCTCCTGTTTCCCCACCAGGCTCTTTTCTCTCCCCTGACCACTCTCTTTTATCAGCTCCATCCCCTCCTATCCTCTGAACTTCTACTTGTTCTTCATGTCGCAGCTTAAGCAAGGTCAAAGCCAACTAAATGAAGGCAACTCAGGCCTTGATCTGCGAAGACCTCCCCATCCTCAGCAATGCTGTGGATAGTCAGATACTTTAAGGTTTTCCAAACTTGATGGGTAAAGATGAAAGCAATATTTTATTAAAAGCTGCAATCACTGTTATTTGGCAGGAGGTGGAGACTTAAATACTTCTCTTTTTTTCTTTTTGAGACGGAGTCTTGCTCTGTCGCCCAGGCTGGAGTTCAGTGGTGTGATCTTGGCTCACTGCAACCTCCGCCTCCCAGATTCAAGCAATTCTCCTGCCTCAGCCTCCCAAGTAGCTGGGACTGCAGGCACCTGGCACCACGCCTGGCTAATTTTTGTATTTTTAGCAGAGACAGGGTTTCACCATGTTGTTCAGGCTGGTCTTGAACTCCTGACCTCAGATGATCCACCCGCCTCGGCCTCCCAAAGTGCTGACATTATAGGCGTGAGTCACTGCACCCAGCCAACTTAAATACTTCTTAACAGCAGACTGTCCAGGGGAGACCATCCCCAGGGGACACTTGGTAGATGTGTATAGAACTGGGTCTTCATAGTCTATGAAAATGGAGTTATCGGGTGCTAAAATTGCTTTGCATGTGAAAAGGAGAAAGGTATTTATATGAAGGAGGCAGGGAAGCATTTCTGTACACTTCTTTTATTTTAGGCTTTTTTGGAAAGGTAACAGGATTGCCAAGATGTCTATGTCCCACTTTGACTTTGGAGCTGGGTCAGGCCTTCATCTTAGTGGAGAGAGACCAGAAACTGAAAAGCTGCTTTCATGGGAGATTTTGTGGGGCTCTGGGCACAATCAAAATTATTTGGAGCCCAGAAGGACAATACTCAGCATCTCTGTGATACCCCAAAGATCGGCAGCTTTTATTTTCCATGCTATATTCTGCCTGTCTGGTTTTTGCAGGTAGGTAGGGAAATAATTGGCCTTTTGGTATTTATTGATATCAAGCAACATTATCAAATTTTCCTGTTAGTTCCAGTGATGTTTTAGCTAATTCTCTTGGATATTTAGGTAAATAATCAAAGCACCTGGAATAAATAATTTTCCTTCTTCTTTCTTGTGGTTGTGCTTTTTACTCTTATTTTACGCCTTTTCACAATGAGAGAACCCACATTACTGCCAAATTGGGTGGAGTAATTAAAATGCTGTTGAGCTTCTGAGCAGCTGTGGTAATGATGGATTTGAGAGCAGAGAGGTAGGAGGCTGGAGACAGAGCAAGCAGCTAAGAAAC
Source organism: Homo sapiens (assembly GCF_000001405.40). Lineage (NCBI taxonomy): Eukaryota > Metazoa > Chordata > Mammalia > Primates > Hominidae > Homo > Homo sapiens. The sequence goes on from NC_000009.12 coordinate 86,798,665, forward strand.
CACTGTAACATTTCAGGAGAAAAACAATGATGTCCTAAGATAATGGATACAAATTTGAAAACAAAAAATTATGTATAGACACATCCATCCAACCATCCATCCATCTATCTATTCATGCATACATATGCCTATATTTTAGAGGCCATATTGAGTGTTTTTGGTGATGTGTAAGTCAACAAAAATAACTCTCAGGTCCCCAGCCTGAAGCTTGGTGGTCTAATTAATTACTAGCAAAGAAACATTTTAATAGACAATGAAATCATTCATTTATCTGTAAAGGAATGATGGGAAGTATTTTCATTAAAATGTCCAATATGCAAACACATTTAATACTGTGGATTTAAGAGAAATTCGCTGTTATTTTGATTTTTTATATTCCTTTGCGGTCTGAAATGTACTCTAGCCACACCCCACACTCAGTTAGCACGTGTACAGTGCTCTTCCAGCCTCCAGAGCCACTTTATAGGAGTGTGATCTCATTTGGGTCCCACAGCAACACTGCAATATGTGTAATGATAGAAAATAGCATCGGTAGACATCTTCCAAGTGCAAAACACTTTCCCTTGATGGGGACTTTGAAGCTCACATATGCATACCTTGCTGGTTGCTGGTGATTTATGGTTCAGCACAAATGCACCTCTTGAAGTTCTCTGCACATAATATACATGATGCTCCATGCTCCTATGCTTTTGCAGCTCTGACTCCCTGCATTGAAAATGCTTTTCCCTGCCCTGTCCAGTTGCTGGGTCCTTGTGCCATTCAGGAAGGACCTTGGCCCTTTTCCCCAGGGGAATGATGGTGGGGAGTGAATAGGAAAGGCACGCACAGGCAGCAACAATCCTTGGGAGGGAAGGCCTGGCTGGTGACCACTGCAGGGCAAGTGTGGTCAGGACACAGTCTGCTAAAGGTGGCACAAGCTTGGTCCTGCCACTGTCTCTGCTGTCCATGGAGAGAACAATGGCAGCCCGGCAATGCCAGTCCTACATCTGAACTCTGAGACATCCTCCTTCCACAGCTCTGCTCATTGGTCAGCTCACTCCCATCACCAAGGAAAACAATACTGGACACTGATCTCATGTCCCTGCCCCACTAGAGTGTCATCAATGTGTGTGTGTATGTGCGTATGCGCGTGTGTACACATGTGTGAAACCCACTTCTCAAAGGAGAAAGGAAGAGAAAGGAAGTTTGTTTGTTTTATAAAGGAAAATAAAGCAATGGAACAGAATTGCTCAGAGGTCCAGTTGTAATTAGTTACAACTCTTGTTCCCATGTCATTTCCACCAGGAAGCCTCACTCTGGCCCGGCCCCTACCCTGGGCTCAGTGCACCCACCCACCTGAGTGCTTATGCTGCCCCTGCACGTATCCATATTTTGGCACATGTAGTAAACAGCACTCTCCTGGTGACAAATGACAGACTACCAATTCAAATTAGTTTAAGGAAAAATAAAAGGAGATGGGGCATTTATTGAACCAAATACTCAAATGCAGAAAGGGTTGGGGTGGAGCTGGCCCTGGGGTGGCCTTGTCCTGGGACTTGGTGCTGTCAGGAGTCAATGTCTCTGCCTCATCGTTAAGTGGAGTTGGCCTCACTCTTTCCTGCCATAGCTGGCCTCCATGGCCCAGAGGGTGAGCAGAGAGGGGAGTTTACCCCGCCAGCTTCAGTTTGCACAATCCTGAAGAAAGTTGTGGTTTTTCCAGGTGGGATAATAGGTTTATTCTCACACAGATTGTTGGGGTTAGAGGGATGATGCGGATTGATTCCTAAGGCCAAGGACTTGGTCTGTCTTTAGAAGTGCAGTGGGAGGCATAGACATGGTGAATGGAGAAGTCTCATGGCCTGGGAAAGTCTTCCCATTCATGCCTTTTGGGAGTTAATGATCCCTCTGTACTGTCACTATTCTGACTTCTCTGTCCCCTCACTCATCCACAGCCCCTCAAGGATAAGGATGTGTCTGTTTTCCCTTGCGTACCTTTGCTTTAGCACAGCTCATGGAATTCAGTAGGTGCTCACTGAGTATTTGAAAAGTGACTATGAATGAGTGGTTGAGCCCATGTGTAACAGTAGGATCCAAATTAAATCCGGTGCCTGCACAGGGAAGCCTCACCCAGGCATAGCTGCAGCACATGTGTTCTCAGACATGTTTTTACGTGAAGAAGAATTTAGAACCCAAAAGCTTTGCCCCTCTAGGTGACTTTTTTTTCACTCTTTAGGCTTGGGCCATGTGGCAGTGGGCCTGGAACTCCTGTCACAGATGTGAGTTGTATACTAAGTTACCTTCAAAATACTTGTGGACCCTGAAGGTTCCAACCCTACCCTGAAGGTTACACCTACTGTTGGATCTTCAAAGTCTCTTCCATGGGTCTTGCCTCTCCTCACACTGGCTCCCCTCCACGTCAGGATAGAGGCACTGAGTTTGCCCAGAAATGTCCACCTCTCCCGGCTAATATCAAAGATCTCCCATTATGGTTGGTTTAACTGAGAGAATTATTTTCCTTCATAGCCTTCCTAAATTCTTCATGGCAACATCACAGTCAGAAAATGCTTAAGCACTTTGTTTTCTAACCACCCTGTTTGCAAATAAAAAGTTAGGTTGACATGACTTTCTCCTGGAACGTTCTTTACATTGCACTTTGCCCATGAGGAATGTTTTGAATCCCAGCAAATTAAGCACTTTTCAAACGTGGTGTTTAAAATAATAAAGAACTCTCCCCGGAACATTTAAGCAGGGCTGGAGGCTTTCCTGGCCAACACCTGTGATTTGCCAGCTGTTGCCATGGAATTTGGCCATGGAGCTCAGTGTACTTTTCCTAACATTCGCTTGGCAGATGTCATTACATTAAGTAATACGTTTAAACTCCTAAAGAGAACCATTTCTTTCCCTTATGACTTGCTGGACAGGGAATGAAGTCATTTTCACATCCAGCAGAAAGAGACTTTTGCATTCATCAAAAATGTAATCAGACCCCTTAAAATATGAGGCTGACTCTGTCCTCAGGCTGCTAAGGCTCCCCAGTTCAGAGCAGACACTATTTTGGAGTTCTGTGGAGGAGATGCCCTTAAAAAAAAAAAAGAACCCTCACCTGAAAGTTTAGTAGGGTGGTGTAGCTTTGCTGGGGAGCTGTTGCTCTCAGAAGTAAATGAGACTGTTTGAGGAGATGTTTTGCTGACGCTTGGAAGGCTGTGAGGAAATGTGTCATGGTGGTAATGGAATTATCACTGGCCTGTGCCTTTTTTTCACAAAGTCCTGGGATATTTTACACTGGGTCTCCATGATAAAGGATCTTTTTAAACATTGGTTGGGGGAAAACCCACATACTAAAATTGCTTCTGTGCTCTTTTCTAAACATACTTTTTAAATTTTTTTTTTTTGAGTTGGATTCTCGCTCTGTCACCCAGGCTGGAGTGCAGTGGCATGATCTCGGCTCACTGCAACCTCCACCTCCTGGTGGAGAATTCAAGCAATTCTTCTGCCTCAGCCTCTGAGTAGCTGGGATTACAGGCGTGCACCACTGGGCCCAGCTAATTTTTGTATTTTCAGTAGAGACTGGGTTTCACCATGTTGGCCAGGATGGTCTTGATCTGTTGACCTCGTGATCTGCCTGCCTCGGCCTCCCAAAGTGCTGAGATTACAGGCGTGAGCTACCGCGCCCAGCCAAATGTACTTTTTAAAACAATTATTGTCTTCTAAAAAGTGACACATTGATTCATTAGCAATTTTAGATTTAATGAACTTAAGAATTTATAATGGTAAATTCTACTAACTGCTAAATTCTGCCCAATTTAGTTTCTATATTAAATGCATTTTCAAGGAAAATTACAAATATTTCTTCCTTTTTAACTTAGCAGATTTATTGTAAAGTTAATCTGGGAGAATATTTACAAAACCAGTAAAGATTTTGGAAAAGAAAATAATAAGGAAGCACTGGAGTTATCAGATATAAGAAAATAGTGCGAAACTATAGTACTTTGAAAAGCATGGTATGAAATAGATTACTTACTTGAAGTGTTCAGAAGCCATCTCTGAAAGCTATAGGCATTTAATGTATAACAAAGGTGACATTTCAGGTTATTTAAAAAAGGATAGTTTATTAACTTTGTGGTATTGGGACAAAGCAAAGCTACTTAACACCATAAACAAACATAAATTCTAGGTAGATCAAAGATCTGACTATGAAAAAGAAAGTGGAAAAAATAAGGAAAGACAGATAAAAGTTTCCACAACATTTGGATGTAGGTTTTATATGTGTGCACATGTATGTATATGCATGTGTGTGCATGTGTGTGTGGGTACATGTGTGCATATGCATGTGTGGGTATGTATGTGTGGGTGTATGTGAACACATGCATGAGTGTGTGTGGGTGCATGTGTGCAAATGTGTATGTGTGTGTAGGTGCATGTGTGGATATGCATGCATGTGAGGGTGGATGTGTGGATATGCATGTGTGTGTGGGTGGATGTGTGGATATGCATGTGTGTGTAGGTGGATGTGTGGATATGCATGTGTGTGTAGGTGGATGTGTGGATATGCGATGCATGTGTGGGTGCATGTGTGGATATGCATGCATGTGAGGGTGGATGTGTGCACATGTGTGTATGTGTGTGTGGGTGCATGTGTGCACATATGTGCATATGCATTTTGTGGGGGGTGGGTGCAGGTGTGCCACGTGTGCATATGCATATGTGTATGTATGTGTGTGTATGTGCATATGCATGTGTGCGTATGTATGTGTGTGTATGTGTGGTGTATGTGTACAATATGCATGTGTGTGGGTGGGTGCATGTGTGCACGTGTATGTATGTGTGGAGGTGCATGTGTGCACATGTGTGCGTATGTATTTGTTGGGGTGGGTGCATGTGTGCAAAAGTGTACATATGCATGTATGTGTATGTGTGTGGGTGCATTGTGCTTATGCATCTGTGTGTATATGTGAGTGCATGTGCACATGTGTTTGTGTATGTGTGGGTGCATGTGTGCATATGCATGTGTGTGTATGTGTGGGTGCATGTGCACATATGCATGTGTGTGTATGCATAGGTGCTTGTGTGCAAATGCATGTCTGTGTACCTATTTGTGGGTGCGTGTGTGCATATGCATGTGTGTTGGGGTGCATGTGTGCATATGCATGTGTGTGTATTTGTTGGTGCATGTGCACATATGCATGTGTGTGTATGTATGTGTGGGTACATGTGTGTATATGCATGTGAGTGTATGTAAGTGTGGGTGCATGTATGTACATGTCTTCCCCATCTTAGCCTCCATACTACTCTGAGAATGATATAAAAACCAAGCAGAAGCTTGTCTCTCCCTACTTGAAACCCTACAGTGCACTCACGCCGACTGCCTTAATATAATTGCACATTGAGCACTGCACCATGTCTGCAGCCCCAACTCTTATCAGTTTCCCACACATCCTCTATGCTTCACTTATACCAAAATCTCAGTTTCTGAACAAGCAACCAGCTCTTTTGCCTCTGTGCTTTGTACATGTAATTCCCTTTGTCTGAAATGCTCTTCTCTTCCTCCTTCAGTTGAATGCCTTCTATTCATCTTTTTAGCCTCAATCAAAACATCCTCTCCTCTGGGAATCCTCTGGTTATCCCAGGCAGGACTAGATTCGCCTCCATGATGTTACAGCATCAGAAGTATCTCAGCAGCGCACTTACTCAACTAGATTGGAATTGCTGGATTTTGAAAGTTTTATTTTGATATACGGTAAAATTTTCTCATAGGAAACAATTTTTCTCATAGGATAGAAGGGTATAGAGTACTCAATAGAAGTTTACCTCTTCCCCATCCCAACTTCCCTTCAGTCACATTTCCCAGAGTTAACCTCTATGAAGGTTTCTTACATCTCTTTTCTGAGATTATCTATAGGTATAGACAGAGATCTACCTTATCTCACCATCCTTTCCTCACACAGACAGAATCGTAGGGTATTTACTGTCCAACATTTTGCTCTTTTTACAATTATTATTTTTTAGTTGTTTTTCTTCCTGAGCTGTCACAGAGATATCGGCGTGAAAGGCAGCCCTCTCAGAGTTGATCAGCGCACATCCTACATCACTGTACAGTGCAGTCCTGCTGTCTCCCTCACTAAATCGGAAGCTCTCTAAAGACAAAGACTATATCATTCTGTTGTTTCTATATAGTTGCTGCTACTATAATTCTTGGTATGTAGAACTTCCTGAGTGACCTGTAAATGACAGAAAAATCTATAAATATGACACTTTATATTCCCTTGGCTACTAACATTCATGGTCATACAACATCCTCAGTTCTCTAATATTAACATAGCTCTGAATATATCCTAGAAGGGTAAATACTTTTCCAAGCCATAAGGGAAACAAGGTTGAATATTAAACCTAGTCCTCCTCTTAGTGATGTACTTGGATCTCTATTAGGTGGAAAAGGCTTTGGGATCAGTTACTCTAATCATTTATATCTGTGGCTTGATTTTACAGATAAGAACCTTAAAGCTCAGAGTGGTAAACTGTCCTGTCTAGGTCACGTTAGTGATGGAGCTGAGAATTCATTCTGGGATTTTGGACCCTGAGACACACCTCCTGTCTCAGCCCCAGGAAGATGTCACATGGAAGGGCAGACTGAGCAGTAGATGTGTGAGCAAAACTTTGGGAAATGCTGGAAACTCCTTGGAGAACATAATGCTTCGTGACTGCATACTTAGGCTAGACCAGGAATCCTGCTTTCTCACTCAGGATGCTTTGAGCTGCAGTAGAAGAAAGCCTTACCTAAATTGGTTTAAGCAAGAGGGGAGTCCATTGACTCTCTTCCCTGGAAATCCAACTGTGGGCTGCACTTTGGGGTTTGTTTCATCCAGAGACCTTGGCTCATTTCTCTGAGATCCCCTTGGCTACATCCTGGTCGGCACATTAGCATCATCACTGGGCTGGCCTCCCTTTCAATAGCAAAATGGCCATGGTTGGTTCAGGCTTCACATCTACACCCTGCTAATTCAAAGACAAAGAGAATGCTTCTGCCAAGCCTTCCCAGTGACAGTCTGAAAGTCACCTTAATTGTATCAGCTCAGGTGACATGTCCACCCCTCAACCAAAAATTGTGTCCAGGAGACTAGAGCACCGCTTCAGTCAACCATGCCCTTCTCCTGAAGCTTCCACCAAAACAGAGATGACATGGGCTGGGTAGAGGAGGGGCAGATGCAGGATGAGACCTCGGTACTGTTAGGAAGGGGAGGGGAGGGTGAAAATGAAATGAATGCAGGTAGGCAACCAACAAAGGCCATCCACAGTCCTCCCCTGTTATCTTTTCCTGCAAATGCAAGACCCGAGCTAGAGGCCTTCTTCACCCTATGAATTCCCAAGGCTCTCCAAAAGAACACTCACGTGTGGTCACAAACCAGTCTAATTGGCCCAACTGAGATACCTCGGGGTTTTTTCCATTTCCTTTTGTTCCTTCTGCCTATTCCATTTCTACTGGATACTGCCGTTTTGGCCATGCACTGCTAAAACTTTGATGAGGGATTGCCAGGCCATGGTCTTCCCCTGGCACCACAGCCTTCTCTCATCAGAGCTCCCTGCGGATGTTCTACCCCAAAGAGAAGGAGAACATGCATTTGTTTTACAATTTGTCAGAGAGGCCTCAGAGAATAGTTTCTTGTGCCCCAGTATCTCAGGGAGTTTTGGGGGAAACAATTCTTTCAAACTTTTTATTTAGAAAAAGATTTAAAAGACAAATAGGAGATCACACACTTCACTAGACTAAACTGACCCTCCTCTCCTCTACAGTGCTCCAATCTTCATCACCAAGCCTGACTGGGCAGCCTGGATCCATCTTTCTTAGGATAGGGGCTCATAACAGGGGCATCCATGAACTTGACTGAGAAAAAACATATATATCTCTACTTTTGACCTCTAGCTGAAATTCAGCATTTCCTTCAATTATATGTGACCAGCAACAACTGTAAGAGCACTACCTGTGACTTTGTCACCAACAGAAATCTCAGATCTTTTCATAACCTATACAATTGCTACAAATATCTGAAAACATTGGTTTTTGCTCTTCAGTACTTTGGAATTATAGTAGTAATTAACTCAGCACCAGATCTTGTTATTTAAAGAGTCAATAAAGAAGCACACATACTAAAATATATATTGAGTGTTTTAATAATATTTTGACAGATGCATTTTGATATAATTGATTGCCCAGGTTATCCTATGTATTTTTGCTAAATTCATATAAAAACACTATTTTGAGAAGTTACCCATAAGCTTCACCAGACTGCTAAAGGCATGCATGGGCTAGAGGTGATATGTCCCCAAACTTGGCATGACTTATTCCCTTAGTAGAGACATCACGGAACTGGCTTTTTACTTTCTGTGTTAATTTATTTCCATCAAGCATGTCTTCAGTGTTATAAATTTAGAATCTGATTATATTCCCTCCTTGCCCCTATATTTCACGTCTGCTCCCCCATGGGAAAAAAGCAGACAAGCTCCGTCACTGTTCAAGGCTCACACTGTCCAGGGCCTCAGTTGCATCGCAGGGGCAGATGGGAGCATGGATACTTCGTACATGGGCCTTCATGGTGCTCTTCACACTCTGTGGTCTCAAATGAGCTTCTTTCTTCTTTTCAGTTAAAGATTAGGCAAAAATAATCAAATGCCCTAGTTTCCTTATAGCTGCAAATTGTTTTGAAAAATGCAATACAGACACCGCCCTCCCCCAGGACAATTTTCTTCTTCAAACCAAGAGTGGGGGGAAAATGTCATCTAAATGTGAATCTAAAATGTTGATCTAATTACTGAACCCCCCAATATTTCAAAGGCTTCCAACATTTTACTTCTTTTTCCCTCTTGCTTACTGTCTGTTACAGATTCTCAGGCCTGTTTCTGAAACCTCCCTCGCCTCACTCTGTCTCTCAGCCTTTCCACCGTCTGTTAGAGAGAATTTCAGAGTTCAAATGAGAAAAAAATCACCACATCGACACGTCCAAATGCTTATCGCTGTCTTTGGCAGCATTTTTGTATAACAATTCAAGCTACGTTCTCCGTTTCGACCTCGAATCATTTATAAAGGCAGGTCTCTCCCTGACGACGCAGGGAGAGAATAGGCTGCCAGCGTGGGTGGTCTGGGGCTCAGGAGCCCAAACTCGGAGGGAACAGATGACATCATGGATTCACATGGCAGGTTTATGAAGCTGCAGTTCAGCTCTCCGGAGCAGTAGGCCCAAGTTGCTGCATTATCTCTGCTAGAGCATTCAACGCTGGACAGACACGGGACAGGGAGAGTAGGAAATGATATTTTTTAACTTGACATTCAGGAAGATTTGAAGATTTACAAGCATTAGCAGGATACTTCTGAAGCTCTATACACTGGGGGAAGGGAGGCTGGGCTCATTGCACCCGAATGATTTTGCAAACCGGCACACCTACCCGTCCCTTTGCCTGTCTGATTTGCTAATTCTGTTTTTTTTTTCTTCCCCCTCCCAAAAAGACTGTTATTGGCCTTTTCTCAGACTTCTGTTAGGCATTCTGGGCTGGCACAGAGGATCACTGAACACCACTTTCTTCACGGGCCTGCAGGAATTTCAATCTGGGGTGAGGTTTATGCAAACACAAATTAAATCAGACATCCATGGAGTTTTCACCAGATTTCAAGGTTATCGGAAAACACCTGCCCTTCATAAGAGAATGTTCCTGAATCCTAGCCCAGGGACCCACTGAGCTTTCTGCTCATGGTAAGGAATCTGAGGTTACAGGCACGAGGCAGCGCTGCATGGGCTTCACGATGCATGTTGGCTGTGAAATGTAGGCATCAGTTCTGTGTATCTGATCTATTATAAGCAATTACTCTCCATTTCCTAGTTATGTGGTACTATTGTAATAACTAATATGTTAGATATTTTCTTCAGTAATAGCTATGGCTTTCCCCAGTAGCTAAATAATTACAGTTTTTAGCTATAATCTTCTCAGAATATCTTAGCTTTTTTTTTTTTTTCTCTGAGACGGAGTCTAGCTTTGTCGCCCAAGCTGGAGTGCAGTGGTGTGATCTTGGCTCACGGCAACCTCTGCTTCCCAGGTTCATGCAATTTTCCTGCCTCAGCCTCCCGAGTAGCTGGGATTACAGGCACCCACCACCACGCCCAGCTGATTTTTGCATTTTTAGTAGAGATGGGGTTTCACCATGTTGGTCAGGCTGGTCTCGAAGTGATCTGCCCTCGAGTGATTTGCCCGCCGTGGCCTCCCAAAGGGATTACAGGCACAAATCACTACACCCGGCCTATCCTAGCATTTAAATGCTTAATGGATCCAGCCTACATGAGCTGGATCTTAGATTTGTCTCTTGGTAGTTTTGTGACCCTTGGACGAGTTATTTTAACCTTTTGTTGTCTCAGTTTCTTTGTCTGAAAAGTACGACCATAAGAATTAGTATCTGATTCATAGTATTGTTTGGAGAACAGATAAGTTAATACGTATAAAATGCTTAGAATAGTGGTTAGCATATAGTAAGTGCTGAATGAATGTTAGCTATTTTTTATTACTGTTATTATTATCTTTATCATTTTCCTTTTTTTTTTCTTTTGAGACACAATCTCACGATCTTTCCCAGGCTGGAATGCAGTGGTATGATCACAGCTCGCTGCAGCCTCAAACTTCTGGCCTCAAGCAATCCTTCTGCCTCTGCCTCCCATACTGCTGGCATTACAGGCATGAGCCACCACACCTGGCCATCATTTACCTTTTTGATTGACGTTTTCTGACATCTTGCCCAAGGCATTTTTGTGGACATTACCTTTCCTTCCATCAATGCACCCTGTCGTGTTAAAGAACACAAGATATCTAAGTGTAAATGTCTGAAACTCACACGGCTTTCATCCGCAACTGCCCCAAAATTCAAAATAGGAGAGAGTCTTAGGAATGTCTGAAGATTTATGACTGTTTTTTAAAAGAGGGGGAAAATTGTCACCAGCAAAGGATAGCCTTGAGTTTCTTTTTCTGACCCTGCCATAGCCTTGGGAGCAGCTGCAAGGGGACTTGGTTGTCATAAAGAGGCCATGCAAGGATGCTACAGACAGCTGAGTCGCAAATGCGCCTGAGCCGCTGATCTTCGTGGGGTCCTGTAATAAACACTCAGTTGTCCAACGAAAGGAGTCTGACTCCCACAGGGAAGTTGCCAAGAAAAATTGATCAGCCGATGGATTTTGCTTTTTGTAAACTCTGGCACTTAGACATTTCCCTTTAACAGCGTTTGAGATGACTTTGCTAGGGCGGCAGCTGGAATGGGAATCAGATGGTGTCGGAATGGAGCGGGGTCAAGAGCCTGCAGAGCCCATGGAGACAAAAGACCTAGCTTCCAGTTCCAGCCACTCACAGGCTGTTGCTGGCACCTTCTCTCAGTCTCAGTTTCCTCACCTGGAAATGAATGGAGAAGAATAGTATCTGCCTCCTGAGTCGATTTGAAAGGCTAAATGAGATAATGTACATGTAGAAGGATGTCAGTGTTTAACCGGGGTTGCCATGGAAACAACAATGTCCCTGTGGTGGGGAGTTGCTTCTTTCCTTTGTCTGCTGCTTTGGAATGAGTGGGTCGCTGCCTCTCTCCTCTCTTTTTTTGGTGGCTAATGACTTGGGATTTGGTTTTAACAGATTATAAGACCTAGTGACAATAGGGAATACAACCTTGGGATTGAGGATGAAGACAGTGTGTAAGGGGGGTTCCCTGGGGATGGAGGGTGGGGTGAAATAGTGTGGAGAAGAAGAACAATTCTGGGGTCAGGATGCCCAGGGTGGAATTCTGGGGGCCAGCCCCTGGCAGTGGGGCAGTGCCAGCTGAGATCATGGAGAGGAGGATCAGAGGGAGGGCTGCGATTTCATCTTACACTGTTACCTACTCTACACCATCAGAATAAACTGACTTTCCAATGGACAGAGATGCCCAGCAGGCCTGCAGAACTGGTTCTGCTCCATCCTTGGGTGCCTGGTCCATGGTTAGCTTGAAGGGACCCTTGGATGCTAAATGAAGTGGTAGGATGAGCTTCCACCCTGGGCAAGGCCAAAGGCTGGGCTGAGCCAAGGAAGGACTGAACGTGACTGCTGAGTGGGGGCAGTGGTCTGTGAGCACTACTGCTATAGGCTGAATGTTTTTCTTCCCCCAAAATTCATATGTTGAAATCCTAACCCCCAAGCAATGGCATTAGAAGGTGGGGCCTTTGAGACATGATCAGTCATGAGGATGCAGCTGTCATGAATGGGATTAGTGCCCTTATAAAAGAGACCCAGAGAGCTTCCTTCCTCCTTTTCCATGTGAGGAGACAGTAAGAAGCCTCCATCTGTGAACCAGGAAGTGAGCCCTCACCTGACATTGAATTTGCTGGCAACTTGACCTAGGACTTCCCAGCTTCCAGAACTGTGAGGGATAAATGACTGTTGTTTATAAGCCACCCAGTCTATGGCAATTTGTTATAGCAACTTGAACGGACTGAGGCAGCCACCTCACATGTGGATGCCCTTCACATGTGCTGGACACTGAAGGAGGCTGTTACTACCATTTTCCCTGGTTGTTGAGAAAAACTTTCAATACAGCAGTTACAAACACAGCTTGGTGTTTTTGTTTTTTTTTTTATTTAAATATTTTTCAACTGGCTACTAGAAAGTAGCTGTTTGAGGTAAAGCATCACCTAGATTCTCATAGAAATTTCTTTGCAATGCCATCATGCTCAGGGGTTTTCATCTTGAATATAGGAAGATGTTTGTTATTGCTTGCTTGAATATCTGTAGATGCCACTCAGATTTAACATTTCATTTCTTTGTCCTTTTTTAAAATTCTAGATGAAAGATCCAATATCTTTATTTTTCCCCAGATTCCCGCTGGGAACAGGAGCCATTCATAAACTTCCTCTGAAAGGTAGTCCTCCTGCGTCACCTCCTTCAGGACTCACAGCAAGTGTCCCAAGAGGACGGCAAGATGTGACGGTCAGATCACATGCCTTCCGTCTTGTCTTTCCAATCACCTTTCTTGGCATTCTATAAATCATCCCTCCTGCAAAGCCAACACCTAGTTTCTAGATTAGGTGAGAAAATGATTATGCAAATTAGTGTCTTATCTATGGCTGCATAAAAAATTACCCCAAACTTAGCAGCTCAAGACAACAAACATGTATTATGTTGCAGTTTTGCTTTGTTTTGAGATGGAGTCTTGCTCTGTCACCCAGGCTGGAGTGCAATGGCACTTTAAACTCATGCTCTCAGCTCACCGCACTCTCTGCCTCCCAGGTTTAAGCAATTCTCTGCCTCAGCCTCCTGAGTAGCTAGGATTACAGGTGCATGCCACCATGCCTGGCTAATTTTTGTATTTTTAGTAGAGACAGGCTTTCACCATCTTAGCCAGGCTGGTCTTGAACTCTTGACCTTGGGATCCACCCACTTCGGCCTCCCAAAGTGCTGGGATTACAGGTGTGAGCCACCGTGCCCAGCCTAAGTTGCAGTTTCTAAAACTCAGGAATCTGGAGGCAGCTGAGCTTGATGATTCTGGTTCAGGTGTCTCCTGTGGGTGGAGATTGCTCAGCGAGGAGTCCCACTGCTTTGAATGGGATGTTGGCAGGTCTCAGCTCCTCATTGACTGCTGACATCAGCTCCTCACCACACGGGCCTTTCCATAGGCTGCCCAAATGTCCTCAAATGTGGCATCTTCCTCCACAGGGAGTGTTTCCAGAGAGAGCCCAACGTGGAAATCACAGACTGTTTGAACCAAATCTCTGAAGGTAACCTGCCATCACTTTTCTGCATTCTATCAATCATGCAGACCAACCCTATGTGCTGTGGAAGGGGCTGCCCAGGGCATGAATACCAGGAGGCAGGGGTCATTGGAGGCCAGGGACCACTGGTATAAAGTCTTTCACATTTTTAATATTGGTTCTCCTCAACACACACACACACCCTTCTTGCTTGCTTGCCACTAAAACTTAATTTGTCAGGCTTTAAAAGGGTCATCATATTCAGATATATTGGCCACTTTTTTTTCCCTACTGGAAACTTTAAACTCATGCTCTGTAATTGTATGTTTATTTAGCAAACAATGATGATGTGGCAGACATAAAATTAAAAACCAGGGTGGCAACCAAGGCCCAAGCACGACAGCCTATTTGGGTGTTGACAGGCATGTGTTTTGCATCCCATGAGCATATGATTATCCATAGCTTCCATGGGAAATTGCACAATGGCCATTGCTCCTAACAACCTCTCCCTTCCCTGGAGCCCCCTGTCTGGTGGAGGACATTGCTGAGGGCTATGGTAAAGGGAGCCATGGAGGAATAAAAGGGGGCAACACTGTCTACCGGGTAAACCAGGGGGCTTCCGACAGTGGGGAACAGCTTGAGCAATTCCCTTGTATGTCTCCCCACAGAACAATGCCTGAAAAGTGCAATGATTTTTCTCAGAGTGACTCTTCATTTCAGAGGGAATTTTAGACTAAATAATCTTTCTTACAGTTTAGGGTCAAATTCACTTTGCAACTCTCTTTCCATTTATGCTTCCCCTCAACCATGTCTCATAAAAGCAGGCTCAGCCAGGCGCAGTGGCTCACACCTGTAATCCCAGCACTTTGGGAGGCTGAGGCAGGCAGATCACAAGGTCAGGAGTTCTAGACCAGCCTGGTCAACATGGCGAAACCCTGTCTCTACTAAAAATACAAAAAAATTAGCCAGGCGTAGTGGCGCATGCCTGTAATTCCAGCTACTTGGGAGGCTGAGGCAGGAGAATCACTTGAACCCAGGAGGCGGAGGTTGCCATGAGCCGAGATCATGCCACTGCACTCCACCCTGGGCAACAAGAGTGAAACTCCATCTCAGAAAAAAAAAAAAAAAAGCATGCTCAACGCTATACCCCAGGAAATGATATAGTCCCACATACTTGCTTTACTTCACACTCAACATCCTGAACTCATTTTCTTTAAAACTTTCCTTCCTGCCACTTATCTCCATGCTCATGCCCTGGTTTGGTGACAGATTCTCCAAGTCAATCTGGGTTTGCATCTGGCAAAGAAGGCACAGTGAGGACACCCATCACTCCAGAGTGAGTTTTAACCCATAACAAAGGAAATTCAGCTAAGTTACCTAGATTGTCTTTTTCACTCATCTTTTTCTTGATATTTCTCTCCCCTCTCCTTATTCTGCTCTTGTAGCAGAATCATAGAGACAGAAAGTGAAATGAAGGTTGCCACAGGCTGGGGGAGAGAGGGAAATGGGGAGTTACTGCTTAAATGGTGCACTAGTCCATTAGCACCGCTCTAACAGAATACTACACACTGGGTTGCTTAAAAACAGCAGACATCTATTTCTCACAGTTCTGGAATCTTGGAAGTCCAGATCAAAGTGCCAGCAGGTTCGATGTTGGATGAGGGCCCGATTTCTGGTCCTTCCTTCTCGTTGTGTCCTCACAAAGTGGAAGGGATAAGGCAGCTCTCCTCTTTTATGAAGGCACTGATCCCATTCACGAGGGCTCAGCCCTTATGACCCAATCCCTTCCCAAAGGTTTCACTACCTAACACCATCACATTGGTGATTAGGTTTCAACAGAGGAAGTTTCGTGGGACACAAACGTTCAGATCATAGCAAATGGGTATGAAGTTTCCACTTGAGGAGATGAAAATACTTGGGAGATGGATGGTGGTGATGGTTACACAACAGCGTGAATGTACTTAATGTCACTGTACCATACACTTAAAAATGGTGAAAATGGTAAGTTTTATAAACATGTATATTTTACCACAAAAACCATAAACCCAAACCAGAAAACTCACTTATTTCCATTGTAAAAGGAGGCGTCAGAGCTTAACAGTGGGATTTGAAGTTACCGGTCACTGTTCAAGTTCTGTAGCATTAACCCGATAGCTGTTTCCGCACTCTTCTGGTAACTCCATTAAACAATTAAACGGGAATGGAAATAATTAAAATGCCAAATTCCCCAGCCTACTTCTTAAGCCATCCAGAAATTAGGCCTTAGTGTAGGAGACAGGAGGAGGGCCCAGCTCTATTCCAAGGTAAGTCAGCATGGCCCAAAGTCTAAATCAGGGCTTTTATGTAACTCATTGCAACCAGAAGTAGTTGGGAGCTTGCAGAACCCACCAGTGTCTGAGACCTTCATCCCTCAGGAGTCTTATTTAATTGGTCGGGGTGAAGGGGGGCGGGCTGGGAGGGGGTGGTGGGGAGAGCCCAAACATCAGTATTTTCAAAGACTCTCTTGGGGGTTCTAATTCGCCATCAGAGTTGAGAGCTGCAGTTTAGAGAGGACACATCTTGAAGTGTAACACCACTGATCATCTCTTCTTCCGGATTTCAGGAAAAGAGTAAGTTCTGTCTTCTGCAGCAGATAAAGCAAATGACTAGTCCAAGTTTTTATATTGTAGATGTCATAACTGGGATAGGCTAGATCTTAAATATGAAACAAAAACACAGTACACATTTTGCCTATGTTGGGAGCTCGGGGGGATGCTTGGAAGAAATGGAAACAGCCGAGAGAGCGCCAAGCTGGGGCTGGGGAAGTAGCATCGCTCCTGTACAAGGCCCGAGGGCAGCCGGCACACCAAAGCAGTGTGAGGACAGCTTGCTGCCATCCCACGAGGGCTTCATTACAAAGGGATTCCAGGACAAAAGTCACTTCCCAAGTCAGTAGGGAGAAAATAATCATGATGTAGGCAGTCCTATTTGTGTTTGTTTCATCTCATCAATAGAAAGGTGCCCTTTATTTTTTATTTTTATTGTTTTGAGACAAGGTCTCACTCTGTCACCCAGGCTGGAGTGAAGTGGAGAAATCATGGCTCACTGCAGCTTTGACCTCCCGGGTTCAAGTGATCCTCCTGACTCAGCTTCCCAAAGTGTTGGTATTACAGATGTGAGCCACTGTGCCTGGACCTCTCTATTTTATATACCATGAAAAAAGAAAAAACATAGGCTCCGTACTCAAATATAACACAGCATTTCAAACCACTTAGGTTGATTTACTACTTATTGAAAGAGCTCTTTTAGGCTTATTTAAATAGAGATTATTATCTTTATATCATTCTTGTGCTTATACAAGAAAGAAAACAGAAACATTAGTTATGGACTTGCTAAACCTTCTTTACATACAGAGCATGATCAGCTGAATAATTTTCTTGACGCAAAGCTGTCGATGTCCAGGATCGTCCTCTAGGCTGCCAGGAGGAGAGGGCTGGGGCCGCAGCACTTCAGAAAGATGGCTGCACTGTGGTCGCTGGGGCTTCCTTTGAAGTCTGAAACCCACTCAGCAAGATCTGAGCTGATGCTTCCCTCACCTCCCGTGCAGGTGAGAATGGAAGGCGTATGGCCTACAGCCGGGACTCCTCTTCCTTCCTGAAACAGTCCTCAAATGCCTGGTTGACAAAAACATCAAGCTCATGGTCTCGACTCTAGACATACCATCAAGCTTTCAGGAACAATAGGCATGGCAGGAGATGACAGCCACATCACACCTGTCTCCAGCCTGTAGTGGTTGTGAGAGTCACTGGCTGTAGCGTGCCTCCTGATTTCAGAGATGTGAAATTATGAAAGGATGTGTACATTTTAAATGGATGAAATAGGGTGTTTATATCCATCATGAATTGAATGCCTGCCATGGGTCAGGCATTGTGTTAAAATGACAGGGGTGGTGTAATTCACACTCTCTAACAATCTCCAAGGTGCACATGATCTTATCATTTCATAGAAGGACAAACCGAAGCTCAGAGAGGCTAAGATCTCATCCAAACCACACTGCTTAAAAGAGGCTGATTAGAATTTGCACTGAGGGCTGTGTTTCTTGAAAGCCTATGTCTTTCCAGCTGACCAGGATGCCTAATTCTTGTCAGTGGAAGGGGATATGGGAAGTAGAGCCCAACCTTCAGGAAGTTGGAACTGGCAAGGAGCCAGGTCCATGCCTAAGCAAAGGGGTTGTTTAGGACAGGACTTTGGCCCCAGTAGGGTACTGGTAGGGAGTAGGGGGCAAGTAAAATGATCTGAAGAAGGCAGGGGCCAGGAAAGAGGGTGCAGTCCAGCCTCATAACATCCGACCCCAGCTCAACTCCCTGTCCCATCAAACCCTGGCCAGGAGACATTCAAGGGCTAGGCCTGGCTGAAGGGTCCTTCAGGGAGGTAAGGGCTGGCTCAGAAGGACAGAGAAGATGAGTATGTATCTCCATAAAAACTAATCAAACTTAGAATAAATAAAATTGATTTCGAAGATAGCTGAAAAGGCTGTAGATTGCCAGGGAAGAAGCTGGAATATAAGCAAACTGCATATGTATAATATTTGAGTGTATATATTCTATTAAGAATGTAGATGCTGAGTTCAGATCCCAGATCTGTCTCTTATCATTCCTAGCCATATGACCTTGGGCAAGTTATTCAATTGTCTAGACCCTCAGTTTTCAAATCTGTAAAATGGGTACTATAATAGTCTCTGCCTCATAGAGCTGTTATGAACTAATGGATGTCAAGCGTTTTAAACAGTGCCTGTTGGGCAGTGAGGGTTTATAACCACCTACTTGAGTGGTTACTGATGTGGCGTGGAATGATAGATCTCCATTTCATATGGTCGAAAGTTACCCCGAGGAGCAAGAAACTTCAGGCTTGTCCTTCGTTTTATCTCCCCATTGCCAGTGAAGTTCCCCAGAGGCCCAAGGAGACCCTGCTGATCATGTGGAGGTACAGGCAAGGGGCTGTCTCTCACTCGGCAGCTTGGGGGAATTGATACATCCACATGGCAAACAGCTGTGAATGCTGTCGCCTCCCACTGGTGTAGGTTCTACTGGAGAATAAGAAAGCTTCTCACTGGCACCTGAAAACTATCTGGAGGATTCCTGATGTGGTGGGAATGCTCAGATGGAAAAGGATTTGCCTCAACTGTACTCTTTGTTCTTAAAGTTCCTGGGAAAGGAGCAGACTTGGTGGATTCAAGGTAAGAAATGAGATGACAACAGTAGGGCCTGGGTCCACGAGGCCCTTTGCTTCTGTGTCTATTCACTGGAGATTAGATATAATCTGGTTATTAGCAGACAGAAATAAAAGACTAATCAGAGTCCGTTAATAATGGAAACACTTAATATTTACAACCCCTTACTCTGCAATGGTACCTGTTATAAACACTTGGCCTCTATTAGTTCATAAAAGCTGTATGAGGTAGATACTATTATAGTACTCGTTTTACAGATTTGAAAACGGGGGGTGTGGAAGATTGAATAATTTGCCCAAGGTCAGATGGCTAGAAATGACAAGAGACAGACTTGGAATCTGAACTCAGCATCTACATTCTTAATAGAACATATATATTCAAATGTTAATGGCAACGGCAGCCCATCTGGAATGGTAGCTGTGAAGACTCTGGCTGCCACCAGGAAGACACCACCGGGGCTGCATGCTCCATGGAGCCAGTGGGAGCTGGACACAGGTGGGAGCCCCACCCTCTCTGGCAGCTACAGCAGCCCAGCTGTGGCTGCAGACCTGGGCATCCGTGAGCTCTTGGGCACCAAGAAGCCCCCTTTCCCTGCAGGCTCAAAAGCCCCCTTTCCCTGCAGGCTCAGAAGTGCCTGCTCCTACTGCCTGGCCTCTCTCCACTCCCAGTGCCTGCTCCAGGGCTGAGCAAAGTTGTGGCCAACCCTGGGTGCTGTCACAACCCAACCAGGTGTGCATACACTCAGGGCAGCACTCACATGCCAGACCCCTGTCGCCTGGACCCCATCTGGACTTTGGGCACTGATGAGCACAGGATGGAGGCCAAGGGTGGGGATGAGGCCCTGCAGGTGCCCCTTGGCACAAACAGCCTGGGTGCTGTGGATGGTATGTAGATGGCAGCAGGAGGCAGACAAGCTCCTGGGTAGAAAGGGGCAGGTCTACCTGATGAAGCCCCACCTTCAAGCCAGGAACGTCCTGAAGCATGGGGCCCAGGCTGTCACTTCCAGGTGGACTCCAAGGTCCAGAGTGAGAATTTATGGTGCTTTTTCTGAGCCCACCCATGGCAGCCCATGGACCAATTGGCACACACTTCCTCTGCTCTGAAGTACATAAAATCCCAGACTCAGCCACAATCTCACAGACTAAAGAACGACCTGCCTGCGGAAAGGAGCTACCATCTCCAGGTCTCCTCTGAGCTGTTCTGTTACTCAGTGAAGCTCCTCTTCACCTTGCTCACCCTCCAGTTGGCCGTGTACCTCATTCTTCCTGGACACGGGACAAAAACTTGGGTCCTGCTGAATAGCGGGACTGAAAGAGCTGTAACACAAACAGGGCTGAAACACACCTCCCTACTCACCGTGTTGTGGATGAGAAGGAGAGAAGAGTGGTAGCCTTTTGGGGAGCCCAGACCTAGGGGCTCCCTGAAGCAGGGCTGTGACACCCTTTTTGGGGCTCTGTGGTTTCTGGCATTTCCAAGCTTCCAGGTGCCACCTGCAGTCCCCTTGTCCAGACGCATATGCCTACACAGAAGTCTCTTGAGGTGCACCTGATCCAGCTGCAGGTTTGCACAGAGCTGGCACCTGTGCCAGCACCTGAAGCTGCCCACCCGTGCCAGCACCTGAAGCTGCCCACCCCACTGAAGCAGCCAGTGTGACTGTCAGTGTCCATGGCTGTGCACAGTGGCCGAACCCCACGCTTGCTCACACATGCACCCCTCACCACTCTGTGCCTGGCTCACCCTTGACAGGTATAGGATCCAGGCCAGTAGCACAAGCCATGTGCAACCTGCCAGGCCGAGTAAGCAGAATGAGCCCAAAAGGCCTGAGCAAAATTCTAGCAAAGGTGCCACTGGTCACAGAGGCTTCTGGCTGGAAAAGAGACACCCCAAGGACTGTGACAATATTATACATATGCAGTTATGCTTACATTCCAGCTTCTATCTTCCCTGGCAACTTACATTTGTATAACATTTTCAGCTATCTTAAAATTTTTTTTTTATTTTTAGTTTGATGAGTTTTTATGGAGATACATACCCGTGTAACCACCACCATTACCAAGATATACAACAGTTTCATCACTCCAGAAAGTTCCCTTATACTACTTTACAGTCAGTCCTAAGTCTGCTCTGACCCCAGGCAACCACTGGTCTGCTTTCTGTCACTACAGATGAGTTTAGTATTTTCTAGAATCTACATAAATGTAATCATACTGAATATATTCATTTGTATCTGGTTTCTTTTGCTCAGCATAATGTTTGTGAAACTTATCCATGTTGTGTGTAAGTGGTTTGTTCCTTTTTATTACTGAGTAGTATTACAGTGTGTGGATATACCATTGTTTGTTTACACCATCAGGTGTTGATAAAAATTTAGGATATTTTCAATTTCTGGTTATTCTGAATAAAGCTGCAGTAAACTTTTGGTACAAGTTTTTGTAGGAGCATATGTCCTTATTTTTCTAGATCAGATACATAGAAGTAGAATTGCTGGATCATTTGGCAATGATCACACATTTTATTTACAAGAAACTGCCAGACTGTTTTCCAAAGTGGTTGTTCACCTTAGGGTCCCACCAGCAGTGTGTGAAAGTCTCCATATCCTCGCCAACACTTAGTAAATTTTAGCCATTCTTACTGGTGTGTAGAGATAATTCGGTGGTTTTAATTTGCTTTTTCCTAATAACTAAGGATGCTGAGCACATTTTCATGTATTTATTGACCATTTATACATTTTCTTTTGTGACATGTCTGTTCTTTTGTGACATGTTCATTTGCATCCTCCTCTCTTTTAACAAAAATGGGGAGTCATCTTATTTTTGAGTGATAGGAGATGTTTATGTATTCTAGACTCGAGTTCTTTCTCAGATATATGCATTGTGAATATTTTTCTCCCTCCCACATTGTGTGTGGCCTCTTTATCCTTTAATGGTGACTTTTAAGAAGCAGAGATTTCAAATTTTGATAAAGTTCAATTTATCATATTTCTTCATTTATGTCTGTGTGTTCCTTCCTTACTCCAAAGTTGCAAAGATATTTCCCCATGTTTATCTCTGGAAACTTTATAGCTGTAGTTTGACACTTAGGTCCATATCCATTGTGAGTTAATTTTGATTTGATGGAAGGTACGGCGGAAGTTCATTATTTTGCACATGGGTGTCCAATTGTCCCATGGCTATTTGTTAAAAACACAAAACAGAATCTTCTCAGCACCAAATGACCTGGCACTTTGTGTGGGCCTGTCTTTGAGCCCTCTTCTTGGTTTCCATTGATCTATTTGTCTGTCTGGATTACTATGGTGCTATCATAAATCACAACATTTTATTGTTTACAAATGCCTTTTTCAGGTAACAGTGGCATCCCAGCCCTTCTGTTTTCTCATAAAATCATGATGACAAATGATTCATCCCAGGTCACACAACTGAAAAAATGGCATAGTCAGAAACTGATACTGAGGGTTCTCACCCCAAGAAGATCTGCCTCTCGAGGCCTGAGGGGAATTCTACAGCAAAACCTGCAGCCCTAAACTCCTGCAGTTGAAAGCCTGGGATTCTGTTTAACAATAATGAAAATCTTCAATCAGCACCAAAGTGGAAATCACGCACTAATTGGAGTTCAATGATGCAGATAATATGGATTGGAGTACGCTGGCTGACAGAGAACTCCCCAGCAGCTGAGGCACTTTCTCTGCATTTCAGCACTAGCAACAGAACCCAGAACAAAAAGGTAAGAGACAGAAGCTGTTGGGAAAATTGTGTTCCCCGTATCTGTGCATTTCATTTCTACCTGCAATCCAGACCCCTGAAGAATGAACTGTGGACAGACTTCATCATCACGAACACTCAGAATCCTCTGTGAGTGAGAAGGACTGTGGACCAGCAGCCACTGCTGAGCAGTGTCAAGGGTACATCCTTTGCTTTGGAGAGAAAGTCATCACATTCCTCGCCATTGGTCTAAAAGTTAAATTTGGCTAAATGCTTTAAAATGTTCAAGTTACTTAATAAGTAACCATGACAAATGAGGCAAACCTGATTTTGTCCTTCAGTGTTCGGTCATCCCTTTAAGAGGAATGACTAAAACATAATAATACTCTTAAGGTGATCTCATTCTCTAAAAACATTCCTTTATATCATGTTTCTACATAAGCATCTCATCCATGTAGCTGTTAACTTCAAAATTAACTCAGTCATTTAATTTAGTTCTGTTTCAAGTAACTAAGTCCTTTGTAACTCCATGGAAGGAAAATAAATACGAATCAACTTCATTATTTTTTTCAGGAGAATTTGATATTTTCACTGTTTATGATTCACAGCAGTACTGAAATCCAAAAGTAAACTGTATAACTAATTATGTCATTTAAAGAATGATTCCAAATGATTCAATTCATGGAAAGCTGTTATGAGAAAATGAAAGAAAAGTAAAATGGGAGAAATTTCAAATTCAAAGTAAAACTTACAGGGTTTTTATTTCAGTTTTAAAACATGTCAGGTTTTCACTGCCTCATTGGCCGTTCCATGAGTTTAAGGGGGTAACATCTTGATGATGAGGATGCCCCAGGGGACACCAACGGAGAAAGTTTGTGCAAACACTGTGAGACCAGCAGACCTGGAAGGAAATAAATAGCTCACCCTAACCTCCCACTTTACAGATGATGAAATTGAGGTCCAGACTTGGGAAGTGAGGACAACTTGGGTGGTCCAGTATTGAATAGGCAGAGGGAAAAGTCGGGTGGGGAGGGTGAGACATTTAGAAAAGAGAAGGAGGAAAAGTTATCAGATTTGGTGAGCAGAAAAAAAGGAGTTAAGTTAGCAAATTTAGAAATGAGAGTACTTCCATGTATCCTTACGGAGAGATAAAAAAAAAAGCAAGAATAAACTGTAGAAAGTTTTGTATTTTTGCACTAAAAAAGTGAGGTGAGCCAAGAACACAGTGGGCTTTTAACCAAGTAGGATTAAGTTTCTAGCAATAGCCATACTAGGCATGCTGCACTTATCATGTTTTGTAACAATGAGTTACATTATAATGTGGGAGAAAAAGCACATTAAAGCAAAGTTAAAGGTCATTGGAATGGGGCAACATTTGGCTTACTGAGCTACTGCACCTTAGGAGGTAATCTGGGAAGGAGTTTGGGAGAGCTTTGTGTCAGGCGCAGAATGAGATCACAAAAAGAAAAATACGATTTATGTATGAAAGGGTGGACTTAAGACTATGTTCCAAGAATGCTGTGGGTATCATGGGTCCATAAGTACCTTCTTGTTCTGACTTAGTCATTGTAGTAGGCATTACTAGTGCTCAACAATGCCCAGTTCTCTGGCCTTTCCTGGCCACCCACGACCCCTGTCCACTTGCAGATAGGTGGGGCCATGTGATCTGTTCTGGCCTATGGATTGTGAATGCAAGAGTCATGGGGAATCTATCACCAGTGAATGCAACTCTCCAGCTATCTCTTCCCCTTCTGAGGGGATCACAGTGCCAGGAGACATGGAATTAAAGAGGCATGGATTGCTGTGTCTCCACATCAAGGTAAGCTGTCCTTGAGAATCACCAGACCTACAGTGGACATTGCAAGAGTGAAGACTAAACAAACACTATATATTTAGTCACTGAGATTTGGGGTTTGTTTCTTACTGCAGCAAGCGTGTACCCTAGGCTGACTAATACAATCATCTCCTGTGGATGCATATCCACACCGTCTTGCTCATTCTATGTGGTAACATCATTGCCTGAAAGAAAACTTGGTCTGGGAAATTGCAATTCATTCTCCTGCTGATCCATGCAAGTTGACTTGGGATTGTAGCAGGAAGGGTTGGACACAGCAAGAGTGTGGTTGTGAGTGTACAGTCATCCCACATTTTCTTTGTAAGGTCAGAGGAAAAGTTATGCTTTGCTGAAAACTGGAAAGTTCATGATGACTTGGGTGAAAGAAAAGAGATTTTGAGAACATTTAGAAACCTTTGAAATTTACCAAAATGGCAAGGGAAATAGCAGGAGTCCAATGTTTATGCAGTATATGCACTGAAGGGAAGCCGACCTGGAAGACTGGGGGAGGAGAAACCAGGAGGACCTACATGAAAGCAAGAGTGATGGGTTCCTCAGACCTCCTTCCAACATGTCCAGTAGAGAGTGGGAGGAGAAACTTTGCAGTGAAAAAGCCTGACGAACATTACCTCAGTGGGGGGACCAAGGCCAACCCCAATGCTGAAAAGTCATGTTTATCGAGACTATGAGAATGAGGTCTTCCTCCCAATAACTCATAACCCCAGTTTTATCATGCGAAAATCCCCCAGAAAATTCAAGTAATAGGGCATGCTATGAAATACCTGGCCAGTACTCCTCCAAACAGTCAAGGTAATTGAAACAAGGAAAGCCTGAGAGACTGTCACAGCCAAGGGGTACCTAGGGAGACACAACAACTGGAGGTGATGTGGTTTCCTGGATGGAGTCCTGGAACAGAAAAGAAACGTTAGGGAAAAACTGGGGAAATCAGAATAAAGTCTGGCTTTTACTTAATAATGTATTGATACCGGCTCATTAATTGTAACGAGGTAATCATACTAATGAAAAATGTTAATCAGAGGGGAAACTGGCTGTGGGGAGAATGAGAACTCCCCATACTGTCTTCTCAGTTTTTCTGTAAATCTAAAACTGTTCTCAAAACAAGGAAGCCTGTTAAAAAGGAACAAATAAATAAAGGGCAAAAAATAAAAAGGCAATTTTACCTGAGATGGTATCTGATGAGTATGCCCCAATAATGACCTATCCTCAGTTTCTTTACCCTAGGCCCATTTTTCCTTTATGAAACCGATGCCAGAACTAAAGACATTTTGTGCTATGTTGTACTATTAGATGACTGCACTTAAAAAAAAAAACTGAGTTTATCTTTTCTGAACAAGTTAACAAACTCATTTTACTTAATGAAAGTCAAGTGGATATTTTTCTAAAAAGAGAAGGGGAAGGGAAAACAATTTTTGACTTAAAGAGGTAGGTATTTGCATCTTCATTTTTTTTCACAAAGGAAACTGAGGCTTACAGAAGTTAAACAAAGTATCTGAAAGTTCTAGGTGTCGTAAACGGCAGAGCCAGGGGTCTTAGCCTATGTTTCCCTGCCTTGAAGCTCCTCCCTTTTCCATTCTCTGTGAGGCACACTAAATGCCCTCACACAGACAACAGGTGGTTACATGTCATGTTTCCAGGCAAGGAGGGTGGTGGTTCTGGCCTGGGAAGTAACTCTGGGAGAGCCTGTTGTCCATAAGGAAGTGGGGTAGGCAATGAATAAATACATGACTTTCAGGGCTCAAAAGACAGAGCCATTTTCTCCATCCTTTGGCTGCCTGAGTAACCTGTGACCTGCCTTCACTCTTCTTGGTATATTTTTCAGTCTCTAGGGTGGTTTTCCAAGTTTTATTTATTAAAATTTGTTCAAGTGAACTCACACGTCCAACAAGCAAAACTAGAGGATCCCTAGTTGAAATGAGGCTGGGTGTACAACCCCTGTATCAGTCAGGGTCTTCCAGAGAAGCAGAGCCAATAGGATATAGACAGATGTATAGAAGAGGAGATTTGTGATGAGAATTAGATCATGTGATTGTGGAGGTTGCGAAGTCCCATGACATGCCATCTGCAAGCTGGAGAACCAGGAAAGTTGGTGGTGTGATTCAGCCAAGTTCAAAGGCCTGAGAACTGGCAGAGGAGGGCCCTCGTGTAAGTCCAGAGTCTGAAGGCCTGAGAACCAGGAGCATCAATGTCCAAGGATGGGAGAGAACGGATGTCCTAGCCCAAGAAGAGAGAGAGTGAGAGTTCACTCTTCCTCTGCCTTTTGGTTCTATCTGAGCCCTCAATGGATTGGATGGTGCCTTCCCACACTGGTGAGGACAGACCTTCCTTACTCAGTCCACTTATTTAAATTCTAATTTCATCTAAAAACATCCTCAATGACACACCCAAAGTAATGATTTCCAGCTGTCTGGGCATCCTTCAGCACAGTCAGATTGATACATAAAATTAACTATTACAACCCCAAACTCTTGACTCCTCCTCTAGCCCTAACGCCACCATCCCTAGGTCTCCTAATGCAATATTCTGTTAAGAACTACTGGTCTGTTACATTCATGAAAATGTGGGAGCCATTTGAGGATGCTAAAAAGAAGGGTGCGGAAGCTCACACTGAAATCCTTCAAGGTCCTGTGCAAGGAGTCACCCTCACGACAGAGCCACAGGTGCAAAGGATTTCATAAATATTTCAGGAAGGCAACATGTGGGTGACCAACAACCCAGGCTTTTTTCAGGATCGGAGTAGACTGAGTCTTTTACTGAGTACTGTCAAAAGAAAATGATTTAAGTGACTCAAGCAGAGGTTGGGTCTAAATAGAGTCTCTATTTAGAGACTAAATAGGTTCTAAAGTCTCTGTTCCACAGGGGCATATCAGGGAGAACCTGAAACTTATCTGTTTAAGCAGAACCAAGGTTTTCAAAGGGTGGGGGTGGATTGAGTACATATCCTTGCAGTTTTTGCATCAGGTGGCAATTTTCATCTTTAAGAAAACTTATGGTTGGTGATAGTTTGTTCCTGTTTTTGTGTCTGTTGCTTGGGATGTTTGGTGCAATCCCAATAACCTGTGAGAACTGTTTTGGCAAATGTTGAAGTTTATTGGTTAGTCAAAGTTTATGGTAAAAAGGAGGTAGAAGAAAAACAGAAAAGAAGAGAAAGAGGGCAAGGGTAGAAGGCAAGGGGGAAGCAGGAACGCTGTATCTGTTTGAGTGCTTTTACAGCACTAAGTAGTTGACTTGCACTGGTGGAATGGAAATACGCATCTGTAAACACCAGATGGAAGATGCCCACAGTTTGCAAAGGAGCAAGTCTCCCTGGGGTGCAGAAGACACACCTCCTACTCCTGCCTCACCCCAGATCTGCCTCAATGAGTGAAATCATGGGGTGCAAGGTGGTTCTGCTCTCTTCATGTTATTTTCTGTTTTTCCCTCCTTCATCCTGTCCTTTCCCTCTCCTTTTCTCCTCCCTACACCTTTTCTTTCCTGCTTCTCCCTCTCCACTCCCTGTCTTGTTCTCCCTTCCTCTCTCTTCTTCTGCCCTTCCTTCCCCAACACCACCACCCTTTCTCTTGGGCCTATGGTTAAATTTGAGTTGTTAAATGAGCAATACAACTGCAGGTAATTCCTTTAGATCAGATCTCCCTAGCCATCTTGATGTCAACTTCTGCATTTTTCATTTTTATAGAAAAATAAAATGAAGCGTACTCACATCTCTTTGGTCTTCCCTTCCTTCCTCTGGCTGCCCCATTCCTCTCTTCCTTGCAGTGCCTGTTGCCTGTTCCTTCTCTCCATCTATCAGAGTTGTAACTGTCATCCTGCTGGGAACGTGCCTTTGGAAATGAGAATCCTGTGCTTGGTCTAGTGGCCTCTCTTCATGTGACACTTGTAAAGCCCACCTTCTTTGGAGCACGCCACAGCAGC
Source organism: Homo sapiens (assembly GCF_000001405.40). Lineage (NCBI taxonomy): Eukaryota > Metazoa > Chordata > Mammalia > Primates > Hominidae > Homo > Homo sapiens. Next base: position 86,827,051 of record NC_000009.12, read on the forward strand.
CCTGTGTGAGTGCCACTCTCTACACCCGCTGGAAGAAAGCTTAAGGGAATGTAAGACTTAGAGGGTTCAGCGTGAGACCTCATCTTTTTATTTCGTCCTACTCCAGACTCCAGAATACCTGTCAAACTGAGGCTGGGAGATTATTCATATTTGGAAAGTGCTGCATTTGCTTCTGTTTTCATTGATGTTGGGATACCTGTCTTACATATTGTACAGAAAAGGGGGTAACTGCAAAAGAGAAGCTTCCACTAGTGGTGCAATTAATTAAATGGTAGTAAATAATAATTTGAGAAGTTGAATATGTGGTTGACTTTACAACTTTTAAAATAATGTGAGTGGTGGCAAAAAGAAAAAAAAACTTCAACATCCCAAACCACAAATCACATTTTGGTTGAGGTTGTTGTTCCCTACAAAATAAAAAAGGTTTGGAAAAGACCATTTGAATTACTTTTTTCCCCACAAAGTTTGAAATTCTCCCTCTTTAAATGATCCCTGGACAATTCACATGCCTGTCTAAGTTGGAATTAACATTTCTACATGAAGACTTACTTTGATAATATTAATGTTAATTTATGTTAAAAAACACTGTATAGTTATCAGAGCAATTTCATAGATATGATCTCGTTCTATCCCATTGCTGGCTGATATTCTCTTTAAAGTACGCTTCCAGAAGGTAAAAGGCTTGTCCAAAGTACCTCATCCAGAATGTTCTGGGCTATACCTTGATGTCCTAGCTCAGGGCTCAGCAAATGGCAGCCATGGATTGAATCCAACCCACCATGTACTTTTTGTCTGGTACAACATGTAAGAATGGGTTTTACTTTTTTGAACGATTGCAGAAAAAAACTTTACAATACAGGAAAAATATTTAAAATCCAAATTTCTGTGTCTGTAAGTGAAGTTTCCTTGGAAAACCACGTTTGCACATCATCCATGGCCACTTTGTTGCTGCAAGGGCAGTGTTGAGTAGTTGCAACAGAGAAGATATGGCCTGAAAAGCCAGAAATGTTTACTTCATGGTCCTTGACAGAGTTGGCCAACCTCTGTCCCAGATCAAGGGCTTATTCCATTGCTCAAGAGCTGTCTTACTAGAGGCCTAGCAGACCCATGGACAAAGGCAAAGCCACATTAGTCTTGTTTGTGAGCCCCTTAGAAGAGGCTTTGAAATTGGCCTGCAATGAAAGGCTAGCACTTTCCTGCTCAAGAGCACCCTTGTCCTTCTGAGTGGTGAACTGCAGAGTGGGATTGAGTATCCAGGCTAGCAGGCAGCTCCCTCCTCCAGTGGGGCATGCAGCAGTCCTAACAAGACCTTTCCTAAATGAAAGGGCAGAAAAGCAGTATTCTGTCTCCCCTCCTCCCTTTCTCCTTACCAGGAAAAAGGGGTTCATTAACTAATGAGCCATCCTTAGACATAGGAAGGACAAAATGTCCCAACTTAGAGGGTAAGGAGACAAATGTGGATGGAAGCAACGAAGCACTCTGCTCTGTGTTTGTTTTTAATGCAGGTTGTTTGATATGCTATTCTGCTATCCCTATACCACTTTCGACCTGTGGAAGGTCTTGTCTGCTGTGGTTGAGCATGGAAGGGTCAATTGGATGAAGAAATCAAGTATACAGAAGGCTTACTCTTCTCTCAGCAGACCATCAGATTCATTTTGACTCCCTATTTTTTTGCTGCCACCCACAAAACATATGATCTTCCCTTTTCTGAGTACCTATTATATGTCACTCTATTTAGATTTAAATAGATGATCTTATGTCACTGTCTCCACCATCCCATGGGGTTTACCCAGAAGGGAACTGAAACCTGGATTGTCTAATATTTTTTCTCAGGCACCAAGCTGGTACCTGATCTCTATGATGCCAATATCTGGGCTTTTCCCGCCAAACCTCAAGAGCTCTACAAAGTCAAGTGCATCTTCAATCAAGGGCGTGTTTTTGCTCCGTGACTCCATGGGGTTTACTCAGAAGGGAGCGGGGTCCTCATGACATCTTCACTGTAGAGGAGCTTTCTCTTAGTTGCATTTCCTCAGAGCATCAACTCCTGGGACCTTATGAGAAATTCTTTAAAAAGAAAAAAATTTGAAAACTCTGTTTGCAGAACAATAAAGTAAAAAAGGGCAATCAAGTTTCTTTGGCCAAGGACTTTTCGGAGCCTTTTACAGGCAGCATTTGCAGCCATCTTCCAAGTGAATTCTAGCAACCAGAAGGGAATCTGAATAACTGAAACACAAAGCTCTTCCCAAACTTGTGTTCTTAGAAATACTGGTTCTGACACATGTGAAGTGTTCTGCAAAACAAACAAATGAATAAATAAAAAACTGAGCAAGATGTCATGCTGAGAGGCTTGTTTACCTTGCCCAACATCTAGACCGGGGAAACAGAACTAGAAAAATAAAATAATTCCAATAATTAAATAAGGGAATAATGCATGCCTCCCAAAAGCATAGCATAGCCCAGAACAAATTTTTCATTTACTTTGTTTTCATGAAAAAAAAAATGAAGCTTCCAAATATGCAAAATTGCATAATAACAGGCTATCGCTAGGAGAGGAAGCCACACATTAAGAAGTATCTAATGGCAAAAATGCAGTCATTGTATGAGCAGGGTAGGGGGGCCCCAGGCAGAGGGCCTGTCCAACCATTTACAATGCTTGGGGCTTACAGAGTGGGCCAACAGTACAGCTTTCTCAAAAGGATGCCTTTTATTCAGTTAGTTAGGGAATGTCTACAAGTAATCATATCCACCTGAAGACTCCTGGATTCCAGTCATTCCTCCACACTTAGCATGAGCAAGTTAGCTAAAATATCTATGACTCAGTTTTCTCAGCTGTAAAATGGGAACCTCTAACCCATAGCCATGGATTCAATGAATTATATGTTTAGTGTGCTTAGAACAGTGCTTGATATGAAGAAAATGCTATGTAAGTGTTACTGTTAGCATTAATTTTCTATTGTTTTTATTTGTTGATGTTATTGTTATTCAGGGGCTTATTGAACCACCTACCCTCACAAGAACAAAGAGGTCATTATGTAACTTCTCTCTTCATATTTTTTGTCTCTTTTTCTTTCTGCTCATTTGATCTTCTCTCCATGTGGGCCTGTTTCATTTTATTGTGTACATGACCCATCACTGTTGTGTTAAAATGGAAGCCCAGGCCGCAGCACACATCCTCTGCTAGGACAACACCCCTCAGACAGCAAATCAGAGGCCTACCACCCTGCACCTTCAGGATCCTTGTAAGAGATGGCATCTTCTGGTCCATAAGGTGACCCTTTCCACGTCCCCAGGCAGCCCCAAGTCTCCAAAAAAGAAACATACTTAGTGGGGTGAAAATAACAGCTATGTCTGGTGCTGTGTCCCTAGGCTAAGTTCACCCCAGGCACACTGGACACCAGGTCAAGACAGCAGACATTAGCTAGACCCTGAGTCAACAATGGAGAGGAAATTCCCATTCCACCCAACTGTCTGGGCTTCCATTGACTCAGGACCTGGGGAAGACTCAGCACACGTAGCAGAATTTTACAGCAGACCTATGGGTATGCCTGGGGTGGTTGCAACTGGTAATATGTACAAAAATAACTAGCACATGGAAGAATTTGCTTATTTCCATCCGTTTGCTCACTTGTTGAACAAATATTTATTGAGTGACTTCTCAGTGTCATGCTAGGGAATATGCATTTTAAACATTTCATGAGTAGAACAAATAAACATTTTTAAAGAGATAAAAGATATTTTTATAATCTCATTAGTGATACTCTCAACCTAATCCTTTATGTGAGTAGTTCATTCATTCTGGAGATTCCTGAGGATAACAACAATATATATTGTTTATCTTATTCATATACTTTAAAATTATTATTATTGAATCAACATGCTACAATCCTCATACAAACCAATCACTAGAAATTGTCAATGACATTTATTATAGAATATTTAATTCATGTAGTAATAAAATAATATATAAAACATATTGATATGTATTTAATAATAATATTGAATATGCAATACATATGAAAACCCACACATTCCCCATTAAGCCTAAGAAATTGAATAATGCCAATTCCTCTGAAGCTCCCTGTATGCCCTCCCAGGTTGGATCGCCATCCCTCTCCCAAGAGTAGACCATTTTCTTGAATTGCTATGGATCATCCTCTCGTGTTTCTTCATAGGTTTTATTTTATGTGACTATATCTCTAAACAAGATATCACTTAGTTTTGTCTGTTCTGGAATTTCACATCAATGGAATCATATTGTATGTGTTTTTCCTAGATAGATGGATTTTTATATCTATAGAAATTTTATAGATATATAGAGATATAATACATATATCTAAATACATTATGTATAATATATACGTATATGTATAAAAGATGTATATATACAGATAAATCTATATTGTATATATATTCAGATATATATTTATATAAACAGATATATATGTGAACATTGACTACATTATATTTCTTTGTTTTGAGACAGAGTCTCGCTCTGTCCCAGGCTGGAGCGCAGTGGCACAATCTCAGCTCACTGCAACCTCTGCCTCCCGAGTTCAAGCAATTCTCCTGCCTCAGCCTCCCGAGTAGCTGGGATTACAGGCATGTGCCACCATGCCTGGCTAATTTTCTGTATTTTTAGTACAGATGGGGTTTCACCATCTTGGCCAGGCTGTTCTTGAACTCCTGACCTTGTGATCTGCCCGCCTCAGCCTCCCAAAGTGCTAGGATTACAGGCATGAGACACCACACCCGGCCAACATGATACATTTAAAATTTATTCAGATAAATACAAATAGCTGGAATTCAGTTATTTTACTGCATAATATTCCATGCATGACTGCACCATGATTGATTGATTCATTCATTCCCCTCAGACTCTTTTTAGAATTTTGCTATTAAAAATAATAAATGTACGAGCATCTTAGCCATGTCTCCTGGGCAGGTGTGTGGATGGTTCTCCTGCACCTGGAAATGGAGTGCTGAGTCACGAGGAAGATGTATCTTCACATTGACCAGAGAACGTGAGATTTTCTTTCTTTCTTTTTTTTTTTTTTTTTTGAGACACTCTCACTCTGTCACCCAGGCTGTAGTGCAGCGGTACAATCTTGGCTCACTGCAACCTCTGCCTCTTGGGTTCAAGTGATTCTCCTATCTCAGCCTCCCCAGTAGCTGGGATTACGGGCATGCACCACCATGCCTGGCTAATTTTGTATATTTAGTAGAGACGGGGTTTCACCATGTTGGCCAGGCTGGTCTTGAACCCCTGACCTCAAGTGATCTGCCCGCCTTGGCCTCCCAAAGTGCTGGGATTACAGGTGTGAGCCACCATGCCCAGCCAACACGTGATTTGCTATAGTGGTCGTACCACCCTACTCTGTCACATCTCAAGGTGATGTCTTTGTCCATTTTGGTGAGTAAAAAAGGGTATACTGTGATCTCATTTGGCATTTCTCTGATTGAATATCCTTTTATATGTTTATTGACCATTTGGATTTACTCTTTTGTGAATTGCCTACCCCTGTCTTTGCTTATTTTTCTATTTTGTTTTCTATTTTCTGTGTTTGTTTTGTGTATATACATATACATAGTTTTGTTTGTTTTGTGTATATACACAGACACACATGCATACATACATATATGTATTAATATGTCACATGCATATAATACAATTATCTCTCAGTTTACAGGTTTTCATGTTTTTATTTTTTATTGTGTTCTTTGATAAACAGAAATTTATATTTAATGTAATCTAGTTTTTCTACCTTTTCCTTTATGGCTTGGCCTCCTTTGTCTTAAGAAATCCTTTACCACAGTGAAATTAAAACAACCACCACCACAAACACAGAAGTTATCCTATACTGTCTTCGAAAAGTTTTAAATTTCTTCTTTTCACATTTAATCCTTAAATCCATCTGACACTGATTTTATGCATTGTGTGTGGGAGGGATCTAATTTCATTTTATTTCTCACAAGGATAACCAGTTAATTCTGCACTATGTGGTCCTTCATTCACCCTTTTTTCCTAGATCTTCAATGCTACCAGCCACATATGAAATTTCCATTTATGCATGGGTCTATTCCCAGGCCCTCTCTTCTGATTTCTTTGGCATTTTAGCCTCTATCTGCACTGGTGACATATTGATTTATTTATTATACCTTTTCACTAAGCCTGAACACTGGTGGGGCAATCACCTCCTCACCCTTCATTCTCTTCTGAGTGTCTTTGCTATTCTTGCCTTTTGCTTTCCTATGTACATATTAGAATTAACTTGTTAAGTCTCCAGAAGAATTTGCTCTAAATTGATAGATTAATTTGAGAAATGGTATATTAATTTGAGAAGTGGTATATTTATGAAATTCAGTCTTCTCCTCCTGGTGTATGGTATATCTTATTTATTTATTTTCAGTGGATATTTGGGTTATTTTTAGTTTTTTGCTGTTAAAAAATATTGAATTTATCTTTGGGAGGCCGAGGCAGACGGATCATGAGGTCAGGAGATCGAGACCATCCTGGCTAACACAGTGAAACCCCGTCCTACTAAAAATGCAAAAAAAAATTAGCTGGGCCTGGTGGCAGGCGCCTGTAGTCCCAGCTACTCAGGAGGCGGAGCTTGCAGTGAGCCAAGATCGTGCCACTGCACTCCAGCCTGGACGACAGAGTGAAACTCCATCTCAAAAAAAAATATATATATATATATATAATATATATATATATATTTATATACATATATACATTTATATATATATATATATAATTTATTTAGGTTTCCTTAGATGTCTTTCGGCATAGTTTTACAACCTTTTAAAGTCTTGCACATCTTTTGTTAAATTCTTTCCTATGTATCTTATACTTTTCTGCTGCTATTATATGTGGTAACTTTTTAAAAAAGTATGAAACATAACTATTGTTTGAGATCTTCATTGTAAACTATATTCTTACTGTGTTTTGTTGCCCATCAGAGACAGTAAGATGGATGGGATAATTTTTCCCTTACCAAATAACTCTGGACTTCTAGACTGCTCTACTCTTCAAATCCTTGGATTTGCTTTTTATACTTTCTTGTCTTTTTCATTGCTGTTATGTTATGAGGGAAGGACTCCTTCCCAATCCTGAGTTTGATGTGCTCCTGACTAACCATATGAAGCTTATTAAAATCATAGGAAAATTGTCATAAATACACAAACTGCCCACAACCCTATTATTTAAGTTCCTTCAAGATTCTCAAATAGTGGAGCTTGCAAAGAAAATCGTGTCTGCATAAGTAAGCTATTATTTCACAAATTAATAGTTATTTGTATCTAGTTTAAATAATTATATTACTATAGAAAAAAGAATGACAATTAAGTAGAAAGAAGAGGTATATTCTTAGAAGTGATAACCCGGGACGCATTGTCCCATGGTTGTATCTCAATCAAGTTTTAGGTAAAACTCTTACAAGAAAACGAATAATCTCACAAGCATTGCCTCAGAAACCCAAGCCAACAGAATAATGGCCACTCTTATGTGTGTAATGGCAGTAAGGTTGCATAAGTGGACATGGCAACAGAATTTTGGGGCCATTTGGCTAATTTCTTTCTTTTTTTTAATTTTTTTTTTTTTTTTTTTTTTTTGAGATGGAGTTTCACTCTTTTTGCCCAGGCTGGAGAGCAATGGCACAATCTAGGCTCACTGCCATCTCGGCCTCCCAGGTTCAAGCGATTCTCCTGCCTCAGCCTCCCAAGTAGCTGGGACTATAGGTGCCTGCCACCACGCCTGGCTAATTATTGTATTTTTAGTAGAGATGGAGTTTCACCATGTTGGCCAGGCTGGTCTTGAACTCCTGACCTCAAGCAATCTGCCCTCCTTGGCCACCCAAACTGCTGGAATTACAGGCGTGAGCCACTGTGCCTGACCACCATTTGACTGATTTCTATAGGTATATAAAATTCTAAGTTTCTAACTAAGCTATGCCAAAATTCCGGCATAAATGAGCAAAATTTGAGTTTAATTGAGGTGTATTATTGACTATCAGTTGCTACCTAAGGAAAGAGCCATCCATTGTCAGGATAATGAACATATGGTGTCTAATAGAGTGCGAGGGGTGGTTGCAGAGGCTGAGGAGTTGGATACATTGGCCCTGAAGAATGGCTAATGTCTCTGAATTATGAGACTGTTTAGGTAGGACAGTGCATTTGTGTGCTTTTTCACTTTCAGAATGACTCAATGGCATTGCAGTAGGATTACTGTAATTCTTCTCTCCTTTTGGAAATTTAAGTTTTTTACTCCGTTGAAGATAGGCATGACCATGTGATTTACTTCAGCCAATAAAATGTGAGCAGAAGTGGCATTATTACCTCCAGGGAAAAACATTTAATGCCTTGCCTCTGTTTAGCTGCCTTTGAGTGCGTGAAGGAACAACACTAGCCAATCACACAGAAAACTAAACAGTTGCTAGGATTGTCAATGAGACCAGACCTGCAGAGGACCTGGTGAGCCAGAAGCAGACTTCTGTTGCTAAAGGTTTGAAGTTGCTTGTCCTGCAGGAAAGCCTAGGATCTCCTGCCTGACACAGATACCAACCATCACAGTACATTTTGTGTGAATTATGAATTTAAGAACTAGCAGCAAGGACTGTGGATTTCAGTTTCAGAGATCCAGAATCTCACTTTCCTCATGTGAACCCTGCCAAAGTTGAGGGGTGTGGAACTTGCTATCCATGGGGGAAAAAAAAAAAAGAAAGAAAACCAAAAAACTGATTCTCTCGGTTTTGAGATAAGAATGAGAAAGACAGTAGCCGGGCACGGTGGCTCATACCTGTAATCCCAGCACTTTGGGAGGCCGAGGCGGGTGGATCACGAGGTCATGAGATCAAGACCAGCCTGATCAATATAGTGAAACCCCATCTCTACTAAAAATAGAAAAATTAGCTGGGCGTGGTGGCACACGCCTGTAATCCCAGCTACTCGGGAGGCTGAGGCAGGAGAATTGCTTGAACCTGGGAAACAGAGGTTGCAGTGAGCCGAGATCACAGCACTGCACTCCAGCCTGGTGACGGAGCAAGACTCCATCTCAAAAAAAAAAAAAAAAAAAAAAGAGAGAAAGAAAGTAAAGTTATGTCACCAAAAGGACTCCATTCCCCCCAAACCATAATTTGATTATCTTTCAAGGATTAAGAAAAAAGTACATGTATACGTATGCACCTATGTAATACATTTAACTACATGTGGTGTAAGCAGAGCGGCAAGCTTGGTGTCTTCTATCCTAACTGCTTTAATATCCTTAGGTCTAGAAAACAGTTGCTTCTTGAAACTGGGCTCTGTTCCTAGCCCACCCTTGTATCTGATAGCCATCAGTGGCACAGAATTTATCAACAAAAATGCAAAATGTAATATTAATTTAGTGTCTTTCCTTTGAAGCCAGGAAGTCCTTTTCCTCCTTTTCATGTTTCTAGCCTTGTGAGAGCTGTCACTTCATTTGGGGTCATTAAAGATAAAGGAGATTTGTACTCTTGGCATTTCTCAGCCCTGATACTACCCACTTCAAATGGCCCTGTCCTTGTCTCTTTAGAATCCATAGTCTGTATACTAATAGCTGCCTTCTCCCAGCTCTAATTCAGGTGGCCTTGTCTGCTCCCCTAATGCTCCCCCAACCAGCACCAAAATGAACAAACAAAACCTTCCAAATTCATAAGATCACAAGCTAATCCCTCTCTGATTTGGCAAGGAGGGGAAATTCTATTTTCTATTCATGCTCACCCAGTCTTTTTTATTCATCCATACCACTCCCCATTCCATTCCTTCACCTCCTGTTCCTGCAGAGAAATCTCTATCCCCTCTCTATGGAACATTCCTGCTGTCTAGATATGTTACAGGCACTCACAGACATGCTGACTGTAAGAGCTGACATTCAAGTCATCCTGCTCTACAGGGTGACAAGAAAGCACAGTGCTCGTTCGTGAGATCCCTACTGCCTTACTTACAGTGCAGGGGAGTCCCTTTGGTCCCCAGAGGCCACTTCAGGACTCTAAGACCACAAGGAAGGAAGGCAACAGGGGCCGAGGAGGATTTGCTCACTCAGTGAGCTTTTATGAGTAACAGAAGCGAGAAAGTAACTTGTACTCATATACGGTTTTGACATTTCCTTTAGAGGATGTGAGTCTCAAAAGGTAGGGTCCCATGATGATATAAAGTTATTTATTTCTTAATTTCATGTCTTTAAGTGCCTAGTAGTTTTCTAGAAATTTTAATTGGATACTCAATACACCCAGAATATTTTCTCCCAATGCCACATCTAGTATTAACTGTAATGAAATAATAACATTATCTAAGATTTATGTACTAAGGACTTTATTAAGCCCTTTAAATTTTCATAGAAATCCCACAAGCGGGGTGCTATTCTTACTCCTTTACCAACCAGAACTCAGCCTTTGGAGAGACTGTGGTTGCCCAAGGTTAACATTTGTGAAAGGCAGAGTGGGGACTGAGTACTAGGCCCGTCACACCTCAGACCCCAGATTGTTTACCCCCATGCTCAACAGCGTTTGATGTAATGGCCCAGTCTGACTCAGGGCTCCACAGTGTACTGAGTGTGTTTGTATCTGTTCTGATTCTCTGACTTTCCATGCCTTTTGGGAGAATTTAATATAAATAAGATTTGGATTAGCTTACATTTTTTTCTAGGTGCCAAAACATAAGAGTAGAATTTAAGACCTCCGGATTTACTCTTGCACTTTCCATTGATCCATGACCCTTTCCTCTGCTCTGTGATGGCCAAGAGGTGGACATGGTCCAGATCACTGAGGAAAGAGGAAGCCTGAAACAGAGAGGTTTGTGGCTGTTACCATAGCCGGCCCCTCTGCAAACCTTGGTTTGCTCACTGGTAATTGGAGGAGTTTGTGGTGCTCGCAGGCTATCTGAGGGGTCTCTTCCAGCTGTGACATTTGGTGGCCCTAAACTCTCAGTGCCTGCCTGGCTTTTACGTGGTGTCATACCAGAGCGCCGAGCAACTCCTGCTTCCCGCAGACATCTTTCCTCTGTTCAGAGAATGTGAGCAACATTGAGAGCATGTAAGGGGCGATCCGGTGAACAGACTGGAGTCCATGCCTTCAAGTGGCCGAAAGCTGTTTTGCTTGCTGGAGATTTTGAGCCCATTGCAGTCAGCCTGGAATCTCCAGTCCTCCTTTTCACCCTAGCTTGCAGCCCACTGGAGCTAGTAAATTAAGACCTTTGCCTTTGACATTTGGGTTGGGAAAAAAGTGAAAACCGATCTAATAATAATTAGTTATGGTTTAATATGCGAGATTGAAGCATTCTCATTTTTCATTCTGGAGCCTGGTGAGAAGGAGCCAAGAGCAGAGATTGATGGGGAAGCATAAACCCCCGCAACGTTCCCATGCCAAGAGAAGTAAATGATCCTCAGGCACCTTCTTATATCATGTTAAGAACCCATGACAGCCCCAAAAGAAATGGAGAGACCCAGAGAAGGTGGGGGATAAAAGAGGGGTTTTTTTCATTGTTCTCTTAGGCCAGGCACCTTGGCACACACATCCGTGCCTATTCATTGTGTAAAGACTGTGGTCTTCAGGCTCCAAGAAAGAGGGCTTGGATTCAGATAACTGACTCTGGGGAAATAGCAGCTTGTTTTTGTAACACTGGAGATGTATTTACTTTTCACTTAATGAAGGGGAGTGATGTCTTGGATAAGTCATGACCCGACACAAACTACAAACATTAAGCCCAAACATTACACGGGAAACCCTTCCCAGAAACGTCCAATTTGTTACTAAGTAGAATCAGTATTGGTGGTTTTAGTGCCATGGAGAGATTTCATTAACTTTCTGAAGGGAAAACACTGTGGAATGGTGAGGCAAACCTAAAGACATTCTGTGTGCGAGTGTGCGCACGCACTCCTGTGCCTACGTGTGCGTGCGGCATAGCTGCAATTTGACATCATGTGGTAAGATTAGCCTGTTTCTCGCTGGCGGGAAATTCAGTGTGGCCCAGAAAGTTACAGAGGGAGGAAACTGTGAATTGGTTGAGAAGGAAAGTATTAAATAATTCTTGATGTATCACTGTGTCCTGGAAAAGAATGAAGATTAGGAGGAAAAAGGCTGGAACAGGAGAGGAAAAACAGATGGTGCCTTGCAAAGAACACTCCTGCAGTTTTTCACATCTCCCAGTGGGACCTGAAATGTGAACACAGAGTTGAGGCTGAGCAGGAAGCCAAACACACTGCTGCGGACAGGTCAGTGTGGCCCCATGACCTGGGCGTGTTGTCCCAAGGCCTGGAGGCTGATGCCCAGGGGAGCCCTGGGGAGGGCCGGCAGATGCTGCCCTGTCGGGAGTGGGCAACTGAGGTCAGCAGGACCATCAGCCAAGTGCCTGGTTTTATCCATCATGAATGAGATGGCAAGGATCCAGCCGTGGGAATTTTAGCAGAATGGTTATGTGTAAGGAAATAGGCATAAAATAAGAGAGGGCAAATGGGGCTTACCACAGAATACCACAACCAGAACACAAAAATCTTAATGACTTTTAAAGATTTTTGCAAAGTTTCAGGCCTTCCCTCAACTCAGCAAACATTCCCGTACCTACCTTTATTTGCCTCTTCAGGCTTTCTAGATCCTTCCCTGTCTCCCATTTGCCTGTAGAGCTGAATGAAACCAGAGACCAAGCCAAGGGTGGGGAGCCCACTGGCCCAAACAGGCTCTTTTGCAAGGCCCACACGCTCCATGAGTTTCTGTGGATTTGAAGGTTGTCTTGAGCCATTTGCCTGAAAGCCAGAGTTTCTAGCTCCAACAAATACGAGTCTCACAAAGTAAGAACAAGGCCTTAGTGTCTGAGATGTGGGACTTCATTCAATGCTGTGATTTTAATATAAGAAATGAGAGATTAAATTATAATGACATTTCAAAAAAGAATAACATTTTTATAAATACCAAAGTCTACCAGCAAACTCAGTGGTAGATAAAAGATTTCTAGCTACTAAAGAAAGAGCACTCAATGTGCAATGTTGGAAATTCTATGTGAGCAGGTAGAGAAAAGAACAGCAACTTTATATTTTTAAGGAATGTGATGTTATGGGAAGGCACAGGTGGTAAGGCCTCCTGCAGTGGTCCTCAAACTTGAACAGAATCATGAAGAAGGCTTGTTAAAACATAGATGGCTGGTCCCCACCCCCACAGTTTCTGACTCAGTGGGTCCAGGGAATTCTAACAAATTCCCAGGTAATGCTGATGCTGCTGTTCTGGGGCCTGCACTTTGAGAACCACTGGCTTAGTTAAGATAAAGATACATGCATAGATTACATTTCTGTTTACCCACATCTGCAACTGTATTCTGGCAGGAAGCGTAATGGACTGTAACAAAGCCAACAATTATTGGACCCCTTTCCTGTCCCCAGTCAGTGGTTTCAGGGAGCAGCTGAGCTGAGCAGAGATCATCATTGCTGGCAGTGGGAACCCAGGTGTTCTGGACCCCTGAGGTGTCCTGCTGACTGAAATGAATTGAGGACTGAGGAAAGGGGCATGAAATATTAGAATGTTAGCACTGGAAGGGAGCTAGGAGAAAGTCTGATGATTATAGAATAGACATTGAGTGAGAGAGCCTTGAATTTCAATTCCAGCTGTGACACTTACTAGCTTTGAAAACTTAGCAAGTTACTTAACCCCTATGAACCTCAATTTCCTCCTCTGTAAAACTGGGAACCCTAAAAGGCTTGTGTTTCAGTCACAATTCTTAGTTGCAATCAACTGAAGTCCAGTTTGGCTGATTTAAGCAGAAAGGGAATTTATTGCAAGGATATTGAGTTCTACAGGGAAAACGAATGGTTTCACCAACAAATCAATGGTATTAAAAAAAAAAAAAAAACAGAGGAGCTGTTGTTGAATAAAAGAGACATCAGAGACATAACAACCAAAGGTAATTGGTGGACTTCACTTGAATCGTGATTCAAGCAACCACCATGAAAAGACAATTAGAAGAACTGGAATAAGGCTGGGTTTGGGATGACATTAAGGAATTACTGTGAATTTTTTTAGGTGTAAAATTGTCATGAGGGTTACTGTTCTTGTAGAGGCTCTAATAGAGACTAGCATACTAACGTATTTACTGGTAAAATAACACAATGTCTGAGATTCACATCAAAAAACTCTAGGGAAAGAAGTCATAGGAGGAGGGACGTGGAGGAGTGTAGAAAAAAACAGGATTGGCAAAACATTGATTATTGTTGCACCTCAGTTATGAATACATGGTGATTTATTTTGCTGTTCTGTGTGGGTTCATGTGCCTGTGTGCTTTTGAAATTCTTCATAATAAAATACTCCCACAAAACAGGAAACAGCCTGTCTATGAGGGCTGGTGAATAAGGCTCAGATATCTCTTAGGAAAAGATTGAGATGCTGTTGCCATTGTCACCAATCCCCAGACGCTGGAGCTTGCACTGTTGGCAAGGGTGGTTGTGAGAGTGATTAACTAGCATTTTCAAATTCTATAGCAAGATGTCTCTAACAGCAACACTTGCAAGGTAGGAAAATTTTCAAGCTCAGAAGAGGGACTCAGGAGATGGGTGGCCAAACAAAAACAAATACAAGAACAAAACTAATGTCCACTAGAGGACATACTAGGTGCTCAACCCATGTTGGTACCCTCTCCCCCTCTTGTCCCTGAGATGCGTATAGCCCAAACCTCCATCTTACGTTAGACTTTCTTTTTTTGGCATCTTAGATAGCTAGATCTCTCATCCCAATAATTTTCTAATCTCCTTTTAAAGGATCAAATTCTTCCAAAAGCCAGGAGTTTTACCTCACTGCTTCCCGATGAGAATCGTTCCATTTTGGGCATTCCCAACAACTGGAACAACTTTATTCTGAGTGTAAAAGCTGCCATTTCCAGCCATTGTTGTAAATGTATCACCCATAGAATATGTCAAATCCGTCTTCTACAAGGGGATTCTACAGATACTTAAAGATTTTCATAATCTTGTATTTTCCAACTCTCAATCCAGGCCCTGGCACCTCATCTATGCCTCCTTTTCATCAGATTAAATATATGTGAAACAGGTAAAAATCTTAGTTTATAACTTTAGGTACAGGAGAAGTATGACTTCTTTCTCTAAGATTCAAATTCCAGTGGACCCTTGAACAACACAGGTTTGAACTGTGCAGGTCCACTTATACATAGATGTTCTCCCACCTCTGCCACCCTTGTGACAGCAAGACCAACCCCTCCTCTTCCTCCTCCTCCTCAGCCTGCTTAATGTGATGATGATGAGGATGAAGACCTTGATGATGTTCTACTTCCACTTAATGAATAGTAAGTATATTTTCTCTTCCTTATGATTTTCTTAATAACATTTTCTTTTCTCTAGCTTACTTTATTGTTGGAACACCGTATATAATACATATAATGTATAAAATATGAGTTAACTGACTATGTTGTTGGTGAGGCTTCTGATTAATAGTAGGCTATTAGTAGTTAAGTTTTTGCAGGGTCAAAAGTTATACTAGGACTTTTGACTGTGAAGGGATTGGTACCCCTAAGCTCTTTATTGTTCAAGGGTCAACTAATTCCTATTTGAGCCCTCTTTCCACCAGCATTGTGGAAACCTTATTGTAATCAAGCTATGGCTCCCCCATAAATTCCTCTGAGGTTGTGCTAAGTCCCAGTGCCCACAGAATGTTGAGGCATTTAGGAGCATGCGGCCTCTGCTCCTTCCAGTCATCTGTCTTGGCAGACGCCCACTAGACGTTCCTGCCTTCACTCATCCGCCCCGTGGCCACTTTTTGATGGCCTGCCCAGTCAACAAATGCTTTAAACCCCTTCTGAGCTCTTTGTCTCCATAAAGATGTCTCTGCTTTAAAAGACACACTCCCCCTGGAGAATGAGCTCTACTAAGTAGCACGTAGGATCCCTTACCCATTTTTGGTGGCCAAGTCATGTATATGTGAAAAGTTGCTTAAGCCTCTAGTTGCTAGAGGCAGTCTCAAAATAACACAGAGGTTTCCAAAGAAACTCTTGAGGTTTGCTAGTTTCCTACTTGGTCCACTCTCCCCGTCCCTTCCCCACTGTGTTGCCTGGCTTGTATCCCAGCTGGCCCCGTCCAAGGGGATAAAAAGCCCCCCATGAGCTGGGCCATCCAGTCTCACCATCAACTGCTCCTGTTAGGAGACCAGACCATCTTGGCAGGAGCTGTATTATAGCAAGATTAGAGCAACATCTGAATATGTTATTTTGTATCCCTCCATATTCCCACCTCCATTTGCACAGGATTCTTCCCCTATCCTGGACCAGTATCCTATCTGTGATATTCTGTGCTGCACCACTGCATCTTGGCTCTGTTCCAGACTCTTCTGTCCTTTGACTGTGCAGGCTGAAGCTTGCTTCCTGGTAGCTAGAAAGGCTGTGTCCACTGCCTCCTTCTCTACAGCCTCGGCAGCTTTTGCATCAGAGTTGTATGTTCTCATGCCTCTGTGATCCAAGTAGCTAGGGGAAAGTAAGCAGTCCCCTAAGTGTTGGGATGGGGTCCAAGTTCCCTGAAACAGGGGCAAAATGTATGTCAGATCCTTGCTTCTACTACAGCAAAGTAGTGGGTCTTATCTTGCTATGTTCCCTAGCACCTAGTGAAAAATATGTGCTTGAAAAGTAAATAATGGTAATGAAAATTTTCATCCAAAAGAAAACCTAGACATGAAAGCTGAAAGCTCCTTTATAGTTTTGCATGTACTTTTATTTTATTTTTATTTTTTATTTTTTTGAATGAGCAGGTTTTAAATGCAGCTCATAAGCAACGGGCTTCTAATAGCTTTGACAATCAGTCGTGGGCTGAAATCAGGGTAACTTAATAAGAATTATAAATCAGCTCTAAAAGAAATGCGACATGTCCAGTTTTTTCCATTCATGTTAAATTTCGGTGTATCTACATAACTACAGATTCTGCCAAGCTTATCTGCATGGGGACAAGAGCTGTGTCTATCTGTTCATTGATCTCCCCCAGTGCCTAGCACAGGCTTTGGCACAGCCAAGGATTGCAATAAATAGTTGTTTAATAAATGAAAGCTTATTTCTAGATAGTGTAGGTTGAACATTTAAACTTATTTTGAAAAGGAAATGTTTCCTAGGAATCTCATTTGCCTCCTTAATATGGTATGGATATTGCAAACTAATGTTATCTGTACAAAGCCACGTTCCCTTCCTCACAAATCCAACATCCAAAAAGCTTTGGAGCCCTAAAGATTCCTTCTCACTTGTTTCAAAGCAAAACCTGATGTGACTTGAAGGCTACGTGTAATCTTTACTTATTCTACTCGGTTTGAGTATTCAATATTTTGCCATCCAAATAATGGGTTTGATTATGGGGTAGACCCAACCCCTGCTAAGGGCCCTGGGCAATTTTATCCCACCTACACTAGTTATTAACTTTCTAAAAACTAAAACAATTATAAATTGCCAAAGACACTTAGCCCCAGGATTTTAAATCATGGCACATAGACCTGGAGTCATAAAAGCAAGGGCCCCAAACATGGAGGAACTCATTCAGAAAAAGAAAGTGCCTCTTCAGAGGCATTTCATCTGCAACTTTAAAAATAAAATAAATGTATACTCAAAACTGTTGGGGATTGAGATCCTGGAGCTATTATATCTTCATTGCTTTATCTTAGTGAATATATTTATAAAAGCTTGCATATATTTTTTCCTAATTTTAGTACCTATAACCCTATTCTTCAGAGCTTGTCTGATTTGAGACTCAGAACGGAGGAAGATGCTCACCTTTTGGATCACTGTATGTGTCCAGATATGCAGAATAACTTCAAGATATAAGGTTTAAAAATATATTTATTAACCGGAATTTAATCTATCCAGGTTGCCATAGCAGCAACTGATGTTTCTCAACTATCCCAATCTAAAAAACGTGATGACAGGGCTGGCGCAGTGGCTAATGCCTGTAATCCCAGTACTTTGGGAGGCCGAGGTGGGAGGATCACCTGTGGTCAGGAGTTTGAGACCAGCCTGGCCAACATATACAAAAAAGTAGCCAGTTGTGATGGTGGGTACCTGCAATCCCAGCTACTTGGGAGGCTAAGGCAGGAGAATTGCTTGAACTCAGGAGGCGGAGGTTGCAGTAAACCAAGATCACCCCACTGCACTCAGGCCTGGGTGACAAGAGCAAAACTCTGTCTCAAATTAATTAATTAATTAATTAATTAAAAATGTGATTACAAAACTTTAGATCAATTCTGCTTTTATAATTTTCTCTTCCTCTATGAAAATTCTGTTTCGGTAGCTCTTTTGAAGCCTTGTAATGTTTTGCAGTGTGTTTTAACAAAGGATGGTATTCTTCATCATTTCCAACATTAGAATTTCAAATTCCATGACATTTTAGCAGGAGAGATTTTTGGACAGTTGTTCTGGAAATACTCTCAAATAGCACCATGCAAGTAGCTGTTGGATGCAGAATGGACTAAACGCAAAAGGCATATAAGCCACGTTATTTTGGCTGAGTAGGAGGGTAGGTAGGTTATGAAAAGTACCCAAAGGCTGAATTGCACAGCAAAGAGGAGACTGCACAACCATCGTGGCATGAGAACCTCATCCCCACTTCACAGATGAGGGAACTAGAACTGGGGCCAGCGAGGTGAAGCCATGTGCCTCAGGTTGCGTGGCTGGGTCACATCCTTGGCCAGTAGAGGACCTAGGCCCTGTAGGGAAGAATGAACAATTTGCAAAAATCCTGTAGCCCTGAAGTCTAGCTCAAGAGACCCTGATAAGAAGGTAGTGCTGATTAGGGTGTGGAAAAGTTAGGCCCAAGCAGTAGTGAGTGATGGGAAGGAACTGTAAATTGATACAGCACCGTGGAAGACAATTGATCACTATGTGACAATGAGGATGCTCTTTGAACCCCAAACTTTTGAGAATTTATATTTATCAAATAACCAGGAATGTTGCTCCAAGGTATACAAGTAAGATCGTTTGTCATAGGATTGTTTAAAATACTGAAAATTTTAGAGCAACTCAAATGTTCCATAATCATAATATAATACAGTTACATAACAAATAAAAATCACATAGAAAAATGTGTAATGGCATGACAATCTTTCTACTGTATGTTATTAAATGAGGATAAAAAGTTAAGAGAATATTAGGGACAGCATGATCAATCCTAATTTTTAAAATTATATGGCACCTGTACTTTTCCTGTGCTACCAAAAAGTCATCACAGGATTATTCAAAACTCATGGTTGCAAGTAACAGAAACTCACTAAAGATTGCTCTATCTCTCTGCTATTGTCATTGTTATATTTAACAATTCTGAAGAGATCCTAAGGCCTCTCGATGCTAGTCTACCATGCAGAACACGAGCAGGAGGTAGAATGTTCCCATTCCATTCTATCAGTGACAAATTGAAGACATTTTGTGCTGGAGGGGTCCCTTTCGTTTCTCATAACCTCCACCTAATCCATTGACCATTACTGAGCACTGGCTCTGGGCCTAGCACCACGTGCAACAAAAATGGAGGAAGGGAACCAAACCTAGAGGTTACCATCGCATTAGAAACACCTGGTCTGTAGCCACATGAGTGTGGTGGGGTTTGTGGAAGACGTCAAGGAAGCAGGAGACCCAGTTCCTGGAGTGGAGACATAAATACATAAAATGTATGAATAATCATGTGAGGGGGTCTGTGACCAAACACCGTGATGGTGAGCTATGGGCTGCGGTGCTACAGACACAGAGGGCAGGGCTGTGAGTGCAGAGAGAGTGATGGGGAGAGGCTTCCTAGGGGAAGAGAGACAGCTAGGCTCCAAACGGTAAGTGATTTATAGAACGAGACTTCAGGGGAGGATAGAAGGCATTTCAAGCAGATGAACAAGGATGATTCAGTGCAGAACATTCTGACACAGCTGTTGATCTCAGCTTTCCCAGAACAACCATTTTTAAAATTGAAACATAATATTTTACTTGTACTAACAATTACTGTTTGCAACAGGAATCCGTAATACTTACCCAACTCCTGACCCTTGTAATTTGCATCAAGAACAATGAGATCAATATCTTTAATATAACAGAAGCTTCTACAAATAAGTAATAAAAATATAAAAGGATTGGTAGAATGAACAATTCACAAAAAATAATCAATAGGACTGGGTCACAAAAATAAGCAAGCCTGGGTGAGATACTGAAGGTGATGTTCTGTGTTCTATACTCAACTGGTAAATCCTGAAATTTGACCAAGTGGGGGATCACGACCTTCTGCCTTTTATTATTGTCTCCTAAGAATACAAATGCTAAAAGCAATATAGTAAGTGGCCAGAAAAATACAGTTGAGACTTTGCAACAAACTGGTAACTGTATTTGCGAATCCTAAATATCACACTAATAAAGTTTGTATTTCCTCAATCTCTGAAAAACAAAGATAAAACACTGGTATAAGGAGAAAATTCTTTATGACTGAACATAATAAGCTTGTTTAGATGTTTCTCGGCTGGGTGCAGTGGCTCACGCCTGTAATCCCAGCACTTTGGGAGGCCGAGGCGGGCAGATCACGAGGTCAGGAGATCAAAACCATCCTCACCATCCTGGCTAACACAGTGAGACCCCGTCTCTACTTAAAAAAAATACAAAAAATTAGCCAGGGGTGGTGGCGGGCGCCTGTAGTCCCAGCTACTTGGGAGGCTGAGGCAGGAGAATGGCGTGAACCCGGTAGGCGGAGCTTGCAGTGAGCCGAGATCGCGCCACTGCACTCCAGCCTGGGCGACAGAGCCAGACTCCGTCTCAAAAAAAATAAAAAAAAGAAGAACCAGGCATTGTGAACATTAGGAATTACTTCCAGGCAATTTTTCAACTCTGATCATTGCAGACAACTTTGACTTTTGTCATTTTTCAGATAAGACATTAATTATGCATTTCTGGTTTATTATAAGCAATTCAACTGAGTGGATGGTCAAACAAAAACAAAAGCAAACAAAATGATTTCACTCTAGGAAGCATATCTGCTTGTTCCTAATGAGGCTTATTCCCGGTGAGGCTGCCATTGCATGTTGGTACCAGGAGCAGAGTGAAGCTCTGATCTGGCCCCAGGTGGATCTCAGGCTAGTTCTGTAGACTTCTAGACAGGTTCACCACCAGCATCCCATTCCCCTTCTGCCAGCTCACCCAGGTGAGGCCCAGACAGTGACTGAAATATCACCATGGGCTCTCATGAGCAATGACAGTGGAGGAGAGCATCCAGCCAATGCCCAACAGGTAAGTATTGTGAGTAAGACATCAACCTCCAGTGAAAATTTGGGCTGCTGGTTATGGCAACATAACTAAGCCCATTCCCAAGCATGTGAGACAGGGAAAAAGAAAATTGGAAGACTCATATACGTGCTACTCCTGCTAAGTTGTCACTGGGTAATACTCTGATTACTTGGTCTCTTAGTCCTACCCAGTGCCTGGACACTTAATCATGCCTCTCATGGTGGCCTTTGGTTGAGACAGTCCTCGTTCCTCCACTCAGTCTCTACTAAGTCCAGCTTGCTGTCCTCCAGCCCCTCCCACCTCTCTACCCTCCTCTCCTTCCCCTTCATCTCAGTCCATGATCCCTCCCCCACCTTAAGCCTGGGGGAATCTTAGAAGCTCTACTCAAAGTCATGTGATCCCCAAATGTGTTCTCTTTGCAGGAGCCCTCTATGTCTCCCTAAGGGATCAGAATTTTGGAAGCCAATACCAGGAAAACAACATTTTTCTCTGCTTTTTATTTTTTTAATTTCAACTTTTTTAAAATTATACTTTGAGTTCTGGGATATATGTACAGAACATGCATGTTTGTTACATAGGTATACACATGCCATGGTGGTTTGCTGCACCCATCAACCTGTCATCTACATTAGGTATTTCTCCTAATGCTAACCCTCCCTTAGCCCCTCACCACCGACAGGCCCTGGTGTGAGATGTTCCCCTCCCTGTGTCCATGTGTTCTCATTGTTCAACTCCCACTTATGAGGGAGAACATGCAGTGTTTGGTTTTCTGTTCCTGTGTTAGTTTGCTGAGAATGATGGTTTCCAGGTTCATCCATGTCCCTCCAAAGGACATGAACTGGCTGCATAGTATTCCATGTATATGTGTGCCACCTTTTCTTAATCCAGTCTATCATTGATGGCCGTTTGGGTTGGTTCCAAGTCTTTGCTATTATGAATAGTGCTGCAATACACATATGTGTGCATGTGTCTTTACAGCAGAATGATTTGAAATCCTTTGGGTATATACACAGCAATGGGATTGCTGGGTCAAATGTTATTTCTGGTTCTAGGTCTTTGAGGAATCACCACACTGTCTTCCACAATGGTTGAACTAATTTACGCACCCACCAAAGTGTAAAAGCATTCCTATTTCTCCACATCCTTTCCAGCATCTGTTGTTTACTGACTTTTAACGATCACCATTCTAACTGGTGTGAGATGCTATCTCATTGTGATTTTGATTTGCGTTTTTCTAATGACCAGTGATGATGAGATTTTTTTCATATGTTTGTTGGCCACATAAATGTCTTATTTTGAGAAGTGTCTGTTCATATCCTTCACCCACTTTTTGATGGGGTTGTTTTTTTCTTGTAAATTTGTTTAAGTTCCTTGTAGATTCTGGATATTAGCCCTTTGTCAGATGGATAGATTGCAAAAATTTTCTCCCATTCTGTAGGTTGCCTGTTCACTCTGATAGTTTCTTTTGCTGTGCAGAAGCTCTTTAGTTTAATTCAATCCCATTTGTCAATTTTGGCTTTTGTTGCCATTGCTTTTGGTGTTTTAGTTATGAAGTCTTTGCCCATGCCTAGGTTTTGCCATGGTGTTGCCTAGGTTTTCTTCTAGGACTTTTATGATTCAAGGTCTTACATTTAAGTCTTTGATCCATCTTGAGTTAATTTTTGTATAAGGTATAAGGAAGGGGTCCAGTTTCAGTTTTCTGCATATGGCTAGCCAGTTTTCCCAACACCATTTATTAAATAGGAAATCCTTTCCTCATTGCTTGTTTTTTTGTCAGGTTTGTCAAAGATCAGATGGTTGTAGATGTGTGGTGTTATTGCTGAGGACTCTGTTCTGTTACATTGATCTATATATCTGTTTTGGTACCAGTACCATGCTGTTTTGGTTACTGTAGACTTGTAGTATAGTTTGAAGTCAGGTAGCGTGATGCCTCCAGCTTTGTTCTTTTGCTTAGGATTGTCTTGGCTATACAGGCTCTTTTTTGGTTCCATATGAAATTTAAAGTAGTTTTTTCTAATTCTGTGCAGAAAGTCAATGGTAGCTTGATGGGAATAGCATTGAATCTATAAATTACTTTGGGCAGTATGGTCATTTTCACAATATTGATTCTTTCTATCCACGTGCATGGAATGGTTTTCCATTTGTTTGTGTCCTTTCTTATTTCCTTGAGCAGTGGTTTGTAGTTCTCCTTGAAGAGTTCCTTCTCATCCCTTATAAGTTGGATTCCTAGGTATTTTATTCTCTTTGTAGCAATTGTGAATGGGAGTCCACTCATGATTTGGGTCTCTGTTTGTCTATTATTCGTATATAAGAATGCATATGATTTTTGTACATTGATTTTGTATCCTGAGACTTTGCTGAAGTTGTTTATCAGCTTAAGGAGTTTTGGGGCTGAGATGATGAGGTTTTCTAAATATATAATAATGTCATCTGCAAACACAGAAAATTTGACTTCCTCTCTTCCTATCTGAATACACTTTATTTCTTTCTTTTTCCTGATTGTCTTGGCCAGAACTTCCAATACTCTGTTGAATAGGAGTGGTGAGAGAGGGCATCTTTGTCTTGCGCCCATTTTCAAAGGGAATGCTTCCAGCTTTGGCCATTCAGGATGATATTGGCTGTGGATTTTTCATAAATAGCTCTTATTATTTGGAGATACGTTCCATTAATACCTAGTTTATTGAGTGTTTTTAGCATGAAGGGTGTTGAATTTTATCAAAGGCCTTTTCTGCATCTATTGAGATATTCATGTGTTTTTTGTCATTGGTTCTGTTTATGTGATGGGTTACATTTGTTGATTTGCATATGTTGAACCAACTTTGCATCCCAGGGATGAAGCCGACTTGATCGTGGTGGATAAGCTTTTTGATTTGCTGCTGGATTTGGTTTGCCAGTATTTTATTGAGGATTTTCTCATCGAAGTTCATCATGGATATTGGCCTGAAATTTTCTTTTTCTGTTGTATCTCTGCCAGGTTTTGGTATTGGAATGATGCTGGCCTCATAAAATGAGTTAGGGAGGAGTCCCTCTTTTTCTATTATTTGGAATAGTTTCAGAAGGAATGATTCCAGCTCCTCTTCATAGCTCTGGTAGAATTTGGCTGTGAATCCAACTGGTCCTGGGCTTTTTTTGGTTGGTAGACTATTAATTACTGCCTGAATTTCAGAACTTGTTATTGGTCTGTTCAGGGATTGGACTTTTTCCTGGTTTAGTCTTGGGAGGGTGTCTGTATCCAGGAATTTTCCATTTCTTCTGGATTTTCTAGTTCACTTGCATAGAGGTGTTTATAGTATTCTCTAATGGTAGTGTGTATTTCTGTGGGATCAGTGGTGATATCCCCTTTATCATTTTTTATTGTGTCTATTTGATTCTTCTCTCTTTTCTTCTTTATTAGTCTTGCTAGGAGTCTATCTATTTTGTTAATCTTTTCAAAAAACCAGCTCCTGGATTCATTGATTTTTTAAAGGGTTTTTCGTGTCTCTATCTCTTTCAATTCTGCTCTGATCTTAGTTATTTCTTGTCTTCTGCTAACTTTTGAATTTGCTTGCTCTTGCTTCTCTAGTTCTTTTAATTGTGATGTTAGGGTGTCAATTTTAGATCTTTCCTGCTTTCTCTTGTGGGCATTTAGTGCTATAAATTTCCCTCTACACACTGCTTTAGCTATGTCCCAGAGATTCTGGTATGTTGTGTCTTTGTTCTCGTTGGTTTCAAGTAACTTATTTGTTTCTGCCTTAATTTTGTTATTTACCCAGTAGTCATTCAGGAGCAGGTTGTTCAGTTTCCATGTAGTTGTGCGGTTTTGAGTGAGTTTCTTAATCCTGAGTTCTAATTTGATTGCACTGGGGTCTGAGAGAGTGTTTGTTATGATTTCCATTCTTTTGCATTTGCTGAAGAGTGTTTTACTTCCAATTATGTGGTCAATAAGTGCTATGTGGTGCTGAGAAGAATGTATATTCTGTTGATATGGGGTGGAGAGTTCTGTAGATGTCCATTAGGTCCACCTGGTCCAGAGCTGAGTTTAAGTCCTGAATATCTTTGTTAATTTTCTGTGTCATTGATCTGTCTAATATTGACAATGGGGTGTTAAATTCTCCCACTATTATTGTGTGGGAGTCTAAGTCTCTTTGTAGGTCTCTAAGAACTTACTTTATGAATCAGGGTGCTCCTGTATTGAGTGCATATATATTTAGGATCATTAACTCTTCTTATTGCATTGATCCCTTTACCATTATGTAATGCCCTTCTTGGTCTTTTTTGATCTTTGTTGGTTTAAAGTCTGCTTTACCAGAGACTAGAATTGCAATCCCTGCTTTTTTTTTCTTTTCTTTCTTTCTTTCTTTCTTTTTTTTTTTTTTTTGGTTTCCATTTGCTTGGTAAATTGTCCTCCATTTGTTTGTTTTGAACCTATGTGTGCCTTTGCATGTGAGATGGGTCTACTGAATACAGCACACTGATGGGTCTTGACTCTATCCAGTTTGCCAGTCTGTGCCTTTTAATTGGGGCATTTAGCCGGTTTACATTTAAGGTTAATATTGTTATGTGTGAATTTGATCCTGTCATTATGATGCTAGCTGGTTATTTTGTATTTCAACTTTTATTTTAGCTTCAAGGGGCACATTTGCAGGATTATTAAAGGAATACAGTGTGTGGTGCAGAGGTTTATGGTACAATTGATCCCGTCACCCAGGTAGTGTGCACAGAACCCAATAGGTGGTCTTTAACCCTGGCCTCCTTCCCTACCTCCCTCCCTTATAGTCCCTAGTGTCTACTGTTGCCATTTTTGTGTCCATATGCACCCAGTGTTTAGCTCCCACTTATAAGTGAGAATATGCGGTGTTTGTTTTTCTGTTTCTGCATTAATTTGCTGAAGATAATGACCTCCAGCTGCATCCATGTTGCTGTAAAGGACATGACTTCCTTCTTTTTAGGACTGCATAGTATTCCATGGTATACATCAACCATGTCATCTAATTTTTATATGCTTTAGCTCTGTCACATGTCTCTCCAAAAGTAATGACCACAGAGCCACAAGTGAGGTATTCAAAGAGGACAAGAAACACATTGCTTAATATTTCAAAATTATTACACTGCCATTGATTTTTAAAATGTCTTGTTTGGAATAGCACCTATGTCTCACTATTTAAAACAGCCTTAATTGGGGCATCCCTTTGTTCTTTGACATTGATTTTTGTTAATAAGTCTATCTAATGCTGACCTTCTGGGCCAAATCTGATGGAAAAAGGGAGTGATCAGGATGGGACATAAATCTACTGGTCAGAAAATGGACTAAAAATGGGAAAAGTTATATTTCTTGCATGCCCTGTAAAATTCTTTCTGGTGGCAATTTCATTTAAAAGAGAACACTTATTTAAAACACAACTTATTTTAGTTGCAAACCTCTGCTGTCAAGGAATTGGTAAATATGGAAATACAGAGGTGAAAATATCACAATATGAGAAAAAATATACATGCCCAGTGAACAACAGCTCAGAAAAACCTAAGTTTCATGTGAGCAATATCATACTTATTAATAGATGTATCATTATACATCAAGTACAGGCAATGGCACAAAATATGTGCTCGGTAAATCATTGTTGAATGAATAAATAATAGGAAGCGAACAGTAAGAGAGCAAATTACAATAAATTTTATCTTTTCCTTCCCTTTTAATCAGTTTATTAAACATGACAATTGCCATACATTTCAGGTTTATTTATGCACACGTCTTTGGTCTAAATACAAGCCTGATTTGTTCAGATGTCTAAGGTCAACTCAACATAAACTTAGCTTTGCAAATGCCTACTCTCTGTCCATTTACTGTTAGCCTTGCCACCACATAAGGCCATTGGATGATTAGAGTACTGAGTTCATTTTGTGTCTTTGATTTCTGGTTAGTTCACTGATAACAATTCTGGTAAGTTCCCTTTATGACCAAGGAGGTGCTTTGTTTGGATAAATCATATATATATAAAGGTTTTATAAAATAAATCAATTTTTGAATCTTCCTGTGACCAAATTTAAGAACTTTTCAGGGGTAAAAGAAACATAACTCAGCCGGGTGCGATGGCTCATGCCTGTAATCCCAGCACTTTGGGAGGCCGAGGAAGGCGGATCACAAGGTCAGGAGATCGAGACCACCCTGGCTAACACAGTGAAACCCTGTCTCTACTAAAAATACAAAAAATTAGCTGGGCGTGGTGGTGGGCGCCTGTAGTCCCAGCTACACGGGAGGCTGAGGCAGGAGAATGGCACGAACCCGGGAGGCCGAGCTTGCAGTGAGCCGAGATCCTGCCACTGCACTCCAGCCTGGGCGACAGAGCGACAGTCCTTCTAAAAAAAAAAAAAAAACAACAACAAAAACAGAATCATAACTCACTTGTACCTATGAGACCATAAAACCAAGTTGCTTTAGAAAACTTTGTTTTAATTTGCTTTCTAAAGCAGTCAGCTAGGCTAAAAAAATTCATTTTGTCTTTTCTGCGATACTTTACAAGAACTGTGTGATCATCATTTTACTTTATCCACCATTTTTTGTGCCACCCCTTTGAACTCAGTTTTGTTTAAAGTCAAATATTCAGTGTTTTTTAGAAAATGTTATCATGAATTACCAGCAGGAAGGATTCAATGCAACTATGGTTCTTTTCTTCAAGTAGTGATAGAAATTTCACGAACTTAGCAACACTGAAAATTTGGCCTTACACTTGTAACATTTGCCACGTGATACTTTAAATAATCTTCCAAATGTCAACTGTAATATTATCTCTTCCTGCTAAGACAATGGATGGGCCTAAAATTGGCTAGGAAAAGACAACTGGGTCTATCTAGCGTTCTTGGAGGAAGATGCCAGAAAATCTTGATTAATACCATCACTCCCTCTGGAATTAATTTTTAGTTCTCCCATCAGGTGTGTTGATGGAAAGAGGTCTTACAGTTCTAGTAATTGCCCTGGATTCCTTCGCTGTCCTTCATCAGGACCTCTAATGAAGTCTGAGCTGTAGCCTGGGGTTGATGCCAGACTGGAATGCAGGGAGGCTGAAAGCTGACACCAGTTCAACGGAGCAAAGGGCTCTGTGCTGAGGTTGTCTCCATGACAACCTGGGTATTTTCCTGGTGATGCATTTACACAGCAGGGTTAAAGTTCTGTGAAAGCAACAGCTGTTGTAAAAACAGTATATTAAATATGTTTAGGGCTGTAAAATGTGCATTCTCTGTGGCATTTTATTGGAGGAAATTCTAAACATGCAAAATGTATTTAAAACAATGATGGGATATTTCTTTTGACACATTTATTTTTGTTTTTGAAAGGAAGAGTAAGGAAATATTTAATGGTCTTTCTTTCCTAGCATTTTTTTAAAAAATTATCTTTTCATATCAAAATATCCAGCCTACAGCCCTGACCCTATTGTGTCTGCAATAAGTTACTTGACAGGTAACAGTTTGGGGAAATGAAAACAATATGTTTGCTTCTGTAACCAGAATCATTTGTCATGCTTCTTATTTGATGTTGTTCTTTTCTATTCACCATCTTTTAGTCTTTTATGCTAACTGATTATTCTGACAGGTATTTGAAAAAAGAAACAAAACATTTTTCACACAGTTCAAAAAATATGTTGATGTTTTAATAGAACAATTTTTGTTTCTTTGTTTTTTTTACAAACAAATTTATGCCAGGCATTTTGGTACACTGCACTGATTTGCAAGCGGTAACCTGAACTTAACTCAGAATTCTGTAAATCCATGCATCACCGTGGCATTCTGAATAGAGTGACCAACTATCCCAGTTTGACCTGGACAGAAGATTTTCCTGAGACATAAAAATTTTGCTACTAAAATTGAGAAAGTTCCAGGCAAACCAGGACTTCTCGGTCACTCTAGCATTCAACAAACATTGGCCAGCATCTGTCAATATGCCGGGCTCTATACTAAGGCAGTGAGATCTAAAGTCAACTGGTCATTGCTCTGTTCCCATCGCTTTTGGTAATTTTGTAGAAAAACTGCAGCAGATCGATTCTGGCTCTCTACCTGAGTGTGTACATATCTCTAATAGGAGATAATAGAAGGTGGATGTTAGTTTATGTTAGTTCCTGAAATGTTAAGAAACCAAAGCACTCTCAGGTGAGTGTATGTTTCTGCCCCAGGCTGCCATCTTGGTTGGAATGAAGGGCCATTTTCCAGTGGCCTTCTGATTTTCTCTGCCTCCACACCAGTAGAGGCCAGCATTGGCTTGGGAAGCCCATTCATGTCGTACTTTTCCTTGTAGCGGGAGGTGGAGAGTGCAAGATTTCATCTGTCCTGGTCAAATCAAGACAGACCCAGTAAAATCAATCTTGTGGCATTTTACCCTTGCTTTCTTCTGTCCTGGGTATTGAGCAGAGGAAATTAAAAAAAAAAAAATCTGTGAACTCTCCAGCCACAGAGAATACCTGCTGGGAATATTTTTCTAAATCATATGAAGAAAGATATATTGGCTGCATGGCTATACTATCTAATGTAAGTATCCCTGGGAAGTTCAAGAGCAGCTGACAACATTTTCTCTTTCCTTGAAAGCAAGGTTCATAACATTGGTCTACTTCTATTGTTTATGACTAGAGGAAAGGAAGCACCCATGCCCACCTTTTAGAAACAAATCTCCAAAGTAAAAAATAAGGTAGCCAAAGAGAGGCACACCTTGCATTGTAACCAAGCAGGGTGTCCCAATAGTGGGAGTGGAATCCCCCAGCCAACCATACAAAGCAGAAACCCCACGCCTGAGTATCCATTCATTCATTCATTCACCAGATACGTATTGAGTGCTTACGGCATGTCAGGCTCTGATCTAGGTTCTGAGAAAAGAACAGTGGGGAAAAACAAACAAACAAACAAGCAAACAAGGCAGAGATTCTTGCCCTCAGTGAAGTTTACATTCTACTGAAGGAAAGCAAATTAAAACTCTAGAGTTTGCGTGCATGGGAACACAACACGGAGATTACTATTGTCATGGCCCTTATAGAAGAGATTAAAACTCACCTGTTTTCTTAGCTAAATAAACTTATGTTGACAAGTTGACAGACAGACTGAGCAACTATAGTGCATTGTTAAATGCTGGAATGGAGATTTTACAGGTAAATTGGATCTGATCTGATCTTCTGATTTAATCTTGAAGCTGGTTGAGATGAACTGCTTTTTGAAAGCTAGTTCTGTAGCTAGTCTATGGCCAGAATGACCAGATACCACCTGAGGGCCACAGAGAGCTAGATGATTTTGATGAACTGTAGTTCTTATGGACATATAGTCCCAATGGAGAGCATTCTTGAAACTTGATCCTCATGGTTGTGCTAAGAATAAACTTTTCATGGTAGATATGTTTTCCTTTATTTTAAAGCTTCTGTGTCTTTCACTCGGATATCAGAAGTTGACCTATAATATTCAATTTACCACTCAAATAATTTTTTCAAATATTTTGATAGATTTCCAAAAGATTGATCAGAAACTGGAGCCCATGAACAGTGTTAATTTACATGAATAAACTAATGATCTTGAGGATAAATGACTACATTTAATACCAGTTCTTTCAAATACAAGCTACTATAATGGTTTGTTTATAACATTTGTGTCTCTTGGGCTATGCATCTGAACAAAGATAAGGTATAATTTTAATGAGCACTACATCCCACATTTAATATTGTCAAGGATTTTTAAACAATCTCTTCTGCCCATAGCATGGATAGAGGTGGTAAGATCTTTCTTACTTTAAAACAAAGCTCCACTGTAAAGAGAATTCCATTTTATTTCATAGACAAGAAAGAAAGGTTAAACGTGTTCTTTATGAAATAAAAGAAAGCTGTTTTGAGAAAAGAACAGTTTCATATACTATATTCCTAGCAAGGCTACAGCATAAAATTTGATTCTGTTTAAAAATAAAATCATCTTGGAGGAAAGCCATGGAATTGAGCCTAATAGGCACCTGCCAAAAGATCTTATCTGGAGCCATCTCCTCCCAAGTGGGACATGTTTTTAAGCATCTGAAAAGCCTACATCATTTCTACCTACAGCTAAGAGGGCTAGGGTAAGTAGAGAAGGCTTTGGTCTGTGGATCCTTTTAGAGGCATGGTTTGGGTTTACAATCTACTTTTAGAAGATAGAAATAAGTATTTTTAAAAATGGTTTCTGGATTTTGGAGGGTAAGGATGGAATATGAAGTCCTGGGTTGGAAAACTTATGTCCTAAAACTAGCTGGTTGGACCAGTTTCAATCTGGTGGCTTCTAGAATTGAACCCACTGGGACTATCCAAACAGACTGCCTACACTACAGAATTGAGATGGCTGTGGACCACAAATCAGAAGATGGAGCTTTTCTAACTGGCTTTCTCATTAGATCTTGGGCCAGGTTTCTTTAGGGAAATGATTTAATTCATCTAGGAAACTATTTTCTATGCTGTGAGCTGTGTTCCCTTTCCATCATTTGCTTCTGCAGGACTGGGTGCTTCCACTCCAGAGCCATGCCCCACCTCTGGGACTCTCCCACTACCTGCACTCCCAGCACAGAAAGCAGTCTAAGAGAGAGGCTTCTCTAAGATTAGCAAATCCTTCAAAATCCTAACACATCAGCAGAAGGGGGTGCCATCTGATACCACCTTTCTGATGATAGACACAGTAACTTTCTTAGTGGGGAATCCCAATGATCCCTTAAAAGTGAGCTTGGGAAAGAAAGGTTTAAAAGAAGATACACTATTTTCCTGAAACCTAATTTTTTCTAAATTCTAAACCTTTTCTAAATAGATCAATTTCACCTATGGAGCAGCTTGCTGATTTGAAACATGTACAATTGGCCCATTAATGTCTAATTTGCACAAGAATTTTTGGATGTAAGTTTTCATAAGTTTCCAGAAAGCTACCTTGTAGTATAGCCAGTTTCCCAGAACTTAAACAAATTAGATTAATCATGCTAGAAACTAAATAAAAGTGCCTTGTTGGGGCCTGTTTGGGCAAGCCCTAATATTCTCTCCTGTTGGCCAAGAAGAACAGAGCATCTTGGAGGGCTTAGCTACCACCCACTCTGCACGAGAACAGCGATCGGACTCTGAGCTTCAGGGCATATTACTCTTCCTGGGTTCAAACAGATGCCAGAATCTTGTTCTGTTGCAGGGATAAATAGTCACAGCTTTTGGTAATTTTTATAGGTACTTTTTAATCTATGGAGAAGTGTGATTTTCACACACTGGAGCTCAGGGCAACCAACATTTTCTTTTCTGTTATGATCATTTGGCAGAGCTGTTTTAACTCCTCTTCCTGACTTGCTACGTGTCTTTCCCCACCACCTTTCTGTTCTCATGCTGTGTGATCCACCAGCATCTCTGTATGGTTAGGGGTATTTATAAGCCATGGAGCATGCAGTGACACTTGATTTGTTACTGGTGTTGATTTCTTTCATAGAGCTGCATAAGCTTCTTCCTGCATGTCACAGGGCTGCTGGAGCTAGATGATTTTGATGAACTGTAGTTCTTATGGATATTTAGTCCCAATGGAGAGCATTTTTCAAACTTGATCCTCGTGGTTGTGCTAAGAACAAACTTCTCATGGTAGATATGTTTTTCTTTAAGTCTTCTGTGTCTTTCACTTGGATATCAGAAGTTGACCTATAATGTTCAATTTACCACTCGAATAATTTTTTCAAATATTTTGATAGATTTCCAAAAGATTGATCAGAAACTGGAGCCCATGAACAGTGTTAATTGACATGAATAAACTAATGATCTTGAGGATAAATGACTGCATTTTATACCAGATCTTAGCCCTAGCCATGTGCCACTAATCGGCCTGGCTCCGCAGAGAGCATGGAACTGAGCCTGCTGTTGCACGGAGATCGAGTTTATTCCCAGGCATCGTCACTTGATCCCTCCCATGCTCTCACCAGCATTCAGGAACTGAAAATATTTACTTTGTGTTGATCTGACAAAACCCAGTAAATGGCAAACTTTACAGGGCCCAGAATGCATGCCAAAGGAGCAGAGAGAGGGGGATCCGAATAACCCCTGTTCTGCTTGCATGTGGGGGTTTTCTGAGCTGCAGTGCAATCCCAGAGCCAGTCAAGTCTCAGGTTTCTTTGGCCTCTGAAGCCAGTATTTACTGACCAGGGCTTTGGAACTGAATAAAAGTATGTCAGACCACCCATTTTCATCGCTAAATCTCTTTCTTGGAAATGTAGCTGGAAAAGGTTTTCTGATCATTTCTCTATCTCTAGTAAAGATTGCTCCCTCAATGACTTATTTAACACATTTTTACTGAGCTACCATCATTTTCTAGGCTCTAGTCTAGGTGCTGGGTATTTAACAGAGAGCAAGAGGTATTAGCTTCAAGACAATGAATCAATAAGATGATTTCAGATTGAGATAACTGGTAGAAAAGAAACAACCAGGGGATATGATAGAGAGTAACTAGAGCCTTGTGACCAAGGGTGATTATAGCAGGCTTTTCCGAGATGCTGCTATTTGACTCAAGGCCTAAAGAACAATAGGCAGCCATTCACAAATTGGTAGGTCAGTTTTAAGGCAGAAGGAACAGTAAATATAAAGACCTTGTTGACGGGGCGGGGGGTGGGGGGCAGGAAAGAGCTTCCCATGATCAAGGAGTGGAAAAGAAACTGGAGTTCCAGGGACCAAGTGAATGAAAAAAAATGGTGTAGAAGATACCTTGATCACTACCTCCCTACTGTTTTTTCAGGCTACTGATTTGTACTACCATTGCATTAATGGTTTACTCTTGTCATGACACTATACTGGTTTAAACTGCAGGAACATGCAACTAATGCTTGACATAAGCACATAAAATCCTTGAAGCTAAGCAGAAGCAAAATGAAGTGCCACTAACATGCTCCAAGGACACATTGAAATGGTGCAGCCCAGGAGGCTTGGACACCCCAAAGCATGTGGCCACAGGCAACCCACTCTAAGTTCTAGGAATTGTGTTCTATAGTTCTTGAATCCCAGTCTTACAGAACTCCAAGTCATCAATGGCTGCAATTCTCCAAGTGAGCACAGGGTCAGTGTAAGTGGAGTTGTCAGTGGGCATCAAGCAAGATGGCGGGTGCAGGATTGGAGTTTTCTAGACCTGACTGGGAGTTCTGATTCTGCCCTTTCTCTTTGTGTTCTGGGGAAAGTATCTTACTTTGTTGAGCCTCTGCTTGCTTATCTGTTCAATGGAGATGGTGACACCTAGTTTGTAGTATAGATACTATGAGGATAGTATTTGAAAAAAAATCCCATTATATTCTCATATGATTCTTTGAGTGTAATATCTTCATGTATAACTGGCTGTCACATGTAAGGAAATAGCCCTAGAGAAGCTAGTTAATTCCTCCTGTATTTCTTGAGTCAACCAGTAGAAGATGGTGTTTTAATTGGTTCAAGAGAGCAGTGGCTCTTCCTGTGTCTTAGAAACTTTAAGATATCAGCCAGACTGTGATGCTTCTTTCTCCCTTTAAAGTAGAATTATTTATTAAAAATTAAAGAATGATAATGATGTGTCAGCGTAGGCTCATGAATTGTATCAAATGCAGCACTCTGGTGGGGGATGTGGATAATAGGGGAGGCTGAGAATTTGTAGGGTGGGAGGATATGGAAACTCTCTGTACCTTTCACTCAATGTTGCTGTGGACCTAAAATTGCTTTTTAAAATTTTATTTTAAAATTACAGAATGAATTATTTAATGGCTAAATAAGTAGCAGTATAGAATATAGGAATGTTTTTATAATAAAAATTTGTGGAGATACACTGAGGACCAATGTCTCCTTGTGTGTCTTTTTTACCAATGCACATAGATATCATTACTGTAATTTACAATAATTCTTGTCTCCTTAGAGGACATGCTTCCTCTCCTTTCTTTTTTTTTTTTTTTTTTTGAGACTAAGTCTTGCTCTGTTGTCCAGGCTGGAGTGCAGTGGCGTGATCTAGGCTCACTACAACCTCCACCTCCTGGGTTCAAGCGATTCTCCTGCCTCAGCCTCTCGAGTAGCTGGGATTAGAGGCATGCGCCACCATGCCCAGCTAATTTTTGTATTTTTAGTAGAAATGAGGTTTCGCCATGTTGGCCAGGCTGGTCTCTACTCCTGACCTCAGGTGATTCACCCACCTTGGACTCCCAAAGTGCTGGGATTACAGGCATGAGCCACGGTGTCCTGCCTCCTTTCTCAGTTTTTGAAGGTTGTCTTAGTTGCTCTTGATTTTATTTTTACTCTAATATGTGGATTCTGTGTCCCATGCTACAAAATAAATGTTGCTTGAATTTTCATTAGAATTTTATTAAATTAATAGATTAATTTGAGGATAATTTGCATCTTTAGAATGTTATTTTTTTCCCAAGAACATGATTTTTTTTCCCCATTAATCTAGGTCTTCTTTTATGTGCTTAGTAGAATTTTTAAATTTATCAGTATTTCTCAATAAACTTATTTCTGAGTATTTATGTTTATGTTACCTAGCCTGAGGCCTCAATTATATCTTCTAGCTGGTTGATTACTATGTATATAAATTAATGCTATTAACTTTTTCTGTAAGTTTGTAGTTGCACACCTTACTGAATACACGTATATTAGTACAGCCGGCCCTTCATATCCATGGGCTCTGCATGCATGGATTCAACCAAGCATAAATTAAAAATATTTGAAAAAATAATTGTGTCTGTACTGACCTTGTACAGACTTATTTTTCTTGTCATTATTCCCTAAACAATACAGTATAACCAGTATTAACATAGCATTTACATTGAATTAGGTATTATAAGTAATATACAGATAATTTAAAATATATTGGAGCATGTGCATAAATTATATGCAAATACTACATACACCATTTTATATCAGAGACTTGAGCATCCTCGGATTTTGGTAGCAATGAGGAGTCCTAGAACAAATCTCCCTCAATATCGAGGGATGACTCTGTATAGATCAGATATAAACTGATATATATACTTATATATTGTGTGTATATTGTGTATGTGTATATATAATCTATTAATATATGCGCATATATTGCACTTATGTTAATTACAGTTATATGTAATTAACATATAATTTACAATAATTCTTGTCTCCTTATAGAACATGCTTCCTGTCCTTTCTCGGTTTTTAAAGGTTGTCTTAGTTGTTCTTGATTTTCTTTTTACTCTAATATGTGGATTCTGTGTTCCATGCTACAAAAAAAATGTTGCTTGAATTTTTATTAGAATTTTCTTAAATTAATAGATTAATTTGAGGATGATTCACATCCTTAGAATGTTATTTTCTTCTCCAAGGACTTGATTTTTTCCCCATTAATTTAGGTCTTCTTTTTTGTGCTTAGTAGAATTTTAAATACATATATGTGCATATATGTGTCTTTGTGCATATGTTGTGTGTGTGTGTGTATATAATCTCAGAATCCAGAATGTGTAAATAGCTGATACAAATTAACAAGGAGAAATGTGAAAAATCTGATAGACAATTCAGCAAAGGATAGAAACAGGGAATTCACAAAATAGAAGAACCAAATGACCAATAAATGTATGAAAAATCATTTTACCTTACTGGTAATCCGAGAAATAATATAGTTTTCATATGACAATGTGAAAAAAATATAATTTGGTAACAATAAAATTGATGTACAATATCAGATGCTGGCAAGCATCAGGTAAAGGAGAAGCCTCACACTCCTAAAGGGACTATAAATATGTCCAATCACTTTGGAACACAGTTCCTCAGTATCTGGAATATCTGGTGTCTACCCAATATCCTACATCCATCTAGTAATTCTACTTCTAGGTGTAATCCTTAAGGAAACCCTTGCATCTGTGCACAAGGAGACATATACATAAATGTTGAGTGAGGCATGCTATGTGACAGTAAAATTTGTTAAAAAGTCAAACTCTCATTAATCTGATGGAATACTGCACGGCCAACAAAATGAATGAATTAGTTCCATAAAAATTAACATAGACAATTCTCAAAACATACTGCTAAATAAAAAAGCAAATAACAGAATTTTACATACAGAATGATGCAATTTATATACATTTTAAAAACGCAAAGCAATGCTGCTGTCAGGCAGCACATATACGTGTAGCAACAAGGACTGAAAGAATAACACCAAAGTCACGACAGTGATTGTCTCCATCAGGGAGGGAGGAAAGAAGGAAGGGGAATTAGAGTATAAAACCAAAAGAATAAAAAAGGACTTAAGCTCTAATACAGTATCCTTATTTCTTTCATGGAAATTAACCCAAAGCCCAAATGACAGTATGTTAGCACTTATCATTGCTTATGAATTTTAGTCATACATTTGATTGTTCATTGTATACTAAACCTCTCTGATTTTTTTAACTTCTTTTTTAGATGGAGTCTCACTGTAGGCTGGAGTGCAGGCTGGAGTGCAATGGTGCAGTCATGGCTCACTGCAACCTCTGCCTCCTGGGCTCAGGTGATCCTCCCACCGCAGCCTCCCGAGTAGCTGGGACTACAGGTATGTGCCACCGCACCAGGCTAATTTTTGTATTTTTTGTAGAGCCACTGTCTCACCATGTTGCCCAAGCTAAAACTTTTTCTTTTAAAATGTTTTCTTTGCATTAGCTAAACAGCAGGCTTCCTTCTATGAGGCCTCCCTGGCACCTTTTCACATAGGTCACCTGCCTGACTGTAGACCTCTGAGTTTCACTGCTCCTGCTCTGTGGCATTGCTCTATTTACCTCCTCCTCAGCTCCAATCACTGTCACAAGTGTGCTTTAGTCGCTTTCCCTTTAGTCACCTGTGCTTTAGTCACCTGTCCCACAACCACTGGCACATAGTAGGGACTTGTTTGTTGAATGAATGAATGTTGCGTTGCAAAGCAAGGAGCAATTTGGTGCCTTGGTTCTTCTCTCAGCTCTTCTAACAGCTACCTGTATCAGTTCCCAGCAAACTTTCAGTGTCAAAATGCAAACGTTTCTCTGTTTTCAGAGAGAAATAAAGATAAGGTTATACACTCCACTTTACATTTCACATTACTGCACTTTTCCTGCTCAGGAAAAAGATCTTCTGCAAACCACACCAGGACACCACTCCAACTCACTTGGTTTCCTTGGCCTCTTTTTCCCTGGCCAGGGTCTCCCTCACACTAGAAAAGCCTACTCTGTCTAGCTGGCCCCAGAAAATTCTCTACGTCACTCAAGGACTTTGTTTCTTAAAGTCCCCAAGTAACCACCCTGCTTTCTCTGAACATTTAAAAACATATTAAAATAAAATAGAAAACTTGTTTTAAATAAGCTTAGTACTGTGATTCTGTCACACAAAAATAGGAACCACATATTTACTAAAAATGGATTTATTTTATCTGTTTGTCTTCATATTATTTTTTATCGTTACTTATTAAGCTTAAATAGACACCTCCCAGTTATTCCACTTGTATTTGCATTTAAAACTCCTACTTAAAGTGAAACACTTGCATTAAACATTGGACCATTTTTAAAGGATAATTTTTTAAAATATGAGCATTATCATTATAATAATGATGCCATCATTATATTCACCCCTATTTATCTGAGTCTTCTAAGATTAGTCTCAAAAACATATGTTAACCAGAGCTGTATCTTTGCAAATGACAACATTAAGGTGCTTTGCGTAAGGTGTGTAATTTTTCTAGCACAACCCTTTGTTTTCGATACCAAGCTGTGCAACTGCAAGTAGAAAAAAAAGCACATGGCTCTTTAAAACTTTCAGATATGTGTACAACTGTCTAGTTTCCATTATTGGGACTTTTCTGGGCATGTTTCTAAAAGTTTTTGTCTAGAATCCTCCTCCAGCAAGATAGAGAACAGAGCAGAGTCCACTGACAACCTGCCCCTAAACCACTGAGAATAAGGAAGAGGTTGGAGCAGAAGGGCCATTTGTCTTTGTTATTAGGAAATAAATCAACCTTTGTTTTCTTGGCCAAACACAAGGAATGTCATTATTACCAAATAAATTGTGTCGTTACAAATCAATCGAGCCACCTTTCATTTAAATGTGAATCAGTTTAATTGTCTGGGCTTCAAACTTGATTCCACCCTAAGGAAACAAATGACTAGATATATAGATCATTCAAACTCTACATTTGATACAAAATTTTCTACAAAAGCAGAAGTTTTTATTTTTTAGATTAGTCAACACACTAACTTGTCATTCTATATTCTTTTCTCCTAATGAAGGGGTTATCACGAAGTGTTTTCTTGTGAGTATAAGATCAATTTGGCAAAAAGTTAAAGGCTGCCATTCTCAGACTAGGGCAAAACTACATGCTTTGAGATACCACGAGTGAGGTATTTATGTCTGAATACCACCCACTCATCCTAAGGCGTATCCTTTAATGACACATAGGAAATAGTGGCATAAACTTTCCTGTATATTTGGAGGAATTTTCCCAAAGACTTAGGGTAGATTGATGCTTACTTTTAACCAAGTTTCAATCTACCTGTTGCTGAACAGGAGCCTCAGAGTTAAAATAACCCTAGGTTTTAGGTTCTGCTACGGGAATTTTGCATATGGCTATAATTTCATTACAGTACAGTTCTAAGCAGCAGAAACACAATTTCTGAATTAATGATGCTGCTCAACCAAAAGATTACCCTATTCTCTTCTCTGGTTTCGCTCTAGTTTCTCACACTGTCCTTTCTCTTTGGCCTCTCTCCCACCTCTGACCTCCTCCCCAGTTTTCACCCTTGCTTTAACAATTGATTTATGATGGGCCCATGGAAGGGTCAAGCCCACTTTTATGGTTTGCTTAAAATATTTCTTTTAGAGTGAGCATCAGAAGTGGTCTTCAATCCCTGCTAAACAGCCTCACCAAGACCTCAAAAGACCTTCCTTCACTGCCCATCACTGTGTCTTATTTATATCTTTTGTACTGGTGAAGAGAAACTCATTAAGTAGGGCAATTTTGAAACTTTTGCTAAAATGAATAACTTATAAA
Organism: Homo sapiens; assembly: GCF_000001405.40. Classification (NCBI taxonomy): domain Eukaryota; kingdom Metazoa; phylum Chordata; class Mammalia; order Primates; family Hominidae; genus Homo; species Homo sapiens. The sequence goes on from NC_000009.12 coordinate 86,867,194, forward strand.
AGATGTCAAATTTAGCTTTTTTCCCCTCCAATGAGAATGTTTGTGAACGCATATATAATTCAGAAGTAGCGAGGTATGAGGAAGAGAGAAGAAAAAAACGCTAAGAATAATGATAAGCCTTGGATTATTTCTTTTAAGGGATCTATTTTTCTTTGAGTTTGACAGTTTGATCTTTGCTAACACTGAAGCCTGCAGGTCTATTGGGTATACTCTTCCATTCATTGCCTCAACAGTAAATTTCACTCTTTTGTTTAATTGAGTTCCTGTTGTTGTTTCAATATGCTAAATAATTGCCATATTTAGAAATGTTTTTAAAAACTCTGGTTAATGGAACCGAGGAAAATATTATTTTCTACATATTAAAGACTCAGAAGACAGAAAACAGTTTGAAAACATAGGGCTATTTATAAACACATAAACAATCTGAAAGACTAAATAGTGCCTAAGAATAGGAGAGTTTCCTCCAAGATTCCTGGCCTAAAAGTTAATATAACTTTCATGTTCTAATGTGGATCTTAACATTGAACGGTAGATGGTTGTGAAATCTTTGCCACCTTTAGTGAGCCTACATTAAATAGCACCAGATGACCCTTATGTAGATGGCTTCCTAGAGCTTATTGATCTCCTCCCTCCTTGGTCATTAAAAAATGTGATTTATTAGTCTGACATTTTTAATAGGGCAAAGCTCAGAGGTTTATTGCAACGGCTTTCTAGTGTCCATGTTGCCCTAGGCTGCTACCAACATGCAAAAGCTGTCAAGATATCTATCTACACTGCTGTCTAATAAGCTGACTTTTTCTTTTTTTAGCTAAATGGCAACCTCTACATATTTAAAGTGTTTTACACCTATTACATAGCAATGAATTAATTTTTCCCATTTCTCCCTTCTCTTTCATGTAGCAAGAGGTGTTTCCCCCTAATTAAATGCTGTCGTTTTCTTAGTGTGAGGCTTGGCAGGACTCCAGAAGCAAGCAAGCTTGAACTGAAGAGGTCTGCTGCCAAGAGTCTGTGTGACCTCAGACAAAGAGCAGGTCTCTGAGCCACTGCCTTCCTCAGCCAAGAAGGAGACCCCCGCTGGCAACCAGCAGTCCTCTCAGGCGTGACATCGCAAATCCAGCCCTCTAAGTATCCCTGAGCCAATATATGGAAATACTGTAGTCCAAAGCAAGGTCTGGGGCCTAGATTCTAATTTCCTAGTCTTTGTAGTCATGGATCTTCATGAATGGGAAGAAACATGTGTGCTGAACATCAAATTTAGATTCATATCTCAGAGTTTTGGCCAGTGCCCAGCAGAAATTTGGGGGACAGGAGGTGAGTAGAATATGAATAGCAGGGGATATTCAAATAAGCGAGTCGTGTGGGGCTGGATTCCTGCCCTATATTTGGACCTTCTGCCCCACTAAAGTCATCAGCTCCTTTTCCTCCAGTTTCTTCCAGTAATGCATGTCTAATTTGCATGTATTTGGTAGTAAGAGCTCTATAAGAGAAGAAGGAGGAGCAGAAAGAGGAAGAGAAGTACAGTTTTTTGAAAGAAAGAGCTGTGGTTCTTTTGATTTTAGTCTCTTTAATTAGCCACATCATGTTTGTGGCATGAACCCAGAATAGGAGTTTCACAACTTCCAGGGGATGTTTAAATAGGCGTGAGGAATCAGAATTCTTCTCGTCACATTTGCATGCCCATGTATGCTGCCCAAGAGACACCACAGGATAAGGAGAATCTGGCACAGGCCTATAATTAGAAGCTCTTCTGTAGACAATAAACTGATAAACAATTGCATTTGAGATTTGCTAGGATATGTATGTTCTATGATACCAGGACTACAGCTGAATTGTTTTGACTAATGTTTTTGAAGCAAAAAATATGGTCCCAGCACTCATTTTATGATGAATTGTAAAATGCCTTGCCTGTTTCTTTCCCTTGTTACTTCTTTCTACCAAGTAAACATAGTAGGCATGTCAGTGGTTGCTCTGGGGAAGCAGATGCCCTGACCAGGATGCTTCCCTTGTGTTGCTAAGAGAACCTCTTCCAAGAGGTTCCTGGGGGTTGGGGATGATCATAGTAGGTCCCCATGTCACTGGAGCAGTCCTAGTTAATAATATGCTATTGTCCCAGCATACAGATTAGTAACTCCCCTTTCACTCTCAAAGGTGTCTTGGTTTGGACCGGGTGTGTTGTACCCCCATCAGTGTGGGCACTTCATAAATGTGGAATGGGACTGGCATTTCAACCTCAGGGTTCATATTGTAGTCCTCAGTGGTGAAGTGTAACTGCAGGGAGGCCTGGTCCTGGGTCACATGTTTCAGAGTCACGCAGACCTGAGTCTATGTTGTTTAGACATATGAACTTGGATGAGTTACTGAATCTCTCTGAGCCTCAAGTTTCTCACCTATAAAACGGAATAACCATTTATAAAAAATTATAAAAAAGAATAAGCATTATAAAAAAGAATAACCATTTTTAACAAAGAATTAAATATAAAGCACCCAATATCAGTGTCCATAAGTCGGGAACTAAATTAATATTTGCTTTCACTGATGCCTGCCCCCTAACTTTAGTAGTAAAATCTTTTCAATTCTAAATTATGCCTTTTCAGCTACATATTAATTCTGATGGAAATAATAAATCTAAGTCTATCTCTGAAGATCAGAGATAAGACTTCTGTTTCCAGCTTCGCCACTGACTTGAAGCACACAAGTCATCTGCAAGCTCTGCAAATTGTTTAATAAGCCTGTATGACAAGGATGATGATATAACAAGCAAAGAATATTGAAAGACTATTCCTTTTTTTCTTTTTTTTATACTTTAAGTTTTAGGGTACATGTGCACAACGTGCAGGTTAGTTACATATGTATACATGTGCCATGTTGGTGTGCTGCACCCATTAACTTGTCATTTAACATTAGGTATATCTCCTAATGCTATCCCTCCCCGCTCCCCCTTCCCCCTACCCCAGAGAACAAGTATTGATCACTTTTAAAAAAAATTCCACCAATGGTACCAGAAAGTGTACTGGATGCTACATGAGTTGGAAAAAGCAGCAATGGCCCATGACCTAAGGGACTGGACATTTAGTTGGAAAAGTTATAGATGGACCCAAATGCCACAGGGTTTCTCAACTTTTGCACCATGGACATTTTTGGCTCCGTGGTAAAGATTGTCCTGTGCATTGCAGGGCATTTAGCAGCATCTTTGGCCTTTTCCTGCTAGATGCTGGTAGCATCCCCAATCCCAGTTGTGACAATCAAAACTGTCTCCATTAGTGTGACTGCACAATTTTCAGGACGCTGTGCAAAATGAAAATGTAGGCCCCTTGTTGAAAAAGCAGGGAAAAAGTAACATCAAAGGTACTAAAATGGGCAGCTTCTCCTTTCTTCCACCGTCTCTCTCTCTCAACTTGCCCAGGTATTAATATTTTTTATTTGCTATTTAATGTCACTCCAAGTAAAGAAAAATAAAAACTTTAACTTATTAGCATGAATTGTACTGTTTATCTTTATATTACAGAATGCCAGTTTTAACCACAAATATAACAGCATTTAGCTCATATAAAGAAATGATATAGCTGAGTGCAGTGGCTCACGCCTATAATCCCAGGAGTTTGGGAGGCCAAGGCGGGTGGATCACCTGAGGTCAGGATTTCAAGGTCAGCCCATCTCCAGTAAAAATACAAAAAAATTAGCCAGATATGGTGGCGTGTGCCTGTAATCCCAGCTACTCGGGAGACTGAAGCAGGAGAATCGCTTGAACCTGGGAGGCAGAGGCTGCAGTGAGCCGAGATTGTGCCACTGCACTCCAGCCTGGATGACAGAGTCACGCTCCATCTAAAAAAAAAAAAAAATTACCCAACTCCTATGTCATAGTTCATGCACGCACATGCATGTCACTCTTACTAGAATAGCGAAAATGTTGCACAAAATATGTGCACATTCGGCTGGGCACAGTGGCTCATGCCTATAATCCCAGCACTTTGGGAGGCCAAGGTGAGCGGATCACCTGAGGTCAGGAGTTCGAGACCAGCCTGGCCAACATGGTGAAACCCCATCTATACTAAACATACAAAAAATTATCCAGGCGTGGTGGTGCATGCCTGTAATCCCAGCTACTCAGAAGGCTGAGGCAGGAGAATTGCTTGAACCTTGGAGGCAGAGGTTGCAGTGAGCCGAGATCGTGCCACTGCACTCCAGCCTGGGCAACAAGAGTGAAACTTCGTCTCAAAAAATAAAATAAAAAATATGCACACATTCCACAAACTCTCTCTACCTTCAACTTACTGCTGAGTAAGGAAGATCTGGAAGGAAAAGGAACTATGCATTGCCCTATCTTTCCTTTTCTCTCTGTGTCATCATTTGCAGGACAAGTGGTTGGCTAATACAGGAAAATGGCCTGAATAAGAAAGAATATGACAAGATTCCTTCATTGCTTGTGTTTTCCTGCACTCAAAGAAGGCTCTGGTTCAAGCAGAAAGTACAGCCTAGTGGAGCTACATTCGTATAGATGAAACACTCTTAATTTGTACAACTTTTGAGTCTCACTGAACTCCCACTCATGGTAGACCACCGGAATTCTGTGCTCATGGGGCATCATGAATGCTACTATACGTGAATGGGGTGGCAAGAAAAGGCATACCCACATATTCTACATCTTTCTTATGCACATTCTCCATGGTCCCATCAGACTTTACTTACAAAATACAAGCTCAAAGATAAAATTATTAAGAATGATAAGGGGCAGCAACAGAGCATTAAAATGAAACATGGGGCCCTTCGGAATAGGCAGCCCGGTGACAATAAATCAGTTGTCAAACATTGCCAAACATTTTCTGGGGGTTTAGAACCACCTAGGTGTGGTACACAGTAGGCTGCACTCAGTGCAATCCTAAAAAAATTGACAGAACCATAATGGATTTAAAATGTGCTATTTCAGACAGGGGAGCAAGGAAAGCTTGACCAAAGAGATAGAAAGTGAGTGGGACCATAGAATATAAAAGTTTGGAAATTCCCTGAGCTTATTCGTTTTTGGTATTTTATTTCTTCTCTTTGGAGAAAAACAGTTTTGAAAGTGTTTAATTTTTTAGTGGATCATATTTATAAAATATTATTAATTTTGTCCCCACAAAGGAAATTTTTGTCAGTGTATACACCACTAATTGAGAAAGAAGTTATTTTAAAATGGGGCAGATTGTACTTATAATTATACACCATGTATTTTACCTTATAGATGAAAAATTCTGAGCAATTTCATACTTTTGCAGGAGATACATTACACTATAAAAATCCAAGTTTTTATATGTCATCAATCCTAAAATGCAGTAGATGAAGTTGCACAACCCCTTCTCTTTTTACAGAAGCCTAATTGAAGCAATAGTGATTAACATTAGCGCAAGAACCCAGGCCATGTTGAAGACGTGGCATCAATATTGAGTGTAATTTTGCAATTAAAATACGAATATGAAAAGATAATCAGATAACTTAAGTTTAAGGATTCTTTCCACCTCTTTGGGGATTCGCTCCTTAAACATAAACAGTGGTAGATGAACAGGAAGCTAAATGAGGACTCAGAATATTCAGGTTTAAATCCCAGCTGCTTCCCTTTACCTTTCTGCCCCCCAGTTTCCTATCTGTCCCAATGGTGATAAGCCTCATCCTGTTCCCTCACAGGGTTGTGTTGTGAGTGTTACATAAAATAGTATGCAAAGGAGTTTTGTTAACTATGAAAAGTGTATGATTATTTGGCAATCTGTTGTTATTAATTACATCAGAAGGGTCTGAACCACCTACATGTGTAATCAATTTTTTTCAGACTATCCCTAAAAAAGCACAGGATACATAATGCTAGTTGCTATATAACAAATAATCCTCAAATCTCAGTGGCTTAACACAAATATATTTATTTATTACCTGTCTTAGTCTGATGTAGGCCAGATGGCTCTCCTTGGTGACTCTCCTCCACACTGTGACTCAGGAACCCAGGTTCCTTCCATCATGTGATGACTCTATTCTAACATGTATCCTCCACAAATGCTATAGCATGGGAAGAGAAGTGGTATGGAGGTTCATGCAGGAGACTTCTAAAGCCAGTCCTGGAATATGTCTGCTCAAATTCCATGCCTAAAATATAGTCAAGTGACTTCAAACTAACTGCAAGAGATAATGGGAAATGTAGTCTTTATGTACAGAAAGAAGAAACAGCATTTGGTAAGAATCTATCTAGTCTCTGCCACATTTCAGAAATAATATGATGGCCCAATACAGAAAATTATTATTTTATTTTCTTGTATGCTAGATCTGGCCAGGGAAAACGTGACAGGTCATTGTCACTTTAAGTGATGTCTGCTTAGACTTGAGATTGAGTCCAGACTATATCTTACTAGATGGGTGAAGTAGCATGCATATTTGAGCTAGCCTTCAAGAAAACACTTATTTGCATGATATTTTGATTATATTAATGAAATCAACAATACTGACAGTGCATTTCTAATATATATTTGGCACAAAGCTAGGCACTGGGTTGAGACCAGTACACACACACATACATGCACACACATGTATTTATCAGGCCCAAAACCCTTACCCCAACCTCCAGCTCCAGGAACTATAAAAAGTAGGGGGGGGGTCAAAATTAGCCCACATAGAACAACAGTGAGCAAAACTAGGAAATCCACAATTAAGCACTACACTGTAAGCTTCTGACTATAAAGCAAAGGCTGTGGACTTTCATCTCATCGACTGAATTGGTCCCATTTTGTTTGGACCACACTGTGTTTTGTTTTAAAAGTCTGAACCAACATCTTAAAATCGGAAGATTTCATTATAACATTCTCTTGGAGAAGTAGAAAATCTGGCGACTTCCCCTCCCCACCCTGTAACAACCAATGGAGCTGAGTAGTGGTCGTCCCCTTGACACGGGACACACCCCTCCAGGTATCATGGCCCCACCTCTCTCTACCAAGGCTCCACAGTGAGAAATCTTGGATTGTCATTTCTCACGTTCTTTTCCTCTAATTTAAAAAATGTTTTTCTATACTCATGTCTCTATAAAAATTAGAAAATGAAAAATAGGACAAGAAAATTCTGGGTTTCATGAAATATGGGATATTGCTAAATCTTAGTGAGGCTGAGGGACACTCTTAAACGTTTACCATGCAAAAAGAGTGCATCTTCATCCAAAACATAGAACCTGGGGTTGCGTTACATTACCACCCTGGCCTGGTTGACACTTTAAAAAGATAGCTTTATTGAATTATAATTTACAAATCATTAAATTTGCCTGTAATCAATGTACAATTCAATGATTTTAGTTAATGTATTGAATTGTACAATCATTACCACAATGTAATTTTTTAGAACGTTTCCATCACTGCCCAAATTCCCTTGTGCCCAGGTAACAGTTATTCCCTGCTCCCACCCTCAACTCTAGGCAAATACTGATCTGTTTTTCTTCTCTGTTTGATAGACATTTGAGTGTTTAAATCATGCTCTGAGAGCTATAAGGTATTCAGGGGAGAAGGACATTATTCCATTCTGACATAGCAAAGACCACACATAAAATAGTCTTTTGCTAGTTTGTATATACAGATGCTGACCAAAGAGATAGGTATTTGAGAGTTACTATCATTTTTTTGCGTAACTATTTGCAGAATCACTTTCTTCCATAGAATAGTTTCATTGCAGCCTGAAGACTGCCTGGATAACTTTTCTTAGTATTTGTGTATAAGTTGAAAATTTAAGACAAAATACAAATCACATCATACTATTATTAATATGTTTATGATTTCATTGTTCCTTATAAATCAAACAATAGCAACAAATAATATGTAAATAAATGTCCCCACATCCTTTTCTTCTTTTCACCTATAAGGGAATCAGAGGTCCTTGAAGGCCTAAAGCATGTCATCATCTCCATGGAATAATCAATGATTACTGTAACTCCCAAGTCTTCTCCTTTCAGACCTCAAAACATTTATAATCATGTAACCCTCATTAAGCAATTTATCAAGAGTTTTTTCTTGTGACAGTTCTTCTGTTGTTTCTTGTACTATTCAGTTATTATCTTGATATCATTTAGTTTGACATATGTTTATCATGTAACCTTGACCATCTATTTCCTTAATATTTTAAGATCAATTAGAGTTCTTATACATCTTTGTATTCTTTGTGCAAAGCCTTAATCCCCTACCTTTCCTACAGTAGGTGTTCAATAAAACATGTACTATTTCTTTGTGAAGAATAGATGTCATTTATGAATTACATTTAAGGATTACAGAAGTAATCCTTCAGCTTTAAATGCAATAAAAATAAAATAAGTTGGTTGAATCAATATAGACAAGATTTAGCAAGGTTTCGTTTGTTTATCATTGCAACTAAGACTGCTGAAACAGCTTAAGGTGAGGTTGGTCTGCTTATTTTTGTATCTTAACAATCAAATTAGATCAACTATTTAATCTGTTGCTCACAGCTCTGACATTTAGTCAATTAAACAAGGAAGCCTGGGCGCATCCTAGAAGCAGTATTACTGTTTGCCACTTTTCTGTTGCTTCTGAGTTTTTTGTTTTTGTTTTTGTTTTTCTCTGTGGCTTTCTTTGTGCCTGTCTACTTTTCCCAACATTGTCTGAGTCTTTCTCTCCTCCCTGACTCCTTTGTCCATCTGCGTCTCTGCTGTGGCCTATGTTTGGTGGTTGTTCTCTGACTGGCTCCTACAGTGTCAGCATCCCCCAAGTTCAGGGACATTTCAGATTACTAGCACTGGCTTGTCTCACACAGAAAGATCGGGAAGTCATTTGTAGGTAAACACGGGTCATAGAAGGCATGCGGGGAACCTTTAACATCCTATGCAGATAAGATATTTGTGCTAATAATTTTTTCAAGAAAAGGTGAAGAAGGAACAAAAGGAAAAATAGTAAATTCTCCAAACAGAGAAACTGAAATATTTTAGAACATTGCAGAAATGCAACATCATAAAATCTTAATCCTTGATTTGATCCAAATGGAATTTAATATTCAACAATGCCACTTATTAGGAGAGAGTCTATATACTGCAATGAGCTGTGACTCTGTATTTAAAAATATGCAATTCATCTTCTTTTCTAGATTAGCATGATGTCTCTCTCTCAGAATACAAGGATAACACTTTTTAAAAATCTGTAAGATCATTCTTTCGGGCCCAGGTTATAATGATCAGAGAAATTGCAACTTAAGAGGATTTCACTTTTAAATACTTTTTGCGTGTTTTCATCCACATCTGATATTCTCCACAAAGCCACTTTGAGATCTTGAAAAAAAGTTTTTGAAATAAGCAAGTGTCCCTTTCTGGAGGAAAATAATTCTACAGATGTCACATCTTCACCCCACAACAAGATTGTCCCCCAGAAACCTCCAGCCTTCCCGCTGCTTCATATTCATTAATTAGTCTGAGTTTTCCTCCGTGTTTCGTTTACAAAGCCACTTAAACCCACGCACCCATTTAACATATTTATGACCCCAGCTTTCTCTCTGTTCTCTGAGACTGTACCGTAATTGTTCTCTGGAACCAGGGACTGCAGAGAGCCTTCCCTGCTGAAAAGAGACAACATAAAGAAGGAAATGAATGTGTGCGGGTTGAATACCTTCAACAAAACGACTGGGTGCAGTTTGGCCCCTGTGCCCCCCCCTCCCGGGGTCACTTTAATTGAGTGGAGCCTCAACCTCTATTGAGTGTATGGGAGACTATTAACTCTTAACAACGCTCCGTCTCAGGTTATTTATTTATTGCTTAAATGATTTGTTATTGCTACTTGAACACCCTCTGGGAACCAAGATGGCAGCATCATGTTACAGAAAAACTACAAGTTATTTTAAAACTGTAATTGACGTTTTATGAGAGCCATAAAATCTTTCTGAACAAATAACTTACCATTAGTCAGAACCTTCAGCGGGAGATCTGTAAAATTAAGGATATGGTAGAACAGTACTGTACTTGTGTGTGTCTGTCTGCGCGTGTGCTGGAGAGGGTGGGACCGTAGGCAAGCAGGGAAGCAGCAGACACATTCTAGTGGATTATTTCCCATTGCTTCCAAGCATCTTGATTTAAATCATCACATGTTTGAGCCAGAGGGATCTGGGAAATAAGGCCAAAGATTCCCAGGAAGGATGACCTGCATCTGACAAACACATTTCAGGTGACCACCCTGGGTCCTTCACCTTTGGCTAGGCATGGAAACGACTTCCTAGCCAGACACCCGGTGTACTGCAACCAAGCTCCCCAGCTTAGCAGAGTCAGCAGAGACATCAGTTAGCATAACACCTCCTTGGGCTATCAGGCCGAATTGTATGTGGGTTCTTAAGACGTTTATGGCAGCTATAAGAACGTATCATGGACGGGTTTGAAGCATCCTAGTTCCTGGTCCAGCAGAATTTAACATTTTGACAGTGATTTGAGATAATAAGACAGACTTGAGTTGTAAAATCCATAATTCCAAAAATAGTACTGCCAGTTTTCTATTTAATGGGATGCTGTCGTGGATGCCACCAAGATCCCTCACCAGGATTGAAGTTCTCATTCCTCCAGTTGTCTTGACTGTTGGCTGCTGAGCTCACAGTTGCAGCCCCAGGAATTGCCTTTGGTAGAAGTGAGGTTGCCTCACTCAAGTTATGTCCCCTGCTCCAGAGTAGTCCAGATCCATAGAGGAGGTACAAAAGCCCAGCTTTCTCACCTCAGCTCTGGACAACTCTAAACTGCCATCCCAGTTACAGAGTGACATATAGATTACCCAAGGCCTTGGCTGCACCTGCATTGTCGTTCAGCTCCTCCCTCTGCCCCATTTGGCTTTCCTCGCTTCCTTATAGATGTTGTTCCTGAGAGCACTCCCCAACTCTGCACACTCTCAGAATACATTTCCAGAGGAACTCAACCTAAGACACATGTTCATTTTGCCTTCATTGACCCTTCCACCAACTTGGACCCCTAAGGATCACACTCTTACCCACCAGCCAAGGGAGCCCCAGGCTGCTTCATAAGTCACACAAGAATTTATTTAGCTGATTCCTAATCTTTTTTGCTCTGACTTCTTCCTTGTAGTTTCCAAATGCTCAGCTCTGAAATTCCCACCAAATCTCACTTATGGATCCTGAATTTTGGTCACATTTTTATTTTCTTTGTACCTTACCTTTTCCCAATTGGCTTTGACTCTGAGTCCTCATTCTATATCTTGGAGGTAATTTTTGTAGCCAGTGGTAAGAAGCTCCTCACAATAGGCCCAGATGAAAGAGGAACCCAACCTCTGGTGCTAGTACCTGTCTAGTTAATGCTGCTCTCTCCCCCATCGAGCCCTCTACCCCACCCACCTGCCAATATTTTGAGGTAAGCACATCAGACAAAGGGAGATTAGGAACACTCAGAAAATTAGACACTAGATGCAATTCATGATGGGAGAGCATGATATTCAGATTTTGTTGGGCCTTAATCTTCTAAAAGTACTAGCAATGTGCTAGGCACTACACAGAACACAGCATACACGCTGTGTATACAAAACTGAATGAAAGTGCATGGGCACAGAAATAAATAGCACAACATCAGGCTTCTACTATTATATAGAATATGCCTGATTATATAGACTAATACAAGAGGAAACTTAAAGATCATCAAAGACACCAACTTCTTCCCCTTCCCCATCATGTGCACACATAACGTGCCAAACTTCGTTTTCTAGACTATGGGCTTCTGAATACTTGTCTTTAGGACAGGGGAATTGTCACATCTCTGGAGGTCCTTTTTATTTCCAAAGAGTTCAAGTTATTTGAAAGTTATTTTCAAGGAAGTTTAAAAATATTTCTGGGATTTGTTTTAATCAGGCATGAAAGACATGCAGACACAGAAATTGACTATTATGAAGTCAATGTTCACAGACTGCTAGGAACAGGAGGCATGACACGCCATGCGGGGTATGTGGGGCAGCACCAGGGTCATCAGAAGGCAGAGGGAGCCAGGGGAAAACATGGGCAAGATTCTTTACTGTGTTTTCCATGAGGAGGAACCCATGAGGTAGAATAAGCAGGTTTAGGATTGGCTAGTTTGAGTAATTTCAATGGGCTCTGGGACTTAGCCACTGTTTCTAACTGTCTGACACCTGGCCGTGGGGTGATTGAGACAGGTGGATAATGGCCCTGAGTGGGAGAGCCAAATAAAGAAAGTGATTGGTGGCTATCCACAGAATGAGTCTATCCATAGGATATGGCCCTACAGGGGAATTGTTGGCTCTAGATGTATTCGTCCATTCTCTTCCTGCTGTAAAGAAATACCTGAGACTGGGTAAATTATAAGAAAAGAGAATTAATTGTCTCACAGTTCCACAGGCTATACAGGAAGCATGGCAGCATCTGCTTCTGGGGAGGTCTTAGGGAGCTTTTACTCATGGCAGAAGGTAAAGCCAGAGCAGGCATCTTCATATGGCTGCAGCAGCAGGAAGCAGGGGTGGAGGTGCCACACACTTTTATACAACCAGATCTCGTGAGGACTCTGTCCTGAAAACAGCACCAACGGGATGGTGCTAAACCATACATGAGAACTTCCCCCCTATGATCCAATCACCTCCCACCAGGCCGCACCTTCAACAACGAGATTACAGCTGAACGTGAGATTTGGGTTGGGACACAGATCCAAACCAGGGAAATACGCATTTGTCATGGGGCAGAATCTGAGAAATTTCCCTCCATTGAGGCTCCTCATTGCTTTGTTCTTAATTATTAAAATTTTGTAGCATTCTTTACTTAGTAAGTTAATGTTGTTAACTGATCATTCTCTTATCTGTATGTCTATAACTTATTAAAATAGGAAGTAATGAAAGTCAATTTTCCTTCCATTGCCCTATTCCTTTTTTACCTATACCCAGAATGATTGGAGAGTGTGGGCTCTAGATTGGTTGGTGTGCAGATGAAAGGGGCACTCCCAGGCAAGCTGTTTGCTATCTCTAGGAATTAGCTGCCCTGGGAGCAGTAGTTTCTCTTGAGTTAGCAAGTCTCAGATGTCAAAACATCAAACACAGAAACTAGAAAATGTAATTATTACAAGGGATAAGCTGCAGCTGCCTGTCTGCGTTTTCTACCCAAAGTCTTACCTCGACGCTATGGAGCTTTAACCTGGGATTTCCTGCAGAAGGCTCTCAGCTCCTTGCAGTTGCTCATTCTCCTCTGACTCTGCTTCCCCATCTGAGTCAGGGCTGAACCTCCTCTCTCACTCATCTCACTTGAGAGACACCAGTTTATCCTTTTCTTCTCCCGTGTCCTACACGTTACCCAGCACATGGTTGGGAACATTCTAGTTATCTGCAAATGCATTTTGAGCACTTACAGGTCTATCCACAGGATATGTTCCTACAGGGCAATTGTTGGCTCCAGGGAAATATGCCTTTGTCATGCTGCAGATATTGAGAAATTTCCCTCCATTGAGGCTCCTCATTGCTTTGTTCTTATTTATTATAATTTTTTAGTATTCTATACCTAGTCATTAATGTTGATAACTAATCATTCTTCTTAAAGTATTAAAAGTATAAAGTACTTCTATAAAGTATTAACATAAGAAGTAATGAAAGTCAATTTTCCTTCCACCACCCTCATTCCTTTTGTACCTATACCAAGAGGGAGTTGTAATAATGTTCAGTTGATTATACTCTTATAAAATAATTTTTACCTCTTTATCATCTGGAAAAGCAACCCTAAGCCATTAAAATAATAAATGAATTAATCTGGGTGGCATGCACCGGTAATCCTAGCTATTTGGGAAACTGAGGCGAGAGAATCACTTGAGCCTAGGAATTTGAGACTAGCCTGGGCATAAGACCCCATTACCAAAAAAAAAAAAAAAAAAAAAAGTATGAATTAATGAAAAACAAGAATGTTGTAAGTATTTTGATTAAATAAAAAATTATAGGGTAACTACAGGCAAAAAATTCTTATAGAAAAGTTGATAGCTTGTTTTTAGTAACAGAAGGAAAAGTGGAAAAGTCCAAATGGAGTATTTCCAAATAAAGTTTATGAACAATAGCAAGAATTCACAGCATTCATATTTTATACTTTGTTTTAGAAACCTCATAGCACTTCAGGAAAAACAAATAGAAGGGGAAACTGATGAAAATAGCACAGATTTTCCTTGTGGCAGAAACTATTTAATTTTTGGAAAGAAATTTGCTGTGCAAGAAGAAAACATAAGTCCTTAATCGTCTAGACTACCCATTTGTCCAACCAGCCTCAAAGACAGTCCATCTCTGACCTTTCATGGTCTCAGGGAATTTCCAGCATGAAGAAAGTTCAAAATCTATATTTAATGGCTACTTGGCAGGAGGACTGATAAATGTGTGAAAATTTTTATTTTCTGAAGCTCAGCATCCCAATGCTTATTTGGACTGCTCTTTACTTTCTCATTTTCATCTTATATCTTAAAATTCCTGGCCAGGCGCGGTGGCCCACACCTGTAGTCTCAGCACTTTGGGAGGCCGAGGTGGGCAGATCAGCTGAGGCCAACCCGGTGAAACCCTGTCTCTACTAAAAATACAAAAATTAGGTGGACGTGGTGGTATGCACCTGTAGTCCCAGCTACTTGGAAGGCTGAGGCAGGAGAATCACTTGAACCCAGGAAGTGGAGATTACTGTGAGCCAAGATCATGCCACTGCACTCCAGCCTGGGCGACAGAGCAAGACACCATCTCAAAACAAAACAAAACAAAACAATCAAAATTTCATTTTTCTACTGCAGAGGAACAAGAGAAAACCTCAGCTTACTTTTCACATTTTACCTAGCACTTGGGTGTGTGTGACCTAAAAGCTCAAACGTCTTTTTATAGCCAGTGTTTTACAATTAAACAATGCAGCGTGCATATAACGGCTGTGCCCCAAGGAACCCCCTGAATATAGAAACTTCTCCAGTATCTCCTAGTCTGTGTATCTCATGAAGAGGGCATTGAGGAGGTAAGTGGAGTGTGTTTCACCTCCCTAAGACCTTTAAAGTCTATTCTCATGGGTACCCAAAACTCACAGCTCAACATCACTTTGACTTCTCCTTGTCTTTGAGATGATTTATTAACCTATTTGTCTCAAATTTTCACATACTCCCAGGTCTTATCAACCTTATCTTGTTACCATTGCAACAAATGCGCTCCTGTCTTCAAAGCTCCCCTCCTTGACTCTCTGAGTCGCTTCTGCATTTACCGGCTTCTCCCCAGCACAGATGCCTCCAAAGGCTGACACTCCTGCTACATTCATCTTTCAAAATCATTCTCTTTGTGTTGTTCACATCCTTCTTCCCCACACTGTTTTAAAGCTTTCAAAAATTTCTCACTACCTAACAATGGACACCTCTGGCTACACTGCCTGGCTACTTTCTCAGTGCCAGGCCTGCCTTAGTTCATCCTTGCAATGACTCCCCTTGACAGAAGTGAAAAATGAAGTGGTTCAACTTCACAGAGGTAGTAAGTGGAAGCCCCAGCCTTTGGTCTCTCATCTCTATCTGGTGTTAGAGACCATGTTCTTAATGAGTATACTCTGCCTCCTTCAGAGGCATTCTAATATTCGGAATTCCTCATTCTGAGATTTAAGGAGCTGAAAAATCAAGGCTCATATTATGTCTCACCACTTGAGCTCTTTGCTTCATCCCAGAGTAAATGATTTGTCTCTCTGGTGAGCAACGTACATGACTTTGTTTCTATCTGGTCAGAATATTTGCTCCTTAAAGGCAAGTAACTATGTTATACTTCCTTCTATCTCCCACAACGTAATTACTCCCAGCTCAAAAAATACTTGGTTATTTTGGAGAAACTTCTTCCATCTTCAAGGGATTCAGCGTATTTGGTCTTGGGTTCTCAAACTGCTTTCTCAGCTGCACTTCTGGGCTCTGCCCCCTTTGGAATGTTAGAGATGGTTTCTTCTTCTGAGAAGTGTCAGAAAACAGGCATGATGAAGCTGCACACTAGGCAGGATCCTAAAAGTATGTAGATTTATGCCATGGCTTGAAACATTTATTCACTTGCCTTAAAAGACGACGAAAGATGTTTCTATAAAAAAAATCAGTGCATAGAATGCCAATATGGGGGCCACATGAATGCAGAATTGTGGACAAATAACACAACTCCCCATGAGACTTGGAATTCCTTAGGTAGACACCCTCTGATCCTGGTTGTATATTTCGTAGATGAAGTAAAAGAAACATTACTATTGTCATCCTCGCTGAATTCTTCCATGCTGTAACCCAAACAGTGATATGTTTGGGTTAACTGGATTGATGATGGCGATGAAAACAGACGCATGGGTGTTGGGTGAACTAAAATCTCAGAAATCACCACTGAAGAATTTATCCATATAACAAAAGCCACCTGTAAGCCAACAACTAATGAAATTAAAAAAATAATAAACAGAAGCAGATACCTTATGGGAGCCAGAGCATATGATCAAGACATATAGCAAGTGCAGTAGGCATGTCCTTGGAAAGACACCTGCTGCTCCTTTCTGGACACTCAATGATGGGGCCGATTCAGTATCTGCCGCTTCTCAACCAGCAGAAAACTTCACTCCCAGACAATGATTTCAACCTTGGCTGTGCTGTGGAATTGCCTGGAGATGTTAAGAGACAGATGCCCAGATCCCACTCCTGGAGATGGGATTTTTACGAACTTCTCAGACAATTCTAGTGCTCAGCCACAGGCTGAGAGTTGTTGGTTTTCTGAACCCTTGCAACAAGATATGGCCTGTGAAGCAGCATCTGGAGGCACCTGAAGCCCATTAGAAATGCAGAGTCTCAGGTCCCACCCCAGAGCTGTCAGATCAAAATCAACATTTCAGCAAGACTCCCATAAGACATGTATGCACATTAAAGTTTGAAGAAGCACAAATCTAGGCTCTTCTCTTCCTATGTAGCTTCTGACCTCCTGAATCTTCGGCTTCTAGTAACTCAGTGCCTTTTCATCTGTCTGTGTGATACTCTGCTTCTTTTCCTGCTCTAAGTTGTTGACTCCGTCTGCAAGTTTTGGAGGCATGTTGACTGCCCACCCCTGTTCCCAGCACAAACTGTAGCTGATCCAGTGAGACAGAACCACCTATCCCAGTTGGGCAGAGCTGCCCCAGGCCTGCTGGCCAGTCTGAAGACCAGCTGCGTGGGAGGAGTCCTTTCATGTCTGATCCACTGTGGCCGGATCTGGAGACACCCAATCCCAGAGGCCAGCTTTCCTTAGGTGAGGCCATGGGCCCAGCAGACATCCACTGAGGCCTCTCCTCTCTGATTCCTTTCCTTCCAGAGCTATCATTCTTGGAAATTACTATCATGTCTCACTCTGGAATAGTTAAACCTTGCAATGTGTTGTCCATAGCTGAGAGATGCTTATGCAGGTGGAAGAGAATTCTGGTGTTGATGAATCGGGCCTCTGAGGATAAAAGGCCACTGGAAATGATTCATTATTTAACTTCACCCCAGGCCTGAGGGTGAAGTTAAAGCAGGCTGATAAATTCCATTCTGATGTAGAAAATGAGGTGCGGATAGAAGCTGCTGGTTAGCTATAAAAAGAGACTTTTTTCCAAAGTGTATCCTTCCTTCCTTCCTTCCTCTCTCTTCCTTTCTTTTTCTTTCTTTCTCTCTTTTCTTTCTTTCTTTCTTTCCCTTTCTTTCTCCCTCTTTCTTTCCTTTCTTTCTTTTCTTTTCTTTTCTTTCTTTTCTCTCTTTCTTTCTTTCTTTCTTTTTTTCTTTCTTTCTTTCTTTCTTTCCTAATGGAGTTTCTTACTTTACTTTCTTTCTTTCTTTCCTAATGGAGTTTCACTCTGTTGACCAGGCTGGAGTGCAACGGCGCAGTATTGGCTCACTGCAACCTCCGCCTCCTGGGTTCAAGCAATTATCCTGCCTCAGCCTCTCAAGTAGCTGGGATTACAGGTGCCCGCCACCACGCCCAGCTAATTTTTGTATTTTTAGTAGAGACGGGATTTTGCCATATTGGCCAGGCTGGTCTTGAACTCCCAAAATCTTTTTTAATTTAAATCCAAGATATACGAATGGTATTGACTAACCAACTGCTGCTTCATCTTTAGAAACAAATGCCACCTGGAGAAAGCAGGGAGACATTAAGAGTCTGCAAAGACAGCCATGAGAGGGCTTCCTGCACCCTCCCCTCCCTGCTGCCCCACATTTCCAGTCCCTGATAATAGTCCTGCTTCCAACAGTTCCCGCCTCCCCAGCAAGGTGTTGGAGACTTCCTGAAGAGATTCCTATTTTTCCCTTGCATTTGCATTTAAACGATGACTCTAAGGAGAGCTGTGATCTAAGAAAAAGAGGGAAAGACTACAAAAGGCATTTCAGGGAGGGCTGTACCTTGTTTTGCTTTTTTGTGAGCGGAAGGAAAGGATACTTTTCCCTTAATCACCTTAAGGCATTTTCCTCCCAGGGTTGTCTTCACAGTCGGCATTTTTTTCAAACCATCGAGAGCAGCTAAACCAAGCAAAGGACAACTCTGGCTTAGGTTTCTTGAGCTTTACCTGAGATGACTTACTGTGAGTAAATTGAAGAATCTTTGCCTTCATAAATATGCCAGAGGTTTGTTTGCCATGGGGAGATTTGTAATCACTTCACCAGCACCTTTAAATGGACCTGCAGGTGTGCCCAAGTTAAGAAAAAATAATGTTGAAATGCAGATGATAAATTATATTAGGGAAGAACTATACGGTAAAATTTATAGCTAAATAGTAAGAGCCGCTAAGCTATTTGATTAAAAATAAATGACCACTTTCATGAGAAATCTGTGGAACAGAAAGAAATTAATCAATTGTAAATAAACACAAAATGAAGAGAAAGCCCCTCTGCAATATTTTCTGTACATTGCTATGTGTAAATGTAATTCTTTTGACAAACAATTAGAATAGGAAGATGACACTGGTGCAAATTGAGGCAAAATGAATCTCTCTGTACACACTGTGCTATGGTCTAAGTGTCTGTGTCCCCCAAAATTCATATGTTGAAGCCCTAATCTTCAAGGTAATCATATGAAGAGGTGGGGTCTTCGGGGGATGATTAGGTCATGGGGGCAGAGCCCTCATGAATGGGATTAATGGCCTTCAAAAGAGACCTGAGGGAGCTCCCTTACTCCTTCCAGCAGAGAAGCAAAAAGACAGGTCCAGGAAGAGGGAAGTGGGGCCTCGTCAGACACCACATTTGCTGGCACCTTGATCTTAAACTTCTCAGGCTCCAGAACTGTGAGAAATAAATTTCCCTTGCTTATAAGCCACCCCGTTTCTGGTGTTTTGTTGTAGAAGCCTGAGAGAACTGACACACTGTGAAGTCTATAAAATTTTGAACAACGCTAGCTCCACACGCCTCTCCCATACTGGACCTCTCCCATACAGGCCTCTCCGCACGCCTGTCCCATACTGGACATCTCAGTCATTTGGGAATATGGCAGACTCTATTTTCCAAGAATCGTCAAAGAATACATCCCATCCTACATGCTCTACTTAACAGTGTGGTTTTGACAATCCTCCTATACATAATCCTCCCATCGAGGGATGAGGTCCCTGCTCCTGAGGAGGCAGAATTGACACCATGTTACTTCCGAGATTGGTTCTCCCTGGGTCTTGTGGGACACCTGGTATTGGAGACCAGCCACAGGCTGTAAGAGGAAGCCCAAGCATCCTTTGGAGAGGCCTGTGTAGGGCAGATCAGATCCTCAGCCCATGGCCCTAGCAGAGCTCCCAGCCAACGGCCAGAACCAACTTTCCAGCCACATGCTAAGCCAGTTTGAAAGCACGTTATCCAGCCCAAAACCAAGCTACTCCAGCTGACCGGGGGTGGAGCAGAGAGGAGACTAACCTCAATTGCAGATTAATGAGCAAAAGAAATGACTTTCTGTTGAGTTAAGTCACTAAGTCATGGGGTGGTTGTCACAAGGTGAGAGATAATTAATACAAGGCCCTCCCCATACACCCTGCAGGGTTTTGCAAACATCCCAGGGATCTCAAGCAGAGCTCAATGCTAGGTGGAAAGAGCTTTGGTATTTGGACTTCTGATTAAAACTAAGGTCCCATTGGCCAAATCAATAAGAGATCCTGAAATCCAGCATTCCTGGTTTCTCTTTGGGTAGGAAATGAGCTGGGGGCCTTGTCTACCCCCAAGGACCACCCATAGCCAGACTTCCACTGCCTACTCCACCCTCTCCATAGAACCTGTAGACCAAGGAGCCCCATACTTTTCCAATTTGGGGGACCCCAGCACCCCATCTTCTTGGCTGTGCTGCTCTATCCTCTCCTTTAGCACAGCCCTCAACTCCCTCAGGGCTCCTG
This sequence comes from Homo sapiens, assembly GCF_000001405.40. Lineage (NCBI taxonomy): Eukaryota > Metazoa > Chordata > Mammalia > Primates > Hominidae > Homo > Homo sapiens. The sequence continues at coordinate 86,887,468 of NC_000009.12, forward strand.
AAAACAAAAGAAACCTCCCCTGGGGCCAGGCAGTCAAAGGACCTTCTTGGAACAGAAAGGGAATGATGCTGAAATGGGAAAACACACATATTAATAGCTCAATTTACCTGTCACATCTCTATTTTGTTTGGGAGGTCACCAATGGAACAGAGTGACTGCAAGAAAGACAGAATAATAGCATTGGTAATTAGAGGGAAAGAAAGTATTATGGGCCAGGTGATTTTTAAAATACCCTTCAGAGATTAAATATTTCTCAAAACTTATGTAAGCGCACATACAGTACACCTATTATTGGGCATAATACGGAAACAAACTTTAAGAGAGTAAAAATAGCCTAAGTAACAACTGATCCATTTGACTTACAAAAAGGAAAGATCCTAACCAGGGATCAGGAAGTCGGAATTCTCATCTGAGCTTGCTGTCTTATCCTGAGCAGGTAACAGTCTATTCCATGGCTTCGTTTTTCTCATCAGTGAGATAAAAGATTGAACATGATCATCTTGAAGCTCTCTTGAGCCCCACAGTCCTACAACTCCTGGACAAGTCATCTTAATACAAGCTGATTCAATTACCAACCAATCAGTACTATGAGAAAATCAGTTAAATGTTTGATGCAAGTATCAGAAGTTTCTGCCACTCTGTGGCACATTGCCGAAAGTTAAATTGGATTCACATAACTTTATATTTCTCGAAGGTAGCCATGAGTAAACAAAGAGATAGGAGAAATGAGTGATGGATGTATAGAGGTTTTCTGTGAATACTCCTTGAGTGATAATTAAACTAGCCCATGGCATGGCATGTTTATTCTAATTATTATTGTGTAGATACAGTCCATGGGCAAATGCTCATTTACATGCTTCAGGCATGTCTGCACACACATGTGTAACAACAGTCACTGTAGTCTCATGATGAGGCAGATAGTTCATAAATGATTTTGTGATCATTTTATATATACAGCCCATGTATAGATTATGAAGAAAACTCCAATTGCTTATATAATGTTTATTATAAAGGCAAAAAATATTTTTAACTTTTTTCACTTTTTATTTTTTTGTCTGGGAATACCTGTGTGACACACAAGTAAGTGGGCAGAATGGCAGGAGGACAGCCAGGGAAGAGTATAAACCTCGAGAATTCTGGGCTGCAGGGGATGATTTAGCTAGAAAGTAACTATGGAGCACAGGTTTGCTCTGCTATTTTGCTTGGCAGGAAATAGCAATCAAATTTAAGGTGGCTTTGAGAGAGGAATATTTTCTCTTACCACACAAAAAAAGCCATCTGACAATGGTTTCTCAATGTTTTTGGATAAAAAGTTGTGTTTAAATGAGAATCCTGGTGGAGGAGCTTAATACTTTACAACAAAAATTAATTTTGAAGGGACTGAATTTGCTAGGCATCCACTGAATACTTATAAATACTTTTGAGAATTTTCATAAAAAGTAAAAATAGGCCAGGTGCGGTGGCTCACGCCTGTAATCCCAGCACTTTGGGAGGCCAAGGTGGGCGGATCACGAGGTCAGGAGATCGAGACCATCCTGGCTAACATGGTGAAACCCCGTCTCTACTAAAAAAATACAAAAAAAATTAGCCGGGCGTGGTGGCAGGTGCCTGTAGTCCCAGCTACTCAGGAGGTTGAGGCAAGAGAATGGCATGAACGCAGGAGGCAGAGCTTGCAGTGAGCCAAGATCACGCCCAGCCTGGGAGACAGAGCGAGACTCTGTCTCAAAAAAATAAATAAATAAAGACAGCCCACTGAAATGATGTTGCTAAATAATATTTCCAGTAGCATTGTTTATAATAGTCAAACATTGAAAACAATGAAAATGTTCATCAGAAGAGGATGCACTAAATTATGGTTCATCCACACACTGGAATACTATGTACCTATTAAAAAGAATAATAAAGCATTCTATATATACTGTCAAAGTGAAAAAAGCATGGTGTAGAACCATGTGACTAACACGTACCACAATTTTTTAATGTTAACTACTTGCCAGATGCTGGAAGGATATATAGTGACTGCTAGTAGCAACTGCCTCTGAGAGGAAGGAAGGAGTAGGTACTGTAAAGAGGAGTGGGTGAGCCTCTCTTCACTTTTTTTTACTGTTTTATAACTTTTGGTTGTATATACCATGTGCAAAACAAACAAGCTAAAAAGAAAGCACACTAAATAAAGATGACATCAGTGCCATTTTACATATAAGAATCATCGTGATGGTAATGTACAGTTAAGTTTCATAGACTACAAAACCTCTATGCCTAATCTACTTTCTACTTTTCCTACCTTCATTATTCCCATTCCCCAGCTTTGTTTTAATTATGAACAATGGGATCAACTTCAAACATGTAAACAACAAATAAAAAATATCCCTCCAAAGCACAAGACATATAAAGACAAACAAGAAAACATTATCTTATAATTAAGGAAAAGCTATGCAGAAGTCAATCTGAATACATTAGATTTTAGGAAAAGATTTTGTAGTGAGAAAAGAATTACAGTCTTGTCTTCATTAATACAGGTTCCCCCACCTCCCCACAATTTATACTGAATGATAATGTGGAGACAGGGTTTGGGATGGTCATGGGAGCCGCTGACTAAAGTCATGCCCATAGAAGGGAAAATCTCAGGAATGACAGAAAAGGAACTGCAATATGAAGACGATTTCTTTAAAACTAATGACCTTATATAAAGATGCTGGGGACATGCTTGCCCCAGAAGAGATCAATATATTTATTTTAAATAAAGAGGCAGAGTATTTTATGACCTTGGAATGAAAAGTTAGGCAAGAACTAGCCACTTGGGAGACCTTTATTATATCTATCCACTGTGCCTTTTGTCTTACTTGCTTTTTTTGGTTTTGAGACAGTCTCGCTCTGTCACCCAGGCTGGAGTGCAGTGGCACGATCTTGGCTCACTGCAACCTCTGCCTCCTCCAAGTTCAGGCGATTATCCTGCCTCAGTCTCCCGAGTAGCTGGGATTACAGGTGCCTGCCACTACGCCTGGCTAATTTTTGTATTTTTAGTAGAGACGGGGTTTCGTCATGTTGGCCACTCTGGTCTCAAACTCCTGACCTCAGGTGATCCGCCCACCTCAGCCTCCCAAAGTGCTGGGATTACAGGCATGAGCCACTGAGCCCAGCCAGTTGCTTAATATTTTTGAATATGTAAATACAGAGGTGTTTTAGGTAATATTGAAGCCAGGTGAATTAAGGTGAGCTAACAAGCAGCAAGCTTTCAGTAAAGATGTTGTTTTTAATAATGTTAATGAAGATGATGATAACAATGGTGATGGTGATGATGATGGTGATAATGGTGATGATTATTACTCTCATTTGTGGTTTAATATGTGCCAGGCATTGTACAAAGTATTTTACTTACATTATTTTATTACTTACATTATTTTATTACTTACATTATTTTATTCAAATCTCACAACAATCCTACAAAACAGGAATCATTTCATTTTCTAGACTAGAAACAAAGACTCAAAGAGGTCGAAAAATTTTAAGAAAGTCTCAGCTTTCTCTCTCTGGTATAAAACTAGAGATTAAGTTAGTGCTCATGGAAATCATGCAACATATCTGAACTCAAACAGATGTCATACATGGTACCCTTTCCCTTTTAACTAAAAATATTTTCACCTGCCCTGAGAACTCCTCTTTGAAGCTGTAAATGTGGATACACCAGATGACTCCTTGTCAGCAGTTTTGGTAGTCAGAAAACAAAAACGTGTGTTTTCTTCATTTTGTTTATCATCAGGAGGTCTAGCTAAAAACCAATGCCATATGGCTCTCTAAATTAGTGGTTTCATCGGGCTGGTATTTTAGCTAACAATGGGAACTACTTATAACCCACAAACTATCTCATCCTTACTGCAAGACACAAAACATCTGGATATGCCTACATTACACATGTGGACATCTCCAGGTCAGTATATTTTGGCCTGTAGACCGAGAACCATTTTTCTATTGTCAAGACAGGAGGAACATCTTTTCCACTGATAGATCAATGTGGTGATGCCACACGGTTCCACTTACTCTTTGGCCCTCTTATGACCTAACTCATAGGTTCCTGGGTAGGTCTCCTAGTAAGTTTGGGCAGGATTAAGAGCAGATAGCAACACCTAGAATTACTTTGTTAACTTCATCATTGCCTGGAAAGAGGTAGATTTAAGGCATCAATTGATTAGTAACTAGATAAGGCAAACTGCTTTTTTCACCATCAGCGAGTAATGAGATAATAAGTTAGAGGCAGTGGGTTTGTGTCATAAATAGATTTGAGCTGATATTTTCATTGCAGACCCCAGAACACATTGAAACATTTTGCAACAGAACCCACTGCCATCAATTCTCCTTCTGCAATAGACTTTCTGGACTTCATGGCCTAATTAGATGTGCTTCACTAAAGAAGGCTAGAGTTGTCTCGTTTTTCTATTATTGCATAACAAGTCACCACAAACTCAGTGGCTTCAAAGGGCACTCATTACTCTCTGAATGGCATCATCACATTGATCCATCAGTGGCAAAAATGTTCCTTCTATCTTGACAATAGAAAAGTGGTTCTCGGTCCAAGATATACTGATTTGGAGATGTTCACATGTGTGACGTAGACATATCCAGATGTTTTGTGTCTTGTGGCAAAGAGGAGATAGTTTGTGGGTTATGTGCAGTTCCCACTGTTAGCTCACAGTTCTGAGGTCAAAAATACAGGCACGTTGTGTTTTTCTGTTCAGGGTCTCACAAGGCTAAAGTCAAGGTGAGAACCAGGCTGTGTTCTCACCTGGAGTGGGGTGTCCTCTTCTAAGGTTACATCCAGTGAGTTGCAGTTGCAGGACTGAGTTCCCAGTTTCATTGCTGTCTGTCAGCCAGGAGCCACTCTCACATCTATTCAGTGGCTTTAAAGTGTTGAATTAATCATTCCTAAAGGCCACTCATAATCCTTGCTGCATGGCCCTTTCTGTCTTCTAAGTCAGCATTAGAGACTCTCTATGTCAATCTCTGTCACCCTTCAAATCTATTTCTCCAGTCCCTTTCAAGGGATCATCACCTGATTGGGTCAGGCAGACCAAGGATAGTTTTCCTTTCCTAACACAAACTGAACCATATAGCATAACCTAATCATGGGAGTGACTATTTCATCAGAGTCAAAGTCCCAGAGATTATAAAGGGTATGTACACCAGGGGCCTGGAATATTGGGGGGGTATCTTATCATTCTGAATTGTTATGTTTGACTGAGATGCATTTGTTCTGTTGAGACCTGCAGGGGTGAGATGAAATCCCTGTGGGTGAAGAACGTTCCTAAGGATGAGGTCATCCACCCAGATAAGGGCCGGATTCCTTAGACAGGAAACAGGAATTAGGAGAGTGGGATTGAAAGGATGGAAGAGACAATGTCGCTCCTTTCCTTGGTCTTTACTTTGAGAAACTTGAATGTCTAAGAGTTCACTCCAGTAGTGTAGGTTAGAGATGACCACTGCCATTGGGCACAACCTGGTGCTGGGCAGGAAGGGACCCCTGGGAGGAGCCACAGGCTCAAAATGAGCAATCTCCATTTTATAAGCCAGAAATTGAAAAGATAGTACCTATTTTTATTTCTCTTTTGCTCCGCTCTTGCCTCAAGAAACCTTTTTGTTTGTTTGGTTTTTGTGCATTCCTATTGTTCAGCCAATTATAAGGGGCACACATGTATCAGAGTGCTAAAGGAAGAAAAACTACTCTTCCAAGCTAATATGCTAGTAGCAGAAATTTCCAGCAAAAAATCACTCAGGGGAATGTGGATCCTATACAGAGAACCAAGATTGGAGCTGTGTAGCCCAGCATCTTTTCCTGCCCATGCTCTCTTTCCCTATATGTGACAGAGGATGCCTGGGTTTCATTTATTAAAGAAAGTAGGGCAGGCATAGTGGCTCATGCCTGTAATCCCAGCACTTTGCAAGGCCTAGGTGGGCAGATCACAAGGTCAAGAGTTCGAGACCAGCCTGGCCAATATGGTGAAACCCTGTCTCTACTAGAAATAAAAAAGTTAGCTGGTGTGGTTGCGAGTGCCTGTAGTCCTAGCTACTCAAGAGGCTGGGGCAGGAGAATTGCTTGAACCCGGGAGGCAGAGGTTGCAGTGAGCCAAGATCGCGCCACTGCACTCCAGCCTGGGCAACAAGAGAGACTCCGTCTCAAAAAAAAGAAAGTAGATTTTCCTAATACAGTCCTATTGATTAATATGCATTCATGGAAAAGGCAAGGTCATTTGTGGACTGTGCTAAGAAGCTTTAATGCGCCCGCCACATTTCCTTCTCTACCCCTGCTCCCCACTTCCATATGCTACCATTATAGTTAATTCCAAGTCACCAGATTTGGCATCTATTCAGTGGCTTTAAAGTGTTGAATTAATCACGCCTTGTTATTTTCTGTTTCTCCAATGCTTTTGTGTCTTGGTGCCTTGCTAAACCTAGAGACTGCTCCTCCCCAGGCTAGCAGATTCCTAGAGACAGTAAACAACCCACCTGACAGCACACCTTTCCTATGCAAACCAACCAATCCTGAGCCCAGACAACGTTGCCACCCCCACCTCCTCTAACTGGCTCTCACACTCCAAGCCGCTTTTCCCCTTCCTTAATCACTCCAGGGCCAGGTACCTGAGGCCTAGAGAAAGTCCCTACTCTCCAGGGCCTGCTGAAATTACTCAAAATAGCCAATCCTGATCCTGTTTGCCCTGTCTTGCCCATTTCTTACTGTGGAAACCATCCTTCCTCATGCTTCTTTTTGCTTCCTCTGCCTCCTAACAGGCCCCAGTGCTCCCCTATGTGGTCCTGTGTGGCCTGGCATGCCCAGCTCCTTTTGGGAACGCTGAGTAACACACTGTCTTTTCAGTGGCAGTAATCATCTGATCTGTTGCCCTCACCAGCTTCCAGATGCGCTGCAGGTTTCCTGGCCCAAGATAATGCAGTGACGTCCTTCTGGTGATATCATTGCAGTTTCCCCCATAAAAGACATTCTTTGTGAGAAGATAATTGCAGTGGTGTATATGAACAGTGTGAATTCCAGACACTTCTCTGTTGGCCACTTTTTTGACCCAAAGAGTAGGGCAACAAAAGGTGGCAATTTGGTGCCTGTGATTGTGTAAATTGAATTCATCTCAAAGCAAGCAGGGACATTTTCTAACATCAAACCTTCCTCTAGTAAATGATACACAGTGGGTTCTGGAATCTGCCTTTGAACAGAGTTGAGGGTACTAGTGTCAGAGGCGTGGGAACCAGAGCAACTCCATCTTGAATAGGAGCTGGGTAAAGTGAGGCCTAGACCTGCTGGGCTGCATTCCCAGATGGTTAAGGCATTCTAAGTCACAGGATGAGGTAAGAGGTCAGCACAAGATACAGGTCATAAAGACTTTGCTGATAAAACAGGTTGCAGTAAAGAAGCCAGTTAAAACCCACCAAAACCAAGATGGCTACGAGACTGACCGCTGGTCATCCCCACTGCTACACTCCCACCAGCACTGTGACAGTTTACAAATGCCATGGCCATGTCAGGAAGTTACCCTATATGGTCTAAAAATGGGAGGCATGAATAATCCACCCTTTGTTTGGCATATCATCAAGAAATAACCACAAAAATGGGCAACCAGCAGCCCTCAGGGCTGCTCTGTCTATGGAGTAACCATTCTTTTATTTCTATACTTTCTTAACAAACTTGCTTTCACTTTATTCTACAGACTTGCCCTAAATTCTTTCTTGCGTGACAAATAAGAACCCTCTCTTGGGGTCTGGATCTGGACCCCTTTCCTGTAACACTAACACCAAGAAGGGACCCAGGTGCCCTCCTGGATCAAGTTATTCTCCTATTTAAGTTTTCCATTGGCTTTCTGTCAATCTCAATAACTGATTTAACTTTTGTAACTTTCCAAAAACACTTTTCATTATAATGAATAATCTAGTGAAGGCCCTGTTATGGTTTGAATGTGTCTCTTCCAAAATTCAGGTTCTGCCAGTGTGATCGTATTAAGGAGTGGGGCCTGTAAGAGGTGATTAGACCATGAGGGCTCCTCCCTCGTGAATGGGATTGGGTCCCCTTATAGAAGGGCCTGATAAAGGGAATTATTTGTCCCAGTTTTGGTCTTTTGAATTCTGCCATGTGAAGATGCAGCATTTCTCCCCTCTGGAGGACTCGGCATTCAAGGTGCCATCTTAGAAGCAAGGAGGAGCCCTCACCAGATGCTGGCGTCTTGAACTTGTATTTCTCAGTCTCCAGAACTGAGAGGAATAAATTTCTGCTCTTTACAAATTACCTAATCTGCAGTGTTCTGTTATAGCAACACAAATGGATTAAGACAGTTCCTTAAGAACTTTTTTGATTATTCGTTAAATTTTTTAATGAATGAGGAAAAAATTATCTCAAGTAAAATGTTTTATTTTATATAGGTATATTTTCATAGGTTATAAAATTAACTTCTAAAACAAAAAGTTAATATTCGTGGTATATAAAGACAAGTTTCAACTTTTTCCCAGTTAATGTGACTCTTGCCCTCAGGTGAGTGTAAATTAATTTTGTAAGAAAAAGCATTATTTGTTGATGAGCATATTACCAATGATGTATTATATTTTGTTTGGTTTGGGTAAAAATGTATATTAAATTGCAGACTGATATTGAACTGTTTGTCTTAGCTTTGCAATTGAAACAAATGTCCTTTTATGACCTGATATCTGGAATTCTGGAACTTTACACTTAAAAATTATTTTGTTTATTTTTTAAAAAATAATTGTATTATTTAAAAAATAATTATATTATAGATATTTTATATATTATATAATATATATTTATATATTATATATAAATATATATATAAATAATTGCATTGTTTCTAAGAGATGAAAATAAAAGGTTTCAGACCTTTGACTACAATCATTTTACAAATGAAGCATTGTGAGTGTAAGTGGTCCTTATTATTATTAAATGTAATGTAAAAGTGAATATAAACATGAATGTCTTCTCTTTCCACCTTGTGTTTTGAAGTCCCTGGTGTGCTACAGAAGGATTTGGATTAGAGCCATGTTTTCTGATCTGGTGATGATGGTCTGGAGGTAATTTTTCAGAATTATTTTCACTTTTAGTCTCCTCATTAATGTGCTCTGTTTTGACTCCTTTGTTCCTTATGATTCTTCATCAAAGCAACAATTCATATGTTAAGCTTCTGTATGGCCAAAACCCAAAACAATTAATAATTTTAAGCCAAGTAGTAATTTTAAGCCTGTTCATTGGCCTCCATTAATTGCCATGCACACTGGCTGCCTTTTTTAAGGCAATAAAAGAAATATATCATTTATTAATTATCTTAATAGAACTTTAAATAGATCCTATAGCATCTTTGATAGCTGGATCTCCAGGAACACCTTCTTGAACCCCTGGAGGGGGTCTATGACCCACCTGTTGGAAAATGCTGATGAGTGTGCTAAAGTCCCAGCTACTTAACAATGCATTTGTGACCTTGTGTCTGGCCCTTGCCTATCTCTCCAGCCACATCCACATAATGCTCCTCAAATAAACTGCTAGAGTCCCCAGCACATACCTTGATGTGTGATCTTCCTCAGCCCTTGTGCGTGGGCCTTCCCTGCTCTCCAAGCCCAAATGAGCATCCACCCTTCTGTGTCTGCCTCTCTTGCTGGACTGAGAGCTCCTAGTCACCAGAGACTCTATCTTGTTTATTTTGTAACTACAGTGGTAAGCCCAGCCAGCACCTGGCAGAAAGTAGGCACTCATTAAATGTTAGTTGAGTAAATTAAGGAATGAATGGATGGATGAACAAATGAAAGAGTTAAAAGCCAAAAAAGAAAAAGCACAAAAATCCACCTTTAATGGTGAAGTGGGATGCCTGCCTAGTGCATCCATGCTGCTTTTTTGGAAGTGGCTAAAGAGATGAGTTTAAATGGTCATGTTTAAGCCAGGTGACCCTGTCCGGGCCATCATGGCTGGCTGATTAGACCAAAGTGACATGTGGCCACATGGAACCAGGCATCAGATCTCTATATCATGAATTGAATGAAGAGACCCGGAAGCTGTATCAGGATGCTAATGGTACTGGAGTCATGAGGTCCAGTAGAATTGGGGGCCACAGCCATTGCCATGGCAACCCACCACACCAGGCAAGCCTAGGTTGTGGAGAATAGAAACCAAGAGACACTGGGGGAGTCCTGCTGCAGAGAGGCCAAAGGAGGAGGCTCCATCTGTGAAACTGACTCCACATCTCAAAGCCTAACATTTCCATGAAGCATTAGGAAATGCCAGGAATTCTGAACAGAAGGAAATCAACTTTAAATGCTTTTGATTAGCATCTTCTTATCACTGACAAGCCCCGTTGAGGTGCAGCCAACACCTCAGGAGAGAACAGGATAGATGGCCATCACTGGACTTATGTTTCCGAATAAATGTCTTAAAGTATCCTTCTAGTTCACACAAAATCCCACTTCATCCAAATTTTGTTCTGACCAGTTTGGAACTGTAACCAATTCATGTCTCCCAAGTAAACTGGACATTTTGTGCTGTCAAATACGTTGGTTTAATAATGAATTCAGGTTAAAGGTGAATTTATTATTTTCCTCCTTATAAGAATAAGCATCTCAGAAAACATCCAGGAACAACCATGTCTGCTGTTTCCTGGTGAGCCTCCCTTGAATGGTACACATTCCTGCCAGTGTTGATCCACTCCCTTACAGGTATTTCTGGGCCTCACCTTCCCTTCTGTGGATATTAAAGAACAGCATTTTTTTTTTTTTCCTGTAGTGATATTTTCATTGAACTCTCAGGTAAGAGCTCCTGTAACACCAGCTCTATGCTCGTCTGTGAGTGTTCGGGGGGACTGGTGATGTTATGAAATGGCCTTGTGCCATTATTCTGGAAAAGCATCTTTACTCCTGGCTGTAATGGGATGCCCTGAGCTCGCTGCCAGGTGGCAGATGAGAGACACACTTCTATGCTGCCTTCTGACAGGCATTGAAGCATAGGCTCTCCGGAGACCTGCTATCCTTTTGCAGAATTTCCCTTCTACTCTCCTAAAGTGGATCCCAGGGTGTTGTGAGATCTTTGCAATCTGAGGGTAGTGGGGAATGTGCACAGATGGACAGTCAGTCATCATCGTAGGCAGTGCACTGTGTATCCATGCTGGCTAGCCATCTCTGCTTCTTTGAAACTTGGAAGTGTTCTGATCTGAGTATGGGATGTGATGAAGCGGACACTGAAAGGCTGCGGTTTTTAGTCCAATGTAAGTGTCAAATGTTCTTTCAGAGCTGTGATTAGAACAAACATTAACTACTTCATTCATGAAAAAAAGTTTTTTAAATCCATACTTTTGATTCAATAATGCCATTTCTAGAAATCTGTCCTAAAGAAATACCAGTACTATGAAAAATCCAAGCAATTTTACGAATGAAGATGTTTAGCATGGTAATATCAAAAGGATAAAAAAATAGAAAGGTGTGGAAAATTATAATATATTAATGCATTGATATGCAGCACAAAGAGAAAAACAAACACATGTAAGTATTAGGCACATGCAGAAGTAAATAGAAAGCAACTTCTGGAAGAAGAGCAAAATATTTCATGTATTCTGTCATTACAATCAAGGTGCATCTACACAGGTAGATTTAATCCATAAAGATTGTATTAAACTATCGGAGAATCTGTCAGATATGGTGAATATATGCCCCAATATTTACGTAGGTTCTTTTCTATTTTCCTTAAGCATCGGCCAGCTTGAGAAAAAAAGGGACAGAGTACAAAAGAGAGAAATTTTAAAGCTGGGCGTCTGGGGGAGACATCACATGTCGGTAGGTTCCGTGATGCCCCACAAGCCGCAAAAACCAGCAAGTTTTTATTAGGGAGTTTCAAAAGGGGAGGGAGTATGCGAATAGGTGTGGGTCACAGATATCAAGTACTTTACAAGGTAATAGAATATCATGAGGCAAGTGGAGGCAGGGCAAGATCACAGGACCACATGACCGAGGCGAAATTAAATTTGCTAATGAAGTTTCGGGCACCATTGTCATTGATAACATCTTATCAGGAGACAGGGTTTTGAGATCAACCGGTCTGACCAAAATTTATTAGGCGGGAATTTCCTCTTCCTAATAAGCCTGGGAGCGCTATGGGAGACTGGAGTCTATTTCACCTCTGCAGTCTCGACCATAAGAGACAACCACGCCCAGGCGGGCCAGTTCAGAGACCCACCCCCAGGTGCGCATTCTCTTTCTCAGGGATGTTCCATGCTGAGAAAAAGAATTCAGTGATATTTCTCCCATTTGCTTTTGAGAGAAGAGAAATATGGCTCTGTTCTGCCCGGCTCACCGGCGGTCAGAGTTTAAGATTATCTCTCTTATTCCCTGAACAATTGCTGTTATCCTGTTCTTTTTTCAAGGTGCCCACATTTCATATTACTCAAACACACATGCTGTACAATTTGTGCAGTTAATGCAATTATTACAGGGTCCTGAGGTGATATACATCCTCCTAAACTGACAGGATTAAGAGATTAAAGTAAAGACAGGCATAGGAAATCACAAGGGTATTGATTGGGGAAGTGATGTGTCCATGAAATCTTTACAATTTATGTTTAGAGATTGCAGTAAAGACAGGCATAAGAAATAACAAAAGTATTAATTTGGGGAACTAATAAATGCCCATGAAATCTTCACAATCTACGTTCTTCTGCCATGGCTTCAGCCGGTCCCTCTGTTTGGGGTCCCTGACTTCCCACAACATTAAACCTCAATTTAAAAAATATTTATTGAGAAAAAACTCAACAAAAATTAAGAGTCACAAAAAATTTAAATTGTTGCTTCTAGGCTGGGCATGGTGGCTCACGCCTGTAATCTCAGGACTTTGGGAGGCCAAGGTGGGTGGATCACCTGAGGTCAGGAGTTCGAGACCATCCTAGCCAAAATGGCAAAACTCTGTCTCTACTAAAAATACAAAAATTAGCCGGGCTTGGTGGCACATACCTGTAGTCCCAACTACTCGGGAGGCTGAGGCAGGAGAATCACTTGAACCCAAGCGGCAGAGGTTGCAGTGAGCCGAGATGGCGGCACTACACTCCAGCCTGGGCAACAGAGCAAGACTCCATCTCAAAATAAATAAATAAATAAATAAATAGATAGATAGATAAATTGTCGCTGTAAGATGGATTGTAAGGTGAAATGAATTATTAACTGTTTCATGCTTGATGTTGTGAAGTTGTGTGATGATACTTAAAATGCAAAGCTTTTAGGAAAAAAAGCACCAAGTCTGTCCTTAGGGGGACATTGTGCCTCCACCAGCAAGAACATCCATCTTAAATATATGTAGTCCTGAGCCAGGTGCAGAAGGTCACACATTGTATTATTCCATTTACATGAAATACTAAAAATAGGTAGATCCAAAGAGACAGAATACAGAATGGTGGTTGTCAGGGGCTTGAGGGAGGGGGAAAGGGGAACTGCTTAATGAGTATAGGGTTTTATTCTGGAGAGAGAGAAATGTATGGGAACCAGACAGATGTGGTGGTTGCACACTATTTTGAATGTACTAAATTACTGAATTGTCCACTTTAGAATGATTAATTTTATGCTATGTGAAATTCATATCCATACATATTTTAAAGAAGCTTTTTAAAATGATGCATGCTGGGGCTCCAGTCTAGAGGACCTGTATGGTATTGAAGTTTTCCAGTCAGATGGTCAGTCAAAAACAAGTCATAGAGAACTGCCCAACTCTGACTACCCAATTTGCAATGTTAGCAGACAAACTGTATAAAATCAACAATGTCATGACAGTACTGTAGCTTGTATTTGAGAAATTTAAACCATTGGCTGGGCACGGTGGCTCATGCCTGTAATCCCAGCACTTTGGGAGGCCAAGGTGGGTGGATCACCTGAGGTGAGGAGTTTGAGGTCAGCCTGACCAATATGGCAAAACCCTGTCTCTACTGAAAATACAAAATTAGCCAGGTGTGGTGGCAGGCGCTTGTAGTCCCAGCTACTCGGGAGGCTGAGGCAAGAGAATTGCTTGAACCCAGGAGGTGGAGGTTGCAGTGAGTTGAGATCATGCCATTGCACTCTAGCCTGGGTGACACAGCGAGACTCCATCTCAAACAAAAAGAAAAAAAAGAAAGAAAGAAAAACGAAACCATCAAACCCTGACTGGTGGTGGGCACAAGAAGAGCACCTCCAGTGATATCCCATTGGAAGCCACATTACCTCATTGAAGAGCTCGGAAGGCTTAGGGTATCCCAGAGATGGTGCAGGGCTATGTCTGATCCTCTCACAAGGTGGGTGGGGAGCATGGCCAGCTTCTTCTTCTGTTCTCTTCAAGCCCCTCCATACAAGCATCTGTAGATGTCTGTTGACTGGTGCTAAACTTTAAAATATGGACCAACACCATTGGTTAAGAAGAAATGGTTCTAATCACTATACAGAGACCAGATACAATATTTTATCAAAATTATAAAGAACAGATTTACCCCATTTGTTGTCTTTGAAATTTCCTTTAACTGGATCCCATTTTTACCATCAGAAAAGGTTTCACTGAGTAGCAGATCTTTTAGGAGCCTTCAACACTTCTGAAACTGCTCAAAGATAACCAGTCTTACAGAGCTGTTGGTGAAATCACAGAACTACAAAAACGCTCCAAAATGTGTTAACATGCAGAAGCCGCTGGCCATGCAAAACAGGTACAAAGGACAATCTCAAATGAAATGAAGGGAAAAACACGCAGGAGTTCCCTTCTGTAGACTCATTTGTCCTCTGCAGAGGTAGGTGAATTACCAAGAGAAAGCTTTGCAGTTTGCAAAGGTGTTTGAAAGATAAATGCAGTCTTTTGCTTGGTTGTATTAAGTTAGAGAACATTCCTCGTATTAGGATTCTTTTCTAGGACATTATGGCTGGTAATTTTAGGTTTGTCTGTTCTAGGAAACGTTCCTTTTGGGGGAAATGTGCATCTGTCGAAATTTAAGCAATCAGTATCTGCACATTAGGGTGAGGTTTTCACCTTTTTGTTCTCAGAAATATGGAAAATGAGGGAGGATCACACGGGTCTGGTAACACCCCACTTTTCCTTTCAGCGGTTTAATCACACGGGAGGTCTCGCATTTCATCAGGGTGTGAAATGCCTTATATTTCTCCTGGTTTCTTTTTTCCTCTTGCACAATGAATGCAAGTGCAGGAACGTGAATGCGGCCCTTCCCCACCACACACAGGCTCTCTCCCACCCCCTGCCAGCTATCCCTGCTCTGACCTCCCCGGGCCTCCCTAAGGGGACGATGCCCCTTCCTCCGCAAGTGGCAGTCCTGCAGCCCGGGCCCTCTTTCCTCTTCCCCCGGCCTCTGCGGGGGCGCGCGGGCTGGGAAAGGGACGAAATGGAAAAACCGTCCCCTCCAGCACCCTCACCTCCACCGCCACCCTCACCTCCACCGCCGCCGAGCCCGGGGTCAAAGCTGCCCCATCTCACAGGGCCTTCCCAGCGCGCGGCACCAAGACCCCCATTTCTATGCACCCTGGAAAGGGTGATTAATTTAAAGTGAGTGGAGTCTGTTTCTTTAAGACAAGCTCATAAATCGTGAAAGATCACCACTTCTTTTCAAAAGCCTCTCCACGGTCTGAGTCTCCCTTCTGGGTCAGTAAAGTCATTGAAGCTTTAACGGCATGCCATGGCAGATTACACGATACAGCTGTCCCGGCACCGTGAAAATTAAGTTATGCCCCGTGTCAGCAAGGGGGTTTTCCCCTTTCTTTTCTCTCCCCTCCCCCACCCCTCCTCTTTTTTTCTCTATTCCTTCCCACCCCTACTCCTCTCCATCCGCGCTTATTCTCTCCCCCTTCAACCTCGTCCCCGCCCCTCCCCTCTCCTCCCTCCTCCCAGCCTCTCCAGCGATCTCCCCTCGGCCCTTTCACCTTCCTGCCGGGAAGTGCACATCCCAGAACAGGCAGAAGTTGGCCCACAGGCTGCTGTGCTTTGAGCCTGGGCTATTGAGACAGTAAGTGGAGATGATTGCCTTTCAGAGAAGAGCTGGCAAAATGGTGTCTTTTGTTCTCCACCCACCCCCCAACACACACACACACACATCTTTTGCCTCCTTCTCTTCTGCTTATCCCCTTCTCCTCCTCCTTCCTCCTCGTGTCCTAGCCCTGAGTCGAACCCCTCCCGACCTGATGCCAGCAGCGCCCTGTCTGAGTGCTTCCACCTGCTGCTGCTCACTCCCTGTTGTTGGGCCAGCCCAGTCTGCTTGGAGGTGACTCTCCCGTCAGGTCAGCAGCAGCGGTCAAGCCTTAATTTCCTTCCAAAGTTAATCACTAGTGTAGCTGTGGCTGCTGCTCTTTTCTCTTTGCGGGAGGGGAAGGTGAAGAGAGCTCCCAGCAAAATAAGAGAGCAGCTGCTCTGCAGCCCTGAGCTCCCATGCTGATGGTGACTTATACACACATGGCCTCCTAAGAACCTTCAGGGTTCAGGGCCCACCCCCTGCCACACACACACACACAGAAAGACAGAATATAAAGCCTTTAACATCATTCACTTATAGCCCTCTCTGCTGAACAAATTGAAAAAGCAATCTAAATAAAGAAACACACATTTGTCTATTTGCATAGTCTGCATCACCCCAAGAGATGGGAAACATGCTTACAATGTGAAAAATTAAACCCTTGTAGTGCTTCTCCAGCAGGGTGAAGGGGAAGAATGCACTATTGGTTTTGAAGAGTCTGGCTGGCATTTCCTATGGGTTAAGGGACCGCCTTGTTTTGGGGTCCCCGCTCTGCCCACACACTGCCCCACTCCCTGGCTTCTCTTCTCACCACCCAGGGCCTACCTGAGCCAACTCTTTCCTGCAAAATATCCAGGAATTAAATAAAACCACCTGGTAAACTAGAGAGCAGTTGTTGACATGAAGGATATAATCGCTGTACCATGAAAAACATTAAGGTTTTGAGAGACTGACTCAGCTGGGATGGAAACTTTTAAAGCAATCACATTTTATAATATTTTTAAAGATTAGGTGCTTTGGAGGAAACATCTAAGAGTAGGGCAAAATTTTGATTTTCTTGGTCTAAGACCCAAAAGTAGGCCAGGTGTGGTGGCTCACACCTGTAATCCCAACAGTTTGGGAGGCTGAGGCAGGAGGATCGCTTGAAACCACGCTGGGCAACATGGCAAGACCCTGTCTCTATAAAATATTTAAATATTAACATACCTTTCATGAAGGTGATAGGGAAAGGCGACCCCTTAATTTGAGGGGTTCAATGGGTACCCATGTGAGTTGAGGAATTCCCTGAAGCTTAGCCCCATGGGTGGAGAAATGACGTGTGTGAATGGGGTCGCCTGAAGTCCCAGGGGGATCCGGGCTATAGGCAGACTCCTCTGCAGTCCAGCAGCCTTACTCCAGGGGCAATTCTCCACCTCATAAACCCTAACCTTCCTTCTCCTTCCCTAATGAGCTAGCTTCTGACTTCCTGATGCAGTTCCTAAACTGGGTCTGAAGACTTCCAAAGAGGATATTTGAGAGTGGCATGAGCAACTCAGGAGCACAGAGAGAGGTGCAGGCATCCTCGGGGTGGCAGCAATGGTGGTGCTCTCCTTTGAAAATATTCTTACGGAATTGTATGGATGCCTGCTTATCACATGGCAATATCTCTAATATGATGTGAACTTTAGAAAAATCTTGCAGCCAACATGTTTTAATATGGTCTCCTCCCCAAAAAAGACCCTAAGGGAAGGACATGGGTCCAGGCAGTTTATGTGGGGGTATGATCCCAGGAAGCAGGGATAAAAGTGTGGGGAAATGAGACAAGAAAAGAACAAAGGCCCATTAAAGGGTGAATTATCAAGCTTACCACTGAGAGCAAGGGGATCAATTCTACCTAGACTTTCAGAGAAGTGTCCCAAATGCTTCCTAGAATTACCTGCTTGAAGACAGGGGCATTTATCCACAGCCTCCATTTTTCCCATTGGCTAAGAGTTGTCCCATAAGTCTTAATTTCCCTACTCTTCTCAGCCAGGCATGCACCAAGTAAGTCACCATGGGATTGGAGGAGCTCAGAGCAAAAGTGAAGATTGCAGTGTACACTGGAAAAGAGCATTAGGTATTGCACACCTACTTGGAATTGTGTCTCGATGCTCACGGATCTCAAAAAAGGGGTCCTCTCTATATTTTATAGATGAAGCTCAGTGACAGGGAGTACTTTACCCACGGTTCCTGCCTAGTGAGTCATGAAAGTGGAGTTTTTGCTCAGGAAAGCTTCCCACTGTAGCCAGATTGCATAAACTGATTCTCTAGCTCTTCACCTCTATTTCTATCTGATTTCTAGTTGTCTCTTGAGGACTAAAGAAAACAAATATCCCCCATGCAATGATTCTAAAAGGGTTCCCTGTTAGAGTGTGAGACATAGTTTAAGGGCATGTAATATTTTTTGGAGATAAAGGGAACACCAGCAAGGGTGGGGAGGTGACATAGGGAAGGGAAGGCACTGAAGGAGGGGGCATTATTGAGCCAGGTAACACTGAGGGCAACTGATTTGCAATCTTCCCAGAAAGCTCTGAAAGTGATGTAACACACATCCTTCATCCTTCAGAAAGATTCCCACCACGGGGCAGAGGAACTGTAGTACTTATGCCCCACACTCTTGAGTTATTGATTTCAATAGTGGCTGGGTGGGGTGGGCCATGGATCACCAGGCTGTGTTGAGGTAACATAGGTTCCAGCAGCTCCCCAATAGAGACTCAAGTGCTACCACTGGCCTCCAGAATTGAGTGCTTCCACAGGAAAGGGTACACCAGGGGCCTGGGCAGAGTGGTGCCTGAGTTGGCAGCAATTTCCCTATGCATCTTGACCTTCCAGTGACTTGGAGGATTGGAGCTCATCCTGATCAAATTACTCAGGGCTCCTCCCATAATGAGAACCTAAGATGTCAAGGCTTAATGTTGTGTTTGCAGATACCCCTCTTTGTCTGCTCACTTTTTTGCCTAATCCTTCTCTTCCCTCTGTTGTTGCTCATTTGTTACCCCGCAAATATCAAGGTTCTATATTTCTAAGGTACAGTATTGTTCACATACTACCTGGTACAAACTCTAACCTCCTATTAATCCTAAATTGTGTCTTTTGTGGAAGACCTAGTGTTTTCCATAACCTCTTTATGTTCAAGATAAATATAGAACTGAATGTGAATATAAAGCCTTAGACAGTTTTTAAAAAAATCTAGAGGTGTTTAATTTACATCTCGTGGATTTCTTATGTGTAAAAAGAATTTTGCTCAGTGATTTCTGCACTTGATTTGCTAACTCTGAGAAGCATGGCTGATTTGAGCCATGGCTTTCTGTTTCATCAGGTGTCATATCCACCACTGCTATGTTGCTAGCCTCTAGCATCACCCCAGAATTTGTGCAGAATGTTGAACCCAATTTTCCCCAACATCTTTTCTGTTCCAGATGCTGCCTGAACTATGCCTATAGGAAAAAATATAATTTGCCAGAGTTTCTGTTGACATTGTATGGAGGGGTGGGAAATGGGAGACAGTGTTAACGACTTTCAGATCACCACAGAGACAACAGAGATGTAAATTATCAGTAAAACTAGTAGTAGCCCCAACTCAGTTGAAAGAAGATGAATCCCATTTCCAGAGAAAATAGTTGGAAACCCTTAAGAATTTAGGTCTTAAAGACATATATGTGGGCCAGTCTTCACTTTCTAGGTTTTGTTTACCATCTATTAATGCACCATGTTTTTGCTTTTGTTTTTGTTTTGCTCTCCTGTGTCTATTTGTAGTGTTTGTCACAAATTATAGCAGACAATTAAGGAGAAATTAACTTGGAGTGCAAGGGTCTGGGAGTATGTATTGGGAGTGATATAAGGAGGAGGTGGAGGGAGATAACATGTAAAATGACTTTTACTGAAGGAGATCCTGTTTCTTAAAAGCATATCCACTCTTTCACCTTTCAAGCCAAGAATTATAAAAACATTCTTCTGTTACACAAGTAACCTGATACTTATCCTCACTTTCAATTTTTTTTTTACATTCTTCATCCCTTTACAAATAGACCTCCAGTGAAACACACCATATAAATACATGGTCACCCCGCATTTATGCCTCTGCCAATTCTTTCCTCACATGTAAACTTTAGGAAGTTCCACTCTAAATAGTTTTCAAATCCAAGCTGCCACTGTGATTTCATCAAATCAAGCCCTTGTTGAGATCAAACCTTTGAAATGAGAAAAGATTTTTAATCCATTTACACCAGCTGGGGTCTAACTCTTGCAGTCCTGAGAGCTGCAGGATTAGGATTTCTCAAACCCTTTCCATACTTCTACCTCCCACATACCTGGCATATTTTACAGCTATTTTAATCAAATTGTATCAGCACTTGCATTTGAACAAAATCAGGATAAGAATGTTCTTTATAAGCCAGACTTGTTGTAACTGTTGGTGTACTTTAGTGACAAAAAGTTGTCTTTCTCTACAAGGTTCAGCAAATAAAAATGAAAATAAAACTTATTGAAAATAAACTTGAAGCTAAGTCTTTTAGTAAGGGATAACAAAAATAAGAAAATGGCTGAGGTTATAATCGAGGGGTATTTTTGTAATAAGCTCAAAACATTTCTGTGCAGGATGGATGAATGAAAATGACAAGTTCCTTCAACCATATATACTGACATTCTGAATTTAAAAAATCATTTTCTAAAATTATTCTGTTTTAAAGTGTCATCAAAACTATTTTTCTGATAGAATCTGTCTTCAATTTTATTTTCTTATAAATAGCATTTCAAAGAGTTATTAAATTTCTTGTAGCTATGACTTACTCTGCAAAGTTACCTCCGTTTTCTTCTACTGGCACTTGCCAGAAAACAGAGATTGTATTTTACCTTCTCAGTTCAAATTATAGCATAAGGTAATTTGTGTAGTTGTGTGCTACACAAACAAAGCTGGAGAATCTACTCCTAGGAATAAAACCCACAGGCACAAGGAGGCGGGGTGTAGTTGTGGGCGGATGGCATCAGATCCATTCAGAATCTATGTGACAAGCACATGTGTCTCTCCAGAGCCTGCTTTGTGATTTCCAACATGTGATCAAGGCACTACCTGTGAGAAGGAACCCTGCAAGTGGTGAAGTAGTTATTTGTGGCATTTACAGCTGGAGGTCCTCCAATATCATCTCAAGCTGAAACAAATTGATGCTAGATTTTTAAAAAGTTTTGTTAAGTCTCAAACTCTTGATCTCAAGTGATCCACCTGCTTCAGCCTCTCAAAGTGCTGGGATTATGGGTGTGAGCCATCACTTCCAGCCCCTTTTTCACTTATAAGAACTCTTTTGACTGGAGTTCAAGACCAGCCTGGCCAATATGATGAAACCGCCTCTCTACTAAAAATACAAAAATTAGCCGGGTGTTGTGGCGGGCACCTGTATTCCCAGCTACTTAGGAGGCTGACGCAGGATAATCACTTGAACCTGGGAGGCCGAGGTTGCAGTGAGCTGAGATCGAGCCACTGCACTCCAGCCTGGGTGACAGAATGAGACTCTGTCTTAAAAAATAAATAAATAAACAACAACAACAACAAAAAACCTCTTGTGATTACATTGGGCCCACCTGGGTAATCCAAGACACTCTTCCCATCTCAAGATCCTTAACTTAATCCCATCTGCAATGTGATTGTCATGTGTGTCACAAGTTCTGGGAACTTATAATGTAGATATCTTTTTACATTTTCTTCTTGGATGGGGGTGGGGAATTACTCTATCACAGGTGAAAAAAACACTACTATATCAGGCAGGGTTTAGTATGCTAAGTTTAATCTTTACCCAGTTACCTGAATTTAATCAATCTTATTACCTAACTTCTTTTCAACTGAAGAGAAGTAGGAACGTCCCAACTTTCAAGACTGCTTAATGAATACCTAAGTAGCTTCAAAATAATGCCACAGCTTTCAAGGGTTTATTATAAATATCTGTGATTGCAAATAAGAGAACTAAAGGAGACATCCTCTGCAATTACTTCCAATCTCAGTGTACGATAGCACGAACAATCTAGCTTTATCAGGCAACTGTATTCATAGACATAATCAGAAGAAGGAAAATTCCAGTGCCAGGAAACCTTTTGGTTATTACAGATGTTTGGCTATGACTCATCCAATCCTATTTCAGATGCAAAAAATCAACTTTCAAGAGTTCAGTGGATGGCCATACTATCTGAATCATAGAATGAGAACCTCTGTAAATCCATTTCTCCATAAAAGCAACAAAAACACTGGCAAAATGGTCAAAATCAACATTTTCATGACTCTGGAAATTAACCAAAGCCTGCAATAATCTAAAGTGTTTATTTAAGAAATAAATAAACCTTTCCTACCAGCTAAGAGTTATCTTTGGCAAAGTTCAGTCCATAGATGGGTGAGCTCAGGGCCTGGTCCTGGGACTCCGGGGGTACTGCTGTGGTACCATGGAGCTCTCACCAGCCTCCTGGGCTTGCCTTGTCTGGGTGAGCTGGCTTGTGTGTCTTCAGTGACATCAGAATTTTAGGTACATTTTAAACTTGCCTACTCACTTTCCTCTCTCCACAGCTCCACGGTAGTCATGAAAACCAGCAGCCTCCAACTATGGTAGCTGTCACTAGAGGGAGGAAGCCAGCTTTGGAGTCCTATCCCAAGAGCATTGCCATTATTTGAACTGTCTTGCAGCTCCTTGGAAAAGCACCATTTGCAAGGCTGTGCCTTCATTTGACCTAACCTGGAGCTCACCCACAGGGAAACCCTAACCCCAGGGCATTTGCTGAAAACAATCAGAGGAAATTGTTAACATTATAGCTGCCTGAGACTGTTCTACCACTTAGGGAAAATGAGACCCTTACCAAAACCTGAAAGGAGAGCCTGAAGAATGAGATGTTTGTAGGGGGCTTTGAAAAACTCTGACATATTCCTGGGGATTTACAAAACTGCATACATGTATAGAGCTATGTGCATGACGAGGAAAGACCTCACAGGACCCCAAACTCTCATCTCTGGCTGAACTTGAGGCCCTGCACAAGCAGGAAGTGAAGGCTAAGGCAGAGTTGTAAAATGTTAGAGCATTGAGCATGTATTCCCAGGCAAACTCAGGCCCATTTGACAAAAGATGAAAGACTTATTGCTTTAGGGCCTGTAAGCAAATCTCTGACCAATCGTTCACTGATTACTAAGCTAACTGAGATGAGTTTTCAGTTACTCACACCACAAAGACTATAGATTTTATAGGATTAGTCCAGGAAAAGCACTAAATGAGCAATCAGCAGCAGCAACAACAAAGCAAACAAAACAAATTGGGGGTTGGGATGAGGGTAATTTGACTTCCAGAGTTGCCACACTATATTATCTAAAATGTTCAGTTTCAACAAGAACTTACAATACATGCAAAGAAACAAGAAATTATGTTTCATACACAGGGGAAAAAACTAGCCAATTGAATGTTTATCAGAAAGGATCCAGATATTTGCCTTACAAAACAAAGACTTCAAATCAGCTATTATAAATATGTTCAAAGGACTAAAGGAAGCCATGACTAAAGAGGAAGAGGAATATATAGAAACAGTGCTTCACAAAATAGAGAATACCAATAAAGAAATAGAAATTATTTTTTAAAAAAACAGATAAAATTACAGAAATGGAAAATGTGCAAAAGGGACTCAACAGAAAATATAAACTGAAAGGATAAAGATTAGAGAACTTGAAGACAGGTTAATTGAGATGATCTGGTCTAATGAATAGAGAGAAAAAATGAATAAAAATGAACAGAGTCTCAGAAATTCCTAACGCACTATCCGACATCCCAACATCTGCATAATGGGAATTCTAGTGAGAGAGAGGGGCGGGGGGCAAATAGAATATCTAAAGAAATAATGGCCAAAAACTTTAAAAATTTGATTAAAAAGATTAATTTGAAATAAGCTCAAAAGCGCCAAGTAGGGGCCGGGCGCGGTGGCTCAAGCCTGTAATCCCAGCACTTTGGGAGGCTGAGGCGGACAGATCACAAGGTCAGGAGATAGAGACCATCCTGGCTAACACGGTGAAATCCCGTCTCTACTAAAAATACAAAAAAATTAGCCAGGCATGGTGGTGGGTGCCTGTAGTCCCAGCTACTGGGGAGGCTGAGGCAGGAGAATGATGTGAACCTGGGAGGCGGAGCTTGCAGTGAGCCGAGATTGCACCACTGTACTCCAGCCTGGGCGACAGAGCAAGACTCTGTCAAAAAAAAAAAAAAAGCTTCAAGTAGGATAAACACAAACAAATTCACACCTAAACACATCATAATCAAACTGCCAAAAGTCAAAAACAGGTAATCTTGAAAGCAACTCCTCTTATGAGGCCAGTATTAACCTGATATCAAAAGCAGACAAAGATATCTCAAGAAAACTAAAGGCCAATATCCCTTATGAATATAAGAGTCAAAATCTTCAAAAAAAATGCTAGCAAGCTGAATCCAACAATATATAAAAACAATTATGCATCATGGCCAAGAAGGATTTATTAAGGAACACAAGGTTTGTTTGACATCTGAAAATCAATTATATTGATAGAATAAAAAAACAAAAACCATATCTGCCTAGATGCAGAAAAAGCATTTGACTAAATCCAGCAACCTTTCATAATATGAAGAAAAATACACTCAACAAACTTGAAATAGAAGGAAACTTTCTTAACCCGAGGGAGGCTACCTATGAAAAATTCAGAGCTGGTATCACAGTTAACATTTATAGTCTGAGTGTTTTTCCCTCTAAGATCAGGAGCAAGAAAAACATGTCTGTTCTTGTCATTTCAAATCAACATTGTATTGGAGGTTCTAGCCAAGGCAGTTAAGCAAGAAAAAGAAATGAAAGTCATCCAGATCGGAAGAAGTAAAACTACTCTACTGACAGATATTATAATCTTGAATATAGAGAATCCCAAAGAATCAACAAAAAGAGGAAGTGGCCCTCTGTGGCCCTCCACAGGTTTTTGCATCTGCGGATTCAACCAACTATGGGTGGAAACCTGTGGATATGGTGGGCTGACTGTACACATTTTCCATCTGAGTTGGGTTGAATCCATGGATGCGGAACCTGCAGATGTGAAGGGCAAATTGTACTATGTCATTTCATATAAGAGACTTGAGTCTCTATGGATTTTAGAAGTAATGAACAAGTTCACTGATGTTGCAAGATGCAAGATTAATGCAAAGAATCAATCATATTTCTCTTCACTAACAACAAACAACTCAAAAATAAAAATAAAATTTAAAAAACAATTCCATTTAGAATAGCATCCAAAAATACTTAGTAATAGATTTAATGAAATAACTCATACATCAAAACCTACAAGTTTTGTTGAAGGAAATTAAATTAGATCTAAACAAATGAAAAGACATCTCATGCTTTGGATCAGAAGACTTAATGTTGTTAAGATGGGAATACTGCCCAAATTGTTCTACCTATTCAATGCAATCTCAATCAAAATGCCAATTGACATTTTGTAGAAATCGACAAGCTGATTTTAAAATTCTTATGAAAATGCAAGGGATCCAGAAGAGTCAAAATAATCCTGAAAAGGAAGAAAGTTTGGAAACTTGCAGTAATCAAGACATAACAATAAACATCTAGATTAATGGAGTAGAAATGAGAGTTCAGAAATAAACTCTTACATTTATGTTTAGTTGATTTTCTACAAGAGTTCCAAGGGAATTCAATGGTGAAAATAATAATATTTTCAACAAATGGTACTGAGACTATTGGAAATCTTAGAGAAAAGATTGAAGTTGGTTGCCTACTTCATAACTTACACAAAAATGAAATGAAAATGGGCCAAATACCATATACCCAAATGTAATTGTGAAAACTATAAAACTCTTGGAAGAAAACTCCAAAGTAAATCTTCATAAACTTGGGTTAGGGAGTGGTTTCTTAGATAGGACACCACAAGCACAAACAACAAAACAAAAAATAGGTAAACTGGATTTAATTAAAATTAAAAACTATTGTGCTATAAGTGAGAGCATCGAGAATTGAAAAGATAACCCACAGAATGAGAGAAAATATTTGCAAATCTGGGTACGAGGGTTGGGATCCAGGGTGTATAAAGAACCCAAACTAAGAAATAAAGACAAGTAATACAAATTTAAATAGGCCAGAGGATTTGAATAGACATTTCTCCAAAGAAGGTATATAAACTGTCAATACACACAAGAAAATATGTACAATATTACTAGTTACAGGTAAATTAAATCAGAACCACATGAGATACTACTTCATAGGTACCAGGATGGTTGAAATAAAAAAAGACAGATCATGCCAAGTGACAATAAGCATGTAGAGGGAGTGCAACCATCCCAGATCTTTGGTAGGAATTTTAAGGGTACAGCTGCTTTGGAAAACAATTTGGCAGTTTCTAAAAAAAAGTTAGGGATAGAGTTACTGAGTTAACCCAGCATTTCCACTTTACTTCTCACCCAAGAGATGAAAATATGTGTTTACACAAAAACTCATAGACATATGTTCATAGCAACTTTATTCATAATAACCAAAAAGTGGAAACAATACAAGTGCCCATCAATTGATGAATGGATAGACAAAATGGGATGTGTGTGTACAATGGGAGAGTATTTGGCAATAAAAAGGAATGAAGGACTGATATACACTATGACATGGATGAACCTTGAAGTCATTACGCTAAGTGAAAGAAGCCAGCTACAAAAGACCAAATATGATATGATTCCATTCATATAAAATGTCCAGGATAGGCAAATCCACAGAGATGAAAAGTATAGTGATTCCTTAGGGCTGGAGGGAGAGAAAATGTTGGGGTAAATGGGGAGTGACTGCTAATGGGAACTGGGCTTCCTTCTGGGTTGATGAAAATGTTCTAAAATGAGATGGTGGAAATGATTGTACATGTCTGTAAATATACTAAAAAGTCACTGAATTCTACACTTTCAATGAGTGAATTCATAGTATGAGTTATGTCTCAATAACTCTGATTATACATGTGTATTTCATGTATATGTGAAATAATATGTTTACTGGAAAAAATATCTATTAGGAGAAATACCAGCCAAAAGGAGGTTTCTCCAGCTTGAGTCAGCTCAACCACCAATCTAAATTGGATCTTAGTTAAATCTCTTTCCTTCTCTCAGCCTCAGTTTTCTCATCTGCAAAATGGGCCGATGGTAATACCCATTCTTTGGGCCTCACAGAGTTGCTGTGAGGATCGAACTAGGTAATTAGAGTGAAATCAGTGTTCAGAGATGGACAGGGCAGGAAACCAGGAGTTACATTTAAGTGTAGCTTAGTCTGTAGAGAGTGTCAAGGTTAAGAACATAGACTCTAGGGCCAGGCAGCCTATGTTTAAATTCATCTATAGCACTGACTAGCTGTGTGACCTAGAACAAGTGACTTCACCTTTCTCTGTGTAGTTTCTTCTGTAAAAGGGCATCATAGTATTGCTGCCTTCATAGAGCATTATGAGAATAAAATAATTTAATTAAACACATAAGGAAGCTTTTTAAAAAAAGTTTAGTGTACTAAGAGATTGAAGTAAATTCTGAGAATGCACTGCCCAAACTCTGAATACTACAAAAAAAAGAAAGGGAGAATGGAAAGAGGAAGGAAGGTGATGGGGAGAGGATGGAAGGAGGGAAGAAAGAAAGAAGTAAAAAGAGAAAGAAGGAGGGGACGAAAAGGAAAGGAAAAGAAAAGAAAAATGCATTTTCCAGCTGGAAGGCAGAAATGATACAAAGAAAAAAAAGTATTTTCCGGCTAGAATGCAGAAATAATACAAAGAAAAAAATGTATTTTCCAGCTAGAATGCAGAAATTATACATTTTCGAGGGACTGAGAAAGTTACTGCCTCAAATTGCCATCACTGGAGATTATGAAACAAATTACACTGGGCCGTTTAAAATGGTGATTAATAAATACCCTTTATTTATCAGCTGTAGACATTTTGAGTAAAGACAAAAGGAGGAATGTATTTTTTAAATATCTGGAATTATTCCATTTGACCACATTGCTATAAATGATGGTGAGGATTATAAGAAAGAACTAGTCAAACACAGTTTTTTTTTCTGTTTTTTTAAAAAAAACCCCTCTGTTTGACTAGCTATAGAAAATGTCTGAAATGTCTCATGTGATTTTGCACATAAGATTTTTGACAAAATCTTGAGAGACAATTCATTCTTTAAAAACTACTTCTTGAGCATGGAGGTGAGCTCCTGAGAGGTGAGACCGTTGTAGCTTGAGGGGCCCTAAGACTACATCTAGAACGATGGCTCTTGACTCTAACTAGCAGAATAAACTAACAGAAGCCAGTTTAGCATTTCTCCATGTTGTTTGGAATTCAAACATAATGAAATGAATAAAAACTTTTTTTTAATTGTCTTCGGAGAAATTTACATTTTCATATTGAACAGTTCCATCAAGAATCCCATGCGGTTCCTCACATTTCAGGTCTGAGCCTCAGTGTTTAGCCCGTGGGACTTCAGCAAAATGGCCTGTGCTGTGGAGGAACCCACAGTCTCAGCCTGTGCTTTGGAAGAGCTGAAGATCCACTAGGAGAGGCAGGAGGCTGAATGACATAAATGTCAACCAAAGGATTACAGACAAAGCCACAGAGGATCAGATAGGGAGAAAACTAGAAGAGAGAACTAAGAAGAGATCCCAGGAGATGGCAGTTCAGCTGGTCTTTATGGAACAGGCACTGGGGAGAAGTGTTCCTGATACCTGGGCTTGGATGTGGACTCTGGGAAGTCAAAGGCAGGGCCCATGTACTGGAGGTAATTCTGCTTGCCTGGAATGCAGGGACCACAAGAGAAAGTGATGAGAGAGAAGACTGAAAGATAACATGGTATTTAATCATCCCCAAAACTCAAACCACAATCTATGAAATTTAGAATTAGTTCTTTCAGCTCATAGGAGGATACTTTTAAAAGTTTTAATCAGAAAAATATTATAATTGGAGCTATGCTTTAGAAAAAGTAATCTAGTGACTCCCTTTAAAGAACCTTCACTTGGAAAATTTATTTTCTTTTTTGCTTCTGAGAAACTCTTAAGTTTACTCTTTATAGGGAATAGAATCATCTAATTGTTTTCTTTTTCCATTTGTCTCCCAGGATGCTCAGTGCAAATCTGCCATTTGTTTTTACCTGGCTAAATATTATGGCCTTTATAATCTGCAATCAGTTTCTGCTAGTTTCTGATCTTCCACTCTGATATTTATTTTTCCATGATTCTGACTTTTATACTTTATATTTTATCTTTTATTGAATATATTTATCAATATTACCATAAATCCTCAGGCTAAAATGAGGTAGAGTTATAAATAAGCAGCAACATGATATGTATATCTGAATATAGTTTGTGGCAAAGATTGGGCAAGCATGAGTCTGAGTCCAAGACACTAGTGAGGCAGTACCAGCTCCAATTCCAAGCTGGAATCATAGCAACATGAATGAATGGGGGAGTGTGTCTCAGACAATGAAAAGGTCAGCATCCATGAGATTCATACACTTTGTTTATTACTATTTATATGTATTTATTCATTTATTTATGTAAAAAAATAGAGACAAGGTCTCACTGTTGCCCAGGCTGGTCTTGAACTCCTGGGCTCAAGAGATTTTCCCGCCCCAGCCTCCCAAAATGTTGGGATTACAGGAGTGAGCCACTGTGCCCAGCTGAGATTCATACACTTTAGATGTATGATGTGGAGCAGACCAGGGAGTCAAAGGTGATTGATGCCATGGATTAAGCATGAGGTGACTAGGTTTCCTCAAGAGTGATGGCGGCCTTAATACAAATAAAAAACATAGGAAGAAGAAAAGTTTTGCATGTTAAGGCAATGAGGAAGGTTCCAGGAATGATGACCCATAGTTGGACACATACAACACATGGATAGAAATGGAGAAGAGCCATCGAAAGAGAGGCTGAGCTGGAGAAAAAACTTGGAAATCATCTGTAAGGAGTTGGGAATTGAAAGAGAGAGAGAGAGAGAGAGAGAGAGAGAGTGCAAGTAGGTGAGATTTCCAGAAAGAAGAATATATAGAGTGAAAAGAAAATGGCCAAAAATAGGGTCTTGAACAATGCTTGCATTACAGGGTGGGAAGATTGAAAGGAATTAGAATAGATTCCTAAAAGAAGCAGAAAAATGTGGTGCCAGGAAAGCCTAGGTGGAGAAAGTAATTAAGAAGGACATGTGATCATCAATAGGCAAAACTATTGGATTAATTTATTAGAAAAATCAGTGATAACCTTCAAGAAAACTATTTCAATGGACTGGTGGGGCCAAAGCCAATTTCAAGGTGTTAAGAAATGGTTGGATGTTGGGAAAGTAAAGGGCATGAGTATAGACCAGTAGTTCTCAAACACCACCTGCAAGCCTGGGGGCTTTGAGAAATCCAGCCTCTTGGGCCCCACCTCTGGAGACTCTGGTTCAGTGGGTCTGGAAGCAGTTGTCCTGGTGAAGAGGACAGAACCACATGAATCGTCTTGCCTATGCTTGTCTGTGGCTCATGGTGAGCTTGTTGTTTGGATGGTTGGTTGACTGTGTGGTTTGAGGGGAGGTTACTCTCTAACTCCTAAGGGTGGGATAAATTGATTTGGGAAATAGACTGCAAGAGAAAAGTCTCAAATTGGTGTGCAAGGGTGAAAAATAAGGAACAGTGGGGAAAGGAAAACTGGAAGGAAACGAAGCAGAGGAGGGACAAACAAGGAGTGAACAAATATTAATATGACTGAGGACCTGGAGCCATGGCAGGTACTTGAGAGTAATGTAGAGTGTTGGGAGAAAGAGAGAGAGAGAAATACTAAAATCTAGACAGAAGGGTTTGGAGTTGGTACTTCAGAGCCATGATTCTCCAAATGTGGTCCTCAGGCCTCTGCTCCAGACCTATTGAACTGGGGACCCTGGGGCTGGGCCTCAGCAATCTGCATTTTAGTAAGTTCTCCCATTTGGATGCAAGTTTGAGAACCACTGCTTCAGAGAAAAAAAAACCCCAAAAACAAAAAACAAAACAAAACAAAAAAACAGGCCATATATTTTCTTATTAAATGTACAAGCAGCATAGTGAAAATGATGTTTGGAAAAGATTTTCCAATCAGATATCGGGGTTTGCAAAAAGATAAAAATGGATGAAGTTGAAATAACCTAGATTTGAGAGGCTGGAATAGGGTAACAACTAAAGAAATGGATGGAAGAGGCAAATGCAGCATCAGCACAGGGCTTTGGTAACAGGGCACGTGGAAGGAGAGGGAAGAGAGTCTAAGCATTCCTTATTTGCCTGCCCAGAGCAGCCTGTGGTTTTAGTATCAGTCATGATGATCAACTAAGGAAGTTGGGAAAGGTGTGTGCTATGGGAAAAGAAAGCTCAGAGGTTTCTGTTTTGTTTCAAAGTCCAGGTGATGAAGTTGAGAAGGTGTGTCCTGTAGGTCACTGGACATAAAGAGGGACACAGACATAGCAGACCTGGGGCTGACCCTGGAAGGCGGCAGCTGACACAGCTTGAGAGGTAAGATACATATGTAGGTAACCTTGAGTGACAAATGTACTACACCCTCACTACATGTGAGCCACAGTCAATGACCAGCATCTCAGTTGTAGCTGGAGCATGTTGTGTATATGGGTGGGGGGCAGTAAGAGGGAAGAGCAGTAAAAGGCAAATTTTTTTTTTTTTTTTTGAAACAGAGTCTTGCTCTGTCCCTCAGGCTGGAGTGCAGTGGCGTGATCTCGGCTCACTGCAACCTCTGCCTCCCAGGTTCAAGCGATTCTCCTATCGCAGCCTCCTGAGTAGCTGGGATTACAGGCGCACACTACCAAGCCTGGCTAATTTTTTTTTTTTTTGTATTTTTGGTAGAGACGGAGTTTCACTATGTTGGTCAGGCTGTTCTCAAACTCCTTACCTCGTGATCCGGCTGCCTCAGCCTCCCAAAGTGCTGGGATTACAGGTGTGAGCCACTGTGCCTGGCCGAGGCAAATGTTCTTTAGTCATCTAGTTTAAAATGCATATGTGATCTTGCTTTTATTAGAATGAAATACTGTCCATAATAGATCACCTTATAATTTCAAGTAATGATTTACTTTTTTGTTTGTTTTTAATAAACTTCATTTTTTGGGAATAGTTTTACATTTACAGGAAAATTGAGAAAATAGTAGAAAGAGTTCCCAGATATGCCCTCACTCAGTGTTCACTACTATTAACATGTTCTTTTTTTTTTTTTTTTTTTTGAGACAAGTTCACTCTGTTACCCAGGCTGGAACGTCATCACAGTTCACTGTAGCCTGGGTCTCCTGGGCCCAAGAGATTCTCCCACCACAGCCTCCTGAGTAGCTGAGTAGCTGGGACTACAGGTGCATCACCGTGTCCGGTTAACTTTTTTTTTCTTTGGTAGAGATGGGGGGTCTCATTATGTTGCCCAGGCTGGTCTCGAACTCCTAGTCTCAGGCAATTCTCCTGCTTTGTCCTCCCAAAGTGTTGGGATTACAGGTGTGAGCCACTGCACCAGGCCCACATTATATTTGTATGTTACATTTGTTATAATTAACGAACTAATATGGATATACTGTTATTAACTAAAATCCATAGTTTTTTTAGACTTCTTGAGTTTTGTTGTTGTTGTTGTTGTTGTTGTTGCTGTTGTTGTTTTGAGATGGAGTCTCACTCTGTCTCCCAGGCTGGAGTGCAGTGGCGTGATCTTGGCTCACTGCAACCTCCACCTCCCAGGTTCAAGCGATTCTCCTGCCTCAGCCTTCTGAGTAGCTGGGACTACAGGCGCCCGCCACCACGCACGGCTAATTTTTTGTATTTTCAGTGGAGATGGAGTTTCACTGTGTTAGCCAGGATGGTCTCGATCTCCTGACCTCATAATCCGCCCACCTTGCCCTCCCAAAGTGCTGGGATTACAGGTATGAGCCACCATGCCTGGTTTTTACCTGTTTCTGATTTTTATTTTTCCCGTTGCAGGATCTCATCCAGGCTGTATTTACTTGTCCTGTCTCTGTGGGCTCCTCTTGGCTGATAGCTTCCCAGGCTTTCCTTGTTTTTGATGACTTCACTTGGTTTTGAGTTGTTCTGGTCAAGTATTTTGATGTTTTAAAAATATTATAACAACTAACACTTCCTCAGCATTTTATATGTAGTGTCTCTTAACATTCACAGCACAGATACTTTCTGACTGGATAGTATTACCATGATTATGATTTACATAGGTGGGCAGACCAAGGCTCTCTTTTATTTCTCATGACACGTTTAACAATAGAATGCAGGAGAGTTAGGGTAAGAGGTTGAGGACAGAGGCATACATTTTTTCAAAATCCACAGTTAATTTTTTTTTTTTTTTTTTTTTTGAGATGGAGTCTCGCTCTGTCACCAGGCTGGAGTGCAATGGCGCGATCTCAGCTCACAGCAACCTCTGCCTCCTGGGTTCAAGTGGTTCTCCTTCCCCAGCCTCTGGAGTAGCTGGGACTACAGGCATGCGCCACCATGCTCAGCTTATTATTATTATTATTATTATTTTATTATTATTGTATTTTAGTAGAGATAAGTTTTCACCATGTTGGCCAGGATAGTCTTGATCTCCTGACCTCGTGATCCGCTGACCTCAGCCTCCCAAAGTGCTGGGATTACAGGTGTGAGGCGCTGAGCCCAGCTGATAAATTTCTTTATTTCCCGGCACCACTTCCCCCAGTGGCTTCCAGCTACCCGACCCCCCGCCCCCACCACCCTACCCAGGAGGGCAGTTTAATTTTTTCTGAGATGGATTTGCCCCAGGAAAGCTGTTGGATGGTGCGCTTGCTTATCTCATTCCTTTAGAAGGCTGCTACTCCCCTCTCCAAGCAGGACGTTGGAAACACGGGTTGTAACAGTGTGTCACTTTATGGAGACCTGGGAAAACGGGCCAGGTGGCAGCTCCTCAGTGACTGCAGAAAGCAGCTGTCTGAGGATGAAACTTCATCTCGCCTCGACTCCCTCTTATCCAGCCTCTTAGGAGCAGTCACAATTAAGCCAAATGTCTGACCATTTTTTAATCACCAAGCAGATAATAATTCAAAGGACCAGGCCAAAGCAACCTCTCTGAAAAGATCTTATGAAATAATTTCTCTTCGCAAATCCATAAAAATCGCCCAGGACTCCTTATCAATAGGGAGGCTTAAAGGGGGAGCAGAAGTCATTGGATTATGATGTGCTCATTTTAATGAAATTCCTCTCCTGCTGAGATGTTCCCTGCAGATTTTCCATATTTCAGCCTGGGAAAGGTTTGATGCTTTCCTGCTGGTGCCAAGAGTTAATTGAAAACATTTCAGGATAAATTTGGCTTGGGGGCCAACGCTTCCAGCCCATCATTCTTCTTAGCAATAATAGAAGAGTAATACAATTATTAATAGGCATGTTGTATCCTCTTATGGTGCCCGTGGGTTTAGGAACCGTGTCTTTGACGTTCTTTCTAAAACGCCACACAAAACCCTGAAATGCGAGACTAGGAACTTAGAAGAAAAACAAGCTTTTGCTGCTAAATTATATAGTTTGTCTCTTCCTGTTTGGAGTGGATGAATGGTAGTAGATGATTGCTGCTTTTCCTAAAAAGTTCTATTTTCAAATCTAGCATTGGGATTTGAGAAAGATGCACTTATGGATATTAAAAGAAAATGTATGTAAACATTGGCAAAACAATTTACACAACTAAAATCATGTTAAGTTTTAACGTAGTACTCACTGGGGGAATTATTTTGGCATCATCTATCAAAATTGAATTAGCCTTCAATTTTAAATACAGCCTGTTTTACCCTCTACATGCTATTTGACTGTCTCCTGAACTGTATTGAATAACATAGCAAACTAATATTTAGTCATTGTTATGAACGAGAATTCCAATTCTGATTTTCTTTGCTTTTTAATGTGATTTGGAATGTTAACTCTTTTACTAGCACCTTTCCATGTAGTTTGAACACCTATGATTAAATCTTCTCTTGAAACTTAATCTCTCTGGAGTCCTTGTAGAAACGTTAGGATAACGGAGCAAATCAGAAACACATCTCTGTCCTGGGTGTTGCCTCTTAAAGGGAGGAGTTAACACCATCCAACCTTCAGATATGTTCTTCCTCTAGCCAGGAGCACAGGCAAAATGTGTATGAAGGAATGAGTAAGTCACACAGAGCAGTAGCACCGTTTACTTTTTTAGAGCAGTACTTTAAATCTCTAATCTGACATTTAAGTTAATCATTGTGTCATCTTTTTGTTCTCTAAAAATATGTCAGAGTTTCATACATATATATGCACATTTTAGGTGTATGTTTTAATCTCACTGCACACCCATTTTCTACACAGGGAAAACTGAGATGTAACGGTGTTAAGGGAGTGAGTGGCAAGAGCATTTAGCGTTCTCATCTGCCCTTGGTTTCTCGTTTGCTTTCCCTTCTAGGCTGGAGGCTCAGCGAAGGCAGGGATGTGTTCAATCACTGCTTTTTTTCTCCAGTGCCTAAAAGGGTGCTGAACATTCACTGAATAAATGAAAAAAAACAACAACTGCTGACTCTCCCTGACTCTTGCCTTTACTTGGGGAAAAAAACCCAATTAGAAGTAATTTTCTACTTCATTAAACTATAATTGTGTGGTTTTTGTGGAGTTCTCTAATAAGATCATTTTAACTAAGATGCATAATGAGTACTTTGGGGATATTCTCTTAGATGTTAGCTAGAAAGATTACTGCTTCTGTAGTGGGATTTCAGGACTCTCCATAGAACTACACTGCTGTGGTTTGAATGTGTCCCTAAAGTTTATGTGTTGGAAACTTAATCCCCAGTGCAAGCGTTGAGAGGTGGGACCTCAAGAGGTGATTAGGTCACGGGGGTTCTGCTCTCATGGACAAATTAATGCCATTATTGAGGGAGTAAGCTACTTATACAGGAGTGGGATTCTGATAAAAGAATATTTGGTCTCCTTCTCTTTCTCTCTCTCTCTCTCTCTCATGCTTTTTTGCCCTTCTGCCTTCCACAATGAGATGATGAAACACAAAGGCCCTCACCTGATGTGGCCTCTTGATCTTGGACTTCCCAGAACTGTAAGAGATAAAATTCTTTGTTGAAATAAATTATCTAGTCTGTGGTATCCTTTTATAGCAGCAAAAAACAAACTAAGACATACACCAAAAGATGCCTCCACTTCATCAAACAGACTTTGCATGAAATCTCATAATTCCTTCAGCTCTTGTCAGCGTCCCTCAAAGTGTGATCAATAGACTCTCCTAGGGTGCTTGACAAAAACAGATTCTCAAGGCTTGGCCCTCAGAGATTCTGATTCAGTAGGAAGAAGAGTGGAGCCTAGAAATCTGCATTTTGAACAAGCTCCCCAGATAACTTTTATGTATACTAAAGTGTGGGAAATATTGGATTAAAGTTTTGACCCCTGTTGTAATGAATGTGGCCTTAAAAGAAGCTGTTGCCGGCTGGGTGCTGTGGCTCATGCCTGTAATCCCAACACTTTGGGAGGCCCAGGCGGGTGGATCACCTGAGATGGGGAGTTTGAGACCAGCCTGACCAACATAGAGAAACCCCGTCTTTAATAAAATACAAAATTAGCCAGGCGTGGTGGCATATGCCTGTAATCCTAGCTACCCAGGAGGCTGAGGCAGGAAAATCTCTTGAACCCAGGAGGCAGAGGTTGCAGTGAGCCGAGATTGCACCATTGCACTCCAGCCTGGGCAACAAGAGTGAAACTCTGTCTGAAAAAGAAGGAAGGAAGGAAGAAAGGAAGGAAGGGAGGGAGGGAGGGAGCGAGGCAGGGAGGGAAGGAGTTGTCGTATATAATATGGTATTATTATATGATAAGATACTTGCTTTAGGGGGAATGAGCTTTCTTAAAAGCAAAGCCTAACAATAGAGTCCACCAACAGTAGGATTCTCAATAAAGGAAGTCAAAAATGTAACCACAATGCTGTCACCACTCCAAATCCAACTTCTTTTGAAATCCCCTGTATTAGTTGGCTGGGGCGGCTGTTAACGAAGCACCACAAACTGAGTGCTTAAACAACAGAAATTGACTCAGTCCTGGAGGTTAGAACTCCACGTTCAAGGTGTAGACAGAGTTGGTTCCTTCTGAGGGCTGGGAGGAGGCATCTGTTTCATGCCTCTCCACCAGCTTCTGAAAGTTTGCTGGCCATCTTTGGCATTCCTCGGCTTGGCATCACCCTAATCTCTGCCTTCATCGTCACATGTGTTCTTCCTGTGTGCATGTGTTTGTGTGCAAAGTTCCCCCTTTTCAAAGCAAGGTCACCAGTCATATTGGTCCACTCCAGCATGATTTTATTTTAACATAAGTAAGTTACATCCGCAATGACCCTGTTTCTAAATAAGTTCATATTCAGAGGTACTAGAGGTTAGGACTTCAATCTGTGAATTTGGGGAGGAGCATAATTCAACCATAACATCTTGCATCCTCAACAATAGGCACTAGGGACGCTCGAGTTTGGTGCGGGTCATGTTAGGCCAAAGGCAACAAGTCCCCCACTGCAGCTTGGTTGCATAGACATGTCCCAGCAATGGCAGCCACATCAAGTGTAGCATGGACTGTCCCCTACAGTCACAGCCTGAGCTGCTGGATGACAGGCATTGTGGGGAAGTGGAGACAATGGAAGGAAAAACAGAGGCTGAAGCAGAGGAACTAAAAGAGGAAGCTGGAGAAATTGCTGCTGCCAATGACATCCCAAAATTTCTATATCCAGGAGCTTAGGGGCACCATCAATATGGTTGACAGGGGAGACTGGGAAACTTTTCCTGTTTCTTTTTTTTATTTTAAAAATATGTTTAGTTTTCTTGGAGACAGGGTCTTGCTCTGTCACCCAGACTGGAGTGCAATGGTGTGATCAGAGCTCACTGTAGCCTTTAACTTCTAGGCTGAAGCAATCCTCCTGCCTCAGTCTCCTGAGTAACTCGGACTACAGACACTCAGCACCAAGCCCAGCTAACATTTTTATTCTTATTTTTTGTAGAGCCAGAGGTCTCACTGTGTTACCCAGGCTGTTCTAGAACTCCTGGCCTCAAGTAATTCTCCTGCTCTAGCCTTCCAAAGTGCTGAGATTACAGGTGTGAGCCACCACACCTGGCCCTTTTCTTGTTTCTAAGTGTTGACTTAGCCAGGCTGCCATCATTCTCATGTAGCTCATATCAATATTTGGATGGTTGTGGGGGGATTGATACAACTGTGGGGGTGACTGAAGCATGCCTCTCCCCTCACCACACCTTGACTCTGCTATTTGTGGCTGACCAGTGGTGATGATGACGACAATGATAATTATGACATTGTCTCTATAGCATGCAGCATAGTTCCTGGCACACATGAGACACTTAGTGAATATTGGTTGAATGAATAGCTTGAAAGGGCTAAAGCCTCACTTAAGACCAAGCATGTTTGCTTCCTGGGAGAAACATTACAAACAAATTAAAGTCAGATGGCATGTCTGGAATGCATTTACTTGGCAAAAAAGAATCTATTCCAGAAGATTTGGCTTGGCTCTGGGATGTTTTGTATAACCTTAAGTTAGAAATGAATATTTAAAATGAGACTCAGTAAATAAGGCTAAATATAGGACTAACACATACAGACTCTTGGAACTTTATCACTAATGAAAGCTGCCTTTGTCACCCATTCCCAGTGGAAAATGTTTGTATCAGAAGCTGAAGAAGAGATGTTCTCAGGACCCAATACCTTTGAGATGACTCTAATCCTACACTAGGGTCACATAATTTGTGGGTCCACTAATCATAATAGCACCTCACATTTGATTGGGCCTTTCTGGTGCACAGAATGAACTTCATTGTATGCACTCATGAGGTGCACATTTTACCCTCTGCTGAAGGAAGGGCGAAGATCATCATCTCAATTTCGCAACCTTAGTAACCACTACTGTTCACTGACCATCTGCCCCATGTTCCTGCACATGAAGATATAAGTAAGAGCAGTTTGAACTTTCATTCCTGGAATTCTATGGAGTCTCGTCCTTTCCCCAAGCATCTGATGAATTCTCAGAGTATCATTTTTTTTCTAGTCCCCTCTGAATCTAATTTTCTGCTTTTCTTTTTTTTCTTTTGGGAACAGGGCCTCTTTCTGTCACCCAGGCTGGGGTGCAGTAGTGCAATTACAGCTCACTGTAGCCTCAACCTCCCAAGCTCAAGCCATCCTCCCACCTCAGCCTCCCAAGTAGCTGGGACTACAGGCGCACACCACCACATCCAGCTAATTATTTATTTATTTATTTATTTATTTTTGTAGAGACAGGGCCTCGCTGTGTTGTGCAGGTTGATATTGAACTCCTGGACTCAAGCAATTCTCCCATCTTTGCCTCCCAAAGTGCTGGGATTATAAGCATGAGCCACCAGGCCCAGCCATTCTGCTTTTCTTGTACTCTTATTTTCCCTCTGCATTGTGGACCTCTTTATGTCCACTCCAGCACCAGCCCACAGTGAGACAAAACTCTTTGTCTAAGGAACCGCATTCTTCAGTCAGTTACAAAAATCAGGAACATTCAGTAAGGGGTAGTGATGGGTGGTATATTTTTATTAGAGTTCATAGATAATAGCAAAGGATACACATGTAAATTTTATGCAGCAGATAATTTAAAGAGAAGATTAGATAGTCCCCATTGTCTGTAAGTCACCCCAGTCTTCTGTGTCTGGCCATGTTGCTATGTCCTATATTACTCTCCTCTCTCATGCCCTTCTCTTCTCTCTTCTGATTTCTCCACCACAAATTATTGTTTACTTACAAAAAGCACTTGAATTATCTTATTGTGTTCTCCATTCAACCTTTCTATTCTGGAGCCTCCCTCCATGCTGCTATCCAATGACTTATCAAGGTTCTTCCTACACAGTCTATTTTTTCCCTAAAAGGGACTTTGGTTCCACCTGGTAAAATAAGTTTTATTCCTTTCCTTTTATCTCAAATTCTCATGACAATTATGTAAGGTAGATATGTTTAAATACTTCCGTTTTTGCTGTTCTTCACAAAGAAAGCAGTAACATGTATTGTTAATTCCAAGTAAAGATGGATTACAAAAAATATGAATAGCAAAACAGGAAAAACAATTTATAGGATACAATATGGAAATGGTGAAAATGGTAAAAGAAGAAGGCTTAGGAAAAGTTATTGTTTTCTTTAGGAGGAAGATATGAAACTTTCCAACACTTAGACATTGAGAGAAAATAATAGTTAAATATATGGGCTAAGTTTTAAGATAAAACACTAGACAAAGTAGAAGTATAATTTATAACTTCAAATAATTGGGGAAAGGGGGAAGGTGTGAGAAAACAGCCACAAACATCCTCAACATAATAAAAGCCATATATTACAGATCCACAGCTATTAACATGCTGAAGGGGGAAAAACTGAAAGCCTTTCCTCCAAGATCTGGAATACGACAAGGATGACCACTTTCACCATTGCTATTCAACATAGTACTGGAAGTCCCAGCTAAAGCAATCAGATAAGAGAAAGAAATAAAGGAAATCCAAATTAGAAATGAAGGAGTCAAATTATCTTTGTTTGCAGATGATATGATCTTATTATATATTCAGCAGAACCTGAAGACTCCACCATAAAACTGCTAGAGCTGTGAGCCGAGATCCCGCCACTGCACTCCAGCCTGGGCGACAGAGCGAGACTCCGTCTCAAAAAAAAACAAAAAACAAAACAAAACAAAAAACCGCTAAAGCTTATAAACAAATTCAATGAAGTTGCAGGATACAAAATCAACATACAAAACTCAGTAGCATTTCTATATGCCAACAGTGAACAATCTGAAAAAGAAGTTTAAAAACTAATCTCAATAGCACAAATAAAATTAAATGCCTAGGAATTAACCACAGAAGTGAACGAAGATCTCTATAAAGAAAACTATAAAACACTGATGAAAGAAATTGAAGAGGACACAAAAAAGTGGAAAGATATTCCTTCTTCACGGATTGGAAGAATCAATATTAAAATGTCCTTACTATCCAAAGCAATCTACAGATTCAATGAAATCCCTTTCAAAATACCAATGGCATTCTTCACAGAAAAAAAAAAAAATCCTGAAATTTATATGGAGCCACAAAAGACCCAGAATAGCGAAAACTATCCTAAGCAGAAGGAACAAACCTGGAGGAATCACATTACCTGATTTCAAATTATGCTATAGAGCTATAATAACCAAAATCACATGGCACTGGTATAAAAACAGACACATAGACCAATGGAACAAAATAAAGAACCCAGAAACAAATCCACACACCTCATTTTCAACAGAGGTGCCAAGAACATACATTGGAGAAAAGACAGTCTCTTAAATAAATTTTGCTGGGAAAACTGGATATGCATATGCAGAAGAATGAAATGAGGTTGGGCACAGTGGCTCACACCTGTAATCCTAGCACGTTGGGAGGCTGATGCCGGTGGATCATTTGAGGTCAGGAGTTTGAGACCAGCCTGGCCAATATGGTGAAACTCTGTCTCTACAAAAAAATACAAAAATTAGCAAGGCATGGTAGTAGGTACCTGTAATCCCAGCTACTCAGGAGGCTGAGGCTCGAGAATCACTTGAACCCAGGAGGCAGAGGTTGAAGTGAGCCGAGATCACACCACTTGCACTGTAGCCTCAGTGACAGAGTGAGACTCTGACTCCAAAAAAAAAACCAATTAATTAAAAAAAGAAAACTAGACCCCTATCTCTTACCATATACAAAAATCAAATAAATGGATTTAAGACTTAAATCTAAGATCTCAAACTATGAAACTATTGCAAGAAATCATTGGGGAAACTCTCCAGGACATTGGTCTGGGCAAAAATGTCTTAAGTAATATCCCACAGGCACAAGCAACCAAAGCAAACATGAACAACTGGAATCATATCAAGTTAAAAAAGTTTCTGGTTGGGTGCGGTGGCTCACACCTGTAATCCCAGAACTTTGGAAGGCCAAGGCAGGCAGATCACCTGAGGTCAGAAGTTTGAGACCAGGCTGGCCAACATGGTGAAACCCTGTCTCTACTAAAAATACAAAAATTAGCCAGGCATGGTGGCACACGCCATCATCCCAGTTACTCAGGAGGCTGAGGTGGGAGCATCACTTGAGCCCCGGAGGCAGAGGTTGCAGTGAGTCGTGATTGCACCACGGCACTCCATCCTGGGCAAGAGAAAGAGAGATTCCATCTCAAACAATAAAAAATAAATAAAAAATATAAAAAAGCTTCTGCACAGCAAAGGAAACAATCAAGAAAGTGAAGAGACAACACACAGACAGGGAGAAAATATTCGCAAACTACTCATCTGTCAAGGGATTAATAACCAGAAGTTTTAAGGAACTCAAACAACTCTGTAGGAAAAAACCTAATAATCAAAAAAATGGGCAAAAGATTTAAATAGACCTTTCTCAAAAGAAGATATACAAATGGCAAACAGGCATATGAAAAGATACTCAACATGATTGATCATCAAAGAAATGCAAATCAAACTATAATGAGATATCATCCCACCCCAGTTAAACTGGCTTATATGCAAAAGACAGGCCATAACAAATGCTGGTGAGGATGTGGAGAAAATGGAACCCTCACACACTGTTGGAGGGTATGTAAATTAGTACAACCACTATGGAGAACAGTTCAGAGGTTCCTCAAAAAACTAAAAATAGAGCTACCATTTGATCTAGAAATCCTACTGAATGATATATACCCAAAATAAAGGAAATCAGTATATTGAAGAGATATCTGCACTCCCACGTTTGTTGTAGCACTATTCACAATAGTT
This sequence comes from Homo sapiens, assembly GCF_000001405.40. Taxonomy (NCBI): domain Eukaryota; kingdom Metazoa; phylum Chordata; class Mammalia; order Primates; family Hominidae; genus Homo; species Homo sapiens. Next base: position 86,930,220 of record NC_000009.12, read on the forward strand.
AAGATTTGGAAGCAACCTAAGTGTCATCATCAGATGAATGGGTAAAGAGAATGTGGTGCATATACACAATGGAGTACTATTCAGCCATAAAAAAGAATGATATCCAGTAATTTACAATAACATGGATGGAACTGGAGGTCATTATGGTAAGCGAAATAATCCAGGCACAGAAAGGCAAATATTATATGTTCTCATTTATTTGTGGGATCTAAAAATCAAAATAATTGAACTCTTGAAGATATAGGGTAGAAGGATGGTTATAAGAAACAGAGAAGGGTAGTGGGAGGGGACCAGGGGAGAAGGGGATGGTTAATACGTATAAAAAAAGTTAGAAAAAAATGATTAAGATCGAGTATTTGATAGCACAACAGGATGACTATAGCCAATAATAATTTCACTGTACATTTAAAAATAACTAAAAGAGTATAATTGGATTGTTTGTAACACAAGGGATAACTTTTCCATGATGTGATTATTATGTATTGCATGCCTACAGCGAGACTCTGCTGTCTCAAAAAAAAAAAAAACTCATGTGCCCTATAAATATATACACCTACTATGTACCCACAAAAATTAAATTTAAAAATTAATAAAACAGCAACAAGCATACATAGTCTGTCCAACAAAGGCTATCAATGGGAGATTTTTGAGAAAAAAAAACCATGAAAGCATGGCAAATTTAAAACATAAAGTAAAATGGTGAGAATGTATCAAAACAAACCAGTAACCAATAAATATAAATAGTTTTTGAATTGCTATGAAGAAATAAAAAGCTCCATTGGATTTAAAAAAATGGTACCAATCAATCAAACAAAATTCATACTACCCAACTATGTGCTCATTACAAGACCTAAATTACAAGAAGATAAATGGATTGACAAGCGATTATGGTTTGGCTCTGTGTACCCACCCAAATCTCATCGTGTACTCCCATAATTCTCACATGTTGTGGGAGGCACCCAGCGGGCGATGATTGAATCATGGGGACGGGTGTTTCCCGTATTGTTCTCATGATAGTGAATAAGTCTCACAAGATCTGATGGTTTTAAAAATGGGAGTTTCCCTGCACAAGCTCTCTCTTCTCTTGTCTGCTGCTATGTGAGACATGCCTTTTACCTTCTGCCATGATTGTGAGGCTTCCCCAGCCACATGGAACTGTAAGTCAATTAAACCTTTCTTTTTTAAATTGCCCAGTCTTGGGTATGTCTTTATCAGCAGCATGAAAATGGACTAATATAAAGAGGAAGATATTTAAAAAGCTACCACTCCCTAAAGTGGTATTAGAGGGATTGTGAGTATGATGACACAACTTATAAAGTAGAATGTACTTTTTAATTTTAATTTAAATATATAGAAAAGCTCAAAAGGTTACATGTAAATGTACTTAGATTATCTATAGGTGTTATCATTATGGGTGGCTTTTAGTGTCTTATTTTTCATTAACTGCATCTTTAAAATTTTTAATGTGTGCGTGTTACTCTCTACAAAGAAAAAGCAAAATGAAGTTTCTTCAAAAAACAGTTAACAAAATAAAAGTAGGTACAATTTTTTTTGTTTGTTTTTGTTTTTGTTTTTGTTTTTGAGAAGGAGTCTTGCTCTGTCGCCCAGGCTGGAGTGCAGTGGCATGATCTTGGCTCACTGCAACCTCCGCCTCCTGGGTTCAAGCAATTCTTCTGCCTCAACCTCCCTAGTAGCTGGGATTACAGGCACACACCACCATGCCAGGCTAATTTTTGTATTTTTAGTAGAGATGGGGTTTCATCATGTTGACCAGGCTGGTCTCCAACTCAGGTGATCCGCCCACCTTGGCCTCCCAAAGTGCTGGGATTACTGGCGTGAGCCACCACGCCCAGCCCTGATGTGACATTCTTACACAAAATAAAATTAAAGGTAAACATTATTAAAAGGGCAAAATTAAGGTTCATATTGTTAAAAAATATATTCCTCCATAAAGATAAAAGTCGTGTACCTAAATGCATTTAACACTATACCTTCAAAATATATACATAAAATCTGACAGAAATAAGAGGAAAAACTGATGGATCCATAGTGTGACAGGAAATATTAACATATCTCCTAAAGAAAATAACAGAAAAAGACATACAGAGAATTAAGATAAGTAAATTGATACACTGTTGTAAAGAAGAACTCAGACAAAATCAGAGATTACACATTTCTTTTTAATGCACCTAATATAAATTTAACATTTTATCATATTAACAGCCATACATTAAATAGCATGAAGTTGCATACAGCAGAAGTTATTAGGCTGTGTTCGTTAATCAAAAATGCTGTAAAACGAGAAAATAATACCTACAAAATTATAACATAGATAATTCTGAGGCTAAAGAGACAATCAAAATAGGAAGTACGTACTCTTTGCAAATAAATTATAATAAGGAAATAGCACATCAAAACCTGTAACCCAAAAGTTGCACAAAGGAAAAGTAACATTTAGAAATGAACTTGTTAGAGCACATGAAAAAATGAAAATAAATAAGCTAAACATTTAGCTGAGGAACCCAGGAAAATAACAGAAACATAAAGTAGAAAAATGCAATCAAGAATGGTACAGCAGAAATTATTAAGATAAGAAACAACCAATCATAGAATACATTTGATAGATGAAACTAAAAACTTGCTATTTGAAAGGACCAATAGGCTGGACACGGTGGCTCATGCCTGTAATCCCAGTCCTTTGGGAGGCCAAAGCGGGCAGATCATTTGCAGTCAGTTCAAGACCAGCCCGGCCAATATGGTGAAACCCCGTCTCTACTAAAATTACAAAAAAATTAGTTGGTAATGATGGTGAGCACCTGTAATCCCAGCTACTCAGGAGTCTGGGGCAAGAGAATCGCTTGAACCCAGGAGGCGGAGGTTGCAGTGAGCTGAGATTGTGCCACTGCACTCCAGCCCGGGCCTCACAGCGAGACTCTGTCTCAAAAAAAAGAAAAGAAAAGACCAATAATACAAGCAAAACTTCCAAAGAAAGAAGGCACATAGAAGCTTAAAAAAGAAGGAAGATATAAACACAGGATCAGAAAATGTTAAAAACTGAAAGAGAATATCTTCCACAATGTAACATTAATATATTGGAAACCTAGATAAAGTGATTTTATTTTATCTATATGAAAATATAGATCACCAACAATAGCTCAAGAATAGGGCTAGGTGCAGTGGCTCACACCTGTAATGCTAGCATTTTGGGAGGCCGAGGTGGGAGGATAGCTTGAAGTTTGAGACCAACCTGGCCAACATAGTGAGACTTCATCTCAACTAAAAATAAAAAAAATTGGCCAGGCATGGCAGCACGTGCCTGAGGTTCTAGCTACTCAGGAGACTGAGGCAGGAGGATCTCTTGAGCCTGGGAGATGGAAGCTGCAGTAAGCTGTGATTGAGTCACTGCATTCCAGCCTGCAGGGCACAGCAAGACCATGCCTCAAAAAGAAGAAGAAAAAAAAAGAAACAAAAAGAATAGAATTTCACAATAGACCAATAAACAAAAAATAAACTGAAAAGAAAATTCTTTAACTTGACAAAGCATAAACTAGAAACCTATACCCAGCATCATAATAAAAAACATTACAAATGCCATCCCTGAAGTCAGCATGCAAGAATAGCCATTATCATACCCTCCTATTTAAGTGGAAATCCTAGCTACAACAATAAGACATGAAAAGTAATTATGTGACATAAATATTATATATATTAAAAAGTAAAAATATATCAGCCATTTTTAAAGTGTAGTGTATAGATTTCTGGAGGATTCCTAAGCTTCTTTCAGGGAGGCCATGGGGTCAAATAATCCCAAAGCTCAATTTTCCTTTTGCACTGTTGACATCTATTTGCACTGATGGAGCAAAAAACAATGGTGGGTTAAACTCATTGTGAATTAGCACAAAGGCAATTGCACCACACTGTACCAGTATTCTTCCCTGCTATGTATTTGCACAAAATATTGACTCTTTCACCTAAGAATAACCTCAATAAAGTAGTAACAATTTTATCTGATCTCAACCCTTGAGTATACATCTTTTTAACATGCTGATGATTAAATGGGAAGTATGGATTAAATGTTTTTCTTAAGAAAAAAGCTTGTGGTTGAGTTACAAATAGAATTAGCCACTTTTTTTTTTTTCATGGAACACCATTTTTACGTGAAGAGACTGCAAAAACGTAACTGTAAGGGAAATTAAGTTTTTCAGACTTGGATATTTGACAAATATTTATTAAAAACAAACACAATTTAAGGAAAATAACAGAATTTGTTGTCAATAGTAAAAATGTGGTATTCATGTAAAAATTAGAACTTCAGAAAAAACTTTTATCCTATACTGTGAGATTGACATTTTTCAACAAAGAATTATATGATGGAATCAGTGGGGATATTAACAAATGTGATTTATTTACTATTATGAGATTAAATGTGTCAACACTTGGAAAATCTTCATAATTCAGTGACAAATATCTTTCAAAAGATTGAGGCATGATGTTACAAAATGATGCATGAATGAATGATCCATTAAAAGTGCAAGATAGAATAATAGAATTTAATGTAACAGATTATGAAATGTTTATTGATATGGTTTCAGAGTCTACCTTATAATTAAACTTTTAAAGTTTACCATTTCCTAGATAGAAAACATTATTATATTTATGTCTAGGAAATCAAAGAGAGTCTACTGCCAATAGTTAGAACTCATAAGAGTTCAGCCAAGTATTTAGACACAACATCAATGTATAAAAACCAATAGTTTCCTATGTACTCAATTTTTTTTTTCTTTTTTTTTGAGATGGAGTTTTGGTCTTGTTGCCAAGGCTGGAGTGCAATGGGACGATCTCGGCTCACTGCACCCTCCGCCTCCCTGGTTCAAGTGATTCTCCTGCCTCAGCCTCCCAAGGAGCTGAGATTACAGGCGCCCACCACCACACCCAGCTAATTTTTTTTGTATTTTTAGTAGACCCAAAGTGCTGGGATTATAGGCGTGAGCCACCACACCTGGCCCGTACTCATTGTAATAATAAAATAGTGTAATAATAATAATAATAATAATAATAATAATCTAGCAGAAACTACAAAATACCTAGGAATAAATCTAAGAAGAAATAAACAAGACCTGAATTTTAAAAAGATACAAAACCTTCAGCAAGACCTGTTTATAGATAACTATAATATTTATCTAACTGGAAAGATGGAAAGATTCACTGTTATCAAGCTGGAATTGGATGGATCTGTAAATCCCATTCAATTCCAATCAAAATCTCAACAAAAGCTTTTTAAAATAAACTTCACAAGCTAATTCTAAAACTCACCTGGAAGGCAAACAATGCAGGATTATGTGAAATGTTTTGATATAGAAGCAGGTCCTACTAGAAACCAAATCAATGCAAGTGTTTGGTGAATAAAATAGTAGATCGGTATTTCAGGTCTTTTCTGGCTTTTTGGCTTTAAAGTTCTATAAATTCTGAAAACCAAAACAATGAACTGCTTTCTTACTACTCTTTCTTCCTATCATGCCAACAAAAGATGTGGGAACAGAACCCAGGGAAAATGATCCATTGTTGTAGAAGATCGTTTATAGAATGGCTGTCATAATTCTTAACATCCCCAAATGCTCACCTCTATGCAAAGGCTGCTGCCTGTCTTCCCACAGAGAGGTCGAGAGTCTATTTCTCCACCTCTTGAAGCTGGGCTTGGTCATGTGAATTTCATATAGATGCTCGCACATGTGCTGCTAGCGGAAGCTTAAAAAGTTCTTGCAGGCCGGTCGTGGTGGCTCCCCTCTGTAATCCCAGCACTTTGAGAGGCTGAGGCGGGCAGATCACAAGGTCTGGAGTTCGAGACCAGCCTGGCCAATATGGTGAAACCCCCTCTCTACTAAAAATACAAAAATTAGCCAGGTGTGGTAGCGTGCGCCTGTAGACCCAACTACTTGGGAGGCTGAGGAAGAAGAATCTCTTGAACCCGGGAGGCAGAGGTTGCAGTAACCTGAGATCGTGCCACTGCACTCCAGCCTGGCGATAGGGCGAGACTCCGTCTCAAAAAAAAAAAAAAAAAAAAAAGTTCTTGCAAACGGGGGCTTCCCCTCTCTTGCTGTTTTTGGACTCTAGCTGTCACGATAAGAAACTTGGGTTACCTTGCTAGATGTGAGACATGTAGTCCAGTTGTCACTGTCAACCCAGCCAATTGCCAGACATGTGAATGAGGCCACCAGGAACCAACCCTCCCTACCCTGACCTAGCAGCTAACTACAGCCAAATTAGCCAAGAAAAGGTCAAGATTATTACTTTGCTGAGCCCAGCCCAAATTATTGATCCAACAAAGGAGATCCAAAATTGGGATCAAAGGAATGACTAAAAACTTTAAGCTATTAAGTTTTGGGGTGGTCTATTATGCAGCAGAGGCCAAATAATAAAATCATGAATCTCCTGGCAGTAACCTAAATATTGGCAGGTTTTTTTTCCTCTTGTTTTGCCTTAAAATACTATTGGTTTCAATAGGCTGGATTTTGTGAAATAGAGAAAAATCAGGAGACAGTGAGCAAGGACCCCCTTTGGCAATTTACATGAAATATGAGTCTATGTGTTTCTAGAACTTACTCATAATTATTTTTAAAATAATATGCAATGTGAAATGTTATGATCAATTTAGTTACTATAAATAACTTGTCCTTCTAGAATATAACAGTATGTTTTCATTTTAGTACATGTCAAGAATCAGGGCATAATTTAGCCCCTGAAAGTGCCATAACAATTTTTGGCTTAGCCCTTCTATCAGAACTTCCCTAAAATAAGACAGCTGTACTTTCATACACTTTTTAAATATACTGAAATATTATAGGACTGAAGTCTTCCACTCATAAAACACATTTTTAAAAACCCAGAAGATTAATATGAGAGCTAATATTTTCCCACAAATATCTGTAAGGCACAAACATATTTTGAGAAAGAGAAGATAAACAAAATGGTTAATGAACAGATGTAGAGAGAAAAAAAAAAGAAAGGTGCAATCATTCTTTAGTAGAGGAAGAATGGGCTTGTTACAGAAGACAAGAGAGGGGGGTTCCAAAAAGCAGGTTTCTAGTGTTGACCCACACTCATAGATAGCAGGAAAGTTCACTCTTTGGTTCACTGTTGTATCCCTAGAGCCCAGCATGGTGCTTAGCCCATAGTAAGTGGTGCTCAATAAATTTTGATTGAATGAATGAGTAAACAATTTATCAAGTCTTCTCACTCTAACACTTTTGTGTTATGATTTATTTTCATACATCATATATTTTTCAAATAGAACAGTTTCAGAGTTTGTGTTATTTTATGAATACAAACTTCTTCATGAATCCAAAGTCTACTAAACAAATAAGGGAAAAAGAGGGCCCGTTCCTCCAAAGTATAGGTAATGGTTGTCAGGGGCAGGTTAGCACCAACAGGGACTGAATCCACATTCTGTTGTTTCTTCTTCATGGTTCTGAATAATATTTTAAAAACATTTTCATTGTGAAAGCAGGATAATATATATTCATTGATGAAATTTAGAGAACATTTAAATCTGTAAGGAAGAAAATAATAACGACTCACAATTACATCATTGACTGCTAACATTAAGACACATTTCCTCTCATAGACAGATGATTAGAAAAAGTCACTGGAGCCAGATGTGGTGGCTTATGCCTGTGATCCCAACAATTTGGGAGGCCAAGGCCAGAGGGTTGTTTGAGCCCAGGAGTTCAAGACCAGCCTGGGCAACATAGTGAGACTCCATCTCCACAAAAAATTTAAACAATTTAGGTGGGCGTGGTGGTGCACATCTGTATTTTTATCTACTCAGGAGGCTGAGGTGAGAGGATTGCTTGAGCATGGGAGGCTGAGGCTGCAGTGAGTCATGATTACACCACTGCACTCCAGGTTGGGTGACAGAGTGAGACCTTGTCTCAAAAAAAAAAAACAAAAAAGAAAGAAAGAAAGAAAAGAAAAAGTTATTTGAATTTTGCCCAATATTTCAAATGTTCTTGGGTTCTTTGGGCTTTTAACATTTTGAGAATCAGTAAGGTATTAAAGTTATAATCACAACCTCTTGATGCAAAGAGACCTAGATTTTATATTCACCAGCTTTCCCACTGAATGACTATGGTCAAGTCATTTAAGCATCTGCTCCCTCATTTTTACAGTGGTTGTGATAACAAAAATAACAATAAAAATAACAATTATTATTCATAAAGATGTAGTAATGTTGAAATAATGTGATACATGTTATGTGCTCGGCATTGTCATGGTAAATAATAATCACTTAATAATGTGAACAATCATTGATTATTATTATTATTTGAATATAATTGTGTAACTTGGTCATTTTAATTTTCCTGGAATTAGTTGTAATTACAATTATGATTACTATTATTGTTAAAATGAATAATATTTTGATCAGTTACGTTTTCTTAGAAATTCAGTGAATTCATCTTGCTTTCTAAGCTTTGCTTATAGTATTGCTCTCTTAAGCATTTTAATATTTAAGTGTACGTGCCCAGAAATGTTATTATTATTCCGTGTTCCTGCTTTCCTCAGACACCTCTCACTTTCTTTCATCCCTGCTAGGAGTACTCTCTGGGCACCCCTTCCTCTTCCCACTGCATGTCTTTCTCCCTCAGTTTTCACAATGACCACTATGCAAGGCTGACTTCTGCCTGAACTTTAGGCCTGTAGCTGGTTTCCTGCAGTGCACCACCAACAGGGCATCCCGTATGTCCTCACACATCACTTGCTCTCCCACCTTTCTTCCTCTAGGATCAAAGGTGACATCATCCACTGGTTACCTGAGCCAGAAACCCAGCAGTCATTTTGGCCTCTTCCCTCCCTGAATGCCCCATATTTGACCAATTATGGTGTCTTGAACCTGACTTCTTCCTCCCCTTCACTGACACTCCTTGAGTTCCAACCCTGGCCTTTGTTCACTGGACCCTGCAGTAGCTTCTGAACTGTTCTCTCATCTCTGGGCTTTTTCCCTTACAGCTAACATATGCTCTGTGCAAAAAAGTGAACTTTTGAGCTTTCAGCTGGGAACACCCAAGGATTCCCAATCTTTCTCATTGTGTAGGGTAAAGTCTATGCCTAGCATGTCCTTCAAGGCTTCGATGACTTGGCATGAACAATTCTTTCAGGCCCCTGCTACTCTCTACTTTGGTGGGAACAGGTGGTCTCATGCATAGCACCATGCTGATTCATCCCTGTATGCCTTTGGTCACGCTGTTCTCCCTGTTAAATCAAGTTTAGCCTAATGCTGTCTCCTTACATATTTTAAGTTCAGCCTAAAGGTTTCCCTGTACCATAACAAGTGGAGATGTGAACAGACCGTAACCTACTCTTGTGCCAATCACCAAGTTTCGGCCAATCCAGTATAGCCAACTGTTTGAACCGTGTGTAAATAAGGCAAACACTGAGCTGTAACCAATCCAGCTGTTTCTGTCCCTCACTTCCATTTTCTGTATGTCACTGTCCTTTTTCTGTCTATAAATCTTCTTCCAGCACGTGGCTGCGCTGGAGTACCCCAATCTACTGTGGCTCAGGAGGCTGACCAATTTGCAAAGCGTTCTTTGCTTAATTAAACTCTTACATTTAATGCAACTGAAGTTTTCTCTTTTATTACCTCTAATCCAATGGCCTTCCCCACCTTTCTCTTGGCTACCTTCCATGCCTGTCTTTAGATTTACCTTCAATGTCACCTTCTCCAAGAAGCTTTCCTTAAACCCAGCATTGTGCTGTGATCCTCTTCTATGCTTGCCATGTCATATAATAAGTTTCTATGTGTGCCTATCTCCTTATTCTGAGTGTCAGCTTGTCAATGGACGTGACTGTATCATATTCACATGGGTACACCCACACATAGCACACCCTCAGGAAATGCCTCTGGAACTCTTTTTATACCCCCCAGCACCTGTTCAGGATTATGGACATAAGTTTTAGTCTTTGCAAAACTCACTTCAATGTTTGTTACAGAAGGATGCTCCACATCAGTGAAACTAACTGGCAGGTAAGAAGTGACATGGATTAAAACCCAAAGGCTGGCATTTTTCCTAAAAGAAATGTCTATGACAAAGACCTCAAATCTCACTGAAATTGTTCCTCATTTTGATGCTTAGTAACATCTAATCAGGGATAAAATATACAATCAGATTTAGTTGTGGTATTAACCCCATTCTGGTATCCAAGAACCCGTAAATATCCTATAGCACTTCTAAAATTTAAATAAAAGATAAACTTGTAAGGACACATACTGATAACCAGAGAACATAAAGTTGTCTATAATAGCATTTTATTTTTTATTACAGATTGAAGATGTCCTTGACAACATTGTGTAGATGCTATCTGTGTGCTTAAGGAGAACATGCTATAGATAATTATAGTATATACCAGCACCATTGAGAGTAGCTGTCTTTGATCAACTTTATAAAATTGAACTCTTAGAACAACAAAATCAGTAAAGTATTGTTTTGGTGAATACCGTATCAAAAACCATAGACATTTGATTTTATTATGGAACCCATGCTCCTGAAATAAGTGGAGAAAACACTTTCTGCATCTCAGCAGCCCTTCGGGATTCTCTTGCATGCATATTACACAGGGTTTGAAGGTAGCCCTCCAAAATATTAGCTGAAAGCTTCCTCGGAAAGCAAATCTTTCCCACATCCTTCCCTGCAGTTCCTCTTTAAGAGGTGTCAGCATGGCTGAAAGAATGAAGTGGCTGCACATTGTTTGGCTGTGCTATTATGTGCTTAACATTTCCATAACAAAAGTGCCACTCGACTTCTCCCCGATTAATGCAGCTCGAGGGCTCTTGTCGTCCTTTAATAAAACATTGTTGAAATCATTTATTTAGAGCCCCTGGTTACTAGTGGGAGAATGACCATCTTTGTGCCAAAATATAGTGTATACAGTCCACTATTTTGTAGTAGATCATTCTGTTATTTAAGAAATTGATTAAATTGATGCTTAGAAGGAAGGTATTTATGCTAATAGCACATGACTTATGTCATTCAGATAGTCAAGGGTGAACCTTTTCCACTGTCTTCCAGAGGCAATCTCTCAAATAGACTACAGTAAAGTCCAACTTTACTTCACTCACAAGGCAACGAGACCCACTGGAAACTCAACCCTCCTTAACTACATTGGCCACAAGGCATTTGCAACCTGATGCCCTCCCACAACCTTGCTTTGAGTAGCTGGGAGAAACAGGGTCAATTGGCAAGAGTTCTGATGTCCCTTGGTGTAAGAGGTCAAAACACAAATAACGCAGGCTTTTCTTTTTATGGGTTGAAAAGAGATACATGAGGTTATTTTGTTAGAGAGCCTCCACAATGAACTCAACAAGCTAACAATGCAAAGCCAAAGTTTAAAAGTAGACAAAATTTTAATACAATGTTTGAGGTTTCTGAAAGTCCTCATTGTATTTTGGGGATCTATTTTTATTTGATTCTCTGTAACATTGCTGGGATGGGGTGAGGGTGTCAATACAGATGGTGGCAAGGAACAGAGAAAGCTCACTCCCATGAGGGTTCTCCTGACTCTTCAAGGCAGAGAGATGGAAAGATTCTGTCTTCACTCACAGGGACCCCATCTGGAGAATGGCGGTGCACCCTAGATGTGTTAGAGCCTGGTGGTCCCTTAAATTTGTGGCAGTCAGGGCCAGGAGCTGTGTCCATCCTTCTAGACATTTGAAGCGTTGCTGTCCAAGTACAGAGAAGTCCTGCTACTTAGTAGAAGAACTTATTTCCCTACAGACACGTTTCCACTTTACATACGTGTATTGCTCACGTACATAGCTATATATTGTTTAAAATAAACAGGGACCTTATGTTATGTCCATTGTGATTATATACAAAAGCGTTGCTGTGTGCTCGGGTGAGCAGTGAAGCCTGAACCTCCTTCTATTTACTGTATGGTCACTGTCAGTTCAATGAACTGCCTCCTTGTTCTCGACCATTGTCCCACACTCCCTTAAACATTTGTCACTGAAGTGCCTCCAAAGACAAATAAACTGTCACTGAGAATTCAAACCTGCTAACTGGGGAAATGGGAAAGGCCGTGAGGACTCATGATTTTACATGAAATCTAGAAGGAGTTCCTCTCACTCTGGCAGAGTTCTGTTAGAAGGGTGATGCTTTTTGAGAATCCCCAGGAAAAGCCAGAGATACCTTTTCTTTCATTAATGGGACTTCCAGCCATTCTCCATGGGACATTTGAGATGGCCAAATGTCCAAAATTCCAAAAGGCTCCCCAGAGAGCGTGAGATATTACAGATGTCAACATCTGTAAAAATCCTTTCTGCTTAGAAGCAGATGGCAATATGCAATCTCATAACCACTAGCCAAAGGGTTCTAACATCTCAACAACCTCCGCTAGGTCTGTAGGGGTACCAGAGGACTCCTGGGCTCCAGTGTATAATTGTTTAAATTAAAATGGACCACCAATCAATGTTCACTTTCTTTAAGGAAGAAAACATAAAGCCTCGTGTCCTCTCTCCCCAAGAGCGAGTTGTGTTGATTTATTCCAGGCAGATGCTTTTGACAGGACCCTGTAAAATCAAGTTGTGAGTTTATTGTAGCAGTTAATTATCAGGCCTTTTCTAGTGCTAATGCCTTTTACTTCTTACTGGGGAAAACTGGGCCTTTTACTGGGACAAAGACTTAACTTTTAGTCAAGCATGTGTTAAAATAACATGAGATGGAGATGATTTAAATATATTTAAGGACAAACGCAGGAGCACTGCTAACTTGTCGTTTTGTAAAGAAAGCTGATTTCATTTACAAGTCTCTGGGAATACTCTTTGTTCGCTTCCCAAAGAAACAACGCTCTCAGCTTTGTTTTAACAATATGTTTACTCAACCATTCAGGTGACTGGAGATTCCAACCACACACCACTCTCCTGGGCTTAAGTCTGACACTACAGCTATCTTAGACTTTCTAATACTATACATATAGAAATCGTGGTTTTAGGTGCACCAAGAAGTGTCTTGAATACCTCCATAAAAGCTGGGAAAAGAGCGAGTTAGAAGCACAAGAAACCTTGAAAAGTAGGGGGGTGGGAGTGGGTATGAGGAAGTCAGAATGGGGGCATAGCTTCGTTAATTACTTTAGGCAGCAGAGAAATCTGGTTATGTTTTTTCAGCACATGTTAATATCAAATAAAGAGACACCAGATCTTGCTAATCTGTCGACCCCTCAGACAAAGTTTATTTGTGGTGACTTTTAAACTCCCGACTTGCCTTCCAATCACCGCGTTTAAAATGAAAAGCTTTAAACAAACACCAGGAATAGAAGATAAATAAACTTTTTTTCCCCCTTGCAAGTGCCTAGCTTGGCGAGGTTCAGGCTCAAATCCCTAGAGGACAGAGCGCTCTCTTTTGTGTTAATGTTTAAAAGATTTTCCAATGCCGGAGTTTATTCCTACTGCAAACATTTCTATTTACAAGGTCAAGTGTATCAGCACTCGACACAGCTTAAGAGTGTAATTATTTATCTAAGGGCGTTTGAGTGTAGATCAGTAGCTCTGGCAGGAACCCAGCCTTCAGCCACTGCTAAACAACTCCTCACAACAATATTACAAGTTCTGGTGATTGTTCCTTTCCCCTGTGTGTTTACTTTTGCTGGTCTGAATGTTTTGCAACAAAATTTTGTACTTTTTCACCAAAAGTGTGAAAATGACTTTGAAGTATTGAGCTTGCAAGCTTCCTAAAACCTATTGGTAACAGATGTTATTGGCATGTTTGATTGAGAATGGCTAGTAGCCAGAGAGGATACTCTTGGGGGTAAGGGGTGATGGGAAGGGGGATACAAAGAGGGGAGGTCTCAGGGGAAAAGGGGGAGGCGGGGCAACATGTCTGAGTTATCCTCAAATTATGTACAGGAGACACTATTTTGTGAATTCTCTCCACAAATGCAAACACCAATAGAAGCCAGTCAATTACATATTTTTGGCTGCCTCATTTACAGATGTCTAATTGTTCATTAAATTAAAGGCAGAAATAATTTCTTGTCTTGTACTGTATTTTCATTTCAGTTGATGGTTGATAGATTCTCAGTGCCCCCTCAACCCCCCTCCTCACCCATTATTGGGTTAACCACAATGTAACTCTGGAAAGTAACTACACCATATTCATTGTTTAAAACTCTTTACTGATGTACATGTTTTAATAAAACAAATAACCAAAAAAAATACACAAATCCATAGTTATTTAAAAACTTAGGATTTTTAAAAAACATGTCTATAAAAATACAACGTTTAAGGCAGTTTGGAAATGCATTTGTACATTTCTACAACGTCCATAAATTCTCTTGAAAATAAGAATGTTAACTTCAATTCTATAAAATACACTGTACATTTTAAGACTGTTCTAAATATAGCACACTTCACAATGGACTGTGGGTTTTGATTCCTGATGACAAATGGATTCTATACATTTCAGGGGGGAAAGGTGTAATATGGATGTGAGTTTAAAACTTTTAATTTCTTTTTAAAAATAAATTATTTCTGAAGCATACAATTTATAAAAATTCTATATACAAAGTACAGCAACTGGTAACAAACCCCAGTTTTAATACATTTTATATACGATGTACCAGGGTTTAGCAACCCTGATAGGAGCAGAGGCAATATACATTCTCCGCATATTTAAACATAAAATTTCTTGATGTAAAGAACAAAAATGACAAAAAAACAAACATCATAAAGAGACTTTCATACATGGCAGTGCAGAGCTTTTTTAAATAAAAAGTTGCATTGTTCAACACCATGGCAACCCCTTAGATCAGCATTTTTGGACCCTTAATCCTAAGAAATGTGCTAAGAGATCAGAGTGGTAGCAATGAAATTAAGGTCAAGGGCTCAAACTTATCCAAAACCAATTTAGGGGTTCCCTCTAAGGCAATCGCCACCCACCCTCACCCCCACGTCACTGAGAATTCTGGGCGCAGATACAAACAGTGAAAGAATGAATCGGTAAGTGGGACTTTTCTGTTTACATAGGATTATAATATCCTCACTGGCCACAATCTGTAAAAGTCGATACTGGCACTTTTTTTTGCCCCCTCAAAGGAAATATGCTAATAGACAGCCCCTTTGCAAATATAATTCCTCCTTCCCAACCCTTCAAATTGCTAAGGCCCCACTGGTCAGCACCTTCCCTTTCGAGTCCAGGACTACTGTTCTGTCCCCCACATGCTTGCTTCCTCCCGGACGTCCTGAACACTGCAGCTAGCTTTCTGGACGGCAGACGAGTTGGGAGTTTCTGGAGCTTGGAATTGGGGCGGGGGAGGAGGTCCAAGAAGTCAAGCTCCGGAGAGGAGCTTCAGGGGAAGTGCCCAGAGTCGTGGCCGGGGAACCGGCTACACCAAGTTGACTTGGAAAAAGTTTTGGGAAGTATCCCCAACCATCCCTTCTATCTGTCCCAAGCCACAGGTGCCCGGCGCGGGGTCGAGGCGAGCACGGGAGTGGGACGCGGGCTCTCCCGCAGCCAACGGCGGGGGGCGCGAGGGCTAAAAGAGCGGCCCAAGCAGCAGCAGCAAGATGGAGGCGAGTGGGGTCCAGGCGCCCCGGGGCGCCAAGCGGCCGCCGCCGCCGCTGCTCCTGCGCCCAGGCCCATAGGGCAGGTCCCCGCGGCCGCCCGATGCAGCAGCGCCGCTGCCCGGGCGCGGTGGGTGCGGGACGCCGTCGTCGTCGTCCAGCGGCTGCTCACCACCCGCGCCCCCGGTGCGCTGCTCGTCATCGTAGTCCTCATCGTAGTAGTCGTCCAGGCCCCCGTCCGAGCCGCTGCTGCCGGGGCCGTTGCCCAGCTCGGCGCCGAAGCACAGGCGGGCCATGTTCTCCTTGACCGACTCGCAGATGGGCCGCTCGAGGCCGTCGCACACGCAGTCGTTGAGCAGCGCCGCCTTGGGCATAGCCAGCATGTCCTCAATGACGGTGCGGCATTCGTCCGTGCAGCGCAGCCCGTTGAAGACTTTGCCGCAGTAGGTCAGGTAGCGGCTCAGCGCCAGGTTGCAGCGGCTGTCGCGGTCGCAGCGCCGCCGGGCCTCGGTGCAGCCCATGACCCCGCCCGCGCCGGGGCCGCCCGCGCCGCCGCCGCTCGTCCGGGGCAGGCACGGCTCAATGGCGCGCTTGGTGGACTTGCAGTTCTCGTCCTGCGCGCAGTCACAGTCCTCCAGGGCGGGCCCGCGGCGCGTGTGGTTGAGCTGAATGAGGGCCGAGATGCAGTGACTCGGGCAGCGCCAGCGCGACGAGAAAGAGGCGGCCGAGGCCGGGAAAGCGGCGGCGGCGGCCCCGGGCGCGTCGCCCCCGCCGTGCTGCGCCAGCACCGGCGCGCACGCCTCGGCGTACTGGTTGTAGGCGTAGCTGCACTCCGGCTCCCCCTGGCACTGCAGCAGCGCCTGCCAGCAGATGAGGCGGCGGCCGTGCGCCAGCCCCGATCCCCGCGGCGCCGAGCCCAGCAGCTGCAGCAGCGCCATCAGGCACAGCCAGGCGCCCGGCACTGTCCCCCCGCGGGCCTCGCCGCCGCCGCCCAGCAGCGCGGCCACCATCGCGGGCAGCGGCGGCCGCCGGGAGAGGAGGGGAAAGGAGACGAGGCGCGGGGAGCGGCGGACGCGGAGCCGGTGGAAAAGTTTGTCCAAGTCCTGCCCACTTCTTGCATGAGTGTCTTCATAAATCCATGCGCGCCGCTGGCTGATGCCCCGCTGGTGGCAGAAGGTCCCCTTTCGCTCTGGCTGCGGTGGCTTCCTGGAAATGAACAGCTGTCGAGATCTGGTCCCGCTCTCCCACCCGAGAGCCCTCCGCTCGGCCCCCGGTGGTGGCGGGAGAGGCTCACTGTCGCCCCGGGGGGGTGCGGGCCGCGGGGCCGTGGCGGGGCTGCAGGACCGCGCGGCGCGGCGGGTGCATTTTGCTCCGCGCCTGCAGATCCGTTGTGCGGCCGGCTGTCCCCGTGCCGGCTGCTCGCGCTGCGGCCGCGGCGGCTCCTTCCTCCTGGGCTCAGTGCCTCGCCGCCGCCACCGCCGCCGCGGTCTCTCGCATCGCGCCGCTTCCTGGCCCGGCGTCCGCGCGCTGCCCGCCTTCCCGCGGCCCGGCCGCCCCGCGTCCCCTCCCCCTCCGCCCGCGGCAACCCCGGCCTCCGCAGAGCTCCGGGGAGCTCTTTCCGGGAAGCGCGGGGAGAACAAGAAAGTCGGCGCTGCCGGAGAGCGGCTCCCTGGCTTCACTCGGCGGCAGCTTCTCGGGTGACCAAGAGCCCGGGGAGCGGATCCGCTGAGCCCGGCTGCAGACTCGTTAGCAGCGAGGCTTTAAATACAAAAGTGGGCCGGGAGCCCCCGCGTGGTGCCGCGGTGCCCCCTCATTATGCATGCATGGAAAAGCAAACAAACAAAAACATTAGCAACGCTCCTCCGGCTCGCCGAGCCCCGGCCCCGCGCGCTCCGAGCCTGCCCGCTTTCTCCTTTCTCCACTCTCTTTCGCCCTTTGCTCGGCCCCCTTTCCCGGCTTTTCGAGATGCTATTGGTCCTGCCTGTTGTTGTTGAAAGTTTTTTTTTTTTTTTTTACGAGCCGCTGGAGTGGGGTTGCGGAGTGGGGGAGGGCGGGAGGGTGGTGGGCAGCTCACATTCAGGCATTCAGGGCTTGAAAGGAACGGCTTAGGGAGCCTGACGGAGGCCCGGAGCTCCTCCTACTCTTAAGGAGGCTCGGATATGCAGCCCCAGCTCGCGCACAGAACCAGCGGGCAGGGCTTAGGGGCAGCTGTTTGCATCCGGCTCAGCCACGGGCCTTTTTTGTTTGTTTTTTTTTTCTTTTTTTTTTTTTTTGTAGTTTTATTAATTCTCGCTGGCCCCCATCTGTGCTTTCGACTGGATTCAGAACTCAGTTTATCTTCCAGGCTCCCTGTCTTTGGGTCTTGATCACCACAGAGGGGAAGGGGAGAATCCAGAGATAAAATGTGAGACTGAAACTGTTTTAAAGAAGCATACAAGAAAGAAGCACACACTTTATTAGGGAGATGTTGATGAGATGCTTACAACCCGCCCGCCACCCCCCAGCCCCAGCTAGGCCATCTGGCAGGTACCGCCCGTGCGCCAGGCATCGTTTTCAAATTGCAAGACCGAAATCCAATCAACCGAAATAATTTCTTAGGAAGATAAGCTTGCAACACGTGCAATAATGAAAAAATTTAACTAGCATTAAAAATATTCAGGAATGTCGAGCAATTACCACCTGGCCGCAGTCACAGGACAGAAGACGGAATAAATGGGCACGCACCAAAGGTTTATATTAAAGTGTAAGTTTCAGCCCCTCAGTATATTTAAGGGAGGCTGCTCTGCAGAGGAAACCTCTGCCTTCTCGGCGAGGGAGTTTCCGAGCTACCTTAACTGGGGCGCAACGCAGCCTTCCGCCACCAGAGGCAGCGGGCGTCTGCGGCCTGTCAAAAACTGGCGCTTTTTTCCTCCCCTTTCCGTGGAGAGACTATCAACTCCATCTGTCACAAAAATTAAGGCTAAATCTCCTCTCCAGAAGCAGAGGGAGCCGGGGCTCCGACGCGCTCAGCGTCGGGCTGTCTGCCTCTCCCTAGAGGCCAAGTGAATTTGAAATGGCAAAAGTCACAGCCGGAGGCCCAGCACTAGGAGATTCCTCCGGCTGCGGGAAATCTTCCTGTACCTGCTGAAGCTGCTGCGTTCCTCAGAGGCGCTTGGTCTGCCGTGGGAAGCTGCACCTCTGCAGTCCCCAAAACCAAAATCAAACCTTAAAAGAGCCAGACTGAGGTAAGGCGGACCGTCTTGCTCTGATTTGAGTATTGGTAGACAAACAGCAATATAAATCGATACTAAAAAAATCCAGAAAGGCTGCAACTTCATGGCACATCAAAACAACCATATCCCTGGCTCTCTGTCTCTTTTTTTTTCTCTATTATTTGGAGTTGTCCTCTCAGTCCGGCCTGGAGGACTTGGACAACTCAGACACCTTCTCTGTGTCTGGGATCCCTCCACAGGTAAGGTTCGAAGCCAATTAGACAATTGAAAAATCCCCTCTTGTCTTTAAAGCTTTGTTATTTTAGGCCCATAAGGAACAAAGTCAGCACTCGGTTTCATCTTTACTTGAATTTTTGTTGAGTTCCTTTAGAATAGTGGGACCCAAACCTTAGCACGTATCCTAAAACTCAGATCCCTAGTTTTTGGAGTTTCTGATTTAGTTGGACTGGTGGGTCCCAAGAATATGCATTTCTAACAAGTTCTCAGGGAATGCTGCTCTCAAACTTTGAGAATCACTGCTCTCAAAGTTAACATGTTTCTTTTCTGTGTTGTTGCTGTGTTTTTGGTAACACTTGCCCCACCTTGGCCTTGATACAGCTCTCAGTGGGGTTTAAGGGAGGCCCAAGAGCTCTGCATGCTTTGGGGACTTCTGCATCCCAGTCACATAGCATTAGCATTGCAAGCCTGAGGGGTTCTCAGCCCACTTTTTACTGTGTCATTTCCATTCACCACAATAGGCTATACTGTCTTCTATCTTAAAAAAACATAATAGTAAAACCTTCTAGACTCCACGTCCCTATTCAGTCACTATCCCATTTTCATGAAAACTTGAAAATCTTGCTTTTACTCACTTTCCCCACTCGATTCACTCTACATAATCGAGTTCCATTCGATTATGTAGAGTCGCTAGTGACCAAAACCTTGCTCTACCTGATTGTCACTTCTCAGTCCTCAGCTTATATGACGTTTCAGCAGCATTGGCCATGACTGATCACCTCCTTTTCAAAGCGCTTTCTAAAATTTTGGCTTCCGAAACTCCATACTCCCCTGTTCTCTCATTTTACTGCCTGGTGGCTCCTTCTGTCTCTCAACTCCTTAGGTAACCACATCTAGTGCCTTGATTTTAAATTGCATCTCCTAATTTGATGTTTTCAATCTCAGTCTTTCTCTGATCTCCATATGTATATATTCACTTGGTTCCAAGGACATCTCAAACTTAAGCTTCCCCAAGAGCACTTCTAAATTTCCATCCCCAAAACCTATTTGTTTACTGGGCTTACTGTGGTAGATACCCTCCAAAATTGGTCTCCATCACTTTTCTCCCTACCTTTACATCCTTACTACTCAGATCAAAAGGCAGAGTATAATCCCCTTCCCCTTGAGTCTTGGGTAGGCCTTACTGACTTTGACCAATAGGACATAGTGAAAGTGACTGACATTCTGGGGCCTCCAAGGCTAGATCACAAGAAGCCTTGCAGCTTCTACTCGGGCCTTGTATTAGTCCGTTTTCACACTGCTGATAAAGATATACCCAAGATTGGGCAATTTACAAAAGAAAGAGGTTTACTGGACTTAGGGTTCCACATGGCTGGGGAGGCCTCACAATTATGGTGGAAGGCAAGGAGGAGCAAATCACATCTTACATGGATGGCAGCAGGCAACGAGAGGGCTTGTGCAGAGAAACTCCTGTTTTTAAAACCATCATATCTCATGAGACCCATTCACTGTCATGAAAACAGCATGGGAAAGATACACCCCCATGATTCAGTCATCTCCCACTGGGTCCCTCCCACAATATGTGGGAATTATGGGAGCTACAAGATGAGATTTGGGTGGGAACACAGAGCCAAACCTTATCAGGCCTCTTGGAATACTTGCTCTGCAGAAGCCAGTCACCACGTAAGACATCTGGACCACCTTCAGACTCGCATGCTGTGAGGAAGCCCATGCTTACTATGTGTAGAGGATACATGGAGAAGGAAAGAGATGCCTGGCCAGCTCCCTGCTGTTTCAGCCATGTGAGTGAAGAAGGCACCAGACTTGTGAGTGGAGACACTAACTTGGATGTCCAGCCCAGCTGAACCTTCAGGTGACTCCAGCTCTAGCTGCCATCCTACTGAAGACACATGAGAGAGACCCCAAGCCAGGGTCAAGATCAGCGTGAAGCAAGTGAGGCATTTTGGTGCAAAATGTAAGGAGGCATTGACCTTCATAATTGGGCTCCAAGACTCCAAGAGTGAGTGCCTCCTTAAATTTTGTACTTTAGACACTACACTCACCTTTCTCTAGTTCTGGTCTTGCCTCAAGCAAGAAGAGCAGAGCTTAGCTCAGTCAACCCAAAGAATCCTGAGAAATAACAAAAAAATATTCTTTTAAGCCACTCAGTTTTGAGATGGTTTGTTATGCAACAATAGAGCATTAGAACTTTTCTTCCTGTCCAATTGCTTAGGTGAAAGATGCTAGTATCTGCCTGAATTCTTTCCTTTTCTTCACATTCTACATTCAATTAATGGCTCATCATAGGTGTCAATAAAATATTTGATAAGTTGAATGAATGAAGAATCAGCACTTCTTGTCTTCTAAATCAGCCAACTCAGAACTAGTCCAAATCATTTCTACTACAAAGAACAGTAATAAAGACCCTGAGAGATTAAAGAATACAGAATAGTTCTGAAGTTTTAAAATATAAAATTATATTTCCAAAAGGGTTGACTGGTTCAGTGAAAGAACAAAAACCTCAATCAACAAATACCAATTACCTTTTGGTGCTTTAGCAACATAACCCAGATAAAGTAGGAGGAGATAGACTTCTGCCCTCAGAGGACTCAACAATATGTCACTTGGCCATTTGGAGTTGTCAGAGGCTCTAACCACTTAGCAGAAGTCTTAAGTCACAGACACCCTGTATTAGTGTGTTCTCACACTACTATAAAGACTGGGTAATTTATTTAAAAAATAGGTTTAATCTGCTCATGGTTCAGAAGGCTTTATAGGCTTCTGCCTCTGGGGAGGCCTCAGGAAGCTTACAATCATGGCTGAAGGCAAGTGGAAGCAAGCACTTCTTCACATGGCTGGCAGGAGAGAGAGAGCAAAGGAGAGGGGTGCTACACATTTTCAAACAGCCAGATCTTTTGAGAACTCACTCTCACAAGAACAGTATGGGGGAACTCCCTCCATCCCTTCCCCATGATCCAATCACCTCCCACCAGGTCCCTCCTCCAACACTGGAGATTATAATTCAACATGAGATTTAGGTGGGGACACAGAGCCAAACCATATCACATTCACTCTCTTGTTTTCTTTATTTACTTGCATTCTTAAAACCAGAAAATATTAATACTTCAGTTTGTGGCAGATACTGCATGGAAACCAAGCACCATCTACTCTAGAATTCTACATTAGACTTTGTATCCTGAAGGTTTACCTCATTCTTCACAAAAGTCTTCCCTTTGTCTGTTGCCTTCTTAAGAAGAATTAATTCTTGGGAACAAGATAGAAGGATGGGAACCTCATGTAGAAGGAAATCCCTTTCATGCACAGTAAAGCAGGGTCATTCTCCCAGCTAATGATCTGGAGCCTCCTCCTGAACCCCAGCTTTGCTTATATCTTCGGCAAGGACCATCTTCGCATCTTTGAGCCCTATTAATTCCATCTAAGAAAAATGTTGTTCACATTCACCCTCCCTGTCTTCTCATGTCCTGGTTTCTTCAAGGTTTTCTTCATTGCTGAATACCAGGTCTTTCCCAACTCTCCTCCAAACCAGGGATTGTAAACCAGAGAAGCATCTCTAAAGGACTCGGGAGCTTTTTCAAAATACATATGCCTGTGCCAACTTCATTACACTTGAATTCTTCCCCAGGGGCCAAGGAATGTGTACTATGGAAAAAAACAAACACACACACAATGGCATATTTCTGCCTCAACCACTCAACATCAGTGGTTGCTAGATTTTGAGATTTCAAAGATCCGTTTATTTTCAAAAAAAATCTGGAATATCTTTTAAAAAAAGATGCCAACTTTTTATTTTATCAAGCATTAACAAACAAACAAACCTACTACTACCATCTGTTAACACCAGTGTCTTATTAAATAAAGAGGATTTGAAACCCCAAAGGCAGAGAAAGAATAACCAGAGAATACAGGCGAGTTGAATACATTTAGATATTTAAAGGACTTACTATATTGTCCTATTTTTTTTTTTTTCATTTTAACTGAATTTACGACACAGGGGAAACTTCTTCAGAAACTTTTGCATCTTCAGACAGCATTTTGGAATAACTACTCTAAAGCAATCCTCCATGCTGATGTTAAATGAGTCGGATGAAATCACTACTCCACTTAAAAATTTATAGTGACTCCTCAGGAAAAAGTCCAAGGTCACTACCAGTGTTACAGCAGTTTGAGGTCTGGTGCAGTGGCTCATTCCTGTAATTCCAGAACTTTGAGAGGCCTAGGCAAGAAGATCACTAGAGCCAGGAGTTTGAGGCCAGCCTAGGCAACATCGCGAGACCCCATCTCTACCAAAGAACACCCACAAAAATTAGCCAGACATGGTGATGCGTGCCTATAATTCTAGCTACTCAGGAGGCTGTGGAGGGAGGACAAAAATTAGCCAGACATGGTGATGCGTGCCTATAATTCTAGCTACTCAGGAGGCTGGGGAGGGAGGATCACTTGAGCCCAGGAGGTTAAGGCTACAGTGAGCTATGATCACCACTGCACTCCAGCCTGGATGACAGAGCAAGACCCTGTCTCAAAAAAAAAAACAAAAAAAAAAACGCAGTTCGAAAGACCCATTCCAAATACTTAACCCCATCTATTCTTGCCTGTGCCCCCAAACACAAACGTATATGTGCACACACACATGCACTCACATACACATACATATGATGCATGTACTCACATACATATATGGATGTACACGTGCACACTCATGCAGGCACACACAGGCACAACATATACCCATGCATGCACTCACGCATACTCATTCGTGCACACACATACACACAAACTGGAATTTCTCTTCTGAGTATCCACCATGGCATCTCCATCCTGCCCTTCTCCGGGGACTTTGGTATGTTGGCCTCTTTAGCAGAGAAATGCTTCTGTCCCCCAGCTTTAAGGGATTACAAGAGAAAGTCTCCCTTTTGACGCTCTACTCCTGGATAATACATGTAAAGTCTCACCGCCCCCTTTCTATGTGCACATACTCTTTGTAACTGTAGTCAACGCTGAGAAATCCATGTTTGTTGCTTAAGCCACCCAGTCTATGATATTCTGTTATAGCAGCCCAAACTAAGATAGTGGATGAAAAAGACAAATTTTTCTAGTAAACAAAGAGCTCTTAGAAATTTACAGCAAAAGGGCCAGGCACGGTGACTCACGCCTGTAATCCCACCACTTTGGGAGGCTGAGGCAGACGGATCACTTGAGGTCAGGAGTTCGAGACCAGCCTGGCCAACATGGCGAAACCCCATCTTTACTAAAAAAAAGAAAAAATACGAAAATTAGCCAGGCTTGGTGGCAGGTGCCTGTAATCCCAGCTACTCGGGAGGCTGAAGCAGGAGGATTGCTTGAACCCGGGAGGTGGAGGTTGCAGTGAGCTGAGATTTTGCCACACCTCAGCCTGGGCGATAGAGCAAGACTCAGTCTCAAAACAAAACAAAACAAAACAAAACAAAACAAAACAAAACAAAAAAAAACAGGAAAAGGACAAACCAAGGGAAAATGGGTGAAAGATAGAAACAGACAATTCACAGAAGCATAAATCCAAATTGTCAGCAAACAAGTGAAAAAATGTTTAAATTAACTAGTAGTTAGATGAAAAGAAATTAGAAAACAATGAGATATTACTTTAACACTCCATAGACCGACTAAAATGTGAAAGCACTTTGACAGCCAGTTCTTATAAAGATACCTTCAAAAGTTGCTTGTGTAAATGTGAAATGTTGGATTCTTTTTTGGCAATACCTTTAAAATGTAAAATACAAATACTGTTTGGCCCAACCCATTCCTGAGAATCTTTCCAATAATAATAAATACTGATAAGGAAGGACACTATCTGCATTCTAGCCATTCCAATAGAAATAATTACTTTTTTCCTCCAAAAGTTCTAGCAAAAGTTTTGGAACCTCAATTGATCTGGGCCATGTGCCCATGTACCTTAGTGAAAGAGATGAGAAAGAGAGAGAGAGAAAGAGAGAGAGAGAGAGAAAAAGAGAGAGAGCACTTCCTGAAGGAAAACCAACGCTGTCATGATGAGAAAAATCAGCCGCTACACCAGGGCTCCACAAATGTGATCCAGTGCTTTGTAGTGGTCCCTGATGAGATGGACCACTCAGCTCATTAGAGCAGGCATTTGAATACTTTTATAGCTATCTCATAGAGTAATATGATGTCAGTTGAAGCTAATAATAAAATTTGAGGCTTCTGTTTTGTAGGTATTCTTTTTTCTAGTAACTTCAAAAATTTTGTTTTACAAACTATCTATGATAGACAAAAAAATTCTGCAGTTTCAGAACAGACAATTTGAGAAGCACTGTGAAATATATACATTAAAATACAAAAAAGAAATGGATACTGGTTATTTTCTTTGGTTTTAGAGGTAAATAAGTTGTCTGGCACAGGAACATAAGGATTTGGCGCTGTGTAAAGATTAATAAAAATGGAAGGAACAAACTTCTAATTCTTCAGAGAACATGGATAACAACTCCAAGATGCAAAATGACAACACGATCCCGCTTTCACTGATGAGTGTATCAACAGAGACAGAGCAGCTGTTTAACATCATCAGCCTACTGTTCTCTATGGAGCAGAAAACACACCCCCTCATCATTGCTTTGGAACTGGGGAGATCAAGATCCTGGCTCAGTTTCAATATCTAATAACATGAGGAAATACCCACAAAATTAGTAGGAGCTCCAATTATCAGGAAACTCGACTTTCATACTTTTTGAAAAGAGATATTAATGAAATAGAGACTTAAACCCATTGGCAAGATACAACATAGAACATTTGAGGCACAACATGCTTCAACCTCAGTGGATTGCAGTTAGCCAGTTAGCAGTACAACGATATTTCTACCAAGAGCATTTTTTCCCCCAAGAGAGTACCTTGGGCACATTTGGGCATTACCTACTAAATTCTCCAATAATTGGGGCCGATTCTACAATATGCGTAGTTAGTATGTTTCAAAGTCGTGCTAGGCCTTATTTCCAAATCTAGCTTCTCACTACTGAAATTAAGAAGAAACTTTTGGCTGGGTGCTGTGGCTCATGCATGTAATCCCAGCACTTTGGGTGGCCGAGGCAGGCAGATCACGAGGTCAGGAGATCAAGACCATCCTGGCCAACATGGTGAAACCCCATCTCTACTAAAAGTACAAAAATTAGCTGGGCGTAGTGGTGCATGCCTGTAATCCCAGCTACTCAGGAGGCTGAGGCAAGAGAAGCACTTGAACCAGGGAGTCTGAAGTTGCAGTGAGCTAAGATGAAACCACTGCACTCCATCCAGCCTGGTAATAGAGCAAAACTCTGTCTCAAAAAAAAAAAAAAAAAAAGAAACTTTTAAATAATTTAACTCTTTCATAAATCTAGATAAATTGTTTTCTAAATAAAAATAACATAGTTTGTAAGTGAACTTATCAAATGCCTCAAAAGTCTGCTTTTTATCTTGTGAGGATTTATATAAAGACAATAGACATCCCAAAAAAACCTATCCACAGGAAAAAAAAAATCTAGCAACAAGCTTGTACAAAATTTGTAAGTTTCAGGTTAATGCTTCTCTAGACAATTTGAGAAAAGTACTACAATTGCTTACATATTTACTGCTGAAAATCTGTAATTGTCATAAATGTCTTGGGAAAAATCTGTAATCTTATTGATAAAGATTACAAGCCATCTAATTCGTTTTAATGAAATATATATCCTAGGACTTCATCAAACACCTCATTGATGAGTTCACACTTTTCCTAAATTTTAAATTTATATGCACACTTACCTGCTCATTTCTCACTGAATTTGATTCAGTTGAATCCAACAGATGTTTATTGAGTTCCCACTGTATGTTCTAGGAAGGCAAATAATGTTTTCTTCAAGTCTTCCATCTCTGTTCCTCTTTTCTTTCTTTATTACTAGACTTTTTTTAAAAAGCACTTTTAGTTTTAAGGCAATTTTAGAAAAATTGATTGGAAAGTACAGAGGGTTCCCGCACAATTCCTACTCCCCCCACCTGTTTCCTCTATTATTTACATTCTGTGTTATATTACTGTGGCACACTCGTTACAACTGATGAACCAATACTGGTATTTTATTATTAACTAAAGTCTTCGATTTACATTAGTTCCTTCTTAGTGTTGTTCATTCTATGCATTTTGACAAATGTATAATGTCATGTATTCACTATTAGAATATCATACAGAGTTTCATCTCCCTAAATTCCCTGGAAGCATTCTGTATTAACCTAGAAGGGATCTTAAATCAAATTTTTTCGTTTACAGCTTCACTTCTTAAAGCTTCTGGATCTAGTATTTCTTTTTTGCCCATTATTTAAAAAATTAAGTGAGATTTTGCATGCCATTTGAATTCAAAAGTTGGTCTCTCTGTGGTACACATCTCCTCAAATGATTAACTATTTATGTTGAAATAGTACTTCTTATAATTCAGTTATCCATCCGGAAATATTTCTTGATTACCTGCCCTGGGCCAAGCATTCTGGTCTGTTTTCTCTTGATTAGTGAAGTTTGTGATAGGTGACCTTATGTAACATATCTTTGTTTCACTCATAGACATACATTTAATTATCAAAATCCTTTACACATATATAGTACAAAATGCAAAAGAATTTTTTTTTATTGTATAATTTTAGCAAGCTTCCACTTAACCTTTGCACCAAGACTGCCACTTCCTTTAGCCACTGTTATCAATTTCTGGCATGCATTTCCAGAGATATTACATGTATACACATATATAAGAATCTTTTTAAAAACAACAATCTTTGCCTTGTTTTTTTACTTAACAGTATATTTTGGGCACTGTTCCATGTCACTTTGTAAAAAGCTGATGTATTCCTTGCTTATCCTTTTTGATGAGTATGTAGCGTTCTGCTTTTGAGTGTTCCATAAATTATTTAAGCAGTCCCTTAGTCCCTTATTGTTGAATATTTAAATTCAAATTCTTTGTTATTCCAGTGTGGCAATGAATATTCTTGCACTTTTGTCATCTCATAAATATTTTAATGCAGCCATAGTTTACATTCGTAGAAGTGGAATTACTGAGTCAAAGAGGAGGTTCATTTTAAACTGTGCTAGATCAATTGTTCTATCTATGTATCTCTGATAGGTCCATTATTCCCTGTAGAAGTTGTGCCAGTGTATGAGAGTGTTTCCTAATATCATCACCAACATTACATGTTATTATTAAGCTTTTGGATCTTTGCCAATCTGATAAGTGAAAATTTATGCCATTGTAGCTTTAATTTTAATTTATCTTATTATATGTAAGTCATACATTATTATTTAAGTCCTCAGGAAGTTAATAAAGTAAAGACTGAATACATTTAACTGCAAGGAGGTTAGGTGATCCAACATCATCCAACTCATAAGTGAGGGCACCCAGAAAGTGCTCTCCCAAGCCCCTGTCCTCTGTCATCCCCCACCTCCCTGTACTATATAGCACAGTGCCAACAGGCTTGGTTAAAGGTTTGCATTTTCCTCCACTTGATCAGTAATTGTCAAAAAATTATTACTTTTTATGAAAAGGAATAAGTTTTCTTACTAAAATGGCAAAATCAGTTAATTCTGAAGAATCCTCCCAGATTTCATTTAAAATTTTAGGAAATCCCTTCCCTCTCACTAGAGACATACTAGAAAAAAAAATCAACATTTTTTATCTAGATAATCACTGAATGACTGACATAAAATATCTGGACTTCTGTTTGAGATGAAATTATCCTATTATTGATGGGACATATTTGAGAAACAAAGCTTCGCTCTTTCCTCCCTAACTTCCTGCTCTGAAACACCTGTTTCCATTCTGTATCTGACCAAACTCGGAGCATTGAGTTTCCATACACTATGGAACCCTGAGAATCTTGTGGTTTCTGAGCAGCCAGTGAAGACTTTGCTTTCCTTTGCATTTGTTGTGTTTGTCAGGTAGAGGCTTGTCTCTGGACCTAAGCTGTCTACTGCCTCACTGTCACAGCCAGTTTGCTGCTCTAAGAGGGTTAATTGCCCTTTCTTGTACCCTCAAATCCACTCTTGACCCTTGGTTTGGAAGGAAGGAAAGAGACAGAGCCATATGGAAGCAAGAAGGTTTCCTATGGTCCCAGGGCAGAGCAGTTTGTGGTAGTTTAACAATTATTAAACACATTAACAAAGTGACCAAATGAACCAACTTTCTGGAACAGACGTTATGTCAATCTTGAATTATGCATTTTTGCTGTTGTTATTCTTTATTCATCGAACAAATATTGCACACCAGCCGGGCGCGGTGGCTCAAGCCTGTAATCCCAGCACTTTGGGAGGCGGAGGCAGGCGAATCATGAGGTCCGGATATCGAGACCATCCTGGCTAACACAGTGAAACCCCGTCTGTACTAAAAATCCAAAAAAAAAGCCGGGTTCCGTGGCAGGCGCTTGTAGTCCCAGCTACTCAGGAGGCTGAGGCAGGAGAATGGCGTGAACGCGGGAGGAGGAGCTTGCAGTGAGCCGAGATCGCGCCACTGCACTCCCATCTGGGCAACAGAGCGAGACACTGTCTCAGAAAAAAAAAAAAAAAATTGCACACCAGTTTGTGTCAGAAGCTGGTCTCTGTTCTACAGGTCTAGCAATAACTAACAGGAGGAAATGCCTCCTCGTAGTTCATTTTATCCAATGGCTCTCATAATTTTCTTTCCCCATTTTCATGGTAAATCTGAGAACTGAGTGACCTATCATTACAAAAGCGGAGTCCGTTTCTGGAATTTCTGGAAAACGGCAGATGCCCTCAGGCTTAGTCTTATCTCTATTCCACAAACAAAAGAAGTGAAGTGAATTCCTTCCTAGGACCTTCTAGGTCCTGGAGGAAAAGTCTATGCCATTCTCAAATCTTTGAGAAACATCTGGGGGAAGCATAAACAAGGTGGAAGAAAAGCCTCCCTTTAAAAGCTGATCAGCCACTTCTCTGCCAAGGGCTTGTCAAAATTGCTCAAGAGGGAGGAAAAAAGAGAGAGAAACAAGTGCACATATACATTTTTAAAGTAGCTAGCAACCAAGACAACACCAATTATTTAACCACAGTAAAGAAACCAGCAGCCAAACCACACTGATTATTTAACCGCTTATCCAAGTGCTGAACACAGCCATAGCCAGCCACATTAATTTAATGTAAATATCCCCAGTAACCAGTCACACGGAGTCAAGAACTGCAGCAAGGGCAGCTCCTCACCTTTCCGTGTCTTGTCTCCAGATGTCTGGAACTGAGAAATTGGCTATCATCCAACCCATATTTTGCTATTTTTTCCCCCTTGGCATTTTTGTTTCTCCAAAAATGGGTTCATCCCTTCGCTGCTGATCTACAGTCTCACGTGTATACACATACTCAGGGGGACATTGCACTTAGTGAATTATGTTCTTTCCCTCTTCATTTCCACCTGTCCTTTTCAAATCAGTCTTTCTCCTTTTTTAACTTCAGTGCTTCCTTTACAGTACATTTGATTCCTACTTCTGTAATTTTCGCTGATCATTATAAGTAAACTTTACTCTCAAGAAGAATTTATCAGGAAAACATGATCTTGCTTTGCTATTTGTCATTACATAATCCATACCATTGGAATTTACTATAAAATATTTCCTTTCAGTGAGAAATGCCCAGACTCATAGATCTCATAAGCCCAGATGTTCATGTTTGAAAAACACAGCTCAGGTTTTAATGGCCACAGGTTTGGCATCTGACTCAAGGTCAGCCAACCCATTGTCTAGCAACCAATCTGATTCCTCTCTTTGGGATTTGAACCAAGAGACATGGAGATTGGCTTGAAATGTGGCATAGATTGGGAGCTGGCTGACAGGGGAGGCCATGTGCAAACAGAGCAAGCTTAACTGGAGAGAGGAGCAGAGAGAAACAGCTGAGGAAGACCCAGTGGTCCACAGCAGTTAAACGTGAAGCAACCGGTAACCATATGCTTCCCTGAAGGAAGGAGAGAGACGCCCCACTGCCTGTCTGTGGTCTAGTTCTATTTCTCAGGAACCGGTCTCTATTTCAGTTGCTACAACCGTGAGATTGATGCTGGATATGCCTCATATTACATTTGTGTCAGCAGATAATAGGGCAAGATTAGGCTCTGGGGTCACCTAGCTGGTCCCTTTCGATTCTGCTCTCTCCTCAATGCCCACCTTTTCTCTGGCCATGGCATCAGTTTTAAAATGATGATTGTGAATAAAATGTCTATCTCATGTGTAGGGAAGCTTCTTAGGCATAATGTAACAAGCTTAATGAGAACTTGAGCTTTGTGGAGTGAGTCATGGAGCTACTACATAGAGAAAAAGGTTCAGGGTGCCATTGATGCCTAACCAGCTTGTACAATACCTCATCAATGGCAAAGCGCAATGTTGGTGGGCTGAACCTCTTCTCTTTCCCATTGCTTTTGAGTGCTAGATGCCATATTCTGACTTCTCTGGTTCAAATCTAACCCGATTTTGGGGGTGGGAAATTAAAAGTGCTCTTGGCGCAGGATAAGTTCGAGATGGTTTTTGAACAACCAAATGAGTATATATATATGGAGATAAGAGAAAGACTAAGATTGAAAATATCACAAAGCACTTTGGAAAGAAGGGGGTGATTGGTCATGTCCAATGCTGTGGAAAGGTCACATAAGCTGAAGACTGAGAAGTGACCATTGCATTGGGTAGAGCAAGATTTTGATCATTAGTGACCTTGACAAGTAAAATGATGAGATAAAATCTGATTATAGTGAATTGGGAAGAGAACACGAGGAGACAGTGGAAAAAGTAAGTAAAAGCAACTTTTTCCAGGATTTTTAATAGAAATGAGAGAGTTACTCACTGGGGACTTCCCCAGGGGAGGTGGTGGGTTATCAGCACAGATGCTAGGAGCAGCCAGGGTTTGAATCTCAGCCTTATAGGAATTAAACTCATTAAGACTCAAATTTCTTAACCTGTAAAAGGAAGTTCAGAGCATAAAATTATTAACTGAAGAGTTGAGTTTCTAGCATGATACACATATTGGCTAAATTAAATCTAACCACAGATGAGATGCTTTATTTGTCTGATATCTATGAGCACACACCTAGTAGCTCTTGGATAGAAACTCATGCAGTTCTGTGTATATGACTCTTTACTGCCCATCTGCCGTGTCCTGGTGCTGTGCTGCTCTAGGTGAATGTGAGACAGTCCCTGTCCTTCACAGCCTCACCAGCTAACCTGAAGCAAGAAGATACCTCTACCACCACAATGACCTATCTTGAGCCTGAATAGAACTTCCCTGGGTTATTTCATAAATGCAGATTCCAGGACATCTACTGGACCTGCAGAAGACTCTGGTAGCAGAGCCTGCCGAATCCCACATGGTACCATCTACAGTGATTTCTTCTGCACACTGGAGTCTGAGGACTCTTGCTAAGGAAACTTGGATGGTTGTGGAAGTTTCTGGGCAGATGAGTGACAACAGAGCAGCATTTGAAGATGAGCCTGTTAGGACTGATTGGAGGGAAGAGAGGCAGCAGTACTAATTAAGATGAGATGGCCATGAACCAGGGTGAAAAGAGTGCTTATGTATAAGGAGGGAGCAGTGAATATAAAAAGAAGGGCAGGCAAGAAAGATTGTTTTCAACGCAAGAAATGACAGTGTTTAGTAACTGAGTGGAAATAATAAATAAAGGAAGTGTTAGCAGCGGAATGTTTCTGTATCACGTGACACCAAAGTAAGTTAGCGGAGGCAAATCCAAACGGGTCTGCAGCAACCTCAATTCTTGCCTCCTCGGAAGAAATAATTAGACCGAGGGACGTAGAGCAGAGTGAGAGACTGAGGCAAGTTTTAGAGCAGGAGTTAAACTTTATTAAAAAGCTGCAGAGCAGGAACGAAAGGAAGTAGAGTACATTTGGAAGAGGGCCAAGTGGGCAACTTGAGAGATCAAGTGTACTGTTTGAACTTTGACTCGGGATTTTAAACGTTGGCATGCTTCTGAAGGGTTGTACCCCTTCTCCCCCGATTCTCCCCTGATTCTTCCCTTGGGGTGGGCTGTGCACATGTGCAGTGTGTCTACTGCAGGCACTTGGGAGGGGCCACATGCCTAGTGTGTCTACTGGAGTTGTACGTATGCTCACTTGAGGCGTTCTTCCCTTACCATTCGAATGTTCTTAGAAGGTCATATGCCAGTTAAACTCCACCATTTTGCCTCTTCTTAATGCATATGCTTGAGCTCACTCCCACAGCTCCTGAGATCTTATCAGGAAGCTGCTGATCACCAGTTTAAGGGTTTTTTTTTTCTGTTGGGAGACTGCCTTTCTCTGGTTCTTGCTGCGACCAATTATTATTTTAGAGAAACTGTAACAACTGCCTGACCATCTCCTGATGGTGACCTGACACTCCTGGTTGGGGGAGCCCTCTGCTGCCCTGCTCATGCCTAACTAGCTACCCACTGTAATAGAAGGAAGGGAGGATGACTCCAAGGTTTCATTCAAGGAGGCTGCTCCCCTTAGTTTCAGATTTGTTTTTCTGCCTCCTCAACATCTCCACTCAGAAGTCCAATAGTCACTGTCAATGGAGCACATCAAAAGCACAAGCTGGAGTTTCCATTTTCCTCAAACCTACTTCTCCCCCAGCCTCTTCCCCATCTCAGCAAGTTACAACTCACGACAAGGCTCTGAAGTGATTCTTGAACTCCCATTTCTTCCATAGTCCCATAACCAAATCCTGCAGCTATACTTTCAAAATCAATCAACAATCTTTCTATTTTTCATTGCCTCCAACTTGACCATTTTGGCCCAACCAACATTATCCTTGGCCTAACCTATGACAACAGCTTCCTAACTTGTCCCTGCTTCTACCCTTGTTCTTCATAAACTATTCAGATCATGTCACTTCTCTGCTCAGATCCCTTTAATAGTTCCCCCAATTCATTCCAAGTCAAAGCCAAAGTTCTTACAGTGGCCCACAGGGTCCTACACGATCCCATCCCCCAGCACCTCTCTGACCTCATCTCTTCTCACTGGCCCACAAGCAATCTGCTGGAGACCTTCAGATGGCTGTGTTGTCACTTATATTTGGCCAGCCGGCTCCCAAATCTGGTCGTTTGTTCCTGCCATTCACTCTGCTGTTGGTGGATCTAAACTTCCTCCGTCCTTCCCTCTCCATCAAGGTTTGGAGGTGGTATTCCTTGCCTTAAATACAATCCTTCCAGAAATCCACATGATGGACTATTATTATTATTCCAATAATGTCACTGTGTCATCTTCACAGAGGCCTTTCATGACCTCCCTACATGGAATAACATTAATCAAGTAACTAGTTGTGACTCTCTACCTGCCTTGTTCTGCTTAGTTTTTTAATTAGCCCTTATCACTTGGTATATTATATACTTACTTTTCTATTATCTGTCACCCACAAACAGAATGTAAAATGCTAAGAGAAGGGCATTTATATAGTTTGTTTAGTGCTAGAGCCCCTGAGCCTTGAACAGAGACCGGCACATAAACCTTCATAAACATTTGTTGAATAAATGGCAAGACTGAATTAAGAGGCAGCGTAGCCACTAGGAAAGAACATGGGCTCTTGAGCCAGGTGGGCTGGGTTTGTAACTTGGCTCTACTTCCTGCTTAATAAGTAATCCTGCACAAGTTACTTTGCATCTCCATGCCTCGGTTTTCTTATCTGTAGAATGCAGGTATTAATAAGAGCCGTCTGTGGCCATTTTAAACATCGCTACACATTCTTTAACACTGCTTCCGTGGAGAGTAAGGTCTATGTTCCTCCCACCCCTAACTCTGAGCAGTCTTGCGACTGCTTTGATCAGTAGAATACAACAGAAGTAGTGCTTCCAAGGCTAGGTACACAAGGTGATCTAGCTTCTGCCTTGCTCACAGGAACCCTTGCCCTTGGAGTTCAGAGCTGCCATGTAAGAAGTACAAGTACTTTGAGGCTGCCATGGTGGGGGGATCCTCAAACTACATGGAGAGGCAATAAGTAGGTGCTCCAATCTGCAGTTCCAACTGAGTCCTGCCTTCAAATCCTCCCAGGCCAAATGTCAGATGTGTAGAAAGAATCACCCAGATGATT
This sequence comes from Homo sapiens, assembly GCF_000001405.40. NCBI lineage: Eukaryota > Metazoa > Chordata > Mammalia > Primates > Hominidae > Homo > Homo sapiens. The sequence continues at coordinate 86,965,252 of NC_000009.12, forward strand.
CCATCCCCCTGCAATTGGTCAGTTGGTCAGTTCACCTGTAGCTGTTCAGGTCTTTTGAGCTTAGACCTCAGATGTTGTAGAGTAGAAACAGATCACTCCCATCTGATTTCCTATGTCCAGTGTACTTATCCAGACAATCTGTAAGCATAGTAAAATGGCTGTTCTTTTATACCACTAAGTGGAATCATATTGTATTATATCTATGAGTACAGTATTACAGTATTAGAGTATTAAATATTCAAGTATATTAATATAAGTATTAGAGTTAGGTCTCACTCACTTGTGTGTTTCTCTGAGCACGTAGCAACAGTGTGAGGCCTAAAGGAGACACTCCACAAACGTTTGCTTCACTGGTTTCATAAATGCACTCGTGTTCATTATCGTCTATAAACTTCTTGGAAAACATTGTTTTTCAACAATTTTCTCCATTCTTGTCTTGAAATTTGTCATATTTGCCGAGAAGTTGATTGGTAATCTTATAAGATTTAGATTGAAGTTTATGGATGACATGGCTAGTATTGCTAAGAATGTACAGTGCAGCGTAAACACGGAAGTCTTGCATAATCTTTTCCTGGACTTGTGCTTTCTTGAACTGGGTTCAAATCTAAACTGAGCAAGGCCACACAGGGCGTTAAAGCAAAAAATGTACAGTTGGAATGCACTGAACCCCCTCGACTGGGGGAGATAGGCCTCAGAGGAGGTAATTTTTAAGAACCTGCCTTTTATTTCCAGTCACCTGGCAAGCCAATCTAAGAAAATATACAGTACAAATGTGATTTTCTAGTGACACAATTGTCTAGAGAGAAAAACAACTTCAAACATATCATGGTGTTTTGGAAATTATTTGCTGAATATGTCAACATACCCCTTGAAAGAAAAGCAGTTGCCTAGCTTTTGGACTCTTCTCATGTGCAGATTTCTCAAATTTTGAAATAACAAAATCCTTAAAATAATTACTTGGATATGACTCACATTTTTTAGACAGCCTGTTGGATACTTGCTACAAATAATTTCATGTGTCTAATTTAATGGTACAGCTATATAGGGCAAGAAGGAAAAAATAGGAGGGCAGGGAAGCTAAAGAAGAAAGGGAACAGCAAGCAAGGTTTAGATGTAATTGTTTGAGAGTGCTGCCTTAGGAAATAGTAATCTCTTTTGAGGTTTGTAGTCTCGGAATTCTTTTTTTTTTGAGTCAGAGTCTTGCTCTGTCTTCCAGGCTGGAGTGCAGTGGCACAATTTCAACTCACTGCAACCTCTGCCTCCTGGGCTCAAGCAATTCTCCTGCCTCAACCTCCTGAGTAGCTGGGATTACAGGTGTGTGCCACCACACCTGGCTAATTTTTGTATTTTTAGTAGAGACGGAGTTTCACCATGTTGGCCAGCCTGGTCTCGAACTCCTGACCTCAGGTGATCCACCTGCCTCAGCCTCCCAAAGTGCTTGGATTACAGGCTTGAGTCGCGGTGCTCAGCCTAGTCTCTGCATTTTTACTACAGCAAATATTAATGCTTCAATGTCATATATAGCCAGTAAAGCAGAGTCTTCATATTCAAAGTGAAACGTATTTAGGACTGTTTTTTCTCAGTTAACAGTGAAATCAGGGGGGTAACGGTGTTACTAATGATTTCCTATGTATTGACCCAGGGTAGAAAGTTCCTTTCTAGGGGCTGTTGACTTTATGAATCAGGATTATCATCTGAGAGCGCGGGAAGCCTGGTTGGGAGGGTCAGTTGCCAAATAAACAACCTGGGGAACTCTGTGTCTCAAGCAAGAGAAGGACATATTTATTAAACACACATGGTGCTATGGTTTAAATCTGTCTCCCAGTTCAAATTTCATGTCCAATTTTAATCCCTAATGCTGGAGGTAGGGTCTGGTGGGAGGTGACTGCATCATGGGGGCGTTGTTCTCATGAATGGTTTAGCACCACCCATCCTGGTACTGTATAGTGGGCGAGTTCTTACGAGAGATCTGGTTGTTTAAAAGTGTGAGGCACCTTCCTGCTCCCCCTTCCTCCTGCTCTGGCCGTTTGAAGTGCTCTCTGCCACTTTGCCTTCCACCATGTTTGTAAGTTTTCTGGAGGCCTGCCCAGAAGCCGAGCAGATGCCGACACCACGTTCCTGTACAGTCTGTGGAACCATGAGCCAATTACACTTCTTTTCTTTATAAATTACCTGGTCTCAGGTATTTCTTTATAGCAGGGTAAGAACAGACTAATACATTTGGGCAACTGATTTTGCCATTTACATTGCAATTTTATTTTAGTGATTAGCCCAATATTGCACCTTGCAAAACTATCTCCTTCATGGATTTTATTTATTTATTTATTTATTTATTTATTTATTTTGAGACAGAGTCTTGCTCTGTCATCCAGGCTGGAGTGCAGTGGCATGATCTCGGCTCACTGCAACCTTCACCTCCTGGGTTCAAGCAATTCTCCTGCCTCAGCCTCCCCAGTAGCTGGGATTACTGGCGCACACCACCACACCCAGCTAATTTTTGTATTTTTAGTAGAGACAAGGTTTCACTATGTTGGCCAGGCTGGTCTCGAACTCCTGACCTTGTGATCTGCCTGCCTCAGCCTCCCAAAGTGCTGGGATTACAGAGGTGAACCACCACACCCAGCCAAGGATTATCATTATTATTGATGATTAATTTTTTTTTTTTTTTGAGACGGAGTCTCGCTCTGTCACCCAGGCTGGAGTGCAGTGGCATGATCTTGGCTCACTGCAAGCTCCGCCTCCCGAGTTCGTGCCATTCTCCTGCCTCAGCTTCCCGAGTAGCTGGGACTACAGGCGCCCGCCACCACGCCCGGCTAATTTTTTGTATTTTCAGTGGAGACGGGGTTTCACCACGTTAACCAGGATGGTCTCGATCTCCTGACCTCGTGATCCACCTTCCTCGGCCTCCCAAAGTGCTGGGATTACAGGCATAAGCCACCGCACCCGGCCATTGATGATTAATTTTTATTGAGCATTCATATTTTCAGGAGATGTGGTGGGCTGAATACCTACTCTATGCTAGAGTGTACTAGGTTTATATGTGCACCATGCCCTTAATCCTAACATCATTCTACCTATTTGCAGATGCATGGCTTGAGATGCCCAGAGCCATAGTGCTAGCAAGCAACTGGGATATGGAGCTAGATCTCTCTGACTCCAACATCTTGCCTCACTTGCCTCATTGTACATGATGTGCTATCAAGTGCTTACTTTGAGCAGCTGCTGGGAAACAGGTCTGCTGGGGCCTCAAACAATCATTTGGTCTTTAGTCTCTGGTTTAATGTTGGCCAATTATTTTAGCCAACAAACCAAGCAGGTTGGAGGAGTGGGCTGGCTTTGACATCAGCATGTCGAGACTGGCAACCCCGCCTCAGCTCTGATATCATCACGGTGAAGTCAGCCTGGCGTGGCCCCCACTCACAATTCCTGTCAGAATTGTGGTCTAGCCACAAGCCAGACACCGTAGGCTCCAAGAACTGGTAAAAAGCCTGGGCGAAATAGATTGGTGGGAAATGTGCATTCCGTGGGCAGCCAGCTTCCCAAGGCTGCCAACCTTTGCTTTCCTAAAGAGAAAGAAGATTAAGTAGTTAGCTGCCTTGGATTCAGGATGCCAATTTCAACACTACACATGTGCAGAGTGATCCCTTTTGATTGTTTAGGCAACGCTGGAGAGAAATGTGTCTAAAATTATTTTATGTCATTTCAAATGTTCCTATTCTCCATTTTGTGTATGAGCTTCTTGGTGACTTCTTTGAGTCATTCTGATATTTGTGTGCATAGCTAAATGTATATGTGACATAAGCTGTTTTGAGCACCTACATTATAATGTGTCAGGGACAACAGTGCCTCTCTCTTTTCTGAATGTATTTAGCCAGTTAGTGTTAATGTTACCTAAGCTGACACTCCACCATTGTGCCATCGGCTCCAGATCCAGTCCCTGTCCTTCCCCTTCTCTCCCCTCTTCTGTATCACTGAGAGCTTTACCCTGCTGGCTGACTTTCTCAGGCTTCCTTGTAAGCTGTTTTTCAGCAGGGTTTGGCTGAGGGGAGGCACTGGTGAGGGACAAAGGAGAAAGAAAGAAGGGAGAATCCAGGATGTTTTTCCTGTCCCTCTTTGCCTCAAGCAGCATCCCCCGACTCCACACCTCCATTACCCACTTGGCTGCCATAGTTCTCACTGGTTCCTGTGACCTGACCCTTGGGCTCAGGTAACTATGATCTTTCTCTCTGTCCTTCTAGCCTTGGAGACGTGGCAGCTCCCTGCTCATGCAGATCTCTGGGTTACACCGCTGTGCCTGGTTCAGCTTCCTAGCATCTATTATCTATGTAAGGAATTTAATTCTCTCTCTTTGATGTACCCACAGTGGTTTCTGCCTTCTTAGGTGGATCCTGATAAATATAATTACGCTAGTTTTTGTCGCACTTAGGAATGTTTCAGATGCCTATGAATTGCCTTTAAGAGATTTTGGTAAGATATAGTTTAGGGGTCTTTCTTTTAGTTCAACAAACATTCAGTGGGTACCTACTATGCACAACACAAGTTTGTAGGTGAATAGTTATTGATTGTTACACAGCCAGCATCTAAAAAGATGAGACGATCTGAAGAGCGTTCTTTTCAGGTCAGTGGAATGTAATCAGCACAATTGATTTATTGCCTGCACTTAATAAGAGATATTAGGAGACAAAAACATTTATTAATGTTCTTGTTTGATCAGTGTTAATGTCAAGGCTTGTTATACGGGGGTGCCATCAAATCGCCTGCTCGTACATATTCTCACAGAGCACCAAAAATTCCATCCAAATAAATTATTGTTATTATTATTTCAACTGATTCATTTGGCAGGAAAAGTTGGGATCAGAAGAGCAGGTGAGCCATGTTTCCTCCTGCCCTTGATATAGGCAGTCTGGTGTTGAGCTAAGTGAGTGATTAAGACCTTTTTTTTTTTTTTTTGAGACAGAGTCTGGCTCTGTCACCCAGGCTGGAGCACAGTGGGGCCATCTCAGCTCACTGCAAGCTCCGCCTCCCAGGTTCACACCATTCTCCTGCCTCAGCCTCCCAAGTAGCTGGGACTACAGGTGCCTGCCACCACGCCCAGCTAATTTTTTTGTATTTTTAGTAGAGATGGGGTTTCACTGTGTTAGCCAGGATGGTCTCAATCTCCTGACCTCGTGATCTGCCTGCCTCAGCCTCCCAAAGTGCTGGGATTACAGGCATGAGCCACCGCACCCGGCCGATTAAGACCTTTTCTATAGCATCAGGCATTGACCTATGAGACCTGTGAGGTCCACACACTGATAACCAATTCCCTAGGAATGATGAGGAAGACACAGAAGATGGGAGCTATGAGAGCAGCCTTTTGTGATTTTTCATGATGTAACTGATACTTCCTGTGAGCAAATAAGCTACTGGCTAGGTTCATCACAAATGGCCTGTGGTGACTGAAGAGTTGTGCATATTTTTACTTACTAAAGGACATGTATGCAAATTCTTATTGATGTTATAAATCATGGTATTTTGAGGGATGCCAAGAAATTGATCATTTTCACTAAGTGAAATCATCTAATGCCTCTTAGAGGTGAACATCAGAGTTTGGAATAACAAGCATCTTTTACCGCTCTTCCTTGATACTCCTAGACTCTTGCTTTCCTGTCAAACTGCCTCCTATGTTAGCCTCAGAGGGAATGAGGTTGTTAAATTCCAGTTGTGGGATCAGTGGAGGTGTAGTAACCCTAACTTACTATCAGAGTATTCTCTGATAACATGAAAAGAAGAAAGGGGTGGAGGAGAAAGAGAAGAGGAGGGGAGGAGGGATGGGTGACAAGGAGTTAAGGAGGAGTGACGGATAAAGCCATGGCCATTCCAGATGCTGTTGTCTGAGCTACTACCTGCTTGTCCTGTTGCCTTAGGGATGGGGACCCTTCTTGCACTGCATTAGCCCAGTAGGGAAGGCTTGTGGGGCTTTCTATTTGTTTTCATTTATTTACTCTGATAGGAGGCAAGCTTCATTTCCTTAGCTTACCTCTTTTATTCTTTTATACTTAAAGTATACTTTTATTCTTAAATTTTTAAGTATAAAAACCGATCTCACCTGCATTTTCTTCTTGAAACCCATTCAATCTTGTAAGCTAATTGTTTGCCGGTTCACCATTCTCCCAGCTAGATATGAGACACAACCATTTGAAGTTCCTTTTTACGTGTGCCAGATGAAAAATCCAATTCATCCCTTAACTTTCCTTAGTAACCGAAGGAGGTGAAATACACCATCTGTTTGGTTTGTTAAAAAGTGGTGCCTTTGGATATCACATTAATTGGATTTAAAGCGTGGGCAAAATTGAATATCTAGCAGGCCTGGAAGTTATATTTAAAGCTATTTTCCCCTCTCGGTGGAAACAAAATACCGAACATTCATGATAGATTGAGATTTAAAATGGTAGTTCCATAAGAAGGTGGTTCTCCTCTCTCTCTCCGCATGTTCCTCTGTAAAGAAGTTCCTGAATTTAGAATAGAAAATAACAGTAAACAGTATTTTGAAAGCAATGTAGCCTAGTTGGTGTTGAAAAGTTTAAAGATTTAAATGTTCTGTTTGTGAAGGAATTTGCTAATTGTCCTGCAGATGTTCCTTCTTTTTATCCCTTATGTGTCATAGTTTCCTTAACATTCTCTTCCTCCCTTTCTTTCTCTGGCTTTAGCTCTCCATCTTGTTCTCTTTTTTAAAGCAGTGAAGATAAGTTCAAAGAATGTGTAAAACTTCTTTTCTTTCCCTGGAAACAAGGCTATGCCTCAGTGCCAAAGTCCTGAGGCCCTGTCTTGATGAGAAGCCCTCTTGCTTTAATTGTAACTTTTCCAGAAAGTTCTCTCCCAACTCAGTGACTTGTGTATCCTGGATTTAATTTTATTAAGTGAGTTGCAACGTTAAATTATTTGGCCCTATTTCATGACTCCACCTAACATTCTAACCCCCCACTGAAATAATCAAATAGTGAGTAACAAATACCTGTATTTTTTTCAGAGGACTTAAAATGGCGAATTCCTTAAGAGTCCTTGGATGATCAGAAAGCTCTCCTAACAACTCCAAACCATGGCTGGGAATCAGTGTTCTTATCCTTTAAAAAAAAAAAAGACCCATTAGTAGCACTCATTTTTAAGATTTGCTGTTCAGCATAATATTAAAGTCACCTGATCACTTTGCATTCATCTTAGTCAGTATTTTGAATTCCTAAGTTAATATCACCTTTAGAAATAAAGTCAAATGTCTTTGTTTTAGTTACATTATTAATCTTTCATAATGCAATTGAAAATGAACTCTAGTACCTGAATTTATTATTAATTTATTTTTAAAGTAGAGATAATCTTCATTTCTCTTACATGGGGCATTAAACACACATAAAACCAACCTACTAATGTAGATTCAATTCTTTTCCCTGGTGTAAACATGGTAGATCCCACAATGCATAGGCAACTGTGCTAGAAACGGGGCCTCAAGCTGCTTATTCCAAGCTTCCTCTCTGGTGAGCCTTGCCTACAACTCCTCTCCCCATCCCTGGGACTCAGATCCTCCTTAGCAAATGATCTTTCTCTCTCTCTGCTTGCTCTCTCTCTTGCCCTTCCCTCCCCACACCAATTTAAACAATAAAGGCAGAAGCATGAAACCAAGAAATTGCAGTGAGGAAAAGTATAGGTAATATGAGGGATGTTCTGCTTCCCCTATTTTGTGGGATTCATTGAGCAAATGATTTGTCATACAACCTAACTCCTGGTAAGACTAGCTTACCACCTAGTCTTACAAAGTATAGTTGACCACATTGACAGTTTTGCTTAAGGTGGGTCCTGAATATATAGAGCTTCTATAGACATTCCTGATTCTTCATGAAACTTGGCTTTCCTGAGCCATCTTTGCCATGAAAAGCATTTGGTAGCCCTTCCCTATGTTTCATCTCCCTCCTCTTCTCACATACACACACATTGCTGCTACTGCTCCTCTTCCTCCTCCTCACACACACACACCTCTCCCTTAAGAAAGAGTTTGAGAATCACAGAGCTAGAGATAGGACTTGCCTGAGTTCCAGAATATTCCTAATGATGAGGTAGATCACTTCAATCCCCAGAAACATGGATGTGGCATTGAAGAGTCATTGCAAATATGCTGCTAGTCTTCAGGGCTTCTTGCATTTGGTATTTAAAGTAGAGCTTCACTGTTCTCTGAGTTATAGTAGATTTTCAAATTTTTAACATATCTCACTTCCAATATACATAAACCATTAGATTAAGATTATTTTGAGCATAAATTATTTGAGATTATCCATGTGACTACCGACGTTGCATTTGATTATGTGACCAATAGCCAGCTATGAAATCTTCATCAATAAAATAATTTCAGGTGTCACTATAACTTCCTTACCCCAGAAAAAGACTACGATGACGCTCAGATAAGAATTTGATGTATTTGGCAACCTCAAAGTGTCGGAGGAGTATTTGTGAAGTTAAAAGAGTGTTCTAACCAAAGCTATACGGTTATTCCTTGTAGATGGTAAAGAAAGAATGAGAGCATTGTTGGGGTTTAAGGGATTGCATTAACAGAGCTCTGTGTAATATGGTGAAGTAAAACTCCACTGGGAGAGAGGCAGTTTTGCAAATTATGGTGCAGTCAGGTAATTACTCCTCTCCCTCCAAGTTTAGTTGATACTCTCTGAGATTTAAAGTTTGTCTCTGTGAGATATGTAAGTATGTGTGTTCAACAGTCTCTCCATCATGTAAAGGAAGCTAGATGGCTTGTTCATTGACTTAAAAGGCTAATTACCAACAATCACAATTCCTTCTAGTCTGCTGTTCCTCTCAGAGAGGAAAATGTTCTAAACTGGAGGAAGTATAGTGCTGGGCAGGGAAAAGGACAGATCGTGAGTTGAGCCTGTGATAAGAGCCAAAAAGCCTGCAGAGTTTCACACCATGGAGATTAGAAGAAGAAATGGTGGAGGGAGGTACAGGTCAGGTGGTCAAGGTCAAGGTGAATAACTTGAGTGTGACCTGGAGGAGATCCCTTATGAAGGCACTTTTCCTTTCAACTATAGGTGCTTTCCGCCAGAACGGTGAGAGAAGACAGTTTTAAAGTATAATTGTAAGTTTTTTAAAAGTTTTTTTCTCTTAGGATGTAGTTGTCTTGAAGTTACTCCATATCTTCAGGAAAATCTGATCATCCCTTTAGTCTTCAGTGACACGCAAGTGAAGAAGAGGAAACAGGACATTGAGGGAAGCTTGGCCAGGTACCAAATCAATGCCTCATCCCACCCATGCCTTATGGTTCCAGCTGGGAAAGGACAACACCCTTCCAAGGGGATGATGCTTGGTAATGACCATCAACAGCGAGTCAAGGTCCACCTTCAAGGAAGGGGCCATAGGGAGGAGCACTTGAGCTGAGATAGGACTTCCAAGAAGACATCCATAAATACTCAAGTGAGAAGAGACTTTTAGGTTGACAACCCAAGGAAAAAATGGAAAGTGAGGCTAAAAGAAAAGGATTTGTTAAGAAATACTTTAGGATGGCTATCCCTCCAACCTGTTTATCTCCAAGTTGTGAACTCTCCTCTACCCAAATTTATATCTCATGGCTTCACCCTCATGCTTCAGTTTAGAAGTTAAACTTCTCCAAGGAGTGTCACAACTATATATGATACCTTGGATATCTTATAGGATTTTGGACTTGGGTTTCAATTATTTTAAATCCATCCAAATGCCTTTTCTCTGCTGACAGCTCCACACTGCCCACTCAAATAAAAAAGACTCACCAGGAGAATAAATTATTTCTTCCCTTGTCAATGGTAATTTGTGTTCACTAAATTACCTCCAGATCTACTTTCCTGAGTCAAAAATAACTTCATAGTTTTTTTCCCCCCTCCATGTTTAGCTTGGAAAGACATATAGATTTAGAAGTTAACCTCTCTCTGTTAGATGCTCAAGAATAATTAAGCTCGTTTTCTTCTTAAATCAACCAGATGTTTCATTTTAAGATGGAACAATATGTGGTTTATTTGACCCAAGTTCTCATGAAAAGGCCATTGCTTTCATTTTGATAGTCCTGCTTTGCGAGAGGTAAAAATGAAAAACATCTTTAAGAGAATTCCATCTTTTTTTTTCCCTGGGAACAATGCTCAGTCTCAATAGGAAACCACATTTTTTAAGAACATGAAAGTTATTACTGATGATGTCCCGCAATCTGATCAAACACTTAAGGGACAGCCGTCACGTTATGATTTTACCGCACTGTTCTTCATAACTTTCAAAAGAGACTTAAATGTCTACTGTGTCAAGATTTGTTTCTGGCAAGGCATTTATTTACACTATTTCTTTGTCACTTTAGTGTTTTCTTCTAATCAAGCTAGGCTAATATGCTTAGGGCACCTTTCATTTTTGTCTTAAAAAATACCAATAAATGGTTAAGGGTAGTTTTTACAACATGGTGAGTGTTATTTCACAATGTTTCATTAGCCACAAATCCTCAAGTCACTTTTAAGAATTCCAGATGCCCTACTGTAGGTATTTTTGCAGCTGTTTTGTGGGAAATCATGAAAGTGCAACTCCTTTTGACAAAAAAGAGCATATCTCATTTCTACAGGGATTGGTCTCTTTTTACTGTACTTTATAGTAACAAAAAGGGCAATGTAAAGACAGCTGTGTACTGTATATAGTTTCTCCATGTGTCTGAAGTTCAGATAGTGAAAATATCTTCTAATTTGTAAACTACTATGATTTTACTTTGAAGGAAGTCTTTCTTTTAAATTGGTTATGAAATATTTGAAGTTACAACTTTCTTTCTATTATTTGCAGCACACAATTGGGCCTGAAATTTTTTTTATCTGGATCCAATAATTTTGCTTTTGAAATGCATTTTATTATTCTTTGTAACTAAATTCCTAAGTCGACTCCATGCATTCTTTTACTTAGGAGACAACACAGTGAATATAACTGTCGATAACTATTAACTCCTCCTCTAAACTATTAACTATTAACTATCTCCAATCCTCTTAGTATTACATATTTCCTTTAAATTTTTTTTTTCAATTTTGAAAGTTGTATATTTCAGGATGTTATGAATAGCTATTTACTGATATCTTATACCTCAAGAATATTTTGCTGCATAGACAGCCACAGTTTATACATTTTATAAAGAAAGAAGGAAGAAAAGGTTTTCCTTGTGTTAGTTCCAGTACCACACGATCTGTAGTTTTCATCATCGGGCTGTCCCTGAATTGTAATGTGCCCAGTGCTTATTTCTTTCTAACAAAATCACTTAAAAAATGTTGAAACTGGAGATTTAGGGCTCAACGGACCTAAAGGAATTCACATTGCTAAGATTTTGGCTACAGTGTCAAGACTAGACCTGTGATAAACAGGACCTGTGATAAAAGGAAAATAGATGAGGGTCTGGAGATGGGAGGTCATCCTTTGACTCTAGCTCCTTCTAGCTGTGGGTGACATCATTTAGAGCCAATTATGTAGACCCTTACATTTTATAGATGAGGAAACCAATGCTCAGATGTACAAAATTTCGTCTAGAATTTCATAGACCACCCAATGTAAAAAAGGTCAGTTTTCTTATTTTGCCATTTTGTCCTTAACTTCTATTGCTTAAACCTGGGCTTATAGACCTCAGAGTGGGTTCAGAGGAAAGTTGTTCATTCCACAATAGGCAAAGTGACTTAGTAAAACTGTGGGGATGCTGAGCTGAAAAGACACAGTGTCTGTCCTCAGAAGGCTTGACATCTAGTGAGAAATCAACACACAGCCCCGGGATTACAATACACAAAGGCAGATGCCCTGTTGAGGCAGGAATAGAGTTGGGTAGGACAGAAACAAGTGAGGAGGGCAGTGGTTTATGATGCTTGAAGTAGAGTGGAGATGGCCTCCCTGGGCAGACAGAATGACATCCAGACCATGAGGACCTGGAGTGGTGTCTCTGTTACCGAATGCAGGTGTAGAGGGCCGGGGGAGAGGCTGCACAGCAAGTCACAGTGGGATTCTGTAGCCTTTGTCTGCTCTGCCAAGGAGCTTAGATTATTCTACTGTGGACATCAGGGATTCCTTAAAGCATTTAGAACAGGGAAATGACATGCCTGACTTTCCATATTCTAAAGATGATTCACCCATGCCATGCTTTTCTCTCATTGCTATGACAAAACTTGCAGGTTTGAGGGGAAGGCAAAAAATTTCATCTCACCCTAATCAGGCGAAAGTCAGAAAATAACTCTGAAAAGCAAAAGAAGAAATAACCTCCTGACTTAATATTTATCTGAATCACCTCCAAAGTATTCAGTTTACAAGAATTTTCAGGCCTGTCATTGTTTTACTCAAAACTCTTTATTACAATTTAAAGTACTACGTGTAAGACAATTCTTTCCTTAAATTCAACAAAATATTTAGTTCCACTGAAGTGGTTGACTTGTGAAATTGTTTCTGCTTTTCTTTAAAGGATGTTGTAATTTATTGGATCTTTTATTGGACTTAAGGGACCAATTTATTTACATATACTCATATGATCCTTGGGATCAGATGGTCCTTAGCCTAAAACCCTGCTCTTCTAAGTAGAGTGGGAAATTATCAGGACAATGGCACTTTTGTCTTAGGTGTCCTGGGAGAATGAAATATGGTAATGCATTTCTAGTGATTTGTACCATGTGGCACATAGCAGGTGAACCAAAAATGTGAGCTCCTGCCTCCACTTGTGGCAGGCCTACAGGAGAGTGAGTTCTGTTTGATGAGGGCATGGCTGAGCTGGATGGCACAGATTCTGTGAGTCCACTTTACCATCACAGCCTCCTAGGAAACACAACTTGTTCATCAGCCAGCACTGGGAATCCAGGTAAATTAAGCAAGGACTTTGCGACACTTGTCAAGTAAAAAGAAAGCTGTCCGAAGTCAAAATGAGGTTCTTAAGGGAAAGAAAGGAAGGGAACAGCCAGACAGCATATTATGTAATTAAAGCTGGAGTCAAACATCATTAAATGGGGCAAAATTCTGGTTGAAAATGTTTAAAAAGTATTAATTTTTAAAGATATATAGTTATACTTATTTCGGGTAGATATAATAACTTAAGCTATGTTAATAAGGGCCTTCCTAGCAGGGAAAATGAAAATGCCTGGCTTAATAAAACAAAATAACAAATTTAGTATTAGAATTTAGAATGTTAATAATTCATATGGAGAGATTGGAGATAGCTTGTTTTCTTAACTGGTTTTAAAAAACCTCTGAAGTGTTATTTATATTGTTAATTTATTCAGCTAACTTTTCCTCCCTGGACTGTGGGACCATAAGCTTCAGTGCAGCTGCTGCTCAAATCTTCCTTAATTCCCAAGGGAAGTCTGCACTAATGACGCTATACGATATTCAAGGGTAAAAGACTTGGGCCACATCATTGGTGAACTATTCATGGACATAGAAGATAAAATAGATTCTTAATCAGTTGAGACTTGGAAAATATGTTCCAAAAATCTCTTTCTTTTCCTCTTGAAATATGTAGTGTTACAAAGCACATGTGCTCACATAGCCTAGATACCTAGGCTAAGAATGTTTTCTAAACTAAAAAAAAAAAAAGATTATAGACAGGAAAAATATTGAATGAAAAGAGTATCCACAAATAAAAGGAGAATAACATTTCAATATCCAAAGGCTTACTGTGGTCAGCTTGGAGACACAGGATGTGACATTTGAGTAATTAATGGAAAGTCTTTGTAGGAGCAGTGATGATCACGCTTTCCAGAAAAGCAAAGGGAAGGGCCACATTCCCTGTCCCAATCCGGCTGGCTCCATCCTGAGCATTCAGACCACTTTGCTGAGGCCTTTAACTGCATCCCAGTGACACAACTCACACAACAGTCACAGTCACCAATGCAACTCTGGCGCCAGCAAGCTTTAGTTTGTTAGGAAAGAAGTACTACTTTCCATGTATGTTTAAATAGTACAGACACATAATATTAAAAAAACAGAAGCCCTGAGTATGTAATTTGATGCTAAGCCTTTGCAAAATAGGCAGAGATCCAAATATTTTTCTCTGCTAAAAGAGTTGAAAATATGTTTCCAGGGGTGACTTGGCTGGAGAGGTTACCACTTGGGATTGGTGAGCTGAAAAGTCTGATTTGCAGACGATCCATATTTCTGAGACAACCACGAGAGCGCCTAGGGTTGACTGAGATCCAAATAGAAGGTAGTCTCTACAGTTGAACTTTCCAGGCTAGCCAAGTGGGAACGTGAGTGTGGTAGCGGGTGGAGGGGAGGTGGGGGAACAGATCTTATTTTTGAAGCTTTAGACTCAGATTATGGAATCAAGTGAAATGGTGCAAGACCCACTCAAGGTTAGTTAGTTATAAATTCGGACTCTAGAATTCTTTGTGAGGAGTTACTCCCTAGGTTATTAGAGATAATACATTGCTTGAAGGCTATTATCTTGATGGTAGTCTGGTGATAGGGAGATGCCTATAGCTTGCCAGCTAGGAAAATGGCTATCCCTGGACACCCATGAGGTCCTGGGCCCTTTAAGTCAGGTCAACTATATCCTACTGGGCTCCAAAGGCAAATCTTTCAACTCAGCAGATGTTTTATGTAATCTTCCAGGTCCTTCCCTGCTGCTCCCAACATGCGTGTACTTGCTTTCATTTCCTGGCTTCAGATATCTGGGTTCCTATGGTAGCTGCTGTATCTGACTTGGTTCTCCTTCAGGTTTGGCAGTGACCCTCCTGGTGGACTAGAGCTGAACACTGCCACCCATTGTAGACCCCAGCCTGTGAAACAATTCCCATAGTCAAGCCTGCTACCACCTCTCTCCCAAATAAGTTCTGGACTCCTTCTTGTCAGAAATAAATGGCTTCCCTTAAGCCTTATGCAAAAAGAGAGAAACATGACTAATACCTGGTCCTTACTTTCAAGGAACTTACAGTCAATTGCGTCAGATACGGTACAAGAAAATTGAGCTAATGTTACGGTAAGTCTTATGCTACAAGTGTCAAATGGATAGCAGGTGCTCTGTGGTTAGGAGGAGGGAGGGGACACTTCTTTTCGGAGAGACCAGAAACAAAGTGTCTACAAGAAGGATTTTTAGGGATCTACAAATAGTTTTTTAAAATTAGTTATCTATTGCTATTGTAACAAATTACTGCAAACTTAGTAGCTTAGCACAAGACAAATTTATTACCTTCCAGTTCTGTAGGTCAGAATCTGACATGGTCTCACCTGACTAGAATCAAGGCATTGGCAAGACTTCATTCCTTCTGGAGGCTTTGGGGGACAATCTGCTTCCAGGCTTATTTGGATTGTTGGCAGAATTCAGTTCCATGTGGTTGTAGGACTGGGGTTCCCGTTTCCTTTTTGGCTGTCAGCGGGGGTCAGCTTTAGCTCTCAAAGACCTCTCTCCACACCTTGCAATGGTCCAACCCCTACAGTTCAGGATCAGAATCTTCTCATGCTGCACTTCTCTTCTGATTCATCTGTCTACCTTCCATTTCCACTCTCAAGCACCCTGTGATTACCCAGGGCTCACGCTGTTTATCCAGGATAATCTCCTTATTTGAAGGTCGATTATCAACCTTAATTACATAACATAATCACAAGCATAAAACATCGGGTGAAAGTCATGGGGGCCAAAATCCTGCCTAGCACCGTGTTTTTGTGATATCATAAGCTGGTGGGAGAATGGAATTCAGAGGAGTGAAGGGCAGAACCTAAATCACATTTTCATTAAGCACCTAGCAGGTGCTAAGTATGACTCAAGTTTGGAAGGACAAGTTAAGTCAGGACTCATTGCTTCCTCAACACCTCAGCCTCAAGGGGAAGACAGGTTTATTTTTAAATAAATTGCAATACAATCAGCTACATGCAACATCAATAACCAACATTCAGAATTTTGTAGTTTTATTTTGATAGAGTACTTTTTTCTCTTGAATTTCACAAGTTGGCACATATTTATGACCATGAAAAGAAGTTCTGATCAAGGCATTGGCCAAAAACTGCAAAAAATGAGGTGGAATCTAAGGGAGACCCATTCTCAATTGCCCCATCATTCACACCACAGCACTGACCCTGACCTGCCATGTTGCATTACTTTCAACTTTTTCACCCAACGTGGAATATTCTCTCCTTTCAATTGTAGCACAAAATAATATTTAAGGCAGAAAACCAGACTGTAATAGCAACATTCCAGTTGATATTTTGAAGCTCATTAGATCCATTCTTAGTCCCCAGGCAGCATTCTCCACTCTCCAACATTCACTCATTTTCTCCCCTGTTTCCACTTTTACCCAGTTGTATACTCAATAAGAAAATGAGGAATAGAAGACATTTAATTTACTTTGAAAAATTAGTCTCCCCATCCCAACCCTAATGGAGTGTTACAGACAGTGAAGCCATTCAATAAAGGTTTAGCAAATTGAAAAACAAAAATGCAAAGAAAAGAAACAAAACAAAGTCCTTGGTTTTAGGGATTTTAAGTGAGTAGACAGGAAATGGCATTTGCTACCTGAATCTTTTTATCTTTTTCAGGCAGAGGTGCTGAGCAGCTAATTGGAGGGGATAGTATGAGCCTCCAAAGATTAGGGAAGAAAATTGCAGTTGAAGAAAACTTGCTTTGGTTCAATGCAAAAATAATGGGATGAATGGCATGCTGAAATATCATATGACTTACGAAAATGATGAATGGTAAGACCATTGTACATCTTCCATAAAAGCAGGCATTTAAAGCAGACATTGAGAACACTTGGTTCTATGTTCATCCCTTGCTGATCTCTTTGCCCCATGTAACGCTGTTTGTATTCTGGTTTTGGTTACTCTGGAATGGCCAGTGATTCCCAAACTCAATAAGAGGAGAAATGATGACAAGAAGCAAAGGCCGTCTACAGCCCTCACGTTAGGTAAGCAACCAGGTAGTAAGTCACCAGAAATGCGCTGTCATTCATGGGAAGGTTCCCAAAGAGTCAATGGAACATGAGTTCCCTAGGTTAAAAGCCAGTGGCTCACTGGTCTCACTTTAAAGCTTCAACCCCAGGTTCTCCCATCCACATCTCAACAGGCCTTCCTGAAAATATGTTAGGCTACATGGCAAAGGGCAATAAAGTTGCTAATCAGCTGACTTTAAAATAGGGAGATCATCCAGGAGGGCCCAACGTAATCAGAAGCAACCTGAAATGTGGAGGAAGAGGCAGAAGAACCAAAGTCCGAAGGAACATGGTGATGGAAGCAAGATAGGATGGATGTCGTGTGAGGACTCAGCCTGCCACTGCTGGCCTTGAAGATCGAGAAAGGGGAAGGAATGCAGGAGTGTCAAGAAGCTGGAAAAGGCAAGGAGATGGATTATCCCCCAGAATCTCCAGAAAGGAATGCAACTCTGCCCATCACTTGATTTTAGCCCAGTGAGAGCCATGTCAGAATTCCAGCCAACGGAACTGTCAAGAAGCAAATTAGTGTTGTTTTAAGCCACCAAGGTTGTGGCAATTTGGGCTAGCAGTCATAGGAAACAAAGAGCAGCATCATTGAATCAATCCCCAATGTGTGTTAACTGTGGTGAAGGACCCCGGGATGCCCATGGATAAGAAGCCCTTATCTTGAATCATTCTTTGTGCAGGACTGAGTGACAGACTGTCCAAGAAGTCACAAGAAAAAGGTCACTATAACTCTCAACTTGTCAAGCTTCAAATTCTGTGTGTAGAAACAAATTTCCAAGTTCTAGTCTGTTGTAGAGATTAAAAGCTAATATCATAAGGGCCAAATTCAGCAGTCAGACTCTTTACTTGCATGGATTTTTTTAATTGAATTGGTAGCCAAGATTTAAAAATGTATCCTAAACATCAGGATTTTTGACTTTTCTTGGAAAAAAATAGAAAATCTTGCCATATTTGCATTTTCAGGATAGAAGAGTAGTGAATGTCCCTCTAGACAAAGAATGCTCTCTCTGGTTGTCACTGTCCCCACTACTGTACCGTCTCGCATCCCCTCCAACTGTCCTATGTGGTCCTCTGGGCACCTGAGTTTGCAATTCCTGGTACACTGCTTATATACAGTTTCAATACTGGCTTAATTAGGGTAAGGTACTAAAGGCAATCTAGTTAGTTGCAATGTTTCATCCTGCGTGATTGCACAGTGCCTTCATCAATTTCAGAAAAAAAACCTCAGAGATGAGATTGTTTGGCCCATTGCCCCATTCCTTCCAAATTCTTAAGCTATGCAGCACCAAGAAACACTGGCGTGGGTGCCTGATAGGGAATTTCCAGGCCTGCTTAATGACTCCAATTCTGATCAGCTAAATCTTTACTCCCTTGCGAATATATCCAAATCTGACTTCAGCAGATAAGGAGAGAATTTTTCGAAGGATAGAAATCAAGCTGGAATACTTTCAATGTGGTACACAATGTGCTCAAACAAAAAGTCAGATGATCTGATAGCGTCTTCATATGTGCAGGACTTAGAGAAATCCTTGTGCCCTTTCATTAGATTAACAGCATGTACATTCTGACATCAGCTGCAACATGAGCTGGTATTGCAAAATGTGCTTTGGAATCCTGACGCATTAATTGTTATGTTTGGCTTTATTACCAACATATCTTTTTACTCATATCTGAATGCCGATGGTTATGGGCCAACATTTTTGGAAAAACGATACCTTGCAAGCTCACACTTGAAACGGCTCTGAACAGTAAGAGAAGGTCATAGATATGGGAATAAGAGAGGAAAGTCGGCTCACAAGAGTCAATGTCCTGAGCGGCTAGGCAGGAAGGCACCTTTTCCGTGACAGCCTGTGCGTCTTCAGAACACAATGCAGTGAATAATCAGCCATAGATGGGCAAGGGGGAGGCCTGGTCGGGCTTTTGACACAGCCCTCTGTAGGCGTGATGGATGTGGAGAAACTCAACCCTTCCCAGGGGGGTCAGGTGGCACCATCAAAACAAAGAGTGCAAACAGTTCAGTCCTGGAAAAGAACTCCCCCCACACTTACCCCCCTTTCTTTTTGCTGTTTGTGCCAAAAAGTTACAGTATCCAGCCATTCCTGATTAAGTTGGAAATCTATGCAAAGAAAAGAAAAATGAAGCCAATGTGAACATGCACATATTTAAATTGTGCAAAATTTCTACAGAAATAAATAAATAAATAAATAAACAAACTGGCATTGATTTCCAAGGCTGGGTGAAAAAAAAAATCCACTTTCTGGATTAGAGGGCAAGACATTATCCAAATTGGCAAAAAAAAAAGTTCTCCCAAAACTTTCCTTTGGAGGCTGTCGATAAAAACAAACCAGAGGAGGATGGTTCTTCCTCTGACCCTGGGGCCAGCCTGAGAAGATGAAGAAAAGAAACAGAGTATGTGTGTGCCTGCTGTCCCAACCAGAAAACCTTTGAAAAATAATCTTTTTCTGCCCTTTCATTGTTTTCTTGTCTTTTTACATCTCTGAGCAGTGATTCTGTTGGGTTTGGATTTATTTGAGCTTTTGGTAAAATACACCACTACTCCTACCTCTCCTTCCCCGCTAAATCTAGGCTCCTAGGAATTTTAGAAATATCTATAAATTTGCTTAATTGCCAGCCAGTTTCTCCATTTCTAGGCAACTGGCTTCCCTTAGCTGTAATGTCAGAATCTGACCTATGGCATCAGGGTCTCGTTTATCTGATGACTACCAAATGTTAAGGGCGCCGTCAGCCCGCTTTGCATGCCTCTACAACTGGGCATTAGATACCTGGCCTTGGAGCAGGTATCTGAACAGCTCTTCAGCCCTTATCCAAATGGGTGGAAGAGAGCCAGTTGAGAAGGGAGCTTTTGGGAAGATGTGACAGTAAACAGCACCTGCTGTGTACCAAGCAATGGGCTGAGCTTTACTTTGCGCTATGCCCACAGGCATTCAAAGGGCCAATTTTGTCAGTCTTACTTTTACCAATAAAATTCATGGAGAAATTTAATATCTTGACAATCTTAAGCCAGTACATGGTAAAGCTGGCATTGCAAACCAAGGCTGCCTGCCTCTGAAGCTTTACTTATCCACAGAGTCCCATTCTTACTCCCAACAGAAACTTCTAGAAAGATACTTTGATGTTTGCTCTTTTAAACTTCTTATCTCTCATCTAATCCCTCATCACAGAGAATTCCCGCAGAGAGAATTAGATATGGCAGCAAGAGCTTTGCAGAAGTAATTATTAGCACGCCTCAGCTCAAAATTGATTTCCACTCTTGGACCCAGACTCTATCTCAGAGGCAGGCTGTCAGGATAGAAAATGAGGGTTCCATATAATTTAGGCCATTTAGATCACTCTGCTGGCCCCCAGCCACCCACAGCCACCACTGTGTTCATATGGCTTTAAACAAATAACTAGTTTTAAATAAGTAAGAATTTGGATTGTGACAGCTTTATGGGAAAATGTCAGAAGCAGAGTTGTTTCTGAGGGACTAGTTCAGTGGGCAGCGGACAATGAATCCTGTCTGAAAACACAGCATCAGGCAATTAGAGGAACACAGGGATTCCTGGACGGCCATCTACTCTCTACCTTCCTTCTCCCAGCAATCCCTTGGCTCAGTTTTGGACTTTCCCTCTCATGGTGTAAGTTTTGATTCCAGACACCCATTTTGTGTGCTTACACAAAAGGACAGGGCAATGGCATGCAAAGATCATGGGCTGTGAATGAGAATACCTGCTTTTCAATAGTTGTACCATATTAACAAACTGTGTGACCTTGGGCTAGTTACCTAACTTCTCTGGGCCCTTCTTTGTAAAATCAATTGTTCTAAGTCTGGAAACAGTGTAAATAACATACTACCTGGCTTATAGTAGACAGCTAAGTAAAACTTTTCCTTTTCTCTTCACTCTTCTACTAACTTGCTTCTTCAGGAATGCCCTAATTCCAAGGGGTTCCCTTCTTTTTTTGCAAGCCTTATATATTTTAAGAACTGCTTAATTTGATGATGGCATTGAAGATTGAAATCTTGCATTTTATTCATGAGCTGTGTACTGCTGATGGTATTGTTTAACTTCTCTGAGCCTCTATGTTCTTATCTATAAGTTCTTGATAATAATTGTGATGCAGTTCATTTCCAACCAAACAGCCATTTAGTACCTTCTTCTCTGCACAAAGGGCCTAGATTTTGGGTCCATGTAGCCAGCAGAGGTCTCTCAACATGAGGGAAGACCCAGACCCAGTGGACAAATTCTGGTTGATCTAATGTAATGATACTAGCTCCATTCTTCTTTACCAATGAGTGCTCTAGGGGGAGTATAAATGATAACCACTTTTAGCCAAAGAAATAAAAATGGAAGTTTTAAGGTGGAGCCCCAAGAGAAAAAAGCCTTTTGTCCACTACTTTCCACTTAGTTGTTGATGGTGGATGCAATGCCTAGAGAACTGGCAGCCATCTTGACCCTATGAGGTGACAGCACAAGGATGAATACAAATATGCTAATGATGATGGAAGGGATGGTGGGAAAAAGCCAATATTGTGATATAATATTGTAAAATTAATTATCTTGAAGATGTTGTAATTCAGACATAAAGAAATAGTAAAAACCAAATAGTTCTCATTACTAAAGATTGAATGATTTTACTTATGGCTGTCCAAGCAATTCCATTCTCTCCTGTTAGCTGTGAGCCTATTTGACTTACCCTTTTGGCCTGAGGTGAATTTCAAATCTGTCAGTGTCACTGATTGGATAAACAACTTGCAGGGAAAGGAGGTTGTAACTGAGTCATTTGTTGATTATTTGTGGATTATAAGTTGTCTAGAGAGTAGAAAAAAGACTGAAAATGCTAGCCGTGAGCAAAAGTAGTTCATTCGTAAATTCAATCAACATTTATTAAGGTCCTCAATTAGGTGGTGGGAAAACAAGGTCAAATAAGTTAGTGCCCTGTCATTACAGGGCTTAGCAACAACTCAGTAGAGAAAGATATGTGACAACTCAGTAAAGAAAGATAAGTGAACACGTCCAATCGTCCCTCAGTATCCATTGGGGATTGGTGTCAGGACCTCCTATGGATACTAAAATCTGTGGATTCTCAAGTCCTTTATATTAAATGGCATAGTATTTGCATATAACTTATGCACATCCTCCCTTATACTCTAAGTCATCTAATACAATGTAAATGCTATGTAAATAGTTATTATACTGTATTGTTTAAGGGACAATAACAAAAAAAGTCTGTACATGCTTAACACAGGTGAAATTTTTTTCCAAATATTTTTTATTCGAGGTTTATTGAATCTACATATGTGGAACCCATGAATGGGAGTCGGAGAAGGGGGCAACTGTATACGCAAAAAGCTATCATAATTGCCAAAATAGTGATAACAATGTTGAAACACTACTGGGATTACTACTGTTAATGACTACCAGTGATCAAGCACCTCCCCTGCCCCAGGTACTGTCCCAAGTACTTTGTAAATACTGCCTTTTATGATATTTATAACAATTCTTTGTGGTCAGTCCAACTGTCATGCCTGTGTTAGAGGTGAGCCTCTGAGACCCAAATGCACACAGCTAGTTAATGGAGTAGCTAGAATTCACATCTAGGTCTTTCTAATTGCAAAGCTCATAATCCTGACAACCAAGCCATGGTAGAGATTCCAACAGAGTAAGGTGGAGCTTGAAAAGGAGGAAGGAATTAATTTTGCTGGGGGTACTACAGCAGGGAGTGGAAGTTAGGAGCGGGGGAAGTAGGAGGAAGAGTAAGGAAGGTCTTTAAAAGGAGGTGACCCTCCATGGAAGCTCAACTTCCTGGAGAAAAACTTCTCAGAAGAAAATGTATGATGTGCAGTTCTTTAGCATATTATCTAATATGAAGGAGTAGGGGGGATAGAGGCAGAATGGTATCTGAACTGGCCCAGTGGCCCCCCTCCCCGCCCCTGCCAAGAAAACTGCAAGTTCCAATGCAATTGGGACATCAGGGACCTGGGAGAATTATTAGAGCTGTTTATTTTGCCAAAGTACATACTTGAAATCTCATGCATCAAAAGTTTTCTCTGAATACAAAATACTGTGATTGTCTACATTAGACCAAGGAAACATTATATTCAAAGAGAAGGAGAGAAGTTTGAACATACTTATTTAGCATATGAAAGTGGGTGTTCGTGCCAAAAATAATTCTGTGTGGTAGAAACCTACTTAGGCAGTGTCTAAACTAACACAGCAGAACATGTGATGTGAAGATTTGGTGGCTGTAATTCATGCCAACCAGATCCCCCACAACCAGATTTGGTCTGTGAGACCCTCCTCATCCAGCCTCTGCCTTGTTCTGTGGCCTTAGGCTCAGTGGTCTAACTTTTAGCACTCCACTTGCGCTATCGGGTTTTGCCATACAGTTCTAACAACTAAGTATTTTAACCAAGCTAAGGCCTGGACAACACTGAAATATAAGAGGTAAAATAAGATTTTGCTGTCTTTTGAATTATTCAAATATTAAATATTAATATTATCAATCTGTAATTACTTGAATAATATTACTTTGTGAAGATTCTGTTTCTAGTAGATAAGGCCTTGAATACTTCTTTGAACTTTTTGAAAGTGTATACCTATTTTTTAAGTGTATACTTGTTTTTTAAAAACAGTGTTTGCCTGCCTTGTTTGAAGACACGAAAAAATGTACACAAAATGATTTAGAACTGTTGAACTTTTCAGAAAATAATTTAAAATCATCTACCTCATAACTAAAGGTATGTTTTTTTAAAATTACAAATCAATTTCAGCAAGTTTTAAAGTTGATAATATCTCATCCTGTTTTGGGTATACCATGTACAGTAATTAGTACTGTACTTAATTAAAACGATCAGTAATTCTTATCATTTTAAAGAGGGCAAACTGAAGTGATCTTTTTTCAGTGGCAAGAAAACCCCCAACTCTCAGCATAGCCACATTAACCTTCTTTTCGTTCCACAAATTAGCCAAGCTCATTTCATTCCTCAAGTCTCTGCACTTACTGTTTCTTCTTTTTGCTACATTCTTCCCAGAAATACTTGCTTTTCGTCTTTTGTATTTCATTCAGGTCAAATGTCAAATGTTCCTATTTCAGAAAATGTGTCCCCCCCTACCCCTCACCAACTCACCCAGTTATGCAGACCAAAAACCTGGAAGGTTATTTACCAATTTTCCCAGTCCCCCCATATGTCATGTATCAGTCTGTCCTGTTGATTCTGTGTCTCAGTTCCATCTGGAATCTGACCATGTCCTGTCATTTCTATTGCTAAAACTCTAGTCTAAGCCACCATGCTCTTTCATCTGTATTAGCACAACAACCCTTTCTCATTGCAACTTAGCTGGCCATACCTACTGCAGAAACTGGTACCTTGAAAGGGGATGTTGCTAGGATACAAACTTAATATGTTTATTTCTTTTGAGAACTGCCAGACTGTCCCAAAGTGCCTGAACCATTCTCTATTCCAACCAGCAATATATGAGGACTCTAGTTTCTCCACATCTTCACCAACACTTGTTATTTTCCTTTTTGGTTAATAGCTATCCTAGTGGGTGTGAAGGGGTACCTCATTGTGGTTTTGATTTGTATTTCCTTAATGACTAATGATGTTGAGCATCTTTTCAAGTGCTTGTTGGCTGCTTGTATAGCTTATTTGAAGAAGTGTTTCTTCAAGTCATTTGCCATTTAAAAAATTGGGTGTTTTTTTTTTTTGCTGTTGAATTGTAAGAGTTCTGTATGTATTTTGGATACTAGACCCTTATCAAATCATAATTTGCAAATATTTTCTCCCATTCTGTGGGTTGTCTTTTCACTTTCTTGACAATGTCCTTTGATGCACAAAAGTTTTTATTTTTTATTAAGTCCATTTATTCATCTTCTTTTTTGCTTGTGCTTTTAGTATCACATCTAAGAATCATTGTTAAATCCAAGATTCCTATGTTTTATTCTAAGAATTGGAAAATGGAGACTCAAAGAAATACATGTACACACATGATCATAGCAGCACTATTAACAATACTCAAAGGGTAAAAACAGCCCAATTGTCCATCAATGAATGGATGAATAAAATGTCGTTATGCATACAATGGAATTTTATTCAATCATAAAAATAATGTTTTACCGATGTGTGCTACAACATGAAAAACCTTGAAAACATTCTGCTAAGTAAAGGAAGCCAGACACAAAAGTATGGCATAATTCCATTTACATGAAATGTTCAGAATGAGTAAATCCATAGAGATAGAATTCAGATTGATGGTTACCAAGGGCTGGGAGAAAGGAGAATAGGACAATTGCTTAATGGGTATAGGGTTTCCTTTTGGGGTGATGAAATGTTTTAGAATTAGATAGAAGTGGTGGTTGCACAATATTCTCAATGTACTAAATGCCACTGAATTGTTCACTGTAAGATGGCTAATTTTACATTACGTGAGTTTCACTTGAAAAAAGCAAATTGCAAAGAACAAAGTAGAATCGCTCCATTTCCTCTCTGAAAGGTAATACATTTAATATATTTTTATTTCTGCTTTTTCTATATTTCTTTTCAATTTTTTATATATTAGAATTTTAGATACACAGTATTTTTTTATAGTATATGTCTTCTATTTTAAGACTTATTGTTGATATTTGCATTATGCTTAATATTCACATTAACAATAATTATTTAGACTTATTTGTAGTTTTCTGATTTCATTGTTCATCTTTGATGAAAATACTACGCCTTCCTCATTCTTGAATATGTTATAGTATTTCTTTGAACAATTTTTTTTGTTTCTTTTGTTTTGTTTTGTTTCTTTGAGACAGAGTCTCACTCTGTTACCCAGGCTGGAGTGCAATGGCACGATCTTGGCTCACTGAAACTTCTGCCTTCCCGGTTCAACCGATTCTCCTGCCTCAGTCTCCCAAGTAGTTGGTATTATAGGCACGCACAACCATAACCGGCTAATTTTTATTTTTAGTAGAGATGGGGTTTCGCTGTGTTGGCCAGGCTGGTCTCGAACTCCTGGCCTCAAGTGATCCACTCATGTTGGCCTCCCAAAGTGCTGAGATTAGATTACAGGTGTGAGTCACCATGCTTGGCCCTTTGAGCAATGTTTGAAAGAAGAGTATATATGTGAAACTCTACTTGAAGACTTTAATTTCTGAGGATGACTTTCACTTGCTTTCACTTGACTGTTTCATTAGATGTAAAACTCTTAGGACACCCAGAAAGATGGAGTGGATGTACTTTTCCCTATTCTTCATGTCAGAAAGCCAAAATCAAACAAACACAAACCTAAAATATCAAGAGACAGAATACTTTAATGAAGTATTTTAAAAAATAAAAATTATGCTAAAATCTATGATAGACAAAATATAAAAATTTGAAATAGAGTTTGACAAGGCAAGATTAGGGTGGGGTGAGTCATACAGGTGCAACATCAGATCTCCCCAATTTAAAATTTTAGTATTTCATCCAGCATGAATTATAATTCATTACATTTCATTTAATTCTTATTTTTAAAAATTGCAGTAAATATTGTTTCTCCTGATTACTGAATTTTTGGGTGTTCATTAAAATTTTGCACCTCAGGACTTCATTCACCTTACTTTAATCCTGCTTAGAGCACATTTTTTATCCTCAAAACTCTCTAGGTTTTGCTCTGATGTAGTGGCTGTCAAATTTGGCTTCACACTAGAATTTAAATGTTATTCGATAAATTTAATATCCACACTCTTTCCTCAGACAAGTTAAGCCAGACTCACCATTAGTGAAGCAAGATTTTAAAAATCTTTCTAGGAGATTCTAATTTGCAGTTGGGGTTGTAAACTACAACCTTATTTTTTTATTCCTATAGAGTTCAGTGATAAGGAATATTGATCATCTAGTCAGAATGCATCAGTTCAGCTCTTGGCTTTGCGTCCTTGAGTAAGTTATTTAGCATTTCTGATACTTAAATTCCCATCTCATGGCATGGTCCTGAAGATTCAAGGAAAAATCACATGCAAACCCTAAGCACTGTGCCTGGATCTTAGCAACCATAAATGCTTGCCATTAAGATATTGCTGGTGCTGGCCGGGTGCGGTGGCTCAAGCCTGTAATCCCAGCACTTTGGGAGGCTGAGGCGGGCAGATCATTTGAGGTCAAGAGTTCAAGATGAGCCTGAGCAACATGGTGAAACTCCGTCTCTACTAAAAATACAAAATAATTAGCTGGGTGTGGTGGCACATGCCTTTAGTCCCAGCTACACGGGAGGCTAAAGCAGGAGAATTGCCTGAACCAAGGAGACAGAGGTTGCAGTGAGGTGAGAACGCGCCACTGCACTCAGCCTGGGAGACAGAACGAGACTCCATTCAAAAAAAAAAAGAAAGATATTCTGGTGCTGAAGATGGAAACAGGAAAAAGCAATAGCTACGATTTAGTATTGTAGAGGAGAATCTTTTGCCAGTATGAAATCTTTTGCTATATCCTCTCAAAAATATGTTTCCAAAGGATTTGTCTCCATGTCTGTCTTTATTTATTTTGCCTCATATTCAGTGAGCCTATTTGCTTTAACAACACAAATGCTTTAGTTCAAATTTGTCCAACCTGCAGCCCACAGGACAGCTTCAAATGCAGCCCAACATAAATGATTTTTTGGCCCTTTTTTTTTTTTTTAGTTTATCAGCTATCATTAGTATTAGTGTATTTTATGTATGGCCCAAGACAATTCTTCTTCCAGTATGGTCCAGGGAAGCCAAAAGATTGGACACCCCTGCTTTTAGTTCAATACATTTTTTTTCTATTATAACTTTGATTACTTTCTCACTCTCTGTTTTGTTTTCTCCTTTTGGTAATATATATAGCTCTCTTTCTCACTAACTCTATAATCTTTTTTCTTCAATTTCTTGGAGAAGTTTTTAATTTTGTGTTTTTGATGTAAAAACACATATGCACAGTTTTACAAGTCAAAAGCTAAAAGCTTTTGAAAAAAATGGCAGATTCTCATATATTACTTGTATTTATTCTCTTCAGAAGTCACTTTAAAGTATTATCTTTTCTTCTGGCATTACCTTTTTAAATAGCATGTTTTAAAATAGAAATTTTCATGGTTTTTATTTATTTTTTGAATATGTAACACATTAACTTTGTTCAAAAGTTAAATAAATACAAATTTCTAGATTCTTCATATTGACCTTAGTAATAATTTCCTGAATATGACACCAAAAGCACAGGCAACAAAAGCAAAAATAAATAAATGGGACTACATCAACCTAAAAAGCTGCTGCACAGCAAAGGAAACAACAGAATGAAGAGGCAACCTGTGGAATGGGAGAAAATATTTGCAAATCATACATCTGATTAAAAGTTAATATTTAAAATATATGAGTTAGTTCTACAACTCAATAGCAGAAAAACAATCTGACTTTTAAAATGGGCAGAAGACCCAAATAGACACTTTGTAAAAAAACATAAATAATCTTAAACAAATATATAAAAAAGTACTCAATATTATTAATTATAAGGGAAATGCAAATTAAAACCACAATGAAGTAATACCTCACACCTTTTGGATGGCTATTATCAAAAAAATAGGGAAAAGGAAACTCTTGTACACCTTTTTCTGGAACTATAAATTGATATAGCCACAGTGGAAAACAGAGCAGTTCCTCAAAAACTTAAAAAAAGAACTACCAGATGATCCAGCAATCCCTCTTCTTGGTATATACCCTGCAAAACTGAAACCAAATTCTCCAAGAGCTGTCTGCACACTCATATTCATTATGGTATTATTTACAATAGCAAAGACACAGAAACAACTTAAATGTCCATGAACAGATAAATAGACAAAGAAAATGTGATACATACATACAATGGAATATTATTCAGCCTTAAAAAGGGGGTTGGCTTAATGCTTAAAAAAGAAGGAAATCCTGTCATTTGCCACATGGATGAAGCTGAGAGACATTATATCAAACAAAATAAGCCAGACACAGAAGAACAAATATTCTGTGATACCACTAATATCAGTAATTTAAAATAGCAAACTTGTAGCAGAGATCAGGCATATAAGGTTCTTTTACACAAGTTTCTTTTTTAGGTGGAAGTTTCTCTCCCATTCCACTCCCATCTGCCCATTACCACTGTTACTACCAACAATATTTAATTACCTTTATTGTATTTTGTGTACCTTCCACAGTTTTTTTCATGCAAGTAAAAGCAAATATAACATGTATTTTTCTTTTTCTGAAAGTTAACTTGGGCATCACTGTTTCTCTTTGCTGCAATATGTTCTCAGCCTCTCCCTGCCATTACTAGGGTTTCAAATTACACAATTATATTCTTATCTCAAGTTGCATTTCCCTCTCGCCTGACTGCTTATTTAATAGTTTTCTAAATCCTATCAAGAATATTAAT
Organism: Homo sapiens; assembly: GCF_000001405.40. Classification (NCBI taxonomy): domain Eukaryota; kingdom Metazoa; phylum Chordata; class Mammalia; order Primates; family Hominidae; genus Homo; species Homo sapiens. Next base: position 86,994,544 of record NC_000009.12, read on the forward strand.
TCCAGACTTTCTTAAGTTTATTTCCAGACATATTTCACATAATAATTCTGTTTCTTGAGAGGATATTGTTTCTGATTCCTTAAAACCTTTAGAAGACATTTTTAATTTCTGTGCCTGGCACTTTGTGTCCATTTGCTCATTCCTGCAGAAAGAAAATTTTGTATTTTACCTTTTTGGAAAACTAAGAAATATTTTTAAGGCATTGAGTGGTGTAGGTAAAGAGAGAAGGGAAAAGATTAGATTTTCTGTAATTTTATTTCACTAACACAAAATTTCAGAAAATGAAAAGAAATAAGGAAGGAGTCAGAGCTAGAGGCAGTGTCACCTGGGTTCCAAAGAGTTCTTTTTTCCTGTTTGTCACTGGTTTCCCAGCTGGTTCTGAGACTCCCACCTCCCCTTGGCATAACTGCCTCTTCAAATTCCCTGCTTATTGCCTGATCCTACTTTCAGACATCAGGATAATTGGGAGTGAGTGTGTTCATGGGGTCCTTACTCCAAGTGACCTTCAGTGCCTGCTAGGATCAAACTTTTCCTACAAATGCTGTGTTATAGACTGACCTTAGCTCTGGCACTTAGAAGTTGGTGAGATTCTGCTGAGAAAATGGCACCTTCTCATGCAGTGAACTGTGATTGGCAGACTTTTTCCTCAATCTGCCCTGTTTCCCAGACATCTCACAGAAATTCCTCAAGATTTTTAGTATACGTATGACATTCTTAAATAGTCCCTTGCACAGGTATTTCTTCTTTGTTTTTGTATTGGTGTGACAGTTCAAAGGGGATCTGAAAGTGAAGGATAGATGCGTGCTTAAGATTTTTAGTATACGTATGACATTCTTAAATAGTCCCTTGCACAGGTATTCTTCTTTGTTTTTGTTTTGGTGTGGCAGTTCAAAGGGGATCTGAAAGTGAAGGATAGATGTGTGCTTTCCACACTTGTCATTTAGAACCCATAGTGACTTTCTTAGTTTTCCTCTATCTAGATGTGTATTATTTAGTCACAAGTATATAAACTGAACATTTAAGCTTCTGTGTTGACATCATGGAAGGCAGCTTTGATCTCCCACAGAACGTCCCTGAAAGCCCCTGATAGCCACACTGCTGGTGAAGTACGAGGATGGGCTTAATGCTACATATAACTTTTGACTCCATTAGGCATATTCATAGATGGGGAAGTTTAATTTCTTTCTCACATGCTCCTTAAGAACTTCTGTTATTATCCATTAATTTTTCCCCTCCTCCCTCTGTATAAATAATTTCACATCTCTACTCTGAGGCTTCTCTAAGGACTCTCACTTCATCATCACTTCCCAGTTTATCACATCTCTCACTTAATTCGCGAACATTTTTATTCATTCATTTATTCATTCCCTGAGTGTTTACTGAGTACAGGGAATAGCATTAGAGAGTGAAAAATGAGCCAATTTTCCATATCCTCAGGGATCCCACAGGTTAAATCTAACATGTTAGGAAGATGTTGCAGCTGGAGAATCTTATGGAAATAAGGGGAGGGGAAGACAAGGAGGATGATAGTGTGCACGTCTCTAGCATCTGTACTTTATCTGTGCAATCTTATTTTACACTGATGACATGGTGATGATAGCAATAGTTATTTTTAAATGTTTGTTATTTAACACAGGTTTTGTGCTAAATTCAATATCCATTAACTTACATCATTTCATGATTCCCTTATGAAATATTCATTGTCATATTCCAATTTTACAGGTGAAGGAAATGAAGTAGAAGGATGTTACATACCTTGTTCAAAGTGACATAGCTGAGTCTGCTTGGACTGTGGTTCAAGCCATGCAGCCTAACTCTAGAACCCATGCTTTGCTACCTGACTTTCCAGACGTAGGAGGCAAATACCATAATCAGCTCCTTGTTTAGAGGTGTAGGAATTGAGGCCCAGAAAAAATAAGTAACTTGTCCAAAATATGTAGTGAAATTGGTACTTGAACTTTTGTCTGTCTTTCAACTACACTACCACCTCTAAATGCTCAAATTCAGATCATTTTAGATTTAAGGACTAGAAATAGCCTTGGAGATCATGTTATTAAATAATTACTCATTTTACAGATAATCTGTAATCACTAAAATCATTTACCTAAAGCAGTCAGGAACAGGTTCTATACAGCAAAGCAACTTAACATACAAAGGAAAATTATTGTTTGAAATATTATTTCTATTTTTTTTTTTTTTGAGATGGAGTTTCGCTTTTGTCACCCAGGCTAGAGTGCAGTGATACGATCTCAGCTCACTGCAACCTCCGCCTCCCAGGTTCAAGCGATACTCCTGCCTCAGCCTCCCGAGCAGCTGGGATTACAGGTGCCCACCACCATGCCCAGCTAATTTTTGTATTTTTGGTAGAGAGGGACTTTGACCATGTTGGCCAGGCTGGCCTCGAACTCCTGACCTCAGGTGATCCACCTGCCTCAGCCTCCTAAAGGGCTGCGATTATAGGCATGAGTCATCACACCCGGCTGAAATATTACTTCTATTTAATATTTAAGAAAACAAAATGAGGAATTCAATTCTTGATGGCAACACAGCTCTTGCTAGTAACTTAAATGCCTCATTGTTTCTCTGCAACAAGAGGAAAACTTGGGAAAGGATTCTGTAGGCACTGAGACCATCATAAGGAATTGCAGGACCCAGAGATTTTCATGAAAGTGAAATTGCTCATAGGAAATCAAAGCAAATGGCCTTAAGAGTGGCATCCAGTGGACCGTCCTCTGAAAAGTGACCCACAATTCTGCATGAATCTTTCCAGGACACTGAATTGGAGCCAGCTGATGTAAGGAGCTTACCTTGGTTGCCACCTTCTGGTCTCTGTTTGAGGAACAACTGCATGTGATTAAGGGTAACAGATACAGAATTTGTGTTAAGCCCAGGATGTAATTTGTTGAATGAGTAGCAATTGACTTGAAAATTGGATGGATGGGGATTGTGTTTCTTTACTCTCTCTCTCTTTTCTTTCTCCCTCTCAATACGGCTAGATTAAATCATCTTTAGTCTAGTCAAATCAGTGCTTGCTGTTGTTAAGAAGGATATTCTTGAGGTATAGTACTTCAGGGATGCTAATTGGGATTTGAGCAAGATGAAATTTCTACCCAGGTGTGTGCATCGTATACTGGAGATGGCAAAAACTGGTTCCAAATGAGGGTGTGTTTGTGTTCCTAGGCATGTTCCTATAGGGGCCAAAAAGATGCAAAATCTTCTTTTCTAAAGCTTTTGGTGTTCTCAAGCTTGTCTACACAATGGAATCACCTGGAGAATTTGGAAAACCAAAAATACTGATACCACTGATCCTACCCAACAGATTCTATTTTAATTGGTATGGAGTATGGCCTCAGCACTGATATTTTTTAAAGTTTCTGAGGCGATCCTAATGTGCAGCAAAGCACCGTCAAGCCCCCTCTCTCTGAGGAGGCACCAGCTGCAAGCATGTTTTACACCAATATGTTTGCTGAATATAAACATCCCAGTGCAAACTCTTGCACCCCAGAACTCTGGGCTGCTTGTGGACAGTCTTTGGCAAAGTCTGAATTTATAAACTGATAATACATATAATTCCATAGGCTCCATATGGTTCGTGTTATCCTGGGGGGAACTATACACATTTGCCTTGCCCCAGGATGGAAAGATAAATAACAGATGTGGATAATTTTTATCATACTTGTACTGAACAATAATAAAAAAATTAGAAATGAAGGAGCAGAGAGAGAAGTAAAACTCATGAAAACAAAGCTCAAATCAATTATTCTACGTTATATCTTTGCATTTTTAAGAATCCAAATACACAGTAGTACTCCATAGAAAAACCTGTCATACAGTTCTCCATTTCTAAGGGAGACTATCTCTAGAGTGATGAGACATAATATTAAAATTGTATGTTAATAAAGTTAATCAATTTGTTATTAGTGATAAAAAGTAAAATCTACATAGAGCTTACTGTGTACCAGACACTGTTCTAAGCACTATACAAGTATTAACTTATTTAACCCTCATTATAATCCTGAGACAAATCCTATTATTATCCTTATTTTACAGATGAAGAAACTGAGACCCCAAGAATTTAAGTAATTTGTTCAAGGCAACACACTGCTATGTGGTAGAACTACAAATTGAGCCCAAATAATCCAGCTTCAGATACTATGCAAAGGTATCCTAGGTGTGGGGGTGATAACCTGGTGACAATCCCTTCTCAGAAGGAAAACAGGTCCCATCTACAGAGGTGAAGCAGAGTGTGGAACTGAAAAACTCAATGGAAGAATGGCTATTAAGATTTAGGACGGCTGGGAAATAATAAAGTAATAATAATAATACTAGGTATTGACGTGTGCTACATGCCAGGCCTTGGGTGACATTTGGATTGATTCCCATTTTCTTTACTTTTCAGCAGTGGGGTCTTTCACCTTTCAAGCTCTGCCTGAGAAGTCAACATGGTGGCATTTGGCTAGGTTCTTTTAGGCAACCAATTGTTTTAACATGATTTGTTGAAAAGCCTATTCTCTCTTTCATTGAACTATAATGCTAGCTCTGTCATAAATCAAATTTTCATTTGATTTATGATATGAAAATTATATGCATTTGATTGATATGCATTTTTTCTCCAATGATACTCAACTGTCTTAATTATATAATTTTGTAGTAATTCTTGGTATCTAATTAGGCAAATACCCACTCCCAACCCTGTTTCTTTTGTTTTTAAATCCAGGGGTGTTTTGGATATTCTCGTTCATTTGTGCTTCCACCTACATTTTTCAGTTAACTTGTCAGGTACGAAAAAATAAAAGGCAAAATTTTTTATCCTTAAATCAATTTGGGCAAGTTTGCAGTTTTTTCTTGTATTGTAACTTCCAATCTATGAATATGATCTATTTTTTCACCAATTTATGGCTTCTTCCAATAACATTTTATAATTGTCTTTTTAGAGGCCTTATCTTTTGTTTAGATTCATATCTAGGTATTTAATATTTTTGATGCTGTTATAAATGGTATTTTTAAAAATATATACATTTTTAACTATTTCACATAGAAAACTTTAATGGATTTTTAAAATGTAGATTTGTATTCAGTAAACCTGTTAAAATCTCTTAGAATGTCTAAGAGTTTATTTATTCAATTTGATTTTCTTTTTTTTTTTTTCTCCTGGAGACGGAGTTTCGCTCTTGTTGCCCAGGCTGGAGTGCAGTGGCATGATCTCAGCTCACTGCAACCTCCGGCTCCCGGGTTCAAGCAATTCTCCTGTCTCAGCCTCCTGAGTAGCTGGGATTACAGGCTCCCACCACCATGCCCAGCTAATTTTTGGTATTTTTAGTAGAGACAGAGTTTCACCATGTTGGCCAGGCTGGTCTCAAACTCCTGACCTCAGGTGATCCGACTGCTTTGGCTTCCCAAACTGCTGGCATTACAGGCGTGAGCCACTGCGCCCTGGCCTATTCTACTGGATTTTCTATGCAATTGTGTTATAACTCATCATAAAGATAATTTTATTTCTTTTCCACAATCTTTACAGGTTTAATTTTTTTCTATGCCTTGCTGCACTCTCTATGATTTCCAGTATTGGCACTACTCTGGCCTTTGGTCTTTGCTCTTGCATCAGCCTTTCATAATTGGGTATGTTTGTTGTAAGTTTTCTGTAGAGAGTCTTTATGAGGTTAAGAGATTTGTTTCATTTCTAGTTTATTAAGAGATTTTATTATAGATCAATGTTAAATTTTATCAAAATTTCTCCATTGCATTTCTATTGAGATGATCACATGATTATTAAAAATTAGTATAAAGATTTATTATTTTGATATTTTAAAATCAGGTTTATTGAGGCATAATTTATATATAATAAAATTTACCCTATTAGAGTATCCAGTCCAGTAAGTTTTGGTAAATGTATGCGAATAACACAATAAACAGGTTTAGAACTTTTCCATCACCACAAAAAGTTTATCAGGCCCCTTTGCAGTTAATACTCACCTTCTCTCCAGCCCCAGTAAACCATGGATCTGCTTTTTGTTACTGTAGTTTTTCCTTTACTTTGATTTTTTTGAGTGTTAAGCCAGCCTTACATTTCTGAGTTAACTTGGTCATGATATCTTCTACAAACATTAATGAATTTAGTATGATTGGCTGATGCCTTTGCTTTCCTATACTGTCCTTGCCTGGTTGGTACAAGGATTATATAATACTTATAAAGTGAGTTGAAGACAGTTTCCTCTTTTCACCAGCTGGAATAATTTATGTATTATTGAAATTAATTGCTCCTTAAATACTTGGCAGAATTCACTACAAAGGCACTTAATTCTAGACCTTTTGGAGGAAGATAAAATACTGATTTTTTAAATCATTATTTTATTTTTGTAATACAGCTTATTTTTCCAGAAACTTCTACTTTTCGTTTACATCTTCAAGTCAGATTAAAGTTGTATTAATAACCCCTTATTATTTAAATCTCAGCAGAATGTGAAGTTATGTTCCCCCTTTGTATCCATTTTTTTCTCTAGATATTTTTCTGTTACCTGTTTTAAATTTAATTCCATTGTGGTCAGAGATAATACTTTGTATGACTTGCATTCTTTTATGTATATTGAGACTTGTTATAAGGCACAGAGTATGGTTTATCTTGGTAATCATTCGTGGCACACTTAAAAATCATGTGTTTTCTGCTATTGTTGAGTGGGATGTTCTGTAACTGTGAATTAGGTCAAGTTAGTTGACAGTGTTGTTCAAGTCTTTTATATTATTACTGACTTTCTTTCTACTCACTCTATCAATTAGTGAAAGGTGTCAATATTTCCAGTTATAATCATGGATTTGTCTATTATTACTTTCAGTTAGAAATTTCTAGCTGAAATTATCTATTTCTACTTTCAGTTAGTGTTAGCTTGCTATATCTTTTTTCCATCCTTCTTCTTTTAACCCAATGTATCTTTATATTGACATTACATATATGATTTATATTATATTATGTTACTATATCTTGTATGCAGCATATATTTGGATCTTTTTTATCCAATCTGATGATCTTTGCTTTTTAATTAATGTATTTAGATCATTTACATTTACTGTGATTATTAATATGTATTAAGTTCAAATCTACCACTTTGGTATTGAATATCTAATTGTCCCATTTGTTCTTTGTTTCAAAAAAACTCTTTTTTTGCCTTTTTTTATATCAAGTATTTTAAAATTCTATTTCATCTTCTTTGTTTGCTTATTAGCTATAACTTTATTTTGCTAATTTAGTGGTTGCTTTAGGGTTTATAGTAAACATCTTCAACTTATCACATTCTATGTTCTAGTCATATTATATTATTTAACACATAGTATAAAAACTTTATTGTAGTATACTTTCATTTTCCTCCAGTAATTGTGCGATTCTTGTCATCTATTTTGCTTCTACATGTTATAAACTCTACATGATTTTGTAATATTTTTGTTTAAACAATATTTATTTAGACTTAATAATAAATAATAAAAATATATGCTAACCACGTAGTTATAATTTCTAGTGTTGTTCATTTCTTTGTGTAGATCCATATTTCCACCTGCTATCGTTTTCCTTCTGCCCGAAGGTGCTGGTGATGAATTTTTTCAGCTTTGGTATACTTAAAAAACTTTTTTTATTTTTGAAAATATTTTTTGTTAGGTATGAAATTCTATGTTGACTTTTTTTTCTTTCAGTATTTTAAGAATGCTACTCCATTGTCTTCTTGCTGGCATTATTTCCAGAGGAAGAAAAATCTTTAAGATTTTCTCTTTTTACAGACTTTGAGTAATTTTACTACATTATAATTTGGTGTGGTTTTCTTCATGTTCCTTCGGCTTGAAGTTCATTGAGATTCTTCAATCTGTGAATTTATAGCTTTTTATCTACTTGAAAAAGGTTTAGCCATTATTTCTTTAAAAAGTCATTGTCTCATCTTTCCCCTCTTTGGAAATTTCAATTACGGGTATATTAGGTCATTTGATGTTGTTCCACACATCAATGATGCTCTGTTGTTTTTGTTATTTTCTCTTGTTTTGAGTCATTTTTTCTTCTGCGTTTTACTTTAGATAGTTTATCTTGCGATGTCTTTAACTCACCAGTCTTTCCTTTTGCAATGTTTAATATTTTGATTGTTTGATTTTTTTCCTTCTCACTATGGTTCATATTTTCCTGCTTCTTTAAATGCCTGATAATTTTTTATTGGATGCTAGACATTGTGGATTTTACCTTGTTGAGCTCTGGATACTTTTTGCTTTCTTTTGAATATCTTGAGCTTTTTTTCTGGAATACAATTGTGTTATTTGCAGACAGTTTGATCCTTTTAGGTCTGGATTTTAAGATTTGTTAAAAAGGACCAGAACAGTGTTCAGTCTAGTGCTAATTATTCAAACTACTGAGCTAAATCCCTTCTAAATACTCTACCCAATGCTAGGTGAATTACATTTTTTTGTAGTTTAATGGTGAGTACAGGCACCATTACCTGCCTTATGTGAGTTCCAGACACTGCTCCTTCCAAGTCTTTAGGGAAGTTCTTTCCCCAACTTTGGGCAGTTTCTTCACAAACATGCTCTGATTACTGCTCTGTTGAATAAATAAAGGAAAATCTCTACAGATCTCTGTGTGCAGATGCCCTCTCTAGTATGCTTCCCAGTAAACTCCAGCCACTTTCATCTATTCAGATTTTTAGCTTTGACTCCTCAACTTGGTGACTCTACTGTGATCTCCAACCCCAGGTCATGGCCTGGAATCTCTTGTAAGGCAGAACTGTGAAACAACCCTGCCTTACCTGATTTATTTTCTTTTCTCTCATAGATCACTGTGTTTCATTGCTGATGTCCAGTGTATTGAAAACCATTATTTCACATATTTTTTTCTGTTTTGTTTGCTTCAGGTTGATCCTGAGATCTTGTTCCCGATCTTCCATTTTTGCAAAGACTGAAGGTTCAATCTATTTTTTAGACCATTATTTTTGTTCTGTCATACCTCAGGTTTGTCAATTTTACTTTCCTTTTTCAATAACTTACATTTGGTATTCTCAAGTCTCTTTATGGCATACTTGTTTATTCGTAAATGTGTTATTTGTACATTCGTTTTCTTTGTTATTAATTTTTACTCAAATTCATTATTTCCTTCTTTCTACTTGTCACAGTAGCTTCACATACAACATAAAACATAAACTGGAGAGACCCCACCCAGTATATAAATGTAGCAAAAATTTCATGTACCCCATACATTTGCACAAATAAAACACCCCCAAAACCCTCCCCAAATCCAAAGGCTCAATTTAATTCTATGATTTCAAAATATTGCCACCCACATCACAAAGACTTTCTTGATCACCCTACCTTCTGATAGTCTAGTTATCCATCTTCCAAATTCCTGGAGCAATGGTTCAGAGAGAACACATTAACCCCTGAACAGAATGTTTACTCAGCAGACAGTGGTATCTCAGTTCAGGTAACTAAAATAACTCTTGTCTGACATACAGCATAAGGATGTTCTTCTACAGGCCTGAGGGAATTTCTTGCAGAGCAATAAAGTACACTGGGATATTGCTAACCAAACATTATCACCACTGCAGAAACCAAGAAACATGGAAACTTCACATATTGACTAATTTAAGTCCCAAAAGGCCTACTAAGAATGAAGTACTCACTTGACAAGGGACTGTGAGGTGGCAAGGTGTTCATAGATGTTTATGTTGGGATTGAGTCATGTTTCATCACAGGAGAAGAATCTAGGGCTTGACCAAGCTTAGAATCAAGATTGGGAGCTGGTGCATTTATACAGAAAACATAATGAACCCTACACCTTACTGTGTCCTATGCCAGTAAAGGCACACAGATGACCATTGTTCTAGAAATTTGAAAGATAAAGAACTAGACTATGAGAAGGCAGGGTGATCAAGAAAGTCTTCACAATGTGAGTGGAAATATCTTGAAATTATAAAACTAGTTGGAACCTTTGGGTTGTTTTGTTTTGTTTGTTAATTTGTTAGGGGTACATGAAAAGTTTTGTTACATGTATATAAGGCATAGTGATCAAGTCAGGGTGTTTAGGATGTCTACCACCCAAGTACAATACATTTTTGTTAAGTATAGTCACCCTATTCTGCTATCAAACATTGAATTTATTTCTTCTGTCTTATTCTATGTTTGTACCTTTTAATCCACTTCTCTTCATCTTATCCCTGCCCCCACTCACTCTTTCCAGTCCCTGTTGTCTATCTTTCCACTCTCTACCTTCATGTTGGATGGAAACTTTGTTAACTGAATATTCGCGTTTCCTTAGAAATACTTAAGACAATAGTCCATATCACACCGTTGTGAGCATTTATGATTTTTTTTTTCTCAGATGAAAAACCCAGATGATCTGGGTTCTTTCCCATCAATCTCTAATAGGTAACATTCCTAGGCCCTCTGGCACTAGCACTGCTCCCTAACACAAAGATTGAGTCGCTCATGTTTGTATTCTCAGAGCCTAACCTACTGCCTTGCAGAAAGACTGCAAATATCATCTTTTTCTACACAGATTAAAGATTTTGGGCTTGATTTCTTGGTCAGAGAGAGCTATTGAAGGTTCGTGAGCAGGCAAAGGCCACATAACTCTGTGTCATTGGCTCAAGCTGACCAAGTCATACATCATGTGACCTGCACCCAACTATAGGGAGCTGCTGCATTTGTTTCATTCCTTCTTCATGGCAAAAGTCCTAGGTAGAGCCCAACGTGCTGCCATGAGCTGTGGGAGGTACTGTGATGAATATAACTTCAAGGAATTCAGGAGTTGGTGGAGGAGCTTTACAAGTCAAAACATCCAATAATGACTTGTTTTCACTGAATTTACCTGAATGCTCTGTTAAGTTATGGAGACCTGTCTCCTGTGATTCATTAGATAGAAGCACTATGGATAATAAGACTCTCAAAATACTGTTCTCATTGATATCGAATCTGTCTTGATGAACTGCAGCAATTGAGAAAGATCCCTTTGCCCAGCCTTTACCAATCTCCCTGCCCTTGATTTAGCAGGACTTGAATCACAGCAGAACTGGAAATAAAGTCAATACTATACATATAAAAGAAAGTGTTGGTCAATTGCTTTCTCTATGATATTCTAGTAATTTAATTGTACTTTCAGGTTAGAAAAGTAAAATAAAACAATTCTAAGGAAATCATAATTATGTTGTCTAAGTTGTGTACTGTGTGTCCAAGTATTTATTACACTCTGTATATGATGATAGATAACATTTTTAGAATGCTTTCTCTGTACCAAGGATTGTACAATATGTTTAGTATATACTGTTATCCTTCAGTATCCATGGGGGATTGGTTCCAGGACCACTTCCTCACTCCCCCACCCTCCACACACCCCCAAGATACCAAAATCTGCTGAAGCTCCAGTCCCTGATATAAAGTGAATAAATTTGGGTATAACCTATGCATATCCTCCTGTATGTTTTAAATAATTTCTAGGTTACTTATAATACCTAATACAATGTAAATGCAATATAATTAATCGTTATACTATATTGGTATTTTATTTATATTATTTCCTCTTGTACTGTTATTTTTTTCCAAATATTTTCCATCCCCAGATAGTTTAATTCTTGGATTCAGAACCCACAGATATGTTGGGCTGACCTTATCATCCCACTAAAGACTTGTAACAATCCCAAGAGGTAGGCCTAGTCATGATCTTTATTTTATAGAGAAGAAAATTAAAGCTTAAAGTAACTACAGGATCAGGCAGTGTGAACAAGGTAGAGCCAGGATTCGAACGAGGGAAGTCATGCTCTACCACCGCAGGCTGCAACTGGGCTGGTTGTGCACCTGCCACATATGAACCTCAGATATAGCTACTGTCTGCCAGAAATCCCACCAGTGTTTCCAGCCATATTATTTGAAGGTAAGGTAGAGCACCTCTGTAGTAGTGTTGCTGAAAGAAAAAATACTGAAATTAATAGAAAGACAACAATTTTTCTTATCACATATAGCTATAAGCATGGTGGAAAATTATGTCTATTCTCTCAGTAAGTAGATATAAAGCTGACCAATAATGGCATATATGCCTATATCTCCATAAATTAAGTATTGTTTAACATCTCCTAAATTTATCATAATGCTTCAACAATTTAAAAGAGATACCATTTTAAAGACAGTATTAAAAAAACCCAACAATTTCTCACTCCTTATATATGTACATTTACATATGTACACACACATAGAAATACGTATATACATGTACACACATACCACATACATATATATTTATACACATATGTGTGTGTGTGTGTGTGTGTGTGTGTGTGGTATTTTTCAGTTCACACCTGGAAAGTGAAAGTAGTGCTCCCATTTAGCTATTCCATGTCTGTGCGCAGTATGTTCCTGACAGAAGAGAGTTTCAGTTTAGAAGGGGACTCCTCCATGAACCTTCCTTCCCCAACTCCCAGAACAAAATGAATCCCCTCTCTGTACAGATTGCTTTTACGTCTAAAATAGATCTATGTCTTTTCATGCTGTCTTGTATGAGAGTACACTGTACATGCATCCCTCTCCCTTTCTCGAGTTAAATAAGGTCCAGGAAACTTTGTCTGGAATTCCCAAGGCTGCTTGAGGATGGGAGCTGCTAGCAGACGTGTCAATACGTGTCTGAATATTTCTTTCTAAGTGAACTCTCTTCTGGTAAATGAGAATGAATTTTGGCCCAGTATTGATTTCCCTTTTAGATGACACATTTCTTTTGTTAACATGTTTCCATCTTTGGAGAATGAGGGATAAGTGTGAAAATGGGTACATCTACTTTCTCTCTTTATTTACTGAAAATTTTAATTCATTTTCAGGCAAGTAGGTTCAGTACACGACTTTTCCTGGGGTGAGAGGCTAAAGGAGTGGGAGAGATGGCATTTTCGGTTGACAGAAATAGAGGTCAATCAGTCTGGTGCCCACATGCTTTGTGAATACTGGCAGCCAGCCGGAGTTCAGGTCTCAATTAAGCAGATTAAGCCAAAGAAAGCACAAATGGAAACCCAGGCAAATTACCCCAAATTGCAGCTATTCCAGCGTTCCTATACACTGGATTTCTCAATTTAAACTGACCCCCAAGATATTAAGGAAGAGACTGAGGAGAGCAAACCCTCTGGCCAGCTCCAAATCCATCTGCTTGAATTACAGAGATGCAGGCCCCCATCTGAGGCTTTCCCTTTCATACCAGGCAGGAGGGCATTTGGGGCTGTGCGTGTGTTTGTGTGCATGTGAACTCATAGACGAGGGCATATGTGTACACTGCACACTCAGCATGTCAAAGGCAGCACTTGTTCTGCAGGCCTCATAAGAATAACCACATCACACAATGGCTTCTTTCTAAATAAACAGAAGAGGAGAGTTGGCTGATAAGGCATTTGTAGGATATACCAGGCCAAATTCAGTCAGCAGCTCCTGAATGTAGACAAGTGGCCTTCTATGCTAGTGAGCTTGGGAGAAGATACCATCTCTCCTGTCCACAGGCCCCATAATTGCATCTCATTCCTGACTCCTGCGAAATAATGACCCTCTCTCCTCATGGTTTGCAGAACAACACATGGGGAGGAAATAGTAGATCTGAGCTAACTGGCCCAGAAATTCTAACCAGATGATGGAAAAATGTTTTGTCAAAGTAAGAGTTCTTTGAATTTTTAAGAGCTTTGCATAATCTAATAAGCAGCCTTTTCAAGAAAGTGTCCAAAATGAGGCCAGCAAGACTATCCACCATTATTTCAATATCATCTTGCCAATTCTTTCATTTTGACGGATACAGACAGGAATCCCAAATAAAACATTCCTTCTTAGTCCTCCCCTGCTTCTTTTTTGGCAAGAGTATAAAAGACTTTTCCCCCTTAAGCAAAGCAGTAAATGACACAATGAAAGAAAAAAAAAATGCCTCGCAGAACTGCATTGTATTTTCAACTTTATTAAATAAGCAAAAAAAAACAACTGGATAAAAAGTAATTTTGCAAAGTCTATTAAGCTCCCATTTGTTTGTGGAGGTGTTGGCTAGTTGTCTAGATCCTTGAGTAACTGACCTTTTTAGTTTGTTTTTATGTTGTTTGTTTTCAGCTTTTGTCCACAACAGGCAGTCACTTCAGACCAGGAAGTCTCTAAAAGCACCGAGACTCTTCGGAGGTTAATGCTTTCGGCCAAGATCATGGATGGGGAGGACACAGGGCTTTACCATCAGCACTTCTCTTGGTACCTCACTATCAACAGGATGATGGCCCATAGGAGCAAAGGCACCAGTTTTCATGCACTGCCCAGTTTACCCATTTTGGCAAATCCTTCCTCCTGGCCTCCTGACTATGACACCACCCAGATGTCCATATTTTCTGCCAGGAAAAGCCTGCTGGGGACAAAGCTTCTTACTTCATGTTTATCTTCTCTCCATTTCAGAAAATGTCCCGTCTTACATTGCAACTTGTTGAAAGCAGGAAAGTGATTTTATAGTAAGACTAATTTACATTAAAGTGAAAATGACATTATTTTGAGGGGTACCACTTCAAGTAATTTGTTTATATTTTAATAATATATTGAGAGTCTTGGTGGCTCAGGCCTGTTTTCCTGGCACATAAGGAGGCAAAGCTGGGTGTTTGAGACCAGCCTGGACAATATAGGAAGGCCTCATCTATATAACAACAACAACAACAAAAAAGAATATGATAGAGACATTCATTGAGCATTACATTTTTTGAGCATTATATATTCTGTGTCCTGTGTCTCCATCCAAATTTTAGATTCAAAATATATTATTACTGTAATGTTAACCCCAAAAGAAAAATATTTATTGGTAATAATCTAAGTACTATGATATGTAAAGAAGACCTCTCCAAATGCTCAAATCATACCATATTGGGAATTGATTACTCAAATAGCTCTCTCTATATACCTATATCTAAACCAGGACCAAAGACTGAACAGGCTCGGAAGATATCTTTGTTTTTATTTTTGTTTTAGAAACAGGGTCTCTCTTTGTTGCCCAGACTAGTCTCGAACTCCTGGGCTCAAAAGATCCTCCCCACTCAGGCTCCCAAAGTTCTGGGATTACAGGTGTGAGCCACTGTGCCCAGACTGAAGTTATCTTTGTAGGGTGCTTCTTTCACATGGGAGATGGAACATACAGATCCAATACAGATGGGATTGTTCTATAGAGTAAAACGAACAAGTGCATAATTAATTCCCATGTAAGCCATTCTCTGGTCAAAAGTTTGCCAAAAGTTTCTACCATTTGATCCTCTATCTCTGAAGTGAATACAGAAGCAGTACAATGAGGCAGCTATTAGCAGAGGAAGGGACCTACATGGGACTCTTGTAGCTCATGTGGATATGGAACTGCAGAAGAGAGAGGCTGAGGTTGACGTAAAATAAGACCCTGAAATCCAAAGGCAATCAACGAGATAGCATTGGTTAGAGTTCAAAACCTCAGAGATCCATATGGCTTTCTTGGGGAAAAACTCATTTATCTTGACCTAAGGCAGAAAGTGAGAAGGAGGCAGTAGCCACCAAGACAGAAGAAAACTTAAGCATTTGAAGAGGGAAATTCAATGGGCTCCAGGTGCCTTCCATGTAAACATTTCAGAAAAACTCCCAGAAGTTTGATAGAGCTCATGCGTGTCAATGAAACTGTAAAATCCAGTCAAGTCGCCATCCTGGTTGGACTCTAATAGGGAAGAAAGAGAAAGGATTAGAGCCAGAGAGAAGGAAGACTGCTTCCAAAAATAAATTTCAAGAATATCTTAGGGTAAAAGGATGGACATCTTCACTGGGGACTGAAGATGGGGAGCAAATAGCACAGAGAAGAAAGGTTTATAAGGTTTAGGAGCAGAAAAATTTGATTTGGAATTCCCAATCCTGTTCCTCTTTCAGAGGGCCACTTCTGATGCTGTCTGTTGCTGTTGTGCAAACTTGTTTTTCCTGCAAAGCCATTGAGGCATCTTCACATGCCATAATGTCTGTACTGTTTAACTCCCGAGATAATTATTCTCAAAGGAAGAAGTCACTGATGGAAATCCCTGTAGCTCTATTGGATAGCAAATAAATTGCATTTATTCCTTCTGAAAGAATTGTTTTAAAGCAGAATTACATAAAGGGACTCTATAAAGAACAAATATAGGTTAAAACTTGAATTTTTCTCAATACTCTAGAAAGATGACGGGCTGTCAGTATCCTGCAAATGTCCCATCTCTTCCTAGGACCTATGAAATCTCTCTCTCTCTCAAGCCATCTGGTGTTTGCATTATACTTTCATGTGTTTTTTCACTCACAACATCAGGTCGTCACCCGCACTCTTTCATGCCAGAAATTTCATCCCAGTGATGTTTGGCCCACCCCTTCCTCTCTTTCCTTCACATATTTCTTGAAGTATCAGGATGTTCCTGAATATGAAAAGCCTTTTTCTTCCTGTCCTTTTTCTTATACAGGGCCTCTAAGTATGAAATCAACCATCATACACAAATAGTGTACATATTTTGTTTGTTCATTCATGGGTATTAGTTGCTGTTTGTGTGAATGGTTTAGATGTTCTCTGTAGAATTATTCTCTTCTATTTTGTTAACAATGCCCACTTTCAATTGTAACATATTGCAAGGTAGAAAATATATTCTTTAACCAGGATTTTTAAAAAATAGGTATATAGGAATGTTCCCTGAGAGAGAGAAATATTGGTGCTCATACATTTATGTATATATACAAAAATGTACTCATATTTATATACACACATAGAAATGTACATGAATGAACATATATATACATGTATATGTGAATATACACATGTATGTGTCTATCATAATATCATCCTTTGTTTTATATTTTTGCGTATATTTCAAAACATTTTCAAGATTTTTATACCGTGGTACCCAAATATAATTTATTTATGTTCAAAACAGTGTCTACACCATCATGAATAAGCTGTGGCTGAAAACCATTTGATAATGAAGCAATGGCGCTGACAATGATATTCACTCATTGCCTGGTTTTTTTGTTTTTTGTTTTTTGTTTTGATGCTTTTAAAAACTGCTGTCTAGGGTCGGAACTGCAACTTGCTCCGGAGGGCACGGGCTCCGTAGTCACCAACTGCAAGGCCCCCTCCCCCTGCGGGCGCTCCCCTGGCACAATTCGCGTTCGAGAGTGACCTGCACTCGCTGCTTCAACTGGATGCACCCATCCCCAATGCACCCCCTGCTCGCTGGCAGCGCAAAGCCAAGAAAGCCACAGGCCCGGCCCCCTCACCCATGCGGGCCGCCAACCGATCCCACAGCGCCAGCAGGACTCCGGGCCGAACTCCTGGCAAATCCAGTTCCAAGGTTCAGACCACTCCTAGCAAACCTGGCGGTGACCGCTATATCCCCCATCGCAGTGCTGCCCAGATGGAGGTTGCCAGCTTCCTCCTGAGCAAGGAGAACCAGCCTGAAAACAGCCAGACGCCCACCAAGAAGGAACATCAGAAAGCCTGGACTTTGAACCTGAACGGTTTTGATGTAGAGGAAGCCAAGATCCTTCGGCTCAGTGGAAAACCACAAAATGCGCCAGAGGGTTACCAGAACAGACTGAAAGTACTCTACAGCCAAAAGGCCACTCCTGGCTCCAGCCGGAAGACCTACCATTACATTCCTTCCCTGCCAGACCATAACCTGGATGCCCCTGAAATCCGAAATGACTACTACCTGAATCTTGTGGACTGGAGCTCTGGGAATGTATTGGCCGTGGCGCTGGACAACAGTGTGTACCTGTGGAGCGCAAGCTCTGGTGACATCCTGCAGCTTTTGCAAATGGAGCAGACTGGGAAATATGTATCCTCTGCGGCCTGGATCAAAGAGGGCAACTACTTGGCTGTGGGCATCAGCAGTGCTGAGGTGCAGCTTTGGGATGTGCAGCAGCAGAAACGGCTTCGAAATATGACCATTCACTCTGCCCGAGTGGGCTCCCTAAGCTGGAACAGCTATATCCTATCCAGTGGTTCACATTCTGGCCACATCCACCACCATGATGTTCGGGTAGCAGAACACCACGTGGCCACACTGAGTGGCCACAGCCAGGAAGTGTGTGGGCTGCGCTGGGTCCCAGATGGACGACATTTGGCCAGTGGTGGCAATGATAACTTGGTCAAAGTGTGGCCTAGTGCTCTTGGAGAGGGTGGCTGGGTTCCTCTGCAGACATTCACCCTTCAAGGGGCTGTCAAGGCCGTAGCATGGTGTCCCTGGAAGTCCAATGTCCCGGC
The DNA here is from genome assembly GCF_000001405.40 of Homo sapiens. Classification (NCBI taxonomy): domain Eukaryota; kingdom Metazoa; phylum Chordata; class Mammalia; order Primates; family Hominidae; genus Homo; species Homo sapiens. The sequence continues at coordinate 87,012,767 of NC_000009.12, forward strand.
AACAGGAGGGGGCACCAGTGATCGACACATTTGCATCTGGAACGTGTGCTCTGGGGCCTGTCTGAGTGCCGTGGATGCCCTTTCCCAGGTGTGCTCCACCCTCTGGTCTCCCCACTACAAGGAGCTCATCTCAGGCCATGGCTTTGCACAGAACCAGCTGGTTATTTGGAAGTACCCAACCATGGCCAAGGTGGCTGAACTCAAAGGTCACACATCCCGGGTCCTGACTCTGACCATGAGCCCAGATGGGGCCACAGTGGCATCTGCAGCAGCAGATGAGACCCCGAGGCTATGGCACTGTTTTGAGTTGGACCCTGTGTGGCGGCGGGAGCGGGAGAAGGCCAGTGCAGCCAAAAGCAGCTTCATCCACCAAGGCATCCGCTGAAGACCAACCCCTCGCCTCAGTTGTTTTTTATTTTTCTAATAAAGTCATGTCTCCCTTCAAAAAAAAAAAAAACAAAACTGCTGTGTAATTACAGAATTGTATTCAATCCTGTTTTAATAAATAAGAGACAATTTACAATAACTCACTTGCAGCAACGTGCTTTGAATCATTTCAGAGAAGAAGGACAGAAGAGATTGGTTGACACCACAGTGTGATTAAAAAAATAGGAGTCAGTGGTATTTATGAAATGAATAAATAAAGCACATGCCCACCCCCATTAACCCACTGCATGGTCAAGTTCTTAGGGAGGTGATGAGGCAACCTCTCCAATATTCCCATTATAGAGCTCCACTAACATTCTGCTTGGTGATGACAAAGTTGCATTTAGATTGGTTGATAGTTGGTATTGAGCCCAAAACCAGGGTTGAAGTTGTTCCAGGGAGAGGCTGGATTGAGGCACAATGTACAGCTAACGTTAACCTCCTCCTGACTTGACCACCCCAGCAGAAGGGCCTTGACACAAACCCGGTGTATCTGCTGAGTGGGCAAATACAAGGAGCGATCCAGGCTGTAGTTGCATGGCCTGAGCAGCAATGCAAGGAGGACCTTCCTTTTGCCTTTAAGCCTCCTCTTCCAGAGAAACTTCTACCAGTGACCTGGCAGTGAGACTTGTGTTTCATGTAGTGATGAATGTTTTAGACCTCCAGACTCTTGTTCTACTGAAGAACCTCCCTCCAGGGTCCTGCGTTGAACTGGCCTTGCTGCAGACTTCCTGAGTTTGTCAGCAGTAAAGGTAACAGTACCCAGAATGGAGCATTCTAGCCAATGGTTAAAAGTCCTGGTATTTTCTCCACAAAGTGATGATAAGAAAGGGGGTTGACCCCTCAGTCATATCAAAAATGTTTAGAGGTCACTGGGTAGACATGAAAGACAACCTGTTGAAAATTTAGATGGAGGTCTGGAGTCATCATACAAGCAGAGGAAAAAGACTGAAAAGAAATAATGTCAGAATGTTAATGATATGGTGATGTTAGAGGTGATTTTAGTTTTTTTCTTTGTGCTTTTCAGTGTGAATTCTCTAAAATGAGCATTTTTTAAACAAGAAAAAAATGTTAAAATAGGCACCAAAAACCTGAATACAATAAAATACTTTTAAATAAGTTCACACTCATATCTAGAAACTCTAAGCAAATCTAGGTTGCCAACAGTCACAAAAGGTAATTCTATTTAGGTTAAAAATGTGAGCTACGACTATCTCCCTTTCAGATATTCACAGAATAGAATAGCAGGACTAAATTGTGTGCATGGCTGAGGAAACATAGCTTTTTGTTTTCTCTGTGTCAGGTGGTTTCTCTCTCTTTAACCAAGATTACATTTCCAGAGTATCTACTTCTCCATTTCTCCTGCCTTTTATTTTTCCGTGGTTGCAATCTCCTGTAATTATGAGAAAAAAGTTTTTTCCTGGAGCAGCATCTCTGAGATTAGCCACTTTGGAGCCAACCTGACAATTCCCAGTTGGTGCTAATAATCTTCTCTGTAGAAACATAAGTTTTCAGGACATTCAGCTCTGCTCTGAGACTTAAAACAGCTGGAAAATGCATGACTTGAGTTTTTAGATCTGACAGCATTTGAATCCACTGTCAAATAGTACTTAATACCTGTTAATCTTTTTGTAGTTTATTTTCTTGTGCTTAGATATTTGCTACAGTAATTAAAAGCAGTTATGAATTCCTGAAATATAATTCCAAATACCTAGTTCTAATGAGTCAATCCAGTACTTGGATAAACAAATACCAAAGTTCAGGAGAGGGTAAAAGTTGGGAGTTGTCTTTATTTTTGAACCACACTATCTTTAAATTGCACACTATTGTCCTTAAATTGTATGAATTCAACCTGGAAGGATAAACCATTCCTCAAATTAAGGTCTTTTGCACTTTGGTGATACATCTTTATTTATGAAAACCTGACATCTCCATTTCATTACATTTTTAGCACTAATCTGTGCTTCTTGCTAGATATTTAACAAATGAAGTTTTTATTAATATATTAGTCCGTTCTCACACTGCTAATAAAGACATACCAGAGACTGGGTAATTTAGAAAGGAAAGAGGTTTAGTTGACTCAAGTTCTGCATGGCTGGGGAAGCCTCAGGAAACTTACAATTATGGCAGAAAGGGAAGCACGTCCTTCTTCGCATGGCAGCAGCAAGGAGAAGTGCTGAGCAAAATGGGGAAAAGCCCCTTATAAAACCATCAGATCTCATAAGAACTCACTTACTATCATGAGAAGAGCATGAGGGTAATCCCCTTATGATTAAATTACCTCCCACCGAGTCCCTCCCACCACATGTGGGGATTATGGGAACTACAATACAAAATGAGATTTTGGTGGGGACACAGCCATCCATATCAGTTAATGACCATTTCGTTCATAAATTCATTCATTCATTCATTCACAGCCCTCTGGATTATATATACCAGGGAACAAAACAGGTTAAAAAAATCTCTGTTCTTGAGGAGCTAAAATTCTAGTAGGTGGAGAATAAACATAATAAATAAGTAAAATACATGGTATTTTAAGCCCTTTGGAAAACACACAACATGGTAGGGAGATATGGAGAGAGCAGACTGCAATTTTAGTTGGGGATGGTTCTGTGTCAGTCTCACTGAGAAGGTGACTTTCAAAGGCTTGCAAAAGAAAAGTAGGTTAGCCAAGCAAAGGGAGTGGCCTGGGCAGGCAGAATGAATGGTGCAGGAGTCCTGAAGAGAGAGAGAACAAGTGGGAGGGGAGGGGTGGGGGAACAGCAGTGCAGCTGTGAGAGGGATGGGGGCCCAGTGAGAGTGAGGTCAGAGAGGTCATGGGGTGGAGGGGTACAGATTACATGGGGTCTCCTGGACCATTATGAAGATCTTGACTTAGTCTGGCTGAAGGGGGAGCCATTGCAGGATTTTAAATGAAGAACTGTTGGCCTCTGACTTTTGAAGGTCACTCTAGCTGCCATGTTGAGACTAGATTGAGGCCAGGCAAGGGTGGAAGCAGGGAGACCAGGTAGGAAGAGGATTTACTTAGACCAAAGCAGTAGCAGGGAAAGTGGTGAGAAGTGGTCAGACCCTGGATCTATTCTGAAGGTGGCACTAACAGTTTGCTGAGGGATTCAAGATGGGGTGTGAAAGAAGGGGAGGGGACAAAAATGAGATAGTCCAAGGGTAAAGGGAAAAGTGAAGTTTCTATCAACTGAGTTTGTATGCCTTTGTTTCTGGGACTCAGGGGTAAACTTCTGAAAGACAAGTACATGTCCTGTGTTCTGTAAACATCACAGAATCAAGAAACAATAAAAATGATGTCTAAACATAAAGTTTGATAGTCCCTGTCATTTATCTGCAACCTACAGGGAGTTTGAGCCTTTCCCATGCCATAGGGAATCTCTCAAGCTCCACTCTGGGGCCTGCCATCTAGGTTGGCACCTGAGGGCAGATGTTTCTGGGCCCTCATCGTTACCCCCAGAGTCTTAGTGATGACCTGTGGATGGCATGGGGATGGGTTACTTCTTATCTGTCTGGATATGTTTTACCCTTTGGACTCCATGGGAATCCAGGTACTTTCCCAAACATGTACAAGTCCAGGAGAGGGATAGAGGATAAGGAATGAGATCAGGTTGCACTCCAGGTCTCACTATCTTATTTTCTTGCACAACAAACAATGCAGGCTTAATCCAGAGGGCATGGGACAAAAATACGTGAAATTTTTGACACAGGCCAGCTCAAAAACATAAATGAATCACCCTGGCCAGATGGAAACAATGGGGAGTAAGTGGTGCTGACTGTGGCAAAACAAAGAGTTGCAGGTGATGGCTGCTACAAGAAAATGTAAGCCCAATAAACAAAACGCGTGTGAGTGGATTGCAGCCCAGGAACAACTTCTTGGCCAATGGTTTGGGCCATGGGAGCAGTACCATGAAGACTCTCCCTTGGTCCTTGGAAGGCTCCTCCCTCTAACTCTCCCTCCCTTCCCCTTTCCCATGGCCCTTTCTTTAACCCATTCATTGCCTACACTACAGTACCCAATTTACCCTACACTACTTCCTGACTTTTGCTCACCCTCTACACAAATAATCTAGTTCTGGATCTTTTAGTCCCCCTGTGTCTTGCTAACTCTACTGCAGTAAATGCATCAGGTGTTTGTCTATAGATGTGAAGTAATTCACATGTTTTACATTTCAGTATTTACCTACACAAATTTACCAATGTACAGTCCTAGCAGCATGCTGCAAGGGAGTCTTCAGGATGCCAACACTAGATTCACAATGGTTTTCATTTTTTTCAGTCAAGTGGGCAGCAGAAATACTATCTTGTCTTTCTTTTTGTCTGTGTTTTCTTGATTGTTGGTGAGGTTGCGTGTCTTTTCAAGTGTTTGTTGATTATCTGAATTTTCTTCTGTGGCTTAACTACTCATATCCTTTGACCCTTGTTCTATTGTGTGGTTTGTCTGTTGTCTTTCCTTTAACAGTTATATATTTTGCAAATACTTTTTCCCAGACTGTTTTGTGTTTTGTGTGTGTGTGTGCATGTGTGTGTGTGTGCGTGTGTGTGTTTTAATGCTGTTTATAGTGTATTTCATTCCTCAAAAAAATTTCCTTAAGGTCATTATATCTGATTTTCTTTTCCATTATGGGTTCTGGGTATTCTATCTTCTTTAGGAAGACTGTCCCCATATCAAGCTTGTAAAGAGAGTCTCCTTTATTTTCTTCTACATTTACAAATTTGGACTTTACATTTGGCCTTTTCATTCATCTGAAAATTCTTTTTTAAATCATATGAAAATTAGTATTTTCTTCAAATGGCTAGCCAACATTATTTTCTGAAAAGAAATCCATTGTTTCCCACAACTTTACAATGTGGCCTTCATCCTGTATTCAATTCTAGTCACTTAATTCAACAACAAACATTTATTGAGCTCTGCTACATGGAGAACTCTGCAAGGTAGAGTTAAGGCTCAAAGTAGAGTCAAAAGCAGATGGGCTCCTGGACTCCATCAATGTTAGCCTTGATTCAATAATATCTGCTGGACTTTACCGTTTCCAAATGTAATGGATCATTAACTTTCTAAGAATATTTCATACCTATTAATGGTAGTTCCAACTATGCCAATGATCTAAGATCGTAACATATTTTATCATGAAACAGGAACAAATAAAGAGGTAATCTGTAAAAAGCTCCCCAGCTTTCCCATGTCCTCATTACAACTCCATTCCAGGTACTCCCCTTATCCTTGAAAGAGCACCCCTTTATCTGTGAGCATCATGAGCAGGAATGCAAGTCCAGAGCCACCTTTGCTCCCTGCAAATGAAATATATTAATTTCCCATGTCTCTCATTGTTTCCTGACCCATTCAGGAGGAATTCGAGGAAGGGAGAGCAAGAGAGTGTTGCAGCATGACTGCCTGTGGCTGCAAGCAAGGGCACCTTCCTGCTTCTCTTGCTTTTCCCCTTTCACCTTTTCTCTGCTGGCCTCCAAGTGAAAAATACTCATCTTCCCTTAGACCCATGAAACAGGAAGAAATATCTCATTGACTTGAGAAAAATGTCTAATGAAAATATGATTATTCCTTAATGCCTAGGAAGATAGCAAATCTATTTAGGGAAATACCTCTTAAAGTTTTGACTGAACTTGAAGTTCATCAGGACATGGCCTCTCTGTGATGCAAGTATAAGGTGAACCACAGCAGATTTTTAATGTCAACAGTGGTTTTTCTTTAGGGGCATTCCGTGTAAACTATTAAGACCTCCAAGGGTCCAAAGTAAAAGTCCTAAATTGAGTTGTTTATACAAAAGCTTTCACAATTCCACAGGAAAGCAAATCTTTATTTTAAGTATGGATGTTTTTCCTCTCCATTATCCCTTCATGAAACCTGCTTTTGACCTAAGGCAAGGTCAAAAGCAGGACCTTGACCTGCTAGAATGGAAGCTTCAGGGTGCGCCTGAAGACTAGGAAGGAGACATACTATCTGAAGTGATCTCCATGATATTTATGATTTCAAGGGCTCTATTTTTGGCTCTTGTAAGGCTTGGTTTTGACTGCTCTGCACATTACTTCGCCTCTCACCTCTTTTACTTTCTTTCCCTTCGCACCACCATCACCCCTGTTCATCAGTGGAAACCAACTAAACAGAGAATGAATGGCTGATGAAAATTACAAAGGAAGCCAATATTGAAAGAATGGACTTTCCAGGGGGTGAAATGTAGGAGAAAGGTCCAGAGATAAGGAGAGTCACTGACAACAGCCGGAATGGCAATGGCAAGAGCCAGGCATGACAGACCGAGGTCCTTCACCCCAAGGTGAACCCCACAACTTGTTCCATTCTTCCTCTGCCATGTGAAAATATCCTCTAAGATGTGTTATTCTTATATATTTGCTGCTAACCCCATCCACTTGTTTCTCATTGGAAGAAAATATTTCTAATTCATTGGAGAAGTTTAAATTCTAGTAAAATTTTCAGTGTTTATGATTCAGAGTTAAATATAATCCCCTAATTTACATTGATTTTCTTTTAAAAGGATGAGTTTGGTCTTTCAAAATGTGAAAGGCCTCCACAACAGTTATCTTCAAATGGTTTTATCTTCTTGTTGCTTCGTTGTCCCTGGCCCTTCTGGAAAGTTGACTTAATTTTATACACCTAGATACTTTTACTTCACCCATTTGCTGTGTTCCTAAGGCACTCCCAAACTAAAGTAAATGGATGAATTTGCTGATTTTTCTTCCATGAATAAGCCCTATCCTCTAGAGCAAATGGGCATAAGCTCTGTAGGCTTCTTGTCCTCATTGGCATAGGGTTTTAGACTTTGTGGAGACAAAAAAAAAAAAAAATCAAATTCCCTTAGAACAAATGACCCAGATTAGAGGGCAATGTATTGGCTAGGAGGGAAATGGACAGAAAGAAAATATGTAGCTTGTCTCTACAACTGTAGTTTTTAAGCCCAAATAGTTTCTTGGAAGGCTCCTTTGGGTGAGAGGGTTTACTGATTTTTTTTAAATTTCTTTAGTTTCTTTCTAAGTCCTACTTCTGGGGCCACTGCTGGATCATCAACTCCCCAGCACAAAAGAAGGCACCAAAGTCCCCAGGGCTGTCCAGAGAACAAAGGGGAGCCTGCTGCATGCTGATAAATTGCTCATGTTAGCACCTGTAAATCTGTTTTGCATTTCATTTCAACCTTTACTCACTGCCGATAACAGCCCCTGAAAATGAATCTTGACAGCATGTTGTGATTTTACAGTATCCAGCAGCAAAGCCCAGCTAATTGTGAGCATATGATTTTTCAAGCACTAAATTTTATACTTAGTCCATGGCTCTGACAAACTTACTTATTTGGCAGTTGCTAATCATTAAGGCATTAATTGCTTTTCTCCCAGCATTTAAGCAAGATGAAGTTTGTTTTCTAAAAAGCAACTTCTGCTAAGCTGGACAGTCATCTTTGATTCTTTGTAGGCTGTTCCTGCGGATGTGTTTTTTGCTGTACTGTTCCAAGAAAAAACAAAAAACTGTTGAGATAGCAAACAAAGGCCCCTGTGCTGAAGTCTTGCAGAAGGGTAATTCCAGTGGTGTCTAGTTTCAGGCTAGAATACTAAGATCATAATTTCAGGCCATCGATGGCTCTCCCAGATGTCTTTGGTCAAGTTAATCACAGTTTGCCTGAAGGTTGAGTTTTCAGGTAATCCATCATGGCGTAATTGTAAATCAAGAGTTCTTTCTAGCTAAAATTTGGGAGGTTTTAGGGCAGCCTGAGACTATGAACCATGAACATAAGGCCCCCAGCCTCTGTCTTTTGAGTTTTGCAACTGAAGCCAATTTCACAAATACTGAAGAAGGCTCAAGACGTTACATGTCAAATGGACACATGAAGTGACTGTCATTTGAGTCAGTAGGAACACATTTGATGTTGTGGGACTCAGGCACACCTGGTCTTCTAGTGGACCCTCCAGTGATGGAAGATTTTCATTCTAGATGGGGAGGCATTGACATCATACCTAGTGTGTCCTCTGCCAGGCACCATAGAGGTGTGGAGTATGCCCGCCGATGCCCTTGTTGCTGGAGGAGAAATCACATTTTTCTGTTTCTCTTAGCTTTTTCTCCCTGGTTCCACAAACTCCCTTTAGTCTATGTTGCTTTTCTTCAGCCTGATTTTAATATTTTCCCTTATTTACACTGAATTCCAATTTAAGTTAGAAAACCTAGTATTGAAGATCGAATCTACTTCAGAGGATCTCTAATCCCTGATGTCCAAAATGTTACCTGCATGAAATACATACAAAATTTTATGCACACACTCACACCCTATTGTATGTTCATTATCTATATATCATTTCACTTACTCCTCCACTTATCCAGTAAATTAGGTATTCTTACTGCCCCCCACCTATTTTTTTTTTTTTACAGGTGAGGAAATTCAAAGATGGAATAAAACATTGTCCAGGACCTTCCGAATTTTGCGGGTGCACAGCCAGGATTTGAAACCTGGACTGGCAGTCTTGGAGAACACACACACCATCAAAACTTCCGTGCACGAGCTACATGGCAATCACTATGCAGTTTTATGTTTTCCATCAGCTATTCTGACCTCCTTCCATGGCACATCAGCTGGAAGTGCTCCTGAGGGCTTACACGGCACTTGTTCATGCCCTGGTGTACCTCCCAGAGCTCTGGCTCATCTTAACACCACTTAGAGATGTTGTTTTGTTTCTCTCCTAACCTGAGCTTCACAACAGCATCGCTTGCAGCCAAGACAAAATGGAATGGTCAGAGAGGAAAATAAGAAACTGGCTTTCCTTTCATACCATGCTGTCCCAGGGGTGGTTTTAGATATGTGTGAAAGAGACTCAAAGTCTGTATTCTTTGAGTTAACAAAACCATGTTACTACCTGTTCAGAAGGAAATAGCAGTGGTATTCATAACAACACAAAGGAAAAAAAATTAAGGCAATTGTCTCGATGAGTTTCCCAGATCATGAAAAGTAAATGTATTTTTCCTTGCATTCTATCCAGGAATATCTGCAACAGTGGAACTCCAGCTAAAATTCAAAGTCAATTCTCAATCCCACTTTGTTACTTTCTTCTTCTACTAAATAGGGAAGTTTATTACTAATGACCCTGGAGAAACAGTCAGGCAGGACCACATATCTTCTGCCTCTGGTCTTGCCAGGCATTGCCAATTCATCACTGCACTTTGTTTCCCTGAGCCCTGACCCAGCCTCACAAGACAGTCACTACAATCAATCAGACTAGATGTGCAAGAGGAAGCAGAGTCTTCACTGCATACCTAGAATAATGCAAACAGCAATATCACAATCAGAGAGTTATCTTTTTCTAAGTGAATATTCCGTCACTGCTGTCTTTGGCACAGTTGCTCTCTCTAAACCTCCTTTTAAAATTCCTTTCTTGTGTTGTTAGGGTCAGGTGACTACAAAAGGTCATGCTTATGAGGATGCATGGATGGTATGGAGAGTTGACTAACCCCCACTGGGAGCAAAGGATCTCCCATTCTCAATCCCCTGTCCTTTCTTCCTAAGCACCTCCTGTTTGAGGAAATTAATATCTCAGTTAGAGAGAATTTGTTTTCATAAAGAAGCAGGAACTTTCTTGGAACTGTAAAGGTACTTCCTTGAAATAATTATTTCTGATTCAGGGCCCCTTTGCTGCTCATACATTCAGAAATCAGGAGCATTTTAACAGGATATTTTCTTGATTAGATGATTTGCATGCAGGTCAATAGAGGGTAGGAGGGTATCTTTTCACCTTTGTACAAAGTTAAGGACAATCTAGTTGGAGATATTAATAGTTTAGTGTTCTGACCAGTCACAGATAAGGAAGAAAATGTATTTGCTGTTGTGAAATTGTGTGTGTGTGTGTGTGTGTGTGTGTGTGTGTGTGTGTGTGCAAGCTGCCAGCACAGTTGCTTAGAGAGGGGACTGGATGTACTGAGAAGAGTAATCTGCTCTCTACATCCCCTTACCTTTATTCTTTCCCCTGGGTATTCTCAGAAGAACAAATTTATAGCCCATAGGTTAATAGGGAGCTATGTGTCTCATTGTAAGTTTCCAATGGCAGCAGAGTAACATGCTTGCTATAAATTGGCAACTGCCTACAATTCAGAGGTTCTGTTCTCAAGATTCACAACTGGTATGGAAAATAAGGAAGTAACTAAATGGAAGAGGCCTCATATTGTTGCTTTATAGGGTGTTTCATTCAGCTGTTCTTCTTGGCTCTTCACAAAACAATAGTTACCTTTTCTTAATAAAAATACTCAAAGAACTAGGAATAAAAGGGAACTTCCTCAACCTGATAAAGGCCATCTGTGAAAAACCCACAGCCAACATTATACTTAATGCTTTCCCCTTAAGATCAAGAAAAATACAAGGATGTCTACTCTTGACACTTCTATTCAACACTGTACTGAGAGTTATATCCAGAATTATTAGGCAATAAAAAGAAATAAAAGACAACCAGACTGGACTGAAAGAAGTAAAACTATTTCTATTCTGAAAAGACATATTCTTATATATAGAAAATCCTAAGGCATCCACTAAAAAACTATTAGAACTAGTAAATAAATTCATCAAGTTTACAGGATACAAGATCAGTGTATTAGTCCATCCTCATATTGCTATGAAGAAATAGCTGAGACTGGGGCTGGGTGCGGTGGCTCATGCCTATAATCCCAGCACTTTGGGATGCCAAGGCAGGCGGATCACTTGAGGTCAGGAGTTCGAGACCAGCCTGGCCAACATGGTGAAAACCCATCTCTACTAAAAATACAAAAAATTAGCTGGGCATGGTGGTGGGCGCCTGTAATCCCAGCCACTTGGGAGGCTGGGGTGGGAGAATTGCTTGAGCCCAGGAGGCAGAGGTTGCAGTGAGCCGAGATAGTGCCACTGCACTCCAGCCAGGGCAACAGAGTGAGACCCTGTCTCAAAAACAACAACAACAACAAAACAAAACAAAACCTGAGACTGGGTAATTTTTAAATAAAAGAGGTTTCATTGGCTTATGGTTCTGCAGGCTGTACAGAAAGCATAGTGGCTTCTGCTTCTGGGGAGTCCTCAGGAAGCTTCCAATCATGGCAGAAGGCAAAGGAGAAGCAAGGCATACCACACGGTGGGAGCAGTAGCAAGAGAAAGAGAAGGGGAAGTTGCTACATACATTTTAACATCCAGATCATATGAGAACTCACTCACTATCCTAAGAGCAGTACCAAGGGAGGATGGTGCTAAACCATTCATGAGAAATCCACCGCCATGATCCAATCACCTCCTACTAGGCCCACCTCCAACCCTGGGATTACAATTCGACATGTGATTTGGTGGAAATACAGATCCAAACCATATCAATCAATCTACAAAAATCGATTGTATTTTTATACACTAACAATCAACATCCTAAAAATAAAATTATGAAAGCAATTCCATTTTCAAAAGCATTTAAAAAAAACAACAACAGCTAAGAACAAATTTAACCAAGGATGTGAAATACTTATGCAGTGAAAATTACAAAATATAATTAAAAGAAATGAAAGAATATTAAATAAATGTAAAACAATCCCCTGTTCGTGGATTAGAAGACTTACTACTGTTAAGATGGCAAAGTTCCTCAACTGATCTACAGGTTCAGTAAAATTCCAGCTTTCTTTTTTTGCAGAAATTGATAAGCTTATCCTAAAATTTATATGAAGATTACCTGGAGTTAGCCTAACTCGAGGTTAAGGACACAGTCCTCTATGATACTGCCCTAACCCAGACACCAGCTGCAAGTTCAGGGGTCCCCAAGTCCATCCTCACTTCTCACAAGCTGGATAAAAATTCGAGTTTCCACAACTGCCTTTGAGTTTGAGAAAGTTTGATAACTTACTGGAATGACTCACAGAACACAGGAAAATGCTATACTTATGACAATGCTTCATTTCCGCAAATAAAGAAGTATTTTAATTATATATAAATTAGAACCAGCCAAAGGAGGAGACACATGAAAAAAAGTCTGAGAGGATTCCAAATGTGTAGCTTCCATCTTCCTTAGGATGTGCCACCCTTTAGGCATTGAAATGTGCTCCTACTCGCTCAAAATGAATTGCCAACCAGAGAAGTTCACCATTGTTTATTTAAGCTTCAGTGTCCAGAGTTCTTACTGAGGCTTCTTTACATAGGTATAATTGATGAAAACATTGGCCACATGGTTGAACTCAATCTCTAACCTCCCATCTCCTCCCCCAAGTCAGGTATGCTGTAATATGGCTCAAAGCCCTAGCCTTCTAATCATATGGTTGGTCTTTCTAGCATGGACCGTCCCCATCCTGAGTTATTTTCTTATCATAAACTATCTACAGACTCATTTTTAGTGACCTTGTCAGCACAAACTAACAGGTGTGGTCCAAAGGCCCACAATGAACAACAAAGAAACTACTATTTTTGAGAAATTCCAAGGGCTCAGAAGTTATCTCCCAGGAATTGAGGACAAAGGCCAGCCACACTCTTTATTATACAGAAAAGGAAAGGACTCATAATATCCAAAATAGTGTTGAAAAAAAGAACAAAAAGGAATCACAATTTTCAATTCCAAAACTTACTGTAAAGCTACAATAATCAAAAGAGTGTGATACTGGTATAAAGCTAAACATAAACCAATGGAATAAAATTGAGAATCCAGAAAATATCCTCACATTTATGGTCAACTGATTTTCTACAAAATCAGGGATGTCAAGACAATTAAATGAGAAAGCACAGTCTTTTTAACAAATAACACTGGGAAAACTGCCTATCCACATGCAAAAGAATAAAGTTGGACCCCTACCTCACAACATATAAGAATTCACTCAAATGGATCAAAGAACTAAATGTGACAACAAAAATTATAAAACACTTAGCAAAAAACATAGGGGCAAATCTTTGTGACTTTACATGATACCAGAAGTCTTAGATATGGCATCAAAAGCAGAGAAAATTGGTAAATTGACCTCAATCAAAATGTAAAACCACTGTGATTCAAATAATAGCATCAAGAAAGTGAAAAGACAAACCACAGAATGGGGAAAATATATGCACATTCTCTGATAAAGAACTTGAATGCATAATATAAAAAGAACACTTATAATCCAACAACAAAACAAATAACCCAATTTTAAAATAAGCAAGGGATTTCAATTGATATTTCTTCAAAGGGTATGTACAAATGACTAACAAGCACATGAAAGGATGCTCAACACCATTAGTCTCTATGGAATTGTAAATCAAAACCACAAGCAGACACTACTTCACAACTATGAGGAAGGCTAAAATTTTAAAAAATGTATTCATGAAGATATGAAGAAATTAAAGGTCTCATACATTGCTGTTTGAATTGTAAAATAGTGCAGCCACTCTGAAAATAGTTTGGAAGTTTCTCAAAATGCTAAATATGTACAAAGTTATCATATGATCCAGCATTTCCACTCCCTGCTGTACACTCAAGAGAACTGAAGACACGTATTCATATAAAAACTTGTAAATGAGTGTTCATGGAAGCATTGTTCATAATTGTCAAAAAGCAGAAACAACCCAAAAGTCCTTCAACTGATAAGCAGACAAACAAAATGTGGTCTATCCACACACAATGGAATATTATTCAGCCGTAAAAAGGAATGAAATACTGATACATGGAACAACATGGTTGAACTTTTAAAATCATTATGCTAAATGAAAGAAGCCAGACACAATAAGCCACATTATATGATTACATTTATGTGAAAAGTCCAAAAATATGCATGTCCGTAGAGATGAAAAGCAGATTAGTGTTGCCAGGGGTTGGAGGAGGAGGCATTGTGGAGCGTCTCTGAAAGGGTACAGAATTTCTTTGTAGGGTGATAAAAATGTCCTACAATGAGACACAGGTGATGGCTGTACAACTTTGTGGATATATTAAACAACAATGAATTATGTATTTTAAAATAGTGTATATTAATTACATCTCAATAAAGCTGATATTAAATAAGAATTGCTTCCTGAGGCAACCATATGTCTTGATTTAGAACATCAACACTGTTTTCATTTCCTTCTTTTTAAAAGAAAATTAACATCATAATGAGAACATTTGTGACTTCTTTATGCACACTGTACATCTCCAGTTTCTGATATCTAGTAGCTCCTATTTTTAGGGTTGATTTCATTTAGAAATAGGAAGCTCTGCTCATGGAAAAACCTGGTTTATTTTAAACCACTTAGCACTCAATAGTATTTTTATAAGAAAAAGATTTGTCCAATTATCGTTTTTTGACCTGTTATCATATGCCAGGTACTACTGTGTTAAGCTCCCAAAAAGTTTTTATAAGAGCTGCAACTTCCCTAAGGGAGTTTATAATGTAATAAAAGAAACAAATGTATTGCACAGGTAGTTACAATATAATGTAAGGTGTGCAATGATGATGGTTTACACAGCACTCTAAAGTAGAAAAAGCAAGATCTTCTCGCTAGTTTTTAGATAAGGTGAAGCCCTAACTAAATCTTATATGAGGAACAAGAGTTACACAGATAAATGAATCTATTCACATAATCTATATATGGAAATGAATTTATTTTGTAGCTCATGAAGTAATTGATAGGTTCTTATCAAGAAAGTGACATGTTGAGATTTCCTTCTAGAAATCTGGCACTCTGGCTTCTCTGTGAAAAATACATTGAGACGGTTAAGAGTAAAGGCAAGAAGAGGAGGGAGGAGTCTATTTCAATGGTCCAGGTGAGACATCATGAAGGCCTGAACTGGGCAAGGGGAGTAGGTGTAGAGCAGGCTTTAAGAAACAATTCGGAAGTATTATTAGGAAGTGAGAAGGATCATAGCTCTATTAAAATTTCCATATTCATAGCAGTTGAGCTCAGCAATCCCATTACTAAGTATATATTTAAAGGAAAATAAATAATTCTACCAAAAAGACACACGCACCTGTATATTTATTGCAGCAGTATTCACAATAGCAAAGACATGGAACCAACCCAAGTGCCCATCAATGCTGGATTGGAAAAAGAAAATGTGGTACAAATATACCATGGAATACTATACAGCCATAAAAAAACACAAAATCATGTCCTTTGCAACAACATGGAAACAGCTGGAGGCCATTGTCCTAAGCAAACTAACACAGAAACAGAAAACCCAGTATGGCATGTTCTCACTTACAAGTGGGAGCTAAACACCGGGCACACATGAACATAAAGATGGAAAAAGTAGACACTGAGGACTACTAGAGAGGGAGAGAGGAAGGGAAGCCAGGGTTGAGAAATACCTAAGGGGTACTGTGCTCACCACCGAGGGACAGGTTCAATCGTGCTCTAAATCCCAGCATCATACAATATACTTTTGTAACAAACTTACACATGTACACCCAGAACCTAAAATAAAAATTGAAAAGAAAAAAAAATAAATGAACGAATGAAATTAATTTCATAAGCACTAAAAAAAAAAGTTATGGTTCAAGTTGAGAGGCCTCCTGCATAGGTATCCCCAAAAGGGAAAGGCAATACAGGAGGAGATGCTGGGTTAGGGCAGAAAAGGAGGGCTTCAGTTGTGGGATGAAGACATGATCAATTACTTGTCCATTTCAAATAGAAATAAACAAGTACATCACAAACAAGTGTAACAATAAAAGGGCAAAATTCTGTATCATTTCATGTATTGACCCTAGGATTACTCTTGTCTCCCTACTGCTTGGTATTTGTGTTCTATGTCTGCTGATTTCTGGCTGATAAGCATGAGTCTTTGTGGAACTCAAACAAATTTACAAGATAAAAACAAACAACCCCATCAACAAGTGGGTGAAGGATATGAACAGACACTTCTCAAAAGAAGACATTTACACAGCCAACAGACACATGAAAAAATGCTCATCATCACTGGCCATCAGAGAAACGCAAATCAAAACCACAATAAGATACCATCTCACACCAGTTAGAATGGCGATCATTAAAAAGTCAGGAAACAACAGGTGCTGGAGAGGATGTGGAGAAATAGGAACACTTTTACACTGTTGGTGGGACTGTAAACTGGTTCAACCATTGTGGAAGACGGTGTGGCGATTCCTCAGGGATCTAGAACTAGAAATACCATTTGACCCAGCCATCCCAATACTGGGCTTATACCCAAAGGATTATAAATCATGCTGCTATAAAGACACATGCACACATATGTTTATTGCAGCACTATTCACGATAGCAAAGACCGACCTGGAACCAACCCAAATGTCCAACAATGATAGACTGGATTAAGAAAATGTGGCACATATACACCACGGAATACTATGCAGCCATAAAAATGATGAGTTCACGTCCTTTGTAGGGACATGGATGAAGCTGGAAACCATCATTCTCAGCAAACTATGGCAAGCACAAAAAACCAAACACCACATGCTCTCACTCATAGGTGGGAATTGAACAATGAGAACACATGGACACAGGAAGGGGGACATCACACACTGGGGCCTGTTGTGGGGTGGGTGGAGGGGGGAGGGATACCATTAGGAGATATACCTAATGTAAATGACGAGTTAATGGGTGCAGCACACCAACATGGCACATGTATACATATGTAACAAACCTGCACAATGTGCACATGTACCCTAGAACTTGAAGTATAATAATAATAATAATAATAATAAAAAGAATGAGTCTTTGTGATAAAACAAAGCAGAATACAACACAGTTTTACTACTCAGAAGCTGTCTGCACGTGCTTTTCTATTTTTCTGAATCTCATTTCTCTGAACAGTCTGCTTATGTCTAATTCTATCATGTTCTCTGTGCTTGCCTCTCCTTTGTTCTCTTTCCTTCTTTAAGAGCCAACTTCCTCTTTCTGCTTCTCCTCCCCCTTTTGTAGTGGACCCATCTGAGGCCTGTGTGTCTGCCTGAGTTCTTTCTACTAGAAACCTGCCTCTTAGTGCTGACTTTAATGCAAGTCAGCAATATAATTCCCTTCCCACCCTGCTATACAGAACCAGAACATTTTACAATACAATGCATCCAGGTTAATTAAAATTAAATCATCATATATAAATGACGACTAAAATAATAAACAGATCTAGTTAGCAACACTGACCTTATTTGATGACTGCCATAAACTCTAATTGAATTAACTTTTTATACTTACCTGGCAGGGGGAGATACCATGATCATAAAGAAACTTGTAGAGTTATACTCTGAGTTCTTTAAAAAGTGGAGCAGCACAATCTAGATGTTAACAGCTCGTTCCAGAGCTACATGGCTTGTTCTGGATGGCAAATGGCCTTGGTTCATCACCACTGAAAGGCAACTTTCTCTGACTAGAAATAGACACTTATTCTAACACTCAGTACAGTTCCTCTAAATATTTACAAGAGAAAAACCATACCCAGTTGAATTTTGCTTCCTATCCCAGAAGGAAGTTTGGGAAATTAAATATAATTAAGCAAACTGATATCTTAGGATGATTATTTGATTCAAGTGAGCTGGGCGAGGCCCTGTGATTGACGGTGTGAAGTGTAATATAGTGAAAAGGAACTGCAATGGGAGTCAGAAAGCCAGGTCTGGAGGAAAAACTGTGTCTCCAGCCAACTGCAATTACCACAGGCCATTCAAACTCATGGATCTGCTCCCTTAAAAATTCCTGCAGCCGGGCGCGGAGGCTCTCGCCTGTAATCCCAGCACTTTGGGAGGCCGAGGTGGGTGGATCACGAGGTCAGGAGATCGAGACCATCCTGGCTAACATGGTGAAAGCCCGTCTCTACTAAAAATACAAAAAATTAGCCGGGCGTGGTGTCGGGCGCCTGTAGTCCCAGCTACTTGGGAGGCTGAGGCAGGAGAATGGCGTGAACCTGGGGGCGGAGCTTGCAGTGAGCTGAGATTGCGCCACTGCACTCCAGCCTGGGCGACAGAGCGAGACTCCGTCTCAAAAAAAAAAAAAAAAAAAAAAAATTCCTGCAAAAGGCAGAGATTATACCTGATAGTTCTACCATCATTTACTTCTGTAATCCATGTATCTGATTCCAGAATCGTGGGTTCAATGCTTTCTCTGTGTCACTATGGTATAGTTGGGAGACAGTACTTCTACTCAGCCTGCCCCTGGGCACTAGGACATGATCAGATGTCAGCCGACTTTTCTATGAGATGATGCTCTATGTGTCTATCTTGATAAGCAGTTATGATGTTTCCAACACAGCAAATAGAAATGTGACCTATGTTTGACCATAATCATAGCTAAATCTCTCTTAGCTAATTAATGTCAATGTTATCTCTTATGCTGTAATTATCAGCATACTGTAATATGTCTAAAAGTTAAATGATTTTGCTTCTCTGGGATGTCTTGTATGGAGGACGGTAGGGAAGCCTAGATGTTGAAGATAGGTGTGATATCCTTGGATTTATTGTGATAGCTCCTCTTACCCTCTGTTTCCCATGATGATTATGAACTTCCCATGATTATGTTTCCCATGATTATGAATTTCCCATGATGATTATGATTATGAAGTTCCAGCCTAGGAACTTCTGCACATTTTAAAGCTCAACTATCTTTTTAAAAATTATGAGGCCAGGCACGGCGGCTCACATTTATAATCCCAGTACTTTGGGAGGCAAAGACAGGTGGATCCCTTTAGCCCAAGAGTTTGAGACCAGCCTAGGCAACATGGTGAAACCCCGTCTCTACAAAAAAAGTACAAAAAATTATCCGGGTGTGGTGGCGGGTGCCTGTAATCCCAGCTACTTGGGAGACTGAAGTGGAAGGATGTCTTCAGCCCAGGAGGTTAAGGCTGCAGTGAACCAAGATGGCATCAGTGCACTCCAGCCTGGGTGACAGAGTGAGACCCTGTCTCAAAAAAGAGAAATGTTTCAGACATGCAAAAGAATATAAAGACTGACATAATGACTACTCTTGTAGTAACCATCACCTTAAGAATGAAACATTACCAATGGAGGTGAGATGCCCATGGCCCCTTCCAGCTGTGTTCCTCTCTTTCTCTGAAGGGCTCATTATCTGGTAGGGCTTTTTTTTTTTTAATTAAATCTTACCTAAAACTCCTTTATGCTGAAGGCATGAAAGCTAAATGTCAGCAAAAATAAGGACAATAAAGATGTTTGAGAGAGAAAAGAATGTTTCATCTGTGATTGTGGATGAGGACCGGCATCTTTAAATACCTGTATCATTTATTTATGGAGGGTCTCACTTAATGATACATCAGAAATATCCTGCAAGGATGGGACACCATGTTTTCAGTCTTTACCCTATTACTAGCTATTCAGATTGTTTCCAGCTCCTTAATAAAGTAAACAATGTTCTAATAATCCTGTGTGTGTGTGGATAGATGGACAGATGGATGGATAGGAAGATGGGTGATAGATAAATATAGATAGATGATAGATAGATAGATAGATAGATAGATAGATAGATAGATAGATCCATCCATCCTAATGTACTGAGGCATTTTATTTCTAATGGAAGGATTCCACCAAAGTATAGGTGCTAGGTCAAACATTGTATGTATTTTTAATTTTAATAGAGATTGCCATAGTTTTCCATAAGCTATTAATTTGAAATTGAAGTTTTCAACATCTGAAGCATGATTATGGAATCTTTGAGTTTCTTGAAACATTTTGAAAACCACTGGACCTAGGATTTTTAGCTATTTTGTTTACCATGTCTGCCTATGTGGCCTTTGAGAAATGTGAAACTCTGTAAAATACCTTGATTATCCTATGATACAAAATAGAGAAAGAAAAATACCGGCTGGATGCTAGAAAATGGAGCTGAGGCCTGACTTCATGTCTTCCTAGACTAAGTTTCTGGTTAGAAAAATGGAAATAGGTCCCAATCGGGGAGGAAATAGAGCATTTATTTGATGCTGCCTTTCAGTACAAGCATTAAAATATGCCAAGTAATGGATGAAAGCCCTTTCTGATTATTTAATGAAGACATGGAATTCTGTGGAGTTCTGCTTCTTATGTGAATAAGAGACCCTCTAGCAATGCAATATTTCAGCTTCCATTTGTGCAAAATTAGATGAAACAAATTACTTTAAAAATAAACAACAACAAAAACCCAAGCTCAGAATCATGCATTCTTCTCAAAAGTAACTTCCTAAAATCAGTGTGAACAAGACTAAATGAAATGAAATAATTGTGAAATAAAGTCTAGAATGTATTCTTTGTGGAAAATTAATTCTAGCTCATAGGAAAGACTCAGTCTTAGTTAACAAATTTGGACAAAATCAGAATGTGCAGCAATTTATATCTGCTGCTCTGGATGTTTGGGTCCCCTTTGAACTCTGGCCTTAAATATTCTGATGGATTTTCTTCATAAGCCCTTAAATTCTCATGGGGTAGACTAATGGCCTTTTCAACAGGCACATGAATTTCCCCTTTTGCAGTCACCACATATGTAGGCAGTACATCTCTAGCAAATCTCCAGACCATCCCAGAGAAAGTAAATCCAGAAAAGAAGAAGGGAAGAGGGGGTGGGGAGGGCAAGAATTGTCCCCTGAGTAAACCTGCAATGCTCAATAGTTAGACTGAATGATGTGGTGGCATTGGAGGCAAAAAAAAAAAAAAAAAGAAAAGAAAAAAACACCTCTAACTTGAACTGCTAAGGTTTTTTAAAGGAAAGAAAAAGAGAGAAGGAAGGAAGGAAGAGAAAGAAAGAAAGGAAGGAAGGAAAGAAAGAAAAGAAAAGAAAGAAAGAAAGAAAGAAAGAAAGAAAGAAAGAAAGAAAGAAAGAAAAAGAAAAAAGAAAGAAAAGAAAGAAAGAAAGAAAGAAAGAAAGAAAGAAAGAAAGAAAGAAAGAAGGAAAGAAAGAAAGAAAGAAAAAAATAATCATGCAAGCAGGCAAACAAACAAAACAAGGTAAAGGGAAATGTTAGGATGCTTTCAATCAAGCCCTTTTAGATCAATTAACACCGTTGTTTATTTAATCTCCAAATTCCATCACATGTGGCAGGCAGGAGTGCTGTTCTTCTTTTCAACTGAAACAATGCAAAACATAGTCTGGATTCAAGGAAATCTTGCCAAAATCCCTGGCAATGTATCACTTTTTTAAGCCCTGTTTTGCTTTTGTGCTCATGGTAACGTTTGCAGCTGTCGAGTGTGGCTTCAGGCTGTCTGACTCCCTTGAGAGAATTTATGTGTTTTTCTACTTCCTTTCCTTATTAGGAGGCAGGAATCTGCGACACCTATTAGAACAAGTATGCATAAAGGGTAATGACCATGAGATTTATTAGTGGTCTGTTCTTCTTCAAATGAGCTCTCAGCCCCTGTTCCGCAAGGGCCATGCCCAGGTTTGAACTGGCCTCTGCTTTCTCGGCAGCAGGTGGGCAGAGTGGCTTTAGTCAAGGGGACGAGGAAAGATGTCGGCCTCTGGGAAAAGCTGGTTCTTTCTTCCACACCAAGGCACGGAAAAGAACCTGGAGTGTCAAGGTTTGGATTTAATGAATATGAAGTATTAGCTGACAAAGGTGAATGGGATCGAAATAGAAACATGAGCTAGATTTTCATAATAGCTCTGTGGCAGGAAAAAGGCTCCCAGAACCCTTTTGTTTTGTTCTTTTTAAAATGGTAGCGTGTGGGGGTAATTTTGTTCCTAGAGGTCTGAGATAGGGGAATGAGCCTTTCCTAGGAAAGCATGGGAATTCTTCTTTCCTCTGTTTCCAAGGAGTAAAAAGGTCGCCATTTGGGGAAAGGGATGACTTTGAGAAGCTAAAAGTGTGCTCATCTGCAGCGGACCCCTCACAAAAACGTTCAAACAAGGAGTCAGGAAAGAAGCTGCAGGTTTTAATAAAATCCACATATCAGCCCGAAAACACTGGGCCAACTACATCTCTGCCCAGCCTCCTGCTAATGTTTGGAGTCCAGACGGAAAGTTCAGGAGAACAAAATGCTTGGGGCCAAATTCATTTTCTGTGAAAATCACCAGTATGTTCAAGAAAACGTAATCCATATGTTTTTGATTCATTCGTCAAAACGTTTCAGTGAGCCACTGGGTGTCCACAAAGCTTGTCAGGTCATTCTTCTTCAAGGCAGAAAACCGTGTTTGGCCATAGAAGGTGGATTCTAACCCCAGAAAGGGCAGGTTCAAATTGAAACTCACTCTCAAGGTGTGAGTGGGCTCTACCTTGAAAAAATCTAATAGGCTCTACTGAGAAATACCAGGAAGAAGAATGAATACATTTTCCTCATGCAGTTTTTAGGCTGGAGATAGTAACTGGGGGAAGGCAAGGGGTCAATGTTCTTTTGAGCTTTTAAGCATGATCAATATTGTGAGATGAAGAAAATTATCTCGGTTACTCTTAGTCTGTTGAGAAAGTTAAAACTTCATAATCAGTTTTGTTTTGTTTTTTCTCATGAACTCTCAAAGATTCTTCTCCCCCCAGCATCTATGATCCCCTACCGGGTAGAGTCATTTTTACATCCCCCTAGTACAGTATCTGACACGTTCTAGTAGGCACCCAATGAATGCTGACCAGAACTGAAACAACAAATATATTTTTTCCTGTACTGATCAATACATAAAGGTTTGCTTCCACCTTGGGTGCAGTTATATCCAATAGCTTGTAGTATTAAAGTCAGAGAATAGGCACTCTGTGTTAAGAAAGTAAAAATGATACATAGACCTAATGGTGCAGATAAGTTGACAGGAAGATAAAGCTAAAAGGTTGGAAAACACATTAATTAGTTCCCCTCCTCTATCTGGGGTCCTCTGGCTTTTTCCATTTGGAGCATGCACTGGAATAAAGAAGGAAGGAACCTACTTCAGGCTTTGTCCAGAGTCATAGCAGAAGGAGAACATTTCATTACGGTGCTTCATGCAACTCACCCAGGTCCCCCGACACATTCACCCTGAACTGCATAAATCTCTCAGTAAGCAGCAAATGAGACCCACGTTTAGATTTCTGACTAAACTTCTGGCTTCTTTTCACATTTTGCGCAGTCATTTCAAGTGAGCTAGCCAAAGCTGCTAATTAAAGAGAGAATGATTTATTTCATAAGTTTTCTTTTCCCTCAGGAAACATAACTCAACTCCAGGCACAGCTAGTTTACCTCGCCCTAGTCAATAAATTACACCCACCTCATTAATAGTTAATTAGGAAAACTGGAAACCCCTTGACAAAACCTCAAGAAGGAAAGGGTCAGCCAGCTCCAAGCCAGAAATGTACAATGAGCCTGATCCGATGCTCCTTTCGTGCTCACAGGCCCAGGTGCCCAGTCCTGAGTGGGAGCCTTGGTTTCTCCCCACATGTTTAGGAAGCTCATTCTGCCCTGCGCTGCCCTCCTACAGTGAACCTTACATGCATGTCATCTTTGTGAGGTAGGGGACAAAAACCCTGTCTTTAACCTTCTTTTATAACTGTTAAGAATTTTTTTTTTAACTATGGCAACAAAAATCTAGAGATCAATTTTCCTTCAATGTAGTATATGTTTCTCCAACAATAAACACATCGCTAAGGTTTAACTTTCAGGAATAAGATACTTTTTTTTCTTTTCATAAAAAAGATCGCAAAGCTCATATACTGCTGACTCAGTCTTTCCATATATAAATATTAACTGGAGGAGAGCCAGACCATGCCAGCTCCCCTAGTTCTCTATATATGGCCAATCAGTGCATTGGTGCAATGCAAGAGGCAGATTTATGTACAATGAGAAATAGAAAACTAAGGTCCACTTATAGTGCCTTGGCATTTCTAAGTATTTCACCAACATGCCACCTAACAGTTATATAAATTTGACTGATATTTCTTAAACTTTAATGTACACACATATGTCTTGAAGGTCTTGTTCAAAAGCAGATTCTGATAGGTCTGACATGGGACCAAAGAATCTATATTTCAAACAGGCTTCCAGATGACACCAATGCTGCCAGTCCTTGGACCACACTGAGTAGCAAGGAACTGGGAAACATCATCCACCTTCCCAAGTTGGCTGGTGGGTCTGAGTACTCGTGTGAACAGGTATAAAAACCAGGTCTCAGTATGCATTATGATTCTCCTCCTATACAAATCATTTTCTAGAACAGGGTTTGGCAAACATTTTCTCTAAAGTGTCAGTTAGTAATTATTTTAGGCTGTGCAGGCCATTCAGTCACTGTTGCAACTATTCAACTCTGCCATTGTAGTGCAAAAGTGACCTTTGAAAATATGTAAATAAATGGGTATGGCTGTGGTTCCAATAAAACTTTATTTATTTCTGAAAGTAAGCAACGGACCAGATTTGACCCATGGGCCTTAGTTTGCCAGCTCCTGTTCTAGAACAATGGTTTCCAAAAGGTTGTGTACTCAGAGCAGTACCCTCCCATACGTGCATATTTATTTATAAATTCTGTATACATCCTACTGCACTAACACAAAAGTGAAACACAAAAGAGGGAAAATTGACATAGAAAATCATATTTCTTTGTTCATTCAGTTGGAGCATCTTGCTATCCCCTGGGTACGCACACTCACCTTAGTGATAGAATTAGAAACTAGTGATGGAGAGAATTTTGAAATACATTTTTCTTGACAAAAGTGATCACATTTCTAAGAGTAGACCTTGGTGTTTTGATGATTTTTTTGCGTTCCAAGACATAGAACAGCTATAATATGTTAAGAGCTGATAGCAAAGACAAGAAAAACAAGCCTTGAATATAATTGTTTTATGCAATCAATACGGTGACACAGTCACTCTGCACCCTTTGGGGCTTATTTGAGCAGTCCTATGTGCCAGGTGCTAAGCTAGCACTCACAATGTTTTATCTTATTTAATACTCACACAGCCCTCTGAGGTAAGTGATTATTGTTGCTGTTTTATAGCAGAGAGAATGGAGACTCAGTACGTTTCTTATTTAGTTAGTTGGTTAGATGGGGTGTAAACGTCATATCGGCCTATTTAAAAAGCCTTTGTCCTTAATGACTGCTATTTATTGCCTCATCAAATAATAATCATTTTCAAAATTTTACTATTTATTTATTCTGTAATGACATCACACTGATGGAAAAATCCCTCTGGTTATAGTGAATGGGTTTGACATACTTCACCCAAACTGCTTCATCCTACCAAGAAGTTGCCAATGAAGGTAACTAGGCCTCTGTGCTGAGAGAGACTGTCATCTAATTTCAACAATATTGTTGGTTTCTAAGAGATTGCTTACTAGCCATAATGTACTAAGAATTCTCATTCATCTGAATAGTTATGTGCTCAAAACCTTCTTATTACTAAAACTCAGTCAGAGATGACAAGGTGAGCCAACTGCCTAAGACTATTTCTATGTAAGAAGGACCTGATTTGTAAGGCAAATAGCTTTACTTGCTTTGCAAGGTTTTCTACAGATCCAAATCAGCCATAGAGAGCCTATCCATATACCTCATTCAGAAGTGAAAGGTTCAAATACAAACACTGACATTTATGTGACAAGGAAGGCCTTAGAGTTATAAACCATGGTTCCACAGTTTAGGAGAGAAGACTATTAGCACATTTTAAAAACTTTTATTTCAAAATAAATGATGCATCAATGTAAGTGCGTGGCAATTATAACCAGTGCATTGATATTCAGACTGAGGATTCTCTCAATAAAACTTGGCCAGTTAATCATGAACTATAAATCAAGAGTAAGAGAATATGTTCAATGAAGAATATTGGGAATAGGAGTGCAGATAAATCTAAAAACAATGAGACCAGAAAATAGGGTGATGAGATCCATATTTTGAATAAAAAATAAGACATATTGTGACAGATATTTCTGCTTTCAAACATTCTTTTTGTCAGGTTGTCCTGGAAAACTTAGGGCAATGATTTCTGTCACTTCAGACATTACTCCTACTTAAACTGTGGTACATTTCACCATTATTGTTTTTTTTTCTCCTGTGCTGTTTTACTTTCCCAATATTTTACCAGTGTCTTTTGGAGTCATTTTCAAAGTAAATAACCAACCTGCCACCCTTCATTTTATTTAATATGCCTTTTAAATACAAAATTCATACTGTATATGGCCTCCTCATTTATATAATTATCCTACCTCAATTATATTGAGATAGGATTTCTTTTTCAAAATATTTTAGTAGAGTTTATGACCTCAAAAATGCTGTCAAAGATATAAAAGCAGGTTATAAGAGCAGGAAATATTCTTATAGAAAACTGTTATATTAAGAACAAGATGCTCTTAATTAGTAAACACATAATAGTAGATGTTTTTGCATTTTTTGCATAAATCAAACATTTAACTACACTACCTTCATAAAATATTTGAGAGTCAAAAAGTAGCCAATTTTCTGATAAGTTGCATGAAAGTAATTACTTAACAGCAATACAGAAACAGTCACCAGCCACGATTAAATGCTATGCCTTGCTTAATAAATGAAAACATAAGTACATACATAGAGACAAAACTTCTACCCTTAAGATCATTATACTACATGACAATTTTGGTACAAAATTCAGGCTTTTTTTTGTTTTATACTTTTGTTTTCAATGAAATTGTCAGTATTCTTTTGGCCACTTATAAATTCTTTTAATAAGTGAGTGTCTCTAATGTTTATTATTATGATTAAGAAGACAATTACTTCTCTAACTTTAAAAATTTTTTTTATTAATGATCTAACAAAAAAAGATGGATTCAGAAAGAAAACTTCAGTAGAGATCAATGTCTAAATGTCACCTGTGCTATAAGTAGAAAAATACTTTTTGATTGTCCAGCATCCCAAATGTCCTTTTTCTTTTTAGGAGAAATCCCTTATTGTATGTGCTGCTGTGGTAATTCTATGCTCTGTATCTCTGTTTGAATTATCTCAGAAGCAAACTGAGAGACAATAAGTTACTTGCAAGGAGTTTACTTTGAAAATGACTCCAAAAGACACTGGTAAAATGGCAGGAAAGTAAAACAGCAAAGGAGAAAAAAACAACAAATGCTGCATTATCAAGCGAGTCATCACTGTAGGCAACAGGAGCTTAATCCTTATGAGAAACTCTGGGAAACAGCCTATAACACAACTCTCAGGGTTTCCACACCAGAAGGATGAGGAAGCTGGGGAACTTAAACATTAACACTGTGATGGTTAATGTTACATGTCAACTTGACTAGACTATGGTGCCCACATGTTTGGTTAAACACCAGTCTAGATATTGCTGTGCAGGTATATTTTTAGATATGACTAATGTTTAAATCACTAGATTTTGAATACAGCAGATTACCCTCCATAATGTCACTGGGCTTTACCCAGTGAGTTGCTAAGGACTTAAGAGAAATTGACTGCCTGCAGACTGCTTCCAGGCTCAAGCTGAAATGTCAGCTCTATCCTGGATCTCCAGCCTGCCCCACAGATTTCGGATTTGTGAAATCCTGTGAACCAACTTACTAAAATATCTCTTCTCTCTGTCTGTCTCTGTCTTCACATACACACACACACACACACACACACAGCCTTTTGGTTTGGCTTCTCTGGATAGCCCTGACTAATACAAATACCCTTGGTTGAGGGCTCCCTCAGGCTAAGGGGTGCAGGTGCTGACAATAGAAAGTGTGGAGGCTTGCAGTGAAATGAGAGGAGGGAATAGTGGCAGGCCACCAATAGTGGCTGTTATACTTTGCCTACCACTGCTGAAGACCAAAAGGGATGAGCCAAAACAATCAGCGGCTAGGGACAGTGGCTTCCAGGGAGTCAGTGGTGGAGTCTATTTATGCAGGAGTCTTATGTCAATAGCAGTGTCTTGGTCTGACCAGGCCTCTTACAAAGTGATTGGGTCCTTGGACTCCCAGAGCAGCCTCATTCTCACCTATTCCTTAATTTCTATTTGCTAGTTTCCTATCAGTTCTATGAGCTATCAGTTGCCTTCCAATGAATTCCAGTCTTTAAAACTAATGACCAGAAACTATGGTTGTTCATTGCAGTAGGGAACTTTGGTATTTATGCTTTTCTAAAACATTTTGATCATTCATTACTGCTCCTAGCTCATATTTAACGCATTCACTTTCGATTTTTAGAGTCTGAATGTTTTAGCCTAGATTATCTTATTTAGGCATAAATCGTTATGTTTAGTAATTTTTTTGAGATATAGGACAGAAACAGATACTAATGTACATTTTATCAGGAAGTGGCAACACTTTAAACCATGGCAGTAAACATGGCAGTGTGTTCGTTTGTTCACTCAATTACAATTTGTTAAAGCATTACTACAGTAATGAGTATTTGGAATATGACAGCGAATTACACCAAGTCCTTGTCCTTACAAAGTTTAGTTTAGAGTGGAAAAAGATTTAAAAAATGATGAAAACAATAACAACAACAAAAACCACAGCATTCTACCATCAGGGAAGAGAGCATAATTTTAAAGGGTTGAATGAAACATTAATTAAACAAATGAGGTATTTCAGCAGAGATGAATAGCATTTTTTACAGTCTCAATTGAGACACTAGAAATTAAAAAACAAATCAGAGTTTTTTGTAAAAAAAGTTTTTTTCTAGGGCCCATGCACAGACTGTACGTTGCCAAGAGGGCAAACATCAGTAAATTTGAAAATAGTTTGAGAGAAATTATTCAAACTGAAACAAACCCAGGAAAAAAGAACTTTATAAACATGAAAGACGAAGAAACGAAGAGGAAAGGAAGAGGAAAAAGAAAAAGGATACGAAGTGCAAGTATACTTCAGGATCAAACTGCTGAAAATCAAAGATAAAAAGGAAATATTAAAGGTAGCCAGAGAAACGCAACAGGAAGAAAGAAAAGAATTACCATAGAGGGAACGGAGGAGCCAAGATGGCCGAATAAGCTCCGGTCTACAGCTCCCAGCGTGAGCGACGCAGAAGACGGGTGATTTCTGCATTTCCATCTGAGGTACCGGGTTCATCTCACTAGGGAGTGCCAGACAGTGGGCGCAGGTCAGTGGGTGCGCGCACCGTGCGCGAGCTGAAGCAGGGCGAGGCATTGCCTCACTCGGGAAGAGCAAGGGGTCAGGGAGTTCCCTTTCCTAGTCAGAGAAAGGGGTGACAGACAACACCTGGAAAATCAGGCCACTCCCACCCGAATACTGCGCTTTTCCGACTGGCTTAAAAAACGGCGCACCACGAGATTATATCCGGCACCTGGCTCGGAGGGTCCTACAACCACGGAGTCTCGCTGATTGCTAGCACAGCAGTCTGAGATCAAACTGCAAGACAGCAGCGAGGCTGGGGGAGGGGCGCCCGCCATTGCCCAGGCTTGCTTAGGTAAACAAAGCAGCCGGGAAGCTCGAACTGGGTGGAGCCCACCACAGCTCAAGGAGGCCTGCCTGCCTCTGTAGGCTCCACCTCTGGGGGCAGGGCACAGACAAACAAAAAGACAGCAGTAACCTCTGCAGACTTAAATGTCCCTGTCTGACAGCTTTGAAGAGAGCAGTGGTCCTCCCAGCACGCAGCTGGAGATCTGAGAAGGGGCAGACTGCCTCCTCAAGTGGGTGCCTGACCCCTGACCCCCGAGCAGCCTAACTGGGAGGCACCCCCCAACAGGGGCACACTGACACCTCACATGGCAGGGTACTCCCACAGACCCGCAGCTGAGGGTACTGTCTGTTAGAAGGAAAACTAACAAACAGAAAAGACATCCACACCAAAAACCCATCTGTACATCACCATCATCAAAGACCAAAAGTAGATAAAACCACAAAGATGGGGAAAAAACAGAACAGAAAAACTGGAAACTCTAAAAAGCAGAGCACCTCTCCTCCTCCAAAGGAACGCAGTTCCTCACCAGCAATGGAACAAAGCTGGACGGAGAATGACTTTGACGAGCTGAGAGAAGAAGGCTTCAGACGATCAAATTACTCTGAGCTACGGGAGGACATTCAAACCAAAGGCAAAGAAGTTGAAAACTTTGAAAAAAATTTAGAAGAATGTATAACTAGAATAACCAATACAGAGAAGTGCTTAAAGGAGCTGATGGAGCTGAAAACCAAGGCTCGAGAACTACGTGAAGAATGCAGAAGCCTCAGGAGCCGATACGATCAACTGGAAGAAAGGGTATCAGCGATGGGAGATGAAATGAATGAAATGAAGCAAGAAGGGAAGTTTAGAGAAAAAAGAATGAAAAGAAATGAGCAAAGCCTCCAAGAAATATGGGACTATGTGAAAAGACCAAATCTACGTCTGATTGGTGTACCTGAAAGTGATGGGGAGAATGGAACCAAGTTGGAAAACACTCTGCAGGATATTATCCAGGAGAACTTCCCCAATCTAGCAAGGCAGGCCAACGTTCAGATTCAGGAAATACAGAGAACGCCACAAAGATACTCCTCTAGAAGAGCAACTCCAAGACACATAATTGTCAGATTCACCAAAGTTGAAATGAAGGAAAAAATGTTAAGGGCAGCCAGAGAGAAAGGTCGGGTTACCCTCAAAGGGAAGCCCATCAGACTAACAGCGGATCTTTCGCCAGAAACCCTACAAGCCAGAAGAGAGTGGGGGCCGATATTCAACATTCTTAAAGAAAACAATTTTCAACCCAGAATTTCATATCCAGCCAAACTAAGCTTCATAAGAGAAGGAGAAATAAAATACTTTACAGACAAGCAAATGCTGAGAGATTTTGTCACCACCAGGCCTGCCCTAAAAGAGCTCCTGAAGGAAGCGCTAAACATGGAAAGGAACAACCGGTACCAGCTGCTGCAAAATCATGCCAAAATGTAAAGACCATCGAGACTAGGAAGAAACTGCATCAACTAACGAGCAAAATAACCAGCTAACATCATAATGACAGAATCAAATTCACACATAACAATATTAACTTTAAATGTAAATGGACTAAATGCTCCAATTAAAAGACACAGACTGGCAAATTGGATAAAGAGTCAAAACCCATCAGTGTGCTGTATTCAGGAAACCCATCTCACGTGCAGAGACACACATAGGCTCAAAATAAAAGGGTGGAGGAAAATCTACCAAGCAAATGGAAAACAAAAAAAGGCAGGGGTTGCAATCCTAGTCTCTGATAAAACAGACTTTAAACCAACAAAGATCAAAAGAGACAAAGAAGGCCATTACATAATGGTAAAGGGATCAATTCAACAAGAAGAGCTAACTATACTAAATATATATGCACCCAACACAGGAGCACCCAGATTCATAAAGCAAGTCCTGAGTGACCTACAAAGAGACTTAGACTCCCACACATTAATAATGGGAGACTTTAACACCCCACTGTCAACATTAGACAGATCAACGAGACAGAAAGTCAACAAGGATACCCAGGAATTGCACTCAGCCCTGCACCAAGCTGTCCTAATAGACATCTACAGAACTCTCCACCCCAAATCAACAGAATATACATTTTTTTCAGCACCACACCGCACCTATTCCAAAATTGACCACATACTTGGAAGTAAAGCTCTCCTCAGCAAATGTAAAAGAACAGAAATTATAACAAACTATCTCTCAGACCACAGTGCAATCAAACTAGAACTCAGGATTAAGAATCTCACTCAAAACTGCTCAACTACATGGAAACTGAACAACCTGCTCCTGAATGACTACTGGGTACATAACGAAATGAAGGCAGAAATAAATATGTTCTTTGAAACCAATGAGAACAAAGACACAACATACCAGAATCTCTGGGACACATTCAAAGCAGTGTGTAGAGGGAAATTTATAGCACTAAATGCCCACAAGAGAAAGCAGGAAAGATCCAAAATTGACACCCTAACGTCACAATTAAAAGAACTAGAAAAGCAAGAGCAAACACATTCAAAAGCTAGCAGAAGGCAAGAAATAACTAAAATCAGAGCAGAACTGAAGGAAATAGAGATACAAAAAACCCTTCAAAAAATTAATGAATCCAGGAGCTGGTTTTTTGAAAGGATCAACAAAATAGATACACCGCTAGCAAGACTAATAAAGAAAAAAAGAGAGAAGAATCAAATAGACGCAATAAAAAATGATAAAGGGGATATCACCACCGATCCCACAGAAATACAAACTACCATCAGAGAATACTACAAGCACCTCTACGCAAATAAACTAGAAAATCTAGAAGAAATGGATAAATTCCTCGACACATACACTCTCCCAAGACTAAACCAGAAAGAAGTTGAATCTCTGAATAGACCAATAACAGGATCTGAAATTGTGGCAATAATCAATAGCTTACCAACCAAAAAGAGTCCAGGACCAGATGGATTCACAGCTGAATTCTACCAGAAGTACAAGGAGGAACTGGTACCATTCCTTCTGAAACTATTCCAATCAATAGAAAAAGAGGGAATACTCCCTAACTCATTTTATGAGGCCAGCATCATTCTGATACCAAAGCCAGGCAGACACACAACCAAAAAAGAGAATTTTAGACCAATATCCTTGATGAACATTGATGCAAAAATCCTCAGTAAAATACTGGCAAACCGAATCCAGCAGCACATCAAAAAGCTTATCCACCATGATCAAGTGGGCTTCATCCCTGGGATTCAAGGCTGGTTCAATATACACAAATCAATAAATGTAATCCAGCATATAAACAGAGCCAAAGACAAAAATCACATGATTATCTCAATAGATGCAGAAAAGGCCTTTGACAAAATTCAACAACCCTTCATGCTAAAAACTCTCAATAAATTAGGTATTGATGGGACATATTTCAAAATAATAAGAGCTATCTGTGACAAACCCACAGCCAATATCATACTGAATGGGCAAAAACTGGAAGCATTCCCTTTGAAAACTGGCACAAGACAGGGATGCCCTCTCTCACCACTCCTATTCAACATAGTGTTGGAAGTTCTGGCCGGGCAATTAGGCAGGAGAAGGAAATAAAGGGTATTCAATTAGGAAAAGAGGAAGTCAAATTGTCCCTGTTTGCAGGCGACATGATTGTATATCTAGAAAACCCCATTGTCTCAGCCCAAAATCTCCTTAAGCTGATAAGCAACTTCAGCAAAGTCTCAGGATACAAAATCAATGTACAAAAATCACAAGTATTCTTATACACCAATAACAGACAAACAGAGAGCCAAATCATGAGTGAACTCCCATTCACAATTGCTTCAAAGAGAATAAAATACCTAGGAATCCAACTTACAAGGGATGTAAAGGACCTCTTCAAGGAGAACTACAAACCACTGCTCAACAAAATAAAAGAGGATACAAACAAATGGAAGAACATTCCATGCTCATGGGTAGGAAGAATCAATATCGTGAAAATGGCCATACTGCCCAAGGTAATTTACATATTCAATGCCATCCCCATCAAGCTACCAATGACTTTCTTCACACAATTGGAAAAAACTACTTTAAAGTTCATATGGAACCAAAAAAGAGCCCGCATCGCCAAGTCAATCCTAAGCCAAAAGAACAAAGCTGGAGGCATCACACTACCTGACTTCAAACTATACTACAAGGCTACAGTAACCAAAACAGCATGGTACTGGTACCAAAACAGAGATATAGATCAATGGAACAGAACAGAGCCCTCAGAAATAACGCCGCATATCTACAACTATCTGATCTTTCACAAACCTGACAAAAACAAGCAATAGGGAAAGGATGCCCTATTTAATAAATGGTGCTGGGAAAATTGGCTACCCATATGTAGAAAGCTGAAACTGGATCCCTTCCTTACACCTTATATAAAAATCAATTCAAGATGGATTAAAGACTTAAATGTTAGACCTAAAACCATAAAAACCCTAGAAGAAAACCTAGGCATTACCATTCAGGACATAGGCATGGGCAAGGACTTCGTGTCTAAAACACCAAAAGCAATGGCAACAGAAGACAAAATTGACAAATGGGATCTAATTAAACTAAAGAGCTTCTGCACAGCAAAAGAAACTACCATCAGAGTGAACAGGCAACCTACAAAATGGGAGAAAACTTTCACAACCTACTCATCTGACAAAGGGCTAATATCCAGAAACTACAATGAACTCAAACAAATTTACAAGAAAAAAACAAACAACCCCATCAAAGAGTGGGCGAAGGACATGAACAGACACTTCTCAAAAGAAGACATTTATGCAGCCAAAAAACACATGAAAAAATGCTCATCATCACTGGCCATCAGAGAAATGCAAATCAAAACCACAATGAGATACCATCTCACACCAGTTAGAATGGCAATCATTAAAAAGTCAGGAAACAACAGGTGCTGGAGAGGAGGTGGAGAAATAGGAACACTTTTACACTGTTGGTGGGACTGTAAACTAGTTCAACCATTGTGGAAGTCAGTGTGGTGATTCCTCAGGGATCTAGAACTAGAAATACCATTTGACCCAGCCATCCCATTACTGGGTATATACCCAAAGGACTATAAATCATGCTGCTGTAAAGACACATGCACATGTATGTTTATTGCGGCATTATTCACAATAGCAAAGACTTGGAACCAACCCAAATGTCCAACAATGATAGACTGGATTAAGAAAATGTGGCACATATACACCATGGAATACTATGCAGCCATAAAAAATGATGAGTTCATGTCCTTTGTAGGGACATGGATGAAATTGGAAATCATCATTCTCAGTAAACTATCGCAAGAACAAAAAACCAAACACCGCATGTTCTCACTCATAGGTGAGAATTGAACAATGAGATCACATGGACACAGGAAGGGGAACATCACACTCTGGGGACTGTTGTGGGGGAGGGGGGAAGGATAGCATTGGGAGATATACCTAATGCTAGATGACAAGTTAATGGGTGCAGTGCACCAGCATTGCACATGTATACATATGTAACTAACCCGCACAATGTGCACATGTACCCTAAAACTTAAAGTATAATAATAAAAGAAAAAAAAATTAAAAAAAGAATCACCATAGACTTCATATTGTAAATTATGCAAGCTGAAAGACAATGCGTAGATGTCTAAAATAAACAAAAACTTTCAACCCAGAATGTTATACCCAGCAATAACATCTTTCGACTATGAAGGTGAAATAAAGACTTTTTCAGCAAACAAAAGCTAAGATAAATCAGTTCTGGCAACCTGAATTATAAGAAATGTTAAGCAATGTTTTTCAGACAGAAGGAATATGATACCTCATACAAATATGAATCTAAACAAAGAAAGGAAGAGTGCTGAAAATGATTGAAAATGAGGGCAAATAATAAAGAAATATTTTCTTACTTTTAATCCCTTTATACAATAATTTATTATCTAAGGCAAAAATAATAACCATGTATTATGGTATTTAGAACATACATAGGCATTAAGAATAAAATGTGTAGTAAAAAATTGAACAGATGCTAGGAGGTTAAACCTGGAAGTACTCAATTAGGAGACTCTCAGACTATACTTGAGATTCTATAATACTTTTGAAGGTAAGAAGTAATATATTAAAGATATAAATTGTAAAACTTAGAGCAACCACTAAAAAGATAAATATTCCATTAATCCAAAAGAAGGCAAAAAAGACTTTGAGAGGAAAAAAAGAATATATAGGACATAAAAACAAATATAATGATAGATCTAAATCTAATCCTATCAATGATGACACTAAATGAAAATGATCTAAAACCATTTAAAAGGCAGGAAATAGCAGAGGTGACAAAAGAAAAATAGCTGAATTGGAATTTATCAAAATCAAAAACTCCTATGCTTCAACTAACACCATCAAGAATGTGAAAAAACAACATACAGAATGGGAGAAAATATTTGCAAATTATATTTTTGATAAAGATCCTGTATCTAGAATATATAAAGAGCTTTTAGAACTTAACAATTTAAAAAGACAGATGACTCAATTTTTAAAAGGGAGAAAGGGCTTGAATAGAAATTTTTCCAAAGATAATATACAAATGACCAAGAAGCACATGAAAATGTGTTCAATATCAGTCATTGGGGAAATGAAATAAAAACCATAATGAGATATTACTTCACACCCACTAGGATGGCTATAATAAAAAAAGATAGTGCTGACAAGCATATGGAGAAATTGGAACCCTCATATACTGCTGGTGAGAATGGAAAATGACACAGCCACTCTGAAAAACAGTTTGGAAATTTCCCAAAATATTAAACAAAGAGTTATCATATAACCCACCCGTTCTGCTCTTAAGTATATACCCAAGAAACTGAAAATATGTGTCCACCCAAACGCTTACACACAAATGTTCTTGGTAGGATTATTCATGATATCACAAATTGGGGACAAGCCAAATATCCATCAACTGATGAAAGGATAAATAATGTATAATATATTCTTACAATGGAGTACTATTAAGCAATAAAAAGGAGTGAAATACCAATACATACTACAACATAGATGAATCTTGAAAACATTACACTAAGTGAAAGAAGCCAGTCACAAATGGCTACATATTGTATGATGCCATTTATACAAAACCTCCAGAATGAACAAGTATACAAAATTGATTCTTGACTGCATAGAGCTGGTGTGGGAGGGAGAATGGAGAGTGACTGCTAATGGGGACAGTTCTGGGGGGAAATGATAAGAATGTTCTAAAATTGGACCATGGTGTTGGTTGCACAACTCTGAGCTATAATAAAAACCATTGACTTGTAAACTTTAAAAGGGTCAATGTTATGGTCTGTAAATTATATCTTTATAAAGGTGTATTGTTTTGTGATATATTTTTATTTTTCATTTTTAAAAACTTCATCTTTTATTTTAGATTCAGGGGGTATATGTGTTGGTTTGTTACAGAGATATATTGCGTGATGCTGAGGTTTGGGGTATGGTTGATCCTATCACCCAGGTCGTGAGCATAAAACCCAATAGGTAGTTTTTCAACCCTTGCCCCCTCCCTCCCTCTGCTTTCTGGTAGTCCCCAGTGTCTATTGTTCCCATCTATATGACCATGTGTACCTAATATTTAGCTCCCACTTATAAGTGAGAACATGTGATATTTTGTTTTCTGTTTCTGCATTAATTTGCTTAGGATAATGACTTCCAGATGATCCACGTTGCTGCAAAAGGCATGATTTTGTTCTTTTTTGTGTCTGCATAGTATTCCATGGTGTATATGTACCACAGTTTCTTTATCCAATCCACTATTGATAGGCACCTGGGTTGACTCCACATCTTTGCTATTGTGACTAGTGCTGCAATGTACATACAATGTATGTGTCTTTTTGGTAGAGCAATTTATTTTCTTTTGGATATATACCTGGTAATGGGATAGCTGGGTCAAATGATAGTTCTATTTTTGGTTCTTTGAGAAATCTCCAAACTGCTTTCCACAGTGGCTGAATTAATTTACATTCCCACCAACAGTGTGTATGCATTTCCTTTTCTCTGCAGCCTCACCAACATCTGTTATTATTTAACTTTTTTATAAAAGCCATTTTGACTAGTCTGAGTTGGTATCTCATTGTGGTTTTGATTCACGTTTCTCTGATGATCAGTGATGTTGAGCATTTTTTCATATGTTTGTTGGCTGCTTTTTTGTCTTCTTTTAAGAAGTGTCTGCTCATGTCCTTTGCCCACTTTTTAATGAATTTATTTGTCTTTTCTTGTTGAATTGTTTAAGTTTCTTATAGATTCTGGATATTAGACCTATGCTGGGTGCATAAATTGTGAATATTTTCTCCTATTCTATAGGTTTTCTGCTTACTCTGTTGACAGTTTCTTTTACTGTGCAGAAGCTCTCTGTTTTAATTAGGTTCTGTTTGTCAGTGTTTGTTTCTGTCACAATTGCTTTGGAGGACTTAGTCAAAAAGTCTTTGCCAAAGCTGATGTCCAGAAGGGTATTTTCTAGGTTTTCTTCTACGACTTTTATAGTTTTAGGTCTTACATTTAAGTCTTTTTTTAAAAAAAACTTCTGTTTTAGGTTCAGGGGTACATATGAAGGCTTGATACATAGGTAAACTCATGTCACAGGGATTTGTTGTATAAATTATTTCATCAAACAGGTGTTAAGCCCAGTACCCAATAGTTATCTTTTCTGCTCCTCTCCCTCTTCCCACCCTCCATC
The DNA here is from genome assembly GCF_000001405.40 of Homo sapiens. Classification (NCBI taxonomy): domain Eukaryota; kingdom Metazoa; phylum Chordata; class Mammalia; order Primates; family Hominidae; genus Homo; species Homo sapiens. The sequence continues at coordinate 87,051,044 of NC_000009.12, forward strand.
CTCAAGTAGACCCCAGTGTCTGTTGTTTTGTCCTTTGTGTAAATGAGACCCAGCAATCCCATTACTTCGTATATACCAAAAGAAATATAAGGCATTCTACCATAAAGACACATACACATGAATGTTCATTGCAGCGCTATTCACGATAGCAAAGATATGGAATCAACCTAAGTGCCCATCAATGACAGATTGGATAAAGAAAATGTGGTACATATACATCAAGGGATACCATGCAGCCACAAAAATTAGCAAGATCATGTCTTTTGCAGAGCATGGATGGAGTTGGAGCCCATTATCCTTAGCAAACTATTGCAGGAACTGAAAAGCAAATGCTGCGTTTAAGTCTTTAATCCATCTTGAATAAATTTTTGTGTATGGTGATAGGTAGAGGTACAATTTCATTCTTCTACATATGGATAGCCAGTTATCCCATCACCATTTATTGACTAGGGAGTCCTTTCCCCATTGCATAAAACTGTATTTTTAAAAAGGCAGACTGTCAGATTGGTTGTAAAAGCAAGACACAACCACATGCTATCTACAGGAAAGCACTCTAAATATAAACAAGTCAAGTGGTGGGTGATGAGACTGCAGAGGTAAACAAGATTATATACAACCTTGCATGCTCCACTGAAGAGCTTGCGTTTTATGTCCAGGGAAATAGGGATTTTACAGAAAGGTTTTAAATAAAATAGTAAGTTATAAGCCAGGTCAGTACTAGGGTGGGACAAACCAGGAGCCTAGCAAAACGTAAGGCACCATTCACTCTCTGGCCATGTATATGCAGGGGCAGCCCCCAGTTATGAGCACCCCCTTAAATGTTGTCTCCCAGTGCCTCGCTTGCCTCACCCTGGCCTGACCCTGGCAACAAGCTCCCAGCTTTAGAAACGATGCTCTCCACACTTTACCATGTGAGAGTAGATTCAAGGAGTGAAAATCAGAGGTAGGAAGATCGCTAGAAGGTTTATTCATTTATTGTACATATTTAAGTACTGGCTACGTGATAAAGATAAAGCCACACTTTCATGGAGCCTGCATTCTGACAAGGGCAGGGGAAGATGGATAATGAACACCAATACATAAATTAGATAATTTCAAGTGTATGATAAGTGCTAAAAACCCGCAAACTAGTATATTCTGAGAAATATATTTATTACTTTAATCTTAGACTAATGTATCTCTATTTCTGTGTGACTAATATTTTTCTAAAGTTTTTTTAAATAAACTTATTTTTATTCATACAAATGCCTACCATCTTAAACTTTGCCTTTTATGGTTGATAAATTTGAAATTCAAATAACTCATCTGTTGATGAGATAAAAATAACTCTTACCTTGAAATGAAGGATATTTTTAGTTCTACTTCACATCTGGTCTTTCTTGTTATGGAAATGTATAAATGTTTTAACCTGACTCCTGAGGCGGCTCCACCAACAGAAGAACTGAGCAAATGGTTAAATGATATCATCAGATACTTTGGATAGAAAATCAACCAAGTCAATTCCAATAATTGTTTGATTTTTTTTTTCATTCAACTTATGGAAACAAAGTAAAGCTTTTAAAAACTTCATCCTAAGATAAACCATATGTTATTATCACGAATACTATTGAAATTTACTTAAAACGCTCCATATTGAAGATAAAAATATTTGTTTTTGTGATGATACCATGAATACAGATTTTGGTTGGAGTGCAAATTAATATCCCATCGCTGCTGTAACAAATCACCACAAACTGGCTGGGTGTGGTGGTGCATGCCTGTAATCCCAGCACTTTGGGAGGTCAAGGCTGGCGGATCACTTGAGGCCAGGAGTACAAGACCAGCTGGCGCAACATGGCGAAACCCCGTCTCTACAAAAAACACAAAAAATTCAAAAAATTAGCCGGGCATGGTGCTGTGCTCGTGTAGTCACAGCTACTCCGGAGGCTGAGGTGGGAGGATTGCTTGAACCCTGAAGGTGGAGAGTACAATGAGCCGAGATCATGCCACTGCACTCCAGCCTGGGTGACAGAGCAAGACCCTATCTCTAAAAAATAAGAAGAAAAGGGAAAATTTTTTTAAAATAAAGAAAAAAACCCCAAAATTACCGTAAACATAGTGGGCTTAAAATAACACACTTCTTTTTTTTTTTAACCTTACAGTTCTATAGGTCAGAAGTCTCACTGGCCTAACCTTGAGGTGACATCATTGCTATATTTCTTCTGGACGCACTAGGAGACAATCTGTTTCTTTGCCTTTTCCAGTTTCTAGAGGCCATCTTTCCCCTTGGCTCATGGTCCCTTCCTTCATCTTCAAAGCCAGCGGTGTAGCATCGTAGCATCTTCATGTCTCCTTGGGATAAGATGGGGCTCTCCTGGATGATTCAAGGTAATCTCTTAATCTCAACAGCTACAAATTTAGTAACATCAGTCCAATCTCATTCACCAGATAAGGTAACATATTCATAGGTTTCAAAGATTAGGGTGTGACATCTTGTGGGGGAGGGTCATTTTCCTGCCTACCACAAAGTGTTGTAGTAAAAGTACTGTTTTCAGTAAGTTAAGAAGCATATGAAGCAGAAATATACAGGGAAAAGTTGGATGTACATATAATTCATTATTTCACAGTCTTCTTGAAATAATCACTGAGATGTTGAAGTAGACACAGATGCTTCTTCAGCTGCATGGTGTCTTCTGGGGTTCACATGGTCTTTGGTATCACTATGTTCCCTGTGATGGTGGATACTGACATTTTGTGTAAGTTGCACATTTATCATCAACTTTTTTGAGACATGGAAATGAAGTACCTAATTTGTCATGAAACACTCCTTTTCAGTTTTCTAAGCTTATTGCTGCTGAAGGGATGTATTGAAAAATAAAAATGTCTTGCTAAACAGTGCAGTACACACATAGCTGGAGATTGATATCACACAATAAATGACAAAAATCCTCTAGCAAGAACCCCTGTCTTTCTCTACACCTTCTATGATAGACTTGCTAAACTTGTATTTCTCCAATATACACACGGTGTATAACTTCCCCCATTTTGCTTATTCTGCAGATTAATGGCCTGGTAACTTTTTGTGTCTTGCAGGCTGTGATGCAGGCCATGGCACAATTGACTAAGGCACCAAGTACTAGGCAGAGACTTCACCCACCACCACCCAATAACCAGGAAGAGTTAGTTGCCTATACACACTTTGTTTTAATCAGTGAGCCCCCTGCATCTATACTTGAAATATAGGTGTTAGGTTGCTTCTGGAAAAGATCAGAAAAAGACTGCGTCTTAGGACACTCCAGCAAAATACCATAAACTAGGCTCATAAACAACAGAAATTTATTTCTTACAGTTCTGGAGGCTGGTAAGTCCAAGATCAAGGTGCTGGCAGATTCAGTGTCGGGTGAGCCCACTTTCTGGCTCATAGATGGAGCCTCCCTGCTATGTCCTTACATGATGGAAGAAATTAATGAATTACTCTGGGCCCCTTTTATATGGACATGGATCACATTCCTGAGAGCTCTCTCCTCATGACCTAATCACTTCCCAAACACCCCACCTCCTAATACTGTCACCTTGAGGGTTAGGATTTTAACATATGAATTTTGAGAGATGTCAACATTCAGGCCATAGCAGAGGATAATCCCTAGAGGTCTTTCAGATTTAATTAGATGTTAAAGTGCTTTTAACTGCACATGATCCTCACAGGTTACTAGACAGGTGATGCTATGGCAAAAGCTGAAAGAACAAAATGCAGGACAACTAAATATATCTCAGATAAGTTATTGCCTCTACTACTGACAATATTCTGTCAAAAAAAATTCTGGGCCAAATAATACATTAAACAGGATGTCAGAACAAGAAGCATAAGAGGGGACTGGCCCTGGGCCAAGTGAGATTTATGATTATCTTCACTAGGTGGTCACAATTTGCCTAGGGGGACACAGGTGGGCAGAGTCCTGAATGCAGAGAAGGTGCGTGTGCCACAGTGACCTTAGGGAGAAGGGTGCAAGCCGAGGTACAGTAAATGCAAACATTCTCAACAAGAAGACCAGAGAGAAAAGGAGGTGGGAGGGGCAGGAAATACAGGTAGAGATGCAACACAGCCAGATGGTACAGGGTTTAGGAGAATTCCAAAAGAGATTGGTTCCATGTATAGTGAGATCATGTGCTATTTGATCTGGTTTATTTCAATCAGTAGAATGTCTTCCAGGCTTACTCACATTGTAGCAAATGACAGGATTTTCTTTTTTTTTCGTGTGGCTAAATAACATTCTATTGTATTTTCTTTATCTATTCATTCTTGGATTGACACTTAGATTGTTTCCACATCTCTGTTATTGTGAATAATGTTGCAATGAATATGAGAGTGCAGATATCTCAAGATACTGATTTCATTTCCTTTGGAAATATACATAATAGTGGAATTGCTGGATTATATTTCAGTTCTATTTTTAATTTTCTGAGTAACCTCCATATTGTTTTCCATAATGACTGCACCAATTTATATCCCTGCCAACAGTGTACAAGGGTTGCCTTTTCTCCACACTCTTGCCAACACTTGTTATCTCTCATTTTCTTGGTAATAGCCAGGTGTGAGGTAATAGCTCATTGTGGTTTTGATTTGCATTTTCCTGATGATTAGTGATGTTGATCATTTCTTCATGTACCTGTTGTACATTTATATGACTTCTTTGGAAAAATACCCATTCAGGTCCTTTGCCCATTTGCTAATCAGATTATTTGTTTTTGCCTTTTTCCTTTTTTTTTTTTTTTTTTTGAGTTGGGCAGTTTTTTATTTTTTATTGAGTGGGGCAAGTTCCTTATATATTTTGTATATTAAACCCGTATTAGATATTATGGTTTGCAATATTTCTCCCATACTATAAGTTACCTTTTCATTTTGTTAATAATTTCCTTAGCTGTACAGAAGCTTTTTATTTTAATGTAGGCCTGCTTGTTTATTTTTGCTTTTGTTGCTTGCGCTTTTGGTGTCACATGGAAAGAAATCAGTGCCAACATCAATGTCAAGAAGCATTTTCTCTATGTGTTTTTCTAAAATTTTATGGTTTCAGATTTCATATTTAAGCTTTTAATCCATTTTACATTGTGTATGGTGTAAGACAAGGTCCAATTCATTCTTTTGATAATAGATACCCAGTTTTCCCAACCACATTTATTGAAGAGATTGTCCTTTTCCTGTTGTGTATTCTTGGCACCTGTGTTAGTCTATTCTCACACTGCTATAAAGAAATACCAGAGACTGGGTAATTTATAAAGAAAAGAGGTTTAATTGACACAATTTTGCATGGCTGAAGAGGCCTCAACGAACTTACCATCATGGCAGAAAGCGAAGCAGAAGCAGGCACCTTCTTCACAAGGTGGCAGGAGAGAGTGAGTGCCAGCAGGGGAAATGCCAGATGCTTATAAAACCATCAGATCTCATGAGAGCTCACTCATTATTGTGAGAACAACATAGAGAACACTGCCCCCATGGTTCAATTACCTCCACCTAGATCCTCCCACAACACCTGGGGATTATGGGGATTACAATTCAAGATGAGATTTGGGTGGGGCGCAAAACCCAAACGTATCAGCACCCTTGTCAAAGGTTATTTGCCAATATATGCATGAGTTTATTTCTGAGCTCTCTATTCTCTTTTATTGGTTTATGTGTCTCTTTTTATGCTAACACAATACTGTTGATTTCTATAGCTTTGTAATATAGTTTGAAACCAGGGAATGTGATGCCTACAGCTTTGTTCTGTTTGTTCAAGATTGCTTTGGCTATTTGAGATCTTTTGTGGTTTCATACAAAATTTAGAATTGTTTTTCCTATGTCTGTAAAAATGACAGAATTTTGATAGAAATTGCATTCAATCTGTAGACCACTTTGGGGAGTAAGGACATTTTAACAATATTAATTATTCCAACCCATGAGCATGAAATGTCTTTCCATTTATTTGTGTTGTTTTCAGTTTCTTTGATCTTACTTCTATGTGGAATCTAAAAAAGTCAAACTCATGGAAGCAGAGAGTAGAATAGTGGTTACCAGGGGCTAGGGTGGAGGGGGAGAAATGAGGAGATGTTGGTTACAGTGTACTAACTTTGGGTTATAAAATAAATAAGTTCTGGGGATCTAATGTGTAGCATGGTGACTATAGGTAGTTAATAATTCTGTGTTGTTTATTTGAGATTTGAAAAGAAAGCAAATTTTAAGTGTCCTCACCACACACACAAATGATAACTATGAATGGTAATGGATGTGGTATTTAATTTGACTGTGATCATCAGAACACAATGTACATGTATTTTAAATTACCAAATTTTTCATCTTGAATATATATAGACATTGTCTCTCTCTCTATATATATATATAGTAGTTATTCTAACATTTTTAATTTTTAAATATTTAATTGATAATTTTGTTGATTAAATATTTAAAAATTTAAAATGTTAGAATGTCTATTAATATTATGCATCACAAAATAAGGTTCAACAAGAAATGCTTTCTCAAAGAATTTCAAAAAATTCAACAGCAATTCCTTATTTCAAAAGCTCTTAGAAAATAACACATTTTAAAGTAGTAAAATATTTTAATAAATAAAAATTACAACATTTGGCTAGGGGATATTAAAAATATTTGAAACAATGAAAATGTATAATCTTTTCCTGAATTGATAAAACTGAATATTAAAACATGTTATTTCTCAGAATTGACAGACTTTTCACTCAACTTAAAAAGCCAGACACCTTCTTATAACTTAATAAAGTGATTCTAAAGTTCATTAAGACTTGTTTCAACTAATTACATTTTTTGCAAGAGTATCATATAAAGAAATAATGTAGATGAGTGGAACAGAAAATTCTACAACCACATGGATTTATTATTTAATAACAGTGATATGTGATATTACACCTTAAAAAAAAAAGAGACTCTATTTTATCCTAAGTGTATGGAAAGCCATTGGAAGAGTTTAAACCGGAGACTAATATAGTGATTTACATTTCAGAATGATCATTTGGTTATTTTACAGTGAACAGTCACCAGGTGGTGGCAAGAGTGAATGCAGAAAAAACAGGGCAGTCATTCCAGTATTGGAGGCAAGGACTGGTGTGGGAGCAATGCAGAGAGGGAGAAATGTTCAGATTGGGGATAGATTTTACAGGTAGGCTTTAGGGAATTTGCTTATGGATTGGATGTGGGTGGGGAAGATTTGAGGAGGCAAGAAGGACTCCAAGTTATTTGCCATGAGATTCTGGAGTGGATGATGGTGCCATTTACTGAGATAGGAAAGCCAGAGGTTGCAGCAGGGTTTGCGTACTTGTTTGTTGTTTTGCTTTGGGGTAGGAAAAAACCCAAAAACCCAAATCTGTTTGTTTTGTTTCTGTTTTTTTGTTTGTTTGTTTGTTTTTGAAACAGAGTCTTGCTCTGTCGCCCAGGCTGGAGTGCAGTGCTGTGATCCCCGCTCACTGCAAGCTCCACCTCCCAGGTTCATGCCATTCTCCTGCCTCAGTCTCCCGAGTAGCTGGGACTACAGGTGCCCACCACCACACCCGGCTAATTTTTTGTATTTTTCGTAGAGACGGGGTTTCACCGTGTTAGCCAGGATGGTCTCAATCTCCTGACCTCATGATCCACCCGCCTCAGTCTCCCAATCAAAAACCCAAATCTGAACAAACAACGATAGCGTACTTAGACAACTGGGTGTGGCTGATAGCATTGGTAGAACTTGTGGATGGGCATGATGCTGGGGAAAAGGTGACATGGAGTAAAAAAATCAAGAAAACATCATGTCTGCCTCAGGCATGTCGTAGACAGCCACAACACGGGAGTCTGGCTCAAACTTGTGAATTTTCAAGCACGCCTGATATACTCAGGTGGAAAAGCTCTAGATAGTTTTGAAGTTAAAAGCTCTGAAGCTCAAGGGAGATAGCTTGATGGATTGGAGAAATTTAGGGAGATCTCAGCATAAATGGGGGAGAGAGGGGATAGCCTGGGAGTTTATAGTCTAAAATGGGAGGAAGGGATGAAACATTGTGGGGAAAGGAGGATTCCTGATGGGGCCTGAGCACTCAAGCCCTTGTGAAGTGATATAAGGCCACTTCCAGCCTTGGAAAGGGGGTGATCTGGTTTGGCTGTGTCCCCTCCCAAATCTCATCTTGAATTGTAGCTCCCATAATCTCCACATGTCATGGGAGGGACCCAGTGGAAGGTAATTGAATCATGGCGATGAGTTTTTCCCATGCTGTTCTAATGGTAGTGAATAAGTCTCAAGAGATCAGATGGTTTTATAAAAGTCAGTTCCCCTGCACATGCTGCCTTGCCTGCTGCCATGGAAGACATGCTCTTCCTTTGCCTTCTGCCATGATTGTGAGGCCTGCCTAGCCATGTGGAACTGGGATTCCATGAAACCTCTTTTCTTTATAAATTACCCATTCTCAGGTATTTCTTCATAGCTGTATGAAAATGGAACTAATACAGGGGAGAGAGAAGAAGGGGTGGGGAAGAAGAGAAAGATGATTGGGAAAATTGTGTTACTTCACCAATTTGCAAAGGGCTAGCTTTTAAGCAGAGATGACAGATGACATTTATGAGTGCTTCTTAAACTGTTCTTAGCATTCCCCTTGGGCCTACTGATTTGGAATCTTCTGGAGCAAGGCAGGGAATTGGCAGTTGATTTCTCTGATGGACACTAAAGCTCGTGAATGATAATGCCGAGTTTCAGATGCCCATGAAGGTCTCAGGTCCTCACGTGAATGGCTTGTGCTGTTCATACTTACACACAGTGGAGCTCTGTGCTGTTGGTTCATGCTTCTAGATCATGCCACAAAAGCCTGTCTTAGTCCAGTGAGTCCTGAACCCATTTGATCATGAGGCTCATCTGGAACTCTTGTTAAAACACAGATTTCCAAGCCAAGTTCCTAGAAATTCTGATTCAGTCATGCCAAGGTCTGTGTATTTAACAAGTTGTCCCCAGGTGATTCTCGTGATCCAGCAAGGTTGGGAAACATTGCTTTAGTCAAAGTTTTTTTCTGTCTCATATGTGAAAATCTAGGAGCAGATCAGAAGCAAAGGGCAAACAAAACCCCAGCTGAAGAAGCAAAGTAATTCCCAAAGTCTTCCAGATGTTTCCCTGTTTGTGAAGCAAATTCTGGTTTCATTAGCGGCCTCACTTTCATTTATGCTTCTGGTTGAGTTAACCATTCAGATAATAGAGTTCTATGCAGAGACAACGTAGAGAATTATCACTTAGATTATCAAGCAAGAAACAAAAAAGCAGGATGCAAGAGAGGTAGGAGAAGGAAGGAAAGTAGGGAATTCTAAAATCATTTTATTAAAGAGTAACTAGAATAGATTTTGTTTTGTTTTGAGACAGGGTCTCACTCTGTCACCCAGGCTGGAGTGCAGTGGTGTGATCATGCCTCACTGTAGCCTCTACCTCCCAGGTTCAAGTGATCCCCCCACCTCAGAATCCTAAGTAGCTGGGATCACAAGCACACGCCACCACACCTGGCTAATTTTTCTTTATTTTTTTGTAGAGACGGAGTTTTGCCATGTTGCCCAGACTAGACTCGAACTTCTGACCTCAAACGATCCCCCTGCCTTGGCCTCAAAAAGTGTTGGGATTACAGGCATGAGCCCCCACACTCAGCCTAGAAGAGATTTTGACATGATATAATATTATAGTATCTCTATATAGTTCCTTCCTCATGTCAATTTCCCAAATAATTTCTCAGCTTTCTTATAGAATTATGGATCTAGTTTATAACTCATTAATTAATTTACAATTCATTGCCTAACACAATTAAACAAAGGGATCTACTAAGCCTTCTCAAATCTATACTGTTTTGCTCCAACTTTCCTCCTTCCCCATGAAATATGCATTTGGGAGTTGATTAAAATACCCATCTCCCACCACTCTACTCAGTTCCTGCTTCAGATATCAAATGTTCAGCTACTGAGATTGAATAGCACAGGAAGCAGAATTGACTTGTTTCTGAATCCATTTGACTCTTAAGTTTCAGAGAGCAGGCAGCAAATCTTTGACTGCAAGGAATTTATTCAAAAATTTCTTTTCATTTTTACTACAGAGTTAGAAAGCTCAGCTACTGAGTTCAAATGGTGAAAATTTGGAGAGCAAGAGTTGAGAGAGCAAGAGATTACCACAATGTTATCATTAGTGCGGAACACAGCACCATATCAGCAAGCATTCTACATACAGTAATGTTTGAGACCTGGGTCAGATTTGTCAGTTATTAAATATTTGAGAAAACAACAAAAGATTGTCATCTCTAAAACATTCTTTTTTTTCTAGCTGCAGCTTAAAAATCAGGCATTGGGTTGTTTTAAACATGAATGAACATGGAAAGAAAACATAGATATTTAGCATATTATGGCTCCTGACACCGTCCCCGGGGCACTTTCAGTAACCACAACACAGGGACCCTGTAACCTTGAGCTTCAACCATGTTTGAAGACTGCATAAAGGGGTCTTCTACTCAACCTAATCTTAGACTTGGGATTTTCATGATGCTTCCCTTTCACCTTCTCCTTTAAAATCTTTTTATCAATACCTTGTCTCGTTTTCACATATAATATTCTTTACACATGCCCAGCTATTTCTTTATTTTCTTTTTTAAAAAGAGTAAATGCAAATAATAATCTTCTGTTTTAAAACCTTCTCGGTTTTTGAGCCTATCTATCTGGAATTATAGAAATACCCTGTCAGTTTGGTTTCCAAGCCTCCTGCAGAGTGAGACAGGGTCTCACCCTGTCCCAGGCTGGAGTGTAGTGGTGTGATCACGCTTCCCTGCAGCCTCTACCTCCCAGGCTCAAGTGATCCTCCCACCTCAGAATCCTAAGTAGCTGGGACTATGGGTGCATGCCAGCAAGCCTGGCTAGTTTTTCCTTATTTTTTGTAGAGACGGGGTTTTCTGTGGACCTCTCTGGGCATTCTGGTTGCAGTACATTTAGTAAAATGCAGCACAGAACGATGTGTGAAATGCACCTGCTGATGTTGGATGCTACACATGCACTGCTAAGAGTGTATAGCTGTTCCTTTGGAATGCAGAGATTGGGAACCTGAGGCACACGGAACACAGGAATCATAAATGTTGCTCAGAGAAGAATTCTGTGGCATGGGCACTTCAGAAGGAGCTAGTTTAGGGGTGGATGGGAGGGCACGGAATCCAGGTAACCAGGATGTGAAGAGGAATTGGTCAGAAACAACAGATATTTGAGAACAGAAGTGGATAATGGGAGTGAGGGGCGATAGTAGTGACAAATGGCCGTGGAAGGGCCACTGGCAACAAAACTTGCCTACTTCATAATTTTCTCTTGGTCTCAAGTCAATGTTATAATTAATAAGAATTTCAAGACTCAGCTCAAAGTTTAGAGACTCGAGAGAGATGGTTTGGGCTGGGTGCAATGGCTCATGCCTGTAATCCCAGCACTTTGGGAGGCCGAAGTGGGCAGATCACGAGGTCAGGAGATCGAGACCATCCTGGCTAACACGGTGAAACCCCGTCTCTACTAAAAATACAAAAAATTAACCAGGCGTGGTGGCGGGCGCCTGTAGTCCCAGCTACTCGGGAGGCGGAGGCAGGAGAATGGCATGAACTCGGGAGGCGAAGCTTGCAGTGAGCCGAGATTGCACCATTTGCACTCCAGCCTGGGAGACAGAGTGAGACTCCGTCTCACAAAATAAATAAATAAATAAATAAATAAATAAAATTTTTAAAAAAGAGAGAGATGGTTTGGAGGCAAGCATGAGTTTTGGAAATGAATTTTGAGTTCTGCATTGCTGGCTATGTAACATGGGTACAGTTATCCAGCTTTCTTCAGCTCCCATTCCATCATGCAGAAAATAGGGATAGAAATTCCTTAGACATGGGATCACTGCAACAATTAAATATGGTGATAGCTATAAAACTTTTAACAAAGTGCCTGGCCCATGGAAAGCACTAAATAGTTAACCAACCCTATTATTGTTACCATTGTTATTATATCTAGGCAATGATTAAAGTTGTGAGTTTAAGAGAATCCCATTTCTAACTGGTCAAGTACAGTCTGTTCTCCTGCAGTGTGTTGTTTGTGTAATGTGAAGAAGTTCACAAACAAATGGTAAATAGGGAAATGCCATCAGTGTCATAGGAAAATCATGTTAGCTCATGCACAAATTTTCCTGGAAAAGAGGAGACAGAAAGGTAAAAGTAGGATTATAATCTTCGTAGGAAAGGAAAAAATCTCTTAACTTGGCTGCTGCTATCATAGAAGGAGCCCTTTAAGCTATGTTTTTAAAAAAATGAGAAACAAGTTTTTACAGTCAGGCTTTCCTCCTTCCACCCCATGTCAAGATTTGGGCTCCCAACTCTGTGCTGCTCTGGTCTCAGGGCAAGTTGGCAACTTAAGAGTAACCACTTCCGTCCAGACTGGACTCAGCTTTTGCAGCTCTGAGCCAATCCAAGTATTGCGGCTGTCTTCACCCTGGCAGTTTTATTCACTTTTAGTGTCTGTCACCAGGAATGTTCATGATATCTTCCCCAGGTTCCAATCATTGCTTTCCTTGGTGCTCTAGATGAAAAAATGCATGGACACTGAACACTTTGCCTCTTCCCCTTCCTCATCTTTTTTTTTTTTCATAAACTTCGTTATATTTGGTGCAAAAGTTTACAAAATGTGGAGTTTTGGGGGGAATGAATATGTTGCTTTATTTCAAAAATACCTTAAGTGCCATAGGACCTAACGGGAGATCCACTGAGGAATTACTTATCAAACTCTCCTGCAAAATAATTCAAGCCTGAAACTACAGGCTCCAGGTGAAGATCTCCCCTCCATGTAACTCAGTTAATGTCAATGATTGTGGAGGAAAGTCAGGAAGAGTGGAAAGAGATTTTAGAGAAACAACAGCAAGAAATGAGAGGAAAATATGGAAAGTGCTTCTGAGATTATCTTTCTAAAATATAGCCATAAATCATGAAAACATTTTATTCTGTTTTGCAATAGCACACCCACAGACATTCTTTCCAGTTGACTTTTTGATTTGAGGGCTTGTGGGTCATTCACAAAGTACAGCGTGTGTGTGTGTGTGTGTTTGTGTGTGTGTGTTTCCATTATAACCTTGGTTCAACTAAAAATGAAGTGGGATTAGAGTCAACAATCTCTTTGAGTAGTCTGAGAGGCTGGAGCAGGAGCATTGTGATTTAGTGGTTAGAGCTTCTATTAAAGGAACCCTGACAAGGTCATTGTCCTCAAGAATATAGAAGTTTCAGTGAAGACAAAATTTAGGGCTTTCTGTGGCCTTTGATATTTCTATTTTGTTATGTTTTTGTTTTTAATCCAAAGGATATTCAGGATTTACAGTTACTATCATCAGGAACCTCCAACAGATTACCTTTTAAAGCATTAGCAAAGGAGTTAATGTGTGGGCAAGCTCCTATCTCAGGGTGTCAACCTTGCTACTCCCCTCTGCCTGGAATCTGCTGTACTTGAGTATCACACGGTGTATGGGCGAGGCACTCACTGATCACCTTTCCCCAGGCACTCCCTGTCCTCTTTCTTGATTTACTTTTCTGTAGAACGCTCTTACCAGTTAATGCATTCCATATTAATTTTTTTGTTTATGGCTAGCAATTGATCCAGAAAAACTGTTTATAAATTTCGAGGTTATCCAAATTTAAAAGCACCAATTTCCTATTTGTTTTTTTGCTAGGTGAGAAAACACTTTTTACCAGGAGAAAGAGAGAGACAAAGAGAAAAAAGTGGAGAGACAGAAAAATATAGAGACACAAAGAAATAAAGAAACATAATTGGAGAAAATACATTTTTGTAAGCCTTGTTCAGATCCTTCTAAATTACATACCAGAGGCCACCCTAGGCCCAAGATTAAATCATGAATATTCTTAGAAGGTAGGCTGAAAACATATCCTCAAAAGCCACTTTTTGCTTCACAGGTATTGAAAAGGTAACACTTTTTCCCACTCTTGAAGGCACTTTAAATTATAATTAAACCAAAGAGTTTAACATGGATGCTGCACAGTAGTCACTGCACTGGAAAATATACAGCCTATGTGATTTTAGAGCAGGTTTGTAGAACAGAAATAGTACACAATTTTCACAGATCAGCCACAGACAATTTAGGTTAAAAAAATTGCTCAAAAGAGTTGCACTTGAAAACATACTCATAAAAAGGAATGAACTTCGGATACACGCAACACGCATGAATTTCAAATGCATTATTCTAGGTGAAAAAGTCACACTCAAAAGTTTACCTACTGTGTGGTCCTATTGATATGACATCTGGACTAGGAAAAACCATCAGGACAGAAAACAGATTAGTAATTATCAAGGCCTGGGGTCTAAGGAAGGGATGGGTACAAGGGAGCATGAGGGAACCTGTGAACTTGTCCAAACTCATAGAACCATACACTAACAAGAGTGAATCTTACTGTATGTATATCTGCATAAACCTGACTTTAAACAAACTAAATAGCAAACAATAACGATGACAATAAAATGTATGCCCAATAGAAGAACCCAGTAAGAGTGGCTGTCTCTTAGATGGTGAACAGGAAGACTTGGCACAAGGGTGCCATTTTGGAACTTCTTGGATTTTATGCCATCCATATATTCTTCTCACTCAAAAATGTGAAAGTAACAAAAATTGTGTGTGTGTATACACGATACTCTACTGATTCTAAATGCAAGCTTTTTCATATTTTAATATCTCTAAACTCAGAGTGCATCTGAGTACCATGTCACAGGTTTTTAATTTCTTAGCGGTACACACAACACTGATGTGTTTTAGATTTTTTTTAAAAAATAGCCTATTTTCCAGGATTGCCTGCTAGTTCTCTGTTAGACAGTGGAGTTGTCAAAACTAACAAGGTAGCTAAAAAGAGCGCCCGAAGCAATTCAACTCACAGTGTCCCTTAGGCAGATACTATTGTAAACTATCAAACAAGCAAAAAAAAAGAAAAAAAAAAAAGAAGAAGAAGAAAGACAGAAAAAAGAAAAAGAAAAAAGAAATTAAAGAGGTGCTATTCTCTTTATTTTAGAAAGAAAATATCTGAATAGCTCGCAAAATGAATGAGTCATGTGGCTTCTGCAGCAGCCCAAGTGGTGGAAATCAGACTGTTCTTGTCCTCGGGAAAACAACACTAAGCCACATCTGTGATGAGCCAGAAATCAGTTTTATGTAAAAGAATATGTGAGGGAACAGAAAGGGGAAGAAGTCTGGAAAATCCATGGCACAAACCCACAGCAAATTCATCCTGAAGTTTGCACGTGTCACTTACCAATGCGAAAAGACTGGAATCAAGACAGCTCTTCAAGAGGCCTGAAACCATCATGCACTGAAATCAGAATCAAGGACCTCCCTGGGTTTTACACACAGTTCCAGCTACAGAAAAGTTTCAGGATAAGTTAGTATCCACTGGGACTTTGCAGACCAGAATAAGAATTACCCACCAAAGACCATACATGACATGGAATCAGAAAGCTTCCAAATTCATATGGGTGTTTGTATTACTTTGCAACTAATTTATCACCAAGCCTTTTATCATATATCACTAGACATTTTAATATATGTAGGGTTCCATTCTTTCCTATCCTGTTATTTGCTAAAACATTTCTAGCTTCGCCTATCCCATTTATATCCTTGTCTAACCCTCTGCCATTTTCACATAGATTTGGGGGCTTTCGAGATACGGAGGTTGGAGGAAATGGTGAAAGGCATGGGGGAGAAAGGCAAGCGGTGCTTAAGGCAGGGCTGGAGGGGAAGCCTCAAAGATGTTGGACACTTCTGGGAATCTTACGGGAAAGAAAATGGAACGTTAACTGTAGTGAGTTTTGTACATCCTTAGTAATAAAAATAAAGAATGTGGGTAATTGAAAGATTATTGTGGGTTTAATCAGATGCATTTTCTGACTGTGCCATTGCTCTAAGGCTGTACCTCATGGATCATGGTTTCAAGTGAGGCTATATCAGGGGCTATTTTCTAGACCATGGATTAACTGTTACCCTAGACCTAAGTTAAGAGTGCATTTTCCCCATGGCAGGCAGATTTTTGGAAAAATGGTATAAAAACAAAAGAGTCAATTAAATCCAACCACTGATGACTGCCAGAATAATCCTGAAGAGCTGAAGATATGTTGTAAAGACAAATAATACCTGTTGCGATGAATGGTAGAATGCAGGAGAGGTGAACTTTTGTAGTGCTGTGTGAGTTTTGTATGACAACAGTGTTTGAAACCCATTTTGAGAACTGGTAAGCTCAAAATTAGTTTTCAGCCAACATCTTCTGACACCCAGGTTCTAAAATATTAAGGTACTTTGAGATCAAGAGAAAGTACGTGCAGGAAATGCCCAGACTAGTTGGAAGTTATTGCCCTATTCTATCAGATGATGTGTTGTGGCTGTGGGACTTAAAATTAAGCAGACTTTGGAATTGCTGGTACAAGTACTCACTGCCAGAAACTTAAGAAATTAGTGGTAGATATTTTGCTAAGGCCTGGAGAATAAGAATGAGGTTAGAACATGCCTTGGAATTGCTAGAAGGATAGCAAGACTTGGAAGTAAACAGATGTTGTCATTTATGGAGAGTTTGTTGGGCCTCACCCTAATGTTGCTTGTTGATTGTGGGCCTACATTTTTAAAAGACCAGTCAGAGAGAATGACACACCATAGGTTACCAGGAGATGAATTAACTGTTATATGGATGAATTTAATGGGGTACCTCTAATCACAGCTGTTCTGCCACTGCATAATGAACATGACTAGCCCTTACCATAGTCGATCTGCTTTTGGATACTGTGAAGTTGGCAGTATTTGTCTGTCTTAACCACCATGTAAGGATATCTGTGCCCACCACCCCATCTGTCCCGTCTGTCCCTAGTAAGCAGGAAGTCTGAGTAAGGGAGTAGAGAATCCAAAACAATGCATTCTGACTTGGGAAGATCAAAGAAGGTCTTGCTAAGATGTGAGATGTGAATTTTGAGCTGAAACTTGAAGAATAAGGTTCTGTGAGGTGACAAATATGGAGAGAAGCATCCCCAGTACAGGACACAGCATTCTCTAAAATATGAATATGTAACTGTGTTTGTTAAATTTGCAGTACATTAACGCATTGTGTGTGTGTGTGTGTGTGTGTGTGTGTGTGTAATGCAGTTTTCTCTAAGAACATGAAAATAGTGGACCATAGAGAGGATAGTTGGGGAGGCCATGAAGGACTTGAAATACCATCCAAAGGCTGTAATTTTTTTCCCTACTTTCTCAGACATTTCTCTCTGGGCAGCAGAGTAGCCTAGTAAAATGCTGACGTTGCATGAGCTAGAACGACCCCTGACTACTTGCTCAAAGGTGATTTAACTGCCTAACCCAATGCTGAGCAGTGAAAACTTGTCTGTGTCTAGGATTCTAATGGCCAAGACTCAGACGCCCTAGGTAAAAAGTATGTTGAGTAAGCTAATGTAAAGTTTTTACGTGGGCCAAATTCTAACTGTGGCCACATTCTAAACTCCCCTATATCTCTCCCCTGAGTTAACTGAAATTAACAGTGACTCACCAACCATCAAAGGGATTCACAGGCTTTAAAAAGATGAGCCATTAATGAAGGCATCTCTATATCAGCTTCAAATTGGTGTTTTAAATCTTAGTTGACTCCTAGGCATTCAAGTATGAGGCAAAGGGGATCATCATTTGTATTAAAAGAGAAATCCCCAAATCAGAACTGGTTTAATTCCAACCTAATTTTGGCTACTTAAGGAGAGTAAGAATTAAAGAAGTAACAACCAGTTTTTAGTGGATCTGAGAATGAAAAAGTTAACCGTTTGATTTCATTGGGGCCTATTCCACATTAGTTTATTTGAATCTTGTATTCCAGCAAAGGCAATAAGTTCCTATGAAACCAGTTCTTAGTATTAAGCTCATCCATTTGGTGCCTCTGCCAACTGTATGGAGTTGTCTCATGAAGTCTGAGTGAGATGTTGTCTATTGAAGTGCTTTAGTGTATTGCATGATACAAAATTGCAGCTCAATAAAAATTGATCTTATCAAAATTTGAAAATCAAACTTAATGCTTTTAAGAGAGCAGTCATTTCATCTGAGCCTCACCACAAACCTGTAAGTAGAATCATTCCCATTTTACTGATGAAGAAACAGTCTCAGGTTTGAGGTAATTCCCAGTAATCACAGCATGACAACACAGATAAGAAGACCAAGCTGCTAAAATGCACTGGCTGTGGTTTGCTTGCTTGTTTTGACATATAAGCCCCTAAAATATATTTCCTAAAAGATATGTTTATGTCTGTCTACCCACATTAACCTAAGTGCCCCAAAAGGCAGTTTTCACATCTGTCTTGTTCATGTCTCCATTCCCAAAGCCTAGCACAGTGTCTGGAAGACAGAAGGTTCTCAATATTCGTTAAGTGAGTGAATCACAAAATATCCTTTTATCTTGATTTGTTCTCTCCTTGGATTTCTTAGTCTTTTCTGCTATTCAGAAGCTTAGCATTAATCAAATGGACACCTATACCTAGATACCCATTAGCAGGTTTTATCTCAAAAGAAAAGCAATGTGTGACTGAAGTCACACATTTGGATAGTTTTGTTTTCCACACAGCAGAAATGAGCAAATGGGCATGTACACTGTAAAGCCACCATGAGAACTGAGCTGGCATGGGGAGTTCACTGTTGTGGTAATATTGTTGTGGTAATAAGCTCACACTTCTGGCTGCAGCCAGGCTTTGGGAGAGGATCTGAAAGTGTTCCTTCAATTCCACTTGTCTGAAGATTGCTGGGATGCTTCCCCACCAGCCCGTTTCATCTTTCCCTTCCCTGATTCATCTTGAAGGAGGAACTAAGCAAAGGATGAGAGCTTCGTGTGGTTGATTATGAGAAAGTTCAAGGCAGCTGTTCATTTAGAAGCTGTAGAAAGAGATTGCCTCACACGCTTACATTTAAGGAAACATAAGCCTGGAGTAATTCATTTTCCAGTAGAAATTGTCCTGAGTCATTTCATTTTAAATGGGAGCCCCAGTCACAGTTAGGGATGAATTTAGCAACAAACAACATAAGGATTTTTTTCAATCTCAGCTTTATTTTCTGAAACTGTCTTTCAAACAGCCAGAAAACAACTTTAAGTTTTGAAAGAAAGAAGGAAAGAAATAAAGAGAAAGATAAAAGAAACACAAAATGACTAATGTTTTGAGATTTAGGGGCAAATTCCGTGCCCTATGGCTGAATCTTATACAAAATAGAGAAGTATTGAGATGCACTTGCAAATACGGAAGTTCGTACCTTTATTTAATTGGGTTAATATGTTTAATTTATTTTTTAGCCAGCTGGACAGTGGGATTTAATCTGACGACATGCACAGAGATGTGCAATGATGTATATGTAAGGGGAATTCTTCACAACAAATCTATGTCTGAGTGCTTTGGCCTCATCCTTCCTTGATGCAGTCTCTGCCTGCCCTAGAAACAAGAGAACACCTGTTATTCTCTCGCCACGTGTTAGGGACTCTGTAAGCACTTTACCAGCCCATCTCACAACACCCTTCCAAGTTTTCTATTTTTATGATCTCAACTTTACATGTGAGAGACTGAGGTCAAGAGAGACTAAATAACATCTTAAGGTCATTCATGGAATATGGAATAAAGTTCAGAACAGGAATTCTGGCAAATTGAGCCCTAGAATTTAAGTACTTAAGCATGATTGTCCACTCCTCCATCTCCTGAAGTGTGTATCCCTGGAAAACAGGATGTTTTCTGTACCAAAAGAACATGGAGAGATACTTCCACAGCTAAGTATGTCTCTTAAAAGTGTTTGTGTGTGTGTGTGTGATAATGGTGATGATGATTTCCTTAAAGCATTTTACTGTTGATAGCTCATCATCACCTCTAGCCAATGAAACACAGAGTCCACAAAAATGCAATTTGTCTGCCCTGGTTCACCAAAGGGATAAAACTTAAAAGACAAAATTTGTAAGACAAAACTTAAAAGATAACCATAAATGTGGCTTGTGAGCAAAGTAGGGCAGGTGGCGCAGCCATCAGGGTGGAATTTTGTTGTGTACCCTGTAGCAGCAGAAAAGCCCTACATTTGAGCACAGGAAGCCCAATAACTTTGAGTAATTTTGAGCAAGGTACTTAATCCTTCCAAATCTCAATTTCCTCATATGTAAAATGGGAAAATAACACTTGTTCTGTCTACCTTTTCTAGTTATTGTAAGGGGGTAAAAATTGTGTCAACGCGAAGACGAAAACTCCAAATCAATGCATTCGTTTACTCAGTGTATTGGTCTGTTCTCACGCTGCTAATAAAGACTTACCCAAGAATGGGTAATTTATAAAGGAAAGAGGTTTAATGGATGCACAGTTCCATATGGCTGGGGAGGCCTCACAATCATGGCAGAAGGCAAATGAGGAGCGAAGTCACATCTTACATGGCAGCAGGCAAGAAAGAGTGTGCAGGGGAACTCCCATTTATATAACCATCAGATCTCATGAGACTTATTCACTATGACAAAAACAATATGGGAGAAACTGCCTCCATGATTCAATTATGTCCACCTGGCCCCACCCTTGAAACATGGGGATTATTGCAATTTGAGGTAAGATTTGGTTGGGACCACAGCCAAACCATATAACTCAGCCATTCATTCAACAAATATTTATTGGGTGTGTACCCTGTGCAGGCATTAGGTCCTGGAGTTATGCAATTTTAACTATAGGAAAAGATTCTGGATTAAAATGGAATTTGAGGCCAGGCACTGTGGATCACGCCTGTAATCCTAGCTCTTTGGGAGGCCAAGGTGGATGGATCACGAGGTCAGGATTTCGAGACCAGCCTGGCCAGCATGGTGAAACCTTGTCCCTACTAAAAATACAAAAATTAGCCAGGCATGGTAGCATGCACCTGTAGTTCCAGCTACTCGGGAGGCTGAGGCAGGAGAATCGCTTGAACCCAGGAGGCGGAGGTTGCAGTGAGCTGACATCACACCACTACACTCCAGCCTGGCGACAGACCCAGACTCTGTCTTAAAAAAAAAAAAAAAAAAAAAAAAAAGGAATTTGACTTGTTGGGTGGTTGATAACACCAGCTTATTTGGCTTTCTTTTTAGGAGTCAGATGTTATAAACAGAATTGAATATTTTGGGAAATTCTCAACCTCTCATCTTACATTTGGCCACGGAATGCCTGCAGGAAACAAAACAACCAAAATGAATTCAGAGCCCAGCGTAGATGGGTACATCAAGGGAAATCCTGGCTGTCAGGAGGGTGACAGCTCCTGTGCAAGCCACACTGCTGTTGTGTGTGTAGCAGAAGGAAAGCCTACCCTCCCTGCACCACATCCCACGCAGCCCACACCAACTCTGCCTCTCCATGCACTGCCCACCCAGACCTGCAATTAGCACATTCATCAGTGTGCCTGGTGTTTCCTGGTGATGGAGGGCCCTGAGGTGCTCCATTTAGGAGTTAGGCTCTGCCACCTATAGCTCTCCTTGAGCCCATCTATTTTCTCCCATTCAGATGTACACCTTTTGTTGCATGCAATGAATTTTCTGATTTCTGCGTAGTCATTAGAGGGAGAGACCTCACATTAGGAAAATGACCATCACAATAAGCATGCCTATTGGCTACCTTAACTTGAAACAGGAACATGGGCCTGAGGCCAGAACAATTGCACAGGGTCCTGCCCTCAAGAGGGTTGTCCTTAGAATTTAGTATTCTGTGGTTGTCATCTTGATATTCTTAATCATATCATCTTTGGCTTTGTGTTTTGTAAATAAAATTTGATGAGACAGGGAAGCAGGCACTGAGGCTGAGGGCTTGGAGATTTGGTTTACACAGGGTCCTCTTCGGGACATGTTCTTGGCCTTCCTACTCTCTGGAGTTCTGGGTCCTGCTCGGCCTCCTCCTCCTCCCTGCCCGCACCCAGCAACTGGCCCTGGTCGGGGCCTAGGCACAGGCACTGGGATTTTCAGGTGTCTCAAGGCAGCAGCATCATGATGCATTGGCGGGGTGACTTGGTGGAGGTAAGCCTCTCATCTGCCTTGACTGCATGTTACAGGGGTGACAATACCTAGGGGGTCATCCATCTGCCTGGGTCAGGGGAAGTTGATCCAGGGAAGTGAGGGGGATCATGGCAGCCAATGCACACGCTCATGCTTTGAAGGCCTCTGTGGGCTTGTGAGGGTCTGCACTGGCCCTGCAGGCAGCGACACTAAATAGGAACTATAAAACACCACAGCAGATCAAGAGGGAGTGGAATGGGGGGAGAAATGCTTGATATTTTAATTCCTAACACTGCTCCCTGCTTTCTGCACAGGGACCCCCACAATTTTACTTTATACTGGGCCCCAAAAATGATATAGCCAAGCCTGAGTGAGAAGCTCATTTCTGGGATTCTAAAGATCTGACTCTTTTTTTTTTAATTGACAAACAACAATTGTATATATTTAGAGGGTACAATGTGGTGGTTGAAATATGTATACAATACAGAATGATGAACTCAAGCTAGTGGGAACGTTCAAAATCTATCGTCTCAGAAATTTTGAAATACAGATTACATTATTATTAATTATCTGACTTCGTTTTTTAAAAAACGCTCACAGATTAAAAGCAAAAACAAACAAAACACAATGCTGATAAAGACGACCTGTCTCCCCAGCGAAGGGGCAAGGGAAAAAGAACACAAGTTACTTTTACCACATGACCTTTCCAGACAGGAGCAGGGCTGGAGCTTTGGGGACACCACAGAAAGTCTGTTTTGTTGTTGTCGGGGGTGCAGGGTGGTGAGCAGAGAACATCTTTGTTTTAGAGATGAGGGAACGTAGGCGCAGAAAAGTTAGCCGGTTCACCCCAGACACTGAGCAAGTGCCAAACTTGAGTCAGTGGACACTAAATCTTTATAAGGGGAGAAAAATGCTCTGGAACCCTGGTCCTGACAAAAATCATTTTTATTAGAATGTCACTTAAATATGTAAAAACCTAAACCTAAGTGTGACCTCTGTAGTTGCAAAGCTTATGCAACTGTAAACTCAAAACATATTCGCACATCAAATACAAATGAAACTACAAAGCTAATTAAATTCAAATTAACAAAAATACTGTAATAGAGGGCATTTTGCTCAAACTAAATCAAGTTGATTTAATTAATTTGGATTTATTTAATGTTTAATTTAATTGTATAAATATACTTTCATGGTTTGTTCTATATTAAATATTTCTTAAATTTTGACTTATGCATACATGGGGAACTCATGAACACATGGGCATAAAATAATGTTAGCAATTTCAAGGTAGTTTTAAATATTTTGTTTTATTTTATTATATTATTATGACTATATTTCCCATTTAGGATCATCGGACCTCATGCTTAACAAAAATTGCCACTTTTGATGGAGAGTTGCTTGGTCACTTTATAAAATCGTGCTGCTCAATTGAAAATGAATTTTATGATGACAATGCTAACAAATCTGCTCTAATTGAATATCTAAGCCAATTATTTCTGCACTTAGGACTGGAGCACTTCCACACTGAAAATTTACTATTACACTTTCTGCTCACGAAATGTTGGTAAGTATTGCAATAGTTGAATGTAAAGGGCAGTGATTACTTACCAACCAGTGTGGGGGTACTGCAGTATTTAAATACAGGTTAGGGCTCCACCATACCAGCCCAATATCAGTCTTGCCTATTACAGAAATTTATCCTGCCCTTGGCCATGGCCTTTCCAGTCATTGCTCATTGATGAATGTACATAAATATGTCTGTGTATGCGTGAGTAGCATGGCGTGAGTGTGGGTGCTGTGTGTATGCAGATAGATGTATGTACGTGGGTGTATAAATTTGTATGTGTATATGTAAATGTTAGGAAATTTGGCAAATTGGAGGTAAAATTTTAAGGCTCACCAATAATCTTTGCTAAAGTTTTTGTTCTGCACATAGTAGGCACTCAAAAAAAAAAAATGGTAGTTGGCCAAGCGCAGTGGCTCACACCTGTAATCCCAGCACTTTGGGAGGCCAAGGCGGGTGGATCACTTGAGCTCAGGAGTTTGAGACCAGCCTGGGCAACATGGCAAAACCCTGTCTCTACTAAAAATACAAAAATTAGCCAGGCGTGGTGACACACACCTTTGGTCCTAGCTACTGGGGAGGCTGAGGTAGGAAGATTGCTTGAGCCTAGGAGGCAGAGGCTACAGTGAGCTGAGATGGCGCCACTGCACTCCAGCCTGGGTGACAGAGACCCTGTCTCTAAATAAATAAATAAATAAATAAAGTATTATTAATCTTATGTCACCAGATACTCTTTTTCTTAAATATTACTTTTTCTTGGTCCAGGATTTCCCATCAAATCCAAGCCAGTAAAGCATGTTATCCTATGTTTTGACTATCTCAGGCTGGTAAAAATAACTTATACTTTGCCTTTTTTTTTCATTTGACCAATATTTACCTAATACTTACTGTGACTTAGTGAAAAGTGCAGAGCATTTTATAACATTATGTTACTCTATAGTTGTTTTAGATTGTGTTTCCCAGGGACCAGAATTTTGCTTGGGAGGTGATTCCAAGGAGTGCTAGCAAGGTTGGAGAGGTGAGAGTGCGGAGGGATAGAAGCCAGTACAGGGTGCGTTCATGAACAGTTCCTGCTGTGGGCAGCCAGGCCTCCATTCCATTGGGAACCTCTGAGAGAGGATGTAGAGCCTCAGTGCTGCCCCCCAGCTCCCCACAGGGTCCAGAAGGCTGCAGCACTTACTTACCCACTTCTTGTTTTGTTGGTGAGAAGTCCTGCTCCCATGGGCCATGACTTCCTAGCACTCCGGTCTGCCTCACTCATGTGTTGAATATGACTTGGTGGCCAGGAAGTCCCTGCAAAGACAGGTAGGGAGCCTGGGGTAAGAAGACATAAGTGTTCACAGGGAGAAGGCATGCCAAGGGGGGTTGAGTGGGGTGCCAGCACCCCTACAATACTCATTGCAAATCTGTTGTTATATATATTTTGATGTGTGAGGAAGTGGGGGGTCCTGGAGAAGCTAAGTAACTCTCCCAGGGTCACAGGGATAATGAGTGCAGGAGCTGGGATTCGAACATGGCCATCTGCTCACAGAGTCTGTGCTCTTTACCACTGCAGTGATAATCAAAATGAATTTTATTCCTCCATGTGTTTTTCTCCAAAATATTCACTTCAAAACCTAAACAGGGCTGGGCACGGTGGCTGATGCCTGTAATTCCTGCACTTTGGGAGGCCTAGGCAGGTGGATCACCTGAGGTCAGCTCTTTGAGACCAGCCTGGCCAACATGGTGAAACCCGGTTTCTACTAAAAATACGAAAAATTAGCCAGGCGTGGTGGCAGCACCTATAATCCCAGCTACTCAGGAGGCTGAGACAGGAGAATCACTTGAACCCAGGAGGCAGAGGTTGCAGTGAGCCAAGATCATGCCATTGCACTCCAGTCTGGGCAACAAGAGCGCAACTCCGCCTTAAAAAAAAAAAAAGGAAAAGGAAAAGAAAAAGAAAAACATAAATGGATCTTAAGTCTGTGCACTTCATAATTTGCCGAAGGAGAAGTCATTTGATAAACATCAGACCCTTAATAATATGTATTTTGCTTTTCCATTGTCTCTGAACAAATATTTCTGAGTGTGTTTCTGCTTTTTCCTGGATGGTTCTCCGAAATAAAGTCTGACACCTTTCTATTAAGACTGAATGCAAATTGTTCAAAGAGAAACAAACAATTATGACTGCTGAGTTTGAAAGAGCATAGGAACTATGCTACCATCAGAGTTGGCACTGTGTGTCCCAAGGATCAGGAAATGGAACTGGGCACCTCACAAGATGAGTATTATAGTTTATTTATAACATTTGCATAAAAGTAAAAGGGAGAAAGACATAGAGCTAACAATAGCCTCAGAGTCCAGGTGACAAGGACCTTATTGTGAAATGAACTGGTCCTCCTGGCTCTTGTTAGTAACTCCCCCTTCATGAACAAGATCCAAGACAGACACCTTTCAGGGAATGCCATCTGGAGTGAACTGCGGGACATGGAGGTTTCCTGGATCTATGACTCGTAAATCAAAATCCTGGAAGTAAGTCACATCCATTTCAACTATTTCAACCTGACCTCCCCATGCACTGAGTAGGCCTTGTGCCAGCATTTCAAATCTATTCACTGTGTTCATGGCTATGTCTGTCAGGTGATGTAAGCAATATCACAACAGCACAAGACATGGTCCCAACTGCAGAGAATATTTCCATGTTGTAGGAAATTGTATGGAGATATCCATTTTTATAAAGGATATTGTGTCTGTAGAGTATAGTCTTCCTCCCCTGGCCTGCCTGTTTCCAGGTCTCTTCCTACCTGTAAACTCTTTTGCATCAGGGAGGTTTGTGCTATGGTAGGAACCTGAAGCTTTTTAAGGTTGGTAATTCAACTCTTCTTGCCTTTGTGAAAGCCTGGATGGATTGAAATTTTCTGGATGTCCTTGATACAAAGGACTATAAGGAGTCTTATCTTTCAGGGCAAAAAGATGGAAGCACCGGCTTACCCCAGACCAGGAAGTGGGTAAAGTTCCAAAGTTGTTGGCAAAACAGGGACCTATAGGCATGTCTCTGGAAGCACCCTAGTGAGTTTGCAGAGCCTCTGAGGTAATGTGGTGGCACTGGGCTCCTAGGGAGGCTGGAGCCCAAGCACTGAAGATTTGGCCTCATGCATGGCCCAAAAGCAGAGATCTGCCACACAGACCCTTTTGTGTCTGGAAATCACAGACCCTTTTCTGCCTCTGAATGCCAAACACAAGCTTCTCAGATTTTTTAAAAATATAGAGAGAAGGAGAAGTCACAGGAGTGACTCAAAATAATTTTCTAGCCTGCCCAGTGAAGGAGGATGAGGTCAGTTTGAAGCAATTTTAAAGGTATTTCTTGACTGCTTGAGTCCGTAGTTTCACATTCAAGACAAAATAATAATATGAAATGCATACTTCAGTGCGCCACAGGGCTAAGTACAGTGTGTGGAACTCTCATACGATCCTCACAGATCTCTGTGAACTAGGTGGTTTTGTTTGTGCCACCTCCAAATGAGGACAATGAGGCCTAGAGAGTTCTGGTCTTTGCTCAAGCTAGTGCCTCATCAAGGTGAGATGTGACACAGGCCAGTGGATTCCAAAGCCTGTTCGTTTAACACAACCCTGTAAGTCTAACTTGTGAAACAATTAGGACACCAGCCATCAGGGTATATAGGTAAGAATCCAGTTCCTTTCAGCAGTGAATGTTGGAGTATTTCAGAGAAAGCAAGACCCATGTGGACTCAAAGCAGGAATATAAGCATCAGGAGGGCTGATGACTTAATTGATTTTGTTCAACAATGTTTCCCACGTGCCTAGAATAGGGCATGGCCCATAGTAGGAGCTTCATAAATATTTGATAAATCAGTGAATGAATGATTGACAGGAGTCTAGAATTCTGTCTTATATGAAGAGACAAGAGGGCTTTAAATAATCCAAAGGAAAGAAGAAAGCCATTGCATGGCCATTATTAATATTAAAGAGTCAAAAAAAAAAAAAAACCAGGTACTGGCGAGGTTGTGGAGAAAAAGGAATGCTTTTACACTGCTGGTGGGATGGTAAATTAGTTCAACCACTGTGGAAGACAGTATGGGAATTCCTGAAAGACCTAGAGGCAGAAATACCATTCAACTCAGCAATCTCATTACTGGGTACATACCCACCAAAATATAAATCATTCTGTCAGAAAGGCACATGCACATGTACATTCATTGCAGCACTATTCACAATAGCAAAGACATGGAATCAACCTAAATGTCCATCAGTGATAGACTGGATAAAGCAAATGTGGTACATACGCACCATGGAATACTATGCAGCCATAAAAAGGAATGAGATCATGTCCTTTGCAAGAACATGGATGGAGCTGGAGGACATGATCCTTAGCAAACTAACACAGGAACAGAAAATCAAATATTGCATGTTCTCACTTATAAGTGGAAGCTAAATGATGAGAACACATAGACACATGGGGGGAAACAACACACACTGGGGCCTGTCGGAGGGCAGGGTGGGTGGAAGGAGAGAGAGCATCAGGAAGAATAGCTAGTGGATGCTAGGCTTAATACCTGGGTGATGAGATGATCTGTGCAGCAAACCACCACGGCACACATTTACCTGTATAACAAACCTGCACATGCACTTAAAAGGTAGAAGTAAAAAAATAATAAAATAAAATATCGATAGTTTAAAAAAAGAAAGAAAGCCATTCCAAATGGGGTAAACACCTCTTTTCCAAATCACCTTGCAAAATAGTTAGGGATTTGTGTGAAGGAACGCTACTTGACAGCATCCCAAAATGGGCTCATTATCCTTGCTAGTCTGCTCTTCCAAGCCCTGATCACTGCAGTCAAGGAGAAGGAATTCTTTCTGATTCTAGAATGCAGATAGACTCCATTAGAACAAGTAGTATTTTGGGTAAAATAAAGAAGAGATAAGCTGAGGTAAATACCTAGACTAATGACAAGAGAGCCTTATGTTTAGCATAGACTTCTAGTTCAGTGTTTTTAAGCATATAACTGCTCATTATGTCTTCATTAAAGCATTTCAAGGGATCCCCAGGTGAATTATAATGATTAAAAATAATGCAAAGCAAAAAGCTTTTGGATCTACGTTGGTGAACAAAAAGACTCCTCTTAAAAGGAGAGAGTGGCTCAGCTCCAAAAGTCTCATGGAACAGTCTAAGAAGAAGGGAAATCTATAATAGGCAATTTTTAGGGTAGAAGATTGATATGGTTTGACTGTGTCCCCACCCAAATCTCATCTTGAATTGTAGCTCCCATAATCCCCAGGTGTCATGGGAGGGGCCTGGTAGGAGGTAATTGAATTATGAGGGCAAGTTTTTCCCATGTTGTTCCCATGACAGTAAATAAGTCTCATGAGGTCTGATGGTTTTATAAAGGGCAGTTCCCCTCCACATGCTTTCTTGCCTGCCACCATGTAAGACATGCCTTTGCTCCTCCTTTGCCTTCCACCGTGATTGTGAGGCCTCCTCAGCCATGTGGAACTGTGAATCCATTAAACTTCATTTTCTTTTTAAATAACCCAGTCTCGGGTATTTCTTCACAGCAGTATGAAGGTGGACTAATATGAAGATATATGTTAATGTCAATTTAAGAAGACTCACCTTTAAATAAAACTGTCAGGCAACAATGTCACATGGCTTTATTTCTGTTTGACTGCAGGAGCACGTGAGAAATAGACCCCTTAAGGGATTTTCCCTAAGACAGGAGATCCAAGCCTCCTAATGTTCATTCTCAAATCTATTCAGAGATTACTTGGTGGCCAAATAAAAAGATTGAAGGAAAATTACCATTTAACTTATAGGACAGTCTACAACTGAAATTAATGGCGAGATTAAAAAAAGAAAAACCCACCAAAATGTTGCTCATCTTTTATATGAACTCAAATACCTTCTGGCTTCTTTAAATGAAAAGTCTGACATTTTTCCTGGCAGTATTGCTGAAAAGATAAGACAAATGGAAATTCCTGAGATGATCTGGGATACTTATCAGGAGGAACAGCTTCAAGGGAAATGTCTGCTTTCTCTCTCTTGCAAATTACGAAACCATTGACAGAAAGAAACACGTTGGTATTTGATAATAAGAAGGCAGCGTGTATCATAATATTCTAGGGCATATCTGTTCAGTGTAAAAAGAAATTGATCTGCGTAATAGTCGAGAGTCATTACATCACCATTCCCTGCCTACCCACTCCCTAGTTAGCCCCTGTGTGGCCACAGAGTGGCTGTAAAATGGCCCACTGTGCTATTTATATCCATTGCTGCCAGTGTTACTTTGATCTAAACCTTGAGATTCACAAACAGCAGAAGAGGGAATGTTGGTAATGACAATCACTGTCTCAGGAAATAGTTTACAGTGACAGTGGATTCTATTTCAATTTCTGGACTCCAAGGTAGCGTTCACCACTGCCCCACTGGGGCCACCTATGGGATTAACATTGGCAGTGCCCCAAATACACTATGTATACTTTCTGGTTCTTACCCAGCATCAAATTCAATCCCAAAAAGCAAACACTCGTTTCACTTACTCACTTCCTTAAGACTCAGTGCTAACTTGGAGCATATTTTCCTGCTGCAAGATTTTAAGTTTTTATTGGTCCTGGAGGGGCCAGAAAAGCTACAGAAAGGCCTTTGCTTGCAGTACCAGCTTCAAAAACTTTCAGCTAAAAGCAGGAAAGTCAAAAGCATCAAATACAGTCTTATAAAGGCTATTTTGATTTAGAGAAAGCTTTTGAATTTGCGTTTAGTTGCGAATCCTGATGGCAAGATTAACACTGTTTATGCGGAGAAAAACCTTCATGGAGGTGAGATGAGTGCCCGTTTTCGGTGAGAATGGCAGGATGTGCTACACGTAGATTGGGTTAACTATGTTGGCCCCTCTCTGCTACTCTTCTGCTTAAAACGTTTCACAGGTTCTCTATGGTACTAATGCATATTTATCAGAATTCTGTTGGTAGCAAGGCACAAAAACCTAACTTAAAAAGCTTTAGCTTAAAAGTATGTTTATTGGTTCATGTGGCTGAAAATTCCAGCGCATGGGACTGGTTTCAGCTGGATCCAGGAGTTCAAATAATACTGCCAAGATTTTCTCTGTCTCAGGGTGAGGTCTGGGCAATCTTTGTGCCTGGGGTGCAAGATTTCAGGCAGCAGGTCATGCAAGTACTGACTCTGCTCTAGCAGGGCCCTGAGAGACAGAGCCCATGTACACAGGCTTGCCTTCTTAAATTTGCACTGTAGGCATCTTGCCTGCCTTACCCTGGACCCTCTTTTTCTCTTAGCTTTTTTTTTCATGTTCCTTTCTTTCTTGGGTGAGTTCTTCTCACTCGGTGCGCAGAAGCTCACCAAAGCACCAGACATGGTTCTACCACATCACCAGACTTTTTCCTTATCACCTCTGCCTCCCTAAAACTCTTTTTCCATTTATTTCAGGAAAGAATGACCCCAAGACTTGGGCTCATTGGCTCTTATTAGCCCCACTTGAGTGTGGAAGAGTCACTCAATAGAATGTGCTCCCCAAACTGTTTCCTTTTCCTCCCGAGCACACAGCTAAGCACATTCCCCAGGTTCCTCGCATCTAGGTCTGGTCATGTGCACAGTGCCAGGTAGGGAAATGTAAGTAAAAATAAAGACCATCTCCTCCAGACCTGGACCCACTCCACATTCACTTCTTCACTCATTGTCTGGGCATAGAACATTCAGCAGGTGACAGCGCCATTAGTTGAAATGAGCCTAGATCCCTGAGTCACCACTTGGAGGAAGCCATACTGAAGAACCACCTGATCAGGAGCGTGCACAATGTTTTGTTTGTTTGTTTTTGTGAGGGGGAAACCAGCCATTGAGATTTAGAGACTGTTACAACAGCTAGTGTTACTCATTCTCTGTAATCCATTGAGTGTTTGCCTCTTGTTGAACCCATTAGTAGTATCAAAAATGATGGGATGTTCTGAGCAGCCAGCCATTGGTCATGTGCTCATCTTTGGAGCCCTGAGTTAGGTAGAGCCCTATCCCCAACCATAAAAAAGTTAGAGCAGAAGTAATTCCCCCAAAGAAAACCAAGATGCCATTACTAGAATAAGGGGGAGAAGATGCAGCACAGACAACAAACGTGACGTGCACAACAGCCCCACACGTCCCTCTCAGGCTGGCCTCTAATGCAGTGCTTGAGGAACACCCAGCATTTTGAGGTCCTTTTCAAGCCATATCCCTGCTCTCATTCTTGCTCTTCCTCTCCATCTTCCCTCTTG
The DNA here is from genome assembly GCF_000001405.40 of Homo sapiens. Taxonomy (NCBI): domain Eukaryota; kingdom Metazoa; phylum Chordata; class Mammalia; order Primates; family Hominidae; genus Homo; species Homo sapiens. The sequence continues at coordinate 87,082,854 of NC_000009.12, forward strand.
CTCACCTTCTCAGCCCCCACTCTCTTACCCTCCATTCACCTTCTGGAAATTCTGCTGATTTTTAAAACGCGGCTTGGATATCCCTTCCTTCCTGACGTTTCTTCACATTCAAGCTAAGTTTTATGTTCTTCTCTTTCTCTCATGGGGCCCTGTGATTTCTCTTTCTTTGTCTTTACTTCATTATTTAGAAATTATTAACTGTGAAACTCTCAAAGCCGGGATAGGCCTAGTCATCATTTTGTCCCCAACACCTAGCACAGTGCTTCCATCTGGTTGAAATGTTCAGATGAATAAAGAAAGGAATATAGTCCAATCATCAAACCGTGGGCTAAATTCATCTTTGCAGTGGCTATCCACAGGATAGCTAAATCCACATTTCCACTCCTATCATTAAGGAAGTAAGAAATTTTATAATCAAAAACAATCAGTTACATGCATGTTTCTGAAACCATATGTCTATTTTGCAACTCTTATTGTGTTAGTAAATCTAAGGGCTAACTTTTGAGTAAGATAAGGTCTTATTAATTTATTTTTTTAATCTAAAATAGATTTATTGCATTTCACGCAGTTTGAAGGCCATGGAAAGGGGACTAGCACAGTTTTTAATGCATTTAAAAAATAAAAGGGAGGAGGGCAGCAAACACATAAAGTCCTAGTGTCCTGGGTCCCTGGGAGAAAAGAGTGTGGCAATGAACCCACCCACTCTCCATGGGGAATAAATCTGTCTCTTAAATGCAAGGAATATTTCCATGGCCTCTGGATGCAAATACACAGAGCTTTGGGGTAAGAGCAAGGGATGGGGAGAGGACCACTAGTGAAAACGCAGCTACACATATTGACCTAATTCAATCTGAGGGTAGAACAACATGGCAAATCTTGGGGGCAGCAGCTGTTCCAAGGGTCAAGAAATATCGTACACCCACGGGGAGATTTGCTTCTAAAAAGAAGTGGCGGTGAGAAACAAAACAAAACAAAACAAACAAAAGGAGAAATATTTCTTCAGCCACACTCTTCAAGAAAATGCCACAAATATGTGATTTAATATTTTAATTTCATAGCATTGGACACACAGCTCAACATATTGAAATATTGATTCCTTGGAGAAAAAAGGAAACAAAAAATATTGCATCTTTCTGTTGGAGAATCTCGGCCCCCAGGCATGAGGCCTAGTGCGCCATTGTCCTAGCCTGCAGGAGGAGCTGAGGTCGGCCGGGTCCTCTGGGGAAGAAGGCTGTGTTCATGACCTGGGGCTGTACGGCAAAAATTGTGTTGAGTGTCCTCGGCCTTGCCAGCTCCGGCCCTCAGCCGCCAGTCACCCGGGGGGCCTGCCCATCAGAGGGCTGGTTGACTGACTGGAAAAACATGGGCTGGGCAGGTCCTGGCCCGCAGGTATGGATACTTGCTGGATCTGGTAGAGCTGCTGTCCATCTGTGAACTGGCTGAACTACTGCTGTCTTTGCTGGACCTCTGTCTGTGTAATCGGTTGAGCGCTGGTGGCAAGTGTCTGGATCTGTCCCTGCAGAACGTGGGTGCCTGATACAGACTGGGCTAAGCGGATACACTGCAGCTGGCCAGCCTTCAGCTGCACCGGGATCTGCTGGATCTCTCCTGTGTTAGTGAGGATCTGCTACATCACCTGCACGGTCCATCCAGTACCACTCTGGGCCTACTGGGCTTGACCCTGTGGCTGGGCCTGGACAATCTGCACCTGCTGACCTTCTCCAACCTGCGTCGTCACGGGCGTGGTCTGGCCCTGCTGAAGCTGTGCGATGATGATCTGCCCAGGCTGCATGGTGGTCATGGAGCTGGCGGTGGTCTGGCCTTGCTGCTGTCCCTGGACTTGGACGGGCGGTGGGCTGCTGAGCCAGCGTGAAATAGTATTGGACTGGCTCAGCAGGAGTTACAGACTGCAGCACCTCCTCCTGACACTTTGGAGGTTTCAGTTCATCTCTTAGAACAATATCGATGAGAAAATCCAATTGATCAAATTTCGTAATTGCCATGGCGACATAAGTCCGGCAGTTGTTATCCTCTGTGTGAATCCAGGCTCGAAGAGTCAACTCTGTGATAAAAAATCTGGGCTGCCCTGGCAAAGAGCACAGGGGCCTCTGCACTGATCATCTTCACATCTTCATCCAGTTTCATAATCTTCTTAATACGAGCCAGTGGGAGTTCCTGCATTCAGAAATCTTTCACTGCTAAATTCCAGATTTCTTCCATGACCCGAAGCCAGAAGGACTTTAGGCTTTGCTGGGCATCACTGCGGCTAGTACCACCAAATCCTCCTTCTGTGGACATTTCGACAAACGCCTCTTCAGGGAGTCCAGGAAGAGCAGGAGCCGCCCTGGCGCTCCTGCGGAGTCGGGCACTGCATAGGCTCAGGCACCGCGGAGGTGAGGGGGGAAGCGGGAGTCTCGGAGAACGCAGCACGCGCGAAGCTGGCGCATAAACGAGATGGCGGCCACGCCGTTTGCACGGTCTCCCCTTTTCCCCTCCCCCTCCCCTGGCGCCCCGACTCCTATAATTAATTTCATGTAAGAGGTATTCTGAGAGCGTAGTTATATCAAAAACTTACCTGCGTTATTTGCGTGTGTGTGTGAAAAATGAAGATAAAGAGCATATTTAAAAGTAAAATCTACTTTGTGGGAATAGAATTTACTTTTCACTTTTATTTTTCCTTCCCTTTTCCAATGTTTGGGATCCGCAGAGGATGAGTGCTCAACGTACAGCAGAGAGGAGGATAAAGCTGTAAGCAGTGTCTCAGATTTGATTGTGATCTCTCTCTTAAATAATGTCCTCATTGTCTGATTGAGACAGAAACTCCCCACCTCCCTATTAAAAATTTTTTTTATAAACCCTGACCCAGAGGTTTCTGAAGCCTCCATTGATAACACACAATGGCCTGTTCTTCTAGGATGTTTCATGGCCTTTAAGGAAGGCTCTGTTCGCCCGCATGATGAAAGGGTGAGAGATGAGCAAGGAGAAGCCGAGGTTCACCCGCCTCGCCCTGGCTAGGCAGAGGACTGTGGGCAAGTGCAGGAATCCATAAAGGACGAGCTGGGCCGAGGGAAGCCACGTTTGTATCTCAAGGACAAGAAATAGGCAAACCTTCACAGGAAATATTTCCCGGCACCTTTCAGCTTAGAGGACAGAGGAAAGAGGAGGCAAGAAGGAAAAGGGAAATAAAGTCACAGAAGGGGGAGGAAAGGGAGGGAACCTAAGCAAGCACCACCATGAGCCAGAGCCAGTGTTCAAGGTGGCTTTGCCCCTTTTCTCGTCGTGGGCTTTCCGATGCCAGTCCTCTCCGCCCTGGCCTTTGGCTGAGGCCATTTTTCAATGGTCTAGAGGTGAAGTATCCCAAGCGGATGTGTCGTGCTGAGCTGTATTTGCACTCTCTGTCAGCTTGGCCTAGTGCCCACCCATTGTGAAGGCCCTCACTCTAATCCCTGAGCCTGTGAATGTGTCACCTTACATGGCACAGCGGACTTTACCGATGTGAGTAAACTTACAGTCTTTCAGATTAGACTGGGCTCATCTGGATTATCCAGATGAGATACAACGTCACTGGCTTTGAAACTGGAGGGAGGGACCACAAGCCAATGGGGGAATGTGGGCTGCCTCTAGGGGCTGGAAAAGGTCATGGATTCTTCCCGCATTGGACTTCAGAAAGGAAAGTAGCCCCGCTGAAACCTCGATTTTAGCCCAGTGAGACCTATGTCAGACTTCTGACCGACAGAACTATAAAATAATAAATTTGTATTATTTTAAGCCACTAAATTTATGGTCATTTGTGGCAGCTATGGAAAGCTGATATATTCATTAACAGATCTTCAGAAGAGCTAGAGGCCAGAGGCCAAAAAACACTTCATAGTCTGCTTGGCAGCTAATAGCAGGAAACAAGCATTAAATTGTGTGTCCTGTGCTTCTCTGCACTAGTCCCACTCTGCTTAGTTATAAAGGGCTGTAATGAGAGGAGGGAGCTGAAAAAGAACTGAAAGTATTTACCGACGTGGAGAGGAAGGAGATGACAAAGGTCAGCATAAATGGGGCTGTCTCCCATCTTTTAGGGCAAGTAAAAGGCTGGTGAGCCATAGAGTTGTGAAAATTATATTTTAAAATCAAAGTTGGGAAAGATTTCAAAGTTGGATTACTTTTTTCAAGCTCTGGGATTGTAAATATATTAAGGTGATAAAATAAAATGGTGCATGTGAGATCTCTTTGAAAACTGTAAAATATAAGATGTAGTGGGCTAGATAGTTGTCTCCAAAAGAGTAAGTCCGGGTCCTAATTCCTAGAACATCTAAATGGACCTCATTTGGAAAAAGGGGCTTTGCCAAGGTGATCACATTAAAGATCATGAGAAAAGGTATTCTGAATTACCCCTAAATGCAATCACATATATTTTCCCAAGACAGCCACAGATAGGAGAAGAGGAGGAAGCAATGTGGCCACAGAGGCAGAGACTGGAGTGATGGAGCCAAAAGCCAAGGAATGTTGGCAGCTGCCATATGTTGAAGGAGTCACAATCTTTCCTCATAATCTGGAGGAAGTGGCACCCTGCCAGCACCTTGATTTCAGACTTCTGGCCTCCAGAACTGTGGGAGGATACCTTTCTGTTATTTTAAGGCACACAATTTGTGGAAATTAGGTATGGCAGCCCTAGAAAACTCATATATGTAAGGTTAGGAGCTAAGCTAGAAAATAAAAGTACTACTAGAAATGGCAATATATTCATTTATGAGTGTTATTAAGTGGTCCACTGACAATCCCATGTTGTAGTAGGATGATGTGATTAGCATGTGAGCCCCTAATCAGAGTTCAAGTTCATGATTAGGTGGTGAGATCCTTGAGGATCCTGTCATCCCATAGTGCTGGGTGCCAAATAGGTGCCCAATAGATATTTTCTGGTTTGCATATCATAACAAGGAGTAATTCCTCCAAACAGGAGCTCATCAAGAATGTGGAAAAGTAGAACTGCTCCCATCAGGAATCGTGGCCCTGTGGAACCCCAGCTCACTCTTTCTCTTGGGAGCTACTGAATTCTCAGGAAAAGCCTATACCAAGTCCAGCAACTTCAGGGCCATCTGTGACACTCTGTGGACCCCTCATGAAGGTTTTCCCCCTAACTCTTATGCAAGAGAAGTTGACCATGCCCCAAAGCCACATCGACCAGACGAATCCCCATGATATGAGGGGATGGGATGAAATTTTCCAAGGTGAGGGTCGTGAAGCTACCTCTACCCAAGAGGGAGCCCGTTACGTCACATTCCTATTGGCCTCCATTCAAACCTGAGTCCTGCTGCACCGTGAATTTGAGAAAACTTTTGATCCTCAGATTGCTGCCTCATTTGTTTCTAGAAATGTCTAGAAAGTTTCTAGAAAATAGTCATTTTGTGTGGAAGCCTCCCAAAGTCCTTTACTGGCTAGCTTTGGCTCCTGTCACAATACCTTTCTCTCAGTCAGCATGACAACCATCTGCCCTTGAGGCTGAGAGGCCAAAACAAATATGATCAGGGTTGCTATCTTCAGAGTGCTGACAGCACCCTTGGTGTTGGACAACTGGCATGTTGGTTCCAGAATTGTTCCCCAGCCAAGTGCAGCCAGCCCAAGTCACAATGCCAAGGGTTGGTTCCCAAGGGACTTTGCAGAAACTGCAAAGTGAGAGAGGATACTATATACATTTGGATGAGAAATACGCTTCCATCAGCACTGGTTCCCCCACCCAATTCAGCAATACAGGAAGCTATTAAAAAGAATGCATGTTTTAGTTACAAGTTTGGCAATTGTTCATTTATCACTGTACAGTCTCCTTACACCCAAATATGCCCAGGAGTCAAACGTCCCAAATCTCTTTTCTCTCTCGTGGATGAAATTAATCATTTATTCAAATGAGATTTTCTGTGCTACATTGGCATGACCGCCCCTGTCTGGGATCCTGATGTCCCACTCAAGAGAATGGCTCTGTTGTTCTCCTTCTCAGACTGAAGCCCAGAGCAGCTAATTCGCCTCCTCACAGTGGCAGCATCCACACTGTGAATTTGTAGGTCAGGATGTCTGTTAATTCTTTTGATCCTATGGCTTCCTTCCTTGCTGCAACACTTCATGCATCTAGTCTGGTTGTGTTAGGATGGCTATGACCAGTTTTTGTCATGGTAATTGGGTTATATTCCATTCTATTTTAAAAGTAGAAGTATGATGCTTTGTTGAGGCAGTAACAATTCCTGTTATGTCAACTGCACGTTGCAGAACAAATTCAGTTTTCAGTGATTCTGTTTTTTGAGATGAAATTGGAAAGGACTTTGGAAATTGTCTGGCTCAAATTCTCCATTTTGAGATTCTTCCAAAGTCAAAAGCTTGTCTGTAATGGAGCAGGATTTGCAGTCAATTCTCAAAGTCCCCATTCTAAGCTCTTACCATGACCTCAAGCTTCCCAGAACATGATTGTCTGAAGATCCTTGACTATCTTGCATTTCCTTGTCAGTAATCCCATGTCTCATGTTCCTCCTGGAAAGGAATTTTGATATCCATTTATTTTGATAGGAGAGTCCTGGCCATCATCTGGCATGAGCTGCAGAGAAGCTTGTGTCCATCTATGAGGTGGGAGGCATATTATTTCCCAACCTAATTGCAGCTAAGCCACCAAGACTCTAGATGTTAGGGTGCAATGACAGTCGTCCTGAATGTTGGCTCTTGTTTGACAGCATCATTCACTCTTACTGCTGGGACTCACACATGGCAACGATGGGACCCTGAATGAGTTAAGGTGGATGCATTGATGGCCCCTCCTGTACTGCATTAGATGGCATCTGTGTAACCAGCTCATGAAGTTTGGCAGAACATGGAGAAAGACATGAGTAAAGAAGGCATGCTCTTCCCTTGGATGAAAGCACTATTCAAGCATCTCTCAGATAAGAGTTCCTGGCATGATACATTATCCTATTTTACCTTCTGAACAGGGTTGTGTTGAGGATAAAATAGCAAGATGACATGTAAAAGCACATAGAAGGTTTTCATGAGTAAAAATTAATATGACTGCTAAGTACTTGACTTTATATTACTAGTCCCTTTTAAAATGTATTTTTTAAACATGGACAAAATTGCCACATAATATGTAATATAAATTATCTGGGAAAAATTTGCTAACCCTCTTATTTTGGCCAAATGTCTCCCCCAGATGGATGTGGAACTAAGACTCAGATCCAATATTGGCTGTGCCAAATGAAGAAATGGAAATAGATTTGAAAGGTGGGAACTTTGAATGGAAAACTTTTTTTCCTTGCTTTCCAACCTAGAATCTGTTCAAAAGTGTTAGACAGCTCTCAGAATGCACAGTGGGAGAATAAAATTTCAAATGGAAAATTTTAAGTGCCAAGAGCCTCTCATCACTAGGATAACATTTTGTTTTTTCTTTCTTGAATTGTCTGACTTCCTGTCCTTTGCTGAACTATTTTGTAACCATTTTATTAGTATTTAGATGTTACATAAAATATTTTGGTTTGGGTTTTCTATAGGTTTTTGAAGGCATGTGAAATAAGGTCAAATCTTGTATTTTTGTAAAATTTTATCAATACATTCCTAAAGAAGAGGTTCAAAGGGTGGCGATAGAGAGAGGAGAGCAGTTAGTCCTAACCCTTAACGTTATTCTCCTCTTTTGGCACTTTGGTTCTTAGTAAGGAACAAGTCTTTCTTTTTCTTTTTTTTTTTTTTTTTTTTTTTTTGAGACAGGGTTTCCCTCTGTCACCCAGGCTGGAGTGCAGCAGCACTATTGTGGCTCACTGCAGCGTCAACCTTCTGGGCTCCAGCGATCCTCTTGCCTCAGCCTCCTTGAGTGAGTCTTCCTTGAACATTTACTTTCAACCAGGTTTGATTATAAGTGGTTTTGTTTCCTTTTGGTTTTGCTTTTGCTTTTTTCTGAATTCAGCATTTTCTTGTAAGTTGTCACAGTTACACTAATTCTTAAGGAAATAGATTCACTCCACATTTGCGTTGTTGGAGTTGTAGCTACCTTCTTTGTGTAAGTGGTTCACTGATGTGTTTTTTGGGATAATCAATACAGATGAATATTATATATTCATCAGATTTCAGATTAGCAGTCCTCGAATACAAGGACATTGTTTGGTAAATATGAGCGAAAGAGGAAATCTTTAAAGTTAGTGCAGTTGACTCACAAGATTGATGCACTGAGAACAAACTCCATGTCATCTCCATCCCTGGATCTCAGGGAGTGGCCTTCTTCCTCTCTTGCTCTCTGATATGTGACAGTTTGTAAGGTTGCACGAGAAGTTTATCTAGATAGTGGCCTCCAAGTAGACCCCCAGTGGTCACAGAACGGAAAGACTCCCAAATTAATGTCCAACCGAATTTGGACACAAATTAATGTCCAACCAATTTGGACAAAACCAAATGAATATCCTTGAGTCACACAGTTTATTAACTCAATTTAAAACCATTAGTCAGAAGCAAAGGAAAAGAGATGGGTAAGAAGTTAAACCAGTTACACGAAAGGGTGGAAGGACTACACTCTCAGAATCCTCAGCCGTGCAGTATTGATCAGCCCCGTCTCTCTCTTCCTCTTTGCTACCTGAACCTTCCCACTGACAGGCATATGTTAAGGACATAAGAGTGAGGCTTCAGCAATCCCAATGCAAGCCCAGTGAATGAAATGAGCTGCAGCCAACAATACACATTCTATTGCACAGATGCAAACTGTAGCTTGCCTGTGAGCCTGATAAATAGCTTTTGATTTTATCTGCCTTTTTTGGGGAGAGGACAAGTTAGGCCAGAAGAGATGTCACTAATGGGTAGCTGATGTAAGGCCTCATGAATATTGAGTGCCTCTTTGACTCGTGTATATTTAGGGTGTCATGAATATTCAGAGCCTCATATAGCTCATGGATATTTGGTTTCTATTGCCCTATGTATTAGTCTGGGCTCTTCAGAGAGACAGAACCAATAGGATACTGAGATGGGTGGATGGATGAATAGATTAGAGGGATACATGATAGATAGATAGACAGACAGATAGATAGATAGATAGATAGATAGATAGATAGATAGATAGAAAGAGATTTATTAGGGGAATTGGCTCACATGATTGTAGAGGCTAAGAAGTTCAACTCCAAAAGCCTCAGAAGCAGGAAGCCAATGTATAATTTTCAGTCTGATGGGGGAGGCCTGAGAAGCTGAGATGGGGCTGAGGGAGGATGCTGGAGTAAGTCCTGGAGCCCAAAGGCCTGGAGTTCTGATGTTTAAGGACAAGAGAAAGGTGTCTCCACTCCAGGAGAATAAGAAATAATTCATCTTTTCTCTGCCTTTTTGTTCTATCCATGCTCCCAGCCGATTAGATGGCGCCTGCCCACGATGAGAGTGGATCTTCCCTACTCGGTCCACGGACTCACAATCACCTCTGAATACACTTCACAGACACACCCAGAGGAAATGCTATAATACCCCTCTAGGTATCCCTTAATCCAGCCAAGCTAATACCTGAAGTTAACAGCACATGCTACTTCCCTTTGTTTCTTTGTGTAGTGCACATAGACTCTTTTTGTCCACGCATAACACGTCTCCCAGGTTACTAACGTATCTGTATCTAACACATGTCATCAATCTGTATATTCCTCATAAGCTACTTGCCTACACATCTTATGATTTCCATCTATCCCATTTGTTTTCTATAGCAGAACTGAATATTTTCAAATAATACAACAAACACAATACAGCAACATGCACAACTGGTTGAGTGGTGTATTAGGAAAAAAATAGAATTAGTAGTCATTCTTTATTGATGGGAAACATTTCTTTGGACTAACACCCTCTTAATGGCCACACCAAAAACAGGACCCCAGAAATCTAAAACAATAATAATAATAATCTTCTCGTTTGAGTTAATAGCACTGTGCTTTGCTTAGTTGTTTAAGTCCAAAAGCCAGCACTATGTTGATTTCTCACTACCTCATATTCCATCCATCAATAAACCCTGCTGATTCTACCTCTATTTCTCTTTAACATTATCACCCACACTAGTTTAGACCACAGTCGTCTCTTGCCTTGGCAGGGCAGTAACCTACCAACCAGCATCCCTGTGGCCATTCCTGTCTCTCTGCAGCTCACTTTCCACATGGCAAGCTAAGTGGTTTTTAAAATATGGAAATTCATGTGAGTGTCCTCCAACTGCTTCTAGATGAGTGTCAACCAAAGTATGGTCAGTGGAGATGGAAACAACCAAAATGTCTGTAAATTAACAAATGAATAAACAAAATGTGGTATATCCATATCATGGAAGGTTATAGGTTATTTGTCCATAAAAAGGAAGAAAGTTCTGACACATGCTACAACATGGATGAATCTTGACATTAGGCTAAATGAAAAAAGCCAGTCACAAAAGCCCACATATTGTATAATTCCATTTCTACAAAATGCCCAGCACAGGCAAATCAATAGAGACAGAAAGGACATGAGTGATTGCATAGAGCTGGGGAGGGGTGGGTGGCAGCAGGGCAGGGAACTAGCTACAGAGTCAAGGGTTTCTCATTGCAGGGTGAAAATATTCTAAAATTAACTGTGGTGACAATTGCACATATCCATCAATATACTAAAAATAAATTCTACACTTTAAAATGGGTAAATTGTATGGTATGTACATTATTTCTCGATAAAGTTTTTTTGTTTGTTTGTTTCTAAAGTAGTTTGTGAGCAGGCACCATCTAAATCATATGGCAGCTTGGAGAAATGCAAATTCTTAGGGCCCACTTCAGACCCACTAAAGAATCTCTAGGGATGGACTCAGCAATCTGTGTTGTTGTTGTTTTTTTAATTTAATTTTTATTTCAAGTTCAGGGGTATATGTGCAGGTTTGCTATATAGGTAAGCTTGTGTCATGGGGGTTTGTTTTACAGAGTATTTTGTCACCCAGGTATTAAGTCTAGTATACACTAGTTATTTTTCCTTATCCTCTACCTCCTCCCACCCTCCACCTTCCAATAGGCCCCGTGTCTGTTGTGTTAATGTGTTCTCATCATTTAGTTCCCACTCATAAGGAAGAAAATGTTTTGGTTTTCTGTTCCTGCTTTAGTTTGCTAAGGATAATGGCCTCTAGCTTCATTTATGTTCTTGCAAAGAACGTGACTCCATTCTTTTTCATGGCTGCATAGTATTCCATGGTGTATATGTGCCACATTTTCTTTATTCAGTCTACCATTGATGGGCATTTAGATTGATTCCATGTCTTTTCTGTTGTGAATAATGCTGCAGTGAACATGCGTGTACATGTGTCTTCTTTATGATAGAGCAATTTACATTCCTTTGGGTATATATCCAGTAATGGGATTGCTGGGTCAAATGGTATTTCTGTTTTTTGGTTTTTGAGGAATTGTCACACTGTCTTCTACAATGGTTGAACTAATTTACACTCTCACCAAGAGTGTATAAGCATTCTTTTTTCTCCACAACCTAGCTAGCATCTGTTATTTTTTGCCATTTTAATAATAGCCATTGACTGGTAAGAGATGGTATCTCATTGTGGTTTTGATTTGCATTTCTCTAATGATCAGTAATGTTGAGTTTTTTTCATATGCTTGTTGGCTGTGTGTATGTCTTCTTTTGGAAAGTGTCTATTCATGTCCTTGTAGTGAGGTTGTTTTTTCTTGTAAATTTAAGTTCCTTATAGAGGCTGGATATTAAACCTTTGTCAGCTGCATAGCTTGCGTTTTCTCCCATTCTGTATGTTGTCTGTTTACTCTGTTGATAGTTTCCTTTGCTGTGCAGAAGCTCTTTAATCAGATCCTATTTGTCAGTGTTTGGTTTTATTGTGATTGCTTTTGTCATCTTTGTCATGAAATCTCTGCCTGTTTCTATGTCCAGAGGGGTATTGCCTAGGTTGTCTTTCAGGGTTTTTATAGTTCTTGGTTTTACATTTAAGTCTTTAATCTATCTTAACTTAATTTTTGTACATGATGTAAGAAAGGGGCCCAATTTCAATCTTATGCATATAGCTAGCCAGTTATCCCAGCACAATTTATGGAATAGGAAGTCCTTTCCCCACTGCTTGTTTTTGTCAGCTTTGTTGTAGATCAGATAGTTGTAAGTGTGCAGCCTTATTTCTGCATTCTCTAACTTGTTCCATTGGTCTGTGTTTTAACAAACACTGAAGTTTGAGAAACACCAAAATAAATTAAAATCTAAATTCCACACCAGGGCCTACAAGGCCCTATAAGATCTTGTCATCTCTCTAACACCAACTCTGATCATAGTGGCACTGACCTTCTTTCTATGTCATGCAGAGGCCAAGTGGGTTCCTCTCTTACAGCCTTTGCATAATCAATTCCCCTTACCTGGAATCCCTTTCCCTTTCCCTCCTTGCATGTCTGGCTCCTTTCGTCAATCGGTTTTCAGCTTAAATGTTATTTCCTCAAAGAAGCCCTCCTAGACCATCCTAGCTAAATGAGTCTCCCATTCACCTGGTCACATCACCCAGTTGTATTCTCTTCAACACATTTACAACTGTCAGATATTTTCTGTATTACTTACTTGCAGACTATCTGTCTGCCTTCCTAGAATACAGGCAGGTCCTTCTATCTAGCAGGCACTTAATAAACATTTGTTGAATTGCTGAGGAAGCACTGACCTTGAGCCCAGGTACCCAGGAATACATACCCTACTGCTCACGACGGCCTATGCCTAGTTTCTGAGTTCTCTGTACTTGCAAAGGAATTGTGTTGGAAACTGTCTCGCCAAAATTATTCACATTTCCTGGTAACACAAACAACCACCCCAAGGACTGATGCTACAGAATAAGCTAAGGGCAGCTGAGGGAGATGAGCAAAATGGATGAGGAACCAATATTTCTTCTTCGCCGTACTAAAAATTCTCCGAGAATGGCCCCAATGCCTAATACAGATAAGATGCCAGAAAGATGTTTGCATAACTCTTGAACTAAATGCTTCAGATACGGAAAGAAATTCACTCTCACTTTGTAAGAAACCAGACCCCTGAGAGATGACCCCTCAGCTCCTTCAACCCTTTTGAGAATCACCTACACATTCTATTCCCTGCCCTCTCCTGTCCTTTCTGTTAAATGAGATATTTGTGTTTTAAATGAAAACCATTGTTTACCCATCACTAGCAGAAAATAATCAATGTGCATGCATTCCTCATGTAATAAGAATTAAATCCCTTAATCCTGTAATTTGCTCTTACTGGTTTAGAATTTTGAAGTCCAAGAACACATCTGCCATCGAGGAAGTTAATTCCAGGGCTGGCTGGCTCTGCGGATGTATGTATGTGGCCATTGTTCTCGCCTGAGGAATGGTCAGGAGGGGCTCAGGGCTCTGTTCGCATAATGAACCTTATGTTTCTAAACACAGGTGCATTTGGATGTAGACATCTGTGTCATTAAATGGGGGAAGAAATAGCACAATAGCAGCTCAGAAATGGGCCCCTTGGAAATGCAAGGTGGTGTTATTGCAGTAGCTCTTATCAACACCATCGTGATTTCTTTGATGATGGATCATGGTACTGAGACGGTGGTGACGAATAAAATTATCTCACCAGCATGTTTTCAACATGCAGCTTTTCACTGGGGGGTGGATGGATTGGTCTTGCCAGAGTTCACCCCATTGTCTTCTTATTGAAAAGAGTTGTCAGAGAGCCCCTATTCTATCCTACAATCATGCCAATCTGCTTTTTACTCCAACTTTGCATTTCATCTCTGTTATTTGATGTATAAGAATGAAAGAGCTCCTGGGACATGTTTGTACCCTAATGGCTCAGATGAGATGTCCTGGGAAATTATCAAAAATGTGCAGGGCAAAGAAAGGAAGGCTATCAGATGACCCACAGACACTCTCCTGCCACCCTTCACTGAACAGAGCATAAACGTGTGCTGTGTCACGGTTGCAGGATTCCTGTAATTCAGACACCTACAGGTATTTAGGACAGCACAGGTCTTACAGCAATTGATATTTTTGGCTGTTTCACAGGCACATATGCTCTGGGAATTTAGATTTTTGGAGTTAGTCATATGGCACATGACACTGTGCACTTGTCCTGTATTAATAATTTTTAAAAACATTATAACAAAAGTGTACTTCAACATCAAGTAAACAAAGTTAATTTTCTTTTTTATTTTTTAAACTACTTTACAGAGGAATGACTGACATACAAGGAGCTTTACATATTTAATCCGTACAACCTGATGAGTTTGGAGATAAGTTACACTTGTGAAAACCATCACCGCAAGCTATGCCATAAACCCATTCATTACCTACAAAAGTTTCCTCCTGCCTTCTTTATTTATTATTATTATTATTTGTAGTCTTTTGTCATAAGAGCACTTAGCATAAGATCTGCCGTCAGCAAATAGTTTAAATGTACAATACAGCATTTCTAACAATAGGCGCTATGCTATCCTGTAGATGTCTAGTACTTATTCTTCTTGTATAACTGAAGCTTTGTAACTTTTGGCTAATTCCTTCCTATTAATCCCTCCCTGCAGTGCCTGGCAACTATGGTTCTCCCTCTGCTTCTATGGGTTTGGCTCTTAAGATTCATCATGTAAGTGAGGTCATGTGATATTTGTCTTCTGTGTCTGGCTTATTTCACTTACCATAATGTACTCCAGGTTCATTCAAGTTGTCACAAACGGCAGAATTGCCTTCTTTTATTAAGGCTGAATAATGTTCCATTGTATGTATATACCACATTTTCTTAATTCATTCATTCGTCAGTGAATATTTAGATTGCTATTTTGAATGATTCAAAGTTAATTTCAAACTTTGCAAAAAAATTAATATGCAAAGTTATATTTTAATGGGGATCTTAGATTCATAGCTTCATTTGACTAAAAACATTCTGCTAGCTTTCTTCTTCTTTTTTTTTTTTTTTTTTTTTTTTTTGAGATAGAGTCTCGCTCTGTCACCCAGGCTGGAGTACAGTGGTGCGATTTCTGCTCACTGCAACCTCTGCCTCCTGGGTTCAAGCCAATTCTCCTGTCTCAGCCTCCTGAGTAGTCAGGATTACAGGTGTGCGCCACCACGCCTGGCTAATTTTTGTATTTTTAGTAGAGACGGGTTTTCACCATGTTGGCCAGGGTGGTCTCAAACCGCCCTCCTTGGCCTCCCAAAGTGCTGGGATTAGAGGCGTGAGCCACCGCGCCCGGCTACTTTTTTCTAATTCTAAAACTCCTGGTGAACATAATGTCTCAATAAGTTGTAGATGCTATGGAGGTGTTTTATTAACATTCTCAAACTTTGAGTTGGAGCTGCAACTAACGTTCATGTAATCTGACAAAACAGAGATACAGAGAAGTCAAGTGATGTTCCAGAAACACACAATGAGGCTGTGGTAATACCTGGACCAGAATCCAGTCTCCCCACTTGAAGTTCATTTCTCCAGCCGGCATCTGTCTCTCTACCTTCAACCTCAGCTATGTAGGTGACTCGTGATAACAAGCTGGCAGTCTTCACCACAAGGCGCACCTGTATCTGGCCTAGGATGCAGACAGGCAGAAGGAGGAGATGGACAGGAGCCAGGACACCTGAAGCCCAGCCACTGCCCTTGCCATCAGGGGAGCTCACTAATCAGCACCCACATGGGGAGCTGCTGTGACACCAGGTGCCCTACGCTGACCTTAGGGGTGTAATGGCTATTGCCTCACTGCCACCTTTGAAATCTCACACACATTTCCCTATGGCCAATCCTGACCCAGAATTAAACAGTGAAGGCAAGTCTGGAAAGCCAGCTCCACCTTAGCTAAGTAAAAAGTCACCATGCTACGTTACATCTGTTGTTGTATTCACAGAAGCCTTTGGTTTTTCTTTATGACAAATATAAAAGAATATGTATATAGAGGCCTCTTCTGGATTTCCTTGATGGAATTATTGATTTTCTGTCACTTTGAGTATGCCATTGCCTTGGATCATTGTCTCATTATACTGTGTTTATTGGAATGAATTAATGCTACTTGTCTATTTGTGTATCACCTATATATAAAATGTAGAGTCTATTGATCATACTTGCGGCCAAAACAGGTCCTTGAGCATAACATATGTCAGGTAAATTAAGATTAGACAAAATTCAGGATCTATATGGCACTAATGTCTTTGTAACAAATAGCAAAGACATGGATGGAACTGGAGGCCATTATCCTCAGCAAACTTACACAGGAACAGAAAACCAAATGCCACATGTTCTCACTTATAAGTAGGAGCTAAATGACACACATGGACACACGGTGGGGAACCACACACTGGGGCCTGTTGGAGGTTGGGTGGGAGGAGGGACAGCATCAGGAAGAATAGCTAATGGATGCTGGGCTTAAAACCTAGGTGATGGGATGATCTGTGCAGCAAACAACCATGGCACACGTCTACCTTTGTAACAAACCTGCACATCCTGCACATGTACCTTTGAACTTAAAAAAAGGAAAAAATTATTTATACTATGTATTTATGTATGTAGGTAGTATATACGTATGTGTCATTAATATCTACCTATCATCTAAATGTCTATCTATCCATCTAACATCTTCTATCATTTATCTGTCTATTTGCCCATCACCTACTATCTAAAATCAGACAGTGCTACATACACTTAAGAAAGACAGTTTTGATGGGCACACAGCCATATATCTAAAGACTGATAGCTGAGAGACTGAGAAATTGGTGTTGTAACCTCTGAGTAATTTTTTTAACTACTAAACACCTGTTACTCATCCAAAAGCCAAAAGAATTGACGGTTATGTAAGCTGTTTCTTCACTTTGGCCTCTAGAGATTACATCTTGGTACAGATAGGAAATGCAGAAACAGTAAACAAACAAAAGAAACAAAAATATCTAACTACACATGAGTATTGGGAATTTGTTCAGCTCTCATGCTCAGCTTCTGACTCTCAAAGCATTTCATAGATTCTGCAGACTTGTAGCCTGTTTTTATTTTTTTTCTCAGAGCCAAGCCCAACAATTCTACTTTCCTTTCCTCTTTCTAAGGTAAAAAAGCAAAATTGAGACTGTAGGCAAAAATAAAAATAAAAAATAAAAATCAACAAATAAAGAGCGCTTCATACAACAAATAAGGATACTTGGCATAGAGACATTAATATAATGCACTAAGACTATGAATCAGTCTTCCAGTCGTTACCACCAACCCAGAGGGAAAAGGTGAGACAAATGGTTTTCATAACTCATGATAGAACATAGAAAGGGTATTTGTGGGTGGAAAGAGCCCTGGGCTTGGATCCAGAAGAACTGAGTTGAATCCATTTATTCATTTGTGACCTCTTAAGCATTATTTAACTTATTAGAGTTTATGTTTCCTCTTCTGCAAAATGGCTAAATCTTATCTGCTTCCCTGAGACGTTCCAGGGTTGAATGAGTTCATTTATCTGTCTACCTCCTGCTTTCTCTTACCTAATACTTCCTCACCTACTTTTGACTCCATTTGCCTCATAATTTCCCAAGAAAAATCATCAAATGATTGATATATGCAAATGTGACTACAAGTGAGATCACATTATTTTTAAATGTGAAAGGATTAGGATTTAGCAGGCAAGTAGATATTTTAAAAGAACTTACTTCTTAGACTGACAACCGCTGTTTATTTCGCTTTATCAAAACAACTGAACCAACCCAGTGACCAAGAAAAATATTCATGTCAGAAAAAATTGTGGAAGATTTTGAAATTGGCAAAAAAAGATAACTGGGTGTTGTGCCCAGAGTACCCTTATGGGATATCTATGTCTTTTATTTTGAACTATTTTACAACTTTGTAAGCTGTAGATGATTGACGGCAATGCAAATTAGTCATGTCCAAAGACAAACACAGTCTCATCATTGATAGAAGTTATGTTCTATAAAGTTGCCATGAACACTGAATTAAAGAATGTCTACTTCCATAAAGCTCTAAAATACTTTTGCAGGGATGTTGGCTTTTTTTTTTTTTTTTTTTTGAGACAGGGTCTCGCTCTGTCACCCAGGCTGGGGAGCGGTGGCACCATTTCGGCTCACTGCAACCTCCACCTCCCTGGTTCAAGCAATTCTCATGCCTTAGCATCCCAAGTAGCTGGGATTACAGGCATGAACCACCACGCCCAGGCTTAACCTTTTATACTTTGTAATACATTCTCCTTTTCTTTTACAGTAGCAGCTTTCTTGTTATCTTATGCCATATGACAAATACGTAGCAGGTCAATCAGAAAATACAGATATCATGAAGATACACTATAAAAATGATACATACTCTGTGTAATTTATTTTAATTCAAAATATACACATTTACATTTGTTTACCAACATTTGATACAGGGCCAGGATTATTCTTTGATTTTGGAGATAGCTGATTGAAGTTTTGTATTGTCTTTCATACATGAACCACAACAAAAATAAGTATTTTGTAGCTCCCAGCTTCAATTTCTTCTTAAAGGAAGCAAGATCTTAAATCAAAACCAAGAAAACCATGAGAGAGCAGAATCTCTCTGGATTTTGAAGATTTTTTTCCCCAAAAACTTTACAGTTCTCCTAGAACTGTTCAAAGCATTAAGTTTAATTTTTATAGAGAAAATTATTTTTCTAAATTTAATTTTCATTGATTTATATTTAATTTAATTAGACAATTAACAAGGACAACTGACAGAGACAGGTTTGGGAACAAATTTAGCTGATTCTGCTTAAGCATTCAACTCATATGGTAAGAAAATAATTCATAGGATTCTTAAGTAAAATCCAGTACAGCAAATATTTAACAGACTGTGGGCAGCTATTAGTATGCTTAGAAAAGGAACCAAAAGCAGGTAATTCACGGTGAGTTAGATTGCCCTGAAGTGGTTGTTTGTTTGTTTGTTTGAGATGGAGTCTCGCTCTGTCACCCAGGCTGGAGTGCAGTGGGGCGATCTCAGCTCACAGCAACCTCTGCCTCCTGGGTTCAAGCGATTCTCCTGCCTCAGCCTCCCGAATAGCTGGGAGCATGCCACCATGCCCGGCTAATTTTTGTATTTTTAGTAGAGACGGGGTTTCACCATGTTGGCCATGCTGTTCTCGAACTCCTGACCTCGTGATCCTCCCGCCTTGGGCTCCCAAAATGCTAGGATTACAGGCGTGAGCCACCGTGCCCGGCCCAAAGTGTGTTTAACTACCTAGGAGTTTAACTACTGCGGAGTGACCAAGGAGCCCTGGCAGACTAAAAGGAGATACACTAAGAGCTAATCTAATCCCAACTGGGGATGTGGTTTGGAAAATCGCTCAGCCCCTTGCTGTCTCAGTTTTATCACCCATGAAAAGTGAAGTTTGAGCTAGAATAAAATCATGTGCGTCAACTTCATCTCCTAAGTCAATCGTTTCTTAATTTTTTTTTCCATTGCTTGTCTTATTTTGCTTTGCAGATTGCCTAAAATTGTAAAATGCTTCGTATTGTTTACATATAGCATCAATGACAGTGTTGAACTTAAGCTGATGCTTTATAACTCATTTCCTGGCCTCTGAGTTGGCAGTAGAAGTGGAAACCATTGTCCAAGGCCTTTGGTAAGAGTTTTAAACAGTTGCATTAGACAATGGGCTGGCAATATGTGGTAATGGGGACACCAAGTGAAAGCCTGCAGCTCTCAGCTTTGCCCTTGGCCCCCATCAGTAATCTGGGGAGAAAACCCTGAACCAAGGAGTCTGCGTCTGATGCCTTTTCTCTTTTGCTCTGTGCAGGAGTGTGTCAGTGCTGACCCTGCAGCTACAGAAATGACCAAATCAAACCTGTTGTACTGAGGGTAAAGCTCAAATGGACCCTGTGACTACTCCTCCTCCTTCCCCAATAAACCTTTGTTCCTGACCAGAAAAATCCGTGCTGCACTCATAGGAGGGAATATCTTGTTATACACAGAAGAATATCTTGTTATACCCCAAATCATGTGCAATGACTGTACCAAAGTCTACTATGGATAGCAGATAGTTGGATATCCATAGGATATCCATAGTAGACTTTGAATGGTACAGTCATTGCACATAATTTGGGGTAATTCATCTGAGTGGCCGTAATTATCATGGATAAGTGATGTATGGTATAAGAAGATATTTGTTTGTCTCATATGCATATCTTTTTTCCTTCGAGGTTTTTAGGAATATGAGTGTAAAATTAGTGCTCTGAAGTCAGCAATGAGTCATTACCTCTTTGCCTTCATCCATTTTTGTGTTGCTAGAAAGGAATACCTGAGGCTGGGTCATTTATAAAGAAAAGAGAGGCCAGGTGCGGCGGCTCATGGCTGTAATCTTAGCACTTTGGGAGGCCGAGGCAGGTGGATCACAAGGTCAGGAGTTCAAGACCAGCCTGGCCAACATGCTGAAACCCCGTCTCTACTAAAAATACAAAAATTACCTGAGCGTGGTGGTGTGCACCTGTAGTCCCAGCTACTCGGGAGGGTGAGGCAGGAGAATTACTCGAACCTGGGAGATGGAGGTTGCAGTGAACCGAGATGGTGCCACTGCACTCCAGCCTGGGTGACAGAAAGAGACTCCATCTCAAAAAAAAAAAAAAAAAAAAAAGAGGTTTATTTGTTTCACAGTTCTGCAGGCTGTATAAGAAGCATGGCACCAGCATCCGCTCCTAATGAGGGCCTCAGGCTGCTTCCACTTTTGGCTGAAGGTGAAGGAGAGCCATGTGCAGAGATCTCGTGGTGAGGGGGAGGACATTAATCTAGTCATGAGAGATCCACCCCTGAGACTCAAACACGGGCCATAAGGTGGAACCTCCAACATTGGGAATCCAGTTTCAACATAAGATCTGAAGGGGACAAATATCCAAAATATAGCACTCTTCATTCTCCCCAGCACATCCCCCTGCTCCCTTCCCTTAATCAGCACTACTTGAACTGAAGTGGATTTTGAGCCTTTAACATTGTATTTAAAAAAGATATTTGTGTTCTCTGTTCTAAATTTTAAGATCAACTGAGCATGACATTTCAGGTATCTTTCTCTTACAAAAACAAAACGAAACATGAGAAAATGAAATTAAGTTTCTTTTATATTCCCATGTGGTTGTGATTTTCTTTTAAAGCAGGTCAATTGCCTTTAATAGAAAACTTTCCCAATTCCTGTTAAAAAAAAAAAAAAAAAAGGAGGGGGGAAATGTTCCAAATCTCAGTCTAAAGTAGCACTCAGAAACAGATAATAGTGCAAACTACATGAATAAGATTAAGTGTTCTTTTTTTTTTTTTTTTTTTGAGACAGTCTTGCTCTGTCACCCAGGCTGGAGTGCAGTGGCACCATCTCCTCTCACAGCAAGCTCCACCTCCCGGGTTCAAGCCGTTCTCCTGCCTCAGCCTCCTGAGTAGCTGGGACTACCGGTGCCCGCCACCACACCTGGCTAATTTTTTGTATTTTTAGTAGAGACAGGGTTTCACCGTGTTAGCCAAGATTGTCTCGATCTCCTGACCTCGTGATCCGCCCGCCTCGGCCTCCCAAAGTGCTGGGATTACAGGCATAAGTCACCATGCCTGGTGAATAAGGTTAAGTTTTCTAGTAGCCATAAAAAGAAACAGGTAAAATTAATTCAGTAATATATTTTATTTAACTCAATATACCCAAAATATCATCATTCCATCAGGTAATCATTATTAAAAATATTAATGAGATATTTTACTTTTTTTCTCCTTCTTTTGCATTAAGTCTTTGAAGTCCAGCATGGGTTTTACACTTCTAGCACATCTCATTTGGGATTAGCTACATTTCAAGTACTTATTAATAGTAGCCACCTGTGGCTAGTAGCTACTATATTGGGTATTGCCGGCCTAGGGATTCTTTTTCACATGCTGATACCTAACTTTTATTTTATTTCTATTTTGTCACTTTGTTTTAAAGGACAGGAACCATTTAGAGCTCAAGTCTTATGTCAGATGGAAATTTTTCCCAGTTTCTACGTATTCTATAGCAGTTTCTATGAGGTATAGAATTTTGTCAAATGGCCACTATTTCTCATTCTGCCAGGGACACCTTCCCCGAGAACTTCAGTATGTATTGAGAGTGAACAGTGAGTCAAAGCAAAATTACTTAGCCTTATTAATTCCAGTTTTAACCTCCCAAAAACCAAATTTTTCAAATAAGAATTACATACATTATCTAATAGTAAAAATTTTTCAGGCTGTCTTATTCAATATCTCTAAATATGCACAGAGCATTCAATAATTTTCTAGCACCTTGCAAATTGATACAAGCCTAGCTATTTGGTGGAACTTTCAAGGTGAAGAATATGACATGTTACATTAGTTCCTTATGTGTGGATGCTGGAGATGACAACTACTGATAGCTTTCCTCACCCGCCCTGTGGGAGGGGGGGCCTTCCTCCTCAGATTTCCCAGATTATTAATGGAATTTCTTCTTTTGTAAACTCCACACTGACCCCACAAATCTAGTACCTGCACATCTCTATCTCATTATCTTTATTATAACATGATAACATCATATCTCCATTATAGGATTTGGGCAAGTTAAAAAAAATAACAAAACCCACTATGATTCATTATGTTGCCCCTTCCACCAGTCTATGAGCTCCTCAGGACAGAAACATTCCTTATTCTTCACTATGTCTGAGTGAGCCCAAGTAGCAATGCCCAGTGCATGGTTGATGCTCAGCCTTTCAATTGAAAGCAGGAAGTTTTGCCCTCTTCATTCACCTTTGACTCTTACATGTCATATGCCTTCATCAAGATCCAGGTCAGGACACATTTTCTCAATACTACCTGTGCTGGTCAATCTCACCACAGCTGATACCTTCCGTTGAATTGCCTTCATTCAACAAACAGCCATGGGTGCCTACTTTAAACCAGGCACTGTGCTGGGGAAGGCGGTAAAAACACAGATGTGTTCTTAAATTCAAGAGGTCGGAGGAAACGTAGACAAAAATCAGTGCATTGAGTATTGTGCTTTTGAAATACCTTCCTGTGTATTTTTCCTTCTGAGCAGCCTGTTTTGTTTAATCTGTGGTTTCTTTCTGTCCAGTCCCTTCCACTGTGAAGCCTCTGGAAGCTTAGAGTCTCAGGGAGGTGATCACAGGTACTGCTTGGAACAAGCATTTCTAAGGGTAGGGAGGAAAAAGAAGCCCCATTCATGGCCGAGGAAGTATAAAGTTGAGAGAGCGAGAGAGAAAGAGGGAGAGAGAGATGAAAGAAAAGAGGGAGGAAGGGATGGAGGGAGGAAGAGAGGGAGGGAGGGGAGAAAGAGATATCACAGCGGGCCTTGCCTTTCTCTGTCACAGGCAGATCCTAGGAGCTGCTTTTAAGTCTTGTCTATGCTAATTGGAAGTCAGAATTTAAACTAGACTGGACTAAGTTTTAAAATATAAATGACTAAATATTTACTGGATCTCTCTAAGCTATCTAGTTTCTGGCTACCCACACAGATGGTGACTCAATGAACAAAATGAAAGCATTCACTGGAAATATTAAAACTGGTCCATATTTGTACAACATGAAGTTGGCCCTCCTAGTCAAACCCACTACATATGGTGAGGGAAAAGTTCCCAGGTACTTCCTATATGGCTAGAGTGACTTTTTAAAAACTACATTTCTTTCAGAAATCACCACTTCTTTTTAAAGACCTTATCGGAGGTTCAACTGCGAGTATCCTAGATGCAAGACCATAATTGATTGATTGTTCTAGGAGGTTTCATGCACACAATCTGTTCAACAAATATTTATTGAGTGGGTGAATTTGTCAGTTGCTTGTAAAGAAGAGAAAAAGTCTATTTTTTAAAAGTCAATTGTCTTGGTAAGTTCTCATTAACCATTGTTGCTAATTGTACAGAAGTTCAAATGCAGAAATGCTGGTAATTTGTTTTCATACTTCACCATGAAAGAATTTCTCAAACTCTCTATTGTTGTTTTTTAAAAAAGTCAAGGAATACAAGATACAGATTTTAGAACCAGAAAAATCTGGGCTCAAATTCCAGTTCTGTTATGGAGTAGCTGTGACCTTGATCAAACAATCTAACTACTCACAGTCTTGGTAGTCTCAGCTATAGACAAAAAGAAGGAGGGAGGAAGAAAAAGAGGGAGGGAGAGAGAGAGAGGTAGTGAGGGAGAGAGAGGAAGAAGAAATAAAACATCCTCCTTTGAGGGTTGTTGTTGGGGAAGAAGGATTAGAGACAACTTGAGGAAATATCTAATATGGTTCTTAGCACAAAATGGATAGTAAAAAAAGCTGATAATTATGATTATGATCATCAGTGCTATTGGTTGATTTCTCATCCTTGAAATAACCACATTTTTTTCTGAAAAGATCCAATTGCTTTTTGTCTCTGGTCATTCCTCATATTACCTTCTTTATTGCACTCATTGCAGTTAGGGTCTGAATGACACTGGAGATTTGTAAACTGATCTCTGCCTCCAGGGGGTGGCAGTCTTCCCAGCTCTTCATCATGTCATTCACTTGCTTCTGAGGAATGGCTCAATGGCTCCTCATTGTCCTCAGCAAGAACCTTACTTTCCCAGAGATGGTTTTGGGAGGGGAGGGGTGGGGAGTGGGTGATGAGCATGTGAGTCACAATCTTGCAAGGTATTTTGAAGATACACCACACGGAGACATTCAGAAATAGAATCAATGAAAATTATTAACTACATTAGTCAGTATCCTGCTCATCAGGTGAGCTGTGGGCCACTGTAACTGGAAACACCAAAAAATCATCATAGAAATGTCGAAAATTGTTGAGGATCCTGAAACAAGGAAGTAACCAACTCCAGAGCCAATGTGTAGGGCAGGAACACGAGGGATACTCTGAAGAGGAGGGAGGTTAGGACAAAGTAAGAAGCAGAATCCAGACAAGCCCACAGGAAAGATGGAACTCTCAGCCTCCTGGCCTCTCACTAATTCCTTAATGTGAAGAAACTGTCATTTTGATAATTCCTTGCACAGAATTTGTCTGTCTATATGTTTAGGCTCGAGTTAAACTCTAGTAAAATGTTGATAGTTATCATTGCAAAATGTGGATCAGCTTGTACTGAGCAAAACCCTGCAACTCAGGACTTTATGAAGACTGAGAACTGCTTCAGGTGTTGTCAGAGGAGGGAACCCGGACAGTGTGGCCATTACCTGATGATTCATGTCAACGTTTCAGTACCCAGAAGACACATGATTTACTCTGGGTCCCTCCAGAAGCTGACACTAAGCTAAAGATACAAGTATGAGCACTTTATTTGGGAGGTGAGAGTAGTATACACTGGTAGGGGAGTAGGGATTGGCATAGGGAAAAGAAGCATAGAGTGGAGGATTAAGCAGCTTCCACTGGGTGAACTCTGGGAGCCATGTGGAACCCCTCCCAAGGGATAAAGGACCTGTGGGTATTTATACACCAACTCCAGAGGTCATTGGCTGAGGGCTGCTCCCATGGGGCATTAATTCCTTAGTGCTATTGATGTAAGGCCACCATACTTCCAATTCTTCTTCTAAACGAAATGAAAATTGAGTACAGTTATAGGTGAAGAAAGGTGAAAAAGGGTGATGGGAAGGGAGTGATTGAAACAAAGATGCCACAGCGCCCTAAAGCTACTCCTTCCTCACATCAAAGTCCTGGGCGCACTCCTTTCTTCCCTGCCACACACACTCTACTGCATTTTCAGTGCCTGGTGCACATTAGAAATGCAGAGCTCATCAGAGTGTAATTTTTTCAACACAATGAACCTGCTTATATAGTGGAAAAAAATCTTCTAGAAGATTTTGACAGGAAACTCTTAAAAATTTATTTTTAACTGTGTGAGTCAAAATCTAAATTACAGAGCTTAAGAAAGTAAAGAATATATACCAACCAAGTATTTAAGTTTGTGTGTGCATGCTTATAAACACACCTCTCCTTTCTTATTATGTGAGATTGAGCAGAGATCAAGCACCTGAAGTTCTAATTCTGTCCCAGAAAAGCATTCCCTTCCCAGGCTGTCACATCACATGCTCAGACACCCAAGTGACTCCATCTCCCCAGATGCATGAAAGCCAGTTCTCTCAGCTCATCTTCTCCCTAGCTCCCACCCCTGGAAGCTGTTAGACATTTTGGAAGCTGTGCCTTTGGCTCCTGTCCAAGGAACAGTTATTTCCCACTTGTGGCCCTGAAGAGTTCATGGGAGCCTCCCAAAATATGTTGCTCTCTTCCTAGGAGTAGTTTTTGTCCTGGGAGACCTGAGATACATAAAAATTTAAAATCAGTTTCCACTTCGAGAAGGGAAAATGAGTGATGTATTAATATTAGAGCCATTGTCTTGCTGCTTGCCAGAGCAAAAGAAAACCTCTCTGGCTACACTCAACTGTGTATCCTGGGGCTTAGGCTTCCAATTAATTTTAACATAAGGAAAAATTCTTAACTCATATCATAAGGGATCCTTTATTTTCTGGTTCACACTACCTGTCTCTTGTGTGGAGAAATCCAATATAGCCATGAAGAGACAAGGACTCAAACAGGCCATTCTAACTGATGGAAAGCTTGGACTGTGCCCAATGCAGATGTGTCATCACCCTCTTGGGGAGGTGCTAAGTCCACATACTGGGGCTTGGGGGAAAATGGCAAGATTGCTCCCCAAAATGTCACTTAGTC
Source organism: Homo sapiens (assembly GCF_000001405.40). Classification (NCBI taxonomy): domain Eukaryota; kingdom Metazoa; phylum Chordata; class Mammalia; order Primates; family Hominidae; genus Homo; species Homo sapiens. The sequence goes on from NC_000009.12 coordinate 87,109,400, forward strand.
TTAAAAGGAGTGACTTTAATTCCTGCCTTTGATGGTGGAGTTGTTGAATCCTCTGAAGCATGCGCACACGCACACACACACAGAGAGAGAGAGAGAGAGAGAGAGAGAGAGAAAGAGTTTTCCTTTAAGCCTGGAATTCCTCAGGTTTGATTTCAAACTAGAAGAGAAATTTTTGTTGCAGAGACAGCTTATAGAGAAATCCTCAGGCTGTTTGGGAATTTCAGCACTTTGAAAAATGAGAATGTGTGGAGGGATTGTTTTTCTTTGCCATGTCTCAGTCCTTTTTTTCCCTCCCTCATCCACAATTCCAAAAAGAATACCCTTTTATAAGGTCAAGATTTTCATGTGCTTAGTTTTCATGTCAGATTGTTAAGAAAAAATATAAATTTCTTCATTTTGTATATGCACCATAATTTTTAAAAATACAGAATCTCATACACTTTTGAAACACATAGCTAGAAAAAAAAGCATTATCATATGACTCAGGTCATAAAGGTTAAGGTTGGGAAAAAAGATTTTCCTTGTGAACATAAAGTTCTTTACTGACTGATGATCCCCACATAAGTGGTTTAAAAGTTTCCCACTGTTGCTGAAATAGTAAGTCATGCAAAGATGAGCATAAAACTGGATATTTGTTTTTCATCCTGAAATATGTTCTCCTTGCCACTTTTGACCTTAAATGGAGTTTCTGCTGTCTCTGATTCACTCTGTTTCTTTTGTGCTCTCTGTAGTAATGTGCTGGGTAGCTCAGATGTGACTGTGATACTGTTTTCAAATATCTGTGGCCACAAGTAGTTATACTATTTAATGTTCACAGATTCCATATCCTTTTTTCCAGTACTCCTATGTCTTAAATACAAATTTCTTAAAATATGTTTTTATTAAAAGAACTAGAAAATGATTTTTAAAATGTATGTAAAGGGGATTGCTTACTTAATAGTTCATTTGGTTACCTGAATACAAGGTCATGTGGAAAATCTTCCACTTACCACCTCAATCTCTTCTACCCTGGAGCCCATTCTCATTAATTCTGGACAGTTCTGTGAAGAAAGGGGATAGTGCAAAAGGAGAGACAGAGAACAAAAGATGCTTGAGTTTCAAGGTTGGCTGGCCTGACAAAAGTGTCTAGCCCAATCCCTGCATCCAAAATGTGCATGTGCCTACAACATACCTGGCTTTGCTTAAATACCACCACTGACATGTAAGGGTAGGGGGCTCTCTTTCCTTATACTACATGCAAATGATGGAAGAGTTGTTTTTCTTAGAATCAGGCTAGTTAACATTCACAGGAGATTTTTTAACCCCATTTGACATACAAGTTTACCTGTTGATTAGATTATTTTCTGTCTGTACCTGAGGCCTCTAAGCTACATTTGGACAGAGAGGCTTATGTTTTGTTCCCAGCTTTATTGCAGACACTTTATTGCAGACACATATTGCAAGCACTGTGTTAGTGCTTGATATAGTACGCAAATACCTGTGGAAAATGTCTATGAATGTGCCTCTGCTCATTTCATAGAAGTTCAGGTGTTTGGAGATGGCTACCTAAGTAGTAAAATTAAAGAATGGTGCCTGATGACCATGTTCCTTGGTCATGAGCTATTGGATGCTGGTGGCTGTGACCTACTGATGGGGTCAGCTGAACATTGCATGGCCACATTTTGCCACACCCTGGTCAACAGGTCAGTTGATCTCTTAGATTCTTAGAATTTGGGTTCCTAAATTCTCTGGTGGAGTTCAGAATCGGCATTTCAAAAGAAATTTTCTGGGAAATTATGATTTACAGTTGGTTTCGCACTGACCTAACAAATGTGATTCATGAACCGGGCAGCACTCAGAACCAGAAGAGGTTCAGACAGCCCAGCAGTGTGAGTGGTGAGTTTTTATAGGTCAGATTCAGTTGTAAAGTAGAGCGATCACCTGATTTGGCTACAACCAGGCGTCTGCCATATTTGAGCGTGGTGCGATGAGTTGGCTGCCTGTATTAGGCTGGAACCTGACTGCTTGTGATTGGCTGAAACTCAGCGGTTTGCTATATTCCTAAGTCAGGTTTTGGTTTGTTTTCATATTCAATTAGGTTGCAGTTTCTTACATAGGAACTCAAAGTACAGAGACAGCTGCAGTCTAATGGCCTCCTGCTTATTTAATTTAACATCTCAGTATTATACTGATGATATAAACAGAATGCTGTGGGGACACAAAGGAGGGAACAACAAACTTGCTTGAGGGTAAAATCCAGCAGCTCTAACTCTGAAGCAATGACAATATAGTTAGGGAGAAATCACTCCAGTCACTGACTTGCCTGTGGATCCCATTTCTTTATAATCCCTAGAAAGATGTCTTGGAGGTCTTTGAAGAAACATTTAGATTTGTACTAGTGGAGAAGAAATGAAAGGGTTTTGAAAGCAGAGAGAATAACTAAAGCAAAGTGTGAACATCTTATGTTCATGGATATATAAGACTAGGATGAGGAAGAGTGGGTGCTAATTCTAAGTCAGTTGCCTAACATGCATCATAAATTGCAGAATATGAGCACTTTAAAAAACAATCTATTTAAAAAAAAAAAAACTTGTGGATGTCCCAGGATAATGACTTGGTGCTTTTCCATTTAGGGAATCATGTCTCAGAGTCATTTCTGTGCCAATAGTTTTTGACAAATAATAAAATCTCAAAAAATGTTTGATGAAGGACTATTTTACCCACCTGAGGGAAATGATGATCTTTTTATTTGTAATGAATTAGGCTACATAAAATCTAGGAGATGCTGGTAGTTATCTTGAGACCAGGAAGAACATTTTAAGGGGAAGCTACAATCCAAAGGAAGACAGATCCAACTCAAAGATAAAACAATTCCTGGGGATATTACTGAGCTGCTGAGTTGAGATGATTCTAAAGTCAGAATATAGCCAACACATTCCATTTATTGCATTTTTCTTTCAGCTTTATTATTAGATATTTCAAACCTGAAGAAAAGAATAGAAAAATAATATAAGGCATATTGGTATACTTACAGCCCAGCATTTTAAAACTGTTAGAATTTCTTCTGCATTTTTCTTAGAGAAATCAATCATTAAAGGTGCTGTTGAAATTCTTTCTATAGCATCACTTGATCCAATGTCCCTACCTTCTGGTTCTCTTTAGAATTACCTGCTTTCCAGATGTGGGATGTGCAATTCCCATTATGTTAGGGCCCAGCTGCTGTAACAAAGACACACAATGCTTCAGCAGTTTCTAGAATACATCTTTGTTTGTTACTTAGCCCCAGTATGAGCAATGCAGGAAGGAGAGGCAGTGCTCTCCCACAGGGTCTTCCAGGGAACATCGTTCTTTCCTCTTGTAACTTCATCGTCCCCGGACTGTCATCACCTGCATGATTGAAGCTGAGTCCCTGCCACTTCCCGGTTCCAGATGGTGGGAAGGGGTGGAGAGTTTGAAAGGGGCACATCCATGTCTTAAGACACAAATGCTTAAGTAGCACACACCCCTTCCTTTTGCATTCCGTGGGAGAGAACTTAGTCACCCCACCACAGAGCAGTCATGGGAGAGGAGAAATATGGACTATAGTAAGGCTACTGCATGCCTTACTGGAACTCTATTACAATGGAGGTAGAGAAGAGTGGGTTTTGTAGACAACCAGGAGTCTGTGCTGTTGTACTGTAGCCCATTCCTTGATACTACCACTACCTGCATACACATACCTCAATGCTAGAAAGGAAAATGGCCAACTAGCATAGGCCACCCAAACCCAGACATGCCAAAGGAGTCGCAGTGAATGCAGGCATGCTTCTTTCTCAGCCCAGTGGGGAAACTTCTGAAATCTCATTACTAAATATGATGTTTGCTGTAGTTGTTTCATGTATGCCCTTATCATGTGAAGGCTTCTTTTCAGTTTTGTTTTGCTAAGGGTTTTTAACTTTTTAGTCATGAATAAGGGAAGATTTCCATTTTATGGTTTTTGGGGATCTATTGAGACGATTATACAATTTTTTCACCTTAATCTGTTAATGGTGTGTATTGCATTGACAGAGTTTCTAGTGTTGATCCAGACTTATATTACTGGGATAAACCCTACTTTGTCATTGTATATTTTTACTGCTGAATCCAGTTTTCTGCATTTTATTTAGGATTTTTGCATTCATGATTATAAGTAAGATTGGTCTGTAATTGTCTTTTCTTGTACTGTTCTGTCTAGTTTCCATATCAAAGTTCTGTTAGCTTCATAAAATTATATGGGTAGCTAAACTTTTAAAATATAGACTCTGCAAATGTTTGTACTAGAAGTGGAATGTTTGTTCCTTAAAGTTTCCAAAAACTTGCCAGTAAAACAGTCTGGGCCTTTTGCTTTTGGAGGGTAGTATTTTGATTCCTGATTCAACTTGTTGAGTTGAATCAAGTAGTTTATTTTAAGTGTCCTTAAAAATAAAATATTTGTATATAAGGCTATAATTTTACCTATAGGCATGATTTTCCTGCATTCCACAAGCCTTGATATATATGACCTGTGTCATTCATAATTCTCACTGTGATTTTTCTTTTTAACTCATATAGTAGGCTGAATAATGCTTCCTCTACAAATATATGTATGTATGTATACACACATACATGCACACACATCTCTTTCTGTACATATCCTAATTCCTGGAATTTATGACATGGCAAAAAGGCAAATTCTCCCCTAGAGCCTCCAGAGGGAGCGTTGCCCTGACATCTTGATTTCAGGCTGGTGATATTGATTTCAGACTTCTGGTCTCCAGAACTGTAAGAGAATATATTTCTGTTATGTTCAGCTACCAAGTTTGTGGTAATTTGTAATAGCAGCAATAGGAAACCAATACGCCTATGAATTATTTGAAAACACATTTCTAAGTTGCCTAATCCATATTTAGCCTATTCGTATTCCATTTTTTGCTGATTTCTACTTTAATTGCTTTTATTTGGAAACCATTATTTGCAATACTTTGATTATTTGAAACTTGTAGACAATTTCTCTTTGATCTATACATAGTACATTTTTATAGTTTATATGTACCTGAAAATAAAATATATTCTTCATTTGGAGTTGTAGGATTGTTTCTGTATTTATTAGAACAAAGTTTTTACTTTCCTGTTCATATTTTTTATATTCTTTCCAATTTAGAGTCTTCTCAACCAATTATTTCTGATGCATACTAAAATATCCCAATTGGTTTGTGGATTAGTCAATTTCTCCTTTTCATTACATCAGTTCTTGCTTTTTGTATTTTAAGTCTATGTTGTTAGATGCATACAATAACATAACTTTTATCCGTCCTCTCTCTGAGCCCCTGAGTCCCTAGTTCTATGTCAGTGATGTTTTCTGTTCCTGTCCCATGTCATGTCACCATGTCACCAAGTCAGTGAGTGAATTGACAGAAGTCCTATTCAAGATGCTGTGCCTTTAGCTTTTCCCTTCTAGTCTCATAAATTTGTAGCCTCAAGACCCACCCAGGCCCTAGCATCAAGCAGTGAACTGGCCTTCTTTGCATGCAGTAATGCGACCCAGGCCAAACTCTTGGTCAATGCTGCTTTCTTCTATAACTCTGACCCTTTGTATTATTTTTCCATTTGTGGCCTTTAAATGTATTTATGTGGCTTTGAGCCCCAACTATACCTTTTCTTTTCCAGTATACTTTCAGGTATTTAGAGGAGTGTCCAGAGCCATCCTTCCTGGAAGTATTCCTGTATTATTTAAACTAGTTTGAGTAGCATGTTCTGTTATTTGCCACTCAATGACATGATATTATGCCCTCCATTTTACAGATTTAAAAACTGAGGCAGAAAAGCTAAATACTATCCCAAAGCCACATAGCTCACAAGCAAACAATCCAGAAAATTCATTTAAGTCACCTTGCTGCAAAGTCTAGGTTCTCTTTCTTTCACCATACTGCTTCCAAAATAACATTTCTGGAGTCCTTTAACCACACGTGGACCAGCACAGCTGCATCCCATCCTCCACTTGCTGCTGCCTCTTGTGCTGTCGACACCCATGATCCTAGCTTGTTGCATTGATGGCAACCCCATAGCCAGGTTAAGCTGATACTGCCAGCTCTGGGGTTTTCTGATAATTTTTACTTTTCTGACTTTGTCTGGATCACATGCTTCCTGTGTGCCTGCCATGGAGAGCACGCAGCCACACTGTGTTCACAGGCCACTCTCTACCAACCAATCATCCATAAAACAGACTCCAATAAGCATAGCAGGTCTCTTGAAAATGGCCTTCTCTGCAATGTCTGAATCTCTTCTTGCAAAAGCTTTTGAAGGACTCTCAAATATGACTACATATACCCTTCATCATCAGAGAAAATTAATACTCTCGCCTGCCTGGTTCCCCATCATTACTTTTCTCTCAGCCTCAACATTCAGCCAATTACAGCCATTTCAAAGGAATAGATTTCCATTTTCTGATCCTTTTGTTTAATGTAACTGTCCCGAAATTTGGGCCAGGCAGCATTCTTTCTTTTCCTTTCTTTTTTCTTCCCATTGACTTAGACAAGAAACTGCTGTGTATTATTTTCCCTCCTCTCTTGGTAAGATGATATTCACCACATTGGCCAAATGAGCAGAACTGGAAGTGCTCCATACCCCTAAGAAACCTTCCAGTTATCATAGCATGCAGTCAGCAGATATGAATACATATAAAGTTAAAATTAAATCAGCTCCAGGAATGTGCTTTCCAGTGTGTATAAATAGTTCTTTCAACAATGAACTCTTTTCTGACTTAAAAAATAGCATAGTAATGTATTTTATAAAATTAGATTGATAGTGAACCTTAAGTATAGAATTAAGGGCATGTGTGATAATACCAGAATACCCAAGTAAGATTAGACCCATTTTGTTAATGAAATGATTGTATCATAGCAAGTTAAGAATGAAATTGGTTTCCCAAAGAGCCTTCCATGGAACACTTGTCTCATGAGATGGATGTTCTCTGAACTAACATATATGGGATAGAAACAGACACCTCTAGTGCACAATTCCAGATTCTCTCAGCCTCAGCTGTCTCTTCAAGCCAGCAACTGTGGTGTGACTGCCTCTGTGCAGGCTTTGCCCAGCTTCCTGCAGGTGCTGATGTTGTGCTTACACAGTGGGGATACCTGGGTCTGGAGGGTACAGTCCTGCCGGGTGAACTTTAATTAACTGTGGAGAGAATCAGTAGATAACTGCCACCCCTTCCTTTCTCCAGTAGACAGCCCCACACCCATTTCCTCCAGCTCTTGGAGACATCTCCCCAGAGGTGCCTGGATCTAGGACACACTTAGCACTGGCTCTCCCTCTGCTGGCCCAATCCCTGGCCTTCTCTCAGGCTCCCTGGACCACAGTAGCCAATGGAAAGCTTGCACTTAAGCCTTGTTTCAAGCCCTCCTTTCTGGGAAACCCAGGCAAAACATGTAATTCCAAAACATTCGCACATGGGAAATACCACGCACCATATCCCATTTCTGAAGAGCCATGTTGCCTGTTAGCTTCTTAAAGGTTCTGAGGAATCCTGCACCTAAACAAAGAAAACAAAACAACGCAAAAACTTTTGCTTACTATTTAACTTTGTTTACCAAAATTACCAAATTATCAAACTTATTTTACCATGAAACACAGTTGAAAAACAGCTCTTCAAATCTGGGTGTGTAAGAAACACACCTTGGCAAATGCAAATCTAGAGCTTGCTATACCCACATTGAGGATTTAGGGCGTTTCTGAGAGTTTATTTACATGCGTGCTTGTGGTGGGTTGAATGATGATTCTCAGAAAGGTATTTCCATATCCTAATGCCTAGAACCTGTGAAGGTGACCTTACCTGGAAAAAGGATCTTTGCTGATGTTTTTAAGTTAAGGATCTTAAGAAGAGAAAATCATCTTGGGATAACTGCGGTAAGCCCTAGTTCCAAGGACAAGTGTCATTATCAGAGAAAGAGGAGGCGATGACACAGGGTACAGAGAGAAAGGCCATGTAACCACACGGGCCTTGGATTGGATTGATGCAGCCACAAGCCAAGGAGTGGCTGGAACCTCCAACAGCGGCAAGGGGCAAGGAAATTTTCTTCCCTAGAGCCCTTGGAAGGTGTACATCCTGGCTGATATCCTGATTTTGGACTTCGAGCATTTCCAGTTGCGAGAAAATAAATTTCTGTTGTTTTAAGTCACTCAGTTTATGATACTTTCTTACGGTAGCCACAGGAAACCAACACAGGTGCCTTGTGCCCAGTGGAAGAGACATTTAGAAGGGAACTGCCTTGTCACTCAGACGACTGAATTTGGAGTTGTTCAAGTCCCAGAGTGCTCTCTTTAGGGGCTTGTTTTTGTGCACACAGATTCTGAACACAAGGTCTATTTCAGGGCAGGGCAGAGTTGAGGAGAGGAGGCAGCTAAGAGGGATCCAGCACCTGGGAGACTCAGCTCTGCCTTGCCCAGCACCTGAGCACAGTGCACATCAGTCCATGGCCCTGGATCTGGGGTTTCCTCATTTGTGAAAGGTACTGTGTCATTACTAGCTTCCCCTCCAGCTCCAAAGTTCTGGGATCAGCTACAAGAATCCTTAAACAACAAGTTCTTCCCATGTGTTTTATTTTATTTTATTTTATTTTATTTTATTTTATTTTATTTTATTTTATTTTATTTTATTATTTGAGACGGAGTCTCACTCTGTCACCCAGGCTGGAGTGCAATGGCGCAATCTCAGCTCACTGCAACCACTACCTCATGGTTCAAGCAATTCTCCTGCCTCAGCCTGCAGAGCAGCTGGGATAACAGGCATGCACCCCCATGCCGGGTTTTTTTGGTGTTTTTTGTTTTTTTTTTTTTTTGTATTTTTAGTAGAGATGGGGTCTCACCATGTTGGCCAGGCTGGTCTCCAACTCCTGACCTCAAGTAATCCACCCGCCACAGCCTCCCAAAGTACTGGTATTACAGGTGTGAGCCACTGCGCCTGGCATGGGTATGGGAGGGAGGGGAAAAAAAACGAGTGTCCTCTTGAATTATCAGGGATGTGATTAATACATGAAAGTTGATTCAAACTAAGGCTCATCCAATATTAATGCCCAGACAATGCCAGCTCCTCTTATTTTCCACTTTGATTGAGTTAAATTTGGAATGACTATGGGGGCTACAAGTGCTTTTAAAAATTGGGGTAACAGTGGCTGAGTTGTCCTCAGTATAACTAGACCCTGCCATTAATTCCCTTCTAACACTTCACTTCTATTAGCTATTTATGAAGAAACACATGAGCAGCAGCCTCTATTGCAAACCCTTTTATAAATATAGATTTTCTGAACTTTCTGCAAAGATGTGACTTCTGTTATCTCACTTTTCTTGATGAGGTGTTTGAGGTGCCAGGAACCCATGGGGAGATGGGACAGATAAAACTCTAATGCAAAGACTCACTTACCATTAGTCTTCTTTTGGAAATACAGATGTCCCATTTTAGTGTTGCTTTTAAAACCTGTGACTGGCCAGGCACGGTGAATCATTCCTGTAATCAATCCCAGCACTTTGGGAGGCAGAAGTGGGAGGATCACTTGAGCCCAGGAGTTCAAGACCAGCCTGGGCAACATGGAAAAACCCCATCTCTACAAAAAATACAAAAATTAGCCTGGTGTGGTGGCACATGCCTGTAGTCCCAGATACTTGGGAGGCTGAGGTGGGAGGATCCACTTGAACCTGGGAGGTCGAGGTTCCAGGGATCGTACCACTGCATTCCAGCCTGGGCAATAGAGGAAGACTCTGTCTCAAATAAATAAACAAATATGAATAAAAATAAAACCTTTGACCTATGACTATTTTAGAAAAGTCAAATTAATTTTTTATAAGTTGAACTGTATTTACTTGAGCTGTTTACAATTTACAGGTAGCAAAGAGTAAACCAGCAGGTAGTTATTTGTGGATGAGAATCAGTCTCCTTGGGGGCCCCTGCCCCTGTCTTAGAGCGGGGTGCACCTGCGTGCCCACCTATCCTTTCTCTCTATTGCGAAGCTGTGCAGTGTTGGCCCTTCCTGCTCTGCCAACCTGCTGGCAGCCCTGTACAGGGTTTTGCAGGACAGCCTCCAGGCTATAGTAAGCAGCAGAGATTCTTGATAATGGGCCAGATGGAAAACACAGTGACAGCTTTGGATTCCTTCCAGGGCCTAGAAAGGCAGCACTACAGATACAATCACTTCTCCATAGGGACTTTAGAAAAGAAAAAAAGTTACTAACATCTCTAAAATCTTTCCACAGAGTCAGAAGTAAACAGACTTAGCAAGGAGCATATATTTCATGAGGACATCTTCACAGGGCATTCGCAGGATGTCAGAATCATGGCCTTGGTGGAATGAAGGAAACGCAGGACAGGAAACAAGGAGGCCTGAAGTGCAGCCCTGGCCGGCCCCTCCACGCTCTGGGCAGCACCGCAAGCAGACCCCTCGCCACACGGAGCCCTCACTCTTCCTCTGTAGAAGGAGGGGAGGAGACCAGATTCTCGGGGTTACTGTGAGGACACATGCGATGGAAGGAAATGTAGTTTGTCAAGATGGCATCTGTCATACATATGCAAAATGTCATTAGGGGCCGGGTGTAGTGGCTCATGCCTGTAATCCCAGCACTTTGGGAGGCTAAGGCGGGTGGATCACCTGAGGTCAGGAGTTTGAGACCAGCCTGGCCAACATGGTGAAACCCCATCTCTACTAAAAATACAAAAATTAGCCGGGCTTGGTGGCATGCACCTATAATCCCAGCTACTCGGGAGGCTGAGGCAGGAGAATCACTTGAACCTGGGGGTGGAGGTTGCAGTGAGCCGAGATCATGCCACTTCACTCCAGCTTGGGCAAAAGAGCAAGACTCTGTCTTAAAAAAAGAAATTGTCATTAGGGAAGATCCCAGAGAGCACTTCCCTGAGAGGGGCATGAGTTGTTCTTGGATGATTCTCTATGAAGAAGCAGGAGGGCACCCTACATGTCCAAATTTCCTTTTTCGAGAAAACAGGGTAGTATTGAGATTCTTTACCTTATGAGGTAGCCAAACACTTACATGTACTGTGGCCAACGTGAGTATGCAGTGACTACAGATTGTTCTCAGAATAATTTGTGATTAAGGGACCTGTGGTGATCTCATGGGGTTACATCCAAGAGTTAGAGAGCTCCGCTTGGGTGACAGAACAAAAGAAGGGTAAAACCTGAAGACTCCCACTCATCAGAAGGTTACGAATCTACAGCTGCCATCACTCTCCTCCCTCCCCTTTGTTCTTGGAAAAATATGTCATCAAGTGGAGCAAGAAAGCTGAACAATTTTTCCCACAGAAATTATGCATAATTATGGGTCTGTGTTCCTGGTCAAGAACTTGGCATTAAATGGACTATTGATATGCTGCAAACAGAAAGACAGCACGACCGCACGTCACTACATTTCTTTAAACTAAGAATATTATGTTCTGGATGGTAAACAGTTCCAGCCAGAAGGAATCTGAAAGGTGGCCAAGGCCAACATCTCACTTCAGAAAAACAAACTGAGGTCCAAAGTATCTCCTCTGGTCACATGGCTAGGTCACCCAGGGGCTCCTGATTCGATATTTTTTCATACCCTGCTCTTCCTTTGTGAAAAAAAGATCAGTATGAAGACCGTGCTATCCCCTCAACTATTCAAAAGGGTGAATAGGTGAGGAAAACGCAACTCAGGGGGTTTTAAAAACTTGCTTGAAGTTGCATGGCTCTGAACCATCTAAAATTAATTGGTATTTATTATGGCCACTAGAGTAACCACTGACTAATGTAGTCTGAAGCTAGGCACTTAATCTCAAGCCTTGATACTCAGCAGAGTGGGCTGTGGATCAGCCATGTCAGTGTCCCCCAGGATCTTGGTAGAAATCCAGACTCTCAGGCCCCATCCCAGACCTCATGCATCAGAATCTGCATTTCAACATTCCTTCCAGAAGCATTGTTTTTTTTTTAATTACTATCTATAAAAGAGGCCAGGAAATGGGATGTTCTAGACCTTCCCTTAAAATTCTCTGAATTATTCCCTCGCCTTCTCTAACCCTCCATAACCTCCCAATTCTAAAGAAATATTTGAAGGAGAAAAGAGACTGCAAAGTCAGGCTGAAAATCATGGTGAAAGGAAAGTGGACAGGGGCATGCATCTTCTTATTAGGAATGCTGGTTTCTGAGTGTCAGAAATTGTTTGTTCATTGATGGGCCTTGTCTACTGGAGTGGACAGAGAGCCCTCGACCAGGCATCAAGGGGGCCTGGGTGATTATCTCTGGCTGCATGTTGGGAAAGCTTAAGTGACTGGCCCAGTCTCCTCCTCTCTACAAGGAAATAATTGGTTTTCTAAGTAACTTTCATTGACACTATCAAAATCGGTTGTTAAAAATTATCTAGATGATTGTAGCCAGGCATGGTGGTGCGTGACTATGGTCCCACCTATGCAGGAGGCTGGGTTAGGAGGATCACTTGAGGCCAGAAGGTTGAGGCTGCAGTGAGCTATGATAGTGCCACTGCACTCCTGCCGGGGCAACAGAGCGAGGCTTCATCTCAAAAAATAAATAGATAAATAAATAATTTCTAAAAATTATCTGATTATCTTACTTGCCTGGGATTTCTTGGTTTGTGTTTGCTAGTAGATTCTTCATTTTCAGCCCGGGATTCCCACAGGAATGGAAACCTGAGCCCTCTTTTTACTCAGTGTATTTCTATCATCTCGTGTTGAATAATTGATGGATTGTTTTCATTTTAGTCCGAACTTATTTAAAAAAACCACCTTTTCTCCCAGCCTGCTTATCAACTTCTACCCCCTTTACACAACTAGGGGTGCACATGCCTGAGAGCTCCATCAACTGACCCCACTTCACCTGCAAAGCCCTTGTCCATGTCTATGGAGAGTAGCCCAAAGGCAATCAAAATAGTGAGACCAAGTAAATTTCCTCTGTAAGAAGTTCTGCTTGCTTTCCTCTGGATTTTGCCCCATTTCTCTGAGGCTCCAGCTGGTTTTCATGGCTATATACCCCACTTCTGGGTCCTTAGCCTCAACCTTTGTACACAGAGCAACAAGGAGTTTTTCATCTGCATCAGGCTAAATCATGGTCTTCCGTTCTCATAAACACGAAAGTTGCAGGAGCCTAAAGTTGACTTCGAAAGTGACATGCAGCTACACAGAGCTTTTGTTTGCCAAACACTTGCAAATCATTTTCCCCTACAAAAGCCCTTAAAATGTCAGCATTCTGAATATCTCTGCCCACGGGCCACTCTCTTTCTTGGGCCTTGGCAGTGATTTACTGTCCAGGATCCACCAGCCCCAGACCCAGAGAAGGGTATGGATGTTTATAGCTCTCGAGGCACTTTTTCTGGAAATTTCTGGGGGGAAGTAAGGGCCCTTTCACTTTATGGCACTGAAACATTTTTGTGAAGGTATTTTTATTTTCAATAAGTGAACTCAACAAGTGGATACTGAGTCAAGACTAGTGAGGTGTGTCAAAATGAAGCAGAGTTGAATGAAGAAAAAAAGGCCTTTAGTGTGATAACATTCTGGTTTTTCTTTTTTCTCTCTCTCATTCACTTTTCTATTTTTGAGGAGTAGAGTATATGGAAAACAGGCATTCAGCCTCTTTAAGAATCAGTTCTGTGTGTAAATCATAGTTACATGGACTAAAAACAGATTCACGGATGTGGGCTATGGTGGAGGCTTCATTTCCCTGCACAGTTACCACGTGAAGGAGATAATTAGTCATCCTGTTCCCCCCTTTAATCAAGACTTCAGGAAAATCAAACTTTGCTGTAAGACTATCATGAATCATCAAGAGAGAAGTAGAATTTATGTTGATTCATAAATGGGCCACAGAGGCATCTGGTGAGGTTCAGAGGAAGTCAAGACAGAACAAGGAGCAAGAGGCACGCCCGGTATTTCCCCAAACACATTTCTCTGTATTTAACCAACACAATATTCTCAAAAGCAAATGAAGAAAATAATAGCACACCATTTTTTATCCAGAAAGGAAAGATTAACCCAGATCTGAAATACATCATTGTAGTGTTCTAATTAAAGCATACTTCAGGCTCATATTTGGTGGAGGAATTGACTCCCTCCCCAAACCTACATTCCCTAGGCACAGAACAGGATGTAAGGAGAATCCCCAAGTCGCCCCAGATCATTTCGCACTCTGCTTTTCCAGCTCTGACTGCATCTGACTCTACAGATGAGAAAACTGAAGATGATCTTCAAGAATGAAAAATTTTAGAAAGTTTTGTGCAACAATGTTGAACCAAAAAATGAATATTTTGGACATAGCTAGATTTTATTTTGCTTTTATATTGAAGAGGTTGAAAGAAAATAAAAAAAGCAGACTTTTTTTTAAATCAAGAAAATCTTGCAGATAAGGATAATGAAGAACTTTAAGGGCTTCTAAAAATAGATGGACATTCACATAAAAATCTAGCTTTTAGTAGCATTTTATTCTTTTAAAACTTTGTTTATGCTATCTTCTTCCTTGCAGTTTCCATAGACAAGGCAAACATTTGTAGAAAGCTCATGTCCCAAACAGCTATATCAAGTAGGCAGTTTCATTTCTAGAAATCCAAATAAACTCATTTATTTTAAGACCAGTAAAATGACAATAACATAAAATAACTGGCTGGCTCTTCATGCTCCATGAGCAAACATAGATGTATGTGCACTCACGTGCGCACACACACATGCAGATGCACACACAGACATGAATATAACTTCATTTAGCCAAGACAAACCATTCTGAAATAAAATATAAGGGTTTACTCAGTGACTTGGAAGACTGTTAGTTTTACCTGAAATCGGGAGAGAAGGAAAAAATACAACCAGGTCTTAAATGCCAAGGCCAGCACAAAGAAGAGCTGCTGTGATCAAGCATTTTTATCTTCATGCATGAGTTCAGAAGGTCACCCATATTTCCCTCTGTCTGTCTCCCATAATGCGACAAAGTGAACATTCCTCATAGAGAAACCCCCATAGCATTCATCAATTTCACATTGTTTTCATTTTGTTTTATTGAAGTAGGATTTGCATATATTTTTTAAAGTACAGAAATATTAAGTATACAGCTAAGTGAATTTTACCTCTGAATACACACTTATATAGCCACTAGCTTGATGAAGATTTAGAACATTTCTGTCACCTCAGAATTTCCCCCAAATGCCTATGCCAGTCAATGAGCATTTGGGGTCTTAGAGGTCACTACTAGAACATTTTAAGTTTCGTCTGTATTCCACCAGCACAAAGATTGGTTTCTAAAAACTTGTAAGCCATTTGCTTTTCCTGTCTCGAAAATGGGTTACTAATTACTTTTTAGAAAGTTTTGTGCAACAATGTTGAACCAAAAAATGAATATTTTGGACATAGCTAGATTTTATTTTGCTTTTATATTGAAGAGGTTGAAAGCAAATAATTAATTAATGTTTTTTTTTAAATTTATTGAGAATCAACTGTATTTAATTGGTAACTGGCTTTGCCCTGTATACACTGCTTCCCTTCCAGCCTCCTCAAGGGGATGGCTATTTACCTTCCTATTTGTTTTTTAAGTTTCCCCCTTGCATGCCACTGAGGCCGGAGGTGAGGTACGTGTCCTTGATCTAGGCCATTTATCCTCCTGTCGTCACACCCTTCCTTTCCCGCCCCACCTCAGCTTCTCTGAAGTTCAGGCCACGAGACTGCGCCACAAGTTGCTTCTCCTTGGGACAGTCATCCACAGACCGCCTAGTCACTCCTCCTTATTTCTTGAAGAGTTGAGTTTATTCTTTATTTCACTGCCATTCTCCCCACTACTACTCCTGTTATGATTCTTCAAGATTTCAATATCCACAGAAAAAAATTTTTCAATAATTTAGTTTCTTAATTCTCCCTCTTCTTCCTTACCTCCCATGAGCTTGCTTCCACTCTCACCTATCCAATCCAACCCTCCTCTAGACCTTCTCATTACCATTAATTGTGTCTCTTCCATGATCCTGATTTCAAGCCAAGCTTTCTACTTTTTTTTTTTTTTTTTTTTTAGATGGAGTTTTGCCCTTGTCACCCAGGCTGGAGTGCAATGGCGCAATCTCAGCTCACTGCAACCTCCGCCTCCCGGGTTCAAGCTATTCTCCTGCCTCAGCCTCCCAAGTAGCTGAAATTACAGGCGCCCACCACCATGCCACCTAATTTTATGTATTTTTAGTAGAGACGGGGTTTCACCATGTTGGTCAGGCTGGTCTCGAACTCCTGACATCAGGTGATCCACTGCCTCGGCTTCCCAAAGTGCTGGGATTACAGGCATGAGCCAGTGCACCCGGCCAAGCTTTCCACTTTCTGACCATCATCTCCTGTCTTTTCTGATCACACCTCAGTAACCAAACTCCAACTCTTTGATCTCCTAGGACCTCTAACCACTGCTCCCTCCATCTTTTCATAGCTTCTCATCCCTCATGTCCTCTTGTCCCTTGACAGCATCTCCCCCTCCCACTACTTGCCCCATTTCTCTACTCTTTGTAGAAAAACTTACCCAAATAATTTTCTAAATTTATTATTTCTACATTATCTCTTCTGATCCTCTCTTGAACACATTCCAAGAGCTTTTTACCTCTATCACTCCACTAAACCTCCTGTCAATCCAATCCAATGTTTATTTATTTATTTATTATTTATGTATTTATTTATTTATTTATTTATTTTTGAGATGGAGTCTCACAGTGTCACCAGGGCTGGAGTGCAGTGGCTCAATCTGGGCTCACTGCAACCTCCGCCTCCCAGGTTCAACCGATTGTCTACCGCAGCCTTCCTGTTTATTTCTTACTTCTTTCTTGGTTTAGCTGCAGAATTTATGCCAGTTGATCATTTCTCCTTGAAGTACATTTTTTTGCTCTTGGCTTCTAAAGCACCATTTACTCCTAGTTTTCTTTTCATATGATTACCTTCTTATAACTTTTATTTGATTCTTCTTTTTTTATTTTAGAGACAGAATCTTTCTGTCTCTCCCAGGCTGCAGTGCAGTGGTGTGATTATAGCTCACTGCAGCCTCAGCCTCCTGGGGTCAAACAATTCTCCCATATCAGCCTCCTGAGTAGCTGGGACTACAAGTATGCACCACCATGCCCAGCTTGGATTTTTGTTCCTCCCTCAACCTCCAAATGTTGTTGTGTTCCAGAGGCCAGTCCTTTAGTCTCCACCCTCCTCTGTCTATACAGACTCTCCATATAATCTCTAGTAAACGCCATTTGCTTGCTAAATGGCTCACAAATGTCTATCAGCAGCCTGGGTCGTTCTCCCGAATTTGAGACTTATTTATCTACCTGCTTTCTTGGATAGAAAATAAATACCTTAAACTTAGCATGTCCAAAGATGAACTCTTATTACCCAATCCAAATTTGCTTTACCCCCATCTTTCCCATTTCAGTAAATAACTCCACTTAAATAACTCCATCTTTCCTGTTGTTCAAGCCCAAATCCTTGAAGCCTCCCTTCCTTGACGCCTTTTCTTCCCAGATCCTGCTTCCAATATAGTGTTAGTTACTCATGGCTCTGTCTTTGGAATATATTCAGAATCTAGTCACTTCTCAATCCCCTTCTTTTTCTGCTTTCATCATTCCTTGCCAACATTACTGCAGCAGTCTTCTAAGGTCTCCCTGATTCTATCCCTCTGCTTTTCTTCAGTGTGTGTGTGTGTGTGTGTGTGTGCGCGTGCACACACACACACTTTATTTTTCTTTTGTTTTAATGCAGAAACCAAAGTACTTTTAAGCTCTAAATTGGACCTATAATTTCTCTGCCCAAAATCTGCCAGGGGCTTCCATCCCTCTCAGAATAAAATTCAAAGTTTTCACTGTAGCTTATAAAACCCTCCCTGATTTGGCCCCTGCCTCTATCTCATATCCTGCAACTCTTCCCCCACATTCACTCTGCTCCAGCCACTCAGGCTATCATCTCAGGACATCATTATTTATTTGTTTCTTCCAGATATTGTCCATCTGGCTTCATTCAGGGCTTTGCTGAAATGTCAGCATCACACCACCAAAAAGTGATAAACATGTGAGGTGACGGACACATTAATTAGCTTAATTTAGCCATTCCACATTGGGTATACACATATATCCAGTCATCATGTTGTACACCATAAATATATACAGTTTTTGTCCATTTTAAATAAATAAATGTCACTATCAAAGACAATCCTCTCTAATTTATTTAAAGTATACAGATACTTCCTTCTTTTTCTGTCTACTTATCCTGTTTTCTTTTTCCTTCACATTCACCACCACCTGACATGGGATATTTATTGGTTTGTCATCTGTTGCCTCCACAAGAAAGTGAGCTCCATGATAACAATGGCTCAATGGCTTTGTTTGTTTCACTGCTGTTTTCCAATAGCTTTGAAATATAGGAGATGACCAAGAAACATGTGTTTCCTGAATAAATTAACTAATGAGAGCATTTTATAATAATAGAACCCCTGTATCAGATTGACTTAGTCATCATCCATCTTTTGACCATCTTCTTTGGGCCACAATACCAATTGCAAAATAAAAACATTGAGAAACTGAAGACAAATGTGCTCATGAAAGATGGCGTTGATAACTATTTTAAAATATTTTTACAAACACACTGAGATGGTGGTTTGGGTCATATATTAGTCCAAAAGGAGAAAATCAAGTGGTGCCTATCTGTCAAAGAAAGATGGAAACACCAAGGAAAGTCAAGGCTTAATATGTACACATTGGCTAAATGAATCAAAGATGTAAGCACTAGAAATTTTTCAAGAAAATTTGTGTATGACACTTTGATGGCCCGCGGAGGACTCTGAGTCACTGTATATCTATTATGTTTCACTGATGATAGATGTAATCTGTCTCCTTGGCTCTCAAAAGTAAGAAAACACCTCTACACAGGAAAAACATAATAAATTTTATTTGCAAATTAATATCTCTGACCATTGTTCTGACACTCTTGAAAAATGTTTCAGATGTGGAAAGAGTTCTTTTGAAAGATTTATTTTATTTGCTTTAGCAGAGCATGAGAGCAGTGATGCACTGACACAGAGAGTGGGGAAGGGGTGGCTGTGTTTTATTTGCACTACATTTAATTTGTGTTTGACACATGTGCAGCATGGGCTGGTGGGAAGAACCTGGAGCATGAATGGAGAGATGAACTATGAAAACCTAGACATCAAGACATCCAGGCCTCCAACAAGGATAAAATCCCTACCTCTCACCTTGGTCTCCATGTGCCTCTCTGCTCACTATAATCTAACCAAAGTGGCTTTACTCTAATAATTATTAGTTGTTTAGGAAATAGTTAATAACTAAATATTTCTCTGATACCTAATAATGTTAAACTTCTTTTCATATGTTCACTAGCCCTTTACATTTCCTTGTTTGTTTTTTGTGTCGGGTTCGGAACTTTCTCCTTCCTCTGCCCACAATTCATTCCCCTGATCTTCCCTCAACTGTCCCTTCTCCTCTCTGCTACCTCAACACAAATATCACCTCCTCACACTGCAGCTGACCATCCCATGCAATGACACTCCCACCCTGCTCACGCTCTCTTTCTGACATTACCCCGTTTTATTTTCTTCTTAGACTTTACCATTGTCTGCAATTATCTTGTTTCCTTATTTGTGGACGTGCTGATTAAATGCTCCACCCCTTTTGTAACTGAACAAAATTTCCGTGAAGGCAGAGACTGTGTCTGTTTTGCTAAGATCTGTGTCACCAGTACTGGAGCTGTGCCTAATACAAGTATTTTTTGAGGGAGGAAAAATGATGTCTCGTTTCTGAACCTGAGCTCCTTGTCTCTAGAATGAAGGGTTGGATGAGATCAGTGTTCTCTAAGTGGGGACCCAGATCAGCAGCACCAGCCCTGCCTGGGAACTTGTCAGAAATGCAGGTTCTCAGGCCCTTCCCAGACCTGCTGCTTTGGAGACTCTGGTATGGGACCCAGTGATCTGTGGTTTAGCAGCCCTGCAGATGTCTGGATATGCCCTGGAGTGTGAGAGCATCACATGCTCTCTGAGGCCTCTTCTCTTCTTTATGCTTAACTTCTTGGCTTTGTTAGTTACAAAGGTTATTTCATATATAGAAATGAGAACAGAGAATAACTCAGTGACTAGCCTGTTCCCAATGGCTGGATTGAGCAAATCTTAGCATTATGTTGTATTTATTTCAAAGTACTTAAAAATGCATTTCAAATATAGTTGAAGTTTACTGTATATGACTTTTTCCCAGTCCCATTCTCCTCCTATTTTCTACAGAGAGAAGTCACGATAATAAATTCAGTGCTCATCATTTTCAAAGTACTTATATAAATTTACATTTCTGCTAACAGGGCATTAGAATTGCGATTTCTCCATATACTTCCAATATTTGGGATTTGTCAGAGATTTTAAATCTTGTGAATTGATGAATGTGAAATATTATTGGAATGTTAATTTGCGTTTTCCAAATAACAAATGATGCTTAACTTCTTGTGTTTGCTAACCACTTAGGTTTCCTATTAAGTGATCAAACACTATTTCTCCATCAGCTATGTGGTTACAAATATCTTTTTCAAGAGTGTAACTTTTCCGTCTTTGTTTCTGATACTTTTTGTTATACAGAATTTTAATGTATTTATTATTTCCTTTATGGTAAGTAGTTCTAAAATTACCTAAGAAAACCTTCCTTACCCCCAAGATGATAATGATATTCTCCAAAATTTTATAATAAATGTTAAACTTTTCACACTGAGTCTTCAACGCCCTATCTTTGTATATGGTGTGAGGAAGGGATTCAAATTTTTTTAATCTTTCTATAATAGAAGATTGGGATCTTGTTTTTCCTTTCATTCAACATGAAAAAAATTACCTATATATAGAACCTCTGCCCTAATGGTACTTACAGTCTTTTGCAGAAGAGAAATCGTAAACAAATAAGCAAATATATAAGTAGTAATAGTGAATATTTACATAGGCCTTACCTGTTTGAGGCACTAAGCCCTTTATTTAACTTATTTAGTTGCCAGGATTTCTTCATGAGGTAGGAGCAATTAATAGCCTCATTCTGCACATGAAAAAATTAAGGCATAAAACAGTTCAGGACCTTTCTCAAAATTGTACAGCCTGTATGGGAGAGCCAGGATTTCAATCCACACGGTTCACATCTTGAATCTGTGCTTCCAAACCTGACATTACACTGCACTGCTTCTCATCTTTGTTATGGTAAGAGCTGTGATAGAAAGACATGTGGATTCAGATGGGGAAGTCTCTTAGCTGAGGATCAGGGAGTAAGTCTCTCAGAAGGTGATAGTTAGGCTAGGACCTCAAGGATGAGAAGAAAGCAGCTTTTCCATCCACCAGGAAGTGTCTAGCTCTGCTTCTCTAGGTCTTAAACAGGTCAGAGAACACAAAAGAAAGGAAGCAATATATCCACTGTTTAGAGTGAGCTGAGTAATGACTAAGACATAGTTCTCAGTGGCCACAAAATTTAAAGCCCCTCCTCCCCTCCTTGCAAGAAGAGCAAAACCCAACTCTGTGCCTTGGTGTATGCAGCAGCTGACACACGTATGCCATCTACACAGTGGACTACACCCTGAACATGACAGCTTCTCCTCTCCCATTTAAGAAAGTCTATCATTAGGAAATGGCATGTTGTCCTCTTTGGAATGGTTTCTTCTCGTATTACTTTCTTTTGTCTGTATTCTTGGCAAGACAGAGACACCTTTGTAAAACCATCATGGGAGCTCCACACAGAAGGATATAAAACTAATGATGCTGATGAGCAAAACAAAACAAAAAACAAATAAACAAAAAAACTTGCAAAAACTCATAGTGTTTTTAAAAAGTTTATGAATTTGTTTTGGGCCACATTCAAAGCTGTCCTGGGCTACATGCAGCCTGTGGGCTATGGGTTGGACTAGGTTGCCATATACCATATATGAGATGCCATATATCATCATCATATATGATGAACCTACAGCTAACATCACGCTGAATGGGAAAAAGCCTTTTTGTCTAAGAATTAGAAGACAAGAATGCCCACTTTCACCCCTCCTATTCAACATAGTACTGTAAGTCCTAGCTAGAGCAATCATGCAAGAAAAAGAAATAAAAGGCATCTAAATTAGGAAAAAGGAAATTAAATTGTCCCTTTTTGCATATGACATGATCTAATATTTTAAAAATTTTAAAGACACTACCAGAAAACTCTTACATCTCATAAAGAAGTTCAGTAAAGTTTCAAGACACAAAATTAACATACAAAAATCAGTAGCGCTTCTCTACACCAATAATGAATTGGCTAAAAAAGAAATCAAGAAAGCAACCTCATTTACAATGGCTACAAAAAAGTACCTAGGAATAAATGTAACCAAGGAGGTAAAAGATCTCTACAAGAAAAACTACAAAACATTGATGAAAGACATTGAAGAAGACACAAACAAATATAAAGACATCCCATGGTCATTGAATGGAAGAATTAATATGGTTAAAATGACCACACTGCCCAAAGTAATGGACAGATTCAATGCAATCCCTATCAAAATACCAAAAAACCAATGTTTTTCACAGAAATACAAAAAACAAAAAAAATTGTGCGGAACCAAAAAAAGCCTGAATAGCCAAAGCAATCCTCAGCAAAAAGAACAAAGATGGAGACATTGCACTACCTGACTTCAAAATATACTACAAGGCTATAGTAACCAAAACAGCATGGTATTAATATGAAAACAGACACATAGACCAATGGAACAAAATAGAGAATGCAGAAATAAACCCATGTATTTACAGCCACCTAATTTTTGACAGACAACAATAACATACATTGGGGAAAGGACACTTTCTTCAATAAATGTTATTGGGAAAACTAGATATTCATATGCAGAAGAATGAAAGTAGACCCCTATCTCCTATCATATACAAAAATATACTCAAAATGGATTAAAGACTTAAACACAAGACCTGAAACTATAAAACTACTAGAAGAAAACATACAAAAAACATTCCAGGACATAGTTGTAGGCAAAAATTCTATGGCGAAGACCCTAAAAGCATAGGCAATAAAAAAACAAAAATAGGCCAGGCGCGGTGGCTCACACCTGTAATCCCAGCACTTTGGGAGGCCGAGGCGGGCGGATCACGAGGTCAGGAGATCGAGACCATCCCGGCTAAAACGGTGAAACCCCGTCTCTACTAAAACTACAAAAAATAGCCGGGCGTAGTGGCGGGCGCCTGTAGTCCTAGCTACTTGGGAGGCTGAGGCAGGAGAATGGCGTGAACCCGGGAGGCGGAGCTTGCAGTGAGCCGAGATCCCGCCACTGCACTCCAGCCTGGGTGACAGAGCGAGACTCCGTCTCAAAAAAAAAAAAAAAAAAATAAACAAATGGAACTATATTATACTAAAAGGCTTCTGCACAGCAAGGGAAACAATCAGTAGAGCACCTGTTGCATGAAAAAAAAAAAGATTTGCAAAATATTCATCCAACAAGTGAGTAGTTTCCAGAATATACAAAGAATTCAAACAACTCAACAGCAAAAAACAAATGATATAATTAAAACATGAGCAAGTGATCTAATAGATATTTCTCAAAAGAAGACATGCGAATAGCCAACAGATAAGTAACAAAATGCTCAACATCACTAATCATTAGAGAAAAATCAAAACCACAATATCAAAACCACAATGTTAGAGTGGCTATTATAACAGATACTTGCAAGGATGCAGAGAAAAGAGAACTGAAATACACTGTTGGAGTATGAAAGTGTGAATGTAAATTAGTACAACCTTTATGAAAACAGTATGGCGTTTTCTCAACAGAAACTGGACCCCTTCCTTATACCTTATACAAAAATTAACTCAAGATGGATTAAAGACTTAAATGTAAAACCCCAAACCATAAAAACCCTAGAAGAAAACCTAGGTAATATCATTCAGGACATAGGCATGGGCAAAGACTTCATGACTTAAACACCAAAAGCAATTGCAACAAAAGCCAAAAGTGACAAATGGGATCTAATCAAACTGAAGAGCTTCTGCACAGCAAAAGAAACTATCACCAGAGTGAACAGGCAACCTACAGAATGGGAGAAAATTTTTGCAATCTACCCATCTGACAAAGGGCTAATATCCAGAATCTACAAAGAACTTAAATGATTTTACAAGAAAAAAACAACCCTATCAAAAAGTGGGCAAAGTATATGAACAGACACTTCTTAAAAGAAGACATTTATGCAGGCAACAAACATATGAAAAAAAGTTCATCATCGCTGGTCATTAGAGAAATGCAAACCAAAACCACAATGAGATACAATCTCAGGCCAGCTAGAATAGTGATTATTAAAAAGGCAGGAAACAACAGATGCTGGAGAGGCTACAGAGAAATAGGAATGCTTTCACACTGTTGGTGGGAGTGTAAATGAGTTCAACCATTGTGGAAGACAGTGTGGCAATTCCTTAAGGATCTACAATCAGAAATACCATTTGACCCAGCAATCCCATTACTGGGTATGTACCCAAAGGTTTATAAATCATTCTACTATAAAGACACATGCACATGTATGTTTATTGCAGCACTATTTACAATAGCAAAGACTTGGAACCACCCCAAATGCCCATCAATGATAGACTGGATAAAGAAAATATGGCACATACACACCATGAAATATTATGCAGCCATAAAAAATGAGTTCATGTTCTTTGCAGGTACACGGATGAAGCTGGAAGCCATCCTTCTCTGCAAACTAACACAGGAACAGAAAACCAAACACCACATGTTTGCACTCATAAGCGGGAGTTTAACAATGAGAACACATGGACACAGGGAGGGGAACATCACACACTGGGGCCTGTCGGGGGTAGGGAAAAGGGGAGGGAGAGCATTAGGACAAATACCTAATGCAGGCCAGGCTTAAAACCTAGAAGATGGGTTGATAGGTACAGCAAACCACCATGGTACATGTATATCTATGTAACAAACCTGCACGTTCTGCACACATATCGCAGAACTTAAAATAAAATTTAAAAAAAAAAGGAAAATAGTATGGGGTTTTCTTAAAAAACTAAAAATAGAACTATTATAAGATCTAGCAATCTCACTACTGGGTATTCATTCAAAGAAAAGAAAATCAGTATATCAAAGAGATATATGTATCCCCATGTTTCTTGCAACACTATTCACAATAGCAAAGATATGAAATCAACCAAAGTATTCACCAACAGATGAATGGATAAAGAAAGTGTGGTGTATTTACACAGTGGAATACTATTCAGCCATAAAAATGAACAAAATCATGTCATTTGCAGCCACATGGGTGGAACTGCAAATATTGTTTAGTTAAACAAGCCAGGCACAGAAAGACAAATATTACTTGTATTCACTCATATGAGGAGGCTAAAATCATTGATTTCATGGAGGTAAACAGTAGAATGATAGTCACCAGAGGAAGAGAAGGATGTGTGTGTGTGTGTGTGTGTGTGTGTGTGTGTGTGTGTGTGTGTGTGTAGGGGGAGACACTGGCTAATAGGTACAAACTTACAGTTAAATGGAAGGAATAAGTTCTCATGCTTCATAGTAGAGTAGGGTAACTATAAGTTAACAACAATATACTATACATTTCAAAAGAGCCAGAAGTGAGGATCTGGAATGTTCTCAACACACAGAAATGACACATGCTAGTGGTGATAAATATCCTAAATACCCTGACTTAATCATTACATATTCTATATATGTAACCAAATATCACATGGATCCCATAAATATGTATAAATATAATGTATCAATTTAAAAAAGAAGCCAGTAAGCAAATTTTATTTTATTGGATTTCTACAGAATTGTTTTTTATGAAATTGTGCTTTGGGCATACCAAGATCTTATGCAAAGGGCCATAGAAAAAAACCTTACGAGGCTTCAATATCCAAGGAAAGTACATTGTTGAGGACATCAATCATTATGTAATGTTCAGGAGGACACCAGGAAGAATTACATATCTTGCTTTAGAAGAATAATTGAAATCTTTTTCAGTGATGCATTTTGTTCTTTTCCATCTTAAAAACATTGTCAATTGTATAAGTGGCCAGGTTAGGGCCATATCTTAAACCTGAACAGATTTAGATCGATACACAATGAACTTTTTAAGCTTCATTTCTTCCTTCATGGCATTCTTTCTCTAATGTATCTTTTTTCTTTCATCTAAAGTGTATTTAACACTCTATTTTATATTATACTTGTTTTCATAATCCACTAACTCACTCCTGGAATTAAGTGAAATATAAACAATAAATAATCTCTTAAGGGCTAACACTTGGAAAATGCTAAATTCTAAATACCCTTGAAGTCTCAGTGACCAAAATATAGTTGGACTTTAAGAAACATAGCAAGTTGCATCACTTCTTCCTCAGGCTGTATCTTCCCAAATCTTAAGGGAAAGGGAGAGGCAGTTTCACTCTGCTACATTGAAACAAACATCCTCCCCTATGCTCAGTTACCATCTCTGTTGTTTTGACCCTCAGGATGTGGTTATTTGAAAATTCTAGTTGCACTCCTTGTCAAAATTACTCAAGTAACATTGAGGACACACTTGGATTCTCTAGTCAAGGAATTCTGACTTTAAGATGACTATAGGTGTATTGATGGATGAGTGGAGGTCATTATAGAGCATATTTCCTAATCTCATTCTTTCTTCCATTATGTTCTTATCCCGTTCCATTTTTCTCTTTTTGCCTTATTTATATGTGATATGACATGCCCTTTATCTTCTGTTATATCTTGTTATACACTATTAATTCATTTCTGAAACTAGGTGGGATATAAATTAATATATTGTTTCCTGCTCTGTGGGTTTTACAACCTCTAAATTGTAAATTGGTGAAGTCACCAAACCTCAAGCAGGCATTTTGGTGTTACTGTACTTTCGATGGGCAGAATAATGCCTCTCCCTGCAAAGATGTCCACATTTTAATCCTGAAAACCTATGGATATGTTACCTTACACAGCAAAAGGGACTTTGCAGATGTAATTCAGGTTATGGACCTTGAGGTGAGGAGATTATCCCGGTTTACCTGAACAGTTCCAATATAATCAGAAGGGTCCTGATAAGAGGGAGGTTGGGGGGGATAAGACTCAGAGAAGAAGACTTGATGAGGGAAATAGGGCTAAGAGTCAAAGGGGGATTTGAACAGATTATGCTGCTGCTTTGAGGATGGGGGAAGGGGCCACAGAGCCAAAGAATGCAAGTCGCCTCTACAAGCTGGAGACAGGCCAGGAGACTAGAACCTCCAGAAGAAACACAGCACTGCCGACACCTTCATTTAGCCCAGTGAGATTCCTGACTTACAGAACTATAAAATAACAAATTTGTGTTGTTTTATGCCAGAAAGTCTGTGGGCATTTGTTAAAGCAGCAGCGGGAATTGAATACAACATTCCTTGAGAGTCTAGATGACTGCCATATCCCAATTGTGTTTTTACATTTTCTGTCTTTCTCTCTTATTCTTTTTTGCTCCAGAGACTTTGGTACTGTCCATTTCTTAGCCCTGAGTTTGCTCCTGGTATATGGACTAGATTCTATTATCCTGCCCAGAATTGTTCAGGTTTGAACTTCATGCACCTGTTTCGACACTGATACATCAAACCTATTCTGCCTGGGTACTTTGCCCAGATAGGACATCACCTTTCACTGTTCGTTCCTTAAGCTACATGGTGCCCGCCTTCCAAGTGCTGACACCTTCCCACATCTGTAGTGTGCTCACTGTGCAGTCCACCTGCCTTTATGCTTTAGGACTCAGTGCCATTGACAGAACTTTTCACAATGATGGGAATGTTCTACCTCTGTGTTCAGTATGGTAGCCACCGGCTGTATGTGGCTATTGAGCACTTGAAATGTGGCTACTGCCACTGATAAACCAAATACTTAATTTTATTTGATTGTAATTCATTTAAGATTCATTTTAAATAGGCATCTGCGGCTGGTCATTACCAAACTGGACAGCAAAACTAGGTTTTCACAAAATTCATTTAAATAATGATTAATTGAAACAGTCACCAGACACCTATAATCCTTAAGCTCAAATCAGCCAATTTACTTTAAATATTGCTTTAGAGGAAAGGCTGTCATAATAAAAAAATATATAAAAACCAAAGACATTTCTCCATGAAATAGGCTTCAATTGCATGGAGAGTGATCAGCACTTAAACAAAATCCCTCTAACTATTAAATCTTTGTGCATGTTACCATTACCTTCAGAAAGTCATAAAAGGAAATGTCCTTAATTAAAAGAGTAACTTTTGTGGCTCTAGGGACATTTAAATGTCTTCAGTATAAATAAACCACATTTGCAGTTGGATTTAAAGGTGTGTCCTTCATTCGTTCTGTTTTCAGAGCCCCAGGTTGTACCGATGCTGGATTAGGCAAGAATCCGGGCTGTGCTGCAGAATGCCTGCTGGTGCATTTTTGCTGGCAGCTGCGTCCCCACACTGCTTTCTGTGATTAATCTTCCTTGAAACGTCTGTGGATGTAAAAGCCCATGTAAAAAGGAGTAAATGGGAGTAAGAGGAGATTGGTAACTACCAGGCACTCACAGGCTGCATTAACTGGAGGAAATACAGTTGGAGCTTTACTAGAGGAACCCTTAGCCTGGGCTTCAGACTAGACAGCCTGAGGTGAGCTGAGTGACACCAAATGAAAGCTGACATGTTTCCCATGACAAAAACCAGATGGTTTGGTGAAGAATGCTGCTCCAGCTTTCTGCCTCTCTCCTGGTTTCTGCAAATCAATTCTGTAAGATTTAGACCAAAAGCCTAAACTAAAAGAGGCATCAAATGCTGATTTTATAAATCTTGCATTTGATATCTCTTAGTTTTATGCAAATAACTATATGTTTAGGTTTGTAAATGCATTATAATCCAGAAAAGTGAAGGCACAAGAACCACAGGGACAGCCTGTCAATCAGAGATGATGCTGGTTCAACACAGAGACAGCATCCAATACTCCAGTGAGGTAGAGATGTTTATCTCCTTCTGGAGAAGCAATGGGCTCCCTCATTTGGGCATTTCCTTAACTGAATACAGGATTCATCAGTCTCATACTTGCTTCCACTTGAAAAAGAAAAAAGAAAACCAAAGCAATAAATAACTTTAAAATATAAGAAAATGTAGCCAAAAATATATCTCTATAATATATAGTCTGTTTGTCCAGATAACAGAATATTTTCAATCTTACAATGAAATGTATTCAAGCTCACTGCATCCTGGATTTTGCAATCTTAGTAGTACTCCTCTAGAAATTTCAAAATGTTGCACAGCTTTATGTACAAATCAATGACTGAATCACATGCCAACTATTGCAAGTAAATTCTGAACAAGAATTTAATGTTGTATGAGAATTAATTCCCTATTTTCCCCTAGAAGGTAGAGGGAGCTGGGAGAAACATCTTAATATTCCTTGGTTAAGGGTATCTCCTTTTCCTGCATGTTCAGTCTTCACTCTGGCAGAATTTTGCCACCCCCTCACCTCTTGTGCTCTCTGTGAATGGTAGATGCCAACACTCTAACTTCCAAACCCTGTTAAAAAGACTATATTTAAGATGGAAATACGTGGATTGCTTAAGTGGATGTAGCAATAAATTTTCTTTAATAGTTCACAGTTCCTTAGAGTGTCATTATTTGCTTTATCACACTTGAAACCAGCACCAAATATTCCTTCATTCCTTACCTTGCCAGCTAGGACCACTATACTGAAAATTTCCTATTGCATGCATAAAAAGAAAAAGGGCCCATGTAAGGCCAAAGTGGGGTGGGGGGAAATAGATTCTCTCCATCTGAAAGATTGCAGATGTCTGAGCCTGATCAGGGTCTGGGGGGGTGCTGAATTGCACAAGGAGCTTCCATTTCAGTGCAGTGAGCATCAAATGCATATTAGGTTTCCTAGGGACATCTGAAAAGCAATACTGCTTATTTTTCCCTCTGTTGAGCACACATGGTGTGGGGCTTCAAACTTGTTAGGAAAAAAGAAGGCTAGCAGAGAAAGGAGAAAAGCCTAGCTGAGAGGGAGACCAAGAGTCTGTCGCCAGGCAAGAAGGAAAAAATTGAGATGTTCGTATTTTTACAAAATGATTTCTTGTTCAAATTGTACTCTTGCTTTTCAAGAGCAGCCAGGAAAATGAAGTTATTCGTACATTCAAATTTTCCCCTCTGCTGTCATTTCAATTTAATTATTGCTCAAACATCTGTAATGGAAAACGTTAGGGGCTTAGAGCAGGGTTTTCAGTTTGGATCTTTCTAAGTCTGTCCCTGAATAGATGATGGAACTTGGACAAGTGAGCATGGCCTTCAGAGAAACAAGAGGATCCTAATATCTACATTACAGTGTGGATGAGAAGATTTAATGAAGTAATAAATTTAATATCAATGTAACATCAAATAAGTGTAAGTCAATCCTCAGCATGTTAGCTGAGTCCAAATATAATTGTCACATGTTTTAAACTGAGAGTAGGAGTCCTTTTTCCTGCATAGCCCTGGAGTTCTTATTTATACCATATCATCTTGAGTTCAGGATTTTGTTTGAGACAAATTTATTTGAATTTGAGGAGAAAAGACAGTACATGGTGTCGCATCAAAGCAGTGGTCATTGACTTATCTTCCATCAGAACAAAAGGCAGAAGATGGAGGAGGTCTTCCAGGCTCTGTTTTGTAGGAGTTTGGGATTCTTTTCTAAAGACCTTGGAAATGTGGTGATGCCTGCAAAGTCTTCCCTAGACATGGAATTTCTCTAAACTAATTTGAAATTGAAAAGTAGCTGACTCTCAGAATTTGGGGGATCTCAAACCAGATGATCTGGAGTTACGGAATTGTATGGATAATAGTTAGGTTTGCTTACTTGCCATTTGGATTCTGATGTAGCATTTGATAAGTAGATGCCAACAAAAGACTCAACAAAAACATTACCTTAATTCTGACCTGGCTCAGCAGCGGTCTGTATTTAGAGCCCTCAATAAAGTTTTTTTCCAACAAATAGTTTTTTTTTTCAAGTCTTTTATAGACATGGGGCCATTGAATTTTTTTCCTCTCTGGTGTTTTATTGTCCAATTGCCTAGACTCTCAGAATTGAGCAGAAATAGAGAAACCTTTTCCAACGCATACAATTGATGGTTTGGCTCTTACAGTCTTCTGGTCAAGTTGAAGCAGGCAGGGAATGCGATGCCAATGTCCCCAGGCTCAGCTTAGGGCTTCGAGGCCTTCAGTAGGTTCTCCTAGAGCTCTGTTTTTAGAAGAGCAACAGATCCTCTTTAACCAAAGGGAATGAAAGAAGTCCCTTTATCCACCACTCGTGTATTCTTTCCAGTCCTGATGGTAGATTTTGTCAGCAGGAGCCACAGCAGGCTAGGAGTTTTATATAGGTCAGATGCTGAGGCTCTTTCCCCTCCAGCGGCATTTCCCAGCAGGTTGGGTTTCCTCATCAATCACGCGTTGCCCATATTGAGTTTCCTGGTTCAGCTGCTCATGTGGCCATGCTAAGGCTGAGGGAACTGGAGTCAGCATTAATCATGAGACTCGTCACTCTTGGGGCTGGATTGGCTTGGAGGATGCCTATAGTTAGGCTTTTTCCCTGGAGAAATGTCAGCTTAGACAAAAAAAAAAGCTCAACTTCTGCTTGATGTTTAATAGCTTGGTCATTATGAGGGATCCTATAAAACCCCCACCCCCTGCTGTTATGTGGGTGTTTTGTAACCGTAAAATCAGTCATTTCTTCCACAGCATATTTACTGGCTCCATAGAGGACAATCTACAAGGATTCTAACTTACCTCTCACCTGTCTCCTTACCTAGTTCCCACACAATTATCCCTGGAGACGACTGAACCCTGGCTTGTTTGTTTAAGTGTGTTATCATTCAGCTGTGCACTGTTTTTAAGTGATGCCGCGTTCTGTAATTAGTGCTGTTAGCAAAGGTGGCATCTACAGAGTTGCTGGCCGTTGCTGTCAGGTACTGTGGCAAGTTTCAATCACACTGTTTCCTTTAGTGCTAGACGTTGCCTCGGCTTTGAGGTGTGGGAGCTGTTAATTAGTATCTGAAATGCGCATCTGTATTCCCGCTGCTGTATTTCCCCTGATGGCCCCTGTCACTGTGACTTCTAAGTCTTCTGTCTGGGAGCTATTTGTTGAATTTAATTCCACATTGGAGAATAAATGTGGGTGTCCTAGGACTTAGCCCATGGAAGGAATCTGCTGAGAATCTAACTAACTTTTAGGGTTTTTCTTGAAGATGACCCTGTGGCAAGGATTTGAGTGCAAGTCATTTATTTGGGAGGTGATGGGTGGCCCCGGAAACACTAGGAGGGGAGTGGGAAAGGTAGACAGGAAGAGACACCAGCCAGTAGTCATCAGGCCACTTACTGCTGTGGACAGCTGGAGCTTGCTTGACCTCCCTGGGAAACAATGGCGGCCAGGGTAGCATGATCCCACCTAATAGACAGGTGAGTTGCGGTATTTATCCTCAACAGCCCTCTTCAGTCAGAGTAGGCCCCAGAGCCCAGACAAAAATGCCCAGGCAAAAAAATGCAGGTGCTGGCAAGTAGAAGTCTGGGCAGTGTGTGACCATGGTAAGGCTGGGTCCCGGGGAAGTGGGGGAAGGAGCTCCCCTAACTCCACAACCCAGGTGCCAAAGCAAACTGGCAAAGCCGAAATCCCTGATTATGTCATAACTAGAAAGGACCTGGGAGAGGATGTCATTCAAGTCTTCTAACTCCTACAGATATATTTTCCATAGCTGTCATCCAACTTCCACCTGAACACCCCCAAGTGATGGAGGGCTCAAAGATGTCCGTTCCATGGATAGATAGTTCTAGTCGTCATTCTACCTGTTACTTTCAAAATTTCCATGTTTTATTCAAACAGCCATTCATTCCATGTTCATTGAGCATCTCCTGGGTAGGAAGAACAGTATGAAGAACTGAGATTTACAGATGACATGGCCACTGTAGCTCTCATGGTTGCATATGGAGGAGAGGAATAGACAAGCAGAGATGTTATTCTCCTACAGCATTTTCACAGGGTGCTCTCATTGCACCAGATACATACACTGCAGAAAAGGGAGTGATTACCTTTCCACAAGAAAGGAAGGTGAAGCAGTCAGAGTAGGTTTCACAGAGGAGTGAAGAGTGATTAAAGCTCACTGAGTAGGAGAAGAAATGGGTGAGATATACTCAGCATGAAGTTAATGGTGGTGACAGCCACATTAGATTCCCCCATGCTTTGAAAACTATTGATGCCAATAGAAATTCCCACACCTACAGAACAAGCGCTTTATTAGTATCTTAAACTAGAGCTCTACTTATAATGGGATTAAAAGAATTACTTATTCTCTACTTTTAAAAGCATGAGGCCAGGCACAGTGGCTCATGCCTATAATCCCAGCACTTTGGGAGGCCAAGGCGGGTGGATCACCTGAGGTCAGGAGTTCAAGACCAGCCGGGCCAACATGGTGAAACCCCGTCTCTATTAAAAATACAAAAATTAATCGGGCATGGTAGCAGGTGCCTGTAATCCCAGCTACTCAGGAGGTTGAGGCAGGAGAATTGCTTGAACCCGGGAGGTGGAGGTTGCAGTGAGCCGAGATCACGCCACTGCACTCCAGCCTGGGCGACAGAGTGAGACTCTGTCTCAAAAAAAATAAAAATAAAAATAAAAAAATAAAAGCATGCACCTTTTAAAGGGGAATATCAGTATTTTTTCTTCTATCCAGTTTTCCAAACCTCCATCAATTACCCTAGTGGCTCAAAATGAGCTCATCTACAAGATAATTTACTTCCTCTGCAGATATTTTCAGAGGTATTAGGAGCAAACACATGGATACACAGAAACTACCACCAGTTGTACCACATAGAAATAGATTCTATAAAAAGTAGCTCAAGTCAACTACACACCGGTCTAGTAGCCTGTGACTAAATAGTGCTGATCACTGTACTTGCTGCATGTGGGAATGCAGAAAAGAAGATAAGTCCACAGCTTGTCACAACATTCACAACCTTCAAAATGAGGTGAACCTAGAAAATGAGCTAATCAAATATGGGTGTGACTGGTTTATATTTGCATACATGTATATAAAGAAAGAGGTGTGTGTGAGAGACATTTATCCTGAAAAATGAATAGAAAAAAATTGGCATACTCCTCCCTAAAATAAGAAGTTTATATTCAACAATTTTTTGTCATTTTAGAGATAAACAGGAAAAAGTAGTCGAGATACCATCATGTAGAAAAGTCACAAACTGGCTGTCTTTAAGCCAAATTCAGCTTGTAGATGGGTCATGCTTGGCTCACACAGTGTTCACCCACAGAGAGTTTTAAATCTGAACTAGTTGCCATCCTTTAAAAATAATGATAGTATAGATCAAAATTCAAGTTCCCAAATTCACTTAGAGTATCAAACTGCCTGGCAATTCTGAGGCTATATTTCACATGACATTCAGTGGTTTTCTCCTTTTAATAAGCAAATACTTCCTAGTAGACCACTCCCCTCCTCTTACTATGGAAGGTAATTATCACCCATCATTTCATTTCTCCTGGCTTCTTTCATTTACATTCCCGGTCTGGCCCTTGCAAAACTTTGAGATGGCCAGAAAGGTATAAACTAAGAAATGAAGAACAGACTTAGATATTTAAATTTTATTTTCTATGTTGCATTTCCCAAGATCACTGGGAAACTGAAAGATGCTCCAGGATAAAAGACAGTCCGTAGGAAAATAAGTTTGATAAACTAACCCCTTTTGAAATTCTCATTGTGCCAGGGCATGTAGAAAATGATGAAAAGTCTCTGGGAAAGCTCATGACAGGCAAACTTGCCTGGCTTTGGTTAGACAATAAAGAGCTACTGGAAGGTTTCAGGTAGTGGAGACTATGCATTAGATCAGAACTATGCATTAGCTAGTTAAATTTGCTGAAAGTACAATTTCCCTAAAAACAAGAGCGAATGTAAATTAAAGAAGCACTATCTATATCCTTCATGTTTTTCCTCTCATCTTAGTCTTATGCATGGGTTTTGCACTGAGCATCTTTCCCAGTTTCACCATTAGTTGACCCCTGCAACTTACAATCCTTGTACTTAAATTCACATCTCTATAAATTAGTAACAATGCCTTATGTTCTGATACGTATGAGGATTAAATGAGATAGTACCTATATTCTCATTTATATCTTCTTCTTACTACTGCTATTATCTATAGATTCATAGATTTCTATATACATATGTTCCAGAAAAATTTCCTGGGCATTTTGATATATTATATAGGACACTGAACTCATCTACTTACCCAGTGAAAAATTTATGTCCTCTGAAGTTTATTAATGAGGCTCCTTTGGTTGAAATTCTAATTATACTGTATGGACTTATATATTTTTGTCTTCCTCAGGGAAAGGAAGTTACAAATTTTTGTCTTCCTCAGGGAAGAACATATAGAAAGAAAGAGGAAAGGAAAAGGAAAAAGGAAGGAAGGGAGAAAGAGAACGAAAGAAAGAAGGAAGGAAAAGAAAAGGAAAGAAAGGAAGAAAGGAAGGAAGGAAGGAAGGAAGGAAGGAAGAAAAGAAAGAAAGGAAGAAAGAAAGAAAGAAAGAAAGAAAGAAAGAAAGAAAGAAAGAAAGAAAGAAAGAAGGAAAGAAAGAAACCTTGTTCCCCTAGAGAATAAGAGTGAAAGTAAGCCAGTGTGGCAAGTTAATGTTAGTCGGAAACAACAGAAGCTCTTTGCAAACTAGGAGAACAGAGAATTGGCTCAGTCATTTTCCAGAAATGAGAATTTCTAGGTCAACCGCAAAATTAGAAGTTTATAACCAAGAGTTCAGCCAAAAGAGCCAACAGTTCCCCATGAGTCTGAGGGTTATCCACTACAGCTATGTTCAAGCTTATGTTCTGTTTTCAGCTTGGTATTCTAACCATGCTATGGCAGAAATATCTCTGATCATGCCCTTCTTGCATTGGTTTGATCTTCCATCTCTGAAGTCAACTAAGGCCACATGCAGTAGACATTTCTGTAAAGACCATCACCAAGCGTGGGATGCTTGGTGCAAAGGCATAGATGAGATACCCCGAGCTATGATGAGGTTACCTAAAGAATCTCAGGAAGCCAACCCCCAACTACCTGAAGGGGGAACATTTCAAAAATATTAGGATCTTACTATGTTTCAGGAACCAGGCTACAGATGGGGAAACAACAATAAACAAAAAGCAGACCAATCTCTGCCCTGTAAAGCTTATGGTCTAGAGAGGAAGGCAGACAAATTCTGCAACTTTGGTTAGTGTTCAAGAGGAAAGAGGCTTAGTACTTTGAGGGGCTGTCATCCGGCTTCATCTTGGAGGTCAGAGAAGGCATTCCTGGGGAAGCAAAATCTAGATGATGACTAAGAATTAACCAGGCAAAAAAGGGATGGAAGTAAAATTTCAGATTCTATTTGCACCAGCCTCATAGCAATAGCATCAGAAATATTCAAGGATCTGAAAGAAAAAATACAGTGTAGTTGAAATCTACAGAAAAGATCCAACTGATGCACCAAGAGAAAAAAAGGAAAAGAACAAAATAGAGCATAAGAGATATAAGGAACCCAATCAAATGCTCCCTAGCACAGCTGCAACTTGAGTCCCAGAAGGAGAGGAGAGGCTGAAATGGGGCAGAGCATTATTTGAAGAAATAATATCCAAGAGTATTCCAAAACAGGTGACAGACTTTGACCCACAGACTAGATCTAAATGTTCAGCAAATCCCCGCAAATGATAGATAAACAAATTGTAATATGCCCATACAATGGGGTTCTATTCAGCACAAAAGACAGAACTTCTGATATTTGAAACAACATAGAAGACTCTAAAAGCATTATGATAAATGAAAGAAGCTTGTCACAAAAGGCTACATACTGTATGATGCCATTCATATCACATTCCGAAAAAGGCAACACGATAGTGATAAAAATCAGACCAGTGGCCACCAATGCCTGGGGTGGGTAGGAAACTGGCTGGAAGGAGGTACAGGAAAACTTCTGGATTGGGGGCCTCTCACATATTAACAGTATGATAAAAACAGGCTACAAAGTAATATCACCAGTAGGATGGAGATTTTGTTATATTTATAATAGAAAAGTCTAAAAGAAAACATCCATAATTCAACCATCAGGAGTTAGCTACTGCTTCATTTTTGTTTGCTTTTAATTGTGTTGTTTACACTTTTCTTTACTGAGTTTTCTACAATGAGAATATAACTATTATAGTTAGGGAAAATATTATTTTTGAAAACAACTAGTAATATTCATACTGATTCTAAAACATAAGCAAGCTATTTCCTAATAAGTTTATAATTTATTTTCTAATTTTAAATATTCTCCTTTAATAAAAGAATGTTTTTAAAATAATTTTAAAATTTTGTATTGTTAATTCTACACACACACACACACACACACAAGCTTCATCCATATTTTAAAATCTCTGTCTATAGTAATCACTACCTTTGGGTTTGCAGAATTCTTAGCTAAATTATTCACTTACCTGACCACCCCCCCCCAACAAGCCCCCAAATAAAGTGAATTTCCAACATGGTGTTTGCATTGCTAATTGATGTCTACCTGCAAGATTTTCCAAGTGGAAGGTACAAAGGGAGACGGCAGGTCTCCAAAAACAGATCAGGGCTCCCTAGCCTTTGTGTGTCACCTGTTTCTAAACAGCACAATTAGAGCAATAAATGCTGCAGCCCCGTGTTTGGCCTGACGGGATGATGACCCTGCGGCTCAGCAAGGCCACGTATGACAGACTAACTACTTGAAAAAGGACTCTCTTGAGGGTTACTTAACACAGTCACCTGTTGATTTATGAACACGCACACTCACACATACCTTGTCTCACCCTTTTAATCATATCAATTTGCTGCATCTCAGCAAAAGAAAAAAAAACCGAAACCACTAATTACTCACAAATAAGTCAATGGCAAAGCTCCACATCTGCTCAATCTGGATGGATGAAGTTTGTAAACCACTAACACTTCATTTTCCCCTATTTTGTAATGAATTTTTAATTACATAAGAAATAAGTGAATTCATTCTCTTCTGAAATATTAGGACATTTACTCAAAAGTGCCTTTTGACCACATTCTCCAATTTCTATCCCTCTGAACCCTCCCCTTGGATAGTTTGGGGTTTGGGGATTTAGCCTTGCAGTCCTTTTATATATGGTCTATAGTAGCCTATAGTGCAGCACAGAGAGCGGTATTTCTTCATGAGGGTTTTTCTTGTTTTTCTTTTCTTCTTTCTCTCTCCCTCGCCCTCATTCTTTTCTTACATAAATGGTTTCATACTGCAGTTTCATTCTGCAAATTGCTCATTTTTTTTTTGAGCCTTATCCCAGGCTAGTTCAACTAGATCACTTTTATTTATTTTAACTGCTGTATACAATTCCATCATATAAATACAGCACACACACACTTTACTTATTCCCTGTTTGATTCCCTGTTGATAAACAATCCAATTTTTCACCATCACAAGCAATGCCACCACGTACATAGTCATATCTGACAATCCATGTCCACATGTTCCTCCCACCCAGGCACACCAGGTCCATTGCCACCACACTGAAATGTCAGGCAGCTTGACAATCAAGTCACGTGGTGCCTGGGTCTCAGTTCTCCGCGTTCTGGAACTCGGTGGAGCAGGGCTCTTAGGGTCTTGTGGCCACCTCACCGGGTCAGACTCTCCCCGAGGTGGGAGGACAAGCTAATAGGAGAAACAGGGCCATTTCTTCACCCAACCACTCAGGCTGCCAGACTCATTTTCAGATTCAAATGCAAAATTTCATTATTTCCCCTCAAACCTAAAACCCCACCTAAAGGCGGTTGAGTATTTGGCATTCCCTCTACATTGATCCTGGCTGAGGAGGGCCCGGGGGACTCAGGTCTGAGGAGGACACGTTTTCCAAGGCGGCCCTCCTTCCAGTGCTGCCAGGAGAGGGAAAAGGCACTCAGGGAGTTTTTGCTGGAGATAAGAGCAATTTTTGAAAAAAAGGTAGTAAGGCAGGAGGTGGAGTCTGCCACGGGTCTCTTTCAAACTTGCTACTTTCCATCCCGTTAATACAATCCCGGCCCTGTTTCCCGGCCCCGCGGCCATTGCAGAGTCATGAAGTCATCGCAGCTGCGCCTGCAGCCAGGCGGGAACGGGAACGGGAACTGGCTGGCCGCGGTCCCTTCTGTCCCCCGCCAGCCGGAAATGTCCGCGCGCTGAAAAGCAGACGCTGCCTGCCCGGGGAACGGCGAGAGAGAGCGAGAAAAAAAAAAGCCTGAAGGCGGCGCGGCAGCCAGCGAGAGGGGAGAAACAGATTCACACCCAGGGGCCTCCGGGCAGGGCCCACGGGACTCAGGCCGTGTCCCGCTTGGAATGTGGAGCAGGCGCGGCCTCGGCGTCAGCAGAGCTCCCCTGCATCTCCTCCTGGGGGTGTGGGGGCCGAGTGGGAGAACTGGCGGACAGAGGAAAGGGGCCTCGCTCGCAAGGCCCGGGCGGGGAGGCCTGGCCTCCTGCTCAGTCGGTGCAAATGGAAAAAGAGACGTAAGTGCCAAGTCCCAAAAGAGCAAGTCATGGGCCCCGGCTTTACAATCTGTTTCATGAGTTATTCCTCCAAGCATGCCTGGCAGTCGAGTTTCTTCATTAGTGCTGCAGCAAGCAGATGGGAACATGAGCGCCCGAGAGCATGGAGGCCTCGCAGGCAAGCAGGTGGCAGCCCCCAACATTCTGGGCAGGCTCTGGGGTCGAGGGAGCACGTTCTGATGCTTAAATAGCCTCACCTTTTATCCTGACTGGGGTAGTCCTGTGTGGTGGTTTGGTGCCCGTTTTACACCTAGACCCTCTCTCTACCCCTTGACTCGCTCTCTACCCCTTCATCCATAAGTAATGTCTGCCTCCGCCTGATCCCAGGCTGCCTTTCTGGGGTTCCAGAGACGCTGGTTGTGATGAGCAGCAAAGGGCCTCACTGTCTAAGTCGCCCAGCAGTTCCCTTGTCCTCGGGAAGGCTGCATCTTAATGGAGACCAGGAAAGGTAATGCAGGGATGGAGTCTGGATGAAGACCTGCCAAGTTGCGAGGAAGGTGGAATGGCATAGACACGGCGTTCCAAGCAGCCAGGGTTAGCCAGTCAGCTTTCCCAGTGATAGAAACCTTGTAGGCACTTTATCCTGTGACCCCAACTGTCCTCCTCAGGTGTCAACTTCCTTTCCATTACCATTAACTCCTCTTATTCCAACCACAGCTGTTGTCAACCCTCTCAAACCTCTGAAAAACAGGATAAAAGCCCCAGTGGGTATCAAAATCTCTGCCTTGAAATCCTTTTGAAACAAAGATTGTTATTGAGGGAGGTTTTCAGAATGAAGAGGAGGCTGCTGCCGTCT
This sequence comes from Homo sapiens, assembly GCF_000001405.40. Taxonomy (NCBI): domain Eukaryota; kingdom Metazoa; phylum Chordata; class Mammalia; order Primates; family Hominidae; genus Homo; species Homo sapiens. The sequence goes on from NC_000009.12 coordinate 87,149,734, forward strand.
GAATGTGATGGTATTATTAGGAGGTGGGGCCTTTGGGAAATGATCAGGGCATGAAAGTCCTCATGAGTGGGATCAGTGCCCTTATAAAAAAGGCCCCAGAGAGCTGCCTTGCCCTTCCCACCATATGAGGACACAGGGAAAAGGCACCTTCTATACAAACCAGGAAACAGACCCTCACCAGATGCTGAATCTGCTGGTGCCTTGCTCTTGAGCTTCCCAGCCCCCAGAACTGTGGGAACAAACATCTGTTGCTTATTAGCCACCCAGTGTATGGTATCCTGTTAGAGCAGCCTCAGATGACTAAGGCGGCAACTTTCCATCCCCATGTCTGCAGGCCTCAGCCCCCCTCCCACGAGCATTCTCTTCCTTCTTCATGAACATGGGATTTTGTCGGTCCCCCATAGTCCCCAATCCCTCTAGCACTTTGGTTTCATAATGAAAGACATAAGAGGAAAGAAAGATCGCAGAGAAGCAGCACATGGAAACCATCCTGTCTGGAGCAGAGGAGCGAAGAGAGAGGACAGTCTGGGGTAAGATGTTGCTGAGGAAACCCAATTGGGCTGAGGAGTGGCTGGGCTCACCATCTTCCCTTCTTCTGTCTCCCCCTCCGTGGGACAGTGCTGCTCCCCGTGTCCAAGGTCAGGGACAGGGGACAGGGTGGGATTGCCACTTGGGCAGTGTCAAAAAGAAAATAGAAATTCCTGAGGAATGGCTGAGATTGACATGAAAGACAGCCCTCAAGTGGCCCCCACACATCCCTTTTGGGAACCTTTCCTCTCTTTTACCTGAAGTACCTTCATAAATGAGTGCCTGCTTAATTTGTTTTTTAAAAACGGAGTGAAAAACAGGCAATGTTTATGTCTCAAAGAAGCGTTTCTGATGAAAGCACAATAAATGCAGTTTTGCAGTACCATGCAAAGCAATAAACATGGAGTAGCTTCATACTGTGAGTTTAGGTGTGAAAAACTGTAAATACTCGTTAACAAAATCACCCAACCAAAATCACACGAAAAAAGTGAGCTGTATAACTGCGTATTGGCTATGACCTGGGTGTTTGTATAATCTATCATCCAAACAAGAAGCTGTAGGCACAAATCAAACCATCTAGAACACAGGTCCCACTGGCTACAGCTAAACTTGTCAGAGGTTACATCAGTTGTCAGTGTTGTGATGTATAGTAGCCAGCAGTGAACTCCATGGAAGTAATAATGAAAGGTGAACAGCAAGAACACAGCTGTATCATCATAAAGTCAGCGTTGTGGCTCAGACACAATAAAGCACACCTCTGCTCATTCTCCTCCACAAGCTACTGACAAAACACCGAGGACAACAGGAAACAAATGGCAATATGTGGATTTCACAAAAGAGGAAACCCCACTTCCAGTGACATTGCTTCCTGTCATCTGTTCCTCCTCTAAGAGCAGAAAGCCATCATTCTTCGTCTCCAAATTTTATTTTGGAGGTCATGACACATGGGTTTCCTTGGATCTTTGAAATTTACTTGAAACTTAAGAAGAACAGGCTAGACTGTTTTGTGCATCATGATCACAATGATCAATGATCCTAGGCATTGGGAGAACCCTACTCTTGCCCCCAACAGTTCTGGAAGAGACATCACATCTGCTCTCAAGACAAATCCACAGTACAAGATAGGACATGCTGTCTTTCCATGAGACCATGAGTTCCTCAAAGGCAGTGAACATGTTCTAATTTTATCCACTTTCTTTTCAATTTGAGGATGATGCATGCTTCAGGATAGGAACTGAAATACTAGTTCCCTTCTCATTCCTAAAAATGTATACCCACCCATCTTCCACGAGCTCCTGGAAGTTGAGTGGGTCTACATTTTAAACAAATTGCTTACTGGGAATTCATAGGCGCTGTGGTGATTCAGGTAATGGAAGGAAGCCCATGCATAGGAAGGCAGGAGTTAGAGGCAAGATAGAAGCAAGAAAGAGTCAAGAGCGCATCAGGCCCTCTGACCTTTGCCCTTGGCCATCTGCAGCATAGGAGGATGCCCCTTGTGCCAGGTGGCTCTCAGAATCTGGGGACTGTAAGAGCCAGGATCAGCACCCGTCAGTCACATGCTGAGCCCAGCACTGACAATGAACGTGTTCTGTCTATGACTCAAGATATACACTCCATCTTCTTGAACCTTAAAAATATTACATTGAGTTCCTCAGGAAACAGCATTTAGAAATGCAAGCATTTTCATCTCATCGTTTATCTTTAAGACAAGGTTCTGGAGCCTCCTAGGAACTCATTTAAGGGTGCTGAAAAAGGAGTGGGTGAGGCTTTAGTTTGCTTAATCTCAATATTTGAAGTGTATAACATTATATTTGAACTAAAGTTTAATTTGCTAAAAAACGCAAATTGTTTCTCTATTCTGTAGAATATAATTGATTTGTAATGCCTCCTACATGACAAGTGGGAATACAGACTGTGGTTTGCTCTCAAGATGTGTATAGGGTAGTGGGGTAAGAATATGTATATATCCAGATTGTTACAGTCTAAGGCAGATATGGGAAAGCCCTGCTTTGAGTTCTCACAATCTAGAGCCTTCCCCAGTCGCTGAGGGGTGATAAACAAATATCAAGGCATTGTCCATTGTTGTCTGGGAACTAACCTTTTGTCTCTGTCATATAACGCTGAGTTTCTGAGGGTCCCAGTGTGCGTCAGGGGCAGGAGAAACAGTAGGAAGCTCTGTCTGGCTTCTTGCTTCATCAGACAGGACCCGGGCGTTTTTGCCTTATTTAGAAATATACTTGTTTTATTATGACACCGACCGTTTGTTAGCACAGAGAGAGACAGAGAGGCTCACAATGTTTGAGTCCCTTATCTCGCATTGTTTATGTTCTTAAAATAATTTAATTAACTTAATAAACAAAAGCATTTTCAATTCATAAACAAAGAGAGCTCAGAAAAATTGAATGTTCCAAAAGGCAAAATGAATAGAAAAGTCACATCATCCCAAGTCATTCTCTCACCCTCTGTCTTGCACATTCCTGCAAGCCCTGTCCCTAAGAACCAATGGGACTTCTAAAAACTGTCTTCATTTCCTCATTTTGTAAAGATTTTAGTGGGATCTTGGAAGGCTTCTAGACAGATCAATATTAAAACTGGTTCTAAATGCCATGGCTATGTCTACCTTCTGAAATTACTCTAAAAAGATAAAGTGAAAAGGACAAATGATTTGGAATTTACAAAGCCGTTTTAAATGTATAGATAGATTCAGGTTTGGTTTTGTTGTTGTTGTTGTTGTTGTTGTTTGTTTGTTTGAGATGGAGTCTCCCTCTGTCACCCAGGCTGGAGTGCGGTAGCATGATCTCAGCTCACTGCAGCCTCCGCCTCCTGGGTTCAAGCTACCCTTCTGCCCCAGCCTCCAGAGTAGCTGGGATTACAGGCGTGCGCTACCATCCCCGGCTAATTGTTTTATATTTTTTAGTACAGACAGGGTTTCACCATATTGGCCAGGCTGATCTTGAACTTCTGACCGCAAGTGATCCACCCATCTTGGCCTCTCAAAGTGCTGGGATTACAGGGATGAGCCACTGCGCCCAGTCTGATTCAGTTTTTAAAGAAGGAAGAGTTTAAAACTCTAAGGCTGAAGGATGATTTCTGAAAGAGCCAAAGGAATGAAGGGGTTATCTCATTCTGGGTTTAATGCCATCAACACAAGCAAGCAGACTACATAATTTTAATCTTATACTTTTATTAATTTTTGAGATATTTTATTATAAACTTTTTAACCCATAAATGATTCGGAACAGTGTAAAAATACTTATACTCATGACCTCTGAAGTGCACTGTAATCTCTGCACTTCAATAACACAAATGCAGTTTCTGAATTATGAGTGTAAATGTACATGGATGGAATATAAATTATTATGGGGACAAATGTGCTATCTACAAGTAGTTATGTATTTTATACAGTTAATATTAGCTAACTTGGTTTAAACATTAATTACATGTTAGGCACATACTAAGAAATTCAAGTGTATTATCTCTTAATCCTCCAAGTGTATTATCTCTTAATCCTCCATGAACCCATGAGGTAGACACAATTGTTTCTTACATTTTACAGATGAGGAAACTGAGGTTTGGAGTTTGCCCAACAAACATAGCTAGAAAGTGATAGAGCCAGCCTCGAACCCAGCCTCTCTGACACTGTCCTGTGGGATGGTGAAGAGACGGCATGGAGATATGATTAGTTGTAATATTATTACAGCAATGATTATTTTAAAAAGCAGGTGATTTGTCATTGTTTTTGACATGTCTCAAATTTTTCCTGATAAACCCTCTCATCTATGTCAGTCATAGTTCAATCAGAAGCAGACGCACTAGGAGGTAATACATGTTTTATGTATGCATGTCAAACACACAGACACACACTTATACACACATATACATATATACCTATGTGTGTGTGTGTGTGTATCTTTGTTACAGGGATTTGTACCTTACAAAGTTGTGGGTTCTTGCTAAGCAATCTCTGTAAGGACATTGTCCACAAGGCAGGCAGTGGGGAAGCAAGGACAAGATGGAGCCCACGGGCACAAGCTGGAACCCATGAGGATGGACTGAGACTCATGCCAATTCTTGCTGCCTCTGACTTTGATGGTGTGGGTGTCCTGCAGGAAAAGCTTGTGCCCTTTATCACAGAGCTGGCCCAGGAGCCAAGAGGCCAAAGCAGGACAGCAGGGGCCTGCTGTCCCACACCAGCAACAAGCAGCATATGTGTGAGCTACAAAAAAGGCTGCTGCTTCACCTCCAACCTTCACATGTCCCATAGGAGGCTCTTTTGTGGCTCACTCTAACCAGAAACATGCAGGGGAGGAAATTCTGGGAAATGTAGTTCTGTCTAGGCAAGTTGACACATTGCAAAGCTACCACACCAAAGTGCACCAAAGGTACAAAGATGGATGGGATATGGCTCCTGCCTTCAAGGGGCTAATCATCTAGGGGTGTGAAGGGAAAGAGAAACATGAATGTATAATATCAACACAAATATTATATTATAACAAGTATTATGATAAGTGCACTAAGGGTGCAACAGAAGCCCACAAAAGTGGCTCACCCTACCCAAGCTGGGATTCCAGGAGAGCTTCCTGGAGGATGTGGTGTCTAAGTGGCCTTAAAGGATGAAGTAGAAGTTGACTAAGAAAAGAAGGTTTAGTAAGGATATTAAGGTGGGTGGCGAGAGGGAATAACCATTAAGGTCTATGGCAGAGGCAGGATAGAGAGATGTATAAGCAATAAATGTGGAGGGCTGGGAGTGGAAGGAAAAGATGTTGGAGAAGTCAGTGTTGCAAACTCTAGAAAGTCTATGCATTGTACTACAGGGAGCTTGGACTTCATGTCCCAGTGATTGGTGAGCAATTCAGGAGTTAGACACATGAAAATGATATGGTCATTGAGGTAGATAGTCTCCAAGATATCACCTCACTGGCTTTCCTCTCTGTGCATGTGTACTGCTCACTGCATTAAAAGGTAGGCTTTAATTTTTCTCTTCTTGAGTTTAGGCTGGCCTAAGCAACTGCTTGGCTTAGGGAAGACAACAGAAGTGACATTCTAAGAAGAAGTCTTAAGTAGTCCTGCAGCTTCTGCCTAGTTCTCTCAGAATACTAGCTCCTGGACCATGACATCTCCTCTTAGAAGCAAACTGCCATGCGGTCAGAGTCTAAACCCCATGGAGATGCCACATGTAGGTGCTCTGGTCAGTCACCCCAGCTGAGCTCCCAGCCAAAACTATCTTGTGCATTGCTATCATGAACATCCAGCCAAGTCAGGCCTTTAGATGACTCCATTCCAAGCCACCATCTGAATGCAACTGCATGAAATACCCCAACTGAGGATTGCCCCTTAACAACCCACAGAATTGGAGATATAATCATAAATTATCTTAGACTTCCAAGTTTTCATGTGGATTGTTACACAGCAATAGATAACCCAAATTGCCATGTTTATGTTTTGGGTGTTTTAGGGGGAAGGAATGGAGGAGGGAAGACACTTTAAGTGAAGCTTACTGACTTAAAAAAAGATAAAATGAAAGTAGGAAAACTTTGTAGGAATTCATTGCTATAACCAAAAGAGAAGGTATGAGAACCTGAGCCTGAGAGTACTAGTTGGGGTGAGAAGAAAAGCTGGATTCTAGAAACAGGAAATAAAATTAATAGGCTTTATGATAAGTGAAGGGCAAAGGAGAGAGGAGGAGTCGAAAATGTTTTGTGTGTTTCCCCTGTACGACTGGGTGGAAGCTAGCTATCTCAATCACAAAGACCCAGAACACAGCAGAAGGATCAGGTGGCATAGAGGAGGGAATATTATGAGTTCTATGAGGTTTCTAAGTGTATGGTTAATTTTGTGTGTCAACTTGACTGGGCTATGGGATGCCCAGATCACTGGTAAAACTTTATTTCTGGATGTGTCTGTGCTTGTGTCTCAGAAGAGATTAGCATTTGAATCAGAAAACTGCACAAAGAAGATCCACCCTCACCAATGTGTGTGGGCATTGTCCAATTATTTGAGTACCTAATAGAACAAAAAAGCAGAAGAAGAGCAAATTCTCTCTCTCTCTCTGCTTGAGCTGAAACATTCATCTTCTCCTACCCTCAGATATCAGCACTCCTGGTTCTCAGGTTTTTGGACTTAGACTGGAACTTTTACCACTAGCCTCCTAATTTGCTGGCCTTTGGACTTAGACTGAATTACATCATTGGTTTCCCTGGTTCTCCAGTCTGCAGACAGCAGATCATCTGTTGAACTTTCAACTGCCATCAGCACATGAGCTAGTTCCTATAATAAATTTATTTTTATCGATATACCTATCTATCCTATAGGTTCTGTTTCTCCGGAAAACCCTGACTAATACAGTAGAGGATATCCAGATTGACAACTTCAGGAGAAAGTCTGATTTAGGAGTCGGAAGCCCAGATTGGAAAAACCTCTTGATAGATGTCACTCGGGAAGACCATGAAAACAGCCAAAATAATTCAAAGAGAAGATGCAAAGTGAACTGTGAAACAGACCAAAGATGAATCTCTTTGGTAAATCCCCTGCCTAAATCCCCTGCCATGGAATAGCTGCCTAAACTTGGGCAAATAACTTGACATTTCTCAGTTTCCACATTCCAAAAATGGATTTTTATGAGAATTAAATGTTATGATGCATTCCAGCTACCTGTCCTAGAACCTGGCATAAGAGCTCAGTACATGCTGGGGAGGGTTATCATCATCGTCATCATCATCTTATTAACATTCATGTTGAAGGGATGATGGGCTGCTGAGAAGTTCATGAAGAAGGTGAAAAACTATTACAGAGGTGGGAGGAAAAAGAGAGGACTATCACAGAAGCAGAAGAGCTGAGAGTATTGAGAAAGGGTGACGGGTTAGGGGGACTAGCAAGTACCCTCTGGCGTTGGCAATATTCAGTTTGTTGAAGGCCTTGATGAACTTTAATGAAGTGGTGAGAGTTAAACAAAGCTGAGATAGGATATGAATCTCAGGGAGGATATGAGGACTCATTGATTACCATTCCAAGAAACTTGTCTGAAAAGGAAAGAAGAGATGGTGGTAATCAGAGCAGAGTGGCAGGATGCAGGGAGTTTTTATTTATTTATTTGTTCTTGTTGCTGACATTGTTTTCATACTATTTTTTGTTTGTTAAAGAGGGAGAGTTGTGAGTATAAAATAACCTATAAATAGGGAAAACCAGGAACAGATTCATGTGAAAGCCCTTGACTGAGAACAGAATTAATTACCCGTGCAGAGGTAGTCTTCAAGCCTTGGCAGGTAAGCAACTGTCTGAGACACAGCTGGCTCGGGAACAGGGCCTTTCTTTGGCTGGCAGGCTTGAGGCAGCATAATTTGGAAGCGGATATGAGAAAGGGCATAATAATGTGAAATTTGACTGCCTAGTGGGGGAGAAACTTTGAATATTATGAGGCGGTTATGAAAGTATTTCCTTCTTATGGCTTCAATGGCACTGCCTCTGAGCATTAGTGTTTGTCCTCAGGAGGTAAGTGTGGGGACTGTATCAGCAGTTACTACCTAGATAAGCACGGTGTATAGGGGTAACATGGTTTATAGAGCATGCAAGCCTTCACCTCTTTGCTAGATGAGATATGGAACCTAAATTCGGAGACCACGTGACCCCTGAGGCATGGGGAGGTGGGGTCAGAAAGCGTTACTGGCCATGATCCAGACCCAGGCGTGGAGAAACGACCTACTGGGGTTTTCAGGGAGCAGGAAGGTGGGGCAGGTACAGAGTATATTCTGGGGGACAGTTTCATAAAAAGTGAGTAGATCTCCACAACTTAGTTTCTAGACTAAATGGACTAAGCATGTTCCGCCCTATTCTTCCTACTAACAATAACAAAAAGCTCTGGACAAAATTTATAAAGCAACCCACAGAAGACTCCGAAGTTGGAAAAAGAAATAAAAACTGGCGATTTCCTCCATACTCAAGGCATCATGTAGCAGGGAGTGCCTTGGGTGTTGTTTATGTGTTTGTTTTCTTTTGTTCATTAATTTTTTTCTCCCGTGTATGGCAGTGTGGGCTCTAGCAATGCCTACCACCCGGAAACACAGATGGGTACAAATTTAAAAACCCCAAGAAAACTCTTTTTAGCCAAATGACCAGTGTTTCCAGCAGAGCAAAAACATTTTGACCACATCTGCCCTTTTGTGCTGGCTAACCCCTTCCCCTGCCACCATGTGCTGCTGGGGGGACATTGTGGATGAAGCCCACTCATTTATTCCTCCTCCTGCAGTAATGTGACCATACCCTTCCCACTCCTAACTAGAGGCTGGGGGAGGACTATGTGGGGGAGAGAACTGGAGAAAGCAATTTTCTAAATTTGTGTATGAAATCCTGGTTAGAACTCTGAGTGCCCCATGCACAAAACAGACAAGAAACAACACAGCAAAAAGATTCAAGGGTCAGAAAAACTGAACACTGGTCTGAAACACTGCCCGGGTTTCAGATTGGCATCAGGGTAGCACCCAAGTGGGGCAGATTGAAATAGCACTGTAAAGGCTTTGAAAATGAAATGACTTTTGAGCCACAGCTCACAAAGTGAACCGGAACAAGCATTCTGAACTTAAACAGGTCAAGTGCCTGCTAAAATCAAAGACTGAAATGGGAACCAGAATAATATAACATACTACTGAAAATGTCTAGGATGCAATCCAAAATCTCATCACACTGAAAACCATAAAAATCTCAACTTGAAAGAGAAAAGGCAATTGTAAGCATTGAGATTACACAGATGTTGAAACTATCCAGCAAGAATCATAAAGCAGCTATTATACAAATGCCCTGATTTTAAAGCAAGTATGAATGCTCGAAACAAATGACAAAGTGGAAAGTCACAGCAGAGAAATAGAAAATGTAAGGAAGAACCAAATGGAAATTTTAAAACTGAAAAATACAATAACCAGTTTTTAAAAATTACTAGATTCAGAGGGAAAGACCAACAACTCAGAAAAAATGGGCAAAGGATATGAAGAGTTTACGGAAAAGGAAATGTAGATAACTCTTACCCATATAAAAATATGTTCAGCCTCACTCATATAAGAAAAATCAAAATTGAAATTACACTGAGACACTGCTTTTCACCTGTCAGAATGGCAAAACTCAAAGTGTGAATATACGCTATGAGAATGTGGAAAATTCTCATAGATTGCTTGTGGGCATCTAGAACAATTTGGTTGAATCACTAAAATCCACATGCCATTTGGCCCTGCAATTCTACTTTTAGAAATTTATCATATAGGAAACCTGCATATGAGTGAAATGACATACGTGGAGTGTTACTCCTGGCTGCATTGTTGGTAATCACAAAGAACACTAGAAAAAACTTAATGTCCATCAATAAGATGCTGATTAAATTAATTATTATACGTCATACAATGGAAAGTTAGAAAACCGTAAAAAAATGAAACCCTCTCTATAACCTGCTACCATATAATAAATAAAAGGACAGGCAATGATCTATATGTGTCTGTTTGGATATGCATTAAGAAACTTCAAAGGACAGGTAACAAAAAGTGGCTGCCCAGAGGAGAAGTGAGGGATGGGAGGGAGTCTGGACTGTAGGCCTAATAAAACCCCCAGATAAATAAAAACAAACCTACAAAGCACAGAAATAATCCTTAATGTCCAATCCCAGGGCTTTATCATAGTGGTCCCTTTATGTTTGGATGAGGTAAACCTATCCAATGTTTCAATTAACTTGGCTTATTATTAAGTCAATAATATTAAGGAACTTAATATTAGCAGGGATACTCTTTCATCTCAGGCATGTTAGATGCCTTCCATGATCTCCACGAGGAGGAAGAGCCCCTGAATCACCAGGGACACTGGTGAGGATGAAAGCATTTTGTTATGGATCCTTTTTCTTGGTGGCCTGAGCTGCTGGGGGCTTGAAGCCTGCCTCCCTCCCTGCAGGACACCCCACCCGACTGCTTTCTGCTCATCACACAGGGTGCCCTTGCATGATCACTATCCGCCCACTCCTAGGTGTCTGGTTCTGTGTGTGTGGTTTCCTACAGAACCAGACAGAAAAGTGAGTTCTGTTTTCTTCTCATCTTCCAGGCACCCAAAGCAAAACTTCACAAGCCCAGCCCTGAGCACCTGTCACATTGGAAGTGCTTCCTTCTCTGGTTCAGGAATTTGGTTTTGATTTTTGTTGGGGTTGCTCGGCCCCTATTGAAGGACAGAGTTTGAGGCTGGGGGTCTCTCCTTAGGCTTTTCCTGACCCTATGAAACAACCACAAACACCATCACTTTCCATAAGAGGATCAAGTTGCTTTTCTGAAATCACAAGGAGTCACTGATCTGCGCTGGCTTTCTCACGAGGGCACATGTGGCTGGGGCACAGCTGTTCCCATCTGTTACTTGGGCTGACACACAAGGACAGCTGTGAAGGGAGCGTGTCTCCTCCCCATCTCTGTTACAATGAGGCCTTGGTTTAGCCCAACTTCTGAATCCAGGTTATACTCCCTAATTGGCATACAAAAGCCCCAGGAATAAGGCAGAGAAGACTGGACCTTGCAAAGCTCGGCTCCAGTCATTTAAAATGAAATCAATCTCACTTCTCTCCTTTTCCCTCAGTGTCCTAAAATAATATTTGAAGTTCTGTTTAGTCTCTTTGGAGAACTGCCAGTGACTTCGAGGCATGTAGTGAAGCTGTATTTCAAGAGATGATTACACCCAGGACTTTGGAAAAGTGATTCTCACTTAGGAATAACATATGATACAGATTTAATAATCTGCCATAATACCTGTCTCCCCACTTTTTTTGTCTCAACCAAATAAGAGTAAAAAACTGATAGTGGCAAAAGGAACCTCTCTTCCATGGAAGTGATTGTTAAAGTGTTTTTTTTAATTGAATGAACTATTATCATGGCGAGTTTTGAAAGGAACCACATGCACAAGTTCTTAGATTTTCTGCTTTTGCCATTAACTATAGTAAATGTTTTCAAAAAATCTCTTTCCATCTTTTGCTAGTTGAAAAAAAAGAAAAAAATATTCTTACTGCATTGAAGTTATGAGTGAAATGAACAGTTTTTGAGAAAGAACAACAAAAAGCCCACTTGCCTGTTTTCTCCATTGTAACTACAATTATGTAATTAATTGTCAAGCTTGGTGACTCCCTTTCACAATCTGGAGAAGTGACACTCACTCTTTTTGAAAGATATGACAAACATATCTTTAATTACATAATCATTATATAGGGGCATCCTTATCAAATATTAATGAAATATAGAAAAACCCACGGTCATGTTGGACTGACTCTCCTGTAAACTAAGGATGACTGTGTTAATTCATTCTTGCATTGCTATAGAGAACTATCTGAGATTGGGTAATTTATAAAGAAAAGAGATTTAATTGGCTCATGGTTCTGCAGGCCGTACAGGAAGCATAGCTGGGGAGGCCTCAGGAAACTTACAATCATGGTGGAAGGTGAAGGAGAAGCAGGCATGTGTTACATGGCCAGGAGAAGGGGAAGAGAGAGAAGGGGGAGGTGCTACACACTTTGAAACAACCAGATCTCAAGAGAACTCACTATCATGAGAACTGCAAGGGGGAAATCCACCCCCATGATCCCATCACCTCCCAGCCAGCCCCTCCTCCAACATTGGGGATTACAATTCAACCTGAGATTCAGGTGAGGACACAAATCTAAACCATATCGGTGGCATATCCTTCCAGACCCTTTTAATGCATATGTACACATATTTATATTTACATTCAAATATATATGTAGATACAAATATTCATATGTAGATACAACTATGAATATAGAAATATATAATGTCAAGATCGTCTTTTACATACATAGAATCATGTTGTACACATTATTCCACAACTTGATTTTTAACTTAATATCCTGGTGATGTTTCTGTATCAGTACGTGTAAATTTACCTGACTACTGTGAAATATTCCATCCCTTCTATATGCCACAATTTATTAAACATTTTCCCTATATATTTAGATGGTTTCCAATATTTTTCCTATTAAAAATGATATTTCGATAGACATTCTTGCACAAAGTTCCTCAGGCACATGAGTATTTTCCTATAGTACACATCTAGACATGGAATTGTTAGGTCAAACGATCTGCATATTTTTGTTTTAAAAGATGTTGCTAAACAGTAGTTGTTATGGCTAAATATGGTGACAAACTCTATATTAGCTTAAATAATCCTCGTAATCTATGATGAGGCACTATTATTACCCCTAATTTGAAGTTGAGAAAACTGAGGTGCAGAGAGGTCCAGTAACTTGTTCAAGGTCACACAGCAGGTAACAGTGGAACCAGAATTCAACTCCTGGTATCTAGCTCCAGAATCTATGCTCTTAGCCTAACAGTTGGATGCCTCTCTCTAAAATGCAACTGTACAGATATATTATGTGCATTATAAACTATATACAAAAATTGAAATTAAAAGGGAGGCTATAAATTAGGTAACATTTTATAATACTTATTAACACTCAAAAGTTTTTCTTTCAATAAAACTATTCTTAATAGTAATATTTTAGTGAGAATAAAATAATTGAATATGTTCCCCTTTTTTAAAAAAATTGACTCTACCCTTTTTGATACAGCCATTGGAAACTTTGGTTCTAAGTTCAATTTATTGTCTGTCATAGCTGAAAATATTGCTGGGCAAAGGTAAACTCTAAGGGAAGAAGTACATCATTGGCTGTACTGTCTAAATCATAACATTCATTTTTAATCTCATTCACAAATTAAACAAAGTATTTTCCAAAAGTTTGGCTGGAAATGTTCTTTTTCCCATTTATCAATATATTTTCCTTAGAAAGTAATTAGGGCTAGGCAGGGTGGTTCATGCCTGTAATCTCAGCATTTTGAGAGGTTAAAGCAGGAGGATCGTTTGAGCTCAGGAGTTTGAGACCTTGTCTCTACAAAAAAATTTAAAAATCAGTCCACTGTGATGGTGCACACCTGTTGTTCCAGCTACTCAGGAGGCTGAAGCAGGAAGATTGCCTGAGCCCAGGAGATCAAGGCTGTAGCGAGCTATGATCACACCACCGCACTCCAGCAGAGTGGAGTGCGTGGCAGAGTGAGACTCTTTCTCTCTCAAAAAAAAAGTAATCAGAACATGTCACATTTTTTGTATTTTTAACAAATTAGATTTCAAAGTTTGGTAGCATGTTCTCAGTATGGCTGCCATTATCTCTTTCCTATATATGCACACCACTCCCCTGTTGAGATAAGAACTTTGTTCTTCCATTCGCTGGAATCTTGGCTGGTTAGTGACTGCTTTAGCCACAGAATATCGTAAAAATGATACTGCATGGCTTCTGAGACTTGATCATCAGAAGCCTTTGGCTTTTGTCTATATGTTAGTGTTCTACAGAGAAACAGACCCAATAGGATGTACAGTCATCCCTTGGTATCTGCCAGGGATTGGTTCCAGGACCCCCACAGATACCCAAATCAGTTGATGTTCAAGTCCTTTATATAAAATGGTGTAGTATTTGCATATAACCCATACGCATCCTTCTGTATACTTTAAATCATCTCTAGATAACTGATAACTAATATAATGTAATGTGATATAAATTGCTTGGGCTTTCTATAATAATATGTATTACAAAATACAGAGAAAGAGGGAAAGAGATGACTGACCAGGCCCCAGCTGCTCCAGTCATCTTAGTCCAGATACCAGACATAGAGTGAAGAGATTGTTGGATAACTTCAATCTCACTCACCATCTGACTGCGGCTGTAGAAGAGATCCCCAAATGAGAACCATCTAGACAACCTTGTCTATACGCAAAACTGTGAAAGATAAAAAGTTATTTTAAGCCACTTAGTTTTGGAGTGGTTTCTTATGTAGTGATAGTTATCTAGAACAGAATTTTACTGAAATACCACACTTGGGAGACTTTTCAACAGGTTAGAAAAGTTAATCTCATGTTTTTATTGAAGTGTGCAGATACAAGTATTTTGTATGAGTATACTCATAAAATTTTTGCAGAATCATGATAATGAAAAACATTTTCAAGCTTTCATTCCCAAAATGCTTTTTTTGTGGGCAAAAGTCTCTATTTAAAAAGCATTCTTTAAATTACTTATTTTTTAATTTTATTTCCATAGGTTTTGGGGGAATAGGTGGTGTTTGGTTACATGAGTAAGTTCTTTACTGGTGATTTGTGAGATTTTGGTGCACCCGTCACCCAAGCAGTATGCCCTATACTCAGTTTGTAGTCTTTTATCCCTCACCCTCCTCCAACTCTTTGCCTGGAGTCCCCAGAGTCCGCCGTATCATTCTTATGCCTTTGCATCCCATAGCTTAGCTCCCACTTATGAGTGAGAACATACGATGTTTGGTTTTCCATTCCTGAGTTACTCCATTTAGAATAATGGTCTCCAGTTCCATCCAGTTTGCTGCAAATGCCATTATTTTGTTCCTTTTTATGGCTGAATAGTATTCCATGTTTTATATGTCACATATCCATGTGATATATATATATATATATATCACATATCCATGTGATATATATATATATATATATATATCACAATGTCTTTATTCACTCATTGATTGATGGGCATTTGGGCTGGTTCCATATCTTTGCAATTGCAAGTTGTGCTGCTATAAACATGTGTATGCAAGCATCTTTTTCATATAATGACTTTTTTCCTCTGGGTAGATATCCAGTAGTGGGATTCCTGGGTCAAATGGTAGTTCTAGTTTCAATTCTTTAAGGAATCTCCACACTGTTTTCTATAGTGGTTGTACTAGTTTACATTCCACGAGCAGTGTAAAAGTGTTCCCTTTTCACTGCATCCTCACCAACATCTATTATTTTTTGATTTTTTGATTATGGACATAAATAAACAATTCTCAAAGGAAGATATACAAATGGCCAATAAACACAAAAAAATGTTCAGCATCACTAATAATCAGGGAAATGCAAATCTTTTAACTACTTATTGTTTAAGTGGCACTTTTCCTAATAGGAGCAGATTAAGTACAATTTTTTTCCAAAACTATCTGCTAAGTGGCATGCTACTAATCACAGTTGTCATCACAAAAAAATTAACTTTTTGTAACATTTTATTGTGAAGTAGTTGTGAGAACAGTACAAAGGGTCCTTGAATAATCTTCACATAGATTCCCCAACAGTTATCATTTTGTCGTATTTGCTTTATCAGTCTCTCTAAATATGTATGTATGTATATTATTTTTTAATGAACGATCTGAAAGTCAGGTGTAGGCACGATGCTCCTTTACATCTACATAGTTCAGTATTTGTTTCCTATGAGCTAGGGCATTGTCTTACAAAACCACAGGGCAAAACCAGGAACTTAACAATGATAGAATACTGCTATCCAATCTATGAACTTCATTCAAATTTTACCAATTATTCCAGTAATGTCCTTTTTAGCAAAAAATAAAAGTAAAAATTTTATTTAGAATCAAATTCAGAATTATGTACTGCATTTAATTGACACGACTCTTGTCTGTTTTAATTTGGGATGGTTTCTTACTCTTCCTTTGTCTCCCATGACCTTATTTTTGGAAAGTTCAAGGAATTTGAGTTCATTTCCTCAAGCTTAGAATCATTTTTGGCAACAATACCACAGAAGTGATTCTGTGTCCTTCTCAACCCATCTTATCAAGAGATAAATGAGGTCCTTTTGTTCCATTACTGATGATGTTAACTGAGATCACTTGGTTAAGGTAGTATTTGCCCTGTTTCTCTACTGTCGAATTGCTATTTACTTCTCCTTTTGTGTTTCGTAGTAGTTTTGGAGGAGATACTTTGAAACTACATCAATATTCTGTTCCTCATGAAATGTTCACCCAGCGTTTTAACATCTACTGATGATTATTACTCTGATGATTGCCAAATGGTAGATCAGTTGTTCTTGAGAATTTAAAATTTTGTAAAATCAAAATGTATAATCAAGTTTTAATTTTGATCATTCCTTTAAATACTTTATGTGAGATAATTAGTGAACTATTTTTTATTAAAGAAGTAATTTACTGTTAAAAATATATCTTTTCCTATAACATTTTCTGCAATCGTTCACAACATATTAGTATTCCTAAATTTTATTTTTGAAATAATACTAAGGAATACCAAAGCTAGAGCATGTTAGATATTTGTCCTTTCTATCTGCAGTGCAAACCTCCCACATGACATAATTTATTTCCTAAGGGATGCTTCTCCATACCTTTGACAATATTTTCTAGTCATCTTTTAATAATATTTGCTACCAAAGAAATGTATATGTTTGTTTCAAAATTGTTCTTGTGCAGTAATTCAGCTATATTTTTTACCATACAGTGAAAAACAAATATATACTTATATCTTCACTTATTAAATTAAAAAAATTAAGAGACTTTTAAATAATTATTATTAAGTTTAGAAAATTTTGGAAAATAATGTAGTGAGGTGACATTAATTTGAATAGCTCTAAATATTTCTACAGAGATTTGTCTTCATGTTCTGAATTATTAGTTATTAAATGTATTATTTGTTTTTTTGGTATCAGTAGGCTCATTAATGGTCTTATTAGTAACAAGATTCTTTACCGTGAAATTACTTGCTAACATTACTGCATGTAAATCTAATTTTCAGCAATATTCCTGATAATTTTCCTGTTTTTGACCACTTTTTGTAAGATCTGGTTAGATTTGTGGAGTTTTCCTTATATAGAGAGTCAATTTTCATTATTTGTGATAGTTATATTCTATAAAGTCACCACAATGAATTAGCAAATACTGAACCATTGTTCTTAGGGGAAATACAAGGTTAGGTGCCTGTGAACATTTGGTCACAATATTTTCATCACCCAATCATTACATAGCCTTATTTAATGTGCTTCTGTTTAAAGACATCTTATTTAATACACTTAGGGCCAATAGCACTATAAGTCATGTCTGAAGGAAGCTCCTCTAACACAAATTGCCTCCTGAAGGCACACCACAGCCTTCTTGCACTTAGGAACAACAGACAGCACTTCAGCATGACTCTTCAGTGACATGATCAATAAAAAGCACAAAAACGTGAAAAACATGGCACTAAATAGTCCCTGAAAAGGACGCTTGCTTACAATACGAGAACTGAAGCAAGAGGGCAGAGCGTCACCTTGTGTGACTTCAGTTAGCAACATGCAAGTCCGTTGATGCAACTGTTTCACTGCTGTGCCCATGTCTGTGAATTACCACAAAAGTGCTGTGAGTATTGATTGACATGGGGATTACAAATAAATTTCAGTGAGTAGACAAATTCACAAATATGGAATTTATGAATAATGAGGGTTGACAGTCTTTATAGATCAAAACACTCAAACTAGGACTAGAAAAAGTGTTATGTCTTCCTTTTCTTCTAGTAGCTTCTTGTGCTTTTATTATTAGTCTTATCTCCTGTCCGCAGTGTCTTCGCATAAATCTGTTGAGCTAACTGTCTCCATCTTCGGAGGATTTGTTTAGTTAAAACTAGATAGTAGATCCCAGCATTCTGCCTAACTAGATATCTATAAAAATGTGAGCTACAGTATAGCCATCATCTAGATAGAATGGGTGGAGGCGCCACAGTGAATCATTTTTCCTCCCTCAGAATGCCTCACATACACTGCACCACACACAACCTCTGACAAATAGATCACATGAATCAGCAGTGTTGATCCACATAGTAAATATTATAAAGCTAATTTCTTTATTAATTTATTGATGAACATAAATTTATGTAGAGACTTTGAGAGTTGAACAGGAAGATGACAAGTGTGGATGTTTCCTCCTGATATCTTTGATGCCAAGAACCTAACCCAAGAGAGGGAACCGAAGCCCATGTGGATTGATGCAGTAACAGGGAACAAATTTGTCCATCAACCTGAAGCAGCTAAACACTAATCAAAACATAAGCAAAAGCTGTTTTCTACACAATCAGACAACAAAGGGCAGTGATCTAAGAGATGGTAAACAAACGTGGTAAGTTCCATAATGGCCCCAGCTTATTCCCTATGGAGAGTTTCCAAGTCATGGTGCATGGAGAGGAAACCCAGGTGGAGCCCAGCAATGTTGCTGAGTCTGAAGGCCTCCTGAGGTAGGCGTCCAGGGAGGCCAAGACTTCGAAAGTTCACAGAAAAAAATAACAGTAAGGAGAGAACTTCACAAAGAGCTCCAAAGAACTGTGAATAGTCCCTCTCAAATCTTCTGCTCAATACTGGTCAGTACATGTATACAAAGAAACTATCCAAGGCTAGGGAAATAACTCAGGTATCAGAGGGAACCATCCCTAGACCTCTCATAGACTGGGAATGATTTCTGTTTCCAGTAGCCAGGGTGAAAAACCTCATAAGTCACAGAGCGTTGTGGAAAGTATTCAGAAGGGTGTTACCTCAGTAGTGGGGCAAAATTAGCCATGGACAACATACTGGTATGGTTTCGCTTAACAAAGATGAAAACAAGACCGAAAAGGATCAAGCTGCTTTTATACCTAATTGCATCCCAGAATAAAGCTCAAGAATATTTATAAGAACACAGAAATTTCCAGGACCCAACAAGGTACAATTTGCAATGTCTGATGTCCAATAAAAAGTTACCAAGCATGCCAAGAAACATGAAATTACAACATATAATCAGGAGAAAAAAAATAGTCAATCAAAATTGACTCAGAAATGAGACAAACAATAGAATTTATAGACAAGAATATTAAAGCAGTAATTATAACAGTATTTTATATGTTCAAGAACTAGGCAAAAATTGAAAAATTTAAATATAGACATGGAAAATATAATAAAGACTCAGTTAAATATCTAGAGATGAAAACTACAACGCCTGAGATGAAAAATACACAGGTTGAAATTAACATCAGATTAGATATTGCAGAAGAAAAGATTAGTAAACTTGAAACTATCCAAAATAAAACACAAAGAAAAAACTACTAAAAAAAGTAACAGGGTGTCAGTGAGCTAAGGAAAAAGTTCGACTCTTCTAATCCATATGTAATTGGAGCCCCTGAAAAAGAAGTTGGACAGAAAAAAATATTTGAAGAAATGAAGGCTAAAAATATTTTGAATTTAATGAAGAATATAAACCCACAAATCTAAGAAGTTCGATGTACTACAAACACAGAAAACATAAAGAAAACTATACCTAGTACATCATCATTAAATTGCTTAAAATTAGTAATATTGAGTGTATCTTAAAAGCAGCCAGAGAGCAAAATGACAACAGCAGATTTTACACTGGAAACAATGTAAAACAGAGGATAGTAGAGTAACATTATTAAAGTACTAAAGGGCAACATGTGTCAACCAAAAATTTCTACCCAGTGAAAACAGATTTCAAAATAAAGATTATTTTAAAACTTTTTAAGTTCAAGAAAATGAAGTTTTTTTTCAGAAACAAAAAGCTAAAAGAATTTATAACCAGCAAACCTTCATTGTAAGAAACTTTGTAGGAAGTCCTTCAGCCACTAGGAAAATAATACCAGAGAGAAATAAGAAACTGTAAAACGAATGAAGAACACCAGAAATGGTCATTTTGTGGCAAATATATAGGATTTTTTATTACTTATATCTCTTTAAAGCATAATTGCTTAAAAGAATATAAAAATAACACCACAGTGTGTGGTTTATAACATATATAATAGTAAAACTTGACAATAATAGTGCAAGACTTCAGAGAGAGGAAATGTAAGTACACTATTGTAAGGAGGTTATACGTGAAAATAGACGGTGTTACGTTAAAGATGCATACTGTCAAGCTTAAATCCAAAGGCTAAAATAATACAACAGAGTTGTAGGTAGTAAGCCAACAAATGAGGTGTATCATTTGTACTCATTTTAATTTTTGGAGGTGACTGAGTGATGACACAAAGAAGCTAATGTCTTTTTTTTTTTCTTTTGAGACAGAGTCGCACTCTGTCACCCAGGCTGGAGTGCAGTGGCGCGATCTTGGCTCACTGCAAGCTCTGCCTCCCTGGTTCACGCCATTCTCCTGCCTCAGCCTCCAGAGTAGCCGGGACTACAGGCACCAGCCACCACGCCCGGCTAATTTTTTGTATTTTTAGTAGAGATGGGGTTTCACCGTATTAGCCAGGATGGTCTCGATCTCCTGACCTCATGATCCGCCCGCCTCAGCCTCCCAAAGTGCTGGCATTACAGGCATGAGCCACCGTGCCTGGCCACTAATGTCATTTTTAAAAGATTTTTATAACTTACATTTCCTGAGAAGAAGGCACATAACACACCATGCAGGACCATGTTAGGAAATACCACTGTTGGTCAAGAGGCAGAAAGGGGTGAGGGGAAAGCCTAAGCCAGAGTCTTTATTATGTTTTCTGTGGGAAAGACAAGTGGGTCAGAGGAAACAGCTTAGGATTGACTAGTCTGAATAATTCTGATAGGCTTTGGGGCATAGGGCTTGTCCCTAGTTGTCTGGTACCTGGCCCTGAGTTGATTTAGTGAAGGAGAAATAATGACTTGATGTGTGAGAGTTGGAAAAAGGAGGTGGTTGGTTATATGAACTCAGAATTTGTGGATTACTGTATACCAAGATATTTCTAAGAATTAGCTAGTCCTGGGAGAGGCAGTTTCTTTCCAGCCAGTAAGGCCCTCAAAGATGTCAAAACATTATAAATATAAAAAATTAAAACTATGGTTAATATAAGAGGTGAAATGAAATTATAAAAATACTGAATCCAAAAGAAAGTGGAAAAAGAACAATGAACAGATAGCACAAATGTAAAACAAATAGAAATATTTTTACCTTAAATCCAAATATATCAATAAAAATATTTACTGTAAATGGACTTCCTAATTAAACTCTAGAGACATTCAGATTGAAGAAAAGTAAAACTCAGCTATAGGCGGGGCGCGGTAGCTCACGCCTTTAATCCCAGCACTTTGGGAGGCCGAGGCGGGTGGATCACGAGGTCAGGAGATCGAGACCATCCTGGCTAACACGGTAAAACCCCGTCTCTACTAAAAATACAAAAAATTAGCCGGGCGTGGTGGCGGGTGCCTGTAGTCCCAGCTACTCAGGAGGCTGAGGCAGGAGAATGGCGTGAACCTGGGAGGCAGAGCTTGCAGTAAGCCGAGATCGCACCACTGCACTCCAGCCTGGGCGACAGAGTGAGACTCTGTCTCAAAAAATAAATAAATAAATAAACTCAGCTATATATACTGACTTCACCAAGCCCACTTTAAATATAAAGACACAAATAGATTAAAAGTAAAAAAGTTGAAAAAGATGTGGCATGCTAACATTAATCAAAAGAAAGCTAGAGTGGCTATATTAACATTAGGCAAAGGCAATTTCAGAGAAAAAATTATTACCATCAATAATGAAGATCATTTTATAATGATAAAGAGGTGCATTCATTGGAGGACATAACAATCCCAAATGTTTATATGCATAATAACAGAGCTTCAAATTATATGAAACCAAACTGATAAAATTGCAGTAAGAAATAAACAGATCCACAATTACAGCAAAATAATAAATAGACAGAATATTAGTGAGGATATAGAAGACTTGAACAACTCTATTAATCAACTAGAACTATTAATTTTTGGAGAAGAGTTTATCCAACGACAATAAAAGACACATTTCTTTTCAAATGCATGTATAACATTTACCATAATAGAACAATGGAACATATTCTGGGCCATAAAACAAATATCAAAAAATTTAAAATGGTTCAAACAAAACAAGTATGCTCTTTTATTACAATAGAACTAAATTAGAAATCAAAACCAGAAAGATATCTGAAAATTTCCCCTGAATATTTGAAATTAAATAATACATTACTCTACAGCTTGTGTCATAGAGAAAATCAAAAGGAAAATTGGAAGATATTTTTAACTTAATGAAAATGAACACATTGCATACCTAAATGTATCTGAGGAGGATAAAGCAATACTTAGAATTTATAATTTATATCAAAAAAGAAAAAAGGCCTCAAATGTTGACCCTCAGTGTGCACCCTAAGAAATGAGAAAAAAGAAAAACAAGAGACCTAAAGAAAGCAGCAGAAAGGAAATGAAAATCAGACAAAGATATTACAATAAAAGACAATGGCAGACCAATTTCCTTTATGAACATGGAGGCAAAGAACAATATATATAAATATAATACATGATGACTAAATGGAGGCTTATATTCAAAATGCAATTGGTGCAATTCAGCATATTAGCAAACTAAAAAGACAAACCATTTAAACATCTCAACAGATGCAGGAAAAGGATTTGACAAAATCAAGCAGCCATCCCTTATAAAAACTCTCAGCAAACTAAAGTGAACATTCTTGACTCAATAAAGAACATCTACAAAACACCTACAGCTAGTATCTTAATTATAATAGACTAAATGCTTTCTCCCTCAAATTAGGAGCAAGGAAAGGGTATCTGTTGTCAACATTATATATTCAACATTGTAGTGTGGAGTTTCTAGCCAGTGCATTAAGGCAAGTGGGGAAAAAAATTTCCGGATCGGAAAGGAAAAAGTGAAATTATCTTTTATCATAAGACAACATATTGTCTATGTGGAAAAATCCTACAGAATCCACAAAAAAGCTACCTAAACTAATAAGTACATTTAGCAAAGTGGCAGGATACGAGATCAACATACAAAAATCAATTATATTTCTGAAACTAAAAACAATATGACATTGACATTTTTAAAATACCATTTACAAGCCTAAAAAATATTAAACACAGCTAGGCACAGTGTTGCATACCTGTAGTCCCAGCTACTCAGGAGGCTGAGGTGAAAGAATTCCTTGAGTTCAGGAATTCAAGTCCAGCCTGGGCTGCATAGCAAGATCCCATCTCTAGTATATATATATATATATATACACACACACACATATATATATGTATATGTATATACACACACACACATACCACATATACTATATAGATACAATAGTGTGTGTGTATATATATATACACTGTGTGTGTGTGTAAATATCTGAAAGAGTAGATTAAAGAAAAGAGTGATGATGAGGGATATGACATCCAGAATAAGAGATTTGGCCTGCCATGCTTTGAATGAGCAGATGAAGGAGACAGGCAGGAGGGTGAGGGGGAGGGAGTGACAACTTAGAAATGCCTTTAGCTAAGTTTTCAGTAAGGAGACTGGCACAACTGTTTGGTTTTGAGTAAGCTACCTTCATCAATAACAAAATAGCAATAATCCTTTATTGAAAACTAGCTATGTATCACGAAATTATCTTAATGCTCCCTTTATATAATCTTATTTAATTCTTACAATACCCCTATGAGGTAGACGTTTTAATCCTAATTTCATGGGTACAGAAAATGAGGCTCAAAGAGGAAAGAGATTTGCCCAAGTAGGACTAGGTGAGTCAAACTCAAAAGCACTCTTGTCCGTTTTCTGTTGCTATAACAGAATACCTGAGACTGGGTATTTTATAACTAAAGAAGTGTTTTTGGCTTATGGTTTGCAGGCTGGGAAGTTCAGGGAATGACCCTGGCTTCTGGCAAAAGCTTTCAGGCTGTGTCATAACATGGTGGAGAAGGTCAAAAGGGAAACAGACATGTATGAAGAGGCAAAACCCAAGGGATGTCCTGACTTCATAACAACCCACTCTCACAGAAACTAATTCATTCCCATGAGATCTAATCTAGTCTCACCAGAGAGAGAACTCACCTACTCCCTTGATAACAGCACCAAGCTATTCATGAGGGATTTGCCACCATGACCCAAATACTTCCCACTAGACACTGCCTCCCAACACTGCCACATGGGGAATCAAATTTCAACATGGGTTTATACAGAAACAAGCAAACCATATCCAAACCATGGCATGCTCACTTTTAAACACATCACTTCTAGGACAGGGTCATACTCATACTCTATTCGTAGTCAATGAGAAGTAGAATAATCTGCATACAATGGATTAAAAACATGTTGAAAACAATCTTCTCTCTTCTAAAAACACACAGTAATGACCAGATGCTCTGAAATATATCATTAGATACTAGTACCAAAATAAAGAAACTGCCACTGTCAGCTTGCAAAATGCATAAGAAAGCCAAACACTAAAGGTTTCAACTCCATTTAAATAAGCAAGTAAGTCTTATGGCAATATCATCATGTGACTTGGTGTTAGAACATAAAAACTGTAAGAATAAATGAATTACAAATTATTTTTACAAGCACAAATTGTTCGCAACCATTTTCTTTTATAAATGGTCAACTTCACCTCTCAAAATCCTAGGCCAAAAACTCTATGTGACTAGAGATTAAATTCCTTCATTAGTAGGCCAAGGATCAAAATATATTGTGTTTTTATTTAGATAGTCTGAGAGTATTGAATTTGTGCTTTTCTTATCACTAACATTCATCTCTCTGGATCATCCACTTTTCTTTGAACTTGAAAAACAGAAATTTGATAACATAAAATATTTAAATCAATTAAAACAAGAACCCAGACAGAACCAAGTAATTCTGGGAGTTAACAATAATAACTCTTTGATCTTGATAAAGTTCAGTTTAACTGTTTATTTGAAAAATGACCAGCATCAATACTAACTTTCCAGGGTGCATAAATGTGTTTTTCCACATTTACAAATGCTGTGTTCTGCTTTTCTAAGATGAGAAATGAACCAAAGTCATACAAGTACTTGTTAGCAAAAGAAAAAAGTCTTCATTTGCGAGATTAAAAATTTGAACCAACTTTGCAAAATTTTCTATCTTATGCAGGACAATTTGCACATAGTAGGTTTTCAGCAAAGTTTCTTGACTTATGGTATGGTCATGGCCATCAATGATTGCTGTTGTGCATTAACCAAATAATACAAAAACTTCTGTAGAGAGGGGATAATGCTGCCAGGTATCACTGATAAAGCCAGAATGGAGTTCATGAAGTTTTATTTGATCTGATTTTTATTTGGCTAAATTTTATCTGGTCTGAAAAGTACAAAACACAAACAAAAGTAACAACAATCTCTCATATTCCAACCCAGAATTATTGCTATTAATGTTTGCCATATTTACTTCTAATTTTTCTATGTATACATATGATTATAAAAAGTGTATAAGCTATATGGTAGTAAAATTTTCTTTTAAAGGAATAAATAGGTCTTTTCTAATAAGGCTGAGTATCTTTTGCCCTCTACACCTGTTATGGACTAAATGTGTTTCTCTAAAATTCATATGTTGGAGCTATATTTGAAAGATATATATGATTATATAAGTTTAGTGAGAAGGGCTTTGTAAGAAGTGGTGGTTCTTTGAAGATGTTCTCATCATTAAACAAATCACAGCATCTTTAGTCTTGAAGACACTGTTTTTCTTCTGCTTGAAAACATTTCCTTTTACAAGCTTTTTATGGTACGTAGAATCGAGAAAAAAGAAATTATTCTGAACTTGATGAGGAAAGAGACTTAAAGCGTACAAAGCATACACTGATAATAATAACCATACACATTTCCATAGATCTTTTTATTTAAGATATATTTACATATATTATTTCATTTGAACTCTGACAATATCAAAGACTTTTACCTTACGAAATAGACCACTGGTTTGTAGCCATCAAAGTCACAAATCCAGGGTAAGGAAGCAAATTTCCTTTTGGACTAGATAATAAAGTCTCCTTTTGATTTATTTTCCTTACTATATTGGCCTCTTGAGTGTTTGTGTGCATTGTTCTTTTTTGGATCAGTGGACTATGTACTCTTAGAACCCATACAAAAGGGCAATTGATATAGTTTGGATATATGTCCTGCCCAAATCTCATGTTGAATTGCAATCTCCAATGTTGGAGGTGGGGCCTGGTGGGAAGTGATTGGATCATGGCGACTGATCCCTCATTACTTGGTGCTGTTCCCGTGATAGTGAGTGAGTGTTCAGGAGCTCTTGTTTAAAAGTGCAGCACCTCCCCTGCCCCCCCCCCCCTCTCCCCCCATGTGATGCACCTGCTTCCTTTTTGCCTTCCACCATGATTGTAATGTTTCTGAGACCTCACCAGAAGCCAAGCAGATGTTGGTGCCATTATTGTACAGAATCATGAGCCAATTAAACCTCTCCTCTTTATAAATTACCCAGTCTCAGGTAAGTCTTTTTAACAATGCAAGAATGACATAACACAGCAGTTGTAATTTTTATAAAGGAGATTATGTCCAGCAAATCATAAATCTATGAAGTTCCAAGCTGTTCTTACAATAGA
The DNA here is from genome assembly GCF_000001405.40 of Homo sapiens. Taxonomy (NCBI): domain Eukaryota; kingdom Metazoa; phylum Chordata; class Mammalia; order Primates; family Hominidae; genus Homo; species Homo sapiens. Next base: position 87,176,428 of record NC_000009.12, read on the forward strand.
CTATAATGACCCATCTTGATATCCCCCTATCCATAGCAAGACATACCTCCTGATTCACAGGAGGCCCTTACTTTTTTATAGAACAGCATGAGCTGCATCACGTTGTAACACTGGGTGTGAAATAAGTTGGAAGAACAAAAGAAGGAAAGGAGAAAAAGAGGAAGAAAGAGAAGCAGACAATCAAAAAAAATCTGTATTAAATAAAGGGAGAAAAACAAATCAAGTGCGTGAGTGAGAAAGAGCCAGGTTAGGCGTTGTATTAGACTGGGTGACTTTAACATCAGACATTTGTTTCCCACAGTTCTGTAAAATGGGAAGTCCAAGATCAAGGTACTGGCAGATTTGGTTATTGTTGAGGATCCTCTTCCTGTCTTTGCAAATGGCTGCTTTCTTGCTCATATGGTGAAGACAGAAGGAGCTCTGGTCTCTTCCTCTTTTTATAAGGACACTAATCCCATCATGGGAACCCAACCCTAATGATCTCATCTAAATCTAATTACTTCCCAAAGACCTCACCTCCAAATATTATCATGTTGGGAGTAGAGCAGGTATGTGGTGGTCCTCTGAGCATATGATCATCACACATCACTCTAGGTGCTTATTTATTGGGTATACATGTTTATATTTCTGAGTATAGTTAATCTTCTTTCTAGTGTCCATCTCAAAGTGAACACACAGAAAAGACCATGATTGAGAAGATGGGCATGAGGGAGCTTCAGAAGTCTGTCTATTTGGGAGCTGGGGAATAGAAGTAGTGGGCATTTTGAAAGTATAATCAGTGCTTTTAAAAATCTTCCTATAAGTAAAATTCCTTGTGGCCCATATGGCATTGAGGATAATTTATGAGGCTCTGTCTCAGACAAGGAGGGGAAGGTATGGCCTGGTATAACAAAGAAATTATTGTTCAGTTTCAGTTCACAAAGTAGATTGTTCTGGGTCCAAATGAAGACAATATTTTTAAAAGCCGGGCTTTTGTTGAGGGCTTTTTTTTCTAAATTCCTCCTTATACATCTTTATGTCTCTGCTTTAATAAGTGTCCCCATTATATGTGAGTTCTGATCTACTCAGAAAGCAGTATGGCTATAAGGTGGAAAAGGAGGAGGATATGAAGAGGAACTCCTACCCAAGAGAAAAGAAAGGACTTTCTCACTGGAGAAGATGAGTGGGAAAAGGTGGAGGAGATAGAGATTTGAAGGAGTTTCTTATGGTGAGAATGCTGCCTGGGTTCCTGCCAACCTTAGGCTTCCACCCAAAAGGAGAGGGCAGCACAAAGGAAATTCTGATGGAACCCTCAGATAGATGAAAAGAAAATCTGAGGACATCCAGACTGGTGTTCTACTTGTCTGTAGAGACCAATATGGTGCAGCACAGTAGAACAGCAAGGGCAGCACAAGAGTTACAGATGATGAGCTTGAAGTGGCTTTTCTTAGTCTCTCTGCACTCCATCTTGGGTGTGACGGCTGGCTGACACACAAAAGAGAGCTGATAGAGATGACTGTCTAACCTGCCTGGGAGAATCACCACAACAGGGGGCAAAGAGACCATGAGGGCTCTAGGGCTCTAGGGTGGTGTGCCCACATTGGGATTGCCTGGTAGACTTGGCAAGACCTCACCAAATCTATAGAACTACAGAAAGCCAAGCCTAATAAACTAGGGAAGATGGATAAGTCCCCAAGAGTAAGTCCGCAGCCACGGCACCTGTCTTTGAGGAGACAAGGGACAACAACTTACGCTGTCCATGCATGCATCAGCTGCCAAAGCCAGCCCCCAACAGAACCTGATGGCATAAAGACCAGATGCAGATTTCTGGTCCTCCCAGCTCCTATTCCCAGAACACAATGGGAGCACCTCTCCTGCTCCCATGCATAGAGCCTCCAGCTTGAGGGCTCAGTGAGGAGAGGAAGAGAAGAGAAGCCATCCTGACAGAGACTAACCTTGAATTGAACTTGAATTAAGCCAGTAGAGATTGTGTTACTTTCAATTTGGCAAGTTTATATTAGCTGGAAGTCTCCAGAGAAAAATGAGTTCAGTAATACAGAATAAAGGAAGTTGCAGTGTTTTGTACCTCAGAAACTTAATACATAAATTTCAACCCAGTTGCCCTACTTTTAAAGGCCAGTGCTCTCCCTTCCTCTGAGAAATCATCTTCTGACTATTTTCTTTGCCAAAGCAACTTGAGCTTTATCTTACAGATTTTCCCACAGGCATTCTAGGACCATCTCAACCTAACTAGCTTTGTTGCTTTAACCTTTGGTTCTGGCATTCCTTTTTTTTTTTTTTTTTTTTTTTTTTTTTGAGAGGGAGTCTAGCTCTGTTGCCCAGGCTGGAGTCCAGTGGCACGATCTCAGCTTACTGCAACCTCCGCCTCCCAGGTTCAAGTGATTGTCATGCCTCAGCCTCCTGAGTAGCTGGGACTACAGTCATGAACCACAACACCTGGCTAATTTTTGTATTTTTAGTAGAGATGGGGTTTCACCACGTTGGCAGGACTGGTCTTGAACTCCTGACCTCCAGTGATCTGCCTGCCTCGGCCTCCCAAAGTACTGGAATTACAGGCATGAGCCAATGCGCCCGGCCAGTTCTGGCATTCTTACTGACCCTCAAGCCTGATCAAACCTGAGCACCCCTACTCAACTGGCACTTCAGGTTACAAGCCAACCTTTCTTCCCATCCCTAAGAGAGTCTACATTCCCCTAGTTACCACTCACTGGTTCCATAGCTAATCGGGTTCTAAGTTCATTAAGGGCAAAAACTATGCCCTATACATCCATATTCTAAGTTCTTAATAAAAATGTGTATATGTACATGTCCATATGTTTTTGCCCACATAGAAAAGGTATTTTTTGTAAATTAGAAACACAAGCACAACACACACACACAACATACACACATACAACACATACACACAACACACATATATACAAAATACACACATGCATACCACTCTATTCACACTGAGCATTAAAAATTGGACCTGTTCCAAAGTGTATGTAGACAGTTAACACAGGCATCATATCTAAACTGAGATCTTTTAAGGACCCAACAATAAACTAGTTTAATCACCATATTAATCATTATTATTGATAAATGTGGGCTGTGCTGGTATGTAAGCATAACAACATACAAGTATGGCTTTTTGACTGAAATCATTGTCTATCCAGTTACATGACAGCAATAATAAGTTATCATAATTAGTGACAAAGCTTTCTTTTGTTGTGTTTCTATAGAGAAAAACCCTGGGGCTAATTTTACCAGTATGCACATATGATATCACTTCCTGAAAATGCATGAACATGAAGGATTTTGTTGTGGTTGTTGTTGTTTTAGTACAACAGGGCAAGAAATGCTATAGAAGAAATGGCCTCCAGAAATGTGGTTGATTTATATCTCAGGAATGTCTGCGAAGGTTAAGGGCTGAGATGGGGGGATAGACATTCTCAGATAGCTGCTAAACCGAGCAGGCTCCAGCTAACAGCCATTTGGCCTACCGATACCAAAACTACTACCTGCACGCATCTTAGGTTTCCTTCTGTTTCACCAGCTTTTCATTCAAATGGAGTCACATTAATAGTGATAATCTGTATTTTTACCCCCACAAGTCCTCTTTGCTCATTCTAAATTTATTTTCCACTCAAAGTTCCCCCAGATATTTCTGAGACAATCCAGGGTAGCTCGTATGAGCTTATTAACAAGTCTGGTCAGGTGTCTCTTGACATCCCCCGGCACTGCTGTCATTTGCAGCACAAAGTATTTTTCTTGCCACACCCACTGGCTCTCAGGATGCAGGTGAGTTCTTCCTGGGGAGAAGCAAGCTCGTGAACAGCTCCACACACTCTGACCACCTTCTCTGTGCCTCACCATGGAAAAGGTCCCACTCTGGAAGATGCACTCAGAGCCAGAAAACTTCCTTTCTTTTTTGTGTGTGTGTTTATCCTTTAGGGATACACAAAGTAGTGTCACACAGAGTTTTTAATCAGAGGCACTTTTTTAATTTTGTACATAATGTGTGCTTTTTTGTCGGCTCCAGATGAGAGTCCAAAGGACTGGGCCTGGGGCAGAAATAAGTGACAGACAGCACTGTACCAGCATAGCCTGTAGCCTGAACTGAGCCTCTGCCATCAGGGCAAACAGACGTCCAACAGGCTTATCATGTTAGCTCATCTGGAAAGCCTGACAAGTAAAATTTGCAGCTGTCATCCAAGCAGATCCCTTACTCCACACTACTTACGGGGACATATAAGTTTTATCTACGTATAAAAATAGTCCAAATTGGACATTGAAAAATAAGCATCCAGAAGCGTTTTTGATCAAAACTACAAGAAGATACTACCTCATACCCATTAGGATGGCTACTATCAAAAAAATTTTTTTTAACTTTTAAAAACAAAATAAAAAGTGTTATTAAGAATATGGAGAAATTGAAACTCTTGTGTACTGTTGGTGGGAATGCAAAATGCTGCCACCACCATGGAAAACAGTACAGTAGTCCCTCAAAAATTTAAAAATAGAATTAACATATGATCTAACAATTCTACTTCAGGATACAGTAAGTTCTCATGTAGTGTTGTCCATAGATTCTTGGAAACTGTGACTTTCAGCAAAACAATGTACTATACGCCACAGGAACTTAGCTCTCATTTATATCAATTAGTCTATGGTAAAAGTGATTTCATTGTACAGTACGTTGTTTTGCTTAAAGTCTCAGTTTCCAAGAACCCATCAACAACATTGCATGAGGACTCACTGTATATATCCAAAAGAATTAAAAGCAGGGTCTTGAATAGATGTTTGTATACTCACATTCATAGCAGCATTATTTACAATAGTCAAAATGTGGAAGCAACCCAAGTGTCAATCAATAGATGAAGGGATGAATGGAATTTGGTATACACATACAATGGCGTGTTACACATCCTTAAAAAGGAAGAAACTGTGACACATGTTATAACATGGGTGAATCTTGAGGAAATTATGCTCAGTGAAATAAGCTAGCAACAAAATAACAAATACTATATGACTCCACTTATATGAGTTACCTGGTGTGACACACATGCACACACATACGCATATATACATATTTTGTTGCTGGCTTTTTTCACTGAGTATAATTTCCTCAAGATTCATCCATGTTAAAACATGTATCACAATTTCTTCCTTTTTAAGGTTGTGTAACATCCTTACATATATATATGTGTGTGTGTGTGTGTGTATATTTGTGTACATATATATGTGTGTATATATATTTGTGTGTATATACATATATTTTATATATATATATATATATATTTCACTCTTGAAGGCATCAGAGAGTAACCAGGGCAAGGAAAATTTGCAGGTTCAAGATCTGAAAAAAAAAAAAAAAAAAGCCAAGGGACTTAAGATGTGCATATTTGGGGCCGCTTTTCCCCTCAAGCTGATTATTAATTCTGAAAGTGAAAGTGGTGACTGCAAGGCTGAGAAGTGGACAGAGCTCTGGCAGTCTCACAGGTATGAAGGGAAAAATAAAATAGAGTTCACAGCCCAACAAGGAGGAGAGGCCCTGATATCCCAGGCCTCTAGTTGGAGCTCCAAAAGATTATACCAAAAGAGAAAGGTAAATCAGAACTGGGTCAGTCCTCAGGATAAAGGAAATCCATGTTCAGATTATTTCAATTTTATAATATAATCTTCCCCAGCCCATCCTCCCACTAGAAGAATAAATAAATTATCTTTGAAGGAAGAAAACATCCAGAGCTTCAAATTACCTTCACAGTTCATCATTCAAAATGCCTGGCATTCAATCAAAAATATACAGGGCTCTAGCTTTCAGTTTAATAGTAACATATCAATGATGGTGTCTTCATTTTGACAAATTTACCACAGTGATATGAGATAGTAGGAGAAACTGAAACTGGCTGAAAGACATAAGGGAAGTCTAGATTACTTTTGCAACTTTTTGTAAATCTAAATTTATTCCAAAATAAGAAGTTTATTTAAAAAGAAAACCAGCCAAACAAGAATATAAGAATTTATTTGAAACCAATTGACTAAAAATGAAGAGAAAATAAATAACCAGAAACTGGAGTTATCAGATACAGACTTAAAAAAGCATATTGATGAATATGTTCAAGGAATTAAAGGAAGTAGAATTTTTTTTTAACTGGAAGGTATTTTAAACCTGGAAATTCTAGAACTGAAAAATACAACAACTGATACCAAAAGCTCATCAAATGGGTTTAACATCAAATTAGACGGGAAAAAATATTGAAAATGAAGCACAAAGAGAAAAGAGAGTAGAAAATACAAGAAAGAATGCAAGATATGTGAGACGTGGTAGAAAAGTTTAATGCATAAGTTATTGGAATCCCAGGAGGAAAGGATGAAAAAAGTTGGGTACAGGTAGTATTTAAAATAGTTGTGGTTGAAAATTTCTCAAAACTGAATAGATACTGGGTCATGTTCAAGAAGCACCATAAATACCAAGTCAAGAAAATAAAATTTTTAAAGAAAATCATAAAGTTTATGAAAAGTTTCTCTACTTTTCAGTCAAAGGGAAAATGCAAATTAAAACCATAATGAGATACCATTCGCCAAGATGCCTAATATTTTTGAAGTTGACAATGCAATTGTGGCCAAAATTGTGGAGCAGTGGCTACTCTCATATACAGCTATTGGGACTGCAAATTGAGAAAAATCACCTTGCAAGCCTACTTGATGATGTCTACCAATGCTGAATATAACAGCTCCTCCTTTAGGTATCTGCCCAATATAAATGCATCAAAAGATATGTTCAAGAATGCTCACAGCAGCATTATTCACTGTAGAATGAATAAATAAATTGTGGTACATGGTAATTGATGAATTGCATGAGCAAACTATTGAGGGAAAGTCTAGACACAAAAGAATACATGCAGTTGTTCCTCTGTATGTGTGGGGGATGGGTCCCAGGACCCCATTTGGATACCAAAACACAAGGATGCTCAATTCCTTTAAATAACATGGTGTAGTATTTGCATGTAACCTACACACATTCTCTATATTCTTTAAATCATCTCTATATTACAAGTACCTAACACATGTGAATCCTATGTAGACAGTTGTTATACCCTACTTTTTATTTGTATTATTTTATTGTTGTATTGTTATTTTTTATTGTCTTTTTTTACCAATATTTTTGATCCACAATTGGGTAAATCTGAAGATGCAGAACCAACAATTATGGATGACCGACTATACTGTATTTGGTTTGGAATTTAAAACATCAGTCACCTTTGAAGATGACAGAGGCAATAGTGATTGGTAGGGCTGTTGGTAATGCTCTGTTTCTTGATCTGAGTCCTGATTACATGGGTGTGTTCGCTCTGAGAAAATTCATCAAGCTATGCACTCAGGACTGGTGTATTTCAGTGTGTGTGCTGTGCCTCAATGACAAAATTGTTGTTGAAAGTTTTTTTAATTGAAAATGGTATTAGCATTCAGGTACAACCACACAAACACAAAGTTCAACTGGAGCACCAAAGCAGAGTTTTCATGGCACAAATGAAATCAGCTCCTCAATAGACAAAGTCACTCTCAAAGAAGGCAAATATATTTGAATCTGGAAGCTTTGGGAACCGACAATGGCCAAGCACCTCTGCTCTGGGTACAATGCTGGAGGCTTTTTACATATTTTGATAGATGATCATAGATTCTCAAAGTGAGAAGAGCTAACTGATCACTAGTACCATCATCTAATAATACACAAATACTTTATATTTTTCAAATTTAATTTTAATTTTTTTTTTTTTTTTTTTTTTTTTTTTGAGACGGAGTCTCGCTGTCGCCCAGGCTGGAGTGCAGTGGCGCAATCTCGGCTCACTGCAGGCTCCGCCCCCTGGGGTTCACGCCATTCTCCTGCCTCAGCCTCCCGAGTAGCTGGGACTACAGGCGCCCGCCACCTCGCCCGGCTAATTTTTTTTTTGTATTTTTAGTAGAGACGGGGTTTCACCGTGTTAGCCAGGATGGTCTCGATCTCCTGACCTCGTGATCCGCCCGCCTCGGCCTCCCAAAGTGCTGGGATTACAGGCGTGAGCCACCGCGCCCGGCCAATTTTTTTATCTAAGGAATATATGTACGTGGCTTAGAAGGCCAAATATAACCTCCCTCACCTTCCAAAAAAGAAAGAAATCCAGCATTCCTGCCTCATGCTTTCTATTCTCAATTTTAGCTTCCCAGAGGCAATCACATCCAACCACTTTTAGTGTTTCTTGTGTTATTTATGTCCATATTTTAAACAGCCGGCTGGAATCCTGCTATTCCTTGATTCTGGTCAGTTGTAAGGATTCATTGTTTTCATGCTATGGAAGGCAAGGAGTTAGCTCTCCCCACCTTCCTACAATATGACCCATTCTCTTCCCAATATAATTCTGTTACTTTTATTTTAAATAAATAGACTTTCATCGCTTGTGTTTTTCTAGCAGTGTAAATATTATTGGCATTGAGTCACATCACCTACAGTACTAAGAGTACATTCTCTTCTTGTAGGAGATTTTGTTTTTTTAGGGTTAACTTTTTAAAGAATTGTTTTAGATATCTTAAGAAGCCACCCCAAACTCTTACAAAGATATACTAACACATTGTCAGTTTTATCTCAATGTCTGGCTGCTTTTCATATTAATTTTCAACCAAGACTCCCATCCCTCCCCCGACTCCTACATTTTAGACATTCTTGGTCCTCTAATTCCTGAGGTTTTCCTGAGGTTCTGCAACTATAGAAGGAAGAATCTTGCCAGATCCTTGGCATGGAACCTGCACAATACAGCTGGCTATGACTGCAGATGAGCCCAGACGTCAGCCCGGATGATGGTTGAGGTGAAGTTAAGTGGTCTTTGATGCTCCCTGCCCTCTCATTTCTGTGATTTTTCATGGGCTCAATGTCTTTCTTTTCACTCATCCTCTCTAGCTGCCTTTCCCACTCCCTGCAGTTCTGGGGGATTCTGTCTTAAAGATGTGTGTGTGGGCAGGTGCCAATGCAGTGACCCAATAAATTTTTTCTCTTCGCTGAGTCACTCAGAGTCAGTTTTCTTTTTAAAATCCGTCTTCCTGTAATAACCCTTTCCTGAGACAATCCTTGTTGACCGGTACAACTGATGCCCACCTGCTGTGAGAACAGGCCAGGATAGAAGAAACTCCAAGGCTGGAGGAAGGCATTTTAAGTCACCTGACATTAAACCAGGCTGACTTCCCTTTCCTCTGGACTTGCTCCATCTCAGCTTGGTGTTCATCTTAATCATTATTTCTCTAATTGTTTCTCACTTTCCGCAAATTCATATACAGAGGTGGATTATGAGTTCCCTCTCATATTCCATGCATGACTAAGCTGAAGAAATAGAGCCCCTGGGAAACATCCAGACTGGCTTTCTACTTTTCTGTAGAGACAAATATGGTGTAGCACAGTAGAACAGCAAGGGCCGTACAAGAGCCCTTTTGTATGTTGTTATGCTTACATACCAGCACAGCCCACACTTATCAATAATAATGATTAATAATGATGATTAAACTAGTTTATTGTTGGGTCCTTAAAAGGTCTCAGTTTAGATAGGATGCCTGTGTTAACTGTCTACATACACTTTGAAACAGGTCCATTTTTAATGTTCAGTGTGAATAGAGAGGTATGTAAGTGTGTGTTTTGTATATATGTGTGTTGTGTGTATGTATTGTGTATGTGTGTGTGTTGTATGTGGCTTTTCTTAGTCTCTCTGCACTCCATCATAGGTGTGAGGGCTGGCTTGGGTGTGAGAATTGGGAAAAAAACTATTATTTGCCGGTGTCATCATGGAACAGCAATCACCACTTCACCAGTCTATGGAGGGCCCCCATCATGGGGCAAGATAGTGTAGACCCTGGGCAAGGAGCTCCACTGTGACCCTCTTATCCTCTGATTTGGAATTTTCAAGTGATTTTTTTTTCACCTGATTTATCTCTTCCCTACCCCTTTTAATTTCCAGTAGGCTTGAAAATCCATAAAACCTCCATTTTTCCCTTTGTAACCTCCAGATGCTTGTGTTTCACTCTCAGGCAGTGTTTTTAGCCTGAGGCAAACTGCTTAAATTCTGAAACTCTAGTTTCCATTTTAATCCACTTTTAAGGCAATACATCTAATTACATACCAAGTCTAACACTTTTTTGAACAAAAACCTCTATCTCCACCCTCCTGCCCTGCTTCTTCCATTATAACCTTGGCAGTGCTTTATCCCTTAGAGACTGCAAGGGGACACAGGTTGGGTAATCTTGACAGTTTTCATCATTTCCCAGATACTGTTTAAATATGATGCTTGTGTGAATTTACTGGTAACTCACTTATATTTAAATTATTGTCATATATTTTCGTATCTTTTTGTTCATACTTTAGATCATTTTGTAAAATGTAACAGAAGTAGAGAATCATATAATAAATAACATGTGATGGTTAATTTGAATGTGTCAACTTGACTGGGCTAAGAGATGCCCAGATAACTGGTAAAATATTATTTGTAATTTCATCTGTGTGGATGTTTCCAGAGAGATTAGAATTTGAATAGGTAGACTGAGCAAAGAAGATCCACCCTCACAGTGTGAGCAGGTGTCATTCAAATCACTGAGAGTCTGAGTGGAAGAAAAGGAGTAGCATAGAAAGGGTATATTTGCTCTCTGTGTTTAAGCTGGGATCCATCTTCTCCTGCCCTCTCAGACTGGTGTTCTCAGTTCTTGAGCCTTTGGACTCGGACTAAATTACACCACCAGCTTTCCTGGGACTCCAGCTTACAGACCATTGATCATGTGACTCCTCAGTCTTCATATGCCTGTGTTGGCTCACATGATATGTAATTCTATTGCTTCTATCTCTCTGGAGAACCCTGATGAATACCCCCCATGTACTCATTCAACAATGAACTCACAGCATCTATACCCTCATTTCATCTATTCCCTCTCTCACTCACTCATCCCAGTATTATTTTGAAGCAAATCTAGACATCATAATTTTCACTCTAAATTGTTGCTCTAATACATAAATATTTGCCTCTTTATTTAAATTTTATAATACTATTATCATACCTGTAAAAATGAGTCATTTCTTACTATTATCAAATGTCTTCAGTGTTCAATTTTCCCTAATCATCTCCTAAATGCCTTCTGCTTTACAGTTTGTTGTTTGAATCAGGATCATAATAAGGACAATACATTGCAATGAGTTGGCAATGCCTCTTCAGGTCTCTTCTAACCTATAATGTATTCCTCCATCTCTTTTTGCCACCTTTGCAATTTATCCCGTAACAAAACCAGATCATTCATCCTGTCGAGTTTCCCAGTCTGGATTTTGTTGATTGCACCCATTTTGTTATTTAACCTATTTATCTGTCCCTGTGTTTCCTGTAAACTGGTGGGTAAATCCAGAGGCTTTTGCAATTTAGCTTTGCATCCTGATGTGGACTATGTAATAATATCTCTTTATGCAATGTTCCCGTTAGCACTTTCATTTCCAGGAATCACAGCATGATGTGAATGCATATTTTGGAAGGAATATATATTTTTTCTCTCCTTTCCTACTTAACTGACATTCACATATTCTCTGGGACTTGCTTTCCCTGTACTTTTTGGACTAAAATTGTGGGTGCTTTTTCCTCCCGAAGGACATTAAGGAGATTAATTTATGAGCTCATTTTGGTGAAATCAGAATTCTTAAATCCCAGCCCCCCTCCCCCACCACATTCAAGTAGATACTATCGCAGCAATGGGCTCCATCTGACTTCCAGTGGCCACAATAAGTGCATGGAGATTGTGGCTCTTCAGAACACATTCTCGGGAAAAAAGTAACGAGCTATGCTTTTGCTGAAAGCTAATATGATCCATTTATCCTCCCATTTCCCACAAACATTTATCTAATTTAGTCCATGTGGATGTAGTTTGGCTAAAATAATTAGGGAGTTTCAATGTGACTGGCTCACGACTCTTTGTGGACAGAGCTCTATGTATCCCCCATGGCACCTGGCAAAGGGGAGTACACCCTGCCCTGGTCTCAGGGAACTTACAGTCTTGTATATAAGCAAACGCCCAACTGACTACAGTGCAAAATGTGCCAGAATAAAGATTATATAGGAAGATGGACAAAACCCACTGAGGCTTTGAACAAGATGATATAGATCATATAGGAAGATGAACAAAGCTAAGAACAAGAGTTCTCAGCAAGGAAAGATAACAGCCGGGGACAAAATCTTCACAGAGAAGGTGTGTTTTGGAAACAGACTTCCAGGACAGAAAAAATTTTGACAAAATTTCAGGACTGCATTCAGGACAGAGGATCTAGCACAGACCAAGGCAGAGACAGGAAACATTTTGCTGGGTTAGGATGTCCTGGAAGTATCTAGCAGTGGTTCTCCATTTTGGTTGCCATTAGAGTGACTTAGGAGCTTTGAAAAATACAGAGGCCCAGGCCCACCCCAGACCAATCAATTCACAGTCTCCGAGGAAGAGGTCTATGTATTTGTGACATTTGAAAAAATTCCCAGAAGCGATTTTACCGGGCAGCCAGGGTTAAGAACCACAGGCAAACAGTGAAGCTTAGCAGAGGGTTAGGACTAGGGAGGTGAACAGTTAGGGTGCCCCGAGCTGGGCCCCTCTCACCTGTTTCTGGCTATGGAGAAAGTCACCAGAGAGTAGCAGAGCTGCCAGAAACTCTTAGATCTTACCTGGGTCTATCCTCTTTTGATTGTATGTGCTTATGATGCAACTAATACCAGAATGGCGTCTTGTGGTGAATGAGCTAAACATTACAAATAAACACAGAATAAACACCAGAAAGGCCTTCACCACCGTTCTCTAAGATTCCCACTGGAGAGGTGACTGTTGAAAATCATCCAGTCCTTCTCTTTCCTAACCTCTCTTTAGATATTTACATTCTTGTGTGTGGGTAAAATTTTTAGTTCACATATTAGAGCGAGAGAAATACCACACATTTATTTTCTCTCCCTAAACAAATGTAATCTATTCTAAATTCTACTTTACTGGACTGGCGGGGAACTCATTCCAATAGACACTGGGGTTCCCTCTTACACTTTGGCACCACCAGCACTGACTTTAGAGCTTATGCCTTCCAGAGAATTCTAGAAGGGCTCTCTATTTTTATTTCATGCTGGTCTGCCTGTAGCCTCATGGCTTAAGTCTGTCTCTCTCTTGAAGACAGGCAACTCCCTGAAGATTCTGGGGCACACGTAGGCATAAAGATGTACTACAATTGCTCAATGCCACTGCTCTTGGGATGCAGTCCCAGTCCCACCCTGAGAATCATGGTTCAGCTCCCATCTGGGTGCTGCATAAAAGTGGAATCCAGGCCGGGTGCGATGGCTCACGACTGCAATCCCAGCGCTTTGGGAGGCCAAGGCAGGCAGATCACAAGGTCAGGAGATCAAGACCATCCTGGCTAACACGGTGAATCCCTGTCTTTACTAAAAATACAAAAAAATTAGCCGGGCACGGTGGTGGGCGCCTGTAGTCCCAGCTACTTGGGAGGCTGAGGCAGGAGAATGGCGTGAACCCAGGAGGCAGAACTTGCAATAAGCCAAGATAGTGCCACTGCAGTCTGGCCTGGGGGAAAGAGTGAGACTCTGTCTCAAAAAAAAAAAAAAAAAAAAGTGGAATCCAGGTCTTCATTAACACCCCTAAGGAAAGGGGCATATCTGTTTTTTAAGACCAGCTAAATGTCACCTCTTTCTTCAAGTTTCAGCTTTTTTTTTTTCTTACTAAACCTAAAATATGTTCCTGTGTCCAGGTGCAGTGACTCACACCTGTAATCCCAGCACTTTGGGAGGCCAAGGTGGGAGGATCACCTGAGATAGGGAGTTTGAGACCAGCCTGACCCACATGGAGGAAACCCTATCCCTACTAAGAATACAAAATTAGCTGCGCATGGTGGCGCATGCCTATAATCCCAGCTACTCGGGAGGCTGAGGCAAGAAAATCACTTGAACCCAGAGGCAGAGGTTGCGATGAGCCGAAATCACGCCATTGCACTCCGGCCTGGGCAACAAGAGCAAAACTCCATCTCAAAAAAAAAAAAAAAAGAAAAATTATGTTCCTGTATCCCTACTCCCTTTTGGGTCATTCCGGGATAGTCCCCCATGAGTCTAGGCTTTTACACTAGTAGCCTTGAGGGTGTCATCTTTTGGGCTAGCCTCCCAAAAATGAGCCTCCCTTGGTTCCCATGTAGCATGGGTGCTGAGTTGGGAGACAGAGATTTTGCCATCAGATCAGCTGTGGCCTGGCAAAGTGGCTACCAGCAGAAGCTAGAAGCAGGCCAGGAGTCCAGGTGGAGGGTATGGCAAAGACACACAGGGAGGGTCAATGGGAGCCTAAGTGAGCTATAGCTAGTCCTTGACTCTACCTCACTATGAACAAGTCAATAAACAGCAAACAAATCATAATATACAGACTCTGGCATCAGACTGGCAAACAGATGGCCAGGACAGAGAAGCCCCAGGGTAAGAAGACATTACAGGGACATCCCATACAGAGGTGGGGCTTCCTCCCCTTGAACCCCACACTATTAAGACCCAATAAGCTTCTTTATACATCCATAGTCATTTTGTAGAGAAGCCAGGAAAGTAAGTGGAACTCTGGGACACTAGCATCAGCATTTTTACCTAAAGCCATTGAGCAAAATTGCAATGGACTGTTTAAAATTTGCATCAGCCTAGACTGTAGTTACTTGACTGGAGTAAATTTTATGATGTAGTTTTTTTCCTGCTGCTCAATGACTGAGACTTGGAAGAAGACCACATTACTTTCTATAATAAAGAAACACTTCCACAGGCACAGTGGCTCATGCCTGTAATCCCAACACTTTTGGAGGCCAAAGCGGGCAGATCACCTAAGGTCAGGAGTTCAAGACCAGCCTGGCCAACACGGTGAAACCCTGTCTCTACTAAAAATGCAAAAATTAGCCAGGCTTGGTGGCGGGCACCTGTAATCCCAGCTACTCGGGAGGCTGAGGCAGGAGAATTGCTTGAACCCGGGAAGCAGGGTTTGCAGTGAGCCAAGATCGCGCCATTGCACTCCACCCTGGGCAACAAGAGCGAAACTCCATCTCAAAAAAAAGGAAAAGGAAACATTTCCTCTGTACATTTGAATTACAAAGTGATTTCTTTTGTGATTCTGCTTCCTTTGCATTTCACTAAAGAATAAGGTCTTTTAATATTCTTTTAATATATTTTTAATTATTTGTATTTCCTTTCCTACCAATTTTCTGTTCATACATGTGTCTATTGGTGTGTATCTTATTTTCTTTATTTGTAGGACCTCTTTATAAATATTGAATGTAGCACTAATTTTACATAAGGATGAGACCTGGTGAGGGAAGATAAGTGACTTTTCCAAGGTGAGAGTACTGAATAGAGAGTCGTAGCTACGGAAACCAGTCCACTTGTGCTCCTGAATCACAACCTAGGCTATCTCTCACTGTTCAACTCATCTATTTTGAGTATAAAATTAGGAAATATGCTTATATAAATATTAGAGATTGTAATCATTTATTTTTATAACACTATATTTCTCAGCAAATATTTACTGAGTTTCTAATATGTTCAAAGGACTGGGATAGAGAATAAAGATAAAACAGTGAGAAAAACAGATATGATCCCCCATGAAGCTTATAGACTAGAAGGAAAAAAGCATTACTCAGACCACTACACCCATCCACGTAAAGACATATGGTAATGAGGGTGCTGCCCTTGTCTCAGGTTCAAGGAAGGCTTCTGTGAGAAGTAGCATTTGAGTTGAGATCTGAAGTATGAACAGGCATTACTTAGGTGAGAAGGGATGAGGAAGAGCATTCTTAGCCAAAGAAACTGCTTATGCAAAGGCCTTGTGCAGAAAGGAGAATTACTCACTCAAGGAACAGAACAAAGCCCAGCACGGTAGAAAGTTAGAGTTCGGAGGCAGGTGGTTAGGGGATGGAGAGTGATCCAAGACAATGCTGAAGACAGGAATGTAGGGGTTACATCTTACAGGGCCTTGTGTATTCCAAAAGCACTTGCCATTATTTGTAGTGCAGCTGAATACCTGGGCAAGTCTTCCCAGACATAGAAGGTCTCTTGTCTCCCCACTTTTCAATCCCTTACCCCATTCTACTCTCTCTTAGTTTTCATGGGGAGAAGCACTGTCAAGAAAGGCTTTTGTAAATGGAATCCCTGACTCCTCCTTTCTAGAACCTGGAAATCCTAATGCATCCCACTCATCTACTGATCCCTTCAGCCATCAGGACTGAAAATACATTTTGTCAGTCTACACCAGCATCATTGGTCTGCAACAATATTGTGAAATTCTTGAGTCTAGCTTGGAGAACACCTACAATCCCATCCTGGGCTAATTCATTTCCTTCTCCCCCACTTCTTTCACTGCTACTCAGGAAAAGAATTCTGTTTTCCTTAAGAACTAACTCTCAGGACAGGACCTGAAAATCTTTCTCAGTAAAGACTAGATATTAATATGATGTGAAACTCCTGTAGAAAGGTACAGACTGCAATACCCCACCCGCAAAGAATGGCATGATGGCTTCTGTAATCAACCTGGATTAGTCTATTTTCAGGAGAAAACAGAAGAACTTCACTTATGCCCCTGGAGTAGAGAGAGAGAGTGTGTGTGTGTGTAAAAGAGAAAGAGGGAGAATGGGCAGGGAAAGAGAGAGAGATGGGTGGGGGAGGAAGCTATTACCTGATTGATTTTGAGTTATAATCATTAGGTTACATTAATCATGCTATAAGGCTGTTGTTAGTCACCAGTATCCACTTTCAGACACATGGGAAGATGTCCTTTCTCGCTCTCTTTGATGTCAGGTATGGCAGTGCAAGTTGCTCTGGCCAATAGAATGTGCATGGAAACAACATATGGTAGTTAATTGTGGTTAACTTCCTAGACTATTCTTTCCTTGTTGCTACAGTCTTGGATGCATGTGTTAACATGGAAATGCCATAAGAGTGAAGTAGCCTGGATTGCTCAGAGGTCAATCATGGAGGACAACTGTTTGCCCATATTCATGGAGGGCTATAGCAGAGAGAGAAAACTTCAGGTGAGCTACAGAGACTTTGGGGTTGTCTACTACTGCAGCATTGCCAAGCCTATCTGACTAATATATATGCTTATTTAGGAACTTAGAAACATCAACGTGCACACATAAATTTTGTGTGTGTATGTGTTGTGGGGTGTATGTTTGTTGGGTATGTGTTTGAAACAGAGAGAGAGAAAGAGAAAGACAGGATTGATTTATAGTGAGAGCTTGATTTTAGAATAAGATACAAGTTCCTTAACTGCTTGATTTTAGCCAGTTTGGGACTTTTAGTTGTAAATTACGCAAATGGATATATAAGCATATATAAACAAATACATGGCTTACTTAAGTGTTTATGCACAATATGAAACATATTCTTATGTTTTTGTTTTGCACTGGCATACAAATGTACTATGGTCACTCAGAGTTGTCTTCTACAATCCACAAATAATATTTGAAAACTTGAGCTAACTAGTCAATTAAAAGCTCTAGGCAAACTTCATCTGTAAGATGCATTCCAGATTACCGTCTGAATCATGGACAATGTACACTGTACATTCATACCAACAGCATAAGAAAAAGCCAGAGCTAGGTTTAGTTTTATATTTCCTGAGTTTTCTTGATTGCCGTCTGATCCTTGATGTTATTCCAACATAGAGTGATTTTTAAAGGAGAATTTAATTTGATATAAGTCTGAATATCCTTTGGAATGCTAAAAACCAGCATTACTCCAGCAACCCTAATGAAAAACACAAGTTCCGTGTACCAATTTGTGGTCAGAGCCAGCATTCCAGCCCTGCTCTCTCGTGGCTGCTAGTACTCCATCGTGTTCCTTTTCCCAGCCCTTTGCTTTTCTAGCTAAAGATGTCAGAGGCTGTGGCCCACATGGTATGCTAAACAGCCCACTGCTTACAGAAGACTCTTACAGCTCAAGTGCAAACACTTTGAACTTATAAAACACACCACCATCACTACCATCAGCACCACTAAATGGAAGTCTCTGAGGATTTCCTATTAACATCCCGACAGATAGATGTGCACTTATTTTAAAACAACCTACATGTGCACACAGATGCATTTCCATATAGATTCAAGACGAAAAGCACAGCACCTTCCAGAAGAAAACTCATACAATTAGGCTGAGGCTGATTCACTCTCATGTTTTATCACCGGTGTGGAATGCCAGTAACAAGAGCAATCATTTGTTTGTGAATTCACGGAAGACTGGACTTTCACACTGGAAAGGGACTTCCCAATGAATAGCAATGGGGAGACTTGCTGTGTATTAGCATATTTTATCTGCCCTTGTTTTGAAATTAAACAGAGTTGTGGTTGAAAGGGGAAGGCACAGATTGCCACTGGGCTGGCTTTTTAGAAAAGTGGCATTTGGAATGAGGTTTAGCTAAGTGGGCAAATTCTAAAGTTAACTCTTAGGATTCTTGGGCTTGCAGAAGACATTTTGCCTCCTCGTGTGATAACAGAATCTTCTAGTCACTACTATTCTTTCCAGAAGGCTACTCGTTCTTGGATACAATGCCTCTCTGTTTTGACTGGAGATACTTAAATATAAATCAGGAGAATTCTAAGCTGTAGTAAAGGCTAATCTGCAAAGCTGAATTAAATTGTATTCCACATGTATTTACTGAACACATATTGTGTGCCCAAAGCTAGTCTAAGCACCTTGGGGTCAGGGGAGTGGAGGGAGAAGATAGATGGATGGATCGCAAAATTGAGATTGAGATCAAGATCAAGATGGAAATAGAGCGAGAGGTAGATGCATAAGACAATAAGAGAAAATTCAAAGTACTATGTCATTAAAACCAATGAATATTCTAGAAGTTCTAAGAAAAAATGATGAGCATGAGCTGAAATATTCAGGGTGGATATCAAGAGGAGAGGTGAGCCTACATCTAAATTTGACAGAAAAGGGGAGGATTTGGATGGATAAGGAGCAAGCATTCTGGAACTGGGAGTCAGTTACTAAGCACAATAAGTGTGTAGGCTTTACATTGTCAAAGTATAATCTTCTAAACATTAAAAGCATGACTCATAAAAATATGAAGTGCATAGCTTTCAAAGTTCTACTTAGCTCATTAATGGGGGAATCAGTATATTGTAAAGATGATTCAACAGAATGTACAAGAAATCAAAGTACATGTTGTTCATTAGAGTCAGAAGACTGAAATAAGATTGCTAAGTCAAAAACAAAACTGGTTAATGTTCTATGGGACAACAAAAACTGTAACATTTGAGGTTCCCCTTCCTACTGGACAAAAATATTTGCTTCTCTACTGTAAAAAGATCATTTGCAATTTGACAATCTCTACTGAGTTAAAATAAGTCCACAGAGTCTAGATTCTAAGCAATAATAATAAAAGTCAAACAAAAATACATCTCTCTGGAGAACCAGGTACTCCTTATGGAGGCCTGTTTGACAGTGCTCTCATTTAACATTGAAAGGACACAATATGGACAGGATCTACAAGTTTGGAGTACTTTTTAAAACAGTATTCAGACAGAAGGGAATTCTAACCTTGTTCCAGCATTTGCCCACTGTATGATGTGGCAATGTGCCTTAATTTCATGGTTCTTCAATTTCTTTATCTATAAAATATAGGCAATAATAGCTCTTGGCACACAGACTTGTCATAGGGATCAAATGAGATAATATACAATGTCAGAGTTTTGCATAATGCCTAGCACATAATGGCTAGGGTCAAGATACATTACCTCAGATAAATAGGGAAGGATCACCAGCAAAATCCCACAGATGCAAGCGACCACGGTGTTTGGAGAGCACTGGGTGGACCAGCCTGGCTGGAGAAGAGAACAGGGAAATAGAGAAAGATAAAATAATAGTTTTTAGTCAAGATTTGTGTAGATCTAAAATAACTTTTAGAAATAAGAAAAGGACAGAGAAGTGCACAAACATTTTGAGAAACCTGGGTTTTATTCCGAAGTCCATTGAGAGCTACTACCGGTATTTTTTTGTGCCGCATAATGACACGGTGAATGCAGAATTTGGGAAAAACTAACTCAGCTTTCTATAGGGCAGTGTGAAACAGGGAGAGTCTGTGGTTAGAGAGGAGAGTTAGGAAGTGGTAAAGGGTTAAGACGCCAAAAGAGAGGAAGGAAATGTACATGAATACTACAGTGTGAAACTGAAAGATTGTGGGAATGGTGTTCTCTTTGATATTAGTAGGCAGCTTAGGAAAAGAAGACAGTTTTAAAGTGAAGATGAAGAATTCCGTTTGCATCTACTGACTTTATTTGGGACAAAGAGATATGGATGTTGAAATGTTCCATAGACCATGGGAGACCAGGATTTGGATGAGAAATTAATGGTGGAGATATAGCTTTAGAGGTCACCCATCCAAACATGATATATAAAGCCTTGAAAGTCAATGGACAAATCTAGCACTGAAGAGGAGACAGCAGAGGAACAAGAATGATATGTGTGTTCTTTCTTTCTTTTTTAAAAAAAAGTTGTTTTCCAAAGGATAAAAACATAGCAGGTCATTGGAGAGAGCGGAGGGAAAGCTCTAACACTTTGGAATCGAAAGTAGAAGAGTGATGCGGGAAAGAGAAGAAAGCCAGCCCTGTTGAATAATCCCCAGAGCTGATGGAGGACGATGGAGGCAAAACTCGCTGAGTTGAGTTGACCTCCCCATTAAATGGAAGAAACTCTGGAAATACATGGAATACATTGGCTTAAATCCACTCTAAGTTATAAATAACCCACAGGAGAGAGTGTTTGCTGGTGGAAGAGTTTGCTGGGAGAAAGGAAACATTAAAGCATGGGGGAAATTGAAGGTGAGGAGATTGGAGCATGCGGTGCCTTAGGCTTGGTCTCCTTTCAAACCCGCTCTGGGACAAGAACGTGAATGCAAGCAGTTGATTTAGGATGTGATCCCAGGAAGGACCAGAAAAGAAGCAGATATTGGGCCAGGGATGGGAAGAAAGTCAATGCAGGGTACATTAATCAGCAGGGTCACACTGTGGGCAGCCAGGACTCAGTCCTGCTAGGAGCCGGGGAAGGACTGTGAAGAACCAGTTTGAGAGCCATCCCAGCTGAGCAGAGACTCTTCGGAGTACTCAGTCACCAAGTCTAGGCTGCTAGATGAGAGATGTTCCTGGATTTTAACTCTCTGGTACTTTTGGTCTACTTGTGCCTGCAACCAGAGAAAGCCCTGAGGAGAGAGCATAAGGCTGGCAGTAAGCAGCCTCTGGTGTGTCCAAGAACAGCAAGTACTGAGGGGCTACGGGTGGGGCACCCACAAGGTTTAGAG
This sequence comes from Homo sapiens, assembly GCF_000001405.40. Lineage (NCBI taxonomy): Eukaryota > Metazoa > Chordata > Mammalia > Primates > Hominidae > Homo > Homo sapiens. Next base: position 87,197,752 of record NC_000009.12, read on the forward strand.
AGCAGATGCTGCAGCCAGACTGCCTGAGTGTGAATTTGGCTGGATTTTCTGCCGCTGAGTACAACTCGGGGCAGGGCTGCTGGGGTCTTCTGATATAGGTCCAGCTCAGCTTGCTTCTAGACCGGCTTCAGAAACCTAAAAGAGTCAAGTTACCTGTCGGGAGCCTGATATCATTATTACTCACCACATTTTGGTCACTTGCTGTGTGTCAGACATTGTACAAGATGCTTTCTACGTGACAGAAACCCCTGCCTCTCCACACAATCTGCTCTCTCCTTACAATCTGCTCTCTCCGTCCTCAGTGGATGGGGGCTTTGTTACTCCGGCATTAAGTGGCACAGATGAGTTAGCCTCACTCCTGAAGGTTCTCCTGTAAAGATGATTAATATTAAGAGATGCTATACTCTAAATACTCCAGAGACCTAAGGATCTACAGATACTTTTTCAGGATCGACTGGGGAATGACGGTTGTCACGGTGTTGAGAGCGTTGCAATGTTCTTATCAGACAATCACAAACACACGCTGAATCCAGAAGATGCTGGACCATAAGGCATTTCTTTTCACACCATGCAGGTCCAAGAAGTCTTTATTCTCTACTCTTTCTCCCTCTTCTCTCCCTTCTCCCCCTGTTAGTTTTCGGCTTCTCTGGCTTCCCTTCATAATTCTGGCTCTGTCATGGAAGCACATGGCAAAGCTGGCCGTGTTTCCTCTGGAGTATTCCAGGTCCACTTGGCTGGCCCTCTCCTTAGAACCACATTCCTGGGGTTATGGGGAGACAACAGCTCCCTGTCATTACTAGCTGAAGGGAATAGTAGCATCCTTCATTAGATCCTCTCAACCTTGCTCATATCTTTATAGATAGTCCCTTTATCAGCCTCACTTCAAATTACCCAATGAGGGTTTATCTTCTGTTCCTGCAGGACCCTAACTGACAATACAGCACTCAAGTAGACTACAGGCAATTCCGTGGCAGAAACCCCACCTTATGCTTCTCTCTGAGCCTGTCCTTGCAAAGATACAACCACAAATGTTAGTAGAGATTAAAACTGAGGTTCAGTGTGGACTCCATCAGAGGAGCATGACTGTTCCTGGAGAAAAAGCATTTTCAGAAGGGGCACTGTAACTTCATTCTTTTACTCAACAAATACTGAAAGCCAGGCACTGTTCTAGGTGCCAGGAAAATAGTATGAGCAAGACAGAATTTCTGCCTCCAGGAGTTATATTCTAATGGAAGGAGTGAGTCAGAACACACACTGGTATAAATTAAAAAGACAATTCCAGATAACGCTAAGTAGAATTTTTAAAGTGCTAGAACGGGAGGATACTTAGTTAGATGGCTAACTAAGGCTCTTATAAGTTCATTTCCAAGGTGATTGGGCCCCTTCGTTAGCATAACAGAGACACCCTATTTTGAGGACTTCTGAAATCATTGAGGGTAATTTTAACAATGCAATTCAATGGGAGAAGGAAAAATAAATCATTGAAATTTGGGTATTAATGTTAAAGGGACTTATTTGGACCCCAAAACAGGACTGTACATCTCTCCACCCTTATCACTGATGCGCCTCTAGTAGTCCAAGAAAAACTGTGTCATTGAAGAGTTGCTGCAATTTTTTCTTCTCTTATGGAGACTGTAACTCTGATCAAAGTGATATGAAGATGCTATTCTTTGGCTTCTGCAAATAGAATGAAAATGACTTTTGGCTGTGGGTATGTGAGGTTTTTCTCAAAATGGAATGTGAGGGCGAGCACTAATGTGCTAATAAACCTCTGTTGGCAGGAAAGAGGTTTTGTCAACGAACTGTGAGAGAAGCAGAATATAGTCCCAAGAAGTTGCAAGATGGGGTCTGCTTTACAGGAATTGGAATCAAATTCAAACGTTTTATGGTTCGGCCATTTAAACATTGACTTAAACATTTGGACATGTATCCATCTCTGGTCTAGCCTGGAGCCACTATAACTTTCACATGAAATCCACTGCAAGCTACTAATTACTGTCTTCACAAAAACCACAGTGCAGGCAGTAGCTGAATTCTGCAAATGGGTTTTCTGCTCTCAAGGAATAATGCTAAAGGGAGGAAATTTGTAGATACCCAGGACCCCTACCCACAAGTATTTCCCCAAAACTTATTAATTTAATCCCAGGGCTCTCCTTCCCTTCTCTGGGCCCCATAGCTACCAGCTTCTCTCATCCTCAGCTCTCCGGCTTCTTCCCTAACAGCACATGCATTATAGTTTCTAGAGCAAGCTGGCTCAGGACTGTTAGAGGTAATCTCAGTCGACTGTGGCACCTTAAGGATGGAGCCCCTCATGGTGGCTTTTGTCAAAGTATTTAAACACTTACACGTGCCCAGCGTGTTTGAATTCTTTTCTAAGGAACTTACCATTTGCCTAATAGAATGACAAAAGCTTGGTAGCATAAGATCTGTTCACATCCTTGATATATGAAAGGCCATGGTTCTCAGACTTTTTAGTCCCAGTGCTTCTTCACACTCTTAAAATTATTAAGGCTCCCAAAAAGCTTCTGTTTTATATAGGTAGCGTTTATTGATGTTTTCTATTTGAAATTAAAACTGATAATTTTTTAAACTTACTTAAGATAACAATAAATATATTACATGTTGTCATAAATATCATACTTATATGAATAGTAAGTATATTTTCCAAAACCAAAAATATTTAATGAGAAGGGTAGCATTGTCTTACTGTTTTGCAAATCTCATTAATTTAATATCTGGCTTATTAGCAGATAGCTGGATTCCCATTTCTGTTTCCGTATTCAATCTGTTAAAGTGCTGTTATCCTTTCCCAGTTGGTGGGAAAGCAGCACCATGGGGTAGGAGTGCAGGGGGCGGGGGAAAGAAAGAACTTTCTGCTAATCCCAAGAATGTGCCATGAGATTTGGAGAGTGAAGGAAAAATAGTCTTGAGGTGTTGCAGTTTCACAGTTTTACCCCTTGAATCTACAATGTCAGATTTCAAATATTAGAACTGGATGGGATAAAATGGAATGTATTAACGGCATTCACCATGACCTGGATAAGATTAGAGACTATTATTCTAAGTGAAGTAACTGAGGAATGGAAAACCAAACATCGTATGTTGTCACTGATATGTCGGAGCTAAGCTATGAGGATGCAAAGGCATAAGAATGATACAACAGACTTTGGGGACTTCTGGGGAAGAGTGAGGGGAGGCGAGGGATAAAAGACTACACATAGGGTGCAGTGTATACTGCTTGGGTGATGGGTGCAACAGGTTCTCACAAATCTCCGCTAAAGAACTTACTCATGTAACCAAATACCACCTGTACCCTCAATAACTTATGGAAAAATAAAATTAAAAAAAGAAAAACAACTGGATGGGAACTTAGAGGTCACATGACAAACTCTTCAGTCGAAAAAGTAGATTGACTTGATGACAAGTTATTGGGGAAGTGAAGCCAACACCTAAAGGTGTAGCATAAGCACACACTGATGAGTCCCAAGAAGCAAGAAGGGAATGGAGCATGTTGCACCACTCCCCCTCCCCCAAGGACCTCCAGTTTTTTCTTTATTGCTGAATTGTTCTCTCCAGCAGCATTGGTCTCCATCCAGTGAATATATGTTCAGCTAGCCACTTAACAAACTCAAGCTGTGGTTTTAGGGCTGATAAATAATTATGTTAATTAACAGGTTGGAGGAAAAATATGATGTTATTCCCGTGGAATGCTCTGAAAAGCTGGAAACACTTAACTGCAAAAACTACATGTGGTGAAATAACCAATAATTTGCTTAAAAAACCCACATCTGGTTTGCTGGCTCAAAGCAGGGGTTAACAGTCTTTCGAGGGCAGCCAGTGTCAGAGAGGGGTCCCAGGATAAACAGCCAAGCCTTCACGGCAGGAAATATGCTTGTTCTTATAGCACAAGCATTTACATTGGCTTCTAACCAAAATGAAACGTACAAAGAATTGTTTGGTTTGTCTTTTTCTTTTTTCTCTTCATAACATGCAGTTCAAAAATGCCTTTCTCATATTTGTATGCTTGAATATGGGACAGAGGGAATAGTCACAATAGAATAACAAAATAATTCGTTGCTCCAAACTTCTAAAAGAATGCAGAAAACACACCATGGTAATAAAGAATAGACAGGTTTAATTCATACATGCGTAATTATTTATTATCCTAACAGACACTGATTTGATACATAAGTACTGAGCATCTTCCTTGCACAAGACACAGATATGAAAGTTATAACTCATACACAGGTGAGCCATCTGTGATCCCAGATCTCCAGGAAAAAGTTAGCTCAGAAGAGAGAGTAACACATATCTACAACATGTGGATAATACAAATCCCAGTGTGATATGTGTCATTAAAGAGAGAAGTAAAGTCCTATAAGTGGCTTGAAGACCGGAAGTTTCATGTAAGATTGGAAGCGTCCACAAGGTTTTTTGTCAATAGTGGTATTTCAGCTGAGGCATAGAAGATGCCTATAATTCCAACAGATGAAAATAAAGGCAGAATGGCATCGGGCTGGAGCACCCCAGCACATCTGTAATAAAAGCAAGAAGCAGGGGACTGTGGCTAGAATGCACAACAGATGTAAAGAATGTGGGGAGGGGACAGGCGCAGTGGCTCACACCTGTAATCCCAGCACTTTGGGAGGCCAAGACGGGTGGATCACCTGAGGTCAGGAGTTCGAGACCAGCCTGGCTAACATGGTGAAACCTCATCTCTACTAAAAATACAAATATTAGCTGGGCGTGGTGGCACATGCCTGTAATCCCAGCTACTCGGGAGGCTGAGGCAGGAGAATCGCTCGAACCTGGGAGACAGAAGTTGCAGTGAGCCAAGATCGTGCCATTGCACTCCAGCCTGGGCAACAGAGGGAGACTCTGTCTCCAAAAAAAAAGAAAAAAAAGAATGTAGGGAGGCTAATCAGAGAAAAGCAGTCATTGGAGGTGCCCATTGGAATATTGATCTGGCAGCAATAGCGCTGGGTATGCTAAAGGGGAAACAAATAAGCCTAAGGACCAGAAAGATATTCTCAAAACTGTGCGGGAAGTCCGTACACTGGTGCTGTATGTTCACCATTATCTGCCAGATATTTATGTAACATGACAACTGATTGGGCCAAGGTAGGGGAGGAACTGAAGATATTTTCATAGGCTCCATCTGCAGAGACTAACTAAGAAGATGTGCTTAAATTTCTGGCCACCAGATAGATAGATCCAGCAGGTGGCTAAAAATTCAGGTAGAGAGGCCAGAACCACAAGGGCAGGGGGTATACGTAGGAGTCAACAGAAGGAAGAGCACAAGGGGAAATGAGAAGCAGTCTCCTGTGGCCACGGGGGCCTCTTCCAATTCCCTCCACACTGTAGCCAGAAAGAGCATCAGGAGATGCAGATTTGACCACAGCATCATCCGCTAAAGGCTTTCCATTGCTCTTGCGATACACATCAAAGTTTATCACGGCCCGCAAGGCCCCACAAGTTCTGTCTGTTCTGTCCCCATCTACCTCTCAAGCACTACCTTCTCCCTCCCCTCCGTTTGTGCTTCAGCCACTGTGGTCTTCTCTCCATCCCATGGCCTGCTAGGTTCCCTTCTGTCACAGGGCCTTTGCCCTGCTTAAGAACATTTGCTGTCATCAGTTGGCCTCGCTACCCTCTACATATAATTCTCAATTCAGTGGCCTTTCTTTAGGGAAGCGCTTCATACTTCTTCTGGTTGGGTGGGTCAAATCTTTACATTATATTCCCTCACAGCATCTTATGTTTTCTCTTTCCAGACATATTGCAGTTGCAACCATGTATCTTTTTGTACAATTACTTGATTTACAAAGGTTCCCACATGAAGCTATAAGTTCCTGAGGACAGGGTCACCGTGGATCCTTGATTTTCAGCACTTTACTCCTGGTATTTAGTAGGCTCTCAATGCATAGTTGTTGAGTGAATGCATACTAAAGAATGATATAAAAATGCTCTCACCTGCGTTATTCCACTCAATCTTCAACAAACAGCTATAAGGTGGATATCACAAGTTTAGCTTTACAAACAGAGAGGCTTTACAATGATGCACCCCTCTCCACCTCTCAGCACCATATAGAAAGTCAGTGGCAATGTTGTGGTTTTGACTCTGTCCACCACACAGACCCCACCTTGGGAGCAGAATCCAGGTCTCAGATGCCAAAGGGGCATCAGGGTCTAGATGGCCACAAGTGCCAAATGCTGTAGAGGAACCAAAGGAGGATGGGAACAGGGACACTGCATTGATTTGGGACATCATAGTAGCCTTCTAGAGGGTGGTGGCAGAAGAGTGACAGGTGCAGAAGTCAGACTGTGGGCTCTTTAAAGTAGTTTGAGTGAAGGAACGTTTTCAGGGAGGGAGAAGGAGTTGCAAGGTGATTAGAAAAAGTCATCCAGTTTGTCGAGAGGGAGGCTGAGAAAGAATATTTGAGGACTAAGAAGACCACAAGCAACTTAGGGTAGAATCTTCTCCAGGATGAGTGAAAAGACAAAACAGAACCACACTTCCTAAACAAAGAAATCGAAACTCTATTCCAAGAAAATTTATTTAAAAAGTGTAAATGGCAAACGTGTGGTTCTGTTTATTTATTAGTAATCAAAGATTGAAAAGTTAGATTAGAGGTGCCATTTTTACTTATCAAACTGAGACTATTTTTTAAAAGAAGGATGCTTGCGGTTGCACTACTATTTATCATCTGATGTGTTTAATAAACCTCACAGAGCATCAGGCTAATGTCCAGAGGTTGTGCTGGCCTTCATTGAGGTGGAGAGTAAATGTGATGGTGTTCTAAGGGAGGAAAAAACATCGGCTCTCTCCCTTGCCCAGCAGGTTCTTCTGAGGAAATGGGAAAAGCCATCTGCTGAACAAAATGCTAGTCCATAACATGGTGTAAGAATGGATGATACGCTCTCTGGGTGGCAAAAGGCCTCCCTAATTTTAAAGCAAGAGAAACATATAAAGGTATGCTGTCTATACAAACAGTAGTTATGTATAACAAATATTGCCATTAAAATAAAATAAACCAGTGGAAGCTTTCAATTTAAAAAAATGTTTTAAGAGCATGGTTATAATTCACTGATGGAGGCTTCTGATATTCCAAACAAAATACCTATAAAGACATATCCAATGAAAGAGGAAAACTTCTTACATTGGAACGAATACAGGCAATCAACCTAATGTTGGTTGGAATTAGGGAGGATTTCTACTGCTTGAAGAACTACAGACCAGTGTGTGACTGTGTTTGCCCACCTGAAACCAACTACCCCATCTGTCCCACAGGGCTCCCTGTGTCCCCTACCATTCACCTCTTGGCTGAAAGATGAGGACCTCCACCAACTTGAAAACTCTCCCTCTGTTGTAGGAGTATCATTTTTGAGGATGACTTCTATCCCCCACATCCAGTTGGTATCTCTTTCTCATCAGTAAAAGAATATAACACAAGGGGGTTGTATACAGTGCATCCTAGGAGCTGTAGGCCTACCCAGTAAAATGCTGTCAAAATAGGCCAAGCAGCAGGGCACGCAGAGGAAGCGGGCTTTGTTGTGTACTCTGGCATTGGCAGTTGTCAGAGAACAGGCAGAGAGAAGGAAAGAAGACCCCTCCTAAGTCCAGCAGAACCTGACTGAGCGGAACCGGGGCTGGGCCGGGAATTGTAGATGAGAGAATTCTTATCTTGTGCGTGGATAGGGAGCAGACAAGTGCAGGTTGGTACCTTGGCCAACAGGCCCTGGGTGAAGAGACAGCCTTCTCTTCATCCTAAACTGGAAAAATGAGCCAGAGAGACACAAGACACCACAAAGTAAGAGAACTGGAAATTCCTCCTAAAGTAATTCTGAAGAGCAAACATAGATGTGTCCAAGAAATAAATAGAATAGAATACGCTACCATTTTTGCTTATCAAGTTGGCAAAAAAAGTTTAATGGAATATTTAAAAGTAATAAAGTTTTTAGAAGAGACAATGAAAACAACATTCTTATACACTATCATATACATTATCAATGGAGACATAAATTTCCAGAAACTCTCAGGAAAAGATTTAGGTGTACCTATCTTCATCATTGCAATCTTATTTAAACAACCTTATGGCCTAATATAGAAGAAGGATTAGTTTTTTATAGACGTGTTTGCATAATAGGCCATTATAAGGATATACTCTAATTTATTTAATGATGTGGGGAATGCCTATGATAAAACTGTAAATCAAAAATGCAGGATACGAACCTCATTTCAAAACAATATGACATCAGTTTTAAAACCACACAAAAGCACATATAGACATAGAAAAAAGATTAGAAAGAAAAGAAAAAAATGGGAAGAAATATGTTTAAATGTTAACAGTGATTATGGCTGAAAATACATAAGATTTAGGATTATCAATGAAGCAGAATTTGTTATATTTTATAATAACATACGTAAATAAATTTTTTAAACCATGAGGAGATGTTTTTAGAAATAGCCAGAAACGGAGGGAGAGGGGTGCACATCAGCACACAAGATCCCAGTGATGATGTGCGCCAGAATTAACGCACGTCAGAGACAACTTTCTTTCTCCCCTAAACAGGCCCCTAGAATACCATTTAAAAATGTCAAGGACCTGGTAGGCAAATTCATGCATGATGGATACTTCACAAATCAGTCATGGAACAGTTTTATTAACAGAAGTTTTATAGGAAAATGATCTCATTCCAAGCGGTGCTCATGGACCCAAACTCTGAGGTAATGGGAGAACTATCATAATGGAAAGACTTTATGGAATGATAAATTAAACACTAGAAAAGCAGTTGAGAGTTTAAGTCTGACTCAGAGACCACAGCCCGAGCCTCATGTTGGAGGAAGTCCCTGGACAAGTCATTTCACCTTTCTGGGTTCAGGGTCCTCATTTATGAAGTGGGGATTATAAACTTCCAGTTTCCCTTGCAGTATTATTATAAATAACAAAAGGCAAATGAGTGCTCTGCAAATAACTTATCACTGCATTATTACATTAATGAGAGAAGTGCAAAGAGTTTATGAGCCTGGGTACTAAGGTTGTAATGTTTCACGGCATCACATTTTCTCCTAACAATGACACTACATATTGAGTGTTACTGGAAGATAATCCTTTTTCAGATTAGATAATTTTTTGCAAAGTTTGGCTAATATCTGTTTTACTTATAATGCTGGTGTTTCCGTTGTTTAGTTTGGTTTCTATTGTTTTGTTTTTTAGAACACTCAAAAATATTTTTCACATTTGGAATTGGTATTTGAAGCATATTTTCCATAGAAGTACACTTCCCAAATACGGAAACGTACTTCCCAAATGCAGAAGTATCCATAAAATGTTAAAATCTGCATTTTGAGGGTATTTGGTCAGTGTTGTGGGGAAGAACTTCATTTTCCTAAAATGTTTATGCCTGTGCATGATGTGTGTGTTTGTGTGTATGTATGTATGCATGCATGAGTGTGTGCCCACTGGTACACCTGTATATTACAGTCAGGAGGAGGGAGACTAAGTCAAGAAGATATAAGAAGAAACAGTGAGGATGATGCCCAGATCCACGCCTCTCCAGCTGACCCCTATGAGATCAGGCCAAGTTTTGTAGAAGTTGTCAATCCTGAGTGATTTGCGTTTATCTATAAGGAAAAGACACACACAAGGCAACAAATAATTGGTTCCAGTTGCACAAAATGTAGACTAATTGTAGATAAGAAAACAATACGCACAAAATGTGTTTAACAGCCATGCTTGTAACAGAGAAAAATAACACATCTACCAAGAGGGAACTGGTTAAAGTTCATCCATAAAATAGGGAGTTCTATAGGGTCATTGCAAACTCTGATCAAGATCTACATTCAGATATCAGAAGATATGCATAAGCTACCACCGAGTGATTGAATCATAAAATATGTATTATATGATCCAATTTTATAACTATAATCTACAAGTATATTTTGTATTAATGTATGTATTGCACAGGAAAAAAAAGCCCTGAAAGGATACACCCTGAAAAGTTAATCCTGGTTATCTCTAAGTGACCCAATTTGAGGTATTTGTTTTGTTTTGTTTTGTTTTTTTGTTTTTTTGAGACGGAGTCTCGCTCTGTCGCCCAGGCTGGAGTGCAGTGGCGGGATCTCGGCTCACTGCAAGCTCCGCCTCCCGGGTTCACGCCATTCTCCTGCCTCAGCCTCCCAAGTAGCTGGGACTACAGGCGCCCGCCACTACGCCCGGCTAATTTTTTGTATTTTTAGTAGAGACTGGGTTTCACCGTTTTAGCCGGGATGGTCTCGATCTCCTGACCTCGTGATCCGCCCGCCTCGGCCTCCCAAAGTGCAATTTGAGGTATTTTTAACTTTCTATGTGGGTGCAATTGTTCGAATGTTTAACAGTCCAGATATTATTTTTAACAGCTTAAACAAAATAAGACCTTTTCATTTTGAGAAAAATAGCAAATTATATTGTCCACCAAAAAATTCTTAGAATTGAACCTTAGACATAAGAAGCAATGAACAATTAGCTTTATTCTTTCTTATCATGAGTTCAGGTAATGTGTTTGTATCCTTAACTCTGACCCTAACCTTTGACTTTGAAAACTTGCAGAGCTTATGCAGGAAACAGCAAGTCAGCTCAATTGCACAAAAAGCCTCAAATCGCTGGTATAAAAATTCCTAAATCTTAAATAGGAACCATCCAATCAACAGATGCTCTTTTCTCTGTAGCCTTTCTTCCCTTTCTGGTATAAAATCTGTACCAGTGGCTTTGACAACACTTTTTCTAAAGCCACAAGTAAAGGTAAACCTTGAGTGAAAAGCCAAGTAATTATTTCTTCAGAATTAAAATCATTGTGGGTGAGGATATTGGGCCAACTAAAGTTGAAACTGATTTAAAGGTGGTTTAACTGGGGACCCCTAATAGGAATAACTAGCTTGACACACCAATTACACCTAATACACTAGGTAAACAAAAAGTTAATGTCAGAATAGTATTAACTACGATGTTTGGTTAGTAGAAAGAAACATTTTCCTTCCTCTAATCCTTCCTTTAAGATAGACAGCAACCACAGGGACCTATTACGGAATTAAAATTAAGTCATATTTTTCAGTTTTTGTATGTAGCCAACAATTCCTCTAAAATCCCCTCTGAAGTGCAGTCAGGCATTGCTTTCTTTTAAAAAATTAGCAAAATAAGGACATGTTATGAATTCCAAGAGGCGATCCTTTGGATACTGCAATTTCCCTTTGAGCCTGAGTTGTGCTGATCCTGTTTCCAACCTTATTGCAATGAAGCATTATTGGAAAATGCAAGTTTGTGGGGTTAAAGCTAATGTTAGTTTGTAGCATGGAAATTGTGCAGCTAGAAGGATTTTTTAAAGTATCTCTTTTTGCTCTCTGGACAAAATGGGGAGCGGGAGAATGAAGATCTGGCATTTAATGCTTCTTGGTGAAAAACCATGTTACTACTCCTATCAATCCAGCTAAAAAAAATGTAATGCTATTTAAGTCCTCTTGGACTTTAAAGGAATCTGAATATTTTTACTTTTCTAATCTGTTCATTTTTGATAATCATGTGTGTTTTAAAGGAAATGTAATATTTGTAGACAGCCCTGGCTCTTAGCGTCATAATCTGGGAAAACTGAGGAAGATGTGGAGGGTGGTGGCTAGAGGCAGTTTCGCTTCATTTGCATTCATCATTGCCCAGTAAAATGTCAGAGATTCTCAAGATTTGGGAAGGTGACAGTGAGCTTTGGAAACGATTACATCGCTGTGCTTATTAGTGCCTCCTGGTAGCCCCAATCCTATTTCTTTTATAGTTCAGTTCGGTTCTTTTTCACCTTTTGGAAATATATGCTCCATGCTTACAGGATAGCCCAAATGGATGGAGACAGTAAAGCCTAACTATTGTGAAATGCCAATGGCTTTTCACAATGAACATGTTTCTCTCTGAGGGCCTGTATATTTAGGCTCCACGTTTAGGAGATCCTTGGCCTATGAAACTATACCTTACACCTCACACCTCCATTGGGAGGTGACATCTGGACTCTTAACAAGATGCCTGGGATGGTGGTTGGCTCTTCCCAGAGCCTGTGCTCCTTCTGGCCAGCCCAAAGCCCACACTCCTGGACTAGAGTGGGTTGAATAGTTTCCCCTGAAATTCATATTTACTTGGATCATTAGAATGTTACCTTATTTAGAAACAGAATCTTTGCAGTTGTAATCAATTAAGATGAGGTCGTACTGGATTAGGGTGGGACCTCCTTAACAGAGGAATGCCATGTGAAGACGAATGCACAGCTTGGAGTGATAAGTCCACAAGCCACGGGGGGTGCCAGCTCCTAGATTTCAAATTTCTAGGCTCCAAAACTGAGAGAATAAATATCTGCTGCTCAAGCCACCCAGTTTGTGGTACTAGGAAATGACTACATAGCAGATTGAAGAGGAAGTTCTTTTTTTTTTTAATACTTTAAGTTTTAGGGTACATGTGCACAACGTGCAGGTTTGTTACATATGTATACTATGTATACATGTGCCATGTTGGTGTGCTGCACCCATTAACTGGTCATTTAACATTAGGTATATCTCCTAATGCTATCCCTCCCCGCTACCCCCACCCCACAACAGGCCCCGGTATGTGATGTTCCCCTTCCTGTGTCCATGTGTTCTCATTGTTCAATTCCCTATGAATGAGAACATGCGGTCTTTGGTTTTTTGTCCTTGCGATAGTTTGCTGAGAATGATGGTTTCCAGTTTCATCCATGTCCCTACAAAGGACATGAACTCATCATTTTTTTATTATTATTATACTTTAAGTTTTAGGGTACATGTGCACAATGTGCAGGTTTGTTACATGTGTATACATGTGCCATGTTGGTGTGCTGCACCCATTAATTTGTCATTTAACATTAGGTATATCTCCTAATGCTATCCCTCCCCCCTCCCCCCACCCCACAACAGTCCCCAGTGTGTGATGTTCCCCTTCCTGTGTCCATATGTTCTCATTGTTCAATTCCCACCTATGAATGAGAACATGCAGTGTTTGGTTTTTTGTCCTTGCGATAGTTTTCTGAGAATGATGGTTTCCAGTTTCATCCATGTCCCTACAAAGGACATGAACTCATCATTTTTTATGGCTGCATAGTATTCCATGGTGTATATGTGCCACATTTTCTTAATCCAGTCTATCGTTGTTGGATATTTGTGTTGGTTCCAAGTCTTTGCTGTTGTGAATAGTGCTGCAATAAACATACGTGTGCATGTGTCTTTATAGCAGCATGATTTATAATCCTTTGGGTATATACCCAGTAATGGGATGGCTGGGTCAAATGGTATTTCTAGTTCTAGATCCCTGAGGAATCGCCACACTGACTTCCACAATGGTTGAAATAGTTTGCAGTCCCACCAACAGTGTAAAAGTGTTCCTATTTCTCCATATCCTGAAGAGGAAGTTTTTAAAAAAAATCAAGGAATTTACATTTCTTCAAAGTTAGACACCTGAAGCTTTAAAATCAGGCTTGAAGATCTTTTTAATCCTCACTTAAAGATCACATGGAAGATTGTTTTCATTTGTAGGTGAGAATCTGGAGAAATAAATAGATTCTTCCTGGTTCTTGCCAAAGTCAGATAATTTTATGTTCTTCCTAAAATGGAAAATTTGAGAACAAAGAAACTATCAGGACATAACTGCTCTGTTCCCTGGTTTAGATATGACTGGTCACAGCATGCTGTATCATCAAGATCTTTGAAAGGACATTTCTTCAGGTCACACAATTCTTAAACTGCAAAGTTGTTTGTGCATTTTAATGCACACCATTTTATTACAAAATTCATTAAAAGAAAGATGCAAAACATTCCACAAAATCCAAAAAGTATTATGATATCATGTGCTAGAAATTTGCTATGTCATAGAGTACACCACAACTTAAGAAATTCAACTAAGCCATGGACCCCACAGAAATATTCAATGTAAACTTTAAAATCTATTTCTTAAAATTAAAATATAGTTTATCCCCATAAAGAACTATGTTACTTCAATTCAGGGACTTACGCTGGACCTAGTAGTAAGTTAGTTTGCATTTTTAGCAAAGCAACTGACAATTCACATATAAAAGCACATATGCATACTGAAAAATGTGCACACTCATGATGTCTCCAAAGCAAGATAACCGACTACTTATGCTCATCTGGGTTCTAAAGCACTTTGAAAATCCTGAAAAACTTAATGCTGTAAAACATCCAGAAAGCTAAATAAAATAGGACAAACATACTTTCATACTTTTAAAAATGTATATGTGCTTATAAGCCTAAATAAAAACCAAAAGTGAAGAGTAAGAGGAAAACAAAAGTTAAAAAGTAGAAGTTGGTACTTTGTCTACCCTGAGGTCACAGTGAGGTCTTAGGTTTAATATCTCCCAAGACCAGGAATCCAAGACTTGGACCTGCACGAGTCAAAGAGTTAGAACTGAGACACTGGCATACAGGTGGGACTCCCCAAAAACCAGGCTTCAGGTACATAAGAACAGTCTAGTTGGAGCACAGGATGAATGCAGGAAATTGGTAGGAGACAGTTATATAAGCTAGGTTATAATGGACATTCAAGGCCCTCTAAAGATTTACTTATTGATACATCACAATTAAAAATATTCCCTGGTTGGTTCATAATGGATCCCTTTTTCAATCAAGTGGATACCTATTTCATAGAAACTAGAGAAATTCTGTGACACTGAAACTGGAATCACAGCTTTCTAAAGGCTATAGGTGCATTTTTCACTGGAACTCTTCAGAGTCTCGATGTTAAACCTAAATCTGGAAAAGGCAGAAAGCTCTAGATAATTGCTGGGACATATCTCTGCTCATCAGGTAGACTATGGGGACTGCCTCCACCTTCCCTGTATATTTTCTTAAAGCTCCTATTAATTTAACAGGCCTGGGAAAAGGATGAGTCATAAAGGTGGAAAAATATGTTGGCTGCAGCTTTGGTAAAGGGTGAAATGCATTAACCTTGCAATGAGTCATCATCACCTTAGGCAGTTTAAAAAATAAAAAACAAAAAAAGTCTTAACCACTGTGGTTCCCCATCTCTGGAAGTGTGTCTGCCAGTGTGTTGGGATTTGGTAACTTCTTGTCTGGTGTGAATGCAGCCTAATGCGAGGTTAGTTTCTCCAGAAGGCGGCCTGAAATACCTCATTTCCAACAGGCAGCTTGGAAGCTTGGCTCCCCCACCTCCCAAACCTCAGCGGGAGAAACAGCTGCAACCCACCTGGCTCAGTGTAGCCAGTTTTGCTTGGTTGTAAAGGAAGGAGCAGCTGCTAGTACCAGCAGAGCCCCCCAAATAGACATATTTTAAAAAATCATGCAGAGCCAATTAAATTCTAAGAAAATTACATTGGTAATAAAATAATGTGGAATTTACTTCTCTCTGAACTGTGACTCCCAGATCAGTTGAAGTAAACCCCAACAACTCATTAGTTTAAATATGAACAATATTAGCCATTTCACCATTACATAGTTTTAGAAAAATAATCCCAAATCCTTTACCTTATAAAAGAAAGAAAGGAAGAAAGAAAGAAAGAAAGAAAGAAAGAAAGAAAGAAAGAAAGAAAGAAAGAAAGAAAAGAAAGAAAAGAAAGAAGAAAGAAAGAAAAACTGCCTCAATATTATGTTCAGGCCTCTATTGTTGTCAATGTTTATGAAAAACAAATGGCCTTCAATTAATCATTTGATGCTGGAAAGGGTTGTAAGGCCTCTCAAGCTATATTAGTGAATAAATTTCTGTTTATTTAACCACAATTTTTAGAGAATAGTTGCAAGACTCCTAAAAGAATGGCATTGTTCTGGGCAGGGGAGGCAGCTTTAGGTACTGTACAGACCTGAATTTGAATCTGAAAGTCGTCACTTAGCAGCATGTGACCATGGTCAAATTACTTAGCCTCACTGAGCCTCAGCCTTCTCCTAAGTAAAATGAGGCAAAAACACCTCTTTCAGGGTGGGTATGAAGATAAAATGCAGTAACAATGTACCATCCTTCGGCACATGCCAGCTCACTTCCCTTTCTCCCTTCCTAAAGCCTTACCACTTAAGGGCCCAGCAGCAGGGCTGGTTTCAGCCAGTCCATGAAAGGAGGCCTTCAGTGAACCGCACCTCAATGGGCAAGAAAGGAAGAGAGGGTTATCTTGACAGCAGGAAAAGCTATGGTGAGGGACAACGGGCAGACAGTGGGACAGGCATATGGCAAATGGTGCTAGCACTACCCAGCCACTGAGAGCAAGTCAGGGTCAGGCATGGCTGGAGAAAGGAGGTTCTTGGGCATCATACTAAGGCATTTAGACTTTATACCCTAAAGAATGATGCATCTGTGAAGGTTTGGGTGCTGGGAAAAATTTGTCTGACATTGATGACTTCATTCTGATCATCTCATGCTCTTTTGCTGTGAGTCAGCGGAGCCTCTTCTGCAGTGACGAGGAAGCTTCAGTGCTTCCTAGAACTGCCCTCTTGCTTCGCAGTGCCTGATCCTGTTAGAGCCCCTGACACATCACAACTTTATTTCACAGATGAAGAAAGTAAGACCCAAGGAAGTGAAGTGACTTGCCATAGGTCGGCATCAAGAACTTGAAGTTCATGTTTTCTAACCCTAAATCATGTGCTTTTCCCACTACTTCTCACTGATATTATAAAGATTCTATAAAAAGGCATCAGAATAATCAAATTGAAGAAAGGAAAACCTGGGAAACACATGCAGTCTGCAATATACACACACCACAGAAAGAAATGAAGTTTTAGGGCCAGACATAGTGGCTCATGCCTGTAATCCCAGAACTTTGGGAGGCCAAGGCGGGCAGACCATGAGGTCAGGAGTTTGAGACCAGCCTGGCCAACATGGTGAAACCCTTTCTCTACTAGAAATACAAAAATTAGCTGGCGTGGTGGTGCGTTCCTGTAATCCCAGTTGCTCTGGAGGCTGAGAGAGGAGAATCGTTTGAACCCTGGAGGTGGAGGTTGCAGTGAGGCAAGATTGTGCCACTGTGCTCCAGCCTGGGCCACAGAGAGAGACTCCATCTCAAAAAAAAAAAAAAAAGAAAGAAAAGAAAAGAAATGAAGTTTTAGGATTCACTATGCCCCCATCACTCAGTTAAATACCTTAGAGCTTAATGATCAGATGGAAAAGGACACTTCTTAGGAGCTTGCTGGGCTCCCTTGCCTCCCCAACCATAGAGATAAAGAAAAAAATTTGAGTCCCTTCAAGGACAATTCAAGGCAGCTAGCTAGCCCTACAACCAGCAATTAGAAAAGTAAATAACCCACTAAACAAGAAGGTAATAATAACTTAAACAATAGGCACCCAAGTAAGCTAAAGTCACAAGATATTTTCTTCCCTGTAACAGCTCCATATAACATCTTGAAATATGTCGTTGTTTTTCAGAACCCAGTACTCCCACCAAATAAAGAATGCCAACCACTGTTGCGTAAACCTCAGATGAAGGAAAACTGGGGACAAAGCTCTGACCACTGCTCTTGCTCTAAATTTCTTCATGAGGGACCTGAAGAGACTCACGCCCAGAAGCCAAACCTTAACATTCCTTTCTGCTGACCCCAAGTTTTTAGACAAAGCCTTACTTCCTTAACCAATTGCAAATCAAAAAATCTCTAAATCCACCTATGACCTGTAAGTTCCCGTTTCAAGATACCCTGCCTTTAGAGGCCAAACCAGTGTATGACTTCCATCCATTGATTTACAATTTTGCCTATAACTTCTGCTTTCCTGAAATGCACCCCTGCCTTGAAGCCATCAAGGAGTTCAAGTCCTGAGTGTTAACTGTCCGATTCTCCTTGCTTGGTGTTTTGCGGTAAAAGGCTCACTTTCTCTCACCAGAAATCCTGGTGTCAGGTTTGGCTTTTTTGTGCACTGGGTGGAGTGAACCCAAGTTTGATTCAGCAACAATGATGTCCCCTAAACTATTAATGTTTTAGGATATAATTCTTGAAGGTGGCTAATGTATCTCTAAAGAGAAGGTGTCAGGAGCTTTGACTGAATAAAAGCACACTTGAGTTGGCATAAATGCAGCATTTTAGCAAAACATTTCTCCCCTCAGAAAACTAGCCATGATTATTAGGGTGTGAGGACATGCGTGAGAAAAACCACTTCATGGTGCTAAAAGCCCGTAATGAAATTCATAGCCCAGCGTGGAAACCTTGATATCGGTCTGATTGGGAGATGATTTGTATATTTGGCTAGAGCTCGAATGCCCAAATGATAAATAGCCATTGTGCCCAAAGTAGCCATCCCCAAAGTATGGCTCTGGACCAAGGCACACTGCAGAAGGAAGAACAGCCTGCCAAGGGTAATTAAAACCCTTTCCATAAAGAGTAGGGGCTTGGGGCTTCCCCGATTACCTCACTGTTGACCCACAGAGAACCCTAAGAGTTAACGTATCCCTTGAATCATTCTTTGTCTACCATCAAAAGAACCTTCAGATCACACTTATTTCTACCCTCCCCCACCCAGCAGGCCACAGTGCTTCTCTACTTACGTCGCACATGACAAAACCAAGAAATAGAAGTCTCTCCATTCCTGAATAACTTGGCACTGAAATCACATCTCATTCCAAAAAGTTTAGGATTAGCTAGAGGTTGCCAAATGAAAGACCAGCTTTGTTACATAGATGTACCATTGATGAGAAGTGGCAATGACCTCCCTAGACCAGACAGAAAGAAGGTTCCTTCCATTCTTGAGAGTTATTTACAAATGCTGAAAAAAAGTATACACCTTACAGCTTATGGTACACCCAAATCAGCATTTGAGGTGATTGCCATTGATTATCAGAGTACCCTGAAAAGATCATGTTATTTGTTTTTTCATTTTTCTCCCAT
The DNA here is from genome assembly GCF_000001405.40 of Homo sapiens. NCBI lineage: Eukaryota > Metazoa > Chordata > Mammalia > Primates > Hominidae > Homo > Homo sapiens. Next base: position 87,216,599 of record NC_000009.12, read on the forward strand.
TTACTGCTGAACTGTAGAAAAAATGGTCTTGAGTCAATATGATCAGTAGCAAGTAGTAGGAAAAAGAGATAAAACTTCTCAACAGAAAATGGAATAGATGTGACTATGATGTGAAACTACCTAAACACATTTTGAAACAAGGCAGATTTTTAAAAATAAAGTGAAAACTCAAAGTACTGTGAATGGTCTTCACACAAGTGTTGCCTCGCACTGTGCTTTCCCAATTCAGGATGATTTTCAAGTCTCTGTTGTGAAATGGACCAGGCAGTGCTTCTGCATGTGAATCTGCTGTGATCCCATTCTGTGCTTGATGCATGGCCTAAGGAAGGCCTCTCAGAAAGGGAATATTCTCCATAGAAACACCCGAGCAAAGGATGTGTGCTGTTTTTCTCATTTGCCAGCCCTTCCTCTTGATCTATTCTCAGCCTTTCTCTCTTGTAGCTCAACACCTGGGCTCCCCCGCCAGTGGCTTGCTCCTGGCTGGTTTCTGTTCAGACTTAGCCAATAGCAGGCACTGTTGGGAGCATGGAGGTTGGGAGAGGAGAGGGTCAGAGTCTTTCTTCCCTGGTTTGGTGCCGTGCCTTGGCAATATTAGCATCTCTCCGTGACTGCTGTTCCTGCTACATTAGCCTCCCCTTTCACAGTGCAGCTCTCAGTAGGCTCCAGTAGCACCACTTCTTCCCATGTCCTTCCTGGCCTAAGGGAGGTGGTAATGGCTTCCTGCTGTGATGAGCCTCTGGGTCTCTCAGCATCCCTTGCTTGTGCCGTTAGCCTTACATGCTCCTCTGAAAGTAATACCTTCCTTCAACTCTCTTTACTTGAACCACCTAGGTAAACTCTTGCTGGGACCATGGCTGTTATGTGAAGTTCGAATTGCCCTACCTGTGGGGCTGTGCTGGGGCTGTCAGCAGATGTGATGAAGATTGTAGCACTATCCCTACCATTTCCCTTCACATAGTAGCACCTTTGGATGAGCTTAGTTTTGTTATCTTGATTTTATGCTCTCATTCAGAAAACTGCAGAAGTCTGCAGAACTTTTGTAGTTGAGGGGAACATTATTAGCAGTTTCTCAATTAATAATGTCCTTGGGGATCAACATCATTTAAGTATTTACTGAATCACTAGCCCTGTTTTAGGAACCTTACAGTGTTTTGTGTAATTTTCTCAATCTATGGCAAAGAGATTTTAGTCCTCATTTTATTAGCCAAGAGCAGTAAAGTGAAATGCCCAGGCTCACGCATCTCAGGCCAGTGGCTAAGCAATGTCTCTCTGTCCTTGGAGACATTATAATCAGCTGTGGCTTAACCTAGTGCCTCAAGAATCCACACACACAAGCAGCTATTGAAAGAGACCAGAGAACACACCAAGCACTTGGGCCCCCAATTATGAGCCAGCATGCTGCCCTGGTGAACAGCAGGCACCTCAGAACTGGATGAAGCCTCACTAGAATGTTGTATGATTTGGTACCAGTTGACCCAGGTGAAGTCAAATTGGGGGACATTGCATTTAATAAACACCCCTCCTGAGCCTCTCTGGACTCCAACATTAGTGAGAAGGACAGAGGAAATTGTCCCAGTGTAAGATTTCTCCCGCCGCCCTCTGAAATATTTGAGCTTAGTCTGTCTGCAGTGAAGGCTGACAAGCTACATCCATTCTGGTGATTCTGAGGCAAACAATCGAGAACCACACATTGAAAACTGGTGCTCAAGACTGCCTACCCCACTAGCACAGAGCAAACATCTGTCTCTATCCCATCATACTCAAGTGCACAACCAGTGTGTCAGTCAATGTTTCTGAGTGAATGAAGAAGATGCAAAAGCACATCAACATCTGAGCTCCCTTTTGGAGGAGGCCTTAATCATATGAATTGGAATACTGTGCTCCTTCCCCGTGGCAGTGCTCTCAATAATTAAAAACATGGCATGCATTCTGCCCTTGAGCACGCTGGTCTGGTCTGTGGCCATTCCACGAGGCGTAGGGTGGATTCTGAGTGACACAAGTCAATGTTTTGAAAAGCATCATTCCTTCTTTCCAGAGTAGTCAATCCCTTCATGCAATGCTTTCAAATCAAAATACTTCATACCCTGTGCTTCATTCATTTATTCTCCAGTATTTAGTAAGTGTATTTAGTAGTGGCCTATTACGGGCCAGGTGCTTCATTAAGCATCAGGTGAACAGAATTAAACAAAGCCCCAGATAAATTTTACATGATTCCACTTTTATGAGGCACCTAGAGCAGTGAAATTCACAGAGACAGAAAGGAGAATGGTGGTTGCCAGGCAGTGGGGTGAGGGGAGAATGGGAAGTTCACGATGAATGGGATCAGAGTTTCAGTTTGAGATGATAGGAAAGTTCTGGAGCTGGATCACGGTGAATGTGAATGTAGTAAATGTCACTGAATTGTATATCTAAAAGGGTCAAAATGGTAAATTTTATACAGTGTATATTTTATCAAAAAAAAAAAACACAACAAAAACTGCATGGGGTTTTGAGATGATTACCTTACCATATGAGGTCAGGTTTATCATCTAAAATGAATTTTCATGAAAAAAACACAATATTAATAACAGGTGATTTGATTCTTTGATTCTTCAAAAAAAATTAAAAAGCTCCTGTGCTTCTGGAGCTTACAGACCATGGAAGCAGACAGCCAGCCACAATATCCTTTCACAAATAAGTGTGGCGTCACAACTGTAGTGAGCAAAGGGAAGACAATAGTGTCCAGAGAAGGTACTGGAGGGTGGAGGTGGTTTGACCCAGTGAGGTGAAGGCCCAGGAAAGGCTCTTCTGCAACAGAAACAAAGTTGCTGAAGGCACAAAGGATGAGAAGGTGAGACAGGGCAAAAGGCAGAAGGACACTTCAGGCCCTGGGACCAATGACTCAGGGCTACTATCAAAGCTGGCCGTGATGATGAAGGCGGCACACACAGGTGTATTAGGAAAAGACACTCCACACAGAAAACTGTCACAGATGCAGTGCGGTGTATTTGATCTTGTCAACCTCCCAAGGAACTTCCATGGTGTCCCACCATGACAGAACTGATCATTCTTTTCAGACAGCTAAGCTGGACAAAATATTTAATGCTTCTTCAAAGCAGGATGTGAGGATCTTGCTGAATTGCCAAAATTGCTCTACCTTTCCAAACAATTTTTAAATGACAAATAGGTGAGACAAGTAGGCATAAGAAAAACACTAAGAATTTGTTAATATTCTAACTGTGTTGTTGAAAGATGCAAAAAAAAAAAACAGTAAATTTAAGGGGACAGAAGAGGAGTATTTATATTTTTAATGGTTTTTAAATCAGTCAAGGAAACTGACATAAAAATTTCGATTTTACAGTACTATGTCCATACAATTATAAATAATGTTGTCTCTATTATGTTGGATATGGAGGATAATTGTACAGTTCTGTAGCAAAATATATACCTTTGTAATGTTCATACACAAATATATTGTGTTTTTAATGAAGACCAAAAATACTATAGGTTTCTGTTAGCTCAAACTATTTTATAATCTAGAAAATTAACAGAAGTTTTTTATATTGACAAATTTCCATTTAGAATATACATATTTTTACTTTCATTTTAGGTTCAGGGACACATGTGCAGATTTATTATATAGGTCAATGTGTGTTGCGGGGCTTCAGTGCACAGATTATTTCATCATCCAGGTAATAAGCAGAGTACCCAATAGGTAGTTTTTCAATCCTCACCCTCTACCCTCAAGTAGGCTCCAGTGTCTCTTGTTCCTTTCTTTGTGTCCATATGTAGAGTATACATTTTTTAAAGCATACAGAAGCATTCCGATAGATAATTTCCAGGTAAAATACTTCAAAATTCCCAGCTTCCACAAACCTTACTTTGAAAATAATCCACCATTCCTGAAAGTATTTAAAGCACTAAATTGAATAGAATCATGTTAGCAGCATTTGTCTTAGTTCTTGTCCAAGCCAAATGTCTTTCACTAAATCCTAGACTCAAAGAGCAACTCTCATTAAACATTAAAGACTGTGACATGTGGCATAGGGGAGTAAAAGGACCCTTTTAATTACCTTTCCAGTTTGCAAATTATTTTAAATGCATTACTCAATGAAACTAGATATTAAAAGGTCTGCTTTTTCTGTCAGTGCCCCATAATTTTGAACTATTCATTTTATTTGCGTGGGTAGTATGTCATGCACTACATTTCAAGCTGGATTTGGGAACCCATTCCATCATGCATGCATATGGAAGGTTCAGAGAAAGATCTGAAATGAAATGGAGATCACATTTCTCCCAGCCACACTGGCTATACATGAAGCCAGTTAAAACTCTGTCATACCCCTGGGTACAGTTTGGCTTATTCATTATTTTTCATTTATAAGGCAAACCTGCTGCTTGAAAAAAGTCTCAAGGTTAATTACAACATTTCTCTTTTGACACAAACAACTCGATTGCAAATCTGATTTGATGGGTATGTCTTTTGTTGTAAGATGGGACTCAGGAAAAAGACACAGTTTGTATGCAAGAGTCTATACCTGCGGTGGGTTTGTCCTTCCAGTTCTAGTCAGAGTGAAATCTCCAGGAGGGTCTCTACCCAGGTCACCCAATCGCAGTAGCTCCAGACCCTTGCTGCTCCTCAGTCGGATAGTTTCTTATCTGTTTGCTACCTAAAGCACCGAAACACAGAAGGGTACTGTATTCCTTTGCTAAAGCTGCCATGACAAAGCTCTAGATAAACTGCGGGATTTAAACAATAGAAATGCATTCATTGCCTTTCAGTGCGGGAGGCTCAAAGTCTAAGATTAAGATATTGGCAGGGTTGGTTTCTTTTGAGGGTGGTGTGGGAAGGATCCGTCCCCTGCCTCTCTCAAAGATTCTAGCAGTTTGCTGGCAATTTTTGGTGTTCCTTGGCTTTAAAGAATCACCCCAGTGAGGCATAGTGGCTCATGCCTGTAACAACAGCACTTTGGGAGGCCGAGGCAGGAGGATCACTTGAGCTCAGGAGTTCAAGTCCAGCCTGGGCAACATAGGAAGACCTTATCCAAAAAAAAAAAAAAAAAATTAGCCAGGCATGGTGGCATGCACCTGTAGACTCAGTTACTTGGGATGCTGAGGCAGGAGGATCACTTCAGCCTAAGAGGTCAAGGCTGCAGTTAGCAGTGATTGTGCCACTGCACTCCAGACTGGGTGACAGAGAGAGACCCCATTCCTGTGTGTGTGTCTCTCCATCCGAATTTTCCCAGATAAGGACAGCAGTCATTACTGGATTAGAGGCCTGCTCTACTCCAGCATGACTGCATCTTAACCTAATTAATTACATCTTCAAAGGTGCTATTCCCAAATAAGGTCACATTCTAAAGTACTGGAGGCTAAGACTTCAACATATGAGTTTGGAGGAGGGGACACAATTCAACTCACACCAGGTACCATATATTTTCTATGGATACATAAACTGTAGGTGAATATATAAAACTTCTGGAATGATATATGCTCAACTGTTGACATTGCTTGCCTCTTAGAATGAGTGTGCAGTAGACTAGGGTAGGGGTGGAAGCAGACGGAATTTAACTGCACCTGTAAAAATCTTCATCTTTTAAAAGGAGGCGACAATTGTGCATTGCTTATTTAAGTAAAACTTTACCTAAGTAAATTGAGGTTTTGCAGTGATTCCCAATAGAAACACTACCAATTGCCAAGATACATTTTCTAAACTTGCGGGAGGGTTTGTTGGTTGAGGCAATGCTTTGGGGCATGGCTATCAGTGAATGGGTAGAAAATGGGGTGCTGGATGTCCTGAAAATGCAGGGACACTTGCCCACATGAGAGAATCGTTCTGTGTCCTGCTACACATTTACATATAAAAACAAATGGGCTGGGTTGGCATGATTTTAATATATATTGGATTTTTCAGGAATGCAACCTTTGTGTCTATAAGTTATGGGAAGATTGTACTTTATTTGGGTCAGAACTTTCCTGTGAGTTTTCACCTTACTGGAAAATTATGTCACCAACAGCAGCACCCCTCTCCATATTTGAGCCACCCATCGAACATGCTAAAGGCCTTTGGTGGGCTGCATTTGCAGCTGTCACATTTCTGACAATTTTCCACAGAGGTGCAGCAACCAATCACTTAATTCTGTCATGCCGAGTCTTCATGTCCTGAAACATGTATTATTATGTTATAAACTTCTATTTTAATTGTATTTTTCTTTTACATCAAAGTTGGGGCTCTAAATGAATTTTTAAAATACATGTGCAAGTAGATTACATCACTTACAAATTTCATTTCAGGGCAGTAAAGGGGATTTTATAAAATATTTCTTATGAAAAGGGAGAATTTATTCTCATAATACTGACCACTAACAGGTGCCTCTGATCATCCAAGGAAGAAATGCAGAAGATCCAAGCTAAAGCTTTGGCAATGGAGGAAAGAAACTGTATTCAAGAGATACTTTAGAAGTAAAAATCAAAAGGCTGTGATTAAGAAGGGACTGTCAAAATGCCCCTGAGATTTTTAACCTATGAGACGAGGAGGATCGTGGAACCTTTAACTGAAACATGCAAATATGAGGAAGAGAATGCCAGAGTCAGCAAGGGACCGCTCAGTAAGGCACCCATGAGGCAACGGGGCGATGTCCACAAGATATTAAATGACAGATACACGGGTTTAGTGATCAAGAGATCTCGGGCTGGGGGGGAACTGCCAATCACTGTGGGAGGCTTGGAAATGGGGAGTGTGTCGAAGAAGATGGGGAAAGCCAAGAACAAAACCTGTGGAACACCCCGAAGGGCACACAGCAATGAGGAAGGGCACGGAGCAGACCTCTCACTTTTCCATTTTATCTCCCTGTGGGGCTGGAAGCATCTCAAAATAAAAAGCAAAAAACAAATAAACAACAACATCCAAATGTTGTGACTTCAATTGCCTTGGTATTCCCCACGTTGCCCAGCAGGGCCCTGGGTTCCCTGTCAGCCTTTAACAACACTGGTCAGCTGGTATCCCACAGCCCTTTTCCTTCCTGGAACCTTCAGGAAAGGGAAAGAACATTCCTGCTGTCACTGGGCTTTGCCAAGCAGAGATGTCTTCTAGTCTGTGGGAAGATTTCTCCTGAAACTCAGGGAGTGTTCAAGGCTCAGAGTTCACTGGCAGGCAGAGAGGAAATCATCTTCACCTGACCAGAGTTAGGGCTGTGCTAAGCAGTGGCTATCACACTCAGAAAATGCATTTGCAAAGTAGGGAACTGGTGACGTGTCACTTGTGAGATAGGCCATCTTCCTCTGTATTGGATAAACCATAGCTAAATTTAACAGCAGAGGAAGTGCCATTTCCAAAGACCTCATTCAGCCAGAATCCAGGAGAAACGCCACACACATTCTCCCAAAGCCCAGACTCCGTACCCCAGGGACCCTCCCTCTCCTGAGTGTGACGTTGCAACCTCAGGGACGCTCCCTCTGGCTTCCTCCCACATCCCACTGCCTGACAGAACGTACAACATGGAATAGATCTGTCACCAAGGGCACATACCTGTGGTCACATAAACACATAAACACTTTCACTAGCAGCCACGTTCTCAAGCGCTGGCTCTGACAGGCAGCCACCAGGCAGCCAGGGGAGACACCAATGAAAATCCACTGTGGCGCTGCCTCCACTGTCCACTCCAGCAGGAAAGGGGTTCCAGATGTGTCCTCTGCTGAACCTGTAACAAAGTCAGACTGTCATAAATCGGACCCCAAGCACAGGTCGCCTGCCTTCACAATCTCTCTGGACACTGTAAAAAGGCTCTGCATGGCTATGTACAGTTTCAGCACAAAGGTGACAATTTATTTTGAGTTTACAGGTCCTGTTTTCGTTTTGTTGCTTGGAAATAACGTTGCCTCTGTGTGTGTGTGTGTGCATGCACATGCATGTGCATGCATACATAAAGGGACAGGGTAACAAAAGACATAAGGGAATAGAACAGGTAATTTTGTTTTTGTTACAGAAAGGTTTCTGGTATTTTGGACAAACTATAATGATAATGGCATCCTACATCAACCCAGGAAATTCAGTAAACGTCAAAGACCAATATCCTATCCTTATTTAATCTTTATTGTAAGTAAATATCTCAGAAATGTGAGAACACACCTGGCACAGTCGCTCATACCTGTAATCCCAGCACTTTGGAAGGCCAAGGAGGTGGTGGGTGGATCACCTGAGGTCAGGAGTTTGAGACCAGCCTAACCAATATAATGAAACCCTGTCTCTACTAAAAATGTAGAAAATTAGCTGGGCATGGTGGCACATGCCTATAATCCCAGCTACTTTGGAGGCTGAGGCAGGAGAATTGCTTGAAACTGGAAGGTGGAGGTTGCAGTGAGCAGAGATCGCACAATTGCACTCCAGTCTGGACAACAAGAGTGAAACTCTGTCTCAAAAAAAAAAAGAAAACAAAAGAAAAAGAAATAAAGAAATGTGAGAACAGGGGACATTACTCAATATTGTTTTAGATTTATATTAATAAGTATTCAACTGGAATAGCTTTAATTCTAAATTTCCAAGTTTTATGAGTTTTTAACCTTTGAAATCTCTATACTTTGATAGCTTTATCTCTCCTTTGTTCACTGGGATAATGGCTTAAAAATCTCACTTGAAAGTAGAATTTAAATGGTAAAATATCATGACAACCTGAGAAAGGAAAACAATAAATAATGTCTGGAATTCTCCATAAATACGCAGCTTTAGCTGGGGGCTCTGAACCTAAACATCTCTGCTCAGAATTGATCATTCTCCAGAATTATTGCAAAGTAAGCAGAAGGCTTTAAATCAGTCCCTCCACCGAGCAGCAGTTGAGGAGCCCCTAGATCCTGAGAGAGGTTACCCTGGTCATTTACAATCTCTTCAGAGCCACTGAAGAATATAAGAAGAGTCATTCTCGGCTGAGTGATCTTGAGGAGGATACTTAACCCTCAGGTCCTCAGTTACTTCCTTTGTAAAGTGGAAGATTAGACCAGACCCTTACAGCTCAGATTTTCAGTTTAATTTTTAAAGACCTAAGCCAGATTAAAATTCATCACTCAATTTGTAGGCTTTGGGGTCTCTACACTAGTTTATAATCCTAAAGACATTGACACCTTCTGTAGGATCAGGCCATTTGCCCTGTGCCACCGGCTTGTAATACCTACCCCAGTGCCTCAAAGGGGATACTCAAAAGAAAAAGATCCTTATATTCTGGGAGAGTGAGATGCACCAACTAAAATAGGGAGTATGAGCTGTTCCAGACATTTCCACTCACCTTCTGCCTGCCAGTGTTGTCTACCAAGAATTCCCCATAATTCAACTGCAAAAGGCATTGTCTTAGTCCAGTTTGCATTGCTATATAGGAATATCTCAGACTGGGTAATTTATAAAGAAAAGAAACATTTGGATCACAGTTCTGCAGCCCGTACAAGAAGCATGGCACCAGCATCTACTTCTGGTGAAGCCTCAGGAAGCTTACAGTCATGGTGGAAAATGAAGAGGCAGCAGGCTTACATGGCAAATGAAGGGTAAGAGAGAGAGAGAATGAGGTGCCAGGCTCTTTCAAACAACCAGTTCTCACATGAGCTAATAGAGCAAAAACTTACTCATTACCATGAGGATAGCACCAAGACATTCATTAGCGAATTGCCCCCATGATCCAAACACCTCCTGCTAGGCCCACCTCCAGTGGTAGAGGTTACATTTCAACATGAGATTTGGAGGGGGCAAAACATCCAAACCATATCAAGCATCCGTGTTCCCTTTGGTCAGAGAAGAGAGATTTGCTCACAGTTGTTAATTGTATGTTTTACTCTAGACATAACGTTTCTCCCTAAAGACTGAACTTAATTTTAAGTTTGCTTGGTCCACCAGTAGATTTTCCTATGTGCTAGCCTTATCCTTTAAGCTTAGAGAAGAATTTCATCATTGCATTAAACATTGTGATCCAATTAATCTAAACAGTGAACATCAAATCATACTAAAAATGTACCCATTAGTCAAACATATGATCATTTCTTTTTAAAAACAATTGCTTTAATTACACAGTTAACTATGAGCTCATTTCTGATTGTAAGAAATTGAAGTAATGTAGATTCAAGTAAAGTCACTCTAAAAATATTCCCTCCGGCCCCATTCTTTTACTAGGTATAATACCTGTAATGAATTTAGTGTGTATCCACTCAACCCTTTTTGTATGTATGATGAAAATACATAAATAAAAAATTTGTGTCAAGTCTGTATTTTTACATAAGTAGAATAATCTTTTACTTTGTGAATGCTTTTAATTAACAAGAAGTCTTTAGATATTTCCATCAGTGTAGATATAGATTTCTTGCATTGAAATATTGTTGCATAATATTCCATAATATGGATTGTGAAAGTTTTAATTATTGCCCTACTAGTGGAAATTCAGAGGTTTTTGAAAAAAATTATTCTATAAAATACCACAGGGAACAGTTTTTTGCATGCCTTCTTGCACACATGTGGCTGTGTTTCTTTTGGGTAGATACCAAGAAGTGAGATTGTTGGCTCAAAGAATATGTGCAATTTTAAAAGGTTTGGCAAAATGCCCTACAAAAAAAGGCAAGAAAGAGTTAAACCCTGACCAGAAATTTAATTTAGAGAAGAGAGTTACTTTTTTTCTATGCCCTTATCAATACGTAATGTTATTTAATTTTGGAGTATTTCCCAATCTAAGAGATGGAAAATCAAAGCTCATCTTAATTTGCATTTCCTTGATTACTAGTGAAGTTGTGCATTTTTAAATACATTTATTTGTTATTTCCAGTTCATCTTCTGTGCGTTATCTATTCATATCTTTTTTCCTGATAGACTTTTTCTTATCAAACTATAGACATTCTTCATATGTTGTTATATTCATCTTTTTCTACTACATATATTAAAACTAGTTTCTCCCAGTTTGATGACAGTTATTTGACTTTTTCTATGGGATCTTTAGCTAAAGAAGATTTTTCTTCTCTTCTTTAAATTTTCTGTATATGAAGCTCCAGACGCACAGATACATTTGCGTAAATCTTAGCCCATAGGTCCACTGGCCCTCCCTTATCTGTGGTTTCCTGTTCCAAGGTTTCACTTACTCTTGGCCAACCATGATCCAAAAATATGAAAACATTTTTAGAGAGAGAGAAAGAGACCACATTCACATAACTTTTATTACAGTCTCTTGTTAAAATTGTTCTATTTTATTATTAGTTATTGTTGCTAATCTTTTACTGTGCCTAATTTATAAATTAAACTTTTTCCGAGGTGTGTATGTATAGGAAAAAACAGAGTACTGTATTTATAAGGTTCCATTCTATTGGAAGTTTCAGGTATCCATTGGGGGTCTTGGAACGTATCTCTCGCAGATAAGAAGGAACTATTTTACTTTTTGAAGTTGAGCCCTTTTTAATTTGTCCTTTCTTTCATTTGTCTCAGTTCTTTCTCTTTTGCTGACTTTGGCTCACATTAGTCTCCTGCCCTCCCTACCTCCTCTCCAGCTATATGGAAAGTAAAAGGAAAACCACGGAAAAATTGAAAAAGTAAAAATGGAAAAACAAATACCAGGTAAATACTACCAACTCAGAGAAAGTTGTTACAGATACATTACTATCAGACAACATCAAATTTAAATGTAAAGTATTATTAGGAATAATGGGGTCACCACATAATGATAACTGATTCAATTCACCAAAAAGGCATTCTAAACTTTATGCACCCACTAACGAAGCCTTATAATACACAGAGCAAAATCTTACCAGACTTATGGTTTGGATCTGTGTCTCACACCAACCCTCATGTTGAATAGTAGTCCCCAGCATTGGAGGTGGCACCTGGTGGGAGGTGACTGGATCATGGAGGCTGAGTTCTCATGAGTAGGTTAACAGTATCCCCTTGGTGCTATTATCATGATAGTGAGTGCATGAATTCTCATGAGATCTGGTTGTTTAAAAGTGTGTAGCGCCTCCCCTCTCTCTTGCTTCTGCCCCTGTCATGTAATATGCCTGCTCCCACCTTGCCTTCCCTCCATGAGTAAAAAGCTCCCTGAGGCCTCCCCAGAAGCAGATGCTACCATGCTTCCTGTACAGCCTGTGAACTGTGAGCCAATTAAAGATCTTTCTTTATAAATTACCCAGTCTCAGGTATTTCTTTATAGCAAATGTGAGAACGAACTAATACAACAGATTAAAAAGAAAAATTGCCTTCTCCAGAAAATTGTCTTTTCTACTGTTTTCCTCACTACAGAGTTGATTTTCATAACACTAGCAAAATAGAGTGAGAATGAGGTTTAAGATATGTGAGAAGAAGAACAGGTACCTAAAAATATATTTTACTAATAAGATAAATTATATCCATTTTTCTTGAAAAACAATGTCAATCAAGAGGATCAAAAAAGATCATTTTGTTTATGAAAGAATAAGAGAAATAAAAGTAGATTTAGAGGGAAGATGCTTGAAGGAAGTAAGAAACCAAACTTTCAAGGAAAATTCCTGAAGATTTTTTTGCTGGGTTTGGCAGTTTGTATGTGTTTTGCATTTTAATTACAAAGTAAAGTGTTTTCAACACTTGGTTAGGGAATCATTCATAATTGGGACCTTCCTGACCACAGTCAGCAAACCTTCATTCACCTCCAGGAGGTTTGGCAAATCAGAACAGGGTCTATCTGCCAGGGCGCTGTGGTCCTCGTCAAATACAGCAGCCTCACTATTGGCACAGTGGCACACTTTTGCTTAAGAGGTGGCCTCAGCTACCAGAGGCTGAGACTAAAATATCTCTCAGGCTGGTGGGAAAGCGGGTAAGTTCATAGCACAGACACTGGCCTGTGTGGAAAGTGTTCACTTGGAGCAAGTCTGGATGAGGCTTGTGGAAAGAAGAGAAGTTTATGTGATCCCACATCACAAGCAGAAAAACTGCTGTTAAACATTCAGCTAGTGACTCTCATACCTTTCCCACTGTGAAATGTGGGGTCAAAAGTATATATGCCGCTGAAGATTACTCTGCACAAAGATTTATGCAAAAGAGAAAGGAATGTATGTATTTAAAATAAAAAGAACCAAGAGCTTGTTTGCAAATGCTTTTACCAATAAGTGTTAGTCATGTACAAAAGTATAGTTTTCAAAATAAAATATTTTTACCACTGACACCTCTATCCCCCAAAATGTGGGTGCTAATAACTCCTTATTATATTGTTTCTCACTCTACTGTTATTGATGAGTAAAGTTTCATAAACCAGAAATATAGGAAAAGTCAGTAAAAATTGGAGAAAGGAGAGAAATATGTAAGTACATGAAGATCACCAGGCTGCAAGTTGGAGACTTTCATCCTCAAGAGCTTTTAGGTGACACATAACACATCTTTAGAAGGCCATAGTCAGACAAATTGTTAGGCATATCATACAGATCTTTAGTAAGGATCACCTTTCCAGAACCTTTTAGAGAGCTTCTAATCTTCCTTAATGCTTTGAGTTCACTTGCTGATTCCCATTAAGACATCTCAGAATCTTTGCTGGCGAGAGTTTCAGCATATAATATCATGAAGAACCAAGAAATAGACTTTGAAAAGAAAAACCTGCACTCTGGAAAATCATTATTTGGTATAAGGAAGAGTGTGGTGAAATGAGGGCCAGGGCATTTGGCTGTTAACCCCGGCCGCTTCCAGGGTTGGGACTTCTGGTATTTCCTGGGCCTTAGCGGGCCTCTGCTGCACTGTCAGAATAATGAGGCTTCTGTTCCAAATTTGAAACACTATGAGTCTCATCAGCCTCATCCTTGCCTCCTGCCATCTTCTCTTGAAGGTTGGGGTCAATGACTTCAGAGAAGATTGGTCCTTGTCTCTAGGCAAGGGCAATTTAAATATCCCCAAACTTAGGTTGCCCTCGCTGCTATGTACTTCTGGTTTTTGAATCCAGCTCTGGAAATCACTTCTTTGTTTTGTTCCTGAGACTTGGCTCCTCCCTCGAGCCTTGTTCTGGAAACTGAATCCCTACCTCCTTCTAAGCTGAATTGCATTTCCCTCAACATGCCCCCATAACGTTCTGTGCTTATCCCCATCACAGGGCTCATAAACAAACACATGCATAAATAAATGGAAAATTTAATGATGTATGGCAAATGACATAGTAAATACACAAATAATAAACACTAGGAACCCCACAGAGATATCGTGATGATGTGCTTTACAAGGCTTATTTCAAAAATGGTCAGTTTGTGACAAAATAGGTATAGAGTTAAGGAAAAGAACACGGTCTAACAAATGGGCTAATAGAGGGGCCCCATCAAAGGATGGAGCAGCTCATGATGTGGCAACTCAGGCATGATTAAAAGAGAGAAATGTTCCTGATCCTGATGGATCCATCCCGGGGTTCTCAAAATTCTCGAGCATTCTGTATTTGTTGTTTCTTCCCTGTTCCCTATGGCACTTCCTATATCCCTGTATTTGCACATATTACAATGGTTTGTTGGGAAAAGGTAAATATATGCTCAAATATATACACAATTAATTAAACAAAAATGCCTGCAATGTGATTTTACAAATCATAGAAGATATTTGAAGCCAGGGTTACTCACATTTCTAAACCCTGGAATCAAGTTTTTTGGGAAAACATTACTAGAAAAGAGAATACAACTGGTAGAGAATACGTGGTGTAAAGCACACCAGAGCGCAGAAAACATGGGAATATTTAGATGAAAGTACCTATTTTCCCCCTCTATTTTGTCATGTCTCATGATTTATTTATGATGTTTGGCTTAAGCAAGAGCTTTTGATGACAAAACCGTGATTTCTCTCTTAGACAAGTGTGTATGAATCTTTTTTTCATTATCTCCCTCTAAAAGCATTATTAGACATTTTTTCTCTAATCATCCCCCAGTGAAATTATAATACCACAGATAGACTGCATATCAGTTTCTGTACTAGATGTAAATATTTACACATAAAAGACTAATATTTTCTCACTCCCACTAGGGAACTAATTATTGCCCCCTTGCAGATGATACTGCTCCTGATATAGTTTGAATATTTGTCCCCGCCCAAATCTCGTATTGAAAGGTAATCCCTAGTGTTGACAATGGGGCCTGGTGGGAGGTGTTTGGATCACGGGGGCAGATCCCTCATGAATGTCTTGGGCCACCCTCTTGGTGATAAGAGAGCTCTTGCTCTGAGTTCACACAAGATCTGGTCATTTAAGTGTGTAGCACCCTCCTCACTCTCTCACTCACTCTTACTTTCCATGTGATGTGACTGCTCCCTCTACACCTTCCACCATGATTGTAAGCTTCCTGAGGACTCCCTAGAAGCTGAGCAGATGCCAGCACCATGCTTCCTGTACAACCTGAAGAACTGTGAGCCAATTAAACCTCTCTTCTGTATAAATTACCCACTCTCAGGTATTTCTTTATGGCAATGCAAGAACAGACTAATACAGCCTCTTGAGAATGCATGTTTTATATCATGGTAAACAAAATGTCATATAAGCTGCTGAAGCATGAGAGATCATAGACACCAATGGGACCCACCCTTAATGGACAGTTACAGACCAGAAAAAAATACGGGAAGACAGAGGCCTGGCTTCTTGCATGTTCGCCCACTACGTGTATTTATTAAGGTTAAAATAAAGTAAATCACAAAATCTGAAGCATATCAGCCAAAGAAAATATCAAGTCAACAAAAAAAGTACAACAGAAAGAAAATAAAACTGATAATAGAGGATAGTCTCCTGAAAATTCTTGGAATCTTTTCTTGAGAGGGAGAAGATGGGGATAGGAAATGTAAAAGGAAAAATGGAGAAGGTGGAAAATGAAGTAAACACAGTGTCTTTGGAAGTTTTATTTACATCAGGATTTTCAGAAGTGGACTTTTATATATGGAAGTTGTTCCTTGCTCCCAGTCAAAGAAGATCCAGCCCCAGCGATGGAGTCCATTATGTGACCTGGGATCTGTAGGAATGGCATGGAGAGAAAGGAGCACCCCACAGGGAAGGAGCTGAGATTAGATGAGGAGCAAACACCGTGCATGCCCTCGACACAGCTGACTTAAAAGTGACACTGTCTTTGTATGTTTCATCTTTTAGAATACAGAAGACCAGAAGATAACAATGGCTCAAGGAAAAGTTACATTTTACTTGATCCTATTCAATAATAGCATAAAACCAATAAAATTTATGAAACAGGAATGTATACATATGTATACATATCTATACATTTTTTTTTTAGATGGAGTCTCGCTCTTGTCACCCAGGCTGGTGTGCAAATTCACGATCTCGGCTCACCGCAACCTCTGCCTCTCCAGTTCAAACAATTCTCCTGCCTCACCGTCCCGAGTAGTTTGGATTACAGGCATGCTCCACCACGCCAGGCTAATTTTTGTTTGTTTGTTTGTTTGTTTATTTTAGTAGAGATAGGGTTTCTCCACATTGGTCAGGCTGGTCTTGAACTCCCAATCTCAGGTGATCCTCCCGCCTCGGCCTCCCAAAGTTCTGGGATTACAGGCATGAGTCACCATGCCCGGCCTATACACGAGTCGACAATCTAAAGCCCAAGAGAAATTCAAGGTAGAATTATTGACAATGGTCCTGGGGTTGGACACTCTCTTCTACTAGTTCCTGCTTCTACTTAATGACCTTTCCTTTTTCATCACTTTGCTGGCATAGCTCTACCCTCTGCCCCCTAAATGAGGCAGGTGGCAAGGCCAGTATCTTCCTTTTGACTCTGTGTGCTCTTCCTTGGCAAGACCCCGCGTCCTTGGTTCTTCAGCTATCTTCTCTAGACAGACTTCTCCCTAAACCATCCTTCTGGCCTGACATGTCTCCTGATCTCCAAACTTAATTTCCAAATGCCTGCGGGATATTTTTAGATGGATTTCTTTCAACACCTTCAAATCAAGATAAACAAAACAAAGCTCACCATCATAAAACCTTCTAGCTTCCTTATTTCTGTTACATAAACTTCACAAAAGTTTATGATATGCACTCCTCTCTGTTGTCATCCACGTGCCCAGTTAGTGAAAGTGCTGTTCTATTCTGCCTCTGATGTCACTCACAGCTGTTTCCGTCACTGTCCTTCGGCTCTGAACCTCTCATCTGGACTATGGTATGGCAATTGCATTATTGTTGGTTTTCTCCAATCCCTCTCTCTTGGAATCATTCTATGTGCATTTTTTCAGAATAGTATTCTTAAGACTTACATTTTATCAGGCCACTCAACTAAAAAACTTAAAAAGTTTTCAATTTGTAACCATTCTGAGTCAACACTGTAGCTCCCTTTACTTTTCTTCCAAACTATCACCCCGCTAAGTTTCTACGATCCCTTATAATCTTACCCAAAGTGAATAATAATCACTCTCTCTCATACACACACTGACTTGTCATCAGTCCTATCAATCCTCCAATTCAGGATGAGTTTCAATTTTATCAACTTCAGAGAAATTTGAGAAAGTTATTTCATCACTGAATCTCCAGGGTGACTGATTTTGCTTCAGCTAGCCATAACAGCTGCATTCCGATGGAAAGCTGGATCCTGTTTGAAGCGGACTCAGGATAGAAACGCTGTGTTTGTGCTAATAGTTTTTCCGGGTGTTTCCCCAAGAGGACAGGTCGGGGGAACAGGGAATATGCACGTGGAAGCACATGTAGAAACATCTGCTCGTAGATGCCATCTGTTTACTCAGGGTGCCCGCAAGTTTACGCTTCCCAAGCCTTAAGTACTTGTGCAGTGACTGCTGTTTCACGTGCTGTTTCTTGTCACCATGAAGTAACAACAACAACAAACGACGATGACGGTAATGATAGTGCTGATGCTGCTTTGATATGATGATGGCCCAGCACATCTGCATAATTCTCTACAATTCGTAAATACGAGGAGTGACTGGCAGAAAGAAAAAATTAAATATGGGCAAAAGGAGGGCAGGGACACTCTAAAATTAAAAATGACAAAACTAGGTTGGGCATGGTGGCTCACAACTGTAATCCCAACTACTCAGGAAGGGGTACTGAGGCAGGAGAAATGCTTGAACCCAGGAGGCAGAGGTTGCAGTGAGCCAAGATCGCACCACTGCACTCCAGCTTGGGCGACAGAGCAAGACTGTCTCAAAATAAAAAAAGTTAAAAAAAAAAAAAAAAACTAATGGGAAGAAGATCCTAATCCCCATTGCAAGATTGGGGCCAGGAGCTACACCCCACTCCTCTAGGACCTAATTCCAAGTTAATGATGAAGCTTAAGAGGGAATCTAGGTGCAATCCACATCCATTTCTGTGGAAGAGTCTAGATTCCATGGTAGAAGTTCTAAGGTGTCAAGTTTCTAGTCTCAATTTTAGGCCTTTTATAACATTATTTCTCCATCCTGTGATGCCTTCAGGGAATAGGATAGTTTGCCTACTCCTAAAATCCCTTAGCTCACTCAGTCCCCCACAGCAATGAACTCCAGCTTTGTGTGTGTGTGTGTGTGTATGTGTGTGTGTGTGTGTGTGTGTTATTTTGCTGGACTGTTTCTTTGGGGAAGGAAGCCAGCTTTTCAAGTGGATGACAGAATAATTCAACGCAGTGTCTTGCAGTCTCTTGGGGCACTAGTCATGGGGTGGAGCAGAGGATGCCATGGGTACCCCGACATCTGCTTGTCAGCTTCACCTGTGCGGATTTTATCACATCAGAGACAATGATCAGGTCCCAGTGGCTGGGACTGGAGTTGTACTGAACATAGATGCCTTTATTATTATTCTCATTGACTTGCAACTTCACGTATTTGTCTACTACATCTTCTGATCTGCAGCCCAGACACCTGATCTTAAGAGATGCCGACTAATATTTTTCCATCCCTGAAAATCATACAATTCCTTAAACACTGAGAAAAATGCTGTGGAATTTTTTTTTACCAAACCTTTTTTTATCCTAAATCAGGGTGTCCCAAGTAAACAAATAAACAAAAATAAGATTTGGTAAAATAGCTTTTATTGCAGCATCTGAAAACCCGGAACATCTGGACAACAGAATTGTCTGCACAATTTTAGAAATAGCTCATGTTGAAAATCACACCAGCATGTGTCAGGTATGAAGACATGTGACACGCGATGTTAGTATCATAGGCCTGACTGCAAATTGACCACTGGATGATGCTGTGACAGCCTAAGCAACTTAGTTAGAAGGTGTGATGTGGATAAAGCAAGCAAACAGCCACAGAACAGACTCCGCAAAGGAACCGGGCATGACGTGAAAACCTCATCACTTTCATAGACGACATTTATGACTGAGTCAGAGACATGAGAATTTGAAAGAGAGTTCCAAAAAGTAAGAAAGGGCAAGCGCAAGTGGATAACACCGCAGGCTCCCCTTCAGAGCACTGTTGAATCAACCTCACTTTCCGTTCTGCGGAAGCTGTTGTAACAAATGCTTGTAGGAGATTTTTGTTCTACCTCTACCTGCAGCTTAACGAGGAGCTCCTAAAGGGTAAACATTACACAGACATATGTAGAAAGATGTTTTGTAATTCTTTACAAAAAAATTACAATTCTTTGGTAATTTTTTTTTTTTTTTTTTTTTGAGATGGAGTCTTACTCTGTCGCCCAGGCTGGAGTGCAGTGGCGCGATCTCAGCTCACTGCAACCTCCACCTCCCGGGTTCAAGTGATTCTCCTGCCTCAGCCTCCTGAATAGCTGGGACTACAGGTGCGTGCCACTACACCCGGCTAATTTTTTATTTTTAGTAGAGATAGGGTTTCACCATGTTGGCCAGGCTGGTCTCAAACTCCTGGCCTCAGGTGATCCACCTACCTCGGCCTCCCAAAGTGCTGGGATTACAGGCGTGAGCCACCGCACCTTAAAACTTTGGTAAGTTTTAAGGAAAAGAGTGTGCATTGCAAATTCATTTTCAAACTATCTGAACTGATAAGAAAAATTAACCCACTCAGCTCTTTAACCTAATGTGTTTTTTTCCATTTTCTGGTAAACTCGATGCTTTAAATTACTAAAAAATAATAACAAACACTTTATATCTGCAGTATACATTTATATCAAATACAATATTTTCTGAAACTGATATTCTCTTGAAACCAAGGCATTCCCTTACATCTCACATTTGGTACCAGAAGACATTATCACAAAACATATGTGTCTTTTGAGTCACTCTGCTGTTCTTGGAGTAAACATATTCAGAGACAGATATCTGAGTCAGGTCCCAGATATTGCATTATTTTTTATTGTAGAAACAGTAATTCCTCCACTCTGCTGCTTGTCGGAATAAAGTTGCTAATGGGTTTGTGCCCACAAACTCCCACATTTGAAAGAGAGCTTATAATTCTAAGAAATGTAGATTCCAGCCAGGCACAGTGGCTCATACCTGTAATCCCAGCACTTTAGGAGGCAAAGGCAAGTGAATCATTTGAGGTCAGGAGTTCGAGACCAGCTTGGCCAACATGGTGAGACCCGGTCTCTCCTAAAAATACAAAAATTAGCCAGATGTGGTGGCTGGCGCCTGTAATCCCAGCTACTTGGGAGGCCGAGGCAGGAGAATCGCTTGAATCCAGGAGGCTGAGGTTGCACTGAGCTGAGACCGTGCCACTGCACTCCAGCCTGGGCAACAGAGTGAGACTCCATCTCAAAAAAAAAAAAAGAAAGAAAGAAAGAAAAAGAAAAAGAAATGTAGATTCCAGAAAACAGGAGACTCCCTGTGGGTTGTGCATCCTCTTCTGCATTACATGGGTCTCCATCATTGTACTCTCAAGGTCTTTGCTGCATCATTAAGAAATTAGAGCAGTGACAACTTCCCAGATTCTGGCAGGTATAGCAGACACTCAACCAACTTTTTGTTTTATTAATTTTTTTTAAATAACATACCTTCTGGACAAGGAAAATTCTCAGGCTGGGCACTTGCCAATGCAGATTCAGCCGTGAGAGACTTGTCACTATGTATTAGTGGCTTGCCTTCTGCATTCCTGGAAGTAAATGTAAGGTATTTGCTTATTTTCTGTGTAACTTCTTATGCCAAGGGAAAAATCCCAGAAAAAATAGTCATGATGGACCTCGAAAACATTCTGCTAAGTGAAACAGGCCAGATGAGAAAAACCGCATATTGCAAGATTCCGCTTGTGTAAAATGTCTGGAACAGGCAGATTATATATAAAGACAGAGAGTGCATTTGCCTAGATCTGGGGAGGGAACAGGGATTTACTGCAAGTGGGCCCAAGGGATCCCTCTGGGGTGATGGAAACATTTTAAAACTGGATTGTGGTGACGGTTGAACAACTCTATAAATTTAGTAAAAAGTAGTTGAATTATACACTTAAAACAGATGAATTTTACAGTATGTAAAAAATAGAATAGGTATCTAACAATGTAATTATCACCTTCTAACATATGGAATATACTATGTTCAAAAGAAAGCAGTAAGTCACCCTCTAATTGCACACCTGAACACAAAGAAAATTCAAAGAATTTGCTTCATTTTATATTTCAGTAAAAGCTCATGTCATGCTTCAACTATACAATAACTTCTCCTTCAGCCTACAGTGTACTCAATTATATTTTAATCTATGATTATAAGCAAAGCCTGCATTCTAAGCTTTATTGGGATTCCTAGGGAAATTCCAAGCAAATTTATTGGAATTACCCATTTTAAGCATTACCCAAGAATTACATGCTTTTAATATTTTTATGTCATCATTCACTTTTTATCCTGATATAATTTCAAACTTACTGAAAGTTTTCAAGAATAGTTCAAAGAATTCCATATACCATAGCCAGAATCGCCAGTTGCTACACTTGCCACATATTCTTTGCCATTCTTTCTCTGTAGATATTCTTAAATCTTTTTTCTTTTTCACATACAAACAGATTGCATGTGCACAAGAAAAATAACACAATTGAGATACACGTAATAGCCCCCACACTCTTACTCCCTAGAGAAAGTCATTATGAAAAATTTCTGGAATATTCTTCATAGTTTTTAGAGAAGAAAATGAAATAATCTATGTTTAAAGTGCTTTGCAGATTGTAGGGTACGTGTAATATGAGTTACTATCAAAGTCAATGCAGTCAATTCTAGTTTCCTCTTGCAGTTGAACTGGCAATGACCTGGCACACTGTATCCCATTTCATGTGTGGAGTGACGTCTTGGAAGGCAATGTGGAGCTTGGGGTGGCCAGCAGCTGAATTAACTGATTATTGGACTGAATGAAATTGCCGAACTGAAAGTCCTAGCAAAAACAGAAGAAATGACTAACAAAGCAATGATCACACACTCCTAGTATATGCATCATACGACATTCGGAGAAAGACAGAGCCACTTGTACTTCACAGATCCATACAAGGGAAATGGAACAACATTGCTCAGTGTGCTCTGTAATTATTTTTCCTGGCCATCCATTTCTAAGCCATTGGCCTCCCATCAATGATCATTGTGTACTTGGAATCACAACAGACAGCATGGCTGATGCCAACGCTAATCTGAGTCAGTTCATAGAAAGGACCCTGACCGTAGCCCTGCTGACAATGGAAAGAGAGAAGTGAAAAATAACAGAGAATGAAAAGGAGCCACATTAACAAAGGACATGTTAAAACAACAGCCACCTCAAGAAGTGCCCCCACTTCCATGTTTACAGTGTGCTTTCTGCCTGAAGCCACCCCAGCCTAAAGTTTCTCACAGCGAACCCCCCTAGCTTTATGGAACCTCACAGATCCTGTGCAGACACTCAGTGGGTGTGTAGACTACAGTGCAGTGGCTATAAACACAAACAGTTTCTTAACTTCCTGGGAAGTGACTTTAGACAGCTCTTCCCAAAGGACAGAGGCTTCCAAAGCCTTAGGGAAACCTTGTTCACAGAAGGAGTAGGGTCATTTAAGTGAGTAAATGTGTGTACACCTCTGTGTACACCCAGTGTATTTGCAGGTCTGTGATTTGATGAGTGTCTAAACCATGGCTATCAGGGAAATTATCTACACAATCTCAGCATTGGCCTCAGTCCCTGGAGTCATGCCCAGCAGGCATCCGAATGGTTGAAGGAACTGAGTGGACAACATTCTAGGCCAGATCAACATTTGGTACAGTCAAGGAAAGATAATAGATAATCTGATATTCCTAGACACAACTAGACTCAAAAACAAACCTCCTCTCAAGTCTGCTTCAATCCTTGTTCCAGTGTATTAAAGAGGCTGTCTGCTGATCACGGTAGTATCTCAGCGCTAAGTCGGCCATGCAGGCTGGGCCAGCACTGGACCTAGGTCATCCTCTCACCTGACCTCTGTGGTTACACCAGAGCAGCATTTTATGTCCATTGGGTCTTTGCTGAGTTTGAGAATGGTTTCGAATAAGTGCATTCGAACAGTTGTTCTCTTATTTCTCCCAATTCTAGTCAATCTAGTGTGATGGTTAAGAGCAGAGACTGTAGAGACAAAATGCCCAGAGTTACCTCCAAGCAATGAACTTCCTCCTGTAAAACAAGGGTCCCAATACTATCCACCTCATGAGACAGAGGGTTAAAAGGACTAATACACGTAAAGTGTTTAGAACTACTTCTGGTATGTGGTAAGTGTTCTTTAAATAGTAGCTAGCATTGTCATTATTATTAATACCAGTATTATGTTATTTATACATAACTGTATGTATATTTAAAGCTCCTTTACTTTTCTAGATAAAATGAAATTAGGAAAATACATCTAATGCAATGGAAAAGAGAGCACATGGAAATAGAACGGCAATGGAAAAAGGGGTATGTGTTGTCCCCACGTCCACTCATGCCTTCTCTGCTCCCCACATGTCACCTAAAGTGCTGTTTGAAAATTGTCAATCTGATCATCTCTTTCCTCTGATTTAGAAATAAAAGGTTTCCTATCACTCTTGGGTAAGGTTCAAAATAAACATGGAGCCCGGGTGCAGTGGCTCATGCCTGTAATCCCAGCACTTTGGGAAGCTGAGGCGGGTGGATCACCTGAGGTCAGGAGGTCGAAACCAGCCTGGCCTCCGTGGCGAAACTTCTTCTCTACTAAAAATACAAAAATTAGCCTGGTGGGGTGGCGGGCACCTGTAATCTCAGCTACTTAGGAGGCTGAGGCAGGTGAATCGCTTAAACCCAGGAGGCGGAAGTTGCAGTGAGCCAAGATCACACCACTGCACTCCAGCCTGGGCGACAGAGCAAGACTCCTTCTCAAAAAAAAAAAAATGAAAATAAACATGGACCACAAGACCCTGCCTGATATGGCCTTGCCACTGTTTCCGTTTATCTTGTGCCTCTCTTCCCTTTATCTCTCCCACTTCAACCTTATATTGTGCACATACACATGGCTATGCCCTAGGTTCTCAGATCTTTTAAGTTCGTTCTCCTCTCAGTCAAGAGCCCTCTATTCTTCCCACCTCTGCTCCCCTTGCTTCCTCAGACTCAACCTGTTACGTCACACAGAGACCTTTCCTGGTGCTCCAGGCAAGTTCAGGCCCTTGCAGTCCTTCATAATACTGCAAAAATTGAAATTATTTGCCAAATATATCTTGGCTCACTGCAACCTCCACCTCCCGGGCTTACAATCCTCCCACCTCAGCCTCCTGAGTAGCTGGGACCACCAGCATTAAGTATTTTAATGTACATAATTAAGACCATACTATTTAAAATTTAATCTTTGTCAAAGCACAGTGACTCTTTGCTAATATTTCTTGCCCTCAGATCTGTTTAGATTCATGTTAATACGGCCATTCCAGATTGTTTTTTTGTTTTGTTCTGTTTTATTTGTTTTTTTGGTTGCTATTCATCTGTAACTAATTTTTTTCTTCATCTTATGACTCTCTTTCTGTGTGCTTTTGTTACAGGTGGAACTTTTATAAAAGATATAGAAGTTACTTTTTAAAAATACTTCTAGTGAGATCAAGACCATCCTGGTTAACACGGTGATACCTCGTCTCTACTAAAAATACAAAAAATGAGCCGGGCGTCGTAGCGGGCGCCTGTAGTCCCAGCTACTCGGAAGGCTGAGACGGGAGAATGGCGTGAACCCAGGAGGCGGAGCTTGCAGTGAGCCGAGAACGCGTCACTGCACTCCAGCCTGGGCGACAGAGCCAGACTCTATCTCAAAAAAGCAACAACAACAACAAAAAAAATACTTCTAGTGATCTTTCTGTTTTAAATGGAGAGTTTAATACGTTTACATTCAATATGATTTCTGACGTGTTTGGCTTTATTGTGTGGTAGATTGGATTCACCAAAAATTCTGTTTTCCATCCTTGAAGGAAGATTCTCTGAAGGAGAGAATACCTCACCCACCTGAAGCAGTGCCATGTAACTTGCCAGTGGAAAGTGGGAGAAGTGAGGTGGCAGGTGCAATGCTTTGCCTCATTTCCTTTTCCTCTGCCACAAAAACTGACAATGTCGGGACAGAGGCTGCTCTGGGAGCCTGGGACCAAACTGAACCCACAGTATGGACATGAAGAATGAGCAAGAAATAAATATTTGTTATTAGGACCTGGTCCCAGTGAGATATATAGTGGTGGTTTACGGCCCCAGTACAACCTAGCCCCTGACTAAGACACATTTCTGTAATCATATTTTGAAGATTGTTATTTCTATAACATTTATTTTATTTTTCTTTTTTAAAGTGATTTTTTGATAGCTGTTTTGTTTCTATTATTATCATTGCCTGCCTTGCCTTCCTTGAGGTTTTTTTAGATTGTTTTTCTCCTTATCTCCTTGTTCTCTTGCACTAATATATAAATTATACACTTTGCTGTTATACTTTCAGTGACTGCTCTAGAAATTTTAACATGAATGTTTGACTTCACAAAATCTAAGTTTATTAACATCTCAGTCATACAAGAAATTTAGTATGCTCTCATTACAATCCCTCTGCTCCTAATTTATATAGAATTATTGTTCTACAATTTAGTGCCATCTTGAACTGTTAATCCACAAATTAGACATTATTATCACTGTTTTAGCCAGTGATTATTTAGTTTTATCCAGACATTGAACATTTTGCTTTCTGCTCAGCATTTCTTCTTGCATTTCCTACCTCTTTTCTGTTCCTAGTATATTGAGAGATTTAAATCATAAATGGATATTGAAGTTTGTTAAATGTTTTTGTCCTTCATTAATTGATATAATCATTGAATTTTGTCCTTTATACTGTTACTATGGTAGATTTTATTAATTTTCAAGTATTGAACTAGCCTTGCATTTCTGGCATAAACCCCACTTGGTTGTGATGCTTTATTCTGTTTATATATTGCTAAATTTGATTCACTAATAGTTTGTTAAGTGGCTAAGTGGTTTTGCATTCATATTCCATAAAGATATTGGCCTGTGGTTTTCTTTCTCAGTACTGTCTTTGTCTACTTTTGGCATTAAAGTAAGCCCGGCACCATAAAATGAATTGGAATGTATTCCCTCTTCTTCTATTTTCTGGAAGAAATTAGAAAATTTGTGTCACTTCTTTAATGTTTGGAAGAAACCAACAGTGAACCCATCTGGTCCTGAAAATTTATGTTTTAGAAGGTTTTGAGCTATGAATTCACTTTATTTAATAGTTACAGATTATCTATTTTATCTTAAGTGAGTTTTGGTGCTTTGTGGTTTGCGAAGACTTGGTTCATTTCATCTACATTACTTGTAACTGTAGTGTTCTTTGTTGTATTCCCTTATCATCCTTTTAATTTTCCATGGATTCATAGAAATTTTAAAATGTAATTATTTTCCATTTTACCTAACACCAAAACAGGAAGTTTCCCTAACATCTCCCTCTGCTGGGCCAGGATTCTTTTTTTTCTAGTTATCACATAAAAGAGTGACCTTTTAGTGTTTTCTGACTGAAAAAGAGTCTCATCTTTTCTTTTTTGCCTGGTTCCTGAGCATATGACCCATTAAAACCCAGGCCAGAGGTCACCTATGACTGAGAAATATACCCAGAGAAAATACAAGCTAACCTATCCTATGGTTCATATATTCCTTTGGTTTCTAGTCTCCAAGGAATTTTCTGATTTTCTTGGCAGTTCAGTCCTCCATTAAAAAAGAGATTTTTGGTTTTGTTTGTTATAATACATTATCCAACACTCAAAAGTATGTTGTTCTAGAATTTCTCCAAAATATTAGTCTACCATATCTCTAGGAGCAATGATGAGACAGCAATTTATTGACTGAATTGGAAAAAAAAAGTTTTAAATGTGATTGAGGAAAACCTAGACAATAATGTGGTGAGGACTACAGCTTGGCTGTGTGTCTTGAAATGTTTAAAACCACATGTCTTATGACGCAGCAACTCCATTTCTCAGTATCTGTCCCAGGATAACTCCTGCAGACATGAACAAGAATGCTTATGACAGCCGAGTGTGTAATAATGAAATTTAGAAAACACTAAAATGTTTATCACTGTGTGTAATGAAATTTTAGAGTGTGTAATAATGAAATTAGTGTGTAATAATGAAATTTATTTCATTATTAACTGTGTGTGTAATAATGAAATTTAGTGTGTAATAATGAAACTTAGAAAACACTAAAATGTTTATCATTGTGTATAATAATGAAATTAGGAAAACATTAAAATGTTTAACAGTGGGAAAGATTAAATAAATTAAGGGACATATTTATTCTGGAATATTCCAAGCATACTGATATGGATGGCTCTTAAGAGTTCTTACATTAACAGAGTCAGTGCAAGTAAGTGCTTAGCAAAGACTATGTGTTCAATAAATGTAGCAACTGTTATTTTTTCAGGTGTTCCCTGTATTCCCTATCTTTCTGACTTACCGAAGTGGAATTGGGTTTATATCAAATGGCATCCACTGAGTCAACCTCTCTCTCTCTCTATCTCTCTCTCATTCAAAAGAACCATCTGTCAAGGAAGTATGGAATACAAAATGTAACACATTTCATGCTCTATTTTATTTGTTCCCTTCATTCACTAATCAGTTAGAAAAACATATGATCTTTGACTTTGGGATAAAATTAAAATAGATAAATAAATGTAGATAAATATATTTCCAACTAATACACCAATTGAGTCAAGTGCCTGGGCCGCATCTAACACCTTTCTGTTAAAAATGTCTCCCTTTTGACATTTAGCTAAGCAACAAAATTCCCACAAACTTGATTGGATTAATTGACAGTTCCTGGTAAATAAGTAATTAAGACATTTTCTTTCCTTTCTACAGAACCCATCTTTGGAACTCATATAAGCTTACTTTGATCAAAGCAAGGGCTGTAAAGGATTAGGGAGGAAGCAGCATTGAACTTTAGTTCACACATGAGTGCAAAGGCAAGATCTCCTGATTAAAACTCCTCACAGGGGAAATCATTAATTCCCTGAACACCAAGTGTCTTCACTTTGTTAGAACTTGGAATTGCAGCAGATTGAAGTAGGGCTCATAGAGGTCTTACTTTAAGTAGAGTATTAGTGTTAAGATTTCAGGTCCTAGTAAACACTATTGTCCTAGTAAACACTATTGCATAGGGCTATTTTATCATAGGAAATGAACATTTAATATGTTCATGATTCCTATAATACCTTCTAATATCTTAGTTGGTAGTATCTGTAATTGTACATTCCAAACAAATACCACATTATTCTTCATTCATTATCTCTATCAAATGTATTAGATGGAATCCTCATCTTCCAGAATAACTGGGAGAAATTTTACCTATTAACAATCATGACCAAAAAAAGGGATAGAAGTGTTTATGTTGCTTAAACTCAAAGACCAGCTTGCTCATAATGATGTCCACCCTTAGAAGAAGTTACCTGGAGGAGCTAAGTTTTCCACGGTCCTCCCAAATCCTCAAACAGAGAAAATCAAGTCTGTCAAGTTTCTAACATTCTTCCAGTATCAGAAAAGATAATCCACCAGAATCAATCAGCCCAATCAAAACAGCCTGATCCGGCACTGTCTGAGGTATAGGGAAGTAGACCACATCACTTGTGCAATCATGTATCTTAAAATAGAAATGTAAACCCTAAAGGGCTAGGACACAGACGCGTTCAAAGGGCATGGCTCAGATAGTAAACAAAATTCAGAGACAGTAGGAGCAGTGCAAGCTGAAGTGATGTGACTTGACAAGATCTTACTGAGAAAGTGGGTTATCAGTAGGCTTTGAAGGATAAACAGGAGGTAGACAAGCCTGGGAGGGAGACACCCACGACCTTTTAAATGGTTCCCTTCTCTCTAGCCTTGCTCCCTAATCTATACTGCATAACACAGCCTCGCTAGCTGTAGCAGACAGGTGTGACTCCACAATGTCCACCACTTCCATTCCCTGTTGAGGAAATTTCTCTGAGCTCAAGAGTAGCACTGACTGAGACCCAGTTCTTTAAAACAAACCCTAAGAAGGTATTCCTTAATCTTAAAAGAAAATCGAGAAGCCAAGATTTCTCTCCTGTTGGGCAAATAAGTTGGTATAGAGCATGTTAATAAAATGAAGGAAACTAGCCTTAGGATAATGCCAAAACAATGATTGCTTCAAATCATTGACAGTTTCGTGCTTATTTGTTACAGCAGTTAGTAGTATCTTAACTGAGGTAGGGACTGTTGAACTGGCCATTGTATATGCTCCGTAGAAACTTTGTCTTGAAACATTTGAAACTATTTTCCAAACAATTAATATGTTGGTCTAAAAGTAGGCTGTGCTTTTTATATCCAGTGTGTCTTTGCACTCTCACATCCCTGTCCTCTCCTAAGACTTTAGAGAATAATCAAATAGTTAGTTGGAAAGACACCTTGGGCTGGGCGCAGTGGTTCACGCCTGTAATCCCAGCACTTTGGGAGGCCGAGGTGGGCAGATCACCTGAGGTCAGGAGTTTGAGACCAGCCTGGCCAACATGGAGAAACCCTGCCTCTACTAAAAATACAAAATTAGCCAGGCGCGGTGGCACATACCTGTAATCCCAGCTACTTGGGAGGCTGAGGCAGGAGAATCACTTGAACCCTTGAGGCGGAGGTTGGCATGAGCTGAGATCGCACCATGGCACTCCAGCCTGGGCAACAAGAGCAAAACTCCATCTCAAAAAAAAAAACAAGAAAGAAAGACACCTTGGGCATAACTCATTTAAACAACAGTATTTGAATACCTACCACATCTGGGGCCTGTGCTGAACCTTGTGATACAGATGTGGTCCCTGCTCTCTGTTTGCAACACAGAAAACCCAGATGGTCCTGAGGCCTAGCAGATCTCCTCCAAAACCAAAACAAAACTAGAACATCCAACCAAATTTAGGATGACAGAAGGAACCTGAGTTCCTAAGAACATTTCTGAGTCACTGAATCAAACAACTCTGAACCACACGCACCTATGAACTCTGGTTGTCTGAGCAAGTCTATTCTATTCTGTTCTGTTCCACATTTTTTGGAACAGAATTTATTTCATAAATTCACAAATGGATCATGACCTGCAGTTTGAAGAACACAGCTGCAGCTTTCAAATATCCAAAGACATAAAGGAATGAATATATAACTGGGATAGGGCTTGAATCAGCCCTCCTCAAAAATAAATGCTCTCTAAATTCTCTCACTCCACGTTAAATATTAGTGTGAACATTACGAGATACCGTTTTATGCAATTTTATATAATATTAAAGGAAAGCTCCTTGCCTACATTTCCAAGTAAAAACTGATGCTTCGAGACGTGTGCTGTTGACCCTATTGATTCTCTTACCCGGGACTCTGCGTCTACCCCCAGAACACTCCCTTCCTCAGTAGGAAGTACAGGCTGGGGGAACAAAATCCAAGCTCCATGGCAGGCTTGGCACAGTCTTCAGGACAAAGCCCCTCCTTACAATGCCCAGGGGGACACTGGACAATGAGAACAGAATCCAGACTTAAAGCTGTACAGGCTAAAAAAGGCCACTGCAAGGTTTTATATATGCGAGTTACATGTTAAAATCAGCACCTGGGTAAGCCATTGATAGGAGTAAGACTATGAAATTCAGGCTTTTGGAAATTTAATTTGTTAGGGAAAGATGAGTCAATAATTGGAGGAAAAAAAGGGATTGGGAAGAAACATTAAAAAAAATAATAAAATAAAAGAGCTAGTAGTGGCCCAGGACTGAGAGGTGAGGTCTAGGCTAGGGCAGAAGAAACGTGGTGGGAGAGACTGTCCCCTGGCCTTCTGGGACACTAGTGTATAAAAGTAATTGATTCAAATAAAATAGTAGGCAGGAATATTCTGACCATTCCTGCAGGAGGTGGGGAAGGCCCTCAAACCCAAGTTCAACTGGGAATGAGGGGAAGATCTCCATATGTTTACCCTGAAGAAGAGAAATCTTAATGGGAAGAAAAATGTTTTAAACTTTTGGATGTCTCTTAGGAGTGGGTCCGATTAGCAGATATTTCTGCTGGATTACTATCAGGAAGATATTCTTATTATAGTTACTTCACAGTCAAATGGGTAACTATTGAGGGAATAGGGTCCTCTATCATTAAAGGTGTTCAAAGTTGACACTTATCTGGGTATATGTCACAGAAAAATGTTAGGTTGGAGTCCCATGAAAGCAGGCAGAGAACAAGGACCACATCTATATCCCACAGTTCAGCACAGGTCTCATATGTGGCAGGTATTTAAATGTTGACGGTTAAATGAGATATGAAAAGTTGCTTTCCAACTAATTGCTTGATTCTATCAAGTCTTGGGAGGGGACAGGAATGTGAGAGTGCAAAGACACACTTGGAAAAAAAAGTGCAGCCTATTTTTAGACAGCATATAATTAATATGTGTGTTTGGAAAATATTTTCAAAGTGTTTCAAGACAAAATTTCTGTGAGGCACATTCAATGGCCAGTTCAACAGTTTCCATCTTATTTTGGCCATCACTAGCTGCTATAACAAATAAGCACTAAATTATCAATGACTTTACACAACAATACTTGGTTCTTGCAGATGTAACAGGAAACACGGATGGTTCTGGTGCACAGCTCTCCTCCACCTGAGCATTTAGGAACTCAAGTTCCTTCCACGTTACAGTCCTGGCTTCTCTTAAGGCCTCAGAGTCATTTGCATCCAGCCAGCAGGCATGAAAAGGGGTTTGAAGACGCGTCAATGTGAAGATTTTATGGATCAAGTTTAAATATGGTGCATATTTGTTCTGTTCCTATTCCATAGAGAGCTCTGAGTCACATGGCCACATCTCAATGCAGGAAAGATGGGAACTATGGACTTACTGGTATAAAGATGGGCAGAATAAGTGTGGTGGACAGCTAGTAGTCTCTTCCACAATACCCATATGCACCCTTCTTCATATGTACATATTATATATACACACAATCCTTTCTGGAGAGATATACCTCAAAGCTCTATCACAAGTAACCACTGCAAAAATTAAATTTAAGAAAATTCATAGCTCGGTCAAATGGCTGATGATATGCTAATAAGTTTTGCAGTGAGCCAATGCAACACTGAAAAAAACTGCCGAAGTCACATTCAGGGAGTGTATTATTTTCCAAGCAAGGGCGCTTATGACCTTGGCAGCTGGCATTCTGAAGCCATTGACTGTGCTCAATGTTTTCAGTTCTTCCTTTGAACATTGAAAGGGATGGTATCTCAACCAGCAGCTTAGATGATACATTCTAGTTTTTCAACAGTTCATTGTTTAAAAGGTTCTTTAATACCTAGCCAACGTTTCCCTCTTCTTGGCATCAAGCCAGAACATTTTGCTCATGTCTGTCAGTGGGCACAGCCTGCCATACCAGTAAAAAGAATAACAAGATCAAACATGAAAAAGGAGCAATGCCTGTCTTTGCATACTTGTCTCCTGTCTCCTTTGCATACTTGTTTCTAGCGTGGAGTGATTGATACATTCTTGCTCTGAGATAACCACCATGATATCTGAGTTACGGTTAGCACTACAATATCCTTCCCTGTTCTCAGGAAGTCTGCTGCACACACTATCACTTACCTGACACACCAAGAGTTGAGTACTGCATCAACTAACTCAAGTCCAGTAAGGCATCGTTTTCTTTACATTACTGATCAATGACTTTTTTTGAGACAGGATCTTGTTCTGTCCCCAAGGTTAGAGTACAGTGGCACAATTATAGCTCACTGCAGCCTCAAACTCCTATACTCAAGGGATTCTCCCATATCATCCTCCTAAGTAGCTGGGACTACAGACACACACCACCATGTCCATCTAATATTTTTTCAATCTTGTAGTGATAGGGTCTTGCTATGTTGCCCAGGCTGGTCTCGAACTCCTGGCCTCAAGCAATTCTCCTGCCTCAGTCTCCCAAAGCGATTGGATTACATGTGTGAGCCACCACACCTGGCCTCAATGACATTTTTATTACTAATTTAATTGTACTTCTTTATGTCCCCTTGCTCTTTGTTTTGAAGTCTTTCTTTTATTTCATCCTGAAGGCCAATACTTTTTTTTTCTTAACAGCATTGTTCTTCTTTCACTGATCTACTGAATATTTACATTTAAAAATTAGTTTTCTTACTCCATAGTGTCTCATTTTGTGTTATTTTCATCGATCAAGTTGTGATTTATTTGACTCCTCCAGTCACTTGTACTTGGACTTCACCTTGTTCTTGCTGATTTTCTTTGCTGCTTCTGTTTCCCTTCGATCTCAGGGCTCAGGTCAGATGGATGGGGAACCTTAAGCAGTAGCAACCTGATGAGTAGTTGGAGGTGCAAGTTCCTGCTGGCAGAGTGTCAGTCTCTGTGTAGCACCAGAAGAAAGCTTCTCTTTCCCCAGGAATGCTCAGCAGAAAGATCTGCCTTCAACCAGGCTCAGGGGAAGGTAGGAACTTAGCACACTAGGCAGCTTCCCCCATAGTTCCAACACCTGGGGGGTGCCTAGAGGTCCTCTTAGGACTATGCACAAGGGAGGCACAACATACTGTCTGTGGGCCACAGATCTCTGGGGATGCGGAGGTATACTGCCCTCCCCTGGATGTCTAGACTCCTACCCAGTGGTGCAAATTTCTGCACCTGCTTGGCCTCCTCTGGCTCCTGGCAGAGTCAATATGGAAGATCATACCCTTCCAGTCCTGCCCACATGCAAGCCCAGGAGAGATGGTAAGTGATGGGAAGAGGTAAGACAAGGAGGGCATCTGAGGTGTTTACTCACTGCCATCTTCCCAGAATCCCCTCTGCTAGATGCAATTTAAGACTCTTAAATTCTTTACCTGATATAATTTTGTTTTTCATTTATCTCTTTAAAAGAGTGGCATTTGGCCATAATTCAAATATTTTACCCAGGACTCTTGAGAACCAAGGGATAATTCCTCAGCTGGCTTGAGGATTTGGAAAGAAAAGACCTGTTATTCTGATAACTTGACTTTGTTTTGAAAATCCGCAGGGCTCTCAGCTAGCACTGGTATTTCTGCATCTCCACATCTCTGTCCTCACGGAGCTGGTTTTGGAACGTTAATTGCTTGGCCGGGGCAGTTAGAAAAAATTAGTTCTAAGGCTGGGTGTGGTGACTCGTGCCTGTAATCCCAGCACTTTGAGAGGTGGAGGTGGGCAGATTACTTGGGGTCAGGAATTCAAGACCAGCTTGGCCAACATGGTGAAACCCCATCTCTACTAAAAATACAAAAATTAGCTGGGCATGCTGGGGCGCACTTGTAGTCCCAGCTACTCAAGAGGCCGAAGCGTGAGAATCACTTGAACCCGGTAGATGGAGGCTTCAGTGGGCCGAGAATGCGCCACTGCACTCCAGCCTGGGAAACAGAGCGAGACTCCGTCTCAAAAAAAAAAAAAAAAAAAAGTTCTAAGAATGTCAGTCTTCATCACATGTAGGAATTTCATAGGGTTCCATAATGGTGCTCTTCCACCTTTATTGTGCACTTACAATATGACGGACCTTCTTCTGAGAAATCATTTTCTATAAATAATGCCATCCAATGGTCAACACTAACTTGCTCGTGTAACAGCAAGTCTAAAGAATAGTAAGAAAAAAGACAATGTGATATTCCGAATGTCCTCGGGTTGGTGGTGAGAGTCAGTGTTACCCCTCCGCACCTCGTTCTTAACCGCCCCATCACCTTGCCCCCATTTTCTGCTGGAGCAGAGGTTCTCAGACTCTGGGATTTCAAAGAACCAGGAGAATGTTAACGTTGGCATACTTTGGCAATGAACACAGGGCTGCCAACATTTTGATTGCCAGGTGTCTTCACTCAAAAACATCTACAATCCACTCTCAAAAACATTTCATAAAATGGGCCAGGCATGGTGGTCCACGTCTGTAATTCCAGCACTTTGGGAGGCTGAGGCTGGTGGATCACATGAGGCCAGGTGTTCAAGACCAGCCTGGCCAACATGGCAAAATCCCGTCTTTTACTAAAAATACAAAAAAAAAAAAAATTAGACTGGCATAGTGGCACAAGTCTGTAATCCCAACTACCCAGGAGCCTGAGGTTCAAGAATTGCTTGAACCCGGGAGGCGGAAGTTGCAGTGAGCCAAGATTGCGCCACCGCATTCCAACGTGGGTGACAGAGTGAGACTCTGTCTCAAAAAAAAAAAGTTTCATAAAATGAAATATGAGTCCCAAAAAAGTAGGAAGGACAAAATCTTACAACTTTTAAGTGAATAAACATAAACTTTATAGAAATCTCACCAAAACGTGAAAATTCCACCACCAGTTGGCAACACATCACTGAGAATCATTTGGCAACCCATTGCAGGGCGTCTGCCACCAGAGGTATTTCCCTCCCAAGAGGGTAAGAGTTGCTGGGAGTAGGTTCACAGCTAGAGCCCAGCCTGCGGGGTATGTTCATGTCCCTTCCGGTTTCAAAGGAATTCAGTCTATCAGGTACAATATCTCTCCCTCAGGTCTGAACAAGGAATCAGCAGAAGCAGCCACAGGACTATAATGGTGATACAATAATCCCATGGAGGAGTAAACTACAAAAAACCTGATCTTTCAGTAGAGGCTTTACATGCTTAACCTCTGGAGCCAGGCTGCCTGAGTCTGAATTCTAGTTCCACACTTTACTAGCTAAATAATCTTGGACAATTTATCCAAGATTATTTAGCTAGTAAACTGTGGAGCTAGAACTAGACTGGAATTAGATTAGCTAATGCTAATTAGCTAGAATTAGATTAATATTTCCAAGCTTCAATTTGCTCTGTGAAATGGGAATAATAATACCTCCAAGCGTAACGAGGATTCCATGAGATAATGCATGTAAAATGCTTAGAAAAAAAGAAGGATATTAAATGCTAGATCTTACTACTATTGAGTAACTATTATGTTCCAGGGGTGTGCTAACTGTTAGAAATAAATAAGATGTCAGCCAGGCGCTGTGGCTCACGCCTGTAATCCCAGCACTTTGGGAGGCCAAGGTGGGCAGATCACGAGGTCAGGAGATCAAGACCATCCTGGCCAACATGGTGAAACCCCATCTCTACTAAAAAAATACAAAAAATTAGCCAGGCGTGGTAGCAGGCGCCTGTAGTCCCAGCTACTTGGGAGGCTGAGAGAGGAGAGTCGTGTGAACCTGAGAGGTGGAGCTTGCAGTGAGCCAAGATCGCACCACTGCAGTCCAGCCTGGGCAACAGAGCAACACTCCATCTCAAAAAAAAAAAAAAGAAAGAAAGAAATAAGATGTTACCAAAGGTGGCTGCAGTAATCCACCCCTCCTTCAACCTTTTCTGCAGTGAGACTTTGTCATTCCTGCAGTCAAAAGGTGGAGTCTATGTCACTTCTCCTTGAATCTAGGTGGCCCTGTGTCTTGCTTTCGCTGAGGTATCAATATGTGACTTCTTAGCTAGGCCTTAAGCAAGCTTGCAATTTCCATTTTCACCTCTTTAGGAACCAGCTGCCATATAACAAAACTCTAGGTAGACTGTTGAATGAAGACACTGCTGGAGACAGAGGCTGTGTATTAGTCCGTGTTCATGCTGCTGATAAAGACATACAAGTGACTGGGAAGAAAAAGAAGTTTAATTAGACTTACAGTTCCACATGGCTGGGGAGGTCTCAGAATCATGGCGAGCAGCAAAAGGCACTTCTTACACAGTGGCAGCAAGAGAAAATGAGAAAGAGGCAAAAGCGGAAACCCCAGATAAAACCATCAGATCTCGTGACACTTGTTCACTACCATGAAAACAGTATGGAGGAAATCACCTGCGCGATTCAAATGATCTCCAACAACATGTGAGAATTGTGGGAGTACAATTCAAGATGAGATTTCAGTGGGGACACAGAGCCAAACCATATCACGCTGCATGGAGGAGAACTGAGATGTCCTGGCCAACAGCCAGGACCAAGACATGTGAATGAAGCTATGTTGACACCTCCAGCCCCAGCTGAGCCACCTCAGGCAACACCAAGTGGAGCAGAGGTGAGCTGTACCACTGGCTTCACCTGAATTCTTGACCTCCAGAATTATGAGCTATTACATGGTTGTGGTTTTAAACCATTAACTTCTGGGGTGCTTTGTAACGCAGCAAGATAACCAAAACATAAGACACAGCCCATCCATAGTGAAATCTAGCAGAGACCCCTCATCCCCTCTCAGGTCATGTGGAAAATGCTATGATAGAGATGCCAGGTCAATGCAACCTACTGTGGGCACAAGAGGAGGCAATGATCGATCATGCTGGGGACAGAGGATAGAGAAATGGCAGCCCTGAGAGGTGAGAGGGGACCCTTAAACCTGCCTGAGTAGGTGTGGCCAGGTGGAGGGCTGGAGGGCATTCTTGCTCTGCAATCAGCAGTGGCCAAATCTGGGGCTGTCTGGCTGTGAAGGAGTGTGGGAGAAAGTTGAAAGCAGATGAAGCAGAAGTTTCCACTCAAGGATGAGATTCAATGAATCTACCAATATCTCCCTGTTTACTGAACGTTTACTAAGGCCAAGACCTTAGTGGGTCTGATTGATCAATGGATAAATGCCACAGGTCCTGCCTTACCCTCAGACAGAACACAGCAACAGGTCAGCCCCCCTGAGCCTCCCCGGCCCCAGGCTGAAGCAGGTCTGAAGACCTTAGCACTGTCCTGAGCCTTTTCCTGCCTCCTTTATAGAAATTACCCAAGTATTTAATTTTTTAAAAAAGGTGTAATTGTTTTCTTGTTATCTATCTTCCCTTTTGGACTGTGAACTCTGAGTGCAGAGAAGCATCTATTTTGCTCTTTCTCAGGCCTTCAAAGCCTAACAGTGGCTGCCACAGAGCATAGGTGTTGTGCGAATGTATGAGTGAATGAATGGAGGAATTTAATGAGAAAGCATGCTCTCAGATGCCTGGCATTCATTCATTTTTGATATATGTATAGGTAGTTATACCACAGCCAAATAAATAGCCAAATTCACATCAGAAAAGAGGCTCAAGCACTTGTACTCTATGTATAGTCTATATAACTTCTATAATAATAATTAACATAAAGTGAATGTTTACTCTGTGCCAGGGACTGCTCTAAGTACTTTATTTATGTTTATCTCATTTTGTACACAGAGATTTCTTTAAGGTGGTTCCTATTATTATCCTGATTTATAGATGAGGAAATCTGAGGCATAGAGAGTTTCAGGGACTTTCCTAAGGAACTTGCTGTTAAATTGCTGAACCTAGATTCAGACCCAAGCAACGGAACTCCGGAGACACTTCCCTTCACCATAGCACAGTGATGCTTCTCTTCATGAGATTCAATTAAAGTTAAATAAATAAGTAAGAACATAGACAGCAACAGAAGGACTCAGGGAATTGGTGACAAGACAGGACCATTTTCCCCATGGGAGTTTTTGCTCAATTCTAGCTCAGTCTGTGGTGAATACTTGTGTGTCCACAGCAGCCTACAAGACTAAAATTAGAGCCAGAGAGTGCTTCTGAGTGGAAAGGAGCGCCTGGGCAAAATAGAGCCCATCAGGCATTCGGCATAGCACATAGGGGATCATTTAGTCAAAGCTGTCTGAGGATCACAATGATTGGGCAGGGGCTCCCATCCTTCCTCCTGACAGGATGGAGCCTGACAGTCAAGGTCAAGCATCACCTCCGAGGTGAGAGAAGGCACGGGTTAGACACAGCATCGATCTAGGTCCAGCTCTGTTGTCAACTAAGCACTGGGACATTTAGGGTCACGCCCATCTGTAACAAGAGCTCCGAGCTTCTTCCCAGCAGTGAAATGCTACAGATTATTTTGGAATTCACATGGAGACCTAACAGTTCCAGGAACAGCAGCTCTAACAGTGCATATGGCAACTTTTCAGGCTGCTTCCAAGCAATGGCCAGATCTACATGGCAGGAATTTGCAGTCTTCAAAAACAGTTAAACCAAGCCAAGTCTTGATTGTCATTAGTTGTGTTAGCAACCATATAGCTATGAGAACTAAAAACACCGACAACTTGCCTCCAGAGGAGAATTCTCTTATACGTTTTGTTTCTAATAAACAGGGGAAGAGACGTCCTTATCACTGCTGCTTTCAGTGTGAATTTCCTCTTAACAGTCTTCTGGCAGACATCAGCATCTCTCTGCTTCCCTCAGCATAACTACAGAAACAGCAGGAAGCAGTGATTGCCATTGCATAGGTTTCTGTTTGTATATTGGCAGATGTCAAAACATTCTCATAGAAAGGGCTTTCTAAAGTCTCAGCTTAATTCCACAATCCTCTTTGCCCACATCCGTGTAGGACATGATAAAACTCAAGTGACCAAACTCGCCATCTTGCTTTTGTTCGTGAAAACAAATCTAAGCAATAAGTATCTGTGTAGGGATTTCCACAATCTCCACCCAAGGGTGAAGGAAGCTACGGAAGGCAGGAGGCAGGGAGACACTCTTCGGGGTTAGAGGAAAACATGTTTTTCACTTCTCTTCTCCCCGCATCCTCCTGTCTCAAGGCCCTCCTGCTTGATGTCTACCTGGCTTTGATCCGCTTGGATGCCAACAGTAAGAGTTTAAAATACAATGACAAAAAAGATGGAACACAAAAGCCCTCAGTGGAAGCTGCCTGATTCCGTTAAATATAAACAATTTGTCTGGTAGATGATGTTAGGTAAGCTGTGACATTTGTCTTTCTGCTCCTATTCCCTGCTTACCCACCCAGCCCCTCCAGCACTAAGGCTCCAGTTCTAAAAGCAGACTGGCTTCTAAGAGGACCCTGGCTCCATCAGTTAATATCTGTGTGATTGTAGGAGGTTAGTTAACCTCTCACTGCCTACATTCCCTACTCTGTAAAATGAGGATAATAAATAGTAACAAGTTACAGATTTGTCGTGGGGATTAAATGGAATAATGGATACAAAGGAAATTAGCATGGGAGCATCTAGGAAGCTCCAACGTTAACTACTAGTAACGTTGTGATTTTTAGTAACCACCCCATCTCTCCATTCAGTGAGAAAGGATCTATTTACCAGTACTTACAGCAGGGCAGAAGCTCATTAACACTCATTAACAGTGATAGTTCATGTTCAACCTTTCATCTCTAGTTGTGAAGTGAAAGGCTGTTTCCCCAGGTTCTATTTATTCAACAAGCATTGATTGAAAACTTAGTTTGTTGGGTATTAT
This sequence comes from Homo sapiens, assembly GCF_000001405.40. NCBI lineage: Eukaryota > Metazoa > Chordata > Mammalia > Primates > Hominidae > Homo > Homo sapiens. The sequence goes on from NC_000009.12 coordinate 87,256,966, forward strand.
AAGGTATTCCCAGTACACAGAAGGTGCTCAGGAAATGTTTGACAGATGAATGAATGAAAGAATGAATGAATGAATGAATGAATGAATGAATGAATGAATCATGACCCTCCCACAGATGCCCCTCCTGGATACAACAGGACATTGGGGACAGAGAGGCTTGCTCATCCCTACACCCTCACCTCCCTCCAGCCCTGAGTCCTCTCCACTCCAGCCCAGGGCTGCCTGCCTGCAGAGCCACTGGCCTTAGACCTTCTCCTATTTCCTTGCTTGGCTTCTGACCAAGAAGTTCTGACAAAGAAGCAGTCATTAGAACACATCCTCTTTGTATTACTATGGTCAGGAGTTATAATGGATGTTCAAAAAGAAGGCATCTCACATGCATATGGAAAGTACCTTCACCCTTTACTCTAATCAAGGGCTTATTCTTATTTTATCCCGTGTAACAGAGCCATCTCTCAAACTTTAAGTACTGAGTAAGAAAATATTTTGTACAAGGCTGGCCTGGACCGTGATCAGGATGTGGCATGTGAACTTTGATGGACTCTGGGAATAGCCTAGCTCTGCCCACACCTCTATCTTACAGGGTGGACATATATTGTTTTTTTCCGTCAATATCTATTATACCTTGTTTTGGTGTCTTGGTCTTGCCTCCTCCTCTGGAAGCAGAACTTGGGTGGGGCCCCACCTCCAGTCTCATAAATGCAGCAAGTGTCACACGTCTAGACCATCAAGGCATTCAACCTACAAAAGCCACAGGGATGGTGGGGTGAGGGAAGGCACCTGCTCAGAATGAGTCCCAGGACTAGAACTACTGATTCTAGGAGGAAACATTCTCTTTTTACTTTAAAAAAAAATGCTTCACTCTATCACCCAGGCTGGAGTGCAGTGATGCTATCTTGGCTCACTGCAACCTCCACCTCCTGAGTTCAAGCTATTCTCATGCCTGGGCCTCCCGAATAGCTGGTATTACAGGTCTGTGCCACCATGCCCAGCTAATTTTTGTATTTTTAATAGAGACAGGGTTTCGCTATGTTGGCCAGGCTGGTCTCCAACTCCTGGCCTCAAGTGATCTGCCCGCCTCAGCCTCCCGAAGTGCCGGGATTACAGGCTCTTGTTTTAATATGAACTGGGGAAGAATGACCTTGAAGCTACTGAAAGGCCACAAGATAGTGTCTGAGAACAAAGCAAATATAGGAAAGAGAAATTTGAGCCACTGGAAAAGATAGCCTTGATTTCGTTGAGCCCCTGAATCAGCCTGTGCTTGAAGCCAGTTTCCTCTGATTTTTCGGCTCTGTGAGTACATAAATTCCTTTACCCTCTGCTTAAGCCATCAAGGTTGGGTTTTTATTTACAACCGAAAGAGTCCTATGATACCAACAGAAATTGTCCCAGTGCCCAAAGTTTCATATTATTTATTCCTTTGCATTAATGTGGAAAAATCAAGCTACAAGATTGCAAAGGTATTACCAGCCATCAGTTCAGGAGTTCTTGGTAATTTGATAACTATTACTGTAATTTATCTGGTAGTACCACAATCAGGCTCTAAGCACTCCAAGGATAGAACTCAAAACTGCGTTGAACAATACAGCCAAGTCCACCATGAAGTCCCATAACCCATGCCTTTAAGTGATCCCCTTCTAGTTCTGTGGGGAGCAATAACTCAGACACTGGAAACTTCTTAAATGTATAGGGCTTGCTCTAGGCTATGAATGGGTAGGATTGTAGAGGCAGAAGAAAGAGGAAAAATATTTATTTTGTTTGGCAAGCCTTTTGTTTCCAGTGATGTCCAGAGACAGTGTGGACCATAGAAGACCCCAGGATTCTCTTCCTTAGATTCAGTGACCTTTACTAGATTGTGTATGCATCACTTTTTCCGTGTCTTTATCCAAAGCCGGCAATTAGGTAGAGTTTTACCAGCCCATGAGCTTGAAATTTTTTTATTCAACCTATCAGTGATATTTATTGAGCACCTATCATGTACTAGATGCTGTCCAAGTTACTGATCACTGGAGTTTCAAAGATGAACGAGCACATTTCCTTCACCCAAGGAGATTAGAGTCCAGTGGGTCATGCAGACAACACCCAACGTAACTACATCAGGTACAATGAAGGCTATGACAGAGGTGAGCACACTGTGATGCCAAGCAATGGCAAGGAAACCTGCCCCAGGCTACTACATGGAAGCTGTGACTCAAGACAAGTGGAAGGTAGTTTTTGAGCAGAAAAATGGGCAAAAGGGGTTGCCAGAAGAGGAAATGGCACCAGCAAAGGAGCAGTGGTATAAGAAAAGTAAGGGCATTTATTGAACTGAATTCATTTGGTAAACTGGGCCCAGGTATGAGGGTGGGAAAGCGTGTGAAAAGAAGAAAACACGTCATCATAAAGGGCTCCTTCTGCCAAGGTAAGGACGGTGTTTGAATGGGGAAGTCTCCAGTGGCTCCACATTTGAGACAGAATAAAATCTAGAACTCTGGTATCCTTGGAAGGACCAGCAGGACATTATTTTTGCATTGCCACATCCTAGTAGCAAAGAGAACAAAATGTGTGATGAATGCAGAATCTGAAGATGGTATTTTTGTTCAAATAAGCTTTATTGTCCCTTATGTCCACTGTCCTGGTACCCTGGGTCCAGGAGACGTGAGGAGCCACAAATATCCCCATAGGAGTCCCGCACTGCACTCCACCTCCCAGCAGCCATAGGCAGATGAGAATCATTTTTCATCTGCTATGCAGTCATTTTGAAAGTAACATGATAGTCCCTCTGGGGGATGCACATGAAGCCAAAGTGAAACAGTCTTTTCCTTCTGACTGCGACTGCAGCATTTTCTTTCCCTGGCTCTCCTTCTTAGCATAAGCGTGGCTGAGTCTTTTGTCTTTTGTTCAAGACACCACACCTCAATCTTAGACTCCACAGTGTTCTTGTTGTTGCTTTGTTTGTTTGTTTTGATATGCATCTTCTCATAAAATGGGTCAGGTTCAAAAGGTACCGGCTCTTTTCCCACATCAGTGTCTGTCGTGGGTCCAATGTGCCCCAGGTGTGGCTTCGTCAACGTTCCGTTTACACATGATTCTCATTACAGGATCCCCAAGGGCTGTGAAAACATTTTCTTGAGCCTCCCCCAAACAGCCACAACTAGGAATTGGCAAACACCAATTGAAATGCACCATTTTAAATGTATTATGGGCAGTCAGTCCCCCACCCTGACGTGTACTCAACTCCACACATCCTCATTGCCTGCCTGTCCGGGACCCCAGGTCACCTCTTAGCTCCTCATGTTCCTCGAGCCCCCGGTATCCCCTTGGCCAGGCCCCAGATGTTTGGATTGCAGGCACAGGAGCGCCAGTAGCAGAAGGGACCATGCCAACGGGAGGACCCATCAGGCCTCCAAGGCCACATCATCATTCCATTCGCCGGCTCATGCGTCAACTTACATGACTTCTATGTGGTTATTTAGCCTTTTAAAAATACTTTTCACCCTTTCCTGTGCCCTTTTAAGGTAGACGCAGTTTCGTAAGAGGCTAACACATAAGGGTAAATTAAAGTAAGTCTCCATAAAACCCAGAGAAGAGACAGAAGAGACTGTGAAACTCCTCTTTGGACCCCATCTGGAGCCACAGCAAAAAAAAAAAAAAAAAAAAATAGTTTTACTTGCTAATCCTTTAGCTAAAAGCAATTCATAGAAGAGAATTGACAAGCTCACTAAGGGAGAGAGAAGTAGCTTGTACAAAGACTGTGCCTCAGTTTCCCCATTTGTAAAATTAAGGATTAGACGTGATAATCCCTCAGCTACCTCCATCAGTGAAATATGATGATTTACTGAATACGGGCCATTTTTTAAATGAAATAAAATTGTGAATTTAAATTTATTAGTAATAACATTCTGTTTTTTTATGAAGTAGATAATGACAAACCAAAATATCTCATTTGTTATCAACAAAAATAAATCACCTTTAGAGTGGGGATGAAGGGCAAAAACTTTAGTCATGTATAGTACATGGAATAGGGATCAAGGTGATGTATATTTGGGGGAACCATTTTAAAGAATCGAGCATGAAAAGTATTCTTACAAAAGGCAAATGCGGGCTACCTGATATAGTCACCTCCTTTTCTGATTCCAGAGGTCTGAAAGCAGCCTCAGCAGCAAGCCACAGCAGACGCGAAACGGGGAAGAGCAATGGCATCGCTGGTGATCAAAGGCCTGGCCGAGCTACCCCAGGCTCCATACCATCTCCGGAGATGCCTGGCTTGGGGAAGGTCCTTGGTAAGAGAAGCAGTTCTCAGCCTCTTTCTCCGGTCAAGCTCCTCTACAGAAACAGAAAGGAGAATAAAACAGGGGCTCAATATGGATCCCAGTTACATGAGCTTATATCCCAGCTGGGTTTTTTAACTGACAAATGAAAATGTATATAAATGTATGGTGTAAAACCAATATGTGGCTGGTCATGGTGGCTCACACGTGTAATCCCAGCACTTTGGGAGGCCAAGCAGGCGGATCTGTTGAGCCCAGGAGTTGGAGAAACATGGGCTGGGCAACATGGCGAACGAAACCCTGCCTCAAAAAAAAAAAAAAAAATTACCCAGGCATGGTGGTGCAAACCTGTAGTCCCTGCTACTGGGGAAGCTGAGGTGGGAGGACCTCCTGAGCCCAGGAGATAAAGGCTGCAATGTGCTGTGATCACACCACTGCACTCTATCCTAGGCAACAGAGTGAGACCCTGTCTCAAAAAACAAAAAAAAAAAAATGATTTTTTCACATATGTATACATCCTGGAATGACTAAGTCAAGCTAATCAGTATATCTATCACCTCAAATACTTATGTATTTTTTTTTAGTGGCGAGAACATTCTTAGCAATTTTCAGGTATACAATGCATTATTATTAACTATAGTCACCATGTTGTATAATAGATCTCTAGAGCTTATTCCTGTTAACTGAAATTTTGTACCCTGTAACCAACATCTCCCCATTCTCCACACACAACTGTCAGCCCTGAGTAACCACAATTCTTCTTTCTGCTTCTATGTATCTAATTTGTTTAGATTTCACATAAGTAAGATCATGTGGTATTTTTCTTTCTGTGCCTGGCTTATTTCACTTAGCACAATGTCCTCCAGGTTCATCCATGTTGTTGCAAATGACAGTATTTCCTTCTTTTTGTGGGTGAATCATATTTGATTGTGTATATTTATCATATTTTCTTTATCCAACCATCCATTGGAGTATGCTTAGGTTGGTTCCTACAGTGAATAACACTGCAATGAACATAGGAGTGCAGGTATCTCTTTTAAATCCTGATTTCATCAAAACCACAATGAGAGACCATCTCACACCAGTCAGAATGGCGATATTAAAAAGTCAAGAAACAAGAGATGCTGGCGAGGCTGTGGAGAAATAGGAATGCCTTTACACTGTTGGTGGGAATGTAAATTAGTTCAACCATTGTGGAAGACAGTGTGGCAATTCCTCAAAGACCTAGAACCAGAAACACCATTTGACCCAGCAATCCCATTACTGGGTATATACCCAAAGGAATATAAATCACTCTGTTAAAAAGATATTATGCACACGTATGTTCATTGCAATCCTATTCACAATAGCAAAGACATAAATCAACCCAAATGCCCATCAATGATAGACTGAATAAAGAAAATGTAGTACATATACACCATGGAATACTATGCAGCCATAAAACAGAATGAGATCATGTCCTTTGCAGGGACATGGATGGAGCTGGAAGTCATTATCCTCAGCAAACTAACACAGGAACAGAAAATCAAACACTGCATGTTTTCGCTTATAAGTGAGAGCTGAACAATGAGAATACATGGACACAGGGAGGGGAACAACACACATTGGGGCCTGCTGGGGAGGGGGGTCAGGGGAGGGAGAGCATTAGGAAAAATAGCTTATGGACGCTGGGCTTAAAACGTAGGTGATGGGTTGATAGGTGCAGCAAACCACCATGGCACACGTTTACCTGTGTAACAAACCTGCACATCCTGCACATGTATCCCCAGAACTTAAAATAAAATAAATAAAATAACATAACATAAACAAAAGGCATTCAATTAAATTAAATTACACTTTGTCCTAGAAAAAATAAACAAATACTGTAAATAAATGATTTTCTATTTCATATGAAAAAAAATCCTGATTTCATTTCCTTTGGAGTAGACAAGTTTAATCTTGGCCTTTGAGGAGGGCTGATTTTGCAGAGGAGATGGGAGAAGATGATTCAGAGATAACAGAAATCAGATTGGTTGGCAGCAATAAGGTTCTGAAAAAGTAATTCTGAGGCCCAGGATGCCACTCAGGGGCTGACGGGATGGGGAATTGGGTCTAGAATTCAAGGAATCTAGGCATGGTTTTACGGTCCTGGTTCCAACAAGAAACTGGATTGCCAACTGTGAACCCCAGCCTCCTCTCCACAGGCAAGTGGGCAGGGCCTGCTGAATGGCGGCTGGGCTCCAGAACCGGATGGTGGTATCAGCCCTTCAAGCTAAGAGGAGCTGAGGAAGAAAAGTCTGCCCCCTTGCGGTCCCCTTTCCCTGCCTGTTTCTACTCCGTTCCTTTTGGGACCCTTGGCTGTCTTGCCAGTCAGCTGTCCTGCTCCCACCTGGGAACCTGGGATCTCACTTAGTCAGCCTGAGCTTGCCCTCGCCTGTCCCGGCCATGGCACATTATACAGCCATAGGAAGGCTGCTGCGTCGTTGTTGACCCCTGGGATCCAGCCCTGCCTCCAGTGCCCAGCCACCATCTTACAAAAACCATGCGATCCGTAAAGCATGGGGACCTGCTGACAAAATACCAACTTCAGATACACTATCTTCTTTTAGTCATTTTTGAACATGTTTGACATAACCAGTGGAGACTTTAAAGATGGTTTTCCAAACACCGCATGTTTTCACTCATAGGTGGGAATTAAACAATGAGAACACATGGACACAGGAAGGGGAACATCACATACCAGGGCCTGTTGTGGGGTGGGGGTAGGGATAGCATTAGGAGATATACCTAATGTTAAATGACGAGTTAATGGGTGCAGCACACCAACATGGCACATGTATACATATGTAACAAACCTGCATGTTGTGCACATGTACCCTAAAACTTAAAGTATAATTAAAAAAAAAAAAAGATGGTTTTCATGGGTTATGTCCAAATGAGTGCAGCGACAAGCCATCCAGTGTCTGGCACTTTGGAAAGCCTTCGACCATTGACTGGGTACAAGGCAGTCATTCGTAATCCACATCCACACTCAATCCTGAAAAATAGACTTTCAAGTCCTTAGACCCCTGACTCCCAATTCTAACATCACACTAGCTCTGCCTGCTCCTGGGCTTCATGTCCTTTAGAGAATCCAGATCTCTTCTCTCTAGTCAGCTCAGATAGGAAAGCATTAAAGGCCAAGAATTTTCCAGGCCACATCCATATTCTGAGGCTCTACACTCACACACACACAGAAAAGGATTACTAAATTGGGGTTAAAAATTGAGGTTAAAATACTTGCATCAAACAAGTTAAATTTTTTTTTTTTTTTTTTTTTTTTTTTGGTGACGGAGTGTCACTCTGTCACCCAGACTAGAGTGCAGTGGCATGCTCTTGGCTCACTGCAACCTCTGCCTCCTGAGTTCAAGTGATTCTGCTGCCTCAGCCTCCCTAGTAGCTGGGTTTACAGGTACCCGCCACCACGCCTGGCTAATTTTTGTATTTTTAGTAGAGACAGGGTTTCACCATGTTGGTCAGGCTGGTCTTGAACTCCTGACCTCAGGTGATCTGCCCGCTTCAGCCTCCCAAAGTGCTGGGATTGCAGGCATGAGCCACCCCATCCGGCCAGAAGTTAATTTTTTTTTTTTTTTTTTTTTTTGAGACAGAGTATCACTCTGTTGCCCAGGCTGGAGTGCAATGGCATGATCTCAGCTCACTGCAATCTCCACCTCTCGGGTTCAAGCAATTCTCCTGCCTCAGCCTCCCGAGTAGCTGGGACTACAGGCGCCACCACGCCTGGCTAATTTTTGTATTTTTAGTAGAGACGGGGTTTCACCATATTGGCCAGGCTGGTCTCAAACTCCTGGCCTTGTGATCCACCCACCTGGGCCTCCCAAAGTACTAGGATTACAAGCATGAGCCACCATGCCCAGCCACAAGTTAATATTTTTAATGCAAAAAAGCATGACGCAATATAATTGTGTCACTCACCACATGGAAGATTAGTTTAAAACATGAATTTGTAGGTGTATGATCTGGGAGGGGATACAGGTTTTTAATTGTATAATAGATATTATTATCTTTCAATCATTTAGACTAATAATTTCACTTGGATATGAACCCAAGGGGTACAGTTGAAGGCCGTTTGTGAAGGCCATGGTTGGAGTGACCCCCTGATCCCCATAAAGGCTGGATTCTGCATTATATGAGCTTATCTCTTCAAAAGCAAACCCCTCCTCAACTTTTCAAATTACCCCTGTGAGGTTGAAGATGCTTAGACATAATCCAGTCCCAATGATTGACACCAGCAGAAGTACCTACGGGGAATGAAAACACAAAATGTATTCAGTTTGATTCCTGTATGCATCCCTGTCCCTCTCTCATGCTGGCCATGACTAGATTTCTAACTTAATATTTCCAAAATAATGAAGGTCTTAGTGGGGATGGAACAATGATGAGGAGGAGAAAAGGAAAAGTCCAGGTAACAAAGGTCATTCTGGCTCCTAAGTGACCAGCAGGAAGGAAGTTCTCCCATCTTCTTCTGATCCTTCCAGGCTCCCTGCTGAAGGCGTCCTGTAGGAAAATGTCACTTAAGAAGTTGAAGCACAAGCAATACCGACGTTTGCCAGACTTCCCACTCAGCTTCCAACTGCAAGCAATTGACCATTCGCGTGAACAACGACAGGGCTTCCTAGGCTTCCCAGGCTTCTTAGCGTGGCCTCTTATGTTGATGAGATTCCTCCACTCATAAGTCTCTAGGGAAAGCAGGGCCCCTTCCTCCTACCAAGATGAAAAAGTCTTGCTATTCATCTCCCCAACCCTCCCAGCAGCTAGGACATGGCCACATGCTTTAAAGGTGGTCGACAAACAGTACCCACCCAGCACTTTGAATCTTGAAGGAGTAACATCCAGGCTAAAGTTCAATTAAAGTTACTCACAGTGGCCTCAGAGATACAAGCAGTGCTGTGGAGAAGGGCCACTGCTGGCAATGCCAGAGGGCAAGCTTACGGAGGCCGTCCCTCCAGTGGGACTGTGGCTCTGTGTCCTTGCACCCCACAGAGGCCCCTTCTTCAGCCTTCCTCTCAAGTGCATGATTCCCTGATAACCTTTACATTAATATTCCTTCTCTTTAAATTAAACACAGTACACTTCTGTTGTTTGCAACCAAGAATACAGACACAGATACAAATAAAATACAAATTATGTTGGAATCAGCTGATTTCCTGCCCCTTTTTTGTTGGCATCAAGAGGGGCCACATGTCACATGTCTTGCTTTAGTGCAAGAAATGGGAGTAGAAATGACCATGTGTCACTTCTGGGCAGAAGTTTTGAGAACCAGCCTACAGTTTGCTCTGTCTCGTTTCCTTCTGCCACAGATCACCATGTTTCAGATACACCAGGGATCAGCCAATTTGCTCTGTAAAAGGTCAGAAAGTAAAGATTATCTTCATTGTGGGCCATACTGCCTCTATTATGACAACTTAATCCTGTTGTGGTGGTGTGAAAACGGTACATAAACAAATAACCATGTCTATCTTTCAATAAAACCTGATTAACAAAGACAATAGCAGGCCAGATTCTGCCACAGCTCACAATTTCCCAACCCTGAAATTGAGAGAGTTCTGTCCACCTCAGTCCTAGAGTAAAGAGATAAGCAGCAGAAACTCAGCAACTTCCAACACACATATAGCAGGAGTGAAAAATCCAACTTTGTGTTTGAAAATCACTAAGCTTTGGGGGTCATTTGTTACCACAATGTAACTCAGCCTATGCTGACTGATACATGAGTACGAAAAGATAATCTCCATGCAAGTAAACAAAAATTGATTTTTGTATGATTTGATGAGGTTAGATCTACAAGAGGTGGGGAAAACTTCTTTACCTCTCAAGGTCAAAAAGCAAAAATAAATTCTTTTTCTTTCTGTGATACAGTTTCACATCAACCACTGGTGCCTGTAACCCCATGACCCTTATCATTACAGAGCAGCAGTTTTGTTCTGTCTCATGAACACTGGAACAGAAGCCCAGAGGACTGGACTCCAGTTCTCAACTCACTTCGAATTAGTTGTTTAACTCTGAACTGCTCACATTCCACTCCCAGTCTCAATTTCCGCATGTGCAAAACAAAAAGCTGTGCCAGCCCACAGCATCGTCTTCAACCTCTCCTACTTAGGGCTTTCCTAAGAGCACTGTTTACTGATGACTGACAGCAACAAGAGGTTCAAAAATGACAATGAGTAATCAAAAGCCTCTTTTGAAATGGATCCCGTTTGCTGGGATGTGGATGTTGAGCAAAGACACAGCTCTTCGGAAAGTGGGGAACATTTTCCAGGCCCACAAGAAGCAGCGTGATAGAGCCAGTGGAACAGAGCCGTGGGGATGAAACTGAGTTTTGTGCCCATGTTTCTCTGTATCCCTACTGAAAATTTAACACTCAGCCGTTTCATCACTCTTGGCCTCGGGAAGAAATTCCTTCATGCTCCTTGGTTGTTTCCAATGAATGTTCTCATCTCAGATCAAGGCTAAATGCAGAAAAGGGGGACCACTCACTTCTTTCTTTACTTTGATGCCCACAAGGGGTTGAGGAGCTTCTCAGAGCCAACAGTGCGTGTGCCAGACCCAGCCCAGCATCTGGTGCCCGTGGGATCTGTGCATGTGAGATCCCAATTTAATCCCCATGCCAGAGGCTTAATCCCTGAACTCTGAATCAGTCCTTGGCAGAGAGAAGGCTCTTGGCCGACTTGTAAATTTCCATCCTTCAAGCCACCTCAGGCCAATCAACAGCTCAACAACCTCCTGCGTTCCTCAGGGAGCCTCTACACAGCCCCACCCGCACCTCCAGGTTGAGACACTCAGTCATGGAAGGGCGGAAGAGAGGGGGCGTCAAAACCCTCATCTGCTCCAAAACTCTGTCCTAGCCACCTGGCCCCTGACTGAAAAAAAATTGGCCAAACCCTAGTCTGCAGTATTCTCTACCACAGGCAATCTTGGGTTACATCAACCCATCAGTAGCTCTGAAAATATTGTCAGGCTACTCTTCAGGCTAAGTAACAGGGAGCAAGACCCTAAAGATTATGGGACAAGTTGAATGAGTATGTGCCTGTGTCTGCACATGGCAGATTATGTGCATGAATTAGGAATGGAGCCTGCGACAAGAAAGCTGAAAAAACTTGAAGATGTAACAGGTTTGAGCAAAGCATTTTAAGGGAGGATCTGGAAAGGCAGTAAGCAGATAGTAGGGGAATACTGAGCCCTGGGGAGAAAAAAAAACAAAAACCTCTATGATCACTGATATTATTATTTGAGTAGGCAAAGTATTTTCACATACATATTCTCTCATTTAACTTCCCTTCAGAAACCACAAGACGTATATGAAAATGTAAACTTTCTATCAGAGGAACCCATGCTCTGAAACGGCTCACCCAAGGTGACTTGTGAATGGGACTAGGGCCCATTTCTTCTATATCTTTTGTTTTGTTTTGTTTTGTTGTGAGACAGAGTCTTACTCTGTCACCCAGGCTGGAGTGCAGTGGTGCTATCTCGGCTCACTCTAACCTCCACCTCCCGTGTTCAAGCGATTCTCCTGCCTCAGGGGCCCGAGTAGCTGGGACTACAGGCATGTGCCACCACGCCGGGCTAATTTTAGTATTTTTCGTAGAGACAGGATTTCACCATGTTTGTCAGGCTGGTCTCGAACTCCTACCTCAGGTGATCCACCTGCCTCGGCCTACCAAAGTGCTGGGATTGCAGGCGTGAGCCACCACACTCGGCCCCATTTCTTCTACTTCTGAGTCCAGTGCTCTTTTTCCCGGGACACTGAGACTTAGTTCAAGATTTGCCTGGGGCTAAACACACACCAGAGGTGGACATGCCCTATGACAAAGGAACACATGGCCTCTCAGTGCCTGATTGGGAACCCAGCTGCCAGCCGTCACAGTGCCAAGATGGGGCAAGGGGAGGGCAGGCTGGAGCCTGGTACCCGCTCATCCCCAGCACTCCTGCCACACCTGGAACCACATCAAGCCCCGACAGCCTCAAACGCAGTGCCCTGGGGCCTTGACTTCATTTGTTTCTCACTTCGTATCAACAGTCAAGATTTAAAATTATAATAATAATCAAAATCATTGAGTCCCTCTGATGGCAGGACACCTGATGTACACTGGGCATTTTACATGAGATATTTAAAATAATTCTAACCACCCTTTGGGGCTGTTACTGCATCTTCTTTTTGTAAGAACACTGAGGCTCAGAGAGGTTAAGTGGTTTGCCTAAAGTCCCCCTGGGGACCTGCTGAGGATGCAGGCCAGCTGTGACCAGTGCTCCTCACAGCAGCACCACCACACCCCAGGGCCAACTGAGACACAAACATCAGTGTCCACAGGGGCCACGGAGGGAGGGAAAATTGTTACCAGAAAAAAGAGAGAGCACAACACCCACATCACTGCATAGACAGGGCTGCGACCTGGCCACAGTAACCTGGAAAACCTTGCAGCTGTGGGAGAATGGTGAGGAAGGAAGTTAGGCTTTCCTTCCTGAACCCCAAACCTTTCCTCGCCTCCTTTTCTCTGTTTACGAAATCTGTCTTTGATTACTAATCAACAGCATTTTCATTATTAACATAACTCTCTAGTACACGTGAACCATGCTATAATTAAACAGAATTTATGTTCAGTAGATTTATAAAAGTCAAAGAATAATGGAAGAGAGATTTGAGTGTGAAAGTGTGAAACGCAAACAATAGGAGAGAAAGTTGTAAAGCAAAACATATGACATTCCTTCTGCATTTTTCTCTTGATTCCCAAGCCTTAAACCAACATTATGTGCATGAAAAAATCATGATTGATTCTGGAAAATATTTTTTTAGGGCTCATTATTTTCCATCGAATCTCTTATGGGTAAGTTTTAAAATTTAGAATAAAAACCTAAATCCTTTGAATTTTCCATATAGCTTTTATTTTTTACCTCCAGCCCTAATCAAGTAGAACACATTATGTTTCCCCTATAGAAAAAGGTCTCTCTCATTCTTAAGCAGATTTGAAAGAAATTGTAAACCAATCCAGTCTCAACACTGCCGATACATCTGGCAAGGCAATCAGAGTCAACACAGACCACAGAAGCCCAGGCCGGCGCTGGATGTGAGCTGCAAGGATGAGGATGAGGACAAGAAGGGGAGGAATTTCACGTGCTTTTCTTTGTACTTGCCCAGAGTGAATGCCCGTCTCCTCCACTCTACTCTGAGCCCGAAGGGAGATCTCAGACACACAAAAGAGAATTCGACACTAGGAAAGTTTCTGTGTATTTCTTAGCAGTATTTTTCTAAGCATACGTTATGACGTACACCCTGGGTAGTGACTGTCTCCCCACGCGTGTGTGTGTGTGTGTGTGCCCACACACTCATCCTGACCACGGACTCTCCCCTCCTTTCACGACATCAACCTGCTGTGCCCCATTATCTCTGGCCTTTGTGGCTTAGAAGGTCAGAGACACTGTTCCCTGGATAAGATCCAGAAAAGGAAGGAAGCGGAAACAAAAATGTTTTTGCAGTGAAGTGACCTGATTACACGCAGAGTGACTATTTCTAAGCCATCCTATAACTACCCCCATTCAGCACTGGAACCAAGCCACAAAAGCAGCAGAGGCCTCCCCCAGTGCCGTTACTGGCTTGGTGAAAACTGCGACTGCAAATGACAAAGCTGGTCTTTATTCCTGAGTGATTGTGAGTGCGGTGGGGATGAAGAGTTTGGAGGGATAGGGACAGCTTTGCGGTGGCCAAGGGGCTTCCCCTCAGGTGAGTGCAGTTAAGGACAACTGTGGGTTCTGCACCAAAACATCAGGGTTGAAGTCTCGGTTTCACCATCTGCAAGCTGCATGACGTTAGATACGATTCATTAAAGCCTCTATGTCTCAGTATTCTTATCTGTAAAATGGGTGATTATGAATTGGTTGTAATGAAGTAAGTGAAGTGCCAGAAGGTAACAGTAGCTATTGTTATTGTATGGGGTCCTTACTAAGACCCACAACGCCCTTACCTCTCCCTCCCTCCAGAACATACGATTTTGCTCACAGGGTTCATCCTGGTCACTGATCTATTTCTCAAACATTCTATTTCTCACCAGGTCTCCATCCACCTTATCCCTCTTCCCTGGAGCGTATCCGTGGTCTCCTCAGAGGCCTTGTTAGCTCACCAACACCACCCCCACCCCAAAATGCTCAGCACTGCATTATCCTGAGGGTTTCCCACAGAACACTGGTCATTGTCTGAAACTGTTCACTTTAAAAAAAAAATACTCATTTATGCTCAGTATCTCCCACTTAGAGTGACCTACTTATCCCAGTTTGCCCGGGGCTCTCCCAGTTTGGGCAGGAAGCCCCTCGGTCCAGAGCAATCCAGGACAGCGGCTCACCCCAGAGCCCAGGAGAAGGCCAGGGCAGAGGCCACCTTCTTCACTCCGTGTCTTCAGCACTAGAGAAGGCCCGACTCACAGCAGGAGCCCAAAACACAGGGAATGGAGGAAGAAAGGCATTAATATTTTTCTAAGAATTGTAATTAAATCAGTCTATCCAATCATGAGAGACTCACACCTCCTCTGATTTCTAATCTACAAAGCAGAGAGAATAAAAGTGGAAGTTACCAGGGTTGTAGATTTTTTTAGCTAGACAGAGCTTTGCTGGAAGGATGAGCCCAGACCACGCCTCTTACCCTACCGGGGTGGGGGAAATTAAGGTCCACAGCCTGATGGTCATTGCTAAGGTCATCAGCTGGTATGTAGCAGAAACAAGATCTCTCAGGATACAACTTACTGAGAAGTATTGTATGAACTGTAAAGCAATACTTTGACATTAAGGTATTTACATTATTCTTTACTTGTAAATTTATGATCATTTTATCTCAGCAGGAATCCAGAACAAACTAGCCTTCATCTAAAGAATTATGATTTATCTAGAACTCTTGAGTTATATTAAACTGAAGCACTACCCCCATCCAAGTTCCTAATCAATTCAAATTGCTTAAATGTTTACATATTTTCAATTCCTTTTTTATAAACTCAGCTTAACCACTTCCTAAGACATTGCCACTTTTTGTCACATGTAGTTCTTTGAAACCAAAGAAGTAGCAACTAAAGATAAAATCGTCAATGGACAAAAATCACCGATACCCACAGTCAGCAAGGTCTCAATGCAAATTTGTTGGCTGCTTAAAAGGACCAGAAGCACTAGACAAAAGCATACACTCCCAATATGAGTTTTCAAGGTTTTGTTATCTGATATTTTATATGGTCAGCCAGATCAACAGTGGTCCTTGTTCACATAGAGTATCTCAGATGACAGATGGATATAAATTCATCCCCATTCATGCTAAGATCTAAATTCTATACATGCAGATAAAAGAAAGATATCTTGGAAGAAATTTTAACCTGATGTGAAATATAGCACTTATTAACCATCATTCTAATCATCTCTAGTAGATATTTAGACAGCATTTAGCAATTTGCAATAGGAGTTCAGAAATTATCTTGTTTGAACTCAAATGCAAATCAGTGGGAGCAAAATGATGAGAACTTATGAATGCAAAGAAGGAAACAACAGACCCTGTAATTAGTCAATTAGTTGACTAATTACGGAAGTTTTCATCGCTAGGAAGTACCTAAGTCATCGGAGATTATTTTCATTTCTAATCAACCTTCAAGTGACACTGAAGTTCCTAATACATTGTTTATTTATTTATTTTAAACTGAGACAGAGTCTCGCTCTGTTTCCAGGGCTGGAGTGCAATGTCCAATGACCCTCCTTGAAGGTGGAGGGTGGGAGGAGGGAGAGGAGCAGGAAAGATAACTATTGGGTACTGGGCTTAATTCTTCGGTGATGAAATAATCTGTATATCAGACCCTCATTATATGAGTTTACCTATGTAACAAACCTTTCAATGTACCCCAAAACCTAAAATAAAAGTTAAAAACAAACAAAAAAGAAATGGTACAACCATTGTGGAAAACAGTACGGTGGTTTCTCATACGGTTAAAAATTGAGTTGCCATATGATATGGAAGTGCTACTTCTGGGTATATCCCCAAAAGAATAGAAAGCAGGGCCTCAAAGAGATATCTGTACACCCACGTTCATGGCAGCATTCTTCGCAATAGCCGAAACATGGAAGCAATCCAAGCGTGCACTGACAGATGAATAGATAAGCAAAATGCAGTGTAGATATACCACAATGGAATATTGTATTAACCAGTCTTAAAAGGAAGGAAATTCTGACACAGCTTATAGCATAGATGAACCTAAATGAAAAGAACCAGTCACAGAAAGCAAATCCAGTATGCTTCCATTTATACCTGGTACCTAGAAGAGTTAAAATCAGAGAGGCAGAAAGGAGAATGGCGGTCGCTAGGGGCTTGAAGCAGGGACAAATGGGGAGTTACTATTTCATGAGTGTGGAGTTTCTGTTTTACACGATGAAAAGTGTCCTGAAGATGGATGGAGGTAATGGATGCACAACTTGATGAATGTGTTTAATACCACTGGATTCTACACTTAAAAATGGTTAGGAGGGCCAATTTTATGTTATATGTATTCTTCCACAATAAAAAAAATAACAAATTAAAGAAAAAGCAGAGAGGCAGAGTTGACTAACTACAGGAGTTTTCATAGCTGGGAAGTACCTAAGTCATCAGAAATGATTTTCATTTCTAATCAACCTTCAAGTGACACTGAAGTTCCTAATACTTTATTTATTTATTTGTTTGTTTGTTTGTTTGTTTTTTAATTGAGATGGAGTCTCGCTCTGTCACCCAGGCTGGAGTGCAACGCCCACTGCCCGGGTTCAAGCAATTCTCTTGCCTAAGCATCCCTAGTAGCTGGGACCACAGGCATGCGCCACCACGCCCGGCTAATTTTTTTGTATTTTTAGTAGAGATGGGGTTTTGCCAGGCTGGTCTCAAACTCCTGACCTCAGGTGATCCACCCCCCTCGGCCTCCCAATGTGCTGGGATGAGCCACTGCTCCTGGCCTGAAGTTCCTAATACTTTAAATTACTCTTCCCCTACTGATGATCTGTAAATAAGGTATTTTAAAAGAACAAAGTTCACTGTGTGAAAAAAAAATTGAGGAAATAAGCTGACTTTCCCAAGTTTACCCAGCTACAATGGTGGGGAGTGGAATCTGAAGTCAAGCGTGTGTGTAGTACACAAATGTGCCTTTTATTTTCCAATTTTCTATTATCAGCACTGCTTTGGGAAGAAGATAGAGGAAAGAGAAGAAAAGACCCTCAGACCAATGTATACTTCTTTCACAAAACACACACCCAATGCAAATTACACAGTATAGTTAGCTGAGGGGCATAATTTGTCACACAAATAAACAAACACTATTTGGTTCCGTCTGTGGCTACTGCAGTTATAATGAAAATCTAAAAACAACTGTAATGCTTCTAACCATAAAATTATAAGGCAAGAAAATGGATTTAGATAACTGTGAGAGCCTTAATTGTATGTTTGTAAACTCACAGACAAAGCTTTTACTCAAATTTAGCTCCAGCTCAAATAGCACACCCAAATCACACTTTCTATTTAGCCCTTCTCCTGCCGTATAGATCTAAGACCCCAGGCATTAGAAAACTCTGTCTTTACAAAAGCATGTGTATTGGGCGTGGAGAGGAGGGAGGAAATATAAGCAGCTTAATGTGGCAAAGGTAGCTGGAGAGATGGGATCCATGAAAGAAAGCACTCCGGGACACCTTAACTGCATTTGTTCAATTACACCTGATCAAAGAATTCCATCAGAACTCCAGTGTCAGAACTACAAGGAGCCAGAGATCCAATGTCCTCATTTTAAAGACATTCAGAGATGGCAAATAATTTCTTGGGCTCACACAGAAATTTATATGGCTCAAGTTCCCATAGGCCCATGCTGAGCTTCCTCGCACTTCACCTCAGCCAATGCTTGGTGACTATAGCAGCATCCGTTCCTGGCCAACCCAGTAGCAAGTTGTAGGGAGCCAGCCCTGTCTGTTTAGGGCTCCAGTCTCTTTCCCTCCTCCAACGGGCTGGGTGCAGAGAGGAGAGCCAGCCAGCCCCCTCCATTCCTCCTCCCAGCCCCTAATTCTAGTCTGGCACCAGCCCAGAAACTGGGGCAGCAGCAAACGTCCTGACAAACGTCCTGCCCTGGAGGAGCTGAGGACCACAGGCAGGAGACAAACGAGAACATGGCAGAGGGGGATGTGCTGTCCAGACACTAGAGCAGGAGGGAGGCAGGAGAATGGGTGGAGTGGTGATTTTGGTAAGGGAAGAGCACTAAGCGTCTTGGATGTGACATTTGAGCAAAGACTTAAATGATGAAATGGGAGAGAGTCGATGACTGGGGTAAGAACATTCCAGAGAGAGGAAATGGCAGGATAGAAAGGCGAGCAAATTCCTAAATGATGGTTGAACAACTCTGTGAATGAATATTCTAAAACCATCTAATTGCATACTTTCAGTGAGTAAACTGTGGAGTATAGGAATTACATGTCAATAAAGTTGTTACCAAAAAAATTGAAAGTAAATTTTAAACAACAGATAAAGGCACTCATGGTTTTTCAGGTGCATATTTTTACAAACCCTGTCTACACTCTTTTTGGACAACACTAGGGAAAATTACATAAGGAGTGACATAGGTCCTTCTCACTATCCTTTCCCTCTTCCTTGTATTATCCTGCGCCCCAGCGTCTTCCTAAGAGTCTGAGGTTAACCTGTGGGTAGATTCCTGGGCTGCTGCTGGCATCATGCATGTTGGTCCCTACTGCCCCATAACTTGATTAGCAGCTTGACAGAGGCCTGTTATGCCTTAATCAGTTGTCACTATCCTTGGCCAAAGGGCCTGAATCTGAAGGAGAGGAAGACACACTTAAAAGTTGGAACAGTAGGCCGGGTGCAGTGGCTCACGCCTGTAATCCCAGCACTTTGGGAAGCAAAGGCGGGCAGATCATCTGAGGTCAGAAGTTCAAAACCAGCCTGGCCAACATAGTGAAACCCTGTCTCTACTAAAAATACAAAAATGAGCCAGCCATGGTGGCAGGCACCTGTAGTCCCAGCTACTTGGGAGGCTGAGGCAGGAGAATTGCTTGAACCCAGGAGGCGGAGGTTGCAGTGAGCCAGATCATGCCATTGCATTTCAGCCTGGGCGACAGAGCGCGACTCCATCTCAAAAAAAAAAAAAAAGCTGAAACTGTAAAATCACCTTCTGTGGGCTGTTTAATTACAACTCCTAGAAACCCACATGCCACAATTAAGAGAGTGTGGTCTAAAGATTGGGATTTTTAAGTGCCCCAGCTGGCCAATAGGACAGAAATGTTTAATTCAGGGCAACTTTCCTGTTACCCTGAACCAAACCGAGATAACTGACTGCCTTCTCTTTTCAGGCATTCATTTACCAGAAGAACAGGGAATGAGCAAAAGAAATTCTCAAAGAATTTTTCTTTTGATACTTACCCACACTTCCTGTGCTCTGAGTCAGACCACAGAAATTGACAAATATGTGCAGAACATCTTAGAGGAAAAATGAGAAATGAAGACAGATGTCAAAACTATGTAGAAACACAGCCGGCCATCTTCTTAAAGACTCACTTTAACACGAATAACATTTAACTCCATCGTCAACAAAACCGAACTTCCTAAAAAATAATTCAGCATGGATTTCTATGAGCCATGTTGACTGAAGACAGATAACCTGGCAGATGTGTTGACTCCAACAAAACAAGGCGAATGTTCTCAGGTTTTGGGTATTGTGTCTCTCTGAGGTGATAACCACAGAGCGAGTTTCTCTGCTCTTGGTGTGAAGCAGTTTCAAATTGTTGAACCCCAGGGTTGCTGAAAGAGAAAAGCAAGTTATTTCAATGCAAGAAGAAACAAATGGCAGTCTCAAGCATGCACAGCTCAACTCCCATAAACGATGAAGGTAGCCAAGGTTAGTGAGCCCCATGGGGAGTGCTGAGGGGTGAGCTTACCACAAAAAAATGCAGGCCCCAGCTTGAAATGTCTATAAAACTAATTGAAACAAAAAAAGTACAGGTTTTTCTGAGCACACCAGGAAGAGTCTCAATCAGACAACCGTTGTCCACTGGAGACTCTCACAGGCTGTGGTGGTCTCTGGACAGCTGCTGCGGAAGGGTTGTCCCTTATTTCTGAATTAAATGAGGGAGGGCGGGGAATAATATGTTGAGATCCAGGAGGAGGTTATTTAGCAAGAGAAAAATATACTGGCAATGCTCATTTAAGGAAATTTGCTACACACATTTATCTTGTTTTGGTGCTGCTGTTGTTGTTTTGGTTGTTAAAATCATAGTTTCTCACACAGGAACTGAAAAAATAATGACTAATTGCAACTTGTGTTACAACATATTGTTCCCCCAGGTCAGTGCATGTTGAGCAAAGGTATGTGGCCAAGTTTTATTTGGGCTAGAAGAATCCAAGCCCTCCACATAATCAAGAGAGAAGCCACCGTGTGACCCAAATGAACGTAGGAGCAACAAACCTACAAGGCTTCACCTTCAGCTATTTCTCTCTCTCTTTGCAGAAGAAGGAAGCCAGAACCAAGTTAGAATCAACTTGTCTACCTTGTACAATATAAAGACAATGGTAATTAAGAACATTATTAAAGAGGAGATATCCAAAGTGTCAGGAAAAAAAAAGCACCTAATAGATTTTTTGAGCATTTCTATTCCTACCTTATATTTGCTATGAATTTCCATCACTCCTCTTCATAGTGACATCTAAATGCTTCCATTACAAGAACTATATTTGTTTCTTGTAAAATACCTTTTACCTCTGGATTCTTCAGAATTATGGCATGCAGTGTGCTCATAAACACTATCTGATCTCTTCCAAACACAGTTGATCTCTCCTGTAAAACATGCATGACCAAAACTTATTTTGCTGGGAAGCCATTCTGCTAACACAAACTCTCTTCTCAAACATTGCACCTTGAATTTGAGGACAACTTTAGGAGCTAATATGGTTTGGACATGTGTCCCCTCCAAACCCCATGTTGATATGTGACCTCCAATGTCAGAAGTTGGCCTGATAGGTGGTGTTTGGGTCATTGGAGTAGATCCCTCATGAATTGCTTGGTACTGCCCTTGTGGTAATGAGTGAGTCCTCACTCTATTAGTTCACAGGAGAGCTGGTTGTTTAAAAGAATCTGACACCCCTCCTCTCTCTCTCTTGCTTCCTCTCCCTCTCTCTCTCCCTCATCATGTGATGTGCCTGCTGCCCCTTTTCCTTCTTCTGTGAGAAAAATCTTCCTAAGGTCTCACCAGAAGCTGAATAGATGCTGGTGCCAGACTTGTACAATCTGAAGAACTGTGAGTCAAATCAACCTCTTTCCTTTATAAATTACCCACTCTCAGGTATTCTTTACAGCAATGCAAAAATGGACTCCACGGGAACTTTTTTGGAGATCCTATCAGATGAGTACTTCCCAAGCTCTGTTTAACTAGGGTAATCATATAATTTAATGTCTAAACAAATACTTGAAGAATAAAAGGGGTGCTATAAATAATGATTCCTGAACAACTGGTATAAACTGGGACACATGAACATACGGTCGCTCTGTCCCATAACATTTTCCCACTCTATTTTCTGTTATCCATGATCCCTTATCATCTAGGAGATTTGGAAAGCCTCTACTTCTTGCTATTTATTTTGAGAAAAAATTAATTATGTTGAATATACTTTTTTACTCTGTGAACACTCCTCCAGAGACATCACTGTTTCTCCCATGAGGAGGTATATGTGTCCCCACTGAATCTGATCAACTGAAAATCACTCTACTGGGCAGAAATTTGCCTGTTCTTTGGCATTCTCGCAGGTAAATATGCTGCTGTAGAGAAGAGAGGAAGTCACACTATGTCTCTGCCCTGTTGAGCATGAGTTGTTCATAGAGTAAAAGGTCACTTTAGGGCAGGGAATTTAAAAGATGGCTTCATTGCAAACATCGAGTCCAAACTGAATCTAGAAAAATTTCAAATATTTGGAAGGTTTCAATGAGTTCACACTCAATGACTGACCATCAGACAAATCCATCACTGCTGTCCTAGGCCTAGTTACTAAGTCAGCTACACCAAGTCTAATGGAAATATAATCAAGGCTAGTAAAAATGTCCTACATAATGTGGGAGACAACTGCACTTCAATTACTTGGTTATTTGAAAAGGCAGTGATAAAAAGGCATTTATGTGATAGAATAGGAATAATATTTCCACAGTGCAGCCCTGGGAGAAATAAAGGGTCAAACACCACCATGTCCATGAGTCTGGTCTTGTCTGGAGCTGTCACTGACAGGGCATGGAGTCACAGGACTGCTCCGTTTTGCTATGCATCATGCCCTGGAATGGATGGAATGGAGTTGTCCTAGATAGAGTTGCCTTTGGCAAAGGGGAAAAAATGTGTATGCAATGGTGTGCTCCAACAGTTTAGTAAGAGGGATTGCTCTGCTGCAGAGCCCTTAACAAGATATACCAAAGTTGTTAATATACATTTAACAGAATGGAACTGGCAGGTGATGGAGAGATTTTAGTGACCCACAGCACACAGGATAGAAGCTCTAAGTCATTGACTTGAGGGTGCTGAAGAAGCCATTTAAACAGTTTCTAGTCTACTCATTCATCTTTGATCATAACATTGCCAAATAAATGATCATCCTAATCACCTCTATTCTAGAATCAGCAGCTTTCAGTGTTGTGTTGGATAACCGAACCTGGTCACAATTTTTGTCTGAACACCATTTCTGGAACATACTTCGTCATAAGAATAATGTATGATGGTTGAGGAGGAGAAAAGAGGTAAGGCAGTTGGGCCTTCAGGAAGCCCCAGAACCTGGAGAGAGGGCAGGTGGCCATGTAAGAGAAAAGTATTTTCTATCCTAAAAACAACCACCAGGGCTCAGGGCACACTCAGAAGCACTGGCAACCTGTATTTGGAAAACCTCAATGGAAAACCTCAGGGCCACTTTTCAGGTGTTGGAAAGGCAGGGAAGTTGATCGCTTGGAGGCTTCCCTGTCACCCATGTCTACAGATGCCTCTGAAATTTACAAGAGAAGATCTAGTTTGGCTAATGTTCCTTTTGGAGCAGTATCTTGGAGTGTTCTTTCATCTACAGCAAGTGAATAGACAGGAGTGTATAGTTTCCACTAATGAGGCATCTTCATCCTCCTCCATTCCCTTCTTACAAATGAGGTCAGGAAAGAAAACTATTCCCCACCACAACATTAAGTTACCACTGCTGGATGCTTCCATTTTATCGTTCGTCATCCACAACCAGTCTCCATGGGGTAAAATCAGCAAGAGACTCCGCGTGATGTGTTCCCTTGTCTGCAAGTGGCCACATTAATAACCTTTTGAAGGGCTTTTTTCATTTCCACTCTCTGGGAGGAATTTTTTTAACCACTCAAGCCTTGGGGTCTGTTTAAACAAGAAATTGTTTTACACTCCTGAATGATGCATTCCTCTCCAGCTATTTCTACATAACTTCCAGGATATGAAAACCGCCCAAGGCTTTCCAACATGGCTGCTTTCTTTCCTCTCATAAACAAACTCAGCAGTAATCATGCCATTGTGGTCACTCTGGGGCTTTGCATTGCTTCAACTTTTTCCCTCAGTCTTTTGTTCTGCCAGACACTGATTATGACAGTTCACCCGAATCTGGAAAGCAAGAATGCACTCTTCTGCTGGTCTCTGGCCTTTAGCCTTTTCCTTTGTCCTCCATGAATATATGAGGCCAACAGGAGGGATCTAGGCTCAGTATGATAGGCTCAATAATGGCTTACTGAGATGTCAGGTTCTAATCCCTGGAAGCTGTAAATGTCACCTTCTAAGGAAAATGGCTCTTTGCGGATGTGGATTAAGCAAATAATTATACATGGGAAGATCATCTTGGATTACCTGCATGGGCCCTAAATGCAATCACATGTGCCTTATAAGAGGGAGGCAGGGAGAAATTTGATACAGACAGAAAAGGAGGAGATAATGAGGCCATGGAGGCACAGAGTGGAGTGATGTTGCCACAGGCCCAGGAATGCTGGCAGCCTCTGGAACCTGGGAGAGGCACAGAGCAGATTCACCCCCAGAGCCTTCAGAAGGACCAAGGTCCTGCCACCACCTCAATTCTAGTTCAGTGAAAGTGATTTTGGACTTCTTGTCTCCAGAACTGTAAGATAATGAATTCCTGTTGTTTTCAGCCACTTTAGTTATTACAGTAGCCACAGGAAACTAAAATGCTTGACCACCTGCATCTGACCTTCAACATCTCCAGCTGCATGCATCACTGCTGCAGAGCTCAGAGCATCCCAGCACACACCTCCTATGGCATTCTTGAGGAGGTGCTGATGCTTTTCCTTCCTCAATTGATCCAGAGAATTAACAAACTTCTGTGGCATTCTGATGTTTTGAGAGCAAACATGAGGAAACAAAAGCCCCAAAGGAATATTCAAACATGACTTCTTTTTTTTTTTTTTTTTTTTTTTGAGACAGGGTCTCACTCCAACACGGCTCACTGCAGCCTCAACCTCCTGGGCTCAAGGGATTCTCCTGCCTCAGCCCATCAAGTAGCTGGGACCACAGTTGCACCTCATGACACCTGGCTAATTTTTTGTACTTTTTGCAGAGATGGAGTTTCACCATGTCGCCCAGGCTGGTCTTGAACTCCTGAGCTCAAGCAATCCACCTGCCTTGGCCTCCCAAAGTGCTGGGATTGTAGGCATAAGCCACTGCGTCCAGCCGGAACATGACTTTCTGAGCTCCACTGTAGGCTCCCAGTAAAACATCCTTGCACCAAGCTCCCGTCTTCTTATTGAAGCTGAAATGTTACACAAAATGTCTTCAAGCCACTAAACAGTCATCATGATTTTAACTCATCTGTTTGGATTTGGACAAGTTACTTAATTTTTCTGGGCTTCAATTTCTTCATCTGAAAATGAAGAACATAAAACACATATCTCATTAAAAGGAGAGAAAAAAACTTATTTAGCACTACACTATATCTGAAATTCATTAAATAAAATGCTTTTTCATAAGGATAAAAATTATCACCTAATGCTTTCTTCAATGACTTATGGTTTTGACTTGATGAATTCAGATAACTGGGATTTTTCTCCCAGAACAATGTTTCTGAAAAAAACCAGGGGGGAGGGAGAAGAGGAGAAATCTCCTAAGATAGCTAATGTAAAGAAACTTTAATTATTAGTTCAATAAGCACTATTTCAGTTTGGGTTTCACCATGATTTCCAAAGGGATTTTCAACTCAACCATGAAAACAACGTTCTAGATTAAAACTCATGCAACAAGACTCAATTACAGGGAAAAAATAGTTATTTTTACAAAATCTTAAATAAGAAATGGCTTATTGAGTTTTAAATCTTAAGAAACCAAAGGGAAAGAGAGAATTTCCCTTTTTTTCTTTCTGGACTTAGCATTCCATGCAACTCTGTAAAGGGCAAAAGCTTCGTAATGCTCTTTCATGGTCTTAAATATGCTTCAGAGCTGCAGGGCATTTTTAAAATACCATTAATATAAGCCAGGTTGGAAAAAAAGTGGTATTTTCTGGATTCTAAATTAAATTGGTTGCTGTCCAACATTTTTGCATTAGGAGATGCCAGGGTGGAAGAAAGGACCATTAATCACTTTCTGCAGGTATCTGGAGTCCCCTATGCACCCAGGGATGAAGAGTACCTTGGAAACAGCCTCCATGGACTCAGAGAGCACAGCTGTGGCCTCACACTTACCAGGAGTGCTGAATGGTGAGCCAGGAGGCTTGGGCCCCAGGACAAGATGGCCTGGATGCTAGGACAGGGTGACCGCTCACTCTTTGAACAGTACCTCTCTGGCCTTCTGCTTAGTGTCCTATAAAATGATGGAGTTGAATCAGAAAATCCTAAAAGCTCCTTCAAGCTCAAATACTCTGACTTCCATAAAGGCCATGGAAAATCGGGGGGATTGAAGTGTTCGTGTACACAGTCAGCACATCTGAGGACTAGCAAGTAAAGGGCTAATAAAGTGGCCAGCTCTGCTTCAGGCAAGGCTCAAAAAAAGAGGGGGAGGGGGTAATGCTGCGTCTAGGGAGGAAACTCTCACCTCCTCAGGAAGGCATTTCCTGAAAACCCAATAGAACTAGAGATCATAGACCATAGTGCCTCCGTGCTGTCTGTCGGATTCCTGTTGGTTGATTTTTTTTTCACTGCACTCACTTACCTCTATCAAAGTTATCTTTTCTCTTAAACTATGTATTTGTTTACTATCTGTCCTGACTCACTAGATATGAGTTTTGGGAGGCCGGGAACTCCCTCACCACTGTAGAGAGAAAAGTCCCTGCCCCATGGTTGGAGCCCAGTAAATGTTTCTTGAATACATGAGTGAATGAATGATTGAATGAATCTACTCTGGCCTTTTGAAAATCTGTTCTCTTCACTGAAACTGGAGTGATCTTTTTAAAATGCAAACTTAATCGTATCATTTCCCAGTGTAGAACCAACAGTGGCCCTAAAGATAAAGACTAAATCTTTCATCCAAGCCTATCGCTGGGCTCTGGCTACCCCGCTGATCCCTGTGGTTCCACTCACCTTCTCACACTCAGAAACCCAGCCTCTCTGGCCCAGGTGTATTTCTTCCCATGCACCATGCTAATCCCTTCATGTGGCCTCTGCGCACAGCATTCCCTCTATCAGGAACAGGGACCTGCTCCACCAAAAGCACATCCAAAACCTCCTCCCAACCATCACCCAACAGACTCTCACTCTTCATATCTTAGCTCAGGAGTCTCTTCCTCAGAAGAAAGCCTGCTCTGACATGCACACAGCATGCACACCCTGGAGACCCTCTTCTCTTTCTATCAGTGTGCAGATGGTCACTTATTCATGTGATTATTTGCCTAATATCTGTCACCCTCACTTTGTTGTGAGATCTGAGAGAGCAGGGGCCAGTCTGTTTTGCTTACCCCAGTGTTCTCAGGGCCCAACACAGTACCTGATGCACAGTAACACGCAATCAATATTTGCAGAACAAATGAATGCACAAACAAATGAACTACTAGCAGCTTCACATAGGGATAAAGCCAGAAGCTCTGAAATGTCTGTAAAATATTCTTAAAAATTGTTTTTAAAACCTACTGTCCTGGGTAACAAGAGCAGACCCTTTCAAAATCGATCTCCTCAAACTACAAAGCCTCGCTCTTTTCGGCCGATTAATCATATCAGAGACCGGCAAGGAAGACCCCCCTAGATATAATCCCTCTGCACAACTGGAGCTCCCTGCTGCCCTGTCTCTTTCTTCTCACTCATTCCAACCAGAACGTTTTAATTTGGAGAAAATAATGAACCTCAAGAGGAAAAGAGAAATGGAGAGGGCGTCATTGAGGACCATGGAATGTGAGTCTGTGTCTGGTTACCATTTAGGGCCTAAGAGGAAACAACACAAAAGCCAAGAGCCAAGGCACTGGCTCTTGTTTTTTTTTTTTTTTTTTTTTTTGGAGACAGAGTTTTGCTCTGTCACCAGGCTGGAGTGTAATGGCATGATCTCGGCTCACTGCAACCTCCGCCTCCTGGGTTCAAGCAATTCTCCTACCTCAGCCTCCCAAGTAGCTGGGTCTACAGGCACGTGCCACCACGCCCAGCTAATTTTTGTATTTTTAGTAGAGACGGGTTTCACCATGTTGGCCAGGATGGTCTCAATCTCTTGATCTCATGATCCACCCGCCTCGGCCTCCCAAAGTGCTGGGATTACAGGCGTGAGCCACTGTGCCTGGCCTCTATTTTTAAAAAGAAAATTCCACAAAACATGATTCTGGGGCTCTGAGCAAAAAATATTTTCTGCATTATAGAGGATCTAAAGGAAGTGTTCTGCAAACTTCTAAAAAACTCAAAGCATTTGCTATTAGGAGAGAAAAGACTGACTATGAGCTCTGAATTGAGAGACTACAGGAAGGAGTATTTTTATCCAGGGAGAGATAAGATCACAAATGTCAATCCCCCAGTACGCAAAGCTATTTAGAAGAGAATCTCTCCATACTCACCAGAAAACAAAAGCAGGAGAATGACACCATAGCCATTCTGGCATAAAACGTGTAACTGATAACAAAGGAAAGTGCAGAGATTACAGAGAAGGTGAAGGGACAAGTGTGTGCACAATGGAAAGAATCAAATGGCAAAAGCTTATCCAGGTGGCACAGAGCCAGGAGCTGGAGACTAACATAATGCTGCCTGAGATAGCAGAAAAATGTAAACACAACCTCATAATCCACCCGTGTTTGCTCCAGCCCAGGAGAAAACATCCATAAATCTTGTCGAAATGTGATATATGGGAAACTGGTAAAATGGATCTAATCCAGATCTTATCCTGACTTATGTTCCAGAGCCAGGAAATGAAAAATGGAAGATGAAATATTGGTGAGCTGTTAGTTTTCTTCCATGTACACCCCTCTCATGCCCTCTCTGGAGGGGAATACCTGAGCTGCAGTTCTGATTCCTGTAGTAACTGGAATGGCCAGTTCAACCCCTCTGGGCTCTCATTTCCTCATGTGTAAAAGGGGGCATGTTTCCTGTCCCTCCATGACCCACAAGGTCCCTAACATCTACCTGATAACAGTGTGTAGGAAAGAACCAGGTACTGGACTCCCTTCACCCCGCCCCAGCTCTTCTATGGACCTTGGGCATGTGGCTCAACTCTTTCCAGACTCAGTTTACTCATATGAAAAATGGAGAGAACAATAGAGTACCGTTTACTGTGGTTGACAGATGTTTAATAATGTGCTCAAAGCCATACAGTGAGGGCTCAGATTCGTGTCTCATTGATGCCAATGACTTATCCTTTCCACTACAGAGCACTGCTTTCCAAGGAAGCACAGGCTGAAGTCAAGTTTTGTCTTCCTAAATGGCAGTCGTTCATGATAATAATAAACCAGAGAAAGTCCTGGCACTTAAAAATGTTCAGCAAATATGAGCTACCATCATAATTACTCTTTACAATTGCAAGTCCCTTGAGCCCAATGTCCTGATGAATAAAAGAAGGAAAATGAATAACAATTTAATTCTTGACAAGGTAAAGTATCTGTACTTTTCCACCTCTCCCTACCCAAAGCCTATCTTCTAAATGTTTGTTTCATGTCATGATTCACGAACAGTCTTAAATTGCTGCCCATTTGAAAGCCCAACTGACCGACTTCATGGAGAGGTAACTGGGAAAGATGGACTGAAATTCTTAAGGTCTGGCTTGGGTAAAATCTGTGCTTTCCTGTTGTAAATAATCCATTGACTTCAAATATTTTCAAGTACTTGGTCTCACATCTGCGGGACATATGATGGGGGCTAGAGTCACAAGGAAGTGAGCCCCATTTCATTTCAGTTTTTAGGGTCTCTGTGTACCAAAACCCACTCTGTTTCCTGGAGAAGTACAACTTTTTCCAGATGAAATTCCAAGGTTTCACTCCAGCTTCTAAACAGTGACTGTGTCAGCCAGACTCATCTCCAGCCCTTACATCTGGTATTGGATGAAAATCACCAAACCACTATGCCACTAAGACTGCAATTTGGTTTCTTAAGTGGAACCTTGTGATGAAGCTCTGAAATTCACTCCTCCCTGGTTACTGCCAATGAACTAAATAAATATGGCATTAGTCCCTTCAATACTCAGCCCTAAAGCCATAACTCCATTCAGGGCAAACTCAGAGTCAAAGAAATGAACACCCAAAACAGTCCTGGCATATAGTAGATACTTAATCTATATTTATTAGATGAAAGAATAAGAAACAAGACACAAATACAAGGAAATGATCATATATAGTACCAGGTAATTCACTGGTTCCCTTTGGTATGGTATTTTGCAGATTCTCCCTTTTTAACTTGAGACCTTCCTTATTTTATGGATCAGAAAACTGAGGCTTAGAAAGATACAATAATGAGTTTAGATTTACATTAAAACTCAAATATGCCAGATTTCAAAACCCCTATTCTTTTCACTAAATTACACCACTATCACCACCCCCAGAGAAAGTTCTACTAACATCAGTTTTCACCTGCATGTAATGACAACTAAGCCAAACAAAAGGATGTTTCTTCTAGGCTTTCTTGATGCTATATAGGATTTATAAATAAATAGGTATGCCCCTCCTCAATGTTTAAAGTTAGAATTTTGCCAAAACTATTTTGTTCAAAACAAATGTTTTCATGCCAGACACTCGATTTTTGTTTTACCTGTAAGCAAAGCAATCTGAAAATTGAGTATTTTACCAGTTATGAATGGAGTTTTGACACCACATAACAGAAAACACAAATAACAGTGGCTTAAAAGAAGTCTGGAGATGAGACATTGATGACTGGCGTGGAATTTCTACAATGTCATCAGGATGCAGGCTCCTATCCTTAGCTCGCAGTTTTCAAACTTATGCTGTCTTCATGGTCCCCAGATGGTTGCTGAAGAACCAACAATTACAATGGCCATTGCAGGCAATAGGAAGATAGAAGGCCAAGGGCAAAAGACTGCATGCCAGTTGAGATAATCCCCTTTAGAATTCCTTTCCCAGAAGCCCCACTCAGTTATTTCTGTTGACATCCCTGGCTGAAACTATATCACATGACCGCCTCTACTCAGAAGAGGAACTAGGAAATGTAGATATACGTAGTAGGTTAATTGGCAACCCAACAAATATGATTCTGTTAGTAAAAAAAAAATAAAATAAAATATTAGATAAGCAACTACCAGGTCTGACACAAATGCCTTAGATATTATTTAAATATCTGTCCTTTAAAGATTGTCATTAGTTCCATGAAACTAGACACTTGGAGAGATTGCATGATGTGTAGAAGGTGAATCTTTGTTTCTGTGGAATACAACAAAGCCGTATCACGAAAGTTATCCAGGTTAAGGTGCAGGCCAGTGGCAGCATGGATAAAAGTTATCTAGGTTATTTTTTAAATCAATCTAAATAAAATTGAAGTATGATTTTACTGAGAATACTATAGCCAGGTACAATGGTGCACACCTATGGTCTCAGCTACTCAGGAGGCTGAGGTGCAAGGATCACTTGAGCTCAGGAGTTAGAGACCAGCCTGAGCAATATAGAAAGACCCAATCTAAGATTTTGTTTAAAGAATATTGATGAGCCATTAAATACCTTTGGCTTCAACGCCTCTAAACTGTTGATCTCTGAGGTTTAAAATTTTATTCCATATTCTCCAATAAACCTAAAGGCATGTGTGCCTGATCTTATGGCTATAAGCAAAGCACCCTTATCTAAAGGAAGATGCTACCACACTAAGGAAAACCAAAGATTTCCCCTTCTCCTCCTGCAAGCCCATCTCAGGAAGCTGATGGAATGGACCCTGCCCAGGGTAAGAGGGTCTCAAAAAACTCAACACCTGTGTGATTGGCAAGAATCTGAGCTCTCTGAGCAACATTGGAATCAGCCTTAAAGTTGCTTCAACTCAGTGCCTGCTGAGAGCACAAAGAGGAGGAGAAAGAGGGGCTACACATGCAGGATGGTTATCAGAAGGACAGAGCCTGACACCAAAGACTTCCAGCACAAGGCTCACTTCTGCCTCTAGTGAAGCTGCCCCTATCCCAGTTGTGACACTAATTACACATATTGGGGAATTGTTCTGGGAAACACTACAGCGAAGTTGTAACTTTAGGTTACTTCAATGTGCTGCTTTTTTTTTTTTTTTTTTTTTTGGACGTACCTTGCTCTGTCACCCAGGCTGAGGTGCAGTGGCACTATTACAGCTCACCATAGCCTCGAACTCCTGGGCTCAAGCAATCCTCCCACCTCAGCCTACCAAGTAGCTGGGACTACAGGTATGCGCTACCACTCATGGCTCCATGTGCTTCTTTAAAGTATATTAAGGTCACTATGATTGGCTGAGCAGTTGTTTGCCAACACTTGGGTGATGGAAGGAAATTAGAACCAAGAGTGGTGGAGCACACCCATAAAGTCACTTAGATTTTGGTGAGCCAAACTGAAGGATAACATCCATCTGAAGAAGAAAGAGCTTTCACAATCCCATCTATTGTGTTCACATGCCCAAGCTTCACAGCAATGCCCACTTTCACTATTTGCTTTATTCCAGCATGTGTTCTTTCTTTTTTTGATTCATGAAGATGTCTTACAAAGTGTTGACTTACTTGCTTTTCTAAAGAATGATGCATTACAGAGCAAGAACTGTTGGATGAGAAACATATAGTGAAAAACCATATAGTGAAGACTGTAAAGACAAGAAAGACTAAAGATCATGTCCATTCTTTTTTTTTTTTTTTTGAGACAAGGTCCCTCTCTGTTGTCCAGGCTGGAGTGCAGTGGCACAGTCTCAGCTAACTGCAACCTCCCCCTCTGGGGTTCAAGCGGTTCTCCTGCCTCAGCCTCCTGAGTAGCTAGGACTGCAGGTGTGCACGACCACACCCAGCTAATTTTTGTATTTTTAGTAGAGACGGGATTTCATCATGTAGGCCAGGCTGGTCTCGAACTCCTGACCTCAGTGATCCACCCGCCTCGGCCTCCCAAGGTACTGGGATTACAGGCATGAGCCACTGCGCACAGCCCATGTCAACTCTTATATTGCTGCTGTCGATGACACATCCTTGACATTGAGGTACTATGGAAATTTCAAAAGTACAGATCATTATTTGTGAACACAGAATTATGAATCCAGGCAAAATTCTTAGATTTTCTTTGTGCATTTAACTATATCATTTCCTATATGCCACGTAGAAATCACAACCAGAAGGGAAAAAAAGTGGAGGGACCAGAAATAACTTCTGGAAAACTGAAACATTTTTGTCTCCATGTATATAAACTTAAACACATCTGAGTACTATGGTCTGCAGGGCCATGCTTGATCCTCAGGAATATTCCGGTCTGTAGCAGCATCTCACTTCTCTGAACTTCTGATATAATTGCATTCTTTCCCACATCATACAACACTTACTTATATGCCATCTTCAGCAGATTTTAACTTTTATGCAAGTTTTTCCTCCTTTTCAAGGAGTTTCAATCTACTTGTGTGAACTTTATTACTAATCAAAGTTGTTCTGGAGGGCATGGCTTAGATGTCTACTCTCAGTTGGCTTCCTAATAGCCTTCAGAGCTGGACAGACTCATTCCTTGGCCCCTGGTGCACCTGGCCACCCACAGGCCTCCTACAGTATTGCCAGCTAACAGCACGGTACAAAGGAGATGCACCCTTTTGTGGGCAGAAAGATTTGAAAATGAGAAGATCTAGGGGGCAAACCGAACTTACACAGTTCCTTTTCCAAATCACTGAGCAGATAAATCACTTCTTCTCCCATGTGCAGGAGTTAGCAAGGGACTTAAAAACAAGGATCAGAGTTCTATCTCCTGGGAGTTGAAAGCTCTTTCCTGTCTGAGAAGAGTAGGGCATCTTCCCACTTAAATTCCACAGATGCCTGACTTTTTTCCCCTGGATGTTAATCTACTGTCCTGTGAGGATCATTTATATTTATTATGTGCCAAGCCCAACACCCAACACATAATTCAAGATAACCCCCTCATAAATTCTCTGTATAGGATTTATACATCCCAGATGGGTAGAAGTTTTGATCTTTAGAACTGAGCAGATTTTTATAATTCACAAAATGCCCTGCAATGTACATAGCTCTGTTCCTTGCGTTTCCTACGGAGCCTCCAATGTGCAGGGAGATTATGGAGCAAAGATGGTGAAATCAGTCTTAAGCTTGAAGAATTTGTTATAAGGATGTTGATAAATGTCTCAGATATATGTGACTTATTCCTTAAGAATGTTCTCTCTGACTCTTTTCAGCTAAATATGATGTATAAGCTTAGGAACAAAATCTATTTTTAAGACTGCTTGGAAGTAACAAAAATGTGTGCTGATTATCCAAGAGCACTATCTTTTTTTTTTTTTTTTTTTTTTTTTTGAGACGGAGTCTCGCTCTGTCGCCCAGGCTGGAGTGCAGTGGCGGGATCTCGGCTCACTGCAAGCTCCGCCTCCCGGGTTCACGCTATTCTCCTGCCTCAGCCTCCCAAGTAGCTGGGACTACAGGCGCCCGCCACTACGCCCGGCCAAGAGCACTATCTTAAAGGAATCAAGTTTCCTCATTTCTGGTCTTGGATGAGTGGACAACCTAAGACACCTTAATAAAAAAAGACAATGCACAATCAGAGTTCTTGATACATTAGAAGTATTCCACAATATGGGCTTTTAGAGATGTTTTAGGAGGAAAGGTAAATAAGACTAGTTTGTGTAATAGACAACTTCTAAATCTCAGAGGCTAATTTAACATAATAAACATTTGTCCAATAGAGGTCAAGAGAAAGTTTTGCTTTCATTTAGGGACCCAAGTAAGAGAAAAGAAAGTGAGGATGGGCGTTAGGATGTTTCATTCAGATTGATTTTCAAAGCACCCGGCCTAGAAACAACACTCACATCACCTCTGCATTCACCCGAACTCAGACACGTGTGCCACACCTAACTACAAGGACTGGAAATGTGGTCAACAGAGTGTCCAGGAAGAGCAGGACAAGAATCTTGATGACTACAAGCAGTCTTATGCCACAAGTGTTGAAAAAAGCCAGGACCGAAAGAAGCCAGTTACAAAAGAGAACATATTATATGATTCAATTCATATGCAATACCCAGAACAGGTTAATCTACAGAGACAGAAGTAGATGAGTGGTTGCTTAGGCTGAGAGGAGTTATGGGGGTGTGGAGAGGTGATAATTAAAGGGTGATGAAAATGTTCTAAAATGGATGGTAGTGATGGTTGCACATCACATATATGTGAATATACTAAAAATCATTGAATTCTACATTGCAAATGAATGAATTGTAAAGTAAATGAATTATATCTCAATATAGCCATTTAAATAAATAAATACAATCAACGGATACATAGAAACTCTGTACCATATTAGCAACTTTTCTGTAAATATATAAATATAAATTAAAATTATATTTTTTAAAAACTATTTTTAAAAAGTCAAGATCGATTTCAAGGATAGTGAATATTCTCCCGTAATATCTTCCTTCCACCTTATTCTCAGGCAAAACTGGTGAAAATGAATACCAGAGTCCCAATGCTTCCAGTTAGAAAGTTTCAACTTCGAGGGTGGTTTTCAATCAGTTGAACCTTGGTTTCCTATTCTGTAAAATGGAAGTGATACACTGACTTCAACCGTTTGTTGTATTTATTAAGTAAGATACCAAATTTGAAATACCAGGCATGCAGTTGGCTCTAGATTAAAGCATATTAATTAACTCTTCAAAGGGAAGTGAAATATCAAAAACACAAATAACCCCCCAAAATTGTTAAAGATTTGAATAGACACTTTACAAAAAAAGATATTCAAATGGTCAATAAGCATATGAAAGAGTACTCAATATCATTAGTCACCATAAAAATGCAAAGCAAAACAGCAGTGAGATACCACTACGCACCAAAAAAAGATACTAAAATGGTCAATAAACATAAGAAAGAGTGCTCAACATCATTAGTCACCACAAAAATGCAAAGCAGAACCACAATGAGATACCTCTCCACACTTACCAGAATGGCTAAAAATGAAAACCAACTCTACTGAGTGTTGGCAAGGCTGTGGAGAAACTAGAACTCTCACACATTGCTGCTGGATGCTGAAAATTGTACAATCATTTTGTAAACCCATTGCCACTCTCTGATAAATGGGAATATTCATCTACTCTATGGCCTAGCAATCACACACCTAGACTATATACCAAGAGAAATGAATGTACTATGTTCACAAAACACCTGTACATACATAACAGCTTTACTCACAATAAGCAAAAATTCGAAGCAGCCCAGGTATCCATCAATAGGAAAATGGATAGACAAACTGTGGTATATCCATACAATGGAATAGTACTGAGCAAAAAAAATGAGAGACTATTGATATACATAATAAAATAGATAAATTTCAAAAAAATGCTGAATGAATAAAGGATAAACTAAAGAATATATATGTATTAATATTATTCCATTTATATTAAGTCCTTGAACATAGAGAACTAATCTATAGGGATTGAAAGCAGGTCAGTGGTTACTTGGAGTCAGTTGTATAACAGCACTTGACTGGAAAGAAGCATGAGTTAACTTGCTAGAATGATGGAAGTGTTGTTTTGTTTGTTTTTGTTTTGACACAGAGTCTCACTCTTCATGCCCGGGTTGGAGTGCAATGGAGTGATCTTGGCTCACAGCAACCTCCGCCTCCCGGGTTCAAGTGATTCTCCTGCCTCAGTCCCCCAGTAACTGGGATTACAGGCATGTGCCACCATGCCCAGCTAATTTTGTATTTTTAGTAGAGATGGGGTTTCTCCATGTTGGTCAGGCTGGTCTCAAACTCCCAACCTCAAGTGATCCACTCGCCTTGGCCTCCCAAAGTGCTGGGACTATAGGCGTGAGCCGCCGTGCCAGGCCTGGAAGTGTTTTATATTTAATATATTTTAATATATTATATATATTTTATATATATTTTTATATATTATATATAGTTTATATTTAATGTCAAAATTCATTGTGCTGAACACTTAAAGATTTATACATTGTATTGAATGTAATAAAGTACTATTAATTTAAAAAACAAGGAAATGGGGGCTAATGGAAGGAGAGAATAAACTATTTCATCCTTTTTGCCTTGGATGTAAAAGGGTAGGTGGCACATACATGTTAATTTTCTGCATCTGCATCCTGCCACCTGCCTAACCAAGTCACCAAGGTGCAAAGCCCTGGAATGTCACCTCTAGTTAATATCCTCTAAAGACAGTTCTACACACAGCCACACCCAGTGTCTACTCTGCAGGTCACTGTGTTCCATGTTACAGTAAATAAATAAATACATGAATAATAACCTCTTGGTTATTATTCTAACCAAGATATGTCTTGGATTATGTTTTTCTGAAGTTATATAAAGCTTATAAAAACAGAAAATAAAGTACATTGAAAACATTTCAGAAAAAAAATCCAAAATAGACAAAAATGTAAATGAAGGCTATGAGAAAAAACAACAGAAGATGCATATTTTTTTAAGTTCCAAAATTATGCCAGTCAAAACTCAGGAGCAGAGGAAATGAGAATCCTGGTATGGAATGGCAATCCAAGGCAAGGAAAACAGAGCACTCAAAGCACTGTGCGTAGCATAGAGCAGGATAAGCCAACAAAGTCTGCATATTAACTTACAGCTGGCAACCAGCTAAAATGGGAATTTAATGACTCTTAAGGCTTGTGTCTTATACATGAACAGGAATTGAATCAAAGTTGGATGCAAAATCCTTTTAAATTACTGGAGCAGATTTTATTCCTTCGCTTTTAGATTTTAAGACTTAAGCTTTGGTGTAATAGAAATAACCAACAACCTATTAATAAACGTTGAACTGTCTTCTAATAGTGGATGGGACTTTAGTTTTGTTAGCTGTTTTCACAATATGCATATTCAGTAGCTGCTTTTTATAAATGGGTATAGATTCTAAAATAAGAGCAAGTTAAATATGCATGCATAATGTCTCTGCCTAAATAGATGCACTTAAAACTGCTGTTTATGAATCGTGACCATGACCGTCTCTGATTTACTAATGTTTGCCACTGTGGTTGCAAATTCATTTGTTTCTCTAATATTTTGACTGTCTGTATATCTCAAATCTCCATTATTAAGAACATAAAGATTCTTGATAATTCCATCTTCTTTGTGGACTGTCAATTTCATCAAACAGAAATAACTGTTTTTCTTTGGGCGCGATGGCTCACGCCTGTAATCCCCGCACTTTCGGAGGCTGAGGCAGGTGGATCACCTGAGGTCGGGAGTTCGAGATCTGCCTGGAAAACATGGTAAAACCCTGTCTCTCCTAAAAATACAAAAATTAGCTGGACGTGGTTGGGGGGCGTCTGTAATCCCAGCTACTCAGGAGGCTGGGGCTGGAGAATCACCTGAAACCGGGAGGCAAAGATTGCAGTGAGCTGAGATCACACCATTGCACTCCAACCTGGGCAATGAGAACAAAACTCTGTCTCAAAAGAAAAAAAAAAACTATTTTTCTCATCTAATGCTTTTTCCTCAGACATTATTTTTATCAGCTATTGATACCATTAGGTTAATTTTTCTTTCGGCCAGAATTTGCCTGTTCTTTTTATCTCTAATATTCTTGGATTGCTTTGTTTTTGGAGCATTTCTATGAAACCACATATGACTGTGTCTTAGTGGTGGTGGCGACAGGTTTTTGTGGCTGTTTGATCTGTGCTTTTTGTTTTGTCCAGGAGGACAGTGTTCCTGGTCCTCCAACTTAACAATGATAACTTCCTTCGTGCTGTACAAATAGCAGCTCCCCTGGTCACACCCCGAACCTCATCATGACTCGTAGCTGCACCACCTTCAGCATCTCCCATTTGAGGCTCTCACCCTCTGTCTCTGTCTCCTCCTTCCTTAGCATCAATCTTCAACAGCTCCTCATCCCCCCAGGGACCTCCAGATGATTGAACACTTTCTTTTGTCACTTCTCTTCCTTTGCAGACTAGACCCCAGAGCCCGTCATTCTCATCAGCCTATGCACACTCTTTCATCTCTGCTGCCCCATGCGTCTCTCCTGTGTCTTATCTCAAGTCAGAGTCACTTGACAAATCCAATCCTGGTTAAACTCAACTATACTAAGTCTTCACCTGCACCCAAGCAGCTAAACATGGATGAGCTTGGAGTGTCACTGGACTGGTGATTACCTGTGCAGTGACAGTCTCCTGAGTGCCCTTTGGCCCTAACTTTCTTTTTTTTTTTTTTTTTTTTTTTTGAGACGGAGTCTCACTCTGTTGCTCAGGCTGGAGTGCAGTGGCGCGATCTCTGCTCACTGCAAGCTCCATCTCCCACACTCATGCCATTCTCCTGCCTCAGCCTCCCGAGTAGCTGGGACTACATGTGCCCACCACCATGCCCGGCTAATTTTTTTGTATTTTTAGTAGAGACGGGGTTTCACTGTGTTAGCCAGGATGGTCTCGATCTCCTGACCTCGTGATGCGCCCGCCTCGGCCTCCCAAAGTACTGGGATTACAGGCGTGAGCCACCTCGCCCGTCCCTATTTTTATTTTTTAAATTACATGTAATTTTTTTTTCTTAAAGACAAGGTCTTGCTGTGTTACCCAAGCTGGATTCAAACTTCTGGGCTCAAGCGATCCTCCCACCGCAGCCTCCCCAGTGGCTGGGATTACAGGGACACACAGTGCCCCACATTCTCTACCCTGTAGAAAACCAAACCCTATACTCTTTTCTGTTGCAAGAGTATATCAACATTTCTGCTCCCTGGTGAAGGAATCTTGTATCAAAGGACTTAGTCTTTCTTAGCAACCTTTTAAAAATCACTTCAAGGACTAGAAGGATGGTAGAACTATATGTTCAACCCCTTATCTCAATCCAATCTTGAACCAAGTCCTATGATTGCTAATAATATACTCAGGACAAATCAAATGCTTTTAATGAGAGAGGGTGGGACCATTACTAAGCAGATAGGGCTGAACCAGATGTGAAGGGCTGTCTGAGGGATTCGCTTCATCCCCCAGGCCCTGGTAACAGAATTAAAGAGAATTCAGTCTAGAAAAAGTGCCAGCAAGGGCTTCCCACCTATTTCCCATAAAGCAACATAATATAAGAGCAAAAAGTGCACTATTGCCCTCAGGGAAGAGAGAAAAGTAACCAGGTCTCTGAAGAAAAATACAGCAGAAAAACAAATTACCATCATACTAAGAAAGATTTTCTTTTGAATCATCAGCCTCTGGAATAAACATTAAATTTAAAAGGTCTTATTACTTTACTTAGTTTCACCACCTAAAAAATATGTCTGCTAAATAGATTGACTCTATCATTTATTGCAGGCCTAATGGAATTCTGGCATTAAAAACCTGATCCATTTTGGGTCCTTACCTTATAAAACTTCATGTCTATCAGATCCTTTAATAGACAGAGAAGATCATTAAAACTCCAGATATTTCTACAGCCACAGTCCAGAAAGTGGCAAAGCTCATTTTTAAAAATTTAGTAATGGCTCACATTCTACAGGCTGACTTCTAATTGGATCTAATTTGACTGCAAAACTCAAGTTGGCTGAAGGCCTTTTGAACCTGCCATTGTAATTCACAGCTCAAGAAGGCAGATCCCAGCCTGATGGGCCTTTTTAGCAATAAAGAGAAAAAATGGTTACCCATCTCCCAGCCAAAGGAAGGCCACTTTTCTGAGCAAGCTGGACAGTCTGAGAGGCAGTTCCTCCAGCTCTTATGTTCATGAAGTTGAGCTTTGGTCAGGTGGGTCTCCACACGTCTTCTCCAGCACGACAATCCTTCAGGTAGCTGAGATAAGGTTGGTATAACCAGCACAACCCCAGAAAAGCTACAACAACAACAAAAATAGAGGTAAAATGTAAAAGATCATTGAGTTTGAGATGGGTTTGGTGGTTTCAGGTGTAGCTTCACAGTTTATTTCCTAGACAGAGTCTGATGGAGGTTGAGAATCATTATAATATACTATAGTCCATTTTGGAGTTAGATCTCCTTACATTCCAATTCTGCCACATATTAGCCATGTGAATGCAGGCAAGACACCTCACCTGTCTGAAATCCAGTTGTATAGAGAGACAGAGTACCACTCACCTGGCAGTGTTGTTCAATGCAATCACAATTGAAAGTCCTTGACACATAGTAGGTGCTAAATAAATCATGTGCTAAATAAGTAAAAACTCTAATACTGACAATTCAACCCTTTCCAAGGATGTGTCCCCATTTCTTTCCACTTTTTTCTGTACTTGTCTCTGACAAGAGTGAGAGATGTGCATATAGCCTTGCTCATAATGGGTGCTCAGGAAACAGTTGTTAGCTTGGTTTAATTTAGCTGATTAAACCACATTGCCACTGTGAGGCACAACAGCCCTCAACATTCCCCAGAAAGACTAGACTAACCCTAGAGCTTTCAAAACTAATCCAGATAGGGGAATTTAGGGCAGAGGGGGTCAGGATCTGTGCAGTAAAGCAAGTAGACCAATCTCCGGGTCTAGAATGGTGAAGATGAATCAGTGTCCTGAATGCACAGATCAGGGTAGCACCATCTTACTGTTGGCCACGGTTCTAGGAAATTCCCTAAAGCCCAGGTAATTCAGAATTTCTTAGTACCCACTTCCCCTAAGGAGGCCTAAGAGTTCCTAAAATTATCCAGAATTTAGGAGTGAGACTTTGATCACCACACTGGTCAGTCAGTCGCCTGCAATTACCCAGTCTCTGGTCGTCTGCACTTTGACAGTTGCTTATTTGCTGAGATTTGGGAGTAAATGGAACAGCTTAGGGGAGACATTTTTCACATTTTGACCACAAAAGATAAATGGTACAATCCCATTCACCTATTCCAGTCTAATACATTTATAACTACCTTATTGATGATCATTGCTGTGGGAGGTCATGGAGGAATCCAAGTAAGGTCATTTACTTCTCTATATCTAGTCTGGTCAGCTGAATTCAACTTACACAGAAACTAAAGCCTTGATGCCTTGCACAGCTCTCATCATAGAAGGTAGACAATTAGTGGAGGCATTCAACGTTGTATTAACTTTTTGCTCCATTGCGACAATGTAGGTTTGGGATCCAAGTGAAAATGAAATGGAAACTTCCCCACAGGTTCTCAGCATCCCAACAGGTAGCCAGGAGCCTGGGCCAGGTGGGAACATAGGCATAGCTTCATGAGTGTCTTAGGCAACTGGCTGTGGCCCCATGCCTAGGGGCTCAGCATACAAGCATTAAAATTCACACTTGCTATTCAAATGATCAGAAAGCAAGGCACACCCTATGCTGCACAAAAAGAGCCTATGGGGAGGTCGGCGCAGTGGCTTACGCCTGTAATCCCAGCACTTTGGGTGGCCAAGCTGGGTGGATCACCTGAGGTCAGGAGTTCGAGACCAGCCTGGCCAACATGGTGAAACCCTGTCTCTACTAAAAATACAAAAAAATTAGCCAGGCATGGTGGTGGACACCTGTAATCCCAGCTACTTGGGAAGCTGAAGCACAAGAATCACTTGAACCCGGGAGGTGGAGGTTGCAGTGAGCCGAGATCACACCATGGCACACCAGCCTGGGCAACAAGAGGGAAAAATCACCTCAAAAAAAAA
Source organism: Homo sapiens (assembly GCF_000001405.40). Lineage (NCBI taxonomy): Eukaryota > Metazoa > Chordata > Mammalia > Primates > Hominidae > Homo > Homo sapiens. The sequence goes on from NC_000009.12 coordinate 87,299,303, forward strand.
AAAAGAGGCTATGGGAGGGTTATGCTTCTCCTTCTTTTTTAAAATTTTTAATTGACACATAATATTACACATTTATGGCATACAATGTGAGGTTTTGATACATGTATATATTGTGTAATGATCAAATCAATGTAATGAGCATATCCATCATCTCAAACATTTATCATTTCTTTGTAATGAGAACATTCACAATCCTCTCTTCTAGCTAGTTTGAAATACACATTATTACCTATAGTAATACTGCTGTGCAATAAGACACCAGAACTTATTCCTTTTATCTAAATGTAACTTTGTACCTGTTGACCAGTCCCCCCATCATTATGTCCTTCCTCCTCTCTCCCCAGTCTCTGGTAAACACTGTTCTATTGTCTATTTCTATGAGATCTTTCTTTTTTTAGATTTCAAATATAAGTGAGATTATGCAGTATTTGACTTTCTGTCTTATTTATTTCACTTAACATCATGTCTTCCAGGTTCATACATGTCATCACAAATGACAGAATTTCATTATTTTTATGACAGAATAACTTTCCATTGTGTATATATACATTTTTCAATCCATTCTTCCATTTACGGATACTTAGGTTGACTCAGGGTATACCTTGGCTATTTTGAATAATGTTATAATAAGCATGAGAGTGCAGATATTTGGTATATGGATTTCATTTCCTGGGGATCTATACCCAGTAGTGGGATTTCTGCATCATATGGTAGTTCCATTTTTAATTTTTTGAGGAACCTCCATACATTTTTCCATAATGGCCATACTAATTTACATTCCCACCAATAGTATGTAAAGCTTCCCTTTTCTCCATATCTTCACCATCACTTGTTATCTTCTGTTGTTGTTGTTTATTTTTTCATAGGTTATTGGGGTACAGGTGGTATTTGGTTACATGAGTAAGTTCTTTAGTGGTGATTTGTGGATTTTGGTGTGCCCATCACCCAAGCAGCATACACTCCACCCTATTTGGTGTAGATTATCCCACCCCTCCCTGTTGTTGTTTTCTTAACAACAGTCTTTCTAGCTGGAACAAGGTGATATCTCATTATGGGTTTGATAAGACTCTAAAAGCACAGGCAACAAAAGCAAAAATAGACAAATGGGATTACATTAAGTGAAAAAGCTTTTGCATACCAAAGGAAACAATCAACAAATTGAAGAGACAACCTACAGAACAGAAGAAAATATTTTCAACTTATACATCTAAAAAGGGATTAACAACCAGAATATATAAGGAACTCAAAGAACTCAATAGTGAGAAAACAAATAGCATGATTTTTTAAATGGACAAAAGACCTTGATAGATACTTCTCAAAAGAAGATACGCAAATGGCCAACAGGTATATTTTTTATGCTCAACATCACTATCATTAGAGAAATGCTCCTCCTTCTTGAATTATAAGTATAGCTCAGCAGTAGCCAAACATCATCCTGAGGACAAAGAGTGGCCTTTGGCAATGTTTATCCCATCTTGTCTTAAAATAACAGAAGGTAGGAAAATATAGAAAGTAGTGCATGGAGCTAAATTTAGGCTATTCAAAAGACTTTAAAATAGTCATAAGTGTCCTTTTCTTATAAGAAGTGCTGACATCAGATCATGGTTATGGCTTCTTAATATATTTACTTGCTAAAACAAAAAAATTGGCAATCATTTGCTATATTCCTCCTAGCCATTCGCCTTTATAAAAGTTTTTGCCAGTCCTTAAAATACAGAAATCTGAAACATCAGCGAAAGGAAAATAGCATGATGTCTGTGCTATAAGCCAGCTGTGGGATCTCAAAATCACTCAGATTATTTGCTTTTCAGATTCTGTGTCAGGAAATTGGAGGCAGTGAGGCAAGTGCACCCATCAAAGGTGGATTTGCACATGGCTTTTTGGCATGAGCCCAGTCAAGCCTTGGGGTCTCCAGTGCATCACACACATGACAAATGGCAATAAAATAAAGGCTTTTTCATGGCTGGAAATTAATTGAGTAAATTTCAGGTATCCATAGCATTCTATAAGTATAAATCAAGAAGTTCTCACAATATGCAAATGCTGATATTTTTTCCTATTCTTTTTTTTTTTTTTGACAGTGACTATGACAGCTTTCCACCCCCACCCCACTTTGCTATCCCTTGTCTTCTTCTTCTTTTTAAATGTGAAAAGTAGAGACATTGGCACCAAAAGGAACCTGAGTCCTGGGGTGCAGCCCAACCTTCCTGGCTGTCCTACTCTCTCACCCCAAGTTTCACTTAGAAGGGAGCTCATGATTTATGTGCCCCAGTGGAGTGGCTCACAGCATGCTGGCCAGCTCCCTCTGCTTCACTCATAAATCTGAGGTAAAGAACATAGAACAGCCAACAACCCCCTCTTTGAAAGAGCTGGGAGTGTCAAAGCAAAAACCCTGGGAATATTATGGATTCAATAATGGTCTCAGCTTTTTGTTCCAATCAACCAGCTAGAGTCATAATCCAAAATTGGATTCTAAATGTGTTCTCAGAGCATAACTCAGACTTCCAGCTTCTCAGATCCCAGAGCAGGGGTTCTCTGTAAAATTCAATATCCCTTCAATCTTCAAGGATGCAGAATCGTAACATGCATCCCAGGAAAAAAGGTGCAATGGGTTCAAATCCTAGCTCTCCCATTTACCAGCATGTGACCCTTAGCAATTCACTTAACTCTTCTCAGGGTCAGATTCCCCATCACCAAACTGAGATACTACAATGATTTATCAATTGTTGGCTCCAGTGAGATGACACAAAACCAGTACTTAGCCAGTGCTGAGCATGTAGAAAAATGCTCAAAAACATATTGTTATTATTGTTATCCAAGTTTGCTTATTACAGCCCTTCTCAAACTTTCTGGTCTAGAATTCCTTTACACTTTTAGAAATTGTCGAGGACACCCAAAACTTTTGCTCAGAAGGGTTTTTTATTGATATGTATAATACTTGATATTATAACAAAACAATGTCTGAAACACAAGAATACAAAAACACACATTCCATTAGCAATCAGAACAATGATGTCATCACCCATCATCTAGCCACTGGAAAACTCCACCGTACAGTCTGAGAGGATAAGAGTGGAAAAGGCAAACAACAGCTTAGTACAATAGCTTTGACCTTACCTACTTTAGATTACCAATTAAAAACCATGGGACTATTATAGTCTTCTCTTCGCAGGAAGTAGTATGCCTTATAATGTCCACCCTACATGCTGTCCTATTTATTCAGATTCTATCAGGTGAAGAACCAAGTCTTTTTTTTTTTTTTTTTTTTTTTTGAGGTGGGCTTTCACTCTCACCCAGGCTAGAGTGCAGTGGCATGATCTCAGCTCACTGCAACCTCCGCCTCCTGGACTCAAAGCCGTCCTCCCACCTCAGCCTCCTGAGCAACTGGGACCACAGATGCATGCCACCATGCCCAATTAATTTTTTTTTTTGTATTTTTGGTAGAGACAAGGTTTCGCCATGTTGCCCGGGCTAGTCTCAAACTCCCGAGCTCAAGTGATCTGCCCGCCTCAGCCTCCCAAAGTGCTGGAATTACAGGTGTGAGCCACCACACCTGGCCAAGTCTTCTTTTAATAAGCTATTCACACTTTAGTATCAAGAATTCTCCTTTATATCATAACCTATGTCATCTCATTTCTTCTTATTTTTTGCTTAACAGAATTGGGAAATATCCAATTACAATAAAAATTGCTACTATATACTGGGTAGCAGTGTTCCAGCCACAGTGCCAAGAGCTTAAGAAAAATTTACCTGATTTGGTGCTTACAATCACCCTACAGTGTGCCCATTGTTACTTCAAGATCGCAGATAAGATAATAGAAAAATTACCCCAAATCATTCCAGTAATTGGAGCACCCTGGAGGAGCCCAGACCTCCCTGATTGTAAGCATGCTTTATAATTCACTCCCCAACTCACTTCACTCAAACTCACCAACTGACTACATTCACACTCCACAATTATTCTGCTTTCTTATTGTTTATGATAAATGTAATGGCAGTGATCAAGTCATGATCTCTGCATTATTCTTCATTTAAAATAAGTCTTTTTATCACTATCAAAATCCCAACTGCTTTTTTTTTTTTTGCAGAAATTGATAAGCTGATCCTAAAATGCACATGGAAGTGCAAGAGATTCAGAATAAAGCAGTATAAAAGTTGGAGGACTCAAACTTTCTGATTTCAAAACTTAACTACAAAACTATGGTAATCGAGGCAGAGTAGTACTGGCATAAAGACAGACACATAGATCACTGAAATGGAATCAAGAGTCCAGAAAAAAACCAACAAGAGTGCCAAGACAATTTAATGGGAAAAAATAGTCTTTTCAAAGAATGGCACTAGGATGATGACAGTCACAGCAAAAGAATAAAGGAGACCTTTATCTCACACCATATACAAAAATTAACTCAAAATGGATTAAAGACCCAAACATAAGAGCTAAAGCTGTAAAACCCTTAGAAGAAAACATAGCAATTGGGCATCAAATACACAAGTGACAAAAATAAAAGACAAATTGGACATCATCAAAATTAGAAAACGTTGTGTTCAAAGGTATTTCCGAGAAAGTGAAAAGACAACTCACAGGATGGGAGAAAATATTTGCAAATCACACATAAGGGACTTTGTGTCCAGAATGTATAAAGAACTCTTACAACTCAATAATAAAAAAGCAAATGACCCAATTTTAAAAAGGGTAAAGGATTTGAATATACATTTCGCCAAAGAATATATACAACGAGCACATGAAAAGATGTTCAAAGTCATTAGGCAATAAAGAAATGCAAATCAAAACAACATGAGATGCCATTTCACACCCACTATCATAGCTAAAATTAAAAAGAAACATAACATGTTAACAAGCGTGCAAGGAAATTGGAACCCTCATACACTGCTGGTGGGAATATTACATGGTGCAGCCACTTTGCAAAACAATCAGGTAGCTCTTCAAAAGGTTAAATACAGAGTTACCATATGACCTAATGATTCCACTCCTAAGTGTGTTCCCACGAGAATGGAAAACCTACAGCCACATAAAAACTTGTACACAAACGTTCATAGCAACATTATTCCTAATAGCCAAATATGTTTCCAAATGTCCATCAACTGATAATGGGATAACAAAATGTGGCACATCTACACAATGAAATATGGTTCAGCAGTAAAAAAGAAATAAAGTGATAATTCATGCTGCAAGATGGATGAACCCTGAAAACATTATGGCAAGTGAAAGAACTCAATACCTATTATATTATTCCATTTATATGAATTGCCCATTATAGGCAAATCCATAAGGACAAAAATAGATTTGTACCGGGGAGAGAGAGGAATGGAGGGTGACTGAAGAACACTGGTTTTCTTTGGTGATGAATGTTCTGGAATTAGATAGTGGTGATGGTTGCCCATCTTTACTAATGGACTAAAGAACCACTGAATTGTACACTTTAAAGGGATGAATCTTATGGTATGTGTAGTTCAGTAAAGCTGTTGTTTTTTAAAAATCACATCCTATTCTTGAACTAGTTTTATATCACTGCATTCCTTCTGTTTCTCTTGACCTTCCAACCCACCTCAGGCAATGAATCTACAAGCCAAACAAGTTATTAATTTTATTTAGTTGAAGCATTGCTGAAGGCTGAAGGAAATGCTGTGTAAACCCAGGCAAGCCATATCATAAATTAAAGCTAAAAAGTACATGTAAATCAAACAAGTAATGATTCCAGATTTTAGCTTCTGAGTGTAGACAATATCCAGAGGAAATGTGTTTCATAGGTAGGAGAAAAAATGAGCCTGCTTTTCATGGACAAGATTTTCAATCCCATGTTCCCAGTTTTCGCTCTCTTGGTTTTTTTCCCCCAGATCCGAATTCCCACCTGAATTCACCAACATTATGTAAGCTGCTGGAGAAGTTGTCAGGGACAGCTGAGGCCCAAGAGCAAGTTCCAGAATCCTGCCTTCTGCAGAGGAAGGCTGTCAGCCGGCCGTCCCCACAGGGACCTGGACCCTTGGAGGAGCCATGGGCCTGCCCGGGTCTCCTCGGATGCCAGCTGTCCTCCCACGGGCTCCTGCTGAGGACAGCACTCCAGCCCAGCAGTCTGGGAGTGAAGTGCCCCCTGACAAGTTGTCAGAGTCACAAAATCTGGAAGAGCTGAGCAAGTTTACTCAGGGAGGCAGAGTGAAGGCAGAACGAAATAAAAGACTTAGAAGAATTAAGGAGGTAAAATAAGCTAAACTGCCCAACAGACTTTCACACTATCTCAGAGTTGACAGATCATAAATACTCTCGTGACTTTCTTAGTCCATGAAAAATACTTCAGATTCTTGAAACTTGTTCCTTGAGGGGTACTCTTTTTTAAAGTAGCCACTAGAGACTGAGTTTATGTTTTTATGAAAGGGAGTGGAGACCAACAGTAATGGTGGATTGCCTTTTGTTCTTGTTCACGCGTCTTACCGTTACTCATAATACCAAAGCAGCCATATTAGCTTTAAGAACCACCAACAAAAAGGCAAGTCAAGAAATAAGAGAACTAGCCAGAGATTTCCAAACCACACCTCCAGCTTCTAAACAACCCAACATTCCTTATGGGAAATGCATCATGTCCCACTTTGGGAATATTGATGTTCCAACAAAATTTGAGCCTCTCCAAATGCAAACATTTTATTGTTCATGAAAAAGACATTTATTAAATTAAAGCCAAAGAAAGGAAATGGGGGGAAAAAAACATGAGGTTCATTGAAAATTAAAGAGATGAAAAAATAATTCTGACCAAACACCATTTTGCTGAGTTATATACAAATAATCAGAAGCATGTTGTGCAGGTTAAACCTCCCTTGAACCGAGATTCTGAAGTTAAGAGACAAAGTGTTCAGCAAAAACTAAACCAAAAACAGCAAACGCGTTTGGAATTTTACCAGGCCTTAAAATAGCTTTTTAAAAAAAGCTGAAAATTTTGTTTTTCCTACATTATCTATATGTCTTCAGGATAATAATTTCCCCCTGCCAATAGTGGCTAAAATAAGAGAAACTAGGAAACCAAACATCCTCTGTTTATCTGAGCCTGGATTTGTTTCCCCTGAAATTTTTCATTAGCCTTGTTTAAGCTATCTAAACTTGTACATATGAATTTAATGCTTTTTTAAAAAGAGAGAAGTTTTTAAATAAAATAATACTAAATACAAGTCAATACAAAAAGATATCTATGAGTTTCTCTTCTGGGTAAGAGGAGAGAAAATTATGTAAAGAAAGTGGAATAAAGACTACAGGGGCACTCTTGTAGATATTCAGCCTGCCAGTACTCCTTGCAAATTCCCTTGGCCTTAATTGTAACCAGGTCATGCCTGAACATACACACAATCCAGCCAGTTCTGGCACAATGTATATCAACTCTTTCATATGTAATTAACAAATAATGGAATAATTGGAAATACAACCCAGGACTTACATGCATTAATAACATGATTCGTCCTCAGTGTTAAAGTCGAACACAAATGAAAACCAAGTATGATACACTCATAGGGCTGAATGCTGCAAGCCACAAAGGAAAATGAGACTGTACAAGATGCACATGCACCCCCATGTTCTTCCTCTCCACTCAGTTTGGCCACAGGCTCTGTATGACAACAGTGCTTTGCTCAGTTCTCCCCAAACTCTGCAGGCTACACCCCAGTCTCCAGAAGTCAGCAGGCTCTCCCCTCCTTACACTCGCATTGATCAAGCTACTTTCATCATTGTTTTAAAGGGCAAGTCTTACAGCAGTATTTATTTTTTTAGAAACTAATGTGTCTTTTGTTTTTTTCTTTATTTTTGAGAAGAAGTCTCACTCTGTTGCCCAGGCTGGAGCGCAGTGGCACAGCTGTGGCTCACTGCAACCTCCACCTACTGGGTTCAAGCGATTCTCCTGCCTCAGCCTCCCAAGTAGGTGGGACTACAGGTGCGCAACGCCATGCCCAGCTAATTTTTTGTAATTTTTTTAAGTAGAGACGGGGTTTCACCATGTTGGCCAGGCTGGTCTCAAACTCCTGACGTCAGGCGATCCACCCACCTCGGCCTCCCAAAGTACTGGGATTACAGGCGTGAGCCACCGCGCCTGGCCTAATGTGTGTTTTTTTTTTAATGTGTTAACATGTCATTATGATTGTTTATCTGTTGTTGTTGTTGTCTAGTTACAAGGGTGTAGAGGTAAACATAAGCCCTGTTTTCGTTAGTGTTCAGTTTTGTATCACTCAGAGTTTTTTGAAATGCCTGTATCACATGACAGCAGAAATATCTGTGACTGTAAAGTGCAGTGGCCATTTGCCTCTCTATCTAGGATGGCGACTAATCTTGGTATAGAGTTCCATGCCATGTGTGGATTCTTTTGCTTGACACCTTAAGCCTCTACACTGATTAAATAAGCCAAAGGATTGCCTCTTCTCCAGTTCATTTCATAGTGCATTTAGTCAGGTGAAAGTGGGCAAAATGAACTGATAAAATGTTCTCTCTCGCTCTTTTTTCTGCCAAAATAATTGGTATAGTGCTTGGAAAGAACGGACAGATCAAGAGCAAATCCAGTTATTTATGTTGCAAGTTATTCGAATGAATTTGAATTTGGAATTTTCCTAAGTACGATGTCTAGAATACTGATCATCTTGCATCCAAACCTCTAAACTGACTCAGCTATTAAAAGGCACTGGCGAGATTTTTCCATGAGTCCTAGTTTAGTCTAGCTGAGCCAATAATTTGTAATTCAGCCTGGTTGGGGGTAAATATTGCCTCCGGCTTCTTCACTGACAACAGTCCAAAGTGGATTGGGAGTTTGCTGACAACTGTGGATCTCAACTGAAAAGACATCACCAAACACCCCCGATAACCCAGCCTGACCCCTGGCCCCTAATGGTTTTATTTTGTTTGGTTTGGTTTGCTTTGCTTTGCTTTGCTTTCATAGCACCACAGCTAACACAAACTGAAAGGCAAGAGCTGCATTAATTTCTTAAAAAGTTGGCGATTCAGGGCTAGCAGTGAAATTTTCATTAAAGTATGACTTCTTACTCTGATTGAAGGGGGAAAAAAACACTGGTCAATCCTTTGTAAATGAAAATCAAGAATTGCTGGGATATCAACTGGTTTACTCCCTCCATTCAGAGTGGAGCAGCCTGAAGCTCCAGAAGGAAGTGGGTGCTCTGATGAACAGCTTCTGGCAGGAAACCTTTGCCTGGGTCTTGGATGGACTGAGTACCACCGGCAAACCCTCATCTCCCTCTGGCACACACAGTGGAACTCACAATGGAGAAGCAGCTGAAGACAGTGCCTGTCAGCACTCCATAATGTCTGTCAGCACTCCAAAATGTCGACGCTGTAGGTCACTATTTATTTATTTATTTATTTATTATTTTTATTTTTTTCTTTTTTGAGACGGAGTCTCACTCTGTTGCCAGGCTGGAGTGCGGTGGCCCGATCTCGGCTCACTGCAACCTCCGCTTCCCAGGTTCAAGTGATTCTCTTGCCTCAGCCTCCCCAGTAGCTAGGATTACAGGCATGTGCCACCACACCCAGCTAATTTTTATATTTTTAGTAGAGATGGAGTTTCACCATATTGGCCAGGATGGTCTCGATCTCTTGACCTCGTGATCCACCCGCCTCGGCCTCCCAAAGTGCTGGAATTACAGGCGTGAGCCACTGCGCCCGGCCAGGTCACTATTTAGACACATGAAAATACACTTGTGATATCAGACTCAGTGAGATTAGCAGAATGCATAATTTGCATAAAACGATTAAGTGAGTGCTACGGCAGATTGTATTTTCCAAAGTTGGCTGCAAAATGTCTCCCATTTGCCTCCCTTCTAAAATGTGACTTGGATGCTGCTCCCATTGAGAGGTGGGGTCTTTGTTTCCTCTTCTTGAATCTGGATAGGCTTGTAACTTACAAGTAACCAAAAGAATGAAGCAAAATGATGCTGCACAACTTCCAAGGCTAGGTCATGATAGAATCACCTTGATTGCTAGAACACCTGTGGTTGGAGCCACCACATAAGAAGTCTGCCGACCATGCCACAAGGCAGCTTAAGCCACATGGAAAGGCCACTTGTATGCACTCCAGCTTGCAGTCATGTTCGAGTCCTCCCAGACAGGCGCCAGATATGCTCATGAACAGGCCTTGTAAGGCAAAGATAAACTGTCTCCGTGGTTCCCTTGCTGAATTCCTGACCCACAGAAACCACGAGCATCACAAAATGGTTATTTTAAGCTCATAAACTTCAGTGTGATGTGTTACACAGCGATAGTAACTGAAACAAAGACTGATGGTAATCTTAAAGCAGCTTTTGCAAAAGTCATGAGACTATGCATATTTTAAAATAATAAAAAATATTTCTGTCATATCAGTCTGACTTCCTCCTAAATCTCTAGCCCCCATCACTCCCCTCAAATCTCACCCACCCACTCCTATCCCCACCATGCCCACCCCATGCCAATCCTTACTTCAAACCTTGCTTTCAGCTTTCCCAAGTTTCTACCTGTCCCTGTCCTCAAATAACCCAGGCTGCATCATCCCTTGGTGGCTTTATTTCTGTTTTTCCTTCTGATTGAAAAGTCCCACCTTTTCTCCTGCATCTGGTGAATACCCACGATTTTCACACTCAGCCATCCATCTGTTCCTGGTCCTCCCACCACTCCTGGTGCCTCCTGCCATTCGAACATCTGTCATACCTTCTGGGGCTTACCTAGAGAAACATCAGTCCCTCTCCCTACAGGAGACCATAAGCTTCTGAATGGTCAGAGCCATGACTGCTTCATCTTCTCATCTTTCTCCAGGGACTACCACTGACAGTCATCTGTAACAGCATGGCAACTCCTGCATAAGCCTGAACAGCAAGCACCTTACTACCTTCTGCAAGCACCTTACTACCTTCTGTGCCCCAGGCACCTGCTTGTCTCACCTTAGTGAGACATACACGCTTCAAACCTGAAGGTGCTGTATAATGCCTAACTTGCACAGTTGGTCCTAGTCATTGTTTCTCCATCTCACAAAAAGGAAATTGAGTCTTGGAGGATGCTCAGCTAACAAGCAGTGGGGCCAGGACAGAATCCCAAGTCTACTTCCAAAGTCTGTGCTCTTTCTATAGCATGTAGTGACTTTTTGTTAAATAATGGCCTAACACACACATATAGTTGCATATACATAATTTGTGTCAGGCTGGATGCAGTGGCTCACATGTGTAATCCTAGCACTTTGGGAGGTCAAGACGGGTGGATTGCTTGAGGTCAGCAGTTTGAGACCAGCCTGGCCAACAAGGGGAAACCCTCTCTCTACAGAAAATATAAAAATTAGCTGGACTTGGTGGTACGCGCCTGTAATCCCAGCTACTCAGGAGGCTGAGGCACAAGAATTGCTTGAACCCGGGAGGCAGAGATTGCAGTGAGCCGAGATTGTGCCACTGCACTGCAGCCTGGGCAACAGAGTAAGACTCCATCTCAAAAAAAAAAAAAAAAAAAGGAAAAGAAAAAAAAAAGGTATCAGTCAAGATGGCTGCATTACTGCATTACTCTATGGCAACAAATAACCCCCAAATCTTGGTGGCAGGAACAATCAGGGCCAGTCTCCAGGATATCTGGCCCCCATGTGATGGCTCAGCATTGTGGCTCCATATCACGAATCATTTCTACCCTTGCTGAAGCAGGGAAAAGAGAATGGTGACTTGCACACTATCAATTAAAGGCCTCATTGAGAAAATGACACATGACATTTCCACTCATATTTTATTGTTCAAAACAAGTCATGGCCATGACTAACTTCAAGTGGGTAGGGAGTTACAATCTTCCTGTCTGCAAGCGGAAGGAACCCAGACATTGAAGAAGGATAGTAGTATCTGCCACCTTGCTCAACAAAAACAACTAGAAGAACAGGGCAATTATTCAAAAAGGAGGTGATAGCTTGCCATTTCTACACAAACCCACATTGCAGGGTGAGTCCTGAATCACCTTAAGGTACCAAAAAAAAAAAAAAAAGATTACAACTGGTCTCTAAGTTCAATCTACCATTTATGCTGACAATAATAGCAAGACATCTACTGGCAACCACAGTGAAAACCACAACCAACGTTTATAGAGTGCTTTGCAATTTAAGTAGTATTTTCATATATGCTTGCTCTATCAAGCAATATGAAAAGCCTTCCGAGTCCTAGCCAGAGCAATCAGACAAGAGCAATAAATAAAAGGCATCCAAATTAGAATGAAGAAAGTCAAACTGTCACTGCCAATGATGTGATCGTATGCCTAGAAAACCATAAAGACTCATCCAAAAAGTTCCCAGATCTAATAAACAAATTCAGTAAAGTCTCAGGATACAAAACCAATGTACACAAATCAGTAGCACTGCTATACACCAACAACGACCAAGGTGAGAATCAAATCAAGAACTCAATTCCTTAGGCCAGGCATGGTGGCTAACGCCTGTAATCCCAGCACTTTGGGAGGCCAAGGCAGGCGGATCACGAGGTCAGGAGATCGAGACCATCCTGGCTAACACAGTGAAACCCCGTCTCTACTAAAAATACAAAAAATTAGCCAGGCATGGTAGTGGGCACCTGTAGTCCCAGCTACTCGGGAGGCTGAGGCAGGAGAATGGTGTGAACCCAGGAGGCGGAGCTTGCAGAGAGCCAAGATTGCACCACTGCACTCCAGCCTGGGTGACAGAGTGAGACTCCATCTCAAAAAAAAAGAAAAGAAAAAAGAAAAATAAAGAACTCAATTCCTTTTACAACAGCTGAAAAAAAAAACAAAACAAAACCACTAGCAATATACTTAACCAAGATGAAAGACCTCTACAAGAAAAACTACAAAACATTACTGAAAGAAATCATAAATGACACAAATGGAAACATATTCCATGTTCATGGATGGGAAGAAACAACATTGTGAAAATGACTATACTGCCCAAAGCAACCTAAAAATTCAATGCAATTCCCATCCAGATAGCATCATCATTCTTCACAGAATTAGAAAAAAATCCCAAAATTCATATGGAAAGGAAAAAGAGCCCTCATAGCCAAAGCAATACTAAGCAAAAAGAAGAAATCCAAAGGCATCACATTACCTGAATTCAAATTATGCCACAAGGCTACACTTACCAAAACAACATGGTACTTATATTAAAAATAGGCATGTAGACCCAATGGAACAAAAGAGAGAACCCAGAAATAAAGCCAAATACTTATAGCCAACTGATCTTTGACAAAGCACACAAAAACATAAAGTGGGCAAAGGACACACCGGGAAAGCCACATGTAAAAGAATAAAACTGGATCCCCATCTCTCACCTTATACAAAAATCTATTCAAAAGGGATCAAAGACTTACATGTAAAGACCTGAAACCATAAAAATGCTGAAGATAACATCAGAAAAACTCTTCTGGAATTGGTTTAGGAAAAGAATTTATGACTAAGACCCCAGAAGCAAACGCAACAACAGCAACAACAAAAAAAGAGACCTAATTAAACTAAAAAGCTTCTGTACAGCAAAAGAAATAATCAGCAGAGTAAACAGACAACTTACAAAGTGGGAGAAAATATTTGCAAACTATGCATCTGACAAAGCACTAGTATCCAGAATCTACAAGAAACTCGAAGAAATCAGCAAGAAAAAAATAAAAATAATAATTACATCAAAAAGCGGGCAAAGGATATCAATAGACAATTCTCAAAAAAGATATACAAACAGCCAACAAACATATGAAAAAAAATGCTCAACATCGCTAATCATTAGGCAAACGCAAATGAAATCCACAATGCAATACCACCTTACTCCTGCAAGAATGGCCATAATTAAATTAAAAAGTCAAAAAACGATAGATGTGGGAATGGATGTGGTGAAAAGAGACCACTTTTACACTGCTGGTGGGAATGCAAATTAGTACAACCACTATGGAAAACTGTATGGAGATTCTTTAAAGAACTAAATGTAGAACTATCATTTGATCCAGCAACCCCACTACTGGGTATCTACCCAATGCAAAAGCAATCAGTATATGAAAAAGACACATGCACATGCATGTTTGTAGCAGCACAATTTGCAATTGCAAAGATATGGAAGCAATCTAAGTGCCCGCGGACCAACAAGTGAATAAAGAAAATGTGGTATATGTACACCATGGAATACTACTCAGCCATAAAAAGGAACGAAATAATGTCTTTTGCAGCAACTTGGATGGAACTGAAGGCTATTGTTCTAAGTGAAGTAACTCAGGAATGAAAAACCAATCCCGTATGTTCTCACTTTTAAGCCGAGGCTAAGCTATGAAGACGCAAAGACCTAATAAGAATTATATAATGGACTTTGGGGATTCAGGGGGAGAGGGAGGTTGGAAGTGGGGTGAGGGATAAAATACTACAGATTGGGTACGGTGTACACTGCTCAGGTGACGAGTGCACTAAAATGTCAGAATTCACCACTAAAGAACGTATCTGCTGGATACGGTGGCTCATGCCTGTAATCCCAGCACTTTGGGAGCTGAGGCAGGCAGATTGCTTGATCCCAGGAGTTCAAGGCCTGCTGGGCAACATGGCCAAGCCATATCTCTACAATAAATACAAAAATTAGCCAGCTGTGGTGGCATGTGCCTGTCATCCCATCTCAGTTACTCAGGCGGCTGAGGTGGGAGGGTCACCTGAGCCTGGGAAGCGGAGGTTGCAGTGAGCCAAAATGGCGCCACTGCACTCCAGCCTGGGCAACACAGCGAGACCCTGTCTTAAGAAGAGAGAAAAAAAGAACTTATCCATGTAACCAAAAACCACCTGTACCCCAAAAACTATTGAAATTCAAAAAAGGAAAAGCCTCTCAAATGAATTCTGAAACGTTCCTTTCCTTCTGATTCTCACAATGTGAGAAATGAAATAAAGTGAAGCACACAAAACAAAATGAGAAGGACCAGCCAAAGACCAGGCTGAGTGCTGAGCCCAAGCATGAAAGGATGAGAGTGGAAGATGGCCAGGGTGGGCCGACATCAGAGAGCTTCGTGGAAGGATAACAGGGACCCCCATTGCAGAGTGCACCCTACATCACCTCAAGGATGAGGTGCAGACCTCAGTCTCCTCCACTCTGTGTTCCTCAGGCTGAACTTAGGGGAAATCGTTACCCACCATAGATAAGGCAGGCATGCTGAATTTTGGTGAATGTATCTCATAAACTGGAAGTTGAAAAATGATAGCTTGTGAGCTGAATCTGGCCCTCAAATATATTTAGTTTGGTGCACCATCTGATTTATTGATTGATGGATGGACTGATTGAGACAGTCTCTCTCTCTGTCTTGCCCAGACTGGAGTGCAGTGGTGCAATCTCAGCTCACTGCAGCCTCTGCCTCCCAGATTCAAGCAATTATTCTGCCTTAGCTTCCCAAGTAGCTGGGATTACAGGCGCATGCCACCATGCCCAGCTAATTTTTGTATTTTCAGTAAAGACGGGGTTTCAGTGTTGGCTATGCTGGTCTCGAACTCCTGACCTCAGGTGATCCACCCGCCTTGACCTCCCAAAATGCTGGGACTACAGACGTGAGCCACCACATCCAGCCAAGGTGCACCATTTTAATATATGAATTGCTATTGACATCTCAAAATTGGGAAATTTCACATGAAAATTTTGGACTTCCACCTTCTGAAACCCAGCCACTGGATCTACATCTTGCAGAGATGAACAGCCCGGGCTTTGTGGAGTAAGGCCCTCTCAGCCATCTCTAGTGCTTCCAATTGCCTCCCCCAGGCATGCCTTGCTGATGTGTCTGACCTCTAGAGGCTTTGAGTTCATGATCCCTGAAGCAGGCAAACAGAGAAACTGTGTTAAAAAAAAAAAATTTTAAATTGAGCATTGACTGTTTTATTCCCATTAACAGTTTTCACAAATGTCCACTGCAGTCTCTCACAACCATGCTCAACCTGGATGACCCTCCTCCAGGCGCCTGTGGGCATGCACCCCTCACTCCTGCAGGTCAGCTCAGACATCTCCATTCAGTGAGGCCCCTGGCCCACCCCACCCTGACCACTAGCACTCACTGTCTTCTTGCTTTTTTCCAAGCATTCATTATCCAACTTCCTAAGGGACTCTACATTTATTCACTTATGTAATAGTAAGTCTATTGTTTATTCTCTGTCCCATTGCTAGAATGTAAGTTCCATGAAGCCAGGGGTCTTTGGCTGCATTATTTACTAAAGGAGCTCAAGATGCTACAAGACCCCTGGCACACAGTAGGAACTCAATAAATGCTGGAGAACGAATGTGTGTCTCCAATCTACCGCTCATAAAATCTCAATTTGTCTTTCTATTGTTATTAACATGTCTCTCTGTTATGCTATTTTCATGTATATTCTGCTAGTGAAATAAATATTATCATTATTTTGATAAAAATGCATTTCCTAGAACTTTGCCATAAAGAAAGCGTTTTTGCATAGATCACATCCCCTGAGTGCTAAAAATGGGCCCTGAGGTTGACTGGTGTGGTGGGCTGAATAATGGCCCCCAAAGAGATCAGGTCTTAATCTACTGGACCTAAAAATATTACCTTATACTGCAAAGACTTTGCAGATGCGATTAAGTTAAGGATCTTGAGATGGGGAGATTATCCTGGATTAGCAGTTGGGCCCTAAATGCAATCACGAGTACAAGTATTCTTATAAGAGGGAGGGAGAGGGAGAAGAGGAGGCAATGCGACCATGGAGGCAGAGAGAAAAGGGATGAAGCCACAAGCCAAGGAATGCTGGCAGCTTCCAGGAGCTGGGAAAGGCAGGGGTGGATTCTTCTCTAGGACTTCCAGGGGCAGAGGGTGGAGTTGGGGGGTCTGCCAACACCTTGATTTTGGCCGGTGAAACTAACTGCATTCAGACATCTGGCCTCTGGAACCATGAGAGAATCAAGTTATGTTGCTCCAACCCATCCAGTACATGTTAATTTGTTAGAGCAGCAACAAGAAGCTAATACAACTCTTATCCCAGATGTTGTGATCTTCATTTTCCAGATTAAGAGACTATGGCCCATTGAAAGAAAGCAACTTCCCCATCAACGTGAAGCTCCACAGTAAGCGGGGCAGGACCAGGACATGGAGCAGCCAAATCCTAGGCTGGGGCTCAGTCCCTCTACCAGAGCACCTCCAAAAAGAAGATGTGACCTCAGAACTGTTTCCAGAAGATCATGAGAAGACATTACCACGGTTTACAACAGGACAGATAAACCAAAATGCTGCAACTCTTGCAAGCTGTGGGTAAATGCAGAGTGATGGCAGTAGAGAGACTCCTCAGGGAGAAGCCTCTGGAAGAAATACCCCAGTCTGCTCCACTCCCTCACTGAGTGCTTGGGGGAAGACCCTCAATTTCTTCATATGTGGAAGGAAGAAGCTGGACCACACCACTGGTCCTCAGAGGCTCCATCCTTGGGGTCTTTGTGAGGGTTGAGGAGGAGCCCCAGGAGGTAGTGGTCTTTACCCCCCTACCCTTGGCAACTTCAACCTGATGTGCAGACTTCTGCCTGCCTTCCATATTGTGCCTCTGCCCCACATTTCTTCTGAACAAAAGGCTCCACAGTTCAAAATAAGTTTGAAAACCACTAAACCCAGGATTTCTAAGGTCACAGCCTTGCTAGTCTTAAATCTCTGTGGTTCTTGAACTCCACATGTTACAGCAGCAATCAATCCACCATCGGTGTTTGTCCAGAGACTGGATCCCAGCAAGCAAGACCAAAGGGATCTTCCTGGGAGTCAGAAAGTACTTAGGAAGTGTTAACTGCAAAGTCTGTGTCCACGTCACTTTGGAAAACTCCTGTATTCACAGGCTCCAGGTCACAGCTACTTTATATCGTAAAAGTGACCCAAGCCAGCCCTCCTCAGTGACCACTTAATGACCTGAGACACTGCTCTGGGAGTGCACAGAACCACCACATTTCTCCTCAATGCTCTGCTAGGGCCGAGGGGCTACCGTGCTTACACAGAGCAGTAAGCACTCTAGCAAACCTGCACTAAAACCAGAAAGCAAACAGGCCAGGCACAAAGGCCACCATCTCCTAGGGGTCAGGCCTCTTAAGTAAAAGAGAATCGGATTGGCTTTTCCTTTAAGTTGTGGACTCTGACACTGAAGTGACCATTATCCCCAGTCCACTCAGACACTTGGAAGAAAATGTATTATTAAAAGCAATCGATGCATTATGAAAATGAACTGGGTAAACTGTAATTTTATTGGCTCTGAGTTCAAGCCATAAAAGGGTAAATGTGAACAGGTGTGCCAGTTAATGTCCTTGGGTAATTGGTTAAGTATGGTAACCCCCAGAATCTACTTCTACTCAGCTCATACAACTTAAGCTGCAGAAAGTAGAAAGTGCAAAATATACCCACTTTTTAAAACTCTTTATTAAAAATTTTTAAAAAGCTTATTATATGGTCCCCACCTGGGCCATGATTAAGCACTCATTATTGCAGTAACAATGGCCCCATTGTTATTTCATCCTAATAACCATATTTAAATTACACAAAGTTTTGAGAGCTATAGCCTTAATGAAACTGAGGCCCAGGAAGGTTGATTGGTTTTCCTAAGATTGAGAGGAACAGAGCCAGAGGCTGACCCAGAGCTCCAAATTCTCAATCCAATAATTGTTCTAATACATGTAACAGAGAGTCGTTCACTACTGTGCCAGCTTAGACAGTCTCGAGCATATTCTATTGACCAACACAAAGAATATATGCAAGGAGTCTCACCATCCTTATTGGTCAGCGTTCTCCAGAGAGGCAGAACCAACAGGATATGCATACAGAGAAAGAGAAAGATTCATTTTAAGAAATAGGCTTGCACAACTATGGAGGCTTGGTGAGTTAAAAATTTGATGGTGGTGGCCGCTAGGCTAGAGATGCAGGGAAGTTGCAGTTTGAGTCTGAAGGCAGTCTGCTGGCAGAATCCGTTATTGCTCAACAAGATGGAATGGGGGTGGTCAGTCTTTGCTCTGTTAAGGTCTTCAATTGACTAGATGAGACCCACCCACATTATAAAGGGAAATCTGCTTTACCCAAAATCCACCAATTTAAGCATTAATGTCATCCAAAAAACACCTTCACAGAAACATCCAGAATAATGTTTGACCAAATATCCAAGTACAGTGGCCCAGCCAAGTTAAAACATAAAATGAACTACCACACTTTCCCACCAGACGTACAAGTCTTCACCCCCTCCACTTGTTTGCACTTATGAATATCCCAAGAAGAGCAGGAGAGGGTTGTCTATATGGGGTGACCAGGGAGAATGTAGGCAATGTCTATGGCATCACTACAGCTAGGTGACCAACAGGTAAGATGAAGGATGCTAATGAAGATCTCACTAAGATCCACCGAGCTGGAATCAAGAGAAGGGGCTAGGTCTGCGCAGATGAAGCCTCCCTTTCTCTGAAGCTCCTGGGCATGCAAATGATGCATGGTTTTTCTGAATTTTGTTTGTTTGTTTGTTTGTTTAGCTATCAATTGCTGTGAAACAAACTACCCAAAACTTAGTGGCTGGTCTCTCCCAACAACCATTTTATCATTGCTCATGATTCTGCGACCAGGATTTCAGACAGCACACAGAGGGTGGCTTGTCTGTGTCCCATGCAATGTCTGCCGAGGCTAGAATGTCCAAGATGACTTCTTCACTCATACATCTGGTCCCTCAATTAGATCGGCTCAAGTAGCTGAAGGCTGACAGAGACACTTTATGGGAGTCAGAAGTCTGTAGCCTCAATTCTCACAGTTGGCTGGGTTCTTCAGTCTCCACGCAATCTATGGGCTTCTCTCTCTCCACAAAGTTCGATCCTTCCAAGATACACAATCAGAAATGGCCAAACCTTCTTAAAGCTGAAGTCCACACCTGGCACTGGGTCCCCTCTACCAGCATTCTAACAGACCTGGATCAGATCAAGAGGAAGAGACAGCACAAGGGTGTGAATGCCAGGAGGCATGGCTCATTGAGAGTCACAGAAGTGACAAGCTACTTTGTCATTCATACCTGTCTTTGGCTACATCCAAACACCCACCCAAGTCTTCTGTGTTAGGCTGTTCTTACATTGCTAGAAAGAAATACCTAAACCTGGGTAATTTATAAAGAAAAGAGGTTTAATTGGCTCATAGTACTGTAGGCTATACAGGCATGATGCCGGCATCTGCTCAGCTTCTGGGGAGGCCTCAGGGAGTTTTAGTCATGGCGGAAGGTGAAATGGGAGCAGGCACTTCACATGGTGAAAGCTGGAGCAAGAGCAGGAGGGAAGAGGTGTCACACTTTTTTAAACAACGAGATTTGAGAGAACTTACTCACTATCTCGAGGATGGATAATACCAAACCATGAGGGATCTGCCCCCATGACCCAAACAGCTCCCACCAGGCCCCACCTTCAACAATGGGGATTACAATTCAACATGAGATTTGGTGGGGACACAGATCAAAACCATATTATCTTCCCAGAATAAGAACTCTCTTATTCCTCAAGCAACTTCTTTTGGATAAGTCCCAGGTCCTATGCATCCCCTCTGCAGTTTCCCTCCTTGGCTTCCCCCATTCACTGACCTCATTTTGTCTTGAAGATCCTTTCTTACTTCCAAAGGCATTTGCACCTCACACTCATTTTTCTTCCAGTACTCTCACACTGGAGTTGATAGCCCATTAGACCCAAAAATCTTCCCCAAAGTGAAACTAGTTTCCCTTTCCTTGAGTTGAGAAGATTTAATATCCAAATTTTCCAGAAGGTTTGGAAGGAGATATTGCATTTCATTTTTCTAGTATAAAAACAAAGGGGAATAAAACAAATGAATTGCTTTTCATTTTGAGAGACAGGCTGGTAGAGTGGTTAAGAGAGTTGACCCCAGAGCCAGCCTGGCGTTTAGTAGCTCAGTGTCTTCATCTATAAAGTGGGGAGTATCCACCCTATAGCACTGTCGTGAGGATTAAATTAATAAAAATATATAAAGCAGGATGAAAAACAGTAGTAAGTGTCTGCTATGATAATAAAAACAGTTGTATCCTGTAACTTGGAGGTCCCCAACCTTTTTGGCACCAGGAACTGGTTTTGTGGAAGACAATTTTTCCATGGACAAGGGTGGAGGGATGGTTTGGGGATGATTCAAGCACATTGCATGTATTGTGCACTTTATGTCTATTATTATATATTGTAATATATAATGAAATAATTATACAACTCACCATAATGTAGAACCAGTGGGAGCCCTGAGCTTGTTTTCCTGCAACTAGATGGTCCCATCTGGGGGTGATGGGAGACAGTGACAGATCATCAGGCATTAGATTCTTATAAGGAGCATGCAACCTAGATCCCTCACGTGTGCAGTTCACAATAGGGTTCATGATCCCATAAGAATCTAATGCCACTGCTGATCTGACAGGAGGTAAAGCTCAAGTGGTAATATGAGTGATGGGGAGTGACTGTACATACAGATGAAGCTTCACTTGCTTGCCCACCATGTGCCTCCCACTGCCTGGCCCAGTTCCTAACAGTCCATGGACTGGGGGCTGGGGACCCCTGCTGTAAACACATCACACATCTTCCTCAAGTTCCCAGTGTGATAGGAGGGGAACCCAAGTTGTTATGATTTTAAAGATATCCATGTTAATCACTTTTCTTGGAAAAGGAAGCTCCATTAAGATGTGAAAAATGTGAACTTGTTTCACAGGTGAAGTAAAAAAAGATGCAAAAAAATGCTAGGCTCTTTGTCCTCAGAAAAGAATATGGATCAATATCAGGCTTCCTCCAATATGTCCAAGTAGTGGGTTCCCAAAGGAAATATATTTGGGGACATTTTCTACCAAAAAATGGTATATCAAGTGATATGGTTTGTCTGTGTCCCCACCCAAATCTCATCTTAAATTCACAGGTATTGTGGGAGAGACCTGGTGGGAGGTAATTGAATCATGGGGACACGTCTTTCCTGTGTTGTTCTTCTGATAGTGAATAAGTCTCACGAGATCTGATGGTTTTAAAAACGGGAGTTTCCTTAAACAAGCTCCTTCTCTTTGTCTGCCACCATCCACGTAAGATGTGACTTGCTCCTCCTTGCCTTTCACCTTCCACCATGATCATGAGGCCTCCCCAGCCATGTGAAACAATAAGTCCATTAAACCTCTTTCTTTTGTAAATTGCCTAGTCTCAGGTATGTCTTTATTAGAAGCATGAAAACAAACTAATACTTTGAGCTACAGATATATGATGTATATCTATATAAGTCTAGATATATGATGTATCTATATATGTATCTTATATAGACAAAACATACATGAATTACTTATATATGTATAGATTCCCAGACTTGCCCACCCTAGCCTGTTGAAATCAACATGTACTGAAAGTGTAAGAGTATGAAAGAAGCATAGTCCCTACCACACACATGGGTTCCCCCAACCTTCCCTCCCAGCTACCCTACCCAGGCTTGGGCCTTGGGATACCCTGGTTCTGAGTCACCACCCGCTGCCTCTCAACATAGTAAGGGTGGAGATGGCAGAGAAAGAAAGTGAAGGGAAAATCTCTAGGGACCATGAGAGCTCAGGTGAGCAGGCAAACATGGAGGAAACTTTGCAACCCAAAACCTCTTCTCTGCCCAGCCCCTTCCTCCTACTCCATAGACCAAGGGTTAATCTCTTAAGAGAGTGTCTTCAGTTTTTCTGACAATGCCATTTTCCAGGCAGACTTTCTTTTTAAAGTAGTCAAATGCTTTTTTTTTTAATAACATAGATATGTCCTCTTTTTTTTTCTTGCCTTAGTGGTTTCCAGCCAACCATATACTTAAACCCGCCTGACCTAGTCATAGAACATGTGGCAAGGACACAACCTACAAGCAGTGGCCCGTTTTGTGTCTGTGGCTCCACAGATCACAGAGCCTGCTCTGGATGACTTTTCTCACCCTCCTCAGGCCCACCCAATGCCTTTGGAACTTGCTGACGGATGTGGTTCTCTGGTTACGATTCTTGGCGCTCTGCAACTGATACCTGCCTCCTCTTCTCTGGGATCTTCCTGAGCTCTGGCCCCCACTCTCCTGGGTTCCCATTGGCCACTGGTGCCCCTACCTTGCTAAATCAAAGATAAGTCACAAGACAGGCCACTTTCCTTCCAGCCTTCAGCTCGGTGGCCACGCAGTTCAGGCAGTTGACCACAACCCAATGACTGACAGACTGACTGTCTTTTACTTTTTCTTTTTCTTTTTCTTTTTCTTTTTTTGGATACAGAGTCTTGCTCTGTCACCCAGGCTGGAGTGCAGTGGTGTGACTTCAGCTCACTGCAACCTCCACCTCCTGGGTTCAAGCAATTCTCCTGCCTCAGCCTCCTGAGTACCTGGAACCACAGGTGCGTGCCATCACGCCTGGCTAATTTTAGTATTTTTAGTAAAGACAGGGTTTCACCATGTTGGACAGGCTGGTCTTGAACTCCTGACCTCAAGTGATCTGCCCACCTCAGCCTCCCAAAACACTGGGATTACAGGTATGAGCCACTGTGCCCGGCCTGAGTTTCTTATTCTGAGCTGAAACAAAGCTCAAGAGAGGGTCCAGAAAGGCTTCTGCATAAACAACTGATACCTGAAAACAGGCAGATTTTCAATGACAACGCCTTGTTTTGCAGCACCGTGATGTCAAGATTATACTGAATTGTGTGAATTAATTTGTTTTATAGATGAATCACAAACACTGGTTTTATTCCTAAGTAATATTTGATGAGTTTCATAACAATTTTTTTTGCAGAACCAAGAAAATAGATGACTCACAAGGGTAATAAAATAGGGTTCTCTCATTTCTCTTGGCAAAGCAAGCAGTCTCCATAAGTTAGTTTTTCTAAATACTTTTTTTTAAGCCAATAAAAAAATCTGAATGTGAACATAGCTATGGGTCATAAGATTCTCCAAGGGCCACAAGCACCTCTCACCCCGAATGTTAGATATTCTTTCTCAGAAGAGTCTCTAAAAAGAGAAATTTTCTCTCTCTTTTGAGTTATAAATAATTCACTTTACTTTTTCATCTTTGATATTTTCTGTGTTGAATATAATGTGGCAGAATCATTTTAAGGTGGGAAAAATTGTCCTAGCTTTCTTTTTTTTTAACTTTTTGGATTTCTTTGTGAGACCTTTTTTATCACCAGGCAAATTGGGGTTCACGTGTCACCAAAGCCAAGAAAATATGACAAAGCCAGAGTGCTTGAAAACAGCTGCAAAAAATTTTTTAAAAAAGGAGGGAGGGGAATGCAGAAGGGGAACAAAAAACCTTTTAAAGACAGTCAAGAAAGATGAGGCAAGTTTTGAAATGTTAATAAAATATGGAAAGATAAAACCATAACACAGTTCAGTTTTGTACCACACAGCATATTTTTCACGAAAACTGCATTTCTTTTTTTTTTTTTTTTTTTTTGAGACGAGTCTCACTCGTCGCCAGGCTGGAGTGCAATGGCGCGATCTCGGCTCACCCCAACCTCTGCCTCCCGGGTTCAAGCGATTCTCCTGTCTCAGCCTCCTGAGTAGCTGGGACTACAGGTGTGTGCCACCACACCCAGCTAATTTTTGTATTTTTAGTAGAGATGGGGTTTCGCCATGTTGGCCAGGATGGTCTCAATCCCTTGACCCTGTGATCCGCCCACCTCAGCCTCCCAAAGTACTGGGATTACAGGCGTGAGCCACAGTGCCCAGCTGGAAACTGCATTTCTCATCCCCATATTCACTTCATCTAGGCCAAAACCTTCTCTTACTATCCCCAAGATCATTATCCCCAAGGACTGTTGACATCATTTCCAATATTAAGATATATTCAAAACAAGTTCCTCCTTATCTGTTCTCTTTTGACATTTGTGCTGTGTTCATGCAACTGTTCAGAGGGCCCACTTTTCCACTTTGACTTTTCTCTCTGAGTCTCAAGGGAAAACACTTCTGATTTCATGGCCTGGACGAGCTGTCTGCACTGTCTCATCCTCTCACTTTCTCCATCATTCATTCATTCACTCATTCAGCCAAGGCTTGCAGACTTTACAGTTGAAAGACAGCATAGTGAAGCGTGGGTTTTAGAGCCAGACTGCCTGTTTCTTACCAGCTCCGTGACCTCAGGTGGTTGACTTACCACTCTGTGCCTCCATTTCCAATCTGTGAAATGGGAATGATGGCAACTATTCCCAACATTATAGAATCAGTGTGAGGATTAAATAAGCCAATGTTTACAACACACTTAGTACACAGCAAACCCTCAGCAAACATTTCTATTGCTATTGCTACCTGCAACTAACTTTTATTTGGTGCTGGGTATTTCTGAAGGAGATACAGAGGAAAAAAAATGATCTTTACCCTTTACCTCTCCCTGGGAAGATGTACTGCCACCCAAACTCAACAGATTTTTGTTTTAAATCACTGCAGCTAATTGTATTGACTTTTAAAACATGGTTTATTTGAGTATTGTAGGACCGTAGTGATTTCAGGCATCTGCACAAGTAACTTTATACACTAAGGTTAATATTGGGTCGTGAGCACAATCTCCCTTTCACCTTTGTTCCATCTTTGCTATGGAAATGGCTCCTCTCAGTGGACAAAATGAGTAATTACATATCCACATCCTCCCATTTAGAGGTCCTGTTCACCATAGTCACCAACATCATTAGTTAATTATTTAATGGAATTAAATTAAATTGTTTGTGTATAAATCTATTTGCGCAAAGATTTAGTCCACAAATTCAAATCCTATTACAATCGTACAACATCATAATTTCCTATCAGAAATTTAATACTGAGCTGTCCCCAACAAAACTCAAAGACATATTTCTACCTAATTAAAATGATGTGTATTCACCTAAAGATGTTTGTGAGGAGCAAGTAGCTTATATGCTTGTTTAATCCAAAGAATGTTTTAAAGGTTCGTCTGGGCCCTTGAAATCAGCAACATGAAATTGGAGGCCCCTATGTTAAGTGACGTCTCTTTACAGTAACTAGATTAAAAGGAGTGAATTGTCTAAATGTATGTTAGTTGAACATATACATTTATATATGTAAAAATATACATATACATTTTGTTGAATTCAATCACGGATGATGATGATGATGATAATGATGATGATGTTGATGAAGATGAAAATAAAGATCACGATGATAGCTAACACTTATGCAACATTTACTACATATGTGTCAGGCACTGTTTACAAACCTCACATGAGGCATTTCACTTTGTCCTCACAAAAACTCTTTCTAGTAGATGCTCTTATCATCCTCACTTTACAGATGAGGAAAGAGTCACAGAGCTTCAAACAACTTGTCTAGAGTACACAGCTAGGAAGTTGCTGAGCTGCAACTTGAACCTTCTTCCTGTGCCTAACAACTACACTATTATTCATCTTCAATAATGATTGGAAATAAAAAACTTGAATGGTATATGAACATTCACTTGTAGAGTTGGAATAAGTTATATGTATTCATAAGCATATGGTTAGTGAAAATGAAATATTATTTACAAGAAAACATTCCAAAGAAGATAAAGAGATAGCAAATAAACCCATGAAAGCATGCTCTACCTCATTAGTCATTAGCGAAATGCATAAAAAGACCACCACACCTCTATTAGAATGGGTAACTTAAGGCCGGGCATGGTAGCTCACGCCTGTCATCCCAGCACTTTGGGAGGCTAAGACGGGTGGATCACTTGAGGTCAGGAGTTCGAGATCAGCCTGGCCAACATGGTGAAACCCCATCACTACTAAAAATACAAAACTTAGCCAGTCGTGGTGTGGGTGCCCATAATCCTAGCTACTTAGAAGGCTGAGGCAGGAGAATCACTTGAACCCAGGAGGCAGAGGTTGCAGTGAGCCGAGATTGTGCTACTGCACTCCAGCCTGGGTGACAGAGCAAAATTCTGTCTCAAAAAAAAAAAATAATAATAGCAACTGGAAAACCTGTGCATTGCTGATGGAAATGCAAAATGGCACAGGGTTTTTGGGAAAGCTTTCTCTTATAAAGTTAAACATTCACTTATGACCCAGCAATCTCACTCCTAGGTATTCACCCAAGATCATGAAAACACATATGTCCACACAGATACCTGCAGATAAATATTTACAGTGGCTTTATTAATAATCATCAAAAACTTGAAATAATACAACTATCCATCCACTGGTAAATGCAGAAACAAACTATTATACATTCATGCAATGGAATGCTCCTCGGCCATAAACAAACACATTGCTAACATGTGCAACAACATGAATGAATCTCATGCTAAGTGAAAGAAGGCCACTCAAAACGCTACGTCCTATAGGATTCCATTCATGTGACAGTCTCCAAAAAGCAAACCTCCAGGGAAGGAGAATGGATCATTGGTTGCCAGATACTAGGTAGAGGAAAAGGCACAATGACCCCTTGGGATGATGAGAATGTCTATGACTTGATTTTGGGGGTGGTTACATGAGCATATGTGTTTTCCAAAATTCACAGAACGATGTGCCTAAAAAGGGTATTTTTTTTTTACCATGTTAGTTATACCTCAATTTGGACATTAAAATATAAAAGAAGGGAGGAAGGAAGAAAGGACTGGCTGGGTATGGTAGCTGGCACCTGTAATCCCAGCACTTTGGGAAGTCGAGGTAGGAGGATCATTTGAGCCCAGGAGACAGAGACCAGCCTGGACAACATAGTGACAACCTGCCTCTACAAAGAATAGAAAAAATTAACCAGGTATGGTAGTGCATGCCTATAGTCCCAGCTACCTGGGAGGCTGGAAAGGAGAATCGCTTGAGCCTGGGAGACATAGGCTGCAGTGAGCCATGACTGCACCACTGCACTCCAGTCTGGGTGATGGAGCAAGATCCTGTCTCAACAAGAGGAAGAAGAAGGATGAGGAGGGGAAGAAGGAGGGGGAGGAGGAGGAAGAAGGACTAACAAAAGACTCAAAGAAGAAGGAAGAAGAAGGGGAGGAGGAGGAGGAGGAGAAAGAAGAAGAAAGAAGGAGGAGAAGGAGAAGAAAAGAAGAAGAAGAAGAAGAAGAGAAGAAGAAAAGAAGAAGAAAGAAGAAGAAAGAAAAGAAGAAAGAAGAAGAAGGAAGAAGAAGAAAGAAGAAGAAAGAAGAAGAAGAACAAGAACAAGAAGAACAAGAAGAAGAAGAAGGAGGAGGAGGAGGAGGAGAAGAGGAAGAAGGAGAAGAAGAAGAAGAAGAAGAAGACCTAATAAAAGACTCAGTGTAGTCCAATGGTTAATAGTGTGGGGCTAGGGGTAGGCTTTCTGGGTTCAAATAGAGTTTGACCACTGTGGGACCTGAGGTAAGTTATTAAACCTCTGTGCCTCAATTTCCTCATATGAGATAACACTTATTACTTCAGAGCCGTCATGAGGATTAAATTAATGTTTTTAAAGCACTTAGAATAGTATCTGGCATACAGTAGGTTCTCAATAAGTATTCGTAGCATGAATAATATTATAGACCATAATGCAACACACTCTATCAGAAAATTATGTTAGCTTTAGAGGAGGCAGAATCAGGGCTGGCTGAGTCATGTGCCCTGAGGCTGGTGCCTACTAATCCAAGCCAGCAATAGGCATCAGATTCACATCTGTTTTAACCTCCTGATTCTGAATATTCAGCTAAATCCCTAGTAGATTCACACTGCTCCAAACCAACCCCTAAACTAGGATCTCCACTAGCACCAAACTTGTCTGTCCAAACTCAAAGTTAAAGACCAGATTTCCATAAATTCCTGGGTGTAGAATTTACAGTGTGAGTAACTTCCGCCACAAAAGCTCAACTGATCATAAGCAGTTTCCCCACAAGTCCACCACATTCCTTCTACTCCACTTGGATGTGGGGACATTCACAATGGCAGGAAGAGAACCCTGGCAGACTCTGCTGGACTCACCCCAGAGATAGGTGGTCTCTCAGTAGTGATGAGAGTGAGACTCAGGAATACAGAGGGAAGGGAAATGAGGCAGGGGCCACCTGCAGAGAGTGCTCCCGTGGCTGGATCTAGTGAGATCACCCTTCAAGAAGCCATGCAAATGGCACTACAGGACAGTTAGTCCAGGGGTGCAAAGCGGAAGAATTTATCCACTGGCTCCTATGTCCCAGGGTCAAATGTTTGCCCCGTGTGGCGTTGCCTCCGCCATGCTTCATGGCTGTGCATGCATGAACACTGAGCATGGTCTGTAGTGTTTCATGCCTCATCCCAGGCCAAAGCAAGAGACAGGCATCACAGAAGGGGGTGGGGCAGATCAGGGAACACCAAGGGAAAGTCACTTGGAGCTCTCACAGAGCCGGTTGCCACTATAATAACTGGAAAAGTAGGTCAGGCCAAGAGGCTATGAATTGTGCATAAGAGATATCTGAGTCTCCACAACACAGTAGTTCCACTCCTGCTAGATCCTGGAAAAGAAAAATCTCACACATTTTCACAAGGAGACAGGTACTAGAATTTTAATGTATTTTATTTTATTTATTTATTTATTTATTTTGAGATGGAATCTCACTCTGTCACCCAGGCTGGAGTGCAGTGGTGCGATCTCGGCTCACTACAACCTCCGCCTGCCAGGTTCAAGCGATTCCCTTGCCTCAGCCTCCCGAGGAGCTGGGATTACAGGTGCCTGCCACCACACCCAGTTCATTTTTGTTTTTTTTTTTTCTTTTTTGAGATAGAGTTTTGTTCTTGTTGCCCAGGCTGGAGTGCAATGGTGCGATCTCAGCTCACTGCAACCTCCGCCTCCCAGGTTCAAGCGATTCTCCTGCCTCAGCCTACCTAGTAGCTGGGATTACAGGCATGCGCCACCACGCCCGGCTAATTTTGTATTTTTAGTAGAGACGGGGTTTCTCCATGTTGGTCAGACTGGTCTCGAACTCCCGACTTCAGGTGATCTGCCCACCTCGGCCTTCCAAAGTGCTGGGATTACAGGCATGAGCCACCGCGCCCGGCAGGTACTAGAATTTTATTGTCGCATTGTTATGTATGTATGTTTTTATATTTTGATCTTATGTCCAGGGTTAATCCTACAGTATTAGAATTAGCAATTCTAATTCTTTACGTGTTGGTAAGATTCTTACATTGTTGGTAAGATTTTGTATGTTGATACCTGCAGCTCTAATTCATTTTTATTGTTATATAATGATTTATTTGCTTGTTTTACTACAGAGTAGTCATCCATTCTCTCATGGGTGGACTTTTAGATCGTTTAAGTAGTCCGCTTCTCCTCCCCTTCCTTCTCCTCCTTTCCTATTACATAACAATGCAACAATAAAATTCTAGTACCTGCCGAGCGCGGTGGCTCATGCCTGTAATCCCAGCACCTTGGGAGGCTGAGGCAGGTGGATCACCTGAGGTTAGGAGTTCGAGACCAGACTGACCAACATGGTGAAACCCCATCTCTACTAAAAATACAAAAATTGGCCAGGCATGGTGGTGTGCGCCTTTAGTCCTAGCAACTGGGGAGGCTGAGACAGGAGAATTGCTTGAATCCGGGAGGAAGAGCTTGCAGTGAGCCAGCTGAGATCGTGCCACTACACTCCATCCTGGGTGACAGAGTGAGACTCCATCTCAAAAAAAAAAGAAAAATGCTTTGGCAACAGTTTATACTGCACATCAATACTAAATTCAGACTTTGTTTCGGGCCTCAATTCTTATTTTTTTAACTTTTTACCAAGAATCTTGCCCAACTGAAGGAAATATCAAATGCATTTTTATAGTGAATTCTCAGTATATACAGAGTAAATTTCAATTGTGCAAATGGTAGATATTAACATGCCTTCAGTGAGTAGGATGAATCAAAGGGAAAATATGAAAATAATTGAAAAGTTCTAGAAATGAGCTATTTGTCTTCTCTACACAAGAAAAAGTAGCACCCAGTTCCATGTGACTCCTTGTTAACAGAGGCAGTCACCATCCTCCAGCTGTGGTCGTCTCCAAAGATGACCACCATGCTATCAACTCTCCCTGCCTGTATGTACATCCATTCCTCTAATGAGAGGTGGAGTGTACTTCTTTTCCTTTGAATCTGGGCTAGCCCCTTGCTCTGATGGATAAAATATGTCAGAAGTGAATTTTGAACTCAGGAGTTAAGCTGACCCTTTCTACCTCCTTCTTGGAACATTCATTCTTGGAACTGAGGCATCAAATTTTGAGGAAGCCTAAATAACTACATTGCAAGGCCCATATGGGGGAAAACAAAGGTCTTTGGTAAACAGCCCTAGCTCAGCTCCCAGCCAACATGCAGTACCAACTGCCAGACATGTGAGTGAGCTCTCCTGGGTCTTTCTTCCCAGTCGAGCCCTCAGAAGACTGCAGAGTCAGCTGACATCGCATGGAGCAGAAAAACTGACCCCAAGTCCATTTCACCCATAGAATTAGGAATAGTAAGATGGCTGTTGTTTTAAGCTACTGTATTTTAAATTGGCTTATTCCACAGTAATTGATAGCTGAAACAGAACGTGATATCTAGAAGTGAGATACTGTAACAGAAACCAAAAACATACAACATTGGCTTTAAGACTGGGTGGGGCAGGCGGGAGCCAGAAAGGTCTCAAAAAACCACTAAAGGAGACTGGAAGGAGAGTGAGGAAATTGTTATTGGAGGCTGAAGAAAAGGCAACTCATACAATATATTGGTAGAACATTTAACAACACTGTCAAACTATGAAGCCAATGGAAAGAGAGATGAACCAAAAAAAAGGACTGCTCAGATTGAGAGCAGAATTTAGAAAACACGTTGAGAACTCAGGACTCAACAAAAGATTCTCAAAGGAAGAAATGTCCTTAAGGCAAGTATTAAACCCAGGTTGCTGCAAGTAAAATATAGTGTCAGAGAAAATGTTCAAATCAAAAGTGCAGGCGTAAGACCTTAGAAAGATTTGAGACAGTGCCTCAATAACCTTCTTCATTTCCAAGACAGAAGGGCTTCCAAGAATCTTAAGGGATTTGTTCTATAGCATTTTTAATCTCAGTCCAAGGTTTAGATGCTCCTGTCTCAAGGAGAATTCTGAGTGTCGCATTTATCTAAGGGATTGGAATTATAATTTGATGCACAGGAAACCTATAAGGTTTTTAAAGGAATTATATTAACTTGGTCTAAAAGATACAGAGATGGTTCAAAATGAAAAGAGGTCTCTGGGTCCTTAACCTCTTATAAAGAGAAAGGAGATTGAGACTGTCTCCTACTCAGCTGCAAGCATAGATAATTTCTTATAGAAAAGAACAGGTCACTAGAGAGCTGAGTCAAGAACCACAGAGAACCATGAAAGAGATCCTGATTCAAAAAATGACAACACATGCCTGGCTGGATTTCAGAATTGCTATGAACTAGTTAAAGCTATTGGCCTGTTGTTTTCCCACTTTTTGAATGGGAGCATTTATTGCATTTATCTTGTCCCTTTTTCACATTTTATGTGAGAGGTTGTATACAGGGCAGATAACTTGTCTTTCTAGTTTAGAGGAATTTTCTCTCAAGAAACCACACCAGAGAAGCTGCACTCAAGGATTCCTATCCATGCTTGAAGCTAGTAATATGATCCTGTACTTTGTTTGAGCCAATACCATGATGCTAATATGAGGAGAGGAGATGAGTATATTTTGCATATTGTGGTAGGTAGTATCTAAAGATGGGGCCCCTGTGCACATGTGTGCCACTCTCACAGTGAGTGGAGTTTTATTTCATCTCCTCTTGAATCTGGGCTGGCTCTATGACTTCTTTGACCAACAGAATTGGTCCAGCCTTAAGTGGACTGCCTTCAAAGGCAGCCTTAAGTGAGTTCAGCCTTCTGAGAACTGACAATTTCTGCTTCCTTCCTTTCGGGTGCCTATTCTTAGACTCAAGATGCTATATTGTGAAAAACCCCAACCTACACATGGAGAAGGCCATATGAAAGAGAACTAAGCCCCAGCTGAGGTCCCAGGCAATGGCCAGCACTATACACAGCAATGGCCAGCTCTGTGAATGAGCCCTTTGGGACATTTTAACCCAATCAAGCCCCAAAATTACTGCAGCCACAGCCAAAATCATGTGTAGCAGAAGCTTCTTCCAAATGAGCTCAATCAACTTGTAGAACTGGGAAAGATAATAAAATGGTTGTTGTTTTAAGCTGTTAAATTTTAGGGTGGTTTGTTACTAGCATTAGACAGCTGAAATACAAATCCTGTGCAAATCTCCAGCGATAAAGCAGTTGTGTGCATTTGATCCCAAAGGGCATCATTTTAAGCTCATTTGCATCATATAATTGTTTAATTCTTCCTGAGATATAATTGCAAATTATCCAAGTCATGCTTGCAAGTGAATCAAGAAGAAAAAAATCTTAATTTTATTAACTACTGATTTACCCACATCAATCTGATTTACACACCAACCTTTATTTTGATGCTTCCTTGGATGGAAAAATAAATAAATAAAAATAAAGCCCAAGGTCAAAACAGTCAAATAGAAACTAGTAAGTATTTCTTGAGTTACTGCTTCCTACTATCATGGACACTTTGCATGGTGGTGAAAATAGAAGAATCTTTGCCCTCAAAGTTCTCACCATATGACAGATAAGAACAGGCCAGGCTTCAGAGGCTGGCAACTTGACTTTGCCATCACATTGCCTCTCATACACCAGTCTCCATACTCTGAGCACCCACTAGCTAGCTAATTAGCAGTGACTGCTGTCTATTTCCAGGAACATCTATGTGAGTCCTTAGGATTGTATACAGAGACAACCCGAGTGCCCCCCGGCCCTTTCTAGGGTCTCTCTTGCTCAGATTATGAGCGAATGGGAGCCAAGGGATGATTTCAGGGGGAGCTCTGCAGACCCAGTGTTCCAGGTCTTCCATGCCCACCAGCCCTCTGCCCTGGTGCCTGCCACCACTGTCCTGGCCTTCGACTCCAGTCCACGCTGCTAGACTCTCCTGTAGAAGTCAGGCATGGTGGCTCATGCCTGTAATCCCAGCACTTTTGGAGGCTGAGGAGGGTGGATTGCTTGAGCTCAGGAATTCGAGACAAGCCTGGGCAACATGGTGAGACCACATCTCTACTAAAAATACAAAAAATTAGCTGGTGTGGTGGTGCATGCCTGTGGTCCCAGCTACCCTGGAGGCTGAGGTGGGAGGATGGTTTAAGACCAAGGTGCAGTGAACCGAGATCACACCACTGGATTTCAGCCTGGGTCACAGAGCGAGACCTTGTCACACAAAAAAAAGAATCTCCTGCAGACTTCTAACCTTCACGTGCTGTGGGCCTGTGTCCACACCTCCACTTATTTCTCCCAGGCAGCTTGGCCTCTGTCAACCCTTATGTCCACCTTTCAAAGAAAGGTCCCACAGCCCTTTCATTTGGATCCCTTGGAACTCCAATCTTTCCTTTATGCCCCAGGACCTGTCCTCCGCTAAGAGTCACAGCACTCTCAAGTGAGGCTGCAGGACTAGGAGGAGGTGATGTTGGGGTGCCCTGCCCTGGGGGAGGCACAGCCCCACACCGAAGCACACCCATGCTCCCCTCCTTCACCCAGATCCCTGCTGCTTCACCTGCTACACCCACCACTCTTCAGAGGTCCTATTGCTATCTGACATTGTCTTGGGTATTTACCCATTCTAGTTTTTATTGCCTGTCCCCTCTCATGCCCCGTGGAAATGGCGATTGCTTGTCTATTTGTTGTCAGGTATCTCCAACGCATCATGTGGCACATAGTAGATGTTCAATTAGTATAGTCATCCTTTGCTTAAAGATGGTGATACATTCCAAGAAGTGTGTTGCAAGGCAATTTCATCATTGTGTGAACGTCATAGCATGTACTTATGCAAACCTAGATGGCACGGCCTACCACACACCTAGGTTATATGGTACAGTTTATTCCTTCTAGGCTACAAACCTGTACTGCAGGTGACTAT
Organism: Homo sapiens; assembly: GCF_000001405.40. Taxonomy (NCBI): domain Eukaryota; kingdom Metazoa; phylum Chordata; class Mammalia; order Primates; family Hominidae; genus Homo; species Homo sapiens. The sequence goes on from NC_000009.12 coordinate 87,334,108, forward strand.
GCAGAATACTGTAGGAAACTATAACACGATGGAAGGTATTCATGTATCTAAACATATCTAAGCATAGGAAGGGTATAGTAAAAAATGTGGCATGAAAGATTTTTAAAAAGTGGTACACCTGTATAAGGCAGGCCTGCCTATGAAAACCTTGTGGGACCACCATCATATATTCAGTCCATCATCAACCGAAATGTCCTTAAGGGGCACATGACTGTATATGTTTAATCAATTACTATTTATTCCTCCTTTGTGGTGGATTTTCTTTCAGGAATTCAATGGTTTTATCCTACAGACCATCAGGGGCTCTCTATGCCTATATAGTCTTCCCAGTCTAGTGTAAACCAAGGGAAGTGTCAGGGAATCTTAGTGTCCCTTGACATGCTGGGGCTCCCAGGGCACTCCATGAATAAATAGAAAGCGGTTGTGTCCAGGATATGCAGAGGACTCTGGGGAAAGTATGAATCATCAGGCCCTGATAGTTTGAAAGTGACCTTTCACACCCTGCCAAGACACTGCATTACCGAAGAAGAGGTAATTGATGGCACAAAGCAATAGATGGTGCCCGATAGAATGGATTACAAGAGGATAGACCATAAACCTCAGCCATGATGCCTAACAAGGAATGTTCTCAGAACTCTGTAGGCCCAATCTCAGAACAAGTGAATTAGAATATCTAAATCAAAGGCTAAAATGCGCTTAGAAAATGCTTGCCAAGTGAAATGACATGATTCACTTCGGGTTAAGAACTATTGGCCTAGGCCGGGCATGGTGGCTCACGCCTGTAATCTCAGCACTTTGGGAGGCCAAGGCGGGTGGATCACTTGAGGTCAAGAGTTCGAGACCAGCCTGGCCCGCATGGTGAAACCCCATCTTTACTTAAAATACAAAATTTAGCCAGGTATAGTGGCACATGCCTGTAATCCCAGCTACTTGGGAGGTTGAGGCAGGAGATTGCTTGAACCCTGGAGGTGGAAGTTGCAAAAAAAAAAAAAAAAAGGAAAAAAACTACTGACCTAAAGAAATAAAAATTCCTTTTTGATTAGAAGGGGCTAATATTGTTTTGGTGTAGGTACTGGATTGGCAAGAAGGCTGTCCTGCATAAATTCATGTCTTTACAATAGGCTCCTATTAAAATGCACCAGCTTCTCCCAGTCTCCTTGCCTTTATCTTCTAAGGAGGTTATAATGCAAAACCAAACATCAACCAATCTTAGTTTGGTCAAGTCAGGAAAGAAACAGCAGGAGAGAAATAATACAGAGGCTGCATTATTTGCTTTCCAAGTTATTATCCAAACTATGAAATATTTGCATTTTGGGGACTAATAAAAATAACATAATAAAATGAAGATAATATCTTTAATGCTATCATCTTCCAATAGCTTTGTTATTGAGAAATACTGGTGTGTTTTTCTATTTGCATTTCCAAGTATATACTCACTCAATCTGCCAGAAGCATCCATTTGCCTCTAAGAGGATTTAGAATAATTACATCAGGAATGCACAAAAGGAGTTGATTTTTCTGCTTTGACTACACAAATTGTATTTTTGTGTCTCTAGAAATAGGATCGTTTTGACAATTCTGAAGAATCTAAGTGAAGCTTGGCAATACTGATTCTGCTGCTTTGCTGTAAGTCATAGGATAGAAAGAATGCAAGATGTGCCGGGCATGGTGGCTCATGCCTGTAATCCCAGCAATTTGGGAGGCCAAGGCAGGCAGATCATGAGGTCAGGAGTTCAAGACCAGCCTGGCCAATATGGTGAAACCCCGTATCTACTAAAAATATAAAAATTAGCTGGGCGTGGTGGCGCACACATGTAATCTCAGCTTCTCAGGAGGGTGAGGCAGAAGAATCACTTGAACCCAGGAGGCTGAGGTTGCAGTGAGCCAAGACTGTGCCACTGCACTCCAGCCTGGGCAACAGAGCGAGACTCCATCTCAAAAAAAAAAAAGAAAGAAAGAATGCAAGATGTGATGAAAGGAAAACTTCTGATATACAGAAAGGAGAAGAACCTTCCTCTTCTAGCCCAGATGGAACATGGGAGGGAAGAGAGAAAAACAGAGTGAAGAGGTTGGTTGCCAATGTCTTTGATATCTATCCCTTTCTGCGACCTTAGGGTAAACTTGGAAACTCCCAAGCCTGTCTTTGGGAAGTGGGTCTTTGGTATACCCTCACATCCAACATGGCAGGACTAGCAATGGTGAATAAGATATCTACGTAGACATCCTGAGAAAATGTTACTGGTGCCCCAGAGCCTATGCATGGTCTGCAGAAGATCCACAAACGTGTCCTCAAAGGTTCTGAGATTAGCTGTGCTGACCAAAGATCACAAAGCTATGGGGTCTGTGGAACATGGGGACTCATGACCCCTACCTGACATGCAGCCAGAAGGGACCAGCTGCACACAACAAGCTCCATGCAGAGACCCATAGAAGGCCCAGCCCATCTGCAACTAGCAGATGAAGGACTGGTGCTCAGGGACACAGTATCTCCTCCCACCACCCCAAGGTTATGTCACTTCTTTCATGCAGCCAGATGCCATCTAGCGGGGTGAGGAAAACAGCAAGAAATCTGAAATACTGAGATAGTTGAGAAACAGGCTCTCTCTCTCTCTCCTGGGTTTTTCTCCACCCCCAGCACATGAAAGAATTGTAAGGAAATTTAGATGATTGATAATAAACTATAAAATATAAAATCTGGATTATCATTATATATTTTATGGTGATGGGTAGATTTCCATACTCGCCACAATTACTAGCCTTTCCTAAATTAGGACATTTTCTGGAATGTTCTTCTAATAAAAACTAAGTCATTATCATTATACTTAGATTTTATAACCAAGAATTCCAAAGTCATATTACCAGTCTACTACGCTTTCCCAATGAATCCATCCTGTAAGTCTAATTTCTAAATACACTTGTTGTCCACAAGGTGGCCCTAGAAGCAATAGAATACAGTTCACCTCCAGAGCAGCCCGACCGCTAAAAGGACTCAATCCTTTTTGTTTTCCCATTTATGAGCAATTAACGGAGTGAGAACAGAAAAAAAAAGAGCACAATTAAACATTGTACTAATAAACTGATAACGCGTCTTCAGTGTTTGTTTTTACCAAACAGAGCAGAACTATGAATCATGCGGCCGCGGAACTGCACACCTTGGCTGTGTATGGCACCGAGGCACCTTGCGTTACCTCCGAGGATGTCTGCCAATTTTTTAAACATGCAAAACCATAGTGTCAGTAAAAGAAAAGTTCCCAGAAGACTCGCAATTGTGCAAATGGGGGGGGAAAAAAAACAAACAGGCATCAGCCATCACAAAATTCCAGATTGCCAGATTCCTTGATTGTGGCTTTTAAGCAAAACACAGCCAGCTGCCTGTATTTAACGTTAATTGTTAAGCTCCAAGTCTCAGCCAATCATTTTACTTCTGAGCTGGCGCTGTAACAGCAACACAAATATGAAACTCTCTCCCTGACCCAGTTTAGTGTGGGGGGGAGGGGGGAAGGAGACAATGAATAATTAATTCTGGGATTTGGTCAGCTTTCCTGTGAAGAACACATCGCTAGCTTCCTAAAGCAAAACAACATCTGTGCCTGAAAACTTCTCTTGCGTCTTCAAGATGAGCTGATGGTGTGTTTATAAACCCCGTAAAAATCCACCTCTTATCTCTTCTCCCCACCAAAGAGCCATGTTCGCACTTTAAGGAGTGAGTCTTCTGTTTATGATTGGCTAGAGGGGTGGCCACCTTTCTCATGTGGTCCTCTGCTGAGAACTCACTCGGCTGATGATTTCCCTGTTCTTGACCCTTTGTGTGATTTGAAGGTTTCTCGCTCCTCCCAGATTGCTAACAGCGCCAAGTATCTAGTCTCCTATTTTTCCTCGGGGGATGGATACCTTAGCCTCCTTTCTCGGTCTGGAATGCAAAGAACGCAGCTTCATTTGAGTGAATGGAGAATTCTTTGTAGGCAGAAACGATCTCTCACTCCTCTCTCATATTCCTGTTCAATCTTTCTATCTCATAAACCATAAACGACAGGCAGATGTCTAAAAAAGCATCTGGTTTTTAGAATCCCCCCAGTCACCGGACCTGGGGGGAGGTGTCCTCCTCCAGAGCACACCGAGCAATCTCCCGCAACCAATCTGACTTTTTGAGTCTGGCTTTGAGGTCTTGTTGCCAGAAAAGGGAGTCCTGAATCCAGACCCCAAGAGGGTTCTTGGATCTCACGCAGGAAACAATGTAAGGCGGGTCGCAGAGTGCAGTGAGAAGAGAGAGTTGATTGAAAGATACGCAGTTACAGAGTAGGGATCCTCAGAAAGCAAGAGGAGGAACGCTTCATCTTTGTTTTGTTTTTCTTACATGGGGGTCTTTTCTATGCAAAAGATAAGCTATGTCTCTGTGCAGGTGGGCTGACAGCATGGCAAAATTGCTTATTTTTTGCTGACTCAAAGAAAACTCTCCTAGTCATATAGTGTGTAAATACATCAAATCATACGTGTAATTACCTTAGAAGCATGCATTGTTATGGATATTGGGACATCTGGACATTCCATTGTCATAGGAGTGTGTCCTTGCAGGTATCATCAAGCTGTTTTCTGAACTGTAAACATCTTAGGGCTGTGGGTTGTGACCAGCAAGGAATGTGCCTTATTAGTGTCAAGATGGAGCTGAACTTCAAATGACGTGACTCTGACTCTCCTATGCTCTTGTTTCCCTAACAGTCTGACAAGGTTAACCTTCAAGGACTGCATCAGGAATTGGTCACAGTGCTTAGCAACAGGTTCTCTTCACTCTTGTCATTTACATATAGACGACAGCTAATATTCAAATCCGTGTAGGCAAACCCACAGTTGATTAAATTAAATCTCTTCTCTAGCTTGATTTGCATAACTTGAAATAATCAGAATAGAGAGTGAATGCATAATTGAAAAGAGAAAATACGTACTGCAGCTATTTGAAACTAGATGTCGTTGAATTAAGCTTGTAAATTCTGATAGTACTGAATGTACAACTGTTCTAGGCTAACTTTACATTTGAAATGTTAAGAAATGTGAGTTGTGAACTGGAAAGTTAATTAACAAACAAAATCTTAGAATATTGCACTTTGTTATGGCAGCCCTAGAAATAAACAAAATTTAAGAGAAAAAAGAAATTTTTTGACTAACAATAACAACATTTTAAGTTGTTTTTTTTTTTTTTTTTTTGAGACGGAGTTTTGCCCAGGCTAGAGAGCAGTGGCGCAATCTCCACTCACTGCAACCTCCGCCTTCCGGTTTCAAGCAAGTCTCCTGCCTCAGCCTCCAAAGTCACTGGGATTACAGGCACCCGCCACCACGCCCAGCTAATTTTTTTGTATTTTTAGTAGAGACCAGGTTTCACCATGTTGGTCAGGCTGGTCTCAAACTGCTGACCTTGTGATCCACCCACCTGGGTCTCCCAAAGTGCTGGGATTACAGGCATGAGCCACCATGCCCGGCCCCAACATTTTAAATTTTTTAAGAGAAAAACTGTCGAGCAAATGACCTGAATAGTTTGCTGGCACTATTTTACAAGAAAACAGAAGCAGTTCCTGCATACCATGTTCTATTCTAACTCTTGCAAGGAAAAGAATTTAGCCAGTGTTTCCTTTATTTTAGAGCAAAATCTACTCACTGTAAGATCTTCCCCATTACTGCACCCAGACTCCCAGTTCTCTTTCTTTATGGCCCATATAGGACCCTCACACCTCCACCCACTACCCGCATTGCCTTTATGAAAAAGCAGACCCTGATCTGGCTGGGCTCAGTGGCTCACGCCTGTAATCCCAGCACTTTGGAAGGCCAAGGCAGCCAGATCAGGAGGCCAAGAGAGCGAGACTACCCTGGCCAACATGGTGAAACCTCCACTAAAAATACAAAAATTAGCCGGGCATGGTGGCTCAAGCCTGTAGTCCAAGCTCCTCGGGAGGCTGAGGCAGGAGAATCGCTTGAACCCAGGAGGCAGAGGTTGCAGTGAGCCGAGATTGTGCCACTGCCTGCCAGCCTAGTGACAGAGCAAGATTCCATCTCAAAAAAAAAAAAAAAGCAAAGCCTGAAGAAACAAAAATCCACCATGCACCGCAAAGACAGAGAGACCCTGCTGCTAAGCAATGTCACTTTGTAGACCAGGCACAAGCAGTCCTTCATTTTGTTAATTTCACCTTGCCTTGCTGTTCCCATCACCTGGGGTATCAAAAAGAGAAAGGAAAAAAGCAAGTGGGCGTGGCAACAATAACTTGGATCCCTAGAGTATACACCTCCCACCCCCTCACCCCCAATACTTCCCATTTAATTCTCAAAAGCAGAGGCAGCACCAGGCCTAGGCCATGCACCCCGGCTCTAGCAAAAGCAGAAAGCACTACAGATGAGGTCAATCTGAGAGGCAGTCTTCATCCCGGCCTCAGGCATGGTTATAAAATGTTTGCAATTTGGAAAACGTGGATCACTGATGTGTAGCAAGGGCAATAAATGCTTTTCTCCCACAGTTGTTGTGGAGCTCCATTCTCCCAGCCAACCCTGAGCAGACTTGCTCCTTCCCTAGGATGACAGTATTCTTTCGTCACAGAATGTCTATAAGAATGAATGTGCAGAGTACATTTTTTAAGGTAAATGCCCTAAATGTGTGGTTGAAATCAACATTTTCAAGCTGTCAAAAATAAGAGATAAGTTGTTCAAGTTTAAGAGTAAACAAGGATTTATAACAACATTAGTGAGAACTTCCTTTCTATTGCCTTACATTAAGTCAAACAGTGATCATTTTATTCAATATCCACCTCACTTAAGGAGATAGGAATGATTGCTCCTTCTTTTTTACAGATGAGAAAACTGAGACTTCATCAGGTGAAGCAACTTGTCCAAGGACATGCCACTAGAAAGAAGTGACCTATGATTCAAGCCCAGGCAATCTATTACAGAAAGCCCCACTCTTCACTGCCCCACTGTGCTGTCTTCCAAAGAGCATGAATAACTAGACTGGATATTTACAGACTGTTTTTCTTTAACAGGCAAGATGGACAAAACTGTTCAGAAGTGGTTGTTTGTGCCTATCTAAAGGACTTCCTGCCCTAGCAACATTTGGTCCACATCCCTAAGCTCTTCTTTGCTTTGACTCAATTTATCTTCCAAAGCCGAAGTCACAACAGGATGATCTTCCTTCAGAGAACCCCCAGAAAGTTGTGTTTTCATCAGCCAGAAATTCCAGAGAACTTGGGGGGAAAATCCCGAGGATTTCAGAACAAACTAAGCAGCTAAAGCAGAGATTCCGGGAGACCTTTCTGACAAACAAGCGTGAGGTGTTTGCTTCTCTGCCCTGTGTTGCTTGAAGAGAATGCTGTGCCTGGCTCTTTTAACTCTAAGAACCAAGGACTCAATAAGTTGATGTGAGTGAGGGAGGCCATTGCAGGACACCAGAGAACAGCCATACTCATGAAGAGAGAGAAACCCAGATATATCCTAGAGACAGCAGATGTCTGCAGACTGTTTCCTCCTCCTGAGAAGTCCCTGGGCACCTCCCAGCCTCCCTTGCAGCTTGGTTCAGATCATGTAACTGAGTTCTAGCCAATTCCAGTCCTGATCCTTAGAAACATCCCTTCAGCTCCTGCTTCCCAGTCTTAACATCTTGGGCACCAACCATTCCAGGTGGTGTAGCTACAAGAAGGAGGCAGCCCTACTCATATTGGAATTTGCATAAGAAACAGATAAATCTTGATTATGTTAAGCCACTGAGATTTCAGGATGAATTTGTTACAGGAGCATAATCTAATCTATCCTGACTTCAGCGCAGGGCAAATTAATCACCTAGAAGGTTATTGAAAAATATATTTCCATTCTATTATAAAGATGCATGCACGCATATGTTCATTGCAACACTATTCACAATAGCAAAGACATGGAATCAACGTGAATGTCCATCAATGATAGACTGGATAAAGGAAATGTGGTACATATACACCATGGAATACTATGCAGCCATAAAAGGGAACAAGATCATGTCCTTTGCAGGGACATAGAGCTGGAAGTCGTTATTCTCAGCAAACTAACACAGGAACAGAAAACCAAACACCACATGTTCTCACTTGTAAGTGGGAGCTAAATGATGAGAACACATGGACACATTGTGGGGAACAATACAAATTAGGACCTGTGGTCAGGGAGGGAGAACATCAGGAAGAATGGTTATTGGCTGCTGGGCTTAATACCTAGGTGATGGGTTGACCTGTGCAGCCAACCACCATAGCACACGTTTACCTATGTAACAGACCTGCACATCCTGCACATGTACACTGGAACTTAAAAGTTAAAGAAAATAAGAAATAAAAATTTTTTAAAAAAGAAAGGTACTTAAATATATATAGAGAGAGATAGATTTCTAGATTGTCCTCCCTGATGAATTTCTTGGGGCACAAGAATGAGGGAACAGGCTGAATTTGAGGCAGGTACCCTAGGGCTGGTGTATGAGGTACAAAAGAAAAAGAAAAAATATCTAAGAAAGAAGCTGTATGATTTTTGTGATGGTTTGGAGGAGGCACTGGAGAAAGAGAAAAAGAAAGGAAAAAGAAAGAAAGAAAGAAAGAAAGAAAGAAAGAAAGAAAGAAAGAAAGAAAGAAAGAAAGAAAGAAAGAAAGAAAGGAAGGAAGGAAGGAAGGAAGGAAGGAAGGAAGGAAGGAAGGAAAAGAAATGGAAGGAAGGAAGGAAGGAATGGAGGGAAGGCAGGCAGGCGAAGATGACCCAAGGCTTCCAGCTCAAGAGCCTGAAAAAATAATGAGATTGTGGGAGTCTGCCAAGTTCTTTTTCGAGGGAAGGAGGAGTTTGACCTCAGGGTGCCGGTGGTGCAAGCTGGAGTGCATCTGTGCAGCTGGAAATGCCCTCTGGGATGTGAGGAAGGCAGGCTTGCCGATGAGGGACTGGGCTGGGACTCCTCCACGATGTCTGGGCTCCCCCAGCAGTGAGCACACAGAAAAAGGCCAGGAGGTGAAGGCCCGAGCACAGGGGAATGGCAGCAGCTGAGACTCCGAGAAGGTACCAGAAAAGGAGCAGGAATGAGAGTATTTGGAGCACACAGTGCCAGTGGTTACAGAAAGCAGCCACAGGGTGGGGAAGGGTCGCGAAGAGGCCCCTCGCCCAGCTTTGGTTTAACCCTACCTGCTTTTCATCCCTTGCTAACCTCATCAGCACCTCACTAACCACTTGCCCCATCTGTGCCAGGCTCCTGCCCGGAATGCCTTCTCCTTGCCTCCTCTCTCCCTAAATCAAAGCCCAGAACAAGCTCTGCTCCCATCCTTGAATTCTGGATAGCCCTCATGGTGCCGTCTCTGGACTGACACAGGTTTTGTCTCGGTGGTTAATTTCTGTCTTTCCCGGTAAAAGGGAGAGGAAAACACCTTTACAAATTTATATTCTGCTTTTAGCCAAATAGGAGAAGGGAAGAGAGCTTTTCTTGTATCTGCTTCCTCTCCACTGTCTTCAGCTCAATATAATCCTTATGCCAAAATGGCATAATTGGGTGTGGAATATTTTGCTGCCCTACACAGGGAAGAGTGTGCTCTTGGGCAAGGCAGCTGTCTGTAGCTGAGGCCACCCAGAAGGAACCAAGAGCTGAGAACTGTCCGCCGACATCACCTCCAGTAGCACGGGCAGCAGGTCCTCTGTGAATGGGGATGTGGGTGGTGCATCTCCAGCCCACTATACATCCCCTCCATTTGTTATCCAGTGCTTTGAATTTTAGGATCTCAGCTCACATGAGTGAAGCTGATATTTTGTCCTGGCTTCCCAGGGAGTCTCCAGCGGTGACTCCTTTCCTGGGTTGTGTGACCAATAACCCGGTCCAGCTCACCATTCCCTAAAGGGCTTCCATCTTCATCCAGCAGCCAGCAGGGCTCCTCCAGCAGCTCCTGGCTTATTCCAAGTAAGTACTGGGTGGGAATAATGAAACTGCCCAAGTTTGTCAACAAGTCCCAGGCTGCAAGTCTGGGGCAGATGGAGTTACTTGCTAAGCAGAGTAGGTATACGAGGGAGAGGGAGGAAACCTTTCTTCTTCCAAGCCCAAGCCCTGGGAGGGCTGAGCTGAACTAGAAATGACAAGCACTCTGGTCATGTCTGAACATGCACAGATGGAATTTTAAGCACATAAAATGTTGAAGCACTAGTGCCAAAAGCCAGCTTTAGCAACAGATTTCTGCTGGCCCTCTGAGGGCAACAGGAACAGGTGAGCCAATGTCTCAGCAACGTGATGTCTGTCTACTCTTGTGCCTGGAGGAATGTGGCTCCTTAGAAAGCACCCGTGGAAATTTCTTCATGTGAGGAAGATGATACAGGGGATGAGAGAAAAGCCTAATGTCCTTTGCAGTTGGTCCCTCTCAGCCCATCCAAATCTAAGACAGAGACTCTTATTTCCTTCCCCATGGCCCTCTCTAGGTGTCTAGACCCAGACTCCACTCTCCATCTGGGGAAAATGGAAGCAGAGACTCTACACTTGGGTTAAGTCAAATGAGGACTAAAAAGGCTCAGAGTCCAAACATGTGACATTCCTGCTGAACAGATATCAAAATGAGCTGTGAAGTTGTGACCGTTATCAAAATGCGGTCCTCACCAGAAGCCAATGGGAAGTGTGATCACATTGTTCCACTACACAGGTGGCTATCAGATGCTTCTTAGCTCCTACATGGATGCTGGTGATTGACGATGTTGGCTCGAGGGGGAGGCTGGTGATTTTGAGTTTTGATGGCACTCCTATACGTAGGGTTCACTAGGGCCTCATGCTTTCCCTACAGACCTTACGAAGTTCTCTCCTTTTCCACTTCTCTGTCCAGGAAGTTTGCTTGTTTGGTTTTTGTGGGGTTTTTTCCCCCTAGTGGAAAGAAGAAGAGGAAACCCTGGTTCCCATATTATTTGTGTTCTCTCAAATCTACTGTGTTGCCCACGATGCACAAGACTGTTGCCCTCTTTATTTTGTATATCATTCTAAGAGCCTCTTCTTTGAAAACATGAAAGTTAAGGGGAAAAACATCATTTCCCTCTGGCTCTGGCCTCATCTTTCTGTGCAGTGGTGGTATTGGATGCCCCAGCTGTTTCTCAAATTAGGCAGCAGTGGGAAGGGGGCACATAGTAATGGGGACTCTGGGGGAAAAGCACATCCATTAACTTGAAAAGAGGATCCTGGCTGCATGCAGTGGCTCATGCCTGTAATTCCAGAACTTTGGGAGGCCAAGGTAGGAGGATTGCTTGAGCCCAAGAGTTTGAGACCAGCCTGTGGAGCACAGCAAGACCCCACCTCTACACTTTTTTTTTTAATTAGTAGGGCATGGTGGTGTGCTCCTGTAGTCCTAGCTACTTGGGAGGCTAAGGCAGTAGTATCGCTTGAGCTCCGAAGTTCGAGGGGAAGTGAGCTATGATCACACCACTGTACTTCCAGCCTAGACAATAGAACCAGACCCTATGTCTAAAAACAAACAAACAAACAAAACCATGAAGAGAGAATCCCACCACTTTGAAAATGTCTGAGTCAGTAATTGTCATATACCTCTCTGCATAGTTCCCAAAATAACAGTCATTTTAGACCAATCAGGATTTTCTTTGCACAGCCTATCCTAGCCTGAGGAGAGCCTCCAAGAAGGGCCCTACATCCTATCAGTCACCAAGGTGACTCGCCGCCATCTTGAAGGTTCTCCAACATGGAGTCTTGTGCCCCAGGTGTGAGTGGACAAGGGTCACCCTGCTGACCTTGTTGCCACAGCAGAAAGGAGTGGCTCCAGGAAGGAGCTGACCCAGGGAAATTTGGACCCAGTCACAGACCGTGCAGGGGGGGCCACAAATATGCTCTCTTTCTCCCCTCAGCTGAACACCATTGAATCTCTTCTCTTTAGCATTAAAGAATAATAATAAATAAAAGCAAAACAATTCTTCAGTGGAAGATGCACAGCCTAAACTAAATTAAAATTGCACCTCTGTCCCCAGCTTTACCTTGGTGCATTTACTTTAACTCTCTAAATCTTTGTGTTCTGCAAAACAGAGCTGCTAATCCCAGCTACACAGAGTCAATTCCAACAGTGAATGCAGTGCTGGCTCTTTTCCCCCACGCATATGGGAAAGGACACATGGGTTGTTCTGTCAGAGCGTGACTCTTAAATTAACCACTCACCAACTGCTGCCCCACTTTACAACCAAACAATGCCATCCACCCACACTGTCAACCTTCTGAGGGCAAACTGAAACCATAGCAAAGCTCACAAACCAAGAAATAGCTCCTGATTCCTTTTCCAAAGTCAAAAAAAAAAAAAAATTGCAGGCTTGCTTCCCCCTCCTGCATGTCCCCAGACGGTGCACAATGTACCGGCTCTCAGTTGCCTTGCCTCCCACTTCTCTGCTCCTCCAGCACAGCTCCTGCCTCTTCCTGGCTCTTTGTTTGAGAGGTTTCCCGTTTTCTCTACATTGTAGTATGCAGTGCATTGGGAGCAAAGAATGTGCCCTTTTGTGCCATGCTAAGTACCTAGAACATTGTAAAGAACTTCTTAAATTATAAAACCCAGAGTGGTCCAGGAAAATGTGTAAGAAATTCTGGTTCCATGAGCAGATTTATGCGTTTACCTTTCTCTGAGCTTGTCTCTTATTCTGGTGTACTTTTAAAAGGAAGACACATTGGGGCTCCAAGGGACACACAAGCAAGTGTATATAGGTATACACTTGTACATCTGTTGGCAGAGGAAAGCCATCTCTCAATATCCATCACCAGGTGATTTCACTAAGTCTCCTGATAAATAATCACAGGAACAGTTGTATCATTTCCCACTTACTATCACCAGAGTACCTTGAGGTATTTGAGTAATTGACCTCTGTAAGGGCAGGTATAGCATCTCATTCCTCTTTGCATCCCACTTTCATTGCACTGTGCCTGGCACACAGTAAGCACACAAAACACTATGGTTGAATTGAATGAGCCATAATATAACTTGCCATAGTGCACTGTACTTAGAATGTTCACATATGGATTGAGTGGCTAAGCACAGTTGGTAGAAATACTGTTATTGCTCTCCAGCTGGGAGCAGCTTTAAGTGGCCCAACTTGAGAAGTGATTTTGTGCCTTCACTTTTGAAAGTAGAGGGAATGTCTCCGAGAAGGAGAAAAAAGAAAAGAGAAATAGCAGATGATAATAAATACAGGAGAGCCACATACCCACAGAGGGGACATTGTCTACAGAGTTTGAGGGACAAATCGAATATCCTTGCCTGAGACTTCTGTGAAATACCAAAATTGTTCCATCCCTGGAAGAAAGGAGCCTGAATATTTTATATGTCAAAGATATTGTACCAGGCTGGTGTGCATCTATAGTCCCAGCTACCCAGGAGGTTGAGGTGGGAGGGTCACTTGAGTCCAGGAGATCAAGGCCGTGGTGCACTATGATCTTGCTTGTAAATAGTCACTGCAGTCCAGCCTGAACAACATAGCAAGATCTCATCTCTACAAAAAGAAAAGATATGCTGAACCAGGCAGTCCAACTCCAAGGTTCAATGATTTTGATTCCCCAGGATGATTTCCTAGTGTTCAGTGTTAGTGTATTAGTTTGCTGAGGCTGCCATAACAAAGTACCACAAACTAGGCGACTTAAACAACAGAAATTTATTTCTTCACAATCTGGAGGCTAGCTTTCTGAGATCAAGGTGTTGGCAGGTTAGTTTCATCTGGGGTTTCTCTCCTTGGCTTGCAGATGGCCATCTTCTTCATGTATCTTCCCATGATCTCTTTGTGTGTGTTTATGTTCACGTTTCTTTTTCTTATAGGAACAACAGTCATATTGGATTAGGGCCCACCCAATATGACCTGTAATTATCTATTTAAAGATTCTATCTCCAAATACAGTCATATTCTGAGGTACTGGGGTAAGGATGTAAATATATAAAACTGGGAGGGATACAATTCAGCCAGTTAGTGCTCCATAACTAATTACTGAACTACTACTGTGTGTATGCCTACAAAATCCTAGCAACCAACCTGTGTCAAAAGCAAGCCTTTGGCTACCACCAAGAATCCTAATTTTAATAAAGTGACAACTTGGTGAAGACATTGCAATGATATAAATAATAATCCATTCATTTAATAACAGAATATTACTCAGATGTACTGACAGTGGAGATCAAATTTCTACCACCTAGAAAATGAATATACTGATTAGATGTATAGACAGTAATGACTCTATTTTCAGTACTAAGGAGAACACTGATAGTCTACGATGTGATCTGTCAATAGAGATACACTAAATACCTCTATTGAATACTCCTAATCGACCACTTATAAAAAACAAGGAGCTGGGTAACTGTGTATGTAATACTTCTGAACATTTTTGCATATCTTATTAATATAATGAGTTGGCTGTTTACTCCTAATGTTGCTGGACAAAGTGGCGAAAGAGAATGATGCATCTTAGAAATTCAAATTGCTAGCTCAAGAGCCACATAAATGACCTGAAAGCTTCTTTTGTGTCCTGAAAAATACCCTTAACCTCTGCAGCTGCAGAGCTGAGATTGCTGAAAACCCAGTGCAGAATCTCATCCTGAAATTGGCTGAATTATGCATGTTAACATGCATTAACAGAATGTTGGTAAAATTTGGATGTTACTATGGCTTAAATGTATATGTCCTTCCAAAATTCATATGTTGGAACTTAAGCTGCAAGTTGATGATATTAATAGGTGGGGGTCTTTGCAGATAACATGAACCTATACGTAAAACACCCAGAAGAATTCACCAAAGAAAAAAAAAAAAATCTGTTAGAACAGAAGGTACAGTCCCTGTGGACTGGGGAAAATGTATTGGCAAATCATATATCTGATAAGAAGTTAATATCCAAAATTAAATGAATAAATGAATTTAGCAAAGTCACAAGATATAATATCAATATACAAAGATTAACAACATTTCTTACAACCTAGCTGAAAAAGAAATCAAGAAAATAATTTCATTTATGATAGCATTAAAAAATACTTAGGAATAAGTTTAACCAAGGAAGTGAGATGTTTATATGCTGAAAACTATAAAACATTGATGAAAGAAACAGAAGATGGCACAAGTAAATTGGAAGATATTTCATGCTCATGGATTGAAAGAATTAATATTGTTAACATGTCCATACTACCCAGAACAAAATACATATTCAACACAATCCCTATCAAAATCCCAATGGCATTCTTCACAGAAACAGAAAAACAATCCTATAATTCATATGGAAACACAAAATACCCTGAATAGTCAAAACAATTCTGAAAAAGAAAAAACAAAATTGTGGACATTATACTTCCTGATTTAAGATCATATTACAAAACTATTGTGATCAAAACAGTATGATACTGACATAAAAGCAGTCCCATAGAACAGAGAAAGTGTATAGAGAGCCTCAAGAAATGAATCCAAACATATAGTCAACTAATTTTTGACAAGGGTACCAAAAGAACACAATGGGGAAAGGACAATCCCTTCAATAAAAAATGCTGGGAAAACTGGATTTCCAAATGCAAAGGAATAAAATTGGACTGTCATCTTACACCGTACACAAAAATCAATTCAAAGTGGATAAAAGTGGCCAGCCGCGGTGACTCATGCCTGTAATACCAACACTTTGGGAGGGTGGATCACGAGGTCAGGAGATTGAGACCATCCTGGCTAACATGGTGAAACCCTGTCTCTACTAAAAATACAAAAAATTAGCCGGGCATGGTGGTGCACCTGCAGTCCCAGCTACTCGGGAGGCTGAGGCAGGAGAATGGCGTGCACCCGGGAGACAGAACTTGCAGTGAACCAAGACTGCGCCACTGCACTCCAGCCTGGGCAACAGAGCGAGACTTGGTCTCAAAAAAAAAAAAAAAAAAAAAGGATAGAAGACCTAAATGTAAGATCTGAAGCTACTAAATGCCTAGAAGAAAATATAGAGAAAAATCTGAATATTGGCCTTGGTGATTAATTTTCAAATATCACACCAAAAGCTCAGGCTACAAAAGCAAAAATAAATAAATAGGACTACATCAAACTAAAAAGTTTATGCACGGTAAACAATCAACAAAATACAATGTCAGCCTGTTGACTGGGAAAAATGTATTTGCAAACCATGTATGTGGTACAGAGTTAATATTCAAAATGTACAAGGAACTCACACAACTCAACAGTAGAAAAACAAATAACCTAATTTTAATATGGGCAAAAGACCTGAATAGACACTTCTCCAAAAGAGACATAAAAATTGCCAACAGGTATAATAATATTCTATATAGTAGAGTATTATTCAGCCTTAAGAAAGAAAGAGATAGGCTGGGCGTGGTGGCTCAAGCCTATAATCCCAGCACTTTGGGAGACCAAGGCAGGTGGATTGCTTGAGCTCAGTAGTTCAAGATCAGCCTGGGCAGCATGGCAAAATTCCATCTCTACAAAAAGTTTAAAAAATTTGTGGGGCATGGTGGCCTGTGACTGCAATCCCAGCTACTCAGAAGGCTGAGGTGGGAGGATCACCTAAGCCAGGAAGACTGAGGCTGCAGTGAGCTGTGATTACACTACTGCGCTACAGCCTGGGCGAAAGAGTGAGACCCTGTCTCAAGAACAAACAAACAAACAAAAAGAAAGAAAGAAAGATCCAGGCAAAGTGGCTTATGTCTGTAATACCAGCACTTTGGGCAGCTGAGGCAGAAGGATCTCTTGAGCCCAGGAGTTCAAGACCAGCCATGGCAATATAGCAAGACCTCATCTCTACTAAAAATTTAAAAATTAGTCAGGTGTGGTGGCATGTCTGTGGTCCAAGCTACTCAGGAGGTTGAAGTGGAAAGATTGCTTGGGTGCAGGAGGTTGAAGCTGCAGTGAGCCGTGGTCACACTACTGCACTCCAGCCTGAGCAACAAAACGAGACTCTCTCTCAAAACAAAAAAATTTAAAAGCAGGAGATTGTGTCATTTACCACAACATGGATGAAACTGAAGGTCAGTATGCTAAGTGAAATAAGCCAGACACAGAAAGAAAAATATGCATTATCTCCTCACTTACATGTGGAATCTAAAAGAAAAAGGAAAAAGAGGACTGGATGTGGTGACTCACTCCTGTAATCTCAGTACTTTGGAAGGCAGAGGCAGGCAGATCACTTGAGCCCAGGAGTTTGAGACCAGCCTTGGCAACATGGCAAAACCTCATCTCTACAAAAAAAAAAATACAAAAATTAGTTGGGCATGCAGGGGGTGGGCCTGTAATCCAAGGTGCTCAAGAGACTGGGGTGGGAGAGTTGATTGAGCCCAGGAGGTCAAGGCTGCAGTGAGCCATAATCACACCATTGCACTCTAGCCTAGGCAACAGAGTGAGATCCTGTCTCAAAAAAAAAAAAAAGTCATATGTGAATACAGAGATAGAGCATTAAACTGTGATTACTGGAGTTGAGGGAAGAGCAAATGGGGAGATGTAGGTCAGAGGACACAAAGTAGCAGACGTGTAGGATGAACAAAACTAGAAGACTAATGTACAACATGATTTCTAGAGGTAATCAAATTGTACTGTATTTGGGATTCCTGCCAAATTAGTAGATTCTAGCTGCTCTTGCCACAGAAAAGGAAAAAAATGGATAACTATGTGAGAATATGAATATGTTAATTGGCTCCACTATAAAACCATTTTACAATCTGTATGTATCCCATAACATCATGTTGTATACCTTAAATATGCACAGTAAAATTTATTTTAAAAACAAAACAAGAAGTCATAAATAGAATAGTGCTCTGATAAAGGAGATTGAAGGAAGTGCCCTACTGCCCTTTGCTCTTCTGCCTTCCACCATGGGAAGACACAGCATGTCTTCTACCATGTGAAGGCATCGGAACAGGGCACCGTCTTGGGAGGAGAGATAGCAGCCTCGCCAGACACCAAATCTGCCAGTACCTTGATCTTGGACTTCCCACTCTCCAAAACGGTGAGAAACGAATTGCTGTAGTTTATAAATTATCCAGGGTAAGGCATTTTGTTGTAGCAGCAGAAATGGATTTAGACAGATGCTAGAAACCATTCTGGTAAGGTCTCAGACATAAATGAGCAGCAACATGTTATTGGAAACTAGAGGAAGCATGATCCTTGTTACAAAGTGGCAAAGAACTTGGATGAATTGTGTTTGTGTTCTAGTGTTTCATGGAAGGTAGAACTTGTGAGCAATGAAATTGAATATTTAAATGTATTTTAAAAGGAACTGTTAAGATACAGAATACCAGAAAGATTGGGAAGAGTCCATGTTGCAAAATATGAGAAAGCATGTTCAGAAGAGAACATCAGTGGCATGGCTAGACTTGATAAGGAGATTATTGGATTAAACAAGCAGAAACACTGCCAGTTTGGATTGAAGGGGACAGGGACAAGATGAAATGAAGAAAGGCTGTCAGCCTTCTTAGATCTTATAGGACTGCACCGTAGACCTATTTGGTTGTGAACATGCACTATTCTTCAAGACAAAGAAGAATGACCTTGAAAGTGATTCAGAAGTCATTAGGGTGGCCTCCTCAGATTCAGGGGGAGAAGGAGGGCAGGTGGGGCATCGCCTCACTTTCAACAAGACAGACAGCAGTCTCCCAGAGCTTTGGAGACGGCACCACGATCCTTGGCCAGCAGAGTAGAAGAGGTAGAACAACTACCCCAGTGGACCTGAAGTGCAGAGCATAAAACCAAAAGAGATTATCTTTAAACCTTAGGAAGAAATGGAATTTGAATTGTTTGGACCTCATCACTCCTTCTTTCTTGTCTATTTCTCCCTTTGGGCATGGGAATTTCTATCCTATGCCTACCACATCATTGTATTTTGGGCGCACATAACTTACCTGATTTCACAGGTTTATGGCTAGAGAATTTTTCTTAGAATGAATTGTACCTCGAGCCTGACCCACATCTGATTTAGAAGAGACTCTGGATGTTTAGATTTAATGTTGTATTGAGTTAAGATGACGTTTGAAGCTGTTGGGATGGAATAAATCTATTTTGCATACAAGGGCCTAAATTTGGGGGTGGAGGCTAGGGATGGAATGTATGGACTAAATGTTTATGTCCCCCAAAAATTCATATTTTGAAGACAACCCACTGTGTGATAGTATTGGGAGGTAGGAACTTCAGGACATAATTAGGTTTAGATTAAGTCATGAGGGTGGGGACCCTGTGATGGGATTACTGTCCCTATAAGAAGAAGAGAGACCAGAACTCTCCCTACCATGTGAGGACACAGTAAGAAGGCAGTCACCCTCAAGGCGGAAAGAGAGCCCTCCTCGGGGAACCAAATCACCCAGCACCTTGATCAGTAATTCCTAGCCTCCAGAACCATGAGAAATAATTCCTGTTGTTAAGCCACCCAGTCTATGATATTATATAAAGGCAGCCTGAGCTGAATAATGCAATGTATAAACAGTGAGATCAGACAGTCTTTGCCAACAATCAGCATATTCATAAACCATTTAAGCAATTTTCTTCCCATCTTATTGTTTTCTTTATTTAACAATTTGCTTGTATTTCCTTGAGGGACTGTGTGATTGCTGGCTCCAAGGCCAGCACTATATTGCACTATAACTCATGCATTGATCGTGAGATTCAAATTAGCTTAAGTTTAAGAGGTGAAGTAATTTACATTCTCAGAATAGTGTTTTTTTTTTCCAATTTGGTTAAGCCTTAAGGGTACTTTTTGTTTTATGGAATTAAAAAAAAAAAATCTGTCTTTATAAGAAAGCCCAATGCAATATAAAGCCTAACGGGAGCCCCAGGGCATCTGTTACTATTGAAAATCTATTTTAATAAATTTACAGTATTGGCTTAATTATTTATAAATTAAGAAATACTAAAAGGAAAATATGTTTTTGGCTCTATGTTTTTTTTTTTTAATGTTGGAAATGAAATAGGTCAACCAAATGCTGTTTCAAAGTACACGCCGATCCTTGCTGTTATCACAAAGCTTTTGAGATAGTAAGTGCATTTTTGTGATTTCTTCAGGGCAAAAATTTCAGTGTGATAGATCACACTGTTTTCCCTAAAGTACATGACAAGGAAAAGAGACAAAAATCTGTCTCTCAAGAAGTTTACAAAAAGGAAGTCCAAAATAACTGTAACAAGCATCGTTTCTCCTGCTTTCAGCTTCTGTGATCATAAGCATTTTAATCATCTCTGAGTCTTCACAGGAAAGGCCACCAGTGCTAAGTAAGCAAGACATCTATCACATTGTGTTTCAAGTTTCAGAATCCTTGTTTAACAATGCCTGAAGGCTGTCAGCTTTCCTGACAAACCATCAGAATGATGAACAACTCAGGCTTGGCAGGAAAGCCTTCATTGCAGGGAGCAGAGGAATTTATTGAGGAAGGAGCAAGGAAAGCAAAGCCACCTGTCTCTCAGAAGCAAGTTATCAAAGTGTAGGAGACAATGATGGAAGTACCTAGGTCAGTCTCACAATCACTAAAATCTATTAATTTATTCAAAAATTATAATTGAAGCCTATCAACACCAGGCACTGTTAAGGGCTCTGGAAATACTATAGTAGATGGGAGTAAGATATGATAAATAGTGGTAATTTCCATTCACATAAACCATGTTATTTTAGTTTTTTTGTGAATTATAAAAATTAAGAAAAATATCCAGATCCAACACTCAATCTACAATGATTATATTTATATTCATCACTTCAAAAAATATTCTAACTGTCAACTTTATTATGACTTTGGGGTATTTTTTAAACAAAAAACTCATTTTATTTTTTTTTTTTAATTTTTTTGTGAGACAGAGTCTTGCTCAGTTGCCCAGGCTAGAGTGCAGTTGCACAATCTTGGCTCACTGTAACTTCTGCCTCCTGGGTTCAAGTGATTCTCCTGCCTCAGCCTCCTGAGTAGCTGGAATTACAGGCACCTGACACCATGCCCAGCTAATTTTTGTATTTTTAGTAGAGATGGGGTTTCACCATCTTGGCCAGGCTGGTCTCAAACTCCTGACCTCATGATCCACCTCCCAAAGTGCTGGGATTATAGGCATGAGCCACTACAGACGGCCAAAAAACTCATTTTTAAAAATCCAGATGCTTCTAAAGTAAGTGTTTTTAAAAGTTACTGTAATCTTTTCTATGCATTTTCTTAGGAAAAGAACAATTTCATTTTTATCATTGATTGTATTAGTGACCACATAACCATGACTACTTGGCCAATGGCAGTTCACATTTTTGGTTTCTTGATAATTTTCAAAAGATTTAACCAATTTTGATGACATTTATTACACCATCAAATCATGTCAAGATTTGTATTATTCTTTCTTCCTATTAAAACAAATTATCTGGCAACATTTTAGAATGGACAAATCTTGTACACACAGTACCTTCACCCATATGTTTTGAAAGTGTAATTATTTTTGATGAGTATTTTTCAACAGATTCTAATATTTGGTTGTTTTAGCTACTTGTAATGGCTATAAGAAATTTTTAATATTTAAGGTTTCACAGATCAAAGTCTCTGGTTCATAGAAAAGTCAGTTCTTTCCTTTAATCCAGAGCCTATATCATAGCCTTTTGCTTAAAACAGTTTGAGATATAATTGGCAAAAACAAAAAAAAATAAACCTGAGCATGTTTATAGTGTAAAACCTGATAAGTCTGACATATGTGTACATCAGTGAAACCCTTACCACAGTCAAATAATAAGCTCATTCATCTAAAAAAATCTTTGTATCCCTTGATAACCCCTCCCTCCTGCACCTCTCCAATTTTCCCTTCTCCCATCCCCATTTCCAGGCAACCACTGATCTGCTTTCTGTAATTATGAATTAGATAGCATTTTCTAGAATTCTATATAAATGAAATCACAGAGTAGGTACTCTATATTCGGCTAGCTTATTTCATGTAACAGTTGTGTATATCAATAGCTTACTCCTTTTTCACTAGTATAATTAGATTCTATTGTGTGGCTCCATCAGTTTGTTTATCCACTCATATATTGATGGATACTTTAGTTGTTTCCAGTTTGGAGCTATTACAAATAAAACTACTATGAACATTTGTGTGCAAGTGTTTGTATAGACATATAATTTTATTTATCTTGAGTAAATAAGAACTCAACAGTTGAATCATACAATATGTATATTTTTAACTTTTGAAAAAATTGCCAAAATGTTTTCCAAAATGGCCGTATCATTGTACACTTCCAACAGAAGTGTATGAGAGTTCCAGCTATTTCACATCCTCATCAATAATTAGTGTGGTCAATTTTAAACCATTTCAATAGGTGCATGTGATAATCCATTGTGCTGATTTACAATTCTCTAATGACTAATGATGCTGAGCATCATTTTGTGTGTTTAAATAAATCCATAAATCTTCCTTAAGTACATGTTTAAATATTTTGATCATTTGTATTAATTTTTTGTTTTCTTCTTATTGAGTCTCAAGTTTTTATATATAATGGATATGATTACTTAGTCAAATACATAATATGCACACATTTTTCTCTCTGTCTATGACCTATCTTTCATTTAAGAGATTTTCAGCCAGGTGTGGTGGCTCATGCCTGTAATCCCAGCACTTTGGGAGGCCAAGGCGGGTGGATCACAAAGTCAGGAGATCGAGACCATCCTGAAAACCCCATCTCTATTAAAAATCCAAAAAATTAGCCAGGCATGGTGGCAGGTGCCTGTAATCCCAGCTAATTGGGAGGCTGAGGCAGGAGAATCGCTTGATCCCAGAAGGCGGAGGTTGCAGTGAGCTGAGATCGTGCCACTGCACTCCAGCCTGGGTGATATAGTGAGACTGTCTCAAAAAAAAAAAAAAGAGATTTTCATTCTCTGAAATCTGTTCCCCTAAGAACAGAAGTCTTAAGTTTGATGAAGTCTAATCCGTAAGTTTTTTCTTTTACAAATCATGCTATTGATATTTTTTGTAAGAAAGCTTTGCCTTAATTAAGATAACACAGATATTCTCTTATGTTTTCTTCTGGAAGTTTTATAGTTTGGGGTTTTACATTTAGCTTTATGATTCCCTTTTAGTTAATTTTTGAATATGTGAATTAACCAGATGAGTGATGGGCTCTTTCTGAGCTTTTTATTCTGTTTTATTAATTTACTTGTCCATGTTAACAACAAGAACACACTGTCTTGATTACTGTATCTAGGGAAGAAGCCAGAAGTCAAATAGTGAAAGTTTTCTAATTTTGTTTTTCCCTTACAAGTTTGTTTTAGACATTCTAGATCATTTGCATTTCTATATGCATTTTAGAATCAGCTTGTCAACTTCTAGAAAACAGTCTGATGGAATTTTGTGTAGAAATGCATTGAAACTGGCCAGGCACAGTGGCTCATGCCTGTAATCCCAGCACTTTGGGAGGCCGAGGCAGGCGGATCATGAGGTCAGGAGATTGAGACCATGGTGAAACCCCATCTCTACTAAAAAATACAAAAAATTAGCTGGGCGTGGTGGCAGGCGCCTATAGTCCCAGCTACTTGGGAGGCTGAGGCAGGAGAATGGTATGAACCCGGGAGGTGGAGCTTGCAGTGAGCCGAAGATCATGCCACTGCACTCCAGCCTGGGCAAGAGAGTAAGACTCCATCTCAAAAAACAAACAAACAAACAAAAACAAACAACAAACAAAAAACAAACAAAAAAAGAAATGCATTGAAACTACAGATCAATTCAAGGAGAGCTGACATCTTAACAATAAGATGAGTCTTACAATCCATGAACATGGTATATCTATTTATTTGAGCATTCTTTAATTTTTTTTTCAGTAATGTTTTGTAGTTTTCAGGTCTGGTGTATCTTTTGTAAGATTTACTCTTAAGTACCTTTTTATACTATGTAAATTGTGCTGTTTCTTTACTTACAATGAATGGGGTTTTTTGTTGCTAGTATTAATACATAGAAATAAAATTGACTTTTTATATTGATTTCTATATTGATTTTGAATAGCACATTATTATTAAGGTAAGAGTAGCAGTTCTAGCAGCATTTTGGAGATTTGGTAGAATTTTCTATATAGAAAATCATATTGTTAGCTAATACTAACAGTTTTACTTCTTCATTTCCAATTTTGCTACCATGCGTTTCATTCCTTTTTCCTTTTTTTTTTTTTTTTTTTTTGCCTTTTGCGAAGGCTTGACATTTTGAAAAAATTTTGAATAAAAGTAGTAAGACAGACATTTTTTACTTGCTTCTGATATTGGGGAGAAATATCAGTCTCTAAGTATTAAGTATGATGTTAGACATAGGTTTTTTATTAATCCCTTTACAAGGTTGAAAAAATTTGTTTCTATTTTGATTTTTGATTTTTGTCAAATGCCTTTTTGACATTTATTTAAATGATCATACAGTTTTCCTTTCTTAATCTATCAACATGGAAGATTACATCTACTGTTTTTTGAATATTAAACCAGCCTTGTTGTACTCATGGATTAAGAAATATTTGATCACGTCTTTTCAGGAGGCACAGCAAGATAGCCAAATAGAGGACTTCACTGATCATCCTCCCTAAAGGAACACCAAATCAAACAACTATCTATGCAAAAAGCAGCTTTGTAAGAACCAAAAATTAGGTGAGTGATCACAGTACCTGTTTTTAATTTTATATCCTTGACAGAGATGCTGAAAAGAGTAGAAAAGATAGTCTTGAATTACCAATGCCCCCCTCCCCCATCCTCCAGCAGCAGCCATGTGGCACAGAGAGAATCTGTGTGCTTGGGAGAGAGAAAGTGCAGTGACTGTGGGACTTTCCATTAAAACACAGTTCAGCTCTATGACAGCAGAAAGCACACTGGGCAGCACTCAGCCAGCACCTATAGAAGGAGAATTTGGACTGCCTTAACCAGAGGGGAATTGCCCATCCGAACAGTTGGAACGTGAGTTCTGGCAAGCCTCACCTCTGTGGACTAAAGTTCTCTGGGTCCTAAATAAACTTGCAAGGCAATCTAGGCCATAAGGACTATAATTCCTGGGCAAGTCCTGATACTGTGCTGGGTTCAGAGCCAGTGGACTTGGGGGCACATGATGTAGTGAGACACCAGCTGGAGAGGCAAAGAGAATGCTCCAGGCAGTACAGCTCGCAGCTCTGGGAGATATTCCTTTACTCTGCTTGAGGAGAGAAGAGGGAAGAGTAAAGAGAACTTTGTCTTGCAACTTGGATGCCAGCTCAGCCATAATATGATAGGGCACCAGGCAGAGTCCTGAGGCCTCCATTCCAGGCTCTAGCTCCTGAACATTTCTAGACACATGTTGGGCCAGAAGAGAGCCCACTGTCTTGAAGGGAAGGGCCCAGTCCCAACAGGATTCATCACCTGTGCACTAAAGAGCCCTTTGGCCCTGGATAATTGGCAGTGATACCTAGGCAGTACTCATCATGGGCTTTGGATGAGACTCAGAAATGTGTTGACTTTAGGCATGACCACCACATTCCCAGCTGTTGTGACTATGGGGAGAGATTCCTGCTGCTTGAGAAAAAGAGAGGGAAGAGTAGAAAGGACTTTGTCTTGCAGCTTAGGTAGAAGCTCAGCCACAGTGGAGTAGAAGACTGAGTGAGCTCCTGGGGTCTCTGATTTCAGGCCTTGGCTCTTGGATGGAATTTCTAGACCTGGCCTGGGAGCCCACAGCCTTCAAGGGAGAGTCCTAGAACTGGCAGCATTCACCTCAAGCTGATTAAAAAGCACTTGAGCCTTGAGAGTGAACATTCGTGGTGGCCAGGCAGTACTCATTGCAGGTCTGGGGTAGTGGTGGCCACAGGGGGAGACTCTTCTGCTTATGAAAAGAGGAGAGAAGAGTGGGAAGGACTTTGTCTTGTGGCTTGGATGCCAGCTCAGCTGCAGTAGAATAGAGTACCAAGTAGATTCCTAAGGTTTCTGACTACAGACCCTGGCTCCAAGATAACATCTCTAGACCTTCCCAAGGCCAGAGGGAACTTGCCATCCTGAAGGGAAGGAAACAAGCCTGGATTGCTTTGCCATCTACTGATGTAGAGCTCTAGAGCCTTGAGTGAACATAGGCAGTAGCCAGGCAGGGATTATCACAGGCATTGGGTGAGATCCAATGTTATGCTGGCTTCAGATCTGACCCAGCATAGTCCCAGTGGTGGCAACAGGGGTGTTTGTGTCACTCCTCCCCCAGCTCCAGGGAGCTCAGCACAGAGAGAGAGACTTTGTTTGTTTGGGACAAAGTAAAAGAAGAGAACAAGAGACTCTGCCTGGTAATCCAGAGAATTCTTCTGGATATTATCCAAGACCACCAAGGCAGTACCTCTACAAGTCTGCAAGAACCGCAGCATTACTGGGTTTGGGGTGCCCAGATATGGGTATAGTGACCAAAAACATAGATTACATAACACAAGTCCCTTTGAATACCTAGAACGCCTTCCCAAGGACTGGTACAAACAAGCCCAGACTACAAAGACTACAATAAATACTTAACTCTTCAATGCCCAGATACTGACAAACATCCACAAGCATGACCATCCAAGAAAACGTGACCTCATCAAACAAACTCAATAAGGCACCAGTAACCAATTCCAGAAAGACAGAGGTATGCAACCTTTCAGACAGAATTCAAAATAGCTGTTATAAGATAACTTAGTGAAATTTAAGATAACACAGAAAAGGAATTCAGAATCCTATCAGATAAATTTAACAAAGAGATTGAAATAATTAAGCAGAAATTCTGGTGTTGAAAAATGCAATTGACATACTGAAGAATGCATCAGCGTCTCTTAACAGCAGAGTTGATTAAGCAGAAGAAAGAATTAGTGAGCTTGAAGACAGCCTATTTGAAGATACACAGTCAGAAGAGACAAAAGAAAAAAATAAAAAGAAATGTTGCACACCTACGGGATCTAGAAAATATCTCTAAAGTTTAAATCTAAGAGTTATTGGCCTTAAAGAGAAGGTAAAGAGAGAGATCAGAGTAGGAAGTTTATTCAAAAGGATAATAACAGAGAATTTCCCAAACCTAGAGAAAGAAATCAATACTCAAGTAAAATAAAGTTATACAACCAAGCAGATTAAACCCAAATAAGACTACCTCAAGACATTTAATAATCATACTCCCAAAAGTCAAGGGTAAAGAAAGAATCATAAAAGCAGCAAAAGAAAAGAAGCAATTAACATACAACAGAGCTCCAAAACATCTGGCAGCAGACTTTTTTAGTAGAAACCTTAGAGGCCAGGAGAGAGTGGCATGACATATTTTAAGTGCTAAAGGAAAATAACTTTTGTCCTAGAAGAATATATGCAGTGAAAATTTCCTTTAGACATGAAGGAAAAAAAAGACTTTCCCAGACAAACAAAAGGTGATGAATTTTATCAACATCAGACCTGTCTTACAAGAAATGCTAAAAAGAGGTCTTCGATCTGAAAAAAAAGGACATTAATGAGCAATAAGAAATCATCTGAAGGTGCAAAACTCACTGGTAATAGTAAGTACACAGAAAAGCATGGAATATGATAACACTATAATGTGGTGTGTCTACTACTCACATCATGAGTAAAAAGAGTAAAAGATGAACTGATCAAAAATAATAATTACAACAGCTTTTCAAGACATAGTACAATAAGATAGAAATAGAAACAACAAAAAGTTAAAAAGCAGAGAGACAAAGTTATAGTGTACAGTTTTTATCAGTTTTCTCTTTGCTGGTTAGTTTGTTCATGCAATCAGTGTTAAGTTGTCATCAGTTTAAAATAATTGGTTATAAGATATTATTTGCAGGCCTCATGGTAACCTCAAATAAAAAAACATGCCACAGAAATTCTAGCTGGCTCTTTAAGGGAAAAAAAAGGAAAGAAAACATACAACAGATACACAGAAAATAAAAACAAGAAATTAAAATATACCACTAGAGGAAAATCACCTTCACTGAAAGAAAGACAGGAAGGAAGGAAAGAAGGAAGAACATAAAACAACCATAAAACAAATAAAATGGCAAGAGTAAGTTCTTGCTTATCAATAATAATATTGAATGTAAATGAATTAAATTCTCCAATCAAAAGACATAGTGACAGAATGGATTTAAAAAAAAAAAAAGACCCAGTGATCTGTTGCCTGCTAGAAACATACTTCACCTATAAAGACACACATAGACTGAAAGAAAGGGATGAAAAGACATTCCATGCAAAAGGAAACCAAAAAAAGATAAAGAGTTAACTATATTTATATCAGACAAAATAGATTTCAAGACAAAAACTATAAAAAAAGAAAAAGAAGGTCATCATATAATGATAAAGCAGTCAATTCAGCAAGAAAATATCACAATTGTAAATATATGCACCCAACAGTGGAGCACCCTGATATACAAAGTAAATGTTATTAGAGCTAAAGAGAGAGAGAGAGCCCCAGTATGATTATAGCCAGACATTTCAACACCCCACTTTCAGTATTAGACAGATCATTTAGACAGAAAATCAATAAAAAAACATCAGACTTAATCTACGCTATGGACCTTATGAATCTTATATGGACCTTATGCATCTACCCTGTGGACCTTATACATATTTAAAAAACACTTTAATGATTGCAGAATATACATTCTTCTCAGCACATGGATCATACTCAAGGATAGACCATAAGTTAGGTCACAAAACCAGTTTTGAAAAATTCAAAAAAATTGAAATTATATCAAATATTTTCTCTGATCACAATTAAATAAAACTAGAAATCAATAACAAGAGGAATTTTTTAAACTACACAAACAAGTGGAAACTAACCAATATGCTCCTGAATGACCAGTGGTCAATGAAGAAATTAAGAAGAAAATTGAAAAATTGATTGAAACAAATTATAATGGAAACACAACCTTTCAAAACCAGTGGAAGATAGCAAAAGCAGTACTAAAGGAAAAAGTTCACAGCTATAACTGTGAAAGGTACATCAAAAAGGTAGAAAGACCTCAAATAAACGACCTCACAATTCATCTTAAAGAACTAGAAAAGAAAGAGCAAACCAAAAAATTTGTAGGATAGAAATAATGAAGATCAGAGAAATAAATATAATTGAAACAAACAATACAAAAGATCAAGGAAACAAAAGCTGTTTTTTATAGACAAAATTAACAAACCTTTAGCTAGACTAAGAAAAAAAGGGAGAAGACCCAAATAAATAAAATCAGAGATGATAAGTAAACATTACAACCAAGCCCTCAGGACATTAAAGATCATTAGATCAACATCATTAGATCTTTAAAGTTGGCAACTATATGCCAATAAATTAGAAAAACTAAAAGAAATGGATAAATTCCTAGACACATGCAACCCACCAAGATTGAACCATGAAGAAATCCAAAATCTGAACAGGTCAATAATGAGAAACAAGATCAAAGCTGTAATAAAAAGTCTACCAGCAAAGAAAAAGCCAGGACCCAATGGCTTCACTGCTGATTTTTACCAAACATTTAAAGAACTAATACCAATCCTACTCAAACTATTTTGAAAAATGGAGGAGGAAGTAATACCTCCAGACGCATTATATGAGGCCAGTATTATCTTGATAGCAAAACCAGACAAACACAATAATAATAATAATAAACAACTACAGGCCAATATCCCTGATGAACTTTGATACAAAAATTCTCAGCAAAATACTAGTAAGCCAAATTCAACAATGCATTAAAAATATCATCCATCATGACCAAATGGGATTTATCCCAGGGACACAAGGATGGTTCAACATATGCAAATCAATCAATGTAATACATCATATCAACAGAATGAAGGACAAAAACAATACAATCATTTCAATTGATGCTGAAAAACTATTTGATAAAATTCAACATCCCTTCATGATAAAAACCCTCAAAAAACTGGGTATAGAAGGAACATACTTCAACATAATAAAAGCCATATACAACAGACCCACAGCTAGTATCATACCGAATGAGGAAAAACTGAAAACCTTTCCTCTAAGATCTGGAACATGACAAGAATGACCACTTTCACCACTGTTATTTAACACAGTGCTGGAAGTCCTTGCCAGAGCAATCAGACAAGAGAAGTAAATAAAGGGCATCCCAACAAGTAAGGAAAAAGTTAAATTATTCTTGTTTGCAGATGACTTGATCTTATATTTGGAAAAACCTGAAGACTTCACAGGAAAACTATTAGAACTGATAAACAAATTCAGTAAAGTTGCAGGATACAAAGTCAACACACAAAAAATAGTAGCATTTTTATATGCCAACAGTGAACAATGTGAAAAAGAAATTTTAAAAGTAATGCCATTTACAATAGCCACACATAAAATTAAATACCTAGGAATTAATCAAAGAAGTGAAAGATCTCTATAATGAAAACTATAAAACACTGATGAAAGAAATTGAAGAGGACACCAAAAAATGGAAAAATATTTCATGTTAGTGTATTGAAAGAATCAACATTGTTAAAATGTCTGTACTATCCCAAGCAATCTACACATTCAATGCAATCCCTAGCAAAATATCAACGACATTCATCACAGAAATAGAAAATACAATCCTAAAATGTATATGGAATGAAGAAAGACCCAGAATAGCCAACACTATCCTAAGCAAAAAGACCAAAGCTGAAACAATCACATTACCTGACTTCAAATTATACTACAGAGCTATAGCAACCAAAACAGCATGGTACTGGCATAAAAACAGACACATAGACCAATGGGGTGGAATAGGGAAGAACCCAGAAACAAATCCACACACCTACAGTGGACTCATTTTCAACAAAGGTGCCAAGAACACAAGCTGGGGAAAAGACAGTATCTTCAATAAATAGTGCTGGGAAAACTGGATATCCATATGCAGAAGAGTGAAACTAGACCCCTATCCCTCACCATATACAAAAAATCAAATCAAGTCTTAGATTTAAGTCTTCAATCCATTAGTTCCTTCAAACTAAAAGACACAACCGAAAGAAAACATTTGGGAAACTCTCCAGGACATTGGAGACTTCTTGGATAATACTTCACAAGCACAGGCAACCAAAGCAAAAATGGACATATGGGATCACATCAAGTTAAAAAGCTCCCACACAACAAAGGAAATAATCAACAAGGTGAAGAGACAACCCACAGAATGGGAAAAAATATTTGCAAACTATGTATCTGACAAGGGACTAATAACTAAAATATATGAGGAGCTCAAACAATTCTTAGGAATAAAATCTAATAATCAAATTTTTAAAAGGGGCAAAAGATCTGAATAGACATTTTTCAAAAGAAGACATGCAAATGTCAAACAGGTATATTAAAAGGTGCTCAGCCGGGCGTGGTGGCTCACGCCTGTAATCCCAGCACTTTGGGAGGCCGAGGCGGGCAGATCATGAGGTCAGGAGATCGAGACCATCCTGGCGAACTCAGTGAAACCCTGTCTCTACTAAAAATGCAAAAAAATTAGCCAGGCATGGTGGCGGGCACCTGTAGTCCCAGCTAGTTGGGAGGCCGAGGCAGGAGAATGGCGTGAACCCAGGAGGTGGAGCTTGCAGTGAGCCGAGATTGTGCCACTGCACTCCAGCCTGGGCAACAGAGTGAGACTCTGTCTCAGAAAAAAAAAAAAAAAAAAAAAAGGCACTCATCGGCCAGGCACAGTGGCTCATGCCTATAATCCCAGCACTTTGGGAGGTGGAGGCAGGCAGATCACAAGGTCAGGAGATCGAGACCATCCTGGCCAACATGGTGAAACCCCGTCTTTACTAAAAATACAAAAATTAGCTGGGCATGGTGGTTCATGCTTGTAGTCCTGGCTACTTGGGAGGCTGAGGCAGGAGACTCGCTTGAACCCAGGAGGCGGAAGTTGCAGTGAGCCGAGATCACACCACTGCCCTCCAGCCTGGCAACAGAGCAAGAATCTGTCTCAAAAAAAAAAAAAAAAAAAAGATTCTCATCATCATTATCAGAGAAATGCAAATCAAGTCTACAATGAGATAGCTCATTCCAGGTAAAGTGGCTTTTATACAAAAGACAGGCAATAACAAAGGCTGGCGAGGATATGGAGAAAAGGGAACCCTGGAACACTGTTGGTAGGAGTGTAAATTAATACAGCCACTATGAAGAATAGTTTGGAGTTTGCTCAAAAAACTGGAAATAGAGCTACCATATGATCCAGCAATCTCATTGCTAGGTATATACCCAAAAGAAAGGACATTAATATATCAAAGAGAGATCTGAACTTCCATGTTATTGCAGCACTATTCACAATAGCCAGCATTTGGAAGCAACCCAAGTGTCCATCAACAGACGAATGGACAAAGAAAAGGTGGTGCATAGACACAACGGAGTACTCTGCAGCCACAAAAAAGAATATACTGTCATGTGATTTGCAACAATGTGGATTGAACTGGAGGTCATTATGTTAAGTGAAATAAACCAAACACAGAAAAACAAACTTTACATGCTCTCACTTATTTGTGGGAGCTAAAACTTAAAACAAACTCATGCAGATAACGAGTAGAATGATGGTTACCAGAAGTTGGGAAAAGTAGTAGCAGGGGAGATGGGGGAATGGTTAATGAGTACAAAAATATAGTTAGAATGAATAAAGTCTAGTATTTGATAGCACAACAGGGTGACTACAGTCAATGATAATTTGTCATACATTTTTAAAGAACCAAGAATATAATTGGACTGTTTGTAACACAAAGAATAACTGCTTGAGATGAAAGATACTTCATTTACCCTGATGTGATTATTATGTATTGTATGCCTGTATCAAAATATTTCTTGTACCTCGTAAGTATATATACCTAGTATGAACCAACAAAAATTAAAAATAAATTTAAAAAAATGTTTTGATTAACATATATTATCCTTTTTATGTACTGTTGGAATTGATCTGTTAAAATTTTGTAGAAAACTGTTTTTGGTTTGTAGTTTTCCTTTCTTGAAATTTCTGTGTTTAGTTTTTGGCATCAGATTAATGCTAGCCTTATAGAATTAGTTGGGAAGTAGACTCCTCTTTTTAATTTTCTATAAGAGTTTGTTTAGAACTGATATTTATTTCTTAAATGATTGGCAGAATTTACAAGTGAAGACTTCAGGCTTGGAGCTCCCTTCATGGGAAGATTTTTTAACTAAATATTTAATTACTTTAACAAACAGAGGTCTATTCAAGATAATCTATTTCTTTTTAATTAAGCTATGTGAGAATGTGTCTTTGAATAAATCTGTCCCTTTCATCTAAGTTGTCAAATACTCTTGACAAAAAGCTGTTAATGATATTACCTTATTAGGCTTTTAATACCAATAAATTCTTTAAAATTCTAATGTTGGTAATTTCTGTCCTCTCTCACTCCTTTATTTGTTTGTTTTCTAATTATTCTGTTTAGAGATTTATCAATATCTTCTCAAAGAGCCAGCTTTGGGGTTTATTGATTTTCTCTAATTTTTTGGCTTTCTATTTCAATGATTTATAGTCCGGTCTTATTTCTTTTTTCTGCATAATTGAGTTTAACTTGCTCTTCTTTTTTTCTAGATTCTAAAGATGGAATCTGAGGTCATTGATTTGAGACCTTTTTTGCTAATGTAATTACGGTGTGCTATAATTTTCCCTCTAAGTACTGCTTTAGCTGTGTTCCATAAATTTTAATGTTTTGTTTTTATCTTCATTCAGGTCAAAATACTTTTCAATTCCCCTTTTGATATCTTCTTTAACTAATGAATTGTTTAAAAATGTATTGTTTAGTTTCCAAATACTTGGAACTAGTTGGGACAATTAGTATTCTAATATCTTCTTTCTGAGTTTGCTTTCTAATTTCATTTCATTTTAGTAAAAGAAGATACTTTGTATGACATGAATCCTTCAAATTTTTTGAGACTTGTTTTATGGCTCAGAATATGGTCTAACTTGGTGAGTGTTCTGTCTACACTTGAAAAAAAGAAATGTGTTCTGTCATTGAGTGAAGGCAGCAGCTACTGACATGATAAGGTGTCAATGAGAAAAAGTTGGGTAATAGTGTTGTTCAAGTGTTCTGTAACCTTACTAATTTTCCGTCTGTTTGTGCTACCAATTATTAAGAGAGAGATTGTGGATTTTTCTTTATCTTTACAGTTATATCAGATTTTGCTTTAAGTATTTAAAGCTTTAGTCTTTGGTGCCTAAATGTTTAGAGCTGGTTGTCCTCTTGATGAATTGACACCTTTACCATTATGCAATGACTATGTTTATCTTAGTATCAATGGGAATATTCTTTACTTTATAGTATACTTTGATATCGATTTAGTCACTACCGGGTTTGTTTGCTTGTTTTTTAACTAGCATTAGCATTGCATTTCTTTTTTCATTTTGACTTTTAACTTATTTGTATTTTTACTTTCAAATGCATTAGACGGTTGTCTACAGTAGCTGTTGGGAACAGGCAGTTTTAATTCTGTGTGAATTCTGGGCATTATTTCCTCTAATCCTTCTAGGTAGCTCTTTCCCCAGCCAGTTTCCTCAAATGTATGCACTGATTAATACTAAACGGAATACTACAAATTTGCAGAATTTTCCCTACATAGCTCTTTCCTCTCTGGTACTCTGCCTTGTGAAATCTAACAACCTTGGCTTCCCCAGGCTTGAAGCTAAGTCTTCTCAACACAAGACCACTAGATTCTGCCTGGGTTCCCTCTTCCTACACTGCAGACTAGAAACTTTTTCCACACAATAAGTTGGGGCAATTGTAGGGCACCCTTCATTTGTCTCCCATTTCCAGGATCATTATCTTTCATTATCTGATACCCTATGTACTGAGTGCCCTTTTTAAAAAACATATTTTCGTCTGATGTTTTTGTTATTTCAAGCAGTAGGATAAGTCTAGTTCCTGTTATTTCATCTTGAACAGAAGTAAAATCTCTCAATCTTCTTTTTAATATTTTCTAGAACATAGAGTCTCAGTTGCCAAGTAAATCAAACTTTTTTTTTTTTTTTTTTTTTTTTTTTTAGACAGAGTCTTGCTCTGTCACCAGGCTGGAGTGCAGTGGCACACTCTCAGCTCACTGCAACCTCCGCCTCCCAGGTTCCAGTGATTCTCCTGCCTCAGCTTCCTGAGTAGCTGGGATTACATGCACCCACCACCATCTCTGGCTAATTTTTGTATTTTTAGTAGAGATGGGATTTCACGAAGTTGGCCATGATGGTCTCGATCTCTTGACCTCGTGATCCGCCCACCTCAGCCTCCCAAAGTGTTAGGATTACAGGTGTGAGCCACCACGCCCAGCCAAATATGTTTTTAATTTTTGTTTATTTTATTTTATTTTGAGACGGAGTCTCGCTCTGTCACCCAGGCTGGAATGCAGTGGCTCGATCTTGGCTCACTGCAAGCTCCACCTCCTGGGTTCATGCCATTCTCCTGCCTCAGCCTCCAGAGTAGCTGGGACTACAGGCGCCTGCCACCTCGCCCGGCTAATTTTTTATATTTTTAGTAGAGATGGGGTTTCACCGTGTTAGCCAGGATGGTCTCGATCTCCTGACCTCGTGATCTGCCCAACTCGGCCTCCTAAAGTGCTGGGATTACAGGCGTGAGCCACTGTGCCCAGCCACGTTTTTAATTTTTGAAATTCTGAATGACTATAATGTATTAGCAACAAGTATAAAGTTTAAGACACACTGATACACTTCTGAATTCACAAATATGCTCTAAAATTTTTTCCCTTTAATCATATGAAGTATGTGTTTCAAATTCTGAGGCATTTTTTTGTTCATAGTACCAGTCTGATTATTTTCCTCATATAAGGAGTAAACTACATTGAACTGAAAGAAAAGAGTCTTTTCCTTTTTTTTATTTTTTTATTATTATTATTTTTTTTTGGTTAACTAATGCAACAACTTTAAAAATTAAATTTAACTTAAATTCAAACACAAAGAAATCAGTAATAATACCTCCCTGAGTTAGAAATACATTCAATTCTCTCTGGTCTTGATGCTTAAAAATTTGTGAGGTTTATAATTTTGATGAAGAAATGCCCTACACACTTTCAAGAACAAGTATGGAGACAGCTTAAGGAGGGCGTAGAAATTCGGTCTTTATCTCTTGGATTTTCAGCATTTAGAGATGATGTATTCTTACCTCAAATGACTCTACAGCTCTATACCCTGCACAATTTCTGGTGCTCAACGAACGCTGCCAAAAAAAACAAGCAAACTTCCCTTTTGTTGCCCACCTTAAAAAAAAAAATCAATAAGAGCGCAATCTGAGCAAGCTTATGATTTTAATCAGTGTTGCCTAAGGTTTTAATGTCAGGGCATCAGGCATTGGG
Organism: Homo sapiens; assembly: GCF_000001405.40. Classification (NCBI taxonomy): domain Eukaryota; kingdom Metazoa; phylum Chordata; class Mammalia; order Primates; family Hominidae; genus Homo; species Homo sapiens. The sequence continues at coordinate 87,370,291 of NC_000009.12, forward strand.
CCAAAGAGATTAAATTCACCCAGGACCTCACAGCAATTGACTTGTTTTTTAAAACACAGCATTACATCAATGAGAATGCAGCCTTGGCTATATTTCGGATTTGTTCATCTTTTGTTGGTTTATTTTGGGAAGAAAGGTATTAGATTAAACAATGTCAAGAACATTCTTGAAGGGAAAAGGAATGCATAAACAGGCAACTCAGAGCTGCGGGACAGAAGGAGAGCGTGGGTGGCAGAAAAGCTGACCCTCCACACTTGCCTCCATGTTGGCAGGAGCACCACGGGGACAGATCCAGACTCGACTCAATGTTATCAGGCTCTGGGCTGTTTGAAACTCACCCAGCAACCATATAGACAGATGTGGAGGCACAGGAGAAGTTAGACATGGCCTAGGTCATGCAGGCAAATGGTATTGAAACAAGCCATGGGCAAGCCAGGCGCAGAGGAGAGAGATGGTCTCAGTAGCAAAGTTGGGGACAAGGATCTAGGCTGGCGGAGGAAAAGGCTCCACACTGCTGGGTCATTCCCTTTAGCAGCATTTGCCGCATCTCTCCTGGGGACCAGGCACTGTGCCCTTGACTGGTGGCACAGATGAGTAGGAGTCAGTCCCTGCCTCAGGGAGGACACCACTAAGGGAGGGAATTTCTGGGAGACAACTGTACCCTCCGAGATCCAGTCACCTATTGTTGGTGTAAGGAAATGCAGTGTGAAGCTGCAGGCACCAACAGAAAAATCCGTCGTGGGTTTTGAGGGCATGTCTCCCTGGCATTTCTCCTGTTCTGAAAAGTCGGTACTCCATTCCCCAAGCCGTATGCTTTCTTCTTTGACCCTGTCTCTCTCTTTCTCTTTCACACTTACATGCACACACACACACAAGCATACCCCACCATCCAAAAGAGTCATAAACAACTAGCTCTGATAAAAGAGGAGATCTCCAAAAGTAGCACGGGAAGGTTTGTGGGGGAACAGACAAGGGAAGAATCAGTTATTGGAGGAGAGAAGGGACAGAGAATTTTCTGGAATGGGGACAATTGAATACACTTTTTTCTTTTTCAGATGGAGTTTCGCTCCTGTTGCCCAGGCTGGAGTGCAAAGGCACAATCTCAGCTCACTGCAACCTCCGCCTCCCAGGTTCAAGGGATTCTCCTGCCTCAGCCTCCCGAATAGCTGGAATTATAGGCACCCACCACCACGCCTGGGTAATTTTGTATTTTTAGTAGAGACAGGGTTTCACTGCATTGGCCAGGCTGGTCTCGAACTCCTGACCTCAGGTGATCCACCCATCTCAGCCTCCCAAAGTGCTGGGATTACAGGCATGAGCCACAGCACCAGCAAGTACACTTTTTAAAAGAATGAAATTTACTAAGTAAGTTGGAGGAGGAGAGTTGGGAGAGCAAGGAACGGAGAGGAAGCTATGTGGTCAAAGGCTCCATGGTGTGGAAAGGCCTAGAGCATCCTGCAGGACGGAAGCCTTCAGGTGGCAGGGAATGGCTGGCAAAGAGCTGGGAGGTGGGGTGGGCTCTGGGTGGCCTCAGGCCTCACGGGCTTATGAGGCCTGGGGCTTCTTCATCCCAGGAGGAATGAGGTGCTGGAAAGTGCCCTCCTGAGCTTTTGAAAGCCGGTTACATGGAGAACAGTGTGTCACATAGGGAGTGACAGAAAGTAAGAAAATCAATTAAAATTTACTGCAGGGCAGGGTGTGGTGGCCCATGCCTGTAATCCCAGCCCTTTGGGATGCCAAGGCAGGCAGATTACTTAAACCCAGGAGTTTTGAGACAAGCCTGGCAACATGGCAAAAACCCATCTCTACTAAAAATACAAAAATTGGCAGGGCTTGGTGGCGTGTGCCTGCAATCCCAGGGAGACTGAGGTGGGAGGCTCGCTTGAGCCCGGAAGGCAGAGGTTGAAGTGAGCTGAGATCACGCCACTGCACTCCAGCTTGGGCAACAAACCCAGACCATGTATCAAAATAAAAAAATAAAATAAAGTTACTGTAGTAGCCCAGGCAAAAGACATTGATGGCTTTTCACATTCCAGAATATTTCTGGCATGAGAATTTTATAAGCGCATGGAATTAGAACTCACATACTGATGTTCATACACTAACAGAATTAGATTATCTACATGGATTCCCTCTCATTCCTTCCAACCCCACCTCCCACAGAGAAAATGTTTTGTTTACTGTAGCTTTAAATTGTTCAGAAATTTTACATCTTTACTTTTCACAACACCTAGCAGGGATGCGGGCAGAGAGAAAGTGGTTAATAGATAACGTCGCCCTTAGAGAAAGGCAACACTGGATAAAATATAACTACGTGACCTGCTCTTGCTCCCTGTACGTGCAAATGGCGCAGTCCCCTCAAGCGCTGTTAATGAAATCAGGGAGTGGCACAAGGGCCGTAACCTCCAGGCGGGGAAGGGACCCAACCCACTGAGTGCATTCCCGAGAGACAGAGCCTCCTCTGCTGGGTCCCCATAGCTGGAAATAAAAAGAGATAAAACCAAGCATGAATAATGAGCCTGTCATTCAGGTGTTAGCCTCCACTTTGAAAATTCACTGAAACTATTTCCAAGATAAGAACTGAAAGCCTGAGCTGAGTGCCTCCTCTGCCTTGAACAACTGCGAGGGAATCTAGAGCGGGGGTCCCCTTCCATGAAAGATTACAATTACTCCCACACCTGTGTTTTGCAGGTGGTTTTCAAGAGGGCAGCAAGTGAAAAAATACAATGGGTGAGATGATATGTAAATATAAAATATTAACAAATACACCTAACACAGTATTTGACTTTAACAATTAGGAAAGGCTTTCCTTTACCAACAGCCAACACATACATATATGATACGTGTTAAGATAACACGGCATTGGCCAGGCACAGTGTCTCACACCTATAACCCCAACACTCTGGGAGGCTGAAGTAGGTAGATCACTTGAGGCCAGGAGTTCGAGATCAGCCTGGCCATCATGGTGAAGCCCATCTCTATTAAAAATACAAAAATTAGGCAGGGTGCGGTGGTTCACGCCTGTAATCCCAGCACTTTGGGAGGCTGAGGTGGGCAGATTACCTGAGGCCAGGAGTTCGAGACCAGCGTGGCCAACGTGGTGAGACCCTGTCTCTACTAAAAATGCAAAAATTAGTCGGGTGCGGTGGCACAGCCCTGTAGTCCCAGCTACTTGGGAGGCTGAGGCAGGAAAATCACTTGAACCCGGGAGATGGAGGTTGCAGTGAGCTGAGATTGTCCCACTGTACTCTAGCCTGGGTGACAGAGCTAGACTCCATCTCAGAGTAACTAACTAACTAACTAAATAAATAAATAAAAATAAAAATACAAAAATAAGCCAGGCATGGTGACGCATACCTGTAGTCGCAGCTACTCAGGAGGCTGAGGCAGGAGAATCTCTTGAACCTAGGAGGTGGAGGCTACAGTGAGCTGAGATCGCATCTCTGCATTATAGCCTGGGCAACAAAGCGAGACTCCATCTCAAAAACAAATATATAAACAAATAACATGACATCTTATTTTCTGGGTTCTTCTCACTTCCTTCTCTACTTTGTCTCTGAGTCCATTTTTACATCTCTGAAAATCATTCCGAGGCACTGAGCGATTGTCTGAGGATGTCTGCTACTGTTTTTCACAGCCATCTGCCATCTTTGCTGGCTCTTCATGTTTTCCCTGGACTCTTTTTACCTTGTCTTAGAACTCATCTGAGCCTCAGGGTCTACTTGAGATAGAAACGAGGTGTCTTAGGACAAGCTCTACCCAAGGAAGGAATTCAGGCCACAAGGAGGCTCTGAATGTCCCAGCCTGCTCATCCCTGGGTGAACACAGCTCTGGCTATGATTCAGAGCTCTCCTGAAAGTGTAACCACCCAAGGGGTTCACCTTGCCTGCTGCTTAGACAGAGCTGATTCATCAAGACAGAGGAACTGCAATAGAGAAAGAGTAATTCACGCAGAGCCGACTGTGCGGGAGACCAGAGTTTTATTATTACTCAAATCAGTCTCCCCGAGCTTTCGGGGAGCAGAGTCTTTAAGGATAACTTGGTGGGTGGGGGGAAGCCAGTGAGCCAGGAGTGCTGATTAGTCAGGGATGAAATCGCAGGGAGTCAGAGCTGTCTTCTTGCATTGAGTCAGTTCCTGGTTGGGGGCCACAAGATCAGATGAGCCAGTTTATTGATCTGGGTGGAGCCAGCTGATCCCTCAAGTGCAAGGTCTGCAAAATATCTCAAGCTCTGATCTTAGGAGCAACTTAGGGAGGGTCAGAATCTTGTAGCCTCCAGCTGCATGACTCCTAAACCATAATTTCTAATCACGTGGCTAACGTTAGTCCTACAAAGGCAGTCTAGTACCCAGACAAGGAGGAGGTCTGCTTTGGGAAAGGGCTGTTACCGTCTTTGTTCAAACTATAAAGTAAGTTTCTCCCAAAGTTAGTTCAGCCTATGCCCAGGAATGAACAAGGACAGCTTGGAGGTTAGAAGCAAGATGGAGTCAGTTAAGTTAGATCTCTTTCACTGTCTCAGTCATAAATTTGCAAAAGCAGTTTCAAAAGCTGTGCTTGTCAGTTGGCCTCACATCTGCATGTCTACTTCAGTGGCTACAAAATTTCTAGAGCTTAGCACCTTTCTCCACTTTTGTTGGACACCTGGCTCATCCCACAAGTACTTCTGCAAATATAATTTTTATTTAAGTTGTTTACTTTCCTCAGAAACTAGAGCATCATTGAGGGAGCAAATGTCTGTAAAACATTTAGGGAGCAAATGTCTCAATCCCGAGGCTGAAGCATGAAAGCCTGACACTGCTCCAAAGTACGAGCTTGCTCTCATGACAACTTTAGGTTCAAGATCAACAGTTGGTGATATTTAGGGAAGGCCTTGCTTTGTTTTGGTGTGTAGTTAAGCATCACTCCTGTTGAAGAGTTTTACACACACACACAGACACACACACACACTAGAGAAATACAGAGAGTAGAAGGTAGATACGCAGGTATGCAGAGTATGTGGAGATACAGCATCAAGGTCAGAAACATCACTGGGGTCCAAACTCAAATGGCTTCACAGCCTTCCAAGGAACATTAATGTGTAAATGTGGTTGGGGGTGGGGGGGTGCGGGAAAGAGGACAATAGGGAAAGATAAGAGCTGCACGGGAGAAGAGAGTGCCCAAAGTCTTCAAATTTCAATGATTTTTAATTCATACTTTGAGACATATCTGCAGGCAGCAGAGGCTTGAAGATCACAGCCTGAGACATCCTGATTCTGTCATGCTGCCAGAACATTGCCTCCTCTACTGCTGTTGTTGGCACTAAACCTTACTGCCCAGACTGCCATCCAATTAGTAATAGGATTCATCAACACTTTTGAATTAAGTGAGGGGGGAGGTACAGAAAGATGTCATTCATTCATGCCCACCATCATAGGAGATGCAACCTTCATAAAATAAATCCATGCCCTCAACCAGCTAGGGAACAATGTGGGGACGTAGGGTTTGTAAATAAGGGCCGGATTACAAAGCAGTGCAGGATCAGTGTAAACAAGCCTGGCATGGAAAAATACCCATCATGGGGTGTGAGAGTATGATGGATTCTTTCCAGATGTGGTCAACTAGAAAAACATTACGAAAATATTTGGGGCCGGGCACAGTGGCTCACACTTATAATCCCAACACTGTGGAATGCTGAGGCAGGAGGATTGCTTGAGCCCAAGAATTCATGACTAGCCCAGGCAACACAGAGAGACCCCGTCTGATAAAAGAAACTATCCGAGCATGGTGGTACACAGCTGTAGTCCCAGCTACTTGGGAGGCTGAGGAAGGAGGATCACTTAAGCCTAGGAGTTCAAGGTTGCAGTGAGTTCTAATCATGCCATTGTACTGCAGCCTCAGCAACAGAGTAAGCCCCTGCCAACCCCCACCCCCAAAATTGGGATTTTTTACTGTGCTTGAAAAAATAAGTCGGATTTTAGAGAGAGAGTAGTGTAAGGTCAGTCTTCTCATTTATTGCAAAAACTATTATTTCAGACATTAAAATTACAAATGGACATTCACGCTGCCTCCACAGACCAACTGAGCTTATCTATGGAGCTTGATAAAGATGACAAAAAGAGTTAATGAAAAAGGTTTCTGAAGTCTGGAATGAAATCTAGAGGTGGGTTCTAGGAGCACAGATGACCCAGATTAAAGAAAACAGACAAAGCTGTGTAGACAGCTCTTCCCTATCACTGTGAAATCTGCCAGAGAGCCCAGACACCACTCCTGATCTCCCAGCTACAACAGCAGTACCAACAGCTTGGATAACTCATCCCAAGGAGAGTCTAAACTATCCAGAAAGTATAGATCTGTCAAAATATTTGTGTAAGCTTGGCAATTTTGAGCTGCTTATTAATAGGTTTTTTTCCAACTCAATTTTCAGTGCAAAGTTCCATAATTAACCTTCCAACAACACTTCATTTTGGTTGGAGTTAAAAATCTTCACAAAATAAATAGAATTCCTGGTATAGCTACGATCTGAGGGCCTTTAAATGATTCGCATGCAACATCCTGCCTTCATCATTGTAATTGTGAGGGTTCTTGGATTACAAGCAACCAAAACCAGATCAAACTAATTTAAGTAAAAATAGATTCTATTGGCTCATAGAATGGGAAGCAAGTCTCCAGAAACAGATCTTATGAGGGAGTAAGAGCTAAATGTTAGTCTCTCTGGGGTAATACCCTTGAATGAATGAGCACTAATTGCTTTTAATCTCGGCCTAACACTCAACTTCCACAGGGAGAGTGTGACTGAACTTGGGTCACGTGTTTACCTCATGGTAGGTAAATGGGAAATGCCTTGGACACCAGTCCCCATCAGCATTATCCCCAATAGAAGTTTTGTTTTCCAAAGGGAAATTGAGGTGCAATTTTGCAGGGAGAGAGGATGGATCATTGACACTCAAAAACAATGGAGCACCATGTGTAATTGCAGCATCACTGGAATTACGATGCCCATATTACCTTTGGAAGATGGTAAGATTTTTGAGTGTTTTATCAATTGTAGTAATGCTGTGTTTAAATGCTGCCTAGACATCATCCAGCTCTGTGACCATTACCCTGAGCTAACTTATAGTATTGTAGGCTATAAGGACAGTAACACAACATGGAGTCACTATCTTCAGAATAAGATGATGCTTTTAAACATTAGCGAACCTCCCTAGCCTTCAAAAGATCATTTGGGTGAATTTCAAGGAGTAGGCAAGGAAAAGAAAAATATTAACAATATGCTTTTTCTGGTATTTTTGACATGAAGTTTGAGGGAAATTAGCATCTCTTGAAAACTTCTCTTCATGACTTTTCAGATTTCTGTTGATTTTAGACTCATGTCACCCATCAGTTGTCTTTAGCTTAATCTGCTGTCACCAGGAGCACTAGTATGATATGTTGTTCTTTTGATTAAAAAGGAGATCTTTATATTTAAGTATAAAATTTTGGAAAATCTTTTAAAGACAGAATGATCTCCCTAGCAGAGTGGCGATTCCCTTTCTCCAGAAAGTTGTCAACTAAAGACAACCACTGGTAAGAGGACAGCAGTCGTGTGTTGTGTCATGAGTGGCCAGATCATGTAACCTTCATGTCCATTTCAATAATAAGATTCTGTAGTTCTAAATCTGATTAATGCCAACGTGGAATCTCAAAACACAGCCTGACAGTCAAAGAAAAGGACTTACATTTCAGAGGGTATCATCAATTTTGCCTGAAAATAGCTTAAATCATTTTAAAAATCAACCTGATGAGGCTGATAAGTTGGATTTATTTATGAAAAATCATAAATAATAGAAAGTATGATGTGTTTGTTCTGCAAGACAGGGTGTTGTTTTTAGCCAGCGTATTAGGGTTCTCTAGAGGGACAAAACTAATGGAACCCAAATATATATAAAGGGGAGTATATTAAGTATTAACTCACATGATCTCAGGGTCCCACAATAGGCTGTCTGCAGGCTGAGGAGCAAGGAAAGCCAGCCTGAGTTCCAAAACTGAAGAACCTGGAGTCTGATGTTCAAGGGCAGGAAGCATCCAGCACAGAAGAAAGATGTAGGCTGGGAGACTAGGCCAGTCTCTCTTTTCACATTTTTCTGCCTGCTTATATTCTAGCTGCGCTGGCAGCTGATTAGATTGTGCCCACCCAGATTAAGGGTGGGTCTGCCTTCCCCAGCCCACTGACTCAAATGTTAAACTCCTTTGGCAACACCCTCACAGACATACCCAGGATCAATACTTTGTATCTTTCAATCCAATCAAGTTGACACTCAGTATTAGCCATTACAGCCGCTCTTCTCCAGCAGTTGAAGCAAGTGATTCTAACCAAAACAAGAATTTTCAAATAGAAAATGACTTAATTGTTAATGATATTTCTAAGTTCTTTATTTATAGTTTGAAGTCATAGAACAGCATGATAGCATATTGAAGTATTATCAATTGCACTAAAACAGACATTATCCAAGACCAGCAAAAGTGGATTGGGAACATAAAAATTTTATGGGGTTATGAAAAAAGGAAAATAAAAAGCCCATAAAACTGCTTAAGAGTATAAATGTAATGATTTCATGATAAACTATCTTTTAATGTATAAAATTAAAGCACTAAAACAGACATTATCCAAGACCAGCAAAAATGGACTGGGAACATAAAAATTTTATGGGGTTATGAAAAAAGGAAAATAAAAAGCCCGTAAAACTGCTTAAGAGTATAAATGTAATGATTTCATGATAAACTGTCTTTTAATGTATAAAATTAAAATCCTTTCTAAATGAGCTGAAATGCTGACAAAATAATAGCAATTGAGATTTGTACATTTATATCATTATCAAATTGGTAATTCTAGAGAAGGAGGAGGAGTTGAAGCTCTTCAGAGGATCCCAGATCTGCAATTATTTTTAAAAATGCTTAATGAATGGCAGCAACCTAAAACTGTCAATAAGGACTGGTGAAATAACTCATGAGGTATGCATTCAGTGATATACCGTGCAGCCATAAAAAAGAATGGAGGACTCCATCATGCCTTGACATAGAAATCAAGGTCTAGATCAATTTACATTAGTTGCCATATGAGGGAAAAGAAAAATAAATCAGAGAATGTTTACACGTCTACGTTGATGAGCATTGATTGTCTCTGAAGGACACATAACTGATAACATCGGTTGCCTCTGAAGGGAGTTGGGTAGCTAGGGAACCAGACTGAATGAAGAGGATTTTTACTACATACCTTTCTCTCTTTCTCTCTTTCTCTCTCTCTCTCTCTCTCTCTCTCTCTCGGATTAAGACAATGTGAATATACTACTTATTTAATACATAAACAAAATTCATTTTTAGACTTCTTAATTTATTAAATTGCTTCTAATAATGGATGACAGTGGCCGGGCGCAGTGGCTCACACCTGTAATCCCAACACTTTGGGAGGCTGAGGAAGTTGGATCACTTGAGGCCAGGAGTTTGAGATCAGCCCGGCCAACATGGTGAAACCCTGTCTCTACTAAAAATACAAAAATTAGCCAGGCATGTTGGCGCACATCTGTATTCCCAGCTACTTGGGAAGCTGAGACAGGAGAATCGCTTGAACCCAGGAGGCAGAGGCTGCAGCGAGCCAAGATCGTGCCACTGCACTCCAGCCTGGGTGACAGAGTGAGACTCTATCTCAGAAAAAATAATAATAATAGTAACGGATGACATTATGGAATATTAAACCCAGAATTACTTGGTAGTGCCATCAAATGGAATTTGGTCAGTTTGGTAGAGTACACAAATATTAAAGTGGTGATTGGTATCAACCTTCAACATCTGTTAAGCAACAGTTTCTTTAGGGCTCTATTAAGAACATACTACACTCAAAAACAAGGTGGTCAAGAGCAAATCTGTTGCTGCTGAACAGAATCGCTAGGGCCAAAGGAAGAGAGTTTTTCTTTTTTATGCCAAATGCAGTGTGCACAAATGTCAGAATCAGGTATGTAAGATGCATTCTTATTTTCTATAATTCAACCTAATTTCTATTCGGAGCCCTCCCTTTCCTCCGCCAAAATTCAATATTCTCTCTTTCTTTCCAAGAATGTCATCTAAGTTCTAGGAAACCCGTATTGTGCCCAGGGATGAGGCATAGAAGGGAGGTGGCATCTGGTGTTCTCTATGTCTATCCAGGAAGGCACCTGTTCAGATGGCCGGTGCCCCTCCTGGTCCCCCATTCGGGTGTATGGTCTATGCCTTGTGTCTAAGAGAGTCTCCAAGACCCCAAAATACTTAAGCTCTGGCATTCTCCCTCTGGTTCTTCCTTTCACCCCTCTGGGCTGCCTTAGCAGTCCAAGGCACCTTTTCCTCTTGTGGGAGAAGGAAGCCTTGCCGTTATTCATTCTCATTTCTGCCATATCTTCTGTTTGTCCTGTGTCCTTTCTACTCCCCTGCTAGTCAGTTAAAACTCAAATGCCGGCCGGGCGCAGTGGCTCACGCCTGTAATCCCAGCACTTTGGGAAGCCAAGGTGGGTGGATCATCTGACGTCAGGAGTTCAAGACCAGCCTGGCCAACATGGTGAAACCCCGTCTCTACTAAAAATACAAAAAAATTAGCCAGGCGTGGTGGCGGGCGCCTGTAATCCTAGCTACCCACAAGGCTGAGGCAGGAGAATCACTGGAACCCGGAAGGCAGAGGCTGCAGTGAGCCGAGAATCCCGCCACTGCACTCCAGCCTGGGCAGCAGAGCAAATCTCCATCTCAAAAACAAAAACAAAAAGCTCAGATGCCAAGAATATATTTCTTTGTCGTCCTTGAATTTTTATCCTTCGCAGGAGAATCCCCCTGAAAATGAGAAGTTTAGTCACTCCAGGGGTTCTCAAATTTTGCTGCACGTTAAAATCCTCTAGAGTGCTTTTCAAAAATACCCATATTTGGGCCAGGCCTAAACAAATACTGATTTACTCAGTCTGAGGGTGAGGCCCAGATAGGATTCATTTGTAAAAACTTTCCAGGTGATTCCAATTCATAGTCAGTTTGAGAAGTAGTGAGCACTTAATTAAGGGAAAATGCAAAGAAAAGAAAAAAGAAATACTGGGAAAAGAAAACTTTGGTTAATATTTTATAATATTGTGCAATCATAAATGTATCAACATTATGCAATCGTACATAAATACCAGAAGATGGAAAAGTCCTTGAAAATGAATTTGAATGTCAGTGTGAATAAATTAGAAGATAACTGTGGAAACCTTACATACCACAGGCATCTAATAACTTTTTTCTTTTTGAAGGCTCAGGATATCTGAATGCTTAGCAAATCCTGGCATGGTATTTGGAAATCCTTGTTTTCCAACTTACATATTTCAGCTGTCTTACATTTTTTTCTAAAGTCCAGTGGCCTGTTAGGACTAAGCTAGCTCAGATTCTCATGGAAAGAAGACAGTTCTGGCTTGCTTTACACTGCAAGAACAGGCATGCAAGAACAAATAAAATACTGATGTCCACTAAAAAGGAAAATTTACGGATCCAAAATCCAAAGAGCCTCAGGGTGGGCACAACGTGGCCCCTTGTCCCATGCTCTGAGAAAGGTGAGGGCCCTGACCCATGTGCATAAGGCCACACCCAGCTTCCTTCTCTGGAGAGGCCCCTGAGACCTTGATCTCTCAGGAGATGCCAATGTCTTGACCTTTCAGTAGAGGATTCAAGAGCACAGCATTCTTGCTCAGAATGAATCAGTCCAGCAAAGGGTTTATTTCTTGAGCAGTTAAATCTCGTGATCAGACAAGATACCAGTGTTCAGTTAGAGCCAAATGTACAGAAAGTGAGCTCCAAACCCTGGCTCTATCATGCGCCAGCTGTGTAACCTTGAGCATATTAATGACCCTCTCTGTGCCTCATTGGCCACATGTATAAAACAAGGATAATAATGGAACCTTCTCACTAGAGTTTTCATGAGAATTGAACAAGAAAATATTGATAAGAGCCCTCATATGGAAAGCCCTCAGTAAATGCTAGTTAATACGATCTTTTACTTAGTTACATGTATGATTCCCATCTACAACATGCCTAAGAAATGGTATAGATCGCCCTAAAAAGCAATAAGTAATGAGACAGGACTATAAAACCAACAGAGTGAAAAAGACAAAGAGGGGACCACGTAATGTTTCCAAGCTAGCATTACAATTGATCCAGCAGTAAGAGTGGCCCTCTGTAACCCCAGCATTGGGTAGCCCTCCACTTGCTCCTTGGCACATTATATGGAGATCACCGTTGCGGTCCATCTAAGGGCAGGGAGTGCGTGTTGCTCATCTTTGTTCCTCTATAGGCTGCCTCCTCATATGTGCTCAATACATAGATGTGGAACTGAACTGCAGTAGTCACCCCTTATCCACAGAGGATATATTCCAAGACCCCCACTGGATGCCTGAAACCATGGGTAGTACTGGACCCTACATATTTTATGTTTTTTCATATACATACATACCTATGATAAAGTTTAATCTGTAACACTAGGCACAAAGATGAACAACAATAAATAAAAATAAAATAGAACAGCTATTACAGTATACTGTAATAAAAGTTACTTGATAAATTTGAGAGCTTTCACCTTTTCACTTAAAGGAAGGACTTTACAGCTTCTCTTTGACATATCTGAATCATCAGCATCACTATTCTTGTGCTTTCGTTAGGAAAAATCAGGATGACTTGAGCACCAGCACTGTGATACCACGACAGGTGCTCTGATAACCCAGACGGCTAAGTGACTTGTGGGCGAGAAGCACAAGACAACATGGAGATGCTGGACAAACGGATGATGATTCACATCCTGGGCAGGACAGCGTGAGATTTCATCACGCTACTCAGAGCAACATGCAATTTAAAGCTTATGAATTGTGTTATTTCTGGAATAGTCCATTAAATATTTTTGGACCGCTATTGACTGAAAGTAACCCAAAGGGCAGAATGTGAAGGCTTGGATAAGGAGAGACTACTGGAATCATTTTGTTTTCCACTTGTAGTGACTTAGTCCTTGTCTAAACTTGCGGGAAAGAAATGGAGAATGGTTGAAGGGAGGAGAGTAGGGGCTGCTTCACTTTAGACTGTGACAAGTACTGACAAGAGCTTCAAAATCGTACATCTCAAAGCCATTCCATGCCTGTCACCAAGCAGGCTGGTAGGGTGCCATCCACTGCCCCTCCAGGTCCTGCTGCCTTTCAGGCCCCTCCCTGAGTTTTCCATAATTTTTCTGGAGGCGCATAGCCCCGCAGGCATCTCCTGCCCCATCTGTTCTTCCGGAGGACTGCACTAAGGCTCTTTCTTCCTCTGCTCCTCAAGACTCTCAGGAAGCCCAAAGAGTTCTATTCTCAAAAGGTGGAGCAGATCCCCAAGGGGAGCACTGCCAAGAGTTCCATACCAGATGCAGAATAGCTATGGCTTTTATATAATTACCAACTTAATGATCTGTAAAATTCACTATTTAAAGTAAGAAAAAGGGTTTTGAAAGTCTTTGAAGCTTACTCACACAGTAAAATATACATTATGTAAAAAGAATAATGTGACAGTAAGTCCATGGGGGTTAGCAATTATTATTACTCACTTGGGCAGGATTTTTCACTTTGCTTCTCGCCCTTGCAATCTAGAGCTTTCCTCCCCCAGAAACGCAGTGTTTGCACACTGGTAAGTGATACCCCAAAACCCAACCCCGAGTCCAGTGAAAGTCATGGAGACAAACTGTGCCAAGAGCACATGAATCACAATTAGTTTAAGAAACAAAACAAAACACCCACCTACATATTAACTGTCTCACTCTTTCCCTTCTGAGAACATGGAAAGAGTCTGAAGCATCACCTGCTTGGATGTGCAGCTTCATGGCCTGGCCTTGGTCACAGTTGCTAGCACATCCTACCAGGTTCCATGATCAAGGACCACCTGGGGCAACACTTGGTCAAAACTCACTTCTGCACAAGCTCTATATGAGTTATCATTAGTGTGCTTTCTTACAGAGATAGGAAGAATAAAGGAGAATGAGAAGGAATATTAATAGGAAATAGTATAGGGCCTTTGGTAACTTCTTCCTTCTTTCTTTCTTTCCTTCTTTTCTTTCTTTCTTTCTTTCTTTCACTCTTTCCTTCTTTCTTTCTCTTTCTTTTCTTTCTTTCATTCATCCTTTCTTTCTTTCAGACAGGCTCTTGCTCTGTAGCCCAGGCTGGAGTGCAGTGGTGCGATCACGGCTCACTGCAGCCTTGACCTCTTGGACTCAATCGATCCCTCATCTCAGACTCCCAAGTAGCTGGGCCTACCCATGCATGCCACCAAGCCCAGCTAATTTTTATAGAGACAAGGTTTTACCATGTTGCCCAGGCTGGTCTTGAACTCCTGGCCTCAAGCAATCAGCCGACCTCTACCTCCCAAAGTGCTAGGATTACAGGCATGACAAGCCGTGCCCACTGCCTTTGATAATTTCTAACAACGTGCCATTGATTGATGTTTCAGTTTTCTATTGCTGTGTAATAAATCAGCCCAAACTTAGTAGCATAAAACTGCAGCAATTTTCATGAGGAGGAGGAGGAGAGAAAGGAAGAGGAGAAAAACCTCTGATGTTTTCATGGGTTTATTGGGCTCGGCTGGGTAGATCTCACTCAGGATATCTCATGAGGTCGCTGTCAGATGGGGACTAGGCTGGGGTCTTCTGGAAGGCTTCCTCACTCCCAGGTCTGGCAGCTGGCTGGGAACAAAGCTGGGATTGCTGGCCACACAGCTGCACATGGCTCTCCAGGTGTTCCCAGCACCTCCCAGCAGGGCAGGTGGGCTCCAAGAGCAAGTATCCTGGGAAACAAAGCCAGGGGAATGCTGTGTCACCATTTATGACCAGCCTCTGTGGTCATGCATTTCTAACACATTCTACTAATTAGGACCAAAGGAAAGGGAATTAGGTCCTTGATGGGAGAAGTGTCAAAGAACACATAGACGTTGTCTTAAATCCACTGCAATTAGCATTGCCATGCTTTTCCTTCCTTATGGCTTTCAAAACCATGATTAAACAGTAAAAAGAAACACTCACCAAATATAAACATCAAAAATAGGTTTCTCGGCCGGGCGCAGTGGCTCACGCCTGTAATTCCAGCACTTTGGGAGGCCGAGGCGGGCGGATCACGAGGTCAGGCGATCGAGACCATCCTGGCTAACACGGTGAAACCCCGTTTCTGCTAAAAACACAAAAAAATTGGCTGGGAGCGGTGGCGGGCGCCTATAGTCCGAGCTATTCGGGAGGCTGAAGCAAGAGAATGCCGTGAACCCAGGAGGCGGAGCTTGCAGTGAGCGGAGATCGCGTCACTGCACTCCAGCCTGGGCGACACAGTGAGACTCTGCCTCAAAAAAAAAAAAAAAAAAAAAAAAAAAATAGGTTTCTCTGCTTCTTTTTACTCTGGCCATCAGTCCCTTCTTCTCAGCACACTCAGATGAGACAAAGCATCTCTGACACCTGTTTCTCTTCCTGCATTCATGCTCACTCCTAGATACATCTTCTTGTGAGCTCTCTTGGGTTGAGATCACTCACCACGAGGAAACCATAGGCCAGTGTTTATAATGGGAAGACTTGGCAGAGATTGATTTTATTTTTTTCCAAACATCCTTCCCATTCAACCACAATGATGTCCCTCCCTAGTAGCCATTGGCTGGTGTCATCATTGAGATTCCTCACACCCTGTCAATCACCTCCCCCAGCTAGTCTCCCATATACCAGTGGTCTTCTTCCCATCACTGAAAACTCAGTCCAGAGCCTTTCCCTGTCTTTTTGGACTGCCACTTTGTACAGGACTGTCCATCTCACCACTGCCCCTTCAGATTGAATGGCCAAAATATCTTTCTCATATGTTGCCTACCTTCCCAATTCTGACAAGACATCTATAGTTTCTGCATGCATTTTACCCAAATTTCTGGTCATGGATCTCAAAGACTTCTTCATCACACATAGACATAAATGCACCCCGTTCCAAAGTAATTGTGATTCTCCACCAACTTTCTCCTGTTTCCAGTTTCTACTGCATGTTCAAAAACAACTTTTCATTATCCTGTCTCCACACTCATACTCCCATTGATAGAAGCTCTTCCATTTATCTACATTTTTTCACCTGCCAAATCACCTCAGTGTGGTTGAGCAAAAAGATCACAGGACTTAGAAATAAGAGGCCCAAGTTCTGGCATTATAAACCTCATAATAAGTTATTTAATAAAATCATTTGAAAGAGTAAAATATACATTATGACAATGATGAGATTCTCCATCTTTTGAAAGTTGTGCTCAAGTTTCATTTACCTTATGAATCTCCCATCAGTAAGCAAAGGAATGTCCAGCTGTGTTGCTGCCCACAACAGCCTTTCCTGAGAGCTGGTGGCCGTGAACATCACCGAGTCTCTGTTTGCTAAAGGGAATGTCAATAAAGTCCTTGCCAAGAGTAATAGTTCTTTGCAGAACCTGTAGTAATTACAAAGGACTCATGCTGCCTAAAGATACCAGGTGTCTTACACCAACACACACTAGACACTTTCTCAGAGATCACATAGCTGAGGGCTTATCCTAAATTCCATCTGTGCAGCAAAATAAACTTACAACCAATGGTGAGGTCTCAAACTGCACCTGGTGGGGACCTCCTGAAAAGGCCAAGGAGATGTGGAGGGTTAAGCTTAAGGTGCCCAGCACACAGCCAGAGTAGTCTGGACTTGCCTATTTTGAGTCTGGCCAACTAGGGTCTTACAATAAAGTAGCAGCTAAAAGCCAAGAGCAGTGGCACACATCTGTAGTCCTAGCTACTTGGGAGGCTAAGGCAGGAGGATCACTTGAGCTCAAGAGGTCCAGGCTGTAGTGTACTATGATCACACCTGTGAATAGCCACTGCACGTCAGCCTGGGCAACACAGCCAGACCTTGCCTCTGAAAAAAAAAAAAATCAGCTAATACATGTGTGGCTCTCTAAAAGTTACTATATTTCACATGAATTCTCTCAGTTACAATCCAGCAATATGCACAAGAGTATATCATCTGTACTTTGTAAGCTGTGTCTAACCTTTGCATATCTCAAAGTTGTTTCTTTTCTTTTTTTCTTTCTTTTTTTTTTTTTTTTTTTTTTGTGGGGGAGGCAGAGACACAGGGTCTGGCTCTGTCACCCAGACCAGATTGCAGTGGTTTGATCTCGGCTCACTGCAGCCTCAACCTTCTGGGCTCAAGTGATTCTCCCACCTCAGACTCCCAAGTAGCTGAGACTACAGGCGCCAGCACCACTACACTTAGCTAATTTCTGCATTTTTTGTAAAGATGGGGTTTGATCATGCTGCCCAAGGTGGTATGGAAATCCTGGGCTCAAGCGATCCTCCTACCTCAGCCCTCAAAAGTGCTGGGATTACAGGCATGAGCCACTGTGCCCCGCCTATCTCACTCTTAATACCAGCTGTCATCCTAGGGTGCAGGGGTTCTGGTCTCCCCGATAGTGTTGAGCCCCCATGAAGCACTTGATAAACAGATGCTGATACCTCCCCACCCTCTCTCTGGCTGAAGCATGTGGCAAAGTGGTTGTACTGGGTTTTCTGACTCAGTCATGACTTGGCTAAGGAATTCTTACCACCCAGGGGGTATTACCTGGAAGTTCTTACAGAAGATCATACCAAGAATACATTCAAAGAAAATTGCTCATTTTTCTCATGCTATTAACACAAAAACTTTTCTCTCAACTTACAACATTGAATTTAGTGTTTGACTTTGAATTTTTCTGGATACTGCACAAAGAAGATAAAATCTTCTTTTCTCTTTTTCTTTTTTTTTTTTTTTTTTTTTTGAGACAGGATCTTGCTCCATCACCCAGGCTGGAGTGAAGTGGCACAAACATGGCTGACAGTAGCCTCGAACTCCTGGGCTCAAGTGAGCCCTCCACCTTAGCCTCCCAAGTGGCTTGGACTACAGGCACATGCCACCACGCCCAGCTAACCTTTGTTGTTGTTGTTGTTGTTGTTGTTGTTTCTGAGACAGAGTTTTCTTATGTTGTCCAGGCCTGTCTCAAACTCTTCTGGGCTCAAGCAATCCTTCCACAACAGCCTCTCAAAGTAAAGTACTGGGATTACAGATGTGAGCCATCGCACCCAGCCCATTTCTAAGGTATTTTCATAACATAACTGGCAGCACTAAGTAATATTTAATTATCTAGAGAAGTAATCCTAGGTCCTGAGAACAAAAATTTTAATTATTTCAAATGTAAGGATCTGCAACAGCCTACAATGTGGCCACTAAAAATAAATAGGTAGTGCAATCAATGGTGTCCAGGTTTCTAGACAAAAATGGAACAGCAGGCTGGGCACAGTGGCTCATATTTGTAATTCCAGCACCTTGAGAGGCTGAGAAGGGAGGACCATTTGAGACCAGGAGTTCGAGACCACCCTGGGCAATAGAGTGAGACACCCCCCCCCCCATTTAGTTGTGTTTTGTTGTTGTTGTTTTGTTTTTTGTTTTTGTCTTTTTATTGTTGTTTTTTGTTTGTTTTTTGAGATAGAGTCTCACTCTGTTGCCTAGGCTGGAGTGCCATGGCGTGATCTCGGCTCACTGCAACCTCCGCCTCCCAGGGTTCAAGCGATTCTCCTGCCGCAGCCTCCCAAGTAGCGGGGACCACAGGAATGTGCTACCGTGCCCAGCTAATTTTTTTGTATTTTTAGTGGAGATGAGGTTTCACCATGTTGGCCAGGCTGGTCTTGAACTCCTGACCTCAAGTAATCCGCCCACTTTGGCCTCCCAAAGTGCTGGGATTACAAGTGTGAGCCACTGTGCCTGGCCCCCAATCTCTATTTAAAAAGAGAAAAAAGAAAAAAAATGGAAGAGTGGTTTGTCTTCTCTCTGAAACAAATCAAACATTTTTTAAAAAATGAATTTAATAGATGCTTAATGAAACTAGAACCTTGTCATAATTTTGAAACATATTCAAGAAGAACTGCATAGGGCAGCAAAAATGAATTGGTCGAGGCAAGGGAGGGATGTGGGGGGATATGCTGTGTATTCACTAGACTTACCCCTCTGCCTGCTTTGCACAAAGTCATACTACATTTCCCAATCTCCCTTATAGTTAGCTCTGGTATGCTACTGAATTTTGACCCACTGAATACGTTGGGGGATTTCTTACTTCTGGATAAAATGTTTGAAAGAAACTGTGCACCTTCCTCACTCAGCTTTCCCTATAGCCAGAATGCATAGTCTTGGGAAAGAAGGGGAGAGGTACAAACAGCTCCTTTCAATTTTATACCAGATTACTTGATAGGGGAGATTTATTTTTCCACCCAAATCTTGGGACCAAAATGTTTGGAAGTCCTAACACTCAAAGGAAAAAATTATTCTGCCAGGGAAACAAAGTTTGGGTTCTATTACATTACAAGCTGAGACTATCACATGGCCATTCCAGGCTTTTCACACGAGTAACCCAAAAGGCAGTGGGGGAGGTCTCTGTACTGACAAGGAGACAGCGAGACACTGGGATGCTCCAGCTCAATAGATGTGAGGACCACTAAGTCTGGACCCCAGGAGGTTGGCTGGGCTCACTCTTAAGACTTTCTGATCCAATATTTCCGGTCAATGAAAAATTGAGATACAAGCCGAGCATCCCTAATCTGAAAACCAGAAATGCTCCAAATTCCAAAATTTTTGAGTTCTGACATGACACAAGTGGAAAATTCCACACATGACCTCACATGATAGGTCGAAGTCAAAACGCAGGCACACAACACAGTTTATTCAGCATCCCCATGTATTCTGGTGATGCTACTGTGCTGCTTAGTAATCCAGAACACGTTATTTTTTTTTTGCTGTGTTGATGGTATGTTATATTTCTTACTCTTTAATACTTATGTGTGAATAACTGTAAGAAAATGTCTGCTTATTGGTAGCAGTCATTAGTTAGGAATGATGGTAACTGCCAAGGAACCACAGTTTGTCCACATGAGTGGGTAAGACAGTGACACCTTGGCTTTCTGAAGGTTCAATGTAAGCAAACTGTCTCCTGCACAGCATTATTAAGAATATTGTATAAAATTACCTTCAAGCTATGTGTATAAGGTGTATATGAAATATAAATGAATTTCATGTTTAGATTCATGTTCAGATTCATGTTCCATCCCCAAGATACCTCATTATGTATATGCAAATATTCCAAATTTGAAAAAATACAAAATTCAGAACACTTCTGGTCCCAAGCCTTTTGAATAAGGGATACTCAACCTGTAATGCAATAAGAATGAAACAACCAAGGTGTCAGGTCTCATGCAAATGAAAGTTTGAGTCATCCCAACAGGTCTAGGGCTCAATGCAGCTGAAACATGGGCAGAAAATAAAGGGAATGTGGAATGACGCTCTTCAACTCTTAATTGCTGTGGCTTTCCACCATTCTTTCCTGCTCTTGGTGCCCCACATATATTGGCCCATGGCAGAAACTTTTAATGCTCACTAAATGTTCATGTGGACGTCCTCTGCATGGAGTTACCAATACTCTACCCAATCTAACCTTAATATAATGCTACACAGTTAAAATGGATAGCACCTCTTTCAATTTTTTCCTCCATTATTTTTAGAATGAGTTCAATATATTTCATCAATAAGATAAGAAATATCACATCATCGTTTCAATGGTTGCTGAAAAAACAGCAAAACTTCTAAAAGTATTTATGTTTTGTGACTCTATCTACTTCTAGGAATTTATGAAATCTGTGGAAATCTATGGAATTTATGAAAATTGTAAACAAAAAAATGTACACACCAAGGTTTTCTCTGCAATATTATGTGTAACTGTCAAAACTAGAAACAATCTAAGCCTCAATGAATAGACAAATGGTTAAGTAAATTATAAAAATTTCGTAAGAGAATATTATTTAGTCACTAGAAGTATACTTGCGAAGAAATATTAATGAAATAGGGGAGATGGTTATGCTAAAATAAGAAAAACAAAACATTATACAGGTAGGGTCTATGTTAGATAAAACTGTTTCTAAAATCTAACTCTACCTGTTTGTATTTTTTCCTTTTCAATGAGCATGAGCCCATACTACTTTCATAACCAGGTTAAAAAATCTTTTTTATTTATTTATTTATTTTTGAGACAGTGTGGTGTGATCTTGGCTCACTGCAACCTCCACCTCCTAGGTTCAAGTGATTCTCAAGCTTCAGCCTCCTGAGTAGCTGGGATTACAGGTGCACATGACCTAACCCAGCTAATTTTTGTATTAGAGATGGAGTTTCGCTATGTTGGCCAGGCTGGTCTGGAACTCCTGACCTCAAGTGATCCACCCACCTCAGCCTCCTGAAGTGCTGAGATTACAGGCAAGAGCCACTGCACCCAGCCAAAAAATCTTTTTTTAACAAAAGGGTCCTATTCTTATGTGACTTTTCTCTCAGGCTTCCATCCTTGCCTCATAGAGCATCATCAAGTAAGAGAAATGACTTCTGAATTTGCAAAATAATAGTCCTTATCTGTCAATTTGTAAGTTGAGGCTTTCTAAAAGTCTTAAGAGAATGTGAAAATTTGATTTTTGAAAAGTCTAATCCTTCCAATCAAGATCTGGCAATAATATGGTCGTGATCTAGGACTCAGCAGAGAGCAACCGAGCTGAGGCCTGGATTTTTTTCCACAGATTATATTTCCCCTGGCTCCCCTGACTTAAAAAACAGAACACAGACATTCACCAGTTCCTTTCTTTACACCCTGAAAAGCACTAAAGAGACTATTAGTAGCAAACCTCTGCAAAAGAACCTAAAGGGTTTGCAATTTGCTATCTTCATATGTAATTCCAACTATTTTTGAAACAAGTAACAAGAGGAATCATAGTCCTTCATGAGAAAACAATGCAAGGTAATAAGCGAAGCCCTCAGAACCAATTGTATTGTATTACTCTTAAAAGTAACAAAATACCAGACTCTTCCATGCAATAAGATGCTCAGTGGTTAAATCAGAAAGATAAATCATTATCCTGTGTGGAATGATGAAAGCAGCCCGGGGCTGAGGCATGGGGGTGGCAGGGAAGGCAGATAAAAAGACTACTGTATTTCCCTAAACTCTTATCAAGTGATCTATGTTTTCCTGGATCATGTAGCAAACATGCCTTAAAGAATGCATTTACTTCTATGGTGCCCTTTTAGAAGACACCTCAATGGTCTTACTTTCCTTCTCTGCCTTCAGAGTAAATCTGAGGTTGGGTCTTGCTGTGTTTCCAATGTAGAGGCTAAGTGAGTGCTGAGGCCAAGTGATTCACTCAATTATCAGGAACAGGGTTTAGCTAGAGTCCCTTTTCAGTTCCTATTACCGCTTGAGTTCCTAATTTTTAGGTTAATTTCTCCCATCGTGAGGATTTTCTGCACCAAACCAAGGACTTGCCAGTTTATGGATCCCTGTTTCACAGGACTCATCCCTTCCATGCAAAACAAAATGGATCCCGATCATATTAGAACTGCAATGCATTCTGCTTCTCTATGAAAAAATTATCACACTCATGTATTTTTCCTGCAAAGTATAGTTTAGTTTTGTGTTTTGAAGACGTATTAGAACCATGATGAAGTAGCAATCAAAAGAAATCTTAAATGAAGCAGATAATTTTGAAATTGCTTTACTATGTTCAGTGCTGACATCATATGTGACATAAACTAGGTGCTTAATCTATATTTGAGAGTGGATGCACAAAGAGGATCTTGGTTTTCATCTATCGTAAACGTCAATATGATTTTGCCCATTGAGGCAAGAAACTATTACTGGACATCTGAGAGACTGAATACACAAACAGATGATGGTCAGACTACATATAAAAATAGAACTCTTATCCACAATCCCAGCAACCAGTTCAAGAAGCCAACTGATTATTTACAGTAACCAGC
Source organism: Homo sapiens (assembly GCF_000001405.40). Lineage (NCBI taxonomy): Eukaryota > Metazoa > Chordata > Mammalia > Primates > Hominidae > Homo > Homo sapiens. The sequence goes on from NC_000009.12 coordinate 87,393,134, forward strand.
CCAAGAAGCCAGCCAGTAGGTACATCTATAAGTAGAATTTGTAGGAATTCAGATCACTATCTCTTGCAACCAGCCCAGGAAGCCACATAATAACCCCTATAACAATTGAATCCAAGTGATCAGGACTTAATTAATAATTGACAGCTTCTTTTATTTTTGTCGCTACTTCCAACTTAGGACCACATGGAGAAAGCCAAATATATATCATCTATTGTAAATCCCATAAGCAATCCCATAGGATGCTCCACTTCTAGTTAGCCGGCCTCCAAGTTCCCATGCCAACAGCCTGCAATCAGGGCACACCTGAAGCCTTCCCTTGTTTCCACTGATGCTTTTCCACTCCTCTACCCACCTTTGAGTCTGGGCCAAAATGCAGGTGATGGTGGCTGATTCCCTTGTTACACCAAGATCTGAACAAAGCAGATCAACAACAAGTCAAATACAACCTCTAAAGGTTCATGAGGAACTTGAGCAACACATCAGCATTACCTGAAGACTTGTCAGAGATGCAAATCTCAGGCCCGACCCCTGACTTACTGAATCAGAAACTCTGAATGTAGGTCCCAGGAATCTGTTTCAACAAGCCCTCCTCCCTACGATGCCAGTGCTAAAGTTTGGGAACCACGGCAATATAATCAGATCTGAATTACCTTATGTTCCAAAGGCATTACCCTTTGGGGCATCAGAAGATTCCTTCCCCTTGAGAACATCCTACCAATCTGTTATTCCCCTGGTTACTGCTACCTAGCGCCAGACAAACCCCATCTGAACAGTAGGGAGGGCACATGGCTTCCTCTGGGATCTATGCCTTTTGCATAACACAACAACCCCCTTTGAAACATACTGCATGCATTTCCTTTCTGTCTTTTTCTTTGCCACCTGGTATTATGATCTGTTAGAAGACAAACACACTGATTTTGGCTGTGCCTAGTTACTAACTGTTCCTAAGAACCAGCCAAATTATTCTTATGACATGGCTTCCTCCCTACTGAACATCGCTTTATATTTTTAGAGATTTTTGAGTGTTGTTCTAGCATGTGGGAATGGATGTCCTCTAAGCTGAAATCTTATTTTATAGAAACTAGAAAAAGCTGAGTGCAGATTCATAATAGCAGTTTCCAATATTTATGGACTTTTCTCCAGCCTCAAATGTATTAGTTACCAGTATCTGGGTTAAGAATTATTGTATAAAAGTCTTTGCCCTGTAATACGGTAGCCTAAAAAGATGAAGAAGATGATTTCACCTTCAAGCTTCATTTTGTAAAAAAGAATACAAAATTGGGTAAAGATGTGAGGGAAATCAGAAGTCATAACGAAATACAAATTTTTAAACACTGGCAAAAAAAATCATGAACATCATAAAATACAGGGGAATATCATGTAAAAATAAATAAAAATTAAAATCCTGACACATCTTAATAAGATTTTCCTTCCTACATTGTTGGCTGCATACTTTTTGACCATCTCTTCATATGATAAAGATTTCATAATATACAACATAAGAGTAAATATCTTTAATCTAGCCTGGTTGATTAAATTTTTAAGTCAGGCTGGGAGCAGTGGCTCACGCCTGTAATCCCAACACTTTGGGAGGCTGAGGCAGCTGGATCATCTGAGATAGGAGTTCAAGACCAGACTGGCCAACATGGTGAAACCCCATCTCTAATAAAAATACAAAAATCAGCTGGGCGTGATGGCATGCCTGTAATCCCAGCTACTCGGGAGGCTGAGGCAGGAGAATCGCTTGAGCCTGGGAGGCGGAGATTGCAGTGAGCCAAGATCGTGCCACTGCACTCCAGCATGGGCAACAGAGCAAGACTCCATATCAAAAAAAAATAATAATAATTAGTCAGTAGTGTAGACGATTCCTTCAGTATCACAACCGCTTTTGATGATGTCATGTAAGTTTCTTGGGATTGTGTTCAGATTTGGCAAAACTTCTATCAAATTTCCCTCACACGTAAGTTTTACCATTTGGAGGAGTTTTCCAGAGACTGGCTTCAGGCTCCATAGCTTTCAGACGATGCCTCTCCCCTGCCTCTCACACAGTTAGGGTACCAGCTATCATATGCATGTTCATCCCTCAGTGAGATGCTTGGGTCTGCCCTTTCATGTCTCTTAAGTCTCTATGCCAGGGGAGTAGGTGGGGGAAGTGTTCCTGGGAGCCATTTCTCCAAGAAGACAGCCAGCCATAACTGAACAGTAGCCAGGCACAAACAGAGTGCAAACCAAGTAAGCATGTTCCACTAAATCCAAATTAGATGTGTCCCCAACTCAGCTTTCCTTTAGATGGTTCCCCAAAATGTCCACAGCCTCTCGAAGTCCAACCATATTAGGGCAGACGTTGAGACAGCTGAGTATAAAGGGATCACCGGAGAACATCCAACCAGCCTGGGCACTGGGAAGAATGTACACTGGGGTGGAGCCTCAGGAAGTTGGTGCCATTTGCAGGAGAGAGGAGCCTGGCCTCTCCTATTCCAGGTGGTACCTGGGAGTCAATCTGTGAGGCAGGAAGTCTACTAGCAGGACTCTCGCTTTGCTGAAAGTCACTGTTTCCCTTTTTTTCCTTTTCACCCAATAAACCCTGCTCTTCTCACCCTTCAAAGGGTCTGTGAGGCTAATCTTTCATGGTTGTGTGACAAGGACCCTGTTTTTAGCTGAACTAAGGAGAAAGTCCTACAACAATGTAACAGAGAATAATTGTGTGTAGAGAGGCTAGGATATCTGGCATTTGTACATTTTACAATGCATGATCGTGTGAACACACTGCTACGACCCCGTGCAAGCAAGGGGCCCTGAAGCCAAGCTTCCTTAGAAAATCCACCTCTGGTCAAGCATGAGATCCATGTTTGAGTCCTGATGTGCCCTGGCAGGTGAAGGCAGGTTCTGTGTCTTTAACTGACAAGGGAGGAAAGGGGGTGACCAGAGGCGACAGAAGGAGATGATGCAGAGAAGGTGATGAGAAAAGCTAGTGGCCTGAAGCTAGTGTATGAAATAGGAGAAAAAGTACATTGAAGAATATGAGCATTTTTACAAAGGCAAATTGCGCTCTCCCGCGCTAGTCTGCGACAAAGAGTGCGTGTGTTAGCCAAGCAAATTTGTCATCAATGATTAACTTCTGGAAGAACAAATTATTTGACCTCTCCAGCTGAACAAACACAGAACTGCAGCGACTAAAAGAGCCAAAGGCAATGCTTCAGCAAAACTGAACACATTTTCATAAAAGTCCTGTCATTTTATGTCACAAGAGCCTTAGGGAAGCTTAGGTAATGGTGCCTCTTTAGCTAAAGAAAGAGATTTCCCTCGGCCTGGGTTGTGGCTGCAGTAAATGAATGATACAGAGAATGGCTTTAGATCTTGAGGTTGATTTTGCTACAGCTTTGAAAATGCCTAGGGCTTCTGAAAAGGAGAGTTTGATTTATGAAAAATATGTTTCTGGGATATTAACAAAGAAAATGAAGGTAGTAAAATGGTTCAAGGAGCCAGTGACATGCAAGGCAGTCATGTGGAAGTTTCAAGTGACTCTGTGCTTCTAGTCCTCAGCCACCAAAAAATTACTCAAAATAGCTTTTAATTTCTTTCCTTTTTTCATTTTTGAGACAGAGTCTTGCTTTATCACCCAGGCTGCAGTGCACTGGCACAATCTCGGCTCACTGCAATCTCTGCCTTCTGGGTTCAAGTGATTCTCCTGCCTCAGCCTCCTGAGTAGCTGGGATTACAGGCGTGCACCACCACACCCAGCTAATTTTTGTACTTTTAGTAGAGACGGGGTTTCACCCTGTTGGCCAGGATGGTCTTGAACTCTTAACCTCAAGTGATCCACCCACCTCGGACTCCCACAGTGCTGGGATTACAGGCATGAGCCACCGCACCAGGCCTCAAAATAGTTTTTTTTGTTTTTTTTTTTTTTTTTTGAGACAGTCTTGCTCTGTCGCCCAGGCGGGAGCACAGTGGTGCCATCTCGGCTCACTGCAAGCTCCGCCTCCCGGGTTCACGCCATTCTCCTGCCTCAGCCTCCCTAGCAGCCGGGACTACAGGCGCCCGCCACCACGCCCGGCTAATTTTTTTGTGTTTTCAGTAGAGACGGGGTTTCACCGTGTTAGCCAGGATGGTCTCGATCTCCTGACCTCGTGATCTGCCCGCCTTAGCCTCCCAAAGTGCTGGGATTACAGGCATGAGCCACGGCTCCCAGCCTCAAAATAGCCTTTAGCTAGAAAAGTTTATTGAGATACAGAATGCAAATGTGCAACCGTATTAATTCTCAGTTTCCTCCTTCTGTGCAGCTTTCTATCAGCAAGTAGATGTGTAAATAAGGAGTAAATATCCCTATCCCCAGGGAATTCTTGTTTCATTCAGATGTAGCTTAGCAAGGACTTCAACAAATAAAATGCAAATGAGAATGGAGAAAATGAATTAGAAACAAAGATCAGAATTCCTTTTTCATTAACTCCTTAAAAACCATTATTCCCCAAAAGAAAACTTCAAGAAATGGTAATACACTAAAATTAAAATGGAGTTCACTGCTTGTTTTCTCTGCCATGACCTTACTAAACTAAAATTAATGATCTGGTCATCCCGGAGGCTATGTCTTTAAGGGCATTTTCCCCTATAAAGTAGGAGGTCAGAATTCTGTTCTGAATCCTATACCCGAATTGTGGCTATTAAAAAACCAAAGTGTTCTCTCTTTAGGCCCTCAGAAGCAAGCACATATTAAACAACATGACAACAGCCCTGACGGATTGTTGTTCTCTTTAGAAGAGGTGTTGAATACATGCTGGTTCTTGTAATTTGTAAAAGAATAGCTTTAAAAAAAATTATAGCCATATGCATACATGGTCAGGGTCACCTACATTAGCTTCATTTTATTTTCATTTGTTTATTATTTGGGTGATAAGGCCTTGCTCTGTCACCCAAACTGGAGTACAGTGGTGAAATCATGTCTCACTGCAGCCTCCACCTCCTGGGTTCCAGTGATCCTCCTGCCTCAGCCTCCCAAAGTGCTGGGACTACAGGCATGAGCCACCATGATAGGCCACCATCTTTAAAAAAATAAATATTTTTAAAGTTTAAAAGAAAAGTGTGCACATCACTGAATACTTGGAAAAGAAAGAAAAACAGAAGCAAAAGAAAATCACCAATATATCTCTCATCCAGATACAACCACTGCCAACCTACAGGTTTATCTTCTTCCAGTATGTTTGCCGATCATGTTTTTTACATATCAATGTAAATACATGGAGTACTCAAAATTTTATATGTTGAATCTGTCTTTTCCTGATTGAAAAAAATCATTCTAGTTTATTGTGGATCATTTGAATAATATAGAAAAGTATACATTTAAGATACCACTATCCACAGACAACTTTTTAAATATGTTAGTATAATTTTCACTTTTTTTTTTTTTTTTTTTTTTTTTTTTTACCTAAATAAGTAAATATGTTTGTGAAGCAGCTACATTGTGTGGGGTAAACACCCAGGGTTCATTTTCTTGATCCAGGAAAATTTAGGACATGGACATACAGGAGAAGTTTAGGAGAGGAGGTTTGATAGGCAGAAGAAAGAGAAAGGAAAACAGCTCTCTCTGTAGTGAGAGAGAGGGGACTTCCAAGAGGAAAGGACCAGATGATGTCAGATGCCCCGGATTTTGTAGTTCCATCAGGTATGACGTTTACATAGCCAGGGGAAGGCTGGTTCCCCACCCTAATCTTATTATGCAAATGAACTCTCCCCTTGGCGGCACCATCTCCTTATGATACGTGTGGCTGACAAAGAGAAGGGAAGATGGAGCCGCCATCTTGAACATGATTGGTACAACTGCCGGCATCTATGTCTGCAGCCCAATTTTACTGGCTGCTCTTACTTAGAAAGGAAAATGATTTGGGGCTGCTTTTCATTAAAAGAAAAACCTTACCAAGAACTCCTCTATCCTCACTATCTGCCTAAGTAATTTCTTCTTAACTCCTGTATCACCTGCATTGTTGCTTAAAAGAATGTTTAGGCCAGGCCTGAGGGCTCATGCTTGTATCCCAACACTTTGGGAAGCCAAAGTGGGAAGACCACTTGAGGCCAGGAGTTCAAGGCCAGCCTGGGCAACATAGAGAGACCCCATTTCTACAAAAGATTAAAAAATTAGCCAGTCGTGGTGGCACATGCCTGTAATCCCAGCTACTCAGGAGGCTGAGGCAGGAGCATCACTTAAGCCCAGGAAGTCAAGGTTGCACTGAGATGTGGTCACAATCACGTCACTGCACTCCAGCCCCAGCAACAGAGCAAGACCCCATCTCATTAAAAAAAAAATTATTTTAACAAGGAAATATAAGTAATAATATGTGAAGTGGACACTTTCCTTCCCCATTAATGTCTGCTACTCCTGCCCCATCTTGGTGGACATTTATGGTGGTTCTAATTTTTTTTTTTACTTTATTTAACAATGCTACAGTGAACGTCTTTGCATATACATTCATGTACATATGCCGGTATTTCTTTAGACGAACCGCTAGATGTATAAGTCCTAGATCAAAGTAATTTAATTGTAATAATTTGCCCTTCAAAAACTTGCAGTTTAAATTCTGATCAATAGTAGGAATACTTGCTCCTCTATGTTCTTGCCCACAAATTATCAACTATAATTTGTACTCCTCTAATTACTAGCAAAGTTAAGCATTTTTGCATCTGTTTATTGGTCATTTTTAAAATTTATTTTATTTATTCTATTTATTTTGAGATGGAGTCTCACTCTGTCACCCAGGCTTCAGTTCAATGGCATGATCTCAGCTCAGGGCAACCTGGGCCTGCTGGGTTCAAACAATTCTCCTGCCTCAGCCTCCCGAGTCGTTGGGATTACAGATGCCTGCCACCACACCCAGCTAATTTTTTTGTATTTTTAGTAGAGGCCGGGTTTCACCATGTTGACCAGGCTGGTTTCGAACTCCTGATCTCAAGTGAATCGCCTGCCTTGGCCTCCCAAAGTGCTGGGATTACAGGCATGAGCCACCATGCCTGGCCAGCCATTTGTTTTAATTCTTTCATATATTTCTTGCTCATATCTATTTTTTTGTATTTTCTATTGTTTTTAAGGAACTTTTTATATTTCCTGGATACTAATAATTTTCTCCTCAACTGCCAGTTTTGTTTTAACTTTTTACAGTGTCATTCGTCATCAAAACTTTTAAAATTCTGTATGTAGTCAAACCTACATACTAACTCTGTGTGTAGTTCTCTAATTCTCTTTTCCTTTGAGGCTTCTGGATTTTGTATCTTTCTTCAGATGCCTTCCCATCCCAAAGATTATTTTAAAAATAAAAATATTTTCTTCTCATACTTTCATGGTTCCGCTCTTGAGGCCTGGCTCTTTATTTCTGTTTCTAGTATGAGGTAAGAGCCTAATTTTCTCGCTTTCCAAACAGCTTCGTGTCTCAACATTTTTTTATCAACTTGTTTAAATTTGTATTTTGAGTCTAACACCATACTTTGAATTACCCCAGCTATATTCCATTGTAGGCTGGTGGGGCAGTTGGGGGAGCCCTTACCCCCTACTGTTTTCTTGTTGTTCCAGTATTCATAACTATTCTGTGTTATCCCTTTCAAAGGAAATGTATAATTATTTTGCCTATAAATTCTCTTGATATTTGGTTGGGAATGTTGTGAATTTATAGATTAATTTGGCAGATAGTAAAATCCTTATAATACTTAGCCCATTAAGAGCACACTCTATTGCTCCAATATTTATTTACTATTTTGTGTTTTTCGGGAAAAAACTAAAACATTTTTTCATGTTGACCTTGCACAGTTTGGGGAGTTGTTTCTGGATTTTTAACTGGGCATAGGTTTGGAATAAGACAATTTTCATTTTCCGAGAAAGTCATTTTCTCAAATATGTTGATTGTACAAACTATTCTCTTACAGATTTTTGTTTCCTGCAGTGGTATAAATGTCTCCTTTCTAATATTGACTTTTTTGGTAATTGGATTTGCTATAACTTTATCTCTTTTATTTGTCTTTTTAAAATATCAAGTTTTTTTGTTTACTATTCCATTAATTCTACTTATCTTTTGTGTTTTCTTCCTTTTTTAGATTTGTTTTGTTGTTATTTCCTTTTTGGCTTCTTTCTTATTTTGTAATAGATAAATTTTCCTTCAAGAACTCCTTTGGGCCAGATGCGGTGGCTCACGCCTGTAATCCCAGCACTTTGGGAGGCCGAGGAAGGGGGGATCACCTGAGATCAGGAGTTCAAGACCAGACTGACCAACGTGGAGAAACCTCGTCTCTACTAAAAATACAAAATTAGCCAGGCGTGGTGGCGCATGCCTGTAATCTCAGCTACTCAGAGGCTGAGGCAGGAGAATCGCTTGAACCCAGGAGGCAGAGGTTGTGGTGAGCCGAGATCACGCCATTGCACTCCAGCCTGGGCAACAAGAGTGAAACAAGGTCTCAAAAAAAAAAAGAACTCATTTGGCCACATCGCACATGGCTTACACCCTAGAGACCCCAATGCTTGATGCCTCCATGCCTTTATCTCTCCTTTCCCCAACAAGGCGCTCCTTACATCCGCTCCCATTCTTCAGCACCCAGACGTCCTGCCCCACCTGGATTGTGCAGTTAGTTCACTACCAAGAAAACGCTGATATTCTGAAGATTGATCACATTGGGCTATCCTGAGTACCCAGAAGTCATTTTCCTTAGGCCACAAGGAAGGACTTTGCAAACTCTCTGTGTTTCCTGCAGGGTTGCCTCATGCTGTTAGTGTCTTGTGATAGGAATTATTGAGATTCCTTCTGACTCCATCCTGAGAAAAGCTGGATCATTGTATATTTTTTTAAACGGGTCATCCGTAAGAAACAAGCCCTCCTCTCACTAATATTGACCATCTCTTCTACGTATTGTTAGTGCATCATTATGCCGTGAGGAGACACACATCCATGCTTTTAAGGCAATCAAAAATTAGATGAATTTCCTAATTTGCTTTAGAGAGAATTTTCTGAATCCTGGTTGAGTTTCCCCTCTCCTTAACAGTATTATTTACCAGGCCAGGAGCAGCAAATCATGCCTGTAATCCCAGTAGTATAATAACCAGGGAGGTCAAGGCAGGAGGATCACTGGAGCCCGGGAGTTCAAGACCAACCTAGGCAACATAGTTAGACCTTGTCTCTATAAAAAAATTTAAAAATTAGCTGGATGTGGTGGCACATGCTTGTAGTCCCAGCCAGCTACTTGGGAGGCTGAGGTGGGAGGATCACTTGGGGTCCTGGAAACTGAGGCTGCAGTGAACCATGATGTGCCACTGCACTCCAGCCTGGGTGATGAAGCAAGACCTTGTCAAAAAAGAAAGAGAGAGAGAGAGGAAGGAAGGAGGGAGGGAAGGAAGGAAGGAAGGAAGGAAGGAAGGAAGGAAGGAAGGAAGGAGAAAGAAAGAAAGAAAGGAAGGAAGGAGGGAGGGAGGGAAGGAAGGAAGGAAGGAAGGAAGGAAGGAAGGAAGGAAGGAAGGAATGAGAGAGAGAGAGGGAGAGAGAGAGTATTCATTTACGCCTTTCTCCTCAATACAGTGAAACACAGTTCTATCCCGAACTAAAATCTCATGATCCATGTTAAGGCTGAAAATCTGATGACATATATATATTAAGGTCTACATGAGGAGGAATTTTCCCGGCCTTGGGGAAGTAGAAGCTGGACCTACAATGCATCCCAGATTGGAGTCTTACTAGCCTCCCTCTGCCCTGGATCATTATTTGTCCTCCATCAGCACCTTGAGGATACCCTGGGGCTGGATGGATTCTTTCTTTTTACCCTAGTTTTTCAATGTGTAAAATGTAACTGTGATGCTCATTAATTGATCATTCTTTTTTCTTTCTTTCTTTCTTTTTTTTTGAGATGGAGTCTCACTCTGTTGCCTAGGCTGGAATACAGTGGCGGGATATTGGCTCACAGCAACCTCTGCCTCCCAGGTTCAAGTGATCCTTCTGCCTCAGCCTCCCAAGTAGCTGGGACTACAGGTGTGTGCCACCACATCCGGCTAATTTTTGTATTTTCAATAGAGATGGGGTTTCATCATGTTGGGCAGGCTGGTCTCAAATTCCTGACCTCAAGTGATTCACCTGCCTCAGCCTCCCAAAGTGCTAGGATTACAGGCGTGAGTCTCCACACTCAGCCAGATCATCCTTTTTAAAGAGTAAAAACATGATTCTCATATAAAATGAATTCACCAATTTTATTCAGCTCATTAACTAATGAGGAAACCAGTGAGATGTTGCAAGCAGTCCAAAGGAGAAACCAAAGAGCAGACACAAGTGTAAGTCCCAAGAAACGATCAAATGAAATTGTTTACTAGATGCAAAATTTGTTTTTCCATGAGGGTGTGAGAGAGTCAATTGCCTCTCCACAAGACAAAATGTATTTGCATGCCTATGGACAAGAATCATTTGCATTGCTATCAGTTGTCTACAATTACAGAGTTGTAAAATAGCTCAAAAACAATGAAGGTATAGAGATAATCTGGAAAAGTATGCTGGACAAGACATCCAGTAATCTGCTTTGCCTATTTCAAAGGCATTTTCAGTTTTCCCACATACATATTTAACAGCTTCAGTTCCAGCTTTACTTTGAAACTGGCACGGGTCCCCTTCCCATGTTCTGATAGTTTGTGACTACTCAGAATTCTCAAACAAGACATATTCTGGACTCCTGACAGCTCAGGTATCAGGGCCCTCTGCTGTATCAAGTTTCCATGGACACCAACTGAGGAGCCACAGGAGTTTTTCCTCCGATTAGATTTAAACTGCATCAGTCTTTCTTCTTCTACCTTTTAAACACAAACAGAAGTCACTGGGTATCCAGAAATCCTCCAAATATCAAGAAATAAGACTGTTTCACTATTTGTAATGGCTGTGTATAGATCAGGGCACACATTTCTGCCTCCACTACGTTTTTGATTCCATTTCATCTAATAAATGTATTCCCCTTTGGCAGCACTAGGAATAACTGCAGGCTTTTAAAATCCCTCCAAGTAAAATAATTCCAGTACTAACTAACAAAATCTCTTCTCACCTACACATGGATTCAAATTAAATTCAGAGAGATTAAGAAACTTGGCCAGTCGCAGTGGCTCATGCCCGTACTCCCAGCACTTTGGGAGGCTGAGGCAGGTGGATCACTTGAGCTCAGGAGTTCAAGACCAACCCGGCCAACATGGCAAAACCCCGTCTCTACTAAAAAAAAAATACAAAAATTAGCTGAGTGTGGTGGCACATGCCTGTAATCCCAGCTACTTGGGAGGCTGAGGCAGGAGAATCGCTTGAACCCAGGAGGCGGAGGTTGCAGTGAGCCAAGATGGCACTACTGCACTCCAGCCTGGGTAACAGAGTGAGATTCCATCTCAAAAAAAAAAAAAAAAAGAAAGAAAAGAAATTTGCTCAAAGTCCCACAACGATTATAATAAGTAACCAAACCATGCTCTGATGCAAGCAAAGTTAATCTGACTCCTCACTCTGAGTGCCTTCCATCACACCATGCTGCTCCTCTATGATCCAGATATTTGTTCCACCTTCTGCAAATATTCACTCAGTGCCTACCATCCATAGGCATTTTATGGGCATCACCATTCATCTGGTCACCTAAGATAGAAACTTTTGTATTAGCCTAACTCCATCATCTGCTCCATCATGCACATTCAATTGAATGATCAGTTCTATACATTTTATCTTGATGTGTTTCTCCACTTCATCCCCTCCACTTTGTACCCTACACTGTTGGCTTATTCATCTCTCACCTGGAATAACACAGTCTTGTTCTCTGGCCTACTCAATTCCAGCTTATTCCCACTTCTCTTTCCTACCCATGTATCCTTCTTACCATCAAAAAGTAATACTGCAGATCTCCACATGTCTCTCCCTTGCTTAACAAACCTCAGTGGCTCCCCATTTCCTGCACCATAAGGTGCAGTCTCCTTAGCATGGCCCATAAAAACTTGAAAAGCATACAAGCCCATCTTTCTGGTCACTTTACATCCTGGCCACTTACGAACCTGTGAGCTACCCACAACTTATTAGTGCCTGTATCCTTAGCACCCTGTCACTCTTGTGCCTCTGTGCCTTGGTTCATGCTGTTCTTTTAAATTGTGGTGCTCTTCCCCAGCTCCCAGGTCAGATAGATATCTCTTATCTGACACATTCACTGATATCACCGCCACTATTCCTCCTCCATGGGGGAAAGTAACTCTCTCAATCAGAGTGCGCATACTTCTATTCTGGCATATGCACACTCACATTCTACAATAGTGTTTTTATATTTCTATCCCTCACTAGACTGTAGTCTCTTCAGTGGCAGGGGTCACTCTAGGTACCTTAGAATTTGCGGCACATACGCAGCACAGAGCCCAGCATGAGGAGGTGCTAAATGTGTGGCTGAATATTTGAATTAGTAAAGGAAAGAATCTCAGACTTATATCCCACTCAGGGTGCTTTCACTACATCTTGATCACTTCAAGACAGAAAAAAACAACAAAAGCAAACAAGCAAAAAAAAAAAAAGAAAAAAAGCAAGAAAAAAGCTAGCAAAAGCAATCAGAGAGGGAATCCTATATACACCCCACCTTCTTCCTAAACCCCTGTGGCTAGGAAACAATTGCCACACTGGGAACCAGTGGTGTTGAAATCAGCAATAGTGGAAGAATTTACATTATGGAAATTAGCAAATCGTGCAAATAATATTCGGGGGAAGGGAGATTTGTTGTTGTTTCCATTTAAAATTGTACAATTCAGTGGTTTCCTAATATATTCATTAGGTTATGCAACTACCACCATCAAATTTCAGAACATTTTCATCACACCAAAAAGAAACACAGTCATTAGCAGTCACTCCTCATAACTCCCCACCCCAGCCCCTGGCAGTGTTTCTTGTTTTTTGAGAGCTGGTTGTTAAACATTTACAGCACACCACTGCTGGGAATGCAGCTATTTCTATAATAACAGTTACTTTTCTCTTCCTCACTTAATGTTTTGATTCTTCAAGAATCTTGAGGCCTCCTAAACCTCAAAGGTTTGTAACACAAAGATGATTTATCTTTAAAAGAAGTTATTTCAACTCTCACTTAATTCAATTTATCTGTCACAGAATGAGATGAAAAATTGTTATGCATAGAGAGGAAAATCAGAAACTAATAAATCTTTAAAAAGGCTAGATCACTTTCTGCTGGATTAGTATGTGGGATTTACTTTTGCATGAGACAATGGGCTCTTGTCTATTTTTAGCGTAGATAATGCATTTCCTAGGACCCACAGGAGGCCTTGGCTTCTCCTATTACTGAACACACATGCAGAGACCAGAGATTTTGTGAAAGAGAAAAAGAAAAAAGACAAGGGGAAAGGATTGGTGGTTTGCTCTTTTGATCACTAATGCAACTCCATCAGGAAAGATGAAATATAATGCCCAAGAATTTCCTAAAAGAAATTCACTAGAAATGCACAAAAATACACTTGTTTCAAAAGATGTACATACATCCCCATATGCATGTGAAGGCACTTGCACCATGAAGTCATTTGTTAATCTCCTAATGACCCAATGACCCTAGAACAGTTCCCTAGATGTGGGCTCCCAGACACCAGATGCACATTACTCATCTAATTAATGCTGCTGATGAACTTGTTTCAAAATCTTTTATATTTGTAAGCAGGAAAGGTTGGGCTGTCCTCTAAGATAGCATAAACCAAAAATAAAATTCTGAGCCCTGTAACCGTCTGAATGGACCCTTCCTTTTGGCCAAGAGCATTCCAAAGTCAACCTGAAAAACTAGTTCTGTTCATGATGGGAAGAGGGGGTGGGACATGCCTTATTACCATTAACGTCAACACAGACCTTGAGACTGATAGAACAGACTCTAAGTCTGGTAAATATTTACAAGCTATCCTCTCTGAAGCCTGCTACCCTGAAGCTTCATCTGCATGGTAAAACCTTGGTCTTCATAATCCCTTACCTTAACCTAAACATTCTTTTCTATTGATTCCGGGTCTGTAGATAATAACCAATCGCCAATCAGAAAATCTTCGAATGCATCTATGACCTGGAAGCCCCTGACTTCCAGTTGTCCCACCTTTCCTGACCAAGCCAATGTACATCTTACATGTATTGATTGATGTCTTATGTCTCTCTAAAACATATAAAAAACATATAAATGCAAGATGCAGCCTGACCACCTTGGGCACATGTGTCATCAGGACCTCCTGAGGCTGTGTCATAGGCATGTCCTTAACCTTGGCAAAATAAACTTTTAAATTGATCAAGACTTATCAAGACTTATCTTTTGGTTTATGATCAAGACTTTTTGGTTTATGTAGGGACTCCATCTTTTTTTTTTTTTTTTTTTTTTTGAGACGCAGTCTTGCTCTGTTGCCCAGGCTGGAGTGCAGTGGTGTGATTTCGGCTCCCTGCAAGCTCTGCCTCCTGGGTTCACCTCATTCTCCTGCCTCAGCCTCCGGAGTAGCTGGGACTACAGGTGCTCACTACCACGCCTGGCTAATTTTTTTGTATTTTTAGTAGAGCCGGGGTTTCACCATGTTAGCCAGGATGATCTCGATCTCCTGATCTCGTGATCCGCCCGCCTCGGCCTCCCACAGTGCTGGGATTACAGGCGTGAGCCACCGTGCCTGGCCTGTAGGGACTCTATCTTGTTACTCAAATTGTAGTTTGCTGTCCAGCACCATCAGCATTACCTGAGAGCCTGTCAGAAACACAGAGCCTGAGGCCAGGTGCTGTGGCTCATACCTGTAGTCCCAATGCTTTAAGAGGCTAAGGTGGGAAGACTGCTTGAGGACAGAAGTTCAAGACCAGCCTGGGCAACATAGTGAGATCTGTATCTACAAAAAATAAAAATTAGGCTTGGCGCCGTGGCTCACGCTTGTAATCCCAGCACTTTGGGAGACTGAGGCGGGAGGATCACCTGAAGTCAGTGTCACACACGTCTGTGTGAAGAGACCACCAAACAGGCTTTGTGTAAGCAACGAGGCTGTTTATCTCACCTGGGTGCAGGCGGGCTGAGTCCGAAAAGAGAGTCAGGAAAGGCAGATAGGGGTGGGGCAGTTTTATAGGATTTGGGTGGGTAGTGGAAAATTACAGTCAAAGGGGGTTTTTCTCTTGCGGGCAGGGGCGGGGTCACAAGGTGCTCAGTGGGGGAGCTTCTGAGCCAGGAGAAGGAATTTCACAAGGTTAATCACTCAGTTAAGGTGGGGCAGTAACAAATCACAATGATGGAATGTCATCAGTTAAGGCAGGAACCAGCCATTTTCACTTCCTTTGTGTTTCTTTGCTTCCTTCAGTCCATCTGGATGTATAGGTGCAGGCTTGGTCCCAGAGGCCTGACAGTCAGGAGTTGAAAACCAGCCTGGCCAAAATGGAGAAACCCCATCTCTACTAAAAATATAAAATTAGCCAGGCATGGTGGCACATGACTGTAATCCCAGCTACTCAGGAAGCTGAGGCAGGAGAATCGCTTGAACCCGGGAGGTGGAGGTTGTGGTGAGCCAAGATTGCACCATTGCACTCCAGCCTGGGCAACAAGAGCAAGACTCCATCTCAAAAAAATAAATAAATAAAATAAATAAATAAAAATTAGCCAGGCATAGGGGCACACACTTGTAGTCCTAGTTTCTTGGGAGGCTGAGCCAGAAGCATAGCTCAACCCCAGGAGTTGGAGGTTTCAGTGAGCTATGGTTGTGCCACCAGGGCCCTGTAATTGGCGTCTGTTCTCACCTTATTTACTTGAGTTTGTATGGAAAAAGAATTCACTGAGACTTACTTGAAACTCATTCAAAAGATCCCCAAACAGTTGAGATGTGTTGGGAATCCTCACTTTATTTTAAGCAATTTTGATGCTAAATCAAGAGGCTAATTCTCTACCCAGGTTGGAATCCTATTGACTGCAGGAAAGCCAGGGGACCATCTTCAGAGATCATGAAAAGTTTTACTTCCAGTAATGCTTTTCTTTTATAAAAGTGATTCATGGCCAGGTGTGGTGGCTCATGCCTGTAATCCCAACATTTTGGGAGGCCAAGGCAGGTGGATCGCTTGAAGCCAGGAGTTCACCAGCCTAGGCAATGTGGTGAAGCCCTGTCTCTACTAAAAATACAAAAATTAGCTGGGTGCGGTGGTACACACCTGTAGTCCCAACTACTTGGGGGGCTAAGGTGGGAGGATCACTTGAGCCTGAGAGACGGAGATTACAGTGAGCCAAGATCATGTCACTGCACTCCAGGCTGGGTGACAGAGCCCAGAACCTATCTCAAAAAAAAAAAAAAAAAAAAAAAAAAAACATTCATGCTCATTACAGGAAATATGAAGAACCATGGAGAAGAAAATTATTAAAAATCACCTGAATGTCCACCTGATATGTTAAACACTTAATATTTTGGTACTTTTAAATATACATATAATTGCAAGCATTATATGCTCTGTTTCCAATGGAATTCTTTATTTTACATAATTGGGAGCATAAAATAAATAGTTTGCATGACGTTTCATTTTTCATGTATTATGATTATTTTCATGCCCCTGAAAATTCTTCAGGAATATGATTTTAATCACCTTATATTCTTATATGAGTAAGTCACATTTTACTTAAATATTCTTATATTCTTGAATACTTAACCCATATAGAAAACGTTGTGATTAATATTCTTGCATATGAATCTTTTTCTGACTTTCTGATTATTTCTTCCATATAGATTTTCAGGCATCTGTGGTATGAACTTTACAGATTATTGATACATAACGCCAAATGGCTTTCCAGAGAATCTACAGTAAGTCACCTCCCAGCAGGCACCATGCTCTTGCCAGCCTCTCTACCAACGTTTTCAGCTTTCCTGGTTTTTTGTTTTTTTTTTTTGAGATGGAGTTTCGCTGTTGTCGCCCAGGCTGGAGTGCAATGGCGTGATCTCAGCTCACTGCAACCTCCGCCTCCTAGGTTCAAGTGATTCTCTTGCCTTAGCCTCCTGAGTAGCTGGGATTACAGGCGGCCACCAGCACGCCCGGCTAATTTTTATATTTTTAGTAGAGATGGGGTTTCGCCATGTTGGCCAGGCTGGTCTTGAACTTCCGACCTCAGGTTATCCACCCGACTCAGGCCTCCCAAAGTGCTGGAATTCCAGGCATGAGCCACCCACTGGTTTCTTAGGTGATAATCACCACTTCATTGTTTTCATTTGCATTTCTTTGATAACAAGTGTGGTTGAAGACATTTCCATTTGTTTGCTGACATTTTTATTTTGCCAGTGAATCCCGTATCCTATAGTCTGTTGCTATTGGAGTGCTACTGCTATCAATGATGTTCATATATTCACTTTATTAACTCTCTGTCGTTTGCTCTTTCCGCTTGATTGCCATTAGCCATTTAATGTTTTTTAAAGTCACGAGGTTTTATATGTTTGAACTGAATAGAGTCAAAATTATGACTCCTTCTTTGTGATTTCTTCTGTAGTGTTTACAATTAGAAGGATGCATTAAGGAAGGTATAATTAAACTATATATTTTTCCACAAGGCAGAATAACCATGCTGATAGCGAGCAGCCTTATCTCCTTCCTGTCAGGCCTCTGAGCCCAAGCCAAGCCATCACATCCCCTGTGACTTGCACGTATATACGCCCAGATGGCCTGAAGTAACTGAAGAATCACAAAAGAAGTGAATATGCCCTGCCCCACCTTAACTGATGACATTCTGCCACAAAAGAAGTGTAAATGGCCGGTCCTTGCCTTAAGTGATGACATTACCTTGTGAAAGTCCTTTTCCTAGCTCATCCTGGCTCAAAAAGCACCCACACTGAGCACCTTGCAACCCCAACTCCTGCCCGCCAGAGAACAAACCCCCTTTGACTGTAATTTTCCTTTACCTACCCAAATCCTATAAAACAGCCCCACCCCTATCTGCCTTTGCTGACTCTCTTTTCGGACTCAGCCCGCCTGCACCCAGGTGAAATAAACAGCTTTATTGCTCACACAAAGCCTGTTTGGTGGTCTCTTCACACCGACGCGCATGAAATTTGGTGCCGTGACTCGGATCGGGGGACCTCCCTTGGAAGATCAATCCCCCGTCCTCCTGCTTTTTGCTCCGTGAGAAAGATCCACCTACGACCTCAGGTCCTCAGACCGACCAGCCCAAGAAACGTCTCACCAATTTCAAATCCGGTAAGCGGCCTCTTTTTACTCTCTTCTCCAACCTCCCTCACTATCCCTCAACCTCTTTCTTCTTTCAATCTTGGCGCCACACTTCAATCTCTCCCTTCTCTTAATTTCAATTCCTTTCATTTTCTGGTAGAGACAAAGGAGACACATTTTATCCGTGGACCCAAAACTCCGGTGCCGGTCACGGATTGAGAAGGCAGGCTTCCCTTGGTGTTTAATCATTGCAGGGACACCTCTCTGATTATACACCCACGTTTCAAGGGTGTCAGACCACGCAGGGACGCCTGCCTTGGTCCTTCACCCTTAGCGGCAAGTCCCGCTTTTCTGGGGAAGGGGCAAGTACCCCAACCCCTTCTCTCCTTGTCTCTACCCCTTCTCTGCTTTTCTGGGGACAGGGCAAGTACCCCAAGCCCTTCTCTCTTTGTCTCTACCCCTTCTCTGCTTTTCCGGGGACAGGGCAAGTACCCCAAGCCCTTCTCTCCTTGTCTCTACCCCTTCTCTGCTTTTCCGGGGACAGGGCAAGTACCCCAACCCCTTCTTTCCTTGTCTCTACCCCTTCTCTGCTTTTCTGGGAGAGGGGCAAGTACCCCTCAACCCCTTCTCCTTCACTCTTAGCAGCAAGTCCCACTTTTCTAGAGGGGCAAGTACCCCAACCTCATATCTCTGCGCCCCAATCCCTTATTTCCATGCCCCAACCTCGTATCTCTGCGCCCCAATCCCTTATTTCCGTGCCCCGGCCTCTTATTTCTGCGCCCCATCCCTTATTTCCACGCCCCGACCTCTTCTCTGCGCCCCAACCTTTTCCCACTTTTCTGGAAAGTAAAAACCCCCAAACCCCTTCCCTCAGTTTCTCCACTCTCTCTTCTCTAGGCTTGCTTCCTTCACTATGGGAACTTTCCACCCTCCATTCCTCCTCCTACTCCCTTGGCCTGTGTTCTCAAAAACTTAAAACCTCTTCAACTCACACCTGACCTAAAACCTAAATGCCTTATTTTCTTCTGCAATGCCGCTTGACCCCAATGCAAACTCGACAGTAGTTCCAAATAGCCAGAAAATGGCACTTTGAATTTTTCCATCCTGCAAGATCTAAATAATCCTTGTCATAAAATAGACAAACGGTCTGAGGTGCCTGACGTCCAGTCATTCTTTTACACATCAGTCCCTTCCTAGTCTCTGTGCCCAGTGCAACTCGCCCCAAATCTTCCTTCTTTCCCTCCCGCCTGTCCCCTCAGTACCAACCCCAAGCGTCACTGAGTCTTTCTAATCTTCCTTTTCTATAGACCCATCTGACCTCTCCCTTCCTCCCCAGGCTGCTCCTCGCCAGGCCGAGCTAGGTCCCAATACTTCCTCAGCCTCTGCTCCTCCACCCTATAATCTTTTTATCACCTCCCCTCCTCACACCTGGTCCAGCTTACAGTTTCGTTCCGTGACTAGCCCTCCCCCTCCTGCCCAGCAATTTACTCTTAAAAAGGTGGCTGGGGCTAAAGGCATAGTCAAGGTTAATGCACCTTTTTCTTTATCCCAAATCAGATAGCGTTTAGGCTCTTTTTCATCAAATATAAAAACCCAGCCCAGTTCATGGCTCGTTTGGCAGCAACCCTGAGACACTTTACAGCCCTAGACCCTAAAAGGTCAAAAGGCCGTCTTATTCTCAAAATACATTTTATTACCCAATCTGCTCCCGACATTAAATAAAACTCCAAAAATTAAATTCCGGCCCTCAAACCCCACAACAGGATTTAATTAACCTCGCCTTCAAGGTGTACAATAATAGAAAAAAGTTGCAATTCCTTGCCTCCACTGTGAGACAAACCCCAGCCACATCTCCAGCACACAAGAACTTCCAAACGCCTGAACCGCAGCAGCCAGGCGTTCCTCCAGAACCTCCTCCCACAGGAGCTTGCGACACATGCCAGAAATCTGGCCACTGGGCCAAGGAATGCCCACAGCCCCGGATTCCTCCTAAGCCGCGTCCCATCTGTGTGGGACCCCACTGAAAATCGGACTGTTCAACTCACCTGGCAGCCACTCCCAGAGCCCCTGGAACTCTGGCCCAAGGCTCTCTGACTCCTTCCCAGATCTTCTCGGCTTAGCGGCTGAAGACTGACACTGCCCGATCGCCTCAGAAGCCCCCTAGACCATCACGGACGCCGAGCTTCGGGTAACTCTCACAGTGGAAGGTAAGCCCGTCCCCTTCTTAATCAATACGGAGGCTACCCACTCCACATTATCTTCTTTTCAAGGGCCCGTTTCCCTTGCCTCCATAACTGTTGTGGGTATTGACGGCCAGGCTTCTAAACCTCTTAAAACTCCCCAACTCTGCTGCCAACTTGGACAATACTCTTTTAAGCACTCCTTTTTAGTTATCCCCACCTGCCCTGTTCCCTTATTAGGCTGAGACACTTTAACTAAATTATCTGCTTCCCTGACTATTCCTGGACTACAGCTATATCTCATTGCCGCCCTTCTTCCCAATCCAAAGCCTCCTTTGTGTCCTCCTCTTGTATCCCCCACCTTAACCCACAAGTATAAGATACCTCTACTCCCTCCTTGGCGACCGATCATGCACCCCTTACCATCTCATTAAAACCTAATCACCCTTACCCCACTCAACACCAATATCCCATCCCGCAGCACGCTTTAAAAAGATTAAAGCCTGTTATCACTCGCCTGCTACAGCATGGCCTTTTAAAACCTATAAACTCTTCTTACAATTCCCCCATTTTACCTGTCCTAAAACCAGACAAGCCTTATAATTTAGTTCAGGATCTGCACCTTATCAACCAAATTGTTTTGCCTATCCACCCCGTGGTGCCAAACCCATATACTCTCCTATCCTCAATACCTGCCTCTACAACCCATTATTCTGTTCTAGATCTCAGACATGCTTTCTTTACTATTCCTTTGCACCTTTAATCCCAGCCTCTCTTCGCTTTCACTTGGACTGAGCCTGACACCCATCAAGCTCAGCAAATTACCTAGGCTGTACTGCCACAAAGCTTCACAGACAGCCCCCATTACTTCAATCAAGCCCAAATTTCTTCCTCATCTGTTACCTATCTCGGCATAATTCTCATAAAAACACACGTGCTCTCCCTGCCAATCGTGTCCAACTGATCTCTCAAACCCCAGCACCTTCTACAAAACAACAACTCCTTTCCCTCCTAGGCATGGTTAGCACGGTCAGAATTCTTACACAAGAGCCAGGACGACACCCTGTAGCCTTTCTGTCCAAACAACTTGACCTTACTGTTTTAGCCTGGCCCTCATGTCTGTGTGCAGCGACTGCCGCTGCTTTAATACTTTTAGAGGCCGTCAAAATCACAAACTGTGCTCAACTCACTCTCTGCAGTTCTCATAACTTCCAAAATCTATTTTCTTCCTCATACCTGACGCATATGCTTTCTGCTTCCCGGCTCCTTCAGCTATACTCACTCTTTGTTGAGTCTCCCACAATTACCGTTGTTCCCGGCCCAGACTTCAATCCGGCCTCCCACATTATTCCTGATACCACACCTGACCCCCATGACTGTATCTCTCTGATCCACCTGACATTCACGCCATTTCCCCAAATTTCCTTCTTTCCTGTTCCTCACCCTGATCACGCTTGATTTATTGATGGTGGTTCCACCAGGCCTAATCGCCACACACCAGCAAAGGCAGGCTATGCTTATAGTACAAGCCACTAGCCCGCCTCTTAGAACCTCTCATTTCCTTTCCATCGTGGAAATCTATCCTTAAGGAAATAACTTCTCAGTGTTCCATCTGCTATTCTACTACTCCTCAGGGATTATTCAGGCCCCCTCCCTTCCCTACACATCAAGCTCGAGGATTTGCCCCACCCAGGACTGGCAAATTAGCTTTACTCAACATGCCTTGAGTCAGATAACTAAAATACCTCTTAGTCTAGGTAGACACTTTCACTAGATAGGTAGAGGCCTTTCCTACAGGGTCTGAGAAGGCCACCGCAGTCATTTCTTCCATTCTGTCAGACATAATTCCTCAGTTTAGCCTTCCCACCTCAATACAGTCTGATAACAGACGAGCCTTTATTAGTCAAATCAGCCAAGCAGTTTTTCAGGCTCTTAGTATTCAGTGAAACCTTTATGTCCCTTACGGTCCTCCGTCTTCAAGAAAAGTAGAATGGACTAAAGGTCTTTTAAAAACACACCTCACCAAGCTCAGCCACCAACTTAAAAAGGACTGGACAATACTTTTACCACTTTCCCTTCTCAGAATTCAGGCCTGTCCTTAGAATGCTACAGGGTACAGCCCATTTAAGCTCCAGTATAGACGCTCCTTTTTATTAGGCCCCAGCCTCATTCCAGACACCAGACCAACTTAGACTGTGCCCCAAAAAACTTGTCATCCCTACTATCTTCTGTCTAGTCATACTCCTATTCACCGTTCTCAACTACTCGTACATGCCCTGCTCTTGTTTACACTGCCGGTTTACACTGTTTTTCCAAGCCATCACAGCTGATATCTCCTGGTGCTGTCCCCAAACTGCCACTCTTAACTCTTGAAGTAAATAAATAATCTTTGCTGGCAGGACTATGCTGAATCTCCTTAGGCACTCTCTAATCAGATATCCTGAGTCATCCCAATTATTAGACCTTTTATACTTGTTTTTCTCCTTCTGTTATTCCATTTAGTTTCTCAATTCATCCAAAACCATTTCCAGGCCATCACCAATCATTCTATACGACAAATGTTTCTTCTAACATCCCCACAATATCACCCCTTACCACAAGACCTCCCTTCAGCTTAATCTCTCCCACTCTAGGTTCCCACGCCGCCCCTAATCCCGCTTGAAGCAGCCCTGAGAAACGTCGCCCATTCTCTCTCCATACCACCCCCCAAAAATTTTCGCCACCCCAACACTTCAACACTATTTTGTTTTATTTTTCTTATTAATATAAGAAGGCAGGAATGTCAGGCCTCTGAGGCCAAGCCAAGCCATCACATCCCCTATGACTTGCATGTATACGCCCAGATGGCCTGAAGTAACTGAAGAATCACAAAAGAAGTGAATATGCCCTGCCCCACCTTAACTGATGACATTCCACCACAAAAGAAGTGTAAATGGCCGGTCCTTGCCTTAAGTGATGACATTACCTTGTGAAAGTCCTTTTCCTGGCTCATCCTGGCTCAAAAATCACCCCCACTGAGCACCTTGCGACCCCCACTCCTGCCCACTGAGCACCTTGGGACCCCCACTCCTGCCCGCCAGAGAACAAACCCCCTTTGACTGTAATTTTCCTTTACCTACCCAAATCCTATAAAACGGCCCCACCCCTATCTGCCTTCACTGACTCTCTTTTCAGACTCAGCCCGCCTGCACCCAGGTGAAATAAACAGCCATGTTGCTCACACAAAGCCTGTTTGGTGGTCTCTTCACACGGACGTGCATGAAACTTCCTGACTGAGCATGCTATTGGCCTTCACCTGTATCAATTTCAGAATAATTCATTTCTTTTTCATTTTTTATTTCTGTGATGCTTACTCCCTTTTAAGTTTGAACTATTTTAATTAATTGATTAATCATTGTGATGTTTTCTTAATCATGTATTATTTCCTAAAACACACTAAGGAGTCTGTTTGACAGCTGACCTATCCCACCGAGCTCCCAATTCTTGCTGCAGTATCATCTGATTTTAATTATCATAGCCTTACACCTGGCCAACTCCATTTTTAGAAACAACATGCCTTTTTATTATTTTGCTTTCTTACTCTTTGGCTCCTTATGGGGTAAATCAACTTTCTAACCCAAGAGCTGACATTTTCAGCAAAGAAGAAATCATCTTTTGTTATGTTAACGTAGAGCCTTAGATATTAATAGAGGCAGCTTCCTCAAACCATTCCACAAAATGACGTGATAGCTTTACCTTTCCAAAAAATAAACTAGGATGTGCATAACATTTTGGTGTTATGTCTAAAGTTTCATTAAAATGTACCATGCAAAACAATCTAAGTATTTCTTTTTCTTTTTCTTTTTTTTTTTTTTTTGAGACTGAGTTTCGCTCTTGTTACCCAGGCTGGAGTGCAATGGTGCGATCTCAGCTCATTGCAACCTCTGCCTCCCGGATTCAAGCAATTCTCCTGCCTCAGCCTCCGGAGTAGCTGGGATTACAGGCATGTACCACTATGCCCAACTAATTTTGTATTTTTAGTAGAAACAGAGTTTCTCCATGTTGAACAGGCTGGTCTCCAACTCCCAACCTCAAGTGATCTGCCCACCATAGCCTCCCAAAGTGCTGGGATTACAGGTGTGAGCCACTGCGCAAGGCCCAATCTAAGTGTTTCTTGACATATCTGGCTGGCTGAGGATAGCACAGAGCCAGTTTAAACAGCTAAGAAAAAGTCGGTTTATCCTTGTGGCTATATTTGTGGTTGAAATTGTGAAGGCCAAGTGTCCTGTATTTTCTTGAAGGACATTTTTTTCTTTTCCTTTGACTATTCTCTTGTTGATCACTTTTTAAATTTCTCACAACAGTCATTCTTAAGTAAACCACTCAAAGGGTGTAGGGAGTGAAAAGAGCTGCCGTCTGGTTTCTGACAGAAGTGGTTTACCTCTTGCTTCCCTACTTCCCATTAGCATTGGCTTCTTCATCTATAAAGAATCATTTAACAAAATGACATTTGTCTCGTAGAGCTGGTAGAGTAGTTAAATGGGATTATGTATGGAAGGACCTTAGCACAATGCCTGCACAAAATAAAAACTAAATAAATGTAAGGTAGATGCAGTGGCTCATGCCTGTAGTCGTCCCATCTACCTGAGGCTGAGACAGAAGGGTTCATTGAGCCCAGGAGTTCAAGACTGCAGTGCACACTGATGGCACCTGTAAGTAGCCACTGCACTCCAGCCTGAGCAATATAGCAAGAGCCTATCTCTAAAAAAAAAAAAAATGTTTTTTTTGAGACACTGTCTCACTGTGTCACCTAGGCAGGAGTGCAATGGTGTGATCTCAGCTCACTGCAACTTCTGCAACCCCAGCTCAAGATATCCTACCATCTCAGCCTCCCAAGCAGCTGGGACTACAGGCACTTACCAGCACATGCAGCTAATTTTTGTATTTTGTGTACAGCTGGGGTTTCTCCATGTTTCCCAGGCTGGTCTTGAACTCCTGGGTTCAAGCAATCTTCCTGCTTTGGCCCCCAGAAAAATTGTTAATGTTGAAAAAACACTAAATAAATGTAAGCTTACAAAATAGACCTCCTCACCCCAGGCTACCTCAGTCCTTGCAAATGATCTTGCTTGACTCCTACTTTACTGAGATGATGAAGCTCTCAATCTACCCTCTTCTTTATGCTCATCCTTAACCTATCTATCTCATTCCCTCTGTATTCCTATCTCAAGAAAAAACAGGTTGTCTTTCCTGCCAAGGCTATCCCTACATCTTTGATCTCCTTTCTTCTCTCCCTCCTTCCTTCCTTCCCTCCCTCCCTTCTTCCCTTCCTCCTTCCTTCCCTCCCTCCTTCATTCTCTCTTTTCTTCCTTCTTTCCTTCCTTCCCTCCTCCCTTCCTTCTTTTCCTTCCTCCTTCTCTCCCTCCCTTCTCTCTCTGAACCTTGCTCAGTTCTCTTCTCCCTTAGATCAGCAGTTCTCTACATGTGCCCTGTCTCTTCTTTTTATTATAAATAGATTCAGTTCTCTCCTGCCCTATAGAAACAAACCATCTTTTTTTTTTTTTTTTTGAGACGGAGTCTCGCTCTGTCACCCAGGCTGGAGTGGAGTGGCGCGGTCTCGGCTCACTGTAAGCTCTGCCTCCCGGGTTCACGCCATTCTCCTGCCTCAGCCTCCCGAGTAGCTGGGACCACAGACGCCCACCACCACGTCTGGCTAATTTTTTGTATTTTTAGTAGAGACGGGGTTTCACTGTGTTAGCTAGGATGGTCTTGATCTCCTGACCTCGTGATCCGCCCGCCTCGGCCTCCCAAAGTGCTGGGAATACAGGCTTGAGCCACCGCACCCGGCCAAAACAAACCATCTTTAAGCATTATATTTTAGTTATCTATTGCTGCATAATATATTGCTTCAAGACTTAGTGACTTGAAACAACCATAAGTATTTCTCATCTCCCATGGTTTCTATGAGTCTGGCATTGAGTGGCAGCTTGGTTGGGCAGTTCTGGCTTGGGGTCTGTCAAAAGTTGCATTCAGGTCAGCTGAGGCTGCAGTATCTGAAGGGTTAATGGAAATGGAGGATCCACTTCTGAGGTAGCTCACTGCCGAAGCTGGCAAATTTGTGTTGACAAGTGGAGTCCTCTCTGTGTAAGCATCTCCACAGGGCTGCCTGAGTGTTCTCATAACATGGTGGCTAGCATTATCCCACGGTGTGTGATTCATGAAGCCAATGCAGAAGCTATAATTTCTTTACGAACTAGCTTTGGAAGTCACATGCTGTTATTTCCTCTGTATTCTGTTGGTCACACAGAGCAGTCCTGGTACAACATGGCACAACAAAAGTACATGAACACTAAAAGGCAATAACGATTGGGGGCCAACTCAGAGGCTGACTACTCCACCTACTAGCACTCTCTTTGTTCTCCTGTGACTTTGAAAAGGTTGCCCACCATGGCTCCAATTTCTCATCCTCTACTCTCTCAGGCAGAGTTCCTGTTTGCAAGCAATTAAAATTGACTGTAGGTATTCCAAAGAGAAGTTTATTAAAAAGATATTGTTGGAAGTGCTGGAGAACCAGAGTTGCTGAAGTTGAGTCTCCAAAAAGAATGCCCAAAACCAGGCCACAAGACTGGGCAGAAGAACCAAAATTTCCCTTGCTGTGGCCACTGCTACTGCTGTTGCTCAAAAAGCCAAAGTTTCTGCTGCCACTCGCCCAACAAAAATACAGCTAATCCTTGAACAACACAGGTTTGAAATGCACTTATACATGGATTTTTTTTTGCATGGATTTTTTTCAACAAAAGTTACACTGAGTGTGCTTGTGTCTCCTGCTTCCTGTTCCACGTCTTCTGCTTCTGCCACCCCTGAGACAGAAAGACCAGCCCCTCCTCTTCCTCCTCCTTCTCAGCCTGATCAGCATGAGGATGACAAGGATGAAGACCTTTATGATGATCCGCTTCCACTAAGTGAATAGTGTATTAGTTCGTTCTCACACTGCTATAAAGACATACCCGAGACTGATTAATTTATAAAGAAAAGAGGTTTAATTGACTTATAGTTATGCATGGCTGGGGAGGCCTCAGGAAACTTACAGTCATGGCGGAAGGGGAAGAGGCACGTCTTACATGGTGGCAGGCGAGAGAGAGAAGAGGGAACAAGGGAGGAGCTTCCAAACAGTTATAAAACCATCAGATCTCTTGAGAACTCACTCACTATCATGAGAACAGCATGAGGGAAACCACCTGCATGATCCGATCACCTCCCACCTGGTCCCTCCCTCAATAACTGGGGATTACAACTCAAGATGAGATTTGGGTGGGAATACAAAGCCTAGCCATATCAAATAGTAAATATATTTTCTTATTATTATTTTCTTAATGACATTTTCTTTTCTCTAGCATATTTTATTGTAAAAATACAGTATATAATACATATATAAAATATGTGTCAACTGTTTATATAGGCTTCCAGTCAATAGTAGGCTATTACTACTTAAGTTTTGGGGAATAAAAAGTAATACATGGATTTTTGACAGCACAGGGGTCATTGCCCCAGCCCCATGTTGTTCAAGGGTCAACTGTAGTAAAAGATCCCACAAGAAAGTCTCTTTCTCAAGCTGTTGGTTTGTGAACAGGTGGTTAATATGGGTGTATCTGATGAGAAGCTGCATACATCACATTCCTGCATCTCAGCTGCTAGAGAGGCTGAGAATCTCAATTTTCTGAGTTCTGTTTTGGTGAGGCAAGATGCAAAAGGCTAGAAATATCCCAAACATAATAAGAGTTTTCAGAAAGCGTAGGCCACCCAAAAAGAATGACAAACTGTCTGCAATATCCTCTTCCTTCTTAATCCTTGCAATTTGGCTTCTGTCTAAATTCCACTAAAGCCGCTTCTCAGTGGTCTCCAGTGATGTTACATGGGCCTTCCCACCCTTGGATCATTCCTGCACCTAGTGGGGAAATTAACTTGGCCAGCATCTTAGGTCAAGTTCCCCAGAAGTGGACACTGAGTGAATTCATGCCTTTGATTTTTTTTTTTTTTTTTTTTTTTTGAGATGGAGTCTCACTGTGTCGCCCAGGCTGGAGTGCAGTGGTGTGAACTCAGCTCATTGCAACCTCTGCCTCCTGGGTTTAAGTGATTCTCCTGCCTCAGCCTCCCGAGTAGCTGGGATTACAGGCATGCACCACCATGCCCAGCTAATTTTTGTATTTTTAGTAGAGACAGGGTTTTGCCATGTTGGCCAGGGCTGGTCTTGAACCCCTGGCCTCAGGTGATCCACCCGCCTCGGCCTCCAAAAGTCCTGGGATTACAGGTATGAGCCACTGTGCCCACCCATGCCTTTGATTTATTAAGGAAGTTTCTCCAGAGGAGTCAGGTTAGGAGGTGGGGGACATAGGACAGCAGGGTCCTACATAAGGCCCTACATGACTGTGCTCTGTCTCCCCAACTTCATCTCACCACACATTCCCCTTGCTCACAAAGCTCCCTCCACAGCAATCTGCTCCCTGCTGCTGCTACACACCATGCCCTTTCTTGCTTGAGAGCTACTGTCGTTGCTCTTCCCTCCACCTGAAGACATTTCCCCTGGCGTGGGACATGGTCCTCATCATCCTTCGGGCCTCAGTTCCCTTGGCATCCTATCTCAGTGGCCTTTTCACTCCTTCCCCAGGTGGTAGCAATCATATCACTCTGTATATGTCCCTCAAAGCCTCTATGATAATCCAGAATTATTAATGGATTTGTTCAAATGTTATTGTCTCCCTTCCCCAAAGAAAATTGAAAGTTGCCTGAAAAGGATTGCCTAATAAATATGTTGGGAGTCAACAACAATTCTTAGATCTTGGTAGGCATTCCAAAAATAAGTGTTAAAGGAATGAATGGAAGAGTATGCTTTGAAGAAGGAAGATGTTGTTAAACAGGACAACAAAACACAACATTATAAATCAATAGATAATTTAACCTCATAAAAGTTTAAAACTTCTGTATTTTAAAAGATGAGTAAACCTATTGAAAAGTGAAAAAAAAGCCTGTAATCCCAGCACCTTGAGAGGCCGAGGTGGGTGGATCATGAGGTCAGGAGATAGAGACCATCCCGGCCAACATGGTGAAACCCCACCTCTACTAAAAATACAAAAAAATTAGCCAGGTGTGGTGGCGGGTGCCTGTAGTCCCAGCTACTCGGGAGTCTGAGGCAGGAGAATCACTTGAACCTGGGAGGCAGAGGTTGCAGTGAGCTGAGATCACGCCACTGCACTCCAGCCTGGTGACAGAGTGAGACTCCGTCTCAAAACAAAACAAAACAAAACAAAAAGTGAAAAAAAAAATTAAAACACATAAAACAGACCATAGGTTTGTTCAAGAACCCCTACCAAGTTAAGCGACTGATCTCACACAAATAAGAGGATTTCACTTTATTAAAAGTAAAAAGAGGCCCAGAATTCCAATAAAAAGAGAGTAAGATTACTATTAATGATTATGGCTTAATTAGCTCCAAATAAACAATGATGATTTTTAGTGTTCCTACCAAATCTCCATCAAACACTGGAATTATTTCCTTGCCTCTCCTCACTACACCCACCCCAACTTTTCAACCCAATGTATCCCTTGTTAAGTTTAGCTTAAAGCTGCCTCCTTACCTCAAAAGGTTCCTCTGTACATAGTGAACTGTAACCTATCTGAATGTGTAAACAGACTGTAACCTACTATTGTATTAATTGTGGAGTTTCAGCCAATCACAGACAGCCAACTGTACAAACTGTGTTTAAATAAGGCCAAGCTGTAACCAGTCCTGCTGTTCCTGTGCCTCACTTCCTTTTTCTGTCCATAAATTCTCTGACCACTGGGCAGTGCCATAGTCTTTCTGAACCTATTCTGGCTAGGAGGCTGCCCAATTCAAGAATCGTTCTTTGCTCAGCTAAACTCTGTTCAAAATAATTTGTTTAAAGTTTTTCTTTTAACACCCTAAGCTACCTCTGCTCACATAGAAATTTGCATATTCCCCTAAGAGAATATGATCTTAACCACTGGAAATTTAGGGCTTTGGGGAAGGAATGTTGACTTATTTGTCTTCATATCCCAGGGTCAGTGTGATACTTGTCACAAAATAGGTCCTAACACTTGGGATATCTGCACAGTCTCAGTGCAGATACTACTTAGCCCAGGGGCCTGATGGCCAGGCTGATTCTCTCCTTTCCGTTCGGAGTCCTCTGCCGCAAACACGCTCCGCCGGATCATCAGTCAGGCCAAGAAGCATCCGAGCTTGATCACCCTCTTTGTATTTATTGGAGCTTTGTATTTATTGGAGATACTGGAGCAGCACTGTATGTCTTGCGTCTGGCATTGTTCAATCCAAATGTTAGTTGGGACAGAAAGAATAACCCAGAGCCCTGGAACAAGCTGGGTCCCAATGATTAATACAAGTTCTACTCAGTGAATGTGGATTACAGCAAACTGAAGAAAGAAGGTCCATATTTCTAAATGAAATGTTTCACTATGAAGCTGCTTTAGAATGAAGGTCTTCCAGAAGCCATCCTCACAATTTTCCACTTAACCAGGAAATATTTATCCTCTGAATTCATGAAATCATGTTGATGTAATCTATTGGAGATTACACTGATTAATAAATAACTGAAACTTGGCAAGGTGTGGTGGCTTACACCAATAATCCTAGCACTTTGGGAGGCCGGGGCAGGTGAATCACCTGAGGTCAGGAGTTTGAGACGAGCCTGACGCACATGGTGAAACCCTGCCTCTACTAAAAATACAAAAATTAGCTGGGTGTGGGGGCATGCACCTGTAATCTCAGCTACTCAGGAGTCTGAGACAGGAGAATCACTTGAACCCAGGAGGCAGAGATTGCAGTGAACCGAGTTGACGCCACTACACTCCAGGCTGGGTGCACCACTGCACTCCAGGCTGGGCAACAGAGCAAGACTCCATCTCAAAATAAATAAATAAATAAATAACTGAAACTTGAAAAAAAATAGGTTTTAGGGGGGCAAGAGCAGTAACTGCAGGAGAAAACCTCCTGAGCTGATAAGAGGAAATGAAGCCCAAGAGCAAAGTGGAGGTGTTGGCCTTCCTTCTTTATAATCAACGGGAGTGTGTGGAGGCAGAGGCAGTGCCAGACAAGGGAGTGTGTACATGCTTAAGGCTTTCTATGTCCTCTTGTTGAATATCAGGCACATGGAGACAAATGTGAAAGATCTGACAGGAGTGAAGGTGTGAAGTGGTCAAACAAGACAGTGGAAAAACTAATATACTAGGGATGCTTAATAAGGTTACTGGGTGGCTGGGCATGGTGGTTCACACCTGTAATCCCAGCACTTTGGGAGGCCAAGGTGGGCAGATCACGAAGTCAAGAGATCAAGACCATCCTGGCCAACATGGTGAAACTCTGTCTCTACTAAAAATACAAAAATTAGCCAGGCGTGGTAGCACACGCCTGTAGTCCCAGCTACTCAGGAGGTTGAGGCAGAAGAATTGCTTGAACCTGGGAGGCAGAGGTTGCAGTGAGCTGAGATAACGCCATTGCACTCCAGCCTGGTGACAGAGCAAGACTCTGACTCAAAATAAATACATAAATAAATAAAACAAGTGTTGAAAATTGGTGCTAGGTGCCGCAAAGAAGAACCTGCACTTAGATCATAAATTTCTCATCAAGGCAATTTACTTCTGCAAAAGGGTGCTGCCTGTGTCCAAAGTGATTGCAAGAGCACATCACACAAAGGAGAGAAGAGGTTTTTATTCCTAAGGCAGCTCCTGCTTCTGTCTTTTCCCCATTGGCTGGAGTCAGACTGCACAATCTAAGCTAACCCAATTTGCTAAGTCTTAAACTTTTCCAAATGGGGTAAACATGAGATTTGCAAAGGAAGGAGGGGAGGGAGAGGAAGGGGTAGGGTTGACTTACAAAACAAGAAAGAAGGAAGTTTGAAACTGTTTCCAAATAAGGTAGTGAAATGAGAACTTTGAAGGCCAGGGTGATGAAAGGGGGAAGGAGGGAGACAGGAAGGGTGGATTTATGACCACATCACTTATGACCATAGAGTTGAGTTTTGAAGAGGAACTTATTTGTTCCAACAATAAGGTTCCTGGGTGGCATTGAACGTACAGTTGAGATTCATGATCATGAAACTAAAGCAAGAACTGGTTGGCCGGGTGCAGTGGCTCATGCCTGTAATCCCAGCACTTTGGGAGGCTGAGGTGGGTGGATCATGAGGTCAGGAGTTCAAGAACAGCCTGGCCAATATGCTGAAACCCCATCTCTACTAAAAATACAAAAATCAGCTGGGTATGGTGGCATGCACCTGTAATCCCAGCTACTCGGGAGGCCGAGGCAGGAGAATCACTTGAACCCGGGAGGCAGAGGTTGCAGTGAGCCAAGATTGCACCACTGCACTCCAGCCTGGGCAACAGAGTAAGACTCCATCTCAAAAAAATAATAATAATAATTTAAAAGAACCAGTCAACACAATTGTGTGCTATTGTCCAGCAATAATTATCTGCCCAAGTGAAGGAACAGAAGAGGCAGAGAATGGGATTTAATCAAGATTGCATGTTTGCTAGAGGAGTAAGCCATTGAAGAAAGGGCCTACAAAATTCATGGAATGTGCAAGAGGTGATTAGTATGAGGGACCATCTACTCTAACCTTAGTAAGGGAAATGAAAATGCAATAAAGTGCCTGATTGTGAAAATACACTAGGATCAAAGGATTAGAGGCCTTGTTGAGACTGAAGAATTTTTGGAGTGAAGACACTGGCATTAGAGATGTAGAGGATGGGAGGTGGTGGTCAGATATTGGGATACTGAAGTTGATTTTTAGTAATTACGCATTTAAGATGATGAATTGTTCATGTTATGGCCATGGTGATCAATAGTTTAGGTAGGATAAAAAAATATTTAAAGAGGTAGAGAAACTGAAACTCATATGCAAGATGGATCATCACGAGGTTGGGGAAATCTCAAAAAATTGAGTGGAGAGATGAGTTTTGAATAAGTGAGCCGTTAAATGCTTTGAAGGTGTGAAGACCATTTAATCTTCTTAAGAATTCTACATAAAATTCAAGAATTTGGCCAGACACGTCTGTAATCCTAGCACATTGGGAGACTGAGATCGGCATATCACCTGAGCCCAGGAGCTTGAGACCAGCCTGGGCAATATGATGAAACCCCGTCTCTACAAGAAAATACAAAAATTAACTGGGTGTGGTGACACATACATATGGTCCCTGCTACTCAGGGGGCCGAGGTGGGAGGATCACCTGAGCTGGGGGGATGTTGAGGCTGCAGTGAGCCACGATTGAGCCACTGCCCTCCAACCTGGGCAGTGAGAGAGGCCCTGACTCAAAAAAAAAAAAAAAAAAAAAAAAGAAATTCAGAAATTTTATCTCTACTTAAAGAAGAAGGTGTTTTGAATAATTGCCTGAAGTCATGCAAGGTAAGTGCTTCAGCTGGAGTTCGAACCTAAGTTTCTCTGACTCCAAAGCTTATTAAATTCTTTTTACTTTTTTTTTGAGACAGAGTCTTGCTCTGTCGCCCAGGCTGGAGTGCAGTGGCGCGATCTCGGCTCACTGCAAGCTCCACCTCCCGGGTTCACGCCATTCTTCTGCCTCAGCATCTCGAGTAGCTGGGAACACGGGCACCCACCACCACGCCTGGCTAATTTTTTGTATTTTTAGTAGAGACGGGATTTCACCATGTTAGCCAGGATGGTCTCGATCTCCTGACTTCGTGATCCGCCCGCCTCAGCCTCCCAAAGTGCTGGGATTACAGGCGTGAGCCACCGCGCCCAGCTTTAAATTCTTTCTCTGCCAGTATACATCTTCCATTTTTCATTGGTAAGACCAAGCAGAAGAGAGTTAAGGCATGATTCATGACACGCTCCAATAGTGAATTCTGAGCTCAGAAGAGAAAATAAATCTCAGCAAAAAAATATATATACATATTTATATAATATAAATATATATTATATATATATATAATAAAAATCCTGCTGAAATGCTTGGGGCAGGGGCAGGGCGGGGGTGGAATCAGACCCTAGAAATGTTTAATCTTGTGGATATCATTAATTTTTAGACACTATAGTAGAAATGTGAGTTAACTGCTCGGAGGGATAAATGAGGTTCTAGAAGTGAAAGTAAGTAATTGAGTCACAGAATCATAGAGCTGGAAGGGATCTTAGTAAATATTTCGTTCATTCATTTTCTGCTTAGAATACTGATACTCAAAAAAGTTAAGTGACTTGTGTAAATTCACAAAGCTAGGTGGTAATGTAAAGTCTAACCCAGGTAATGTAAGGACCACCAGCCCGTTCCATCACATAGACTGTGGTTTTTTCTTCCCACTCCAAAGGATTTTAAGTCTGAATTCTTGAGACTGTATTCCTTTCCTAGAAAGGGCATACTTCCCCAAAAGTTAAATGCACTGTGCTTGAGAGTCTTCTCCAAGGTGTATTTGGCATGACTGGTATTCATGTGGCCTCTTTATGCTCGATTTTTCTGATGGCTGGCCACCTCTTACATCCAGGAACAACCTACTTTGTAGAAACCATGACTGTAACCTGCTCTAAACCTGTGGTCAAATCTTGCCAGAGGCAACAGTCCTCTTCCTAATGGGATCTTTCCCATGACTCTGTTGAGGAACTGGAAAGTCCAGTTTCTGTGGTCAAGAGAGAAATCCTAATCATTGAGCACTAAAATGTGAGACCATAGAGGACCCTCACCGCTGATATTCGAAAGGCTGAAAATGCACTGTCTCAGCCTCCTCAGTGAAAGCAGACTCAGCAGATGAGTGTGTTCCTGTACCTTCCAGCTTTATGCTTTTCCTGTGGTTGACAGAAAGGAGCTGGAGTGGATTGGAGGAGAAGCTGAGATGGATTAGGAAACTACTTCCTTTTCTACAAGCTTACTTCAGGAATAGTCAATCAAGGCTCTTCAACGTGACTAAACATTGCGTTAAGCATCCTTTGGCTTGAAGACATCAGCTTTCTAAAATGAGGGCTATTAAGGCAAGTGGCTGTGTAGGGCCTCATGCATTATGAATTTGCTAGTCATGGATGAATACAAATTACCTTGCAATCAGGACACAGCTGGTAATTAGAAACAACTCTTCTTTTGATTCAATTAACCACCTGAAGAAATTAGGTTTTGATTTAGATTTGGGTTGGAATGCTGTAGTCCCCTTTAAAACAAGGAGAAAAATGGACAATTCTGAAGCGTAGAACATCTCTTCCAGATTTGCAACAGGGAAGTTCTCTCCATTATGGTTAAAAATCAATAAATTAAAAGAAAATGACCCACCATGTGTCATTGTTGTGAATAATTGCCATTGATCAGCTCAGGAGGGAGAATGGGGCAGAATAGCTTCCATTTCCGAAATCAGATCTTCCCCACAGTTGAGACAGCCTCCTGCTCTAACTGGTTTGACAAGAGGAGACTGACCTACGGTTGGGAAGCTGGCCAGTGATTACCCAGGGAGTAGGTAGCAGCTCAAAGGTGGAAACACAGAGGTCCTTATTTTCCAATCCACTGCACACTGCCTATAGCACACAACACCCACAGATGTGCAAAACGAAGGAGGAAATGTGTGACCTCTTCTGAACTGAATCTTGTTGTCCTCTCTGAGCTTAGGACTCTACTGAAATGCTAGATAGAAGCAGAATGTGTTCCCCCACCTCCACCCATGACAAGACAAGTGCTTTAATAAAATCTAAGAAATGTGGTCCACATCCCAGAAGAAAGGTGTTGCCTAGCAGCAGTGACCTTTAAAGAAAGGCCAGACAGACTTTTCCTAAAGGATTTTTAGGATATTGGGAGTCAAGTTTCCTGATGATTTATCTAAATATAGTACTGAGAATTTACCACCTGCATTATTGGAGGGAGCCTTTGAATACTCAGCCTCCAAAGATAAATATTAATAATAATGTCCAACACGTACTTGGTGCATTGTTTCACAAAGCATGGTACACATCCCTGTACAGATGCCACAGATGGTATGCAAAGTGATTTTAGGTACTATCTGATGAATATTTGTTATTTTATAGGTTATGTAATTGTTTTAAAATGTGTTTGAAAACGTAACCATTTCACCATTCATCAGATTGAATGAAGATAGACTGGGTGTGTGGGCTGAGGCAGGAGGATCACTTGAGCTCAGGAGTTCAAGGCTACAGTGAGCTATGATTGTACGATTGCAGCACTGCAATCTGGCCTGGGTGACAGAGCAAGACCCTGTCTCTCAAAGAAAATTTAAAAAATACAAAAAGAATAAACAGAGTTGATTAGGATGAAACTAAGTTTTAAGAAGTGATTTAAATAAACTCAGTTTTAATGTTTAACTAAAGAAGAGCCAGTTTTAAATATGGCTGACATTTTGCAAGGAATAATTTGGTGCTTGTTTTGTTCTAGGCACTTTGTACAGGATTGCAGTCTCTCCTTCATTCCTTGTTTTTCTGGAAACTCAGGCTAATCATATCTGTGAGTTGGTGAAATGGAACTTACTCGGGTTTTGTTTTTTTGTTTTTTTTGGTGTTTTTTTTGAGATGGAGTTTCACTCTTGTTGCCCAGGCTGGAGTGCAGTAGCGCAATCTCAGCTCACTGCAACCTCCACTTTCCAGGTTCAAGATATTCTCCTGCCTCAGCCTCCCAAGTAGCTGGAATTACAGGCATGTGCCACCATGCTCAGCTAATTTGTGTATTTTTAGTAGAGACAGGGTTTTGCCATGTTGACCAGGCTGGTCTCGAACTCCTGACCTCAGGTGATCCAACCACTTCGGCCTCCCAAAGTACTGGGATTATAGGCATGTGCCACGTGCCCGGCTAATTTTGTGTGTGTGTGTGTGTATATATATATATATATATATATACACAAAAATATATATATATATATATATATATATATATATATATATATATATATATATATACATATATTTTTTTTAGTAGAGACAGAGTTTCTCCATGTTGGTCAGGCTGGTCTCTAACTCTCGACCTCAGGTGATCCGCCCACCTTGGCTTCCCAAAGTGCTGGGATTACAGGCATGAGCCACCACGCCCGGCCTTGTTTTATTTTCTAAACACTTCACCCTTTGAATTAAATCCTCTTGGGATATGGAGTTTGCAGGATTACTGACAGACATATGAAATTCTCCTGCTTTAAACAGAAAGCTTTAGAATTATTTCAGGGTTGTGATAGATACCAATTCATGAAGACAGACAGTGTACATCTTTTCCCAACTCTGCATTCAGGGACAGTACATTGGTAGCTTGAAACTGGCCATCATGAGAGTATTTGCACCACAGATATTGGCAAATTCTATAAGTTAGGAACCAGTGGTGGTGGCATGGCCTGTAGTCCCAACTACTTGGGAGGCTGAGGTGGGAGAATCACTTGAGCCCAAAAGTTTGAGACCAGACTGGGCAACATAGCAATAATCCATCTCTTTAAAAAAAAAAAAGTGTTAAATTAGGGGTTGGTTTTTGCTTTTTCTGGAGAAAATATTTAACAACCCTGCTGTTAAGTATTTTACCAAATAAAGTTGTATTCAACCTGATCTTAAAGTCTACCTGCAACAGATTGCTAGGTCCCTACAGAACCAGAAACATCCACCTAACCATTAGCTATAAGTATGATAGCAGAAGAGTATTGCATGGGATAGGACCTTCATAAGGGGGCAGGATTTTAAAGTATCTCTTTATTTGTTTGTTTAAAATAATATTTATCCCTACCTTCCTTCCATTCATTCATTCATTCTTTTTAGTTCTTCAACTTTTCCTTCAAGCTCCAGGGTACATGTGCAGGATGTGCAGGTCTGTTACATAGGTAAACGTGTGCCATGGTGGTTTGCTGCACAGGTCATCCCATCACCTAGATGTTAAGCCCAGCATCCATTAGCTATTCTTCCTGATGCTCTCCCTCTCCTCACTCCATCCCCGAGAGGCCCCAGCGTGTGTTGTTCCCCACTATATGTCCGTGTGTCTTCTCATTCAGCTCCCACTTATAAGAGAGAACATGCGGTGTTTGGTTTTCTGTCAAAATATCTACTTTTGTTACATGGCTAAAAGTGAGCCATTGACTTTTTAAAGAGATGCCTGGCCAGTATATTTTTCAAATGCTACCAGAAAATCAATCTGTTCTCTACCCATTTATGCTACAAACCATTCTTAACACACTGTAACTAACTGAAATCTGATTCATAATAAACACCAGGCTAATATCAAAAGAGAAGAGAAGTGGAGATGTCACAAGAAGTCAATAAGCAAGCTAAAGATGGTGTGAAGGGGGAGGGGAATAATGTTGCTAGGCAACCATCCCTAGTAGTTAATTCACATGTGTAGATACGAGAGCCTTGTTTTCCTCAGCACCAGCTAGCCCCAGTGTTTCCCCACTACCTACTTTGATGTTTCTGTAACCTACCAGAAAGTATCTGTGGGGGTCCTTAAAGTCCAGGACCCAGGGGTCAGCCTGATTGGCTAACCCCTCTAGAGATTAGAACTTCAGAAGATGTGTAAGCATTCTGCTTCCCTTTTAGATTTATATTTGTGGCTTCCCACTTGACAAATACTACAATCTTGCATGCATAAGACTCATTACAGCAGGGCCGGCTAATTCCCCAGTGGACATTTCATCACTGATTTCGAGCACACACCATGGACTGATGGATTACACCTTCTGTGGCAAGGGTGATCAGATTGCATTGATTCCAAGCTGAGAAAGTCACAGTTCTCACTGGGCTTCACTATTGCAGGAAGTTGGCCACTGCACGGCCTCCACATTGTATGGCTCCAGGAAATATACTTTACATTGTTGTCTAGGCTAAAGATACACTGCACAGAAATTATCAATTCCCTCACAGATGAAGAAAGCAAGGGCCTTAGAGAAAGGTGACTTCAAGCTGTTTAACTCGCTAATAGCAGAACCAGGATTATACCTCAGGTCTCTGGGTCATAATCTTTCTAATACACTAAATTGCCTGCCATATGTTTTTATTTTATTTTATTTATGTATTCATTTATTTATTTTTGAGACAGAGTCTCACTGAAAATAGAAAAATTAGCCAGGCATGGTGGTGCATGCCTGTAATCCCAGCTACTCGGGATGCTGAGGCATGAGAATTGCTTGAATCCAGAAGGCGGAGTTTGCAGCGAGCCAAGATTGTGCCACTGCACAATTGTGCCTGGGCCACAGAACAAGACTCCATCTCAAAACAAAACAAAACAAAACAAAACAAAAAGGAAGAAGAAAATGGGCCAGGCACGTGACTCACACCTGTAGTCCCAACACTTTGGGAGGTCAGAGCAGGCAGATGGCTTGAGCCCAGGAGTTCAAGACCAGCTGGGGCTCAAGTCATCTGCCCACCATGTTTTACCATGTTTTTCTCTACAAAAAAACACAAAAATTAGCCAGACATGGCGGCATACACCTGCAGTCCAAGTTACTTGGGAGGCTGAGGTAGGAGGATTACCTGAGTCCAGGAGGTAGAGGCTGCAGTGAGCCATAGTCACACCACTGCACTCCGGCCTGGGCAACAGAGTGAGACCCTGTTGGAAGGAAGGAAGGAAGGAAGGAAGGAAGGAAGGAAGGAAGGAAGGAAGGAAGGAAGGAAGGAGGGAGAAGGCAAAGAAAGAGAAAGAAAGAAGGGGAAAGAAAGGAAGAAAGAAATGAAGGAAGGAAAGAAAGGAGGGGAGGGGAGGGGAAGGGAGGGGAGGAGGGGGAGGAGAGGGGAGGAGAGGGGGTCCACCCCAAGACTGAAGTCCCTCCCTGGATCCTTGGCTGTCCATTGCTGAGTCCTTCTCTAGAGGCCAGAGTTCCCTGCCCAGTTGGAGTCCTAGTTATTAAATAAAACCTTCTCTGGTACACTTCTGTGATTCAGAACTCCCTCAGACAAATAAATCCACCATGTCTTCCCTCTCGATCAGCCTCAATCAAAACCCAAAGTCCCGTGTTGAACCTGGAGTCTCCCCTCACTGTTAGCACCACACTGTATTGTGCTTCAACAATGTAAAACCTTGCTCTTCTCCTTCCTCCCAACACTTTTGGCAGCTCCTGGTCCACAAAGACTCCACTCATTATTGCCTCCACCTTCACGCCTTTCCCTGAGATTAATGCTCTCCTATGGCCCTCCCAAGTGAGGGTACTTTTTCTCCAACTCCCAGTGAAGGTCAGGGCACTGCCAGACAAGTTCTCCCTCACCATTCAAGTGAGACATAAAGATTCTCACACTATGAGCCCATTCTGCAAAGGTCATGCCCTCTCCAAATCTCCTTGTCCAAATCTTCAGATCTTTTTCTTTCTGAAACCCTGCTCATCTGGCCAGAACCACTGTCCAGAAATTGGAATAGAATCTTTTTCTTCAATCTGCTCTTCCAGGCCAAGTAGACAGAGATATACTATTCAAAGTTTTTCCCACTAGTCTCAGGTTGAAATTCTTTAATTGCTCACTTCTGGTGGAAGCTGGCATGTCAAGCCAAAACATCTGTGAATAGGATCAAGTTGGGTTTCTAGAAAATCTTTCGTCATAGGGAGCCATTCATACAGTCACAAGTGCAGACTAAAGAAAAGTAAAATGTGTGGCAGGAGAAGGTATATGGGGAGTGTGAACCATGTAGTCATGCAAACACTATTTGTATCAGGGCTGGCTTAGACCTAATCCTATAACTACTTCTTATGCTTGATGACTGAAGGCCTGACTTCATGGCTGAATGGATCAGACAGTATCCAGTTCATGATCATTCATTTAAGTAAATCCCAGTAGCAAGTCAGGAGCTGTTTCTTAAAGGAGAATAGTTACTTGTTTAAGAGAACATAACATTGGTCTATAATATTTAAGGTCTCTGTTGTAATTTGCCTGTCTGGACTTGCCAAGCTTCATATACACTCCAGGTACTCCAGGAACTATTGAATATTCTGAGCCAAAAGACAAAAGTAGAATCAAGCCCAACGGAGAGTCGTATCTTATTCTGGGCTCCATTCAAAGCTGCCAACAACTTTGGGATTCACTTGGTAAATTGGTCCAAATAGGACACCCATGGTGAAGAAGCTTCACGATGCGCCACACCTCTTTTTTTAGTAGTAAGAAACACAGTGTTCAGCAACATGTGTTTCCTATTGAAAAAGATAATAACTTAATAATCATCAAACCACTGGAGCTCCAGAATCTTTACATAGGTTATTTTGCAACATCCTTTATTTGTGTGTCTTAATAGAACAACTGGAGAACCTACTACTGCTTATTCTCCAGGGCTTATCAGCATAATGTCAGTGCAGGCATTAGTGGTATAATACGGTAGATTGATGATTTCGTTCCATTCTTTATGGACTAGACTGTGACACAGAGTTAGAGGGAAGATGGCAAATGTTTACTGCTGACCCTGTCAGGTGAAAAGAAATATTTCTGGTATTTTCAATTTATTGAAATGGATAAAAATGCTGCATTGTGTATACATGAATATATATACCATATTTTTTTCTTTTTGTATATTATGATGCTTTGACATTGTCTTATTCCATTTTGTGTTGCTGTAACACAAAACCTGAGACTGGGTAGTTTGTAATGAACAGCAATTTATTTCTTATGGTCCTGGAGGCTGGGAAGTCCAGGATCAAGGGGCCAGCATCTGATGAGGGCCTTTATGCTGCATCATTCATGGTAGCAGGAGGAAGGGCAAGTGAGCCTAAGAGAGAAAGGAAGGAAAGGGGCTGAACTCATCCTTTTATCAGTGATAGCTAACCCACTCCTGCGATAACAGCATTAATCCATTTATGAGAACAGAGCCTTTATGACCTAATCACCTCTTAAAGATCCCCTCTCGACATTGTTGCATTGGGGATTCAGTTTCTGACACATGAACTGTGAGAAACTATTAAACCATAGCAGACATCTTTAAAACAACATTTTTGGCTAGGGAGAGACTGTCTCTCCCTGGGGTAGCCAATTCTTACTGACAGCAAAAGATCCAGCCCAGAGCATGCCTTTGATATGCAAACTAACCAATCCAGAGTCGCACTTCCTTTATCTGGCCAGTACACCCCAGGAGAAAATATTCCTGTGCTTTAATCATGCCAGGGTCAGGTACCAGGCAACTAAGGACCACTGCTGTAGCTTAGGGTCTGCCAAAGTCATTCAAACTAACCAACTCTAAATTGTTCACCCTATCATTCCTGCAAGAAACCCCAATAAAGGCTCTGCATGGTGGCACAGGCCAGTAGCCCGAGCTAC
The DNA here is from genome assembly GCF_000001405.40 of Homo sapiens. NCBI lineage: Eukaryota > Metazoa > Chordata > Mammalia > Primates > Hominidae > Homo > Homo sapiens. Next base: position 87,435,632 of record NC_000009.12, read on the forward strand.
TTGGGAGGGTGACGCTGGAGGATCTTTTGAGCCTAGGAGTTTGAGTCAAGCCTGGGCAACAGAGCAAGACTCCATCTCTTAAAAAAAGTGGTTCCGGCCTAATGCTTCCCACTTGCTCCAGTCTTCTGCCTCCTGACCGCCCTGGTGTTTTTCCATGTGGCCTGCATAGTATGCCATACCTCTGTCTCTAAGGCCTGTGAGTATAATAAACTTTGCTTTACTAAGCCTTTCTTCTGTCTCTTCTTGTGGCTGCATCTGACTGAACATTATACACAAAAAATATGTAAAACAAATACACCAGCTGAACAACTGCCCACCAAGTACAAGACCTTTATAAATGTGTTCCGATAATAAAATTCTATACAGACAATCATCCACAATGGAAATTACCACCTAATTAAATGTATTATTTACCATTATTATACAAAATCAGATTTTTTTTGCACTGGCCAAACTGAGAAACACATCAGAATGCAATAATATATTCTAATAAAGAACCATTAGACATTTGATTCAAGTGTTCAATTGTAACATAATCTCTAAAGTTTCTCTAGAAATTGAAGTTTGCGTTCCATTTACTACTCAGTGAATATGGCCAATCACCCTGCTCAGCAAACAACAATAACATTCTATATTCCTGAGAATTCACTTAATCTTTCTTGATATCCAGTAGTTTCTCCCAATAAAATAGCCACGGTTATTTTAATGGGATGCCAGAAGGAACTTACTAGACATAGGTAGTAACAGCACAGCCTTTCATCAATGGTGCTCAGCTGCACCTCCATTCAAATGGTTCTGAATTTTTTAACAGACTCGTATTGTAGAATTGATTAAGAAATCTTGTCGTCTAGGCAGGGCGTGGTGGTTGACAACTGTAAACCCGGCACTTTGGGAGGCCGAGATGGGTGGATCACCTGAGGTCAGGCGTTCGAGACTAGCATGGCCAACAAACACAAAAATTAGCTGGGTATGGTGGTACATGCCAGTAATCCCAGCTACTTGGGAGGCTGAGGCGAGAGAATAGCTTGAACTCGGGAGGCAGAGGTTGCAGTGAGCTGAGATTGCACCAATCACTCCAGCCTAGGAAACAAGGGCGAAACTCAGTCTCAAGAAATAAAAATAAATAAAATAAGAAATCTTATTTTGTAATGTGATAGTTTAAGCCAGTTTGTTTTTTCCATCCAGCCATGGGCTGCCTGTGGGTTTCATTCTTGAGATTCTCACAATTTAAAAAATGACAGCCAGAAATGTATGAATGCCGGATAATCACTTAAAGTCTTCACACTGTGCTTGCTCTGCTGCATAATTCAGTGACCACATCCACCGTGCTTTTGCTGTCATTTGGACTCAGACACCCTGGCTTCTCTCAACCACACTGACATCAAGGAGCCCATTTCAACTGCAGTCAATTTCATCAGATTTTTGATCTTTCAAGAACAGATTGTAAAGCTCTTTTTAAACATTGTGTTGCATCTCTTGTTAACATCATCTTCATGGCAGGAGTAAAGGGAAAGTTTTCTGGGTTCTACCTAGGGATATATCAAGGGTCAGGGAAAGAAAAGGTAAAAAGATCCAGGACGGCATACGTTACACAAATTCTTGTAATCACTATTCCTGATTATGACCCTTCATGGTTTTTCTGTGTCATTTAATGGGCCAACATTTAATCCAAGATTATACGAGTTAACCCAGAGAACTGGCAGAACCACGGCTGGTGAGCTAATCCTAGCCCACTTTATGCTGAATCTCTGGTAAAATACACTCATATAAATACTTTGAGTCCTACCTGTGGTGAAACATTCCCAAAATCTGTTTCAAAAAATATATCTAGACTTTTAATGCCATAAATTTATGAATCTTTTCAGGTTCTTCGTATATGACATTTGAGTTTTGCACTTCACCCCCTGATCATGTTGTGTTTGAATCCCTGTTATTTTTAGAGCATCAGTAAGAGATGGGGCTTGTGAAAAATTATCCTCTTTCTTCTACATAGGAGATGTGGCCTCCCCAGTCAAGAGAAATGCTATAGCTGGCATTTTAGAGTTTGGAGGATCTTTAAAAACATCCTTCAGATCTTGCCATATCTCTCATTCTAATTACTGGGATTTCTGGTAAAAGCCTTAATTTTCAGTAAGAGACCAAGTCAGATTGTAAGTTAAAATAGCAATCTGCAGAGTTAATCTGTGCATTTGGATTTTAGTTATTTTAGCCCCATACTACAAGTCAAAGGCATTCAGTGATTTCTAAGCATTTTTGACTATTACCTACATTATAAAATAAATTTTATATCATAAATAAGTTTATATACACATATAATTGAATTGTAAATTACATGAAACATTTCTTACCCCTACTATATATAATATACTTTAATATTTTCTCTTCTATGTTATTTTAAAACCATTAGTCATGAATACACAATACTGGATTTCAACCAAAATCTCTTAAAGTTTTTGAGTTTTATTTCATGTCTTGCAGCAAGAATTTCAAAGTTTGAGACAGCTGTTAAAATATCCACTGATGGCCGAGCGCAGTGGCTCAGGCCTGTAATCCCAGCACTTTGGGAGGCCGGGGAGGGCGAATCACCTAAGGTCAGGAGTTCAAGACCAGCCTGACCAATATGGTAAAACCCGGTCTCCACTAAAAATACAAGAATTGGGCGGGGCACAGAGGCTCATGCCTATAATCCCAGCACTTTAGGAGGCCAAGGCAGGCGGATCACCTGAGGTCGGGAGTTTGAGACCAGCCTGACGAACATGGAGAAACCCCGTCTCTCTTAAAAATATAAAATTAGCCGGGCATGGTGGCACGTGCCTGTAATCCCAGCAATTTGGGAGGCTGAGGCAGGAGAATCACTTGAACCCGGGAGGTGGAGGTTATAGTGAGCCGAGATCACGCCATTGCACTCCAGCCTGGGCAACAAGAGCAAAATTCAGTCTCAAAAAACAACAACAACAAAACAAAAATTAGCTGGGCATGGTGGCATGCACCTGTAGTCCTAGCTACTTGGGAGGCTGAGACAGGAGAATTGCTTGAACCTGGGAGGCGGAGGTTGTAGTGAGCCAAGATCACACCACTGCACTCCAGCCTGGGCAAGTGAGCGAGACTCTGCCTCAAAAAAATAAATAAAATAAAATAAAATATCCAGTGATGTTAGAAGAAACCATCCTACTCCATTGCTCCCAGCATTTCTTGTTCTCTTTAAATAGTTCACAGCCACAGCTACCTAGTTCTCAAGAGCTTCCACCTCAGTGGTACATTGTGTCCTACCTTATTACAGAAGAAAATTATGTTAGCAGTTTGCCAGTTTATAACCAGCCTCTATATATTTTGGTACATACATAGGAATTTCACTACTTAATTTCAAAAATTGATTCTAATAAACCACATTTCCTGTTATCTTGATTCCACAATTCACTGTAGTGAACATCTATTATTTGTGTCTGGGAATGCCTCTTTCTTTGGGACATATCTTCCATCCTGTTTTTTGTTTTTTTGTTTTTTTTTTTTTTTTTTGAGACGGAGTCTCGCTCTGTCGCCCAGGCCGGACTGCGGACTGCAGTGGCGCAATCTCGGCTCACTGCAAGCTCCGCTTCCCGGGTTCACGCCATTCTCCTGCCTCAGCCTCCCGAGTAGCTGGGACTACAGGCGCCCGCCACCGCGCCCGGCTAATTTTTTGTATTTTTAGTAGAGACGGGGTTTCACCTTGTTAGCCAGGATGGTCTCGATCTCCTGACCTCATGATCCACCCGCCTCGGCCTCCCAAAGTGCTGGGATTACAGGCGTGAGCCACCGCGCCCGGCCTCCATCCTGTTTTATGTGGCTTCGATGGAGCTGCCAAGCAGAAGGCCCTGCCACACTGACCCCCAAAGGCTGGCACACCACATCAAGCTGGATCAATCAGGCTCTTTTTTCCACAAGTTTGAATCTTTAGCAGATGAGGTCAGAGAAAAACTTTATAAAGAGCCTAAATATTCCTGAAGTTCAGGTTCTCGAAACTTTAGTTACTTTTTCTCAAAGTTTGGTTGTAAGGGGAGTCATAATATGCCATGCATAAGGATTAATTTGAGCCAAAGGCAATTGAGAAATAGCAGACACAGGAAGAATTCTCTGCCCTCACTCTTTCCAGAAGCCTAAAAGTGGGGCATAAATTTCCTTTGGTAGAGGAGTCCACTTCCTGTCTCTGTACCAGAATACAGACAACAACTCTGTAACAGGAGACAAAAAGTCACATCGAGATGTGTTGCATAAACAAACCTTATTAAATAACCTTTACCTTCCAATTGTTTTGCTCTCATATTTACCTTCCCACAGTGTACCACTCCTAGAAGCCTTTATTAGGCAGGGAACTCCAGAGAGACAGAACCAGTAGACTATGTATATAGACATGTGAGAGGGGGTTCACTAGGGAAATTAGCTCACATAATTATGGGGGTTAAGAAGTCCTGGCCAGGCACGGTGGCTCATGTCTGTAATCCCAGCACTTTGGGAGGCCAAGGTGGGTGGATCACCTGAGGTCAGGAGTTCGAGATCAGCCTAAACAATATGATGAAACCCCATCACTACTAAAAATACAAAAATTAGCCGGGTATGGTAACATGTGCCTGTAATCCCAGCTACTCGGGAGGCTGAGACAGGAGAATTGCTTGAACCCCAACCGGGAGGCAGAATTGCAGTGAGCCAAGATCGCGCCATTGCACTCTAGTCTGGGCAACAAGAGCAAAACTCCATCTCAAAAATAATAATAATTAAAAAAAAGGAAGTCCTACAACAGGGCAATGGGGCTGGGTGCAGTGGCTCTCGCCTGTAATCCCAGTACTTAGTGAGGCCAAAGCAGGGGGATCACCTGAGGTCAGGAGTTCGGGACCAGCCTGGCCAACATGGTGAAACCCCAACTCCACTAAAAATACAAAAATTAGCTGGGTGTGGTGGCACATGTCAGCAGTCCCAGCTACTCAGGAGGCTGAGGCAGGAGAATTGCTTGAACATGGGAGGCAGAGGTTTCAGTGAGCCAAGACTGTGTCATTGCACTCCAGCCTGGGCGACAGAGCAAGACTCCATCTCAAAAAAAAAAAGAAGTCCTACAATGGGCCATCTGCAAGCTGCAGACCCTGGGATGCTGGTAGCGTGGCTCAGTCCAAGTCTGAAAGCCTCAGAATCATGGAAGCCAATGGTGTAATTCTCAGTCTAGGCCAAAGGCTGGAGAACGGTGTGGCTGCTGGTGTAAGTCTTAGCATCTAAAGGTCAATGAGCCTGGAGTTCTGACAGCCAAGTACAGGAGAAGCATGTCGAAGCTCCAGGAAACAGAAATAGAAAATTGCCTTTCTTTTGCCTTTTTTATTCTATCTGGACCCCTACCTGATCGAATAATGCCCACCCACATTAAGGACGGATCTTCCCTCCTCAGTTCACTGACTCATGTGCCAATCTCCTCTAGAAACACCCTCACAGACACACTCAGAAATAATGCTTTGCCCGTTCTCTAGGTATTCCTTAATCCAGTCAGGTTGACACCTAGAATTTATCATCACAAGTCCATTCCTTGTCAACCTAACACTCACAGCCATCTCCTCAAACCATACTTAATCTTCAAGTAAGGACGAGAACAAGGTAGTAATTCTCCATAACATGATGCAGCTATCCTGCATACAACTGAAAATTCACAAATTCCTTCCCCAGGTTGGGTGCAGTGGCTCATGCCTGCAATCCCAATGCTTTGGGAGGCTGAAGCAGGAGGATGGCTTGAGGCCAGGGGTTAAAGACCAGCCTGGGAAACACAGCATGACTTCATCTCTAAAAAACTATAACAAATTAGTCAGATATGGTGGCACGTATCTTGTATTAGTCAGTTCTCACACTGCTATAAAGAAATACCTGAGTTTGGGTAATTTGTAAAGAAAAGAGGTTTAATTGGCTGATGGTTTCACAAGCTATACAGGAATCATGGCAGCATCTGCTTCTGGGGAGGCCTCAGGGAGCTCTTACTCATTGTGGAAGGCAAAGTGGGAGCAGGCGTCTTGCATGGCAGGAGCAGGAGAAAGAGAGTGACAGTGGGAGGCACTACACACTTTTGAACAACCAATTCTCGTGAGAACTCTATAACAAGACAGCACCAAGAGGGTGGTGCTAAACCATTCATGAAGGAAGGATCTATTCGCATGATCCAATCACCTCCCACCAAGGCCCAATTCCAGCATTGGGGATTACATTACAACATGAGATTTGGGTGGGGACACAGACCCAAACAATATCACACCTACAGTCCTAGCTACTGAGGAGGATTGCTTGAGCCCAGGAGTTTGAGTGAGCTATGATCACACCACTGCAATACAGCCTGGGCAAGACCTTGTTTTTTTTTAAAAAAAAAATCTTTCTCCAGAAGAGGAGGAGGTAATGTCTATTTTTCTCTTGGTATTTCATAATATAAAAACTTTAATGTAACAATGGCGATACTACTAATATAAAGCCTAAATATGTTATATGATAAAGGAATAAGAGAGAAATGAAAACAAAAATATTTGCTTAATATATGTATATATATTCTTTACAAAATAGGGAGGAAATACTCATGACAATTGTAGTCCTCATTTTTGTAACTGACCACGTTTTTAGCTGGTATATATAACCACATTTTTCTGCTACCAATTCTGCAGTCCCTTTGCCTTCAGCAAGCACCTCTTGGTCATGGTTCTTTACCTGGTGAGGTGACCCAAACCATCATTCCTACAGAGTCTGGGCCATTTTATAGTCCTGCTTAGATTGGGTTCTTGTAATTTCCAGTTGACCTTAATCATGGACGTGGTAATACTAAGAGATGCCCTAAGGGATCTTCTGTATTCTAGACATACTCTTCCTTACCTCTATTGTGGTGTAGTAGTAGAATTTTCCCTTGGTAGTCAAGATCAACATGCCAGCCAACACCATAATTCCCTTCCTGGCCTGATGACCCAGAGGCATGAAGAACCCAAAGCAGTCGGGTGGCAGTCTTAACTTCCAGTTCAACGGACTCATTGTTGTGTCTCCTGAAGGAAGCATTCTTTTCTCTGGAACTAAGGCCTCTAGGCCAGCAAGGCACAAAGTCATGGGAACAGGAAGCAAATATTTTGCTAGTGGGTCACTAGGGGTGATGGTAAGTGGTGCCACTTCCACTTCTGCCCCTTGATTCCTAGACCCATGAATGCTTGCTATGGGAGAAAGAGAACCATATATTAGATGCTGATTCAGAGCATATACAGCATTCTAGAAAACCTTGCCCCAGCCCTGCAAAGTATTGTTACCCATCCGGCACTGTAACTGTAGCTTCACAAGGCCATTCATAGTTCTACTGGCCAAATGCTTCAGGATGGTGGGGAACATGATAGGACCAGTGAATTTCATGAGTCTGAGCCCATTGTCACACTTCTTTGATTTTGAAGTGAGTTTCTTGGTCAGAACAATGTTGTGCTGAATACCATGGTGGTGGATAAGATGTTCTGTAAGTCCACAGATGGTAGTTTTGGCAGAAACCTTGTTAGCAAGAAAGGTAAATCCAAATCCAGAGTAAGTGTTTATTCCAGTAATGACAAAACATTGCCCTTTCCATGATGGAAATGCTCCAGCGTAATCAACCTGCCACCAGGTAGCTGGCTGATCACCCCAGGGAATGGTGCCATATTGGGGCTCAGTATTGGTCTCTGCTGCCAGGTCAGCTTTGAGGAGTGGAAGTCCATGTCTCTCAGCCCATACATAACCTCCATCTCTGCCACTATGGCCATTGTGTTCACGAGCCAATTAAGCTATTGCAGGGGGGTCTGGTGAAGGATGCTTACTGGTATTTACAGAATGGGTCATCCTATTCACTTGATTATTAAAGCCCTCCTCTGCTGAGGTCACCGTTTGGTGAGCATTCAGATGGGACACAAATATCTTTGCATCCTTCGCCCACTCAGAAAGCTCTATCCACATACCTCTTCTCCCATTTTCTTTTGCTACAAATTTTCTAATAATGTTCTCTCCAATTCCCTCACCATCTGGCCAAACCATTGGCTACAGCCCATGAATCAGTGTGTAATCATATATCTGGTCATTTCTCCTTTCAAGCAAAGTGAACCGCCTGCAGTTCTGCCCATTGTGAAGATTTTCTTTCATTATTGTCTTTAAGGATGTCCTAGAAGAAAGCCAAAGTGCTACAGCTCTTTCCTTTTGCACAATTTAGGTGCCTGTTTATTGTGCAGACTCCTCCATAAGGCCCTAGTCTTCTTTTCCTCTGTCAACTGAGCCTAGGGAACTCAAGTACCAATAGTACTGCTGAATTATATAGCCTAAAATTAACCATCACAGGCCAGGCACGGTGGCTCATGCCAGTAATCCCAGCACTTTGGGAGGCTAAGGCGGGCGGATCACCTGAGGTTGGAAGTTCAAGACCAGCCTGACCAACATGGAGAAACCCTGTCTCTACTAAAAATACAAAATTAGCCGGGTGTGGTGGCCCATGCCTGTAATCCCAACTACTCGGGAGGCTGAGGCAGGAGAATTGCTTGAACCCGGGAGGTGGAGGTTGCAGAGAGCCAAGATCACACCATTGTACTTCAGCCTGGACAACAAGAGCAAAACTTGGTCTCAAAAAAAAAAAAATTAACAATCACACAGCCCAAATTCCTTTTCCTTTGTGTTATCACAATTTATTACCCTTTGTTAAAATGTCATAACCACTTCTTTGGGGGATTTTTATTTCTTTTCTGTAAAGCCTGCCCTCCTCCATGTGCATGAAAAATAAACCTTTCCTCTTGTTTATTGGTCTTTGTCAGTTTAATATAAAGGACCCAGCGACAAACTTGAGGGTAGAGGGAAAGTTTTTTTCTTTCCTGCACAAGATAGCCACCCAAGTTAGAATTAGGGTTCAAGGAAAAATCTGATTCAGCAAAGTACAGAATCCCCTCAGGCAGCTCCAACAAACACCCCCATTATCAGAGGAGGAGCTCCTCAGTTACACAGCTCTGTGATTCAGTTACTGATGCAGAATTCCAGAATTCCATCTTCTAGCAGGCATGGCTTCCCTGGTCAGGCAAATGGTGGTTGTTGGGGGGAGGCATTCTCAAACTAACTCTCCATTTTTTATTTTTGGGACTAGTCTGAAGCATTAAAACAAAAACTATTCCACATTAATCAGAAATGTCCAAAAACTGTAGTCTCAACACTGAATGCCCATCAGGATGAACTGGGGTGCTTTTTCAAAATGCATATGATTACAATACAACCTTGGAGATTATAATGGAGTCCAGATATATGAATAGCCATGTGCCATATAATGACATTTTGAGCAGTGATAGACTGCATATATGATGGTAGTCCTATAAAATTATAATGGGGCTGCCCTATAATTTTTTTGGTCTTTTATACCATATTTTTACTGTTCCTTTTCTCTGTTTATGTATGTTTAGCCACACAAATACTTACTATTGTGTCACAATTGCCTACAATGTTCAATATAGTCCCATGTTACACAGGTTTGTAATGCAGGTGTGTAGCAGGCTATACCATCTAGGTTTGTGTAAGTACATTCCATGATGTTCACACAATGACAAAATTGCCTAACGACGCATTTCTCAGAACCTATGTTTGTCATTAAGCCACATGTGACGGTATTTTGGAAAGAGGTATGTTTTGATTCTCAAGTAAAGCCAGGGTTAAAACTCACTGACTTGGAAACTGGAGCAGCTTGAAGACTGGAGGTGAGGAGGCTCTGTTAGATCCAGCTCTGAAAAATCAATGGAGAGCCGAGGGGAGGCCAGCAAGTCTGTGGGACCCTGGGGAGGAGGTGACATCCAGTGTGGCCTTCCATGTGCAAAGTGTAGTTGCCTCATAATGTCTCTTCTCCTTCAGATTACCGCAAATACCTGAAATTATGCTATTAAAAGTTCATCCATACAGTAACCCTTTCATAACAAATATTAAACCCTCATAGACTCTAACATGTTAGCTTCTTCCCACTCCTCCACCAAAAAAAATTTAAGAGCTGGGAATCATAGACAGGCCAGGAAACTTCTGATAATAGAGCAGGGAGAGACATGAAAGACTGCAGGGGGGTGGGATGGTCTGTGGCAGAGACCACCAGCTGCCTCTGCAATATTCATTTTCCCTTCTTCCTCCCTAACGAACTGAATGACACCTCAGGCAGCCACAGCCTCGTTAAGACTACATTTCCCAGAAGGCCATGCTCCTCAGGGTGGCCAATGAGATGTCAATAGAAGTGTTGTTTCCACGCTACTTCCTTAAAGGGGACTGACAGTTGAGAAGGGTACTCCTCTGCTCTTCCACTTTCCCTTCTAGATTCCACAGGGAAATTCGGAGTTAGTGGGTCAAGCACCAGATGCCATCTGCAACCATGAGAAGACTGTAGGAAGGTTGTGGAAGAGAAGGAATAACGAAGCCCAGCTTGCTGATCAGAACTTCAGCTGCCTGATCTCAGCCCTAGGCTCTCTGCCTCCAGATCTTTCCTATACCAAAGGAAAAACAACCTCTATTTTGTTTAAATTGCATAATGGGGTTTCCAGCTATGTGCAACCAAGATTAATTCTGGAGGAAGAATCTGGAGTATAGCCCTATGCCCAAAGAGGTCATTTTCAGGAGAGACTCTCAAGAGGAAGGCTCTGAAATGTCTTTATCTGTGATATGGTTTGGCTGTGTCCCCACCCAAATCTCATCTTGAATTGTAACTCCCACAATTCCCACCTGTCATGAAAGGAACCCGGTGGGAGATGATTGAATTATGGGGGGAGGTCTTTCCTGCGCTGTTCTCGTGATAGTGAATGAGTCTCAGGAGATATGATGGTTTTAAAAAGAGGAGTTCCCCTTCCCAAGTCTCTCTCTTCACCTGCTGCCATTCACTTAAGATGTGACTTGCTCCTCCTTGCCTTCCGCCATGATTGTAAGGCCTCCCCAGCCATGTGGAACTGTAAGTCCATTAAACCTCTTTCTTTTGTAAATTGCCTGGTCTCGGGCATGTCTTTACAAGCAGTGTGAAAACGGACTAATACAATGTGTTAAAAAACAAAAAAATTAAAACTGCAGTCAAGTGGCAAATGAAAGAAGCACTTGGCTTCTCTTGTGGCATATCTGACCACAGCATAGAACAAGCACCCATACAATGCCTCCGTTTGCAGAGTCAGTCCCAAAAGTGTCATCTCAGCATGCTTCATGCACTTTACCAGCTCTTCTCTCAGCTACCTGGCCCCCATCTCACTGGTCATTCTCTCTCCATCCCCACCCTGCCCCTCAGTTGCTGATGGCCATCTCACATGTGGCCATGGCTCCTCTGTGCTCTTCTCCACCCCAGCTCCACTACCTCATGCTGCTTTGCTTTAGCGTCCCAGGACTATCCAGCCCAGCATCCTCACCAAGAGAGGTGCCTCCTACCTGCCCATTGGACAGCATTCACCACGGAAAAGTCAGCATGGTAATAGATGAAAAGCCATGGATTAGAGTGGACATAACATCTTAAAATGCTTAGTGCGGCTGGGTGCAGTGGCTCACACCTGTAATCCCAGAATTTTGGGAGGCCAGGGAGGGAGGATCACTTGAGGTCAGGAGTTCAAACCCCGCCTGGCCAACATGGTGAAACCCCATCTCTACTAAAAATACAGAACAATTAGCCAGGCTTGGTGGCATGCACCCGTTATTCTAGTTACTTGGGAGGCTGAGGCAGGAGAACTGCTTGAACCTGGGAGGTGGAGGTTGCAGTGAAAGGAAATAATGCCACTGCCCTCCAGCCTGGGTGACAGAGCAAGACTCCATCTCAAAAAAAAAAAAAAAGAAAGAAAGAAAAAAAAAATGCTTAGTGCAGGAATTAAATTCTAAAAATGAAGATCTGGAAGTAAAAACGTAGTATTTTAGAGATTGTCTGTGTTTAGTTGTTTTGTATGTGTTTAAGTATCTTTTCCAAGGCCACATCCTATAAGAGGCAACTAGGAAAATGTTTTAGACCATCTGACATTGGGTTCTATAATGTTAAAAGTTTCTGGTGCCTGATAGTTGCTAATAGCTCTAAGTCCTGGTCTCTTTGCAACTATTCGTAGCGAGCACCCAGCTGCCTGCGGCCTGCCCTGATCCTCCCCTGATAAGCAGCCAGCAGGGTCTGGAGATAGTCCTCTCTAGGCTAATGCCCTAATAAACGGGCTGTGGTGGCAGCAGGATGGACAAGCATGACCACGTGGTCCCCGGGTACCTGCATTCCTCCAACCTCCCTGCAGTGCCCTCTCTGGCACTCCACCCTGGGAGAGCCTGTCTCTGAAACGCTCCATAGTCCTATTACCATGGCTGAGCCCTATCTACATTCTTCATTGTCCGTCAGACATATTCATAAGCAGGACTCTGCATGCTACACTGTTCCATGGTGTCCACTTACCCCTTGGCAGCCATAGCAACTAATCGGCTTCTGAGAAAAACGTGCTCTTACCACCATGCCAGTACAAACACACACTCTCCTGCTTTGGCTCTCAAGGCCTGTCAGAATACAGCTTTATATTCCCAGTTTTATTATATATCTCACCCCAGGTCTCTGCCTTTGTTCACAACCCCTCTCCCAACTCTCACTTGAAGGCTGACACAGCCTAACCACACTGACTATATTGACTTTGGCTTTGTCTATCCTGGGGACCTTGAATGAATCGTTTTGACCTTCTCCACATCAGTTTCTTTATCAGAAAATGATGAGGTTGAACAGTGATTTTAAAGATCCCTTCCAATTCTGAAAGGCTGCAAAATTGTGTGCATAGAAACTTCCTCATGCATGCAGATGCTGTCTCTCCAATCCATGCCTATATCATTTCCGATTAATAATATTGACAAAAACAATGATAGCTGACACTTATAGAGTACCTTCTGTGTGCCAGGCATAGTGCTAGGCACTTTACATGCATTATGTCATTTGACTCCTAACTAATCTAAAGTAAACGTGATTACTTTCCCTGCTTTGCGTCAAGAAAAAAACAGAGTGGGCCGGGTGTGGTGACTTGCACCTATAATCTCAGCACTTTGGAAGGCTGAGGCAGGAGGATCACTTGAAGCTAGGAGTTCAAAACCAGCCTGGGTAGCATAGGGAGACCTCGTTTCTAGAAAAGTTTAAAAATTAGCCAAGTGTGGTAGTGCATGCCTGTAGTCCCAGATACTCAGGACACTGAGGTGGAAGACTGCTTGAGTTCAGGTCAAGGCTGCAGTGAGTTGTGATCAACCAATGCACTCCAGCCTAGGAGACAGAGTGAGACCCTGTCTCAAAAAAGAAAAAAGAAAAAGAAAAAGAAAAAAAAGAACACAACATTGGAGCAATATTCCCAAGATAATGAAGGGTACAGCCAGGACTGGAAGTTGAATCTCATTCCACGGCTTAGGATGATAACCACTGCACTATTCCAAGATAGTGTCATGAACCTAATAGACACATGTAGGTGTTCAAATCAGTTCTAGGTTCAAATCAGTATCAGTATTTAGTAAGTAATCAGTTATTATCAGTATTATCTTGTTGTTTCCAAAGTTCTTTCGTTACTGTTTTCTCCTAGGAGCAACAGATTCCTTTTGACTGTAATACACTGAGATCACCTCGTAAACAGATAAATTTATTAAAAATACTGCAGAAGAGGGAATTCCAAGAGAAAAATGACACTACATTTTGTTCTTAGGAGAATAATTCTTTTTTAAAAAAAACTTGACAAAATGCAATCTCCTCACATTGTGATTGCTTCTGAGGATTTTTTTTTCTACATACAGAATTCAAAGAACTGATTTAGTGGGAATTTTAGTTCCACTTAAAAACTCTACAGTGGTAATAGCACATTCTGCAGATATTATGCTATTGGGTAAAGAAGCACCACTGTTCCTAAGCAACAGACCAGAAGCAACAGAGATGAACTTAGCAAGAAACCAAACCTCAAGAGCTGTGAATTCCACATCCCACTTTGCTTCTGTGACCTTGAGCAAGTCACTTGCTCCATGTAACTTTACTCCTCGTTCTGTTAAATGGGAATAAGTTGAGGCTTATTTCGAAAAAGGAACTTCTAAAAGCTACCTCCTAGTAAAATGTATAATTAATACATTTTTAAATTTTATAATTAATATAATTATAATAGAAAGTTGTTGTCCATTAACATAATTGTCTACTCATTAATACACATGTGTGGTCCTGGCTTTCATGCATTAATTATTAAAAATTTTTCAAGCAATCTTCCTGAGTATAAACTAAAGTGAAATTTGTGTTCTATATTAAGATTCAAAAATATGCAAATCTCAAGGGATCCCAGGTCTGAGAGCTACATAATTTATATGAAGACACAAACACTTTGGATATAATTATTCTGCTGCCCATAGTTATTTCAGACTAAATTAATTTAGGCAGATCCAGAAACCTTTTTAGCATCTCAGTAGGGAGGATGGCCTACAATTCCTTAAGTTTCATGTATCACTCTTGTATAACTAATTATTATCAGCATCCTTATTATCAATGATAGAATGATGAAAGCTAATTGATTAATAGAGTATTTGAGCATCAGTAAACATAGGAAAGCCCCCTCATTTTTCTTAAGTTATTATTTAATTAAGCAGTGAACATGAAATTCAACCCCACAATACATCTGCTTTTATTTTGATGGAGATGAAAGGTGTTTATAAGCACCTTTGCGAAAAGATTCTCAATTAGACTGTTCGCCTCAAAAGATTCCATAGGATTATCTCTGAAGAACAGCTGAGAACAGAGTATGTCAGGCTATTTCTTTTTTTTTCTTTATTTCTTCTAAAACAAAACAAAACAGACCAGACCCTGTGGCTCATGCCTGTAATCCCGCACTTTGGGAGGCTGAGATGGGCGGATCACGAGGTCAGGAGTTTGAGACCAGCCTGGCCAATATGGTGAAACCCTGTCTCTAGTAAAAATACAAAAATTGGCTGGGCATGGTGGTGGGTGCCTGTAATCCCAGCTACTAGGGAGGCTGAGGCAGAAGAATCGCTTGAACCCGGGAGGCAGAGGTTGCAGTGAGCCAAGATCGCACCACTGCACTCCAGCCTGGGCAACAGAGCGAGACTCCATCTCAAAACCTCCCCCCCTCAAAAAAAACAAAAATAACAACTACAACAAATGGGATACATGTGTAGAATGTGCAGATTTGTTACATAAGCATACATGTGCCATGGTGGTTTGCTGCACTTATTGACTAGCCCTCTAAGTTCCCTTCTCTCACCCCCCACTCCCCAACAGCCCTTGGTGTGTGTTATTCCCCTCTCTGAGGACTTCATGTCTTGTACTGTTTTTTGTTAGTTTTGATATTTTTTGTTTTTAATTTTTTTAAACCGAATAAAACCATGTTGATTTGGAGAGCTTCCAACAAACAGCATTTTATTTGGAGATTTCCCTTAGCTAATTTTAAAGACATAACTGATGAGCACACTCTGTTTAAATTTTTAAAAAGTAAGGAAGAAATTTCAACTATTATTAATAGAGCTCTCCCTTTATTTAACCAAATAGATTAATAATAACTACTCAAAGCAGGTGTTCTCCCTTTAGGGGAATGGCATATGTATACTGGAGGTATCAATTTGAAAAGTAAAGTCAATATTTGTCTTAGTTTACATAGCAAACCAAAACAACTCTTAGTATAACAAACGAATTGTTCTTGGCAAATTTTTTTACGTTATTTCTGATAACAAGATCAGTAGAGACCCAGAAAATATTTACCAAGGAAGTCATACACAGAAAAAGTAACACAGTTTCCATAAGACCACAAATATTATGACTATGTGAAGCAATCCAAATATCCCACAGTTTAGATGTTGACAGAAAAAAACAACCGCACCGTCTCTACGGACTGAGGCTGCTGCCTGTTTGCCTTCATGTATAATGGTAGATTACCTGGAGAGATGCACGCTCAAACAAGATGTGCTCCACAGCAGACAGGTCTATGCAAACCTACCCCCAGAAGTCCCCGGAAGCTGAGAGGCTGAAGAAAGAGGCTGACAGATCCAGTTTCTCAGAAAGAAATATGTAATAGGGCCTTACGAACAGAAGCCATGTCTGTGCATCAGGTGGTGGTGAGACAAGATGGTAGATCCCCGCACTGTTAATCCCCAAACCTAGCGTTGTATAACACAAGGAAAGGGCGATTCAGAAGGGATGTGTAGGACAACTGAAGTACAATAACATCAAGGTTGTTTGACCTAAGAGTAGGATATCCAGTAAGTACCTGCCCTTATACAAGGAACAGTAGGTAAAATGGAAATCTTAGAGGTCTTCCTAGAACTGGAGTTAATGTTAATTAGAAGTCAACATGGAAGATTAGCATCCAAGATGGAGTTGCTTCAGCCTCCACAGGGTGGAATTAGGCATTTCTTGATAGCGGCATCTATGTCACAGAAAGGAGAACCTGAGTTAACCCACCAGAAACCTCCCCCTCCATTTCACAATCCCAAGGACAGACTATGTCATACAGTGACTGTTCAGGTAACAGCATTTGACAGTGAAAACTCTTGAAAAGGCTCACTTATCAAAAACTGTTTCTTTTTTCCTAACATAAATGTTTTACTCCCATATTTGCTACTTAGCAAATAGACTGCTGAACCTTACAGTTCAGGCAAAGATATACTCATGAGTTTACTCAGAGACACACAAGTGGGATGGTTTAGGATTGTGTTCCATGTTTGGATGACCCCAAGTTGTCTTGCTTTGCCTAGATATGCTGTTACAAACTAAATGTTTGTGTATCCCCAAATTCATATGTTGAAATCCTAACCCTCACGGTGATGGTATTAGGAGGTAGGGCCTTTGGAAGGTGATTAGGTCATGAGGTGGAGTCTCATGAATAGGATCAGTGCCCATTTAAGAGGAAACATGATAGCCTGCTCTTTCTTTCTCTCCTCTCTGCCACATGAGGATACAAGGAGAAGATAATTGTGGCCCCCACAAAAAGGTTGAAAATTTGGCTAAAAAATACATACATACATATATATATATATAATTCTATTAAAGTTTTTAATAGAAAATTTTTTCTTCTTTAACGGATTTTTACTTATAGCTGCATTTATAGGAATAACTGATAGTTGCTAAGCAAGGGATAGGTGTTACATGGTTTGAATCTGATCTATACACATGTATTCTTGTACCTTGTCAGTGGAATCTTTTCTCTCAAATGAATCTGATACCTTCACTGGGCCCTAAAAATGCCTCTGTTTTTCAGGTCTCTTTCCTTTCAGTGGACTATTTTTGCTCCCTGGAATTCTCTCTTTTCAAATCTACCCTGTCTAAATCATGCACATGCTTTACTACCCTACCTGAAAGCCACAAATGGCCACTGTTTTTCTCTGGAATCTTGATTATCTTACTGGCTACTTATCTTATTGTTTTCCCACATAAGCACACCATATTGAACATTTCCCCAACCTGGTGCATAGTCCCAAGCCTTGCTCCCCAGTTAGACTGCAAATTACATTGTGTTCTTTCCCCGCCACTGGCAACCCTCAAGCCATCTAACAGAGAGCTAAACAAAATTGTAGGTTCTCAATAAATATTTATTGAATTGGAGTTTAGGAAATTAATTATTGTTTTCTAGCCCATCCTATAATAGGAGCCAAGCCTATGCACACCCAAGTCATTTTAACGAAGTGCTCTGTTGTATTTCTTCCTTTCAAGATGGTCTGAAACATGCAAACACATATTGCCCTATAGACACTGCTGGGAATAGCAACACAGATTTTTGTTCAACACTTAGCGTTTGAGACAGCCCTGAGTGTGAAATTTGGCTCTACTACTTATTACCAGTGGGACACTGAGCTTGTTTCTTAATCTTTCTAACCCTTGGATCCCTTAACTAACAACAACAAAAAAAGTGATATTTACTTTCTTAGTTATTGTAGACTTAAATAAATGTTATTTCTTCGTTTATCTCTTAGATAATTTTAAACATACCTATTTTAAAGTCATTTTCAGATTGCTCCATTATTTTCATTTTCTTGGGAGTTAATTCCTCACCCAGTGCTAAAACCTGTCTTTTTTAGTATTAGCTTTTTTCATCTGCTTTGGGCTTGGAGTTTGTGGGCTCATCATCCTCAGGAGTTTCTACTGTAAATACAATATAGTATGCTCTCTTTCTCACCAGTAGTTCTGCTGTTTCCTCCACAGGGCACCCCTGTGCCTGCAATAAGAATCAGATCTTACAGGAGAATCTCTGGGCTCTTGCATTAAGATAGCATTGAGGATATCGTGGATGCATAGATTGAGCCACCCACAAGTTACTGGATGCCTTTCTAGAGGGAAGCTATTTGCTGCATTCTGCCCTAAGGTACATAATGTTATAAACCCTGCCCCTCTGTATTAGTACATTTTCTCACTACTATAAAGAAATATCTGAGACTGGGTAATTTATAAGAAAAGAGGTCTAATTGGCTCACTCTTCTGCAAGCTATACAGAAAGCATGATGCTGGCATCTGCTCAGCTTCTGGGGAGACCTCAGGAAAACTTACAATCACTGCAGAAGGAAAAGAGGGACCACAAGTTTACATAGCCAGAGCAGGAAAAAGAGGGAGAGGGGAGGTGCTACACGCTTTTAAACAACAAGATCTCGTGAGAACACTTATTACAAGATGGCACTAGGAGGATGGTGCTAAACCATTAGAAATTGCCCCCATAATCCAATCACCTCTCACCAGGCCCCACCTCCAACATTTGGGGATTACAATTCCACATGAGATTTGGGTGGGGACATAGAGCCAAACCATATTATTCTACCCCTAGGCCCTTTGAAATCTCATGTCCTTCTCAAATTGCAAAATACAAGCATGCCTTCCCAACAGTCCCCTAAAGTCTTAACTCATTCCAGCATTAACCCAAAAGTCCAAAGTCTCATCTGAGACAAGGCAAGTCCCTTCTGCCTATGAGCCTGTAAAATAAAAATCAAGTTAGTTACCTCCAAGATACAATGGCAGTACAGGCACTGGGTAAATACTCTCATTCTAAAAGGGAGAAATCAGCCAAAAGAGGGGGCTACAGGCCCCATGCAAGTCTAAAACCCAGCAGGGCAGTCACTAAATCTTAAAGCTCCAAAATATTCTCCTTTGGCTCCATGTCCCACATCCAGGGCACACTGAGGCAAGGGGTGGGATCCCAAAGCTTTGGGCAGCTCCATCCCTGTGACTTTTCAGGGTTCAGCCCCCATAGCTGCTCTCATGTGCTGGCATTGAGTTCCTATGGCTCTTCCAGGTACAGGGTGCAAGCTGTCAGTGGATCTACTATTCTGGGGTCTGAAGAATGGTGGCCCTCTTCTCACAGCTTCACTAGGCAGTGTCTCAGTGGGGACTCTGTGTGTTGGCCCCAACCCCACATTTCCCCTCTGCACTGCCCTAGTAGAGGTTCTCCATGAGGGCTGTGCCCCTGCAGCAGGCTTCTGCCTAGACATCCAGGCTTTTCCATACATCCTCTGAAATCTAGGTAGAGGGCCAGGTGCAGCAGCTCACGCCTGTAATCGCAGCACTTTGTGAGGCTGATGTGGGCAGATCACTTGAGGTCAGGAGTTTGAAACCATCATGGCCACATGGTAAAACCCCATCTCTATTAAAAGTGCAAAAATATTAGCCAGACATGGTGGTGGGTGTCTATAATCCCAGTTACTTGGGAGGCCGAGGCAGAAGAATTGCTTGAACCCAGGAGGCAGAAGTTGCAGTGAGCTGAGATCACTCCACTGCACTCAAGCCTGGGTGACAGAGCAAGACCTTATCTCAAAAAAAAAAAAAAAAAAAAAAAAAACAACTTGAAATCCAGGCAGAGGCTCCCAAGCTTCATCTCTTGCACTCTGTGTACCTAAAGGCTTAACACTACATGGAAACCACCAAGGCTTGGGGCTTGAACGCTGTGAAGCAGCAGGCTGAGCTGTACCTGGGCCCCTTTGAGCCACAGCTGGAGCTGGAGTAGCTGGGATACAGGAGCAGTGTCTTAAGGCTGTGCAGGATAGTGGGGAGATGCTGGTCCTGGCCCATAAAACCATTCTGTCCTCCTAGGCCTCCAGGCCTGTGATGGGAGGGGTTGCTTCAAAGGTCTCTGGAATGCCTTGGAAGCTTTCTTCTCCATTGTCTTGACTATAAACATTTGGCTTCTCTTTACTTATGCATGTCTCTGCAGCAGGCTTGACTTGATCCCCTGAAAATGGGCTTTTCTTTTCTACCACATGGCCAGGCTGCAAATTTTCCAAACTTTTATGCTCTGCTTCCCTTTTAAATATAAGGACCAGTTTCAGATATAAGGGCCAATTTCAGGCCATTTCTTTGCTCATGCATATAAGCATATGTTGTTGGAAGCAGCAAGTCCACATCTTGAACACTTTGCTGCTTAGAAATTTCTTCTACCAGATACTCTAAATCATCACTCTCAAGTTCAAAGTTCCACAGATCATTAGAGCAGGGGTGCAATGCTGCCAACCTCTTTGCTAATGCATAACAAAAGCAGCCTTTGCTCCAGTTCCCAGTAAGTTCCTGTCTCCGTCTGAGACCTCATCAGCCTGGACTTCGCTGTCCATATCACTATAAGCATTTTGGTCACAACAATTTAACAAGTCTCTAGAAAGTTCCAAATTTTCCCTTATCTTCCTGTCTTCTTCTGAGCACTCCAAACAGTTCCAACCTCTGCCTTTTACCCAGCTCCATAGCTTCCACATTTTCAGGTATCTTTATAGCAATACCCTACTCCTGGTAACCAGTTTTCTGTATTAGTTCATTCTTGCACTGCTACAAAGAAATATCTGAGACAGGGTAATTTATAAAGAGAAGAGGTTTAATTGGCTCACTGTTCTGCAGTCTATGCAGGAAACATGATGCTGTCATCTGCTTGGCTTCTGGGGAGACTTCAGGAAAACTTACAATAATGGCAGAAGGAAAAAGGGGAGCACCACTTCACATAGCTGGAGCAGAAGAAAGATGAGAGAGTGGGGAGGTGCCACATGCTTTTAGAAAACCAGATCTCATGAGAACTCCATCACAAGACAGCACTGGGGGATGGTGCTAAACCATTAAAAACTGACCCCATGATCCAATCACCTCCCACCAGCCCCACCTCCAACATGTGGGGATTACAATTCAACATGAGATTTGGGCAGGGACACAGATCCAAACCATGTTACCTTCCAAGTAGGACCAGCACTTCCTGCAGCCTCTGTTTGCAGGCCAGGGATTTTGTGGTATTCTCCAGCATTAGGCAGTGTGTCTGATGCCATCTCCCACCTTTCATGGGGTATTTTGACCTTAATTATTCCGCAGAAACTTAACTGTTCTTTCAGTCCCAGAGATCAGCTGGCTTGTAGTTTGAAGCCTGCTCCATGCTTTGTGTTTCTGCCCTACTTTCTGGCCTAAAGAGAGATCTTTGTCTTGTTTAGAAGACATGCCTTTATCATTCATTTATGTATTTAATATTTTGTTATTTTTTTTGTCAATTACTAATACACGTTTCCAGCTAGAGCTAGAAAGGGAGCAGGCTTGTGAGTGTTTGAAATCACAATGCAATCTTGGCCTGCAAGAAGTATCAAGGAAGGCTTGCTCAGGGGGCTTGTGAACCAGGCCTTGGAGCCCGGACTCAAGAGATTCAGGAGGGCTGGAGGGCAACACACAGGACAGGCTGAGCTTCAGTTTGGAGGAAGCAGATATCAGTGAGAGCAAAGGGATTGATTTTAGTTGGCACACTCTGTGTGTGTGCGTGTGTGTGTGTGTGTGTGTGTGTGTATAGGGGAGTCATGAGAGTTTGGGCTAAAAAGGGAGGCCAGCAAAAATCAAAGCCCATTGAGATTAAATGTCTCACCCAAGGTCATTTAGCTCTGTTCCCCTCTAGGCACCTCACTTTGGGCAAAACCATGGCAAAGCCATATTAGGGCACTGACAGCCATACAAAGAGGAAGGAGGAGAAGCAGAAGAGGTGAAGGGCAAGGAGTAGAACAAAAAGCATATAAAGAGGAAGATGAGCCAGGCGCGGTGGCTCACACCTGTAATCCCAGCACTTTGGGAGGCCAAGGTGGGCAGATCACGAGGTCAGGAGATGGAGACCATCCTGGCTAACATGGTGAAACCCAATCTCTACTAAAAATACAAAAAATTAGCCGGTCGTGGTGGCAGGCGCCTGTAGTCCCAGCTACTCGGGAGGCTGGGGCAGGAGAATGGCGTGAACCCAGGAGGCGGAGCTTGTGGTGAGCCGAGATCACACCACTGCACTCTAGCCTGGGAGACAGAGCAAGACTCCGTCTCAAAAAAAAAAAAAAAAAAAAAAAAAAAAGAAGGAGATGAAAGGGAGGAGGAAGAGGAAGAACATGGCAAGGAGTATGATATCCTTCTCCATAGGAAGTTTACCTTTAAGTTGCAAATGGACAACATTTATAAATAGCACATACACAGATCTGATTCTCATGATCTTTAACAAATTAACATATGATAATAAGTAAAATAGAATAAACCATGCATGTGTAGTATGGAGATGAGAAGTAAAGAAGGACCACCAGACATCACTGGAGATCATCTACTAACAACTCCTTATTTCATAAGTGAGGAAACTCAGACTCAGAAAGAATAAGTGACTTGCCTGTGGTCACATAAATGCAGATCCAAGACTAGCTCCCCAGACTTCTAACATTTTTACAGTTTTCTTCTAATTTCATCCTCAGGAAGAAGTGGGGTTAATTGAAAAATACTCCCTGAGTAGATAACGTTTTGAGCCAAGCAAAAGGAAGTGGCATTTATAATTTGGGTTCTTGCAAATGCAAATTCTGTAGAATACTATGTTGGTGGGTCTAACGATTTGTAAAATGTAATTAAAATGTCTTTTCAACAAATACAATTCATTCTGTTATGAATAGTCTACATTCTGGAAAATGACAACACAGAAGAAATGAGAGTCTCCATGAAATAAAAATGGGGCGTTCCATTTTTGTGGGGGCAGACACCACTGGTCACAGGGAACGATGGTCATGAGTGATGTTGGACCAGTAAGGCTGTCAACTCATAACTGGCTTCTTAGATCATTGGACTCAGACATTCCTAATTTCGTTGTTAACCTCCGGGACTAATCCCCTGAAGAAGCAAATTAACTTCGAAACTGGATTATGTTCTTCCCTCAAACACAACCTTAATGGATAGATTTGACATCTCTTTCTTTCTTATCAAAGATGACATTCTCTACAAAGAGAATTTAGTAGTATGTTAATTAATGTTAATTGAGTAGTATTGAATTTTGACGTTTTATTAAACTTTGTTTTCTTTTTTTTTTTTTTTTTTTTGAGACAGAGTCTCGCTCTGTCACCCAGGCTGGAGTGCAGTGGCGCGATCTCGTCTCACCACAAGCTCCGGCTCTCGGGTTCATGCCATTCTGCCTCAGCCTCCTGAGTAGCTGGGACTGCAGGTGCCCACCACCATACCTGGCTAATTTTTTTTTTGTATTTTTAGTAGAGACGGGGTTTCACCATGTTAGCCAGGATGGTCTCTATCTCCTGACCTCGTGATCCTCCCACCTCAGCCTGCCAAAGTGCTGGGATTACAGGCATGAGCCACCACACCCGGCCAACTTTGGTTTGTTTTCTGAAGCTAAAGTCTACTCTCAACATCAACTTTAGGAGACACTAATATAATAAAGGAATTTATGGCCGGGCGCAGTGGCTCATACCTGTAATCCCAGCACTTTGGGAGGCTGAGGTGGGCGGATCACCTGATGTCAGGAGTTTGAGACCAGCCTGGCCAATGTTGTGAAACCCCATCTCTACTAAAAATACAAAAATCAGCCAGGCGTGGTGGTGAATGCCTGTAATCCCAGCTACTCGGGAGGCTGAGGCAGGAGAATTGCTTGAACCCAGGAGGTGGAGGTTGCAGTGAGTGGAGATTGCGCCACTGCACTCCAGGCGGGGTGACAGAGTGAGACTCCGTCTGGCAGGGAGGGGGAGGAAGAAATTTATTGCCCTAGTTACCCATGCTGCACTTCTAGAAATAGTATTGTTGACAAGATGATCTTTTCACTGGAAGACTGTGATTTTATCATTTACGTTTTTTTTGGTGAGAAACAGGTTTAAGTATTTTAAGCTAGTAATTCTCTTTCTAGGAAACAATCCTAAAGAAATAACCAGAAACTCAGATTAATATACAAATAAGCTCTTAATCATCTATCATAATGAAAAATTAAAATTGGTTTAAATGTTAAACAATAGTAGATTCTTTGAATAAATTAATACATATACAAACACTGCAATGTTGTACTATCGAATTCATTGCTTGAGTAGTATTTAAGGATATGGGAAAATATCTTCTATGGAATGAAAGACTCCATGAGAATAGAGACCATGTCTGGGTTTGCCCGATGTTGTACAGCTGACTCTTGAACAACACAGGTTTGAACTGCATGGGTCCAGGCATACATGAATTTTTTTTCCATAAAAATTACACCTACTGTGCCTGTCTCTCCTGCCTCCACTTCTACCTCCTCCACCTCTTTTGCCTCTGCCACCCCTGAGACAGCAAGACCAACACCTCTTCTTTCTCTTCCTCCTCAGCCTGCTAAACATGAAAGTGATGAAGACGAAGACCTTTAGGATGAGCCATTTCCACTTAATAAATATATTTTCTCTTCCTTATGATTTTCTTTTTTAAATTTTATTTTCTTAATCACATTTTCTTAGGCCGGGCGTGGTGGCTCAGGCCTGTAATCCCAGCACTTTGGGAGGCCGAGGCGGGCAGATCACGAGGTCAGGAGATCGAGACCATCCTGGCTAACACGGCGAAACCCCGTCTCTACTAAAAATACAAAAAATTAGCCAGGTGCGATGGCGGGCGCCTGTAGTCCCAGCTACTCGGGAGGCTGAGGCAGGAGAATGTCGTGAGCCCAGGAGGCAGAGCTTGCAGTGAGCCGAGATAGCGCCACTGAAGTCCAGCCTAGGCGAAAGAGCGAGACTCCGTCTCAAAAAAATAAAAAATAAAAACATTTTCTTTTCTCTCGTTTACTTTGAGAATACAATATCTAATACACATTACATACAGAATATGTATCAATAGGCTATTTATGTTATCAGTAAGGTCAACAGCAGGCTATTAGTAATTAAGTTTTAGGGAAGTCAAAAGTTACATACAGATTTCTGACTGTGAGGAGGGGTGGTGTCCCTAGCCCTTGTGTTGTTTAACGGTTAATTGTATACTCAATTTCTAGCACAGTGGTTCAAAGAGCTAAGGCAAGGCTGGGTGTGGTGGCTCACACCTGTAATCTCAGCACTTTGGAAGGCTGAGGGGGCGGATCACCAGGTCAGGAGTTTGAGACCAGCCTGGACAATATGGTGAAAGCCCATCTCTACTAAAAAAAAATACAAAAATTAGCGAGGCGTGGTGGTGCGTGTCTGTAGTCCCAGCTACTCAGGAGGCTGAGGCAGAAGAATCGCTTGAATCTGGGAGGTGGAGGTTGCAGTGAGCTGAGATCGTGCCACTGCACTCCAGCCTGGGTGACAGAGTGAGACTCCGTCTCAAAAAAAAAAAAAAAGAAAGAAAAAGAAAAAGAAAAAATAAGTTAAAAAAAAGAATTCAAAGTTATGCACATATTTTAAATTACACTATTTCTTCTCAAATAAAAGACTCCAAAGAGATACTTCACTATTATTACAAACAAAGCATTTCCGCTTTGTGGCTTTATACCATGTAAACATAATTAAAATGTATTTGCTTTTGAAACAGAAACACGTTTCTTGGGTGCTAATGCAGATTTTTGATGCATATGATAAACAAGCTGAAAGTAAAACAAAAGATAGTCAGGTTTTTTTCTAATCAATTTTTCTCTCCTAATTCTATTATATTGAAACTTATTTTTCAAAATCTGTTCCTTGTTGCCATAGTGATCAGCTCCCGATGTGAAATTATATCACACTGGCTCTCTTTCAAGTTTCAATAATGTGCCGTCACCACCCACTTCTCTTTTAAAATGTTTAAATCCTCTAATCAGTGAGCATCTTAATAGCCTCACTTTTGGGGAACTGAAGTAGGAGCTGGGAGCTGAGGAAAAGGTATTGTATGGAAAGTGGGAGTGAAATGAAAGAAATAGAAAAATGTGAACTTTGAAAATAAATTAATTTATCATAGAAAATAAGATTCGACCTTCCACATATAGCAATTTCCTCTTTCCAACATACCTCAAATGTTAATTTTATAAATGATATGCTAGGGCCAGGCGCGGTGGCTCATGCCTGTAATCCCAACATTTTGGGATGCCAAGGTGGGTGGATAACTTGAGGTCAGGAATTCGAGACCAGCCTGGCCAATATGGTGAATCCCCATTTCTATTAAAAGTACAAAAAAATTAGCTGGGCGTGGTGGCACACGCCTGTAATCCCAGCTATTTGGGAAGCTGAGGCAGGAGAATCGCTTGAACCCAGGAGGCAGAAGTTACAGTGAACCGAGATTGAACCACTGCACTCCAGCTTGGGCGACAGAGCAAGATTCTATCTAAAAAAATAATAAAATAAAAATAAAAGTAATAAAAAATATATAAATGATATGCTAATGGGTGAATTGAACTTTAACTGAAAATGAGAGTAATTTGAGAATGAAGGTATATGGTCTGTATTAAAACTCATAAGAATACCCTTAATATAGAAGTAATCTTTACAAAGCAATGAGGAAAAAAATATTCACACTTCAATAAAACAATGGGAAATAGGTATAGATAGCCAGTTTACAAATGAAAAAAGTAAAATACTCAATAGACACATAAAAGAATGTTCAATTTTGCTAGTAGTCCAAGAAATAAAAATAAAACAAGATGCCATCTTTTGCTTGATGATTTATAAAAATCTCAAAGGATGATAATGCCAATATAGCTAGAGTTTAGAAAAATAAGCATTGAATAAACAATGATATTTACACTAGCTTTTTTTTTTTTTTTTTTTTTTGAGACAGAGTCTTTGTTTCACCCAGGCTGGAGTGCAGTGGCTCGATCTCGGATCACTGCAACCTCCGCCTCCTGGGTTCAAGCCATTCTCGTGCCTAACACTCATGAGTAGCTGGGATTACAGGTGCCCGCCACCACGCCCAGCTAATTTTTTGTTTATTTAGTAGAGACAGGGTTTCACCATGTTGGCCAGCCTGGTCTCAAACTCCTGACCTCAAGTGATCTGCCCGCCTCGGCCTCCCAAAGTGCTGGAATTACAGGCATGAGCACCAAGCCTGGCCTCTTAGCTTTGTTTTCATTAAAAAAAAAAAAAAAAAAAAAAGGCCAGGCTTGGTGGCTCATGCCTGTAATCCCAGCACTTTGAGAGGCTGAGGCAGGCGGATCATGAGGTCTGGAGTTCGAGACCAACCTGGCCAACATGGTGAAACCCCATCTCTACTAAAAATACAAAAAATGAGCCAGGCATGGTGGCACACACCTGTAGTCCCAGCTACTCAGGAGGCTGAGGCAGGAGTATCGCTTGAACCTGGAGGCGGAGGTTACGGTGAGCCCAGATCACACTACTGCACTTCAGCTTGGCAACAGAGCGAGACTCCGTCTCAAAAAAAAAAAAAAAATGGAACCAACCTCAATGTCCACCAATAGGGAAGAGTTATAGAAATTATAATTTAACTACATGATGGAATGTTCTCAAACCATTGAACATGAAAATGATGACTTCATCTGTATTTCTTGACATTAAACGATCTCATATTGACATGGAAAGATATCCATATAACATGTGGCAAACAAGAAAAAAAAGCAGATGGAGACTAGGAAGACTTCTGAAAATACCCTAGGATAAATGAATGTGTGTGGATCTCCACAGAAACACGTTTAGATGCTGCCACACCAAAATATGAACTGTGGTTACTGCTGAAAGATATACTTATGAGTGATTTTTATTTTATAAATGCTGTGTTATGTGAATATTTATATTCAGCAGGTTGAAATCAGGTTAGCAAGAGAAATATTTCCATTTCCATTACACACAGGATAATTTTCTTACAAAAAAATTTAAGACATAAGTTCCCAGACATGTAAAGCTATGAAGACTGAAGCAGACCTTGAAAATCTTAGTCCTAAAAGGAAGTGGTGGTGATTGGGTTGGGGAAAGTTTGTGGAAATCCCTGGTACGAATCTGTTACTGAACACGTAGTTATTGACTACGAACCTGGACTTAACCCTCTCATTTTACAAGAAAGGAAGGCCAGGCCAGGCGTGGTGGCTCACACATTCCCAGCACTTTGGGAGGCCAAGGTGGGTGGATCACGAGGTCAGGAATTCAAGACCAGCCTGGCCAAGATGGTGACACCCCGTCTCTACTAAAAATATTAAAATTAGCCTGGCATGGTGGCAGGTGCCTGTAATCCCAGCTACTCGGGAGGCTGAGGCAGGAGAATCGCTTGAACCCAGAGGACGGAGGTTGCAGCGAGCTGAGATCGCGCCACTGCAGTCCAGCCTAGGTGACAGAGTGAGACTCCATCTCAAAAAAAAGAAAAAAAGAAAGAAAGAAAGGCCAGACTCTCAAGGGTGAAGGTGCTTGCTCTAGGTCACAGGAGTGAAGGGAGGAACTGGCATTTCCTGACTCCGAGTCTCTGGTTTTCTCACCCAAACATGCCACCCCCATTGTGCAAACTGGCTTTTCCCTCCAGCAATTTCGAGTGGCTGTCTATTTTGTATAGCGAAAGGAGGTTTTTGTAGTGGATGACAAATCTTGAGCTAAAAAAGAAACATAGTATGACTCAAACAGTGAGCTGAGTTTACATAGAAATTATAGGCCTGTGCTGCTGTTTGGTAAGATTTTGGAACTAATTACTAGGTATTCCCAAAACAACACTTCTCTGGGCATCACGTGCATTTCTGAAAATTTCCTGAGGGTGATTGCTGGCCAAGAGCATTTCCTGCATGAAAATCCGAACAGTTTCTTTTTTATTGTTACACTCTGATGCAAGATTTCTAAGAATCTTTCTGTGAATCAAAGACTTCACTAGAAATAATGCTGTGTGGAGTCCCTTTACTACCTAGGGACCTATTCAGCTAAACAAGCATTTCTGTTGCAATGTAAATCAACTTTCTGGAATCAAAGAGATTCCAGTTTAAATTTGTCTATAACACACATGAGTGTGAGTAGAGTGGTTGAATGGGGAAAGCCCAGTCTTGAACTGACATGTCTTAGAACACTGAAAAATGTCACAAGTTATGTCTGTGTTTCTGCTGGTGTCTCCTGTGAACTCTCACATCTGGCCTCAGCCACATTCTCCAAGGGGGTGCACCCCACACTCTTCCTTTCCGTTTGGTGTTTTCTTTGCTTTCTGATGATACTTGGGGACCTTGTCCTTGCTGCCGGTGCCCATCAGAGGAAGGTCAAAGTCCATTCCCAAGACTCTCTTGGATGCTCCCAATGGTGTCAAGCCTCAATGATAGCTGGTGATGCATTCTCTGGAGACTGGGGAGAAAGCTTGGCTGATACTGGGCCACAATTTGTCACCTGAAGCTGAAGGGAGCTGAGTCTTGAGAAAGAAAAATCTTTTATCTGAGGAATGCAAGTCTCTCAAATTATCAGGCCCAGAAACACATTTAAATTTAACAGCAGTCATCTCACTCCCCTTTGAGCTAAATAATTACCTCTTAGAGCCTGAGGCCAAGTAGTCATAAAATGCCATACACTCTATAGTTGAAAAGTGTATAGCCAATCACTAACCAATGTTATTTCTGTAAACCAATGAGAATTCCTGACAAACAACTTTAGTAATCAGCCCCTTCTCCTGATTTTTTTTTTTCATTAAAAAATGTGAGCCTCCGCCTGTAATCCCAGCACTTTGGAAGGCGGAGGCGGGCGGATCACGAGGTCAGGAGATCGAGACCATCATGGCTAACACGGTGAAACCCCGTCTCTACTAAAAATACAAAAAAAAAAAAAATTAGCCGGTGTGGTGGCGGGTGCCTGTAGTCCCAGCTACTAGGGAGGCTGAGGCAGGAGGATGGCGTGAACCTGGGAGGCGGAGCTTGCAGTGAGCCGAGATAGTGCCACTGCACTCCAGCCTAGGCAACAGAGCGAGACTCCATCTCAAAAACAAAAACAAAAACAAAAACAAAACAAAACAAAACAAAATGTGAGCCTCTCTTTTGTTCTTCGAAGCACTCCCCAAGGCAACTTGGAAGTGTCTTCTCAGCTGCAGTCCTTAACTTTTGCACTTGAATAAACTCTCTTTAAACTAGATTCTGACCTTTTTGACTATTTTAAATTGGCAGTCTGCACCAATGTCTCCACCAGAGCCAGGAAGGTGGAGACCCAGCACCAAAACACCCTCCCAATTCTCTCTTTCCTCCAGGCCAAGATAACCATCCTTATCTTTTATTTAACAATACACAGGCCTGATGCAAATCAGCTCATGCAAATCACACCTTCAAGACCTGCCCCCAGCTCACTGGACGGGTCTAGACCAGTGCGAATGAGCTCAAATAAGGATCTTGGCTACATGCATTTCCCTTGTCATTTTATACTCCAAAGCAAAAACCTGTTTTGGAAGAATGAAACCAGTTTGCATGGTGCTAAAAAAAGTTTAACACCTGGCTGCCCTAAAAATTTTCAGGTCAAGTTCACCGTGAAGGGAATGCAAAATGCAACACATAAACATAGCTCTGAAAACCAACGAAGACACAAAAACCAAACAATGAAAATATTGTCCCTTCCTCTGGTTTAAATATGTCATTTCCATAAGACCAGATCAAGTCGCTGTTGGACAACTTTTTAAAAGATAGCAACAGTTTAAGCTTAATTTCATTTTAATTTTTCAAAGTGAACTTTAAAAAACACCTTATGTGACTTCCATGAATACACTGAAACACCGTGTTACAGAGCAGCTAAAATAGGAGACCTGGCTCCATTTCGATAATAAATGGTTGGGCTCACTAATGCGCTCAGATCGATGTCAAGCATGGGGGATTATCTACATAAACACACAAACTTTAGCACCTCTAAATTTGACTACTCAGACATAAATGTGACTGGTCTAAGAGAAGATCAATGTTTATAGCCTTAAAGTCACTCAATATTTAATTTAAATGCAAGCTGGTTTATGCCTGAAGCCAATGCCTGACATTTTAGATTTTTTTTTTTTTTTCTTTTTTTTGAGACGGAGTCTGGCTCTGTCATGCAGTGGCATGATCTCGGCTCACTGCAACCTCTGCCTTCTGAGTTCAAGCAGTTCTCCTGCCTCAGCCTCCCTAGTAGCTGGGATTACAGGCGTGTGCCGCCACACCCGGCTAATTTTTGTATTTTTAGTAGAGATGGGTTTTTACCATGTTGGCCAAGATAGTCTCAAATTCCTGACCTCGAGTGATCCGCCTACCTTGGCCTCCCAAAGTGCTGGGATTACAGGCAGTAGCCACCGTGCCCAGCCGGGATTTTTTTTTTCTTTTCTATTCCTAACAGCCCAAACCCAGCAAAAAGCATCATGCATTTGCACTCAGGTGCTGAGTAGGTTTCAGGACCTCAACAGGCCCACCTGACCTGGTCCAGGAATGACAGTAGTCAGGCCCCCCTGCCGTACATTTGGCCTAGTCTTCAAAAGCCTGCTCACTGGCCACACCAATTTCCTAAGGGTTTTTCTAAACAAAAATTTCAGATAAACCTAGATCCAACTTCTATATTGTTTCTTTAATTGGCTTTTGTTTTACGATCTTTATTTCAAATGTAATGCACTCTTGGGAAAGAAAAGTCAGAAAACAGAGATGAGCAGAAATGTCAGAGGCATTCGAACCACAGCAACTCCATCTTGACTAGGGACTGGGTAAAAGGAGGCTGAAACCTACTGGGCTGCATTTCCAGGAGGTTAGGCCTTCTTAGTCATAGGATGAGATAGAAGATCAGCATAAGATACAGGTCACAAACACCTTGCTGATAAAACAGGTTGCAGTAAAGAAGCAGGCCAAAAGGCCGACGTGGTGGCTCATGCCTGGAATCCCAGCGCTTTGGGAGTCTGAGGCAAGAGAATCACTGAGGTTGGGAGTTCGAGACCAGCCTGGCCAATATGGTGAAACCCAGTCTCTACTAAAAATACAAAAATTAACCTGGCATGGTGGCACACATCTGTAATCCCAGCTACTTGGGAGGCTGAGGCACAAGAATCGCTTGAACCTGGAAGGTGGAGGTTGCAGTGAGCCAAGATTGTCCCACTGTACTCCAACCTGGGGGACGGAGCGAGACTTGGTCTCAAAAAAAAAAAAAAAAAAAAAAAAAAAAGAAGCAGGCCAAAACCCACCAAAACCAACATGGCCACAAAAGTGACTTCTGGTCATTCTCACTGCTCATTAGATGTTAATTATAATGCATTAGGATGCTAAAAGACACTCCCACCAGCACCATGGCAGTTTACAAATGGTCTATATGGTCTAAAAAGGGGAGGAACCCTCAGTTCCAGAACTGCCCAATCCTTCCCTGGAAAACTCATGAGTAATCCATTCCTTGTTTAGCATATGATCAAGAAGCAACTCTGAGTATACTCATTTGAGCACCCCATGCTTCTGCTCTGCTTATGAAGTAGCCATTCTTTTCCTTTACTTTCTTAATAAACTTACTTTGGCTTTGCTCTCTGGAGTCACCCCAAATTCTTTCTTGTGTGAAGTCCGAGAACACTCTCTTGGGGTCTGGATTGGGACCCCTTTCCAGTAACAGAATGAATGTAAAGAATATTCATAATAGGCCAGGCGCGGTGGCTCACGCCTGTAATCCCAGCACTTTGGGAGGTCGAGGTGGGTGGATCACAAGGTCAGGAGATTGAGATCATCCTGGCTAACACGGTGAAACCCCGTCTCTACTAAAAATACAAAAAATTAGCCGGGCGCGGTGGCAGTCACCTGTAGTCCCAGCTACTCAGGAGGCTGAGGCAGGAGAATGGCCTGAACCCGGGAGGCGGAGCTTGCAGTGAGCCAAGATTGCACCATTGCACTCCAGCCTGGGCGACAGAGCAAGACTCCATCTCAAAAAAAAAAAAAAAAAGAATATTCATCATCACTTCTTGTGGGATGGAAAATGTGTCCATTCCTTCAAGAGTCTTCCTTCTGGCACCCCCTACATATAATGATATTTTACAAAACTAAACAGGATGTGTTGTTTTATTACCTGCCATAATTTAAGCCAGTTGTTCTCAAATTGGGCTGTGTCTTATAACCACCTGGGGAGATCTTAAATATCTTGATAGATGGGCCTCACTTCTTACCACTTAAATAGTAATTTTGAGAATGAGACCCAAGCATTCGTATTTTTTAGGTATATCCAAGATGCAAACAAGATGGCAAAGAGTGCCTTACATAAACAACCAACAGAGGGGAGATTAGATTAGGGAGTGAAGTAGAGCAGCAGTTGTCAGACGTTGGTGTGTATCCTGATCACCTGGAGAACTTGGTGAAATATGAAGGCCCAGGCCCTGTATTTCCATGACTCTTGGACTCCATGTTTCTTATTGGCTCTGCAGGCCATTTGCATGCTCACCAAGTTGGAGAACCAACAGTTTAGGTGACCGATCGCCGACTGTTTGATCACCTCTTAAAGAACCTGATGCCCCCATCCTCACTAGAGTAAACTTTAAGAACTAGGCTGTTCTATCCAGTAGCCTCTCATCACATGTGACTATTAAGCACTTGAACCATGGCTAGTTCAAAGAGAGCACAGCTGCAAATGGAGAATGAGCCCAGGATTTCAAAGGCCTAGCACACATTGAAATGGCAGTCTGTTGGACATACTGAGTTTCTTCTTTTTCTTTAAATCACATATGTAGCTCACATTGTATTCCTACAGGACAGGCTGCTCTGGAGGCGGGGCCTATGTCTGTTCTCCGCTGTCTTTCCAGCAGCTGGCTCAGTGATTTTGCATCAAGTAGGCACTCAATCAATATATATTTGTTTCTTTTGGGGAAAGAAAATGAGTCAATGAATAAATGAATGAACACAGACATATGACAACCCAGTCACGCAAAGTATTATTCTACAGACAAAGCAGAAACTTGGAAAATAGACACTATTTTGGTTTGGGTTCCCCTAGAGGCCTTTCCTGAGACTGGGGTTCAAGTGCAAGTGGTCTATTTGGAAGGAGATCCCCAAGAATATTGGTAGAGGAGTAAAGAAGTGAAGCTGGGAAGGCAAGGAGGGCAGTAAAGGGTATGTTAGGAAACAGTTGCCATTGTGGGCAGTTGGGGCTTAGTCCTGCTGGGAACTTTAGGAAATAATATGAAATATGTGCCTGGAAGCTCTGTCCCCCACCCATGGTGAAGGAGCTAGGTTGTTTATACACCATTTCCCATTAGTCCTTCATTGAAAGCTGCTGGGAGGGGCACACTGCTGGGAGCTAGGTTGTTTATACACCATTTCCCATTAGTCCTTCGTTGAAAGCTGCTGGGAGGGGCACATGCATTCATTCCCAGGCACTTCTGTCCTACCATGTGCTGTGAGCTCCAGCAGACAGAGAAAGCCTTCAGGCAAAGAGACAGCAGTGCTAGCAGGTGCACGTGCTAAAATGGTACAGCTGAGGGGACAGGAGCAAAGGAGTTCAGAAAATGCCACCCCCAAATATACTGCTTTGGTATATTGATTGCCTTCAGCTGAAGGCACTTGAAAAATAAAAATGCAGTCTTTCTCTAAACTCCTCTTATCTGCCTAAAGACAGATCCTCCAGAAGAAACTCAGTTGTCATCAATCCCCATCTGGGGAGTTTCATCAACCAGAGAAGATTAAGTCTTATCACAGGAGAGGAGGCTAGAAGTGAGTTCCACATCCAGATAAACTTTGCTACCAGCTCTCATCTGTTCTTCCAAGGGCCTATCCATCTTTCCCCCAAAACCGTTTACTCTCCCCTAAATTGCCAATATCCCCCCTCCCCTCTCCCATATGAAGAGGGTATACAAGCTCCTAAATCTCACTGGCTTTTCAGATAGCTACTTTTTTGTTTTTCCTGTGATGCCTCTGTGCATATACTAAATTTATATGCCTTTTCTCCTGTTAATCTGCCTGTTGTCAGTTGATTTCATGGATAAACTGACATGAACCTCAGTGGGTAGAGGAAAAGTCTTCTCTTCCCTACAGGGACATAGCCAGGAACAGCTAACTATAGTTCCTTTTCTTGGTGGAGGGTGGTGTGGAGTCTCGCTCTGTCACCCAGGTTGGAGTGCAGTGGCTGGATCTCGGCTCACTGCAACCTCTGCTTCCCAGGTTCAAGTGATTCTCCTGTCTCAGCCTCCCAAGTACCTGGGACTACAGGTGCACTTCGCCACACCCAGCGAATTTTTTTGTATTTTAGTAGAGACAGAATTTCACTGTGTTGCCCAGGCTGGTCTTGAACTCCTGAGCTCAGGCAATCCACCCGCCTCAGCATCCCAAAGTGCTAGGATTACAGGCATGAGCCACCTCGCCTGGCCTATAGTTTCTTTTTAAACAAGCCCAGTAATTCCATCACCTAATAATTTAAATCGGTACCACTGTCATGCACATCTCACAAGATGGTCAGTAAAACCCCTTGTCAGCTCCTCTTTGATGACCCTAGAGGCCCCAAACAGATGTGGGGACAGGCTCCCAGCCATGAGCCCAGTGTTCCTTGATTAAGAATTGTCCAACCAGGAGGGTCCATCACTGTTGGACCCTTTATCTCCTGGTAGTTACTCCTAGGCTAAGATGGTAGGCAATTTTCTTTCTTCTGGTTTCTCCATTATGATGCAAACCCACCCAGGAATGTGGCTGGCACTTGTCTTTAGATTGCCCATAATACATGCACACAGGCCTGAAATTGTGCCTGCTTAATGTTTTAATAAAGAGTCTCAAGTTTCGGCTAGGCACGGTGGCTCACGCCTGTAATCCCAGCACTTTGGGAGGCCGAGGCGGGAGGATCACGAGTTCAGGAGATCGAGACCATCTTGGCTAACATGATGAAACCCCGTCTCCACTAAAAAAAATACAAAAAATTAGCCAGGCGTGGCAGCGGGCACCTGTAGTCCCAGCTACTCAGGAGGCTGAGGCAGGAGAATGGCGTGAACCCGGGAGGCAGAGCTTGCAGTGAGCCAAGATTGTGCCACTGCACTCCAGCCTGGGCGAAAGAGTGAGACTCTGTCTAAAAAAAAAAAAAAAGAGTCTCAAGTTTTTAGTTTCAGAAAATATAACTTTTCTGGGTCTTAAATCATTTCACAGAGACTGACCATAATGGTCCATTTCTGGAGGTTAATTCAGTCTGGTTCTAATTTGAAATGAATCAGGGGAAGCTTCAGAATCCTTTCATTAAGCACAGTGAAGCAAAGCAAATAGGACCAAAGAAACAGTAAACAAATAGAAAATGAGAAATGGCTGCTTTGGCGCCGGATTGAACTCAAAGCAGCCCTGAGTTTTCACAGTAACTTTAAATCTACTTGGTACCATAAAAATGCATCTGTGGTTTCCATGAACAATTCAATTGTGTCAAGGCTTTGGTCTCATTTGGAGGATTTGAGCCAAAACACTGTCACAACCTGTCATTGCTGGAATTTTACATTCAAGGCCCTTTCCTCTAGTATTTATTTTCCCCCTCTGGAATGTAAGTGGTATAGAAACCTAGGTTATTTAATGAAATGTTTAGGTTATAAATAATTTAGATTAAAAAGTACATACATATACACACACACATAGTCTTAGGGGCCCTGCAGATTGTTAGGCCCCCACAACTTTCAGGAGTTTTTGTTTTGTTTTCTTTTGAGACAAGAGTCTCACGCTCTCACCCAGGCTGGGGGTACAGTGGTGCCATCTCCGCTCACTGCAACCTCTTCCTCCCTGGTTCAAGCGATTCTTCCACTTCAGCCTCCAGAAGAGCTGAGGCATGCACCGTGACACCTGGCTAATTTTGTATTTTTGTATTTTTAGTAGAGATGTGGTTGCACCATGTTGACCAGAAGGTTGGTCTCTAACTCCTCCTAACCTTAAGTGATCCACCTGCTTCCAAGAGTGCTGGGGTTACAGGCATCAGCCACCATGCCCAGTCTTCCCACAACGTTTAAAAGAGAACCCAGAGGCCATGTTTGGTAGCTCATGCCTGTAATCCCAGCCCTTTGGGAGGCTGAGGCGGGAGGATCCCTTGAGCCCAGGAGTTCAAGGCTGCAGTGAGCTATTGTACCACTGGACTCCAGCCTGGGAGACACAGCAAGAAGCTGTCTCTAAAAATATACATATACTTAAAAAAAAAAAAAAAAAACTGTCTGGACAAACAACCCCCGTGTAACTCCACCCAACTGTTGCCATGAAGGAATGTGGGCTCGATGTTTCCAAATCTACTGACTTTACATGCTTAATCCCCAAATTTTTATGTGAAATATTCCTTTTTTTAAACATTGGTAACTAATTTAAAATTTTTAAAAACACTGTACCAAGCGGGGTGCGGTGGCTCACGCCTGTAATCCCAGCACTTTGGGAGGCTGAGGCAGGTGGATCACGAGATCAGGAGATGAAGACTATCCTGGCTAACACGGTGAAACCCCATCTCTACTAAAAATACAAAAAATTAGCTGAGCGTGGTGGTGCGCGCCTGTAGTCCCAGCTACCACGGAGGCTGAGGCAGGAGAATCGCTTAACCTGGGAGGTGGAGGTTGCAGTGAGCCAACATCGCGCCACTGCACTCTAGCCTGGGAGACAGAGCGAGACTCCATCTCAAAAATAAATACATAAATACATAAATACATAAAAATAAATAAATAAAAAATAAAAACACTGTACCGACCCATGTGGAAACGGCCAAGCAGAACTCAGACGCAGGGAGCATATAGAGCTGTGACCTTGGGGCACACAAAGTTATGGCCTCATTCCACCATGGAGCAGATACAGCCCTCAGGCACGAACTGGGACAGACATGAAAATCTATAAAATGTGTCCTGCCCTCCAGTATCTTCCTATCCTGGAGGGTAA
Organism: Homo sapiens; assembly: GCF_000001405.40. Classification (NCBI taxonomy): domain Eukaryota; kingdom Metazoa; phylum Chordata; class Mammalia; order Primates; family Hominidae; genus Homo; species Homo sapiens. The sequence goes on from NC_000009.12 coordinate 87,473,476, forward strand.
ATGATGCATACAACTAATGTTTTCACGCAAAGTAAAAAACAATAATAAATAAATATATAATCATCACAATAATAAATAAGCAGGTGGCATGTAATTATCAGGGCACTGTAGAGAAACAGAAGCAGCAGCAGATAAGAAAAGTTTTATTTATTTTAAGGAATTGGCTCATGCAATTGTGGAGGCTGCTGTGTTTGTAATTTACAGGGCAGGCCGGCAGGCTGGAAACTCAGGGAGGGGTTGACACCGCAGTCCTGAGGCAGAATTTCTTCTTTTCCTAGAAACTCCAGTTTTTGCTCTTAGGACTTTCAACAGACTAGATGAGGCTCACTCATGTCATCCAGGAAAATCTCCTTTACTTAAAGTCAACTTATTAGGCCGGGCACGGTGGCTCATGCCTGTAATCCCAGCTCTTTGGAAGGCCGAGGCGGGTGGATCACGAGGTCAAGAGATCGAGACCATCCTGGCTAACACGGTGAAACCCCGTCTCCACTAAAAATACAAAAAATTCTCTGGGTGTGGTGGCGGGCGCCTGTAGTCCCAGCTACTCGGGAGGCTGAGGCAGGAGAATGGCGTGAGCCCGGGAGGCAGAGCAATGCAGCGAGCCGAGATTGTGCCACTGTACTCCAGCCTGGGTGACAGAGTGAGACTCCGACTCAAAAAAAAAAAAAATCAACTTATTGTAGGTGTTCACCTCATCTACAAGCTACCTTCATGGCAACACCTAGATAAGTGTTTGAGTAACTGGATACTGTGGCCCAGCAAAGCCGACACATAAAAATAACTACTCCACGGGAACAGTGCTGTCAGAGAGGTGCAAAAAACCACTGCAGGAGTTCAGGAGAATGAAAAGTCAAGGAAACTTAGATGGTTGAAAACAATCCCCATGATAAAAGAGCAAAGAAATAAAGCCTTCTCAATAGAGAAGACCAAAAAGAAATAATACTGATTAACAGTAGCCAAGCACATGTACGCTGTCATATAGTCTTTCTTTCTTTTCTTTTTTTTTTTTTTGAGACAGAGTCTTGCTGTGTTGCCCAGGCTGGAGTACAGTGGCACAGTCTCAGCTCATTGTAACCTCTGCCTCCTGGATTCAAGCGATTCTCCTGCCTCTGCCTCCTGAGTACCTGGGATTACAGGTGCCTGCCACCACACCTGGCTGATTTTTGTATTTTCAGTAGAGATGGGGTTTCACCATGTTGGCCAGGCTGGTCTCAAACTCCTGACTTCAGGTGATCCACCTGCCTCGGCCTCCCAAAATGCTGGGATTACAGGTGTGAGCCACCGTGCCCGGCCTATTATTTATTTTTAATCATCTCAACTACCCTAATGGGGCAGGAACTATCATTCTCCCCACTTTATAGATAAAGACAACTGACCCCAGTGTTTCCAATGTCACACAACTGTGATAGAAATGGAACTCAAATTCAGGCAGTGTGAAATCTCCAGATGGCCCTACTCATACTTCCCTAATGAACGCATACATGACCTCATTAATTCTAATAAAGGCCCCATGAGATAGGTATCATTATCCCCTCTTACTCATTTGTAAGGTGACAGCACTGGGATTTGAACCTGGCTTATCTGACTCTAAACTTATGCTCTGTCCACCCCAGCATGTGGCATGCCTCCGGCCTTGCTCCAAACATACCAAGGAGAATGTGTCAAGGGGTCTAGTTTATGTTCAGATGCAACCTCCGAGTGGAATGCAGCTTAATTTCAAGCAGTAAAAAATGTTGGTAGAATAGTAGAAGTAACTTCTTGGTTGTCCATCAGGGAAATGCACACATCAACTGGAGAAAGAAACGTTTATCCTTGGAGAACTTGACTGCTTTGAACATTAGCCTCCCCAAAGACCAAGATAAGGTTATAATCATTGAATGGGAATGTGTATTGAGACTGTGAATTTTGGTTATTGATTGGCAAGAATAAAAACACAGCACTTTCCACCCACACAGAAAACAACACCAAAGTTGGCTTCTCTTAAATGAAAATATTTCCTTGGCTTTCTCTTAGCTACATATTTTTAGCAAAAATTAAATATACACTGCAAATCATGTCTTCTTTTCTTGGGTAGGGAATAGACTCATTTCAATCTAACTTCAAAGGAGCAACCAGAAGACTTTTCTTTCCCCGACCACTTTGAAATACTCCTACACTATTTTATCCTTTTCTCTCAGTGAGTTATTTTTTTCCTCTCAGAACGTAGAGTATGTGAGAAATCTGTACTGTTCTATTTTTGCTGAGGAATGAATTCTGAGCTCACTTTGAGCTCATAAAATTGTCATCTATTCACTTGTTATCTCTTCTCTAGACCTTCCTGCTAGAGTCAATGCCAGGTCTATCTCCCTTCTATGATCATGATGATAACAGGAAATATAGCATAATCATTTAGCAATTGTTTAAAATTAAATGATGCCCTTTCATTGTCATTATTTTTATCTTAATTATATCTCCACAATATATAACAGTAATCATCCAGTTCCTCATAATTTTATATGATGGGCATGATATTGCAAATCAGATCATAAAAATAAAATCTATATTCATTGTATGCCAGGCTCCAGGCTATACAGACATTTAAAACTCACAAAAACCCTATGAGGTAGATACTAATATCCTCATTTTTCTAAGGAGGAAACTGAGGTATAGGTAATTTCAGTAATTTGCTCATGTTTATACAGGAAGGGAGCCGAAATGTAAAATGAAGCATCCTGCCCGCAAAGACAGTTTGTGGCCATAACAGTGTGTACAACTCCCACTAAATAATTGTGAGGTTTCATTTTCTTGTTTTTCTCTTTCTTCTTGGAAGTTCAAAACTACATTTTATGGAGGCAGAACAAATAAACACAAATATTCCATAGGGAAACACTGTGGATAAATAGGCCTTGTCTGTCATTCAGGATAGGTGCCAGTCAAAAGGTGAGCTATGAATCTACTCCCTAGAATAAGCTACAGAGTGGAAGGTGAAAGTTCAGGAGGCTCTTCACCAAAACTACCTGACTTTAAAACCCTAATAAGATTTCCCATGCCGGGTGCAGTGGCTCACGCCTGTAATCCCAGCACTTTAGGAGGCCGAGGCAGGTGGATCATGAGGTCGGGAGATCGAGACCATCCTGGCTAACACAGTGAAACCCCGTCTCTACTAAAAATGCAAAAACTTAGCCAGGCGTGGCGGCGGGCACCTGTAGTCCCAGCTACTCGGGAGGCTGAGGCAGGAGAATGGCGTGAACCCAGGAGGTGGATCTTGCTGTGAGCCGAGATCGCTCCACTGCACTCCGGCCTGGGCGACAGAGCGAGACTCAGTCTCAAAAAAAAAAAAAATGTTGTTGGGTGTAGTGGCTCACCCCTGTTATCCCAGCAATTTGGGAGGCTGAGGCAGGAGGATTGCTTGAGGCTAGGAGTTCAAGAGCAACCTGGGCAACATAACACGACCCTATCTCTAAAAATAAAAAATGATATTCCTCTGATGTAGCAAACTATGAGAAATCATAGACATAGGGCTTGACATCCAACCCAACCTCCCACTGTGCCAAAGTGACCCAGATTCATAAAGATTTTGGTAGAACTAGAACCCACTATCTAGTTAACGTACTGTCCTCTCAAACAAGTGAGTGTAGACAAAAGTGCATGGCTTTAAAAGTCAATTCAACAGCTCAAGTTAAACACAGAGACAAGAATATCAATGTGATAGATGTTCACTCTCTGTGTAGCATTAAAAGCAGGTTTCGGCAGTATCCCAGCAGCCCCAAATCTCCGTTAACTGGAATTTCCATAAAAGATGCTCATAATTCTTCAAGATTTCATGGTGCCTTCTGGATCATTACAGAAAAGATAAAATGACAGTTGGTGCAGTTTTTTTCAAAAAATTATTTTAGCTGGGCATGGTGGCTCACGCCTATAATTCCAGCACTTTGGGAGGCCGAGGCAGGGAGATCACCTGAGGTCAGGAGTTTGAGACCAGCTTGGCCAACGCTGTGAAACCCCATCTCTACTAAAAATAGAGAAATTAGCTGGGCATGTGGCAGGCACCCGTAATCCTAGTTACTCGGAAGGCTGAGGCACGAGAATTGCTTGAACCCAGGAGGCAGAGGTTGCAGTGAGCCAAGACTGTGCCACTGCACTCCAGCCTGGGCAACGGAGCAAGACTCCGACTCAAAAAAAATTATTATACTTTTAGCTGACAAATAATTGTATATGTTGGTCAGTGCAGTTCTGCTGTTTTGCTGTTTTGTTCTGCCTTTGCACATGGCATTTTACCTTGCCTGTCCTGAACTCAGAGTATGTTTATTAACCAGAGCAGCCAGGCTAAGCAGAAACAGTTTAAAGTTGACAGAGAGGGTCTCCTTATCTGTCCAGAAAAGTCAGTGGATTCTAAGTATATTTGGAAAAAAATTGTTGCAAAGCAACAAAAGAGAAAAAATAGCTATAATACAGCATCAAGATCTGTTAGGCCTAGAAAATATTGTCATTTCTGCTTTTCATGCAGGGGGAAAGCTTCCTTCAGCTTGTACATAAAACCTCAGTACGCTTATCTTCTTCTACATATTTAAAGTAATAGAACTCGGTCTAATTTCAAGAATTACTTGAAAAGTGGGTGGCCAACCAGGTGGGCAATCCAGGTAGGAATCCAGGTGGCTCTGAAGATGTGAACACAGGTAAGCAGAGGTTGTCATTTCAGAAGATCTGGAGGTCAAGGTCTGGGGGAGACTGGTGTGCAAGAGGTTAATTAGTGAGTGCCCTTGGGATTAATACTTGAGGAAGGGAAGGACAGGAGATAGGATTGGCAGAGGGCAAAGTGGAGCAGCCATGATGAAGGCTACAGACAACCCCTCCAGGAGCTTTAGAGCTGCGATAACCCATTCAGAGTTGTGTCAAATTCAGGAGACCACCTCCAGTGGATGCAGCCTGCTCCAGCTAGGGGACCTGGCCTTGGGCCAGAAGGCTCTCTTCAGCTGGGGCAAGTCCCACAGTGGGCTGACAGCTAAGGGTGTTGTCCCAAGAGCACTTCCCACAGCTAGCTGAGGAAGTGAAGCCTGCAATCCCTGAAGGGGACCTGGGTTAGGGGCCACACCACAGCACCATCCCAGGAAAATAAACATCTCCCTCTCCTGGGAGCAGGGCTTTGAAAAACTAGGCAAGAGTATCAGAGCTGCCATCCCAAGATAGGGCTCAGGGCAAGACCCCCATTTCAGGGGCAATGGGGAGAACAGGGCCTGGAAGATGAATCTTTGCTTCACAACAGAATGCAAATAAGACTGAAGGCGAGGCTGTCAAAGGGCCAGCCCACACAGAGCAGGAGCCAACCTGGGGGCTTTGGGTGCTAGAGGGGTCGCGTGTGGCCCGTGCTCTGCTGCACCCTCTCCTAGGTCAGTTTGATAACCAGGAAGCTCAGGGAAGCCCCTGGAAGCCCAGCAGGACCGCCCGGGTCACAGACTCACAGTTCAGGGAGTGCAGCCCAGCCTGGTGCTGGAGTGGGGGTGTGAGAGAGGAGGTGAAGGGGGAGTATCCTAGTTTTACCAGCTTTAAGGAGATGGAGAAGACAGGAGACGGCAGGAGTAAAGGTAAGTAATTAGCTGCAGTTTGCAAATGCGGGATACCTTACATTTTACAAAAGCCTTTGCATAGATATGATTCTATTTTGTTAGTTCTGCCCCTAGAATGTTTATATATAAAAATGTTATCTGTAGATGAATATGATAGATTCTTTTTTCTTTTTTAATTTTTTTGAGATGGAGTCTCGCTTTTTGCCCAGGCTGGAGTGCAGTGGCATGATCTTGGCTCACTGCAACCTCCGCCTCCTGGGTTCAAGTGATTCTCCTGCCTCAGCCTCCCGAGTAGCTGGGATTACAGGGGTGTACCACCATGCTCAGCTAGGTTTTGTATTTTTTTTTTTTTTTTTTTGAGATAGAGTCTCGCTCTGTTGCCCAGGCTGGCATGCAGTGGCAGGATCTCGGCTCACTGCAAGCTCTGCCTCCCGGGTTCACGCCATTCTCCTGCCTCAGCCTCCCGAGTAGCTGGGACTACAGGTGCCCGCCACCACGCCTGGCTAATTTTTTGTATTTTTAGTAGAGACGGGGTTTCACCGTGTTAGCCAGGATGGTCTCGATCTCCTGACCTCATGATCCACCCGCTTCGGCCTCCCAAAGTGCTGGGATTACAGGCGTGAGCCACTGCGCCCAGCCGGTTTTGTATTTTTAGTGGAGACGGGGTTTCACCCTATTGGCCAGGCTGGTCTCAAACTCCTGACCTCAAGTAATCCACCCACCTCGGCCTCCTAAAGTCCTGGGATTATAGGCATGAGCCACCGCTCCGGGCTGAGATTCTTACAGCATAGCTGATATCAGAGTGCATCTCTCTCTCTCCCCTCTCCCCCAGGACTCTGGAGCCATGAGTAACACCAGGCAGGAGAGCACCCAGGAGTGTGTGGTTTCTGTGGTGGCTGGGCCACTGCAAGTTTCCTTGGCCACGTGACCATTCTTAGCCCAGGAAGACGACTCCAGTAGTACTTTCTTCACTTCCCCTTTCACTTCTCTTGTTCACCAATGTTAAGGGACCACCAGTTTTTAGAGATTCACCCACATTGTGAAGGTGGTGAGGTCATGTTGCCACTTTGACAATGACATGGCATTTAATTTTTAACCAAACCAAATACAGCATTCTGTCACTCGGGACAACCTTTGGAGACAGCTCCAAGGAAGTCTCCCCTCATGTTCTGCCTGCCGGATTAAACAGGAGTCTTGTTGAAGAAAACATGAAACAGGGAAAGTTAAGACCTCAGCAGTCATAACTGTTAATAAAACATGAGACTGCAAGAGGTGATGTTAGAAAAGAAACTTAATGTCCGCCTAGGTAATCATATCTTCTTATCGTGGGACCAAAGCATAAATGTAACTCATATATGTTTGTCCATTAAAATTAAGTGGTGGATCACATCCCCATCCCTGTAAATACTGGTTTGGACACCTCCAGGGGAAGGCAGGACAATGGGAAATTATATACATAAAGGCAAAGGGACCAATTGAAAACTTCCATTGCTAGATCCTCACATGACCTCTTTGAGGTCACATCCTATTTATAATAGGCAAAGCATAACCCTTCAGTGCCAATTAACAAATGCTTTATTAGGGTATTTGCGTGTTTATAACCATTGAATAATGTCCTTGCAAAGCGGCATCTTGCTGTCTATTTTCAGGTACTTAATTAATGGCCTTGCTCCAGGATAAACACATCCTGTGTTAAATAAGACGATGAAAGCTTATAAAAAAAATGCATCATGCTCTTTTTTTTTTTTTTTTTTTTTTTTTGAGATGGAGTCTTGCTTTGTCGCCCAGGTTGGAGTGCAGTGGCGCGATCTCGGCTCACTGCAAGCTCCGCCTCCCGGGTTCAGGCCATTTTCCTGCCTCAGCCTCCCAAGTAGCTGGGACTACAGGCACCCACCACCACGCCCGGCTAATTTTTTTGTATTTTTAGTGGAGACGGGGTTTCACCGTCTTAGCCAGGATGGTCTTGATCTCCTGACCTCGTGATCCGCCCACATCAGCCTACCAAAGTGCTAGGATTACAGGCGTGAGCCACCACACCCAGCCTCATCCTCTATTTTTGGCCTTCATGTGTGGTAATGGTTTCAGAGATGTATGCTTATCCCCAAACTTATTGAGATGTACATATTACCCATGTACAGCTTTTTATGTCAACCAGACCTCAATAAAGTGGTTTTTAAAAAACTGTTTCTTGCATGTCATTGCATTAGACATTGCCCTTCAACACAAAATTGTAAACAATTATTTTAAACAAAACTATCATAGCAGCCATTGAGAGGATGTTAATTCTGCCATTTCTCCTACAACTCATTCAGCCACACTTGGAAGATTTTAAGAGGATACACATACCATAAATTAAATACAAGATGTTATGTTCTATCACACACATCAATATGTACTCTCTTTCAAGAATTCCAAGAGCACTCTCTATATCACTTTGAAGAAAATTCTACAAATCTTTTCTTTAAAAGAAAGCTTGGCCCTGTGTGGTGGCTCATGCCTGTAGTCCCAGCACTTTGGGAGGCCAAGGTGAGAGGATTGCTTGAAGCCACGAGTTCAAGATCAGCTTGAGCAACATAGCAAGACCCTGTCTCTACAAAAAAAATTTTTTTTAATTAGCCAGGCATAGTGGTATGCACCTGTGATCCCAACTACTCGGGCAGCTGAGGTGGGAGATCAAGGTTGATCTCCCACAGGCTACAGTGAGCTGTGATTAAGCCACTGCACTCTAGCCTGGGCAGCACAGTGAGACCCTGTCTAAAAATAAAAATTTTAAAAAAGCTTTCTTGTAATTTATTTGTTTTCAGAGTACAACTAAATTATATTTAGCACATTTTGCAATTCCTTTTAAAAGTGATTGTCCTCGGTCAAAAGCATGTATTGAGTTTTCCCCAATCATGTGAATCATTTTAATTCAAGTATTTTGGTTGCTTCTGTTTCTAGGTTACCATTTGTACAGAACTCACAGTTCTCTATAGCTAGAAGATTGAAAGGCCTGGGTTTACCTGATGACAGATTTTAACAATATTTGGTTGCCTCTGCCTTGTTATCAGAATATTGAGAAATCCACCTGGCTAATCCTATTTAATATTACAGAACACTCCAAAGGCAGGACGTGATATGTTAAACATTTGCAATGCTGCTTAGAAGTCTGCCTTGCTGCGATCATATTTTTAAATGGTTTATTTCACTGTCAAAATACAATGCATTTAGTCATCATTAAATACATTTTTCTCTGCTTCTCGGCAGGTGCACAGCTTATTGGTCATGGGGAAAATTTGTCACGGTGCATAACTTAAAGGTGCCATAAAGTTTGCACCTTCAGGAACACCTATGCATTGGTGCTCTTAAACAGCTTGCAGTGAGTTTTAGAAGCCAATGGATCTAATTTAGCACTACTGTGATCCTCTCTGAAAATAGAACTGTTATGTTTTCAATTAGCATATCTTTAATCAAAAGCTAGAGAAGGAAGGGAGGGAGGGAGAAAGGAAGGGAGGGAGGGGAGGGGAAGGGGGAAGGAGGGAGGGAGGAAGGAAGGAAGGAAGGAAGGAAGGAAGGAAGGAAGGAAGGAAGGAAGGAAGGAATATCTAGGAAAAAAACAATTATTTGACAGTTTTACTTAAAAGTGTCCCATATGTAGAACATTCTGCTCAGCTGTGGGACACTGAGCAGTAATAATACAAGGCACATTCCTGAAGAACAGTGTGTTTTGAGAGATGAGACAATCAAACATGGAATAATAAAGGTTATTTAAAGGAACACATATTTAGGAGGTTAATTGCATAGAAATAATTAAAGGGTCATAGAAGTTTAGAGAAGAGAGATCAATGTAGACTATAAATATGAGAAAAAGTTTCAAGAAGAAAACAAGACAGGAGCTGGACCTAAGGGATGCTTAATATTCTTTTTTTCTTTTTTTTTCTTTTTTTCTTAAGATGCAGTCTCATCTGTCACCAGGCTGGAGTGCAGTCATGTGATCTCGGTTCGCTGCAACCTCCGCCTCCTCGGTTCGAGAGATTCTCCTGCCTCAGCCTCCCAAGAAGCTGGGACTACAGGCGCCTGCCACCACACCCAGCTAATTTTTGTATTTTTAGTAGAGACGGGGTTTCACCATGTTGGCCAGGATGTTCTCGAACTCCTGACCTCGTGATCTGCCCGCCTTGGCCTCCCAAAGTGCTGGGATTACAGAAGTGAGCCACCGCACCCAGCCACGGATGCTTAATATTCTAAGAGAAAGTTTCCAAATTTGGGAGTACTCTGGTATATACAGTCATAATTTCCATAGAAGTGGTATTACCTATATTTATATCTGCCTAAATTGCCTTAGAAATAGCACATAAACAAGAATGTATCCCTGTGGCTATATTCAGAACCATGGAGCTGAAAGATATACAAAGTAGTCTGCCAATATTTAGTGTTTCTTGTTGTTCTCATGTCCCTGGACAAAATAAGATTCAATAAGTTAGGGAACCCTGGCACTCCAAATTCCTGCCTTGGAGCACCCCCTTGCCTAATATCCTATTAAAGGTCTGAGAAGTTGTGTTGAAAAGAAACTGTTTGGTTCTTTTTACTTTAGAATTCCCCAAAGCTTATCTGACCGTGGAATGCTTTTTTTTGCTCACAGATCACTTCTGTTAGCATGTCAAAGAATGGAACGCCATGGAACACAGTTTAGGAAATAGTGATCCACAGTAATAAGAAAATAAACAATCCACTAAAAAATGGACCAGAGACCTTAACAGACAAAGATGGAGAGATAAGCTTATCAAAAGATGCTCCACAGCATATGTCATCGGGGACATGCAAACTAAAACAATAATGAGATACCTCTATATTGCCTGTTACAGTGGTCAAAATCCAGAATGCTGACGATACCAAATTGTGATGAGGATGTGGAGCAACAGGGACTCTCATTCATTGCTGGTGAGGATGCAAAATGCTTCAGCCTCTGTGGAAGACAGATTGGCAGTTTCTTGTGCACCAAACATAGTCTTACCCTAGGATCCAGTAATCAAGGTTTATGGTATTTACCCAAAGGATTTGAAAATGTATGTCCATACAAAAAACCTGCACACAGATGTTTAAAGGAATTTTATTCATAATTACCAAAACTTGGAAGTAACCAAGATGTCCTTTAGTAGATGAATGGATAAATTGTGGTACATCCAGACAATGGAATACTATTCACTGCTAAAATGATATGAGCTATCAAGCCATGAAAAACCATGGAGGAACCCTAAATGCTTATGACTAAGTCAAAGAAGTGTATCTGAAAAGGCTACAAACTCTGATTTCCACTATGACATTGTGGAAAAGGCAAAACTATGGAAACAGTGAAAGAATCAGTGGTTGCTGGGTGTTAGAGAAGAGGGAGGCATGAACGGGTAGAGCATGGAGAATTTTTAGGGCAGTGAAACTGTTATATATAACATTATCATGGTGGCTACAATTATAAATTTGTCCACATTCTCAGAATGTACCTAGTAGGAGTGAACTCTAATGTAAACTATGAACTCTGGGTGACGATGTGTCAATGTAGATTCATCAATTGGAGCAAATGTACTCCCACTATGGTGGGAGATATTAATCATGGGGGAGACTCTGCGTGTGGGGGCAGAGGTTATATAAGAAATCTCTGTATCTTCTGCTCAATAATACTGTGAACCTAAAACTGCTCTAAAAAACAATCTATTCGCTATGTGCAGTGACACATATCTGTATTCCCAGCTATTCAGGAGGCTGAAGCAGAAGGATAACTTGGGCCCAGGAGTTCAAAGCTATACTGCACCATGATTGTACTTATGAATAGCCACTGAGCTCCAGCCTGGACAACATAGCAAGACCCTGTCTCAAAAAAAAAATCCAGTCAAGTAGGCATTATACACCAGTGAAATCTGGTTCACATATGTGTTTTGTTTGCCACCTTACCTACTTATATTATCTGTCTCGTACAAAGTTCTGTCTAAAAAAATTAAAAAAGGAGAAATCGGTATTGAGAGCTATTATGCCATTTGCTCAAGACCCCATGGCAGAGTTAATGGTACAGTGAGCCATAGAAGCCAAGTCTCCTCAACTCCAGTCTCCAGCTTGTTCTACAAGCTTATCTATGTACTGATACTCTCAGAAAGACAGATGAACAGACTGGAACAGTATCAAAACTGGTCTGGAGAGGAAAAAAATAGGAGCCTAAAGTCTAACCTACTCAAATATGGCCAAATACAAGTAAAATTCTAAAAACTTGATTAAAGAAAAGCACTATGTGATTTTTAAAGTGTAAAATTGTTCAAACGCATACAGATGGTCCCAGTAAGAATTTGCAATCACTAACCAATTCCATAGGAATATCTGGTCCACTTTTTTCCTTTTATTATTTATTTATTTATTTTGAGACAGAGTCTTGCTTTGTTGCCCAGGCTGGAGTGGAGAGGTGCAATTATGGCTCACTGCAACCTCTGCCTCCTGGGCTCAGCAACCCTCCTACCTTAGCCTCCTGAGTAGCTGGGACGACAGACACATGTCACCACGCCTGGCTAATTTCTGTATTTTTTGTAGAGACAGGGTCTCACTATGATGCCCAGGCTGGTCTCAAACTCCTAAACTCAAGCGAACAGCCCACTTTGGCCTCCCAAAATGCTAGGATTACAGGCATGAGCCACTCCGCCCAGCCTGGTCCACTTTTTTAAACCAAACAAATCTCTTATTTCTCCTTGGGAATGGGTGCACTTCCACCTTATTCTTGCTTTGAAATGACAGACATTAAAATGAATTACGGTTGAATGCAGTGTATGGAGAAAAATCCAGTGCAGTCAAAACATGTGAGAGCCACAGCTCCCACTTGTCATCTCTTTTTGTTTCTTTCTTTCTTTTTTTTTTTTTTTTTGACGGAGTCTCGCTCTGTCGCCCAGGCTGGACTGCAGTGGCGCAATCTCGGCTCACTGCAAGCTCTGCCTCCTGGGTTCACGCCATTCTCCTGCCTCAGCCGCCTGAGTAGCTGGGACTACAGGCGCCCACCACCACGCCCTGCTAATTTTTTGTATTTTTAGTAGAGACGGGGTTTCACCGTGTTAGCTGGGATGGTCTTGATCTCCTGACCTCGTGATCCGCCCGCCTCGGCCTCCCAAAGTGCTGGGATTACAGGCATGAGCCACTGCACCCGGCCGTGTCACCTCTTTTTGGATTGAAGTTCCTGTGATCCATGCTGCTTGACAGTTGCCTAACAACTGTCAATTAACCATTAACAAGCTGTCAACTATTTTAAGTTTTGTCTTTTTTAACATTTTTAAGTGTGATTCCTTCTTTTATGTCTTTAATCATTTTAAGCATTCTTATTTTACAGTCTCTATCCAATTGTCCTGTTATCTGAAGTTAGTGGGAGTGAAAGTACATTGGTTATTTATTAAATCTGCTGTACCTAATTATGCTACATTGGTTCCTCAAAGGTTTTGCAGTCTTCCATTGTGAGCTCATCTTCAATGGGGCTTGGTTATTCTCCCTGGCGTGAGATGAGGACAGGTCTCTCCAGAAGAGTTCACCAGTGGAGAAACACTTATTCGACTAAGATGATTTTGGACCAATCAAGAAATGTGAATTTTAAACGCAATTCCGTGTGAGGATGAGGTCTGAGGTTATATAAACTCTCATGGATTTTATGGCAGATCAGCTTTTTGTTATCAGTTTTCGTAAGTGGGTAAATTTTCATCAAGGCTACCTCTTACTGAAAGTTTTGTCTTTTGGAGACAAAAGTGCTAAAAGTCTCATCTCCTGTCTCACTTGGGTATTAAAAACCCAACCCAACCCTATCCCCCATGCTGTCAGAGCTGGTTGTATCTTCCGTATTTATTTATTTATTTTTGAGATGACGTCTCACTCTGTCGCCCAGGCTGGAGTGCAATGACACGATCTTGGCTCACTGCAACCTCTGTCCCCTGAGTTCAAGCAATTCTCCTGTCTCGGCCTCCTAAGTAGCTGGGATTACAGGCATGTGCCACCACGCTCAGCTAATTCTTTTGTATTTTTGTAAAGATGGGGTTTCACCATGTTGCCAGGCTGGTCTCGAACTCCTGACCTCAAGTGATCCACCTGCCTCGGCCTCCCAAAGTGCTGGGATTACAGGTGTGAGCCACTGTGGCCCGCCTCTTCCTTACTTTCTTTCAGAGGCAGATGTACATTTAAATGATGCTTGCTCTATGTTATTAATATGTTTCTAGTACCCTGTAGCTAGAGGGTTTTTGAGTTTCTTGTTCACCATCCTGCCAGATTCAGAACACCCTTTACCCTCCATTGTGTGGTTTCTGTCAGAGTCTTAAGGGAACAGATCAGGTTGGTTGGATTTTCTTGTATGCCTCACTCAGCAAATGTATGAAAAATACATAAAACTATTATAGGTTCAAGGTTTTCCAATGACCTGGAAAAGGTTCTTGTTTATTCTTTTCTGGGACCTTTTTTATTTTTAATAATAAATAGTGTTTGTAAACAAATTGAAGATGCAAAAGTGAAGGGGGGTTTTTTTGGTCAAATACGAGATCCTTAAAAAACCACTTTTCTGTGCAGCAACCATTGATGTCAGGAACTAACACACTGAGTACCTCATCCCATCCTTTGGATCCGCCAGCAGTGACAATGAACTTGAAAGCCTCTTGTTGCTTTAAGGAACTTTTCTAAGAGAGAAAAGGGAATCAGCTCAACATTTCTTGGACAGATATTAGGGACCTGGCCCATTCCAATTACCACACGAAAGTCCTTCCAAACTCTAGGAAGGCCAGCACAATTATTGGTCAACTGTTTAATTCATGTTTGTTTTACTCGGCATCCTATTTTAACCAGAATTTACAATACCATAAAGTTGCATTTTATGTGATTTTGTACACACACACACTCAACTATAACGATGAATGAAGTGCTATGGTGGATATGTATAGTGTCTCTATGCCCCTTTTTATTATTCTTGGAGCATAATCTTACTGCTTTGTATTTCCAAGGAGGTTATAGTTGCTGAGCCTTGGCTTTCATGACATATTTTTGTTTACTGCCACGATTTATTTGATGCCAAATTCTTGGTCAGTAGTATGGCTTCCAATTATTGTATTCTTTAATGGAAAATAGCTTTCTGTTATACCAGGAACTGCATAATGCTCAAGATTCCTGAAATGTATTTTGGTTACAAGTAAAGACCACCTGTATATCAGGATGTTATTGTAGTTAATTCATTACACTAAAAAGCAGTTAAGCCATGCGCGTTGGCTCACGCCTGTAATCCCAGCACTTTGGGAGGCCAAGGCAGGTGGATTACCTGAGGTTGGGAGTTCGAGACCAGCCTGACTCACATGGAGAAACCCCATCTCTACTAAAAATACAAAATTAGCCAGGCTGGTAGGCGCGTGCCTGTAATCCCAGCTACTCGGGAAGCTGAGGCAGGAGAATCACTTGAACCTGGGAGGTGGAGGTTGCCGTGAGCCAAGATCGCGCCATTGCCCTCCAGCCTGGGCAACAGGAGGGAAACTCCATCTCAAAAAAAAAAAAAAAAAAAAGCAATTAATCCAGAATTAAATATTCCCTGTGTGCCTAGTCCCACACTCCTGAACTTTTTGAGTTATTCTAAGACACAAATTTCTTTTCTTTTCTTTTTTTTTTTTTTTTTTGAGACAGAGTTTCGCTTTTGTTGCCCAGGCTGGAGTGCAATGGCGCAATCTTGGCTCACCACAACCTCCGCCTCCTGGGTTCAAGCGATTCTCCTGCCTCAGCCTTCCCGAGTAGTTGGGATTACAGACATGCACCACCATGCCCGGCTAATTTTGTATTTTTAGTAGAGACAGGGTTTCTCCATGTTGGTCAGGCTGGTCTCGAACTCCCGACCTCAGGTGATCCGCCCACCTTGGCCTCCCAAAGTGCCGGGATTACAGGCATGAGCCACTGCGCCCAGCCCTCTAAGACACAAATTTCTAAAAGACATAGACTTCTAATGCTCAAGGAGCCTACAAGTTTCTTAAAAGCTTATGATGTGGCCTACAATCAAATGCCTAATCAAATTACTCCAAAGTCAAGAAACATTTTTAAAAGATGTATTTAAGATATAACTTTTTAAAAAGATGTATTTAAGTTATAACTTTGTAATAGATGAAATAATCTGTTAATACTTGAAAAATTAATCACACGTGCAAAAGCTTGGATAGGATTGTAGGGGTGTTTTTTAAAGCTTAAGAGGGTGAGGTAGACTAAAAGGAGGGGGTGGAGTGAAGGTGGGCAGAAGAGATGGGCAATGCATTTTCAACTGTTTTGCCTTTCTTTGCCCCCCTGGATTAGGGGATTGGTTGTAGTTAGGCAGTTCCACTTCCTGACTTTATTCTAAGAAATGTAAGCAGGAAATTAAAAAAAAAACCCAAGTAGATCCTTTTTTAAGAGGAGTCTAAAGAAATACAACATGTGACCGCAGTGCTTCTACATCATAAATCCCTGGGTCTTTTTCTTGTTTTTTTTTTTTTTTTTTTGAGGTGGAGTCTCACTCTGTTGCCCAGGCTGGAGTGCAGTGGCGTGATCTCGGCTCACTGCAAGCTCCGCCTCCCGGGTTCACGCCATTCTCCTGCCTCAGCCTCCTGAGTAGCTGGGACTACAGGGGCCCACCACCACGCTCTGCTAATTTTTTTTTTGTATTTTTAGTAGAGTCGGGGTTTCATCCTGTTAGCCAGGATGGTCTCGATCTCCTGACCTCATGATCCACCCGCCTTGGCCTCTCAAAGTGCTGGGATTACAGGCGTGAACCACCACGCCCAGTCTTTTCCCTGTGTCTTTTTCACTGCCATCCTTGTTACTCAATAAATAATTAAGTGAGGCCTGGTGTGGTGGCTCATGCCTGTAATCCCAACACTTTGGGAGACCAAAGCAGGATGATCGCTTGGTTTAAGACCATCCTGGGTAACACAGAGAGACCTCATTTCTACAGAAAATAAAAAATTAGCCAGGCATGGTGGTACATAGCTATAGTCCCAGCTACTTGAGAGGCTGAGGAGAAAGGATTGCTTGAGCCTGGGAGGTTGAGGCTACAGTGGGCGGTGATCATGTCACTGCACTCCAGCTTGGGTGACAGAGTGAGAGACATTGTCAAAAACATTTTTTTTAAAAAAAAAAGAGAGAGAGAAAATAGTAGAAAATGCTTAATCAACACATTAAATTGCACCCATATTTTGATATGGTTGTCAAAAAAGAGTATATTTGGACATATTAAGTCTATATAAACAGAAGGCACCAATTTTATAGGTGTGTACATTTAGAGCTCTTGGTATGTGAATACAGCATTGAATGGATCAAAGATTATTGTTGTCTTTGCAAATCTTCAAACTGACAGAACCTTTTGGAAAAATTTATGGCAAGTTTGTCTTTTTTTAAAAGCAATGTTTCTATAAATCCTACCAAAGTGCTATGAATAAGGCTGTAAATCACTTTACTGGCTTGAGTAATGGGACTTTTATTTCATGAAACCATGCCAGGAAACCTAGAGGCTTTCACTGATATTGAATCTTCTGTAATATTTAATACCTATCCAACCCAAAAAGATGAATTTTGATACTGACTAAAAATATTTTTACCACAATTTTTGCTGAAAGGAAAATAAATAGAAATCAATGGTGTTAAGTTGGATGGTCTGAAAGAGGTTCATTAGTCATCAGAAGAGAAAAAAATTAGAAGCACTAGAAAATAAATCAATGTGGATATAAGTTCAGATTTTATCTGTAATTATGATTGGTACATCCATTTCTAATGGATGAATAATGCTGACCGCTTCTTTCTGGGTGACATTTTTCTGTCTTGCTTGATGTTTATTTGACAAAACAGAAAGAAACTCTTTTGAATGTCTTATTCTCCTTTTTAATTATTAGGTTGGTGTGAAAGTGATTGTGGTTTTTGCCATTATTTTGGGGCCAACTAATATATTCAAATATTCTTACAAGGAATGTAGAATCTGGTAGCCAGCTGCATAAAATCTCAATAGTCAATGAGTCCTGTAGGAAGAAAAGTGTACATGTTATACAAAAGCTAAATTTGCACATGCTAGCAAAATGAGTGACACATACACTACCATGAGGCACCTCCATGACAATTCAGTTAGGAACCTGATTGACATTCTGAGCCTTGAGTTTTGCAAATGCTGTTTAGTGTTACCAATCTTTTGCTTCAGGTAGTGACAGAACCTAAATGAAATTGGTCCAGGCATAAAAGAAATTAGGCTAAAGGCAAAAGTAAACCTGTAATGCCAGATCACTGGTCAGTGACTTGTAAGTGCTTATTTGCACACTGCCTGTTTTTACAAAGAATTTAATGCATTCAATACCACAGGGCTCAATATATGAAAATTGGGGGAAAATAACCTGAGCCAGAGAGAAAGTAGGACTAGGGAGGACAGGCAAAAACACAGGCGATGGCGGCTTAAACCTGGGATCAAAAACTCCTAGTTCAGATGGCCAGGCAGGTAATGTGAAGCCCCTCATCTTTAAAACCTTGCACTACAAAAGGGCTGAGAGACTGGAGAAATCTTGGGAGAAGGTATCTGAGAGATACTGCAAATCACTCACAGCTCAGCAGGAAGTGAGTAATGTGCATTTGCTATTTTGTTTGTGAATATTCATTTCTGCTCTGAAAAAGAAGAAAAATGGGATGAAGGAAAATCATAGGATGTGTTAAGCATAGATAAGGAAGTTAGGGACCTACCAGACCAAGAAGACAGCAAATCTTCATGATGCGATACATACTGTATGCCAGAAGCATAATGAGGCACTCCATATGCAGGAAGTCTTAATTCACCACCCGTTGATGATGCCCATTCTGGCTCCACCTGTTCTCTGCCCAAGAAACAAACGAACAAAACAAAACCCCTTAGCTGCTCATCAGATCAACTGGCAAGCTCCAGCTACTGGCCAGGCATTCTTGCCCCTCTGTATTTGCCTGGGCTCATATGCTACTGTTCCAAGGTTCTGCCACTAGTACTCTTCTTTTTCAATCCTGCACACCCTGTCCTTAGGTGGTCTCATCCCCTTCTATGCCTGCAGTGCCCCTGGAATATACACCAGGTTCACTTTCTCCCCATCCCTCAGGTACCCATCACCCATCTCCCAGACATCTCCTGGACATAATCTAGATGCCCCATGGGTAACTCAATCTTCGTAATCCTAAGACTGACCTCATCTTCTCTCCCCAAACTACCTGTATTTCAGCCTACATGGCAGCAAGATGTACCTAATCACTCAACCAAAACTTGGGGTGTCACCCGGACTGTGTCCTTTTCCTCAGGTACCAAGGTCTCAGGTCCTGTGATTTCTACTTCCTTAAAGTATCTCATTAGTTTTCTATACCCACCATCTGTGCTAAATTAGTATTAATTAACTATCTTTAGAGTGATACAGCCACATGCTGAGCATGATGGACAAGGACCTTCAAGCTCTACCTTGGTTCACCCCTCCATCTCATCTGAGTTCTGGGCATGATGGAAGAGACTCTTCTCCTCTCCACTCTTGCCTCTTGCCATTACCTTGCCTTGGTCGTGATTACCTACAGATGCCTGAATGAGTCATAGTCTTTCTCATATCCAGGATTGTACCCTTGCTGTTTTCCTCTGCCTAGATGCCCTCCTTTCCAACCCCCACTGTCCAATAACCCACCACCGCAATTGTCCACCATTTTATCCTGCTTACTCTTATTCTCTTTTCAAATTTTTCATGAGATGTCAGCTTCTCTAGGAAACTTCCCTGAAATCCCAGCCTTCCCTCCACCCTCACCCTCCACTGGCCCTTATCTGAATTAAGCACTCTCCCTGCTTGTTTTCTTCGTCTTCTGAGGCTCCTTTCTCGTTATGCTGTCACTCAGGGGTCCAGAGGGCAGAGATGGAATGCTCAAATTAGGACAATTCAGGGAGGTGTGGGAGAGGTGCAGGGGGACCATAAGGGATGGAGCAGGAACCCAAGGTAGTAATAGCAGAGCTGGCACCAACCCTAGGCTCAAAAAGACAAAGGAGAGAGAGTGGTTACCAAAACCCAGAAAGAGAAAACCCGGTAAAAGACGGGACCTGGTGAGGAGCAGCAACCTGTGTTTGGCTGTGGACTGTGGCAATCTTGCAGGGAGGAGAGCAGAGGAATGACTATCTTGGCTTCACTCTCCTTCCTTCTCCTTCATCTCATGTCAGGTGCCCCATTGGCTAAACCTACCAGCAACCAGAGGACAAGGAATGCATTAAAATAATCTTACGGCTCAGAGAGTAGATTAGATGTAGAGTGACAAATGGATTATATTTAGCACAATCGCAGGTCTATTTGTTGATCCGTCTCCCTCATCAGACTGAGTTACCTGAGGACAGAGAATGTTTCTCTTATATCTGTATCCCTAACATTTGGTGGACACTAGATACTCAAGAAATGCTTATGGACGGGATCAGAGAAGATGGTAAATTGGGCATTAGATGGAGGTTTGTGCTTTCTGAGCTTGCCGCATGCTTTCTGGCGAATCCAAGGCAAAATGAGAAACAGAATGAGCTCTGTACTTTTGTCTGGTAAAAGAAAATATGATTTGGTGAGAAGAAATGAATACTTTTAGCACTCAGTGCTGGGAGGAACTGGAATCAGTCATGTGACTGCCTCTATCAGAGGCTCTCAACTGCGTAACGGACAGAATCTTTAATGGTGAAACCACAATGCAGAAACATTCTTTTTTTTTTTTTTTTTTTTTTTTTTGAGACGGAGTCTTGCTCTGTCACCCAGGCTGGAGTGCAGTGGCACCATCTCGGCTCACTGCAAGCTCCGCCTCCCGGGTTCACCCCATTCTCCTGCCTCAGCCTCCCAAGTAGCTGGGACTACAGGCACCTGCCACCACACCTGGCTAATTTTTTGTATTTTTAGTAGAAATGGGGTTTCACCGTGTTAGCTAGGATGCTCTTGATCTCCTGACCTCGTGATCTGCCCGCCTCGGCCTCCCAAAGTGGGAAACATTCTTAAAAATATTAGCCCTTGATAAAACCAAAGCCATGTTACAAAAAAGCAACCAAAAGGTGGAAATGAGATAATATGGTCCACTTTGAGCTGAGAACATCTTGCCAGAAAATGATTGTCTCAGACTTCAAATCTGACCTCCTACATAAACCTTCAGTGCAATCCTCCCTGTATTATCTCTTCTCTCATCAGCCAAAAGATGGAAAGGATAAACTGAGGAACTTACGCTGGAGGAGCATGGATTCATTAGATGGCAGAAACCTGGGTTTCTGAATGACTACTGTGGAGCTGATCTCTGCTTATGCCCTGCAAACCTTTGTGCTGAGAGCAAGTAACACATTTTTAATGTGTTAAACCTCTGGGATTTGTTGGGTCTTATAGCAATGGTTATTTTACCCTAATACGACTGTAAAATAATGTTCTAAAATCTACAGTCGGGTTTGTTTAAAATATTATCGCCATCATTATTATAATCCATAGTCCATATCATAATTATTTTTATAGAAGTCCTTCTCAACTGGCATCTCATAATTTGTGGCTTCTTATATTGTTGCCTTCTATGTGTGAGATGCCTCTCTGAGTCCTTTTTGCTAGGGACATGATAGAAAATAAAATATCCAACATTCTGGTGTATTTTATAATGTACAAAGTCCTGTTTCATGCATTATCTCTTTAGATTCTCCCAACAAACCCAAGGAATATGTAAGGGTCTATAATCATCTTCATTTCACAGGTGATGAAACTGAGACGTTTACATGTAAAGTGGAAATAACCACTTATTTATTTATTTATTTATTAAATAAAAACCCCGCTAATTTATTTAAAGATTAATTGAGAGAATTATTTCATCTGTCTGGAACCTGGTATGTGTTAAGAGAAAAGTTTTCTTAATTTTTCTTTTTAAGAAGATAATCTATTGCTACATAACAAACCACTCTGAAATAATGACTTAAAACATTAAAAGTCATTGATTTTGCTCACAGAACTTGAACTGGAAGATATAAACAACTGGGAGTGAGGGTGGGGCTGGACAGCTGGCTTCTCTGGGCATCTCTCGTTCTTTCTGTGGTTTTGTCACATGTCTCTACATGGCAGCCCTAGGGTAATCATGACAGCTGAAGGCTTTAGAGTGGGTGGAGGGGGAGAGGGAGGGAGGGAAAGAGAGAGAGAGAGAGAGAGAGAGAAAGAGAAGCAAGCAGGCAGAAGCTCTAATGCCTTATGACCTAACCTTGGAAATAAATTACACTGTGCCACTGCCACTACCTTTTCTTAGAAGCAAGCAGATAGGGTTGGTGAATATTTATTGAGAGGGGAATTAGACTCCACCTCTTGATTGGGGGAGTGTCAAAGAATTTGTGAATATGTTTTTAAATGACCACATTTCCCCTTTCTAAAATGCTTGTCTAAATTGGTGTACACAAAAAGCTCGGGGGTTAGTGACTCATCCAAGGTTATTAAGCTGTTAAATGGTTCCACCAATACTAGATCTAATTTTGTGACTCCAAATTTCATGCTCTTTTTCACTACTCCAGATAATCTCCGGTGAACATCATTGTCCATTAGGGTAGTTAAGACATTCTAGCTGCCAAATAGATTCAGTCCTTTTAATTGCCTCGGACAATATATTTTTTATTTTGCAGAAAATAAATATTACCCATATGGCAGTCATCCATAAACACCTTCCAAGTTTATCCCAAACATCTGTGTTTTAAATTTTTTCTCCCAACAGATGTATTCATTTGCATTTTCCCAGATGAATCACTCTTTTTTTGTTGTTGTTGTTATTTTTGACTGTATTTCTCACCTCTCAAGACCCTTTTGTATTATCAAGCCCACTGCTTAAGCTAATACCATCTCCCAATTTGGGGACTTCCCCTTGATTCCTGTGTGCCCTTCCTGTGGGTCATTAATGCAATGTTATTTAAGACTAGGATTTGGCTGGGCGCAGTGGCTCACGCCTGTAATCCCAGCACTGTGGGAGGCCGAGCCGGGAGGATCACCTGAGGTCAGGAGTTCAAGACCAGCCTGACCAACATGGTGAAACCACGTCTCTACTAAAAATACAAAATTAGCCGGGCATAGTCACATGCCTGTAATCCCAGCTACTGGGTAGCCTGAGGCAGGAGAATCGCTTGAACCCGGGAGGCGGAGGCGGAGTTTGCAGTGAGCCAAGATTTCACAACTGCACTCCAGTCTGGGCCACAAGAGCGAAAACCCGTCTCAAAAAAAAAAAAAAGACTAGGATTTGACATAAGGCCTGAGGGGTATTCTTTTGTTTTGTTTTGCCTTGTTTTCAAGAGGCCAAAATCTTCACAGTTGAAAATTTCTGTTGAACCACAGAGATTTGAACCAACTCAGTTTAGAAAGCCTGGGGATTTGAACAACGGTATGGATCGGAAATCTCTTCATCTGTCAGTTTTCATCATTCTAGGCAGTAAAATAGATTTCCCTTTAGGAGCTTTTCACCGTTTGGGGTTCTCCAGCAGTGGGATGTGGGGAATCAACCCTTCTTCGTCTCCACCCAAACATTAGGTGGGAGCAAGGGGTGGGAAGTAGAGAAAGTGGATAGAGGTCTCCAGTGGATATGGGATCTTTGTGTAGACCAGCACAGTCCTCAGAAATCTCATGCAAGCAACATAGGTACTGTTATATTTTCTAGTGGCCACCTTTTAAAAAGTAAACAGGTGAGGCCGGGCGCGGTGGCTCACGCCTGTAATCCCAGCACTTTGGGAGGCCCAGGCGGGCGGATCACGAGGTCAAGAGATGGAGACCATCCTGGTCGACACGGTGAAACCCCGTCTCTACTAAAAATACAAAAATTAGCTGGGCATGGTGACGCGCGACTGTAGTCCTAGCTACTGGGGAGGCCGAGGCAGGAGAATCACTTGAACCCTGGAGGTGGAGGTTGCCACGCTCCACTACACTCCAGCCTGGCGACAGAGTGAGACTCCGTCTCAAAAAAAAGAAAGTAAACAGGTGAAATTAATTTTAATAATATATTTTGTTTAACCCAACGTATCCAAAATACTATCATTTGAAAGTGTAATGAATATAAAAATATTCATGAGATATTTTTCATTCTCATATCCATACTGTCTTGGACTCTAATGTGTATTTTACACTTACAGCACAATTAATTTGGGACTAGCTACATTTCAGCTCAACAATAGCCAATAGCATATGGGATAGCGCAAATAAACTCTGCGTCTCTGTTGCTTCTTTGGGTCTCGGAGACCTCAACCCTTTCTTCAGATTGC
This sequence comes from Homo sapiens, assembly GCF_000001405.40. Lineage (NCBI taxonomy): Eukaryota > Metazoa > Chordata > Mammalia > Primates > Hominidae > Homo > Homo sapiens. Next base: position 87,497,239 of record NC_000009.12, read on the forward strand.
AAACCTTCTTGCCTTCAAGCCTCGGCTCCAACACCAGTCCGGCAGAGGAACCCAGTCTAATGAGGTACGCTCCCTTCCTGCCATTCTCTATTCCATTAACCTGTTTCGTGGTAAACGTAGGACTGATCCTCCAAAATTACCTTATTAATTAGCTTACATATTTATTATCTATCTGTCCCACCAGAATGCAGGTTTCCGGAAGGCAGGGATTTAAAAAAATCTGTTTTGTTCTATGTGATTTTCCCATACCAAGCACCGTGCCCGGCACAAGCTGGGATCCCAGTACACATCTCGGGACGGAAGAACCGTGTTTCCCTAGAACCCAGTCAGAGGGCAGCTTAGCAATGTGTCACAGGTGGGGCGCCCGCGTTCCGGGCGGACGCACTGGCTCCCCGGCCGGCGTGGGTGTGGGGCGAGTGGGTGTGTGCGGGGTGTGCGCGGTAGAGCGCGCCAGCGAGCCCGGAGCGCGGAGCTGGGAGGAGCAGCGAGCGCCGCGCAGAACCCGCAGCGCCGGCCTGGCAGGGCAGCTCGGAGGTGGGTGGGCCGCGCCGCCAGCCCGCTTGCAGGGTCCCCATTGGCCGCCTGCCGGCCGCCCTCCGCCCAAAAGGCGGCAAGGAGCCGAGAGGCTGCTTCGGAGTGTGAGGAGGACAGCCGGACCGAGCCAACGCCGGGGACTTTGTTCCCTCCGCGGAGGGGACTCGGCAACTCGCAGCGGCAGGGTCTGGGGCCGGCGCCTGGGAGGGATCTGCGCCCCCCACTCACTCCCTAGCTGTGTTCCCGCCGCCGCCCCGGCTAGTCTCCGGCGCTGGCGCCTATGGTCGGCCTCCGACAGCGCTCCGGAGGGACCGGGGGAGCTCCCAGGCGCCCGGGTGAGTAGCCAGGCGCGGCTCCCCGGTCCCCCCGACCCCCGGCGCCAGCTTTTGCTTTCCCAGCCAGGGCGCGGTGGGGTTTGTCCGGGCAGTGCCTCGAGCAACTGGGAAGGCCAAGGCGGAGGGAAACTTGGCTTCGGGGAGAAGTGCGATCGCAGCCGGGAGGCTTCCCCAGCCCCGCGGGCCGGGTGAGAACAGGTGGCGCCGGCCCGACCAGGCGCTTTGTGTCGGGGCGCGAGGATCTGGAGCGAACTGCTGCGCCTCGGTGGGCCGCTCCCTTCCCTCCCTTGCTCCCCCGGGCGGCCGCACGCCGGGTCGGCCGGGTAACGGAGAGGGAGTCGCCAGGAATGTGGCTCTGGGGACTGCCTCGCTCGGGGAAGGGGAGAGGGTGGCCACGGTGTTAGGAGAGGCGCGGGAGCCGAGAGGTGGCGCGGGGGTGCCACCGTTGCCGCAGGCTGGAGAGAGATTGCTCCCAGTGAGGCGCGTACCGTCTGGGCGAGGGCTTCATTCTTCCGCGGCGTCCCTGGAGGTGGGAAAGCTGGGTGGGCATGTGTGCAGAGAAAGGGGAGGCGGGGAGGCCAGTCACTTCCGGAGCCGGTTCTGATCCCAACAGACCGCCCAGCGTTTGGGGACGCCGACCTCGGGGTGCCGTGGTGCCCGGCCCCACGCGCGCGCGGGGCTGAGGGGTCGGGGGCGTCCCTGGCCGCCCAGCTTTAACAAAGGGTGCTCCTCTCCACCCCGCGAGGAGGGGCAGCTCCGGAGACCCGGTCTTCAGCGAGCGGGGTCTTAGCGCCGGGGAGGTCTACTTCCTTTTGGGGTTGCCATTTTACTATTATTATTGCCTTTTTTTTTTCTTCAAAAGGACTGGAGACTGATGCATGAGGGGGCTACGGAGGCGCAGGAGCGGTGGTGATGGTCTGGGAAGCGGAGCTGAAGTGCCCTGGGCTTTGGTGAGGCGTGACAGTTTATCATGACCGTGTTCAGGCAGGAAAACGTGGATGATTACTACGACACCGGCGAGGAACTTGGCAGGTAAAGGGGGTACCAGAAGCGTACCCTCCTGGATTGTGGAAATGCATAACGATGGGGCCATTGGGTGGTAAACAAATGCAGTTTGAATCAGGCGTCTCCCTCGCCCTTTCTGGAGATGCGCAAATCATAGAGAAAAGAGTTACTAACCCAGCGGTAAACCGCCTGATCCAAGGGCCTGGGGGTGGAGGAGAGGCAGCAGTTCAGGGCTAGATTATGATGCACAGTATATTGATCCAGTCCCCTGGACAAAATCAGATTTAATTGTCCGTGCTAACTCTTGTCAGCCCTTGCCCTTCTGTGACAACAGGACAAACACTAAGATTATAATTGCAATTGGAGTTAGCTTTTATGTGTGATTTAAACGGAGGGTACAAACTAATTAATAGGTTTTAAAAATCTTAGTACTTTACCCTCTATCTAAATTTTCAGTGTAATTTGAGCAAGTATTGGTAGGTGGTAAATGGAGACTTGCCAGATGTTGACATTGGGCTTGGATTTTGAAACTTCTTCCAACCAGGAATTTAATTACCTGGTTGGTGTTGGTGGTTGCTTTGGTTTCATTTACAATGTTAAATTTTTAACAAATCAATGAGAGTCTAATATGGCTATCTGGATTCAGAGCATACCTCCATTGCTGTAGCAGCTGTGATTCTCAGTGTAAAATCTTTCAGTTTCTAGGTAAACAAAGAATAGTTTCTTTCGGGGCATCTAAGGGCTGATTGCTGTTTCCTTTGACTGTGTATTAGACAGAGTGTTTTGGGCTCTGGTCAACTTTAGTAGAAAACCTAGTTTTCATACATACATTTAAAACTGAATTTATGGAATTTGACTGTGGTGTATTTACATTGTGAGTGGAGTAGGCAAAAGGATCTTTAAACAAACAAAATATGTATTTACTTATATGTGCATTGAAATATGTATTTTCCCATATACATCTGATGTCCTGATACAAAGCTTCCTTTTTCTCCATGAAAAGGAAATTAAAAAACACCCACATCCTGGATTGCCTAATGAGAATTATGGAAACTAAGCTTAACTAAATTTTTTTAAAAATTCAAATGATAGTGTAGAATTTTTTTAAAAGTTACTGTAACAGAGTATTTCTCTAAATATTTAGTATCGACTGAAAACATAGATGGGGGCCTGTGCTTAGGAAGAGCTCTCTGTATATTGATGATCTGGTGAGTAAATAAGGAAAGCTCTTCAAACATCACATTTCATGGATATGTTTAAGATTAAAGTTTAAGAGTGTGTGGGTGAAATATTTGGTTTAACTGGAATTAAATAACTTTACTGTGGTTTTCAGCAAGATGAGTGGTATTTGGAGTTTTCCTTTGGGACTGGAAGAAAAAAGCAAAAAAATAAATTTTAATTTGATTTGCATAGTGTGGCCTGATCGTTTAAGTGTTGTTAGAAAGAGAGATGACTAAAATTAGTTGAGATTATTATATTATGGATTAAGTATATTGACCTTATTTTCATTATGATTTTTTGGTACCATTATGTGTTATGAGAAAGAAATAGAAAAAGAGGCCTCCCTGTGGTTGGCGAAGGGAGTTTTTGATCTTTATTTCGTGGGCGTGATGATGAGGGGAGGGAGGTGGCTTACTTATTTGTCACTAGCACTTTGATTTGCTCAGTGTACATTTTTGTGTATAACGTTCTCCCCACTGTGCAAGGCAAATTGACAAATTGTTTATTAAATAATTTGTGTGACCTAGGAATTTTAAAGAAATGCTCTGAAAAACTGGAAGTCTGAAGTTTTTAAAAATGAAATGTACAGACTCATCTATCTTGTATAACTGCTATTGTTTTTGCCAAAAAATGAGTGAATGATTGTTTTTTGGAAAATTTTTCAAGTCCTGATTTTATGTCTGCCTTGGATGTAGCCACTTCCTGAAAACAAGTCCTAATGTAAAATGGACATGTAGGAAGATGCTGCTTATATGACATCACGTGTCACTGAGGGAAGATTGGGAGTGGAGGCAGGAGTTTGGTGGCAGGAAAATGGAAATGGGCAGATATGTGGCACAAATGCAAGGTCATTCTAAGCAGTGAATTACTAGTAGACCAGTATCTAAGATTTAAGACTTTACTTGGCCAGGCGAGGTGGCTCACACCTGTAATCCCAGCACTTTTGGGAGGCTGAGGTAGGCAAATCACGAGGTCAGGAGTTCAAGACCAGCCTGGCTAACATAGTGAAACCCTGTCTCTACTAAAAATACAAAAAAAATTATCTAAGATTTAAGACTTTAATTGGCCAGGCGCAGTGGCGCGCGCCTGTAGTCCCAGCTATTTGGGAGGCTGAGGCATGAGAATCGCCTGAACCTGGGAGGCGGAGGTTGCAGTGAATGGAGATCGCGCCACTGCCCTCCAGCCTGGGTGATACAGCGAGACTCTGTCTCAAAAAAAAAAGAAAGAAAAAAAAGACTTTACTTATATATCTTTAGCAGTCATCTAAATAATAACGATTCACTTACCTTATAAATGTAGTGAGACAAAGTACATAGCCAGGAGGAAAGATGGGTTTTTGAAGAAGTAGAGTACAAGTATTATTGTTAATGTTATTTTACTTTTAGGAAAATTGAAAATGTTCGTATTTGTGTGTACTGCCTAAGACTTCTGTAAAAGCTCTCTGTCAACGGTCAGGAACTTTATAGAGTATTGCAACTATTGCAGCAGTCCATCTGCAGCAGTAATAGAGCAGATGGGCCACTGGACAGATACCCTGGTCCAAAACCTGGCTCTGCAACTTGCCAGTTTTCTTGAACAGGCCATTTACCCACTCTGACACTCAGGATTTTCCTCTATGAGAGGTTTAGTGCTTTTTTCATTGCTGTTGTAAAAATAATCTAACTTGTAAAAGTAGTTGATCAGCAGTAGAGAGTTAAACAAATATAGATATTATCTGTAGACTGGCTGAGACATCTGGGTGCCCCAGGCAAGCTAATAACTTGGCCGGCAAGTCAATATTCTTTAAGTTTCTGTTTACCAGCTTTGGGAGGGGATGCCTTATAGGAAAAGGGTCATGGGGAGAAGGGTTGCTGACAGCATTCAGCCTCCACTATGATTCTGAATAATGCAGCCCTGGCCTTGAGCTGGCACACCCTCCAAGCAGAAGCAAGTCCCTGCAGCAGATGCACTTGTTATCTTTAGAAGGGTGCTTGGTGGCCTTCAGTTTTGGCTCCTGGAGGCCCTTTAGGGTCTCACCCTCTGTCCCAGGAGGCGGAACAAAGAACTGCCTCCATGATGTGTAATAGTCTCTGGGAGGAGTTCTTATAAATCTGCTATTATACCGAGGTGTTTTAATGCCCCAGGATGCCCTAGCATCTCTTATCAGTTGGCACCTCGGGCAGCTGCAGGCTGACTTGCCCCATTGTCGGGCTCTAGTTACACCCTTGGCCGTCGTTCAGCCTAACCTGTGAGCCTCCTGGGCACCTCTCTGTGTACACTGCTTTCCTGAGGGACTGGCCTTCTTTCCTATTGCACCATCTGACCTTATATGATCTTAAGACCTAAGTCCTACTTCCTTAATGAATCCTTCCACAATGAGTTTCCCCTTTTAAAGTCAAGTGACTTCTCTGAGACTCTCTTTGTCCATGACCATAGACTGCCCAGTGACATGTTTATCCTGTTTCATGTTTATTAGTCTTGTATTACTCTTTGCAGCCAGCTTGTGAGTTTCTTTGGGGTGTGCCCTGTGGTTTGGAGTTGTTGTGGTCCTTTCTCCCCATGGTGTGCAGGGTTTCATAGACTTCCTGCAAATTGGTATCTATGATCAATATTGGGATTAATGCATGCCTCAATGAGCTAATGCAGTTTGGCAAGTGTAATTTTGAGACCAGAATGGGGATGTAAGATGCAAACGATGATGCTGATGCTGATACTGTTAGAGAGGCAGTGTGCAGTGTGGAAAAACCTGAGAATGCTCATTTGGAAAGTGGGGAGACACCTACCCTGGTAGAGTGTTGTTAGAATTACAGACGTGGCTTTAAACATCTGACATGCAGTCTGTCTTTCTAGTCTACAGGTAGATATGCATTTACTGAACACCTACTAAGTGTGATGTGTCTAAAATATATATATATGTATATGTTTTTTATATATATGTGTGTGTGTATATGTATATATATATATATTTTAGAGACAGGGTCTTACTCTGTTTCCCAGGCTGGAGTGCAGTGGCACAGTCATAGCTCACTGTAACCTTGAACTCCTGGGCTCAAGCAGTCCTCCCACCTTGGCCTTCCAAAGCTCTGAGATTATAGGGCAGAGACACTGTGCCTGGCCTCTAATATATCATTTTTATTATTTTTAATAACCTGTTTTCTCCATCACAGCATTTACCACATTGCATAGTAACTGCTTATTTGATGATCTGCTTTCTCCATGGGGCCATTACCTTGGACTTGCTCCTCACTTTTTATTTCTAATGCCCAGGTTGATGCATGGCACTTAGAAGGCGCTCAGTAAATGCATGCTGTTAGACTAGACTGAGTGGATCAATATATGTAAAGCAACTTGAAAGAATATGTATGTATTAGGGCCTCAACAAATGATGGCTTGTGGTGAAGATGAACACTTAGGATATAATGGCTGCCGCTCATCAAAATAAAAACTGCTCTTGTTTTTGCATTCTTTGTGGCTGAACAGTAATGAGCACAGCAGCCAAAATTTTCAAGCACAAGATCAGTTTTAAACAAAACAAATGAAGTGGAGCATTAAATATTTTACATTGGTTTGGATGGTCATTGGAAGCTAATAATTCAAGTTTAAAACATTCCCCTTTCGGCATAAAATCCATAGGCATTTTAATTGAAGTAAGAAATTGTCATAAGCCCTGGCAGTCCAAGTGCTTCTCTAGACCGGTTTACTGTGGATTGCAGGAGTCAGTCCTATGAATAATGGCAACCCTGTGTGGCTCATAGAAGGGGAGAGACTTTCTGGCATGTTTTTTCTTCAGAAATGGGAACCGCAGGCCACCGGTGGGTTTCTGCATCCTTATAGGACTGTGCTGAATGTGACATTTTTCCTCTTAGCATTTTTGACTCAGAATGCTCTCAGATGTTTCCTCTGATAGGAAAGGGTCCAAAGTTTTAAGAGAGATAAAGTTCAGCTACATAGATTAAAGGCAACGGTTAGTGATTTTAAAAGTGTGTACATTTTAGGAAGGTCTAATAATAATTTTCCAGGATGTGAAGGGAAAGCATGATGGTGTTAGTAAGTGGCAGTTTGGTTGAATGCTTGCTTGCTGGCACTGGGAGTGTGTTGCTGGATTACTAGGGCAGGCATCAAATTTAGGTTCAAGGGGGCCAGGAACAGAGTAGGTGGAGGTGCTTATTGGTCGGGAAGCCAGGGAACATGGAAGCTCACTTCTTGGTCCCCCATGCTCTTTTACCCTCAGCTTGTGTCTCCCCGGCCAATGAGGAAACTGAAGGCCCCATATCATTGGTATATGCCTCTGCAAAGCCATGAAAAACTCATAAGAAACCTACAGAGATGGATGTCCAGATAAATTCCAGTGCACTCATCCCTCGGTATCCATGGCGGATTAGTTCCAGGACCTCTGGGGACACCAGAATCCACAAATGCTGAAGTCCCTTATATAAAATGGCATAGTATTTGCATATAACTGATGTAATCTTCCCATATATCTTAAATCATCTCTAGATTACTTACAATACTTAGTACAATGTAAATGCTAACTAAATAGTAGCATTATAATGTTTAGGGAATAATAACCAGAAAAAAAAGTCTGTATATGTTCAGTACAGATGCAGTTTTTTCCTGAATATTTTTGGTACAAGGTTGGTTGAATCCATGGATGCAGAACCCACAGATCCAGAGGGCTGACTGTAGTTGTATACAGGTGTTATATCAGGAGAGGCAACATTGGCTCTTCCACCTTGTTCTCTTCCCTCCTAGCAGAGTTGTAATCCAGACCACTTCTTTCCAGATGATTAGGGGTGAGGGGCTGAGCTGCTGGATATCTGATATCTGGGAGTGGCATGGTCAAGGTCACATTGCCTGACTCAGCAGGGAAATGTGTTAGGAACTTTCATCCTTCATTCTAGCCAACTGCCATGAGTACCTAACATTTTGTATAAATTAAGTGAATATTATTTTAGTAGAAATTTATTTCTGATTATGAGACAAAGGAAGCCACTCTTCTGACAAGAGGGGAGTGGTTTCCATTGGGGAAGAGTACCCCAGAGAGCTCAGGGACTTTGTTTGTTTGTGTCTTTTTGTTTGTTTGATTTTGTTTTGTTTTTTTGAGACGGAGTCTCACTCTGTTGCCCAGGCTAGAGTGTAGTGGCGTGATCTCGGCTCACTGCAACCTCCGCCCTCTGGGTTCAAGTGATTCTCCTGCCTCAGCCTCCCAAGTAGCTGGGATTACAGGCGCCTGCCACCGTGCCTGGCTTATTTTTTGTATTTTTAGTAGAGACGGGGTTTCACCATCTTGGCCAGGCTGGTCTTGAACTCCTGACCTCGTGAGTCACCCTCCTCGGCCTCCCGAAGTGCTGGGATTACAGGCATGAATCACTGTGCCTGGCCTTTTGCATTTTTGGAGACGAAGTCTTGCTCTGTTGCCCAGGCTAGAGTGCAGTGGGGCGATCTTGGCTCACTGCAACCTCTGCCTCCCCAGTTCAAGTGATTCTCTGTCTCAGCCTCCAAATAGCTGGAATTATAGGCATGCATCACCATACCTGGCTAATTTTTTTATTTTTAGTAGAGGTGGGGTTTCGCCATGTTGGCTAGGCTGGTCTTGAACTCCTGACCTCAAGTGATCCGCCCGTCTCGGCCTCCCAAAGTGCTGGGATTATAAGCGTCAGCCTCTCGCTGTGCCTGGCCGGGACTTTGACCTGGAAGAAGGCTGAGTGACCAGCATTGCCTCCCTTCACATTTTATCCACCTGTGTTTAGACAGGTCAAGTGGCTTTCTCCAGGCAGCTGATTAAAAGGTGGCAAGACATGGACCCAGAACCCAGGGCCAGGCCTATTTCATTATCTGTGCTATTTAGGATTTGGCAGTTTTCCATCTTTGAAAGCCAGATGAAGTTGATATTTAAGAGAGGTGAAGTAGGCAGCCATTTGGCGCCAATTTATTTCAGCATCTGCATGGAGAAAATGGTTAGGGATAAATAGTAGACCCTTCATGGAAGGTTTTCATTTGAAGCCCAGCCAAAGGCAACAGGGTCTGCCCTTTGAGCTCAGAACTTTCGCAGGCCTTAACGACACACTGGGACCTTCTTTCCTTTTCCAAATGGCTTCAGCCTTGCAGTTTGGAATGATGTCAACATGTGGCGTAGTTTTATTCAAGTCCCAAGTTAATGGTTTACCTTTTTAGAAAACTCCAAAAACACTTTCATTGTTATTTAACTTTTGAGTTATGTAATGTCTAAGAGTCTTGTCTCTGACCCGTGCACCTACCTGCCACTGACCAACAGTTTCTCATTTCCTTACGCAACAACTAGTCTGGCTAGCTTAGAGTTGGTGTGTGATTGTTTGAGACTTTATGTGGAAGATAATATTTAATTGTTTTGTTCTGGTTTGTTGGGGTAAATTATACAAATGGAATGCATCCTTTCTCGGCCTTGAAAGAGGTTATATGACAGTACAATTATAATAAATTCAGTGTATGACTTTGGGTACATTCTATTATAAACGAATTTTTTTAAAGGTGCAGTTAGAAGAAGGTGGAAGAAAAAAGAAGTTGACACTCCGATTTTCCACATCATCTAACTAAAATGGATTTAAACTAACTTTCTCTAACTATTAAATCTTTCTTAGGTAAGTACAGTTGTATCCCAGCTCTAGAGTTAATGTGCTGGGTGGGTTTTTACAAATAAAAAATCTAAAACCTAAAATAGTTGTGTTTTATCTTCTGTCCCAATCCAAAACAAAACAAAACAATCATGTGATAGTAACTAATCTCTGGAGATACCTGACAAGCGTGGTCCAATAGTGACGCGGGTTTGTCACTTTGGTCTTTAGGTGACATTGACAGCTGGTGTGGCATATGGATCACACTGTGGTCATTGAAGTATAATGTTGCTTACTTCTGAGAAGTGATCATGGGGCCTTTTTTTTGAGACGGAATTTCGCTCTTGTTGCCCTGGCTGGAATGCAATGGCGCTATCTCGGCTCACTGCAACCTCCGCCTCCTGGGTTCAAGCGATTCTCCTGCCTCAGCCTCCCAAGTAGCTGGGATTACAGGCATGCACCACCACGCCTGGCTAATTTTGTATTTTTAGAGGATTTCTCCATGTTAGTCTGGCTGGTCTTGAACTCCTGACCTCAGGTGATCTGCTCGCCTCAGCCTCCCAAAGTGTTGGGATTACAGGCATGAGCCACCGCATCTGGTGTTCACGGGGCTTTTACCTTATGTACTACCTTTCGATGTTTCAGTTGTGAGCTTGAAAAATTTTATTCAGTAACCTAACATATAATTAGAGATGCCAGAGTGGTGGGGAGGGGAGGGAAGGAGGTTGGGAGAATGTTGTTGATTTTTTTTTTCCCTTTATAAACACATACAACTTTGGACGAAGAACATAATGTTTGAGCAAATGAATGCTTGTAAACTGCCGATCTCTGAAGTGTGAAAAGTTTATATTGATGGCACTTATATTCATAAGCCTGATGGGTTTTGGCTGGGAAATTTGGCTCGAGGTACGGACTTCTTTTGGGACACATTTTATTTTTCTGTCAAAACTGCCTGATTATTCTTATTTAGGAAATATGTGATGAATGAGGCTGGCTGGCAAATATTTTAAGTGCAGTTGATATTATAAATTTTCACCTACAAAAATGAACTACTTTTCATTGTTGAATAGTTATGTCTTAGTTCATTGCTTTTACTTTTGAAACTGTATAAACTTTTCCCTTTTTTTGGAGACGGAGTGTCGCTCTGTCACCCAGACTAGAGTGCAGTGGCATGCTCTTGGCTCGCTGCAACCTCTGCCTCCTGAGTCAAGTGATTCTCCTGCCTCAGCCTCCTGAGTAGCTGGGACTACAGGCACCCGCCACGACGCCCGGCTAATTTTTGTGTTTTTAGTAGAGACGGGGTTTCACCATGATGGCCAGGCTGATCTGGAACTCCTGACCTCAGGTGATCTGCCCTCCTCGGTCTCCCAAAGTACTGGGATTACAGGTGTGAGTCGCCGCACTGGTCCAACTTTTCCTTTTCACCTTAGAAAGATTGTCAGGATTTTTTTTTTTTTTTAAACGGAGTCTTGCTTTGTCGCCCAGGCTGGAGTGCAGTGGCGCGATTTCGGCTCACTGCAACCTCCACCTCCCGGGTTCACGCCATTCTCCTGCCTCAGCCTCCCGAGTAGCTGGGACTACAGGTGCCCGCCACCACACCTGGCTAATTTTTGGTATTTTTAGTAGAGTCAGGGTTTCACCGTGTTAGCCAGGATGGTCTCTATCTCCTGACCTCGTGATCCGCCCACCTCGGCCTCCCAAAGTGCTGGGATTACAGGCGTGAGCCACCGTGCCCGGCCACGATTGTCAGGATTTTTGAGACCTTACTACAACCCCTGACACCTGACCCACAGTATAGAATTTTCCAGGTGAAAAAGACATGTAGAGAAAGTCATCAATGCCATTCTTTTTTTTCCCCATTCATGAAAATGATTAGATTTTCCTTTGAGCTGCCTGTCTGTCTGCCTAGCACCTCATATGTCTATCCAGGACTGGGCTGCCTCAGAGAGGATAGGTACACCTAAAGCAATGCAAGAAAAAAAGTGGCGGAAGGATACCATGGGACAGGCAGAGAGAAGAGGTCAGAATTTAGTGTTGATTCAGTTCCGATATTTCCACCCTCCTTTGAGAAGTTTTTCGAAATTGTTTTGCCTCCTCTGTGTAAAGCTCAATTTTTGAGGCCATCTGTGGTTTATGGGTAAGCAGCAGAAATGTGTGTCTCTGGGAAAGTGATGAAAGGCTGCAACCTTTGGAGTGTAATATTTAATAGACTAGGAATTACAAGCTGTTTGGCTTTATAAAAACAAAGCTACAGGCGCTGCAGGTATACGTATCCTGTAGAGAACAGACTTTTAATGGGTGCTGCTCATGTTGGAGATGCTGAATGGTATATAATACACAGAAGAGCTGTCCTTAGGAATTTGGTAAGGCAAAAAGCGCTAAAAAGTTATTTATTACCTTAAAATAATATTTCATTGGCCTATAAATCAGTATAATTGAAAGCACAGCCTGCCAGCATTTTCTTTTCTTTTTTTTTGAAATGGAGTTTTCCTCTTGTTGCTCAGGCTGGAGTGCAATGGCGCAATCTCAGCTCACCACAACCTCTGCCTCCGGGTTCAAGCGATTCTCCTGCCTCAGCCCCCCGAGTAGCTGGGATTACAGGCATGCACCACCACGCCCCGCTAATTTTATATTTTTAGTAGAGATGGGGTTTCTCCATGTTGGTCAGGCTGGTCTTGAACTCCTGACCTTAGGTGATCCGCCCGCCTCGGCCCCCCACAATGCTGGGATTACAGGCGTGAGCCACCGCGCCCGGCCATCCTGCCAGCGTTTTCTTCTGTGCACTTGGGATGGGAATATAGAAAATTGTCTTCCTAGATATTGGCTTTGCCATTCAAAGTCTCTACAGTCAGTGTGTGAACTGCTGGGAGTGATGCCAGAATCTTTCACAGATTTCATTCCTGGGAGCTCTTCTGGCGTCAGATGATCGCGGTTTCTTTTCCTTCTGCACCACAGCACATGGAGGAGGCCTCTTTCTCACTTGCTCCGTTCCTTTGCCATTCATGGAGGCAGTGGCACCAGTGAGCTCACGGCCAGGCCGCTTTTGCCCTTTTTCTGACTAAGTCACTATAGATGGACTAAACAGAATATATTTACAGTTCGCCCATTTAGAATCGATAAGGGTGTGCCCCAGGCTCCATCGTATATTCCATTACATACAGCCTCAGGCATCCGTTTCAATTGTTTGGGAGAGGAAGTGAATTAGCACAAGTGGAATATCTACAGGATGAAACGTTGTCAGTCTGTGCGTTCCTCCCCACCCCTTCGTTGGCTGGAAGAGATAACGCTTGACACGTATGGAGCAGACAGGGTAATGTCAGCCTCGTGGCCATGGAGAAGCAGGAAGTCCCTTGGTTTTGTTCAGTGTGATTTGGGCATTGAATGAGTAGATCCTGTTTTAAGAATATTACTCATTAATATGAACCATCATTTTGTAGGTCTTTTAGAAGCAACATTCTCTTTAGTGCAGATAATGCTTATCTGCATTGAGAGAAGTTATAATAACCTGGAGAATGAGAAGGAAATACACATGCGAAATGGCCCAGCCGGTTTCTCCTGGCAACCTCTCCAGAGCATGTCCTAGGCTACTCCTCCAGGAAGGCTCCTGCTCTGATTTCCTGTATTCCTTCACGATTTGGAGTAGATAACTGGCCACTTGGCATTCTTATTACAGGGGACTTATGCGTGGGATTATTGGCTTCCCCTGTGGACTGTGAGTTTTCTGAGGGTAGAGAACATGGCCTTTTGTCTCTGGTGTTGGTTGGAATTCAGCTAAGTGCACGGTAAGCCATGTTTATTTCGTTGCCTTATAAAGGTACATATGCAGAAATTAGAACAGTGTTTCAGGGCTTTGGACCCAAATCCCTGTCTCCACAAAACACATTAGCTGTTACTTTGGGAAAGTCACTTGACTTCTGTGAGATTTAGTTTTTCTCATCTGTAAAATGGGGATAGTCATCACGGCTAATTCATAAGGTGGTTGTGAGGATGTCTGTGATATGTATAAAGTGCTTGGCACAGTACTAGGCACACAGTAAGTGCTTGAGAGGTGGACGCTATTTAACAAGACAGAGCAGGAACGGGAGAGAGAGGGAGAGCGACAGTATAACATGCTTCTGAATCTGTGTTCCCGGGTCCTACCTCTTCATTCATTCCTGCCCTGGCCTCCCACAGGCAGAGTGCGGGTGAGGGCTCACTTCTCCTCAGTTTCATCCTTCCTCCCTCTCTTCTCCTCTGCCTGTCTCTCCTTTGGCTCAGCTTGCCTGGTGGGCTCATTCTGCCAAGTTTGCCTTTGCTTGTCTGTTCCATTTTTCTAGGTATCCTTGCCTCCTTCCGACTGGACTCAGTTTATGTGCCGAGCTCTCTTGGTGAGTCCACCTTATTATGTGCTCATTAGATGATGCTTAGGGTTCCTAAGAAACATATTGACTAGGAATTTAGCTGTGCATCTGAAAGTTGGCTGCTGAACGCAGAGCTTCAAGGGATACCCTTTTCAAAGTCCACAAGACACCATGGGAAAGGGAGGGAAAAGCTTCATGTTAAGGAGGATCTGTTAAGATGGGAAGAGATGCATTTAAGGAAGCAGAGACAACTAAAAGCCGCTCTGTAGCCAGGAGGAGTTAGCTGCTCAGCAAGAAGGCTGCTTGGAAATGCTTTGAGGGATATCATCCTGGTGTTACAGGGAACCTGAGACTATGTGAGCACATAAATTCGTGTTTTTAATGCAGTGTGCTTCAGTTCCTGAAAGGTAGATTTTCTTTTTCTTTTGTGTGTGTGTGTGTGTGTGTGTGTGTGTGTGTGTGTCTGTGGTTTGTTTTTTTTTCTCCCAGATGGAGTCTCACTCTGTCACCCGGCCTGGAGTGCAGTGGCGCGATCTCGGCTCACTGCAACCTCCGCCTCCTGGTTTCAAGCGATTCTCCTGCCTCAACCTCCCAAGTAGCTGGGATTACAGGAGCCTGCCACTACACCCAGCTAATTTTTTGTATTTTTAGTAGAGATGGGGTTTCACCATGCTGGCCAGGCTGGTCTCAAACTCCTGACCTTAGGTGATCCACCCACCTCGGCCTCCCAAAGTGCTGGGATTGCAGGTGTGAGCCACCACGCCCGGCCTGATTTTATTTTTCTAGCTTGCTTTTTCAAGAGAAACCATCTTTTATTTATTTGTTTGTTTATTTTTTTAGAGACAAGGTCTTGCTATGTTACCCAGGCACAGTGGTGTGATCATAGCTCACTGCAGCCCCAAATTCCTGGGCTCAAGTGATCCTCTCACCTCAGCCTCCTGCATAGCTGGGACTATAGGCATGTGCCAACACACCTGGCTTAAAAGCCATCTTAAGTGGCCAAATAAGACACTGGGAATTTGATTAGGGATACAAATAATTGATTTTTTTTTTTCATGGATCTTTATGGAGAAAGGAGTCTGAGATGAGTGTGGACACCTGAGTCCCTGACCAAGAGAAGCCTTGTGCAGCATGTCAGACAGACAGCAGATCCTGAAGCTCCATTCAGTTGTGACATGTACCAATTTAAGATGTGAAAATGAGTGTTTTGCCAAGCCAGAACTGTCCGTGCCAAGAAAAGCCCATTAGGTTGGTGGCTGAAAGGCTGGATTGTTAGGATGTACTGAATGGTGAGGCCCTGCCAGCTGCTGCGGGTAAATGCCCACTTACATGTCTAAGTACTCATTCTGTTCCCCTGGAGTGGGGTCCAGTTTGTTCAAGAAACATGGCTGCTGTGTGAGAGGCTGCTTTCTTTTTTTTGAGACGGAGTCTTGCCCTGTCGCCCAGGCTGGAGTACAGTGGTGTAATCTCGGCTCACTGCAACCTCCGCCTTCCAGGTTCAAGAGATTCTCCTGCCTCAGAGTAAGTAGCTGGGATTACAGGTGTGTGCCACCATGCCCAGCTAATTTTTGTATTTTTAGTAGACACAGGGTTTCACCATGTTGACCAGGCTGGTCTCGAACTCCTGACCTCAGAGGCTGGTGATCCACCCACCTCAGCCTCCCAAAGTGCTGGGATTACAGACATGAGCCACCATGCCTGGCCGAGAGGCTGCTTTCTTTTAAAGAATTATTTCTTGTTCTTTGGGCTTGTTGGGTGGGTATCTTTAGTTTGTAAAAGTAACATAACACTGACAAAATCTGAAAAGGAAAATACTTGGAAATTGGGTCTATAAGGTGAATTTAGGTAAAACATCAAGAGAACTAACAAATAGACAACAAATAAGCTATAAACAGGTACCATAAATAGGCTGTTAAACGAAACTGTCATTTGAACCGTAATATTTGCCCATCATTTATTCATTCCTCAAGGGCTAATTGAATATCTGAATGATCTTGCTGCAGTGTTGGGCAGGGCCCTCTATCTCAGCAAGCTTCTAGTCATGTAGGATAGACAGACTTTTGCACAACCAACAGTATTGGAAAGCCTAAATAGGAAGTGAGATGAAGCATGGAAAAATGTTTTTTGGAGTTCAGCCAAGGAGAGCGTTTTGACTTGGAGGTTTCATTCCTTCATTCAGATTCTTGTGGACGACGTAAAAATGTAAGCAGGTGGGTGCAAGTGTGGGTATGTATGTATGTCTCTACCCTTGCCTTCCTTGGAGAAAACTGGAAATAAGACATGAAAGAAATGGGGACAAGGAAACTAAGATTTGCTAGGAACTCTAGACCAGCAGCTGGAGGTAGGTATTGTAATTCACATTTGAAAACCGAGGTTCAGAAAGATGATTGGCCTTGAATAGTGTTTTAAAATGCTGGAAGCAGTAGTTGGACTCCCAAGCTGCTAAGCCATGTCTGGAAATTGGGTGGTGGGTGGTGCAGCTCATTTTGTGTCCTGTTCTACTGTCACTGTCTTGGAAGGGAAGTTTAAAGAAGTTTTAAATGTCTAGCACAGTGCTGGCTCATACGATGTGTTCAATGCCTGTTTTTCGCCTTGCTTCCTCTAAACCAGGTGTTCTCAACCTCGGCATTAGTGACAGCCTGTTCTGGATAGTTTTCTGTTGTGGGGGCTGTCTTGTGCATTGTATTTTAGGATAGGATATTTATAATAGGATGTTTAGCAGCATCCATGGACTCTACCCACTGGATGCCAGTAACAGCCACCTCCTCACACTCTTTATGACAGCCAAAAATGTCTCCAGACATTGCTAAATGTGTGAGGGGGCGCAAAATTCCCCCACCCTCTGTAGAGAACCACAGGACTACAAGATCAAGAGAGATCAGTCTTGACTGATGTGCTTAGGAGGCTAGAGCTGGTGTAGGGAAGGAGGAGCCTGCACCTAGTGGGCAAAGAAAACACCCCTGTGGAATGAGATGAGAGAAGATATTGACCTTGGGTGTCCAGAGCTGGTGAGGGGAGAGAAAAGGCTGCCAGATGGTCTGAGCGTGAGGTCTAGGGCAGTTGCTGTTGTACTTTGATTTGTATGGACTGTCCCAGGAGTGCGTAGTTTCCTGTGTCCCAGAGGTCTGGGCTGAGACAGACAATGGGTATGACCTGGAGAACCTGCTGGTGAGGCTTGTGGGTGTCAGAGCCCTGTTGAATCACTTTTCCCTCTCCATTCAAATAGCCACTGCAATTCCATACCTATTTGTATAATTACTTTCAAATGTCATTCTCTTCCTTAAGACTGGAAGCTCCCATGATCTAGGTCTGTGACTTGTTTTCTGGTTATTGAATTGAGCACAAGAACCAGCCCCAAATTGAACATTTAAGTGAGTGACATGAATGAATGATGGAAGGAGGGTTCGCATTAATTGTTGGATTGAACAAAGCCCGACACGATTAAATGTAACAGATACAAAGATGAAGCCAGACAATTAAGTTGGAGAGAAAAAGCAATTGCTCAAATTCAGCAGCAGGGAGACTTGTCATGACAGTGTCCTTTTGGAGAAGAGTCTGAGAGCTTTGATAATTACAAATGTCTATGGAACCCATATCCTCGTGACTGCATTAAGAAGAAAATACAGCTTTTGTCTATACCATAGAAATTGAATGTCTGCAATGGGAGTTGCTGGTTTCTCTGTTTTCTCTGTTTTTGCTGAGGTCATTCTGCATCTGGGACATGAGAGTGTTCTGTTCTGGGAGAGACACTGACAAACTTGGGGGAGTCCAAAGAAGGCAAAAGCTGGAGAACCCGAGTATCTCATGAATAATGTATTTTACTTAGCTATGGAGTCAAGCACCATGTGCATCTTTTTGTAAATATTACTGCATGTAATTCCTCAAACTAGCCTCTTATGGGGATCCTCTATTTCAGAGCTTGGCAGACATTTTATGTAAAGATAGTAAATATGGTAAGCTTCGTGGGCCACATGGTTTCTGTTGCAACAACTCAACTCTGTTTTAACTCAAAAGCAGCCACAGACATTATGTGTCCAAAAGGGTGTGGCTGTGTTCTAATAAAAACAGGCAATGGTCTGGATTTACCCTGTGGGCCATGATTTGCTAAGCCCTGCTCTGTTTTATTGATGAATAAACAAAGGCTTAAAGAGATTAAATAATTTAATATGCTGAAATGAGTAAGTGGCAGAACTGAAATTGAGCTCTGAGCCTCTCTGGCTCTGAAGCCCATGAAAACACACATAGATGGTCTTTTGGATGGGGATAGGCTTGTTTTGGGGGCACTGGGGGTCAGTGGTGGGAGCCATGAGGAGGCAGAGGTTGGCTTAGTAGGAAGAACTCAGCTGTCCAATAGCAGAGCAGACTGCAAGTGAGGTCACAAGTGGTGGACACTGCAGTGTTTGCACTAAATACCCACCTGGTGGGGATATTGAGGAAAAGATTGCCGATTTGGGGAGGAAATTGAGCTGATAGCCTCTGAGGATCCCTTCCAACTCTGTGGATCTGTGGTCATCAACAAAGGGGACCACGTGGGTAACAGCTTCCACCAGGGTGCTCTTGAGCAGGAGCTGCGGGGCAAGTAGCTGCCGTTTTCTTCCCATTCTCAGAGTCCATCCTGCTGACCTCTCCTGCCCACTCCTAATGACCCTTTCCTGCAGGTCGGTCTTACCAGCCTCCCCCCATTTCCCTGCAGTGGTCAGCGGGTGCCCTTGCCCCCCTTTCCCTAGCTCCCAGCTCTCACCGCACACTCAGCTGAATCCCCAGGGAGAACACAAAGCAGAGAGTTGTACAGTTATGGGCTTGTATCCCAGTCAGCGCATCCCTGCCTCTGAAGGGATGCAGATGAATGTGGCCTCTTGCTGTTTTATGCCAACTTGGAGTTCACTCTCTGGCTGTACTTGCCGCCCCCCAGCTTCTGCCCTTCTCCTTGGTGTGGAAGCTGGGATTCTGTCTCCAGCATTACTCCAATTTTTCCCTTGTGTCTCTACTGGATTCCAGATCCTCTTGCACACTGCCAGCGTTGCAGCATCCATACTGTTGGGGCTCAAGAGCCAGCCAGGTCATAGCTGTGGTCTAGGCCATATCGGGTTCTCCCAGCGGGCCCGTTCTCCCTGGGGTTAAGTCCAGCCGTGGCAAACACGGAGTTTCTGCCTTGCCTTTCCTACTGAGCAGGCCTCATGAGTCATGAGTCATGGCCCCGCAACTTCCCATTGCTATCTGACCTTGCTTCCCCCTGCTCTGTCCCAAGGGTGATATCCTGCTTGCTGTCTTGGTGATTGTTTCTAAACTGCCTAATAGCTGTGATTTTTTTTTTCAGGCTGATTTCTAATTTTTCTTCAATGTCAGGTAACTCCTTGTTTCTTATTCTCTTAGGCCTCTGGTTTCTGCCTTTCCAGCAGGCTGGATGGTTTAGCATGCTGCGTGTGTGGCCAGGGGCAGCCCACATGGCTTAATTAGCTCTTCAGCCCCCTGGCAGGAGGTGTGAAGAATGCTTCCTACAGTATGTAGGCACCCTGCGATTGGGGCATTTTCCCATGTGCTAGGTTCGGTGGATTGGAGAAGCTTGAAGGGGTGGATTTGGAGGATATTGTGCAAAAGGAAGGTGTGGCAGTCAGGGTGCTGGCAGGGAACTGGGCCCTTCTGATGGTCCGGATGTAGGTTATGGGATGGTCAGGTACGTACTATCTGGCAGCAGAAGGGGAGCCTGTACCATGCCTAGGGCTGCACTGGAGTCATAGAGGGGGGTCACCAGTACATGCCACTTCAGGGAAGAAACATCACAACCTCTCTCTTCCTGCCCCCATAGTCCCACCAGTGCCTCTCATTAGCCAAACCTAACAGGAACCACCTGCAGGGAGCCACCCAGGGTGGTGCAGTGTGTAGGAGAGTGAAGAATGCGATTGGGGGCAGGGGAGGACAGACAGATGGGACAGATGGAGAATAACCAGGAAGGGGCATCCACTTAGTGGGCACCGATAGCAGGCTTGCTACATTACTGCTTTCCTCCGGGGGTGCAGGTGGTCAGTATCTGCAGAACCCATCTGCTGGGCCTCTCTTCTTCTCGGTGGACTGGGTTTATAATCCATTTTCCCTCTGAAGGCATTCCTGAGACTCAAGCAGTGTCCTCCTTTTGCAAACTCCTGGGGTAATTCCTCATTGACACATTCATCCAGCACTGAGACTCCCCACTGTTCTCTCCCCCACCTCTCTCTCTGTGTGCCCATCTTTCCTAGATTGTGAGCCCGTAAAGTGTAATCATTCTTTTGTTCCCCACATCTTGCAAGACCCTTCAGAAACACCTATTGTCTGATGATCATTTCATTAACTGGTCAGAATTACAAAATCCTGAACTGAAGGATTGTAGCCATGGTTCCTGTGAGTTTTAAAGGTAAACTGAGGAATTGCCGAAAAGTTCCTTAAGATGCATAGTGTGTTGTGCACGTTTTCATCCTTGGCATAACCCTGTGAGGTGACAGCCCCATAAAAGTGCAAAGTGGGTCCCAGATCACTCTCTGCTAGCTGGGGTAGAGTAAGCTTCAGATAAAATGGCTGTTTCCTTTCCATCCCATTGATGATTTTCCCCAAATCTATTGGTACTTATTACCATGTTAGCTTGTCCCAGTGTCATATTTTTAGATTTGAAAGCAGAATGGGAAGGTGAGTCTAGTGGGAATAAAATGTGGTTGACCGCATTTCTACTACACAAGAGGAAATGGGCACCAGTGATCATGGGTGCCTGGGTCCCAATCTGCCCCATAGCACGGGTAGTGGGTTTCTGAAAGAAAGCAGCACGCATCTGTCGCTGAACCTGCGTTTTTACAGCACAGTTGTTTGCCCTGGAATATTTGCCGTTTATGTTGTTGTTTTTTTTTTTTTTTTTTTTTTCTGAGATGGAGTCTGGCTCTATCACCCAGGCTGAAGTGCAGTGGCACAATCTTGGCTCACTGCAACCTCCACCTCCCGGGTTCAAGCGATTTTCCTGCCTCAGTCTCCCATGTAGCTGGGATTACAGGCGTGCCCCACCACACCCAGCTAATTTTTTTTTTTTTTTTTTTTTGTATTTTTAGTAGAGATGGAGTTTCGCCATGTTGGCCAGGGTAGTCTTGAACTCCTGACCTCTGGTGATCCACCCACCTCAGCCTCCCAAAGTGCTGGGATTATAGGCGTGAGCCACTGCACCCAGCCATATTTGCCCTTTAAAAGGGAAAACCTAAGGAAACTGATGTTAACCCTTTGCCATCGTCAATCTCATTGATGTCGGCCAGTCAATCCTGTCAAATCTTGCTCTTTTTTTAATGATGCTTGAAAATTGGAGCCTCACAACTGTTTACTAGGTGGGTCTAGGATGGTAATTTCTGGAAATGACTGTAGACTATGCCAAATGTCTTTTTAGCCTGTTATCTGACCATGCCCAGATGGCTTAACTTTTCTCTAGCAGTGTCACTTTTTCCTTATTTCTCTGTATCTGTGGAGTAGCGTAGAACCGTATGTACAAAGGTTTCTGCTGACATATCAGTGTCTACACAGCTATGTGGGTATCCATGTTGGTGCCTGAAGAGTCTGGCCCGCGCCCAGTATTTGGCAGCTGTAAAATGTTAGATGAACTTCCACCCTCAGTAAAATCAGCCACCCCTTCAAAAGAGTCACAGGCATCCATCCAGTAATATCTTTCCAGGAAAAAAAAAAAAAAGATTTACGTGTAGTCAAGAAAAAGTAGAGATCGCAGGAAGCACTGCTCTGAGCAGATTAGAACAGAGGATTTCGCAAGAGGTGCTCCTTGGCCAAGTCGAGTAAGTAACATCGGACTGATAGGAGGAAGAGCAGCTTAGCTTGGGGCCCTGTGCCCAGTCCTGCTTGTTTAGGCCTTTGTCCCTGTCTGCTTTCCTGGGGCTGGGGCTCTGGGCCCGGCCGATGCCCCTGGTCCCAACCCCAGCTTTATCACTGGGTTCAGCAAGGGGCCCTGGAGAGCAGGCAGCAATGGCAGGCACCTCCCGCATGCACCATTACCTTCATTCCTCTTCTCAGGTTTCCACAGTTGCCCCTATAAAAAGACTGCTGTTGGCCCATGCCAAGTACTCTGGAATAGACAGGAGTGGTATTTCCGCCCTCTTGGAGGGTTGGTGTTTACCAGTGTCCCCCTTCGCTGCAACCCAATGGCAATTGTATTGCCCCGGTGCTCCAGGAATCTGAGGATGATTGGTTGATTTCCTATGATTTCTGGGAGAGTAGTTTACCCAAACCTTTTATGAACCAAAGCCATACTCCCTGGGAGTGTCTGGCTGATCATGTCAGAGACATCTGCCTGGTGGATTGGGGCTGTCACGTGACCAGTGGCCCGCTCTGTCTGCTGCCCAGTACTGCCAATTGGGGAGTGTCCTTCTGCCTTTTTCTCTGCCCTATGTCTGGGACACAGGGATGGCAGCCAGGCCCAGGAGCACCCAGCATCCTCCAAGCAATGAGGTAGCACTGCTTCTGACTTTTCCTCAGGATCTGGTCTTTTTCCATGACAATGAGGTGGGGCCCAACCTTCTCGAAAGTGGCATTGTTTCTGCACAGTTGTAACTGCTCTCAGGGGTGTCAGTGAAGTAGGGGTGGGAGGGAAGCCATGGGATGCTGAGAGAATAGGGCCGAGAGGACATACCTGCTCTCCAGCTTGGCCTTTGATCCAGACACTAGGGACGAGGCTGTCACTGTGGGTGCCTTTGTTAGTGTTTGTGTGTTTGAGTAGTCTGAAATGCTGTGACTTTTTTTTGTTGTTGTTAATAAAGATAAGGAAACAAACAGAAAAAAGGAAATTGGAGCTTCCAAAAGGAAGAAGGAAGTCTTAATATAGAATTGACTTCTTCCCAGGTAAGTTTTAATTGCTTCTCATGCTTGTAGAAAGGTGTATCATGTGTTCTAATAGGTTAGGATTTAATTATGGCTTAAAATTAGTTCTATAGGAAGAGCTTGGAGTTGCACCTAGGGAGAAGAAGCAGAGGGTTCCAGAATTGTGTAAACGGATTGATGGAAAAATAGGCTTCTGGTGCTGAGGGTTCAGGAGCCTTGCCAGCATCACAACAAGGTGTGAATTAGCCTCCTCGCACTCTGGGAGGAAGTGGAGGAACTGCTGGGGTGTGAGGCTGTGAAAGGACCTTGGAGAGCCAAGTCCTCCCTGTTCAGACAGGGACAGGCACAGCTGGAGACAGCAGTTTTCAGCTCTGTGGAACTCTTGTTCTCTGGGTTGCACTTCTTCCTGTGATAATAAAGAGGTTGAAGACAGGAAGACAGGTGCTTGAAAGCCGGAAGACAAGGGGAAAGTTGTTTGAAGCAGGTGTTTAAAAATCCGCCACTTTGGGGGGATGAATTAGGATATCGGTAACAATTTTATAGCCTATATGGTTTCTTTTTGACCCTCGAAGATAGGTGGGAAGTGGTTTTCTATACTTCTTTTAAAAACTGGGAAACCAGAGCTTAAAGAAGTTAAGCTTGAGGCAGCAGAGTTCAATGCACTGGTGAATTGAAATGTTTGTGTGTGTATACATACATACCTGTGTGCGTACATACATAGGTATATATACATACTCAGTATAAATATACATGCACATATATCTATACATGTACTGATACAAAGGGTATATAATACAATTTACAACTAATAACAAACTATGTGCACTCTTTATTATAAATTCCATTCAGCCAATGTAGGCTCACAGAATGCTTTTATTGATTTTTACTGTGGCCAACCTATGACTGACAATGGTTTGACAGAGTTGCATTCCAATTCACTAGTTTTTTACCTAGTAAATTTATTACCATTAAATCTAATATGTGATCTACTGTTAGACTATTTCTCACCTTGTACAAATTATGTTCCTTAAGCTGAGCTTCATTTTGGCTTCAGCACTGCTGATTGCAATAGTGCTAGCTATGTTTTAAGCTTTTGGTGTTGTTGCAGGGGTTGAAGCATTGTTGGATTCTGTATCACCTAAGGGTGTCTGTGTTTAGCAACCAGGTCATGAAATTCCTGAAAAATGAACAGTTGTCTCTTGTGAGCCAGCACAGGCAGGCTGGAGCACATCACTAGCTCCATTGTCAAGGTCTGGAAAGGCAGGTGCTTGTCTGTCTTATTCAGTCTTTAGCCCCAGACCCAGGGAGGTGCTGAATGTATGATTAGAGATTCAGTGAATATTGGTGAGATGGATGAATGAGGTTTCAAAGCTGGGACCAGGAGCCAGTCCATGGGACTCCAGTTCTTATCCCATGAGGACAAGGTCCAGGGTGGGCATTGAAGAATCACAGGAAAGGAGGGGCACCAGAGACCGTCTCCACTGTCAGAACTCAGCTGCCATGTCCTGCCTTCCGCTAGGATGTCAGCACTGGGGCACTGTGGTACAAAGAAGAGGAGAAGGATGACATCTCATTTAGTGTACTTTTTTTCCAGCTTTATCCAATCTTTTGGCAATTTTATTCCCCATCATTTAGGAAAGAGAAGACCTTCTTATCTAGCAGTTTGATGACTTATGGTAGTTGCTTTGGTTTGAATATTTATCCCCTCAAAACTCATGTTCAAACTTAATCTCCAGTATGGCAGTGTTGAGAGGTGAGGCTTTTAAGAGGTGATTGGGAAGGCAGAGCCTTCATGAATGGATTAATTCATACGTGGGTTAGTGGATGAAAGGGCTAATGGATTAATGCGTTATCGTGGGAGTGCCACTGGTGGCTTTATAAGAGGAAGAGAGGCCCAAGCATATTTAGTGAGCATTTTCTTGCCCTCTTGCCATGCGATGCCCTCTGCCACGTTTTGATGCAGCAAGAAGATGCTCACCAGGTGCCAGCGCCATGCTCTTAGACTTCCCAGCCTCCAGGACCACGAGCTGAATAAATTGCTTTTATTTATAAATTGCCCATTCTGCAACAGAAAATGGACTAAGACAGTAGTCACCAACAATACTTAACTAGAATGGCCAGTTATGGAGAACAAGAGTTATATTTTTTTTCTCAGACAGGTCCCTTTACATCTTTTAAAATGAAATATGTAATACATTCACACAGTTCGAAAGTCAAAGACAGTATCTTGCCCTCCAGTGACTAGTTCCTTCTAGTGAGTCTTGAGATCATTCCATATATATTCTATGTGTATTTAAGACAATAAACATAAATTTTTTCATGTTTTTACTGAAATCGTAGCATGTTATACACATTGTTCTGCCTTTGGCTTTTTTGTTTTTTCACCTCATAGCATAACTTGAAAATCATTCCATTACTACATAGGAAGACATGCCTTTTTCTTCTCTATGATTTACTGTCATTTATTTAACCCTTTCTGTCTGTGAACTTCTAGGATTCTTTTCTAATTTTTCTATTATAAGCAATTCTGCAATGATTGCTGATGTACAAAATGTTGAAGCTATCTGTAGGTAAATTCCTAGAAGTGGAATTGCTGGATGAAAGAGAACATGCATCTGTCATTCTTGTATGTGTTACCAAGTTACTCTTCATAGACCGTAAGTCAGTTTTCAGCCCAACTACAAGAGAAAGCTGGCTGGCTTCTTTCGCTGTCTCACAGCTGCTTGATTCTTGCTACTTTGATAAGTGTAGTTTCATCAATTTTTAAGTATGAATAAGTGTAAGCATGTTTTCAAGTATGTTTAAGAACTATTTGTCTCTGCTTTGAACTTTCTATTCATACTCTTTGCCCATTTTTCTCTACGTTTGTAGACTTTTATTAATTTGTAGGAGCTCTTTATCTATTAAATAGCTTTATGTTCATGTTATGATTTGCACATCTTTTCTCTAGGTTGTCATTTGTCTTTTGGCATTGTTTCTGGTACTTTTCTCCCCATGATTTTTTTTTGTGTTGTGATAAAATGTGAAACTTGTCATTTTAACTATTTTTAAGTGCACATTCAGTGGCGTTAAGTCCATTCACATTGGTTGTGCAGCCATCACCACTATCCATCTCCAGAAGTCTTTCACCGTCCCAGACAGCTGTATTTTTTAAAATAGTCGGATTTATCAAATTCGTTTAATCTTTTATGGGTTTTGTATCACAGTTAGAAAGGCCCTTACCGCTCTGAGTTTATTTGTTTTGAGACAGGGTCTCATTCTGTTGCCCAGGCTGGAGTGCAGTGGCACAATCATGGCTCACTGCAGCCTCGACCTCCTGGGCTTAAAAGATCTTTCCACCTCAGCCTCCTGAGTAGCTGGGACCATAGACACGAGCCACAACACCCAACTGATTTTTTAAAAATTTATTGTAGAGAAGAGGTTTTGCCATGTTGCTGAGGCTGGTCTCAAACTCTTGGGCTCCAGCGATCTGCCTACCTTGACCTCCCAAAGTGTTGGGATTACAGATGTGAGCCACCGTGCCCAGCCCACTTTAAATTCATTTTTAAAATATTCTCTCATAATTTCTTCTAGTACTTTGATGGCTTATTATGTATGTTTAAGTCTGTGATTTGCCTGGAATTTATTTTCGTGTGAAGTGTGAAGTATGGCTCCAGGCGTAGTTTTTCCAGAGCCCCTCAGTTACCATTTGCTCATCAAAACATGGTTTGAGGGCTGGCTGGATTCAACCAGGGAGATTTCCTGCACTGTTGGTAGCTGTAGGGAATCAGCAAAGCTGCTGTTTCCAGGAGCTCTTGTGAGCTGGGGAGTGAAGAGCTTCAGAAATGAAGCTTGAGCTAGACTGATGAAATCCCACTCTAGGAAAATACAAGCCTTACGGTGTTTATGTTTGCTATATTCAGAATCACAGGCATGCTAGTGAGTGCACTGTCTAAACATGTTGAAAGATGGTCTGCAGTATCTCTACTCAGCGAGGTGGATGAAACAGGTACAGCCCATGAGAGGCAAGTTAGTGTCTTGGATAAGGCGTTCCTGGTGGATGAGCCATTTGTGCCCCGATAGAGGTTCTTACAGAGGAGGGGCTGGAGTCCACTGATGCTCTGGGCCTCTCCCTGGGGGAAGGGGTGCCTGTTTCTCTTGGCCCAAAGGCCCTGCACATTCCAGCATGCCCTGACCTTGGAACTGTTCCTCAGGTCTCTGGGCCCACTGCATCTCTCCTCCCACAGCTGGACCTGAGAGTCAGGGAGCACCTCTTGTATGCCAGCCATGCTGGGTCTGGGACCCCCTCACCCTCAGGGCCCTCAGGTGGTTCCCTCAGGCTGCAGCGGACATAGAGATCAGTTCTGTGTGTTCCCTAAGCTGACGTGGAAAGTTGGGAAGCACACGCTTGAGCCCTTGAACTTCCTCTTTCTCAGAGCCTAACAGTAGAGCCGGGGTGGGTTTCTTGCCAGAACCACCTCCTCGCAGAATCCCAGGAGACACCAGCCAGGTCCTTTCACACCCCAAACAGTGTGAATGCGCATGTTTACAGCAGCACAATTCGCAATTGCAAAAATGTGGAACCAATCCAAATGCCCATCAATCAAAAAGTGGATAAAGAAACTATGGTATATATACATGATAGAATACTACTCGGCCCTAAAAAGGAATGAATTAATGGCAATTGCAGTAAACCGATGAGATTGGAGACAATGATTCTAAGTGAAGTAACTCAAGAATGGAAAACTAAATATTGTATGTTCTCACTCATAAGAGGGAGCTAAGCTATGAGGATGCAAAGGCATAAGAATGACACAATAGACTTTGGGGACTTAGAGGGAAAGGGTGGGAAGGGGGTGAGAAATAAAAGACTACAAATGGGGTGCATTGTTTACTGCTCGGGTGATGGATGCACCAAAATTTCACAGATCCCCACTAAAGAACTTGCTCATGTAACTGAACACCACCTGTTCCCCAATAACCTATGGAGATAAAAAGATTAAAAACAGAAACAAAAACCGAACAGTGTGAACAGTGCACCCTGAGGTCTCCCTGGGGTCCCTTGTACCCCTCAGGAGCCTGTGGATGACCCTGTGCAAACAGTTGGGTGGAAGACTGTGTCTTCCTGTGTGTTTGGATGAGTACCAGAACTTTCTGCGTCTGTTTTTCACCCTACCCAATGCAGTGCTTACCTAAAAAATGCGTTGAATAGAGCTTCTTGCTTTTACCTCGTTGCACTCCTGAGAGCAAGATGGGTCACCAGCAGCTGTACTGGAGCCACCCGCGAAAATTCGGCCAGGGTTCTCGCTCTTGTTGCGTGTGTTCAAACAACCGGCACGGTCTGATCCGGAAATATGGCCTCAATATGTGCCGCCAGTGTTTCCGTCAGTACGCGAAGGATATCGGTTTCATTAAGTTGGACTAAATGATCTTCCTTCAAAGGATTATCCAAGGCATATACTCAATGAAAAACCATGATAGTTCTTTGTACATAAAATAAACATTTGAAAAAACAACAACAAAAAATGCGTTGAATAAACGAAGGCCAAAATGTCAGTTTCCAAAAAGAACCTGAGGCGGTTCTTTGGTCAGAGCAGCCCTGTTAGGGCTGAGGGCCTCGGTTCCACCTCCTCCATGTTTTCCTCTCTCTTCCCACTGTGAGCTCTCTCAGACCTGGCACTGTGGCCGCTCCCAGCTCCTCGCACCCAGCATGGGGCAGGTGCTGAATGTCTGAGGAGCTTAATTTCCCCTCCCTCTTGCCTTCTGCCTGGGGTGAGGGCTCAGTTGCTCTGAAGCTCATGACCAGGCTTAATAGTCAGTTGAGCTATAGGCCTGCAGATCGAGTATCCCTTTAAGTTTGTTTTTAAAATATTAAATTTACCAAGAAACAGTAAATATTTAAAATTTTTGTTGGGTTTTGCTCTTTTACTGATTTCTACTAGATTTTTTGGCTCCTTTTAAAGGTATAATTTATATGCTAGGAGTGGTGTCTCATGCCTGTAATCCTAGCACTTTGGGAGACTGAGGCAAGAGGATCGCTTACAGCCAGGAATTCAGCCCCAGCCTGGGCAATGTAGCAAGACCCTGTCTCTACAATTAAAAAAAAAAAAACAGAAGGAAAAAAGGTATAGTTTGTGTTCAGTAACATTCACACCTTTTAATATGCAATTCTGAGTTTTAACAAATGCATAGTCATGGAACTACTACTGCAATCAGGACGTATAATAGTTCATAATCCCCTAAATTTCCATGTGTGTATTAGAGTTAATGCTCCCCACCTCCCTTCATCTGGCAACCACTGTCAGTTTTCTGTTCTTGCAGTGTCTCCTTTTCAAGACAGACACAGAAATAGAATCATGGCATATATACCTTTTAAGTTTGGCTAGCATCACACATTTGTAATTCATCCACATTGCTGTCTACGTTAATAGTTCATCTCTTTTTTATTGCTGAGTTTTCTGTTGTATGAATATGCTACAGTCTGTTCACTCACCAACTGAATGACATTTGGATTTTTCCAATGCCTTCCTGGTATCTATTTCCCTCCATTAGTCTATGGGAAGCTTTCTAGAGAATCATTGTGATTCTAACCAGGTATATTTGGTATTTTTTTTGAGGGCAAAGGTTTTTGGGCAGCGTCCCCCAAGTCATCCTGTATAATTGTGTACTGAGTGGTCCTTTATGGTGATGAGATGGTAGTGGTGGTGTCGCCGTGCCCAAGTCTGATTGACAGCTAACCATTCAGCCATCCTTGGTTATTCTCTCCTCTCTCTGGTGAACAACATACCTTCTTTGATGTTGATGCCAATTAGACATGTTATAAGGACTTCTCTGAAAACTCAGAACCCAAACATAACCATCCCCATATGCTGTTTCTACTTCAAAAACAGTTGGAGGATTGTAAGACAGAATTTCTTCCCATTAGCAGTGGGGGCCAAGAAGGAAGGGGAAGAAAGAACCAGTTGCCCAGGGCCTTTGACTGTGAAAGAGGACACCTGAAGGTGAAGGACCCATGACATTGTTAATTGTGATTATTTAGCTGATGGAAACAAAATTCCATAAACATTCTGTAAGAGCAAAGCCTGGTGTAGAGATTCATTCTGTCTCTTTAGGTGTTGGTCTCCCAGTGACTGTAAAACCACCCAAGGGTGGCATTGAAGACACTTGCTTTTGCCCTTGACTTATGTGCTCTTGAGCATTGTACGTCCTTGGGCTAATCGCTTGCCTTCAGATCTTCTGCGCTAGGTTGAGGGGCTTGGAGGAGATGGGCCTCTTGGCTCTCTGACACTGAATCCTTCCTCTCAGGCCCAGTAGTCTTTGCGGCCTGTTGGGTCTGCAAGTCTAGAAACAGCAACTCCATGCCACGGGAACGTTTCTGCTTCCATTGTTACTCACCGGCCTTACACGGATGACCATGCGCTGTACAGGGAATGCCAGGGCTGGCCAAGCTGGCTCCAGCAGAGCACAAAATAGAGCTTGCTCCTGCTGAGGTGAGGTCCGTTCCTGGAATTAGATGCTCTCTGCATCTAGGTCTATCAGGAAGGTGAGCTGGCAAAAGATCCCTAAAGCCTTTAAACATCACTTAAATAGGTGTGTGTGCAAAATTGTCTTCCATTAACAAATATGTCAAAACACAAGCCTAATGTTTTCTTTGGACAGTTTCCAAACACTGAGCTTCTTTCTGAACTGTTACTGGCCGGATTATTGGGACTATTCCCAGGTGTTTATTTCACATCCTCCTCTTTTTGCAAGTGACATTTAAAATACTTCTTCGAAGCACACACATTAAGCCAGGAGAAAAATCCTAGGATGGGAAGCAATCTTATGGCTGAGACCTTGTCTGCGAACAATTGTTTGCTGACCAAAATGCCGAAGTCATTAATCCTCCTTTCTACTGACTTTGAAATGGAAAATTAAATTTCAGAAACCTTTTGATTGCACACATGCATCCCACAATGTTTCATACACCAATACATATATAGGTAGTTTGAATTCTGTGCACCAAGCCACTTGCACTGACACTGATACTAATGTACTGTGAGAGAGCAGCATACTTTAAACACTTGCCGATGTGAATCAGACTTGAGAGAACTTGAGCGTGCGTAAGCACCTTGATGTCTTATCCATTTGGAAGCTTATTGTTACAGTGCGTTTTCTTTTCTTTCTTTCTTTTTTTTTTTTTTTGAGACAAAATTTCTCTCTTGTTGCCCAGGCTGGAGTGCAATGGTGATGTCTCAGCTCACTGCAACCTCCACCTCCTGGGTTCAAGCGATTCTCCTGCCTCAGCCTTCCGAGTAGCTGGGATTACAGGTGTGCATCACCACTCCCAGCTAATTGTTGTATTTTTAGTAGAGATGGGGTTTCGCCACGTTGGCCAGGCTGGTCTCGAGCTCCTGACCTCAGGTGATCCACCCGCCTCGGCCTCCCAAAGTGCTGGGATTACAGGCGTGAGCCACCACGCCCGGCCTACCATGCACCTTTTCTAATCCCTCTTCCTGGAATGCTCTTGCTCCAGAGAGCCACAAAGCTAACTTTCATCTCCTGCAGCGTTTGTTCAGATGTCACTTTCTCAGTGAAGCCAAACTGACCTTCCTATAAAAATCACCTCCGACTCCTGAGCTCAGGCCTGGGCAACATGGTGGAACCCCATGTCTACTAAAAATACAAAAAAACTAGCCGGGTGTGGCGGTGTGCACCTGTACTCCCAGCTACTCGGGAGGCTGAGGCAGGAGAATTTCTTGAACCCAGGAGGCGGAGGTTGCAGTGAACCGAGATCGCGCCACTGCACTCCAGCCTGGGTGACAGAGCAAGACTCCATCTCAAAAAAAAAAAAAAAAAAAATCACCTCCAACCTCACACCATACCCCATTTTCTGCCGCACTATATACCCTGGTATATGACCTTCCAGGGACATTCAACTGGTAAGGGAAGAATGCTTCAAGGGAGCCATGTGTATGACTCCAGTAAACACACTGTGTGTGCTCACCTCCCAGGTGCTGGCAGGCTACTAAGCATGCAGACAGCCACCCCATGGGAAGAATCAGGGGAGAAGGGGCACAAGACCCCAGAAGTCTGACAACATGTAAAACCCCAAGTCAAAATGTTAAACCGCGTACTTGATCTCTCAAGTCGCCTCCTGGGCCCTCTTCCAAGTGTACTTTACTTCCTTTCATTTCTGCTCTAGCGCTTTTCAATAAGCTTTCACTCCTGCTCTAAAACTTGCCTCAGTCTCTTCTGCCTTAGGCCCCCTTGGTCGAATTCTTTCTTTTGAGGAGAAAAGAATTGAGGTTGCTGCAGACCCATACAGATTCGCTTCCAGTAACACTAGTACCTAGTAGTTTCTAAGGTATTTCTAACGTGATCTTACTAATTTATCTTTTAAATTAAAAATTAAGGGTATCATTTATTCTGTGACTCTTTGAGGAGATTTGGTGTCTGTTTTATCCTGAGCATCTACAACAGTGCCTGACACATAGTAGATGCTCAGTAAAAAGTTATGGAGTGTATACCACATGCTCTGGGGGATATATGGCACAGTCTTTGGATTATCAGTTTGTGTTTATTTCTTGGCTGCAAAGGTGGAGGGAAGGCCCAGGTTGCACAGGAGGGGACAGAGCTTTAACAGTACGTGGAATGCAGTGGACGTGCCTTTATCTGCAAGGACCCTTGACTGCATTGAGGCTGCCTGGAGCAAAGAAGCCACCAGACCCAAGGGGCTCAGGCTAGGCTGGGAGAATGCCAGGAGGCGAGTCCCTGTCACCTGCCCCTAGAACAGGTCAGACCTGTTCTGTTGTTCTGTGGTCATCTGCTCTAAATTTCCTCCTACTCACCTCTGGGCCTTTAAATTTGGGATTCATAAGAATGCTTGGTGCAGAGGAGGAGCTGATGCCTCCCTAACTTCCCTAATGCCGCCCGCCCAAGCTTCTCAGAACCCCTGCTTCCTCATTAAGATAATGAGAACTTCCTTAGATATCTGTGCAGACGAAATGAGAGAATGTGCCTAAGTCCTCAACGCAGTCCTGTTTTTATTATTTAGGCTTTCCCCCTCTGGGATTTGGAATGGAAAAAGCACAGCCTAATCTTGCCCCTCTCTTTTCCCCAGTGAGAACTTATATGGTTCCCATTATGTTCTATTGTTATTATTCCACTATTTTCCAGAATGTGAGGAATAAGCTGACCCTGAGCCTGCCACTTTGATTTGGTCGTCAGAAGTCCTGGGGAAGCAGTTGAGAGATCTTGTAACTTTTAGTATTAATCTCAAAGACACTGCCTAACCAACACAGGCTGTATTACCAGTTCCTACATCTAGCCCTCTGTAGGGTAGCTTGATTTTAAATGTGCAAGTTAATTTCAAGTCTGTTTTGTAAGGGGAATTTATATTAAGCACATTAACAACCTCAGTGTCTCCAAGGGTCAAATCTTATGTCTACTTTCCTTAACCCGTTTTGAAATTGGAAGAGGAAGTTAATATGCAGTCCCATGCACTCCCTTTTAGATTTAATAATGGATGAAAAGTTCTTTTATCCACTGTACTTCTTCAGAAATTTCAGAATAATTTCTTTCTGTTTGAAGAATATGAAGTTAGTTCTTTAAAAAGAGAGACATGCTATTTAATTTTTAAACCCCACCATCTAGGGAATTCTGACATTATGGGACAGACTGAGCCGATTTCCCTTTGTGACATTGGGGTTTCATGTGCTGGAGCCACATGAGGGATGCACAGAGGGGAGCCTTCTTGTCGCAGGTGGGAACAAACATCCAAAGAAACCCCCAAGGGCCCCTTTGAAGGTCATCCTCACTGGAACAAAGGTAGTCACTGGGGCCAGACCAGTGACCTCTCCATATTCATGCAGGTCTCTTCTTCAAAGATTTTAAGTAACTTCCTTTCCCAGGGGGATGGAGCAGCTGTGAGCCGAGCATTAGCGCCAGGCCTTTTAAAAACAGACCAGTGAATTCAGGAAATGCTTACCCTTTGGATAGTCAAGTGGAAGCATGGATATATTTTAAAGTATCTATCTAATTCCTTCTCTGGAGTGAGAAGGGGTTAGGGGGAGAGATCTAGGTCAAAAATATTATTTAAGGATAAAATGCTCTGATCATTGCATTGTTGCACGCAGTGGGCTCAGCAAGCTTTTCGTTTCCACTGCAGTGTGGGTCATAGCTTGTGCGTGAGTCCCCTCTGACTAGAGGGCTGGTCTATCCATACCCGATGTTCACTGCCAGTAGCTGGCTGGAGTTCATTACTGGTGCCACCAGCCTCAGGCCTGGTCGTTCAAAGAAGAAACAATATTTGAAAATGGACGTGATTTTTCCCTTGGGGCTTTCCTGTGTTTTCTTCATAGAGTATACTTTGTAATTTGGGGAACCAGAATAAATAGAAAGAAGAATAGTTAGGACAGTGAGTCCATCTGAAGCCTTTGTAGGTGGTGAAGGGAGAAGTTGGGGGTAAGAGGGCATTCACTGCACAGCAAAGACTGGCGTGTCTCAGACTGGTGCAAACCTGTGCTGCAATATTGACCTGAGGATGAGTAGAAAAAGGCAGAGGAGCTGTCACTTCAGTGTAATGTTGAGAAAAAACAGTCCTCTCCCCAGTGTAGGGCATTGAACTGTCACAACCAGAATTATGCCCAGGATTTCATACAGGTGCTGTCTATTGTACATAGCTTAAAAAGCTGGTTGCCTGAAAGTTCAATTATTGTGTCTTATTGTTTCCTGTGAACATAAAGGAATGTCCACAGAATATTAGAGAATATTGGAATGCAGGAAGAGAGGCAAGTCTGAGAGGTGGGGATGAGTTCAGAGAAATCCCCAGGGGCCTCCTTATTGTGCAGTAGTTTTCCCTCCATGTGCCCCCTGGGCTGATATTAATGTGTTCTAGGAAATGCTTAATGCTTATGGGCCTGACTCTTGGTTTTGCCTTTTAAGAGGCATCATCATTACTAACAAACACGTTCCTGAACAGGCCTTAGTGCTAAGCTAGGCTCGATCTCTTCTTTCTGGCCAAATTGGGATTAATGCCACTCTTTGATTTCCTCATGTTGGCAATCACACAGTGCCATGATTAACTGGTGCCACACATTGCCAAGGCCCTATGGTTTACTTCAAGGGTCAGTAAACTGTAACTCCAAGGCCAAATCTGGCCCACTGTGTTTTTATAGAGTCCTTCTGCTAAGAATTGTTTTTACATTTTTAAATGATTGGAAAAGATTTTTAAAAAGAACAGTATTTTGTGCCACATGAAAATGATATGAGATTCAGATTTTAGTATTCATAAATAAAGTTTTACTGGAACACACCCATGCCCATTTGTTTGGTCTCTGGTTGCTTTTGCACAGCAATGGCAGAGTTGAGTCATGGTGACAGAGACCATGTGGCCCTCAAACCTGAGAATATTTATCCTCTAACCTTTTGCAGAAAGTTTGCTGACCCCTGGTTTATATCATTAGGGTAGGCATGTTGTGCCTTTATCCTATGTTTTTTAAGAAAATTCTAAAATCTAAAATGTATTCATTTCATGTATATTATAATGTGAAATTCTTATTTTGATAGCATTTTTATACCCCCTATGCAAAACTGAAAATGCTAGACAATGAAAGAAATGTGTAAACTGTTGAATACAAGGAGCCAGGCATTCATAATAGAGCCAGCTGATGCTTTGAGAGAAGAAAAAACCTCATGTCTCCTCTTCTCACCTCTCCCTCTTTTCTTCCAACATTTTATTACGAAAATTTTTAAATATACAGAGAAGTTGGTAGAACTGTACAGGGAACGCCAATTTGCCCTCCACCCAGAGTCTGTAATTACTAACATTTTGCCACATTTCCTTTATCGCCTCTCTGTACAATCATCTGTCCATCTCAGTTTTTATGTATTTCAGAATAAGTTACAGATGTTAGTACATTTCAACAATAGGTTACTTTTATTTCCACTGTTAATTAGGCTTAGTCTGAAGGGTGTGGAATATTTTCATTTCCTGAATGGAATAAAAGGTGGGAGTTAAAAGCAGATGGGAACAAGCAGAATGATATAATGTAATTAAGGCCTGGCTTAAAAAAATATGTGTGCCTGTGTATGCACACACACACATTGTAAATTTTGTGTACATGCACATAAAATATATATACACATGCGTGTGTGTGGATATGTATGCATATCTATATGTAAAAATAAAAGAATGAAATTGTCCATAAAGTAATGCAGGCTTTGAGAAACTGTTGGGAGAACTACATTTACCAGTGCTTAGGCACCAGACCAGTATTGTGAAAGTAAAGATGCTGAAGTCTTTGACACCTTTAACTTTTGCAACACATTTATGTTCTCTCAGACCGCATCCAGGGGCAGGAGAAGGAGTGTTCATGTGTTCACAGGCAGCATCAGCCAGGTGCACAGGTCCAAGACCTCAGGCCAACTCAGGCTGGAAGGCACCTGCTCCTGTGGGGTGCTAGCCACCACTGGGGAGCAGAGATGAGCAGAGAAGGCTCCTGGAGCTTTGAAAGACGTAGGCAACCTGCTACCTGAAGGACCAGTGAGGAACCTTTTGACAGTCAAAGAAATTTTTTATGATAGGAACAATTTCTAATTGGTCCATGTGTGCACTCCTTTTCTTTTCCTGCTCTGCCCTGCCCTTTTTGAGATGGAGTCTCACTCTGTCACCCAGGCTGGAGTGCAGTGGCGTGATCTGGGCTCACTGCAACCTCCGCCTCTCTGGCTTAAGCGATTCTCCTGCCTCAGCCTTCCGAATATCTGGGATTACAGGCATATGCCTCCATGCCCGGCTAATTTTTGTATTTTGAGTTGAGACGGGGTTTCGCCATGTTGGCCAGGCTGGTCTCAAACCCCTGACCTCAGGTGATCCGCCCACCATGGCCTCCCAGAGTGCTAGGATTACAGGTGTGAGCCACTGCACCTGGCCGAGTCCACTCATTTTCTAACAGCAGTTCTCAGGTTCCTGTCCTTTAGGCCCATTTAGTTATACATTTGCATAATGCTTTGCAATTTTAAAAACACTTTTCTTAGACTGTGATCCTGTGGGAATTATTATTCCAATTTCTTGCGATTTTTTTTTTTTTAATTTTGCAAGCTGCCATGAATTCTTAGGAAAAAATGCATGGTAAACATTAGGCATACTTTTCAATATATGTGCAATGTGCGATATGCCACACATATGGCCAAAATGCAGTTGGCTCATTTTGACAGTTTTTTTTTTTGTTTTTTTTTTTAACGCTGCCATGCTGTTCCAATTGGTTTGGCTTGACAGTTTTGAAATTGACAATTTCTGCCTCTCCCAATCATTGCTCTCAAGGGCAGGGGTACCACACTGGACATTTCATTGGATCTTCGAAGGCCCTACATACAATGCTGATTCCCAGGCAGATACTTCATAGATGTTTACTTTCCATTGAGTTTATTTTGAGTTATTAGTAGGATGCCTTAGTTGGGATTCCATTTCCAACCTGAGGATCAGCAAAAATCATTTTATGCATCTGCAGTGTTCTTGTTAGGTAAGCACTGTTGGGACAGGTAGAGTGAATGGTTTAAATGCTTTCCTGTTAGATACCCTTATTTTTAAAGTGTGAGGTGTCCTTTCTTGATTTCTTTTCTTTTTTTTTTTTGATACGGAGTCTCGCTCTGTCACCCAGACTGGAGTGTAGTGGCGCGATCTGGGCTCACTGCAACCTCCGCCTCCCAGGTTCAAGCAATTCTCCTGCCTCAGCCTCCCAAGTAGCTGTGATTATAGGCACGTGCCACCACGCCTGGCTAACTTTTGTATTTTTAGTAGAGATGGGGTTTTGCCATGTTGGCCAGGCTGGTCTCGAACTCCTGACCTCAGGTGATCTGCCTGCCTCGGCCTCCTAAAGTGCTGGGATTACAGGGATGAGCCACCCCGTCCGATTCTTGATTTATTTTCTGTAATTGATTTGATGTGTGCAAATGTGTTTATCAATAGGAAGAGCACTTTCTGGAAGGCATTATTCAGAAGATTAAAGGAGAAATCCTCACCATCAGTTCTTAGTTTCTTGAAGCCCGTGGTGGAAATGGATACACAGATGACACAGAGACCATCCATTTTTCTGTTTTCTGTGTGTTTCTAGCCCCAGGCAAATCCTGCCAAGCTCTGTCTATTTTAATGGCCCCTGTTTCTGGTGTCACCTCTGGCTTGAGAACTGCATTTCCATTAGCCCCCCTTTCGTTCTCTTTAAGGATGGGGGGATTACTGTTCTCCAGGCATCATCAAGCAGAAAATCAGCACAGAGATGCTTATGAGCATGCTCTATCACACTAGTGTTTTTTAGATTTATTTTAGTGTTTAATTCTAGTATTTTATGGGAAACTAGTCTGTCTTTTGATATTGAATTACATAAAAATTATAAGCCCTGCTAAGCTTTGAGTGTGATTAAAAAACAGCTGAACATTTGAAACTTGGTCTGTATGGGATCCTAATTTGGGGTTCTCATGTGTGAAGGTCTCCTTTGATATCAAATATATAATGTTCCTTTAATGTAATACTGTCTATAAATGTGATTTTTTTTTCTCCAAGAAAGTTTAGTCTCTGCCCTACTTAACCTAAATATATAGCCCACCAGTATTTTATTTCTCTTTATCATAGGAACATAATTCAAGATCTCTTAGATTATGGTGATTCATAAACTTTCTAAATAAATTCTTTGCAAAATCATTAGATAAATATATATTATTTTAAATAAAGTAGGCAACGGTATAGTAATATCCTTCCCCCAAGACACAGAGTTAAGGCAACTTAATATGTTTGTATGTAAGAGGGGAAAAAAAGGTGACACAGATGTAAACCGGAAGGCCCAAGGTTCTTATCTTTGGGCAGAGGATTACATCTGGGTGCTTTTTATTTTCCATTTGCTCATCGGTTTTCTGAAATTTCCACAGCAGACTGTTACCTTGGTAGTGAGAAACAAAATGATACTTGATTTTTCAAAGAGGGTCATTTATACCTGTCCCCAGCCTCTTCCGCCTCCCAAGTGAAATGGGGCTTGCCAGCTGATTCATTTATGTTCTTTCTTGTTTTCTAAGTTAGTATATTGCTCAAAACAGCCCTTGCGAGCTCTAGGAGCTCAGGAGCAGTTTGGTGTCCTCAAAGCAGCCCCTTCCCTAAAGCTACAGCCTCTGGGTTAAGGACATGTAGCAGAGGTACTAGTGTGAGATGTCTGGGTTTTCTGGTTTGTTCTTGGACCCACAAAGCGCAGAGAGCTCCCAAACATGTTCTCAGGATGGGCGAGGGTAGAAGGTGTAAGTCTTGGTGCCTATCTGCAAGTGAAGGTGTTTTTAAGACACCATGTGCGTGAGCATGTGACCCATGTGGTTTATGATGCTGACTTTTTCCTCTGGGGAAATGCGAAATACTTAAAGCTCTTATCTGTCTGTACTGATTTTGAAAGCCAAGAGCCTAAGATTTTGACAATTAGTTAAAAAAAAAAATCTGCAAGTCATGTGGGAATTGTAAAAATCTTATGGGGAATAATAATTTTAACTTAACCAATAAATAACACAATAAAAATTAAAGCACTTAAAATACTGATTTAAGTGCTTTATTTGTTATTGCATAAATAAATAAATCAGGGAGCTGATTTACCCCACCACCCCTACCCATGTCAGACTCAAATTTTACTAGGATTATCTTGTTTCTTTTGCGTATTTATAGCTACTTTTCCTATGTTATTTGCCTTTAGGGCAAATTATATTCTCTTTGAGAATATTTTATTCTTATTTAAATTCTTTATTGTCTTGAATAGGCACAGTAACAATAAATTTATTCAAAATTCAACAATGGGGAAGAACTTTAATTAACCTGATTATTTTATATTTTTCTAGTGGAGTAGTGGTGTTAGTTCTACCATCAGAGCAGTAATAGTTGTTTTAGATTAAATTTTACCTTGAAAAAGTTGATATTGGAGACATGAAGTTTTCTTTTTTTTTTTTTTCTTGAGATGGAGTCTCACACAGTCACCCAGTCTGGAGTGCGATGGCCCAATCTTGGCTCACTGCAGCTCTGCCTCCTGGGTTCAAGCGATTCTCCTTCCTCAGCCTCCCAAGTAGCTGGGATTACAGGCGCCTGCCACCACGCCTGGCTAATTTTTTGTATTTTTAGTAGAGCCAGGGTTTCACTATGTTGGCCAGGCTTGTCTCGAACTCCTGCCCTCGTTATCCTCCTGCCTTGGCCTCCCAAAGTGCTGGGATTACAGGCGTGAGCCACCGCATCCAGCCCCTATGAGGTTTTCATGTGTTTTGGAGGCCCTCTGTAGTGCATCAGTATCCCCCATCACATAGTGTGTACGCAGTCAGCCAGCTCTGCTTGATGGGCTGGGTGTATGGGGAGATGTTTCTGGGTATGGTGTGGGGTTTTGTGTGTGGTGTGTTGTGAATGTGGTATGTGTATGTATACTTGTGTATTTTGTATGTGTAGTTTGGATGAGATGTGCATGTGTGTAGTATGTGACATACATGGTGTATGTGTGTGTATGTGGAATATGGTGTGCATGTCTGGAGTATCTGGCATGTGTGTAGATGTGTAGTGTGTGCGGCATACATGGTAAGTAGATATATGTATGTGGCATATATGATATGATCTGTGTGTGCGCGTTAGTGTGTCTGCAGGAGCATTCGAGAATGCCAGCGAGGATGCATTTCCTATCATCTGTTCTTAATGGAGAAGGATTTCTGGAAGCAGCAGATGGTGTGAAGTGTGCAGCTGTGAAGTTAGAAGAAAATCTTGGTAAGGACCAGATTGGTTCTGGGCAGGAAGGAGTATCCTCATAAAATCAAGCCCCTAAAGCTATAAACATCAGATAGCAGGGCCCGAGGCAAGCGGGGGTTTGAGAGGAGTCACAATGTGCTCTCATTTACAAAAGTAGTGGCTGCCAGCTTTTTATCCAAAATCCCTTAGGAATTACAGTTGTTTTACGGGCCCAAAATGCTTTGTAACTCAGCAGATGGCTTGAAGACTTCAGTATCTTCCCATTTTTACTTTAAGGTCAAAAGGATTCTAATTAAAGTTAAAGCTACAATCTCAATGTCAT
Organism: Homo sapiens; assembly: GCF_000001405.40. Lineage (NCBI taxonomy): Eukaryota > Metazoa > Chordata > Mammalia > Primates > Hominidae > Homo > Homo sapiens. Next base: position 87,538,098 of record NC_000009.12, read on the forward strand.
TGTTTAAATGAATTCACCAAGACAATAGTTGTGGAATCTTTTCAGAGGAAATTTAAGATGTTAATTTCCCACTGAAGTATAGTCTAATAATTGAGCTAAATAATGGCACTAAAGAATGACTTGGGGGTTTGCCCTCTTGGAGTCCATTTATTCTTAAAGAAAGATTTTTCCCTTTAATTATCAAACTAATAATGGCCATTGGAGGTGGGGAACTGGGAAGAAAAAAAATCACCAAAAATTCCACTCCCAAAGAAAATCATTGTAAATATTCAGTCATTTCCCAAGCATATCTGTAGATGTCCGAGTGTGTGTAGATGTCTATTTTGGTTTATTTTGCAGATCTGTGCTCATGTTATATACATAAAAGCTATATCCTTCCATTCGCCTTAAGATTCTATTATTTTCTCACTTTGAAAGGCCTTTAACTGAAGTCCACTGAAATCTTCAACAACACGGTTCATTTGTCTTTGAGACGGGTTGTTAGAACAAAAATTTGAACAGTTCTTTTAAAATACTGAAATAAGTGAGACCCAGTATTGATGGGAATGACTTTCTGCCCAGCTGTTTTCTTGTTGGCTGATTCCATAGGAATTGCCCGCATATGAAAAAGAAAATTGTAACAGATTAAAAAACAAAACCTCATCTGCTTGACATTAAATGTTACTTGTAACTTAAAAAATTAAATTACAAAACCATAATGAATTATTAAGCTTTATAAACTATTGGCTTTTAAAAAATTTATTGAGTTTTAAAAATTAAGTGTTTTTGTGTCATTGGCTGTGATGAATCTTTGTGTTTGTTAGACAGTAAGTTTATTTGGATGCTAAGAGATCTGCTAAACAGCCCCACTGGATTTTATATATTTAAAATATATCTTAAAATATTTTATTTATATTTAAACATATATAGTTTAAAATATAAAATTAAATTAAAACTAATTTAAGATTAATTTTATTGCTAACATACAAAGAGTTTTCATAAAAGCCTACATATATAAAAATATATGTACTACATATATTATGTATAAACATATGGATGCTACATATATCTTATATACGTAGACTTTATGAAAACTCTTTGTATGTTAGCTTAAATTAAGTCTTCTGAAAGTGATAAGAATTGTATTATATTAAAGCAATTACTGAAGTTTAATATGTACGGATGTGTAGTTTAAGACATGGGTTTTATGTGATTGTGAAAGCTAAGTACGGTAGTCCTCTCTTATCCTTGGTGTCGCTTTCTGAGCTTAAAGTTACCCACATTTAACCTCGATATGAAAATGTTAAATGGAAAATTTCAGAAATACACAATTTATAAGTTTTAAATTTCTCACTTTTTTTTTTTTTTTTTGAGACAGAGTCTCGCTCTGTCACCCAGGCTGGAGTACAGTGGTATGATCTCGGCTCACTGCAACCTCTGCCTTCCGAGTTCAAGTGATTCTCCTGCCTCAGCTGGGATTACGGGTGCCTGCCACCACATCTGGCTAATTTTTGTGTTTTTAGTAGAGACGGGGTTTAACCGTGTTGGCCAGGCTGGTCTTGAACTCCTGACCTCAGGTGATCTGCCCACCTCGGTCTCCCAAAGTGCTGAGATTACAGGCATAAGCCACTGGGCCCAGCCAAATTTCACACCTTTCTGAGGAGAGCAATGAAATCTCCTGTTGTCTCATACCATCCGAGAGTAGAAGCATCCTTTGTCCAGCTATTCACGATGTCTGTCTACATTCGCTGACTGTCTGCACTCCCTGCCTGTTAGCCACTCAGGAGCCCTCTGCGTATCAATAATTGTCGTAGTCTAGTAGTGCTTGTGTTCAAGGAGCCCTTATTTTACTTCTTAATGACCCCAAAGCCCGAGAGTAGTGATGCCGGCAATTCGGATGTGCCAAAAAGAAGCCGTCAAGTGCTTCCTTTAAGTGAGAAGGTGGAAGTTCTCGACTTAAGGAAAGAAAAAAAATTATTTACTAAGGTTGCGAAGATATGTGGTAGAAGATATTTTGAGAGAGAGAGAGAGACCACATTCACATGACTTTTATTACAGTATATTGTTATAATTGTTGTATTTATTGCTAATTATTGTTGTTAATCTCTTTTTTTTTTTTTTTTTTTTTTTTGAGACAGAGTCTCGTTCTGTCATCCAGGCTGGAATACAGTGGCACCATCTCAGTTCACTGCAGCCTCTGCCTCCCGCGCCCAAGTGATTCTCCTGCCTCAGCCCCCTGAGTAGCTGGGATTACGGGCCTGTGCCACCATGCCTGGCTAATTTTTGTTATTTTTAGTAGAGATGCCGTTTTGCCATGTTGGCCAGGCTGGTCTCGAACTCCCAACCTCAGGTAATCCTCTCGCCTCAGCCTCCCAAAGTGCTGAGGTTACCGGCATGAGCCGCCGTGCCTGGCCTGTTGTTAATCTCTTACCATGTCTAATTTATAAATTAAACTTCATCACAGGTCTGTATATATAGGAAGAAACGTAGTAGATACAGTGTTCAGTACTTTCCATGGTTTGACGCATCCACTAGGGGTTTTGGAATGGATCCCCTGTGAGTAAAGGGGAACTACGAGGTAACCTTTTCCTGAAAGCTGTGAAATCAGTCTGCCAAGATAAATAATTATAACTGATAATAGGCTTATCAGTGTGACCACAGTAAATAATTCCATTATTATATACATCATACCACAGCGTAGTTGCTCACTTACCTGTCTCTTAAGGGAACCTGCATCTAATTATCTTTTAACTTTTAGGGCTGACATATACTTGACCTATAATTGTTGAATTAGCCAACTCACACCAAACTGTTTTCTCTTTCCCCGAGTTCATCTGGACTGTGACATACCACAGAAATGTGTTCTGAGTTTTTCTTACCAATCTAAGCCTCACACAGGAATGAAAGTAATTTGAAATAATTATCAGGAACATTATTGTACTTTATCACATTTTTATGAAAATACTTCAGATTCCTCAAACAGTAATATTATTGATTCTGTACACATTATCAAAACCATTCTTAGAAAATACAAAATTGCAACATTCAATAGAACATCTTTTTAGTAAACATTGGATATTGGTTCCTACTTTTATTCCACTGGTGGGAAAGGCTTATGTGTTCCTATGTAGTTTATGTCCAAACCGACTGTAAGTGGTTCTTCTGTCAGCACTTTAAAGAATGATGGAGGGCCTGGCATGGCGGCTCACACCTGTAACACCAGCACTTTGGGAGGCCAAGGCGGGCAGATCCCTTGAGACCAGGAGTTTGAGACCAGCCTCGCCAACATGATGAAACCCTGTCTCTACTGAAAATACAAAAAATTAGCTGGATGTGGTGGTGTGTGCCTGTAATCCCAGTTGTTCGGTAGGCTGAGGCATGAGAATTGCTTGAACCAGGGAGGCAAAGATTGCGGTGAGTGGAGATGGTGCCATTCCACTCCAGCTTGGGCAACAGAGCAAGACTCTGTCTGGAAAAAAAAAAAAAAAAAAGATGGAGAAAGACTTTATAGGCTGTTGTAGTTTAGACTCTGTCCAACTAGAAGCATCATGTGGCTTTCAGAGAAAAACACTCTAGTCAACCAATGGAGAAATGCAGAGGAGGAAATGTGAGACTTATTTTCAAACTGAAGACAACAATTAAGAAGAGGTAGAACTTCTCAAAGATACGTTTTCATGAACCACTATTTATGTATTATATAGCAACAGATATTATGGTGACTTGTACAGCCATTACCATTACCCAATGTGATGCATGTTTTCCTGTTCTGTGTCTATCACATGTCTATATAGGCCATGCCTATTTATGTTTTTCCTGTTTGTTTGGGTCTCAGATCAGTGAGTGCCTTTGTTCATCTTGAAAATGGTATTGATAGCAACACAGAATCAAAATACAGTTTTCAAGAAATAGAAATCCTCAGATTGTTTTAGACCCTGAATTTAATGACAGCAGCAGGAATTATAAACCCTCGGTTCTGATGAGAAAAAGTCAGGGACTTATTTAGATAAAAATAGCTTACAGGGTTTTTCCTAAGGGTCAGCAAAGTTTCCTACTCATCTGTACCTTTAGGACTTCATAATGATTTAGCTCAATTTAATCCCAGATTAGCAGTGAAAGATTAATACTGAGTTTTCTAAGGTGGGAAATTCCGTATGAACAATAATAGGTAACATTTCCTGAGTACTGAAGACAGGTCAGACAGTGTCAGTGTTTAGCACTGCTTCTTATAGATCATCTCTGAATCATCACAACATCCCTAAGAGGCTGATGCCATCATGCCCATTTTACAGATGAGGAAATTGAGGGATTTGCTGACAGTGACACAGAGTAAGGAATAAAGTCATGCTGTGAGCCAGGCATCCCTGACCCTGTGGTCAGCATTTCAGTGTGACACTGTAACCAGCATGCACATCATTCCTTACCTTACCAGAGCTGTCCTGTGCCATAGGGATTCTGGCTCGCTTTTCCTATGTATGGTCTCTGCTTTGTAAGAGAAATCAGTATTTACCAAGTACCTATGGTACTGGTTGGCTTACACTCAGTGACTTCCGGAAGGCTCACCAAACCCTCTGAGGTAGGAAAGATCATTCCCATTTTAAGGATGAAGAAGCTGTGGCTGAGTGGCTCAGTTACCTAAAGACAAACGGCCAGTGAGAAGGGGAAACTCAAGTCTGTCTGAGTCCGAGATTAATGCCTTTGCCATTGCCCAGAGATCTGTCTGGCTTTGGAGTCAATATGGAACCCCTCACTGGGCCTTCAGCAATGGGATGCCCACATGCATGCCTCACACTCCCCAGGACAGAGTTCATGGACATGCATGAAATGGCATCACGATCATAAATAGATGTTCTGGTAACTTGGCTCATAGGTAGCATGTCTTTTTACCATTAATTAGCGTACTATAGACTGCATGGGTGACATTAGAAAACAAATTTTTATTGCTTTTGCAATGAAGTTTGGGGACATTTTATAAGAATTATTTTAATAAGTAGGGATTTAAAATATGGGACATGTTGTATAGAGCAAGTTAGAGAATGTTAAAATAAAAGAACATATAAAAATGCTACTTAAAGTTTCACATTTATGTGCAAAACAACATGTAATTCTTGGTCGGGGCTGTGATAGTTCTGCTTAAGAATGTCTAAAACAGATGATCTGATAAGAAAATTGCTCTTACCACAGTAGAGGAGAAAAGGCAAGAAGGAGACCTTCACACAAAAACAAAATTATAATAGCCTCCTTAATGGGCCTATGTCTGAGTTTCAGTGCTTATCACTTACAAATGAACACTTTTCATAGACATAATTTCCATTGCCTAATAATAGTTGAATATGACTATGAATCATTTTGAGTGCAGTTTCTTTAAAATACATTGTTAATAAATGTTCTCTGAAGAGGTAGATAGGTGGATTCTTATGTAGTTAGTAAAAACAACACAATCAGCCAAAATGACTCAGGATTATTTTTTCATTTCATGGAACCTTCTGCAAATTAATATTTGTCCTTATCTGAGGTTTTTCTAAATAGTTGCTTTATTAAGCATTGCATTGTTTGGCAGTACAGTTTGTGAGCTGGATAAGGTAATAAAAACTTGGGAAAAATGTAAAAGACTCACTTTTTAAATATCTACATTAAATGCATTATCTTTGCTATGTTTGAGTGATCTCTTATGGTTCTGTAAGATGGACCATTTTGTTGCATCCTCAAAAAGTGTAAGAGAAGAGGGTTTTGTTTTTTCTTTTTTGTTTTTGTAGTCTTGTGTGTTTGGATTTTGTTTATTATAGTATTATGCTATAGTTTTAAGGATTGAGGACTCAGAAGATTTCATGTGGCCTTAATTAGCAGTCTGTCATATTTAAAAACAAACATGTTGAAATAATAAAGGTAGAAATTGTAAATATATAATCCTCTGGAAGGCAGGGATTCAATCTATGAAATTATTTCAGTTAACGTTTCAGAAGAGGAACACACATGAATAAGTATATAAATATGTTAGCTTAACTTTAACAAATTATACAAGCAACATAATTCATTATCTAAATTTTAGAAAAATGAGAAATCACCCATCACTGCACTAACTCAAATCTCTGTCATGAGTTTTAGTTAATAAGTGTTTTCTGACAATGACAAATTTTCATACATGAATAAGTATATAAATATGTTAGCTTAACTTTTACAAATTGTACAAGCAACATAATTCATTATCTAAATTTTAGAAACATGAGAAAAATCACCCATAACTCCACTCACTCAAATCTCTGTCATGAGTTTCAGTTAATAAATGCTTTTTGACAATGACAAATTTTCATTTTTAGATATTGCATGGATGAACAGGGAAAAATGTTATAGATATGGTGAAGAATATATAGTACATGAGAATATATGTGAGTGTGTATGTGTGTATGCATGCATACATACACACTTGTGTACATTAATGTATGTACACGTAAATATGCATATAAGTATACACATACACCAGAAAATTTTTCTAATGTTCCTTGCAAACACAATATGCAGCTTTCTGAAAATTATTATTTTTGTGATATTTTTAGTGGCTGTAACATTTATTTTTGGTAGCTGGCTTTGGGTGGTCCCTACAGTCCTTTTTCTCGGGCTCTTACTGGTGAGATGGATTATGCATGTAAGACTTCAAACTGGGAACAAGGGACAGCTGGAAAACGATCATTTTAAAAGGCATGTTTAAGACGGACATAAAGCTAATTTTCCTACGAGTACCCAAAATGCAGGAAGAAAGACATTTTGCTAGAGGATGAAATTGAACAGTGAAGATTTTAATTTGGTCCCATTCCCTACCCCAGCAAGGTGAGGTAGGGACACAGCTCTGCTTCCATGCACCTTTGCAGCCCAGTCCCCACCCTCTCACAGACAAGGCCACTCTGGACCTGAGGACAGGCCCATCTTCAGTACTGTTGGTGGTTGTCCCCACACAATCTAGGTTACTTTCGGAATTTGATGGATGGCTTTTCAAATTTGCCTTCCTATCTGGAAGATTATCATCAGCTATCCCTGCACTTTGCAGCAAGTACAAAACTCCTGAAGAGCAGAGGCTGTCAGACCAGCTGCCAAAGTGCTTAACACCTTTTATTCAGAAAATCTGAGGCCTCCACTTGACTGATCTCCCCAATTCTCCTTGCAAACCAGGCTCCCGGGTGCAGGGTTAGGAAGTGCGTAATGAGCTTTAGAAAGGGTTCCTGAACCAACAGCTAAACTGTTGTTAATCTCAGCTCTGGCAGTTACTTGGGATGAAGAGATCGTAATGGCTGCTTTAATTAAAATACACATAATACTAGAGGATCAGTAGACCACAAGCAAGAACTCTAAGTAATTCATTAGTTTCAATTTTAGGCGAACATGGAAGGTACTAGAAGAAAATAGGCAAACTAGACAGACATCAGTCAGAATGCTTAGGCTTGCCTCGGCTGGTGAGCCTCGGTGAGGCATTTCAGCTTTAAAAAAAATTTTTTTTTGAGATGGAGTTTTGCTCTTGTCACCCAGGCTGGAGTGCAATAGCGGGATCTTGGCTCACTGCAACCTCTGCCTCCCGGGTTCCAGCGATTCTCCTGTCCAGCCTCCCAAGTAGCTGGGATTACAGGCATGCACCACCACACCTGGCTAATTTTGTATTTTTAGTAGAGAAGGGGTTTCACCATGTTGGTCAGGCTGGTCTCGAACTCCTGACCTCAGGTGATCCACCCGCCTCAGCCTCCCAAAGTGCTGGGATTACAGGTGTGAGCCACCACACCTGGCCACATTTCAGCCTTAAAATAAAGGGGTTCATCTGATTGTCTCATCAGTTCCATAAGATGCTATATTTCAGTGATTGCTCATGATTCTGTAAGACCATTTTGTTGCATCCTCAGAAAGTGTAAAAGAAGAGGGTTTGTTTTTTGTTTTTGTTTTTGCAGTACAGATTCTCAGTACTTCCCATAGCATAGAGGGTTGAGTCATAGAGTCCAGCCAGCTCCTTGGCTGGGAAGTTGATTTTCAGTTAAATAAACTTGAGCTTTCCTGTGGTGAGATTGGGTGGTGGTGGAGCAAAACCATTTTAAAATGTAGGTTTTATTCAGATATGGTGAAGCTTACAGATCTGGGAGATGACCGTCAATGAAAAGATCTCACAGTTCCCAAGAGGAGGAGCATCCCATGTGATGCAAGGCCCCAAGAAGCAGCAGGGTCCGTCAGGAGGCAGTGGGAGTGAGGGGAAAACGAGAGCAAGAGCCTCTACTGTGGTTTCTGCAGAAAGGAATGGACAGGATTTAGGGCTGGCTAGTTTGGGGAATTTCAGCAGGCTCTGGGAGGTAGATACTGTCCCTGGTTGCCTGGCATCTGACCCTTGGTTGGTTAAGGCAGAATTGTGGCCCATAGGAGGTAGGGGTGGGTGGTCTGAGCTCTGAATTGGTTGGGTCTGCATAGGAAAGATGGGCAGGTGAGTTTACAGTTTCTAGGAATCCACTAGTTCTGGGAGGGGCAGTGCCTCCAGGGTCAACAAGGCCTCAATGCTAAAGCATCAAACATGCAGAAAACAGAGATGTGGGATCAATCCAGAGACAGCATGTTGGCTTTGGGTGACAAGACGAATGAGCCTTTCTCTGTCTTTCCCCATCCTCTCTCTACCCAGCTCTCTTTTCTCTCTTGTATTCCGTTCTCCCTCCTTTCCATCTCATCTCTTTGTTTTCCCTACCTGTTCTTTTAACAGAGGACTCCGATGACGTTAGAAGAGGCTGCACTGCCTAGAGCAATCTGCATTCCATATTAGCTTTATAAAGAAAAAAAAAATCAGCCTGGTACAGTGACTCATGCCTGTAGTCCCAGCACTTTGGGAGGCTGAGGTGGGTGGATCTCTTGAGTTCAGGAGTTCAAAATCTGCCTGGGCCATATGGCAAAACCCCGTCTCTACAAAATACACAAAAATTAGCCGGGTGTGTTGGCATGCGCCTATAGTCCCAGCTGCTCAGGAGGCTGAGGTGGGAGGATGCTTTAAGCCTGGGAGGCGGAGGTTGCAGTGAGCCAAGAGCAGACCACTGCACCCCAGCCTGGGTGACAGAGCCAGACCCTGTCCCAAAAAACAAAAAAATTGTAGAAGGCTTTGAAAACCCAACATAGTAGTAATAATAATAATTTGATATAAAAATAATCAATAAAATCCTGATGTTGTATTAATGATGATGATGATGATGATGCCAAGAACTCCACTGTTGTCTTCACAAACCTGTTACTGGCTTCCAGAGAAAAGATGCATTTCCTTCTCTAGATCAACACGGTTCAAAAGACCTTTGCACAGTGGTGGACATGTTCTGTATCTGTGCTGAACAGTACAGTAGCCCCTACCTACATGTAGCTACTGAGCACTCAGATAGTAAGACTGAGGAACTGCATTTTTAATTTTTGTGGACTTTAGTTAATTTAAGACTAATTTAAATAGCTACATGTATTAGGATTCTCCGGAGAAACAGAACCATAAGTGTGTGTGGAGAGAGAGAGAGTGTGTGTGTGTGTGTGTGTGTGTGTGCGTGTGTGTAGAGGAGGGGATTGATTTTAAGGAATTGGCTTCTGTGATTGTGGAGGGTGGCAAGTCCAGAATTTGCTGGGGTAGTCGGGGCAGGGGTGGGGGTGCAGGGTGGAGATCGGGGAGGAGTTGAGGCCTCATCTGGACTCTGAAGGCCATCTGCTGGCAGAATTCCCTCTGCAGGCCTTCCACTGATAGGATGATCCCACCCACCCCTATTAGGGAGAGTGGTTGGCTTTACTCAGAGTCTGCTGATTTAGATGTTAATCTCCTGGTAAATGCACCTTCACGGAAACATCTAGAATAATGTTTGGCCACATATCTGTGTCCAGGGCCCAGTCAGGTTGACACATAAAGTGAGTCACCTACCTCACCCAGCTGGTGGCGGAAGTGCTGAGAAGCACAGGTCTGGATTCATTCGGCATGTACAGGGCCGGGCATTATTCTAAGCACTTCACTGGGGCTTCTGTCAGATGAACACTGTTATGCTAACTTCTCTAGGCAGCAATAATGCAGCACAAAGAGTAAGGCTTGCCTGAGGTCACACAGCCAGCAAATCAGGATTCACTCTCCAGCTTGGTGGCAGAGGCTGTGTGCTTCACCATTACCTTTCGCAAGGCCCCCTTGGCTTGGAGGGGCAAAGCTGTTTCCTAAACATCAATCTTTTTTTCTCACCAGGACCAAAGTCAGAAGGCCTGCGTTAGACCCCTGGTTTTCCCCCTAAATAGCTATGTGACGTGGAACACTGAACCTCAGTATCACCATCTGTAAAATGGGAATGATGATTCTCTCCTATATTTTCTCTCTCTCTTTTTCACCACTTTGTGGACTACATTTCTCCTGTTCCTGGGTCTGTTCTCTTGCAACATATAAGTTTGGTAAGGTAGTCAATAGAAAACATTTGGTTACTGAAAAGTGGAATTGATTGATACTCTTTTCTTTGAGCTAATGCTGAAACACTGGATTCCCCAACAACAACTAAATTTTGTGTTCAGAGTTTCTTCCCTCACTCAAAGAGGAAAGCATGGCACTGTTATTATTTTGTATCTTTTCTTTGGGATAACCATTTCTGAACCAGTGTTGCATGGATTTGGCTGCTGTCTTGGGAACACAGTACTGATGTTGCTCCTGGTGAGCGTGCACTGAAGATTTGCGCTGCACTGTACCTGAGGTTCTCAGCCGAGTCTTCCTGTGTATGTTTGAAGATCTGGTTCTGTTTTGTGGGGCTATGGACAAAATCCACCCTCCACAGTAGGTTGTAAAGAATGCATCCTTTTGGTAATTCACCACCCACTGAGTGGATTTCATTCCTTTTTTTTTTTTTTTTTTTTTTTTTTTGGCTTTTAACTTTTAAGTTCAGGGGTACATTTGCAGGATGTACAGGTTTGTTACATAGGTAAATGTGTGCCATGGTGGTTTGCTGCACAGATCATCCAATCACCTAGATATTAACCCAGTACCCATTAGCTATTCTTCCTGATGCTCTCCCTCCCTGCATCCCCCACAGGCTTCAGTGTGTGTTGTTTCCCTCCCTGTGTCCGTGTGTTCTCATCACTCAGCTCCCACTTACAAGTGAGAACATGCAGTGTTTGGTTTTCTGTTCCTGTGTTAGTTTGCTGAGGATAATGGCCTCTAGCTCCATCCATGTCCCTGCAGAGGACATGATCTCATTCCTTTTTATGGCTGCATAGTATTCCATGTTGTATATGTACCACATTTTCTTTATCCAATCTATCATTGATGGGCATTTGGGTTGATTCCATGTCTTTGCTATTGTGAATAGTGCTGCAGTGAACATACCCATACGTGTATCTTTATAATAGAACAATTTGTATGGGGGGGTTATATAGTAATGAGATTGCTGGGGATTTCATTCTAATGTAGTTTGTTGGTATGGGTTATCCTCACTATCTCTGAAATGACGAAAAAATTCTTAGTATCACCCAAACCTTATTCTGTTTTAATTAGGCATTTCACACAATTTAAATTAGTTTTACAAAGAATGTAGAATGAAGAACACTTCTCATCACAAAGAGTACACATCTCAGCACAAAATAATGTCCCCTCGCCCCTCCTTTTACATTGCTTTTATGACGTGCCTTCTAGAGCCTCAGCAATGCACTTGTACAACTCGTAGCAGAGCACCAAAAGAAACCATGATCAGTGTTAATGTTTTTCCACATTTTGTTATGAAAAATTTCAAATATATGGAAAAGTGGGGGAAAAAAGTATCATGAATACCCATCTGTCTGTTACCCAGATCCACAATGAACATTTTTTTTATCTTTCCCTCTGTCACGCCATCTTCATTACTTTATGCATTTCAAAGTAAGTTGCAGGTGTCTGTATACCTCATCCTTTTAAGGCTTCGTCATGCGTGTCATTTCCTAGAGCTCGGTGCTTGTTGCTGGTTTTTTCTGTGTCGGGTAAAGTTTATATGTAGTGAAATGCAGAAGTCCTAAGCACGTCCTTTGATGAGGTTTGACAATTGCATTCCCTGGGTAACATGAACCCCTGTCAGGATAATCACAAAACATTAACCGTCACCCTAGAGAGTTCTCTCTTGCCCCTTCTCAATCATTCCCACCCCCATCCCTCCAAAGGAAACCAGTGTTCTGATTTTTTCACCATAGGTTCGTTTAACCTGTTCAAGAACTTCATGTGGATGAGATCCTAGAATGTGTTTATTATTTTGTGCAAGACTTCTGTTGCCAGCCACATTAGTGTGCTAGGGCTGTTATAACAAAATACCACAGACTGTGTAGTTCAAACAAGAGAAATTTATTGCCTCACAGTTTGGGAAGCTGGAAGTCCAAGATCAAGGTGTCATTTAGAATGTGTTCCAGGCTTCTCTGCTAGCTCCTGGAAGTTCTTTGCCTTGTGGCAGCATAATTCCAGTCTGCACATGGCATTCTGCTTTTCTATGTCCAAATTTCCCCCTAAGGACCTATGGTCCTCCTAAGGACACCCATCATATTGAATTGGGAGTGCAACCTACTGCAGGATGAACCCTTCTTAACTAATGACATCTACAATGACCATATTTCCAAATAAAGCTACCTTACAAATAAGGTACTGGGGGTTAGGACATCAGTATACAAATTTGAGGGGGTCATAATTCAACCCATGACAGCAGCACCTGGGTTGTTTTATGTACCAGTGGTTTGCTGTTACTGCCGAGTAGTGCTCCATTCTAGAAATGGACTACAGCTAAGCCAAGCTGTACCAAGCCATGCTTGTTGATGGGTGCCGTTTTTGGCTGTCGTGAATAAAGCTGCTAGGAACATTTTTGCACAAGTGTTTCTGTGGACGTGTGCTTTTATTTTTCTTGGATACATACCCTGACCCCGGGGAGGGGGCTAACCTGGGGACACATGTGGAAGGATGGTCCTCTGAAGGCAGAAGGCCAAGCTGTTGGGTCCCCCCACCTTGGCCAGCAGCCGGGATGGCTCTTCCCCAGTGCTGCTTCAGTCTGGTGGAGACAGTAGCTACAAACCACAGATCCTGCTTCTTAAAACTGGGCAACATCATCACATCTATTAATTTGAATTTTTTTTTTTTTTGAGGCGGAGTCTCGCTCTGTCGCCCAGGCTGGAGTGCAGTGGTGCGATCTCGGCTCACTGCAACCTCTGCCTCCTGGGTTCAAGTGATTCTCCTGCCTCAGCCTCCTGAGTAGCTGGGATTACAGGCGCCCACCACCACGCCTGGCTAATTTTTGTATTTTTACTAGAGACGGGGTTTCACCATGTTGGCCAGGCTGGTCTCGAACTCCTGACCTTATGATCCACCCACCTTGGCCTCCCAAAGTGCTGGGATTACAGGCGTGAGTCACCGTGCGCAGCCTGTTAATTTAGATTTTAAGCCAATCTGTTGGTTTCCCTTTGAGGTTGGTGATGAAGTCCTTAAAGGCTGAGATCCGGTCACCTGGACCAGTAAGGAAGTGGGGAGTTGGGGAGAAGGTCCTGTTCCCAGGACAGTAGTGACAGTGGATGAAGGACAGGACAGCAGCTTTTGAGGATAAGGGCGAGAGAAGGGATCCAGGGACCCATTATGGGCCCATGGTGGGAGTTGGGGTCTGGCCCAGGGCCACATCCTCCTTCATCCTCAAGGGAAGGTGAGGGGCCCATGAACTCTCTCAGGGAAGTGCAGGTCCTGATACAGCAACATGGAGAAGCTGTAACCAAGCCGGAGAGAGTCACCGTAGAGCCCAGGAGGAGAGACCCGAAGATAAGCATCACCCTGTGCTGTCATCTCTGAGGGGCGGGCGCTGCTGATAGACACGTGAAAGTCTAGCCTGCAGCAGATGTGAGTCTCAGATGCCTCCGTGGGCAGCCGGAATCTAGATCAACAACTACACTCTAGAATAATCTCAGCTGCCAGTAAGCCAGAGGGGCTTGGAGGGTGAGGAGTCCCTGTGATAACCAAGATCAAGTTCTAAACCAGCCAGCAGGCCTCGCGAGGCTGGCTCACCTTTCAGGCTGCTGGTGTTGGAAACATGAGACTGTGCCTCTCAGCCCAGGCAGGGCCCTGCCTGGGGTCCCACAGCTTCCAGGAGCCAGTAGGGAGCCCAGAGCCTGGCAAGGCCAGCAAGTAGGGAGGGGATACTGCTTGGCAGGAAGTCCTCAGGAGGGAGTGTGAGGCTTGGTCTGCCTAGATCATTACAGCCCAGGGCTTTCTGTACCTAGGACTTCAGTCCCAACCCCGCTGACCCCATCTTAAAGAGGACAAGGGAGGGATATCTGCAGCTGGAAGGAGGGATATCTGCAGCTGGAAGGAGTGTGCCAGCTTGAACAGTGACGGGGCACCACTTTCTGGAAAATATGGAAGAACCTAATGTACATTAGAGCTGTGAAACTTGTGGCCCACACACTAATTTTCTCTAGCACCTGGGCAGACATAGGCAGTTGTGGCATCTCTTTTTATCAAGTACAGACAGAAAAAAAATCAATTAAAATAATTTTATTGTTGTATAATGCACGTGCTTTAAAATGTACCTCTTTTTTTTTGGAGACAAGGTCTTGCTCTGTCACCCAGGCTGGTGTGCAGTGGTACAATCATAGCTCACTGCAACCTCCAGCTTCTGGGCTTAGGTGATCCTCCTGCCTCAGCCTCCCAAGTAGCTAGGACTATAGACATGCCCCACTGTACCCCGTTAATTTTTTTTTTTTTTTAAGATTTCTAGTAGAGATGGGGTCTCTGCGTTGCTCAGGCTGTTCTAGAACTCCAGGCCTCAAGCGATTCTCCCACACAGCTTCCCGAAGTGTCAGGATTACAGGTGTGAGCCATTGAGCCTGGCTATATTTACCATTTGAACCATTTTTAAGTGCACAGTTCAGTGGCAGTAAGAACATTCACGTTGTGTTGCAGCCCTCACTAACGTTTATCTCCAGAACTTTTTCGTCATCCCAAGCTGAAACTGTGTATCCATTAAATACTAACTACATTTCCTTCTCCTCCTAGCCCCTGGCAATTACCTTTCTACTTTCTGTCTCTGAATTTAAATCTACTTTTGAGAAGACACATTGTTCTGGTCCTGATATTGTTGATATTTAAGTTCCAGCTGGCCAGCTAGGCAGTAAACCAAGCAAAATCTCACTCATCAGACCTGAGTATTTTTTTCCTTGACTTGTGTCTGTCATGTGGGGGGGGTTGGGTGATTGGAAATATTTGGTATCTACACAGCAGTCTTTCTGCCTTTGCCATCATCCTGTGCATATGCTTCTTGATAATTAATATGTGCATTCAGTTAACCATTCATGGGATCTTTTCTTTTATCCGATTCTCCGCTCCTTAAGGACATGGGCTGTGTCTTGTTTGTCCCTGTATCCCAAGCCCTGAGCACTATGTCTGGTGCTTAGGGTGCTCAATATTTATTTTCTTTTTCTTTTCTTTTCTTTTTTTTTTTTTTTTTGAGATGGAGTCTCGGTCTGTTGCCCAGGCGGGTGTGCAGTGGTGCGATCTCGGCTCACTGCAACCTCCACCTCCCAGGTTTAAGTGATTCTCCTGCCTCAGCCTCCCGAGTAGCTGGGATCACAGGTGTGTGCCACCATGCCCGGCTAATTTTTGTATTTTTAATAGAGACGGGGTTTTGCCCTGTTAGCCAGGCTGGTCTCGACCTCCTGACATCAAGTGATCCGCCCGCCTGGGCCTCCCAAAGTGCTGGGATTACAGGCGTGAGCCACCATGCCCGGCCTCAATATTTATTTTCAATATTCCACAGATGAGGGCAATAAGGAGAGGAAGCGGAAGAAAAAGGATGAGACATGTGGCTTGTGGGCAGAAAGGGAGGCAGGAGAACATTCCCAGTCTGCCTTTCACTGAGTTTTTACCTGTTCACTAGAACAACAAAAGGGAACCCGATCGGGAAACTCTGCTGTCAACTAAGCAAACTCTAAATTTAACATTTGGGGGACCCCCTTGGAGAGTAGTTGAGAGCTATGTGCTCCCCTTTTCAGAAAAATGCTCTCAAATACTCAGTGCATAAGCCCACAGCCTTAGCAGGTTCCCAGACCTTAGGTCAGCAATCCTGTTCTAAGGCATACATCACGAGCAGCATTTTGATTTTCATCTGGGGAACTTATAGTTCATAAAGACCTACTGATCCATTAAAATTTCCACTTGATTTTGCCATTAGTAATCTCTTAAACAAGTCCAAGGAAGCCAGAGGAAGTTATTTCTTGAATGCTTTTATACTAGTGCTTTCAAGAGTTCGTGTTGCTGACTCCAGTTTTTAAAATTATTATTCTCATCTTCTGCAATGCCTCGAGGCATGTTTTTAGCTGAATAGCAATAATTATGGGATTGTGCAATACTGGAAGAAGCAGTAAAAATAAAATGTAATACTAAAAAAAAAAAAAGTCTTTACTTCATCTAGGAAATTCAGTTTAAAGAATTTTTACCTCCGGACATAACAGTGACTATGCTGGAACTCTGTCTTTGACTCAAGCCAGAAGATGGATGGGACCACCCTTAGGAGCCTTCCACAGGAAGGCCCTCTCCACAGTAGGACTTAGGGCGCTCATGTAGATCCCTCGGCAGTAATGCGCTAGTTGCTCCTATAGTCAGGAGGCATCTAGGGAGATCGCTGATCTCCATGGCAACCTGGACCCAAATGAGCAAAGTGCCATCAGCTGGCCTCGGCCTGACTGCTCTGGCGGGAGGGAGGAAGCTGATGCTGTCTCCCACCCAGGCCGTGTAGCCATTTCCCCCACCCCCACCGGAGGTCTGAGAGTGTCAGGGCTTCTGCCCTTGGCTTCAGCCAGTTCTCCTGGAGGTCATTAAAGGGAAGCCCTTCTGGTGGCAAGTTCTCTGCCACAATCTACAGTGAGAATCTAATGATGGTATCAGTTGTAGAGGCCCCTTGATCTCTGGAGAGGGTTCTTAGTGCCAAGGAACTTTCTAGAACCATGGAGGAACCCTGCAGGGACCTCTGAAGAGTCCTGAGCAAAGAAGTGGGGAAAGCTGTGTGGGTGTGCACCAGGGTCTCATCACCCTGCCCTCAAGGGCAGCCTCAGTATTATGACTTAAGGACTTGGGGGTTTACATAACATCCCTTTTTGTCAGCAAAGGAAGTTCCTTATTTCTAAACCTCATGGTCCCAGAAAACCCAGTTCCTGATCTAGCTGTCCCGTTAGGGCATTTCCATAATACAGCACGTTCTTAAGCAGACATTAAGTCAGACAATTAGGTCCCAGCTAAGCCTTGTCTTGACCTCTTAAGCAACATATCTGCCCTCCCTTTTGCCTTCTCTCTTTTCCTTCTCTGTCACAGACACAAGGACTAGATGAGAATGACACCCTGGGGCTATCTGATATACTTCCTCAAGAAGTATTAGTAACACAAACAACAACAGAAAAAACAAAGTGAAATTTATTTATCATGAAGCACTTTATTTTATTTAGTTATTTTTTTTTTTTTTGAGATGGAGTTTCGCTCTTGTTACCCAGGCTGGAGTGCAATGGTGTGATCTCGGCTCACTGCAACCTCTGCCTCCCGGGTTCAAGCAATTTTCCTGCCTCAGCCTCCCGAGTAGCTGGGATTACAGGCATGCGCCACCACGCCCAGCTAATTTTGTATTTTTAGTAGAGACAGGGTTTCTCCATGTTGGTCAGGCTGGTCTCGAACTCCCGACCTCAGGTGATCTGCCTGCCTTGGCCTCCCAAAGTGCTGGGATTACAGGCGTAAGCCACTGCAGCCAGAAGCACTTTAAAGCTTATCGTTAAGAACAAATATGCAGTCATGCAAGAGCACACTGTTAACAAATTACCGGCTAACTAAAAGCTAGGCGAGTTCCATATCAATATGATTAAACAATTGCATGGGAAAATTATTATTTAGAGGAATGGAAGTAGTCACTAGTACGTGTTGTCAGTAGCTTCTGTTTTATTCCTAAAAAGACGAATGAGAAAATGAGGTATTATGAAGGAAGAAGCAAGAGTAAATGCCACCATGGTAATTACTGCCCGGGGCATATGAAGAACTGTTTTTTTGTATTCTAATCTCCGTCACCGAAACTCATCAGTGATGCAGGACCCAAAAATAGAAGGACATTTTGGGTGGACATGTAGTTAATAATGACTTATGCAGCCCAGCACCTGTGTGGGCTGGCATTGTTCTAAGTGCTTTTTCCTGTGTTACCTCATTTAATCTTCACAACAGCGCTGTGAGGTTGGTACAAGTATTATGTTGATTTTATGGAGGAGGAAACAGGTGCAGAGAGGCAAGGTACTTTGCCCAAGCTTCCTTTGTCAAAGCTCACAGAGCTGGGGAGGGTGCCCACGTGTGTGTACCTGTACCCACTGTGCATGCTGCCCGTCACGGGCAAAGGGGCTTCCTTTTGCTGTCTTTGAATCATGGATTTATTCAGTGTCATGGGAAGCCATGCATGGGTTAGTATTCTGGCCACATCAGTGAATGCTACAGCCTGGCCCCATCATGCTAATGTCAGGAGGAGTGCGGGGGATTGGCAGAGCATGGGGAGGATGGCGGTCTCCTGCTGAAACTCTGTGGAGTAGCCTCAGCTACCCTTTCACAGAGCAGGGTTTGGTCTCTGAAAGGTGAGGTCTTTCACTTGTGATCATGGTACAAGGCTGTGGTACTTCTCGCTCCAGGAGCTCGCTGGAGAACATATCGAGGCCTGTGTGGCTCCTCAGCCCATACCCTCAGGAGAAGGAATGCTCTCCTCAGGTTTGGAATTGCTTTTCTTGGTCCTTGTTTCTAGTAGGGAGTGAGAATAGACATGAGTTGTGCCTGCTGGGCAGAGCCTTTGCAGGCCAGGCCTCCTGGGCTGCCTTGGGCGTGTTCCTTGAAGAGCCAGTCCTGCAGTTGTGGGTGGGAGAGGAGCTTCTCTGAGATGTGTTATCAGGAACCTTGGCGGAGGTGGGCAGTTGACCTTCGGCTTTCCCCTTGGCCTCTAGGGATTCATATCTCATAAAGAACAGAAAAGAGGAAGGCAGCCTGGCCCTTCCCCTCACCCTTCCCTCTTGGCGGTGTTGCGGGAAGGGAGGAGCAACTCTTCCTCAACATCCTCGAAGCTCAGTGTCTGGCATTGTAAGGCCAGTGGTTTTCAAACCTCTGGGCTCAGAACCTTTGTTCAAAGCAAGTGTTACCTGGCAGCCACACATCCATCCAGGCAGCCCCATGAGGAATGCTCAGATCCATCTGAGAAGAGTCTGGAAACCCACATCTTCATTTCCCACCATGGCCCTGTCAGGGGAGACCCTTTGTCCTGTACCTTCCTGTCGTGTTCTTTCTACGTTTCACCCACTGCCTTCCTCGTCCTTCCAAATTAGATTATTAATCTCATGAAGAAAATACAGCTTTCTTCCTGTGATTCAAAACATCTTTTGTGAGCTCTAAAACCATGCCGATTAAGGAATTATGAATTTAAAATAATATTAAATGGTCAGTAGCTTTTATTGACAAATGATCTTGGGACAAAGCCATTAGATTTTTTTTCTATCTCTTACAGAACCCCCCTCCTGTTAAAACATTACTCATTGAGAAGTGATCCATTAAAAGAAAAATGTGTTGGATTTTAAAAAATACCTAATCCTTGGCAGGGCGCGGTAGCTTATGCTTATAATCACAGCACTTTGGGAGGCCAAGGTGGGTGGATCACTTGAGGTCAGGAGTTCGAGAACAGCCTGGCCAACATGGTGAAACCTCGTCTTTACTAAAATTACATAAATTAGCTCGGTGTGGTGGCATGCACCTGTAGTCCCAGCTACTTGAGAGGCTGAGGCTTGAGAATCACCTGAACCTGGGAGGCGGAGGTTGCAGTGAGCTGAGATGATGACATTGCACTCCAGCCTGGGTGACAGAGTGAGACTCCGTCTGAAGACAAACAAACAAAAAACAAAAACCGAATCCTTTAGCCAGGCGTGTCTCTTGTTGGATAAGTCAGTTTGGAATCTTTTGGATGTTTTCCTTCTTTTACTTGCTCAGCCATAATAAATCTTTCATTTTAATTTTGATCAGCAGCATTGTGAGGTCCTGCCCAGTGTGGTAATGGGCAGTTAGCTTGTCACAGTCCTGTCATCTTGCCAGCCCCTTGAGAGCTGCCAGAAGCTTGTGGTCTGTCTGGTTTCACATGGTGGTCATGGACTCTCTTAGGGACTCACATGTTACTGCACAGTGGGTATGCATCTTGGCCTGTCAGCACCTCTCCCTGAAGCATCCCAGGAGCTATTTACCAAAATGGATCATGCTCTTTTGTCAAGAGCAGGCCACTGGACTGCATTGCACCCCTGAGGATATACCCACAGATCAACGGGACAGAATAAATAAAGCAAGATGAAAAAGAATGAAGGGATCTAGTCGAATAAGCTTTGCAACTAAAAATCTTCCATGAATACAGGATCTCAGAATCACTTGATAATATGCTCCACATACATAAGTACACATATGCACACACACACAGCCGTGTGAGTACAGATACACAAGCTGTAAGGTGGTCATTGCACACCAACGTCCCTTTCGACGAAAACGAACAATTCCTCGATACTAGCTGGTCTCTTGGTTTCTGCTGTTTGTGACTTGTCATTGCAGGGAAGGGCTGTGATGGAGGGAGTTTTTGTTGACTTGGTAGTTCCTGTCTGCAGACCCCTTCATTGCTTCATTGGATTCCTTGGACAGCCTGCTATAGCCACATGGGGGCTCAGTTAGAGCCTGCTCTGTGAGCTGCATCTACCCATTTGGGCTCCCACGTGCAGAAAGCATGATTCCCATGCTCCATGTGGGCGGACTCCTGTTAGGCAGGTGGGAAAGGAGAAACCAGACTGCCTGGAACCTGCCCACAGGGCCTCTACCCAGTGGGGCATCAGGGAGGTACCACCCATTCCAGTCACTTGTTGAAAACTGTTCCCACTCTGGGGGAGGGGAGGGTAAGTCATGGTCTCTCTCTGTAAGAAATCACAGGTGCATGTGTGTGCACATGCATGCACCAGCTATCTCCTCCTTCTCCCCAACAAAATGACAGTTGGCATTCGTAGAGCCTGTACTCTGAGACGGGGATTTTGTGCTTGACGTGTATTATCTAATTTAATCTACTTAACCCTATAAGTTAGATGAAATATTATCCTTGTTTTACAAATGAAGAAATTAAGGTAGAGGTAATGTGTCATCTCTAGTACTCTAGAGTTTCTAATGCCCCAGGTATGCTTCTTTTTATTACAGGATAGGCTAGGGTAGGCTAGGGTAGGCTAGGCTAGGGTAGGGTAGGGCAGGGCAGGGTAGTGTAGGGTAGGGTAGCATCTACACCAATGCTGTGCATAGACCTTTCTGCAATTATGGGAATGTTCTGTGCCGCCCAGTGTGGTAACATCTAGCCACATGTGACTGTTGAGCATGTGAAATGGGACTAGTGTTTCCAAAAAGGTAAATTTTTAATATTCTTTAATTTTAGTTAAATTTCACTAGCACCGTGACTAGTAGCTACTGTGGTGGACTTTCCCTGCAGCTGAGGGCCCTCCCAGGACGCTCTCAAAAGCAGGATGTAGGACGCCTTGGACTTGATTAGCACTGTTTGATCATTGATTGATTTGAAAGATCTTTGCTGAGCCCCTCCTAGGTACTAAGCAGCTCAGGCTGTGAGAATGTCTGAACTCCAAGAATTGCTGCATGGTTCTTTTTGAACTGAGACCAGTGAGCAGGCGAATGTCTACAATAGTCCCGGGTGTTGGAAAGGACTCTGGTGTGGACCTTTGATGCCTGCTGCCCCAGTGAGTGACCCAGTGTCACCAGACTCGTGTGCCCACTCCTCAGAAAGGCCCCCATTCTTCATGCCCCCTATCTTGCCCTTCCTCTGCCTCCATCCGCTTCTTTTGTCTCCCCACCTTGGTTTATGAAGTCTCCTCTCTCCTCTTCCCTCCTCTGCCCTTGAATCTTTTTCTTTCCTTTTTTCTTTTTTTGTTTTTTTTTGAGACGGAGTCTTGCTCTGTCGCCCAGGCTCGATCTTGGCTCACTGCAACCTCCTCCTCCCGGGTTCAAGCTATTCTCCTGCCTCAGCCTCCCTAGTAGCTGAGATTACAGGTGCATGCCACCACGCCTGGCTAATTTTTGTATTTTTTTTTTAGTAGAGACGGGGTTTCGCCATGTTGACCAGGGTGGTCTAGAATTCCTGACCTCAAGTGATCTGCCTGCCTTGGCCTCCCAAAGTACTGAGATTACAGGTGTGAGTCACCATGCCCAGCCTGCCCTTGGAACTTTAAAATTTATTTGAAAGTTTATTTTAATATGTGGTTACAATCACATAACATTACATTTACCATTTAAACATTTTAAAGCGTGCAACTGAGTTGTGTCAGCTATATCACATTGTTGCGTGACACTTCCCCAGAACTTTCTCATCTTGCAAAACTGAAATTTCGTGCCTACTAAACACAAACTCCCCCTTCCCCTACCCCTTGGCAGATATGAGTCTACTTTCTGTTTCTGTGATTTGGACTACTTTAGATACCTCACATGAGTAGAATCACACAATATTTGTGCTTTTGTGACCTGCTTATTTCACTTAGCATGATGTCCTTGAGGTTCATCCACGTTGAGGCATGTGTCAGAACGTACTTTTTTTTTTTTTTTTTTGAGACAGTCTTGCTCTGTCACCCAGGCTGGAGTGCAGTGGCATGATCTCCACTCACTGTAACCTCCACCTTATAGGATCAAGCAATTCTCCTACCTCAGCCTCCCGAGTAGCTAAGATTATAGGCACCCACCACCACGCCCGGCTAACTTTTGTATTTTTAGTAGAGACGGAGTTTCACCGTGTTGGCCAGGCTGGTCTTGAACTCCTGACCTCAGGTGATCCACCCACCTCGGCCTCACAAAGTGTTGGGATTACCAGTGTGAGCCACCGCGCCTGGCTAGGATGTGCTTCCTTTTTAAAGGCTGCATTCTATTCCATTATGTGTATAAATCTCATGTCATGTAGTCATTCATCCATCAGTGGACATTTGAGTGCCCTTGTCTTTTACTTTTTTGTCCTTTCCCTTCATTTTCCCCAAAATAAAATATGAAATTAAAATAGCGGAACCAATAATATATTAGATGAGGAGCCGTTTGTGCTTATTTCCTATCTTTTGGGCAGCAAGAGTTGAGCCTTTATGCCCTCCCCAATCATTGCTACAAAATACACCAAATATGTGGCCGGGCGTAGTGGCTCACGCTTGTAATCCCAGCACTTTGGGAGGCCAAGGCGGGCGGATCACGAGGTCAGGAGATCGAGACCAGCCTGGCTAACACGGTGAAACCTCGTCTCTCCTAAAAATACAAAAAATTAGCCGGGCGTTGTGGCGGGCGCCTGTGGTCCCAGCTACTCGGGAGGCTGAGGCAGGAGAATGGCGTGAACCCGGGAGGCGGAGCTTACAGTGAGCCGAGATGGCACCACTGCACTCCAGCCTGGGCGACAGAGCGAGACTCCGTCTCAAAAGAAAAAAAAAATACACCAAATATGTTAGCCAGAGTGAATTTCTATTCTAATGAAACCTTTCATTGATTTTTTATTTCTCTGGGTCATTAACTTCCCATTGAATAAAGAAATTCCCCAGACCTGCCCTGGGGGATTCCCCTGCTCCATGGAAGTTTGATAGGCATTGCATTTGGGTGCTAGAAATGGAAGCCCCTTAGACAGCAGTTTACTTAAGTTAAAGGTTCATTTTCTTCTCATCCAGAAGTGGGGCTGTGTGTGGACAGTGCTTATCTGGCAGCTCCTCAGTGCCATTGGAGACCCAGGCTCCCTGGGTTCTGCCCCCCTCCTTAGGGTGTCAACCAGAGCTGCATCCACCATGCCCAGGGTTCAAGCAAGGAGAAGGGAAGGGAAGCAAAAGGGGGTGCACTCCAGCTTTACTGGCCCCCTGAATGGGCATCCCTGTGAGCTGCCTGCAAGGGGCTCTGCACACTTCTCATCATCCAGACTGGGCCACAGGGACCCTCACTCCACCCCAGAGCATGGAGAAGAGATGCATCGCTGCCCTGAGTAATGTGGGGATTCTCATGGGGAGAGGGAAGGGGGTTGTGCAGGGCAGGCCTCCTGCAGTTCTGTATCTACCTGGTGGTCTTCAGTGTTTACCTTCTTGGGGTTCAGGTGATGGAACGAAGACACAGCAGTTGAGCTATATGTTCATCATAGTTATACTGAGTTAGGATGGGCAAAGTCATGCCACTGTAACAAACAACCCCAATAGCGAACGTGAGTTAGTTGGAGCCTTGTCCTCCTGTGTCGTAACTCCAGGACTGAAGGTAATGAAGCCTCCACTGTGTGGAAAGTTGCAATCACATTGGTGAGGAAGAGGCTGTCACAAATTAAGGACTGGGTCTTGAGGCTTTCGTCGGGAACCAACAGGAGGAGTTGAGCCCACTTTCATTGGCCAGAAGTCACATGGCCACACTCAATGTGAAAGCATGGGTGTGTCCTCCTACCTCATGCTGAAAGGAGAGGACCCTGAAATATTTGATGACTGTCACTGCCACAGTAGTTATTTAAATAGAGAATTCTATAATATTTTTATAGAAAAGAGTATTAGGAATTGAGTCATTTGCTATCTCAAAGGCTCTACATTATTTACACCTGAAAGAAGTTGAGATTGTCCATGTAACCACCTGACATACTGTTTTGCTTAATTTAAAGCACACTGTCCAGAAGGAAATAAATAAACCTTGCCAAGTGTAATTCATCAAATAATAGCATGTCAGGTGCCCAAATTTGGAAGACAGATTGAAGCAAAAGTCTGCTGCTATTGCAGAGCAAAGACAATTTGCTTTATATTAAACTTAAGGAATGATTTAAAGAGGATTCTTCCCAGGCATGATGACTTGCTCAGCTTTTTTATAGAACCTCAAACAAGTGCTGACCTCTTAAACTTTTTTACTTTCTTCATGACAAATGATGTGATTTGGAGTGAAGGTTGGACAATGGAAGGAGGGTGATGATCCGCCTAGAGATTTGGTACTGGTGAATTTCAGGGGCAGATCTTGGGCCCCTCTTTGTGAAATGCTCATGTTTCTATTCTGTTGTCTGGAAGCATTTTGTAAGCAAAAGAGACTTTTTGTTCTTTATTAACTGTACCTTCCGGCATTCTTTCCTGGTAAACTCCAATTTCTAAGTTTATAAGTACATGCATTTGTCAGAATTTAGTCAACCAATCCACACAAATTTATTAAACACATACTGTATGAGGAAGAATATGGGAGTAGCAATTGAGGGCACAAAGATGAATATGATTTTTAAGCTCCTTGAATGCTTTTGAATTTAAGTGGTTCACACTCCCATTTGAAAGATACAGTGTGAACACCTGCACTAACACTATTTATTTCCACTCTGGGATGGGTTGTAGTGTTCATGGTCTCAGAGAACTGTGCCTCCCTGTTGCATCTTGGCTTGACTCCCCGTATTCCCTGAATTGGGGCTGGCCTTGTGGCTTGCTCTGCCCAGCAGAGTCTTGCAGAGAGACATGTGTGATGTCCAAGGTTAGACCTTGCTCTTGTGGGACACTTTGCTTTTATGTAAAGATGCTCTGTCAAGCCTCCTGGAGGATAAGAGGCCATGTGAAGTGAGAGGCCCAGCCATCAGTCAGCACACACCACCAGATGTTCAGGTGAGGCTGTCAGCCCACCAGCCAGCACCTCCCACCCCACCGCCTCTCAGACTGCAGACATGTGGCTGAGCCTAGCCAGCACCAGGAGGAGGAGATGACCTGCCCAGCTGAGCCCAGCCCATGTTGCAACCCACAGAGTTGTGAGCATGTGAATGATTGCCATTTGGGCCCCTAAGGTTGGAGTGGTGTGTTCGTGCCCAATGGTTGATCAGTGTCCACTCCCTGCTCATGCCCTCTGTGACAGCCGCGTAGACCTTCTTGCCACAATGGCATAGTTTTTGGCGCCATTTTGGATATGTTCTTTATTTAGTTTAGGATGCCCGTCTCCCCTTTTCCTCCTTGGAGCTTCTTTTTCCTATATTCAAAACCCAGGTGCTTCTCCGGATTCCCTCTGGTGCCCTCCATACACATCTCTGTTACTGGCACTTTACTTTCTACATTGCACTCTGCTGATTTGTTTACAGTTTAGTCTGATGCTGACCTCTGTAGGAAAAGAGTCTATTTTCTCTCTACTGGCTCTTGGGCCCTGACTCAGATCCTGGCACACAGTATGCTTGGTGGGTTATTGGGTGACAAGGCATAGAGAATAACTACTATGTGATGTCAGGGGGTATGGCTGACCAGTCCTGGCTGTCCCATTCACTGAGACATGTGTGACAAATGACTCACCACTTAAGGCCCATTTTTGTTAACTGGGAAATGAGGGTTTCTGTCTTAGTCCACTTTTTCCTGCTCTAACAGAATACGTGAGAATGGGTAATTTATGAACAATGGAAGTTTATTTTGCATATGGTGCTGGAGGCTGGGAGGTCCAAGACCATGTCACCAGCATCTGGTTATGGCCTTCCTACTGTGTTATTTCATGGCAGAAGGCAAGAGGGATGGGGAGGGAGGGAGGGGGAGAGAGAGAGAGAGAGGAGGAAGGAGCAAGAGGGAGGGAGGGAGGAAGGGAGAGAGAGAGATTGAGAAAAAGAAAGAGAGAGAGAGAGATGAAGCAAGGTAAACTCATCTTCTTAATCTGGAACCAGCTCCCACAATAACTGCATTAATTCATTCATGAGGCAGAGCCGTCATGATCTAATCACCTCTTAACGGTCTCACCTCTTAACACTGTTGCATTGGGGATTAAATTTCTAACACATCAACTTGGGGAACACATTCAAACCACAGCCAGTGCCACTGGCTATTCTGATTCCAACTTTCTTATGTGGTAGAAGCAATAAAGACTCTTGGATTTCTGAAGAGGAAGAGCTGATAGCCCTGTGGTTTCATTTCTTCATTGGTTTTGGCTGAAGGCAAGTGGGTTTCACTGTGTCTGGGAAAACACAGTGAAAACCAGGAAGACCCTATCCACATTTGCTGAATGCTGGCAGGCAGTGTGCTGTGGAAATTCCCAGAAAGACTTTTCACACAGAAGCTCAAAGGGCCCGAGGTCACGAATGCTCCAGAAAGCACCACCACAGCTCCTTGGTGACTCCCAGGATATGTTGCAGAGGTCCTGGCAGCCTGGAGGGCAAACAGTTGAGAGCATGAAAAACGAGTGTCGAGGCTGTAGAGAAAGAAAAACGTGAGACAGAACTCAGGGAGACAAGTTTGCCTCTGGGAGCTTCTCTGAGGGGTTGAAGCAAAACGCTGAAGAATCACAACCCCATCCTCTGTCCAGAGCAGAATCTGACTTGAGGATGCAGCTCTCAGGATCAAAAGCAGAGGAGCTCGAGGGATGATGTCTTCCAATGCCCCCTATTTTATGGTTGGGGAAAGTAAAGCCAGGAGAGGTGAAGTGCCTCACTACAGGTCATTGCAGCAGGCTAATAGGAGAATGGCTAGTATGGCACTAACTCAGGTTACAGATGGAAGGGAATTTACCTTCTGAATTTCTGGACCTCCAAAGAAGGCTGAATGTTGTGATGTTCTTTCTGCCTAGAAGAGAAGTAAAATGATGAGGAACTCAAATCCGACTTCTTGAAATCTGAGGTTTGGGCTTGAACCCAGACCTACCATTTTCAATTTACTGTTCTTTTCCCCGTTTTTCACTCTTTCTTTTTATCATCCTGTTTCCACTGCTACTATCATTTTTATTATTGCTACTCGCTACTCCTAGTTGTACACGAACATTTATCTTTACCATATGGCAGGCACTGTGCTAAGCTCTTTACATGTATTATCTCATTTCATTCTTCCAAGAACCCTGAGAGGTAGGCATTATTCCCTTTATTTTGCCAGTGATGAAACTGAGACCCAGAGAAGTTAAGCATCTTGCCTGAGGTCACACAGCATTTAGTGGCAGTGCTGAGATTTGAACCTTTTGTCTCTCTGTCTCAGCATTCTTTTTTTTTTTTTTTTTTGAGTTGGAGTCTTGCTCTGTGGCCCAGGCTGGAGTGCAGTGGCACGATCTTGGCTCACTGCAAGCTCCGCCTCCCAGGTTCACGCCATTCTCCTGCCTCAGCCTCCCAAGTAGCTGGGACTACAGTCGCCCGCCACCATGCCCGGCTAATTTTTTTGTATTTTTAGTAGAGATGGGGTTTCACCATGTTAGCCAGGATAATCTCGATCTCCTGACCTTGTGATCCACCCGCCTCGGCCTCCCAAAGTGCTGGGATTACAGGTGTGAGCCACTGTACCCGGCCCTCAGCATTCTATTAAGAGTTCTTGGAACTGCATCTCAGCTATGTCATTATAGAGTTGGTAGTCAACTATTAAGCCATTCTTGTTCTTTAGGAAAGTAGAATCTATATATCTCCAAGATGATATGACTCAACAAAGTAGGGCCTCCAAAAATTGAGGCTGTAAGCAATGCCCCAAATGCTCCAATGAAAGAGGAAAAGTGGAGGGAGGTAAATAGTTATTGGTAAGGAAATTTTCTAAATAAGTAAGCTCAGGTTATTTAAAGGATCTACCAAAAATAAGGTGAGGAGAATCAATTTTGTAAGTAGTGATGGCTACAGAACTAGCCTAGACCAAACCTGGCTGATTGTGACAAATACTAAATATAAAAACAAAATGAAGCAAAATTGTAGACTGACTGATGTTCGGAATGAGAAGAACAAGGATGGGTTGGACACGTTGGTTGGACTCTTGGAAGGATGAAAGGAAAGCAGCAAACACTAACAAGCTGGTCATCTCAGGCCAACCGTGTTTCTTTGTCTGAGCACATCATTGCACTGATGAAACAGAAATTTTATCACAGCATACAGGGGGTTTTGGCAGGTCCCTCCTTGCAATCACTATGGAAAGAGCATGAACTGATAACTATACATTCGGGTGCCTGGTTGCAAAGAAAAATAGCAAGAAAGCTCATTAATGAAGGGTTGCTAATGCAGAGAGAAGCTCCCCAGAATTCACGTTGGCAGTTAATCTGAAGATATAGATGGACTGCTCATGAAATCTAGAGTTCCTTCCAAAACAAATTATTGTGAGATTAAAATATTCTCTTTCTGTTGGCACAGCAAGTGAAGGCAAAGTCATGGGAACCTGGTGGACTTTAGAAATGCTTGGCCTCTCCTCCCGTGGTGGCTGGTGCCAAGTCAATCTGTAGCTGATTATTGTCTCGAATATGTACTCAAATGAGCTGTGTAGTAGGCCATCTGCTGTCTCCTCGACTCAGCTGATAGGCCCTGGAAAAGGGAAATCCTGCCAAAATGCAAATATCCTACTTAACTGATAATATAGGGAGAGGAGATACAGGCTGTGGGGGAATGGGGGTAGGGAAGGGAATGGGGCGTGGGGAAGAAATAAGTGACTGTCTTCACCCTTCCTCGATGTCTTTCCATCCTCCTGTGTTTCTTCCTGTTAGAGAAAGACCAGGTGTGGATCAGTAGACCCCGCTCACAATTGGAGTTGCGGGGTCAGACTGGAAGTAGCCAGGGAATTAGGCTCGGTTGTGAGGATGCTTTTTGTAGCCTCTTCATTTGAATTCAAGAACCTATAGCCTCTTGGTTTCCACTGGCACGCTTGCCATGGTAGGAGCCCTTGTTAGGATTAAGCTTTTCTCAGTGCTGGAGATGGAGTTGTTGCACTCATAGGGCTACCACCTGGATTCCTCAGATTGCCTCCGAATGAGTCTGTGAGCCCCACCCCACCGGACCTCCCTCCATGGCGTCCCTCCCAAGCATGACTCAAGGGTTCTGAGTTGCTGTGTTGAATGGATTGGCTAGCGATCGTTTCCATGGGCATACTGCTCCATCATTTCCAAATGCTTTCGTGTTCACTTTCAGTTTCTTTTAATATTTATAGACACCCCAAAAAGGCTGCCACTATTCAGTTGAAATGGTAATGCTAAGGAAACTAAGGCTCCAAGAAGACGGTCCAAGGTCTCATGGCTAAATGAGTAGAAGACCAAAACTGTGATTACAAAGCTGTCACCAGCTCTGCCCCTTTAGGGTGAGTTACTGATGAAAGAAGAGTTGGCTCTGCAGACAGCAGTGAGGAGGAGTGAAGCCACCCAGGCATAAGGCACCGGGGAGCTGCGGGCCTGTGTCCAGCTGGAGCGCACGGGGCCATCTGAAGGGGCAGTCGCTATGCATTGGGCGCTGACTGCCTGCAGGCCGTGGGCCAACGCTGCCAGCTCTTCCAAGTCTTCATGCATTGCTGGGAATCAGAGTTTTAAAATATTGACAGTGGATTCAGTTCTTTTCAAAACACTGTGCCCATTGCTCTGGATCAAACAGACACCATCCCACACAACACTCCAGTTGTGATCAGTGGATTAAAGCAACACTCCTTGGTGAATAGGCTTCTTTTGATGGTACTTGCATTTGAAAAGAGTTTTGTTGAAGCAATTTAGCTTCTAATTAATGCATTCTGTGGGGGAGATGTTTTTTCATGGAGTCATCTTCTTGTGCCTGCTCTGGGTCCCCCAGCTTCAAGGAATGTTGGCTAAAGAGAGTGGGAAGGTGGGATGCAGTGTGGGTGGCGTCACCTTGCAGCCTGACCGTGCCTCCTCCGTCCTCTCTGCACAAGGTGACAACCCACTAGGATATGGAAGGGGAAGGCTGTCACATGTACCTTGTGTGATGCACCCAAGTTATTACAAATCATTTTCTAAAAATCCTTGCAGAGTGGGTAATGGGTCTCTGAGCCATATAGTGTTGGGGCTGTTGCAAAACTGGTCCACTTCCAAATTGCAGGCCTTGATCATTTACTCCCTGGGTGGGAAAGGGGAGCTCTCCACAGTAAAGAACTCATTTCTTGTCCTCAGATGTGTGGTGGTCTGATGTGATGAGCAGACTTTATACTGAGAAAGGAATTTTAGAGGAATACAGAATCCAGCTAACTTAGTAGGAGTGATTAAAAAATACTGGAGGTGTGGGGCGAGGCAGATTCTCTTGATAGAGGAAATTCTCCAGGTCACGTGTGTTTTTTTAATAAGTAGCATCCCTTTGCATTAACCTCAGTGGTTCTCAGCCTTGGCTGGTTGGGGAATCCCTCTGAACTTTAAACACTGCCTGTACTTGGGCTCAGCCTCAGAGATTAGGACTTAATTGGTGTGGAGTCTGGTGAGGGCATCTGGACTTTCAACAGCTCCCCTCCCCCACTGACGATGGTTGAGAATTACTACTCCAGTCTGTGAGTTTTAGAGTTCACTGTGCATCAGAAGCACCCAGGAGCTCTTTAAAATGCAGGTTGCTGGGCTTTGCCCCATGGACTGAATCCAGAGTTCACGGGGGAGCCCAGGAACCTGTATTTTTCAAAGCTCTACCTCCAGCGAGACTCAGGTGATCATTGACTTATGTGCTTCATCGCAGGTGCCCATATAGAAATACGCAGATAGGTTATTTCAATTTGCAATTAATACATATAAATACTTTAGTGTCCTACTTTTGACAAGCAGTTGGATGGAAAATCGATCTTTTGAAATGGATGTCAGTTTAGGCTCAAAACGTGTGATTACCTAAGTTCTCACTGCTGGAGAATTCAAGCTGATAGGCCATGTTTTTCAAAGGAAGTGGGTGCAGAACTGGATCCTGTCAGTGTCAATGCGGGTGCATCCGGGTGTGTAGCAGTGCCTTTTGGTTAAACCCAGGCTTTCCCTACGAGAGGTCTTCCAGTCCATTAATCTTGTGTTAAGTTTCTTGGCTGGAAGGGTGGTTTATAGAAGTGGTGCCAAACAGCTGTAAATGCAAGGCTGAGAACTATTTGTCCTCTTCCTTTATTTTTAAGACTTCAGAAAACAACTTTCACTAAATTGGTAAATAAAGTTTTAGGTATTATTTTCTGATTAATGAAATCACCATAAACTACTACTTCTAGACTTCCGAATGTCATGATTTTATTTCTGGTCTTATTATATTTGTGTTTCTGAGTCTTAATGAGCTAGAAATGCTTATAAGACAAAAGCAATGTGTGTTTTTTCCTGCATCAGATTCTTTTACACCTTATCTTGAAGTTTGCATAACTGAGTCACTTTCTATTTTTTTTTAATCACTTTGATAAGAGAAAAATTTATGTTAGTTGCAGTCCAGGAAAAAGAAGGCACAAACACTGCTGATCAAATATTACTAAAGCTTTTATGGACTCTTGAACCTCATTTTCCCTCCCATATGTACACAAGACACACTTCATTCTTACTCTGTTTATGCCTCTCTGTCTAATAGAAACTTCACTTCTGACTCCAGCTTTGTCTAATTATTAACACAGAGAGGTACTAGAAGTTGTCCATTAGCAAAGAAGAGAAAAATTATGTTTAGGGAACTAATTTTATAACAGCTTAAAATGGCTTTGATGTAAATCTGCCAGATGCCTCTTTTTATATCATCAAATACTTTGCTTTACCTTGAAGAATATTACCCCCAGGTTGGGACAGGAGCTTTCCCATTCTTTTCATTATTTTGTATGTAAAAAAAACCCAAAAAGCCAGTTGTACCTCTCGTAAATAATACATGTTTTCCTCTGCAGAACTGTAGTCTATGTGACACCTACAAACAAGGGACTGCTTGAGGAGTGAAAACCTGGCTTAACCCAGGCGTGCACTTCTTAGGGAATTCTTTATAGGAAGGAGTCATCATTCATAGCAGTGATTTAGAAGATTTCATTCCAAAGATTGAATTGCCTGTTCAGCTGTTCAAAATGCCTGATTCCCCAGATTTCAGGAACAGCAGAGAGGGGAGAGAAACCATTTGCAAACACATAGGGTGTCGAGTAAGAGTCTCAGAGATTTTTTTCTTCCCATCTGAAGTGTCATATGCTCAGTTTGCTTCCCTTGCTTACATGTGGAACTGACCCCTAACTGTGCTGATAAGAGAAGAATAAGTAAGTAAACACCCCCAGGATTTGAGGCTGATAGAAAAGTCACTTGGTTTCAGTGAACTGGACTGGAACACGAGCTTTTTGTTTGCTCTTGAAAGTTTAGCACTTGAATTTCAGGTTGGGCTGTTTAGTTCATTAAAGAAAATGTGGATGCCTCATGCCAACGCCTGTTTTCTTTAGGCCTTGAGAATAGAAGGCATTGTGTATTCGGTACACACACACTAAGGGAACAGTGACTTAATTGTACCCTGGGAACAAAAGCCATTACCTGAGGACAAGATGGGAGACCCCAGGCTTCTGCTCTCTGTTTCTCTCTGCAGAGTCAGCATTGCTGGGAACCCTGGAGCAAGTATCTGAACTGTTGCTGGTGTTTGCCTGTGAAATTGTAATCATGGGCTGGTTTCTCCTGGAGCTTAAACATGAGGGGAACTTGGCTCTGTGGGGAACCTGACTTCTTGTGAAGAGACCCAGAGCCTAGGCCCCATCCCCCACCCCCCAACACACACACACACACACACACACACACACACACACACCAACACACACACACACACACCCCAACACACACACACACACACACACACACACACCAGAAGCGAAGCAGGCGGAGAGGGAAAAGGGAACAGAGAGGGTTTGGTTCTCCCATTTGATCTGTCTCCTTGCAAACGTTCCAGTGACATAAATGGATGGTTGCATCCTGCGGCTGCCCATCCGTCTGCCAGCAGTCCACCTTCAGCTGATGCCATGTAAACAGCGTTTGCACACTTTCCTTAAACAGTGATCTGCGGGCAGTGCGTGCGTGCCAATGAGAGAGCTTGGGGGCCTTTGGAGTTTTGGGGGATACCCTTGATTATTCTCTCACACAAAGGTGGTGCCTCTGTGTCCCCTGGGATGGGGACATGGGGGTTGGAGGCCTCTCTCCTTCTGAGGGGCTAAGTGGTTGGCCTTGCTGTTGGCTTGAGCCAGCTCTTTGGTTGCAGACCGTGGAGTCCCAGGGATCTTCCTTCCAGGGCTTTGTGTTTTCTTTTGCCTTTGTGGATCAGCCAAGGCCACCTTTTAAGAGTTCTTTGTTCACTGGGGAGGATTCTGTCATGCCAAGGGCTGGGAATAAAAAAGTCACAAATAGAAAGACTTGCTCAGCATTGGCAACTCCCATCCCTCAGTGGTTCTCTTGAGTTTTGGTAAATCTAGACTGATGAATATAGCAGCTAATGATCATAGTAGTAGCAGCAAAAACAAAGCTGGCATTCATTAACATATCACACTGCCCCATGCCTTTTATACATTAACACTTTCAATCCTCATAGTAAGAGGTCTCTATTTCTTTTAATGAAGCAAATGAAGAGCAAGTATTTAGACCGGGTTCTATGACAATGGCTACTAAATATATTATATTCTCCTTGAAGTCGTGCCGTTATAGATGGGAGCCAGCTTTTCTCAAATTTCAATGTGCTTATGAGTCACCTGAGGATCAGGCAGATTCCAATTCAGTAGGCGATATTGTTTGGATATTTGTCCTTACCCAGATCTCATGTTGAATTGCAATCCTCCATGTTGGAGGTGGGGCCTGGTGGGAGGTGTTTGGGTCATGAGGGTAGGTTACTCCTGGCTTGATGCTGTCCTGGTGATAGTGAGTGAGTTTTGGTGAGACCTGGTTGCTGAAAAGTGTGTGGTTCCTCCCCCTCACCTTGCTTGTGCTCTCCCCATGTGAAGTGCCTGCTCCTACTTCACCATCCACCAAGAGTGAAGGCTCCCTGAGGCCTCCCCAGAAGCTGAGCAGATGCCAGTGCCATGCTTATACGGCCTGCAGAATCGTGAGCCAATTAAACTTCTTTTATTTGTAATTTACCCATTCTCAGGTATTTCTTTCTTGCATTGCAAGAACAGCCTAACACTGTAGGTCTAGGTGGGGACTGAGATTCTGCATTTAAAACACACATCCAGATGAAGCCCATGCTGCGGCCCACAGAATGCATTGGGTGGTGAGGTTCTAAGCTAGATATTGCCAAGCCTGGCTGAGATTCTGAAACACACAGCTCTCCTCCCACCTTCCAGATGCTGATTCTGAAGACAGGAGTTTCGCTTATACAAAACACTGAGCAAACTGGGGTTCTAAGCGTATCTGTGATCTCTGCAAGGCCACACGGACAGCACCCAGCCTTCTGGGGTTCAGAACACCTTCCCTCCTCATAATACCTCTGACTGCATGTTAAATGGCTCTGACTGCATGTCAAATGGTATCATGTGCTGAAGGGTGTGTACAAGTTTGTGTCTTTCCTTCTTGCTGACATCTGCCACAGCTGACAACCCACCTCAGATGCCAAGGGGAATGAGCTTCCTTTCCTACCTTGTAACCTGAGCCAGGTCTTCCTCCAGGCAAGCCCATCGTGCACTGCACATTCCTCATAGGCACTAAAGCTCTGTCTCTCCTGGATGGAAACCCTGCTCCCTGGAGAGATGGTGATACTGGCTTTCTGTTCATTGCACACAGTGATACAGTAATACAACATCCAGAGATGATGGGAGAAGGAGCAGAGAGGGAGGGAGGGGTGAGTTTGTAAGAGTGGGGATATGTAGCTCTGAAGGAGGCTTGGTGTGTTTGCAGAGAAGGACAGCACAGCTGAGGGCTTTCCCAACATGGCTGTGCTGTGCCACCTCTTCCTGACCACCAAGGATCAGACTTCTGGAAGAAGAAAGTGGCTTCAACTCCAGTCAGCACTTTATGTCAGTGTCCTGTCACCTCAGGACTCTGATCTTGTCTGGTTACTTCTTTAAAGCTCCAATACTCCAAGTGTCCAGGAATTGACCAAGCTGTGAGAAATGCTCTTGCAGGGTTGATTTCATGCCCCTTATCTCTATAATTCTAATGAGAGCTCATCTTTGATTATTTTGAGTTTTGAAGGTTTCTTTAGAGATGTTTTCATTACTGAATGCTTAGGATTAGTTTGGGCTGCTTGTGACAGAAAACCTCAAATAATAATGACTTAAAGAAATAGGAGTTTATTTCTATATCATATAGAAGGAGTCTAGGCTGATATGGCAGCTCTGTGATATCAAAGACTTTGGCTTCTTTTATTATGCCACTGTGCTATCCTAAGCATGAGACTTTGACTTCATGGCCAAGATGATTCCTCATGCATTAGCCATCACATCTTCATTCCACCCAGCAAGAAGAAAGAAGAGAGAAAGAAAGTCACGTCCTTTCCCATGAAAGACATTCCTTGGATATTGCACACCATAATTCTGCTTACATTCTATTGGTCAGAACATAACAACATGGCCACAGCTAGCTAGTTATGTGGCCATAAGGAAGACTAGCAAAAGTAGTCTTTATACCAAATGCCAGATTCTCAGCTAAAAATGGGTAATTCTAGGACCCAAGACACAGTGAAGATCAAATATTGGGATAAACAACTACCGTCTCCACCTCATTGGGGTCTTAAGGTCATTCAAACCTAGGTAATGTTTGGATTTGGCCCAAAAATTTCCAACAGATGCTTCCCAGCCATTTTATATATATCACAGGAAGTTTGCAGTCATGCTGGATCTCTTAATCGTTCCTCCAAGAGGAGGCAGAGCTGGCCCTTAGAGGTGATATTAATTAACCATGGCTTAATAATTTAATTAATTACAGCTGGCATGGAGTGCAAATACAAGGAGAAAACTGCTGGCAGTCATCTAAATTTGAAGGTAGAAGGTGACCAGGCACGGTGGCTCCCGCCTGTAATCCCAGCATTTTGGGAGGCCAAGGTGGGCAAATACCTGAAGTCAGGAGTTTGAGACCAGCCTGGCCAACATGGTGAAACCCCGTCTCTACTAAAAATACACAAAAAATTAGCCGGGCTTGGTGCTGTGCACCTGTAGTCCCAGCTACTGGGAGGCTGAGGCAGGAGAATCGCTTGAACCTGGGAGGTGGAGGTTGCAGTGAGCTGAGATCATGCCACGGCACTCCAGCCTGGGCAACAGAGTGAGACTCTGTCTCAAAAAAATAAAACAAGGCCGGGCGTGGTGGCTAACACCTGTAATCCCAGCACTTTGGGAGGCTGAGGCAGGTGGA
The DNA here is from genome assembly GCF_000001405.40 of Homo sapiens. Lineage (NCBI taxonomy): Eukaryota > Metazoa > Chordata > Mammalia > Primates > Hominidae > Homo > Homo sapiens. The sequence goes on from NC_000009.12 coordinate 87,574,996, forward strand.
TCACCTGAGGTCAGGAGTTCAAGACCAGCCTGACCAATATGGTGAAACCCCATCTCTACTAAAAATACAAAAAAATTAGCCAGGCGTAGTGGTGTGCATCTGTAGTCCTAGCTACTCGGGAGGCTGAGGCAGGAGAATCACTTGACCCTGAGAGGTGGAGGTTGCAGTGAGCCAAGATTGCACCACTGCACTCCAGTCTGGGCAACAGACTCCATCTCAATAAAATAAAATAAAATAAAATAAAATAAAATAAAATAAAATAAAATAAAATAAAATAAAGGTAAAAGGCAAGATGCATACATTCATAGCCGTTATCTCGTGCTGGCCTCAGCTTGCTGGGGATGTGCACGTGTGTTTGGAGCCCAGCAAAGAGCTTCACAATAACAATCACAGCAGGAGTAGAAAAATGGGCCTCGCCTCAGCACCAGAAGGAGTGCATGGGTCTGTGTCAGCATTGGGTGCTTTATGGGGTGTTGTGAGGGCAAGAAACCTTAAGGAGCGTGTGGTTTCTGAGATCCCGATTTCGAAAAAACAAAGCCCTGAGCTGGAAGTCCCAGGCATGTCACTGTACCTCCATGGAGGTTACAAAGGAGTAATTTGAGGAGTGGCATCAATATTATTTAAATGTTGAGAATCAAATAGATTTTGAGAGCTAGTGCAGGGCTGAGTGGAAATTGTCCAAATTTCTGTACAGATGAAGACTCATAAGTGGGCTGAACGTTATCTCTCCCTCCCGACTTTTTTTTGACCTAACAGCAAACACAAAGTATTCCCTTTAGAAAAGAGTGTACGAAGAGTGGTGGAAAAATAGGAATAATTTCCTTCAACCTAATCATCCCAAACTCAAACAAAACAACCCTCGCATTCTCAGGCACTAAGGTGCTCCCTGGCAAGGGAAGTCAAGGGTGGAACAGAAGGTACAGATAGAATTTATACCTCATGGGGCCCACGACAGACCCAGCTATGCCTGGGAGGAAGGCTGTGAATGCAGCGAAGTCCTGAAACCCAAGAAAATGCCTTCCGTGGTTCAATGTTTTGCTTTTTCTCTAACAAGCTCAGGTTAGCGGTAGTCAGATGTCTCAGTGTGAGCATCTCTTTAATGTTAGCATTCAGCATTCCAAACTTGGGTGGACTTTGATGAGTTCATTCTTCATACACGTACACACACGTGCACACACGCATGCACACACATGCGTACACACGTACACACACACGGGTCAGAGTTAATGAAAATGTGTTTGAGTTTGTGCTAAAGGCAAGCTGAGCAGATGTTTTCCTGTAGTGAGTGTGTTACTTCATTATCTGTGCTAATAATTATAAGAATAAAAAGCAAAGCGCAGTGGACTCCTATATTTGCTCTTATGTTTTGTACTGTCATCTAAATCATGTCTCTTCAGGCGCGTGTTTGCTTCTGGGGATAGTTTTATCTTGTCAAGTGTGTTTGTTCTTGGAGGAAGGAAAGCAGGCTTGGGTGACTGGTGAGCCTTAGTTGCATTTTGGCCTCTGCCCCTCATGAGCTGCCTGTTACTGATAAATTACTGTGTTTCTCTGGATCTTGTTTGTTTTGTTTTGTTTTGTTTGAGACGGAGTCTCTCTCTATTTCCCAGGCTGGAGTGCAATGGCGCTATCTCGGCTCACTGCAACCTCCGCTTCCCAGGTTCAAGTGATTCTCCTGCCTCAGCCTCCCAAGTAGCTGGGATTACAGGCACCCGCCACTGCACCCGGCCAATTTTTGTATTTTTAGTAGAGACGGGGTTTCACCATGTTGGCCAGGCTGGTACCAAATTCCTGACCTCAAGTGCTCTCTGCCCACCTCGGCCTCCCAAAGTGCTGAGATTACAGGCGTGAGCCACCGCGCCTGGCCCTGGATCTCGGTTTTAATTGTCCTACAATAGAAATGGCAGTGCCCTCCTTATAGCACTGCTGTGAGCACGAGGTGAGCTCCAGGGTATGGAAACACAGGATCCAGCCCAGTGCCCAGCAACCTGCAGCTGCCCCATAAATGGGCATTTCCTTTCTCTGCCTTGATTGTCCTTTTGCCTTCTTTGGATCAAAACTTTGCTGCTCAGTGTTTGGGGAAGAGATAATATTCTGGTTTGTCCCTCAAATATATACGGGAATCTGGTATGGAACTCAAGATCAACGAGGCAAACCTAAGAAGCTGTGTGTGTACAACTGTGGTTCTCAAAGTGTGGTTTCTGGACCTGCATCATTTTCATCATCGCCTGGAAACTGGTTAGAAATGCAGATTCTCAGGTTCCACCCCAGACATAACGGAATTGGAAACTCGGGGTGGGGCCCAGCGGTCTGTGTTTTAACTAGACTTCAGGTGATTTGAATGAGTGCTAACATCTGAGAGCTACTAGTCTCTACATCTAAGTTATCAGACCTCCTTGAATCTTAGACTTCCCTGAGGAACATTTTAAAATACGAAAGCCAGGGTCCCCCCCAAGAGATACTGATTTAATGAGTCTGGGGCAGAGCCCAGGCACGAGGATGTTTTAAAAGATTCCATCAGTGAGCCAGGCACAGTGGCTCACGCTTGTAATCCCAGCACTTTGGGAGGCCAAGGATGGTGGATCACTTGAGGTCAGGAGTTCCAGACCGTCCTGGCCAACATGGTGAAACCCCGTCTCTACTAAAAATACAAAAGTTAACTGGGCGTGGTGATGCAGGGCTGTAGTCCCAGCTTCTCAGGAGGCTGAGGCAGGAGAATTGCTTGAACCCGGGAGGCGGAGGTTGCAGTGAGCTGAGATTGTGCCACTGCACCCCAGTGTGGTGACAGAGCGAGACTCTGTCTCAGGAAAAATAAAAAATAAAAAAAGACTCCACCAGTGATTCCTGTGTGTAACCAGGATCGAAAAATTCTGCTCTAAAGAATTTCTGTCTCATTCTCTCCCTTTCCCCTCCCCTCTTCCTAGGGTTGGGGATTGGAACTGGAGGAAGAATTATTTTGGAACAGGTGCTCAGAGGCGATGACAGGGATGAGGCGCGAGAAGCTACCCACAGGCCATAGAACATTTCCATTTCTTTTACCTCATTTGCTGGTGCTCTGATATTTTTCGGTGGCAGCCTTCTTCCGATTTTAAATGTAACTCATGCTCATGTAGAAAGTTTGAAAACAACATAGAAAACTTTGAAAGAGAAAATAGGACTCTCTAGTAATCCCATCCCCCGAAAGATCCCATTAAATGTTAACATTTTGCTGTATTAGCTTGCAGCCTTGCATCTATATGTCCTTTTTAATAGAAAATTAGGATCATATGGATGTATGTAGTTGCATAGCTTGCATTTTTAACCGAATATTACATTATGATAATGCATGATATATTTTTAATTTCATCTTCAAAGCTGGCATCAGATTGTACTATGTAGATTTATCATAATTAGCTCCACTGTTTTCCTCTGGTGAATGTCATTCTTTTCTTCCATGATGGGTACAAATAGCCTTGTAAAGCAATCTTTGATTGCTTTTCTGATTATTTCCTTAGGATAGATTGCTAGAAGTAGATGCACTGAGCCAAAAGTTATAAACATTTTAAAGGTTCTCGTTACATGGAGCTAAATTTGTTTCCAGAAGGGTTGTGTTGTCTTTACTCCCACTCTGAATAAGACAGTGCCTGTTTCCTTGTACTTTTGCTAAAGTTGGCTATTATCTTAAAATACAAAACCCAAACAAAACCAGAAAACAATCCCATTTGCCACTTTGCAGAGCCAAGTGTTCGTGCCCTTGACCTCTAGCAGCTCTCTGTGAATGTGGTCACAGATTCCTACACCCATGTGTCTTCATCTTCCTTTTACTCATCTTTCAGAGTCATGTTTATCTTTCAATGTCTGACAGCTTTAGTTTGGGGATTTTCGTCTTATCTTGGGATTTGAGGCCATCTGGGCTTCTCAGCTCTGCTCTTGCTGCTCCATCTTTATTGTATCTGGGCTTCATCTCTAATGTTTTGTACCATTTAGCCTCTTTGTGCCATGCACACCAGCCTAGACCAGTGTGGCATTTAGGATGACACCCTCATAAAGGCCCTTAATAAATGCTCTGGGATATTGCAGCAAAAGGCACACATAGCATTGCAAAGTTAAATTATTCAGGCTCACCGAAGTATATATAATCTATTCCAAGGTGAGACAGCACCCCCTCCCCACTGATGCACACATTTCCCCACCTGCTTCACACACACTCACTCAAGTGCACTTCTTCAGTGCATCACAAAGGGAAGTCTTTGAGGGCCTCTCACTAAAATAATCAGAGAATCCATCTTCTTGGACCTCCTTGATAAATGATGTTTGATTGAAGCGGTGAATGACTTGTTGCATACTTTCCTTTCAAACTGAGTGTGCATTACCCAGATAGAGAAGAGGAAGAGCACATTTCCACCCTTTCATTTAACATCTTGCAGTCATCCTAGCTTGACACAGTGGCAAAGCCATGCAGGTTAATAGCTTTAGCTTTGGGACCCTTCCAGAAGAAGCTCTGTGCCGGAAAAGTGGTGGGGAAATGGTAGATCCATCATAGTTTTAAAGCTGCTTCTGGCACCTTTACATCCTAGTTGCTCTACGTTGGGAATAATAGCAGAGGCACCCAGAACTGAGCATCACTTGGGAGGTAGAAAAGCTGGGAAGGACAAGAGCAGAAAGAAGAATTGAAATCTTCTACTCTGGCCACACATTTACACATTCTCTTCTATTATTTCAAAGTGATTCATCTATTTCTGTTTTTTTCAATTCAGGGAAATCAGCTGCAGGAATGAATGATCACCTTACTTTTATTCCAAAGGTTCCTGAATATGTTTTGTCCCATTCATCCATCCTTCCATCCAGCCATCCATTCATTCATCCTTCCATCCATTCCTCCAATAAAAATGTATTAAGTAGTATTATCCAACCTACTACTAGGAAGTAACCACTTGTGGATCAAGGTTTTCTAAAGCTTAGCAGTGATGTATAACACAGGAATGTGTGTTAAGTGTCTGGAAGCCCAAGTGGTGGCTTGGTGGGGACTCACTGGTATATAGAGAATGCTGTTTTCATTGAAGCTGGACTGTATGAAAAACAGTCCATGGAGCTAAATTTGACATGTAATAATCATGTCATTATATAAGGCCTCATTATTTAATGGCAGTGGTTACAGCAGATAAAGCAGTTGAGGAGGCAGGCAGGGAAAATCTTTAACTGTGGGTCAGAGAACTTCACGGTCATTGATGAAACTGCCCTGTGTGCTCTTTCTTCCTGATATTTCCTTTCAGTTCCTATTTTTAAAAATAAATAAATAAAAAGGGATGTCATTATGATTAGCTCATTTTGGGGATGTGGCTGGATAGTGACCCCCAAACATATCCTCCTCCTAATCCCTGGGACCTGTGAATAGTTACCTTCTATGGTAAAAGGGATTTTCCAGAGATGGCAACTGGAAACCTACATGCGGGTGGTTCCCAGTGCAAAGCAATCTCAAATATTTTGTTCTCATAAATATATTTTTACTTTTTAGACAACTTGCCCTAGTTTTCTGTTTGGAAAATATCTCCATAGCAGACAACACAGTAATGAATTCTATCCTTTATCTCTTTAGCTTTGGAGGAATTTCTTGCTTCATAGTTGAGTTCTTTGGATATTGAGCACTTATTGTATACAAGATTATATCTACAGCTAGCATAAGACCAAATACAAAGATTAATACCAGCTCCTACTCTGTATGACTTTACTACCTGCTCTAAAGCTCCCATCGCTTTGGCCTTATGTGATATCCCAATAGTGATTAAATTGCCCCTGTAAAGAAGACATATACGAGTCTCCCACATAGGACCGAGCGGTTAAGCTTCTAAAGAGGTTTTCTGAAGTTTTAAGGAGAAGCAGTGCTCTGAGTATGGGTCTGTCAGCATGTGGGGACACTTAATGTGAATGTTTGATCATTATTTTAACGTGTGCCCTTTGTACAACTTGACATTGACACTACCGTGAAATGTAAATTACACGGAACTCCATGGGACCACTAAACCCTCTCCCACTCAGCTACAGAGTTAGCAGAATGAACGCGTGACCCAGTTAGATAGCTATCGCGTAACTTATCTGAGTTCTCTCCGCTTGTTTTCAGTCTCCTTAACCACTTTCAAAATCATCATGTAAAAGTCTGTTGCACACTCTTTCCCTAGCTGTTCAGACTAAGCTCCAAAAGTCCATAGCTTCGGAAGACGCATGGACACCTCTGTTCCTTGGACACACACTGCTTTCCTCAAACTGCATAGTTGTGCCTTTGTTTTCATTTTCCCTTCTGAGGGGAGGAACAAGGACTAGCAATGAATGGCACCTGGCTAGGCGTTACCCTTGAACATCCTGATATTAAGTAAATAGGCAAATAAAGTCTCTTTGTAGGCAAATAAACTCTGGTTTGCCTGAGTACAAGCCATGATGATGGAATCAAGCTGTAATTAAAAAAAAAAAAACTTAGTTAATTTTACTTACAACAATATCCTGAAATCAAAATGGATTTAAAATTGCATACTTATCATGACCAATAATTAGAGAATATGGCTCCACAGCCTGTGGTTTTGGAGGCTTTGCAGCCCATTTCAGCTGTTTGTGTGTAGTTGTAGCTCGTTTGGGTTGTAAATTGGAATCTGATTCTTCCCCCCTAACTACCCTAGTTCCCTTCTGGCCTGTGGAAGATAAGCTGTTCTGGGTCAAAAGCAATGTGGTCACATGACCAGCCTACAAAACAGAGTCAGCCTTAAAACTTCCAGGACTGGACTGATTTGGAAACTTGGAGAAACTTTGCTACACAGGAAGATGTCTGCCACCGGGGAACAAACCAGCAATTCATCTCATGCCTTTCATCTGGAGTAGATCATGTGCCCTGAGGTCATATGTATTTTTAAACATTTATTCCCACTCATTTTCTTTAATTTGAGACACTCGGGCTTAATGTAGTAAGACATTTTAACTGAAATTTAATTTGAATAGGTCCTCACATACAGAGTTTGGTGCTCTACAAAAAATAACCAAGGTTTAAAAAGAAAACAAATCCAGGAGGCCTTCAAATATACCACTTAAAATGATCAACTTTATGTTTTTTAACAAAGATTGATTTTGTACTCTGCTGGAATGTGGCCCCGTACCAGGTGGAGCCTTCTCCTCCGGTCTTTTTTTTTAATGAGCTGGAGTAGCTAGTGAGATCTGAAATGGGTCTACGTAAAACAATTGTGAAAGAGTTGCTAGAATTTTGGCTTCTTTTCTGATTGTACCAAGTGGTGAAAGCAAAGTGGAGTTGGAGGTGAAATGAATTATTATAAAAGGCTAGGTATGTCATGAAAAAGCCAGCAGAGAAACAGCGATCATTAGCGTCTCTGGGACTGAAGCGTCTAGCCTGTTGGAGCTTAGTAATGGTTGACATTGAATGACAGTCTTCACTGCTCTTCAATACGGTGCTCAAGACTTAAAACGTGGTCAGGAGCAGTTGGCAAGTTTGTTGAGACTGACGCACCTCCTCAGTTGTTTCTGCTATGTTTACTGATGGCCATGAAGTGTTTCTCCTTACTATGGTCACACTTTGCCAATTTTCCTGCTTTTTTTTTTTTTTTGAGATGGAATCTTGCTCTGTTTCCCAGGCTGTAGTGCACTGGTGCTATCTCGGCTCACTGCAACCTCCGCCTCCCAGGTTCAATCGATTCTCTTGCCTCAGCTTCCCGAGTAGCTGGGACTACAGGAGTGTGCCACCACTCCTGGTTGATTTTTGTATTTTTAGTAGAGACGGGGTTTCACCATCTTGGCCAGGCTGGTATTGAACTCCTGACCTCGTGATCCCCCCACCTCGGCCTCCCAAAGTGCTGGGATTACAGGCATGAGCCACCGCGCCCAGCCAGTTCTCCCTAGTTCTAATGGGGTCACTGTACCATAAAAGACCTTGAGATACTGGGTGATCAGAACCACAGGAGCAGCAGCAGCAGCAGCAGTAGCTGCTGCATGGTAAGTTGAGACCCCAGATTCCTTCATCTTTTGTCAAGAAGCGGTTGACCTCTGCGATCTCGGGATTTGTCTTCTCCAGGTCAAGGGTATATACAGTTGGCCACTTTAAAAATGGCATGCCGTTTTTCTTTCTGTTATTAATAGAATGAAGGAAATAGGCAAAGAAATGGTAAATAAGGAGAAAGACTCTTAAGAGGTTGTAATTCACAGCCAGGATAGGGAAGAATAATATTTCATTATTACAGATTCCCCCTTTATTGTGGTATTTGAGAAAAACCCCCTCCCATGATACTATGCCTGACACATGAGTGTTCAAGGAACACTCGTTGAGTGGGTTAGTAAATCAATGAATGTAAGTAGCAGTCACTGGGAATGCAGGTAGAGACTCCAGTTGTTCCTCAGCATATTTAAACTTGCCACTAGGCAGGAGCACTCAGCACTCTACCCTCAAATGCGTACAGCAAATGTAACGAGCCCCAAGCAATAGGCTTGCTAATTCTTACAACTTTGACAAGCAAGGGGAAATAATGAATATCAGTACTGTGATCACTTGAAAGTGGAGAAGAAATGAATTGACCCCAAGTTTAAGAAATGTCATGCATAGAGAAAGAGCAGACTTCTGTGAGCAGTGAAAATCTAAGCTTGCGGCCTTCCCCTTCATCTCCCCACTGTCATAACCTGCACCCCACCGTGGAGTTCCTTGACCTCCTCATTTCCAGCCACCTTCTCCTCTACTGCACTGCTGTCACTAGAAACTCCACCCAAACCTTCATTTCCAGGCAGCCATACTCACAGCACCTCCTTGCCACTGACTAGTCCACCCTTTCCACCATGATAACTCTTCAGCCTCATTGGAACCTTTCAGCCTACCATGCTTTCTCTATCATTGCCCTTCTTTCTTCAGTTCATGGGGTTGGAGGTGGAGGTGAGAGTAACTATGAAATAATTAAGATCATACAGAAAATCCACTTCCCAAGGAGGACCACACTTTTAAAATCAGCTGAATCATAATCTCTATTTTTATTTAATATTGGGGCTGGATACATTTTTGTAGCTGTATTATTAGTATGCTACATACAAATCTTTTTTAAATTATTTTTTTAAATTGACAGATAAAATTGCATGCATTTACTGTGTACAACATGATGTTTTGAAGTATGTATACATTGTGAGATGATGAAATTTAACTAATTAATGTATGCATTACCTCACATGGTTATCATTTTTTGTGGTGAGAACACTTTACATTCATTCTCTTAGCATTTTTCAAGAATACATTACATTATTAACTATAGTCACCATGTTGTAAAATAGCTCTCTTGAACTCATTTCTCTTACCATTTTTTCTGGCCGAATAGTATTTCACTGTGTATATTTACCATATTTTCTTTATTCATTCATCCACTGATGATTGATTCCATATCTTGGCTGTTGTGAATAGTGCTGCAATAAACATGGGAGTGCAGACATCTCTTTGACATACTGATTTCATTTGCTTTGGATATATACTTACTAGTGGGATTGTTGGACCATATGGTAGTTCTATTTTTAATTCTTTGTGGAACCTCCAGATTGTTTTCCATTATGGCTGTGCTAATTTGCACTCTCTCCAACAGTGTACAAGGGTTCTCTTTTCTCCACATCCTCACCAACACTTGTCTTTTGTCTGATAGCAGCCATTCTAACAAGTGAGAAATGATAGCTCATTGTGTGTGTGTGTGTGTGTGTGTGTGTTTGAGATGGAGTTTCACTCTTGTTGACCAGGCTGGAGTGCAGTGGCATGATCTCAGTTCACTGCAGTCTCCACCTCCTGGGTTCAACTGATTCTCCTGCCTCAGCCTCCTGAGTGGCTAGGACTACAGTTGCCCGCCACCACGCCTGGCTAATTTTTGTATTTTTTGTAGAGACGGGGTTTCACCATGTTAGCTAGGCTGGCCTCGAACTCCTGACCTCAGGTGATCCACCCACCTCGGCCTCTCAAAGTTCTGGGATTACAAGCGTGAGCCACTGCGTCCAGCCGTATATCCTCTTTTGAGAGTTGTCTGTTAAGTCCATTGCCCATTTTAAAATCAGGTTATTTGTTTTCTTGCTTTGGAGTTGAGTACCATGTATATATTTTGACTGTTCACTCATTATCAGATGTATAGTTTCAAAACACTTTTTCCCATTCGGTAGGTAATCTATTCACTGTGTGTATTGTTTCCTTTTCTATGCAGAAACTTTTTCGTTTGATGTAATTCCATTTGTCTATTTTTGCTCTTGTTGCCTGTGCTTCTGGGGTCATATCCAAAAAGTCATTTCCCAGACCACAGAAATCTTGATGCTTGCCCTTTTGGAGCCATAAGCTCATCTGCCTGAACCAGTGGTTATACTAACAGGAATTCGCTAAACAGGGCTGAATGGAGACTTGTAGATGCCTTCAAGTACACAAATGCTTATTGTAGCATGTAGGTTGTCTATTTGGCTTCTGTACTCCAAACAGCAGAATATGTTTAAAAAGAAAACTATCTTAGTGCACACAAATTACGAGCTGGAAATGTATTCACATCATTTTAAGAAAATTATCCAGAATACACAGTCTGGGTCTCTAAGCTAATTTTGGTCTCTGTTATTCTTCTAATAAGGTGAACAGTCATACCTTTTATCTTCCAATGATTAATGTGCTGACTTAGCTATGGTTCATCTGAGTGACTTCACAACTATCTCTTCTGGTTCCCTTCTATAAATAATTAAGCTATGTCCTAGTTTTATATTATAGCTATAAAATTAGCCTAAAGCTGTGCTGTTTGACATGACAGCCACAGGCCACTTGTGGCCATCGAGCACTTGAAGTAGGGCTGGTTTGAACAAGATGTGCTGTGTGTGTGTAAAGCACACACTGGGGTTCAAACACTCAGAAAAGGGCAAAATCTATCATAATCATTTTCATTATTGACTACATGCTTAAATCATAACATTCAATATATTGGGATAAACAAAATATTAGAGTTAATTTTGCCTGTTTCTTTTTACTTTTATTAGTGTGACTGCTAGAGAATTTCAAATTATACCTGGGTATGGTGGCTCACACCTGTAATCCCAGCACATTGGGAGGCCGAGGCGAGCGGATCACTTGAACCCAGAAGTGTGAGACCAGCTTGTGCAATATGGTGAAACCCCACCTCTACAAAAAATACAAAAATTAGCCAGATATGATGGCGTGTACCTGTAATCCCAGCTACTTGGGAGGCTGAGGTGGGAGGATTACTTGAGCCCAGGGGATCCAGGCTATAGTGAGCTGAGATAGCGCCCCACTGCACTCCAGCCTGGGCAACAGAGTGAGGCCCTGTCTCCAAGAAAGAGAAGAAAATTTCAGATTACCCATGTGGTTTGCATTTGTGGCTTGTATTATATTTCTGATGGACTACTCTGTCTCAAAGTAAGTCATTGTTTTAATTTATAAATGATTATTGCTTAAAATTTAAATGTATGTATATGCATACAGTTATACTCTGCATATAGTTATATATATGTATATACTTATGTAATTATGTAATTTGAAGATTACATAACTATAACCTACTTCCTGTGATAAAACACTATTGGACACGTCATCTAAACAAATAATTGACACTAGTGCTTAAATACATTAATGTATATCAAGTCAACTTTAAGATAATCAGACTAAGTTTTCATAGATTTTATTGTGTAAAGTTTTATTCTTTTTGCCTATGTCTGAGGGAAGTTAGAATTTTGGAACCAGTGCGAAGTTCATTTTCATATGTTTTATTCTGAATCACTAACATTAACTCTTCTGAATCTGTGACAGCCAGCATTTGGAAAGTTAATTCGAGTGTCCTAAAAGTCACTTTCTTCAGTTTGTTTACCTATCTTATTATCATAGTCTAAACGTAGCTAATAGTAAAAAACCTCTAAGTAACATTGTTTAGTGATTGAGCCAATAAATTAAACATTAACAAGAGAAACTTGGAATTCCAAGGACCAAGGCTGAGTAAATCAATTTCACCCACCTGTCCAGTGAGCGTTTGCTGAGAGGAGAAGATGTAGAACACTGTTCTGTGTTTTAAATTTTTATATCCTTAGCAAGATCAAACTCCTTCTTCTCCCTCACCTAAAGGTGAGATTCGGAAGCAGGAGATGTGTTCTAATCGCTGTACAGGTTGCCTAGTTCATCAAAGTTGGGCAGATGGGGCCAGTCTGGAAGCTGGCAGGCAGCTTCCCTGGCAGGAAACTCTCCGCCATGTTCTCTGCCTTCATATAAGGCAGCCAGCAGCATTTTACATCGACGTTAATAATAACGGAAGAAAAAATAGATCATTCTCTGTTCCCTTAGGTTATTTAAATTTTACTTTTAACCTTTGTTTTCTAACATTGAACATTTCTCAGGAGCATGCTCACCGTGTGTTTCTTATATAGAATAAGTACTGGTCTTGCATGATCAGAGCCTCAAAGTCAGCATGAGAAATTTGAGGCTCCTTTGAATTCATGCAAGCTCGAATTAGAAACAGCCTCAAACAGCTTCAGTTAGAGTCTTTTTTCTGTGGCTCTCCAAGAGATGGAGCAATAACTTATAATTATCCCAGGGTGAGGTTACCCACAAAATTTGACCATCCACTTCTAAGGCCAGAAAGACATCCGAATAATGTTACTCAAGGGCCCAAGACGTGGGAATTGGTCATTTTTGTTCCTGTGCTTTCCTTCACCATCAATACTTCAGTATTTCATAAGCGTAATCAGTTTTAAGTGAAAGGGCAACAACCACTGCCACATGCCGAGGTGTCCCTAAGCCAGCAGCCTTCATGGAGAGCCATTCAGCAGCCCTCGCTCAAGATGGCTTCTTCAGAAAACAGTAGAGGAGAGCTTGCTTAGTTTTTGCCTTCTCTTATTTTCCCCAATAGAACAATGTATGAGCTTTGGCACATGCCTAAAAGATGCAGGTGGTTTTAAGCAACTATATACAATAATAGTAATCATATTATTACATATCAAGCACTGTTGAAAGAGCTTTACATGTATAACTCATTTAATCTTTACAACAGCCCTTTAAGGAAGATATGGTTAATACGTTGTTTGTCAATCATTGAGGTACCTGAGTCACAGAGAGGTTGAGGAACTTGCCCAAGATCACACAGCTAGTAAATGGCAAAGCCAGGATATAAAAGCAAGCCCTCTGCCTCCAAAGTGCATAAGTCATAATGCCACGCAGGAGATTAAAATAATTTTGTGTGTCTGGATATTTATGCTAAGTTTTAGTTTTGGAAGACTTGAATTGGTGGTTTCTGAATCCTGTTGAAAAAGGATCCTTTCCTTCCTTTCCATTCCCTATTAGAAACTGACCTAAACCTATTAGGGATCCTTGAATATAGACACAGCGGTTCTATTCTGAGCTGTGATGTCTCTTAAGCCCTTCCAAATATTAACAGTATATTTGTGTGGTAGCAGGCAGTATCTAAAACATAATCATACCTTTTTATCTCTTTTGAGTGCTACAGCTGCCCTATAGGCTAAGCATTATTCAATTCAGTTTTGTTTTGTTTTGTTTTATTTCCCAAATGACCATGCTGAGACTCAGCAAAGGTTGTGAGGATCAGCTTTCACAGATGGCAAATGGCAGAGGAGGGCAGCATCCAGCATTCTTTCTCCCAACTGTGCATTTCCTCTCAGATTGTAGATACTCTCTGTCACTCAGAAGGCACAGATGCATAAAATATATTTCCAAATAGAGACTAGAGAAGTTGATGGAAATATGGATTTATTTTAAGTTTCAGTCTGGAAACATCATGATCACAGAGATTCAGAAAATGCATGAAGAAGAAGTCTATTACAGGATTTTTACTTTACTCAATGCTATGTATGCTTTTAATTAAATGAGGAGTGCACTAAATGAAAATCTCCATGAGAACCATCCAGATTAGTGCAGAGCATCTTTTTCTGGGGGGCGGGGGGAGCAGACAGAATTTTGCTCTTGTTGCCCAGGCTGGAGTGCGGTGGTGCAATCTCAGCTCACTGCGACCTCCACTTCCCAGGTTCAAGTGATTCTCCTGCCTCAGCCTTCCAAGTAGCTGGGATTACAGGCATGTACCACCACGCCCGGCTAATTTTTTTTTTTTTTTTTTTTTTTTGGTATTTTTAGTAGAGACAGGGTTTCTCCATGTTGGTCAGGCTAGTCTCGAACTCCTGACCTCAGGTGATCCTCCCACCTTGGCCTACCAAAGTGCTGGGATTACAGGCGTGAGCCACCGCAACCGGCCAGTACAGAGCATCTTAAGGTTGGAAGGACTCTTAGAGACCATAGTCCAGCCTCCCACTTGATACTGAAACACGTTTGTGAATTCATGGCAGATGTCTAACTTCCCTCACCACCTTTCCGATATGGACAGTTCTCATGCCCAGAAGCAAAACCTTCTTTATTGTGCTTGTCCTCCCTTGACTGTCATGCATATAATCAGCATCTTTCCCACTAAGTGAAGGGCCCAGACTCGAGCACAGGAGCACAGCACCCCTTAAACTCACGAGGGGCTGCATTCACACCATCAGCAGGGAGATTACACTTGTGTCATTTGTGACACTAGACAGGTCAGCTAGCACCATCAAGTACTTTTTTTTTTATATGAACTGCTATTGTGCTAGGCCTCCCCAATCCTGTACTTGTGAGGTTCATTTCTTTGAACCCAAATACAGAAATTCCTGTTTATTCCTTTTGCAAATTTGATTATTCAGCCTCTTGGGAGAATTTAGATTCCAAGTTCTGTCAGTGAGTATATTAGCCATTCCTCTTTGGCTGTCTTAGCCATTCAAAAGTGTGATAAAGATGCTTCCATATGACATATTGAATGAAGTATCAGGGCCAGGATGTCCTGAAAAATACCTTATTGAGGACACAGCATAAATACAGGAGCCTGCACTCCACTCACCAAAATCTACCATATGGTGATTCACATTTCATCCACCAAAATATCATGAAAAATGAGGTCACAGGCCTCGGTGACATCAAAACACTTTTAAAATCTATATCCGTTTCCATTCTACTTTTCTTATGACCCAATTGGGGCAAGGGGAAAGTTCTTGCTACTCATTGACCATTTGCTAAGTATTTCTAATTCATCAGATCAAAAGTTGATTCTTGACGTTTTCTAGGAATTAATAAGCCAATTAATCTTGGAGAGGGCTCCAATTTGGTTCCCTTTGAACATCAATATGGCTTCACGCATTAGTATTTGCCTATGATTGCCAGCAATGATAGGAGATTGCTTCTGCCACACTGTGACTTAACTTACTCAGACGTGGAGACTCGAATTTTTAAAAAAAATACCTAACAGGCAATCTTTTATTATCTCTTTTCTTACTTCAAGCTTTGGTTCCACCTTAACAGTGTTTTCCTGATGCTTTCCCAAGTGCAGATCATTGGCCTCAAAAAAAAAAAAAAAAGAAAAGAAAAGAAAAGAAAAAGGAAGCTAAAAGGGTTGCCTAATTTTGTGTCCTATATTCCTATTCCACCTTCAACTCTGATCAGCCATTTTAACCCTTTTCCGTCCATCTTTCTCAGAACTGAACTTAAGTTTTGGAATTTTTTTTCTTTTCCAATTCTCAGTTCTTTGAGGCTTCCTGAATAATTTGTGCTACTTAAAAAATTTTTTTTTTTATTTTTTGAGACAGGTCTCACTCTGTCACCCAGGCTGGAATGCAGTGGCATGATTGTGGTTCACTGTGGCCTGTAGCACCCGGGCTCAAGCCATCCTCTCACCTCAGCCTCCTAAGTAGCTAGGAATACAGGCGTGTACCACAAGCCCAGCTAATTTTTAAAAATTTTTTATAGAGATGGGGTCTCACTATGTTGCCAGGGCTTGTCTTGAACTCCCAGGCTCAAGGAATTCTCCCACCTCAGCCTCCCGAAGTGCTGGGATTACAGGCGTGAGCCACTGCACCCCATCTATTTGTGCCATTCTGTTGTATTCATACAAGACCTTGAGTCCTACTTTCCAGTTTCCCAATTTTTAGAAATCTGACCTCATGGAGTTAACAAACTGCGTTATCCTTTCAAGGGCCAATTACAAATTACTTGATGACTATGAAAACTTCTTATTTACAAAATATTTAGGTTATGCTCCAATTAGGGAATCTACCCAGTTACCTGAAGTTATGGCTGAAGGCAACTGCTTAGTCAAAGCAATTAGCCTCTAGGAGACCAGCAGAATTGCCCTGAAGTTTGTCAATGGCCCATGTGAGGTCCGTCCTGTACTTTTGCTTTTCAGATGAATGTACAGGATCTGAAATACACCGATTGTCCCTTAGGCTTCTGAAAGCATGTAGGCAGCTCCCACAGGGCCAGTTGGGGCTTAGTAAAATAATCAGAGCCCAGTAAATGAGAAAAGTAAATGCATGTAGACTGCCCTGGGCCAGGATGGTCTTAAAGCAAATGATGGACATCTTGCATGATGTTTTTCAATGCTGGAGCAATTGTTTTTCCATGTTCAGAAAGTCAGTGGAAACAATTTAAACAGATAGGTAGTCAGCATATAAATTTAGGAACCCATAAAGCATTGAGTCAACATGTATTAATACTAAAAATTTCTCCAATATACTATGTTAGGCTCTGGGGATTCAAAAGTGGTATCAATTTTTCAGAAAGAATCCTATATACCAGGGTGATTAAAAATTTTTTTAAAAGCTAATGCATTGGTGGGTCACTATGAAGGAAATTAAAATGTAAACTCAACAAACCAATTCTTCTATCTCATGTCTAACAAATGATGAAGTAGCTGGAAAAATGAGTTCTGTTATTTTGCATTCATGCACCCATTAAGTGGAAAGTAAGCTGCAGATTTTGATTTATTAAGATTGTACAGCTTTGTAGCCAGCCACTTCTGCTCAGAGCTTACCTCCACCATGAAGCAATCTCTTCACCTGGAAGTCCAGTTGCCTTCATTTCTGGAGGCATTGCAGAGCCCTATGGAAGTCAGTACCCTGGAGTAGAAAGTCTAAACAGGGGGCCTGTGGTGATACACGTGTAACTAGAGGCATCCCTGCTTCCCTGGTAGACCGTCCTCCGCTCCAGGGCCATTGCCACCATTTCCTTTAGGCCCCATTATGCTGAGCATGGTGGATTCTTTAAACAGGCCAGGCTGTCTGACCTCAGTGTTTCCGTATCACTGCAGACAAGCACAGCCTCTTGATCCAAGTGACAAGACCATGTTGACCCCAGCTCTGCAGGGTCCAAGGCCACCCATGCTGGGAGGGGTACAGAGCTCCTTAGCCCCCAGCCCACTGCAGATGATGAGGAGGAAACCCAGCAAGAGGAAGGGCTTCCCACCCAACCACAGCATGGGCTGTAGGAGAGGTCATTCCTCCTTCTCGCCCACTAGTGGACTTCCCATTTCACCCCCTTCCCTGCCAGGGGATTATGTTTCCATCCACAGAGCTTCTAAAGCCCCCCAGTGATGATCACTTCATATCCCATAGAAGTCATATTCCACACTTTTTTGGAAGCAGTGCTCCATGGAAAGGTCATTGGGTTTACAATCCCTGCTTCAGGAGATACCAACTCCAAACCGCATTCGCACAAATTGTATTTTATTTTGTTTAGTGTTTGACCTGAGACTTAATTAGTGACACATTCTCTTCAAAAGTGGCACTTCCGAGAGTTAACGCCATCAGTCTCTTTACTGTCCTGGCCGTGGTGGATACAGTCTTGCCCTGGCTCTCACGATAAGCTGCATGCTTGCTCGGATCGGGCCGCGGGGGTGAGGTCAGCCTCGTGGCTGACTTCCAGGGAGTTCTGCTTCCACTGAGAGAATACTCAGGCTTCCCGGGAGCTCCGGTTTCTTTTTAACTTATCATCTTTCAGTTTTATCTGAGTGGCTGTCACTTCAGGTAACTCCAGCAGTGCCATTCCCTGCCAGCCTCTTCTTGCCTGCCCTGAAGTGACCCTGCGGTCCCCTCCCCATTTTCTCCTCCCCCTAGACTTCCTCCACGAGGTGAGTCCCCACTTGGTTCAGAGCCAAGGTGACAGATCTGTAGACATCATGGGAAATGGCTTGGCCTAGAGCACTGTAAAAAGGATTCTTCTTTGCTGGGCTGACAGCCAGACAGCCACTCACTGCCTCCCTGAGACCTGGGCCTGTGACTCTTGCAACCCCAGACACGGAAGACCCCAAAGAAGCTTGGCTACCCTCAGTTGTATTCAGTCTCCAGAGCAGGACAGACCTGTGAATGGTGTCTCCCAAGCATGTTGGCCACCCAACTGCACTAAATGCCACATAGTGCCAGTGCCAGGAATATTTGAATTTCTCCCAAGACACTGAGTGCAAACTCTTCGTCAGTTCAGAGCAGACTTCCCAGTGTAAGGTGGAGCTAATTCTTCCAATGACAAAGCATGACAGAGGGTCCCAAACCTACCCTTTAAAAACATGCAGGCAAATAGTATCTTGACTTAAATCAAGAGGAGAAACCATGTGAATATTTAGACATCTTTCTTTGTTCATCTTTCTTTGTTCTTCCTCTCATGCTCCAGAACTGAGCAGGGTGAATATTGGAGGAGAGTATCTCACAATTCGTATTTTAATCTGGGCAATTTAGTAGAGTATTTGCATGGTAATGACCTATGCCGTCAGACTACCAAGCTCTGTCCTTTCTCTTTCCCTTTAGCTGGTTCTTCCCCGTATTGAATCTTAGCACCCTGAACATATCTGACTTTCTTCTTCTTCTTTTGGCCATGGAATAAGGAACTTCAGCTTAGCTTTTTGTTTGTCTTCTCTTTCCCCATGAAGTTATATGAACCTCCTGCCTTCTTTGTCAATTTTTTTTCAGCCGAGAGCAGCTTGCCAAGTTGAGAACAAATCATTCCTTATGGTCCAGTTAACTTTGACCCACTGGCTGAAAGGGGATTACATGACAAAGTCAGGATGATCAAATGATGGGATTGGCTCAGGGCAATAGAATGGTGAAGTCAAAGTGATCAAACATGGAGCTGACCAGAACCACTCGAGAGCCAGGGGGCTCAACTGGGGTCTTGGGGCAGGAAGCTCTGACCTCCAGTCATCCAGTGTGGTCAGCATTCATTGAAATGGAGCAGCCAATCCTGGCATAACAGTAATCTGTAGCTACCCTTTCTGTATAAGGGCATTTTAGTCTCCATAAAACTGGACTCAGAGTTCAGCTATGATTCTGATGTAGGGTTTACTATATTTGGAGAAAACATATGGAGTGTTGTTGTTTGTTTTGTTTGTTTTGTCTGATCCACCAAAGGCCCTGTTTAGATTGTATCAGGTTATGCTTTCCCAACACTTACTTTCTTCCTTCCTTTCCCTTGTGGCTTTACAGACACAAACAAACAGCAAGCAGCAGGCAGGTGTTCTGTGTTAGGTCCTAGGGATGGTGCTGAGTAAAGTGGGTGCAGTTCACGTATCCTTTAGCTGGAGCCAGGGTCCCTGCTGACTCTGCACACCGCCCACTGGGCACTTGCAAGTCTGTTGCACTGACGTGTCTTGTTAGTAAATTCCTGAAGTCATAGACCATATCTGAAGCATGTAGGATTCACTACGGCAGTGAGTCCCAGAAAGTGAAGGAACTGGGCCTAGAGGAAGGCAGTGGTGCATCTCTAGGCTCAGGACTCTGCTCTAAGGAGTCTGCCAGGCTCCAGGCTCCTTCCTGTCACCACCATGCTCTTCCTTGGAGGTAGCTGTCATGGCCAGTATTTACTGTGCTCTCTATACCCAGTCCATCTGCTCTCAGTTGCCACCCAAAATACCCAGCCCCACTGCCTGCCTGAAATAAAAGAAAAACTCCAAATCCTTTGCCAGTCTCAAGTGGTGAAGAGGGCTGAATCCATCATAGATTTGCCTGTGGCCTCTAGGCAGCCCTTTCACCAGTAGCCAGAAGGAGGCAGAAGGAGCACCAGGCCTGAGGAGGTGGGTGGCCTCCTCTCCCAGGCCTGAGTCAGTTGGTCCACACCCTTCTAATGGGTCAATCCCAGGAAGGTCTGAATCCACCTGGGCACCTCCCACCTCCACCTCTGTGCTTGGTTCTTCCAGACCATGAAGGAGCAGGCACTGTGATTGGCATCCTGCCTTAGGGAATAATCTGAAAGTGTTGAAAATGCAAAGGAAACAGTGAATATAGAGTCCACTTCCAGGAAGCTGCCCGTTTAACTGGGAGAGAGGACCAAAGCACACCTTCCCAAGAAAACTGGACTTCAGAATGCTTCAAAACCAAAAATATGTAAGGAAGGAAAAAGGTTTTGTGGTTAACAGCAACCCCAAACCATGTGAAATGCCGAATGCTATTGCCCCTCGTGGAAAGGGCCAGTTAGCTGAGTCCTGCATAGAGCACCCTGTTGTGACTCTGTTTACCTACTTTTGCTTAAACTTGCTTGGCCATGACTCCCTTTCTCCAAGCAGCATCTCTTTATATGAGCTCCAGAGACCCACTTTGGGAAATATTCTTCCAGATGGATCTTGGACCTTCCTCCTGCAAAGAGGTATCATAGGAACAAGGGGGAGTGAATGAAGGCACCCACTGCTATCTTTCTAATCTCCCCTCAGTTTAATCCTCAGCCGCTCTGGTTTGTAAATTTCTTAATGATAAAGAGGTATCTTGAGCTACCTGACTCTCAGCATATTTGGTTTCCTTGTCCCCACGTGCAATACCAAACCAGTGCGTGGAGCCCGACCCACGCTGGCCTTGGGTCCTCGGTTATGCCACCTTCTTCTCCTTTGCAGTCTTCCAGGAGACCTTGTCCTTGGGAGGATGCTTTCGCCAAGGGACCGACCTCTCCTCTGCTCTCCTTGGCCCATTGCGCTGTTCGCCCTTCTCTTTCTGCATCTCTTTCCTACCTCTGTGTGTTGTTCTGGTTCCCAGGGTGACGGACTGCTGTTTATCCCCTCAGTAAACTCTGCTTCTCCCTGTTGGTGCCGTGGCAACCTGAGCTGCTTGCTCTACAAATCACAGCCCATTTAACCGAGCCCTTGTATTAGTTTAAAATAGTTTTTGGAGGGTTGTACTTTTTTTTCATGATAATAATAATTTTTTAAAAATCACCGCTTTGCTTTTTTTTTTGGTAAAAAGTATTGCTTTCCTCTGCCTCGTAGCTTCTTGAAGGGCAGAAAGAGAATAACTCCAGGTGTGGGCTACATTCCAAGGGAATTGTGTACCACTTGGTGCTGAAGTACTGAGTTCCCATACAGGGTTTGCCTTCATCCTGTGCTGAAATCCGTGAACATGTTGGGGTTAGGATCAAAGAAGGGGTTCCCGCTGAAGGTGCAGGGAGAGTGTTTCCTCTTCACACGCATTCTGCTAAAGGTGAAGTCAGTATAGATACGCACTGGGCATTCACACCAGGCAGGAGGAAGATTAGGTAGCTGCATTTACTGGATCATGTATAGCATTTGGGATTTGTGTGTTTCCCAGGGTGGAGATCTGCTTCACCGCAGAGACTGGGGAAGGTAAAGTTGGAGGCCAGCAATAAGCCCTGCCCAGCCAGAACACTGAAGGCATCTCAGTGAGGGTCTTTGAGTTTTGTTGTTTGTGTTGAGGTCCCTCCTAAATGATGCAGCACTTTCCTTGAAAGGTGGGAAATTGTTGCCATGATGAGAAGCAGAGAACTTGAAAAGTGAGTCCATGCGTGCTGATGGGATGAGAGGGCCCGTTTTTCTGAGCCTGGGACAGGGCCTGCATTCAGGGTGGTTTGGACACCCTCACTCCTTTCCCATGCTCTCCTGTGAGGCTGCTTGTGACCTAGTCACTTTCTGTGTCGAATCCTTCCTCTGCACAGCTTCTGGGGCGATCTGTTAAACCCACCATCCCAGATTCTTCAGTGCTGTTCTGCTGACCCATTGCTGCATAACAAACCACTCCAAAACGTGGTAGTTGAAAATAACAGTTTATCATGATCTCTTAACTCTTGTGCTTCTGTGGGCTGCCTGGACCCAGCTTAGGGGGTTTTGCCTGGGTCTCTCAGGTGGTCGCATTGAGAGGTTGGCTGGACCTATAGCCATCTGAAGACTTGATGGCCCAGATGTCCATGACGGCTCACGCACGTGCCTGGCCTCTCACAGCTGCTGTCAGCTCAGCTGGAGCTGCGGGCAGGAGCAACTGCATGCGACCTCTCTACACAGCCTGGGCTTCTCCCAGCTTGTTGGTTGGCTTCCAAGAGGGAGCTTCTGAGAACTCAAGCGGAAGTTCCAGGATCACTTCTGCCACATTCTGTGGGTTAGCCAAGTTACTGGTGCCTGCTCAGATTCAAGGGTTAGAGACTGGAGGGTCACACTCAAGAGAGCATGTGGGATAGAAAGACAGCTGAATCCATCTTTGGAAGGTGCTGTCTGCTTCCCATCACCTACTTCCAGCTGAAAGCTTCAGCATCTAAGCAAAGCTGTAGGGGCCTTTGAGGACCAAAGGAGGCAAACCAAATATGTCTCCATCCGAAATGAAAATAGCTTTGTTGAGTTCCAATGGGGGGGAAAATGTAGAGACTTAACATTTAGATTTCAAAGTTGTTGCATAGAAAAATGTCAAGGAGAAGTTTGGTGCTGCTTTTCAGCTCCTGAAATCCTGTCTTCTTGGCTTCTCTGAGAAGTTCACGAAGCTTAGACAGCTTGGTAATTTTCATCCTTTCCATGTGCTTGATGTGTTTAGAGAAAACAGTGTGCGCTCACATGCATGTCCTCATTTCATGTTGTCATCATACTTGCACAGATGGGGAAACTGAGGCTCACAGAGGCCTCCTGCTTTCTCAAGTTATTGGCAGAGCTGGGGCTGACATTGCTCCATCTGCACAGGGCCCTGTTTGTGTGTCTGACCTGACGCCTCCCTGCCGCTCCTCTCTTCCTCTAGAAATACGAAGTAGGCTCTTTGATGCCTTCCTGCCTCTGCTCACACTGTTCCTCCTCTCGGAAACCCTGTCCCTAAACACACACCTTCTTCCACTCCTGACTCACGCTCAGCCTTCAGGGCACAGCCTAGGAGGCCAGCTTGGGCAGGGGTTTCCTAACTGCACCCTCTCTGCAACAGCAACTGCGTCCCCTTTTTTCTTCTTCCCACAGTGAAGTATTTCATGCTTGTCTCTCCTCTAGTCTGTAAACCCTCAGGGTCTTATCTCCTGCTGTAAATGTGAACTATTATCAGATGTTAACTCATCCTTGAGAAACCGTTTCTGTTCCTCACCCCTTACCTACAACCTGTAATTCTAATATTCTGGCAGAATTCAAGCTGCCTGCTACTCTGGCAGCAAAAGTCTTCTGCAAAAATAGATCACCCATAAACCACCACTAAAACCGAGCCAGGGATTTGATAACGAGTTCAAAAGTAGAAATTACTTTGTGTTAATGAGAAACCATATTGGAAAGACTTGGGAGGAGCGTAAAGATGGAACGTGTCAGCTGTTAGATTTAAACCAGATCTGTTTCCAGCATTAATATAGAGAATTCATCGTAATACTAGTTACCATAAATAATTTTTAACTGCATATGTATTCGGTAGATGCATATTTAAAGTAAAAACATGAAAAAGGAGATGCTGTTTTCGTCACTTTTTTTTTTGATCTGCACTCACCTGCTCCAGGTGAGAACTTGTTCTAATGGCATGTCTGGATCAGGGCCAGCAATGAAAAGGTTAGACCCTGGGCTTGGCACCAGCTTATGCAGCAGAGACATTAATTGTCATGTCCAGTCAGATTATGCTTTTTCCTTCCATTCTGAATGTTGCGTCTTCTCTGACATTGTATATCCACACCTTCATTCTCCCATGTGAACAGAGCCTCCCACAAATAAATAAAGTTGACAGTAAGAACTGACTGGATTAAACAAAAGTTAAACAGGTTTCTTTTTAAGGCACCAGGAACTATAGAAGACCTACAGAAACAGGAATGCTGCCATCCTTGTGCCTTGACCTTGAGAATCAACTTGGGTTTCTTTCTGATTGTTACTAGAATGCTTCCTGAATTCACAAACATGTTGTACTTTTATTGCATGGCATCTCAGAGCATCTTAAAGCAAAGGTTTTAATTAATTAGAACACCTTGTGAGTCTTCAACTGGGAGGAGAAGGCAATATGACCCAAACAGATTTAACCACAAACCCCTGCCCTTTGCTTTCCCCTCACAAAACACTTTCCTAGAGTGATGCTGGAGTCTGTCTGTAACTTCACAGTGAGATGTCTTGTATGACAAACATAATATGTACGAGGTCCACACAGCAATGGGGCTCAGTACCTGGAGCTTTGGAGGCGAATACACTTGAGTTTGAGTTCATTTCTTAGTTATGCAACTTACTCGCTCAGTGATTTGGGACAATCTTTAAAAATCTCCCTGAGACCTGATTTTCTTATTGGTCAGAAGAGATGACGATGTGTATCTCATGGAGTTGTGATTATTAATAAAGAAATATGTGTAAAGAGCCTTGCATATGATCCTGGTTACAGTTTCTTCAGTGACTGCAGAGGTAGTAGTCAGATTAAATATATCAGTGAGTCAGACAGAGAAATTAGATGTCAGCCTGTTCTTTATGAAGCTTGCTCCTTTTCGCCGTGCGTTTCCTCTTTTTAATAAAATTGGTGATTACATTTGAATCAAGTTTTTTAATATAAAACTCATTAAAGGAAGAATGTGTCTCATTATCTTTGTATGTATCTGACCATGAGTAGTTAATAAATGTTTATTACATTTAGTGGAAAGTTTTTAATATTAAAATTAATGTGATGTCTATATCTAATGCAACAGACTGTTCTGTCAGTTATTAAACGATGGAAAATTTTAGTGCATTTTTTGGGGAAAAAAAGTTGGTGTACAGTTGACTTTCATTATGTGTGAGAGTTATTCTCTAGAAATTCACTGCAAACACTAAACCATTGCTCTTAGGAGAAATCCAGGGTTACCTTCTTGTGAGTCTCTGGTCAAATCATTTTTGTCATTTTTGCACAACCTTGTTTTATGTGTGTTTCTGTTTAAAGACATCGTATATGTATATGTGATTCATTAACATTGAACTCAAGGCAAACAGCACATTACGCATGCCTGAATGAAGCTTATCTAACACACATAGTCTCTCCCTGAGTCATATCACAGCTTTGTTGTGCTTAGAAACACTAGACAGCCCCACAGTACTATACTTGGGGGTCATTGTATACAGTGAAATTACCAATAAAAAACATGACACTAAATGGGCTGCGGAGAGCACACTCGATTATGGTGTGAGAGCCGAAGCAAGAAGGCAGCTGTTTGACTTCAGCTAGGAACGTGTGCAGCAGCCTCTCCAATTTTCCACGATCCTCTCCAATTTTCCACGATCCGTGCATGTCCACAAGTGACTGTGAAAGTGCCAGAAATATTGACTTGGAGGTTACAAATAAATTTTATGCCTCCTGCAGTGACTCATGCCTGTAATTCCCCGACTTTGGGTGGCCGAGGTGGGAGGACTGCTTTGAGCCCAGGAGTTCTAGACCAGCCTAGGCAACAGAGCGAGACTCTATCTCTGCAAAAAAGAAAAAAAAGAAAATTAGCTGGGTGTGGTGATATGCTCCTGTAGTTCCAGCTGCTCTGGAGGCCAAGGTGGGAGGATTGCTCGAGCTCGGGAGGTCAAGGCTGCAGTGAGCTGTGATTGCATCACCACACTACAGCCTGCGCGGCAGAGCGAGACCCTGTCTCAAGAAAAGAAAAAAAAAATTACTAAGTAGGTGAATTCACCAGTACAAAATCCATTAATAATAAGGATCACTTGTACTGCTTTATCAAAATTAAATGTCATAGCATGCAAAGAATTTCTCTTTTCCAGTAAAAAGCTACCTTCCCCCATCCATTGAACAGCCCCAGCTGTATTAATGGTAATTAATTAATAATGCAGCCATCCGTATCGTTGTTAATTACTGACTGGCCTCAGTGCATGGGTGTGAGGAGGGGGCAGAAGGGACAAGCGCCCCCAGCGTGGTTGTGGCAGTGGCCTTGCTGCTTTATGTGCATTCGCTTTGCTCCCTGGTCTGTCTGAGCTCGCCCTTGAAGCTGGATCATGGTATTCCTCTGAGGGCACACGATTTAGGAATCCTCACCAGAAAAGTAAACACACAAGCTGTTTTTTTAAGTTGTTGTTGTCTTTGGGGAGGCAGAGGTTGGGTGAAGAGGAACTGTCCCCCCAAAGGAGTCCCGATCCAGGGTGGAAAGCGGGTCCAGGCCCAGCTGCCCAGGAAGGAAGGGATCGGAGCAGCAATTCACCAACAGTCCAATTCAAATTAGACCTCACAAAGCAAACTACTCTGATTAGGGAAGAATTGCTCCTCCAGGAGTCTGTCCTCACAGTTTGCTGGCTGCCTGAGGAGACTGTGCTATGGAAATGCCCTACAGGCTTACCCATCACACACAAAGGCTCCCAGAGGCCCCCAGGTGGGCCTGGCTGCTGGCACTTTGGCTCAGCTTGTGACTCTGAGCTCCCAAGGCCAGGGCCAGCCTGCCTGAGCAGTTATAAGTGGCAACACACCCTCTGGGTGGGGACAGGCAGCAAAAGGAGGAAGGGAGTGAGGATTTAGCAATAGTTGTATACATCGTTAGCACAGGACAGCCCTGTCATGGGCTTTTTTTTTTTTGTCCTATGAGGGCTCTTTTCTCTCTGGCAGTCATGAGAGGTAGGTACTTGGGGGGTAATACTGCATCACTGTGAGACTGGGGCAACAGTGTGCTGATGAAAATAACTCCAGTTGTCGCAGATTAATAATAGCTAACAGTTACTGAAGACTCCCTATGGTCAGGTGCTGTCCTAAACACTTCATGCGCTCATTTCATCCTACTCCCTCCAAGACAGGCACTTATTATGCCCACTCTACAGATAAGAAAACTGAGGCCTAGAGTGGCTAAGTCCTAAATAAACCTTGGGTTACACAGCTGGCTTCTAGCCGTTACACAATTCTGTTGAACTATAATGCAGAACACTTTGTCTAACTCCTCGGGTTCTCAGGGTTATAGATTCAGGCGTCAGCTGCAGCATATGTGCATTGTGCATGGACTACATGAAGTAGGTCTGCACCCAGGGCCTCAGGAGATGTGAAGATGAGCCTGGCAGCCCTTTGTCCCCCAGGCATTGGCAGTCTGGGAGGGTGGGAAAGGCAAGAATGGGCAGAAAACAGCAGGTGCCCCTGAGGGGTATGGGGTGCTCTTTCGACTCAGGGATATGGCAGATTGGAGGAAAGGGAATAGATTGTTAGGGGTGTCAGGGAAGAATAGGGAACGGTATCTTAAAAGAGGTGACATTGCAGTAGGTCTAGAACAAGTTTCCCAAGCTCATTCTAGACCCTCATTTTACTCTCTGCAGTCAGGGTTAGCCAGTACCCCAGCATCCACACAGAGCCTTCCTACCCACCAGCTCTTATCCCCTCCTCACCAGCCAGCACTTTTCGTATGGGGACCCTGCAGTGTGAGTGAGGGATCCATTGTCAGGTGACAGAGTCCATTCCCCAGGTTTTGCTGTAAACGAAGGCACCACAGTTCCCTCGGGCATGAGCACACATGACATTCAGCACCTGCCTTCATCCTGCCATCAGGGCTAACCTGCCTTTACTTACCATCTTCCCATAAATAAAATGGAGAAACTTCCAATATAGAACATTTGGAGGTGAAAACGCACGTGGAACAGTTTTTGTATCTAGGCTTGCATTGAAATTCTCTGTGACTCTCCTGCCAGAAGGATTTTCTTTTTTCTTTTTTTTTTCTTTTTCCCCCTGAGACGGAGTTTTGCTCTGTCACCCAGGCTGGAGTGCAGTGGCACAATCTCGGCTCACTGCAAGCTCCACCTCCCAGGTTCAAGCAATTCTCCTGCCTCAGCCTCCTGAGTAGCTGAGATTACAGGCACGCGCCACCACACCTGGCTAATTTTTGTATTTTTAGTAGAGACGGGGTTTCACCATGTTGGCCAGGCTGGTCTCGAACTCCTGACCTCATGATCCACCCACCTCGGCCTCCCAAAGCGGTTTTTCTTTCTCTGTCTCTCTGTTTCTCTCTCTCTCTCTCTCTCTCTCTCAGCTTTTTAGTTTTGAATTTTAAAGCACCATGATTGAAACTACTGAGTGTGCCTTGAGTTGGAAGTCTCTGAGACAAGTTGCTTTGGCCATGTGTGAGGTATGAATGGGCCCAGCCTCTGGAACTGTCAGCTTGGTTGTTGGTTGGCTGGGCTGGGCTGGGCCTCCCTATCCTGGGTCCTTTTGAATCTGCCTGGTGGGGACACAATAACATCTTTGTAAGGAGGGGCCTGGACTCTAAAGGAAGCAGCTGACTGTGTTTTGAATTCAAGCTCTTTTCCCTCTTCTCTCCGTATGCCCCATCTCTGCCACCCTCCGCCCCACAATAGAGGGAAGGTTTTTACTCCTCAGAGAAATTGGATTTTGGTTGTAATGAAGTCATTACATAGACCCCGTAATTGTTTAAGGTAGCGAGTTTACAGGCAGTCGGTGCTGGCATTCCAGTGTGATTTATTCTTCAGCTTCTCAGCTATCCTGCTGCAGGGACAAAGCGGGTATTAACAACCTGTCATGCAAAAAATTTGACACGGCTATAAAGATAATCCTTCTCTCTGTGTTCCTTCTTCACTGGCCTCCTACTGCTAAAGTAAATGAGTAACGTTTTAAAGTATCCATTCTTTAACATCAAAATATTATCCTTAATTTGCTTTTCTCTCTGGCTTTTGTCTTCGTGTGAGGATAAAGCCAGCTAAAAATACCTGTGATAATTCTTTACATAGCAGTTATCCAGCAGGTACCAAGAAACATACAGATCCTGTGATGGGTGAATCGACCCTTCCTTGGGCACTAGGGAAGAACGAAGGGCACCAGCATGGGGCCGGGAGGGTCTTTCCGTTGTGTTCCGCTGACTATCAGTGGGGCCTGTGTACCTCTCACCGTCTCACGCACTTACTGCCTACCCCTTATTATTTTGAGTCAAGTTCTATTATTACAGTCTTTAATATATGGGAAAGGGAATCTGGTTATTTGCTGTGATGTTTAAGGTGCTTTCCTCTGCAAGAAGTAGAAAACCCATCAAACTGACTTGAGCCATAAAAGGAATTTATTGGCTTATGTCGCTGAAACATCACAGGCAGATGGTTTCAGGCCGGGGCTGATCCAGTGACTCCATGGTGTCACTGCAGACCTGGTTTCTTTCCTTTTACTGGCTCTGCTTCTGCAGTGGTTGTCTTCAAACTAAGAGTGGCTCTCCTCATGGTCCCAAGACAGTTGGCAGCGGCTTTGAGGGGGGGGTTCTGTCACACTCAAAAGAGAAAAGAGTCTCAGAAAGCCTGTGTCTCTGCATCCTCTGAAGGGTCTTACTTGGCATTGTGGTCAGGAGAATGGAGTGGACTGATTGGCTCAGCCTAGGTCACATGATCCGTATTTACAGTTGGGGGTGGAATCGGCTTCCCCAAAACCACAAAGATCCCTGGGTAGAAATACCTTGAGACGGGAGGAGAGGGGAGATAATGCTGGAGAAGTGACCAACAAATATTTGGTACATATGACTTATCAGTCGCTTAATTATAAACAAAATAATAGACCTTTTTCTGTTCTGTGTATTTAAATTGGTTAATATTGGTGCTAGAAATATGTTGTTGAAGGCAGGACTTCATATATATTTTTTTTTACCGATTCCCTGGTCTCAATCCCTCGTTTTTCAGGCTCAGAGACTAGACGTGCAGGAAAAGAGTTTGCTGGAAGTGAGGTCAGATCACAGAGCTCCTTGCTGCTGTCCCAGGACCTGAAGTGGGAGGGAAGGAGGAGAGGACAGAAATGGAGACATGATCACTCTTTCAATAAAATATACTTTAAAAGTTTATATTCCTTGCAGCATTATTTATAAAGAAACAGGCTTAGTGTAAATGAATGATGATAAGAAACATCCCTACCTAATTTGTTACTTTCCACAATTGGAACTTTCCTATTCACAGTTCTCTTGTCCCCCTCTGCACCATGCCACATCCTCACTCAAATCCTGTTTTTTTTATGAACGATAAAGAATCCTCCATCTTCTCTTTTCAGTGGACAGTTTGCGGTTGTGAAGAAATGCCGTGAGAAAAGCACCGGCCTCCAGTATGCCGCCAAATTCATCAAGAAAAGGAGGACTAAGTCCAGCCGGCGGGGTGTGAGCCGCGAGGACATCGAGCGGGAGGTCAGCATCCTGAAGGAGATCCAGCACCCCAATGTCATCACCCTGCACGAGGTCTATGAGAACAAGACGGACGTCATCCTGATCTTGGAACTGTGAGTGCCGCCTGGGCCAGGCTGGGGAGAGGGTGTGGTGGGCGTCAGCTGGCATCTTCGTTCCAGCTGGACCACGCCACAGCGAGCCCGAGAGAGGGATCAGGAATTGGTTCTGCTGTATGAGGTGTGTGAGAACAATGCCGTGCTGCCTGACCTGAAACCCAGCTGCAGGGATCTAGAACAAACTCTAAAGAGCAACTCCCATCACTGTGGTTCCACCCAGTTTGCAAGAGGGTCTCCCAGTCTTGCGGTTCACCACTTTCTGGGGTTCATCTTTGCCGTGAGCACATCTGTTTTCTGAGTTTCCTGTTAAGCTTCAAGCATATGTCCTTCTCCCCTCTCACTCTATTCCTTTCCTCTCTCTGTTTGTTTTTCTGCCTTTCTTCCTCTGTTCTCTTTATCTCTTCCCCCATCTCTTCCCCCTCCATCTTAAATGCACGAACCCCATTTTTAACTGTTAATTCCATCAACACTAATTATATGAATGGGTAAAATTGAGCCAGAATCACTCAAAAAGGACTTGTTTTTAAAGCAAGTTGCTGATTTTCTCAGGCAAGCCATGCCCGTCGGATGTTATTATGGGAAACTGATTGCGGCAGGTTATTCTGTGGCGTTTCTCATCTCCCTCTCCCACCCCTCCAGTCCCCAGCTTCCTGCCTGCTGTGCTGAGTGGGGCCCCACTCCCTGTGGCTGAGTCCATCAGCACATGCTGGCGAGAGAGGACAGGAAGCCAGCTTGGGGCGCACATCTGCTCTGTCTCCGGGCTTTTGGGATGGAGGCGAGATGTGAGTGCCTTGAGGGAGGAGGGGCGGATGGAACCAAAGAAGATTTGAGGACAAACCAATCCTCAGTGGCTCGTAGTGATGACAGGCTCCATCCATTGAATTCAGCCTCTTGAATTCAGATTTGCCCTTTTGCCCATCCAACAGTCCCCTTCTTTGCGATCCAACGGCCTCCTTCTTTGCAGATACCTTAGGGGTAAGAAGAGATTTTCAAGACCAGAGGAGAAGGTTGGCAGAGCTGCCAGGCCAGCTCCCAGGCGCCACCCTGCAGGTACCTCCACTTTGCAATCCCAGGTGCCTGCGGTCCCCACAGCATCTTGTCTCATCACTGGGATTTGGGCACATTTCTTTATGGGTCTCAGCTACAAATTTCTTAACCATAAAATGGGGTTAATAATATCTCAGATGGTTTATGGGGAGATAAATGAGATAAGAATTTTTAAATACCTAACACTGTGCTGGTTGGTAGATGACATTAATATGCTCCCTCCCTCCCTTCCTTCCTCTCTCTCTTTCCCTTCCTTCCTCCCTCTGTCTCTCCCTCCCTCCCTCTCTCCTTCCTTCCTTCCTTCCTTCCCCCCTCCCTCCCTCTCTCCCTCTCTCCCTCCCTCCGTCTCCCCTTCCTTCCTTCCTTCCTTCCTCCCTCCCTCCCTCCCTCTCTCTCTCCCTCCTTTTCTCCCTCCCTCCATCTCTCCTTCCTTCCTTCCTCCCTCTCTCTCCCTGTCCCTCCCTCTCTCCTTCCTTCCTTCCTTCCTCCCTCTCTCTCTCCCTCCCTCCCTCTCTCCTTCCTTCCTTCTTTCCTTCCTTCCTCCCTCCCTCCCTCCCTCCTTTTTCTCCTTCCCTCCCTTCCTCTCTCCTTCCTTCCTCCCTTTCTCCCCCCTTCCAAATCAGCAGTTCTCAATCTTGGCACAAGTGACATTTTGGGCTGAATCACTCTTCCTTCAGGCTGTCCTAAACATTGTAGAATGTTTAGCAGCATCTCTGGCTTCTACCTACTAGATTCCAGTAGCACTCTTCCCCCATGTTGTGACAACTAAAAATATATCCAGACATTGCCACATGTACCCTGGGGGCAAAATCTCCTGCTTCCCCTGTACCCTCCCACCCTCGTAACTGAGAACTCTGGCTTTAAAGGAAGAACAGAGCTTTAAGGGGCCAGGAGATTAAGGACTTGCTTAGGGTACAACAGAGGAAAAAGGACAAATCATGGTGTAATCCTCACTGTGGCTTTATGTGGCTCCTGGGAGACAGCAGCCTAGAGTGAAGATGGGGGCTGGGGAACCAGACAGAACTGGGATCAAAATCCAGGGCAAATCCTTTCTTGTCTTTAAGCCTACATTTCCTGCCTTAAGACAGTGCATACAAAGTGCCTGGAAAAAGAAACATAACAAATCACAACTATTCTGCCTTTTCAGATAATTCCCAGGTTGTGCCCAGTGACTCAAGAATGCCACTTATCCTCATTTCATACTAAAATATTTGAGCGATGCCTATGAGTCACTGCCCCTCTTGTGCCTCTCTGCGTGTACATATTGTGCATTCAACATCTGTTGTCTGACCCCAATTCATAGATAGTTCCCATTAGGTGCATTTACTCTGTGCCTAAATTGGGTGGCATACAATTATTTTTTTTTACCATTTGATTATGTAAAAATTTTATTTATAATACAGCAAATATAGTGTTGGAGGAGGGTTGTGTCATTCTATGAAAGTTAACACATGTAAATCATGTAACCAGCAGTCTAATTGGGACTCAGAACAGTTCCCATACCCCTACATACTCCAGTACCCCTTGTATTAATACTACCCCTTCATGCCTGCCCTCTACTGCCTAACCCCTGGCAAGCCCTGAGCTGGTCTTCATCACTGTTTGTATTAGTCCATTCTCACACTGCTATAAAGGCAGACCTGAGACTGGGTAATTTGTGAAGAAAAGAGATTCAATTGACTCATGGTTCTGCAGGCTGTACAGGAAGCATGGCTGGGGAGGCCTCAGGAAACTTACAATGATGGCAGAAGGTAAAGGGGAAGCAAGAGCCATCCTCACATGACCGGCAGGAGGAAGAGAGAGAGAAGGGGGAAGTGCTACACACTTTGAGACAACCAGATCTCCTGAGAACTCTATCAGGAGATCAGCAAGGGGGAAGTTCACCCCTATGATTCATTCACCTCCCACCAGGCCCCTCTTCCAACATTGGGAATTATAATCCGACATGAGATTTGGATGGAGGCACGGAGCCAAACCATATCACTACTGTTTTGTTGTTTTGAAAATGTCCAGTGAATAGAATCATACAGTATGCAAGTGTTTGAAAGTAGCTTCTTTCACTCAGCATAATGCATTGGAGATTTGTGCATGAAGAGTGAGTCCGTTTTTATTACTGAGTAGTATTTCATTGTATGGATTTTTTATAAACCATTCACCCATTTGGGTTGTTTCTGGTATTTGATAATTAGGAGTAAAACTGCTACAAACATTCCCATACAGACTTGTGTGTGGGCATAGGTTTTTATTTCTCTTCAGTAAATACCTAGAGATCTTGGGATTGCTGGATCGTGTAGTAAATGTATGTTCAACTTTATGAGAAACTGCCAAGCTGTCTTCTAAAGTGAGCATACCGTTTTACAGTCCCTGCAGCAATGGATGAGAATTCCGATTGCTCCACCAGTGGGGCTCTGTACTGTTTTTCAATTGTAGGCTTTCTAATAGTTGCATCTTGGCATACAGCTTTACATTGTTAACTGCATGATGACCCTAAATGAAAGCTGAGCGATCTCACTAGGAACAGCTTTTAGATGGAGTGAGCGGGAGGGCCCTTAGGAGCTGGCCACATCCTTCACAGGGCTAGACAGGTCCCTGGTTATTTGCTCTTCATAAATTCTAGTGTCCCCTAGGAGCTGACTATTTTTGCCTCTTCACCACCCAGGCATCTGAGGGGTTGTGATGGTTACCTTCATGTGTCAACTTGACTGGACCATGAGGATCCCATATATTTGGTCAGACATTATTCTGTGAGGATGTTTTTGGGGTGAGATTAGCATTTGAATCAGTAGACTGAATAAAGCAGAACACATTCGGGAATGTGGGTGGCTCCGTCAATCTGCGGGAGGCCCGAATAGAACAAAAAGGCTGACCCTAAGTAGGAGACCATTTTTCCTGCCTAACGTGGCTTTGAACTGGGACACCGGCTTTTCCTTGCCTTTGGACTTAAACTGAAGCATCAGCTCTTCCTGCGTCTTGAGCCTGATGGCTTGGGCTGGAACTACACCAGCAGCTCTACTGAGTTGCCAGCTTGCCGACTCACCTGGCAGATTTGGGGACCTGCCAGCTTCCATAATAATGTGAGCAAATTCCTATATATGCATATGATGCGTAGGATGCATATGCACGGTATGATGCGTGTTTCTCTGGAGAACCCTGATAATACAGTGGCACTAAGTACCTAAGAACAGAAAGTGCACCCTTACTATTATCTTGGAAGTCTGTCCCATTTTTTATGTATTTACGTTACCTTGAAGAGGTGTGTTATAATTTTTTTTCTTTTTGCTATACTTGTTTTGGAGGTTATGTTTTATAATTTTTAATAGACTATTGAAAATATTAAATCTGTCCAGGAGAAACAGTCGTCTTTGCCTTTGAGAAAATTATCATCCTAAATTCTAATGTCTTTAACAGAAGCTTTAGTCATCAGTGACAGATTCCATTTCCACTTTTCTTTCTTAAGAATGCTGAAGTACAGGGGTGGTTAGGGAGAGAATCAAAATGAAGAACTTGTCAGAATATAACCCCAGGAGGTAATAGTGGCTGTGTGTCTGAATCTTCTGGTTCAGTAGTTTCCGTGTGGATATAGTTTTTGGATTTACTGCTTTGACATGAAGTCCACGGCAAGTCGAACTTCCTCTGAGGGTTAGTGATGAAGCGGGTCCCCTTGTTGAAAACTTGTGCCTGTCTCTACCTTATATATGTGAGTTCTGTCCTCCAGACTCCATGCCCATCCTTCCCACTGAAATAAACATCCCAAACTACCCCTTCTCTTGGTATTTCATGAACCACTGCCACTGACCCAAAAAGGTATCTTTGCTGTCCTTTGTACAGAAACTATTTGGGATCTGCATTAATGGTGCAGTTGTCAAATCCCAGTCCAGGATCTGCCCTTTACCATTTTTGCAAGCCTGAAAGTCGCTTTAAAGGCATATGTTTTTCCCCTACTTGCTTCACTGGAGAATCATTCACAGAGGATCTGTCATTGCAGCTCAGCATAGCATATACCTGAAGGAGGCAAATGTGATTTCTTAAAATCACGATTTCGGATTTCATGTCCTCCACGTCCCATTGTTCTCTAATGAAGTCGTGCCAATACCAAAATTTCTTCTTACTGTGTTGCAGCTCACCCACACATCATCACACGGGCAAGCCACTACAAAACTTTCACCTTCAGTGCTTGAATCGTTTCATAACTCGCCTTGTTATCTGGTGAAGGGCGAAGCCAAACTCACAGAACTTAAAGTCGATGCTATTTCTAAAGTGTGTGGCATTGTTCCTCAGCAGCCCTGGCTTCTAGCTTTCCATTCCTAAACTTGCTGCTCAGAAACAGCTAGGTATTTTGGTCTGTGGATAGTTATGCATTTTTCTGTCTAGCTGTTGTCTGCCCAGCCATTGTTCAAACCCAAGTGCCCTTAGGGGCTAGGCATACAATGTAAATGAGGATGGTTGGCCTCCATGAAGCCTCAGTGTCAGGGATGCACCAGCCGTGGAGACTGTGGCCCACTGGAGCCCTGAGGCCCCACCCCGAAGGGACAGCCACCAATCAGTTGATTGTTCCTGTGTGTAATTTTGGATTCAGTGTTGTCAGCTCTTCCAGTTTTTTCAGGAAAAGTCTGTAATCTAGATTTTTAATATTGGCAGTCAGTTCATAGTATTCACGAACAGACAAAATAAAACATCTGAAGATTGTGTGTCTTGTACACAATCCAAATTCTAGCCTGTTTTATGTAAGCACATACTTTATCTAGCACATACTTTATCTAGCACATACTTTGTAAGTATGTGAGCACATACTTTATCTAGCACAGACTTCCAAATTCTAGCCTGTTTTATGTAAGCAATAAGTTGATCACTACTATAGGAGAAGTAACATGAGAAAGACTGCCTCAAAGGGTTAGTGATTCTATGGGAAGGGCAAGATGCACACTTAGCATTATAAAATGATTTTTTTAAAAAATATACAGTTTAAAACAGTGGCTCTTAAACTTTAGCATGCATCAGAATTGCCTGAAGGGCTTGTTTGACTATTTGACAGGCTTCCAGAGTTTTGTATTCAGTGGGTTTGGGGTGGGACCTAGGCGTTTGCATTTTTATTTAATTTTATTTTTCCTAGAGACGGGGTGTCCCTATGTTACCCAGGCTGGCCTCAAGCTCCTGCACTCAAGCGCTTCTCCTGCGTCAGCCTCCTGAGTAGGTGGGACTGGGGTGTAAGCCACTGGGCCCAGCTCAGAATTGACTTTTTGGTTTTTTTCTTGAGACAGGGTCTCATTCTGTCACCCAGGCTGGAATGCAGTGGTGCAATCATAGCTCACTGCAGCCTTGAACTCCCGGGCTCGAGTGATTCTCCCACTTCTGCCTCCTGAGTAGCTGGGATTACAGGTGTGTGGCACCACACTCAGCTATTTTTTATTTTTTGTAGCTTCAGTGTCATTTTGTTGCTCAGGCTGGTCTCGACCTCCTGGGCTTATGCAGCCCTCTCACCCTGTCCTCCCAAGTTGCTGGAATTACAGTTGTGAGCCACAACGCCCAGCCAGAATTTCAATTTTTCCTTTTTTCCTAACCTTGAAAGCCAGAATTTCCATTTTTAACAGATTCCCGGGTGATGCGGATGCTGCTGGTCTGGGTTCATCTTTTGAGAGGCTGTGCTCCCCAAAAAGGATATGTTGAAGTGCTATGTCCCTGTCTTAGTTCATTTTGGGTTTTGCAATAACAAGACCACAGACTGGGTAATTTATAGAGAAAATAAGTTTATGTCTTACAGTGCTGGAGGCAGGAAGTACATTTTGCTGCATGTGATGTGAGTCTTCTTACTGTCATAACATGGCAAAAGGCATCGCGTGGCAAGAGAGGGCAAGAGCCCACTCCCAGGAGCCCTTTTTTAAAGGTACTAAACTGACCCATGAAGGTGGAGGAGCCCTTATGGCCTAAATTTCTTCTTAAAGTCCCTACCTCTCAACACTCTTACAATGGCAATTAAATCTCAACTTGAGTTTTGGAGAGGACAAACATTCAAACCGTAGCACCATAGTATCTCAGAACATGACCTTTTTGGATATGAGATTGTTTTAGATGTAATTAGTTAAGATGAGGTCATACTGGAATAGCACAGAGAACCTAATCTGATAGGACTGGTGTCCTTATAAGAAGGCCCTGTGGAGACAGAGGAATGGAGTGAAGCATCTATACGCCAAGGAACCTGCCAGAAACTAGGACAGAGGCATGGAGCAGATTCATCCTCAGATCCCTTAGAAGGACCATCCCTACCAACGTACTGAGTTAGGACTGCCAGCCCCCAAAACTATGTGATAGCAGGTTGTTGTTTTAAACCACCCCATGTGTGGTCCTTTGTTAGGGCAGGCCTAGGAAACTAACACAGAGGCACCAGTTAACAGAAACTAGATTTCCTGGACTGGGAGCCTACTCGCATGTTGATCTAAAATTCTATAAGCAAGTTAGAAACAAAACAAAACATAATGCCTAATTATGGTAATGCCATCAGGTAACTGCAAAATGACGCAATACATACATCTCACTCCCTGCAGATAGCCTGAGCAGAGAAGGATTGGAGCGGGGGTGGGGGTTTGGAGTCTAACATAAGATAAGGAAGAAATGGACATCACCAGGTTCTGGCCTGCTTCAGGATGGTCACCTGAGTAGCTCTGGATCACATGTCTGAAAGGTTACCATGTTAAGAATTATAAAGTAAAAGTGCTAAGATGGCCAAGTAAGTATTGGCATGGTGGATTGTTCCAGAGAAATCAAGCCAGTTTGGTTCTCCAATCCTAAATGTCTCCCCTTATTTGTTCTGCTTCCATTTCGAAGCACATCTTTAAAACAGAGTAACCCCATTTAGCTTTCTCTCTCTTTCTTTGTGACAGGAAATTCCATTTAATTAGTGCAGTCTGCTATGGTTGTAGCCAAGTGCAGGGCGTGGAGTGAATAATGCATTTTTTATATTTAAAAAGGTAAATTTTGCTGATTTTTTTAATCATGGTAAAACAACATACAGTTTACCATCTTAACCATTTTTAAGTGCACAGTACAGCAGTGTTAATTCTATGCATATTGTTGTGCAACAGATTTCTAGAACCTTTTCGTCTTGCAAAACTGAAATGCTGTGCCTATTGAACAACTCCTTTTTAGCTCTGTGTTTTACTTTGGCTAAGTTAATAATTTCTGGAATTCAGTTTGCCCATCACAAACAACTGCTAAGTTGTATTCAAACATTTGTGCAATATTAGGTCACTTTATGTAGGATCACGGTTCAGTTGGCTCACTCTCTCATAACCAAACTGAGATGCAAAATAATCAGAATACAAATACAACTTTGTTTTTCATTGTATGTCAGCGTGGTGCATGTATGTAGACGAACACATGGTGCCTTGGTCAGCAAGATCAGAATCGCAAGAGCCTTTGAAGAAACACATGCAGTGATTAAAGTGATAGTTTCAAAGGATCTTAAAAGTGGCAAAAATTGTACAGAGCTGAATGTGGTGGTCGGGACTTAGGGAAGCTGATAAATGGGGTGTGTGGCACAGAGCCCTTCAGTCTCCCTGTCTCTGCTTCTCTCTGGGCGCTCACGAACCACAATAGCACACACTCAGACTTCCTCAATGCGTTCTTTTGCTGCCACATTTGTTCTCTCTTTTCTGAGCTCGAGCCAGCTCTTTTGACTTTTTGAACTTTTGTCTTTATTCACAAAGGTAATTTCAAGAGCTCTTGTGGGTTCCACTTCTGGCATCCCGCTCCTCAGATACCTACTATTAGGCAAGAGCAGAGAAGTAAAGTGCATTTGGCAGCAGTCTCTGCCTTTCAAAGCAGAGCTAAATCATGTAAAATAGGTTATTTTCCATCCAGGCATTCTCTTGAGAAAGAAAACCCTGTGTGTGTCTTCCCCCATACTCTCACTTCTTGCCAGTTCAGTTGAAAAGTGTTCCCTTAATGTTATTAAATAGGTATTTTCACTCACTGAAGTGGATTATTTGATTTCTGCACGGTCTTAAGAAAAAGTGAGACAATAGGAGTCTTACAAACAAACCCTATGTGGTATCTGTGAGCTCATAGATCTGTAGTTTTTAGGATATAGTCATAACTTTAGTATCTGCCATGATGTTCTCCATGCTGAATACATGAGCTATAAGTAATATTTGGAATCTCTGTTTATCTCCAAGAAAGACCCATGATCGTGGTTAAAGTTTGGGAAACTGAGGCAATGCTGCTTAGTCACAGCTCCAGGCAGGTGACTATTCTTAGACTCCTTCCCAGGGACTAGACTCTTCTGCATCACTCTCTGGGGTGGTGCAGGTCCTGCAAATTGTTCATACTTCCTCTTAGAAACTCTCCCTGATCTCATATCTTCTTCTTCCTGTTTTGGCCAACTGCTTCCCCAACCTGCACATCAAGCGGGTGTAATGGAAGAGAACTTTGTGGAATTGCGGCTTTAGCTGTCCCCTCACAGGTACTGGTTTTGCCTCTTGCCCAGTTCCCTCTCTTCGCTGCTCCAGTATGTTCCCCATCCTTGTCGTGGGCTCCCCGGCACTGTGGCTGCCGCCATCCTGGCCAGGCAGCTGCCTCTCTCCACCCAGAGCCAAGTCCCTTCCAGGCCCTGGGACTGCCTGTTTGGTGGTCAGGCTCCACTCAAACCTTCCATTTGGCTTTCCCCCACTCTGGTCATACGGAGTCCACATCCAGGTCTTGCTGTGCCCAGAATTCTGGGATGGTGACTGGAGTGAGGGTTGGAGACAGGCAGCCGGGGATGGTTCGTCTCCAGCTGGTACTCCAAGACGGAGAGTGCCTAGGCCACAGGTCATGAGAGCATTGCTTTATTAGATCAGTATCTGCAAGCAGGTCAGTGACAGTCTTCCCAAGACGTCCTTGAGCCCCTCAGAGCATCCCCTTCTGCCTCACGTCCTTGCAAAATGTGGTTTAACAAGCAAATACTTCCAAGAACAACCTCATACTGCTTTTTCCTCCTAATTTGTATTTCCAGATAACCAAGTATTACCTCACCTTCTTCTATTTAACAACTCTTTATTTCCCTGTGTGTAACTTGTTTTTAATATTGTCAAAATTACTGCAATGCAAATGAGGAACATCAGGGATCCAGCGGGACCGCTGGGAATATGTGCTTGTTCCGTGTTGAAATGTCAGTTTCATTTCCAGCCTCTGAATGAAGGCAGTGACCGAGCATGGCTACTGTGAGATGCAAACACTATTCAATTAACAGAGTTACATAGAAATGGGCTCAAGGACCTGGTCTTCCCTGGACGACAGAAGTGTCATTGACGTTTCCCCTAATATTTTGATAGGAAAATTCAAGTAGAGTTGATTATTTCAAAAATGTAGGGTAGAACGTTCACTACTTTTAAGGCACTTGCACTTAGGCATGGGTCTTCCCAAACTGCCTGAAGAGAGGATATGGTTAAACAACTGAGTGGCTTTCCTTGGAGGAAAAGGGAAACTGCCCTTCACTTTACCTTTCTGAGTCAGCCACAGTGGGCGCCTCCCTGAAATGATCTCATTTAATCCTTGCGTGCAACTCTAGGAGAGTGGTGTTACCACCCTGCAGGTAAGGAACGCTGTGCCCCCTCTGTCCACATATAGGTCACAGGAGCCGGTAGAGAGATGCTCATTCTCAGACAGTAGCCTCTTGGAGAGAGAATTCTTTTGTTTGAGTTTTCTAAGCCCTAGGATTCTGCTAAGCCACTGTAGGATTTTGCCTGCAAGGCCCCATTGTCTGTGGGCTGGTTGGCCAGCTTTGCTCTTCCTTCTTGAGAGTGACTTTCACATTCCAGTGGTTCTGGAGACACATTTGCTCCTCCTCCATTTGAAAGCAGTGATTTAGAAGCTTTTGAAAGCCAACCTGGCCTCCCAGGGCCCCTCACCTTTCTGCTTCCTTCTCTAGCGTGGCTGCATTGTTCTTGCCCCTCATTTCTTAGCATTTCCATGAAGTTGGGGGTGGGCAGAAGATGTTCTAGTTTTCCAGTGGGATTGCTGAAGCCTAGGAGTGGGATGGCTTCATGGGGGCTCTGGTGTGATAGTGGCATGTGCCTATATGCCCCTTGCATATGTTTCTTTGAGGGCAAGACTACGTCCTACTCTGGCACCCACAGCACTGAAGACTGTGCTTGGCCCAATACATGGATGTCAAGTCCAGATAGAGCAGGAAGAACAGCAGGATCTGAAAAAGAGTCACGTGTGGCTCAAGAACCAGTTAGTTGACCAGGGAGAAGGACAGTTTTGGGGGGAAACGTTGATTTACTTGCATGAGCTTCAGAAAACTCTTGACTGAGTTTCCTAAAGAGCAAAGTACCCCATCCTCTTGAGTATCAGGGTTTGGGTCAGTTTGGGTCCTACCAGGAAACAGACGGCCCACACAAACAGGGAAATTTGAGACTTAACAAACATGTGTGCAAGGTTTGGAGAACATGATAAGTGATGGGGAAGCACCCTCTGAGAATGGAGCTGTCATCACCCTTGGGCCTGAAAAGTAAAACAGGGGAGTGGTGTGAGGACCCTGGAATGGATAACTTCCTGGAGAGCACTGCATAACACAAGCTGAGCCTCAGTAGAGGGCCTCAGCCAAATCCACGGCCACATGGCTGGAAACTGTTCTCCTTTTCTGTGGGGCTACCTGTTGGCCAAACCAAACTAGTGTCCTGTTTTCAAGGGAACCTTTTGATTCAGTCTCTATGAGCAGCCTCCCTAAACCCAGAAGTGGATGTAGGAGATTGGAGCATAGATCTGGAGAGGCAGGGAGAAAGTAACTTCACTCTGGGTTCAAAGAGATTTGTCTTGGTTCTCTAGTCCAGATGACACTTCAGTCCTGATGCTGTAGCTAAGTAGTTACAACCCAAACTTCCCGGTGTCCCCCTTCCCCAATGGCATCCTTCCACTGAAAAATGCACAATTTGTCACTGCATAGTTAGGGTCCATTTGATCTCATGCCCTCTTTTCTCAAAGACTTTCTGCCCATCAGAAATTCTTTAAAAGGGAGTACATTTTTTTGGAAGCATGATCCCCTTTTGTTTTTCCTATTTTCCACTTCCTTATTGGAATGGGGAGGTAGAGACATGGAGGGTGAGGGCCAGAAGTCTTGGCTCTTTGGCAGGTGATAGCTTTCCATTGCCAGGGCCACTTGCCTAGCAGGAAAGCTCAACACCACCTACCTCTTCTACCCCTTGGGTGCCACATCCATCTCAGAAGGGATGCGAGTGGTCTTGGTGCTCCTTGACATCCACGTTTATAATGGATGCAATGGGAAGAGTTTTCCTGGAGACAGGACGCAATCCATACTCACTCCCTTCTCTTCCTTGACTCTCATTCCCCCTTCAGATCACTTTCATCTACCTTCCATTTCCACTACTGCCACTGAAAGGGTGCTGCCAAAACTTTCTTATATTTATTGCAAAGTGTATTAATTTGTATGCAGCCCATGATACTCAATTGTCACCTCCTAATCAATTGGTAATCCCTACAGATGTGTCTCTAGGTCTCTCTGGAGCCCTACAGTTGCTTCTCCAGTGGCCTACTCGACATTTCCTCCAAGACGGGTCTCCCCAGGTACCTCAACTTCACGTGTCTTAAACTGGACTCATAGCATTCCCTCCATAGTCCCTGCTCCCCTCTGCTTCTCTAGCTCAGTCCATGGCATCTGCATCTTCCTGGTTGCTCAGACTGGGAAGCTTGGAGCTCTCCTTGCTTCATTCTTCTCCCCTATTCTCCACTGTGGCACACATCTAGTCTTCCGTGATGTCCTGCAGGCTCTGCCACAGAAAGAGCTTCTGAGTCTTCCCTTATTACCATTCTCTTACTTTGGCCCTGGCCCAGAATCTCAAGAATTCTTCCTGAATTATTACAGCATCCTCTAGTTTCTCTCCTGTTGAGCTCACCCCTGGATTCATTACAAAACAGCTGCTTCTCTTGCTGAAGAATCTTTGGTGAATGGCACATGAATAGATGCTCAATATTATTAGTCAGTAGGATCTATAACTCAGAAGCACTGTGAGATGGCGCTTCACACCCACTAGGATGGCTCTAATCAAAAAGACAGGCAATCTCAAGTGTTGGTGGGGATATGGAGAAATTGTAATGCTCAAACAGTGCTGGTGAGAATGTAAATTGTTCCAGCCACTTTGGGAAACAGTTTGTCTGTTCCTCAAAATGTTAAACGTAGTTTTCATAGGACTCAGCATTTCCACTCCTCAGACTGTACCCAAGAGACATGAAAATATATTTCCACATGAAAACTTACACATGAAAGTGGTAGAAGTATTATTCATACTAGCCAAAAAGTGGAAACTAACCAAATGTCCCTCAGCTAGTGAACAAAATATGGTATGTCCATTCAATGGGCTGTTACTTGGCAAGGAAAATAACTGTGACAACATGGATGAACCTTGAAAACATGCTAAGTGAAAGAGGCCAGACCCAATAGACCACCCACCCTATGATTTTATTGACATGAACTGTC
The DNA here is from genome assembly GCF_000001405.40 of Homo sapiens. Classification (NCBI taxonomy): domain Eukaryota; kingdom Metazoa; phylum Chordata; class Mammalia; order Primates; family Hominidae; genus Homo; species Homo sapiens. Next base: position 87,618,695 of record NC_000009.12, read on the forward strand.
CAGAGTAGGCACATCTGTGGAGACACAAAGTAGCTGCGTGGCTGCCGAGGGCAGGTGGGAGTGTGGTGGGAAAGTAGGGTGGCTACTCATGGACACAGGGCTTCTCTTGGGGGTGATAATGTTCTAAAATTAGATTGTGGGGATGGTTGCATAACCCTGAAAATACTAAAACCCAGTGAGTGGTACACTTTAAAAGAGTGAATTGTATGGTGCGTGAATTATATATCAAGAAAGATTTAATCTTGGATGACTCCCTCCTGCCCGCTGAATGAGGTCCATGATTGGTAGAGTGGTGCAGAGCCTTTGAACCTGTGTCCAGGCCCCTCCCCATATTCATCCATGTCTCTTCCACCCCACTTTGCCTCTGCCCTGATGCTCCACCCACAGAGAATGTCTTGCCATTGCCAGATCACACCTGTTCCCCTGTAGAACTCCTACTCATCCATCAAAACCCAGCTCACATGTCACCCTCTCTGGATTTCCTACCCACTCCAGTTAGGTTTAATTGTTTTTGTACTTGTGTTTTCCTCACTTTTTAGGCGTGTGTCGATTATAGCACATACTGTACTGTATTTTAAACATTTATGTGTCTCTCCTGCAGTGGACTGTGAGCTTCCTGAGGATGTGCCAGTATTTTACTGATTTATTTTTCTGTGCCAACCTTGTAGGAGAGGATGTACATGCTAGCACACTGTCAGTGCCCAGTGAAAGTGGTTGAAGTTGAATTCTGTCAGGGAGACTGGCTGGGAAACAACAGTAAGGACTCTGAGGAACCGCAATGAGGAGCTTTTTCATGGCAAGGACAGTGGGGTGAAGAGAGGAAACAGAGCCACAGGCACTGCTTCCCGAAGGCTCTGCCTTGCACGTGACCTGCCATACTCTAAGTAGTCCTCTCTCATGAGAACGGGGCAGTTTGTCAGCAGGGCTGATTTCCACCCTGGGCCTGAGAGGATTGAGACGCAGGACCATGTGTTCAAGCTGGATGCATGGGATGGGAACGAGCTCAATAGAAGGACAGTCGATGGGACTCCACGGGACAGGCATTGAGAACCTATTATATGGCCGGCATTGTTATGCTAGAGGCCAATGACAGTCAGAGGTGGGCGGTTGAAAGTAATGCTGCTGATTGTCGTTGTCATCTGGTAGAGTCATGCCCATCACGTAACAGCTGCCAATGCATATTTCTGCAAAGAAGGAAAGAAAGCCGATGAGCTCTTCAGAAGATGAGCTCTTCAGACAATCCTAAGTCTCCTTTACCCATTACAGCATCCTCCATGGCACTCACCCCAATCTTACTCTGGCATGCATGGGCCCAGACAGACGATGCTGTTGAAAAGGAGATCTGAACCTCATCTGCTCTCCTTAGAGGCCTCTGGTGGGGGCAGATCTCTGCTCTCAGCCCCTGCTTCCAGCAGAGCGGGGTTTCAGGCCACCCTCTCCCTGGCCCTCTCCCCAGGTGGGCGGTGGAGACCCTCTGCTCGTGCCCCTCCGCTCGTGCCCCTCCTTGGTCTCTGATTCCCTCTCCTCTCAGGGCCAGGTGTTTTAGAGCTCAAAGAGGGAAACTGGGATAGAAAACGTGTGACAGCCTTAGCACCTGCTGAGTGAATTCCAGCTCTTTCCCCTTTTCCATCGCTTCCTCCTCCTCAAACCCTTCTTCCCCCTCCTCAGACTAAGGGAAGAATCGCTCTGCTCTATGCCTGTTAAAATTGCGGCTCTCCATGTCTCAAGGTGGCTAAAGAACAGGCAGCACATCCTTCGGATCAGCTGTGTGCCTCTGATGGGCTGGTGGTCCTCTGTCCTGGGATTTCCAGGTCATGGAAGGGCAGGGAGAATTAAGCCCAGTCAAGAAGGAGGAAGAGAAGGAGTAGGGGGAGGGGGAGGGGGAGGGAGAGGGGAGGAGGAAGGGGAGGAGGAGGACCGGGAATAGGACAGGGAGGAGGAGGAGGAGGACTGGGAGTAGGACAGGTAGGAGGAAGACCAGGAAGAGGACAGGGAGGAGGAGGAGGAGGAGGAGCTGGTGGTGGTCTGTATTTCCCTGGATAATAGCCTTCCCTTGTTTTCAACTAGCCCAGGCAGATTGATTTTGGAAAAAAAAACCCATCTATGGCTCTCCCTGCTTGGTTTACTCTGGCCGCCTTTTGTTCCAGTGCCAGTTATAATTACCCAGGCTGAAGAGATGCCTGGAGGCCCCTGCTTTTCCGTTTGCCCCACTTTTGATTGGCCTAATTATTTCTGTGGGTCTCCAAAGCCTGGGCTGAAGCCATTAAAGCAACCAGAGACTTGGCATGTGCTGCGGCCACTCTGGCTGTTAAGTGTCTTGTTTCTCTGTGCCTGAGCACTTTCTTTAGTTCCAGCCCGGGAATCTCCATGTGTCCACTGGAGGATGGAGCTATAGTTTGTCTGTCAGGCACTTTCCTTTCTACCCTCCCTCCTCCAAGTATTGCCTGGAGCAAGGATTCCCTCCCTTTCCTACCCTGGGACAGCATGCATTGGTCATGACCACTTACTTTGAGTGCTGGGGTAAATGGCTGAGGTTGTTTGTGGCTGGAGATGATCACCTGGAAGGTCCAGCAGGATACTCCAGGGCCCCATGCAATACCCAAAGGTGTGGGGAGAGGCCTGTGCCTCTACACACCCACATCCCGTTTACAGCGACCCGGTTGTCAGGCTCGGCCATTGCACTGGGGGATGCCGTGCCCAGAGGCTGGTGGGCTTCCCACCTGCACCACCTAGTCCAGATTTCCTCCATTCCTGTAGCCATCTGCAGTAAGCATTTCTGCATCTTCCAGCCTCCCTGGCCTTCCCAGGGAGGAAAGAGTCTTCATCGTCTTCCTTGTGTGTATCACTCCCATTGTTGGTGTGCCATTTTCTGAGTATTTTCCAGACTCTGTGTTTCTCTTGAAATCTAGAGCTCAGGGTGGTCTGTGGTCTGCAGTTCTTTGGATGTTGAACATTAGGGAGTCTGCCTCTTGCTTTGGGTTTGAAATCAATTGCATTCCTGATGCAGGCAGCTGAGGATCCACTCTGACTCTGGGCTTTTTTCTCTCATGCTAATAGTTTCTCATCTGAATTCGTTTTTAACTTCACCTGAAGTGGACACTGTTGAGCACCCCTCTCTACCCTCTCCTGCCTGTTAGAACTGTGGCCTGGGTGACTCTAGACCCTCAGCCTCTCATCACCAATCCAGTAATCTGCAGTTCCCCCACATCCACACTGGGCTCGGTAGAGCCTCGGCAACATCAGAGCCCTTTTTCACACGTTACCACCTCTCTCCAAGGGCATCCTTTGGGCCCATGGAATGACTTGGGATGCACATTGAGCCACCATTCTAGAATGGCTTTCATGCTGGCTGCCTTGCACTTTTTTTTTTTTTTATTTCTCTGAGTTGATGGCCTCTACCATTTTCATTTCTAAAAGGTCTCTGGGAACTTTAACAAATTCTGATTTCATTTCTTTGGAGTATTTTTATGGTACCTCCCCCATCCATTTCTCTTTCCCATGCGCCCTCGCTCCCTATCCCCTGTGGAAACAAAAATGCAAGCAGAGAATCAGAAACTGAGCCAATGCCCAGTGTTGGGGTAGGAGGCTGTGGTTTCTGTGAATCCTTCGTAGGTGTGACAACCTCCTACACCAGACACCCTGCAGGGTGTGAGTGTCACCCTGCTGCCTGAGCAGCAGGCTCCGGTACCTCACAAAACAGCACTAAAGGTTGTCTTCTCCTGAAGGTTGTCTCTTACAAACCAAGTCTCTGAACCAAGAGCACATTTTCAAGAACTCCAGTCATTTTGATGTATTCAGTGGGTAGAGGGAAGGTAGATTCTCTTCCCTGAAAGGGGAAGAGAGGAAAAAAAAAGATTGCTTTTGGTTTGTTGGCTTGTTTTATAAATGCCTCCTTATATTCCACATAATGCTTCCTCAATTTAAGAAAAAAATAGGCTGGGTGCTGTAGCTCACGCCTGTAATCCTAGCACTTTGGGAGGCCGAGGCAGGTGGATTGCCTGAGCTCAGGAGTTCAAGACCAGCCTGGGCAACACGGTGAAACCCTGTCTCCACTAAAATACAAAAAATCAGCCGGGTGTGGTGGGGCGCACCTGTAATCCCAGCTACTCGGGAGGTTGAGGCAAGAGAATTGCTAGAACCCGGGAGGTGGCGGTTGCAGTGACCCGAGATTGCACCACTGCACCCCAGCCTGGGCGGCAGAGTGAGACTCCATCTCTAAAAAAAAAATAAATAATAAGGACTTTTTAAAAATTCCATGTCAAGCTGAGAACTGCAGCCTCCTGTTTGAAAATCCGCGCCTCAGCAAACTGCCACTCAATCATTTGGCCCTGAATTTGAGCATGCCATCATTTGAGTCAGTGGGTTGGGTAATCACATAAGGGGCCCACTAGGACTTGAAAGCACAATTGTTTATTATGCTGTGCTGGTAATGACTTCCACCTTCTTAACAGCTGAGTAAAGTGGTCTGGCCCCACATCCTCCTGGGCCTGCTGGTATTAATAAATCATGGTGCATTTTCTTTTCACCAATCCAGCATTCTGTTTCCTTCTTGGATGCTAAAAGAAAGTCATGGTTTTGCTTTTTTCACTTATGAATGAAAGTGATTACATTAAAAATCTTCCTTTTCCACACAGGCTGGACCTTAATGCAGCTTCACAGATTAGTCTTTCATGCCTATGGAAGACCACATTTTTGAGGCTAGAGACCTTTTGGGGATCCCAAAGTATTTCCAAATGTGGATCTTTCTTTTCTTGGCACAGTTGGCAGAGCTAACAGGTTTGGTCCCTCATGCACGAGGCATACATCCCTGAAACATAAGGTTTTTGTGCTGGTAGCGACAGTCCGTCCCCATCATCAAGCAGGACACAAAGGAACTGGAATAAAATTGCCTGTTAATTTTAGGAGACATTGGGGACCGGGTGCAGTGGTGACGCTATGGGCTAGAGGGTGGGTTGGGAGTGGAGGTGTAAGACAAGATAGTTTTTATGAAAGGTTCTGGGTTCCTGAGAGGAAGGGATTGTGCCGGGGATCGAGCTAACATTTCCTGTGCAAGGACTGTGTGCCATGCCCTTGCTCATAAGTGCCTTTCATTTGAGCTCATTTAATGTAGAGACGGTGAAAAAACATCCACCTCTGTAGAAAGCTGGGCCTGAGGAGCAAAACCCCTCAGATAGGAGGTAACACTTTGTTCCTGGACTGGGAGGGGAACTCAAGCAGCTTTATTTTTTCTGAATACTGATAATTGCCATTCACTGAGCACTTTTTATATGCCGGGTGTATTATATACATCGTGTCATTTAATCCTCACAAAAGCTCAAGGAGGCAGGGTTCTGAGATTCTATTGCTACAAAAGAAAGCACTCCAAAGCTTCTTGATGTGAAGTGGCAACAGTCATTTGTTTTGATCACAAATCTGAAATTAGGACAAGGCTCAGCAGGGACACCTTTTCCCTACTCCTTGCAGCCACAGCTGGAGCAGATGCCTGGGGCTAGAGGATTCCCTACTTAGATGGCCCCTGACATGCTGCAGATCACTCAGAGGGGACCCCCTTCCAAGATGTCCTCCACATGACTGACAAGGTAGTGCTGGCTGTCAGCTGTGAGTTCAGTCAGGGCTGTTGGTTCCACTCCACCTGTGCTCCTCCACTGTGCTAGTTGGGCTCTCCCACAGCATGGCAGCTGAGACCTAAGGTCAGGTCCTCCAAAACAGGACATGGAAGTTGCCAGTCTCTTAAAACCTGGATCTGGAAACTGGCACAGCATCACTTCTTTCAGATTCTATTGGTCGAGCAGGCACAGAACTTGCTCAGATTCAAGGCGATGCAGCAAAAGAGACCACAGCTCTCAATGGGTAGTGCCAAAGGGTTTGCAGCCATCTTTATTCTACCAGAGGTGCAGAAAGGTTAAGTGTCTTCCCCTGGATTACTCAGCCAGCAAGTGGACAGGACCCTTATCCCCTGATTTCTTCCAGATCCTGTGACACTCCTGAGTTGGCCAGAGCACCCGACTGACCTCGAGTCAGCTTTCTGTGTCCATTTTTTGCCATCAACTGTACCTGTAACATCAATGCCCACCACAGCGCCAGAGGCCTAGCGAAGCGAATTCTATAAGCATTCCTAAATCACCTTTATTTGGAATTGACTTAAAGAGCAACAATGGCAGGACCCTAGGCTTGAGAAGAAAACACCCAGGGAGCATGTGATAACCATCTTCAGATGTGGGAGGGTGACTGTGCAGGCCACAGCGTGGTTGGCGTTCTGTGACCTCCATTGTTCTTGAGTAGTTGACAAACTACAGCCGGTGGTCCCGAGACCATCACCTGCATATGTGTAGTCCTTAAGAAGGAAATGAAAATGTTTTTACATTTTCAAATGGTGGAAGAATGAAAGCAAAATAGAATACATAGCAGAGTTGAACAGATGCAAGAGAGTGTATGGCCCAGGAAGCCTCTCACAGAAACAGTTTGTTAATCGCTGTCCCAGAAGGCAGAATCAGCACCTATGTGACCAGAGGTAGATCTCGGGTCGCTATAGGAATGAATTTTCTAACTAAGAGTTGTCCATCAGCAGGAACAGCAGCTTTCAGCTGAAGGCCATACAGGCAGATGCTGTGCCTTGGACACTGTAAGTCTATGGTGTGCTGGTAAAGCTCTAACAACAGGCTCCCCAGGGGAGAGAGCCTTGGTTGGTAATGTTTGCCTATTTCTGTGGTATAAATGCTACCACATGGCCAGTCTCCAGCTGCCAGCATAGCATCACTAAATGCAGAGTGGGGAGGAGATGCACACGGTCAGCTGTCTCAGGAGCCCCAGGTTCCACTGTGATGGGCTCAGGCGATCATCAGTATATAACGCTGCCCTCGAGTAGCTCCCAGTGTAGAGACTTGCAGGGTCTTGGGTAGGCACAGTAGTGCTGGAGACTTCTGTGAGATGCCATCTGCTGCTCTGGGCCCACAGGCAGCCATTGTTAACATCCACAAGCCCAGAAAGATTAAGTACTTTGCCCAGGGCCACACAGCTGCTAAATTCCACATGCTATTTTATTGTTCTCACATTTGGTTTAGAAAATCCTGATTTCTGCAGAAAGATTGATAAGTTTGACCGCATTCAAATTTAAAACATCCGTTTAACAAAACATCACTTTAAGCAAAGTTAGAAGGCAAATAACAGATTGAGAGAAAACATTTAGAATATGTGAGATCAAGGCGTGGGTATCCAGAATATGTAAGGAGTACCCATCAGTCAATTAAAGTTAATGACTATGATGGTTCAGTAAGAAAATGGGCAAAGGATGTGGACACGCAGTTTATACCCACTCAAGTACAAACAGCCACTAAACATGACAGATGACCAATCTTGCCACTAAGCAGGGGAGTGTATGATAAAACATTGGTTCATGTTTTCCACTTATTCGATTGGTAAAAGTAATAATACCAAGCAAGGGCCATTTGCAGTGACTCGCACCTGTAATCCCAGCACTTTGGGAGGCCAAGGTGGGTGGATCACCTGAGGTCAGGAGTTTGAGATTAGCCTGACCAACATGGTGAAACCCTGTCTCAACTAAACACAAAAAATTAGCTGGGCGTGGTGGTGCACGCCTGTAATCCCAGCTACTCGGGAGGCTGAGGCAGGAGAATCACTTGAACCCGGAAGGTGGAGGTTGCAGTGAGCTGAGATCATACCACTGCACTCCAGCATGGGCAACAAGAGCAAAACTCTGTCTCTTTAAAAAACAAACAAACAAACAAAAAACAACAACAACAACAACAAGCAAGTGAGGACGCGAAGCCAAAGCAACTTCATGAACTGCTGCTGGAGGAATATAAGGTTATGCAGCCCAGCCTGCAACCGAGCATCACCTTGACCCAGAAATTCCAAACTGGGCTAGATATCCTAGAGCCTAGAAAACCTGTCACATCCTCGGAGTAGTCAGGTGCACAGGGAATCATTGCCTTCTAGTTTGTGATAGTGAAAATTTGGAATGGATGTAAAGACCATCAGTTAGGGAATGACTAAATAAACTCTTATCTAGACCTTCAGGTGAACATTAAGCTACAATGATGAGGATGCAAGAGATTAATAGCAATGGGTATTGCTGAGGTAGAATAGCAAATTGCAGATTGATGCATAGACTCTGATGTCATTTATGTTCTTAAAATGTACATAAAACAATGCCATATGGTGCATAGACTTCATATAAAAAGTTCCGGAGGGCTGTACACCATACTCGTGATAGTGCATGCTTTTGGGGAGGTAGGGATGGGGAGGGCCAGTACTGGGGAGGAGGGGAGATGTTCAGAAGCAGCTTCAGTTTTATAGCTGGATGTTTAAATTTTTCTAAAGGTCAGTGTATTTTTAAGAGACCAAGCCAAAGTTCAGTTATTTCCAAACAGAACAGTGGCTGTAAAGGAACCTACTATCTTCCTCAGCAAGTTCAGACCCAGCAGGTTGGCCATGGGGAGGCGCCCACATGGAGAGGGGTGTCTGGGTGTGGTTGCCTCGGCCCATGAGGTTGACCTTGCTCCTGAGGGTCCTCTCTCATCACGTCTGTGATCTCCATCCTGGCCTCAGGTCCCCTTGACCCTTGCCTAAGCAGGAAAATGCTTTTTGCTTAATTTATTATTGCACAGCTGGGACAACTGAAGAATTTTAAATAAGACTTTACTGAGAGCTGAGAATGACAGGAGGAAAATAGAGTCACAGTAGGTAGGCGGTGTTGCTTATAAATCGCAGGGTTCTTGTGCCAAGCTTGGAATGGCCAACACCTCCTCCCTGCTCAGCCCAGCCACCCACCCCCTTTGCTTGCTCCCTCTCCCCTTGCCCCCGGCAGCTCTCAGGAATGTCTAAACTCCACTGTGTCTAGACCCAAAGGAAAGATGCAGACAGAGTGTCCCCTCTCCCATGTAGCCATGGCCCACCTTCCAGCTTACCTGTTTCCTGTCTAAGAGCCAACCTCTTCCCCAGATTTTTGGCCCCAGGAATGTCCATCTGTTTCAGCAAAACCCTACTCTTCAACCACAGGAGTGTGGGCCTTATTCTGTCATTAGCATGAGGTCCACATCAGAATCCCATGCCTGTAAACCTAGGACCTGGGCAAGAGGCACTCACAGAAGCTTCAAGGGTTTCTCTCACCTATGGCTGTGAGGAGTTCAGGCCAAGGATTGCTGCGGGGAATATTGCACCGTTGCCATGTGCCAGATGCTCATATCCTAGCCATGTTCTCTTCATCAATCCCATTAGAAGCATAGGAACTAATATCCCATTTTCTGGACATGGAAACTGTGCCTCTGAAAGTAACTTAACCTCTCTGAGGACACAGAGCCCGATGCAAACCAGGCTACTGCCTGCAGTGCCTCTGAACCCTTGAGCCATGTTCTTCCCATAGGGGTTTGTTCTAGGTACCTTCAGGAGGCTCCTTCCTGCTTTCACACAACCTCCCTGGGTAAAAGGAAAGATCCCCTCCCCCATGAGCTTTGAGTGCCACGCATGCATGCTGTTCTATGAGAATCCATGCGGCTCCTTTTAAGTTGTTACTTGAACTTGAATTTGAGGTGAAAACAGACAGAACTTGTATATTCAGATACAGCTTGCATTTTGGATTTAAAGAAGCTAGGGCTAATTCAGAGGAGGCCTTAAGGTTAGGAACTTCGTTGATATGATTCATTTAATTTGAGGGAAACAGAGCATAGAAGCAAAAAATGTCTCTGACCCCCTGAATCTATTTCCAACCTTAAATTCACTCCGGTTCGACAAATGCAGAAAGGAATGCCCTGTGTTCCTTCTTCCCCTTCCTGTGTCCCAGCTTCAGTTTTCATTCAGCAAAGTCCTCCAGTGACCCAAGGAACTGAAATTAGAATGTGAGAGGTGAGCGTGTGAACACCCTTCAAGGCTTCCCCTAAATTAACAGGAAAGAACATTCAACACAGTGGTGATGACGGAGCATTGAGTTGTAGTTCTTGGTTTATTTAGAGGCAAAGCCAAGAGGTAGTTGGGGACCACCTCACTCCTTCACGCTGTATACACCAGGATAGTTACGGTAAAGGAGGAATCATCTCAAAATGCTTGGGGAGTTACTTAAACCCCAAGGAGAGCACCAGATATATATTTCTCATCCACATTTTTCTGACCTGAATTAAAACATTTTTATAGTAGTACATGAATGAGCCCTTCCTTCACAGGGGAATCCAAATGCAAGGCTAAGAAAACACTTCAGTGGATTCTAATTATCTTCCCCTTTCCTTGCTTCTCTTTATTTCCTGAATTGCTTTAGCCAACCTGTAATATTTTGCTTGCAGCTTGCAAGGAGTTATTACTTATTATGGGTTGGATTGGATACTCCCCCACAAAAAAATAATGTTGAAGTCCTAACCTCCAGGACCTCAGAATGTGTGATCTTCTTTGGAAAGAGATCATTCTTCTCATTGGTTACATTCTTTGCAGATGTAACCAAGTTAAAATGAGGGCACTTGGGTGGGCCCTAATCCATATGACTGGTGTTCTCATAAAGGGGGAGTGTGGATGCAGACACAGACGTGTGTGGAGGGCGGTCTACAGGGAGAGACGCAGGGAAAGTGCCAGTTGCAGGCGGGGATGGGAATGCTCGTCTACAAGCCCAGGAGCACAGAGATTGCTGGCAAAGCCCCAGAAGCTGGGAAGTGGCCAGAAGGGATTCCCCTCCAAGCTTTAGAGGGAGCATGGCTCTGTAGACACCTTGATTTTGGACTTGTAACCTGAAATTTCTGTCATTTTAAGCCACCCAATTTGTGCTACTTTGTTAGTGTGGCTCCGGCAACCTAATACACTACCTATACCTACCTAACCCTTTTATTTTTTATTGTTTTTTGAATATGTTTTTAAAAATTTTATGTAGAGATGGGGGTCTCACTGTGTTGCCCTGGGTGGTCTCAAACTTGGGGCCTCAAGCAACCCCGCCTTGGCCTCCCGAAGTGTTGGGTTTGCAGGTGTGAACCACCATGCCTGGGCCTAACTCTTTCAAAGTATACATTTAGGATCAAATAAAATTGGAAATTTCAGTTCCTCTATCATAGTCAGTTTGACATTATATTTTCCAAAGATGGCTTCAGTGTTATCTGCTGTCCTACCTATAGGGCCAAACACCTGAAATCAGGAGCTGGATTCTAAATCCCCCTTCCCTTGGATCTGGATAGGCCCTTTTGATGCTGTGTGACTTCTGAGGCAGCATCCACCTGCGTGCTGGGACACTTGCTCTGGAGCCCTGACGTGCCTGTGAACAGTCCACTTATCTTGAGGCCAGTGTGCTATGAGGGAGCCCAAACTAGCCCAGATGGAGAGACCACGCAGAGACATGAGACTACAAGGAGAGAGGTGCCCAGACAGCCCCCGAGCTGCTTCAGTGCCCCTGCCATTTCAGCATCAGCCATTGTCTGATTACAACCCCATGACACACCCTAAGCCACAGCTGCCCAGCCAACCCTTCCTGAATTCCCAACCCATAAGATAATTGTCATGATTAAAGCCTAAGGTTCTGGGGAGATTTGTTACATGGCAATAGATAACTGCAACAGTTAGCATGCTCTGTGCTTTGCATTGGTCACTTTCTTTTAATTTATAAAATGTATTACATTATTACTTGTGATTAAATAGTTTTATTATTTAAAGCAGACAGAAGACAACCACAAAATCTGGTAGCTTAACATTATAGGATTTATCTCTCACTCACTCAAAGTCTCATGCAGATAGGGTAGGTTGATGACCTCCTCCAGGCAGTGACTCAGGGATCTACATTCCTTCTACCTAGCCTTTGCTGCCCCCTGGTCCTTCTTGGAGTCCTGTGCTGGGTCACCTGTGTTCTGGTGGCCAAAGAGAGAGATGAGAGTGTGGGTGGGGGATTACATCGGATGTTTTGGGGACCGCATCTGAAATGGCACACATCATTTTGGTCCATATTTTACTGGCTAGAAGTAGTCCTGGATTCGAGGAGCTGGGAAATGCCCCTTAGTTGTGGGCCTGCAAGAAACAGGGTAGTATGGTGGGAACACAACCGAGGCTCTGCCACATCTGCACACAGATCGGAGGATCTTAAAATACCAGAGCTGGAAGGGCCTTGAGAAATGAGCTTATCTGCGTGTCATCTCTGCTTCAGGATGAACAGAGTCTTGTTAAAATGCAGATTCTGGGGCCTCACTCAGGAAGTAGGTACCAGGAAATTACATTAAAAAGATTTCCCAAATTATTGTTGTGTGCACTAAGGTTAGAGAACCACTTAACCTGGTTACTCAACCCTCTCATTGTACATAGAGCAAAGGTGAGGTCCAGAGAGGTGATATGACCTCCTTATATCTCTTCAAGTCACCCACCCCTTGAGGCCAGAATTGGAGCTGGCGCCTCTGCCTCCCAGGGCTTTGTGACCTAGGAGCCAGGCCTCGAAGGTGTGCCCTGGGGGAGCATACTTGGTGCCTGATTTCTTCCACTCTGAAGAATCCTAATGTTTGCCTTGAAATTGGCCTCATGGGGTAATTAGTATGTAGACAGGGGTCCTCTGCAGCTTAGATGATAACCAAAGCGGATCCTAAATCAAGTCTTGTTATATTTTGGGCAATTCCTAGCAAAAGTCAGGAACCCTCCAGAATGTTTTAATTTAGAAAATGGAATCTTGCAATACCTTCTCCTGCATTATTAAAAGGCCCACTTTGTTTTTAATGTAGTGACATGTCCTAAATACCTTCTGTCGTGGCCAACTTTTAGGGAGGCTTTGGTGGTAGTAAAAGACATGTTGGGAGGAGAAAGAACCATGGTATTTTCCAGCTCTCTTGGTGAAAACAGCAAATGTTCATTAGTATTCATTTCACACGATTTCCCTGATAAAGCCATAATTTAAAACACTGACTCAAAGCCCTAATAAAGGAGGTTAACTTGCTTTCTAAATCTGCTGCACAGACTGCTCATCTCTCCTTCCATCAGCCTCCCTTCTCCTAAGCCAATTGTAGAATTTGGAACAAAGAGAAAAAGTGCAAGGTTTTTTTATTGATTCCCTTGTTAACCAGATTCTGCTGTTCAGCAACATGGTGAGCATTTGAGTTCTGGTTCTCAGCATGCATGTGAAAAATCCTCAAGTCATTTTCTACCTTCAGAGATTTGGGGGCCAAACAGGGAATAAATTACCAAACAATGCTTATCATGCTCCCAAACATTTGCTGAAATCATTTAGTTTCAATTATTTTAATTACTGAAGATTTTATAAGCAGAGTTCATGGCAAAAACATCTGCCTTCATGAATTGGCACGAAGGAGGATGAGTATATATGTAGAAATAAAGGAAGATGAGTATATATGTAGAGATGAAGGAGGATGAGTATATATGTAGGGATGAAGGAGGATGAGTATATATGTAAGGATGAAAGTTAATTAGTATATATGTAGAAATATATATATATATATGTATGTGTGTGTGTATATATATATAAAATACCAGATGGGTATGTATGTATGTAGAGATGAAGGAGTATGAGTATATATGTAGAATGAAGGAGGATGAGTATATATGTAGGGATAAAGGAGGATCGGTATATATAGGAGTGAAGGGTGATCAGTATATATGTAGGAATGAAGGAGGATGAGTACACATGTAGAAATGAAGGAAGATGAGTATACATGTAGGGACAAGGAGGATGAGTACATATGTAGGGATGAAGGAGGATGAGTGCATATGTAGAAATGAAGGAAGATGGGTATACATGTAGGGATGAAGGAGGATAAGTGTGTATGTAAGGATGAAGGAGGATGAGTATATATATAGGAATGAAGGGTGATCAGTATATATGTAGGGATGAAGGAAGATGACAATATATATAGAAATGAAGGAAGATGAGTATACATGTAGGGATGAAGGAGGATGAGTATACATGTAGGGATGAAGGAGGATGAGTATGTATATAGGAATGAAGGGTGATCAGTATATATGTAGGGATGAAGGAGGATGAGTACCTGTGTAGAAATGAAGGAAGATGAGTACCTATATACAAATGAAGGAAGATGAGTATACATGTAGAGATGAAGGAGGGTGAGTATATATGTAGGGAAGAAGGAGGATGAGTATATATGTAGATATGAAGGAGAATCAGTGTATATGTAGGGATGAAGGAGGTTGAGTACATATGTAGGTATGAAGGATGATGAGTACCTATGTAAAAATGAAGGAAGATGAGTATACATGTAGGGATGAAGGAGGATGAGTATATATATATATATATAAATGAAGGGTGATCAGTATATACGTAGGGATGAAGGAGGATGAGTACATATGTAGAAATGAAGGGAGATGAGTATACATTAGGGATGAGAAGGATGAGTATATATGTAGGGATGAAGGAGGATGAGTATATATGTAAGATGAAGGAAGATGAATATATATGTAGGAATGAAGGAGGATGAGTACATATGTAGAAATAAAGAAAGATGAGTGTACATGTAGGGATGAAGGAGGATGAGTATATATGTAGGGATGAAGGGTGATCAGTATATATGTAGGGATGAAGGAGATTGAGTACATATGTAGGGATGAAGGAATATGAGTCCATATGTAGAAATGAAGGAAATGTAGGGATGAAGGGGGATGGGTATGTAGGGATGAAAGGGGATGTGTACATATGTAGATATGAAGGAAGATGAGTATATGTGCGTATGGGTGAGGGGGGATGGAGTGAATACATAGGGCCTTCTGGGCATCAGTTGATAAGTCCTGACCTAGTGGGATAGGGACTCTCCTAACCTTTCTAATGTCTAACTGAAGGACTTGGTTGCCTGGACAGCCATGACATGGACTGCTTCATAACAAGTTGAGATTTGAACAGGGACTTGTGAGAAGGGTCAATGATGAAAACTAAGAGGATCAACTAGTGCTCTCCTTCTCCCAGTCTTGATCAGTCACTACACTTTGCAGTCCTGGTCCCTAACTCTTGGGGTTCCAGGGTTATTCATTGTCCTTACTCCTGTGGAGTTGAGTTTCTGAGGACGCAAATACTGAATAAGGCACGAGATGACCAGGCCAGAGAAGGGCAAGCCTAATTTCCATTGGCTGAGCCTAGTAAACAAGCCCAGTTCAAGATGGTGCATGTTCTAGCCTTCTATGGCTATGTAAAAAACTATCCCAGACCCAGTGGGGTGTAGCTTGGGTTCCCTGGGAAGCAGACTCTGAGATGGAGAAGAGTGTGCATGGTGTTTATTAAGAACTATACTTAGGATCAAGATTTGGAGAAGAGGAGAAGGGGGCAGGAATGGGTTTAGTGGCAGCCCCAGTTGGCCAACAGGGAGTTCTGGGGCCAGAATGACCCTTGAGAGTTGCCCCAGGTTGGGCTGTGATGACCTAGTCTTTATATCAGGGATCAGCAAGTTATGGCCTATAGGCCAAACCCAGGTTGCCACCTATTTTTTAACTAAAGTTTTATTGGAACACAGCCACACCCATCATGTACATGTCATCTGTGGCTGCTTTCATGATACATTAGCAGAGCTGAGTAGTTGGGACAGACTGCAAGGCTGGCAAAGCCTAAAATATTTAGGATCTGCCCTTGATGGAAGTTTGGCAGGCCCTGTTATGTTCCCTCATTGATCAGTTGCTGAATGGACAGTCTCTGACCTCTGTGGCCTCGGCTGCGCTGGAGGGTCCCCTTCTAAGGTGCCTTCCTTGCTCGAGGCTCCTTGGCCTTGTTCTCCAAGGACATCTCTTCTTCCTGGGTTTCTCCACGTGGCACAGTGGTTTGGCATCGTCGTACTTCTTGCATCTTACCTGAGGGCTTCAGGAGGTGGGACCTGGAGGCCCCCAGTCCATGAAAAGCCACAGCAGGGCTGGCAAAATCACTTGTGCCATTGGTCAAAGTGATCATGGGGCCTGCCCAGATTCAAGAGATGGAGCCACAGATGCCGCCCACTGCCTGAAGGAGGATGGCACAATCACGGTGCAGAAGAGCATGAGGATGAGATGCTGTCAGACCGTCTTCGGAAAAATGTGGAACACCATGGCAGGCCAGGTGGCTGCTCGGCAGTGCCGTGTCAATCCCAGCTCACCCAGGTCACCGCTGCAGTGCCTGTCCCTCCCCAACTCCACCCACGGTCCCTGACATCACGTGGGGAGGGAGTTTGAGATGGCCATGGTGGGAATGTGACACCTCGGGAATGGGCTCTACCCACCCCAACGCCAAAGAACCTGCTGCACACCCCTGCTGCCATGGGAGGACTTCTGGTTTGAAGCCACATGGGAAGAAAGACAGCAGCATTTATTGAGCACTAAGGGTCGCTACATGTCCTGGAACCTCAGGATGACTCCGTAAGCTATGATGTTACCCTTTATTTTATAGAAGGGGAGTCAGAGGCTCAGCAAGGTTGGAGGCCCTGGCAGGATTTGAACCATGGTCCCCTCGTTTTTGCCATCCTGCCTCACAGAAGACGGAGCTGGCAGGAGAAGGAGATCCTGGGTCTGAAGAAAGCTTAGGTTGGCAGGGAGGGAGAGAAAGCTGGCCAGAGAAGAGCGGGCAAAGCCTGAGGCCAGGGCAGCATGGGGTTGCCAGAAGGCTGGACAGTGGAGTCCCTGGAAAGGACTCAGGGCCAGCAGACTGCGCCAGCTGTGTGGGTGCTGGAAGATTCACCCCAACCAGGCAGCCAAACTCCTGACGTTTCTCATTGTCTGAAAAATGCATCTCTGTACTCTAAGACAACACAAGCAGAATGCGAGTGAGGTGGGCTCGGGAGGCCCTGAAGAGGGCCACGGAGAGAAAGCCGGCGGCTGGGCACCACATTCACAGCAGAAGTTTCAGTTCCTTCCCCTCACCTTCTTCCTGGGAAGCACAGTGGTTAGGCTCAACCAATGGACCAGTTTTAGGAGGAGGAGCGGGCAGGAAGGGGCTTTCATATTGGATCCTGTAGGAAGCAGTGGTATGCTACAGGGGTGACAGTGGCCTTCTTTATAACAACACTCGTTCCCGCAAGCTGGACCTTACCCACGTGCCAGCCTTGCCAGTTACACATGTCTATTACCTTTCATCCTCATAACCTTCAAGGGAAGAGGTCTTATGACTCCTCTTTGGGGAAATGAGGCTCAAGAGAAGGGGTAACCTTCCGGGTTTCAGGGTGAGCGCGTGGCAGAAGTTAAGACTTGGACTGGATGCAGGCACTTGACTTCTCCACATCACGTGGCCACGGTGCCTGAGTCAGCCCAGTGGTGCGGGGCGCCCCAGAGAGCACAGAAGCCAGGGCTGGAGACCCAGGTGTGATGGGAGAGCTTTCTTTGGGTGAGGTTGGTTCACAATCTCCCACTTTTTCCCCCCTATAGTTGAAGGATTTTCTCTCCCCGTTGTTTGTTTTAAGAATAAGATGCAAAAGTGAGAAGCGGGAGGCCTTGCCTTGTTCCGTGGGCAGACAGTGTGGGGGCTGTGAGGCCAAGGACACCTGGGAGGGGAGAGGGTGGGGGCAGACTGCATCTCCCAAGAGCAGGGTGGGGAGTGCAGGGAAGGGTCAGGAGGAGAGCAAGGCCACTGCTGAGGCAGGGTCCATGTAGGACACCTTTCGCTTGGACTCCTGGATGTCCTGGCTGGGCCCAGGCCCTGCTGTGTCCCCTGGAGGATAGGGGAGGCCTGTGGACTGCTCACAGGAGGGTGTGGCTACCTCTGCCAGGCCCCTGGGGATAGGAGAGTCACTCCACCATCCCCGTAAACCAGTGGGAGGCCCTGCAGCAGGAGCGTGGAATTAAGACGTGGGAAAATGGTCTCAGTTTTTCAGGTGCTTGTTAAAGATGCTGAGTTTTCTGGTCACCATTCTTGGAAGCCCTCACACAGCAGATTGAAAGTGAGGCTCAGAATCTTCATTTTTAAAGCATCCTCAAATAATTCTGATACCCATGGACTCTAGACCGTGCTAAGGAAAACACTGACCTGGAGGGTGAAGGCATGTGGGATCTGAAACTTTTAAGAAAACAGCTTTTTTGTCATTCTTATCTGATCTTATGAGCACCAATTTTCTTACTCTGAATGGATGTAGATGTGGAAGGTATAATGTTTGGGGAGCGCTCTTGCCCTAAGAGAGATAATGAATACAGCAGTTTGTGCATAATTGCACTTAATTATTATGTTGTGAATATATGGTTAAACTTGATAAAGATTAACTTATAAAAACTCTTATTAAAACTTCCCTGTTATTTGCCATTCATCGCTATCGTGGAGTTTTTAGGGGAGCTTGTTCGTCCATCCACCTGATAAAGTTTTGAATGCATGCTGTGTGCCTGGCTCTGGCGGGGAGTGGGGCATACAGCAGTAGCCAATAGCTGGGGTGGGAGGTTCTGACCACTCCCCTCCACCCACTTACAGTCTGGACAGAGAAATAAACTAAAAAAATCCGCAACCAACAACATACATTTTGCTTTTTTTGTAAATGTATTCTTTTTTTTTGTTTTTTTGAGACAGTCTCGCTCTGTCACCAGGCTGAAGGGCAGTGGCACAATCTTGGCTCACTGCCACCTCCGTCTCCCAGGTTCAAGTGATTCTCCTGCCTCAGTCTCCCGAGTAGCTGAGACTACAGGCACACGTCACCATGCCCAGTTGTTTTTTGTATTTTTAGTAGAGACGGTGTTTCTCCATGTTGGCCAGGATGGTCTCGATCTCTTGACCTTGTGATCCGCCCGCCTCAGCCTCCCAAAGTGCTGGGATTACAGGTGTGAGCCATTGCGCCCAGGCTACTAAATGTGATTTTTATAAATGTGTTAGTATTTACATACAAACCAATACTAGACAAGAGAGGAAAAAACCCTTATCAGACCATATATTGTGAATTTGAGTTTTAAAGAATTAATTAAACATGCAAGTTATGAACTTTTCAGGTACTCTCTAATTGAAATAAGAAGATATACACTATAAATTCTGTACAAAGCTGGCTTGCAGATTTTTTTCTCGTCATTAGAGTTAAGACATCACCTCTAAGTATGTTTAATTAAAATGTTTTCAAGATACACTGATATTTTCTTCACAGCATTTCATCTCTGCCCCTCCTCTCATTTGTGAACACGGAACCTTAGGAAAATGGTTCCCAAGTGCTTTCAAGCACAAATGTGTCTGAATGCAGAATTGTCAACAACCTGCACAGAGAATTCTGAATCCATGCTTGGCGGTTTCAGCATAGTCTTTATGCTGTTTTCTTGTCTGAAGTTTGAGCGCACCAATAGTCTATGAGAGAAGGAATCAATATGAAACAGAGTTGTTACCAATAACCTCTGCTTCCGGGTTCTCAGCGTTGCAGGTGGCGAGCTGTTTGACTTCTTAGCTGAAAAGGAATCTTTAACTGAAGAGGAAGCAACTGAATTTCTCAAACAAATTCTTAATGGTGTTTACTACCTGCACTCCCTTCAAATCGCCCACTTTGATCTTAAGGTACGTTTCAAAGTGTAAGCCAGATAGAAGCTTGTGCAGATCACAGCCTTGGTTGTTTCTCTGCTAAGAAAAATTGAGGCATCTGAAAGAGTTACATGATTTTCCTGTACCAGTTTAACAAACAGAAATATCACTATAAATCGGCAAGCATAGGATACATGCCCCCCACTGGGATGGCTAACCTTTTTGTGGGATAGAGGCTTAATGATAATTGATTACATTCTGGAATTCTTGGTAAAGAATACAAGGGGTCTTAGGAGCCAGGTTTTTTAGTAAGGGGGCTGCTCTAGCCAGCAGCTAGTGACTGGCACTGGTTCCTTCTGTGGCTCTGGGCATGTTAAGATAGAAAATGTGTTGAGTGATGCAAAGGCGTATGGCCTGACTCTGTCACCAATAATCAAGCAAACCAAACTCAGATTGGCTAATTGGGGCATTTGCCTGGCTGGATGCAGGACGCTGTTGGAGATGAAAGGGCATGTAAGCCGTCCTCCCAGCCATGACAGAGGTGTGGTCTCTTTGGGAAGGGAAGACACGACAGGAGCAATAGGAAGTGGCAATGGTGGGAAGTTCCAGTTCAAGGCAGGAAGAGGTGGTCTGGTAAAGCAGCGCGTGCTCCATCCGAGTAGTTGATTCAGACCAGTAGAGCTGGGATAGGATTTCAGAGGAGGGAGGATTTTCCCCATTCTTCTGTAGCAGAGCTGTCAATGTCCCATTCATGTCCCTGCTGGCCCCACAAACAATGTGCAAAAGCACACACTCATATACATCCTAACAGAGGGCTTGTTGCAAATACCTGTGACTCTTCCTGGCATCTTGTTTCTGGCCCTGGGAGCTGGAAATGCAAAAGAAAAATGTCCACAGAAGCAACTGTCAGCCATGGAGGATGGAGAAATGGTGGATAAAGACCCCAGCTCCCTCCTGCTACAATTGGAATAACACTGAGTTCTCCTTTTCCTCTCCCATTCCCCCAGTTACCCCCACTTGATAGGACACCTCGTAGCAGCTTCCTTCTGTTTCCTGTATCTCCTTTCTCTACCAAGTGTTTCCTGGTGTCCCCTCCCACATAACCCACTTGCATCCGAATCCTTGTCTCAGGCCTGCTTCAGGGAGAACCTAGAGCAAGACATGTATTTTCCTGCTGTTCTCTTCCAACCACCCTTTCTTCCCTACTTTTTGGCCTTTTTTTTTTTTTTGGAGAGAAGAACTATTCTGCCATCTTGTCCTCAGCATAACATATCATAGCTTTTTATTTATCTCTCTCTTTTTTTCAAGCCTGAGAACATAATGCTTTTGGATAGAAATGTCCCCAAACCTCGGATCAAGATCATTGACTTTGGGTTGGCCCATAAAATTGACTTTGGAAATGAATTTAAAAACATATTTGGGACTCCAGAGTTTGTCGGTAAGTTTCTTTGCTCCTGTGGTCATTTACGTCTCATAAACATTATTCTGGCAAACCTCCCCTGCTAGAAGATTCTTTCCCTGCTACATGTTCCTGGTTGTTGCATGAAGATAGAATCGGTTAGTTTGCTTCCTCCCAAGCTAAATGAGTGTTTGTTTCCTCTTAGCTCCTGAGATAGTCAACTATGAACCTCTTGGTCTTGAGGCAGATATGTGGTAAGGAGTATGTCCTTGGTGTTGTTTGCTTTCTGATTTATTTGACTATTCTTCTGACATGTTTTTTTGTTTGTTTTGTGTTGTTTTTAGGAGTATCGGGGTAATAACCTATATCCTGTAAGTATCAGAATTCACAACTCATACTCTCTTCTCTTCTATGAGACCATAGGTTTAATTAACCATTAAATGTGCTGTGTTGATCTCTTCAGCTTATGCATGCTTTTGATGCAAACATATTCATTTTACACCCCCAAAACATGTTTAGTTTATACTAATTAAACATGTTCTCCTAATTTGAAATGAGTCATCAGAAACTGTAGCATAATCACTGAAAGAAAGCATAGCTGTCCATCACTGCCGAGAAAACAGGTTTCCTTTAAACTACCAGACGCTGTTCCAGATTAACTTGTTAAGTGAATCCTTTTGCCTGAAGCTGAAGCATTTGCTCCTGACAGTTAAAGCCCTATGAAATATAATCAAACTGTGACTATTCGAGCACCAGATTATAATCTTATTCCACACTCCAGATGTTATAGGAGCAAAATGACAACACCAAGGGGTCATCATTAATGTTCTATGCCCAACTTTATTTTTAACAGCCTAAGTGGGGCCTCCCCATTTCTTGGAGACACTAAGCAAGAAACGTTAGCAAATGTATCCGCTGTCAACTACGAATTTGAGGATGAATACTTCAGTAATACCAGTGCCCTAGCCAAAGATTTCATAAGAAGACTTCTGGTCAAGGATCCAAAGTGAGTGTCCACGTTCCTGAAAGGTGCTTGGCCACGGCCTCAGCCAGCCCAGAGCCTGTGTCTGTTCCATGCACAGGGCCACGTTCCTCAGACCCTGCTTGCTTCATCTGCCAAAGGGCAGCATGCCATGTGAAACGCTTCAGAAAATGCAAGCAGGGCCCTCTGCCCCCACTCAGTCAGTCCCTGCAGGCACAGTGAAATAATCACAAAAAGACCGATGTTGTTTTTGGCTTTCTTCCCTGAACTGCATTTTCCACAGTATCTGCTTGGCAGGCCCAGCCAGCATGAAAACAACCTTAGTATTTGCTGCTATGGTCACAGCATTTTTTTTCTTCTCCCCCTCCCCTCAAGGAAGAGAATGACAATTCAAGATAGTTTGCAGCATCCCTGGATCAAGGTGAGTTGCATATTACGAAACTGTTTAGATCACTTTCTATGTGATTGGTTTGGGCACCCTGGTATTCATGTATCATAGAGTACTGCTAACCACAGGTCACACCTGGAGTGTTAAGTTTGCTATTTGCATCGTATCTTAAGAAAAGCTGACAGGTTAGACTGTATACTAATGATCCCAGAGGTGGGGAGAGAGGAATAAGCGAGCACAGAGCAGGAACTGAAGAAGGTCAAGCCCACTCGACAACTGTGTTTGGAGTGACCTGTGGGGTGTTGGCCCAAACAGTGTATTTAACATTTTATGTTGATTCCAGCATGTAAATATCAATCAAATCTGGATTTCCAGCTTCTCTTGGGAAATCTGAAGATCTGCTGACACTGAGCCCTCATTCCACGTGGCCTTGGGAAGTGGCACAGGTGCCTTGGTGCTAGGGAACAGGGCGCCCTGGAACATTACACCTTTACATTACCTGCCTGGCCTGGTTGACATTTGGATTAAAGTATCTTCAATCCAGGGCAGAAAGGGCTAAGGGTGGGAAAGTATGATAGTTACAGAATAAAATCATGAAATAAAGAAGTGAACATCACAGAATCAGGCTCTGGGGGCAAATAGCTTTGCTGTGCAAGTTCCCAGCAGTTACCTGGGTTCTCCTAGCCAGCTATGGTGTCTCCTCCTCCCAGAGGTGGAGGACAAAAGCTAAATACATCTACTGAAAAAGATACAATACAAGGAATTCTCCTGCTATAGGCCAAACTAACTTTGCTGACCTCTGAGATCCCTCTCAGCTCTACATTACTTGATGATACCCAAGTTCAAATGCCTCATAACATAGCCTCACCATGAATATTGCCATTCCCAAACTATCAGTGTGGAAAGTTGTGATTTAGTTTGACCCCAAGCTCTACTTCTCCCCAGTGTCCATGGATGATACGAAACCCTGAGATAGAAGAGTGAGCCCGCTAAGACTAGGTGCCTAGGTATTCCATGTTATCCCAACTTCTTATGCTAATTTAATAAGGTGAATGTGTAAGCATCCTGAATAAGGAGATGTTTCAAAAAATTGTCATATAACACATTTTCATAATTTGAGAGCTTTAATTTTTTTTCTTGGATTTTTATTTTAGCCTAAAGATACACAACAGGCACTTAGTAGAAAAGCATCAGCAGTAAACATGGAGAAATTCAAGAAGTTTGCAGCCCGGAAAAAATGGAAAGTAAGATTGTTTGTTGTGGAGGGATTAACAAATTCTGTTTCCTGTGTAGAGTAGTGTGTGGTCAGGGTGCATCTCCTCTGATACTGGTAATATGGAAGATACATCCTTTCCTCTTTTTAATCCACCCTGTAGTGTTCTGCACCATTACTCTATTTTGAAAAACAAGCAAAAACAATATTTTAGTCACTTTAACTGATACCATTAAATGTAATTTTGTGTTGTTTTCATCAAAACTATTCTCAGTGCAAATTTTTATAGCAGCACTGTAAAATTATAGTGAAATTTTTTTCTAATACTACAAGCCACATTTTAAATAAATTCATTCTTTGTGGTAAGCAGCATGAGATTACATTTGTGCTGTACCTTGGGTAAGTGGGTCTCTCAGCCCAGCCTTTATCTGTGAGTGGTTGGAGTGGGGGTGGGGTGGGGCCGTGAGCATTTGCAGGGTGGCCTGTTCTCCTTCCTCAGTGTGGATGGCCTCCACAGGGGCTGGGTAGGACATTGCTCTGAAGGCATTGCAGACCTCCTGGAACAAATCACACTTCAGGGCTAAGAAGGTGATGGGATGGTTTCCTGTGCCCAGGGTCATGTCAAACCTAGAGGAAGTGGGTACCTACCGTGTCTTCCCAGCTCAGGGCCAGAAATGTACCTCGTTTTCACACCTACCAATTTTGGGGTGCCGTGGTAGGGATGAGGAAGACCACAGCACTAGATTCCCAAAAGTCCTTAGAATTAGGCTTAAAATAGAGAGAGAGCAACCATTTCTCTTTCTCGCTCTCATTCTTTAACTGTACTTTTGCCTTAGAGAGTAAATGCAGAGATGTTTGTTCTATAGACTAAGAGGTCCCCCAGCTGTTCACTTCCAACAGCTGTTGCGTTTTGGTTATCACATTGTCTACCATCACTGCTTATGTGGCACAAAGGACACAGAGCAAGGCCCCTGCAGTCTGTGCTTCTCTGAGGGTGATCTGCAAGGGTCAGATCACCTTCTCCAAACAGCAGAGAAGAAAATATAGAGAGAGAAAGGATGTGGGGTGTCCAGCTCTGTAGTTCAATAATGAAACATGGAAGGAGAATCTCTATATCCTGTTGTCTTGATTTATAAGACCTTTAAAATTATTCTTTAAGCAAATACAACCCATTCTGCTGTAGGATTGCCCACCCTGGGAGAGTGTGTGCTGATAGCAATGAACACGATCTCGCAGGCTTTGTCGTTTGTACTCATTTGACAATTGTTACATAAGCTGTCTCTCCTCCTCTCACCCTGCCTTTTTCCTCCCCGCCCTCCCTTTTTTTTTTTTTTTTTTTAAAAAAAAGCAATCCGTTCGCTTGATATCACTGTGCCAAAGATTATCCAGGTCATTCCTGTCCAGAAGTAACATGAGTGTTGCCAGAAGCGATGATACTCTGGTAAGCAAACCCGTGAGCCCTGGTGCTCCTTTCTTAGCACTGGGTACTCAGAATGACCAAGCTGTTCTATTTGTTCAACCTCCCAGGAACCTGAAGTTGTGGAAATGGCAAGCTTATTCTTGATCCCCTCGGAGGGGTTTGGGGGTGCTGATTGATGCACCCTCTTGCTTCTTTCCTCTTTTTTTCTCTTTGATTTGGATGGTGCTGTCCCCCCTCATAGCCCCATACCTCTAACACTACCCTCCACCTCGATGCAAACATAAGCACAGACCACCCCCGCAACACACACACATACACACATGCACAGCAAATGCACACACATAGAGACACACGCACTGATATTTTGGTAAAAGAGAGGCTAGCCAGCAGAAGAGAAAAGAGCTTATCCTAATTTTCATGAACTGTAGCCACTGACATAGAAGAATCTTGGTTAACAGTAGCACAGAAGGGGCAGACAGCCGCCACTCCCTTCCCACACACCCACACCAGAGAATCAGGGAGAATGCAGTGCTGCTTGCTGATGTGTCTCCTAGCAGACCAGAAGGCCAAACCTGCTTGCATGATTGGCCTGGTGTTGACTGCCCAAGGCCCTTGAATGTAACTCCAACTTTCTTAGTTTTAATGTGAACTTTGACAAAGTGGCAAAGATTTATCAAATTTGTTGTTCGGTACTCTCTAGTTATTTTTCCTTTGTAATTAGAAATGCATTTATTTTCCAATTTCTAGCCTTTATTTTCTTTATTTTCCCCTCTAATCCAAACTGAAACCTAATCACAGATAAGCTCTTCAGATACGAGTGGAAGTGTCCGAATTCAACAAGACTTTCCCCTGACAATCAAACAACGGGGCTTTGTTAAGTCAGGAGGTGAAGGGGACTCCAGACAAGGCAGCCACGGTTGTCCTGCGGGAACTACCCTGCCCCTTTAACTGAATAGTCAGCATTTTCCCGGTGGAGCCAAGTACTTCAGGGTGGGAACTGCAAACACCAAGCTCCCCTTTTTTCTCCTTAAGTTAGTAGCTTCACTGAGGCTTCACATCTAGCCTTGTGGAGTGAAATGGGATTGGAGATGTTTGAAAAAAAAAGCAAAAGAGAAGCAGATTAGGGCGAGAAGAGAGAGAAGAGGAGGCTTTGTTTGGGAATTGTTAGAGGGTGGCTGCACAACCAGTGAAAAGATAAAAACTGTGACTCTAGGTAAGATAATGAGAATGATTAAAGATTGCAAATTGAAATCACTGAATATTCAACTGAGAGACAATACATGTGTCACAGTGAAAAGTTTAGGGTAGGAGAGGGACCAAGGGTCTTGTAGGAGCTCCAGGTGGAAAGATACCCTCCCAGAGGTCAGATTCCCTTATTTCCATATTCTAATCATGGGGATGAGTCATAACAATCTGCTTTATT
This sequence comes from Homo sapiens, assembly GCF_000001405.40. Taxonomy (NCBI): domain Eukaryota; kingdom Metazoa; phylum Chordata; class Mammalia; order Primates; family Hominidae; genus Homo; species Homo sapiens. Next base: position 87,644,871 of record NC_000009.12, read on the forward strand.
CCTTCTGTTTTCCCCATTTCTCTTGACTTGCACTTTCATGTAAACGCCTCTTAGTCATTGACTTCAATTGTGATAGAAAAGCATTCTTAAACATGCATTTTATACAAATATTACTAAAACCCACATGAAAAGTGTTTGGATTCAGATCTATAGAGAAGAGAAAGCAGATGGAGAGAAATGCTTTCTCCATTCTCCCCCACAAGCAGAGATTCAGCCTCTGTAGATTAACTTTTCCAGATTTGAAATTCCAGTGGTCATAATTCTGTGTTTATAAGTTCAGAAATTTTGTTTAGGATTTTTCTAGCTAATTCCTTAGTTTTAATGTGAATTTTGAAAGAGTGGCAAAGATTTTTCCAGTTTTTGTTCACTACTCTTCCAGTTATTTTTCCTTTGTAATTAGAAATGCATCAGTTTTCTGATTTCTAGCCTTTATTTTCTTTATTTAGAGCCTATTGTTTTAATTTTTATTTTTCTGTTTTTTATAATTGGGACCAGCTTTCAGAGATTTTTGCCGTGTTATTCTATACCTAGCAATGGAAGAAATTCAAGTGATCAGAAAACAATTCTGTAATTGGAAAAATTGCAAATTGAGAATATCTTATTCAAAGGTATCATTTCTTTGCTGCAATAGGCTTTTCTTTTTCCTTATCCAGGAAGAGAGTCTGTGTTATACCTAAAAATTTTCACAGTGGTTTTAGGAACTATGTTTTGACAGATTCTTAAGATAAACACAAAGGGTTACTTATCATCATTATTTGAAATCTGGATCTTGGACATTGTGTCTCTGGGCTATACTGCAGGTGATATTAAAGCCCAGATAAAGAGTAGATAGTGCTTGTTTGCAACATGGAAGGGGCAAAAATTCCTTCCTAGGTCCCTCCATGACTGTATGGATTTGGGGAGTAAATGGCTTACTTTCCTCTGAATGCCCCTGTTAACAAGTGAGCACAGGTTTCTTTTATGTTGGTAAGAAAAGCATGGCTAGCAATGTAACTCTGTTTCCATCTTGGCTGTCTCTCTCAAGGATGAGGAAGACTCCTTTGTGATGAAAGCCATCATCCATGCCATCAACGATGACAATGTCCCAGGCCTGCAGCACCTTCTGGGCTCATTATCCAACTATGATGTTAACCAACCCAACAAGGTCTGGTTCTGTTCTGCCGCATACTGGAGGGGTGGGTCACAGCGACCTTGCCCTTCCATATCCAAGGAAAGACCCCATCTGCTTCTCCATTCTCCCTTCCAATTGGAAGCTCCATACTGTGGGGAAAATCACTTCTGTTTAGAAAGTGATTTGAGTTACAAATAAGGTCTTTGTGCATTGAGGGCCTTCCTTCATTCACGTATTGTATCTCTACCCATGAAATTTTAGATCTTCTCATCCTGCTAATGAAAATGTCCCTGATGATGAGAATCCAAAAGGGGAAGGAAAGGTTTTATACCCTTCCACCTGTCTTCTCTTCCTGCCACGCAGTGGTAGCTCTATGTCTGTTGAGACAGGGGAAGGTGTGTGGTAACAGCAATCATCGTTTGGGCTTTTCCTTTCCTACCAAACCTGAAAATTAGTAATTTTTTTCTTGCCTATTCTAGCACGGGACACCTCCATTACTCATTGCTGCTGGCTGTGGGAATATTCAAATACTACAGTTGCTCATTAAAAGAGGCTCGAGAATCGATGTCCAGGATAAGGTCATAATTGTTTTATTGAAATGAATTGAATTTTAAAGTATTTTCAAGTGTCTCTTAATCATAGGGGTAACAGAGGAAAAAAATTTATGTCCTAACTTGTTTCTCAGTTTCCTGTAAAGGAAGATGAGCTGCTTTTAAACAGCTTGGTACAGCCTGACACATGGGTTAAAGAGGCAAACATTTATCATTTATCCTCCCCTTGGCGCTGCTGCTTGACATCAGCATTTCTTTGTACACTACCCAGATTTTACTTCTTACCGATCACATTTACTCAACAATGTTAGATGTCACACATGAAAAAGTTTTGTTATCTAATTATTCTCATCAGAAATTTGTTTGCCTGCTTCTGCAGACGTCAGCAGAGCTGTAAGTGGAGTAGATCTGGCCCTCTGCAGTAAGGGAATCCTAACCAGAGAGGGGAGATGAGGGTTTACAAACATAAAATAATTGTTTATAAGCAATTGTTTATTTTGAAATCATTTTTGATTTACAAAAAAAAGTTGGAAAAGTGGTACAGAGAGTTCCATCATTCGCTTCACCCAGGTGCCCCTAATGCTAGCATCTTGTGTAACCACGGTACATTTGTCAAAGGTGTAAAATAGAATGAGGGTTTTATTCCTCTGGGAAGTTGCTCCTCTGGGGTTTGTCATCACACAGGAAGGGAAATAACAGTGAGTCTGAGGAATGCATGCATCTGGTGCTGTCAGCTCCCTAGAAATGTGACCCCAGGTTGATTTTCCTGCAGGGCGGGTCCAATGCCGTCTACTGGGCTGCTCGGCATGGCCACGTCGATACCTTGAAATTTCTCAGTGAGAACAAATGCCCTTTGGATGTGAAAGACAAGGTAAGGCCACTTCTCTTAGGAGGAACATGAGGTGGTAGTAAATGGATGCATGTGAGTGTGAGTGCTGGCCTACCGTGTGCATCGGGACCCAAAGGAAAGGAATCAGGACCAGAATTCACCTGCAGAACATTTAAGTTGGAAATGTCTTGTTGCCTGTGGTTTGGTCTAATACTGAAATCAGCCTTAAGTCAAAATCTTTCAGGTAGTTGCCATAATACGCACGCATTGAATTATAATCCCCATAACATAAAAACCTCAAAGTTCTAGTACAGACAACCAGAGAGAGACCTCGGTCTCGATTCGATTTTCTTCCTGACTCAACCTTGTGCTTTTAAGCGGATCTCTCCTATTCTCTTCTTCTTTGAAGTGGCTGACAGTGCTGACCTGACAATCACAGACACTAGAAGATATTAATGAGACAATGCACATAAAGTAATAAAGTAAGGCTTTTTTTTGGCACAACGGTGTTATAAAAGTTACTGATTTATCAAGATACCTTGTTTTCATATGTGTGTGTTTCATTCAGTTCACACAACAATCCTGTGAATTAATTGGCTGTGCTGGAACCTGAACCTGGAATTCCTACCTACTCATCCATTATTTATTCTACTGTACAATACTTCTCTGCTTCCAGTACTGGCAGACTAATTTGACGTTTAGTCAAGCTGCCACATGCAGTTGCATGGGTTGTGCACTGCACCATATCTGAGGGGTAACATTCATATCAGAGACACGCATTTATTATGGCAGTTTTCTGGAAGGTGGCAACACTATATCTTGTTTTGTCTTCTTAAAATTTGTTTATTCTGATGATTTTCTGTGGGGTGGATAGAAGTAAAGTATCTTAAAGGATTTGCACTTGTTACTAATTCACAGAAAGTTATTGCATGGGCAAATAGTGACATTCTTTAAAATTTCTGAGAAAATCTCTGAGAATATAAGAAAATAAGTTTCTAATCATAGGCAATGAAATGAGAAGCTTATTAATAAATAAAATTGTTCATTTAAGTAACTGCTGAATGATGAACCCAATAGTAAAAAGAGAGTGTTGTGTTTAAAGAGAAAATCACACAGCTAGAAGTATCAGCACATAAAGAAGACTGAGAACAGCTATCATGGAAAAGGGAGAGCCTTCTCCTGAGTTGTTTGCACTTCACAGGATGAGCCAAGTATGTGGGCTTAATACTCACTGTGTGGTGGACACCCCAACCTCAGGTCCCCATCCTAGCCACTATAGGGGCATCTGCCCAAGGTGGGTGGGTGGAACCAAAGGGGACAGAGTGGAACCAGGCAGGCCTGGGTGTAGGCCTTGGGTTCTGGTCTCCATAGCCTGCTCACAGATGTGGCTCTGAATCACCGGCTCCTTTTCTTCTGCAGTCTGGAGAGATGGCCCTCCACGTGGCAGCTCGCTATGGCCATGCTGACGTGGCTCAGTTACTGTGCAGCTTCGGCTCAAATCCCAATATCCAGGACAAGGTGGGTCGTGACTGACATCCTCCCTTCCTCTGCTCTATACATGAATGTACAGGCAGCCAGATGGTACAGTCGGGGCCTTTAGAGTTTTATCCAAGCTAGGCTTTCTGTCTTCCCCTACAGAGGGCAAGGCTCAAGGGGCAGGGACTCAAACAGAAGTACTAGCTAAGGTGTGCAAGGTGCTAATGCCAGGATCAGGTCTAACCACTTGATTCATTCATGCATTCAATCTGCTGAACAGCCCTATGAGGTGGATTACTGTTATCATTCTCATTTTAGAGATGAGGAAATTGAGACAGGGAAAGTTTCTGTAACTTTCCCAGGCTCACAAAGCTCAGAAGTGGTAGAGCTGGGGCTTGAACACACACAGTCTGGTTTCAGAGTCCACCTTTGTAACCACCGCCGCACTAGGATGGCCTCTCATCGGTGCATATATGTATCTAGCGATGTTGATCCTGAAGATACAGGCCTCACGGTCTATAAGGACTTCCCTTGACTTGTTCAAGTGTGGCTCTCCTAATTACCTTCTTGCCAAAGCAACAATACTGTTACCACTCACCTTGTGTTGTAAACATGACAGAAAGCTAGAGGCATTAAGGTTGCTGGAAGAATTCATGCTCAGGGAAGTGGTTACCTACTGTTAGTAGTTTCAGATAAAGTCAGCGAGGCACTTATTAGAAAGATGCTGCAATGCACCTGCACGAAGGCTCTATTGTTCAGACAAGCAGGGCCGATGGTTTCAACGGGCTCCCGAAAGTCAATTGTCAGTCATATGCTTGAGAAAGCCAAATTCATCAAACACACAAGTGTTGAGGAAGGAAAACTAATGAAAGAGAGACATCAGATCTACCTCTTAATGCTGGTGGCTCACACTCATGTTGTTATTTTATTCCAGATTAATATTTCACTCCAATACCTATGAGCTCTTTCCCTCTGCTGCCTTGGTTGCGTTTCTGCCAAATTTGACAGGGACTCTCACCTTGCTTTATACTTTGTTTCTCATTATTGTGTTCTCCTCCTCTCTGTACTCGTCTCCTTGGCCAGGAAGAAGAAACCCCCCTGCACTGTGCTGCTTGGCACGGCTATTACTCTGTGGCCAAAGCCCTTTGTGAAGCCGGCTGTAACGTGAACATCAAGAACCGAGAAGGAGAGACGCCCCTCCTGACAGCCTCTGCCAGGGGCTACCACGACATCGTGGAGTGTCTGGCCGAACATGGAGCCGACCTTAATGCTTGCGACAAGGTGCCTTATGGGGGAAGACTCATATGCACTGGGAAGTGATCTAGGGGTCTAGAGGGACCACAAGACTCCTCAGTTTGTTTCCCTAAGATAACAAACTTGAATGCAGCAAACTGTAATTACCCCGTCTCTTCTCTGTTCCAAAGATTCTGTGAACTTTTCTATATTGTATTTAATAGTTAATATTAATTTATGGCATATAACAAAATTCATGAGTTGATCAATTGACTTTGGTCTCTAAATAATTTTTAGCTTTTTTAGCTTTAGAGCAGGTACAGTGATGTTCACTGAATCCGAGACAATTCTCATTGAGGACTGACATTGGCAACACGCTATTAATTTTTAGATAAACAAAGAAATAGATGTTTTACTTATTTCTATCATCCGCTGTGTTGTAAAAAGACAATAAACCACTCTTGTCTGGCAATCTCGATGCTAGACCAGGTTTAATTAAACAAATTCAGCCTCATCTGTTTTTATTGTGATCTGTACTTAAAACAAGCCTGTGATGTTGCTATATACGGTTAGATTTGGGATTCTGTAGTTAATTTAATATCTGCCCTTTGTGAAGTTATTTTCTTTGTATAGAGCAATGGTTCTGGGTCGGGGGCGACTTTGCCCCCAGGGGTGTTTGATAATGTCTGGGGATACTTTCTGGTTGTCACAGCTAGAGATGGGGGTTGCTACTGGCATCTCGTCGATCCCAGCCAGTGGTGCTACTAAACATCCTGCAGCTCACAGAGCAGCCCCCTCGACAGAGAATCACCCAGCTCCAAATGCCAATAGCGCTGAGGCTGAGAAACCCTAGCACAGTAGGTTTTAGAAATGTTTCAGAACTCTCCACCCAGCTCCTAAAACTCAACACATCTATTCATTAGGGATTCTGTAATAGGTAGAATGAATGCCCGGGCTGGTTTTTCATGGGATGCAGAGGTTACACATGTTAAATCTGCTTCTCATTTATATGACAGCCCTTGAGCAAGTTATTTCACAATACTTTCACATTTTTCCTGGTGCAAGGTAAAATAATAGGCTCTCTATTTAGGAAATTGGCAGAGATTGCTGGGCAAATGTTTTTAAAAGTGTTTTACAAATGCTTTGATTAAAGAGGCCATTGGAGTATCAACAATTACTTATGTTCTATCTGATTGTACTGCTGAAGCCTAAATGAATCAAGCTAGTGTTCAGCTTAGGCTGTGATTATTTAGAGAGGAATATGTAAAGCTCCGCATCCTCCCAGTCCTTACCCCTGCTATAGGAGTAAAGTTTCTTCATTTAAATCCTCCACTAGGGCTTTTAGTAGTGATCTTGTTGCCAATTAAACCTCACTCGATGGCGGCAGAAAAGGTGAAGAGACGGAGGCCACATGCCCAAGTGAAAAGCTCTCATGATCTCTGGGGTTTGTTTCCAGGACGGACACATTGCCCTTCATCTGGCTGTAAGACGGTGTCAGATGGAGGTAATCAAGACTCTCCTCAGCCAAGGGTGTTTCGTCGATTATCAAGACAGGCACGGCAATACTCCCCTCCATGTGGCATGTAAAGATGGCAACATGCCTATCGTGGTGGCCCTCTGTGAAGCAAACTGCAATTTGGACATCTCCAACAAGGTATGCACAGAGAACAGGATCCCTACAGCTTCCAACTGTGTCCATCCACCCGATTCTGGGTCCTGATTCTGTGTCCTCTCACCTGATCCCAGGTCCTGATTCTGTGTCCTCCCACCTGATCCCGGGTCCTGATTCTGTGTCCTCCCACCTGATCCCGGGTCCTGATTCTGTGTCCTCTCACCTGATCCCGGGTCCTGATTCTGTGTCCTCCCACCTGATCCCGGGTCCTGATTCTGTGTCCTCCCACCTGATCCCGGGTCCTGATTCTGTGTCCTCCCACCTGATCCCGGGTCCTGATTCTGTGTCCTCCCACCTGATCCCGGGTCCTGATTCTGTGTTCTCTCACCTGAACCCGGGTCCTGATTCTGTGTCCATCCCCCCGATCCTGGGTCCTGATTCTGTGTCCATTCCCCCGATCCTGGGTCCTGATTCTGTGTCCTCCCACCTGATCCCAGGTCCTGATTCTGTGTCCATCCCCCCGATCCCGGGTCCTGATTCTGTGTCCTCCCACCTGATCCCAGGTCCTGATTCTGTGTCCATCCCCCCGATCCCGGGTCCTGATTCTGTGTCCTCCCACCTGATCCCAGGTCCTGATTCTGTGTCCTCCCACCTGATCCCGGGTCCTGATTCTGTGTCCTCCCACCTGATCCCGGGTCCTGATTCTGTGTCCTCCCACCTGATCCCGGGTCCTGATTCTGTGTCCTCCCACCTGATCCCGGGTCCTGATTCTGTGTCCTCCCACCTGATCCCGGGTCCTGATTCTGTGTCCTCCCACCTGATACCAGGTCCTGATTCTGTGTCCATGCCCCCGATCCTGGGTCCTGATTCTGTGTCCTCTCACCTGATCCCGGGTCCTGATTCTGTGTTCTCTCACCTGATCCCAGGTCCTGATTCTGTGTCCTCCCACCTGATACCAGGTCCTGATTCTGTGTCCATGCCCCCGATCCTGGGTCCTGATTCTGTGTCCTCTCACCTGATCCCAGGTCCTGATTCTGTGTCCTCCCACCTGATCCCGGGTCCTGATTCTGTGTCCTCCCACCTGATCCCGGGTCCTGATTCTGTGTCCTCCCACCTGATCCCAGGTCCTGATTCTGTGTCCATCCCCCTGATCCCAGGTCCTGATTCTGTGTCCATCCCCCCGATCCCGGGTCCTGATTCTGTGTGCTCCCACCTGATCCCGGGTCCTGATTCTGTGTTCTCTCACCTGAACCCGGGTCCTGATTCTGTGTCCTCCCACCTGATCCCAGGTCCTGATTCTGTGTCCATCCCCCCGATCCCGGGTCCTGATTCTGTGTCCTCTCACCTGATCCCAGGTCCTGATTCTGTGTCCTCCCACCTGATCCCAGGTCCTGATTCTGTGTCCATCCCCCCGATCCCGGGTCCTGATTCTGTGTTCTCTCACCTGATCCCAGGTCCTGATTCTGTGTCCATCCCCCCGATCCTGGGTCCTGATTCTGTGTCCATCCCCCCGATCCCGGGTCCTGATTCTGTGTTCTGTCACCTGAACCCGGGTCCTGATTCTGTGTCCATCCCCCCAATCCTGGGTCCTGATTCTGTGTGCTCCCACCTGATCCTGGATTTTGGCCAAGTTTCTATTTGCATGTGTTTGTTGTTGAAAGTGAATATTACTTATATGGACATGTACTTTTTTATAGCGTTTTGCCATCTTAAGTTGCATTTTACATGTGACTTTTGAATAATTTCATAGATAAACAGAAAATTATTATAATAAGTACTTTTTGCATAACTCAGTGTACACTGATGGAAATCCCGTGTGTGTGTATGTATGTGTGTGTGTGTGTACATGCATGTGAGCATGAGGCTCTGTAGAGGAATCAGAGAAGCATGGTAAAATTGTAACATCTTTCTAGAGCACTAAGTCTTCAGGAAAATGTCTAGTGACATTAAGATTTGATCCCAGGACTGTATTTCTCTTTTTTATTTTATTTATTTATTTTATTTATTATCATTATTATTATTTTTTTTGAGACAGAGTCTCACTCTTGTCACCTGGGCTGGAGTGCAGTGGCCCAATCTTGGCTCGCTGCAACCTCTGCCTCCTGGGCTCAAGCGATTCTCATGCCTCAGCCTCCTGAGTAGCTGGGATTACAGGCTCATGCCACCATGCCCTGCTAATTTTTGTATTTTTAGTAGAGACAGGGTTTCACCATGTTGGCCAGGCTGGTCTCGAACTCCTGACCTCAAGTGATCTGCCCGCTTCAGCCCCCCAATGTGCTGGGTTTACAGGCATGAGCCATCACACCTGGCCCTATATTTTTCTGCTTAGCTTTCCGCATTGAGAGTTTTATGGGCAAAAGTTCCTACTACCGTTTTTTGTGCTAAATAAATGTGGTAAGACTAAAGAGATGCTATCATTTGGTGAAAAATGGAGAAATGAAAATAACTGTGCTTTTAGGTTCATAAAAAATGTTGACTTCTAGATTTTAGCCAGCACCTTCCCTTTTCTCTGAATTCCATATAGATGTTCATTACCAAACAACACAGACTATTGCAGATTCCTGTGATTTTGGCCCTGTAGCTGTATTAAAGACAAGCATTATGCCATTACGATTATGCTAAAAATGAAGTCCAAGCACAATTAATTTTTTAATTTCAGGAAATGTTTATCAATGGCATATACAATGCCAGTAGGATTCTAGTATGGTTTGTTGGAGGTAAAAGGATATCTGAAACAGCTGGAAAGTTATACTTTTATGTACACTTATTCCTTTTGCATGTTATGTGATTAACTCAAGCAGAAATTGAAATTGGTAATTTCACATTCTGAGACTGTGTGGAAGGGCAGTATCCCAGGTTTTAGCCATTAGCTGCTGGTTGCTTTCTTAGTTTGTCCCGTTTTAATCTTGCCAAGTCAGTTGTGTAAGTGGCTTAAGGGGAAAGCCAAGTGTAATATGAAGTAGCATCAAGACCTTGGGTTTCCATCTAGGATTCTTTAAATGAATCAAAAGCAGCTTCAAGGGACATCTGCACTTATTTGACTCTCTGTAGACATTCCCACTGTGCACCCAGGGGTCTACTATGTGTGCAGCATCTAGAATCAGCTCTCCCCTTGTGAGAGGAGAGAGGAGGAGCTGAGCATCTCATGGTGCTTTGCCCTAACCTCAACAGGGAATGTGTTCTTCCCAGTTTCACTCCATACCTAAATGTACAACTTCACTTGTTAAATACACTCTTCAAAAAATCCACAAGACAGTCCCAGACTTTCATGTTTTGAAACCACTGGCTTATTTACTGGAAAAGTCTCACATTTTTCAGGCTGCAAATATCTATAAGTAAAGTCGATAAATGCTGACATAAACTTGTGTAATCACTGTCTGTGGCAGAGCAGCTGTACATAGAGGGCCTTCTGTAGATGATTTTGTCATTGAATGAAGCTCAGCTGATGTGAAAATCATCAGTTCCAGTTTCAACCCCTTGGAATTAGCAGCAAAATTCAGACCCGTAATTCAGAGCCCATCTGGACAGAAGTGTGCTGGTTCCACACAAGCTCTGCATCTCTGCCCCCGCAGACAGGCTCCCCAGGTTGGCTTTGATGCTCCCATCATCAGCACACCCTGACTTTGGGGATCTCACAGCTTCTTCAGAAGGGTTGCTGTCAGGCTTGTTTTGCTATTTTTTTTTTTAAAGGAAAGGTGATGGGGGCTTTAGAAGGGCTTAAAAGAAGCACAGGTACGTAACAGAAGGCATCGCTTCCTACCAAAGCACATCCAGCTTTCTAGAGACTCACTCAAGTAACTGATTGTGAGCGTGGGGTGGCATCCACATTCTACAAGGAGGCTGTTGCTCTTTCTCCATTGCGTGGTCTTGCCTTTTCCTTATCTGAATTAAGTTCCTCCAGAAATAAAAATGGCCATTCAAATCCTACCCTGTCACCAGTATGTGACAGGACCTCATGGCTATGTTTGACGCTAATGCAGTGAAACAGACATTTCTGCATTCTTCCTCCTTCTCATATGGAAATCAGGAGAGTGGCCGTTTAACTTGCCGTGTTAGAAAGCACGGAAAGGAAAGGGAATAGATGGCGCAGAATGCATGGCCCTTACCCATTTGTCCCTCTTTAAGTCGGTGCTTCCCATAAGGACAGACAGAAGGCACGCTGTGCACACGCACACATCTGGGAGGATGAGAGAGGACTCCCTGCCTGTCAGGTGTTTATCGAGGCCCTTCCAGGGCAGCACTGTGCCCAGCGCAGAGGGAGGAACTCGTAGATGCCAAGGTGAATGGCTTTGCCCTCAGGCTACTTTTAGACACACTCAAATTCAGATGTAGCAGCATCTCATGTTGTCATTGCTGCTGTGATGGGCATAAGGTGCTCCAGAAACACAGAAGCAACAATTCAGATATTAAAGAAATCAGGGAAGGCTTTTCAGAGTTGATCACTTAAGATGATCGAGGCTTTGACAGATGGAGAAGAGGGAAGCCTGTTTTCCACCAAGGGAAGCCAGTGTGTCTGCCGTGGGCTGTCGCTGACACACGGCGGGTGTTGGGTAGGTATTTAGGGAGGGGGTTATGGGGAAGGGAGAAAATGAAGCTGGAGACGTTGGGTCCAGGTGTGGCAGACCTGGAATTTAAGGCTAAGGGGTTTGGTGTCATTCTGTCCCAACCTGGGCCCTTCAACAGTGGCCGTTTCCTCTGCCCTTTTCTTCATCACACTCTCTTCCTCAGCTTTCTTCCCTTCTAGAAAACTGTGCATTCTACAACCAAAATTACATCTCCCTTACATTGCATCTTCTAAACATTTCACCCAGTCTTCAAAACTTTCCCTTTTCCTTCTCACGTGAACTCTAGGATGCTTGAAAGCTTAATATCTGTTTTCTGCATTACTGCAGAAGATAATAATAAAGAAATATGAATGTATCCCACACTGCAGCAGTGTTTACACTAGCCGGGAATTGGAGCTGCCTAGCCTCCCGCCTCAGTGGCTGAATGAATCATGAGAGCCACACAGTGGACGCGATTCAGGCATTCACGAGAATGTGATCCCTCCCGTTACAGGCATGGAAAAGTGTTCCCAATCTACTGTTAGGTGGACAAAGCAAGGGACAGAGTGGGAGGTGGGCTATGACCACATCTCGGCTGTTTAAATTATTTCTCTCCTGTTGAGGATTCATAGATAAGAGCTTGGGAGGAAATGGACAAAAATGTTAAACAGGGACAGCTCTGAGCTAGGGAGCTTGAGAGTAAGGGGGGAGGGGAGAAGGAAGATTTTTATTTTGTATTATGTTTTTCTAGGTTGCTTGGATTTTTAAAAAGAGCATGTGTTAACTTTATAACAAAAACTGATATTTAAAAATACATAGCATTAAAAAAAATTCCCAAACTTTCTCAGTTCACAACATCCTCAGGGTTTCAGTAATTAGTTTTTTCATGGTTCCCCTAGATCAAAAGAAATCCCTAACAGTTCTGTTCATTGAGTGGTTCAGTCCAAACAACTTAGTAACCGCTTATGTCCTAACAGCTTAGCAGCAGCTAAGAAAGATAATACACATAAACGGAAAGAAAACTAATATTTTCTTTTCCTTCTTCCATGACCACATTACGTACAATCTGATGAGTGCTCCCGTTGGGCACTGCACTTCTGAAACCTTGGACTCAGAGTGGACACGGCCTCATTTCCTGTCCACAGTGATTTCCTCAAGACTCTTGGTTCCTCTCAGGGCAGCTACCAACCCCCCGCTGTGAGAGACATGATGTCATGGAAGGCAGGGTGGTGCAGTCTAATGATGACACTCTGCACCTCTTCAAGCGAGTAGTTCACCTGGTCTCAGAACCATGTTTCTTATCAAAAACTTTAGATATTCCTGGGCACCCCTATGAATTCAGTACAGTTCCCTGGGTTACCTTGGCACACAATTTGGGAACCATAGGCACAAACAAGGCTTATGGGCTTGTCCTGGTATTTTCACTAATTAGGATGTCTTCAATATCTGTCTTCCATGTCTTCTTCCCTGGCTGTGTCTAAATTTGAACTATGGTGCAGATCTTGCTGGAACTCTGGACCTTGAGCCCTTGACTCCTGTCTCTTTCAGGCCAGCACAGCAGGAAACTTACTTAAGTTATCTTTGAAGTTGTATTTTGAAGCTCCTCTTTTAATTGCAAAGTACTTGGAAAGGTTCTGCCTGGCTGGCCTGCCCCAGTGGAGAGCAAGTTTCAGGAGAAGGGAGATGGCTCCTTCCTCCTTTCTGGTGGGCCCTGACCCCTTCCTTAACCTTGTGTCTCCGGAATGTCATCCTCAGCAACTGCGTGAGAAGAACGACCTTTGGCCTTTTTTCTCTCTTCCCAGTATGGGCGAACGCCTCTGCACCTTGCGGCCAACAACGGAATCCTAGACGTGGTCCGGTATCTCTGTCTGATGGGAGCCAGCGTTGAGGCGCTGACCACGGTGAGTGCCCACAGGGCTTCGTGAAGGAGGGAGCTGCTGGGAGCCTCTGGCGCCTCCAGGGCAGGAGGGACAGGGCTTGTATGGCAACTCTGCATTCTGAAGCAGCCAGGCTGCTGTTCAGCCATAGCTCCTCCACTGCGGTAACATAGACATTCGCCTACACATGCCCAGCCTAATGTCTCCTTAATGTTCGTCCTCTTCTCATCTCACCACACCCTGCTCTGCCAGGGATTCCGCTGCTTCCCGCTGGCCTTTTTGTTTTTCATGTCACACACCAGGGCCCCTGCATGGTGGGGTGTGTGTACTTCCCCTTCCTAAATGCTCCTCTGCCCCAGGGTGCTGGAGCCCCTGCCCTTTAGAAGGAGCTGGGGGAGGAAGAATCCTCAGTGGGTGTTGGGTGCAGTCTCCACATTTACCCCACAAGACCAGGCTGCCAGGTGCCGTAAGCAGGAGTTGCTTAAAGAGTCAGGCATTGCTTTAGGCCTGTGGAGTATTTTAAGTGAGATTTCTTCAGTTCTCTCACTCCCTGCTCCCGATGCCAGACCTAGCACCTCCCTGCTGAGGAAACCCTTTGATTCACATTTCATGAAATACCCAAGAAGGAAAATGCATCAGCTAATGAGGTATGGTTGCAATTTTATGGCTGCAGTGAAATAATATCATTCGAGTGTTTGCTGGCCTGAGAGTAGGCTGACTGTCCAGTCTTTGTGGGACAGTCCTGGACTCACAGATGAGAGCTTTACTGACAGAGGGTGATTCTCTGAGGAGACCAAGAGGGCCTCATTTCCTGGAGATCATCCAGAGGTTAGCAAACCATGGCCCACGGGCCATATCCCGCTGCTGGTCTTTGTAAATGAAGTCTTATTGGGACACAGCCATGCCCAAGGTTTGTATTGGCCCTGGCGGCTTCCACGCCAGGTGTCAGAGCTGAGCAGCTGTGACAGAGACCATATGGGCCACAGAGCCGAAACACCTACTTGCCTGGCCCTTGACGGAAAATGTTTGCTGACCGCTGGGGCTAGGATGTCGCCTCCCCGAATGCACTCATGTTACTGGGATGTCATTCCCTCCCCAGAAGTAATAGGTCTGATCTGTGCAGTGGGGGGCCCAGCTCTGTGCTTTCTCTGCAGGCCCAGTTATTACCAGTACTCCGCATGGGGTGAGGCCCCTTTCTAGGGCACCTGGTCACCCACCGCAAACGCACACACCATACCCACATCACCCTGCTGTGCCTGACTTGCTAGATCTTGTTGGCCATTGTCAAGCCCTGCCCAGCCATGCTTGGGCACAGGTTCCAGTTACTCCCTAATAGAGCATTTATATGCATTTTCAAGACGAAGAAATATTTTTGTCCTATGTGTGGCCTCATGAAAGACCCAGCCAGGCCATTATTGAAGATGCCAGCAGCTGACGCTGCTGATTCCCGCAGTGCGGGTTGGGGCTGCTGAAATGTGCGGCCCCCTCTGTAGGGTCCCTCCGTGAGCCGCGGGCCCCTCTGCCCTTGCCCACGACATCTGTATCAGTGGTCCCCGCCTGGCTCCTCCTCAGGTCCCTCCGTGCACCTCCTTGCTCTCCCGCTTGCCACCGCAGGAAAAGCGTCTTCTGTCCCCAGGCCCCTCCCACGGTGCCCAGAGCTAACCTCAGAGCCGCACCCGCAGCGCTCATTCTGCAGCCCCCTCAGTCACTCTGCACACACCGCACCCGCAGTCACTCCGCACACACCGGGGGCACAGTGAGAGCGGGGAGTCCAGAGGGACAAGACAGGCACGCGCCCCTCAGGAGACTTCTGGAAATGGGAGAGGGATGCTGACCTGAGAGTCATAGCCGTCAATTACAGTCACTGAATGGGACCGCGTGGTGACAGGAAGGAGTGGGTCCTGAGGGCGTGGACAGGGGCTGGGGGCGCCCCTGCGGGAGGCATTGCTGGAACCTGCAGGCCAGGCCCCGTCCTCAGCCGGACAGAGTCCCGGGAGGATCTCCCTGCCCTGTTCAGGACCGGAGCTCAGCGGCCTCCAGTGCCCTCCTGCGGTGGGAGCACAATGTCTGGAGCTGGCGTGGAGGCCCAGGAGATGGGAGGGTGAGCAGAGCTTGGTGGGCCCGGCCTTCCCCGCAGGGAACCGGGGCTTCCTCTCCCGTGGGCAGCCAGGGGAGGGTTCCGCAGGGCCGGGGAGACCCTCCAGACTGGAGGGCATTACTGGGGGCGTCGCCCTCAGAAACGTGACCACACCACATCCCTCGGTTTAAGTTTCCTAGCAGCCACATGGAAGAAGGAAAAAGAAACAGGAAATGAATTTCAATAATATATTAGCACAAGATATGCAAATATTATCATACCTGTCAATAAATTTATTGATTGATTTATTATTTGTATATATTCATAGGGTACAAGTGCAATTTTCTCCACTGGTATATTACACTGGGGTGAAGTCAGGGTCTTCAGTGTGTCCATCACTGGAGCAAAGCACATTGTACCCATCAAACAAACTCCCATCCTCCACGCGCTTCCCTCCCCTTCACCCCTCCAAGTCCCCGTTGTCCATCATTCCACACTCTTCTTCCCTGTGTACACATCATTTAGTGCCCACTTTAAGTGACAGCATGTGATATTTGGTTTTCTGTGTCTCAGTTGTTTCACTTAGCATAACGGCCTCCATTTCCATCCATGTTGCTACAAAGGACATGATTTCCTTCTCTTTTTTCTTTATTTTTTATTTTTTTGTTTTTGTTTCTGTTTTTTGAGACAGAGTCTCGCTCTTCGCCAGGCTGGAATGCAGTGAGGCAATCTCGGCTCACTGCAACCTCTGCCTCCCAGGTTCAAGTGATTCTCCTGCCTCAGCCTCCCAAGTAGCTGGGACTACAGGTGCAAGCCACCATGCCCATTTTTGTATTTTTAGTAGAGACGGGGTTTCACCATGTTGGCCAGGATGGTCTGGATCTCCTGACCTTGTGATCTGCCCACCTTGGCCTCCCAAAGTGCTGGGATTACAGGCGTGAGCCACCACGCCCAGGCTGATTTCCTTTTCTTAATGGCCAAGTAGTATTCCATTGTGTATATATACCACAATTTTTAAGTCCAGTCCTCTGTCGGTGGACACTTAGTTTGATTCCCTACCTTTGCTACTGTGAGTAGTCCTGCAGTGAACATACAAGTGCAGGTATGTTTTTGACATAATGATTTATTTTCCTTCAGGTAGATACCCAGTAGTAGGGTTGCTGGAATGAATGGGAGTTCTATTTTTAGTCATTTGAGAAGTTGCTGTGCGTAATTTCTCTATGTTTTCCATAGAGGTTGTACTAATTTACATACCCACCAACAATGTATAAAAGTTCCCCTTTCTCTGCATCCTCTCCAACATCTGTTATTTTTTGACTTTTTAATAATGGCCATTCTGATTGGTGTTAAGGTGATACTCATTGTGGTTTTAACTTGCATGTCTCTGATGATTGGTGATGTTGAACATGCTTTTCATGTTTGTGGGCTTTCTGTCTTCTTTTGAAAAATGTCTCTTCATGTCCTTAGCCCACTTTTAAGTGGGATTATTTTGGGGTTTTTGTTGTTCTTGTTGAGTTGTTTGAGTTCCTGGTACATTCTGGATGTTAGTTCCCTGTCGAATGTAGAGTTTGCGAATATTTTCTCTCATTCTGCAAGTTGTCTGTTCACTCTGTTGATTATTTCTTTTGCTGTGCAGAAGCTTTTAGTTTAAGTCCTGTTCGTCTATTTTTAGTTATGTTCCGTATGCTTTTGAGGTCTTAGTCATGAATTATTTGCCTAGACCCATGTTTAGAAAGTTTTCCCTGAGTTTTCCTTCAGTATTTTTATAATTTAAGATCTTCCATTTAAGTCTTTAATCTATCTTGAGTTGACTTCTGCAAATGGTGAGAGAGAAGGATACAGTTTCATTTTTCTGCAAATAGATATCCAACTTTCCCAACACTCTTTATTGAAAAGGGTGTCCTTTTTCCAGTGTATGTTCTTATCAGTTTTGTCAGAGAACAGTTGGCTGTAAGCATGTGGCTATATGTTTCTGGGTTCCCTATTCTGTTCTATTCCATTATCTGTTTTTATGTGGGTACCATGCTGTTTTGGTTGCTATAGCCATCTAGTGTAATTTGAAATTAGGCAATATGATGTCTCCAGCTTTGCTCTTTTTGCTTAGGATTGCTTTGGCTATTTAGGACCTTTTGTGGTTTCATATGAACTTTAGAGTTGTTATTTCTAATTCTGTGAAAAATGAGGTGAGTATTTTGATGGAGATTGCATTGAATCTGTAGATTGTTTCAGGCAGTATGGTCATTTTAACAATATTAATTCTTCCCATCCGTGAGCACAGGATGTTTTTCCATTTGTTTGTGTCATCTATAATTTGTTTCATTAGTGTTTTTTAGTTTGCCTTGTAGAGATCTTTCACCTCCTTGGTTAAATATATTCCTAGTTTTTTTTTTTTTTTTTTTTTTTTTGGTAGCTATTGTAAATGGGATTGCCTTCCTGATTTGGGGCTGGATCGTCATTGGTATATAGGAACTCT
Source organism: Homo sapiens (assembly GCF_000001405.40). Classification (NCBI taxonomy): domain Eukaryota; kingdom Metazoa; phylum Chordata; class Mammalia; order Primates; family Hominidae; genus Homo; species Homo sapiens. The sequence goes on from NC_000009.12 coordinate 87,662,654, forward strand.
AATGATTTCTGTATGTTAATTTTGTATTCTGAAATTTTACTGAATTAATTTATTAACTCAGAATTTTTTGGTGACATCCTCAGGGTTTTCTAGATATAAAATCATATCATCAGTGAACAGGGATAATTTGACTTCCTCTTTTCCAATTTGGATGCCTCTATTCCTCTTGCCTAGTTGATCTGGCGAGGACTTCCAGTATTCTTAAATTATTGAGATTTTTCACATTCTTTGGTTTATACAAAGCTTTCCTTCTGTGCCCTCACAGCGCATCCTTACTCCCCAGGTTTCAAGCTGAGTCAAGGCCTAGGGAGGGGCCTCTGGTCTTCCTGGAAGGCCCAGCACCTACGCCTTCCTCCTACCCTCCAGAAGCAATTCCATCCTCCTCTCCTTCAGAACCACCCTTGACCACCAGCGCCCCCTGCTGCCACCTTCCCTCTCCGCTGAGTCCTCAGCCAGGGGGACCTGAACAAGTCTGCACGTCCTGTCCCCACTTTGTCCTTGCCTCCCCTACTCCTGCACCCTCCACTGTCTTGCCTTCCGTTCCACGTAACCCTCAGCAGAGTCCCCACTCACCTCCTGACAGCTTTCCTTCTAAACTGTCTTACTATAAAAGAAAGCATAGATAGAAAAAAGCACATAAACCAATATAAAGCTTAGTGGGTTTCCATAAGACAAACACCTTTGAATTCCACGCAGGTCAAGAATAGAACTTTCCCAGCCACCCCAAAGGCCCCATGAACCTGGCCCAGCTGTTGCCTCCGCTCCCGCCCACTGTGAGCCCCTCCCTGATTTGAAGCCAGCTCTTCCTTTTGCTTCCTTGTTATCTTTCCACCCAAGCCCCAGCTGCTGCCCCTAAGCCTCTTTCACTGGATATCCCCAGGACTGGGCACCCTTGGCACGCCCTGACAATCCTGCCTGGGCTGAGAAAGTCCCCGCGTCCTGCTTCTCCCTAGGCCTCTGCTTCCTGCTGGTCCATCTTCTCCCTCTCCATCCCCCTGGCCCTCTCTGGCCCCCAGACTTGCAGCTGTCCAACACTGAGGCCCATGCTCAGGTCTCTGGTCCCTGCTTGCCCCTGAGTGCCAGCCTCACACAGCACCTTCAGAGGCCCTCGGCCCCCCCACACCAGGGTCCCTCCCTCCAGTTCTGTGCTTCCTCCTCCCCAGTGTTCAGCCTCTGCAAAGGGCTTCCGCATCTGTCTGTCACTCTGCCCAGGATCATGGAAACCCTTCTTACTCTCTCCTCACCTATTTGCATCTAGCCGGCAGCCTACTAAGTCTCCTCCCACTTCTCCATGACCACGAAGCACCCGCCTCTCCAGCCCCCACCTGGTTAAGGGCGTCACCCTTAACCTTAGTCTCCTCCAGACCAGTCGGACTCTTCACCCACCCCTGCACTGTAGCCTCCTGCCCCTTGGGACCAGTCCATCCCAGCCCCACGTTTATCTTTCTAGAAATGCCAGCCACTCAGTGGGCTCCACTTTCACCTCCACCTGGGGCTCCTCTGCCTTCAGGATGTGAACTCTGCAGCCTCTGCCCAGCCTCCCCTTCCCCTCTTCTCCCCTTCAGTTGTGGCTGGGTCCTGGGAAGCCCCTGCCGGCTCCCCCATCATGGAGTTGTCACCTGCTGTTCTTTCACCCTGGAGCTCCCCTTTCCCCCTTCACCCCCTGCGCATAGTGTGCCCACAGCATCAGCACACACAGGCACACATCTCTCTGCCCACTTCTGCCCTGAGGGTACCTGATGGCGCTCTGCCTTCAGAGAGAGACTTGGAATGCCCGCTACGGGCATGTGGGCACACAGCCCATAACATTCGGGGAAGACTCCGTGGCACCCACTCCTCCTCATCCATCAACATTCACCTCCAGCCCAGGAAACCTCCTCTGTTCCAGCCTCTCCGGTGTGTGTGATTTGCCCCTGTGGGCTGGTAGTCCCTTCGCCTTCCTTGCTCTATTGGAATCGTATCCGGATTTCTCCTAGCAGGAGTGAGCCCTTGGGCAGGAATCACTGGGAATTCATTGCTGCCTCCTAAGTGGGCTCCCTGCTTCCACCCTTACCTGTCCACAGCCTGGTCCCCACGCAGCCGCCTGGTCAGACGTAAGTGAGATCTCATCCTCCTTGCTCAGATGCTCTAGCAACTTCTCATGGGAATCAGAGCCCTTCAAATGGGGGCTTCCCCAAGGATCTGCCCCTGACATTGCCTCCCTGACCCCCATCTCCTGTTCCGCCTCCTCCCGTCTCCCTCCACATCAGCCCCATGAGCTTCCTTGATGTTCTTCAAAAGTGCTGGCCATCCACCGCCCGGGGGCCTTTGCACTTGCTATTCTTGGGCCTGAGTGGCTCTTCCCCAGGTATCCATGTGATTTGGTCTCTCACCTTCTGCAGGTTTTGACTCGAGCTTCACCTTCTCAGGGAGGCCTTTCTGGACCACCCTATTTTAAATCCTATCCCTCCCCCACCCCCAGGACTGCCCCTCATCTCCCCTGCCCCATTTTTCTTCATAGCACCTATCACCACCTGACCTACTGTATTTTACTCACCTATTTGTTTCTTGTTGGCTCTCCCCACTAGATTCTGGATCCCATGAAAATAGGGACTTTTGTTGGTTTTATTCACTGCTGTATCCATAGCCCTGTGCATAATACGCACTCAGTAAATACCTGCTAGATGAAAGTATGAAGGAAGGAAGGAAAAAATGAATGGCACCATAGTCCAGGCAGGACATGGAGTGTTTGTTGACCGAGTGCTAAGTAGATGAGCCCTTATAATTCTGTAGGTTAACAAAAAATCCATATTTTCCCCAACACTATCTAAAGATGTTTAAATGACTGTGCACATTCTTTCAGATCATCTTTTCACTGGGGATACACAAATAGGTTTCCCTGTCAATGCTTGCCCCAGTTGAAACCCCATCTGTTCCTTTGCGAAGCATATTACACGTGTCACTAGAAGTCATGACTGTGAGCATTTCCCCAGACGTCAATAAGCAGCATGTCTGTGAAGGGCAGGCTCCTAAAACTGGCTGGCCTGTGGGGCTCCGGCTTCTTGAACACAATAAGTGAAGTGGCCTTTCACCTTTCCATGGATTTCTTTCTATGTCATGGGGCCAACTTGGGAATCACTGCCCACAGTCTAGAATGTAGTGTTGTGGGCTGCTGGTGCACAAGAGACACCGTGATTTCTGGACCCAACTCACCCTTCTGCAGCCACTTGGTCCCCAGGGCTCACGTTGAGATGATGGACAGCTGAGTGCTGAGACACTTGGCCATCTTTCTATATCTTTTCAATGCATGCACTTCATTGAGTCCATGAGCCCTGTTGGTAAGGAGGAGGGCAGCAAGTGTAAGTGTTGCTTTTGCAGCCTCCGTCGGGGTGTCCAGTAGAGCCAAGACCAAAATGCAGAGATCTGACTTCTGCCCCTTTCCCTCTCAGACAGAAGGCCAGGTAGTTAGGGCAATTCTCAGCTCTTCTGTGAATAATTTCCAACACTGCTTGCTTCTTCTGTGCCTGGCACTGTGCTGGTTCTTTCCATTTGGTTTTCTCTCACCTGCTCAAGAACCTGTGCAGGGAGGGTGCCATTTTCCATCTTGCAGATGAGGAAACCCAGGCTTGGGAAGGCTGAGTGACCCACCACATAGCCGGTGAGGGGTGGGTTCAGGACTTCAAACTGGGTCTTCTCCCAACTTCAAACTGTCTCCTGCACTGCCAGGCATTTCTGTTGAAAGTCTGAATAGTGTCCTTTAGAGCAACATGTTTTGCAAGCTGTAAAGTGCAGTGCAAATGTGAGGAAACATTTTTATTTTATATATATATATGTTTTTGTTTTTGTTTTTTTTTTTTTTGAGATGGAGTCTCATTCTGTCACCCAGGCTGGAGTGCAGTGGCACGATCTTGGCTCACTGCAACCTCTGCCTCCCAGGTTCAAGCGATTCTTATGTCTCAGCCTCCTGAGTATCTGGAATTACAGGCATGCACCACCACACCTGGCTGATTTTTGTATTTTTAGTAAAGACGGGGTTTCACCATGTTGGGCAGGCTGGTCTCAAACTTCTGACCTCAGATGATCCACCCACCTCAGCCTCCCAAAATGCTAGGATTACAGGCATGAGCCACCATGCCTGGCTGTGAGGAAGTATTGTTGATGGTGGTTCTCTTGACTTTGAAGAGGTTGAACAGTGGAGAGTTCATCCTGTCGGTGAAAGGCCTCTGCCTGTGTTTTGTGCGCGTCTGAGCTCTGCAAGAGGAACGTCCTGTTCAGACGTGTCGGGGGCAGGAAACTTCAGTCAAGGCTCAGATTTCTTCTAACTAGGGCAGTGGTTCCCAAACCTTGCTGCATAATAGAATTAACCTGGGAGCCCAGGATGTACCCCATACTGCTGACAGCAGTGTCTGTGTGGGAGCTGGGCGACAGGATATTTTCAAGTTTTACAGGTGATTCCAGAGTGTAATGGAGAACCCCTTCTCTTTATGGACTTTTCTTGTGTCCACAAAAAAACTAGAGCATTTGGCATGGATCCCTGGTTGGAGATGCAGTGTCTGATAAGGCACCTAATTCACCCCCAAAGCAAGCTTGAAGCCCTGGCCTGCCCACTGGGGGATATTTCAGGAATTTAAGGGAACAGAGAGACGGGCAGTTCTGACTGCACAGCAAGCCTCCACTGGAGCAGCCACCTGGGCTTCAACCGGCAGCCTAAGGCAGTGGTTCTCAGCAAGGCAATTTTGCCTCCTCCCCCAGCAATTGCCAATGCCTATTTGGTTGTCACAACTGGGAGTTAGGGGGTGCTACTGCCACCTAGTGTGTAGAAACCAGAGATGCTACTAAAATTCCTAAGAGGCACAAGACAGGCCCAGCAACAGAGAATTGCCTGGTGCAAAATGTCAGTGTTGGCAAGATTGAGCAACAGTGTCTGAATGGGACCCCAGGCATGACTCTGGGAGTGACTTGGGTTGAGGAATTGAGAGGTTGCTGTTAAGTAGATTTCGGATATCCCTAAGCTTCTACAAGGATGCAACTTTGTTATTGATACACATTGATAGATAAACCAAATCCTTACTTTTTTATTAAAAAAAAACATTCATTTTCATTTTTTTAAATTGCTTTTCATCTTTTCTACTTTTGAATTTTTAGTGATCTCTAAAACTGCAACAGAACAGCCCCTACATGTCCCTTTTCTCCCCAGTGGCAGGGGAACAGTGACAGCTTCTGCCTCTCAGGGGTGACTTCAAGGACTGAGGCTTGCAGAGAGCACTGAGAGCTGGGTCGAGCACATATTATGAGGTGGTGTTCAATAAATACTTGCTGTCATCGTGTATGTTCATGGTGTAGATACAGAAACAAATTTATTCAGTGTGAAACTGCAGCCTATGAAAAATCTCTAAATAAAAAGCAAGCATAAAAGTGCTGTGGACTCTTATTTCCTTGTTTTCTGTTCACCAAAAGATCTTTCAATCAAAATTGCCTGTCAAACTAAGTATTTCCTTTGAAATGCACAGTAATTACCAGGAGCTGGTATCATGCAAGGGCTGGGTTTGTCCCTGTAAGGATTATAACACAGTAGCTTGCACTAACTAGAATTTGGCACCTGATGAGAATCTTTACTGTCTGCCTGATTGGAGATTGGAGAGAGGGGTTCAGGACAGGGAGGAACCAGCCAGCTGAGGAGGCTGTTGAGTTGTGATTAAACCTGTGGACCTGAAAGGTGTCGCTATTGGACAGGAAGACACCAACATGTGCTTTGTTCCTGCGTCTTACCTTCCTGTCCTGGACAATCAAGTGAAATAAGGATTGCACAGCCAGAGAAACACACCGAGACGTGCTCTTTGTCCACCTGGCTTGCTTCTCACACCTGCTATGCTTGTTTCTGCCTCAGACCCACGGAATTGGCGTATGGAACACACACAGCTCTCCTTTTCAGAGAAAAGAAACTAATGCATTTTTCTCCAACAGGACGGAAAGACGGCAGAAGATCTTGCTAGATCGGAACAGCACGAGCACGTAGCAGGTCTCCTTGCAAGACTTCGAAAGGTGAGAAGTTCTGTTATAGGTCTGAAGTTCTCTACCTGTGTTTATGTGAAAAAGTCTCAGTCTTTTTCCTTATTTGAGAATGAGCAAAATGAGGCTCTAGACAGCCAGGTTTTAGGAACAGTGGTCCCTGTCCTGTGGTTTACATGTCAGTCGGTATAAATGCATCAGCTCCCTATCTGTTTTCTTCTCTATTTGGACTTGGAAATCATTTAGCATGTTTGCAGTTGCCGTGCCTGGTTTTCCTTCTCCCACTCTCTCTATAATAAACCACTCCCACAAAGTAGCGGGGGATGAGGACGCTGACTCTGCCTCTTTCCTTCTTATGTTTGAGCTCCAAGATGGCTGTTAAGCTCCTATTTATCAAACATTGTTGCTCTGAGGCTTAAAGAAACATGACAAAAATAAGTAAAGGCAGGTGCACCCTTTCCAGCCTACAACATGACAGTTGTGTCAGGAGACTTCACAATAGCCATACCCTTTAATCTAGGAACTCTGTTTTATGCTTAAAGATGTTCACTGCAGTATTATTTATAATACAGTAATAAAAATTGGAAACACAGATAACCCACGATAATGTCTAGTAAAGGGTCCTACAGCCATAGAATAGAATGGCTTTGGCCTTTTAAATATTTTAAGAAGTTTTACTAATAGGAGTTTATTGCTTGGGGTGGGGGGGGGTCACTGGGCTTCAAAGCAGAAGACAGATTGTATATAGGTAATAATCTCTACTATGTTAAAATCCATAGAAAGAAAATGATACAAGTGATGTTTTTCGATTTTGCTATTATACTCAACATTTTCTTCTTTAAACATTAGTGTATTTTAAAAAATTTAATTACTGTATTTTTTTTAAAATGTTATAACAATGGTAATCATTTTTTTAAAAACCACAAACTATCTAGAAATAAAATGATAATTCATTTGGTTTAAGTGCTTGCTGAGAAGATAATGTCCAAAATATGCTCCAGATATCCCACAAAGTTCTTGCCATATAGACCGAGAAGTGCCTGGGGAGAAGTGCTGAGGTCATAACCTTCACAGCCCCTGAAGTTTATATTTTCATACATGTCCTGTGGTCTTGCCAGGGGCAGGGGGGGGCCACAGATTGGGATAATTTCTTTCCTCATGCAGAATATAGACTTGGAGAGACACACTTCATATATGCATATTAAAACCCCTTGGAGTTGACCTGGCAGGGGTAAAATCATGGGTGATTGATTTTCACACCCTTCTGCTTTGGATTCTGAGAACTGGCCTCAGAGGCACTGAGCAGATGTTAATAAACTCTGAGAGCTGCGATTCAGTCTCCCCTTTGTCCTGGAAAGTCCAGAAAGAGACAAGTCAGGTAAAATTTCCCTAGCCTTACTCACCTGTTCTTACCAGAAATTCATAAATTACCATTATGGGCTCAGTGATTTCTCACTCTGTACCATTATGGACTGTGTCATTATGCCAGCGAATTTGGACTAGAAACTCAAGGGAAACCTTTTCGTTTACAGGCAAAACAAGCAGGGGCAAGGGAGATCCCGTGAGTCGTGGTTACCATTCAAGAATGAGCCTTTTCATAGAGTTTCCTAAGTTTAAAATTCACTGTCTTTCAAGCAGAGGACCAGCCAAACCAGACACGTTGGGCACAGAATCTCACGCCTCTAGGCTGGTGTACATCCATTACCCAGGCAGCATCCATTGATAGTGAAAGGAGAAGAGAAGTCTGGTTTTTGCACAGGCTAAAAGAGCACAATTTCTTTTTCCTGTTAGTTATTAGGTCTCTATTACGGTCCACTAGTAGGAAGAAACACTATTAAGGAAGGCTGAAAGGCTTCTTCGACAGGCCTCATAGCTTTACCGAGTGCATAAGCCTGCTTGGTCAGGTGTGCTCAGGTTTCCACACAGAGAGGCTGCAAACCCACCTGCAGCACCTGGCACCTGGCTTGCATCCCTGAGTCCCCATGCTGTGCCCTCCCAGGTGTATGATGCCCTGGCTCAGCTCACACAGCGCCAGCACTTCCACCACTACCGCCCTCTGGAAATCCGCTTACCACATTCACTCTCAACTTCGAGTGCTGTTTACCATCTAAGAAACTGTATTACAGAGCAGGGGCCAGGGGGACCTGCAGTCAGCTCATTGTGAGGCGGACACTCAGCTGCAGCAAGGTGACCTGCAACACCCTGTCAGGTCACTCGGGAAACCCACCTCATGCAGAGGGAGGAGGCGTCTCGTGGGCTGTGCTGTGTTCTGCTGCCCATGCCCCCTTAGCAATGGTCCCTTCTTTGACTTAAAAGTAGCTTACTGTGCGAGATGCAAACCCACTGTTTGGACGAGTCTGAAAACAGTGAAGGAATGCTCAGAAAAAGGACCGAGGGAGAGCAGTGTTGCACTAGCCGGGGATGGTCGGATCGGTGGTGGGTGGAAGGTCCTTCTCCCGTCCTCTGTCCCCGTTATCTGCAGCCTGCTTAGATGACTGGCATAGTGAGGAGTAGAGATGCAAAGCACCTTGCTGCGGCGCTTCCTCCAAATCCTCAGTGAAAGGGGCTTGTTCCCATTTAGAATTCTGAGTTTCTGGGGGTGGGCTCTCACCCTGTCTCAGTTTGGGATTTTCTTTTCTTCTATCCATTGGTACCTTTGTTTTTGGTGCCTAGATTTTTAAAAGAGATGGGAAGTGAACTATTACAGCTATAAAATACAAAATACAAAAATATAAAATATATTTTATAGTTTATAAAATAGAAAAAACTATAAAATACAAAATATTATTTTGTGTTTTACCATTATCCTGTGGTCTTTTTCTCTAAAGGAGAGGTCAAGGAAAAGAATAGTCACCTTTTTTTTCTTTGTTTTTTTTTGAGATGAGGTCTTGCTCTGCGGCTCAGGCTGGAGTGCAGTGGCATAGTCAGGGCTCACTGCAGCGTCAAACTCCTGGGCTCCGGTGATCCTCTTGCCTCAGCCTCCCAAGTAGCTAGGACTACAGGCACGTCAGACACGTGTCTCCACACCCACCTGGCTAATTTTTAACATTTGTATTAGCAACTATGTCTCAATACATTGCCCAGGCTGTCTCTAACTCCTGGCTTTTAGTGATCTTCCTACTCTGGCCTCCCAAAGCAGTGGGATTACAGGCGTGAGCCACTGCACCTGGTCAGAATAGTCATCTTAATGCCCTAATTAAAGGACAACATCCCCCTTAGCACCCAGAGTCCAGTGAAAAGTCCCCCCTCATCTTTATGTAGAAGCAAAGTACAGAGTAGTGCCTAAGAGCAGAGACTGGAGGTCAGATGGCCTGGGATCCAACTCCAGCTCCGCCACGCTCTAGCTAGGTGAGCTAGCAAGCTGTTCAACAGCTCTGTGCCTCAGTGTCCCCGCTTGTCAAATGGTTGAGTCAGCTGCTACCTCCCACGACCGTGATAAGGGTTGGATGGGTCGATGTAGATGATGTCCCTTGCACACTGCCTGCACACAGTAAGCACCACGTGTTTCCTGTTATTGTTGGAACCCCGCAGACCACTCTGGAACAGCTGTGAGGTGCAGCAGTGGCCCCTGTGGCTGGGCACCCTGAGTGTCATTTGTGATGACAGCCACCATTGAGCGCTCAGTGTGTGTGGTGGGCACTGTGATTTTACAACACACAGTTTGTAAAGGTTTACAGAGGGGAATGTTGCTGCAGGAAACCTGGATTCAAAGAGGTGAGCAACATACTAATCAGTGCAGACCTGAGGTCCTGACCTGACCTGGAAATACCTGTGATCTGCTTTTAATCAATGGGCTCGGGGGGCTCCAGGGCAGATTCCTGGCCTGATGGGATATGTCCTTTCCACACTGGCTGCTGTACCTGTGCTGAGCCACCTGCTTTGTAGTGCACAGGGATCTCCTTCCCATGGGGAGGCCCAGGGTTCTAATTCCCTCAGAATCTTCTAGATGCTGTGTTCAAGGAGTCCCTGGAATTTGTTTGTCTTCATCATCCCTCAGTGGGCTCTTGACGTTAGCCCCTGATTAGCCATAATGGGAGGAGTTGTCTGCCAAGCATTGCTAATTGCGGTCTTTCTTCCTTGTGTATGAATATAAATCCCCATGCAAGTAACTGCTTGGCACCTGGGCACACCCGGTACTGGAATTTGGTTATTGGAAATGACTGAGCTGTCGCGGCAGCTTCCTTGGAGAATGCATCGCTGAGGATTGTGGGGAGCCCAGAAGCAGGCAATGCCTGTGGAGGACACCAGGAAGGGGACTGACCTGCAGTTCTAACTTGGGTCACCTGGAGGAGGAGACAATCGGGTACATGATCGGGGAGGGGAAGGGAAAGAAGAAGTCATTCACCCTGCAGAGCATCTTAGGACCATTTTCCTTTCCATGTCATTTCTCCTTGATATTCCCCAGTGTTTCTCACTGGGTGCTGTTGGCAGTTTGGGTGACTGGGAGGCCCTGTCCTTGCAGGATGTTTCTTGTCCCTGGCCTCCAAGCATCTAACATGCTAGCATTCCCTACAGCCATATTGTGAAAACCAAAAGAATCCCTCCACACATTTTCTCTCAACCCCTAGGGTGCTACCACACTCTGCAAGAACCACTGCAGGTTGATCCAAAGCGCTGTCCTGGGGAGAGGTCTGTATCTGGGACAGCTGAGGATGGTGGCCCTACATTGCCTGCCATTTTATTTGGTTTCCAAATGGGCCAATTGAGCAAAAGAAATACTTTCTATCTACGCTGTCAGCTTTCATCAGTTGACATTGCCTAGCAATGTGTCTTTAAACTATATTTGCTAGGGAAGCAATGGGATTTGGCATCTGGAAATAGAACCAAAATCATCCTGTTTGCCCGCAGCAGTGGAAGATGTGCAGGGGAGAGGGACTGGCTGTTTTGATCACTGGAGAGTTCAAGGGGCAGGAGACTGAAGACTGCTGAGGCCAAGGCTACAGCTCTTGGGGAAGAAGGAACCTGGGGCAGGGCTGAGCTGCATGGGATCGACTCTGACGCACCTCCACATTAAGTGAACTCGGGCAGTAGTGTGCAGGAGCCTCTGGTGCTGTCCCTGAGCGCCGAGCTTGTTTTCCCAACCTGGTGACATCACATGGGAGTCTTGAAATCAGCCAGGGAGGGAGCATTTGCACCACAGGAATCAGCAAATGCTAGAGATGAAGTCTGCTTCTCCCTACCAAAGGTTGTTGATAGGTTCATCATTGCTTTGGGGGTCCCTGAGAGCCCGCGCTTGGCTGTAGGTACCACCTTATCACAGAGGGAAGTTGTACCTTCTACTTCCTTGCGCTCAGTCAGTAACAGAGCCCTGGGCAGCTGTCCAAACCTGCCTGAGGACTGTGTTGTTGCTCAGCCAAACCCAGTTCTCCTTCTAGAAGAAAGGAGGGACCCCTTCTATGGGAAAGGGGTTGATCTAGATTTTTATATCAGCACCCATTTTTACTATAATCACTGCAAGTTCCATTCTTATCTGATTTTAAAATAAGAATTTCAAGGGGGTTGAGGAGTTGGCTTATTTTTATTTTGTTTGGCCATCCTTCTAATCAGATTTTCCGTAAGCCTGAAATTAAAAGTAGGCTGGGTGCGGTGGCTCACGCCTGTAATCCCAGCACTTTGGGAGGCTGAGGCAGGCAGATCACCTGAGGTCAGTAGTTGAAAACCAGCCTGGCCAACATGGTGAAACCCCGTCTCTACAAAAAAAATTAAAATTAAAATTAAAATAAATTAGCCAGAGATGGTGGTGTGTGCCTGTAGTCCCAGCTACTCGGGAGGCTGAGGCAGTAGAATCGCTTGAACCCAGGAGGTGGAGGTTGCAGTGCACTGAGATCATGCCACTGCATTCCAGCCTGGGTGACAGAGTAAGACTCTGTCTCAAAAAAAAAAAAAAAAAAAAAAAAAGTAGTTTGCTTTTACTAAACCTAAGACCCAACAGTGAAGAAAGGTGGCCAGGAATATTTTGAAAAATGAAAACAATTGGGGAGTTGCCCAGATTGAAAAATTCACCACCTGTAAACTGCATTTGCGTAATTAAAAGTTGCTGCACCATCCGTGCAGTCTCACTGCACCCTGCCACATGGGCAAGGCCACATCGCCTCTCAGTGCTCTTATCTGGCCTTCCCAGACCGTGAATGGTCTTCCCCATCAGCTTGCTAATGTTTAGTCTTCTTGTCTGATGAGAAAGTGAAAGCTAAGTTGCTAGGGAGAAAACAGTACTGGAAGAAAGAAAAGTAGAAACTAGGAGATTTACCAGGGCTTCAAAGAGCAACACAGTTACCAAATAACATTCATTCACTCACACACTGAAAAGATATTTCCAGTGTCTACTGTAAGAGCTGTTCTAGGCACTGCAGAGACCACAGTGAACAAAATCGGCAGAACCCAGCCAAGAAACCGATAAGAAAAATGTGTAAGTCAGGTCAAGGGGTGGCAAACAATGGCCTACAACCCACTGCCTGCTTCTGTAAATAAAGTTTTATTGAGACACAGCTACACACTCTTGTCTGTGCCTGGTGTTCCTACATGGCAGAGTTGAGTTGCCACAGAGACCATCTGGCCCTCTACAGAAAGGGTTGCTGCCTCCTGGGGTAGGTGCCATGCAGGGAATTGAAACAGGATGAAGTGAGATGAGAGGATGGTGGAGTCTACTTTCACCTGGCTGATGAGGACCTCTCTGATGTGACACTGAAACCAAGACCTGAAGGGCAAGAAGAAGGAAGCAGCCCGAGGAAGGGCTGGAGGAAGACAGAGGAATAGGGAGTGCAAGGGGCCGGGTAGTGAAGGGTTGGAGGAGCTCAAGCATAAAACAACAAAGAAGGAGGGTAACTGGGCTAGGGTCAGAGGATGTACCTGGGTGTGCAGGCAGAGAACAATGCCCGACATGACCCGAGAGGCGGCACAGCTCTATAGACCTTACCCAGCGGGTGAGGAGTTTGGGTTTGGGCCAAGTGCAGGCAGGTGTGAGATCTGCCTTAGGTTTAGGAATTCTCCCGGCTGCTCAGACTGGAGCCTCAGGGTCAGGATGGGGAGCAGAGGGACCTGATAGGAGGTGATCTTGGCAGCCAGGGGAGATGTGACGGTGCTTGGACTGGGGCTGTCCAGGCTCTATTACTTAGTGAGCCTTGGGCAAGAATACCAGGGAGGCTCCTACTCCTGTGTAAATATTTAAAGGATGTGATTAGAGCTAATACAGGTAAATACATTCTACCCTACACACACACACACACACACACACACACACACACACACACACACACACCCTTATGACCACCTGGAAGGTTCTGAGTCAGAATTCTGCGCTCCTTGGAGTTCGGTTCTGCCTCCTCCTCTCCCCAGCCTGGTCTCGCCCTGACTGCAGGAGGTCTTGCCCACACCCTGGATGCCCCAGGTCTCCTGAGTACCCTCCAGCCACACCCACAGACCTAGGGGACACACACTGGAGAGCACTTCAAACCATGAGCCAAAAATGTCGGTGGCACCATAGTCCCCTCTCCTCTCCCCTAGAGGTGTTGGCTGCACATGGCTCCCACCTGGCCCAGCCAGGGAGGGCCCGACCAGCCTGGGCTTCGTGCCAGCCAGGTCTCAGGGTTGTCTTGTAACTTGTGTTAAACACACACTGTGTAAGGACTACTGAACTCCCCCTCCAAATAAATCAGTCTTCCTAGCACCTTCTAGACCTGGCCTGGAGCCCTCTCTGAGTTGGAGATAGATCATTACGTGGATGAAAGCTGCTTTCCCAGGGAGAGGCCTCTGCGCCACAACCCGTCCCTACCCGCCATCTGGTAGTGAAACGTGAAAACGTGCCTCCACCAATGAGGGAGATATATTCGGATGTGCTTAGATTCCCCAAGGTTCTTAGTGAGCAGGACGAGGGGTCATCTGCCAGGATCAGCTGAGATTTTCTTGTGAAGGGAAATACCCGAGGATATTTTGCTTTTCTTTGCCTTTCAAGATGATGGTGAATTCTGTAAGTCTAGATCAGCGCAGTTTCCTGGCCTCTCTTCCCAAAGACTTGGTGAAGGGTGAGTGGGCACATCTTGGCCAAGGCTGACAGCTCCTGGTGGAGGGGAAGGGGGTGCACCAAGGACAGGTGCACTCCAATATTTCACTCCAAAGGGTGCCCTATTCAGGAAGTGCCTTCCGAGTGGGATGCACTGTGAGGGGCCCTCCTTGGATGGTCCTCAGTGCTGTGGGGTTCACCTTCAATGTGCACATCCCTGTCTGTTCCTGTCTCCTCTGCTTCTGAGGAACCTGCCACCTCCCTTTCAGTGTCCAGCAGTGGGAGGAAGACCTGGTAGTGAGTTCTGGCTTTGCTCTGTCACCTTGGGCAAGTGCCTTGGCCTCTCCAAGCCTCAATTTCCTCATCCGAAAGGGAGGAGGATGGCATTAACCACAAAGGTTCCTTGGAGGTTTTCATAGGGAATGTGAGTGAAGGCATAGCATGAGCTGGAAGGCGCCGTGCACGTGGAAGTTACTGCTGCAGACAGGAAACACATCTGTCTCAACTCCTCCTGCTGCCTCCTCCCTCCTTCTCCATTTATTGTGCTGGCCCATGAAACAGGCAGATTGCCAGGAGCTTCTGAACCAGCATTGCCCTGCGTGGAATTTGAAGGAGTGAGCTGGACTGTCAGTACAGGGAAGTCACAGGCATAGCTTGCCCTCATACACAGGAGCAAGTCAGCCTGCAGGTTCAGTCGCTTCTAGAAGCCTCTCACAGGGGCAGCGGTGTCTGTAGTTGACCATGGTTCGAGTCTCCTGAGAGTGGAAGGGCCTGTGGGATTCCTGCAGAAGGAATGAGCTTGCCCCATTCCTGCAGACAGGACAGACGTGTGTGCTGAAGCTCAAAGTGTCAAGATCCACAGGCACAAAACAGGAAGAAAGAGCTGCAGGCAGATTCATGGCACAGTTTCTTTACCAAAATGGGGGCACCCGGGATCCAGTGACTGGATTTAACCAGGAGCAGTTTTCTGCCTTCCCCTGGTCTCAGATGAAGCAGACTCGGGCCGGTACCAAGAATCTCTGTGTGGCAGGAGCTGCGTTCAGGGAATAGATGGGGAAGTTTGCATCTACCCTGTGGGATGCTCACCATGGAAGGTGACCACTGCTCAGCACAGTGGACGCAGCTCAGGTGCTCATGCATGGCATGGTGTGGGTATAGCCTTGGACTCACAAGGAAGACCCAGGGCTGCTGCGGAAGGCTGGAGTAGGCTGGGAGGTGGAATTGCTCCAGGGTCGGTGGCAGCGCGGCAGCATGGGCGCACCTGGTGCACGTGGCGCTGGGGACAATTCAGAGCCCCATTCCTTCCAGCCTGACAGGTGCCACCCCCAATGAGTAACTCCTCATAATAGAATCTGTCCAGCTTTTTTGCTGATTCAGGTAATCAGTCAGGGACATTGCTATCAAGACCCCCAGTCCTTTCCTTTCCCTTTGGTGCTCTGTCTCTGAACCTGTTGGGATTTGAGGTCAGAAGAAAACACCAGAGTACAGACCACCTCGTGTTCTACAGATCATGGTTTGGTGCCGTGGCCTCCACCCCAGCTGCCCCAGCATTTTACAACACACCTTGTGTCACGCTCCCTTGTAGAATTTATAGACAGGGACGCACCTACTACACAGATAGTTTCAAAAGATCAGTAGCATGCCCTAACTGTAATATAACACAGACCTTGTGGGAGCATGCGCATAGTGAAATATGCTGGATGTCAGCATGCATGTGCTAGGACACAGGCAGGAGGAGGCTGGGAAACCCAGCAGGTCCCTGCACTCACGCACAGGATCACTGAGTGCAACCCCCACAGACGCCCACGGACACTGGAGGGCTGGGATGGCAGCTCCAGCACCACAGCAGCGTGCTGAGCTGATGTCCAGAAATCGGAGACAGCACTCAGCAAAGATAAAAGGAAAAAAGCAAAGTGTAGTTATTTGCCAATCTATAAAATAGCAGCATTCGTGGATAACTCAGTATATATTAAATACTGCCCCCAAAACCCTGTGGATGATGTGTAAAATGTAGTTAAGTTCTCAGCTCAGATGATTGTAAACAGGCTTTTCCCCTATATAAATGCTCATCAGATGCTCAGAAGTCAGGGGACCCAGGAGAATTCTTCGCTGTGAGGGGCATTTTGTTACAGGGTGTCTGGACACCCAGCGTCTGGCTGCAGGAATATCCCCTCAACATTGTGGGAACTAAAATGCCACCTCAGATTTCCACAGTGCCCACCAGGGGTCAGTATAGTTCCTGTTGAGGAAGTCTGGTCCTGGCTTAGGAATTGCAAATGGAAATAGGAAAATCAAAGCCTTCAGGAGAGTTATGTATGAGATTGTAGCAATGCAGTTATAACAGCAAAAGTAACACTGGCTTTTGCTGCTGGAAGAGATCAGGAGATCAGAAGTAAGTGAGCGCCTCCCAGGATTTAGAACTGAAGGAATGGTCCCGCCAGGTGTAGATCACATGGAGGTGCCCTTGCGTGGGTCCCTCTGAGTTCTGTCATTTATATGACACTGGTTTATGGCGATTCTACACCTGCCAGGGCTGGGAATTCCGTCTGTCCCCGCAGATGGGCTCCTGGTCTAGAAGGGAGAGCACCCCATAATTACAGGTCGGGGGTCACCATGGAGAGCCACACATGGTGGGAAGAAGCAACCAGGAGGAGATGGCAGGCAAGACAGGTTTTGTGGGTTTGTGGGAACCCACAAAGCAGGTTAAAGCAGAGGGGGTCCTCCTGGGTAAGGGTGAGGAAGAGGCTTCAGGCTGCACCTCACGGCTCCAAACAGGTCCTTGTTAGGGAGCAGGGCAGGAGTGGTGGGAAGGGATGGTGGCCTGTGAGGGGGTGTGACACCAGGGTGGCATGGTCAGAGCCACATCACGTAAACCTTGAGCAGGTTCCCTTGGGTGCACTGAACGCCTTGCCTACACTATCCTGTTAAAAGCTCTTACTTGGTATTAGATGTGAAATTGTTCACATGTCTGTATCTCCCCAAGACCATGGATCTGGGCTGAATCTAGATTTTCCTGTTGTCCGCACTGCGCTTAGCATGGGGTTGGAGGGCCTCCCTAAATGCTGGTTGATGAATGAAGGAGTGAGTGAGTAGCGAACTATTTCATTCTGTGGAGCCTCCTGCTTCTCCATATCAGATGGAAAAAGAAGAAAGTAATGAGGATATTGTGTTCCCAGCCCCCTCTGCAGCATGGAGCTTGTACGTTGGAGTGCCCCTTCTCTCATCCTCTTGTCCCATTACTGCCCTAAAGGATCCAGACACCTCCACACAGAGAGGGACAGATGCTCTTGCTGGTCAGACAGGGCTGATCCTATTTCATGATTAAATCGAAGGCTTCTACCTTTCTTCATCTCCTGGCTTTCCATTTTCTTTCAGCCTCTTAATTGATTAGGGTAAATTTTTGATTATCCTTTTTATTTTATGTGTTTAGTAATATATTAATATTTTAAAATTTATTTATTTATTTATTTATTTATTTTTCTTTTGAGACGGAGTCTCACTTTGTCACCCAGGCTGGAGTGCAGTGGCGTGATCTCCGCTCACTGCAAGCTCCACCTCCGAGGTTCACACCATTCTCCTGCCTCAGCCTCCCGAGTAGCTGGGACTACAGGCTCCCGCCACCACGCCCGGCTAATTTTTTGTATTTTCGGTAGAGACGGGGTTTCACCATGTTAGCCAGGATGGTCTCCATCTCCTGACCCTGGTGATCCATGTGCCTCAGCCTCCCAAAGTGCTGGGATTACAGGCGTGAGCCACCGCACCCGATTTGTTGTAGGTCTGTTCCTAGGCTTCTTAGGTTGTCATGTGGTTGAAACCAAAAGTGATGGTAGATATTTTTAATACTCACATACAGGTGACATTGCCATGAAGTTAAATCAAAAGTGCTAGTAGCTATTTAACAGTAAGATAAGGTTCCTATTCCAGACCTACAGTTATGAAGTGGACATTTGGGCCATCCAATTATGTTTTTCTGATAAATTTCTAAATAAAGTGTGGGGGTCACACACACACACACGCGCACACACACACACACACATTGAAGGCTTCACAGTTGCTCCATCCAACTTGTCATGCATCAAAATGCAATGGAAATAGGCAGATTCTTAGAGACAGAAAACATCTCTATGGTTGCCAGGGGCTGAGCAAAGAGGGGAATGAATGGCAAGTGACTGCTCACGGGTACAGAGCTTCCTTTTGGGGGTGACACAAATGTTCTGGAAGGAGACAGCAGTGATGGTCCTGCAGCACTGAAAATACACTAAAAGCCTCTGAATTTCACAGTTGAAAATGGTGACTTTGATGTTATGTGAATTTTACCTGAATTTTCAAAGTTTTCATTGGAGATAGAAATAAACATACCGCCAGGCACGGTGGCTCACACCTGTAATCCCAGCACTTTGGGAGGCCAAGGCGGGCGGATCACCTGAGGTCGGGAGTTCGAGACCAGCCTAACCAACATGGAAAAACCCTGTCTCTACTAAAAACACAAAATTAGCTGGGCATGGTGGCTCATGCCTGTAATCCCAGCTACTCGGGAGGCTGAGGCAGGAGAATCGCTTGAACCCAGAAGGCAGAGGTTGCGGTGAGCTGAGATCGTGCCATTGCACTCCAGTCTGGGCAACAAGAGTGAAACTCCGTCTCAAAAAAGAAAAAAAGAAACATATCTTCAGCATGGGTAAAAACTGCACACCGGGGATTAGGAATCTTGAGAATCATTATTTGCCTCTTTTTCTGTCACTCACTGGCTCTTTCTCATCCATGCTCAGGATACGCACCGAGGACTCTTCATCCAGCAGCTCCGACCCACACAGAACCTGCAGCCAAGAATTAAGCTCAAGCTGTTTGGCCACTCGGGATCCGGGAAAACCACCCTTGTAGAATCTCTCAAGTGTGGGCTGCTGAGGAGCTTTTTCAGAAGGCGTCGGCCCAGACTGTCTTCCACCAACTCCAGCAGGTTCCCACCTTCACCCCTGGCTTCTAAGCCCACAGGTAGGAACCTCCATGCTGGCCCCGTCTCTCCAGCAGGTGTTGGCTTCCGCACTCTCTCCTTTCAAGGTCTAGGGGGGAAGGGAGTTGTGTTTGGGTCACTTGGCCTATACTGGACCCTGTGGCCTTAGTGGTTTTCAGGTCCAGGTTGGCTGGTAGCCTTGTGTGTGCTGCCTGTTGTCCAGCAGTAACAGACTGACTTGGCAGTAGCAAAACAAGGGCCTCACTGAAATCACAGCCACAGACACAAAGGTCCATCCTCATAAATGTGCAAACTGCAGAATTTGCACAGTCAGCTTTGGGGACACAGTTGCAAATTGCATTGCATTCTACTCAGGGCTCTGGCCTTAGAGACAAAAAGAGCTCAAACTCAAACAGTCCAAGCATAGCACAGATCCAATAGCAGCCCAAGAAGGGTCCTCAACCCTTATCCTTCTTTCTGGAGTGCTACAGGCAGACCCAGTATTGTAGATACATAGAGCAACAAAAAGGGATTTCCAGGAAGCACCATCCTGCTCAGTTCAAGGTTGGATAGAGGTTTCCAGAGGCTCCTTAGTGGTTTTCAGGGATGGTCTCTCTGGTCACATCCACCCTCCTTGGGAACGTTTGCTGCCTTCCGGGCCTTCCACAGACAGGGTTATTGATTCACATTAGGGGGCTGTCACGAAACACCTGGCAGTGAGCAAGAGAAAATGATGCAATCTTGGGTGTGATTCCAACTGAATCCTCCTTTAGACAGAGCGAGTGAGTTTGTGGAAAGATAAGAGACCTTCCAAGAGTTTCCTAAACCAGGACAGTTTTGTGCTTTGTGCCTTGATTCATTCTCTGTATATGATGTCACAGAAGAGCCAGGTCTGTTCCCCAGGTTGATGCTAAAGTTTGTGTTTCTCTTACGTCCCCTCAGTGAGGGAGGACGCTGGGGAGCATGGGTAGCTGCGGAGAGTTGGCTGAGATTTATATTCCCTTTTCAACTTCTGTTCTCTGAACACAGCTATAGAATTGAAATGAGGAGAAGAAAGAATAACCAAAACAGAGTTATAATTCATATTATTATATTGCTGATACATATGTCAATATTTATAGAGTACTGTGTGCCAGGAACTGGAAGAAATATGGTCTGAAGGACGCCTCATTTAATCCAAGTGACAGCTTCCGAGGTGTTTTTACCGCTATTTCCCTGCAGCCTTGAGGGGTCAGTTGGCTTCTCTGAGGCGCACAGGTGGCAAATCCCAGAACATCTGGTGCCTGAGCCAGTGCTTGTCAATAACACCCTGCATAAGGAATTCACAGGCACACCTTTCCATTTTCCAGTGTGATTTTTTTGTTTTTTGTCTTTGCATATTAAGTTAAATGTTATTACAAAAGAGTCAAAACTTTAAAAAATTTAAAAGTAGATAATGGAAAAAATGTGACAGAAGGTTAAGATTAATTTATTATTAAAGAAAAAAATTTATTTTATTTATTTTTTTTTTTTTTTGAGATGGAGTCTCGCTCTGTTGCCCAGGCTGGAGTGCAGTGGTGTGATCTCGGCTCACTGCAACCTCCGCCTCCTGGGTTCAAGTGATTCTCCTGCCTCAGCCTCCCAGGTGGCTGGGACTACAGGTGCATGCCACCACACCAGGCTAACTTTTGTATTTTTAGTAGAGACGAGGTTTCACCATATTGGCCAGGCTGGTCTCAGACTCCTGACCTTGTGATCCACCTGCCTCGGCCTCCCAAAGTGCTGGGATTACAGGCGTGAGCCACCGCACCTGGCCTCCAGTGTGATTTCTGCTCTAGTTGAGGATTTAAGTGGGGTTCAGTTGCTCCCTTAGAGGGAGGCAGCACGCTCCTGCTGTGGTTAAGGGCACTGCAGCCTGAACCTCTGTGGTTAGGAGGGTGGGATATGAGAGAGAGAGAGAGGTCATGAGCTCATGATCTGGAAAGTTTGCAAGGCCTAAGTGGGTGTGCAGATGATGCCCAGGAGCCCCCATTGTGGAGTCCTGGGAGTCACCTGTGGCTCTGCCCTTGGCCTCAGAGGTGAGGTATCCATGGCCTTGCTTCTCCTCAGTATCTGTGTCTGGTCTTTGCAGCAGGTTCCTGGTGAAGGGTGGCTCTGGGTGACCCTTTTTCTGCACGCCCCACCATGGGGGGAGCATCTTTAGCCAGGGATCGGGGAGGGGGTCCTGGCGCGGGGGCAGAAGCCCCTCTGCATGAGAGCCCTAAGGTGCAGGCACACCAGCTGCTTTCAGCCCAGCCGTGGGGTCTGGGGAGGAGGCAGCTGTCCTGGTCCCTGGGCCCCCACAGTCAGTGCCGCCTGCCCCTGGTGGAGGAAGTGTGCGCTGGTGGTTGCCCCTGAAGCCTGGTGGCTGAGGGATCCCTGGGCAGGAGGCATAGCTCGGCAGCTGGACTTGGAGGTGGATGAGACAGACAAGATGCCCCCATCCCTGGACTGGGCGGGTCACCAGGCACTTGCTGCCCTCACAGCTTGTACATCAGCATCAGACAGCGCCCGGGAAATGCAGAGCAGGGCACAAGCACAGGGCACCGCGAGGGCGGCCTGGGGAGATTGGACTTTGGCAGAGGGTATGTGTGTTGGGGGCCAACGGAGCAGCGTGGCTTTGTTAGACACCCGAGGAACTGCCGCTCCTGAGCATGCCTCCAGGGACTGGGCCTGGTTCCTGAAGCAGCAACACTGTCACCTGCCAGGGGGCACTGCTCGTGCCTGGCAGGCCGTGCTGGGGTCTCTTTCAGGCCAGGGCTCTGGACACCAGTGACCTCTCCTAGAATTGTCAGGCCCTTTTCCCTTCAATGAGAGAGATGCCTACATGGCAACATTTATATCATCAGACAGCAAGAAGTTTGCTTTTAGAATTTTGGCCCTTTTCCACTGCCGTTCTCTTGAGAACGCTGGAGGCCAAGGCTGAGCTCCCAGCCAGGAGACCGGACGGGGTCCCCTCGAAGTTTTCTGTTGCACACATCACTCAGCTGTGGGGACACTGAGGGTTGTGGCTGTTGAGCTGTGGGAAGGAAAACATCCAAGGTCATAGGAGGCATGAATGTCCAGGAAGAGTATTTGAAGAAGCCATTCCTATTCCCGCGGAGAGGAGCCTGCGGGAGGAATTCCCGGTGACCAGGTAAAGTGGGTCTCCTGGGAGCCGTCACGTTACACCGCCAGGGGGCAGTAGCTAACAAAAATGATTTCCTGGGATTTCGGTGCTTCCCCATGAAATTATTGTTTTCATAACACCTTGTACAAAGCCTGTCCTAACCTTTTATCCTCCCAACGAAAACTGTCACCGAGGAGCAGGAATGACTGCCATTTACCAACGTCTGCTCTCATTAAGCACAGGGCCACATGCCACTAAAAGAAGGCTTGTTCCTGACAGGCAGGCACCCAGACACAAATTCCAGGTCACAGGGAAGTGGACAGACCCATTCTTGGGCAACCCAGCAGCTTTTGCAGGCTGGGATTAACAATATGCAGAGAAATACACTAAAATGGCAGCTATGTTGACATCAAGACTTACATCATTTTGCTTTTGTTTTCTATTTACATTCCTATCTGCCAACTTTCCTACAGAAATAGAATATGTGTTGGTGTTTTTAAGAATAAATCTTGCCCTCCTAGTGCCCTTTCTCCTTTCCCTGTACCTAATCCTGCCCTTAGGATCCACTTTTCTTCTCCTCATCCCCTCCGTTGGATACCCCCATTATCCATGTCCAAAGTCTTAACTCTTTGGTCTTTAAGTAAGGGATTACCTTGGTGTTTGGATCGCCTGTTTTAAAGTCAGATACCCAGGTGAAATGGTCACTTCTTTAGTGCCTCGCAATGTCTATTGTATTAATGGTAAACCAATGGTACTGCAGTTAAGATCAATGAATCCCTTCTCCAATGCAATTCGTTCACCAAGTTCTTACAGAGCACTCTCTGTGGGCCCTGGGTCACAGCCCTGACCAGAAAGGCAGCTTCTGCCTGCACAAGCCTGGTGGGAGAGACGGGGAGCAGGGCAGGCCAGTGAGTAACTGAGACAGTGAGGAAGCACAGGCTCTATGCCTAAACGCAGGGGACCCAGACTCTGTTATTCAGCTCCCGTACAACACCCACAAGTTCACCATTGTTTACATAATGTTTCCTTTAAACTGACTCACTTTTTAAAATGTACTAAAATACATTGATTTGAAAATGAAAGTTAATATCCCTATCATAAATGGGAACCCAGTGTCACTGCCATAAGTAAAAATAAATGCAGTGAACAGCAACCAATGTGAATAAAATCCCGCTAAACGCCAATGCCCACACCCTCTTCATTAAAAGGGAAGATGAGCAGGTGTTGAGGAAATGCTAAAATCGGAAGGCCTCAAGTGGAGACTCGCTGCAAGAACAACTGAAAGGCCTTCAAGGGAATTTCAAAAAGGAGTAGCTTTCACAGTGTGTGATTCAGCATTATTTAATGCTATGGCCTGCTACTGTCTGAAATCATTTTCCATTTAACCTGCAATAATAATCTCATGTGCAAGAGAGAGAAGTCGCTCAGTGGGAGCTGGAGGAAGACAGAGACTGCGAGTATCAGCAAAGTAGCAGGAAGTGAGAAGGGAAGAAACCCGACCTCTGCCCTCCCACCCTCTCCACAGCCTCCCGTTGGCTGACCCTAAGCAGAAATCACATGGCAAGCCAGCCTAGAGACACAATCCCTAGGACCAGCCACCCGGGCAACAGGGCGGGGCAGAAAAGGTTGTGGGGAGGTAGAGCAAGCGGAAAAGCCCACAGCCTTGCTGGGAACACTGCTGCCCTGCACGTGTGAGGGCAGACACACTCAGCCTGAAGCCAGAGTTGGGGTGGGGACAGAGGCGTGCTCCAGAAAAGGAAACCTCAGGGCCAGCCTGGGAGGGAGACAGGCACACGCTGCCCCCATCGAGTACTCATGTGATCCTTTCCATCCTGCAGTCTCAGTGAGCATCAACAACCTGTACCCAGGCTGCGAGAACGTGAGTGTGAGGAGCCGCAGCATGATGTTCGAGCCGGGTCTTACCAAAGGGATGCTGGAGGTGTTTGTGGCCCCGACCCACCACCCGCACTGCTCGGCCGATGACCAGTCCACCAAGGCCATCGACATCCAGAACGCTTATTTGAATGGTATGCCCTGCCTGCCCCAAGGGAAGGACCTCAGGTTTCCCTTCAACAGGGTTGTAAGTCATCCCTAAAGGGAGCTTGTCCTGAGCTGTATCTGTCACTTCCAGAAGGAAATCCAACACAGACTGATATTCAGAGTGAGCCAGGACTGAAGCATGGCTGGCTACCATCCCTAAACAGTGAAATTAAACACTGGGGTATTGTCAGCGCCTAGTAAAGCACTTGGCATACAGTAAGTGCTTGATAAATGACTGTGGAGTAAATTAATAATATTTGTACATATTTATGGGGTACGTGTGATATTTCATTGCGTGTATAGAATGTGTATGTAATGATCAAGTCACATTATGTGAGGTGTCCGTCACTTTGAGTTTTTATCATTTCTATGTGTTGGGAACATTTCAAGTCCTCTCTTCTAGCTATTTTGAAAAATACAACGCATTGTTAACTATAGTCACCCTATTCTGCTATTGAACACTGGAATGTATTTCTTCTATCTAACTGCATGTTTGTACCCATTAACCAACCTATCTTCATTCCCCTCTCCACACACACACACAGCCTTCCCAGTCTCTGGTATCTATCATTCTACTCCCTACCTCCATAAAATCAACTTTTTTAGCTCCCACATGTGAATGAGAACATGCAGTATTTATCTTTCTGTGCCTGGGTTATTTGACTTAACATAATGACCTCCAGTTCTATCCATGTTGCTGCAAATGACGTGATTTCATTCTGTTTTATGTCTGTGCATAAATAGTGTTCTGTTATGTGTATACCACGTTTTCTTTATTCATTTGTTCCTTGATGGACACTTAGGTCAATTCCGTATCTTTGCTATTGTGAATAGTGCTGAAGTAAACATGGGCGTGCACGTATCCCTTTGATATACTGATTTCCTTTCCTTTGGAAAAATGCACAGTAGTGGAATTACTAGATCATATGTTAGCTCAATTTTTAGTCTTTTTGAGAAATCTCCATGCTATTTTCCATAATAACTGTACTAATTTATATTTCTACCAACAGTATATAAGAATTCTCTTTTCTCTGCATCATTGCCAGCTTCTGCTATTTTTTTTTTGTCTTTTTAATAATAGCCATTCTGATTGGTGTAAGAGGGTGTCTCACTGTGGTTTTGATTTGCATTTCTTGGATGATTAGTGATATTGAACATTTTTCTCATTTACCTGTTGGCCATTTGTATGTCTTCTTTTAAGAAATTTCTATGCAGGTTCTTGCTCATTTTTGTTTTCCTTTCTTTTTCAACTTGTATTTTAGATTCAGGGGTCCCTGTGCAGATTTGTTACCTGGTCATATTGCATGATGCTGAGGTTTAGGGTACAAATGATCCCTCCCTCCCACCCCCTCTAGTAGTCCCCAGTTACTATTGTTGCCATCTTTACATCCATGAGTACCGAATGTTTAGTACCCCCTTATAAGTGAGAACATGCCATATTTGGTTTTCTGTTCCTGTGTTAATTCACTTAGGATAATAGCCTCCAGCTCCATTCATGTTGCTGCAAAGGACATGATTTTCTTCTTTTTTATGGCTTCATAGTATTTCATGATGTATATGTATCATATTGTCTTTATCCAGTCTGCCATTGATGGGCGCCTAGGTTGACTCCGTGTCGTTGCTGTTGTGAATAGTGCTGCAATGAACATACTAGTGCATGTGTCTTTTTGGTGGAACAATTTGTTTCCTTTCGGATATATACCCAGAAATGGGATTGCTGGGTCAAACAGTAGTTTTAAGTTCTTTGAGAAATCTCCAAACTTCTTTCCACAGTGGCTGAACTTATTTACATTCCCACAACGTATAGGTGTTCTCTTTTCTTCACGCCCTCACCAGCATCTCTTGTTTTTTTGTCTTTTTAGTAATAGCCATTCTGATTGGTGTGAAATGGTATCTCATTGTGGTTTTGATTTGCATTTCTCTGATGATTAGTGATGTTGAGCTTTTTTTCATATGTCTGTTGGCTACTTGTATGTCTTCTTTTGAGAAGTGTCTGTTCGTGTCCTTTGCCCACTTTTTAATGGGGTTATTTGGTTTTTACTTGTTCAACTCTTTAAGTTCCTTATAGATTCTGGATCTTAGATTATGCCTTTTTGGATGCATAGTTTGTGAATATTTCCTCCCATTCTGTAGGTTGTCTGTTTACTCTGTTGACAATTTCTTTTACTGTTCAGAAGCTCTTTAATTAGGTCCTACCTGTCAATTTTTGTTTTTGTTGGCAATTGTTTTTGAGGACTTAGTTATAAATTCTTCCCCAAGGTCAGTATCCAAAATGGTGTTTCCTAGATTTTCTTCTAGGATTCTTATAGTTTTGAGGTTTTACATTTACAGCTTTAATTTATCTTGAATTTTTTTTTTATATGGTGAAAGGTGGGAATCCAGTTTCATTCTTCTGCATGTGGCTTACCAGCTATCCCAGCGCCATTGATTGAATAGGGAGTCCTTTCTCCATTACTTATTTTTGTCAACTTTGTCGCAGATTGGGTGGCTGTAGGTGTGCAGCTTTATTTCTGGGTTATCTATTCTGTTCCACTGGTCTATGTGTCTGTTTTTGTACCAGTACCATGCTGTTTTGGTTACTGTAGACCTTTGCCCACTTTTTGATGGGATTGTTTGTTATTTTACTGTTCAGCTGTTTGAGTTCCTTGTATATTCTGGATATTAATCCCTTGTCACATAAATAGTTTGCAAAATATCTCCCATTCTACAAATTGTCTCTTCACTCTGTTAATTGTTTCCTTTGCTGTGCAAAAACTGTTTAGTTTAATACACTCTAAGTTGTCTATTTTTGTTTTTATTACCTGTGCTTTTGAGGTTTTATCCACAATATCTTTGTAGGACCAATGTCCTGAAGCCTGTCCTCTTCTACTGGTTTTATAATTTAGGGTATACATTTAAGTCTTTAATCCATCTTGAGTTGATTTTTGAATATGGTGAGAGACAGGGGTCCAGTTTCATTCTTCTGCATATGGATATTCTGTTTTCCCAGCAGCGTTTATTTACAAGGGTGTTCTTTTCCCCAGTATGTGTTCTTATTGCCTCTGTCAAGTTATTTGGCTATGAATACCTGGATTTATTTCTGAGTTTTCTATTCTGTTCCATTGGTCTATGTGTCTGTTTTTATATCAATACCATGCTGTTTTGGTTACTATAGCCTTGCAGTGTATTTTGAAGTCAAGTAGTGAGATGCCTCTAGCTTTGTTCTTTACACTCAGGATTGCTTTGGCTGTTTGGCCACTGTTTTGTTTCCATACAAATTTTCCGATTGTCTTTTCTATTTCTGTGAAAAATGACATTGGTATTTTGATAGGGATTGCATTGAATCTGTAGATTGCCTTGAGTAGTATGAGCATTTTCACAATGTTGATTCTTCCAATATATGACCACAGCATGTATTTGCATTTGTTTGTGTCCTCTCAGTGTCTTTCGTCTGTGTTTTGTGCTTTTCCTTGTAGGGGTCTTTCACCTCTTTGGTTAAATTTATTCCTGAGTATTTTATTTTTATTGCAGCTATTGTAAATGGAAATGCCCTCTTGATTTCTTTCTCAGCTAGTTCATTTTTGATGTATAGAAAGGCTACTGATTTTTGTAGGTTGATTTTGTATCCTGCAACTTTACCTATTTAATATGAATTTATTTCTCAGATCTAAGAGTTTTTTGGTGGAGTCTTTAGGTTTCTGTAGTTATAAGACCATATCACTTGCAAAGAGGGACAATTTGGGTTTCTCTTTTCTAGTTTATATGCTTTTTATTTCTTTCCCTTTGCCTGATTGTTCTGGCTAAGAATTCCAGTACTGTGTTGGATAGGAGTGATGTAGGGGGCATTCTTGTCTTATTTCAGATCTTAAAGGAAAAGCATTCAGCTTTTCTCTATTCAGTATGATGTCAGCTATGGGTTCATCATGTATGACCTTTATTATGTTGAGGTATGGGTTCGTCATGTATGGCCTTTATTATGTTGAGATATGTTCCTTCTATACCTAGTTTGTTGACAGCTTTTATCATGAAGGGATGTTGAATTTTGTCAAATGCTTTTTCGGCATCTGTTGAGATTATGATATGGCTTTTGTTCTTTCTGTTGATGTGGTGTATTATGTCAACTCATCCTTGCATCCCTGATTGTGGTGTATCATCTTTTTTGTGTGCTGTTGGATTTGGTTTACTAGTATATTGTGAGGATTTTTGCATCTGTGTTTATCAGGGATCTTGGCCTATAATGATGATGATGTTGTTGTTGTTGTTTTTACATTCTTTTCTGGTTTTGTTATCATGGCAATGCTGGTTTCATGGAATAAATTAAGGAGAACTCCTGCCCCTTCAGTTTTTTTTGGAATAGATTGAGGAGAATCATTAGTTCTTCTGACATCCAAACCTGGACTTCTCTTTTTGGGGAGGCTTTTTAATACCAGTTCAATCTCATTACTCATTATTGGTCTGCTCTAGTTTTCTATTTCTTTCTGATTCAATCTTTGTAAATTATCTGTCTAGGAATTTATCCATTTCCTCTAGATTTTCCAGTTAGCGTATAGTTGTTCATAATAACCTCTGATGATCTTTGGTATTTTTGTGGCATCAGTTGTAATACCTTACTTTTCATTTCTCATTTTGTTCTTTTGGGTCTTCTCTCTTTTTTTCTAGGTCAGTCTAGCAAATGGTTTAGCAATTTTGTTTATATTATAAAAGAACAATTTTTCATTTCATCAGTTCTTTGTATTTTTTTAGTATCTGTTTTGTTTAGTTCTTCTCTGACCTTTATTATTTCTTTTCTCCTGCTAAATTGTGGTTTGGCTTGTTTTTGCTTCTCTAGTTCTTTGAGGTGCATCATTCGATTGTTTATTTGAAACGTTTCTGATTTTTTGACGTAGGTGTTTATTGTTATAAACTTCCTTCTTAGCATTGCTTTGGCTGTAGGTTTTGGTCTTGTGCTTTGATTTTCATTTGTTTCAAGAATTTTTTTAAATTTCTCCCCTAATTTCTTTCTTGACCCTGTGGTCATTCAGGAGCATGTTGTTTACTTTCCATGTATTTGTACAGTTTCCAAAGTTCCTCTTGTTATCAATTTCTAGTTTTACTGCACTGTGGTTTGAGGAGATACTTGATATGATTTCAATTTTTTTTACATTTGTTGAGACTTTTCATGTGTCCTGATATATGTTCTATCCTGGAGAATGTTCTGTGTGCTGATGAGAAAATGCGTATTCTGTAGCTGTTGGATAAAATGTTCTGTAAATGTCCGTTAGGTCCACTTGGTCTAACAGGCAGTTTAAATTCAGTGTTTCTTTGTTAATTTTCTGTCTGTATAATCTGCCTAATGCTGAAAGTGGGGTGTTGAATTCCCCAAATATTGTTGTATTGAAGTCTATCTGTTCCTATAGATCTAATAATATTTGCTGTAAATATCTGCATGCTCTGGTGATGGATACATATATGTTTAGAACTGTTATATCTTCTTGCTGAATTGATCCCTTTTGCATTATATAATGACCTTCTTTTTTTTTTTTTGACTTAAAGTCTGTTTTATCTGATATAAGTACAGCAACTTTCGCTCACTTTTGGTTTCCATTTTCATGGAATATCTTTTTGTATCCCTTTACTTTCAATCTATATGTATCTTTATAGATAAAATGGATTTCTTGTCAGCAGCATATAGTTGGGCCATGTTTTATTAGTCAAACAGCCAGTCTGTATCTTTTAGGTGGAAAAGTTAATTCATATACATTCAAGGTTATTGTTAATATGTGAGGGTTTATTCCTGTCATTTTATTAATTGGTTTTTTGTTGTTTCATATATTCTTTATTCCTTTCTCCTTCATTATCATTGTGGTTTGGTGGCTTTCTGTAGTTGTAATATTTGAGTCCTTTCTCTTCCTTAATATGTTTCCTCTACCAGTGGATTTATGCTTTCGTGTGTTTTCATGATGAAAGAATTGTCCTTTCACTTCCAGGTGTAGAACTCCTTTAAGCATTGTTTATAGATTTGATCTAGTGATGATCACTTCCCCCAGCTTGTCTTGTTTTTGGGGAAGACTTTATTTCTCCTTCACTTATGAAGCATAACTTTGCTGTCTGTAGTATCCTTGGCTGACAATTTCCTTCTTTCAGTTCTTTGAATATAGCATTTCATTCTCTCCTGGCCAGTAGAATTTCTGCTGAGAAATCTGCTGTGAGTCTGACGGGCGTTCCCTTGTAAGTGACTAGACTTTTTTTTTTTTTTTTTTTTTTTTTTTTTTTTTTTTTTTCTGTTTTCAGACTTCCCTTTGTCTTTGACTTTTGACAATTGGACTATAATGTGCCATGGAGAGGACCTTTTTTCGATTGTATCTGTTTGGAGAGCTCTACAGCTTCCTGCATCTGGATTTCCAAATCTTTTGCCAAACCTGGAAAGTTTTTAACAATTATTTTAATAAATAGATTTTTTATCTCCTTCAGTTTCTCTTTACCTTTGGGACACCAAAAACTTGAATATTTGATTGCTTTATGGTGTCCCATATGTCACAAGAGTTTTGTTTATTTTTTTATTTTTATTTTTTTAATGTTGTCTGATTGGGTTATTACAAAAGACCTGTCTTCAATTTCTGAAATTCTTCCTTCTGCTTGATCTAGTCTATTGTTGCAGCTTTTGAATAAATTTTCTGTTTTATTCAAGAAGTTCTTCAATTCTAGAATTTCTATTTTGATTCTTTGGTAAACTTCTCATAATATTCTGAGTTGTTTTTCTGATATCTTTGTATTGTTTTTCTGGATTCTCTTGTACCTCACTGAACTTGTTTAATGTCATGATTCTGAGTACTTTTTTTAGATTGCATAGGTTTATTTTTCATTAGAATCTGTTGCTGGAGAGTTATTGTGCTCTTTCGGAGGTGCAATATTTCCTTGCTTTTTCATGTTTCTTGTGTCCTTACATTGATATCTGTGCATCCGGTATAATAGTCACTTCTTTGAACTTTTTGAACTTGCTTTCATAGGGGAGGGCATTTTCCTGAAGATGTGTCTATGGTGTTGGTTGAGTAGGGCACTTTGGCTTTGATTCTGGGTGCATGCAGTAGCATAGTGGCCATACGATTTTTTTTCAGCTGTAAGCAGCTCCAGTGGTGCCTGTAATTTTCTCAGTGGCTTAGGGTATGGTTGTTAGTGGAGGCTGTGGTAAAGTTTTTCTGGAGATGGGGATACCACGTGGGCCAGTCCTCAGAACCTAGTGGTGGCAGTGGTGGGCTGAGCATGCCTGTCCTTGGGCCCCAGGGTGGTATATGCTGGTACTGATACTAGTGGGTCCAGGTAGGTTGATTCTTGGGCCTCCAGACAGCTTGCTCAAGTGCTGGTAGTAGTAGCAGTGGGCCAGGTGGGTAGTCAGGTTCTCAGTTCCCTGGGCAGCAGGCGTGGTGTGAGTGATGGCAGTAGTCATAATGAGACAGCCCTCTGGCTCCCAAGCAATCTGTGCTGATGTTGGCAGTGGCTGCAATGGGCTAGGCAGGCCAGTACCTAGCCCTGCAGGTGGCATATACAGGTGAGTGCCAGCTGTGATGATAGTGGTAGGTTGGATGGGCGTGACCTCAGGCCACTAAGAGGAGTGCTCAGGTGCCAGTGGTGGTGGACTGGGCTAGGTGATCCCCAGGTCCCCAGACAGCATATTCAGGCTCTTAGGGGATTGTGAAGTCAAGCTCAGCAGGCCTGTCGTCAGGTCCCCTGGTGGTGCATGTGATCCCCAGCCTCTGGCAAAATGCTTGAGTCAGGGAGGCAGTGGCTGCACTGTGGCTCTGCTACTGGGAAGAGTGGTCCTGCTTTCACTGTCAGCAGCCATATGCGGCCAGCTGGGGAGTGTATGATTTGCACATACTTTAGACTCAGTGGACACAGCAGCAGTGGCTGCAGACAGGGGATTCTGTCCTTGGGGCAGATGAAAATGCACAGCCACTACTCTGCTAGGGACAGTGGGGTCTCTGTCAATGGGTTATGCCTAGACCTTGGTGGCAGCTGCCAGCCAAGGTGGTGGCTGCAGGCAGAGATGTCAGTGGGGCTCTAGGGATATAGAGATGCCGAGGCCATTGGGCTACAGAGCAGGATGCAGTCTACGGGTGTTTGGAACATACAAATGGTGCCGCACTGTAGCTGCTTCGGACTCAGAGAGTGCGTGGGAGCCAGCCTGAGCTCCCTCTCTGGAGCAATACTGTCATGCAGTCTCCAGGCAGCTCCCTCAGCTAATCTCAGGGCCCACATGGGTGAAGGGTCCCCCTGCACCAGGGGCAAAAATTGCGGGAGTTCATGGTCTGTGTGCATTTTGCTCTCTTAAAAGTTGGGCTTCCTCTGAGCTCCCCAGAGCAGAGCTGGCTGTGGCAGCACAGAGAGAAGAGAAACTTGTCTTGGGACCCCAGGCCCTGCTCCCATCTGATCTCTCACAGCCCCAGCCGCAACCCACCTCAGGACCCCACACTCCAAGAGCCAATTTCTGGGTACCAGAACTTTCCATGCTTGGCCTAAGCAGCCAGCTTTGGAGGGTGGTCCCTCCTGCTTCACTACAAGTCTGAGAAAAACCCTTTAGATCTCAGAGTGCATCTTGACTGCAGGATTTTGGGTACAGAGTAAGCACTGAGGGGTAAACGAGGTGAAGGGAGCCTTCAAATCCTGTAATGGAAGTGGCCCTGGCCAGGCCGCCCCAGAGGCCAGTGGTGGGCGGCCACAGTCCTGGCAGGATGTGGCAGTGTAGAGAGGGGGCATCTCAGGTCCACTGGAGGTTCCGGGAGTCCTGGGAGCTCCAGGTGGAATCTAATCTGCAGATATTTCTGGGGAAATGGGCAGCCTTCACAGCTCCAGTATGGGAAAGCAATTGCCCCCACATACAACCTTTGACCCCTGCTTGACACTTTCCTGCCTGAAGGACCCCACCTCCTCCCAGATCCAAGCACCTCCTGTGTAGGCAGAACTGCTGAGCTCTGCATCTCACACCCCTGCATGCTTCTTGCTTCTTCTGAGCAGCCTGGACAGGGCCCTCAGTCACCTGGCCAAGTCAGTCCCTGTTGAGCCAAATTCAGGTGACTTTTCATAGTCACTGTTACATTCAATATCCTATACCCTGGCACGTTCCAAAATTCATGTATATTTATTCAGGACACAAAATCTTTTCACCCACCTTCTCTCAATTAATCCTCTATGGGACTTTGTGAGTTTGGGAATCACAAACCTAATGTGGGCAGTTTGTCCCCGGCTCCTTCCTTGTCAGGAGTAAATTCTGCAAGTGAAGGTGGAGTGTCTGTATTAAGGATATGTGAGCCTACAACCGTGTCATTATTATTATGGATGTGGTGTTCACACTTCTGCGTAATATGACCTGATGGATCTTTGTTTTTTCCCCAGGTGGTTCTCTCTTTTTTTTAATACACCAATATTTGAGGGGGAGTAATACAAAATATATATGTATACAGACACACACACACACATTTCCATGTAAGCACCCAGGCATGCACATATATGTGTACATGCATGTTGTGTGTGTGTAGCACTCCAGGGTATTAGAAGTAGTCATGATATAGATACATATATACACACACATAATAATGAAGGTACTTAGGGAAAGAGTTAAGCAGGTGCAGACATAAGTAGAAAAACAGACATGGATATACATGCTGTAGATATGTACGCGTGACACAAGTCGATCTGCACGTCAGTAGATGTGTGTCTTCGTTCATTTTGTGTTGCTATAACAGAATACTTGAGACAGGGTAATTGATAAGAAAAGCGGTTCATTTAGCTCATGGCTCTGCAGACTGGGAAGTTCAAGGGGCGTGGCACCAGCATCTGCTTTGATTCTGGTGAGAGCTTTTGAGCTGGGTCTAAATGTGACAGAAGGTCAAAGGGTAAGTGGACACACGGGAAGGGACAAAAACCTGCTTTACATCAATCCACGTTCTCAGGACCTAATCCATTCCCATGAGAACTAATCCACTCTCACAAGAGCAAGAACACACTCACTCACTCACTCACTCCTTCCCACCAGCACCAAGCCATTTGGGAGGGATTTGCACTTAGGACCCAAACACCTCCCACCAGGCCTCACCTCCCACATCACCTCACTGAGTGATTTCAATATGAGTTTTAGTGGGGAACAAACCATACCCAAGTCATAACAAGATGTATACACATACAGAAGAATGCCATAAGTATCACTATGCCTACTTCGAATCCGTGGAACGCTAAGAGAATTTATGATTGAAATTTGGTTAGTGGTGTTTCACGATTGTTATCATTTTTCTTTTTCTGTAGGAGTTGGCGATTTCAGCGTGTGGGAGTTCTCTGGAAATCCTGTGTATTTCTGCTGTTATGACTATTTTGCTGCAAATGATCCCACGTCAATCCATGTTGTTGTCTTTAGTCTAGAAGAGCCCTATGAGATCCAGCTGAACCAAGTGATTTTCTGGCTCAGTTTCCTGAAGTCCCTTGTCCCAGTTGAAGAACCCATAGGTGAGCTAAGTCCCTGCAGGCCAGTGATGTCCTACCTGTGGTTGGCCAGGAATCGCCTCCTCCTTCCAGGCTTCTGCCCTGCTCCTGCCACTGCTGCTGCTGGCCTTGCACCAGGCCATGAGCAGATCCCACCGTTTGTGGCTAACAGCTGAGCCAACTTCCTTTCTCCTTCCTGCTGGGAGACTTCCACTCTGAGAAGCTTCATGAGGCTCAAGTGTTCGTGGTATTCTGCAGGCTGTTTTTGTTTCATGATTGCATATTCCTGCCTCAAAGGCCCACTTTGAACAATCCTTTGAGAGGCATTTCTCACTTTTTTTCTACACTTGAGAGCCATGGTCATTGTATGTTGGGTGCAAAATGGAATCCCTGCTTGGATAGCTACTGCACCTTTACCTAAAGGGTACAGAATTAGTCAGCAGAATGAGCAGTTCTTCATCCTGTAATTCCACTAAGAAACAAAGAAAGAGGCCGGGTGCAGTGGTTCACGGCTGTAATCCTAGCACTGTGGGAAGCCAAGGTGGGCAGATGCCTTGAGCTCAGGAGTTCAAGACCAGCCTGGCCCACATGGCAAAACCTCATCTCTACAAAACATACAAAAACTTAGCCAGGTGTGGTGGCATGTGCCTGTAGTCCCAGCTACTTCAGGGGCTGAGGCAGGAGGATTGCTTGAACCTGGGAGGCTGTGGCTGCAGTGAGCCAAGATCGTGCCACTGCACTTAGCCTGGGTGACACAGTGAGACCCTGTCTCAAAAAAAAAGAGAGAGAAATGAAGAAAGGGAGCATGTTGACTGAATGTGTTATCTTAACTTTATTCCTAGAGGAGAGGATAACATGAAATAAACTTCCTTTGGTCTTTGCCCACAACAAGAGAAGCAGCCTTCCCTGGTGAAATGCAATACTCAGCAGTCAATTTTTTTTCTTTCCGGAAAAGCATATAATACAAGGAGTTGGGCTTAATGCCCCTCTGGGTACTGCCAGTTTTGCCTCTTTCTTTGTCCTTTTTTTCCTTTGTTTTAAACACTCCCCGAAGTGGGAGGCTCTTTGTGTGACTTGCAGGTCATTTACCTCTGACCCATCTCTGTGGTGTTGCTGCACTCAGGCGTCTCTCTTTGGTCTTGTAAGCGGCATCCCTTTTGTCACAGGTTAAATTTTCCCTCTCCTTGTAAGTAGGGGCTATTTGGAGACTTGAGAAACTGCCTTTAGTCATTCTGGTCCACTTTGAGCAATTTTCCTTGTGGCCTAGGAGATAGGCTTATCCTGTCGTTGGCCATGCTGGGGCCTTCTAGGGTCACAGTGCACAGCAGGCGTGGGGCCTTCATCTCTGTGGCATGTTGCACTTGTACCTGGAGAGTCGGCCTGGGCATGAGGCCAACACACCGCCCTCACCTGGGCAGGAGAGGCAGCCAGGTAGGAGGACCCACCCCCTGAAGCAGTTCCCTCTCTGCCCCCAGCCTTCGGTGGCAAGCTGAAGAACCCACTCCAAGTTGTCCTGGTGGCCACCCACGCTGACATCATGAATGTTCCTCGACCGGCTGGAGGCGAGTTTGGATATGACAAAGACACATCGTTGCTGAAAGAGATTAGGAACAGGTGAGGGGCAGCCACTTAGTCTCCAGCTCACGGGTAGCCTCCTCTCCCTGAGAACTGAAGCAGAGGTGTGAAAAGTACAAAGGAAGTCTCATGAACCAGAGAAAGGTTTTAAAGGTCTTTCTTTCTTGGTCAACTCTTTTCTTGTACAGGTCTTGTATCCCTTATTGGAAATGATCGGCTTTAGAAGTGTTTCTGATTTCTTATTTGTTTGGATTTTAATATATGTACATATACATAGCAGTTGAACATCCTAGTTCAAAAATTCTAAATCTGAAATGCTCTAATAACCATTTCCTTTGCATGTCTTGTCTTTGCCCAAAAGGTTTTTGGATTTTGGAACATTTCAGATTTCTGGATTAGGGATGCACAACCTTTATTTTTCATTTTTATTAAAACAATGAATCCACATAGTAAATCAAATACAAATGAAGAGCACGTGATGAAAGCAACCCCCTTCTTTCTACCTCCCAGCAACACTGCCCGGAGGTGACTTCTTTTAGCTGTTTAGATTTCAGTACTCAGTATTCAGTGTTCAGAAACACTAATCAGTATGTCTTACAATATAAGTTGCAACCTACTAGTGAGTCTTAAAATTCATTTAGGAAGTCGTGGCCAATTCTTTTTAAAATGGGATGGAATGGAATGGGATAGGATAGGACAGGAAAGGACAGGACAGGATAGGATAGATCAGATGTCAAGTATTATTTTGTAAAACGTTTGTTTCACTGATGAGTATGGGTATGTACAGGATTATGATGTAAAATATATGTTTTTACTCAGAGTCTATCAAAACAGTTTGAACCTGCAGCTTTCTATAATATGCTAGTATCTCTGATCTTGCATTATCAACTTGAGACATTTATCTATTGTCTTGAGACACTATATCTGTTGCCAGATATAAAAATGGGGCTTCTATTAATATTTTTAGGTCAGTGATGTAGCTTTTGCATTCACACCTCTATTCTTAGTCCCTCCACTTTCCACAGTATCTCTTGTCCTCACTTGTAAGGTGCGAGCATTAGGCCTCACCTTTCCTGCCTCGGGAGAAGCTGACATCTTTCCATGCTGTGCTCCTGCTGCTTCATGCAAACCTGAAGGTCCCGCTCCTATGACTCAGACTATATGCCAGTTTCCCCAAGTCTCTGCACCCACTGTGATGAGGCAGAGCCCACCAACAGCAGGGATGGGGAGGGGCCTTTGCAAGGACACCAGAACTTTCCTTCCCTCCTACCAGCCTCTTGAGCCAGTAGGAGCCTGGCCCCTCCATTAAAAGGCCTGGGGACATTGACTCACTGCTGAGGAGGCTGCTGCTCTTCCCTTAGGTTTGGAAATGATCTTCACATTTCAAATAAGCTGTTTGTTCTGGATGCTGGGGCTTCTGGGTCAAAGGACATGAAGGTACTTCGAAATCATCTGCAAGAAATACGAAGCCAGATTGTTTCGGTAAGTACACCATGGAAAGAGCCTGGACCCCTTTGTACTTCCTTCCTGGTTTGCCTCTGGTTTCAGGGAACTGCTTCATAGTAGGACCCAGTAAGAGGTGTCTGCCTGGACATGTCTTTATCCTAGTGCCCTGGGAAAAGAAAGGAAGAATAGAGAAACAAGGAGATGATGGGAGCTGAAGGGTTATTATGGGCAAGGTGGACCACTTCAATTTTATGAAATTCTTACCGATTTATTGGTTTCTTTAACAATATTTTATTTATTTATTTTATTTTTTCAGAGACAGGATCTCACACTGTCATCCAGGCTGGAGTACAGTGGTGTGATCATAGCTCACCGTAACCTTGAACTCCAGGGCTCAAGCAATCTGTCCATCTCAGCCTCCCAAGTAGCTAGGACTATAGGCACGCACCACCATGTCTGGCTAATTTTTTTGATTTTTTGGTAGAGACAGGGTCTTACTATGTTGCCCAGGCTGGTCTCGAACTCCTAGGCTCAGGTGCTCCTCCCACCTCAGCCTCCCAAAGTGCTGAGATTACAGGTGTGAGCCACCATGCCTGGCCAATTTTGGGAAAAAACCAAAAAATTCAAAAGTGACTTATTGTGGAATATTTAGAAAATTCAGAAAAGTAGAAAAACAGTCACAAACTTTTTTGAAAGACAGAAAAGAATAAATGAACAAAGGGAATGAGACTGTATTCTTGGGTTGCAAGATATGACTATTTTATTTTTCCCTAGTTATATAAATGTAATACAATTTCAGTTAGCATCTGAATGGGTTGAGGGGATTGGGATTTTTATCTTAAAATTTCCATGGAAAAATTCATTAAACCTATTATAAAGCCCCTGATAATCAATACAGTTAAATAGGAGGAAAAGCTTAGAGGGTATAGAAGTAAATCATAATATCTTTAGAAATATAATGGAAAATAAATATGTCATTTGAATTTAATGGGGTAAAGATTATTTAATAAATGAACCTGGCACAACTGGCTATTTGTCTGGAAGGAAATAAAGTTGGATTCCTACACCCTACAAAGTCCAAAAATAAATGGATTAAAGCTTTTAAGTAAAAACATGAAACAATAAATACCTTGAATAGAAATTGTGGAGAGTGTATTTTCAAAATAACTAGGGACTGAGGGAACCTGTTAAACCAAGATCTAAAACCCTAGAAATTTTAAAAGAAAATATACCTGTTTGAAAATGTAAAAATTTTTAAAATTTTTTTCTAGCAAACAAATTAAGTAAACAAAGTTGAAAGGTGAAATAGGCTGGGAAAAAGCATTCTCAATGCTTTGGACAGATAAATGGTCACACCGTAATGTTCAAAAAGCTCTCCGGAATTGGTAAGAAAAGGGCGAGCGTCCCAGTGGAGAAGTGGTGGCATTCACTCTGGAGTCTTCCTGCTGCCGAGGCCTGAGGACAAATGCGGGCAGATGCCTGTCTCCCTCTCTTACCTTTGAAGCTGCCTCTGGGTGTATTTTTTTTTTTTTTTTTTAACTGCTTTGCTAATAAGAAAATGCTGTGCTTCCCGCACCAGATTCTGGTTCTAGATGTGCTTCCAGAATTCTCGGGAAACCCTTTCCTGTCTCCAGAAAACCCTGCCCTTCACACCAGATATCCTCGTTGGGGTCCCACTGTGGCATCATCAGAAGATAGGGGGTAGTCCGGTGAGGCCTGGGAGGAATCTGTCACAGAAACCAGGGGCGGTGATCTGGGAACTAACAGTGGTCTCTGAGGGCCCCTGTGCTTCCCCACCAGGTCTGGATTGAGGCTGCATTCCTGAGGCAGGAGGGAGTGTCCCTGGAGATTTTTGAGCTGGGCTCTGGCATGATCTGCTGCTTCTCAGACACCCCCCGCCCAACCCCTAAACTCCTGAGCTCAGGCAGGTGGAGCCCACCACATCAACTGCACTCACCCCTGAGAATTTTGTTTTTGAATGCAGAGTGGAATTTAGCTGACACAAAAGAATTTGAGAGGGGAGTGCGGAATTAATGGCACGGTGTAGCCTGTGGCTTATGTGGTTTCTAATTCAGAGGTATGTGGATTACGTGAGTCTGTAACATATGCTGATCTAATTAACCAAGTTAAAAGGTTAAAAATCCACTTCAGCCTACATACCAAGAATGGGTCTAATTGGAAACAATATTTCAACAACAGTCCCCACGAATGCCTAATTTACTGGTAAACACTCACTCTAATATTGATGATGATACTCATTCTCTTTTCCTCTGTTCATAAAGTGATCATTGCCTGAGTGAAACAGTCACGAGAGAGAGAGCGAGGGAAGAAAGGAGGGAGGGAGGAAAAAGTGAGGGAGTGAAACATTAGGAGTTGGTGAACATTAGTTGATTGAGTGACTGAGTCCACAATTCCAAAAACGTTCCTAGAAGACTCAAAATCTATTTAACATGAACTAAAGAGCCTTTATAAAACTTTATATTTGAGCAATAGATGAGGCTTAAAAGCAAGTCTAAAAGACAACTGCCCCAGTACTCAACCCAAAAAACACAAACTAGCCAGACACAGTGGTGTGTACTTGTAGTCGGAGCTACTCAGGAGACTGAGACAAGAGGATTACTTGAGCCCAAGGGTTTGAGACCAGCCTGGGCAATAGCGAGACCCAGTCTAAAAAAAGAAAAAAAAACGTCAACAACAACAAAAAAACCCACTCGTTCATCAAATCACCTGCAAGGCGCCTGAATGAAAGGTGTCCTTTCCACTGTGGCTCTGCTCAGGGCACCCACAGCTGCAGGTGAGTTAACCTGTCTGGCCCTGCCCCCTCTAGGTCTGTCCTCCCATGACTCACCTGTGTGAGAAAATCATCTCCACGCTGCCTTCCTGGAGGAAGCTCAATGGACCCAACCAGCTGATGTCGCTGCAGCAGTTTGTGTACGACGTGCAGGACCAGCTGAACCCCCTGGCCAGCGAGGAGGACCTCAGGCGCATTGCTCAGCAGCTCCACAGCACAGGCGAGGTGAGCCCCTGGGAGCCCAGGCAGGGGGCCGTGAGAGGTGCCAGGGACTCAGCCTGTCCCAAATTCCAGCTCTTGGAAGTGGTGTGAGCCTGGGGAAGCAGTGTGGAAATGGTCCAGCTAACCTACAACATTTCCACACGTGTGACAAACACAGCCTCAAGTGACGCTCTGAACTGCAGTTCTCGGCTCACCTTAGGAGCTGTCATTTTGTCTTGTCGTGTTTTGCTTTTATTTCCAGAGTCTGTTAGTTTGGGAGTGCAGTGCCCACTGCCCTGGGTGACTGGGTCTCTCTTCACTCCCCCTGGGCACCAGGAACTTAATCTGCTACTCCTGGCAGCCTTCAGGATGGCTTCTTTGTATCAGCGTGGAGTCATCAGCTCCACACAGATCTCCTGGGTGGGAAAACAGTTGAGAAAAGGCAGTGAGGTGTCCTTGTGGAGGCAATGTCTGGAGATACAAAGACAGAGAACTCTGGTGCACAGATACACAGAGTAATCATAATTAAAGATGCACATTAAAAAACTCTAGCAAGCAATGCCCAGCAGAAATGATTGA
The DNA here is from genome assembly GCF_000001405.40 of Homo sapiens. Classification (NCBI taxonomy): domain Eukaryota; kingdom Metazoa; phylum Chordata; class Mammalia; order Primates; family Hominidae; genus Homo; species Homo sapiens. Next base: position 87,703,773 of record NC_000009.12, read on the forward strand.
GAATGGGAGGCTTTGCTCTGGTTCTGTGACATTGAGCACCAGGGCGCGGTTTGGAAACCCTGTTCTAATGGCATCATATGCCTGTCCCAGGAACGGGGGCAGTGCCTTCGTGTTTCTCCACCATGTGAAATTGGGAGCCTACATGAACTAGTGTGGGCCAAGAAGAGCGGTTCTGAATATTGCAACTAAAAGCAGCTCTGAGATTATTAAAAGCCAGATGCTTACCTCCCCAATCTCAGGTGCCAGGTCTGGCCCTATAGCCAGTTTGTATGAGTCATACAAATTTCTTGAAACTAAACCTGAATCCACAAGCCAGTGACCTTGAAAACTGGAGTCGCCGGGCAGTAATTTCATCAGCCTTTAAACTCCCAGTTAAATGGCCAGAGAATCTGCCAACTCATCCAGGAATACTTTAAAGTGATTGAATCCAAGGAAGAACACAGGTGAAGGACCACATCTTAGATGACAAGATACTGCTGGATGTAAAAAATGTGTCAATTCTAATTCTAAACTCCTTTGGCACAGGAGTCCCTTGCTTTCTAGTAGTAGACCAGCAACTTTCTAGATCATATCATATAGTCTCCTTTATTTGTCATTACATCCCTGCTTGCCCTTGAGAGTTTAGTAAGTAAATGAAGATGTAAAGAAGGAGGGTAATTAGGCAGCAGGAACTACATTGTGTGGCCCGACTTTGATTGGCCCCGGGCCTCCTCCAGACCTGCCTTCCGTATCTAATTTGCAGATCTTCAGAACTCCCCAGTGGCCCTTCTGACTCTGTTTTCTGGCCCAGGGTCCCACACTACGTTTAGCTGACTGTCTTAGCTCCCTGTTCTCCTCCACTATGGGACAGTTTCGTCTTTCCTGAGCCTGAGGCGATGAGCAGTGTTTAGGACCAAACTGCAAATGGTATTCCAGCAAATGCTGTATCAGGAACTAGATCAATATTGGCTCTGCCCTCCAGGAATTTTCAACCTAGGTTCAATTCTGAATAGACTCTTAGACAGGGGGCATCTTTCAGGTTTAAGCCAGACTGTGGGCAGGAAATTACTGTGTGGTCACCGGTGGGGTCAGAGCCTCCAAGTGAGGGAGTCCAGGGCGATGGCCACTCTCCAAGAAAGGAAGCAGAACTCTTCCATAAAGGGAAAGTTCCTTCTGTTTTTTGTCACTTTTTTTTCCTTTCTTTTTATTTTTTTAAGAAATAAACACAACCAAAAAGCTAAAGTCCCCTTGGGCCATCATCTCTGGTCTCACTCCTCTCTCCCCTTCTCGGAGGCCAACTATTATCATGGCAGCATATCCTTTCAGGCCTTTTCTATGTGTGTGTGTTAAACATTCACATAATGGTATAATAATAGAATGTTCTGACTCTTTTTTGAAAATGTTCTCAAGCCTTTAGAGAAGTTGCAAGGATAGTACCATGAACTCTCATATAGGCTACATTTATTTATTTTTTTAATTAATTAATTAATTTTTTTTTTTTTTTTTTTGAGATAGAGTCTCACTCTGTTGCCAAGGCTGGAGTGCAGTGGCACAATCTCGGCTCACTGCAGCCTCCGCCTCCTGGGTTCAAGTGATTCTGCCTCAGCCTACAGACACAAGCCATCACACCCAACTAAATTTTGTATTTTTAGAAGAGACAGGGTTTTACCATGTTGGCCAGGCTGGTCTCAAACTCCTGACCTCAAGTGATCCACCCGCCTCGGCCTCCCAAAGTGCTGGGATTACAGGCATGAGTCACGGTGCCCAGCCTACTACATTTAAGCTGATCAGTTGTTGACATTTTGCTACATTTGCTCGATTCCTTTCCTTTCTATTTATTTACTTATTTATTTTGCAGACATGATGACATTTCTTCCCTAAATAATTTAGCCTATATCTCCTAAGGAGAAGGATATTTTCCCACATAACCCAATATAATTGATGATTCCAGAAACATAACATTAATATAGTACTATGATTGAATATATCATCCTCATACAAGGGTTTGCCACTGGTCCCAATAATTTCTTTTAAAGCTATTTTTATTTATGTACTTATTTTGGGATTCAGAATCCAGTCTAAAATCACTCATTGCATTTGGTTGCCATCTCCCATTTTTTTTTCTTCTTTCATTTCGCTGGCCTTTTTGAAGACTTCAGGGGAGTTGTTTTTCAGAATCTCTATTCTGACATTTTCAAGCTGCTTTTCTCCACTCGGTGTTTGGTTTTTGAGACGCATCCACGTGGAATGGCCTTGGGTCACTCCTTAGAGCATCTGCTCAGCCTCTGTTGCCGGCATCAGGCCCTTTAGTGCTCTAAGTGGCTGGTGCACCTGGCCAGGGCTCTGTCCCTAAGCGTGACTTTCTGTTGTCCCCCCGCAGATCAACATCATGCAAAGTGAAACAGTTCAGGACGTGCTGCTCCTGGACCCCCGCTGGCTCTGCACAAACGTCCTGGGGAAGTTGCTGTCCGTGGAGACCCCACGGGCGCTGCACCACTACCGGGGCCGCTACACCGTGGAGGACATCCAGCGCCTGGTGCCCGACAGCGACGTGGAGGAGCTGCTGCAGATCCTCGATGCCATGGACATCTGCGCCCGGGACCTGAGCAGCGGGACCATGGTGGACGTCCCAGCCCTGATCAAGACAGACAACCTGCACCGCTCCTGGGCTGATGAGGAGGACGAGGTGATGGTGTATGGTGGCGTGCGCATCGTGCCCGTGGAACACCTCACCCCCTTCCCATGTGGCATCTTTCACAAGGTCCAGGTGAACCTGTGCCGGTGGATCCACCAGCAAAGCACAGAGGGCGACGCGGACATCCGCCTGTGGGTGAATGGCTGCAAGCTGGCCAACCGTGGGGCCGAGCTGCTGGTGCTGCTGGTCAACCACGGCCAGGGCATTGAGGTCCAGGTCCGCGGCCTGGAGACGGAGAAGATCAAGTGCTGCCTGCTGCTGGACTCGGTGTGCAGCACCATTGAGAACGTCATGGCCACCACGCTGCCAGGGCTCCTGACCGTGAAGCATTACCTGAGCCCCCAGCAGCTGCGGGAGCACCATGAGCCCGTCATGATCTACCAGCCACGGGACTTCTTCCGGGCACAGACTCTGAAGGAAACCTCACTGACCAACACCATGGGGGGGTACAAGGAAAGCTTCAGCAGCATCATGTGCTTCGGGTGTCACGACGTCTACTCACAGGCCAGCCTCGGCATGGACATCCATGCATCAGACCTGAACCTCCTCACTCGGAGGAAACTGAGTCGCCTGCTGGACCCGCCCGACCCCCTGGGGAAGGACTGGTGCCTTCTCGCCATGAACTTAGGCCTCCCTGACCTCGTGGCAAAGTACAACACCAGTAACGGGGCTCCCAAGGATTTCCTCCCCAGCCCCCTCCACGCCCTGCTGCGGGAATGGACCACCTACCCTGAGAGCACAGTGGGCACCCTCATGTCCAAACTGAGGGAGCTGGGTCGCCGGGATGCCGCAGACTTTTTGCTGAAGGCATCCTCTGTGTTCAAAATCAACCTGGATGGCAATGGCCAGGAGGCCTATGCCTCGAGCTGCAACAGCGGCACCTCTTACAATTCCATTAGCTCTGTTGTATCCCGGTGAGGGCAGCCTCTGGCTTGGGCAGGGTCTGTTTGGACTGCAGAAGCAAGGGGGTGATGTAGCCCATCCTTCCCTTTGGAGATGCTGAGGGTGTTTCTTCCTGCACCCACAGCCAGGGGGATGCCACTCCTCCCTCCGGCTTGACCTGTTTCTCTGCCGCTACCTCCCTCCCCGTCTCATTCCGTTGTCTGTGGATGGTCATTGCAGTTTAAGAGCAGAACAGATCTTTTACTTTGGCCGCTTGAAAAGCTAGTGTACCTCCTCTCAGTGTTTTGGACTCCATCTCTCATCCTCCAGTACCTTGCTTCTTACTGATAATTTTGCTGGAATTCCTAACTTTTCAATGACATTTTTTTTAACTACTATATTGATTGTCCTTTAAAAAAGAAAAGTGCATATTTATCCAAAATGTGTATTTCTTATACGCTTTTCTTTGTTATACCATTTCCTCAGCTTATCTCTTTTATATTTGTAGGAGAAACTCCCATGTATGGAATCCCACTGTATGATTTATAAACAGACAATATGTGAGTGCCTTTTGCAGAAGAGGGTGTGTTTGAAATCATCGGAGTCAGCCAGGAGCTGTCACCAAGGAAACGCTACCTCTCTGTCCCTTGCTGTATGCTGATCATCGCCAGAGGTGCTTCACCCTGAGTTTTGTTTTGTATTGTTTTCTGACAGTTTTTCTGTTTTGTTTGGCAAGGAAAGGGGAGAAGGGAATCCTCCTCCAGGGTGATTTTATGATCAGTGTTGTTGCTCTAGGAAGACATTTTTCCGTTTGCTTTTGTTCCAATGTCAATGTGAACGTCCACATGAAACCTACACACTGTCATGCTTCATCATTCCCTCTCATCTCAGGTAGAAGGTTGACACAGTTGTAGGGTTACAGAGACCTATGTAAGAATTCAGAAGACCCCTGACTCATCATTTGTGGCAGTCCCTTATAATTGGTGCATAGCAGATGGTTTCCACATTTAGATCCTGGTTTCATAACTTCCTGTACTTGAAGTCTAAAAGCAGAAAATAAAGGAAGCAAGTTTTCTTCCATGATTTTAAATTGTGATCGAGTTTTAAATTGATAGGAGGGAACATGTCCTAATTCTTCTGTCCTGAGAAGCATGTAATGTTAATGTTATATCATATGTATATATATATATGCACTATGTATATACATATATATTAATACTGGTATTTTTACTTAATCTATAAAATGTCGTTAAAAAGTTGTTTGTTTTTTTCTTTTTTTATAAATAAACTGTTGCTCGTTGCATTAGTTTTTTTGATCTTTAATTCAAAAGGATTTCTTTTTACTTGTTGTGGTTTTACTGTTGTCACCCCACATAGCAGGACAACCCAGTCCAAAACCTAGAAAATCATTACACCTCAACTCTCAGGGTTATTGAGATGCCGATTATTACTCAAATTAGGAATGGTGTGGGAAAGTGAAAAGAGTTCAGATAATTTTCACATTTCTTCCCATTGTAAATAAAACAGGCCCCTTAGATTTTTCTCGGGTGAACCAAAAAACCAAACTGACTCTTTTAGTTTTGGCAACAGGGAACAGAGGAAGCTTTGCGACTTCTACACAAAAATGATGGGGATGGCACCAGGAGGAAGAGAAAACCTACAGCAAAAAGACCTTCGTGCCTTTCTTACATTTATAGTTCATTTATGTTTCAAGCAAGTTGTCCACAATAAACATGATTAACTTTCATAATGAGAAAAGAAGTCCTGATGAATAAAATTAAAACTAGACATAGGTGTGTCTACAAAGGATGAGACTGAAAGGGAAACTGTGGTCGCCTTAAGGAGCGGAAACTCCTTTTCTTGTCTCAGCTCCTTCCTGAGTGTTGGCTTCACTCTCTCCTGCTTCAAAAGACTGCTTCCTATAGCGGCAGGTAAGCTAAAAACCAGAGAGAAGGGGTTTGTCTCTTGCAGCATCTATATGTAAAATCCCAGAGTGGGACTCTGATTCGATTAGCTTGTGTCACATAGCTATCCCTGTGCAAATTTGGAAAAGACAGAGTTACTAGGATTGGCCTCATCACCCAATGAGCTGTTGGGGGAGAAGCAGTTCTCCCCAAGACTAGGGTTCTGTTAGTAGAAGAAAGGTGAGGGAGGATGCTGGGGAGACACATTTGAGTTACTGCAAAAGTCTTAATACTTTTTTTGAGAGAGAGGGCTTGGCTTCTGTGACCCAGGCTGTGGTGCGGTGGCATGATCATAGCTCACTGTTGCTTCAAAGTCCAGAGCTCCAGCAGTCCTTCCAACTCAACCTCCTGAGTAGCTAGGCCTGCAAGGGCACACCACCGTGCCTGGCTAATTTTTTTTTTTTTTTTTTAAGGAGATGATCTCACTATGTTGCCCAGGCTGGTCTCAAACTTCTGGCCTCAAGTCATCCTCCCACCTCTGCCTCCTGAAGTGAGAGGATTACAGGCATGAGCCACAATACCCAGCCAGTGCTTTTGTTTTATGCAAGTCCTAGGACAGGCACCTGTTCATATGATTGTGGGGTCCCCGGGCTCCTGAAATGTTGGGACCACAGTCAGGAATCATTGCAACCCAAAGGTCAAGAGCTTAAGGATCACTCAACTCACTGCCCCATCTTGGGAAATGCCCTGGGGCACTCTTCAGGGGGCAGTTTGGAGTCTGTACCAGGAGCTTCTGTACCAGGAGCTCTGGTCAGGCTGAAACTGGCCACTGCCCACTGTATGCAGCTGGCTCTCTCCCCTGCAGGTGGGAGGAAACAAGACCATAGCTTACCTCCTGTGTCCATAGTGAGAATCAAAAGGTGCAAATTCTAGGAGTCAGAAAGAAAAGCCAATCATGGGACCCTGTCTCTTAGAGTTGCTGTGAAATGCACTCAGTTGCCATGTTCCTCGTCACCTCTTTACTATAGTGTAACAGCCTCTGGGTACCACGTCCAAACTTGGGCCACCTTGGGGTGCCTGAGGTCTCCAGTGTGGACAAAAGTATCCCAGGGACCCAAAGCCAGTACGGTGTGGGCTTGAAGGCATTTGTGGGAGTTGCAATGGGTTCCAAAATCTCAACCCCTACACCTTCTAAAAGGAATCAGAACTTGGTGGAAATTTTGCTGGTCTATTTTGTAGAAAAGCTGTTAGGGTGACAACTACAGGATTCACAAAAATCATAAAACTATATTTGGCCCTGTCGCTGTTCAGAGTCCACACTGGTCTTACTAAGCCCTGATAGAGTGACCACAGAAAAGTCACTCCAAAGTGAGGGGCCCAGCGTGGCTGTTCTTGCATAAACAATGGCTAGATAATAGCCGGGCTGTAAAACCAAGAGGGAAGTGCGCAGATCTGAGCTTAGAAGTGGAAGCTTTCATTAAGAGTAAAAAGATGGGCCAGGTGCAGTGGTTCATGCCTGTAATCCCAGCACTTTGGGAGGCGGAGGTGGGCAGATCACCTGAGGTCAGGAGTTCAAGACCAGCCTGGGCAAAATGGTGAAACCCTGTCTGTGCTAAAAATACAAAAAAATTAGCCAGGCATGGTGGTGTGTGCCTGAAATTCCAGCTACTTAGGAGGCTGAGGCAGGAGAATCACTTGAACCCAGGAGGCAGAGGTTGCAGTGAGCTGAGATCGCACCACTGCACTCCAGCCTGGGCAACAAGCGCAAAAATTACGTCTAAAAAAAAAAAGAATAAAAAGATGGAGGCGGGCGTGGCGGGTCACACCTGTAATCCTAGCACTTTGGGAAGCCAAGATAGGCAGATCACTTGAGGTCAGGAGTTCGAGACCAGCCTGGCCAACATGGTGAAACCTTGTCTCTACTAAAAATACAAAAAAATTAGCTGGGCGTGGTGAGGGGGCGCCTGTAATCCCAGCTACTCAGGAGACTGAGGCAGGAGAATTGCTTGAACCCGGGAGGCAGAGGTTGCAGTGAAATGAGATTGCTCCATTGCACTCCAGCCTGGGCGACTGAGCGAGACTCCATCTCAAAATAAACGAATGAATGAATTAAAAGATGATTTCAGTTTTGCAAGATGAAGAAAGTTTCTGGAGGGCATGGTGATGATGGCACAACAATATGAATGTATTGAATGCCACTGATCTGTGCAGTTCAAGTTGGGTAAAGTAGTAAATTTTGTGTTTCTCTATATTACCACAGTTTTCTTTAAAAAAAAAAAAAAAACTAAAAAGATAAAGCTGAAACCTAAAAATGTCCAGGTAACAATAAAGCTGGCAGAGTAATGTACAAGACTACCTACTGTATTTAGAGCAGCTCAGCCAAGCGGAGCCCCCCAGAAAAGGGGAACAGGAAAAGGGATTGATTGCTTTTTAAAGAATTTAATATTTGTTATTTCAAAAAAAAAAAAACTTTAAAGTGGTCCTCAGAGGGGGAAGAAGTGAGAGTTCTGTTTGGCTTCTTTCCTCTTTTGATTGGCAGAGGGTTTTGTTTTTAGTTTGAATTCGTATTTGAGACCCAGCGCCACAGTCTTTGCAGGACTATGCATTCCTGAGAACTTAAACTGAACTGTTTATGAGGAATAGTGTGAGGGTGAGGGCCCAGCCCTGGCTCACTGAGTCCTCAGGGCTCAGCTCCACAGCTGCCTGAGGAATTTGCTCTCAAGGGCAATCTTCAGCGATCTGGAGCATAGCTGGGCTTTGGGTGGCAACCTGAGGGTGAGGTCAGACTGTAGCATCACAACCAAAAGTCACATGCTGATGACAGGCTCCAAATCCTCCCAGCCCAGGGCCTGGTGGCTTCCAGATGTTGACTCAGGACAGGAACCGCTTGTCTGCCCTAAATGAATGCCATGGCCAGAGAGGGTGGACCAGGGGCACCTCTGACAGGGAGAGTTAAGGAGCAGTGAGCTCCCTTCCACCTCCGCTGAGCAGAAAGGAACCCTGGAAATACCTTCAGGACAGACAGCTGCTGATCTCTTCCTGGAAGCGCTGGGCCTCAGAAGCTTGCTGGTTCCTGCCTATTTGCTCCCACGGCAAATTCTTGATTCTTTATCAGAAAGGAGGGAAGAAGTGTGTGGGTGTGAGGGGGAAGAAGCCACAGGAATGCCCACAGCAGAGGTCCTCGGGGACGCTGGGCTATCCCTGGTGGCAACACTCTTGGGGCTGGTGCTGGGTGAGGACGGCCTCCCAAGCACCCTATGCTGTGACTCCAGCCCCCAGGATTCTCCTCAGGGTAGAGAGAAGGAGCTCAGGTGAGCTCTGGATGAATGATACCATCTTTTCCATTGAAATCACAGAATTTTACAACTAAAGAGAACTTCCAGATGGTTTGAGTCAACCGCACTCTGGCAGCTGGAAGCAGAGATGAAAAGATTCAGGCAAAATTACACAGTTCAATTATTAACAATTCAGACTAAGCATCAGGCCATCTGACCCCAACTGAGGGCCCCTCATCCTATTCTACTAAGTATATTACACTGCAGTCTGTATGTGTGTGTGCATGTGTGTGTCATGAGAGTACACGGATATGCAGGTGTATGCATCTGTATTTTGTGCATAAATGTGTGCATTTGTGTACATGTATATTAATGTATGTGCGTGTGTCATGTGCATATGTGTAGCAGAGTTAGTGTGCATATGCACATGTGTATATGTGTATTGCGCATGTGTATACACATGTATATATGGGGGTAAGTCTGTGTCTTTGGTATGTGCATATATGTGTGTGTGTGATGTGTGTGCATGTGTGTGTGCTTTGTGTGTGTGGTGTGTGTGCATGTGGTGTGTGTGGGGGTGTGTGTGGTGTGTGTTTATGTGATGTGTGTGTGGTGTGTGTGTGAGGTGTGTAGGGTGTGTGCGTGTGTGGTGTGCATGTGGTATGGTTGTGTGTGGTGTGTGCGTGTGTGGTGTGTGTGTGGGGTGTGCGCATATGTGTGGCATATGTATGTGTATATGTGTGGTGTGTGTTGTGTTTGGTGTGTGTGGTGTGTGCATGTGTGTATCTGGTGTGTGTGGTGTGTGTGATGTGTGTATGTGCGGTGTGTGTGTTTTTGGTGTGTGGTGTTTGTGGTGTGTATGTGTTTGGTGTGTGGTGTGTGTGTTTGGTGTGTGGTGTGTGTGTGGTGTGTGTGTGGGGGGGGTGTGGTGTGTGTGTGGTGTGTCGTGTGTGTGTGTGTCATGAGAGATTCTTAGGCCATAATGGCTTTTTTTTCTGACCAAGAGACTTGATTCTTGCTGATTCAGCCATGAGTGTGCATTTCCCACAATCAGGGTGACTAACCAGGACATCCGGAGAAGTTTCTTCCTCTCTGCCTCACCCATCCCACTCGCTCCATCCTCAAAGCGGACACTCAGATGCTGGGGCTTCTGCCCCAGTGTGTGACCCCACGGGAGGTTTGCAGAGTCCTCAGGTTGCGTCACAGCCAGCGTTGATGAGCATCATCCTGTCTTCCAAGAAGGCAGGCCAGTCACCCAAGAATGAGCCAGAGCTGCTTCTGTAAATCACGAGATTCTGTGACCCAGATTAACATGGAAGGAGAAACCAGCAGCTGCTGCCGCCGTAGGCACAAGTCAGCAACTTCAGTCCTTCTGAGGCTGGCCCTTCCTGGCCATGGGCTGCCCTTTCCCTTTGGGGTAATTTGAGGCAATGAAAGTTTTTATTCCCTTTGGTTGTATTTTCTAGACATGTTTTAATGTAGCTGAAATCATATGAAGTGTTCAATTTTATACCCTGCTTTTTTTAAACGGAAGATTATGACACAGCTTTTTTACAATGTTATTAGAAGCTTTTCAGAAACATTCCTTTTAACGGCTGCAAAATGCTATAATAATATTGTCATATCCCAATTCCCTACTGTGAAACACTCAGGCGTTATTCCCTGTTGAAAACAAAGCTGGGCTAAACATCTTTATGCACATTTTTTTCTGTATTTCGGACTGGACATGATATATGTGGCTTTTTGGGCTGTCGGCACATAACAATTAAAATCCAAAAAGAGAAAACATTAATTGCTGAGCAAAACTTTGCATTTATGTTGCACTCTATCTGGTTTTCTTTTCTTCCAGAAAAACATTATTTTATTAATCAATGGCTAACACACTTTATAATAATTTTTACCAAATTTTTTGCTACATATAACAGCTTTTATAATCTTACTCTTTTAGCAAGAACGGAAAAAATTCATTCTTTCCACCATCACAAGAGATTAATTACTCAATAATTACATTTATTACCAGTTTAGAAAACTTTGAGCTTCAAAACCCATTACAGGCAATGTCATAAATTTTAAAGATTACTGTCAAATCTGGTGAACACTCTATCAAGTTTAGTTTCATTTGATTATACATAAGCTGTAAGATTTTCTGACATTGCAAGTTTAATTGTCTAGTGACTTATTTTAAATGCTTTTTAATGCCAACACTCATTATCCAATTGTCATTCATGTCCTTCTCTGCCTGGCTTTATGGGCTGAATTTCTGTGCAGGTGCCTTTTGCTGAGAAGGCACCCTTCCCAGTGCTCTGGGCCATTCTCTGTGTGGTTCCATTGCTATCCCGCTCCAGGTACCAAAGGATTTGGCCTCCAAACTCTGCTGCCCACCTTGGTGGTTGGACACATACTCCTGGAGGACCTGGAGTCAAAACAAGCCACATACATCCTGCTGACATGGAGAACAGCCAGCTACTGAGCAAACATGCAACACTGGTGATATTGTGCAATGTTCCCAGCTGTGAATTTATCTCATTGTTTTCACCCAGTGACATTTTTATCTTATCCCTCCATAAGCCAGGCAAAAGTACACTAAACGCTTGAATAGATTCTCTCTTGTCATTTTGGAATTACTATTTTCATTTTTTATTTGAAAATGAGAAATAAAAAGGAATCTTATAACTTCTCTCTGCCCCTTAAAGCTATTTTCAATAAAGAGTAGCTTTTTTTTTTTTTTTTTTGTGAAATGGAGTCTTGCTCTGTCACTCTGTCGCCAGGCTGGTGTGCAGTGGTGCGATCTCGGCTTACTGCAACCTCTGCCTCCCAGGTTCAAGTGATTCTCCTGCCTCAGGCTCCTGAGTAGCAGGGACTACAGGCACGCACCACCACACCTGGCTAATTTTTGTATTTTTAGTAGAGACGGGGTTTTACCATGTTGGCCAGGATGGTCTCGATCTCTTGACCTCATGATCCGCCCACTTTGGCCTCCCAAAGTGCTGGGATTACAGGCATGAGCCACCGTGCCTGGCCGCCTTTTTTTTTTTTTTTTTTTTTTTTTAACTGACTCTTAAACCTTGAGACGCCTTGCTATTGCCAGTGGTTCCCACACTTTGGGAATGTTATGAAATAGCAAACTTTTATAAAGAACATGGAGGACTGACACTCTGACACTTTGTTTTGCAAAGAACACAGAAACTACAATAACTATCCAATGCTGTCACCAATCATAGTGCCCCAAAAGAAAGAGAAGGAAAGAAAGAAATTAATAAATAGAGAAAAAAATTCCAAATGAAAAAAATTAAAGCAGCAAGGAAGGGCGGGGCACGGTGGCTCACGCCTGTAATCCCATTACTTTGGGAGGTCGAGGCGGGTAGATCACTTGAGGCCAGGAGTTCAAGACCAGCCTGGCCAACATGGCGAAACCTTGTCTCTACTAAAAATACAAATATTAGCCAGGCATGGTGGCACGCTCCTGTAATCCCAGCTACCGGGGAGGCTGAGGCACGAGAATCACTTGAACCCGGGAGGCAGAGGCTGGAGTGAGCCGAGATTGTGCCACTGCACTCCAGCCTGGGCAACAGAGCAAGACAGAGCAAAAAAAAAAAAAAAAAAAAAAAAAAAAAGCAGCAAGGAAGGCAAGGAAGGAAGGAAACAAAAGAGAGAGAGAAAGTGGGAAGGTTACAGTCCTAGAATAATTAACATTCCTTTCAATGGAATAACTTAATCTTAGGGGAAAAAAATTACCCAGTGCTCTTCATTTTTCTCCATTTCCCTGGAATTGTGAAAAGTTCACCATGGGCAACATGACTCTAAAGGTTTATTGCTGTGTTTTGTTTGCTCAGGAGCCTTTGCTCTTTGCTATGCATAGAAGTTCAGGAAAAGCCCTCAGGCCCCGTCTCATGACATATTTCATGACAATGTTTATTCCATCCCCTGAACACTGAAACTTACCCAAGGTCCCTGCGGGAGGGCCACACTTTAGGAAGCACAGTATTTCTGGTTGCTCTTAACATAGGGGCATAGGATCCAACAGTCAGGAGGAAATGGGATGTCTCGAAGTTCAGCCAGAGCATCACCCGCCATGAAATATGAGGGTCAGTCGGTCTCCGCTCAAATGGTCCCAGAGATGGAGGATTGGAAAAGCAGATTTTAATTCCTACGTGAGCTGACACTTACCACCTGTATTTCTCATCCCTTGTTCTGTCTTCCAGGCTATAAAGACGCCTTGAATCCTCCTCCACGATACCCGCCCCACTATTTGTTGGCACAGCTATGATGCTGCTTATGGATTGTTTTCACTCCTAAAGACAGTGGCGCAAGGCAAGGTGACCTGGAGCGAGGCCATCCTGAGTGCCCACCCAGCTTCCCAGGAGCCTGTTGGAATTTGGAAGGACATTTGCCTCTGTTTATAAAGACTGGCTTTTTGCTGAAAGCCAGGGTCTCAAAAATTTTGTTTTATTAATAGAAGCTAAACCCCAAACATTTGGCTCTTTTTCATTCCATTTCCCCTTTCACAATCTTAACTATTCCCAAGACAATGGATACCTCTGCCTGTATCAAGGGCAGATTGTCAATAAGAAAGTCAACAGGAAATAAACATTATTATTTCAAAAATACTATCCTTATCCATTTTAAATTAAGGGGCTAGGAGAAAAGGATATGAGGATTTACTGTTGAATGGGTTAGGAGTTTCAGTTTGGGATGAAGAGAAAGTTCTGGAGATGGATGGCGGTGATGGTGGCACAACAATGCGATGAACTTCATGCCGCTCTCAAAAATAGTGAAAATGGTCAAGTTTATGTTACGTCTATTTTACTATAATAAAAAAAAAATTTTGGTTTTCAGTGGGCAGGTGAATAAGGAGACCCTCTTGCCACCTCTTGGCAAGAGCAAGAAAGGAGATTGGAATATCAGCAGTGTGAGCTCTTCCAAGGGCAGTGGTGACAGCCTGGGAGACTGGTCAGCGTAGCAAGGGCAGGTGCAGGTCCCTGGTCCTAGAATGTGAGTGTGGCAAGCCAGCCTTAACTTCTGCCTGCCTAGGAGGCATCCTAGGAGGTGAGCCTTAGTGAGCAGGGGTGAGCTCTGTTTGTCCTGTATGCAGCAGCAGATTATCTGTCTGCTCATGCAGACTATGTAGATTGCTCAGAGTTGCTAGAGGGAGGGCCTGTGGGGCCTGAACTTCAGCCTGCACTCAGCTCATCAAGCCATGGGCTCTCTCAGGGCCATGTCTGTCCAACCCTTGCAAAGCCTCTGGATGGGTGATCCTGGGCACTAAACCTTGACCATTCTAAAATACTATTTGGCACAGCCTGGATGAGGTCTGTACATAGAGTGTGTAGATCCCTCAAGTTCCCTGAACACTCCGCCATGCAAGTGATGCAGAGAAGTCAGCTAGGAGGAAGACAAGGTGTGGGGAAGAACAGCACCAGCCAGGAAGCATCATCCCAAATCTGAGTTCATGAGGCTGATGAAGAGAATGTCCACACCATTAAAGAGATTCTAGCATTCCTTTTCTATGTTTGTCAACCTTTGTCCTTGTTAGTGCCTGAATAAAACTGAACATGAGAATGTGGCCATGGGAATTATAGTATAGGCCTAAGGAGAGGTTGTAAACTTCAGGCTTCATCAACACTTGACCATTTCCTCCCATTTTCTGGGAACTAATTAGCCCCTTTCTGTTTCACCCATGCAGTACCCCGGCTATTGGGCTTCATTACTCCAGTATGCTTTCCAGAACTATCATATTCCTTTAATCTTCTTGAAATAAATTTGGCTTGGATCGCACTCCCCTAAATCTAGTCTCTTTCATTGTCCAGGGAGCCACCCCTCCTCCCATGGTTGTGCAAGTGTCTCGGGGTCTTCTGAGCAGTCTGCGTTTGCTGCCTTTGGTCATCCCAACCTGTCTGACCTGCCTTCTCACCCTCCATGCAAGCCTGAGTGTGGGAATATTCCAGAGCCCACATGCTCTAAGCTCAGCCATCCCAGGTATGAGTGCAAGGAGGCTACAGCCCTCAGCCTCTTGCAGAAAACCCCTGTTGCTCCCCAAGTTTGGGAGGTGACTCTTCTCTCCTCTTTCTCCAACTCCACCAAGCTATGGACAATTAATTCCTTGATGACACTGACCTCTAGGTTCATAAGAGAGGTTTTCAGACTGGCTCCAGGAATTGAGAAAATCTTTTCCTCTCTCTTCAGCCTTGGCTTTTGGATCATTGTGAACTCAGAAATCTATCGGGAAAGTCTAATTCTGAACACTGATTCTTTTTTCTCTTTACATTCCTATTGTTAAAATTCTGATTATCTGTGAGAAAACAATATCCCTGTCTGTATAGGGGTGATGTCCTTGAAAAGGGAACACAAAAAAGGAAAAAAAATCATATTTGCACAATAAAGTATCACCCCCCTTGTGTTATATACACCACAGGTCTGCAGGCATGAGACTGAGGTCAGACTGTGAGTATTCTCCCCTCCATCCCACCCTCCACCTGCTCTGTGACCTGCGTCAGAACCCCAGGGACAAGATAAGATTTCTCCAAAACTCAATGGAGAGTCACAGAAAACAGGAAGTGCTTTTGAGGAAGTTTTGAATGGAAGCAGGAGGTGAGAGTTGGGAACTGTATGCTGGGAAATGACCTCTCGGCTGGGACTCTTGGGAGGGTGTGATGTCTTGGTTGCTGCTCCTGTGAACTGTGGAGAAGGTCAGGTTTAGCGTAAACTGTCCCCTGTGGTCCTCCTGCAATTCTCCTAATGACTGTCAGCCCTCAGTACCAGGGTCCCATACACCCCTGCAGCACTGCATCCCCATTTGTTGGAGTTCCACCTCCTGAGACCAAATCCTGGCTTCCTCACTGACTAGCCCTGTGCCCTTGGGCAAGCTCCGTAACCTCTCTAACCTCACTGTACTCATCTGTAAAATGGGGATGAGGGTTATTCTGATAATCAAATGCCATAATACACAACAAGGCGAATGTGGTGCTTGGCACGTAAGTCAGCAGTGTGTTCCCAGTTGACCACTGGTTTCAGGAGGCCAACAAGGACAGTGGGATTTTAGGTGAGTCTTTGGGTATTTTCCCCCCATTTGTCTTGCTTATCTGTATTATCTATGTTTTTCATAATGATCACTTGTTTTATTTGTTTTTCACCTAAAAAATTATTGAAAAATAACAGATGAAACTGCTGGAAGGATAAAAGGCTAAGGTCCTCTGAGAATCCTTGAAAACGGCCACCAGCAAGTTATTCATTAGAAATTTCAAAGGGAAATTTCCAAACCAAGCCACCTCAATGACAGGCTTAGTGCTCTAGGAACAAGGTGGAGGGGATGTGGGCCATTATTGTTTATAAGCCAGAGAGATGGTGGGTTACTTGCTCTATCTGGTAATTAAACATTCACATATTCTACATTTTTTAAATAAATCAATGCCTTTTTCATCAAATTACGAACAGGCCAGGACACTGAAGTTTGAAGGCAAATGTTCATTCCTGTCTGCTCCACATCTGGCTTTCCAGGACAACACAATGGTCAGTCCACTAAAAGTCAAGGAAGTCCTGATTTTTCTGGCTAGAAATCAAGAAAAGTCATTTTTTGATGTGCTTATTATGTTTCTGAGAATATGCAAGAGAAGAAGGAGAAAAACACAAGCCTTCCAGATGGGCCACTGCCGGTTAAGCTTGCATTTTAGGGAGAGGTGATGCCCACCTTTAACCTCTTTCGAGGCATCACACACTTTTGGGCTCAACAACCAAAAAACAACAGGGGAGAAAGCAATGATGATGGGAGCTGTTTTGGCTGAGAAACTCCAAGGGCCCAGGAGCTCCTTCACCCTACATCAAACCATGGAAAAGAGCTCACCAGAGATAGTGGGTTGGCATAGCTCCAGATCATGCTTATGGCCCTATATCCCTAATCCATCTCTCTCTGCTCTGTCCTAAGACTTCAGTTGACTGGCCTTCCCCAGGTCTCAAGGGCTTGTCACATTCTTCATTACTTTTCTGTGTTTTTCGACAATTCTATCTAACATCTTCAGTAATATGTGTTAAGGTATGGCTCTCATAAGAGTGTTTCAATGATTCAGGGGCACTCTAACCTTCCAAAACATTTGTAAGAAGAATAGTAGCTGTGTGCTTGGAACTGCCTTCTAAGCACTACCTAACCTATCTGCTTCAATCTTCTCAATACCCACATTTTTAATTCCCCTTTACAAGTGAGGAAGTGCAGGCTCTATACATTTAAGTGTCTCACCCAAAGTGACATGGTTGTCAAAAACTGAACTATGACTTGAACTCCAAATTATTTAATTCCAAAATAAGCGGACTTAATTACTCTTTACTTGTGTACTTGATTATTGCCTGTGTCTGCCTGTCAGCCATCATGCTCACCACTCACCAGACAAGTGGTACATCCTAAATAAGTATTTTCAGAATGAACGAATACTATCTTCCCTCGAGGCCCAGAGATTGGAGGCATCATGGTGGAACAGCAGCGGGTCAGTGCTTTGTTTCACAGTTCACTGAAACATCACGGCCAGTGGCCTTGTGGCCCCTAAGGAGTCCAGACAACTATGGAGTCCTTGGTACAAAAGCAGGAATTCCTTGTTTACTTGCAGAAACACTTCATGTTGAGACTTTTGTAGTCTTCTTCCTTCCTTCTTTCCTTTTTTTTCTTTTACTGTTTCTTTCCTTCCTTCCTTCCTTCTTTTCCCTCCTTTCTTCCTTCCTTCCTGCCTGCCTGCCTGCCTGCAAAGCTAGATCAACCAGCTTAAGTTGTTACAAAACTAGAAAATCTGAATTAAGTAGAAATCATGAATTGAACATGTTTCAGAGGGAAGGAACTAAATCTAGCCTCAAATGAGAAGCTTATTTCCCAAAATATGAAAGCCTTTAAAAATTATGGCTAGCATTGTTTTTGTTTTTCTATCAGGACACCAAAATCAAGTCTACGGGTGTCTGATTTTCAGACTTCAAAGACTTTGGGGCATGCCTCAGCACCCAGCCTCATCCCTCCTCTTCTCCTCTTGGATTCAGTCCCTTCTCCTGAGTTGGGAGGTTGTCTGGACAGTGTCTTTGCTATCTGCGTTGCTCCTCTCCCCACCACCCATGTGCATTTGCCCCTCTGTCCCTCAGTGCATTTCCCCCAGGATGCTCTGGCCAAACTGACCAGGTGTCTCCATCTCTGCCCCTTTTCTTTCCCCTGAATGCTGTCCAGTGTTTTCTGGAACCTGTGAACTTCCCGTGAATGATAAATACCAAGAGCTTCTCAAAATGAGACCCCATGTTCTAAACAGAACCTGCAGTCAGGATTCCAGGGAAGGTCAGCAGGTTCCCACCCCCAGAAGCACTTTGCCGTGTAAGACATTGTCTATGGAACATCAATGTCACTTAGGGCCTTGGAAAGACATTCAGGA
Organism: Homo sapiens; assembly: GCF_000001405.40. Classification (NCBI taxonomy): domain Eukaryota; kingdom Metazoa; phylum Chordata; class Mammalia; order Primates; family Hominidae; genus Homo; species Homo sapiens. Next base: position 87,721,897 of record NC_000009.12, read on the forward strand.
AGGGAGTTACTACGCCTGAATTTCTGGAGATGTGTTTAGTAGGGAAGAATTCACTATAATCCATGAATGATTGATTGATTTCTAGAAAGGCTCACGCATGTTTCTTTTTGCCACTCAGGACTGGACCTCTGAATCAGTGCGGAATATGAATGAGAGCGGTCAGGGGAGAACTGGAGGATGCTGGTGGAGGCTGGAAGGCTTGCAGTCACCTGCCTGTGCTTATCTAAGTGATGAGAATGTAGGAGCAGCAGGACCTGGCCCATCACTACCCTATGTTTGTTACAGGAGAGAGGACCGTCCTCCCACAGGTCAGAGCTATTGTTAATCAAGGTGACAGTGCAAGATGCATTCCCACTCCTGACTTCTCGCTGTAAATAGGTTTCCTGAGTGGTGTTGGTTTATTTTCAATTTGGAAGCCAGTTCAATCAAATGTTTCACTAGATTCAAGTTTGATGAAAATACTAGCAAATCCCCCAACTAACGAGTCACTATAAGTAACTCAAGGCATCAGTCCTGCTCCCCACATAAGGGAGTACTGGTCCTGAGGAAATGGGACCACATATATAGGGAACAAAAGTGATACAATGGGCCATGAGGGTGTGATGAGTATCCCAGTGATTGCTTTGGGTAAATTTTGCTGGCCACATCGGTTTCAGTTCCTCTACATAGACAAGGAAATGCTCCTCATGACCGACAACAGCTCCTCCTGCACCGAGGCTGTCTAGTCATTAGAATGGTCTCTAGAAGACAATATCATCAGCAATCACTGCTAGCAAGGAGCTGGCTTCTGTGGTACTATGTTGTTGCTAATAGTTTTTGTTAGAGCAACTGCATTGTGGGAGACCTGATCCAGGGAAGGCAGAAACCAAAGCCTGTGCTCCCAAGGAGGTTATGGAAAATGAAGAAAAACACCAGCCCCTCTGCAGGAGGAAGCTGGAAATGGTTGGAAGGACCACCCATGGCTAGAGCCCCAGCACTTGGGTCATGACTCACCCTGGGTAGGTCAAGTACAGGCCCCACTTCTTCAGGCCTTGGTTGTGGATCAGACCCTGGATTCTTCCCCTCCGGGTACAGCCCAGTTGCCATGATGCTCCTTGAGTCAATGAGCTCTTTGGTCTGATCTTCTGCTCAAGCAAAGAAAGGGTCCGGCTTCAGTTCTCAGAGGCTGATAAGTACCAAGGTGGCAGAATATGGGAGTATCCTGCAGGTGCTCCCAGCATCTGCCCTGGCTCAGGTGCCAGAGGCTTGCGATTTTCTAGCTCTTGACCTCACACCCTCGATTGTTTGTTTTCCAATTCCTTCCTGAATAACGGGGTGAACATGCCACCCCTCCTGGTGGCGAATGGGGTTCCTCAGAACTGGGAGGCCACAGTCCAGATTCTGAGGCTCTTCACTAAGCAAGTGCTGGAGAGCAAAGCCACTCACTCACAACTCTCTCTCTTTCTCTTTCAAATTTGGGGAAGGGGAGGCCATCTGAGCAGTTTCTCTCACACTCCCCAGTAAGGAACTCATGAAGGACCAAGTGAGCTCTAAGCCCCCGGTAGAAACATTCAGCTGTTCCAATGAACTTCTTGTGATCCTGAAATCTGCAAAGTTAGAACCAAGGCAGACGTAGGTACTCCAGTTACCTAACACCACAGAAATATTGTTTTTATTTCATAAAATAATAAATTTAAATACTGCTATGGTTTCCTTGTTTGCCCCCTCCAAAACTCTTGTTGGAACTTATCTCCAATGTGGCAGCATTAAAATGTGGGGCCTTTAAGAGGTGATTAGGACATATGAGCTCTTCCCTAATGAATACATTAATCTATTCATGGAATAATGGGTTCATAGACCAACAGGTTATCTTGGGAATGGGACTGATGGCTTTTTTTTTTTTTTTTTTTTTTTTTGAGATGGAGTCTCGCTCTGTCACCCAGGTTGGAGTGCAGTGGCGTGATCTCGGCTCGGCTCATTGCAACCTCCACCTCCCAGGTTCAAGTGATTCTCCCGCCTCAGCCTCCCAAGTACCTGGGATTACAGGTGTGCACCACCACGCCTGGCTAATTTTTGTATTTTAGTAGAGACAGGATTTCACCCTGTTGGCCAAGCTGGTCTCAAACTCCTGACCTCAAGTGATCTGACTGCCTCGGCCTCCCAAAGTGCTGGGATTACAGGTGTGGGCCACTGCGCCCAGGCAGGACTGATGGCTTTAAAAGAAGAGGAAGAGACCTGAGCTAGGACACTCAGCCCTCTCGCCCTGTGATGCCCTACACCACCTTGGGCCTCTGCAAAGAATCCCCACAAGCAAGAAGGCCCTCACAAGATACACTTCCTGGACCTCAGACTTCCCAGCCTCGAAAACTGTAAGAAATAAATGTTGTTCTCATAAATTACACAGTTCCAGGTATTCTGTTATTAGCAACAGAAAAGAGACTAGGACAGATATCACAGTTAGATTGTATTCTACACATTGTGACTGGTTCTCCAGAGAAGCAATGCATAAAAAGAGGAATAATCGGCCGGGCACGGTGGCTCACACCTGTAATTCCAGCACTCTGGGAGGCCAAGGCAGGCGAATCACGAGGTCAGGAGTTCAAGACCAGTCTGGTCAATATGGTGAAACCCCATCTCTACTAAAAATACAAAAATTAGCCAGGCGTGGTGGTGCGCGCCTGTAGTCCCAGCTCCTCTGGAGGCTGAGGCAGAGGAATCACTTGAACCCAGGAGGCAGACATTGCAGTGAGCTGCGATTGCGCCACTGCACTCCAGCCTGAACAACAGAGCCAGACTCCGTCTCAAAAAAAAAAAAAGAGGAATAATCTCCAAAATAGTAAACAAATTCCTGCAGACAGGAAATATAATGGTAGATACCTGAGCTAGGAGAGGGGGAATGGGGAACTATTATTCAATGGATACAGTTTCAGTTTAGGAAGATAAACAAGCTCTGGGAATAAACAGTAGTAATGGTTACACAATGTGAAGGTACTTAATGCTACTGAACTCAAAGTTGGTTAAAATGGTACTTGCTATGTGAGGTATATTTTACCACTTAAAAAACTATAGGTGATTGTGCTTCTAAAAGAGTTATCAGTTTAATCTTCAATAGAAATCAATGGACTTTGTTCATTTTTAACAAAGTCAAAATATGCATACGAAAAGGTTATGGGGTAAAGGCAGAGGTAATTATTTTTTTCCCCGAAAGGTATTTTCTACAATGAATGTTTTTATGTAATAAAAAATGAAATGACAAAAGTTTAGAATGTTTGTGGGTTTTGTTCCTTAAATCCTTAATTACATAAATTAATATCTACATTATACAGATTAAGATACATATTTTTCCTCTATCTACAACATTTCTCCATTCTCTGTATCTTAAATCCTGACATTAAATGTCATTAAATTTCTTAAATCTCAAGAGAACGACTTGGTTACCAAGGAAGATATAATCCATAGCCTAGAGAGTGGGCGAATAAAAGCAGCTTCTAATGTTCTCAACTGCTTTTCTCCTGTCAACCAAATGTTTCTGTAAATAACTCATTTCTGTTGGTTTTGGGTAAGACGTGGGAGAAGGAAGAATCCCTGAATGGAGGAGTCTGGAAAGGATGCTTGACAAAACGCCCGCGCTCTCTGGAGACGCAGCCAGTCTCCTCCCTCCTAGGGTCTGGTCTTGACGATAGCATCTCGTGTTTTGGGGATGCCTTTCCTTACCAGATTCTTCTAAAGCCCAGCTGCACCCACCCTTAAGTGGGAGATAAGGCTTCTGCCCGCGGGCTCTGCGTTCGTCCACCCGGCCCCACGTTTGCTGTGGACTAAACAGGAGCCACTGGACTAGAGTACACTTGACTCTCGGCTCTGCGGACCAAAAATTCCAGGACTAAGGAATAGCAAGGTTAGGCTGAAACAGTCCACACAGGGCTTGCGGTAAACGTCTTTTCAGGAGCCACTCGCCCAGTGCAGTAAGTCGTGTACTTAGTTGACTCGAGCGCTCCAGGGAGACGCCCGACCCTACTCTGCGCCGCCCCGGGGCACCAGCTCTGCTTCCTCCAGGTCCACTGAGGCAGGCACGCCCAGCTCTGGGACAGTCAGTAAACAAGCCACGAACCGCGCCAGGGATCAGAGCACCCAGAGTCCCCGCCCAGCTGCCGGCACAGCCAATCGCAGCGCAGCCAGGCGGCGGGGCGGTGCCGGCCGAACCCAGACCCGAGGTTTTAGAAGCAGAGTCAGGCGAAGCTGGGCCAGAACCGCGACCTCCGCAACCTTGAGCGGCATCCGTGGAGTGCGCCTGCGCAGCTACGACCGCAGCAGGAAAGCGCCGCCGGCCAGGCCCAGCTGTGGCCGGACAGGGACTGGAAGAGAGGACGCGGTCGAGTAGGTGTGCACCAGCCCTGGCAACGAGAGCGTCTACCCCGAACTCTGCTGGCCTTGAGGTGGGGAAGCCGGGGAGGGCAGTTGAGGACCCCGCGGAGGCGCGTGACTGGTTGAGCGGGCAGGCCAGCCTCCGAGCCGGGTGGACACAGGTACCGCAGCCAGGCCGCGCCGCGCCGACTCAGGGCCTGGCCCGGCCAGACAGGGAAGCTCAGTCCCCGCACGCCAGACAGCGGTACTCCTGCTGGCGTCACCGCAAACATCCTCTGACCGCTACAGCCAGTGTGTGGCGCAGGCGTCATGTCCCCGGCCCTGCCACGCCTGGAGCCCTGGAAGCTGGCTGCAGGGCGCTGGCTTCCCGCGTGCGGCCATATGACCCCGTCCCTGATTTAGGGGAGCAGTTTGGGGTGTCGGCAGCACAGGCCCAAGTGAATGAAGGAGGGAGCAGTGCGTGCTCTCCTTCCCAGTTTTTCCTGGGAAAGCATTTCAGAAAGGTTTCATTTAAGGAGAGGTTGGGGCGGCGCGGTGGCTCACTCCTGTAATCCCAGCACTTTGGGAGGCTGAGGTGGGCGGATCACCTGAGGTCAGTAGTTCGAGACCAGCCTGGCCAACATGGTGAAACCCCGTCTCTACTGAAAATACAAAATTAGACGGGCGAGGCGGCGCACGCCTGTAGTTCCAGCTATTCAAGAGGCTGAGGAAGAATGGCTTGAACCCGGGAGGCAGAGGTTGCTGTGAGCCGATATCGCGCCGTTGAACTCCAGCCTGGGCCACAGAGCAAGACTCCATCTCAAAAAATAAATAAATAAATAAATAAATAAATAAATAAATAAATAGGAGAGATTGGAAAACTTATCTCAGCTTTTGGTGTTTGTTAGTCAGGAAGATGTGTGAAGGCCTCCTAACTCTTGGGGATCTCTTTGTCCCTACTTGGGAATCCCACCTTATCATTAGTGAGGTTTTGCCTGGGCACGAAACCTGGATTTTTTGCGATTGGTACAAAACCTGGATCAACCGTTTCCCGGTTTCCTAGTTGTTGCCTTAAGCTTCTCACACACAAGGTAGTTTCATACCGTTCTCATAACCTAAATTGTCATCGCATAAACTGTTTCAGCTCCTACAGCTCTGGACAGGCTGCTTTTCATTTTGGTGAGTCCATCCAGTACCTCCACGTGCCCTGTTTTTCTCCAGGCACATCCTTGGCCTCTTCCACAGTCCTTGGGTAAATGCTTGGGAGAATAATTTAAATATTTTTATTCTACCATGGTGGCCCTAATTTTTCAGGGGGCAGTAAGATGGCTTTTTAGGATTGGTCTAATCAGATCCTCATTTTTGTTCCCTTCCTAGGTTTTAAAACATGAATCCTACACTCATCCTTGCTGCCTTTTGCCTGGGAATTGCCTCAGCTACTCTAACATTTGATCACAGTTTAGAGGCACAGTGGACCAAGTGGAAGGCGATGCACAACAGATTATACGGCATGGTTAGTGAAACTTCCCCAGAAAGAATAGTCCTGGCTGTTGAGAAGTTTTAGTCAGAGAGTAGCTTCTAGAGGCCAGCTTTTACCAATAGCCTAATGTAATAACCTAATGGCGTGGATTATGAGCACAATGTGGACATTCATCCTTGTTGTGTCTCAGTTTGGAGAACAGCATCCCCAGAGGTGTCAAGCCTTCCCTTGCCATGGTTTCTCTTCCATCTCTGTCTGCAGATTCACTTGGTGAGGATGAGTTGGGTTTTAGGTAGAAGTAAAGAGCATCAGTTACATGTTTGCCTCTAGAATGAAGAAGGATGGAGGAGAGCAGTGTGGGAGAAGAACATGAAGATGATTGAACTGCACAATCAGGAATACAGGGAAGGGAAACACAGCTTCACAATGGCCATGAACGCCTTTGGAGACATGGTAAGTGTGCTGTGGACTGCCGAGCTCTGTGCTTCCTCTCTTCGGTTCTTTACTAAGGTAATCTCTTGCTTTTCAACATTTTATTTCCTTTTCCTTGAAGACCAGTGAAGAATTCAGGCAGGTGATGAATGGCTTTCAAAACCGTAAGCCCAGGAAGGGGAAAGTGTTCCAGGAACCTCTGTTTTATGAGGCCCCCAGATCTGTGGATTGGAGAGAGAAAGGCTACGTGACTCCTGTGAAGAATCAGGTGAGACAGTGTCAGGTTCAGACCTCCCATCTTCCCAGGAAAGCCAAGAAGTGATTGACATCTTTGTTTTGGTAGACTTTAAAGTGATGTACAGTTCACTTTTTAACAGTATTCAGATGTGTGAGCTGTTGTCAAAGTCTTATTATTTTTTTTTTGTGGATGACAGCTTTTTTTAATTCCCTTTTCAGGGTCAGTGTGGTTCTTGTTGGGCTTTTAGTGCTACTGGTGCTCTTGAAGGACAGATGTTCCGGAAAACTGGGAGGCTTATCTCACTGAGTGAGCAGAATCTGGTAGACTGCTCTGGGCCTCAAGGCAATGAAGGCTGCAATGGTGGCCTAATGGATTATGCTTTCCAGTATGTTCAGGATAATGGAGGCCTGGACTCTGAGGAATCCTATCCATATGAGGCAACAGTAAGTGGAGCTCCTTGTCATCATTCCAGCTCAGCTTTTGGAAGGTGGACACTTTAAGAGATAACAGATACCTTTTTCGGAATTCATATATTAGGGCTGGGTGGGGTGGCTCACGCCTGTAATCCCAGCCCTTTAGGAGGCTGAGCCAGGCAGATGGCTTAAGCTCAGGAGTTTGAGACCAGCCTGGGCAACAAGGTGAAACCTTGACTCTATCAAAAATACAACGAAAATTAGCCGGCTGTGGTGGTGTGCGTCTGTGGTCCCAGCTATGCTGAGGTAGGGCGATTGCTTGAGTGTGGGAGGTGGTTGTGCAAATGCACTCTCCAGTCTGAGTGACAGAATGAGACCCTGTCTCCAAAAAAAAAAAAAAGTTCACATATTAGATGGCAGAATATATATCTGCAAATTGTCAGTACTGTCATTATAAATTATTAGCCTTTGCACAATCCTGTGATTAGATGGGTAACATATAGCTGTTCTTGCTTCTATGTAACGTGAAGAATATACAAGCCATTCTAAATATACACATTTCTCTATTGTGAAAAATGTCTTATGGAAGTAAACCCAGAGGTCTCATTGAAGAGACTGGAGTCAATTTTCAGTTTCAGATTAACTAATAGCATTTCACTTCCTGGGATGATTTATAACAGTGGTGACTTGGAAATACTAAGCTGCACACTGCTGAGTGTTGTGGTTCTAACTCATGTTCTCCAGGAGGAGGACAGCAGTAATCAAGTCTTTTTTTTCCCTTTACCTTTGAAAGGAAGAATCCTGTAAGTACAATCCCAAGTATTCTGTTGCTAATGACACCGGCTTTGTGGACATCCCTAAGCAGGAGAAGGCCCTGATGAAGGCAGTTGCAACTGTGGGGCCCATTTCTGTTGCTATTGATGCAGGTCATGAGTCCTTCCTGTTCTATAAAGAAGGTAAGCATATTTTTCTTTGTAGAAATTGATGCAGAAAAAGAGTATCATGACATACGAGCATGATAGACTCTGGTTTGCAAGTAAAGTTCAGTGTAGATATTTAGGTGCTTAGCATCATAGTTGTTCATTCTGTACATGCAATATTTATACCTGATGTTTCCATTTGACATTATGTTGCGTATATCTCCATGAATATAAGTACTTCATAACTTTTTATAAATAGCTATATTTACTGTGTAGTTTAATATACTTAAAATATTCTGCAATTGTTGGATTTTTATAATTTTTCCAAAGATTTTTACTTCTATTATTAAATCCGAAAAGAGCCTTTTGATTCAAGGATTTTAGTGTTCTGTGCTATTTTTTTAGATTGATATCCTAGAGTAGAATTACAAGCTTACAAAGAGGGGTCTTTTTTTCCTCTAGGAAAGCTTTTTTTTAATGAAGGATTTATGCTGATTTCTATTTCTGCTAGTTGTAAATGAGAGCTTAAATCCCTGGCCTTCTTATTGTTGTTAAGTACTATCTGGAATGTGTGTCACTTCACTGAATTCAGAGATGCCTCATTCCCTGTGGGTGACAGGATGGGTTACTGTCATGTGTCCTCTGGAGCTTCTCACCCCAGCCCTCATTTTACCATCCCAGGCATTTATTTTGAGCCAGACTGTAGCAGTGAAGACATGGATCATGGTGTGCTGGTGGTTGGCTACGGATTTGAAAGCACAGAATCAGATAACAATAAATATTGGCTGGTGAAGAACAGGTATAAATTGCCAGAAATACTTACATTTGAAATTCAAAAGAGAATACTTATTTGCAAACAGTGTTTGGATACAGTTCCACATGCCCTTAGGCATACTTCTGAAATCCCCAGAAGTCTAAGTTGAACATATAATATTAATGTTTGATTATAAAAGTAAGAAACTGTCACAAATATCTTGGGAGTATGAATATAGTATTTGTTCCATTGTATAAAGGTGTATCTAAATCTGAACAGTTTTTAAATTCTGAGGCATATCTGGCTGCAAAGACATCCTATTGTTTTCCTGTCTCTGATCTGTAGTTCTGTGAAAGGTCACAGTTTGGAGGCTGGGATGGAAATTATGTCCAGGTTATGTCAAGAATTTTTTAAGGATAAACAGGAACATTGCCTGTCCTGATTCTTTCTGTTAAGTCTATGGCCTCTGGCACAGTGTTTAAGTTGGGTGTTCCTGTTAATAACCCTTTGGGCTTTATTCTTTCTCTGAAATGGAAAACCTGCTCTTTTTTCAGCTGGGGTGAAGAATGGGGCATGGGTGGCTACGTAAAGATGGCCAAAGACCGGAGAAACCATTGTGGAATTGCCTCAGCAGCCAGCTACCCCACTGTGTGAGCTGGTGGACGGTGATGAGGAAGGACTTGACTGGGGATGGCGCATGCATGGGAGGAATTCATCTTCAGTCTACCAGCCCCCGCTGTGTCGGATACACACTCGAATCATTGAAGATCCGAGTGTGATTTGAATTCTGTGATATTTTCACACTGGTAAATGTTACCTCTATTTTAATTACTGCTATAAATAGGTTTATATTATTGATTCACTTACTGACTTTGCATTTTCGTTTTTAAAAGGATGTATAAATTTTTACCTGTTTAAATAAAATTTAATTTCAAATGTAGTGGTGGGGCTTCTTTCTATTTTTGATGCACTGAATTTTTGTGTAATAAAGAACATAATTGGGCTCTAAGCCATAACTGCTGTGCCAGTGGCTCACTAGGAGGAAGAGTGGGTGGCCTTCTGGGTCTTCTAGTCACAGATGTACAGATCTCATGTCAGCTGCCCAGTGGCTATGTCTTAACCAATCCTTGATTGCAGCAAAATTTGAAAATGATCTATGAGGACAAAGGAAAATTGTTTGAATAAAGAAAAATATTCACTTTTTAGAAAAGTGAACATACATATATATAATTTTAATACTAGAAAAGGACTTTAGTGATCGTGTTTATTTCACCCAAAGTGGTTGCATCTCAGTCAAGTTACAGGGCAAAGGTCTCAGCCTGTTTCTGGAGCATCTTCGCCCACTGCTGGTGAAGGCCCTGTGGACACTTTGCAGTCAAGGTGGGTTAAGAACTAGTGCATTGCCAAGGCTGTTTGTTTTTGGGTCCTCAAGGGATGAGGAATAAACTTCAGGGTTTGAGGCTGGGGTTCAGAAGTGGTGCTCTGGCCTCAGAAAATAAAAGACAAGTGAGAGGCTAGAAATGACAATCTGTTGCCCTATTTAGAGCAAGCTACCTGAAAATACCTGATTTATTTTTTTTTAAATAGAAAAACTTCCCACATCGCACTAGCTAAACAGCCCATACTTCCATCACCTGTGTGTTTTCAGAAGTCTCTTGTTCCAACTGAAGGAAATATAAAGAACAGATGAGAATGTCCAATGAATAGACTCCATATCACAGAGGAGGGTAACCAGGTGTACAATGGAGTCTCAGCTTACAAAGCCCCCGGGAGGTTCTGTCCAAGTCCATCTCGATTGGACCACATGCCTTGCTGGACTCTCATGTGCCCTTCCCGAGTAGTTGCTAAAATTTCAAACTTTTTGACCTAAAATGGCAAATGTGGCATCTGTGAAATTCTTTGGGTATTGTAATAAAAGTCACCAGGGGTAGCAAGATTTGGGGAGGTTCCCAGGCTAAATCCCTCGTGCAGGTTGGGGCTTAGATTTGATAAACTGGAATTTATATACAACACCCACTACATGCTGGTCATCACCACTGTGGAAGAGACAGACCCTGACCTCAAGGAGCTGAACAGTTAGGGAGAGTGAGGTTAGCAGGGAGGGCTTCCAGGAAGAAGTTAAAGCAGATGGCTAGAGCAGCTAGTCAATAAGGGAAGATGAAGAGGTGAGCATCTTAGCAGAGACTAGCACATCAGCAACCCTGAGAAAAGACCCTGTGGTTACAGACCCAGTAAAAGTCACTGGGTCCAGGTGTTGGGAGATGAAGCTGGTCAAGAGGTAGATTTTCAGGATAAAGGAGCCACTGGGAGTGCAGTGAACAGACTGTTTTGGTTCTGTTACTGTAAAACAAACCACCCAGAAACCCAATGGCTGGGAAGGAACATCTTTCACATGATTCTGCCTGGACTTGGCTGTGTGGTTTTCACGTGGAGGTCTATATCTGTGCTTGAGACATCTGCAGGTTTGAGTGAACTGGACATCTGCAAAGGCTCACTCACATGGCTGGCTGCAGATGCTGGTGCTGGCTGGACGTTCAACTTGGGCTATTGACCAGAGCACCTGCCCGGGGCCTCCCCATGGCTTGGGCTTCCCACAGCATTGATACTGGGGGAAATACATATATAGTGCAATTCAGTGTTTTAAGTTTGCCAACTTGGAAGGTGTATATATACAGCTTTAAACCCTGAATTTCACAAATGTTCATGATTATCTCTTTGTTAATAAGTTAATAAGAAAAATAATTTCCAGGAGACTTGGTCTCTTTTCTCCAGTAATACAGCTTAAACATTCCATAATTCACATGTTTAAGATTGTTTTATTTACACTTTCAACAAGTATTCATTGGGCACCATTTATGAGGCAGTGCTGTGCTGCCAACACAAAAGTGAAGCAAATACTCATGACCCCTTCCTCTGTAGCTCATGTTCCCATTGAAAAATCAAAGCCTGGCACAGACCCATGGGTAAGTGCAGCACTAGGGAGGTCTCAAAGGAGCCCAGGGACAGTCAGGGCACACACCAGGGACAGGCCACCCTCCACGGTCAGAGTAGGTATAAGCAGGGGCCATCTGATCCCAATTTCAAGCGTTCATAGCTGTCATATCTTGGAAAAGGCATGAGAGGGCAGTTTCTCTTTGCGCTGTATTATTTCAATTTTTAGGTAATGGACCTTCATTATTTTCACAAGATAACAGATTCCAAAAGTATGCAGTTCAAGAAAAAAGTTAAAGAATTGACAAGAAGGAGGAGGAGGAAGAGGTGGAGAAACAGAGGGTCCTTAGATAACTTGATGAAGGCGAGTCTCCCATTTGGGGACTGATGTTCCTGAGATCTGTGCAGATGCTGCTCAGAGGGTCCATCACACAGCACAGGCGTGGGGAAGCAGCACTGCCCAGCTGGACTCCAGGGTGCTCCATGCACCTCTCAGTCACACAGAACCTCTCTGAGGATGGTGGCTGTTGGCTCCAATTGACCATTCCCTGGCAAGAGAAACAGGGAGGGGGGTTTGCTAAGCGCTTAAGGAGGGATGGACAATGAGGGGATAGACCAGGGACAGTGTTCTAATGAGACTGCTTTAGTGAGGACGCAGAGTGACTCTGCTCAGAACTCCAGAACACTTGCTCCCTTCAGCTGCCCCACTCCCCACAACCATGCACACTCCCCTCATCCCAACCTGGGGCAGCATGTTGAGCACTTAACAGAACTGCCATTTCTGTGGCTTTTTCATCCCTTTCCTTTTCCTCCATATTCAGGAAGAACAACAGATTACTAATCACCCACACTCAGGGAAGTCCAATATAAGTAGGAGCAAGAGCAAATCCCGAGCTTTGGGTGGTTAATTCTTCTGAAAAACCATAGCAGAGACTTCCTGTTTCCATTACAACGTGGAAGGAGTTTTGAAGTTGTAACCATCCACTCACAAGTAAAAAGCTGAACAAATTGAAAAATCAACAACTCTTCTTAGAATCATCAGACAAGTGAAGACACACAGCAAACCACTGCCTTAATAATTAGAGAAATGAATGTCAAGAATCACAGCTTACAGAAGGAGAAATTTATGAGCAGAGATTTCCACAGGAACAAGTGCTTAGTAAGGAAAACCAAGCTGTAACTGAGGAATTGCCACAGGTCCATGTGGACAAGTCTGAGAGTTAAAATTCTAGGAGTTGTGCCTTAGAGGGGCTCCTCAAGTTGTAGAGCTCCAATAGCTCTACCAGGTTCTCAAAGTAGAAATCTAAGACAAATTCCCTCATGATTCAGGTATGTGTGGTGGGGCGGGAGGGGGCGTCATGATTTGAAAATATGCCAGAGCATTCTGTTCTTCTTAACGAGGCCTCTCCTCAAGAAAAACTTTTTTTTTTTTTTTTTTTTTTTTTTTTTTTTTTTTTTTGAGACGGAGTCTTGCCCTGTCTCCCAGTCTGGAGTGCAGTGGTGCGGTCTCGGCTCACTGTAACCTCTGCCTACCGGTTTCAAGGGATTATCATGTCTCAGCTTCCTGAGTAGCTAGGATTAGAGGCGCGCGCCACCACACTTAGCAAATTTTTGTATTTTTAGTAGAGACAGAGTTTGACCGGGCTTAGTAGAGCTTAGTTTGACCGGGCTTTAGTAGAGACATGTTGGCCGGGCTGGTCTTGAAGTCCTGACCTCAAGTGATTCTCCCATCCTGGCTTCCCAAAGTGCTGGGATTACAGGCATGAGCCACCACGCTTAGCCATTTTTTTTTTTTAAGTCAAAGCTGACCTATTGGGGTTTCATCAAAACCTAACTGAACTGGGGGATGGAAATACCCAGCTGCAGCCTGCTTCAGCCTTCCATATGGAGAAGGGTAATAATCAACTCCAGTTCACTCTAGCCATCCTGTCTCACCTAAAAATGGAAAACCCGAGAAGCACTTGTGAATTCCACAGCCCAGGGACATGGTTAGGTTGATTAAAAGACTGCGACCCACTCATAGGACTAAGGAATACTTCTCCTCCCTCTACATATTTCCAGCGCATTCCCAAAGGCTTATTTACCAGTGTTTCTTTTACCTGGTACACCATAACCCTCTTTCTAAAGAATATTAAAAGCTATACTAAAAGGCAAAAGTCACAACTAGAAGAGGCAAAGCAAGCATCAGAACCAGAATCAGATATGTCATGAATGTCAGAAACATCAGACCAGGAATTTAAAATAACTATGACTATTATGATAAGGGCTAATAGATCAAATGACAACATGCAACAACAGACAGAGAAGGTAGAGAGTAAGTGGAAAATTCCAAGCATCCAAAAGTCATGCTAATTCGGCCGGGCGCGGGGGCTCACGCCTGTAATCCCAGCACTTTGGGAGGCCGAGGTGGGTGGATCACGAGGTCAGGAGATCGAGACCATCCTGGCTAACACGGTGAAACCCCTGTCTCTACTAAAAATACAAAAAGTTAGCCAGGCGTGGTAGTGGGCCCCTGTGGTCCCAGCTACTCGGGAGGCTGAGGCAGGGGAATGAACCCAGGAGGCAGAGCTTGCAGTGAGCCAAGATCGCACCACTGCACTCCAGCCTGGGCAACAGAGCAAGACTCCGTCTCAAAAAAAAAAAAAAAAAAAGTAATGCTAATTCTTAGCAAACTAGTAATGGAGGGGAACTTCCTCTCCTTGATAAATAACATCTATAACAAACCTGTAGATAACGTGATTTTGACAAAATAAAATCTTTATTACTAAGATCAGGAGCAAGGCAAAAATGTCCCCTTTCACCACTCCTTTTCAGCATAGTACTGGAAGTCTTAGATAATGCAATAAAACATGAAAAATAAATATATGTCTATAGATTAGCAAGGAAGAAATAAAATTGTCTTTGTTTGCAGATGACCTAGAGAATCCAGAAGAATCAACAAAAACCTGTTGGAACTAATAAGTGGTTACAGCAAGGTTCTAGGATACAAGATTAATGTCCAAAAGTCATTTCCTTTCCTATATATCGGCAATGAACAAGTGGAATTTGAAATTAAAACACAATACCATTTATGCAAGCACCACACAAATGAAATAATTAGGTATCAATCTAACAACAAATGTATAAGATTTATATGAGGAAAATGACAAAACCCTAATGAAACAAATCAAAGAGCTAAAAAGATATCTCATGTTAATTAATAAGAAGACTCAATATTAGCAGGACTTTATTTTTTTTCCCATTTCATTTATAGACTCTGCAATTTCAATCAAAATTCTTGCAATTAGTTTGGCAATTAGTTCTGCTGTTTGCAGAACAAACTGATTCTAAATTTGTTATGGAGAGGTAGGAATCTAGAATAACTAACACAACACTGAAGGAGAACAAATTCAGAGGACATAGACTGCAGGGTTTCCAGACTTCCTATAAAGCTACAATAAACAAAAAAGAATGATTTTGGAGAATGAATAGACAAATCATCCATGGGACAAAAGTGAGCTCAGAAACAGACCCACGTAAATATAGTCAACTGATCTTTTACTAAGGAGCAAAGGCAATACAATGAAGAAAAGATAGTCTTTTTTTTTTTGCTGGAACAACTTGGCATCCACTTTCAAAAACATGAATCTAGACACAGACATTTCATGCTTCACAAAATTAATATAGATCATACATCCAAATGTAAAACACCAAACTATAAAACTCTTAGAGGATAACATAGGAGGAAATCTAGATTACCTTGGGTATGGCGATGGCTTTTTAGATATAATACTAAAGTACAATCCATGAAATAAATAATTGATAAGTTGGACTTTAGTAGAATTAAAAACTACTCCATGAAAGACAGTCAAGAGAATAATCAGACAAACCACTGACTGGGAGAAAATATTTGCAAAAGAAACATCTGGGCCAGGCACAGTGGCTCACGCCTGTAATCCCAGGACTTTGGGAGGCCAAGGCGGGTGGATCACGAGGTCAGGATATCGAGACCACCCTGGGTAACATGGTGAAACCCCGTCTCTACTAAAAATACAAAAAATTAGCCGGGCGTGGTGGCAGGTGCCTGTTGTCCCAGCTACTCGGGAGGCTGAGGCAGGAGAATGGCGTGAACCTGGGAGGCAGAGCTTGCAGTGAGCCGAGATCGTACCACTGCACTCCAGCCTGGGTGACAGAGCGAGATTCAATCTCAAAAAAAAATAAAATAAAATAAAAATTAAAAAATAAAGAAACATCTGACAATACCATTCAGGACATAGGCACGGGCAGAGATTTCATAATGAAAACATCAAAAGCAATTGCAACAAGAGCAAAACTTGACAAATGGGATCTAATTAAACTAAAGAGCTTCTGCACAGTAAAAGAAACTATCATCAGAGTAAACAGACAACCTACAGAGTGGGAGAAAATTTTTGCAATCTATCCATATGCCAAAGGTCTAATATCCAGAATGTTTGAAGAACTTAAACAAATTTACAAGAAAAAACTAACAACCCCATTAAAAAGTGGGCAAAGGACATGAACAGATATTTCTCAAAAGAAGACATTTATGCAGCCAACAAACATATGAAAAAAAGCTCAACATCGCTGATCATTAGAGAAATGCAAATCAAAATCACAATGAGATATCATCTCATGCCAGTTGGAATGGCGATTATCAAAAAGTCAAGAAACAACAGACTCTGGCGAGGCTGTGGAGAAATAGGAACACTTTTACACTGTTGGTTGGAATGTAAATTAGTTCAACCATTGTGGAAGACAGTGTGGCGATTCCTCAAAGATCTAGAACCAGAAATACCATTTGACCCAGCAATCCCATTACCGGGTATATACCCCCCAAAATATAAATCATTCTATTATAAAGATACATGCATGCATATGTTCACTGCAGCACTATTCACAACAGCAAAGACATGGAATCAACTCAAATGCCCACCAATGATAGGCTGGATTAAAAAAAGTTGTACATATACATCATGGAATACTATACAGCCATAAAAAGGAATGAGATCACATCCTTTGCAGGGACATGGATGAAGCTGGAAGCCATTATCCTTAGCAAACTAGCACAAGAACAGAAAACCAAACACTGCATGTTCTCACTTATAAGTGTGAGCTGAACAATGAGAACACACGGTCACAGGGAGGAGAGCAACTCACAACGGGGCCTGTCAGGGGGGTGGGAGGAGGGAGAGCATCAGAAAGAATAGCTAACGGATTCTGGGTTTAATACCTAGGTGATCAGTTGATAGGTGCAGCAAACCACCATGGTACACATTTACCTATGTAACAAACCTGCACATCCTGCACATGAATCCCATAACTTAAAATAAAATAAAACTTTTTAAAAAAGGAAATAAATATAGGCTAGGCACGGTGGCTCACGCCTATAATCCCAGCACTTTGGGAGGCCAAGGCAGGTGGATCACATGAGGTCAGGAGTTTGAGACCAGCCTAGCCAACATGATGAAACCCCATCTCTACTAAAAATACAAAAAATTAGCCAGGTGTGGTTGTGGGCACCTTTAATCCCGGCTACTCCAGGGGCTGAGGCAGGAGAATTGCTTGAACTAACTCAGGAGGTGGAGGTTGCAGTGAGCCGAGACAGTGCCACTGCATTCCAGACTGGGCAGCAAGAGTGAAACTCCATCTCAAAAAAAAAAAAAAAAGAAAAGAAAAGAAAATATAAAAAGGGCTCTCGAAATTCAGCCATAAGAAGAACAACCCAATTACATAATGGACAATTGTCTTGAACAGACACTTTACCAAATATATGGGTGGCAAATGAGCATATGAAGAGATGCTCCATGTCATATTTCATCATGGAGATGCCAATGAAAACAACAATGAGATACCACTACACACATACCGTGATGGCCAAAATCCAAAACACCAACAATGCCAAATATTGGTGAGGATGTGGAGGAAAGACAGTCTCATTTATCGCTGTTTGGAATGCAAAATGGTACAACCTTTTTGGAAGACAGTTTGGAAGTTTTTTAAAAAAATAAATCTTAACATACTCTTACCACACAATCCAGCAATCCCACTCATTAGTATTTACCCAAATGAATTGAAAACTGTGTCCACACAAAAACCTGTATAATGGTGAGTGGTGACTATCTGGGCCATGGCACAGGTGGTAAAAGAATTTACCAAGGCAATTGTAGGTAAAGAAAGGCAGATTTACTAGAGAAAGTAGGAACACATGTTGCAAGGGTGCAACAGGCAGGGCAGCAAGAGAGGAGCTGACTGCCAGGAGACAAAAGCTTACCACGGATTTTGTGGAATGGTGTTTGTGCTGGGTGCTGAAGTGGGCTTTGTGCAGTGCTGATAACGCCAAAATTGCAGTGAGCTCATTTGCATTTTTCTATCAGCCAAGGGTCTGGTGATAGCTGGGTGCAGGAAGATTGTAAGTTATTTGTGCAGGAGGACTGTGCGTCCTGGACCATGAAGAAAAGGCAAACTCATAGCTTATCTGCTTTCTTTTTTTGCTTTCCCTCCATCCTGCCAGCCTGACTACCCTTTCCCAATTAGGACTCCACAATCTGCACAAGAGCATTTATAACAGCTGTATTCATAATTGCCCAAACTTGGAAGTAATCAAGAAGTCCTTCAGTAAGTGAATGGATAAATAAATGTAGTAAATCCAGCCAATGAAATATTATTCAGCCATAAAAAGAAATGAGTTCTTAAGTCATGAAAAGATATGAAGGAAACTTAAATGTGTATTACTAATGAAAGAATCCAGGCTACATACTGTATTCCAACTATATGTCTTTCTGGAAAAGGCAAAACTATGGAAACAGTGAAATCATCAATCGTTGCCAGAGATTAGGAAGTAGGAAGGGCTGAATAGGGAGTGCACGGAAGATTTTTAGGTCAGTGAAACTATTCTGTGTGATACTATAATGGTGAATCCATGTCCTCATACATTTGTCAAAACCCATCGAATGCACAACACCAAGAGTGAACCCTAGTGTTTATTATGAACTTTGGATGATAATGGTGAGTCACTGTAGGTTCTTGGACTGTAGGAAATGGACTACTCTGGTGCATATGTTGATAGTGGTGGAGGAGGAGAGGTTGTAGGGGTTTGGAGAAGAAGGGCGTGGAACTTCCTGTTCTTTCCACCCAATTTTGATAGGAACAAAACTTAGCTCTTAAAAATTATGTTTATTAATTTTAAAAACAAACAAAGAATACCTAATTTTTTTACAAATTGCTCTAATTTCATAGAATTGCACATTAAAAATATGAGATACTACACAAAAGAAATTATAGCAGTGCTTTAGACAGGAAAGGGGCATGAGAGAACTTTCTGGAATAACAGTAAGTTGTATGTCTTGATAGGGACTTGGGTCGTACTGGTATATGCAATTGTCAAAACTCAAAGAACATACACCTCAGATTTGTGCATTTCAATCAATGTAAATTTTATGGTAAAACTAGGATTTTAAAACAAGTATTAAACCCTTGTTAATGATATGCGCGCTAAAGTATTTAGGAGGAAGCACTACCTGCAAATTTCTTGAAAACACGTGAAAAATAACATGAACTAATGGACAGATAGAGGCAAAAATAGATCTACAGATGTGAATTAAAACAAAGATTAAAATGTTAATGATAAAATCTTGGAGGTAGATATATGGTATTCACTGTAAAAATTCTTTCAACTTTATTGTATGTTTGAATATTTGCATAATATAATGTTAGGGGAAAATTGCAGCAGAGATAATATTCTAAATAGCTAAAAAAAATTTGACTTTCAGAAGACCAGACTCATTGAGAGCGAAAAAATTATTTTTGTTTTGTTGTTCGTTTGCTTGTTTTTTAATTCTGGCAACGGCAGAGGAACTCTGACTCCTGGGGTGCAGAAAAATTGTCTGTGGAAGCCCCGTGAAGGAGGTGGGGGACCGCTGCAAAAGCAAGGAAGAGGACGAGGATGAGGACGTCTGGGATAACTGGGATGATGGTGATGACAGGAAAAAGAAAAAAGAGGAAGCAGAAATAAACATTTTAGAAAAGAAAAAACTAACAGAGAAGATAAAAGAAAGAACGGCAACAGAAGAAAGGGCAGGAAGAAATTAAAAAGGGGTTAGAAGAACCTGAAGAACTCCAGCTGCTAACACCAGAGGAACAATTAGCAGATAAACCGCAGCTGGAGAAATCACAGGAAGAGTCAGACATGGAATTAGCAAAGGCAACTTTTGGTGTTAAGACTACTGTATATGGATCGGATGCTGTAAACCCATCTTCAAGGGATGACCTTACAGAGTTTGGAAAGTTACTAAAAGATAAAATTACACAAAATAAAAAGTCACTATATTATGCCAGTTTTTTGGAAGTCTTAGTTGGAGATGTGTGTATGTCATTGGAAACTGATGACTTGAAAAAGGTTCTCAATACATTGTGCTTTGAAGTGAAAAACAGAAGCAAGCAAAGCCAAGCCAAAAAGAAGAACAAAGGTATGGTTCCTGGAGGGAGATTAAAAGCCACCATGACAAATGATCTGGTAAATTATGGTGGTGATGATGCAGGGTATGCACAAGACTATGAAAATGTCATGTGACATTGCATCTTTTCCTGGTGTCATCTTTATGTTGCCCACGACCCCTTCAACGCACAGCACAACTTCCTTTCCTTTCAGTTCTGCCAAATGCTACAATCCAAAGTGCAGTCTCTTTCGTGCTGGTTATTTAACCCCTTGACACTTAGGTGTTAACGTGCAAATGAGGGAGCTTGGATCTTGCTGCCAAGGGGTTAAAATCAGGAACCTCAATTGCTACTAAATCATAGTCCAAAACAAAGCAAACCTAATAATGTCATTTTTGGTTTCAGATTTCATAGCGGCAGTCACTGAAAATTGGAAACAAAAGGCTGCAACAAGACAAAATAAATTGTGTAGTACTCAACAGCACTATTCAGTAATACAGCCTTAACCATACCTCCTTGAACTACTTCATAACTTGTCAAGAAAAGCAGCTGCAGCAAGGGCATGTGGCATGCACCTAGTATGAAAATTGCTTTGTCTTAAAATTGAATGTGAGGCTATTAAAAATACATTGTGAAGAAGACTGCTTATGCCAGAGTGAAGATACTGTGGCTGAAAAGCACTAGTTTGATTAAAATTAAATGACCAAAGCCTTCCAACTTTGAATCTGAAGAGGGTAAGCCTCTCCATTATAACATCACATGTTGTGGATTCTCTTGAATACAAAGACTGTCTAGTTACTGAAACCACCTTTGCAAAATTATGACTGAGACAGTGAAAGAGATCTAACTGAATTGATTCCATCCTGCTTCTAACCTCCAAGCTGTCCTTGTTCATTCTTGGGTGTAGGCTGAAGTAACTTTGGGAGAAACTTAGTTTATAGTTTAAAACAAAGACGATAACAGCCCTATCCCAAAGCAGACTTCCTCCTTGCCTGGGGACTACTGCCTTTGCAGGACTAACATTAGCCACAAGATTAGAAATTATGGTTTAGGAGTCATGCAGCTGGAGGCTGCAAGATTCTGACCCTCCCTAACCTGTTCCTAAGATCAGTGCGTGAGATATTTTGCAGCCCCTGCACTTAATGAATCAGCTGGCACCACCCAGATTAATAAACTGTCTCATCTGACCTTGTGGCCCCACCCAGGAACTGACTCAGCACAGAAGACAGCTTCGACTCCCTATTATTTCTTCTCTGACCAATCAGCAGTCTTGGCTCATTGGCCTCTCCCCACCCACCAAGTTGTCCTTAAAAACTATGCTCCCCAAGTGCTCTTCTGGGAGACTAATTTGAGTGATAATACAGCTCTGGTCTCCCACACAGCCGGTTCTTTGTGAATTACTCTTTCTCTATTGCCATTCCCCTGTCTTGAGAAATTGGCTCTGTCTAAACAGTGGGCAAGGTGAACCCCTTGGGTGGTGACATTACTTATCAAACTATTTCTACTGATGAAGTGCTTCAGATGGGGGCTTCAGGACTCTTTACCTGTTTTTGTTTGCCTGATTTAAGTGTCTGAGAAACAAATCTTAGTTCTCCTGGGCTGCAATAAAACAACTTTACCAGGGTTTTGGCATTTCCTTTCTTTTCCTTTATAAAATATGCTCAACAAACTGCACCAGTTAACTACAGTTTGATAAATTGCTAACAATTATGACATTTGCAATGATTTATAAAGCAACTATTTCAAATAAATAAATTACAAAGAGCATTAAAGGAGTTTATTCTATGAACAAAAGACAGCAGTTTCTGCCCCAGCCTAGAGAAGGTTCAGAACATGAGAAGGATTTGAAAGGAGAGCAGAGAAGTCACCTTTGGGTGTGAGTCCCTGAGCCACAGAGGTAGGGGATGGGAGACAGGGGAAGGGTCAAGAATATGCATTTTTGCACATAGGAGTCTATGGCTATAAAACTGCTCATAATTAAACTAAAGAGCTTCTGCACAGCAAAAGAAACTACCATCAGAGTGAACAGGCAACCTACAGAATGGGAGAAAATTTTTACAATCTACCCATCTGACAAAGGGCTAATATTCAGAATCTATAAAAACTTAAACAAATTTACAAGAAAAAATCAAACAACCCCATCAGAAAGTGGGTGAAGGATATGAACAGACACTTCTCAAAAGAAGACATTTACGTAGCCAACAGACACATGAAAAAATGCTCATCATCACTGGCCATCAGAAAATGCAAATCAAAACCACAATGAGATACCATCTCACACCAGTTAGAATGGCGATCATTAAAAAGTCAGGAAACAACAGGTGCTGGGGAGGATGTGGAGAAATAGGACGCTTTTACACTGTTGGTGGGACTGTAAACTGGTTTAACCATTGTGGAAGACAGTGTGGCGATTCCTCAAGGATGTAGGACTAGAAATACCATTTGACCCAGTGATCCCATTACTGGGCATATACCCAAAGGATTATAAATCATGCTGCTATAAAGACACATGCACACGTATGTTTATTGCGGCACTATTCACAATAGCAAAGACTTGGAACCAACCCAAATGTCCATCAATGGTAGACTGGATTAAGAAAATGTGGCACATATACACCACGGAATACTATGCAGCCATAAAAAAGGATGAGTTCATGTCCTTTGTAGAGACATGGATGAAGCTGGAAACCATCATTCTCAGTAAACTATCGCAAGGACAGAAAACCAAACACTGCATGTTCTCACTCATAGGTGGGAATTGAACAATGAGAACACATGAACACAGGGCGGAGAATATCGCATACTGGGGCCTGTCGTGGGGTGGGAGGAGAGGGGAGGGATAGCATTAGGAGATATACCTAATGTAAATGACGAGTTAACCGGTGCAGCACACCAACATGGCACATGTATACATATGTAACAAACCTGCATGTTGTGCACATGTACCCTAGAACTTAAAATAATTAAAAAAAAAAGAAAAATAAAAAACAAAAATAAAGTTAAAAAACTGCTCATTATTATATGTTAATATAAACATACTACATGTTATTATATATTAAGTTTATCCCAAATGTTTCTGACAATGTATTAGGTTGGTGCAAAAGTAATTGCGATTTTTGTCGTTACTTTTAAATGGCAAAACCGCAATTATGTTTGCACAAACCTAATACATATTAAAGACAATTTTCAAACTCATGGGTTCTAGAACCCTTGTGAGAACAGTCAGTTTTCCTAATGTAACTTCTAAAAGTACTTATTAGGTGGGAAAGCAGTGTTCTTTTTTTTTGAAATAGGGTTTCTGGTTCTGTCACCCAGGCTGGAGTGCAGTAGCGTGATCGTGACTCAATGCAACCTCCACTTCCCAGGCTCCCAAAGTTCTAGGATTACAAGCATGAGCCACTGTGTCTGGCCACAGTATTCTTGTGATCATTGGAATCTGTAGTGTAATCCCACCATAATGATTTGGTAATGGGGTTTAAGGTCCCACTTATACTTAGAAAAGAAAGTTTTAATAACAGGAATAAATTAAGGGGATAAATTTTTCTGAAGTTTTGTTGAAACTTTAAAGAGAAAATCTTACAACATGAAGGCTAAAAAGATTTCCTGAACAAAAGAAGGCTAAGGCACAGTTAAATAAAACAGTGTTCGTTACTGTCAATTTGCACTTGGTTTCTGGTGGCAAGTAATTGGGGTGTGTCCTTGACTGGATCTCTCAATGAGATTTATCAGTCATTTGAATGAATATGGTGGTGACGCTTACAGGAAGCTTGAAGGTACTTTAAATGCTTTTTTACTTTGTAATTTTTGTGGGTACATAATAAGTGTATATATTTATGGGCTATGTGAGATATTTTGATACAGGCACGCAATGTGTAATAATCACATCAGAGTAAATGGAGTATCCATCTCCTCAAGCATTTATCCTTTCTTTGTGTTATAAACAATCCAATTATATTCTTTTAGTTATTTTTACACATGCAAGTAAATTATTATTGACTACTGTTACCTTGTTGTGCTATCAAATACTAGGTTTGTTTCATTCTTTCTATTTTTTTGTACCCATTAACCATCCCCACTTCCCTTGACACTCCCACTACCCTTCCCAGCCTCTAGTAACCATCCTTCTACCCTGTATCTCCATGAGGTCACTTGTTTTAATGTTTAGCTCCACAAAGAAGTGAGAACATGTGAAGTTTGTACTTCTGTGCTTGACTTATTTCACTTAAAATAATGACCTCCAGTTCCATCCATGTTGTTGCAAATGACAGATTTGATTCTTTTTTATGGCTGAAATAGTAGTGCTTTGTGTATATGTACCATTGTGTATATGTATATTTTCTTTATCCATTCATCTGTTGATGGACACTTAGATTGCTCCCAAATCTTGGCTATCCTGCAACAAACATGGGAGTGCAGATATCTCTTCGATATGCTGATTTCCTTTCTTTTGGGTAAATACCTAGCAATGGGATTGCTGGATCGTATGGTAGCTCTATTTTTAGTTTTTTGAGGCATTTCCAAACTGTTCTCCACGGTGGTTGTACTTATTTACATCCCCACCAACAGGGTACAAGGGTTATGTTTTCTCCACATCCTCTCCAGCATTTGTTTTTGCTTGTCTTTTGGATATAAGCCATTTTAACTGGGGTGAGATGACACCACCTTGTAGTTTTGATTTGCATTTTTCTGATGATTAGTGACGTTGAGCACCTTTTCATATGCCTGTTTGTCTTTTGTATGTCTTCTTCTTCTTCTTCTTCTTCTTCTTCTTCTTTTCTGAGATGGAGTTTCACTCTGTTGCCCAGTTGCCCAGGCTGGAGTGCAGTGGCGTGATCTCGGCTCACTGCCACCTCCACCTCCCAGGTTCAAGTGATTCTCCTGTCTCAGCCTCCCAGGTAGCTGGGATTACAGGCGTGTGCCACCACACCTGGCTAATTTTTGTATTTTTAGTACAGATGAGGTTTCACCATGTTGGCCAGGCTGGTCTTGAACTCCTGGCCTCAAGTGATATGCCAGCCTTGGCCTCCCAAAGTGCTGGAATTATGGGCGTGAGCCATCACACCCAGCCTGCCATTTGTATGTCTTCTTTTGAGAAATGTCTATTCAGATCTTTTGCCAATTTTTTAATCAGATTATTAGACTTTTTTCCTATAGAATTGTTGGAGCTCCTTATATATTCTAGTTATTAATCCCTTATCAGATGGGTAGTTTGCAAATATTTTCTCCTATTCTATGGGTTGCCTCTTCACTTTATTGACTGTATTCCTTGCTGTGCAGAAGCTTTTTAACTTGGTATGATCCTATGTGCCTATTTTTGCTTTGGTTGCCTGTGCTTGTGGGGTGTTACTCAAGAAATCTTTGTCCAGACCAACGTCCTGGTGAGTTTCCCCAATGTTTTTGTGTAGTAGTCTCATAGTTTCAGGTTTCGAATTTTAGCCATTTTGATTTTATTTTTGTATATAGTGAGAGATAGGGGTCTAGTTTCATTTTTCTGCATGGATATTCAGTTTTTCCAGCACCATTTATTAAAGAAACTGTCTTTTCCCCAATGTTTGTTCTTGGCAACTTTGTAAAACATGAGTTCACTGTAGATGTGCTTGAGGGCACACACAAAAATCCATCCCACCCCACTAAGCCACCCAAACAAACATGAAAGACAAAAACTGTTTTTGTTGGGGAAACACAGCTCTGGAACTAATTCCCTGGGCCCCTTGTTAACACCAGCCCCTCCTATAAGAAAATGATTTGTCGAAGCTTCAGTGACCATTGAAGGGATGCTCTATAAGACAAGTCTGTTGACTGAAAGAGACAGAAACCAATGTTGAAGCTACTTATGCAAGAGGAGGACCTGGGTGGCACAGACCTGGCTGGATGCAGGGCTCACAGATCGTCATCAGCACTCCATCTCTTCCCACCTTCAGGACCTACTGTCCTCTGTTTTGCACACACTCCCAGCCAGGCTCACTTTTTATCCTCCTTGGAGGAAAGTGGGTTTCCCAGTTGTGTCTGGGCTGGTGCTGCTTGGCCCTGCCTGGGTCCCATGCTGGCCTCAGGATGAGAGGGATGGTCACCTCAGCTACAGCACATGGATTGCTCTGTGAAAAGCAATCTCCACAGGAAACCAGGATGGCTTCACCAGGGAGGCAGAACAACAAATGCCCATGACAGAGGGCATGCACCGTGAATAAAAGAATCAGGATTTTAAACAGAAAGGCAGAAAGAAGAGGACTTCCAAACCCTAGAAAGTTTAAAACTAATAGAATAAAATTTACTGTGCGTAAATGTAAAGCCTTATGTTGAGATTAAATATATGTATGTGTGTCAAATTTTATCTAAAAATATATGTAGCCAAAGAGTCAGAAAAAATAAAAATAAAAAAGTAACAAAAGTAAAACAAAAATATATGTAGCCATATTCATGTGATGCAACTACAAGAAAAAAGTAGAAATGGTTTAGTAGTGTCCTTAAAAAAAAAAGTCTTAGTTTTTGGTTGCTGGTCACTTTGAGATGGTTATCAACGTGATTTGGACACTTTAAAAGTTTGCAATAATGAGATTAAAAAGCAAGATAAAGGAGGAAATAGTGCTGTTAATGCCTATTTCATGGTGTCATGTCTGGAATATTGTGCTTGAGCCTGGGGGTGCGGGTGGGGGTGACATTTTAAGGACACTAGCGAGCATTCAAAGAAGAATCAGCATCCAGCTCGTGAAAACGACCATGACACCTCCCCTTCCACCCCCCTTGCCCCAGAGCATGCCATTTTAAGGATTATTTTGAGTGTAAAGAAACTAAAAATCAATAGATAGAAGATTATTTCTCTGCTCTCCCCTCGGATGCCTAAAACCCGGGCATAAATTTCCCTTTGTTAAGGTGGCATGGATTTCCCCCTCTCCTGTACCAGGATGAGGAGAGGGAACACTTGTCACCAGGGACAGAGAGCCAACACCAAAATAAGTCTGCATAAACAAGCCTCCCTAAATAAGCAGGATAATCCATTAGTTCCCACATAGTTTTCCTAGTCACTTTTCCACAATTAATCATTCCTCAAAGCCCAAATCTTCTTTCCTTTGTTAAAATGGCACATAAGCCTCTGAGTTTAGCCATTTCTTTGACTTTCCTTTCCTTTCTGTGAACTCCTGTGTATGTAAAATATTAGTAAACTTTCTATTATTTTCTCCTGTTAATCTGTCTCTTGTGAGTCAAACTTGCAGAGCCTCCCAGTCAGTGAACCTAAGAGGGAAGAGAAAATGTATTTCCTTCCTGGCACTACAAATGGTGCATGTTTGTTGAAAGGAAGTACTTAACTGCTACACGGCAGGAGGTATAATCCAGACAGAAGTAAGAAGTGTGCTGGATATTAGAATATTCCTGCTCTTCATAAGTGGATGAATTATATGACCACCAATTTTCCAGTACTCCTAAAATTTTTGATCCCAAAGGTACCTTAAATCCCTCTAAAACAAGAATAAAAAAATTGAATACCTTGTTGAGAAACAGATGTTCAGAACTTTTTCATCTTGTAGAATGGAAACTACACCTATTAAACAACAACTCCTGTTTTCCTCCCCATCCCAGTTCCCACTAATCACCACTCTACTTTCTATTTCTATGAACTTAGCTGCCTTAGATAACTTGTATAAGTAGATTCACACAATATTTTCCTTTTTGTGACCATGCTCTTACTCTTAGGACAATGGCCTTAGGGTTCATCCATGGGGCAGCACGGGACATGATTTCCTTCCTTTCTAAGGTCACAGAATGTTCTATTGTGTGTCTATTTTCAAAGGAGGAATTCTGGAGATGGGTGATTATATCAACACTCACGGTATCTTATTTAATTTTTAACACAAAATTATGAGGTCATTGCTGTTATACACATCTATAGTGGTTAAAATCAAGCCTTCGAGACTGAAAGTAATTTGCCCAAAGTTTATGCATACCAGAAATGAGACTTGAGTTATCTTCTTCCCAAACCTTTGCCATTGAGTAGGAAACTCATAAAGTCAAAGGGCACTGGAATTGTTGCTTCTATTGGTTTGTCATTTTTTTCCACTTACTGTTTTAGTGCAGACATGTCTGAAATGCAAACAGGTTTTAAAATGGAAGCTTTGGAGTATTCCGTAATTATGGTTATCAACGTTTAGTATTTCCAGCAAAACATTCTTATTTATCAACTTCCCCATTTATCTCAATCAAAATAAGTAGGAAAAAGAAAAAGCATAAATAGTTCTCACTGCTTCTACAATCCAAAAGAAAAATAAAAAATATAAGCGAGAAATGCAAGTTCAGAGAAGTTCCCAATTTTCTTCCCTTTCATCATTGGGCAAAATGATCAAACTATTCTTGCTGAGTGGGCAACTCCCCATGGTACTTCAGAAAGGCTTTGTTGCCTGGTGTGGCAATGCCTAAAAATTCCTTAGATGCTAGGGGAAATGCAACAGCATTGTCCCAGATGACTGTACTATGCTGTTTTTCTTTTTCTTTTCTTTTATTTATTTATTTATTTATTTATTTATTTATTTATTTATTTACTTTTGAGACAGAGTTTCGCTCTTGTTGCCCAGGCTGGAGTGCAATGGCATGATCTCAGCTCACCACAACCTCTGCCTCCTGGGTTCAAGCAATTCTCCTGCCTCAGCCTCCCAAGCAGCTGGGATTACAGGCATGCACCACCACTCCTGGCTAATTTTTCTATTGTTAGTAGAGATGGTGTTTCTCCACGTTGGTCAGACTGGTCTCAAACTCCTGACGTCAGATGATCCATCTGCCTTGGCCTCCCAAAGTGCTGGGATTACAGGTGTGAGCCACCGCACCCGGCCACTATGCTGTTATTCTTGATATCACTAGATTAGATATTTTGTTGAGTCTTACCTTAAATACCCTTCATGCTAGTTTGTACCAGTAATCTCACACACCTCAAGCTGTTTCTCTTTCTCTTCACTGTCCCTCCATGGTTCCCTGGGAGAGGGGCAGCAGAAGAAGGTCCCAGCTCCCTGTGTTTGAAAACTGATGGGTTCAGGCAGGATTGGTGGCCCGTGGCTTGCCAGCCCAGATGCCACCCACATGGACCTCTTGCATTGTCCTGCAGGACTCTGGCAGAGTTCCAGAATCCACCAGGCCCCTGAGAATGGAGTGGTGAGGCCTTAGAGGACCGCTGCTGAGGACACTGGCTAGCTTCTGATGATGGGGACTCTCTAAAGAACACAGGAGTTCTAAGTTCCCTGAGGCACTTCTAAGCATCTCTAGGATAGCAAGGAGGGTCTAGGATTCCTGTGTCCTGGGGGCAGGAGAAATTCCCCAAGTCCACCTGAGACCCACTGAGCTGTGGGCAAAGTGCCAGGGTCCCGGGGAGTTGTAGCCAAATTAGCAACAATTCTTCTCTTAGCCTAATTATCATTCTGCCATGGTATTTACTGGGTGTCTATCATATACTGGGGACCCCTACACTGTAAAACAAAGTCTCTGTCCTCAAGATGCTTTGGTTGGGGAGATGGGATATGTAACAGTTTTGTTTGTCCTTCTGATATAACTAAAACATGTTTCTTATATCATTCAAATCATTATTTAGTTTCATTTATCCCTTTGAACTTGGGGAAAAACTCACTCGTTTACCACTTCACATATTTCTTAATCAAATTCTACTCACTTCCGCAGAGTCTTGCAACCATCCCTGACACTACTCCTGAGTGTTGCATGTCAGTAACTTTCTACATGAAGCACATAGAAATTTGGAAGTTGGAAGTGTGCATGAGGAGTAGGGTACTGTGCACTGTGGGTGGATTTAGAGGATTCACAGGCCACATCCCCAGTGTAGACAATAATTAGCCTGGCAATGGTGACCTTGTATGGACCTTGCTCCGTGAACCACAAATCTGGGATGCTGGCCAAGGAAACACTCAGGCAGAACACCCCAACACCAAGGCTTTTTATTTTATTTTATTTTATTTTATTCTTTTTTATTTATTATTATTATTATTATTATACTTTAAGTTTTAGGGTACATGTGCACAATGTGCAGGTTAGTTACATATGTATACATGTGCCATGCTGGTGCGCTGCACCCACTAACTCGTCATCTAGCATTAGGTATATCTCCCAGTGCTATCCCTCCCCCCTCCCCCCACCCCACAACAGTCCCCAGAGTGTGATGTACCAAGGCTTTTTAATTGCCCGGCAGTGGGACTGTGAACCTGGGAGACCTGTGCCTTCAGCCATTGCTGATTCCTCCTTCTAGAGTGGGAGATCAGCACCTGGACAGAGGACACTGTGACTAGAAAATGCATTTAAAAGAAGGGATTATTGCTTCCTCGGATCAGACTGTGTGATCTACAATGAACTCTTACATGTTATTTTATCTGGCATTCTAACAATGATCCCAAAGAAACATCAGACTCCTTGTTCAGAAGGTAGGTTAGTTCTCAGCAGTACAAGTTGGGTCCTCAGTGGATCCTGTGCATTTGAGGATGAAGTTTACAGATGCTTTGGACCGTAGCTGCAGGTCTGATTTGAGGACAATGAGACCAAGTCAGGGAGGCAGCAACTAATGGGGGAGGGAATAAGACACAAGAAATAACAAACATAAAGTACCAGAGTGGACTTAGTAACTCAGCAGAACTTCCAAATCTCATATTGAGATTGCCCTGGTTTTGGCATGTTGAAGGGATCATATACAGGGAATGGGGAATGCCTAATTATATGGGTCTATTTCCTCTTTATGGTCTCAAAGATTTTTTTAAGAGTTTATAGGATTATTTTTTTAATTACATAAGAAAGATTTAATTTTTAACATCTTAAAATGGTTACAGTTCATGAATACCACAAGACAACCTAAAAAGGTGCAGTCTAGAGTAGCCTATTTGGCTGTTAGTAGCAAAGGTTTTGACCATGGTCAATGACTTAATATCCATGTTAGTCACTCCTGAGTTGATATTACTGTAATTTTTTTTTCTCATTGACTTGGGTGATAGCATAAAAAGTATACTCATTAATTTTACAAATGACAAATGTCAGATGTTACAACTTATTTTAAAGGGATTCCTGTGGTACTTCAAACTTTACTAAAGACAAAACAAACGGTTTTTATCTTCATAATTGTTTTGCTTCCTGGATCTCTCCCTTCTGTTCATGATATCAGTGACTTCACTGCCAAGGCTAAAGTGATATCATGAAAAGAAAAGAGAAACCCAGAAAGCAAAACAGTTATGAAGATAAAGACCATTTATTTTGTCTTTAGTAAAGTTTGAAGTACCAGAGGATTTCTAGGTAGGTCTAGTAAAAAAAAATGTAAAGTTTGAAGTATAGCCCAGTCAGGAAAGAATTCAGTGTTAACAGATACATATTTCAAAGTCATCCATCCACATGGAATTGGAAGCTGATATTATAAAAGTGGTTAACATGAAAGAAAGGTCAAGGAAGGACTTCGGTGAATGTCTATATTTTGGGGAATACATGGAGGGAGGCATTGTATAAGTCAGGAGTAGGCAGGTTATGAAGTGGTAAAAACAACCTTAAAAACCTGAATGGCTATATCAGTTTGTAATTGCAGCTGGGCCCAACTTAGCTGGATGCCTCTGCCTCACAGTCTGTAAGGTTACAGTCAAACTACAGACTGGGGCTGCTGTTTCATCTGAAGGCTCAACTGGTGCTGCAGGATGTGCTTCCAAGCTCACACACGTGGTTTTTGGCAGACTTCAGTCTCTTAACACATGGGCCCCTTTATGAGGCTGCCTCATGATATGACAGTTGGTTTTCCCTATGGAAAGCAGTCCAAAAGAGAGAGAGAGAACAACCAAAAAAGAAGCTGAAGTCTTTCGTAACCTAAGCTCAAAAGAGACATTCCATTATTTCTGCCATATGCTTTTCATTGTAAGCAAGTCACTAAATCAAGCCTAAACTCAAAGATTTAAAATGAACGTTTTGTGTGTGTCTTTAGTAGAATTGGCAAATACACAAACTTTGTGTGTGTTTACTTATCACACATATGTGTGTGTGTGTGTATATATATATAAAATATGTTTGTTTTCTTTTTCTCTTATTCCTTAGTCATGTAACATAAGATGTTCCAACTATATAATAGTGTTTAAATATAATTAATTTCATATCTTAGTGTTTAAGCTACATGGTATCAAAGAGGAAACATCATTCAAAGACCTTACCTTGTCTTCTAGGAAAACGGTTAGTGCATTGTCAATTGTATGTATCAGGTTAATCAGAATTATGACCTTCTGATTATCTTTCTTTGAAGATTGAGTATGGTTTCAGGAGATGCATATGGGCACCAAGTTGACAAGGGGCAGAATTGAATTGTTCTGGTTAATTTCATGTGTCAACTTGACTAGTCCCTGGGGCATCCAGATATGTGTTCCAACTTTATTCTAAGTGTGTCTGTGAAGGTGTTTTTGGATGATATTGACATTTGAATCAGTAAACTGAGGAAAGCAGATTGCTCTGCTTAGCATGGGTGGCCTTCATCTGATCAATGAAAGGCCTGAATGAATCAAAAAGGCTGACCCTTCCATGAGTAAGAAGAAATTCCTTTTGCCTGATTGTGAGCTGGGACATTACTCTTCTTGGGTCTTGAGACTGTCAGCTTTTAGACTAGAACTATACCATTGGCTTGCCAGGGTGTCTACCTGGCCAACTTCACATCTTAGGACTTCTCAACTTCCATAACCATGTGAGGCAATTCTTTGTTTTTTTCTTTTGAGATGGAGTCTTGCTCTGTCGCCCAGGCTGGAGTGTGGTCACGCGATCTGGGCTCACTGCAAGCTCTGCTTCTAGGGTTCAAGCGATTCTCCTGCCTCAGCATCCCGAGTAGCTGGGACTACAGGCACCCGCCACCACACCTGGCTAATTTTTGTATTTTTAGTAAAGATGGGGTTTCACCATATTAGCCAGGATGGTCTCGATCTCCTGACCTCATGATCCGCCCGCCTCGGCCTCCCAAAGTGCTGGGATTACAGGCATGAGCCACTGCGCCCAGCCCACCAATTCTTAATAATACATTTATCTGTAACTATATCTCTCTTCCTTTATCTACTTCCTGTTGGTTCTGTTTCTCTGGAGAACCCTGATGAATACAGGCTTTATGAAATCTTTCCATGAATCCAAGAGGTCTGTGAATACAAAATTATGAATCCCCACCTGAAGACTTTTTAGTGCTAGGACTCCTTCACAAGGCAGAGAATATATCAGACCAATTTAGAGTCAAGTCTTCAAGGATCCATTGCCTTCTCTTACCTTATTCAACTGTTCACCACTCACAAACTTTCCATTTTTACCCTCTTGCCTTAGCTCCCTCTTACCCCAGTGCACATATTTGGGTCAGGGCTGCATGACCTCTCATGCCTCATCCTCAGCTATGATAGGCAGATGGTTATGATCCTAGAGACCTGCAAAAGAGATGGCTTGTGGGACCTTTTGCTACTGCCATTGCAGCCTTTCCTGTTGACCCCAACCTCCTCATCCCCCAAGCCCCCTCAGTTCCTTGCAGTTGTCATCTCAAGCACTGGGAAAGGGTCAATGTTTTGGGTAATATGCATATGGCAACAATGTAGGCTTCTCATGCCCCTAATTACTGCCTGCAGTTGTGGAGTTATTGCTCAATAATCTGATTTATGAACTAAAACACTGGGGTTTTAACAATAAATAACCAATCACGTTTAGGCATTTGGAAAGAACAATCATGTGATTGGAGGGTAAGGGAAGATTGACACCAGCTGATATTTTCTTGAGAACATTCAAAATTTGTTTTCATTGAACCTGCATATAGTATAATATGGAGAGATAAGGTGGAAAAGGAGCAATATTTTCCTTTGATTGATATCCGGCCACCCTTGGGAAAAAGTGTACTGTCACAGGATTATATTTTTATAAATCGATTATCCCCTAGAGATCATTACAGATGGTGCTAAACCATTTTTAAAAAAATATTGAAGACAAAGGTAACAATTTTCATAATGAATTGACTTCTACCTTAGAGAAATCCCTATAAGAATTTGAATCTGTAAATTCTCCACTGATCCATCCAGGGTTGGCTAAGATGGCAGGAGGAGGGGAAGACCCACACTGTGAGTGTCATTTAGTTCAGATTTCTTGGAGGATAATTTGGAAATCTTTACAGAAGTTTTAAATAGTATACTAATTGGTGGAGCAATTCCCCCAAGAATCTAGAGCAATAGCAATACAAATATGGGAGAATATTTGTATATCACTGTCCAAATCTATAATTGGAAAAATGTTATACTCCTGGAGATAGGCTGAGTGCCTACCAATAGGTATGTCCACATGAAGAAATCCTATGTAGCCATCACAGCCAGGAGGAACAAGTTCCAGAGATCTGTTGTACATCATGGTGACTGTACCATGATGGTGACTGTAGACAGATCATTAATTATCTACAGTTAATAAGAATATATTACATACTTCTAAATTGCCAAGAGAGTAGATTTTGAGTGCTCTCATCACAAAAATATGTGTGAGCTAATGTAAATATTAAATAGCTTGATTTAGCCATTGCACAAGCGTCATATTTTATATCATATATATATGATTTTTACTCATCAATTAAATAAATAAATACATAAGTAATGTTTTAAAAAGGATAACATAGATCTATATATGTATTGCCATAGAGAAATGAATGTGATATATTGTTGAGTTAAAAATAAGTGGCATATACATTTTTATCTGATATAAATAAAGAAATCACACAGATTAACTTATTTTTTCAGACAAGTGAATCACATGGTAAGCAGCTGAGAATCACTGTACAGAGTATGTATTTTTGGTTTCTAAAAAATTTCCTTCCTATTCCAAATAAGTTTGGTTTTTTAGAATCACTTCAACTACCTTCAACTTCTATCCTGTTGGGTGGAGGGGAGCAGCCACTCTTACTTACTCTTGAGGCAGAATTGGCCCTCTCTTTGGGCCTTGAAAAGAACACTCATAAGAGAAATGTTTTTTGCCTTGCCAGCCCTGCAGGGATTTGCATCCGCGAGGGAAGCATGGCTCAGTTATAGGCAGACATCAGCACCACATGGTTCCCTGCTCCTCATCCACCTCAAGGCAGCATCAGGCACCATTCATCTTTATATCCATGTCTATTTGCTGAGACCCTGTGAATGTAGCATCAGCAGGTTTTATGACTCAGAACCAGTTTCTTCTCATTTCTCTTCACAGAATAAAAAACTAAAGCTTAGAGGGGTCATAAAGGTGTGCTCTGATTCTCACAGTGGAAGGAGGCCCCAATAACCTGCACCCATCCCCACCTGGTCTCCCTCACCTACTTGGGAATGAGCCCGGGGAGCACAGGCTGATTCTGGGATGATGTTAGAGAGGTCCTACATCCTGCGGGCACTTTCCACTCCACGTTACCCAGTGAGTCAAAGTCTTCTAAAAAGACATTTAGTCATTCAAAACTGGTGCAGATCCCAGTGTCCAGGGAGGAACTTTCACTCTGGAAAACAGGAGCTCATTTCCCTTTGAGGAAATCATTTCTTTAGGATATCATTTCCAGCCACCACCCAGGATCCTGAGCAGGTGCTGCAGCTCCCAAAGCACCACTGCGGAGAAGCTCAAACCTTACAAATACCATGTTATTGTTCCTGTGGAGGACTGCTTCTCCCAGAGATAATGGTACTGATAACTTCAATTCCATGTGGCCTTTTAACCAAAAGACCTCAACACCTCTTTATCGAGTGATGGCTATATGGCCACTTTTCTTTGATTTTTTTTTTTTTTTTTTTTTTTTTTTTTTATTGATCATTCTTGGGTGTTTCTCGCACAGGGGGATTTGGCAGGGTCATAGGACAATAGTGGAGGGAAGGTCAGCAGATAAACAAGTGAACAAAGGTCTCTGGTTTTCCTAGGCAGAGGACCCTGCGGCCTTCCGCAGTGTTTGTGTCCCTGGGTACTTGAGATTAGGGAGTGGTGATGACTCTTAAGGAGCATGCTGCCTTCAAGCATCTGTTTAACAAAGCACATCTTGCACCGCCCTTAATCCATTTAACCCTGAGTGGACACAGCACATGTTTCAGAGAGCACAGGGTTGGGGGTAAGGTCACAGATGAACAGGATCCCAAGGCAGAAGAATTTTTCTTAGTACAGAACAAAATGAAAAGTCTCCCATGTCTACTTCTTTCTACACAGACACGGCAACCATCCGATTTCTCAATCTTTTCCCCACCTTTCCCCGCCTTCTATTCCACAAAACCGCCATTGTCATCATGGCCCGTTCTCAATGAGCTGCTGGGCACACCTCCCAGACGGGGTGGTGGCCCGGCAGAGGGGCTCCTCACCTCCCAGTAGGGGTGGCCGGGCAGAGGCGCCCCTCACCTCCCGGACGGGGCGGCTGGCCGGGCGGGGGACTGACCCCCCCACCTCCCTCCCGGACGGGGCGGCTGGCCGGGCAGAGGGGCTCCTCACTTCCCAGTAGGGGCGGCTGGGCAGAGGCACCCCTCACCTCCCGGACGGGGCGGCTGGCCGGGCGGGGGGCTGACCCCCCCACCTCCCTCCCGGACGGGGAGGCTGGCCGGGCAGAGGGGCTCCTCACTTCCCAGTAGGGGCGGCTGGGCAGAGGCACCCCTCACCTCCCGGACGGGGCGGCTGGCCGGGCGGGGGGCTGACCCCCCCACCTCCCTCCCAGACAGGGCGGCTGTCCGGGCAGAGGGGCTCCTCACTTCCCAGTAGGGGCGGCTGGGCAGAGGCACCCCTCACCTCCCAGACGGGGTGGCTGGCCGGGAGGGGGGCTGACCCCCCCACCTCCCTCCCGGACAGGGCGGCTGGCCGGGCAGAGGGGCTCCTCACTTCCCAGTAGGGGCGGCTGGGCAGAGGCACCCCTCACCTCCCGGACGGGGCGACTGGCCAGGCGGGGGGCTGACCCCCCCCACCTCCCTCCCGGACGGGGAGGCTGGCCGGACAGAGGGGCTCCTCACTTCCCAGTAGGGGCGGCTGGGCAGAGGCGCCCCTCACCTCCCGGACGGGGCGGCTGGCCGGGCGGGGGGCTGACCCCCCCACCTCCCTCCCAGACAGGGCGGCTGTCCGGGCAGAGGGGCTCCTCACTTCCCAGTAGGGGCGGCCGGGCAGAGGGGCTCCTCACTTCCCAGTAGGGGCGGCCGGGCAGAGGCACCCCTCACCTCCCAGACGGGGTGGCTGGCCGGGCGGGGGGCTGACCCCCCACCTCCCTCCCGGACAGGCGGCTGGCAGGGCGGGGGGCTGGCCCCCCCACCTCCCTCCCGGACGGGGCAGCTGGCCTGGCGGGGGCTGACCCCCACCTCCCTCCCGGACGGGGTGGCTGCCGGGCGGAGACGCTCCTCACTTCCCAGACGGGGTGGCTGCCGGGTGGAGGGTCTCCTCACTTCCCAGATGGGGCGGCCGGGCAGAGACGCTCCTCACCTCCCAGACGGGGTCGCAGCTGGGCAGAGGCGCTCCTCACATCCCAGACGGGGCGGCGGGGCAGAGGTGCTCCCCACATCTCAGACGATGGGCGGCCGGGCAGAGACGCTCCTCACTTCCTAGATGGGATGGCGGCCGGGAAGAGGCGCTCCTCACTTCCTAGATGGGATGGCGGCCGGGCAGAGACGCTCCTCACTTTCCAGACTGGGCAGCCAGGCAGAGGGGCTCCTCACGTCCCAGACGATGGGTGGCCAGGCAGAGACGCTCCTCACTTCCCAGACGGGGTGGTGGCCGGGCAGAGGCTGCACTCCCGGCACTTTGGGAGGCCAAGGCAGGCGGCTGGGAGGTGGAGGTTGTAGCGAGCCGAGATCACGCCACCGCACTCCAGCCTGGACACCATTGAGCACTGAGTGAACCAGACTCCGTCTGCAATCCCGGCACCTCGGGAGGCCGAGGCTGGCGGATCACTCGCGGTTAGGAGCTGGAGACCAGCCCGGCCAACACAGCAAAACCCCACCAAAAAAATACGAAAACCAGTCAGGCGTGGCGGCGCGCGCCTGCACTCGCAGGCACTCGGCAGGCTGAGGCAGGAGAATCAGGCAGGGAGGTTGCAGTGAGCCGAGATGGCAGCAGTACAGTCCAGCTTCGGCTCGGCATCAGAGAGAGACCGTGGAAAGAGAGGGAGAGGGAGACCGTGGGGAGAGGGAGAGGGAGAGGGAGAGGGAGAGGGAGAGGGAGAGGGAGAGGGAGAGGGAGAGGGAGAGGGAGAGGGAGAGGGAGAGGGAGAGGGAGAGGGAGAGGGAGAGGGAGAGGGAGAGGGAGAGGGAGAGGGAGAGGGAGAGGGAGAGGGAGAGGGAGAGGGAGAGGGAGAGGGAGAGGGAGAGGGAGAGGGAGAGGGAGAGGGAGAGGGAGAGGGAGAGGGCTCTTTGATTTTTTAAAAATTCCTCCTAAGTGA
The DNA here is from genome assembly GCF_000001405.40 of Homo sapiens. Lineage (NCBI taxonomy): Eukaryota > Metazoa > Chordata > Mammalia > Primates > Hominidae > Homo > Homo sapiens. The sequence goes on from NC_000009.12 coordinate 87,760,167, forward strand.
AATTCTGTTTCTTTTGACCAGCATTTCCCTATAGTCTACCTCCCTGCAAGCCCTGGGTAAGCACCATTCTACTCTCTACTTCTATGAGTTCAGCTTTTTAAAGATTTCACATATAAGGTAAATCATGCAGTAGTTGTTTCTGTGTGTCTGGTTTATTTCACTTAACACAATGTCCTCCAGGCTCATTCATGTAGTTTCAAATGATTGATTTTCCTTCATTTTAAGGTTGTATAATATTCTATTGCATATGTATGCCACATTTTCTTATCCATTCGTCCACTGATGGACATTTATGTTGGTTCCATATCTTGGCTATTGTGAATAATGCTGCAATGAGCATGAGAGTGCAGATAGCTCTTGAGCATAATAGATTCCATTTCCTTTGCATAAATACCCACTTGTGGGAATGCTGGTTATATGGTGGTTTAAATTTCAAATTTTTGAGGCACCTCCATACTGCTCTCCACAATGGCTGTACTACTTTGCTTTCCCACCAACAGCGTGCAAGTGTTCCCTTTCCACACTTTCCCTCCAACACTTGTTGTCTTTCTCTTTCTGATAATGGCCCCTAACAGGTGTGAGGTGATATCACGCTGTGGTTTTACTTGCATTTCTATGGTGGTTAGAGATGTGGAGCATTTTGTATATACTTATTGGCCATTTGTGTATCCTCATTTCAGAAATGTCTATTCAGATATTTTGCCCATTTTTATATTCAGTTTAGTTGTTTTCTTACTATTGAGTTAACTGGGTTCTTTATACATTTGAATATTACCTCCTTGTGAAATGAATGGTTTAAAGATATTTTTCTCCCGTTCCATAGTGTGTCTCTTCACTCTGTTGATTGCTCCCTTGGCTGGGCAAGGGTTTTCTAGTTTGTTGAAATTCCATGTGTCTATTTTTGCTTTTGTAGCCTATGCTTTTAAAGTCATATCCAAAAACTAATTGCCCACACCAGTGTCATGTAGATTTCCCTCTATGTTTTCTTCTAGTAGTTTTATAGTTTCAGGTCTTATGTTGAAGTCGTTAGTCTATTTTGAGGGAAGTTTTGTATGGTGAGAGATGAGGATCTAATTCCATTTTTCTGCACGTGGCGATCCAGTTGTCCCAACACCATTTATTGAAGAGACCATCTTTTCCCTATTGTATGTTCTTGGCACTTTTGTCAAAATTCAGTGTCTGCTCTTAAACCTGGTAGAATCTGGTGGTTGCCCCTGATAGAGTCCAGGGAGAGTCAGTTATATGATTTCTGAGGATGGAGCATAACAATGTGCTACGCACTTCACCCTGCTGCATGGGATAACTTGCTCTTGGAACATAGGTGTCATTCTGCGAGGATGCCCAAACTTGCTCTCACAGAGAGGCCATGTAAGGTATGCTTTAGCTAATAATACATATTTTCTTAACTAACTAAGGCCTCTGGAAGGATTCTGTCTTTGACCTCATAATAAAGCAATATGAGATTAGCCCTACTATAAGCAAATGTTCACATAGCTCATTTATTTTTCACAATAATCCTGTGAGGAAAGTAGGATTGTTATCCTCATTTTCTGAGTGATGAAACTGAGGCTCAGAGGAGGTGTGTGACCTACCCAAGACCCCACAGCTGGAAACCACGGAATGGCTGGTCCCTCCCATCACTGCCTCTGCCACATCCTCCCCTGTCCTGTCCCTGTGCTCTGGGTGCCTGCGGTGCTTAAGGGCAGATGTGAAGAGAGAGCACGGGAGGGCTTTGACACAGGTGTTTCAGGAGGAGGAGGTAGGGTCAGCTGCCTGGAGGTGGGAATAATGTTTCTAAGTAAAGCAAAATCAGTACACAGAGGCCAAATTCATAATTTATGGATACATCTTTCTTGGCTTGAATAACTATTTTTGTCTCAGCTTTTGAAATATTGCTTAGCTACCCAGCTGCTGGACGTGGCCTCATCATTTTTGTAAAAGATGAGAAATCCCTGCCTACATTTGCAACTCCCACCTAAAGCCCAACATTTCTCATTCATTTTAATTTCAAAGAAATACATATCATTGAAAATTTTTTTCAAACAATAATAAAGTATGAAGTATATTGTTGAATAGAGAAAAACAAAGTGCCAAGCAGGATATAATGTGCTGCCTTTTTTTGGAAAAAAAAAGAAAATAAGAATATCTGTCTCTATTTTTCTTAGAAGCATAAATAAATTTTAGACTAATGCATAAGAAACTGACAATAGACGTATCGGTGGGCTGGGGACTGAGATGGATGAAAAGTTTTTACTGTACTCTTATGTATTTGGGAGAGGGAGGTTTGAATAATGTGACTTTATTCCATACTATAAAAAATTATATTCAAACAAAAAATATTGAATCACAAAAAAGAACATAAAGTAAAAATTAGTGTCTCTAAAATAGTCTTTTTGTTTTGTTTGTTTGTTTTTTTAGACAGGGTCTCTCTCTGTCACCCAGGCTGGAGTGCAGTGGTGCAATTACGGCTCAATGTAGCCTTGAACTCCTGGGCTCAAGGGATCTTCCTGCCTCAGCCTCCCTGATAGCTGGCACATGTCATTAGTCCTGCCTGATCTTTCTTTCTTTTTTTTTTTTTTTTTTTTTTGTAGAGACAGAGTCTTGCAATGTTCACCAGGCTAGTCTTGAAATCCTGGCCTTAGGCTTCCACTTTGGTCCCCCAAAGTGCTGGAATTACAGGCATGAACCACCACACCCAGCCCCCACTACTTCTTATTGCCAAAGATAACTGTTAACAATCTAATATATACTCCTCTAGGCTTTATGCATAAACCTATGTCTACATATCAAAATACATAGATATAGTTATTTTATTTTATTTTGGCTTTCAATGGGATCATACTATGCATATTGTTCTGGAATTTCCTCTTTGCATGCAGTGGTATATACTGGACACATTTCCATGTTTACACCACGGAACTATAATTCAATGCTCCACTATTGGTAAATATTTAGGTTTATTTGTAAATGTTTGAATAAATGAAGTATCTAATATTCATGTTTATGTGACTATTTCTAAGTGAATTTGATGGGGCCAAGAATGCATCCCTTAAAAAAAGGATGAACAATTCCAGGTCACCAGACAAAAAAATTGCCTCACTTTACAACAACAATCAAGAGGATTCATTCCCGCTCACTCTCACCAATCCTAAAAATCAGCAAAGCTTACACCTTGGTAAAACTTGGTGGTTTGAAATAGAAGAGATCTTGTTTTGCCTCGCATCTCTTGGGTTATGAGAGGGACTGAGCATTTTCTCCTGATTTGTGTTTCCTTTTGCTCACACTCTGAGAACAAGGCTGGACTTGCACGGAGGGAGCGTGGCTTCCCTTCCCAACTCCTTGACTCAGAAGATGTCATCGTATCACAGGAGGAGCCATAAGACATCAGTTTCATCTAAGACAGAGGTGGAAAATGGAAATGCTGTGGGGGCCCTGCAGGAAAGTGCCCACGAATGCTGATGGGGTCTGTTGAAAGGCAGTGAGGGCTATGTTAACTGTGGGGTGCACCCCTTACCTAAAGGAATTTACACTTCAAAAACTGGTCATGGTGGTGCAGACTGAATATCACCTGTCTGTGGGGAGCAGATGTGGCCACCAGCTGTACCCCTCATCTGAAACAGTGGAATCTGATTGCCCAGAGAAATACATCTAAGTGTCAGATATTGGTTTCCGCAGGAAAAAAAAATCCTCTGTGTTCAAAATTTTAATATTTGACTAACTTTTGTTTGTTTTAAGTTAATCTCTTGTCTTAGATTTAAGACTTTAAGATAAAATTTAATTTTTAGAAAACACATAAAGTGCTTTCTTTCCTCCTCATCTAGACCTAAAATGGATAATTTCAGGTAAGAGGAATCATAAATTTGTCAGGGAGCAAATACTGGGAATTCGCTTATCTTTGCTTTAGCATTTGTCTATGTTTATTTAGGCTCATTTTGAGTAAAATGATTCTTAAATCTTTTATTAAGCTGAACCACATGAATTTGCCACTTTGAAGGTCAAAAATAGTCAAATTTCAGCAATGTCATATGAATCAGTGAAAACCTTACCAGCACTCTTGTCTACTCCACAGCCGATTTATGTTAAAGCGTCCAGGCCTTTCCGCAGGGCAGTTTGAACAATACCACGAAGTGCTGAGACTCCCGTGAATTAGTCTGGTTTTTTATGATCTGATTCAGGCTCTTGCCCCATCTCCTTGTTGCTTTGATTATCAACTGGGTGGGAGTTTTTGTAGCAGTTTTGGTAGCAGCCTCAAGGAAGGCAAGCAGCTGTGTCTCCTACATGAAGTATCTGCTTACAGGGGCAATATTTTCCAAAAGTTGTTTCCTTTGCAGAGAAGCCTTTTTGGCTCTGAGTGGAAATAGTGACTAGACACTGGTCTGTGTTGCTCTGAGGTGTGAAATATCACCTGTTTGCTGAAGCAACATCCCATAACCGCTGCATCTGGGCCTCTCCAGCCAGATGATTCCTCATGTCACGGGACCATTCGTTTTCATCAAGATCTTCGTCCCCGCCACCTAGCATCTGCAGAACATCCTTGATGAGATGACACTGCTTCTGATGCTTCCCAGAATACAAGGAAGATGAAGAGCACAACTGATCCAGTCATCTGCTGGATCTGTACATTTGAGTATGAAACAGAGCTCAAACATACCTCTAAATCTGAGTCTATCCAGCCCACACATGGTTGAATAAACTCAATGCACCTCACCATGGAGCTTCACAATGGCTATTTGTGTTGCAACAGAGGATGAAGCAGATGGTCTTTCTAATGAAAAGATGTTGAGAAAGGCTTCAGGTGTCCTGGGGGGATCCCAGAATGAGACTAAAGATTTGGAAGGGCCTTTGTTAACCACTGAGTCGAACTCCCCAGAATCCTTTTACAGAATCCCTGACCACCAATCCTTCAAAGATTTCAGGAATTTGCATACCCCAGGGAAGATTTTGTGGGTGAAGAGATGAGAAATTCTGGAACCACAACACACTTGAAATTATCATAAGAAGAATAAAATGCAATTTTGTTCCAGTTAGTAGTTCTTACTAAAAGATATTTTAGGCAGGCATTGTATTGAACCAAGACCATTTTCTTCCACTGTGGCCATTCTAATTTCAAATTGCTCCTTCTGCTTCATATCCTCTTCAATTCCATCTTGTGTCAGATAGAGCCAGAATAGAAAGAAACACTGTTTAACAAAACCCATTTGTGTCAGCTTGAAGGATGAACACCTGTCGTGGGAGCATCTCACGCTTCCTACAAGATTTCAACAGGGTCACTCCAGTTCATAGGCAGGTTGTGTGTCTTCAGTGTGTGGCCATTTGCTGTTTGGATAACAAGACATATTTTCCCTGGACACCCTGCACCAGACTCTGCCTTTTTTCAGTCTTCCTCCTATTTTCTCTTCTCCCCAACACACTAAAACTGGAAGTACACCATGTCATCACACAAGCAATGCACCAGTGTCAAAAATACCTTGCAGATGGACAGTACACATCCCCATGTAGTAGGTAAGGATGATATTATTATTTACATTTTTCTATTGGAAGATCAGAGGCACAGAGTGTTCAAATTACTTGCCTGAGGGCACACAAATCACTTCCCTTTTGTGTTTCAATTATACAATGGCTTAGTGATTGATTCTTTCTTCAGATGGTAGTTGTGAGGAGTGAAGGAAATTAAATCAAGTCTGGAAAGGAAATTAAATTAATGAAGGGTCTGGCATGTGGGTCCTCAATGCAGGGTGATTATTGTTAGCATCAATTATTTATGGCAATGACCATAATGTTGGTAAACATGATGGGGAAAATAATAATATCATAAATTAATAATAATAATAATAAGGTTGAAGTTAGAACGCTCCCCCAAATACATGGAAATTAGGGCAACAAATTACATTACATTTTGCATATAAAATGAGTTAGTTTATAAATTGAGAAGGAACGGGCATCCTCATTCACTGCAGGCATGAGCACACAATGGAATAACTCTTGTCAGCAAGCTGATCCATTTCTAGGGATTAATATGGTAATTATATCTGCACACATTGAAAAAGATACATGTGCAAAGATATTCAATGCAGTATTGTTCCTAAATGAAACACAAAAAAATTTGAAATGCCCATCAAGAGCAGAAATAATTATAATATATAATATATAATAATATTATAATATATAATTATATATTATAATATATAATATATAATTATAATATATAATATATAATAATGTTATAATATATAATATATAATAATATTATAATATATAATATAATATATATATATATACTGGCCAAGATGGTGAAACCCCATCTCTACTAAAAGTACAAAAATTAGCTGGGCGTGGTGGCACGTGTCTAGTCCCAGCTACTCAGGATGCTGAGGCAGGAGAATCGCTTGAACCCAGGAGGCGGAGGTTGCAGTGAGCTGAGATCATGCCACTGCACTCCAGCCTGGGTGACAGACTGAGACTGCATCTCAAAAAAAAAAATTATTAAATGATACCTGTTACAGAATGATAAGAAATAATTTATTTAGGTCCTTGAGGTAGGTATAGGGACCACTGGAAGGAAGTCTTGCAATGAGAAGGAGAAACTGGGCTCAACTCTGAATACAGCATGGGCAAGCAGGAAATTATAGCCAAGGAAAAGGGTGGGGTGGGGGGCGGGGTCAGTGGATGGGAAATGACTATGTGGAAACATCAGGGGTAAGGGAGGATTCTGGCTAAACTCACCTAACAGGATTCTTGCTGAGGACAAGCCAAGGCTATCTGACATCACCTGGAGGATGGGGGAGGCTGAGGACTCTGATCAGATATGAAGAATGGGGATTCTTGCTAAACTGACTTAGCAGGTTTCTTTGCTAAAACTGAAATTTCACAAGGAAGTGCATAGATGAGTCTAGCACAACATTAAGAAGCCTGACTAAAGTCTGGTCAAACAAAACATTTTCTGTCACCACACAGAATGTATGCTGCTGGAAACAGACTGGGCCTCAGCATCTTCCTACCCCACCAGCTTCTGGGAGGGCATTTTGCCCTGTGCCTCCTGGGTGTTTCCTTGCTTGATCATGTCTAGGAGACAAAAGACTTGCACCTTATCATTTATGATAAATTCAGTGTCAGATTTTTAATACTAAATCAGGTGACAATGCTTCAGTGAACAATCTCAGGAATTAAAATAATGAAGTTCATTCATTCACCAATTCTTCGTGTGTGTGTGGTTTAAGACAATTTATTTTGCTCATGATTTTGTGGATTGGAGCCCAGCCACATTTGATAAGATGGAGAAATGGATTCCACCTCTTGAAGACAAGCAGGAGCGTCACAGTACAGAACAGCATACAGGCTGGAAGAGATTTCTGCAGCCATCTTTGGAGAATACAATATGCTGCATACGTTATTAAAGATTCTTCATAACTGCAATGACTGAACTGTATTCTAACTAAAAATGTATCACCATCGATTTGATGAATTTCAATTGCTGGAAACTTTAGAAACAATATTACAAATATCTTAATGATGAACATCATTCTACATAAAATTATCTGCACCTCTGAAAATTTTTTATTATGTTAATTAAGGCAGAATTACCAGATTATAAAGTTAAAACTACTTGATATAAATGGCCAACTTAATTCTCAGCAAAAACCCAGTTGAGATCCACTTCATTTAAAAATATTTTACTCTTTGAAAGAAAAACATTCCCATCAACACAGCTTAAAAATACTTGTGACTATTTTCATTTATTATTTCTACCAATCGTTTTTAGATATAAACAAAATTCCCACTAAAATTTGTATTAGAATTTAATTAAACCTATAAATGAACATAGGATGTACTGGCCCATCTTAAATGTAAGTCTTGCGGTCCAGAAGTCTTCTACCCTGATCTTCTTCTATAATCATTGTGAGAAATGTACAGTATTCGTAATTGAATTGTTTCTAGCATTTTACATTTCTGTAATTGTTTAAGGAGGAGCTTTTTCCCCTATTATATACTTAAGTTGATTATTGATGCGTAATTGGGAAAGTGATTGTTTTGTGTATTTATGCATGTTCAGACATCTTTCTAAATTCTTTTTTGTTCTAATAATTTTTAATTGATTATCTTAGGCTTTCCAGGTAGACAATCATATTAACAGCAGGTGGTGATTGATACTTTTTTTTCATTAGGTTAGATTGGGGAGAATTGATGGGCTTTTCTTTTTTTTACATTTTTAATTATTGTGAATACATAATAGTGTACATATTTATGGGGTAAATGTGATTTTTTTCCAACTTTTATTTTGGATTCAGAAGGTAAATGTGCAGGTTTGTTACCTGGATGTATTGCATGATCCTGAAGTCTGGAGTATGAAGGATCCAGTCACCCAAATACTGAGCATAGTATCCAATAGTTGTTGTTCAGCCTTTGTTACCATCCCCCACACTCCTCTAGTAGTCCCCAGTTTCTATTGTTGCCATGTTTATGATCATGAGTACACAAAGTTTAGTTCCCATTTATAAGTGAAAATGTGTGGTATTTGATTTTGTTCCTGTATTAATTCACTTAGGTTAATGGCCTCCAACTGCATCCATGTTACTGTAAAGCACATGATCTCCTTTTTTATGGCTGTATAGCATTCCATGATGTATATGTACTACATTTTCTTTATCCAATCCATCGATGGGCAACTAGGTTGATTTCATGTCTTTGCTATTGTGAATAGTGCTGCAATTAATGTGTGAGTGCATGTATCTTTTTTGTAGAATGATTTGTTTTCTTTTGGATATATATCCAGTAATAGGATTGCTGGTTCAAGTGGTAGTTCTGTTTTAAGTTCTTTGAGAAATCTCCAAACTGCTTTCCACAGTGGCTGAAATAATTTACAATCCCACCAAGAGTATATAGGTGTTCCCTTTTCTCCATGGCCTCCCCAGCAGCTGTTATTTTTTTACTTTTTAATAAAAGCCATTCTGACTGGTGGGAGATGGTATCTCATTGTGGTTTGGAATTGCATTTCTCTGATGATTAGTGATGTTGAGCACTTTTTCATATGTTTGTTGGCCACTTGTATGTATTCTTTTGAGAAGTGTCTATTCATATCTTTCACCCATTATTCCATGAAGTCATTTGGTTTTTGCTTGTTGAGTTGTTTAAATTCCTTACAGAGTCAATATTAGACCTTTGTTAGATGTATAGTTTGTGTCATTCACCAATTCTAAAAACACACATAAACATTTTTTTTTTCCACTTTAAGCTCAGGGGATTAGTGTGCAGGTTTGTTGCATGGGAAAATTTCATGTCACTGAGGCTTGGTGTACAAATGATCCCCTCACCATGGTAGTAAGTGGAGTACCCAACAGGCGGCATTCCAATCAAGGTCCCCCTCTCAGTCTTCCACCACAAGTAGCCCTCAGTGTCATTGTTCCCATCTTTGTGTCCATGTGCATTCAATGTTTAGCCCCCACTTATAAGTGAGACCATGTGGTATTGGTAAAACATTCTTTTTAAAAATATTTGAGACCATGAAAAGGAAATAAAACTGAATAATCAATAATAATCAGGAATAATCCCCAATTCCTTATACGATCCCTTCAAAACCCCCAACCAGAGGAATCTTTTCAATATAAACTTTGGAACTTCTGTTAATATCTCACTGCACTCTGGAGGTTTATACTTGTTTTTCTTGTGTCCTGTTTTTCTCTCCCCTCCCACGCCCAGCCCTGCAGCAGTGGCTGCCTCTCTGTCTTGGTCTCTGTCCTGTCTCATTGTCCTCAAATCAGACCTGCAGCTATGGTCCCAAGCAATTCCAATTTTCCCCCTCAAATCCACAGGATACACCGAGGACCCAACTTCTACTGTTGAGAACTAACTCACCCTCTGAATAAGGGGTCTGATCTTTATTTGGGATCATTGCTAAGATAGAAAAAGAAAATAGCATGTAAGAATTCTGTATACAACTCATTTCTGATTGGAGGAGGCCACAATTGCTTCTGTTAATCACTTCATTTTTCTTTCACAGTATCCACGGATGTGGTGCTTTCCTATTGTAGGAGGAGAAATCAGGCAGATGGCAGAAGGAACAGGTCAGATCTCGAGAAGAGATCCTCTGGCCTTCAAAGAAAAGTTTGTGGATTATAGATTCAGGAGTGAAGATTAGGAATCTGGGGAGACATTCTACAAGATCAGCAACCTCTGCCTCCCAGGTTCATGTGATTCTCTTGCCTCAGCCTCTCCAGCAGCTCGGATTACAGGCGCCCGCCACAAAGCCAGGCTAGTTTTGTATTTTTAGTAGTGATGGAGTTTCACCATGTTGGCCAGGCTGGCCTCGAGCTTCTGGCCTCAAGTGATCTGCCCACCTTGGCTTCCCAAAGTGCTGGGATTACAGGTGTGAGCCACCGCGCCCAGCCAGCTACCTTCTTACCTAATGCATCAAGAGGCTTGGCCATAATTTTTTAAAAATATCTGTCAAACTCTGTGCCCATTTGCTGTAAAAGCAAGATTACTGAGTTAATCTTAGATTTTAAAATGGAAAGGCTGGGCCTCAGAAAAGCAGTTAGGAAAGCTACCTGGACATTTCTAAGTTTCTAAGGCAATGCTCCAACTGTCCCAAGCAAAGGACAATGAGCACAAAGTTAGAGGAGCTTCATTAATTATTGACGACTGATTCATTCACTTACTTAATGAAAGACTTGAAGGAAGGAAGAATCCCCGAATGGAGGAGACTGGAAAGGACGCACGACAAACGCCCGCGGTCTCTGGAGACCGAGCCAGTCCCCTCCCTCCCCAGGGTCTGGTCTTGACCATTGCATGCGTGTTTTGGGGGTGCCTTTCTCTACCAGATTCTACTAAAGCTCAGCTGCACACACCCTTAAATGGGAGAGAAGGCTTCTGCTCGCGGGCCCTGCATTCTTCCACCCGGCCCCACCTTTCTGTGGACTAAACAGGAACCACTGGACTATAGTAAATCTCAGCCCTGCAGGAGATTTTAGTAAAGAACTAGGACTAAAGAAAAGCAGGGTTGGGCTGATAATGCACACAGGGCTAGCTTTAAATTTCTTTTCATGAATCACTCTCCCAGCGCATTAAGTCGGGTGCTTTGTTGATCCAGACCCTAGAGGGAGACTTCCGACCCTCCACTCGGCAGCCCCTGGATGGCGCAGCTCCACCTCCCCGCCCCCAACTCCTGCCTCGGGTCCTCTAGGCAGGCGCGCCGGGTCCTGCGACAGGTTGGGACTGAGCTGCATGGTGCTGCGTCCCAGTGCCCTGAGGCTACGCCCAGAGGCGGCTCAGCCAATCACAGTGCGGGCAGGCGGTGGGGACAGAGCCGCCTGGGTGGCATCCTGGTGGGGGACTTTAGAGGTCAAACTGGCAACCTTGAGGCGGCCGCAGAGGACTGAAGACCCCTGGACCCTGCACTTGCCGACTGTGCCTGTACAGACGGGACGGGGGCCACCCCGGTGCCCGGCGAGTACCTCCGCTCTGTGAGTGGGGGCATTTCTGGGGTGCTGAGCTATGGTATTCCTAGGGCTGGTTGGGCAGGACAGGGAAGCTCGACCCCTGCAAGTCAGGTGGAGATGTCCCTTGCTCCTTGCACCACCGCACATGCCCCGTGGCCACAGTGAGCCTGAGCAGAGGGTGGGGGCAAGCAGCATGGGACCTGGCCTGGGAGCTCAGCCAGGAGCCCTGGTTTTGGAGAGGCAGATGAGGTGTTGGCAGTACTGGCGACATGTAGGGCTGCGGGAGCAGTGTGTGCTCTCCTTCCCACTGTCTCCTGGGAAGGCATTCCAGAAAGGTTTCCTGCAAGAAGGGGAGACTGGAAAACATAGCTCACCTCCTGCTGTGTACTAGCCAAAAACAAGGTGTGAAGTGACCTCCCAATTATTGGGGATCCCTTTGTCCCTACTTGGGATTAGAAGTCTCCATTGGTGAGGTTTTGCCTGGATGGCCTCAGTACAATTTGTACAAAACCTAGATCAGTTAGTTTCCTAGCTGTTGCCTTAACCTTCTCACACACGAGGTACCTTCATATTTTTCATAACCTAAATTATCATCGCATAAACTGTTTCAGCTCCTACAGCTCTGGACAGGCTGCTTTTCATTTTGGTGAGTCCATCCAATACCTCCACTTGCCCTGTTTTCCTCCAACCAGATCCTTGGCCTCTTTCACCGTCCTTAGGTAAATGCATGGGAAAATAATTTAAATATTTTTATTCTACTATGGTGGCCAAAGTTTCTCAGGTAGCAGTAAGATGGCTTTTTAGGATTGGTCTAATCAGATCCTCATTTCTTTTCCCTTCCTAGGTTTTGAAACATGAATCCTTCACTCCTCCTTGCTGTCTTTTGCCTGAGATTAGCCTCAGCTAGTCTAACACTTGATCACAGTTTAGATCAGTGGAAGGCAAAGCACAAGAGATTATATGGCATGGTTGGTGGCACCTGAAACCATCCAGAGGGATTCCTGGGAGAATGGTCCTTGGTGTTTGGAGATTATAGCCAAAGAGTAGCTACTAGAGGCCAGCTCTTACCAATAACCTAATGCAATAACCTAATGGCACCAATTATGAGTACGATGTGGGCATAGGCTCCTGTTGTTTCTTGACTTGGAGAACATCTCCCAGAGGCGTCAAGCCTTCTCTGGCCATGGTTTCTTTTTCACTTTTGTCTGCAGATTCACTCGGTGAGCATGGGTTGGGTTTTAGTTAGAAATAAAGAGCATCAATTACATATTTGCCTCTAGAATGAAGAAGGATGGAGGAGAGCAGTGTGGCAGAACATGAAGATGATTGAGCAGCACAATCAGGAATACAGGGAAGGGAAACACAGCTTCACAATGGCCATGAACGCCTTTGGAGAAATGGTGAGTGTGCTGTGGACTGCCGAGCTCTGTGCTTCCTCTCCTCGGTTCTTTATTAAAGTAATCTCTTGCTTTTCAACATTTTATTTCCTTTTCCTTGAAGACCAGTGAAGAATTCAGGCAGGTGGTGAATGGCTTTCAAAACCAGAAGCACAGGAAGGGGAAAGTGCTCCAGGAACCTCTGCTTCATGACATCCGCAAATCTGTGGATTGGAGAGAGAAAGGCTACGTGACTCCTGTGAAGGATCAGGTAAGACAGTGTCAGATTCAGACCTCCCATCTCCCCAGGAAAGCCAAGAGGTGATCGACCTCTTTGCTTTAGTGGAGTGTAGAACAACTTGCAGTTCATAGTATTCAGAAAGATGAGCTGTTGTCAAAGTTTTGCTATTTGCTTTGTGAATGACAGCTTTTTTATTCTTTTATCATGGTAAGTGTGCATCTTCTTATGCTTTTAGTGCAGCTGGGGCTCTGTAAGGACAGATGTTAGGAAAACTGAGAAACTAGTTTCACTGAGTGTGCAGACCTGGTGGACTGCTCTAGGCTTCAAGGCAATGTTGGCTGCATTTTTGGAGAACCATTATTTTGCTTCCAGTATGTTGCCGACAATGGAGGCCTGGACTCTGAGGAATCCTTTTCATATGAAGAAAAGGTAAGTGGAGCTCTTTATCTTGCTGTCATTCCAGCTCTGCTTTTGGGAAGTGGAACGCTTTCAGAGGTAACACACAGTTTTTTCAGAACTCACATTTTAGATGGTAGAATCTATATCTGCAAACTGTCAGTGCTGTCATTATAAATTATTAGCCTTTGCACAGTTCTATGATTATGTGGTTAACATACAGCTGTTCTTGCTATATGTTAGCAAGAACATATAAGATAGAGAATATCCAAACATAGTAACATTGAGAATATACAAACTATTTTACATATAATACACATTTCTCCACTGTGAAAAATTTCTTGTGGCTAGTAAGCCTAAGGGTCTCATTCAAGAGACTTGAGCTAATGTTTAGTTTCAAGTCAACAAATAGCATTTCATTTCCTGGGAAATCCTAAGTTGCAAACTACTGAGCATTGTGGTTCTAACTCATGTTGTCCAGGAGGAGGATGGTGGTAATCAAGTCTCTTCCCCCTTTACTTTTAAAAGGAAAAAGCCTGTAGGTACAATCCCAAGTATTCTGCTACTAATGACACTGGGTACATGCAAATACTCCCTGTGGAAGAGAAGGCCCTAATGAAGGCTGTGGCAACTGTGGGGCGCATCTCTGCTGTTGTTTATGGACTTCTTGATTCCTTCTGGTCCTATAAAAAAAGAAGGTAAGAGTTTTTCTTTGTAGACATTGAGGAAGAAAAATTGAAAACCACCATGATACACAAGCAGGATGGACTATTTGGTACAAAAAATTCAATGTAAATATTTGGGTTCGTAGATTTCACATAGTTTATTTTATACATGTAATCTTTCTTTCTTTCTTTCTTTCTTTCTTTCTTTCTTTCTTTCTTTCTTTCTTTCTTTCTTTCTTTCTTCCTTCCTTCCTTTCTTTCTTTTTTGAGATGAAGTCTCGCTCTTGTCTCCCAGGCTGGAGTGCAATGGCGCAATCTCAGCTCATTGCAACCTCCGCCTCCTGGGTTCAAGCAATTCTCCTGCCTCAGCTTCCTGAGTAGCTGGGATTACAGGCCCCTGCCACCACGCCCGGCTAATTTTTGTGTTTTTAGTAGAGATGGGGTTTCACCATATTAGCCAGGCTGGTCTTGAACTCCCTACCTCAGGTGATCTGCCCGCCTCAGCCTCCCAAAGTGCTGGGATTATAAGCATGAGCCACCACACCCGGCCTACATGCAATATTTCTACCTGATGTTTCCATACAATGCATAACTATTTATTTATTTATTTATTATTTTTTGAGACGGAATCTTGCTCTGTCACCCAGGCTGGAGTGCAATGGCATGATGTCAGCTCACTGCAACCTCCATCTCCTGGGTTCAAGTGATTCTCCTGTCTCAGCCTCCCAAGTAGCTGAAATCACAGGTGCACACCACCACACCTGGCTAATTTTTGTATTTTTAGTAGACATGGGGTTTTGCCATGTTGGCCAGGCTGGTCTCGAACTCCTGACCTCAGGTGATCCTCCTGCCTCGGCCTCCCAAAGTGCTTGGATTACAGGTGTGAGCTACTGCACCAAGCCATAAATAACAATTCATAAAGCGTTATGAAGTATTTATATTCATGGGCACATAACCCCATGAATGCAAGTAATTCATAACGCTTTATGAATTGTTATTTATTATATAGCTTAATTTACTTAAGTTCTCTCCAATTGTTGGATATTTCAAATTGTTCCAAAGATTTATTTACCTCTGTTACTAAATCTGAAAAGAGCCCTTGATTCAAAGATTTCAGTGTTCTGTACCTTAGACATACTAGAGTGAAGTAACAAGCTTTCCAAGAGTGGTCTTTTATGCTTCTGGGCAAGTTTTTACAAAAGGATTTATGCTCATTTGTATTTCTGCTAGCTTTAGATGGGAGCCTAAATCCCATCTAGGTATTATTCATCTTAAAGATGTTTTGGAAGATTAGCGTGCCCCGGTATCACTGAAACACCCTTGTTGGGATAATATTGTAAGATATGTCACTGAAGATTTTAGATAGAGTGGTCAGGAAACACAAGAAAGTAAAAGGGCATGTGACAAGTGGAGGGGGGTGCAGGGCGGGGCTGGTCACCTGAAGTCTTAAAGCAGAGATGGACAGATTAGGGACACAGGGCCATAAACATGACCTGGAGCCATGTCAACACGCTGCCTGTGGTGAGCACTCTTCTATGCTTTGATGTAGGATTAAGGAACTTCTATACTTCTATGCTCTTCTCAGCCAAACCAGTTCCCATGATCATTGCTTACTCTCTTGTTTCTGTGTGTTGAGCTCTATATATGTGGGGACACACTGAAATAGGTCAATGGTGGGCATAATTTCTGGCTAAAATGTAAGCTTGCCAACTGGTGGCCCATCTGGGAAACTTTTGTTCTTCCCCTTCTTCTCCTGCATATTCTCAGAAACATAATAAGCACATCAAAAATCACTTTCTTGGACTGACCATTGTTGTGACGCCCTGGTAAACTGTGCGTAGAACAGTCATGAGTGAACATTTGCCCTCAAACTCCAGTCTCTATGTCCTCACCTGTTCATAATTTGATGAAAAAGCCATTGATTTGTTATACAAATGCAGACTCCATAAATGTTTACCAGATAGAACAATTAACCTACCAGCTCTCTGGTTTATAACCAATAATGTCTCCCATTCCCTCCACCTTGTCCAAGAGCACTAAGCCTGCCACTGAGGTGGCTTGGTTTCCTCCATTAGTGCTTCCAATGAGTAACTTGCTCGTGGCTGTTTTCAAGGATTCTTAGAGGACCTTACCCTTCATCCTTCCAGCAGTTTTATCTGTTGCTTCTCAATAATTTTTTAGGTAAAAAAACAAATACAACAAGTAATCATTATTCAAAACAAAAATATAGATAAATAAGAAAAACGGGGAGAAAACCCCCAAAGACTCACCCAAAATCTCACTGTACCTGTTTTTGTCCACCTGAAACCAGTGGTCAACTGGGAACACACTGCTCACTTACGTGTCAAGCATCGCATTTGCCTTGTCGTGTATTATGGCATTTGATCATCAGAATAACCCTCATCCCCATTTTACAGATGAGTACAGTGAGGTTAGAGAGGTTACGGAGCTTGCCCAAGGGCACAGGGCTAGTCAGTGAGGAAGCCAGGATTTGGTCTCAGGAGGTGGAACTCCAACAAAAGGGAATGCAGTGCTGCAGGGGTGTATGGGACCCTGGTACTGAGGGCTGACAGTCATTAGGAGAATTGCAGGAGGACCACAGGGAACAGTTTATGCTAAACCTGACCTTCTCCACAGTTCACAGGATCAGCAACCAAGACACCACACCCCTCCCAAGGCCCCAGTCAGGAGGTCATTCCCCAACACACAGTTCCCAACTCTCATGTCCTGCTTCCATTCAAAACTTCCTCAAAAGCACTTTCTGTTTTCTGTGACTCTCCATTGAGTTTTACCCAATGAATGAGAGCCCCTTTAAATGATTAGGCCCAAAAAGGCATTTAAAACGTAACAGCAGTCATGTCCCACTCCCCTTGAGCCAAATAATTATCTCTGGAAGACACTTGCTCTGCAGGCTCTAGATTAACTGATGCCAAGTAGCCATAAAATGCCACACGATCTATAGTTCCACAATGTGTAGCCAGTCACTAACCAACATTACTTCTGTAAACCAATGAGAATTCCTGACGAACAACTTTTATAATTGCTCCCTCTCCTGATTAAACCTTTTGTTTTTCTTTAAAAACTTAGACCTCCCTTTTGTTCCCTTGAGCACTCCCCAAAGAAACTTGGAAGTGTGTCCCTGGCTGGAGTCCTCAACCTTTCTTTAACTAGATTCTGGCTTTTTGATTATTTCGGATTGGTAGGAACCACCACCCGCCCCTTTCTCTAGCAGAAGATTTCCCCACATCTGAGTTATTTCACGTGGAGCAGGTGCTGGAGCAGGTGGGGTGGAAGGGAGAGGAGAGTATCAGATTCTGACCCCGGCCCTATGCCTACAGACCTGTGGTGTATATAATGCAAGGGGAGTGATGCATTTTTTAAAATCTTTTTTGTATTCTCTTTACAGGGACCTTTCCCCTCTATAGCGAGGGGTATTGTTTTCTCACAGACTATGGATTTTAACAACAGGAATGCAAAGAAAAAGAAAGAATTGGTGTTCAGCATTAGACCTCCCAAACAGAATTTCTGACTTAACAATGGTCCAGTAAGTGAAGATTGAAAAGAGAGGAAAAGGTTTTCTAAATTGCAGGACCCAATCTAAAAAGCTACTGTATGAACCTAGAGCAGTGGTCCCCAACCTTTTTGGCACCAGGGACTGGTTTTGTGGAAGACATTTTTTCCACAGACTGGGGGGATGGTTTCAGGATGAAACTGTTCCACCTCAGATCATCAGGCATTACTGAGATTCTCCTAAAGAGCACAAAACCTAGATCCCTCCAATGCACAGTTCACAATAGGGTTCATGCTCCTATGAGAATCTAATGCTGCAGCTGCTCTGACAGGAGATGGAGCTAAGGCGGTCATGCTTGCTTGTCTGCCACTCACCTCCTGCTGCATGGCCCAGTTCCTAACAGACCATGGAACAGTACAGGTCCACAGCCCAGGGGTTGGGGACGTTTGACCTAGAGGACAATGTCGTCAAGGAATTAATTGTCAATGACTTGGTGGAGTTGGAGGAAGAAAGAAGTGTCTTCCACCATCACCTGTAAAATGGGGCATAAAAGAGCCCTCATCTCCTAGGGCAGTGGTTCTCAAAGGTGGTTCTCTGACCAGTAGCACCTGTACTATTTGGGAACTTGTTAGAAAAGCAGATTATGCAACCCTGTCTCAGACCTACTGAGTGAAAAACTCACAGAATGGGCCCTGCAATCTGAGTCTTCAGGAGCCTCTGTGTGATTCTGATGCATGCTGAAGTTTGAGAACCACTGCCATAGGTTTGTTGTAAAGATGACATGAAGAGCACATGTGAAATGCTCAAAACAGTGCCTGTACCTAGGAGTTATTTAGCTATTCCTATCATCACCATCATCACCATCATGGCAGAGAACTTTTCTAGTAATGCTTTAATTTCCAGGAGTTGCAGGAACTCACAAAGGGAGATGCCCTTCCTCTGCAGCAACCCCGAGGGCAGGTGCATCTGCAAGCTGAGCCTCTCACAGCACAGAAGCTTCTGTCTTCACCACTCACCAAACTGACACAGAGACTGATTTTCACCTAATGTGTATTTTTTAAAAAAATACAGTCATTTGTCACTTAACAACAGGGAAATGTTCTAAGAAATGCATCATCAGGCCATCTCACTGTTGTGTGACTATCATAGAGTGAACTTACACACATCTAGATGGTAGAGCCTTCTACACATCCACACTAGGTGGTAGAGCCTTCTACACATTCAGGCTAGATGGTAGGCCACAAGCCTGTACAGCATGTGACTGTACTGAAGACTATAGGCAATTGCAACACAATACTGTGCATTTATGTTTTTAGACATACGTAGACATAGAAAAGGTACAATAAAACACAGTCTAAAAGATAAACAATGATGTACCTGTATTGGGCACTTGCCATGAATGGAACTTGCAGGACTGGAAGATGCCTTGGGTAAGTCAGTGAGTGAGTGACTTTGAAGTAAATGTGCAGGCCTAGGACATTACTGTACATTACTGTAGACTATATACTGTATACCTAGGTGCCGTGACCAGCTTGGCTGGGGGACCTTAACCGAGTGGCGCTAGAGGAATTAAAGACACACACACAGAAATAGAGAGGTGTGAAGTGGGAAATCAGGGGTCTCACAGCCTTCAGAGCTGAGAGCCCCGAACAGAGATCGACCCACGTATTTATTAACAGTAAGCCAGTCATTAGCATTGTTTCTACAGACATTAAACTAACTAAAAGTATCCCTTATGGGAAACAAAGGGATGGGCCGAATTAAAGGAATCGATTGGGCTAGTTAACTGCCGCAGGAGCGTGTCCTTAACGCACAGATCGCTCATGCTATTGTTTGTGGCTTAAGAATGCCTTTAAGCAGTTTTCCGCCCCGGGCGGGCCAGGTGTTCCTTGCCCTCATTCCGGTAAACCCACAACCTTCCAGTGTGGGCGTTATGGCCATCATGAACATGTCACAGTGCTGCAGAGATTTTGTTTATGGCCAGATTTTGGGGGGCCTGCTCTCAACACTTAGGCTACACTTAAATTATAAAAAATATTTTTGGTCAGACATGGTGGCTCATACCTGTAATCCCAGCACTTTGGGAGGCCAAGTCGGGCGGATTGCCTGAGGTCAGAAGTTTGTGACCAGTCTGGCCAATGTGGTGAAACTCTGTCTCTACTGAAAATACAAAAAAAATTAGCTGGGCGTGGTGGCATGCCTTTGTAATCCCAGCTACTCGGGAGGCTGAGACACAGGAATTGCTTGAACCAGGTTGGTGGAGGTTGCAGTGAGCTGAGATTGCACCACTGCACTCCAGCCTGGGTGACAGAGTGAGACTGCATCTCAAAAAAAAAAATTTTTTTTTTCTTTAATAATAAATTAATCTTAACTTTCTGTCACTTTTTTCTATTATCTACTTCTAAATTTTTAAAAGTTTTTGACTCTTGTAATAACATTTAACTTAATATGCAAAGACACTGCACAGACATACAAAAATTGTTCTCTTTATATTCTTATTCTATTATAGTTTTTCTATTGTTACAATTTTTAATTTTTATTTCTACTTTTTAAATTTTTTTTAAAAACTGAGACACAAATGCACATTAGCCTGGGCCTATACAGGGTTAGGGTCATCACTATTACCATCTTCTACCTGCACATCTTACTGAACTGGAAGGGCTTCAAGGGCAGTAACACACAGGGAGCTGTCATCTCCTGTGATAATAATGCCTTCTTCTGGAATCCCTCCTGAAGGAACCGCCTCAGGTGGTTTTATATCTAAAATTTTCTTTTTACAGGCAGGAGTACACCCTAAAGTAAGAATAAAAAGTCTAGTATAGTAAATACATAATCCAACAGCATAGTTGTGCATTATCATTATCAAGTATTATATAGTGTATGCAATTGTATGTGCTAGACTTTTATATGACTGGCAGCACAGTAGGTTTGTTACACCAGCATCACCACAAATATGTAAGCAGCACTAAACGTTTCCACAGATATGATGCCAGTAGGTGATAGGCAGTTTTTAGCTTCATTATAATCTTATGTGACCACCATTGGCCATGATATATGTGGTCTGTCCTTGACTGACATGTCATTATGCAGTGCATGCCTGTATATAGCATTCTTTTGTTGAGATATACTTTGCATAACGTAGAACTCATCATCTCAAAATATTTGGTGGTTTTTAATGTATTCATTGTCTTATGCAACTATTACCACTATCTAACACCAGAACATTTTCATCACCCCAAAAATAAGTCCTGTATTTATTAATCAGTGTCTTAGTCTGTTTTCTGTTGCTTACGGCAGAATGTCTAACACCGGGTCATTCCTAACGAAACAAAATTTATTTCTTACAGCTCTGGAGACTGGAAAGTCCAAGGTCACAGAGGTGCATCTGGTGAGAGCCTTCTTGCTAGTGGGGAATCTCAGCAGAGTCCTGAGGTGGCACAGGTCATCACATGGTGAAGGGACTGAGTGTGCTAAGATGGTAGCTCAGGTCTTTCTCTTCTTATTAAAATACCAGTTTCATTCCCATGATAACCCATTAATCTATTAACCCATGAATGGATTAATCCATTCTTGAGGACAGAGCCCTCATGATCCTATCATCCCTTATATGGCCCATCTCTCAATGCTGCCATATGGGGGATTAAGTTTCAACAGGAATTTAGGAGAAAAAATTCAAACTATAGCCCACAGTTAGTTCTAATTCCCTCTACCTTCATTTGCATAATCCACTCTGCTTCTATAGATTTCTCTATTCTGGGCCTTTCATGTGAATGGAATCATAAAATATGTGATCTTTTGTGTCTGGCTGCTTTTATTTAGCATAACGTTTTCAGGGCTTGTTCATATTATAGCACGCATCAGTACTTCATTCCTTTTTATGACTGAAAATACTGCAGAGCATGAATACACTGTATATATTCCATTGCATGAATATTAATCCGTTCATCAATTGATGAACATTTGATTGCTTTCACTTTTCTGGCTATTATGAATAATGTGCTAGGAACACCTGTGCACACATTTTTGCATTAACATATGCTTATCAATTTCTTGGGTATAGTCACAGGAGGGGAATTGGTATGTCTGAACATTCATTTCTATTTTACTTCTTTGGCTTTTCTTTTGGATTGTAGAGGAAGTGAAAATTATTTATGCTTTGTTTCTAATTTGTTATTTTGATTGAGATGGATGAGAGAGTGGAAAATAATATTTTACTGGAAATACTAAGCTTTGATAACCAAAATTACAGAATATTTGAAAGCTTCTATTTTAAAACCTTTCTACATTACAGTCCTGTCTGCATTAAAAGATTCAGTGGAAAAATGAGAAACCAATAGAAGCAACATCAGTATACTTTGATCCAATATACTACCCAACTTATATTGACTTTGGAATGTAGATAATTTCATCCTCATCTTTGGTAAGCATAAAATTTGGTGAATGACATACCCTACAATAAAATGTAAATAATTCCAGTAGTCTCATAAGGTTGTGTTAAGAATTAATTGAGATAATATGAGTATTAATATACCAGCCATTCCATAAATCCTCTCTCAGAAATGGACATATCCTTGAGAAATGACATTAAATCCAAAGGCACACAAATACTGCAATAAATGCTGTTGACATTGAGATACTGTATATTGACCATGTTTATTGTTTGACCATTTCTTCTCATCTAGAATCCTACTGTAATGCACTAGAGAAGTGTTTAACTTGATTCAGGGAAACACCCTCAAACATCATAAACCAAAAGAGCTGATTCCTTCTCATTTGGGAAGGTCGCCTGCCAGGTTTCTTCCATTTCTTAACTTCATTGTCCTCAAAAGCTTTCTCATCTGGGAATTCCATATGGAACCACGAATGGATTTGAAGTCTTGCAAGAAGGGTAATAGAATTGTCAAATATTCTCCCAATTCCACTAGAGAAGAGAGGGTAGGGGTGAGGCAGAGGGTCTTGATCAGTTTAGGCCTGATTCATTTGACACTGGCCTAGGAGACCAGGCTTTGAATGATTAAGTTTTGCCCTAACCTCCAGCCCTTAGCCAGAGCTGTGGAACTGGGTATTGACCCCATTTCCTCCTTTGCAGTCTCCACTCTGTTCCACCCAGGAATGGGGGATGAAATGTTGGGGTGAAAAGGGCAGGGAATTTGTGATCGTGGTAGCACCATGGCTGGATTCAGGCAACAGTGTTTTTTCATTCATTCATTCTGAAAAATTTTATTGAGTCTCTTTAAGTCAGGTCTTGTGCTGAGGAATCAATGATGAACCAACACTGAGACATTCCCTGTGCTGGAGAAGCCTGAATGTGTAGAAGGCTCTACCATCTAGATTTGTGTAAGTTCACTCTATGATAGTCACACAACAATGAGATGGCCTAATGATGCATTTCTCAAATTGGGCGGTAGATGGGAATCAATTTCCCCTTTGAATGACGTATAAACTTTGCACCTCCTTTCCTCCTCATTGAACTAATGTTCTGGGCAGTTTTTTCATTTATGGGTCCCTGAGTAGTGAGGTTTCTCTGTAGCCATTCCATCCCCCTAGTAGAGGGAATCTGAGAAAGTGTGGCTACTTCCTCTTCTCCAGATTTCATAAGAAAAAAGAAGTCTTGAAAGGCTTTACATAAAAGTTCACACATTGTCTCAAAAGACATTTGACCAGGGCTACCTGGTTCCCTTTCATCATCAATGGAACGTGCCCCACTGACGCAGGGGTTTCTGTCCTAATCAGGAGGGCCCACCATCTGTCACCTGGCTCTGCTCTAGCTCACCCTGTGGTAACCTGGTATCTGGTCTCCATTTCCAAGGAGTCACATCACCGCACTGTGGAACTGCAGGCCCCAGCACAATGAGTCCTGATGCAGATCTCCAAATCAAGGGCTGATGTTCCCACTCAGGGAGAACAGGTCACCACAAGAATGGTGCAGCTCTTAGAAGTCTGTAGCTTTTGAAGTGTCAACTCAAACACTATCACCACTCTAGTGTTCTTTCTCAGGAAGCACAACATCCATGTTAACAGAATGAGTGAAGAATCCATCTTCTGTCTGCCATCAAAAGTTATAGCAAAATGTCTAGGATCATAAGTGGTATCAAGGAATATAAACTCTTCTATTTTACTTATTCACTTGTATTTTTTGAGCTATGGTTTTGCTCTTTCATTCAAGCTGGAATGCAGTGGTGCAACCATGCCTCACCACAGCCTCAAACTCCTGGCCTCATGTGATCTTCCCGCCTTGGCCTCCCAAAGTGCTAGGATTACAGGAGTGAGCTACCGCAAAACTCTTCTATTTTAGATCTAATACTATACCATGGACATCTTTCTTTGTCAATACATTTAGAGTTTTCCATTGTTGACCCTATCATAATTCATTTAACAATCTCCTTTTCTCTTCTTGATGAGTATTTCAACTTTTTTATGTTTCATTTACAAATAATACTGTACTTTATATCTTTGCATGTGTATCTTTATAGAGATGTGCAAATAGTACTATAAAACTAATTTTTTGAAATACATCTACTTGCTGAAAAAATGTGATTTCATTGTGTGCTCCTACCTGTAGTGAATTAGCATGTGCATTTCTTCACAACTTACTGATTAACTCATTTTATAGGCAAAATGTGATGGAATTTGCTGCTGTAATTTCCATGTCCTTCGCAGGGAGAGTTCTAATTTCAACTTTATTATTATCATTAATTCAAGATATTATTTCTTAACAATGTTAATCATCATTGTGATCATTACCACAAATAATAGATGCTAGCAATAGTCAACCTGCATTAAGAAGCCACATCCCATGCACTTTCCACACAGACTTGATTTGATTCCATTCACTCCTCACAACAACCACGTGAAGAAAGAATCACGAAGCAATTGTATAATTGAAACACAAAAGGAAAGTTACTTGTGTGCCCTTGGTCAAGTAATTTGAACAGTCTGTGCTTCTGATCTTCCCATAGAAAAATATAAATAATAATATATTCATTATCTACTACATGCGGATATGTCAGAAATTAAAGAACTGTATATCTGCAAGGCATTTTATGCCACCTATGCATTGTTCATTGATTATATAGTGTGTCTCATGTTTCAGCGTGCTGGGAAGGATGGATTATAAGACAAAGACTGAGAAAATGCAGAATTTGGTGCAGGGTTTGATGGGGGCCAGCCCCTCCACACTTGTGGGTGTTTCTCGTCAGTTGGGATGAGAGACTGAGAAAAGAAATAAGACACAGAAACAAAGTATAGAGAAAGAAAAGTGGGCCCAACGGACTGGCGCTCAGCATGTGGAGGACCCACGCCAGCACTGGTCTCTGAGTTCCCTCAGTATTTATTGATCACTATCTCTACCATCTCGGAGAGGGGGATGTGGCAGGACTATAGGGTAATGGTGGGGAGAGGGTCAGCAGGAAAACATGTGAGCAAAGATCTCTGTGTTACAAATAAGTCTAAGGAAAGGTGCTGTGCCTTGATGTGCACATAGGCCAGGTTTATGTTTGACTTTACACAGACATCTCGGTGCATTAAGGAGCAGTATTGCCGCCAGCATGTCTCCCCTCCAGCCATAAGGCGGTTTTCTCCTATCTTAGTAAATAGAATGTACGATCGGGTTTTACACCGAGACATTCTATCCCCAGGGACGGGCAGGACACAGATGCCTTCCTCTTATCTCAACTGCAAAGAGGCCTTCCTCTTTCACTAATCCTCCTCAGCACAGACCCTTTACAGGTGTCGGGCTGGGGGATGGTCAGGTCTTTCCCTTCCCACGAGGCCATATCTCAGGCTATCACATGGGGAGAAACCTTGGACAACACCTGGCTTTCCTGGGCAGAGGTCCCTGTGGTCTTCTGCAGTGTATTGTGTCCCTGGGTACTCAAAATTAGAGAATGGCAATGACTTTTCCCAAGCATACTGCCTTCAAACACATTTTTAACAAAGCACATCCTGCAGAGCCCTAAATCCATTAAACCTTAAGTCAACACAGCACATGTCTCTGCAATCACAAGGTTGGGGCTAGGGTTACAGATTAAACAGCATCTCAAGGCAGAAGAATTTCTCTTAGCACAGAACAAAATGGAGTTTCTTATATCTACTTCTTTCTACATAGACACAGTAACAGTCTGATCTCTCTTTCTTTTCCCAACAGGGTTTCCAGTGGAAAAGACATCTTGTTTCCTAAACAACAATTGGCCACACACTGGAGACACATAACCTGCCTATGAACTGGAGAATCCTATTGAAATCTTAGAGGAAGTTTGAGATTTTCCTCAGATAGGTGTTTACTATTCAAGTTGGCACGAATAGGTTTTGTTAAAACCCATTTTCTTTCTATTCTGCCTCTATCTGGTACAAGATAGAACTAAAGAGGATATAAAGCAGCAAGGTACAATTTGAAATCAAATGGCAACAATGGAAGATAATGGTCTTGGTTCAACCCAATGCCCACCTGAAATCACTTTTATTAAGGACGACCAACTGGAACAAAATTGTATATTAGTCTTCTCATGATAATTTCAAGTGTGTTTTGATTTGAGAATTTCTTTATGAAAGTCTTCAAAAATCCCACCTCTTAATCCATGGAATTTTCCCTGGAGTCTGAAAATTCCCCAAATCTTTGGAGACTTGATGGTTATTCACTGGTCAAGGGCTCTATAAAAGTGTTCTGGGGAGGTTGACTCAGTGGTCAACAGAGGCCCTTCCAAATCTTCAGTCTGATTCTGGGATCCCCAAGGAGACCTGGAGCCTTTCTCAACATCTTTTGATTGGAAAGAGCATGTGCTTCATCCTCTGTTGCAACAGAAATAGCCATTGTGAAACTCTTTGGTGAGGTGCAATGAGTTTATTCAACCACGTGTGGGCTGGATAGGCTCAGATTTACAGGTATGTTTGAGCTCTGTTTCATACTCAAATGTACACATCCAACAGATGACTGGATCAATTGTACTCTTCATCTTCCTAGTATTCTGGGAAGCATCAAGTGCAGTGTCATCTTATCGAGGAGGCTCTGCAGATGCTAAGTGGTGGGGATGAGGATCACGATGAAGACAAATGGCCCCATGACATGAGGAATCATCTGGCTGGAGAGGCCCAGGTGTAGCAGTTATGGGATGTTACTTCACCAAACAGGTGATGTTTCACACCTCAGAGCAACACAGAACGTTTTGACTGTCAGTGCCTAGTCACTATTTACAATCAGAGCCAAAAAGGCTTCTCTGAAGAGGAAGAAACTTTTGGAAAACATTGCCCCTGTAGGCAGACACTTCATGTAAGAGACACAGCTGCTTGCCTTGGTTGAGGCTGCTACCAAAACTGCTACCACAACTCCCACCCAGTTGGTAATCAAAGCAACAGAGAGATGGAGCCAGAGCCTGAATCAGATCATAAAACAACCAAACTCATTCACAAGAGTCTTAGCTCTTCAATGGTATTGTTCCCACCTCCTGCGGAAAGGTCTGGACATTTTAACATAAATTGGCTGTGGAGTTAACAAGAATGCAGGTTAGCTTTTCCTTGATTAATAAGACATTGCTGACATTTGACTACTTTTGACCTTCGAAATAGCCATTTCAAGTCATTCAATGTAATACTAGGTTTAAGTTTCATTTTACTCCAAATGTATCTATATGCACATAGATAAATACTAAAATAAAGATAAGCAAATTCCTAATATTTGCTTCCTGGAAAACTCATCATTACTCTTTTATTACCTTCCATTTTCAGTCTAGGTGAGGAGAAAATAAGCACTTTATGAGCTTTCTAAAAATTAAGATTCATTTTGAAAGTTTAAAATTAACATAACAAGAAACAAGAAAAAAATTAGTTAAAAATTAGAATTTTGTACATAAGGGATTTTTTTTCTATAGAAGCCAAAATCTGACATTTACATATATTTCTCTGGACAACCAGACTCTACTGTTTCAGATCGGCGTGTAGCTGGTGGCCAACTCTGCTCCATGGATAGGTGTACCGTTGTGACCACTTTTTGGAATGTGATTTTTTTTTTTCGGTAAGGAGTGTACCTTTCAGTTAGCAAGGGTACACTCACTGCCTCTCCAGACTCCCGTCAGCATTCATGGGCACTTTCTTGCAGGCCCCTCCGCCCCAGCATTTCCATTTTCCACCTCTGTCCTAGATGACACTGATGTCTCATGGCTCCTCCTGTGATGTGATGAAATCTTCTGAGTCAAGGACTGAGGAGGGGAAGCCACGCCCCCTCCATGGAGTCCAGCTATGGCCCCTCTTTGTTCTCAGATGTGAGCATCAAGAGAGGCACACCAGGAGCAGAAGCTGAGCCCTCTTAGGGCCCATGAGATGCAAGGCAAATCAAGATCTCTTTCTATCTCAAATCATTGACTTTTTCAAAAGTGTAGAAGTTGCTGATATTTAGAGTTTGTGAGAGTGTGCAGGAATGAGTCCTCTTGTTTACTGTTATAAAGGGATGTGATATTCTTGTCTTTGGACTTGGAATTGTTCATTATTTTTAAGGGAAACATTCCCAGCCCCAGCAAATCCATTTTCATCTCATAAAAATAGTCATAGAAGTATAAATATTAAATGTCACATATTCACAGATTTTTAAATAAATCCAGGTGTTTATCAATAGGGAAAATTTAATTATGATTCCATCGGTATAAACATGGAAATGTATCCTTCATATGCCACTGAGAGCAAAAAGCAAATTCCAGAACAATGTACATAGTATGATCCCATTAAAAGTCAAAATAGAATAAAATAACTATGTCTATGTATTTTAATAGGTGAACATAGGTTTATATACAGAGAAAGCCTAGAGGCATATGTATTAAAATAGTAACCATTATCTTTGCAATGGGAAGGAATGGGAACAGTGTTGGAAACACTGATTTTTACTTTATGTTTTATTTTGTGAATCAGTTTTTTTATTTTGGCAAAAATTTTTTATAATAGAAAATAAAGTCACATAATTTAAATCCCTATCTCCAAAATACAAGAAGGTGGACAGTAAAAACTTTTTATGCACTTCAGTCCCCAGCCCACCCGTACAACATGTATTGTTAGTTTCTTTTTATTATTTGTGTGTGTGTGTGTGAGATGGAGTCTTGCTCTTGCTGCCCAGGTTGGAGTGCAATGGAGTGATCTCGGCTCACTGCAACCTCCGCCTTCAGGGCTCAAGTGATTCTCCTGCCTCGGCCTCTTGAGTAGCTGGGATTATAGGTGCCTGCCACCACGCCTGGCTAATTTTTTGTATTTTTAGTACAGACAGGGTTTCACCATGTTGGCCAGGTTGGTCTCAAACTTCTGACCTCAGATGCTCCGCCCGCCTTGGCCTCCCAAATTGCTGGGATCTATTGTTAGCTTCCTGGTGTCCTTCTAGAATTTATTTATGCACCTGAGAACAAACACATATATGCCTTCGTATTCTCTCTTTTTCTTTTCCACAAAAAGTAAAACATTATTTGCTGGTTGACATTTTATTTTTTCCTTCATATTTGTTACTTTTTTATTGTTTGGAAAATTTTTTTTTACAATGCTCTATATTTCTTTAAAATTAAAATAAATGAGAAGTGTTGGACCTTAGGTGGGAAAGAGTTGCAACTGTATAGGGAGAGGCTACTCCACTTTCACAAAGATGATGGGGCCACATCAAGCAGTTGGGAAGCTAAGCAATGTTTCAAAAGTTGAAACAAAAATAGTTATTCAAGCTGAGAACGGCATATCAGTGGATAATGAATTTGCCCTCTGTGTATTGATTTTGCTTTACTTAGAAACATCATTCCCCACCTCTAGGCAGCGGGTCTTGCCTCCTCTTCCTGAAACACCTCTGTCAAAGCCCTCCTGTGCTCCCTCTTCACATCTGCCCTTAATCATTGCAGGCACCCAGAGCACAGGGACAGGGCCGGGGAGGATGTGGCAGAGGCAGCACTGGGAGAGACCAGCCATTCCATGGTTTCCAGCTTTGGGGTCTTGGGCAGGTTGCACACCTCCCCTTAGCCTGTTTCATTACTCAGGAAATGGGCATAACAATTCTACTTTCCTCACAGGATCGTTGTGAAGATTAAATGAGATATGTAAACATTTGCATGTAGTAGGGCTAACCTATTTTTTTTGAGACGGAGTCTCGCTCTGTCCCCCAGGCTGGAGTGCAGTGGTGCGATCTCTGCTCACTGCAACCTCCGCCTCGCAGGTTCAAGTGATTCTCCTGCCTCAGCCTCCCAAGTAGCTGGGACTACAGGCACCCACCACCACACCCAGCTAATTTTTGTATTTTTAGTAGAGATGGGTTTCACCATGTTGCCCAGGATGGTCTCGATCTCCTGACCTCGTGATCCACCTGCCTTGGCCTCCCAAAGTGCTGGGATTACAGTCGTGAGCCACCGTGCCCAGCCAGTAGGGCTAATCTTATACCCCTTTATTATGGGGTCAAAGATAGAATCTTTCCAGAGGTGTTGGTTATTTAAGAAAATATTTATTCAAGGATTTGATGCACAGGTAATCTCACTTATTTCTTTCTTCCCATGAGCCAGGTTACCAAATTGGTGAAATTAATTATAATGTTATTGTGGTGGGTAAGCATATATGTTAAAAGCGAAGATACAGTTCCTTATATTATTGAATTATGCTCCCAAACTTATCAAATTAGGTATACATGTCTTGAGACTGTTTCAATAGGACCTAAAATATAACCCATTGTATTTTGTGTTTGACCTATAATAATAGGGATATAGGGAATGCAAATTACTACACATATAATGGAAAAATAGTGTGGAGATTCCTCAAAAAATAGAACTACTGAATAATGCAGAGGTCCCAGAACGGGTTCTATCTTCAAAGGAATGAAAACCAGTACATGGAAGAGCTATCTTCACTCCCAGGTTCACTGCAGCCCTCTTCACAATAGCCAGGATACAGAGTCAACTTTAGTGTTCATGAACAGATGAACGGATGAAGAAAAGGTGACGTATATACACCATGGAATACTATTAAGACTTAAAAAAGAAGAAAATCCTGTCATTTGCGTGAAATGGATGGACCTGGAGGAGATTGTGTTAAGTGAAACATGTCAGGCACAGAGAGACAAATAGTGCATGATCGACCTTATATGTGAAATCTAAAAAAGCTGAACTCATAGAAGTAGAGAGTAGGATGGTGTTTGCATGGGACTTGTGAGTGGGTCGTTAAGAAGGTATTGGTCAAAAGATGTGAAATTTAAGATAGACAGGAGGAATTTAAAAAACAGATAAGAGAGGCCACACAGTCATCATTCAGTAAAGAATGTTGAGGTCATTTTGTAAAAAGGTCACACCTCATTGGAGGTATTGATAGGACTCTCTCTGGCAGAAGCAGTCCTCCACAGGAACAATAACATGGTATTTGTAAGGTTTGACCTTCTCACGCCAGTGGTGCTTTGGGAGCTGCAGCACCTGCTCAGGATCCTGGGTGGTGGCTGGAAATGATATCCTAAAGAAATGATTTCCTCAAAGGGAAATGAGCTCCTGTTTTCCAGAGTGAAAGTTCCTCCCTGGACACTGGGATCTGCAGCAGCTTTGAGTGACTAAATGTCTTTCTAGAAGCCTTTGACTCACTGGGTACCGTGGAGTAGGGAGTGCCTGCAGGATGTAGGGCCTCTCCAACATCATCCCAGAATCAGCCTGTGTTTCCTGGGCTTATTCCCAAGTAGGTGAGGGAGGCCAGGTGGGGATGGGTGCAGGTTCTCAGGGCTTCCTTCCAGTGTGAGAATCAGGGCACAACTTCTTGACCTCTCTAAGCTCCAGTTTTCTTATTCTGTGAAGAGGAATGAGAAGAAACTGGTTGGCTTATAAAACCTGCTGATGCTACACTCACAGGGTCTCAGCAAATAGACAAAGATGTAAAGATGTGTGGTGCCTGATGCTCCCTTGAGGTGGATGAAGAGCAGGGAACCACACGGTGCTGATGTCTGCCTATAACTGAGCCATGCTTCCCTCATGGATGCAAATCTCTGCAGGGCTGGGAGGACAAACAACATTCTCTTATGAGTGTTATTTTTAAGGCCCAAAGAGAAGGCTGATTCAGCCTCAAGAGTAAGGTTGGCTACCCTCCTCCATCTGACAGGATACAAGTTGAGGGCAGTTGAAATGATTCTGAATAACAGTGGGGTGAGTCTCCTTCACTATTTGCTTCCCTCCTCTGAAAAATTTCTTCCTAACATGCTCAGTACTCACTTCCTGACGACTGGTACCTACATTTGCCTTGGTCCTAGCTTTTCAGATTGCAGAATCCAGATATGTTCTTTGGAACAGTTCATATCTTCTACAGGTCTGAGGCTTCACTGAGTCCTAGACAATTTCCTTAAAGGAAATTGTGAGAAAAACTATTGAGATGGCTCTTCCTTCCCAAACATAAAGACAGAGAGAGAGAGAGAGAGAGAAAGTTGCTGCTTTGCTCAACAGCATCTGCTTGGTGAAGAGCCTCAAGATCTGACTCGGGCCTCCCAGCTCTTAGGAACCCATTCTCCACTGGCAGGGGTGGCGTGTTTACCCTGTTTTTCATGGAGGAATTGGACCACAAACATTTGGGGATGTTAGGTTGAGAGCTGGAAAACCCCAAGCCTCTGGCTCAAAAACCCAGAGCTTGCTAGGAGCACTTGCAGGATACGCCCGTGTCCTGTCACCTGCCTAAAGAAGCCTTTCGGGCCGGGCACAGTGGCTCACGCCTGTAATCTCAGCACTTTGGAAGGCTGAGGTAGGTGGATCACCTGAGGTCAGGAGTTCGAGACCAGCTTGGCCAACCTGGTGAAACCCCATCTCTACTAAAAATACAAAAATTAGCTGGTACGGTGGTGGGCACCTGTAATACCAGCTGCTCGGGAGGCTGAGGCAGGAGAATTGCTTGAACCCAGGAGGCAGAGGTTGCAGTGAGCCAAGATCACACCATTGCACTCCAGGCTGGGCAACAGAGTGAGACTCTGTCTCAAAAAAAAAAAAAAAGAAAAGAAAAGAAAAGAAAAAAGACCTTTGGGTGCTTGTCAGCTTCTTGGAAGTGAAGCCAGACCATTTCCTTGCTCAAGCCAAAGAGCTCATTGACTCAAGGAGCATCATAGCAACTGGGCTGCATCTAAAAGGGAAGAATCAAGGGCGTGATCCACAACCAAGGCCTGAGGAAGCAGGGCCCATAGTTGACCTGCACAGTATGAGTCATGACCCATGTGCTGGGGCTCTAGCCATGGGCGGTGCCTCTTGCCATTTCCAGCTTCCTCCTGCAGAGGGTGGGTGTTAACGGTCTTCATTGCTCATAACCTTCTCAAAGGCACGAGTTTCGGTTTCTGCCTTCCCTGAATCAAGTCTTCTACATTGCAGTTGCTGTAACAAAAACTATTAGCAACAACACAGCACTACAGAAGCAAGCTCCTTGCTAACAGTGATTGCTGATGACATTGTCTTCTAGAGACCACTCTAGTGGCTCGGCAGCCTTGGTATAGAGCTGATGATAAAAACTTTTCCTGCTTTTGCCAGTCATGAGGAGCATTTCTTTGTCTAGATAAGGGAACTGAAACCCACTGGCCAGCCAGAATATACTCAAAGCAGTCATTGGGATACGAATCCCACCATCATCTCCCATGTTATCCCTTTTGTTACCTTTAAATATGGTCCCATTTACTCAGGACCAATATTCCCTTATGTGGAGAGCAGGACTAGTGCCCTTGAGTTACTTACGGTGACTCATCTTTGAGTGGGGAATGTGTTAGTATTTTCAGCAAATGTTAAGTGTGATGAAACATTTGCTGAACTGTCTCCCCGTTTCGAAATAAGCTAACAGCACTCAGGGGCTCTATTTACAGCAATTGGGTGGAGTCAGGAGTGGGAACGCATCTTGCACTGTCACCTTGATTGACAATAGCTCTGACCTGTGGAGGATGGTCAAGTCCTGTCTCCTATAACGTGGGGCAGTGATGGGTCAGGGTCATGGCTCCTGCATTTGGGTGAGGCCTTCTCATCACTTTTAGACAAGCAAGTTCAGGGTGACCGCAGGCCTCCCCACTTCCATCAGTATCCTCCCAACTCCCCCTGACCTCTCTCACGAAGCTCCCCACCAATTCAGAGATCCAGTCCTGAGGGGCTAAAAGAAACATTCATTAACCTGTCTAGAGAGTCATGAATAATTCATGAATTACATTGAATTCATCCCTAGTATAACTATCTTCAGAAATTCAGACTTGGTAACCCGGTAGCCCCCTTCCTCAATGTCTTTCCAAGGCCCCAGGTGATCTCTCTGTTCCATACATAATGCTTTACACAGCAAAGTGCTTCTGGGGGTGGGAGCCCGCTGACCTTCCCTGGAATCCTGACTGCAGGTTCTGTTTAGAACATGGGGTCTCATTTTGAGAAGCTCTTGGTATTTATCATTCACAAGAAGTTCACAGGCTCCAGAAAACACAGGACAGCATTCAGGGAAAGAGAAGTGGTAGAGACGGAGACACCTGGTCAGTGTGGCCAGAGCATCCTGGGGGAAATGCACTGAAGGACAGCAGGGCAAATGCACGTGGGTGGCTGGGGAGAGGAGCAGTGCAGATGGCAAAGACACTGTCCAGACAACCTCCCAACTCAAGAGAAGGGACTGAATCTAAGAGGAGAAGAGGAGGGATGAGACAAGATGCTGAGGGTGCCACAAAGTCAGAAATCATTTGAAGTCAATGAAAGTCAGACACCTATAGATGTGACTGTGGTTTGCTGATAGAAGAAACAATGCTGGCCATATGTATTAAATACATGGATATTACGGGAAAGAAAACATCTTTTGAGGCTAGACTTAATTTTCCTTCTATCTGAACAAGGGTTTGCTTATGATTTATACTTTACTTACATTTTTCAGCTTTGTAATAAGTTGAGCTGGTTGATATAGTGTGCAAGATATTTACAAAAACAACAGAAAAAGAATAAAGTCCTTAAAAAGTCTCAACATGAATTGTTTCTGCAGGGCAACTAGGAATTTCCACTCCTGTACCAGAGAGCCACAGATTTGTCTGGACTCCTTAGGGGCCACAAGGACACTGGCTCTGATAATTCAATGGACTACGAAACAAAACAGTGGCTTGCAGTGCCACCATTATGCTTCCAGTCCTTAGGTTTTCAGGGGAGATAGTATTCATTTATTCTACAAATATTTATTTAGGATGTATGTGATGTCAGGCAAGTTATAAGCACCATGGTTGACAGGCAGAGACAGACAATAATCAAATGAACAAATAAAGAGTAATTAAGACTGCTGATTTTGGAATTAAATAGTTCTGAGAATAAATTATGGTTCAGATTCTTCACAGGCATGTAACTTTGAGCAAGTCTCTAAAACTTATGGAGCCAACATTTCCTCACTTGTAAAAGGGGAATTAAACTGCCTACCTCTGTGGGTATTTTGAAGATTAAAGAGATAAGTGTGGTTACCAAAAAAAAACTCCAGAATAGAGCTACTATTATTCTTCTTAAAGGTGTTTTGGAATCTAA
This sequence comes from Homo sapiens, assembly GCF_000001405.40. NCBI lineage: Eukaryota > Metazoa > Chordata > Mammalia > Primates > Hominidae > Homo > Homo sapiens. Next base: position 87,795,244 of record NC_000009.12, read on the forward strand.
TAGTGCCCCTATCTCATGGAAACACCACTGTTGGGTCTTGCCTTAAGACATACCACTGAAGATTTTAGGCAGAATTGTCAGAAAACACAGGAAAGTAACAGGGCGTGTGATAAGCTCTTGAGACCTGGGAGGTCTTAGAACAGAGACGGACAGATAGGGACACGAGGCTGTAAACATGACCTGAAGCCATGTCAACAGGCTGCCTCTGCTGAGCTCTCTTCTGTGGTTCGATGTAGGGTTAAGAAGTTCCTGTGCCCTTGGGATTTCCTAGCCAAACCAGCTCCCATCCTCATTGCTTTCTCCCCTGTTGTTTCTGCTTTTTGTGCCCCCAGATATGTATGATGCACTGAAAGAGATCAAAGGATTTTAAAAATCAACTGATTTTTAAAATTCTGACTTAAGACAAGGATTTTAACAACAGACATGCAAATAAAAAAATCAATATTCAGCCATAGGTCAAATAGTCTATTCTTCCCAAATAGACTTCTGTGTCCACAATGGTCCTGAAAGTCAAGCTCTGAAGACGGTAAAACATTCTCCAAACGCAGGAGCCAATTTGAAAACCTCCCCTATAAGCTGAGAGGTCAATGTTATCAAGAAATTAATTGTTCCTGGCCTAGTGCGGTTGGAGGAAGAGAGGAGAATAGTTGTCCCCAAGACTGCGAGAGGGGCAGGAGTTTCTGCAGGAGGCCGAGGGCTGTAGCCTGCTTGCACTCATGCCTTGGTGGCTGGGCTTAGAGCACATAGGATCTGGATTATTTCCACAGCCAGGCTTGGCATGGAGGGTGGGGAGGCAGGTCAGACATCTTGAAGTGACCAAAGGCAGCAAAAGACAGACTGCTCAGAAGACCCCAGGACGCCTCACAACCATGGGGAGGAGGAGTGGCTCCCTGAAGAATAAAAAAGACTAGATTTTTTTGGGTGGCATTTAATCCAAATTTGTTTTAAAAAGATAAAGGAATGTGGTAGTTCTGGGAAGTTGTGGTGGAGTAACTGAGCTCAAGGGCAGCATGGGTGAAACAGAAAGGAGCTAATTAGTTCCTTTCTAATGAAATACCAGGAAATGAAAGGAAATGACAGATGATTGATGAGGCCTGGAGAATTTAAGTTTACAATTTCTCCTTAGGCTTGTGCTGTAATTCCCATGGCCATACTTTAATGTCCAGTTCTATTCAGGCACTAGCAAGGATAAAGGTTAACAAACATAGAAAAGAAAGTGTCAGAGTCTCTTTGATGGGTTAGGGCATTTTCACTCATCGGTCACGTGCACTCAGCCATGGGGTAATGCTTCCTGGCTGGTGACCTTCTTTCCCACACCCCATCCTCCTCCCCCATGAGTTCTCTACATTGCTGTTACAGAGGTAGCTGTTCTTGGCTGATGCCTTACAATTTGCATGGTGGAGTGTTCAATGAACTCAGAGGGATCTGCATAATCTAGGTACAAATCCCATCAAGGCTGAGACAGACAGCATTCCTAGAATAATCAAGACTTAGTGCCCAGGATCACCCATCCAGAGGCTTTGCATAGGGTGGACAGACACAGCCCTGAGGGCCCACAGCTTGAAGAGTTGAGTGCCGGCTAAAATTTGGGCCCTGCAGGATCTCCCTCCAGGCACCACTCTGCAGCCTACAAAGTTTGCAAGGACTGACAGATAATTGGCTGCAGCATGCAAGACCCAGAGCTCACCCCTGCTTTCTCAGAGCTCACCTTCTAGAACACTCTGGGAAGGCAGAAGTCAAGGCTGGCTTGCCACATTCACACGCTAGAACCAGGTACCTGGATGCACCCTTGTTATGCTCACCAGTCTCCCAGGCTATCACCACTGTTCTTGGGAAAGCTCACACTATTGGTGGGCCCAACTTGTTCTTGTACTCTGTTTGTTGTTGTTGTTGTTGTTGTTGCTGTTGTTTTGAGACGGAGTTTCGCTCTTGTTGCCCAGGCTGGAGTGCAATGGCATGGTCTTGGGTCACTGCAACCTCCACCTCCTGGGTTCGAGTGATTCTCCCGCCTCAGCCTCTCGAGTAGCTGGGATTACAGGCACACGCCACCACGCCCAGGTAATTTTGAAATTTTAGTAGAGATGGGGTTTCTCCATGTTGGTCAGGTTGGTCTTGAACTCCCAACTTCAGGTGATCTGCCCTCCCTGGCCTCCCAAAGTGCTGGGATTACAGGCATAAGCCACCGCACCAGCCTCTTGTACTCTCTCCAAGGGGTGGCAAGTTTTTCTTACTCACCTGCCTATTGGGAACCAACTTAATATTTTTATTGTGGTAAAATAGACATAACATAAAGTTGACCATTTTAACCATTTTTGAGAGTACAATTCAGTGGCATGAAGCTCATTCCCATTGCTGTGCCACCATCACCACCTTCCATCTCCAGAACTTTCTCTTCAACCAAAACTGAAACTCTTAACCCATTCAGCACTAACTCCCCACTCTCCTCTCCCTAGCCCCTTAATTGTAACAGGAATGAAGATAATAATAATGTTCATTTCTTGTTGACTTTCTTATTGGTAACCTGTCCTTGATTCAGCCAGAAGTAGCCTTCATCTTGGGAACTGTTAGGATTATTAAAGGATAAATGGAAAGTAAAAGAGTCAAACGTTCAGAGTTTAAATTCCAAAACACAAGTTTTGAGCCCCTGGCTTTCAACAAAAAACAAGGCTCTATACAGACAGGTGAAATGTCCTTCCAAATTCCAACAGGCTCCTGGGAAGCTGGGTGGACACTCAGGATGGCCTGGCTCCAGGTCACCTTGCCTTGCGCCACTGTCTTTAGGAGTGAAAACAATCTGTGAGCAGCATCATAGCTGGGCTAACAAATAGTGGAGCGAGTATCGTGGAGGAGGATTCAAGGCTTCTTTATAACCTGGAAGACAGAACAAGGGACGAGAAATACAGGTAGCAAGTGTCAGCTCACGTAGGAATTAAAATCTGCTTTTCCAATTCTCCATCCCTGGGACTGTTTGAGCAGACTGCCTGGCCCCTGTGTTTCATGGTGGGTGATGCTCTGGATGAACTGAGAAACCTCCCATTTCCTCTTGACTCTTAGATCCTGTGCCCTTATTTTAAGAGCAACCAGAATGACTGTGTTTCCTAAAGTGTGGCCCTCCCGCAGGGGCCTTGGGTAAGTTTCAGTGTTCAAGGGATGGAATAAACATGGTCATGAAATATGTCATGAGATGGGGCCTGAGGGCTTTCCCTGCACTTCTATGCATAGCAAAGAGCAAAGGCTCTTGAGCAAACAAAACACAGCAATAAACCTTTAGAGTCATGTGGCCCATGGTGAACTTATCACTAGTCCAGGGAAATGGAGGAAACAGAGGAACACTGGGTGGTTATTTTTCCTAACATTAAATTATTCCATTGAAGGAAATTACCACTGTTCTACCACTATAACTTTCCTAGTTTTGTTAGTTCCCTTCCCCTCCCCTCCCCTCCCCTCCCCTCCCCTCCTTTCCCCTTCCCTTCCCTCTTTCTCTCCTTTCAGGGTACTATAATTGGTGACAGCATTGGATAGTTGTTGCTTTCAACTGTTCTGTTAGTTTTATGGAAGGGTAACTTAAAATGTCACTGGGAAAAGACAGATAAATCCACAAGTAGGAACATTCTACAAGATAACTGGTTTTGCATTTTTGCTCTATGGCTGGGTTTTTAAACCGCACCCCAGTGTTGAATGTCACACAACTGGAGCAAAGCCTCCTATTTTGGGTCATTTCTTCCAGGAATCACTTGCTGGGGGGTTGAATGTGTTCCTTGAATTATGATTACCCTCTGTGTCTGCGCACACATTCTCTGCCTTAGGTCCCCCAAACATTGTCTCCATGAGAACACCTTACTGCCTTTTCTCAATGGTTTTTGCACCCAGGAGGCCTGTTTGGAGCTGGTAACTCCACACCGCATGGAAAGCAGCCATCCTGAAGGCTGCCAGTAATAGCAGGTTAGTACCAGGTGCCCAGGGGGAGCGAAGAGGGACCCAGTCACCCAGGGCAGCGGGCACTGCACTCCAAAACTATCAGGCACTGGAAACAAAAGCAACACACAAGACAAAATGACAGCTTCTAAGGTGAGCCGAGAACTGCAGTTCAGAGCGTCACTTGAGGCTGTACGTGATTGTCACATGTCTGGAAATATTATCAGTAGTTGGCCCATTTCCACACTGCCTCCCAAGGCTCATACCACCTCCAAGAACTGGAATTTGGGACAGATGTGAGTTCCTGGTGCTCCTCACAGCCTCCTGCCTGGACTACTAGGGGCTCACCTCGCCTGCACTGTGGAGCTGCTGAGCAATGCACCTGGGGTACCCCTGGATGACCAGAGGGTTCAGCTGGTCCTGCACTTCGCACACAAACTGCTGCAGTGACATCAGCTGGTTGGGTCCATTGAGGTTCCACCAGGAAGGCAGCATGGAGATGATTTTCTCACACAGGTGAGTCATGGGAGGGCAGACCTAGAAGAAGCAGGGCAGGACAGGTTAACTCACCTGCAGCTGTGGGTGCCCTGAGCGGAGCTGCGGTGGAGAGGACATCTTTCATTCAGGTGCCTTGCAGGTGATTTGGTGAACAAATAAGCACGTTTATGCTTGAGTACTGGGACAGTTATTATTTTAGTTACCATCAAGTGGAATCAATTTATCAAATATAAGGTTTTATAGAGGCTCTTCAGTTCTACTGGAAATCTATTAAACAGATTTTGAGTCTTCCAAGAATGTTTTTGGAATTGTGGACTCAGTCACTCAATCAACTAATGTTCACCAACTCCTAATGTTTCACTCCCTCACTTCTTCCTCCCTCCCTCCTTTCTTCCCTCGCTGTCTCTCCCTCCTGTGACTGTTTCACTCATGTAATGACCACTTTATGAACAAAAAGAGGAAAAGAGCATGAGTATCATCATCAATGTCAGAGTGGGTTTTGACCAGTAAATTAGCATTCATGGGGACTGTTGTTGAAATATTGTTTCAAATTAGACCAATTCTTGGTAATTAGCTTGAAATGATTTTCTAACCTTTTAAGTTGGTTAAATAAATCAGCCTATGTTACAGATTCATATAATTGACGCACCTCCTGATTAGAAACCACACATGCCATGCCCTGCACTGCGCCGTTAATTCCACACTCCCCTCTCAAATCCTTTTATATCAACTAAATTCCACTCCCTATTCCCAAAACAGGATTCTCAGGGGTGAGTGCAGTTGACGTGGTGGGCTCCACCTGCCTGAGCTCAGGAGTTTAGGGGTTGGGTGGGGGGTATCTGAGAAGCAGCAGATCATGCCACAGCCCAGCTCAAAAATCTCCAGGGACACTCCCTCCTGCCTCAGGAATGCAGCCCCAATCCAGACCTGGTGGGGAAGTGCAGGGGCCCTCACAGACAGACCACTGTTAGTTCCTAGATCACCGCCCCTGGTTTCTGTGACAGATTCCTCCCAGGCCTCGCCGGACTACTCCCTTTGTGTTTCCCGAGAATTCCAAAAGCATGTCTGGATCCAGCGCCTGCTGTCGGGAGTGCAGGGTTTTGGAAGGGGGGCCCATAACAGGAGGTGGCCCCTGCTGGACAGCAGAGGGGCCCAGAGCTGACACTCAGGCTTGGGCAGTAGGAACCTTCTGAGAACGCGTTACCACTTTCCACTGGGATGTCTGCCCTTTTCTTACTAATTTTGGAGAGCTTTTTGAATATTATGGGTAGTAGTAACCCTCTAGCTGTGAAATGCATTGAGAATATTTTTTTCCAGGTCTATTTCACTTTGTAACTTTGTGGAATATATTTGCCAGAAAGTCTTTTTTTAAAAGTGTGTCAAATATGTACATTTTCTTTAAACATATCTAGGGTTTTAAAAGGTTTCTAAACTTCCAAGTCATTTTAAAAACAAGTTTTCCCAAATTTCCATTCAAGAGATTGTTGTATCATTTCACGGTGAAAAGCTCTAATCCATTTATCTTTATGCTCTGTAGTGAGCGGGAGTTCAACGTTGTTTACCTTTAGGCAAATAGCCAGCTGTGTCAAGATCGCTTATCAAACAAACATTTTCCCCATTAAATTGAAATAACATATTTTGCTTTCTATAACATTTCTGTAGATATTATGATTGACTTCTATACTCTCTAGGCTGTTCCTATAACTTATTTAATCATATTGATTATAGAGCCTTTATAATGTTTTATTTATTCTTCTATTAAAGTTATAAGATAGGAAACTCAATCTCCTTAGTCCCATTCAGATGCTAACTGGAACTCTATTAAATTTATATAACTCAGAGAAATTGAAACATCCAGTCCTATCTTGCTATCAGGGATAGCAATCTCCTTCCATTTTTTTCATCTACTATTTTATGTCCTTCAATAATTTTGTTAGTGACGGTTTTTCTACTTCTCTGAATTTTCTAAATATTCCACAATGTCACTTTGGAATTACTTTTGTAATTCGAGGGCAGGATCTGGGGGCCCAGGACAAGCTTCTCCTCTCTCTGCTGCCACAGCCAGTTCTGCTCCGGGGAGCTCAGGGGACACCAACTTTCCAGAGAACAAAATGCACATGGACTCTGATTCTGTCTATTCATTAGAGACAGAAAGTCATAGTTGATGCTGAGATACAGATGTAGGGAATGTTTTCTTTCAATGTTTCAGTATGTTCCTTGCTCTCAAATATTTCTGAAGGGTGAAGCTTTACATCTTCCCAGGACTACTTCATCCAGCAACCATGGCGTGCTCTGTGCAGCACCCCAGCTGGTCTCATGCCACTTGAACAGGAGTCCCCTGCCTGTGGGGTGTGGTCTGGTGCTGATGCACAGGCTCTAAGAGCATCAAGTGACTGTTGACTTGCCTGGCCCAGGGCTAGTGGCATCTTCTCTGGTGGCATCTTCCCATCCACCTCTGGGTCCAGCTGCTGAGCTGTGCCTTCTATCCAGGGCTCCCTCAGACTCAAGGCTGCAGGTGCACACCCCAGGTCAAGTTTTCCCCACACCGGGCAGGAGGAAAAGGTGCTATGGGGCCTGTGTGCACGGCCTCCTGCCTCTTTACAGCCTCAGGCAGATGCTGGTTTAACTGTAGGTGAAGCTCCTTATTTCCAGGTACTGGATAACACTCTGCCTACCCCTCTGGAGCCAATGGACCACCTGGGCATTAAGCAATGGGGGCCTCCATGGGGTTGCACACATCTCTTGTTCTTGCCAGGTCCTCCCAGAGGCTGCATGGCTTTGCTAGAGAGCTCTGAGACTGAATGTTGCCTCTGACATTGACTAGGCATGACCTTACCAGGGCCCACACACTCCAATGCATTTCTGCGCAGGGTACTGTCCTTCTCCCCTGGTTGGGAATGTCATCACAGAGCAGAATTTCACACCAGGGGCAGGACCTGCTTCTGAGGTCTCTCTCCTGTTCCAAGGGACTCTTGACTCTTGGAGTTGGAGTGCAGGTGGAGAACATCATGAAATCAGAGCCTGTGTCCCTCTAAGTGGAGCAGCTGCCGCCTCCCCGCTACCCAGCACCACGGAGGAAGGTGCATCCAGTGTGGAACAGGCTTCCCACAAGAAGCCAAATATCCACATTTTTAGGTGTGATCTCCTGATTTTTAAATGACAGTCAATGTCCCCCCTCCCCTCCTCATACTCAACAGAGCACTGCAGCTTGTAGGGGAGGCCCCCATCTGCTGTGTTCCTCTCGCCTGGGAAGACCCACCTCGAACTTCTGAGCCTTGGGTTACTTTCCTCTGAAATGGGCTCATGAGAGGACCGCACAGATCCTGGCAGTCAAATGACAGGCTCTGTGGACAGCGTCTGGAACCCGGGTGAGCACCAGCTACAGGACTCCCTAGGTCCTTCCCACTGGGCCTGGCTCCTATGGAGGGTCCCACATGTATTCTTGCCCAAGGCTCACTAAGTAATAGAGCCTGGACAGCCCCAGTCCAAGCACCGTCACATCTCCCCTGGTTGCCAAGATCATCTCCTATCAGGTCCCTCTGCTCCACCTCCTGACCCCGAGGCTCCAGTCTGAGCAGCTGGGGGAATTCCTAAACCTAAGGCAGATCTCGCACCAGCCAGCTTAACACACTTGGCCCAAACCCAGTCTCCTCACCCCCCAGGTAAGGTCTATAAAGCCGTGCCACCTCTCGGGTCACGTCGTCGGGGTCACGTCGTCGGGGTCACATCGCTCGCGCATCGTTCTCTGCCTGCACCTCCAGGCCCATCCTCTGGCCCTAGCCCAGTTACCCTCCTTCTTTGTTGTTTTATGCTTGAGCTCCTCCAACCCTTCACTACCTGGCCCCTTGCACTCCCTATTCCTCTGTCTTCCTCCAGCCCTTCCTCGGGCTGCTTCCTTCTTCTTGCCCTTCAGGTCTTGGTTTCAGTGTCACATCAGAGAGGTCCTCATCAGCCAGGTGAAAGTAGACTCCACCATCCTCTCATCTCACTTCATCCTGTTTCAATTCCCTGCATGGCACCTACCCCAGGAGGCAGCAACCCTTTCTGTAGAGGGCCAGATGGTCTCTGTGGCAACTCAACTCTGCCATGTATGAACACCAGCCGTAGACAAGAGCGTGTGGCCGTGTCTCAATAAAACTTTATTTACAGAAGCAGGTGGTGAGTTGTAGGCTGTTATTTATCACCCATTGATTCAACTTATGCTATCTGGCATTTTTCTGATCTGTTTCCTGGCTGGGTTCTGCCGATTTTGTTCACCGTGGTCTCTGCAGTGCCCAGAACAGCTCTTGGCATGCAGTAGACACTGGGAATATCTTTTCAGTGCATGAGTGAATCAGTGTTATTTGGTAACAGCATTGCTCTTTGAAGCCCTGGTGGATCTCCTAGTTTCTAGTTTCCTTTATTCCAGCACCAACTGTGGCAATTTATTTTCATTTTTCTCATCAGAAAAGAGGACTAAACATCTGCAAGCTAATGAGGAGACCATCCACGGTCTGGGAAGGCCAGATAAGAGCGCTGAGAGGCAATGTGGCCCCGCCCACGTGGCAGGGTGTAGTGAGAGCCCATGGATGGAGCAGCAACTCTTAATTATGCAAATGCAGCTTGCAGGTGGTGAATTTTTCATTCTGGGCAAACTCCCCCTTTTTTTTTTCACTTTTCAAAATATTCCTGGGCACCTTTCTTCACTATCTGATGAAGTAAAGGCACACTACTTTTAATATCAGCTCATGGAAAATCTGATTAGAAGGAGAATCAAACAGAATAAAAATATGCCAACTCCTGAAACTCTTATTTTAAAATCCGATAAGAATGGGACTTGCAGCGACTGTAGTAAAATGGATGCTGATATAAAATCAAGATGCATCCCCCATCACTACCTGTCATAGAAGGAGTCCCTCCTTTCTTTTAGAAGGAGAACTGGGTTTGGCTAAGCAACACCAGCATCCTCAGGCAGATATGGATAGCTGTGTTGATGGCCGATGTGACACCTCGGTTCTTGTCTTCTTGGTTTAAAAGAATTTAAACAAAAGGCACACAGCAAAGGAGATGAAGCATAGAGTGATTTTATTGCAAAGGAGAAAGAATATTTTGAAAGTTAGGTGCAGAAGAGACAGTACACCCTTAGAGAGAGGGAGTTCGGGGCGGCTGCTCCTTAGGGTGAGAGGGTGAGACAGCATTGATCGTTGTTGGAGAAACCCCCTTTATGGGAGTCTTACATGATTATTAATAGGGAGGTGGGAAGAGGTTTTGCTAATAAGCATGTTCTGGGTGGTCTTCTGGGTGCACATGTGTAGTAACTGTACATGCTGGTTCATATGTCCCATGTCTCATTAACATCTTAAATCTCTACCCAGTGGTGGTTTTTTTCTTTTTTCTTTTTTTTTTTTTTTGGAGATGGAGTCTTGCTCTGTCACCCAGGCTGGAGTGCAGTGGCACAATTCTGGCTCACTGCAACCTCTGCCTCTGGGGTTCAAGCAATTCCCCTGTCTCAACTTCCTGAGTAGCTGGGATTACAGGTGCACGCCACCACACCCGGCTAATTTTTTGTCGTTTTAGTAGAGACAGGGTTTCACCATGTTGCTCGAGCTGGTCTTGAACTTCTGAGCTCAGGCAATCCACTCGCCTTGGCCTCCCAAAGTGCCAGGATTTCAGGTGTAAGCCACCGCGCCTGGCCATGTTTTTTACAATTATGAGCAAAGGGTCATTTTGAGGAGAGGTAAAATCAAAATGTGCATGCTGTCTAGAAGGGAAACTCCCCACTGAAGATAGCGTTGCTTGTGTGAGCTCAATTACAATGCAAATGCTAAGACTTACTGTGTTGGCTGTACGGTCACTGGTAACTGTGGTTGCTGCATCCCAAAAACATGGCCATTTCCTTGACTACCTATCCTGCCTCAGCTGCACTGGGCTTTGTTTTATTGGTAGCAGTGAGCACAGAGGAGTAGAAGGTGCAACCTCCTTCTGCAATAAGGTGGTACCTACAGCCAGGGTGGAGGTGTGGGGGCTATTAGAGACCCCTAAAACAATGGTGAACTGGTCAGCTACCTCTGGTGGGCAGGCAGGCATCGATCTGTAGCATTTGCTGATTCTTGTGGTGTAAATGCTCCCACCCTGGCTGATTTCAAGTACCCCGTGTGATGTCACTGAGTTGGGAAGACATGCACGGCTCTCAGGGACATCACTGGAGGCTCCTGCACACCACTGCCCTAGTTCACTTCCTGTGAACTTTCAGAGTAGATCCCACACAGATCAGCCCCTGGCCCATGTTCTTTCTTTCCCCGGGAACTCCAACCTTGGCCTCAGTCACCTTCAATGCTGTCCTGCCCCACCCATTTGGGGAGCTCACTTGGGCCCCTGGAATGCCCTGTCTGCAAGGTCCTATTTCCCATGGGGCAGCCCCCTGCACTGTCTAATAATGAAAACAGCTAGTCCCTCTCCCCTGCCCATCCTCCATTGGTCCAGGGAAACAAGAAGACTTTGGTTTTCTTTCCAGATGCCCAGTCCCATTGATTCTCTAGCAAATGTAGTTTAAAAACACATTCCTAGGCAATGTCAACTGATGAGAGCCGGGAACACAGAAAGTATTTCTTTTGCTCATTTGGCCCATTTGGAAACCAAATAACATGGCCACCTCCTTCAGCTCTTCCGGATACAGACCTCTCCCCACCACTGTGTGAGATCTACTCTGATCCAGCTCCACAGTGGCTCTTGCAGAGTATGGCAGCAACCCAGGGGGCATCAGACAATGTGTGTAGGTATTGTTTTGGTTTTCACAATATGGGGCTATAGGGGATGCTAGCATGTTAGATGCTTGGCAGCCACAGACAAGAAATATCCTGTAAGGACAGGAGTTCCTACTCACCCAAATCCCCAAAGGCATCCAGTGAGAAACACCGAGAAATATCAAGAGAAAGGACATGGAAAGGAAGAAAATGGTCCTAAGATGCTCTGAAGGGTGAATGACCTCTTCTTCCCCTTCCCTCTCCCACATCACGTGCCCCATTGTCTCCTGCTCAAGGTGACCCGAGTCAGAACTGCAGGTCAGCCCCTTCCTGGCTTCCTCCGCAGGCACTGTCTGCTCCTGAACTCCCACCACAATCCTCAGCGATGCATTCTCCAAAGAAGCCGCTGTGACAGCTGTCATTTTCAAAAACCAAATTCCAGTACCGGGTGTGCCCAGGTGCCAAGCAGTTATTTGTGTGGGGATTTATGTTCACCCACAAGGAAGACAGACTGTGATTAGCAATGCTTGGCAAACAATTCATCCCATTATGGCTAATCCAGACGCTAAAGTCAAGAGCCCACTGAGGGATGACGAAGGTAAACAACCTCAAGGGGCTCCTTGAACATGGAGTCTAGAAGATTCTGCTGAAGGTAACGGGGATACCAAGTCCTCACAGCTCCACAGATGCTGGAAGCATTCATATGCACTTCACGTGTCCATCAGTGGATGAATGAGTTTTTATATGTGGCATATATTCATAGTGGAATACTGTTCAGCCTTAAAAAAGAAGGAAATGCTATGATTTCCCACAAGACAGCTAAGCCTGGAGGGCAACGCATTGAGTGAAATAGGCCAGACACAGAAAGAGAAATATTAATACTAAATGTCTCCCTTCTACGTGGAATCTAGTAGAGTTGAACTCATAGAAGTAGAGAGTAGAATGGTGCTTACCCTGAGATTGGGGTATGGTTAGGGAGACGTTGATCACAAGATACAAAATTTGTTAGACAGGAGGGAAAAAAAGGAAGAAGGATGGCCAAAGACCCATCATTCTCCTCTACTAAAAAAACTCCAGAAATTCAGACTTAGTAACTCCCTCCCTGAATGTCTTTCCAATGCCCCAAGTGACCTCGATGCTCCATAGACAACGCCTTCAACAGCAAAGTGCTTCCGGGGGTGGGAGCAAGCTGACCTTCCCTAGAATCCTGACTATAGATTCTGTTTAGAATGTGGGGTCTCATTTTGAGAAGCTCTTAGTATTTAACATTCACAAGAAGTTCACAGGTTCAAGAAAACATAGAACAATATTCAGGGTAAAGAGAAGCAGCAGAGATTGGCTGGGTGTGACGGCTCACACCTGTAATCCCAGCACTTAGGGAAGCTGAGGCGGGCAGATCACCTGAGGTCAGGAGTTCGAGACCAGCCTGGCCAACATGGTGAAACCCCCATCTCTACTAATAATATAAAAGATGGTGGCAGGCGCCTGTAATCCCAGTTACTTGGGAGGCTGAGGAAGGAGAATCTCTTGAACCTAGGAGGCGGAATTTGCATTGAGCCAAGATTGTGCCACTGCACTCCAGCCTGGGGGACAAGAATGAGACTCCATCTCAAAACAAAACAAAACAAAACAAACAAACAAAGCAAAAGAGAAGCAGCAGAGATAGAGACACCTGGTCAGTGTGGCCAGAGCATCCTGGGAGAAAATGCACTGAACGACAGAGGGGGCAAATGCAAGTGGGTGGTGAGGAAAGGATCAAGGCAGACAGAAAGGACACCGCTCAGATAAACCTGCTAACTTGGGAGAAAATAATAGAGACAGGAGACAGCCAAATGCCACCCAGGTCATTGTGCACAGGGGGCTTGCCTAAACATGCCCACGGTGAAAAATTCCTTCCCTTAACACATGCGCAGTAAGGGAAATAAAACAATGTGGAGTGGCTCAGACTAAGGGCTGGCCTCTGCACTAGGGGAAAGGGGGGGTGGAGATACCAGGAATTTACGCCTTATGCAGCGGGGAGAAGCCTGTACTCTTCATCTCGTGTGTGGTGGCCTGGTATTCAGTCTGTGAGGTGGGAGCCTGTTGGCAGGATCCCCCTTTTTTTTTTTCACTGAGGCTTTCTTTTAATAAATTCTGCTCTCCTCACCTTTCAATGTGTCCATGTGCCTAATTTTTCCTGGTCATGAGACAAGTACCTGGGTTTTAGCTGAACTAAGGAGCACAAAATTCTGCATCTGAAGGACTGAATCGAAGAGGAAAAGAGGAGAAAGAAAGCTGAACGCTGAGGAATGCCACTAGGTCCGAAATTATTTGAAGTCAATGAAAATCAGTCACCTGTAGATGTGATTTTGGTTTGTTGATAGGAGGAACAGTATTTGCCATAGTGTTTAGAGTATTGATATTTTGAGGAAAATTTCTCATTTGTGGCTTGATTGGTTAGCTCCCTCTGAAAAACATTTTGTTCATGAATTCTATTTAAATTTGTGAGCTTTGTAACAACTTGAGGAGGTTGATCTAGCATGTAGGATTTTTTTTTTTAATGAGTTCTTGCTCTGTTGTCCAGGCTGGAGTGCAGTGGCGTGATCACAGCTCACTGCAGTGTCAACCTCTCCAGATTCAGGCGATCTTCCCACCTTAGCCTCCCCAGTAGCTGGGACTACGTTTGCATGCTACCACGCCCAGCTAGTTTTTGTATTTTTTGTAGACATGTAGTATTGTCACATTGCCCAGGCTGGTCTCAAACTCAAGAGATCTGCCCACCTTGGCCTTCCAAAGTGCTGGGATTACAGGAGCAAGCCACTGCATCCAGCTATTCTTCTTCTTTTTTTTTTGTTTTTGAGACAGGGTCTCCCTCTGTCACCTAGGCTGGGGTGCAGTGGCACGATCTCAGCTCACTGCATCCTCCGCCTCCTAGGTTCAAGCGATTCTCCTGCCTCAGCCTCCCGAGTAGCTGGGACCACAGGCATGCTGATTGGTTTCAGGAGGGGACTAATCAGAGGCTGAAGTGAAACCAATCAGATATTTGCATAGGATGTAACTTTGTAACTTCACTTCAGCCTCTGATTGGTTGCCTTCCACAACCAATCAGACTGGTTGCAGGCCACTTTTTCATTTACATAGGGTGTAAACCAAGTAACCAATAGGAACCTCTATAGAGTACTTAAACCCCAGAAAATTCTGCAATCAGCGCTCTTGAGCTGCTTGCTCAAGCCCACTCCCACTCCGTGGAGCATACTTTGGTTTCAATAAATCCGTGCTTTTGTGCTTCATTCTTTCATTGCTTTGTTTGCTAGGGTTTCCGGGTAGGAAGAATGGCCCCAAAGATACCCCAATCCCTAGAGTCTGTGAATACCAAGCATTACATGGCAACAAGGAGTTTTCAGATGTAATCAGCGTACGGATTTCAAATAGGAAGATCACACTAGGTCATCCTGGTTAGATTAGTCCAACCTAATAAAACTGGCTTTTATAAGCAGAGAACTTCCTTTGGCTAGGGACAAGGGAGATGAGGCAAGACGGGGAGGTGGTGTCAGAGATTCAAAATTTTGACTAACTACTGCTGCTTTTGAAAATGAAGGGCTACCAAGCCAAAGAACACGGGCAGCATTCAGCAGCCAAGAAGGACCCTGGCCATCAGCTAGCAATGAAACGAGGACCTTGATCCCACCACAGAAAGGAACTGAATTCCGCCAACAACCTAAATGAGCCTGGAGACAAATTCTCCCCTGGAGCCTCTTGATAAGGAGCCAGACTGGCTGTCATCTCAATTTTGTACTCAGGAGACCCTAAGCAGAAAACCCAGCCAAGCCGACTGGACTTCTGACCTACAGAAGTGGGAGGCAATCAACAAGTGTTGTTTGCTGCCTCTAAGTGTGTGGTGATTTGTTCTGGCAGCAAAAGAAAATGAATGCCGTTAAGAGGTGAGGTGCAGAAAGAAGAAACAGAGTGGGTCTTTGGATGCCCCCTGGAACCTAATACTATGTTTGACATTGGTGTTGCATCCAGATTTCAAAACAAGATCCCGGCTGTCCTTCTACAGTATCGCCCCAGGAACAACAGAAAGTAGTCACAGGGAGAATCACCAATTCAGTTCTTCTAATGAGGAGCTTAGGAAGACAGAAGTTTGTGGTTTGCCTGCAGTGGCTTTTCTATTTAGTAGGGGGACAGAGATGAGGACTCCAAACTCGTGACTCTCAGCCTAGGAACCTTCCAGAGACCACTCCAGGAGGGACGCATGAAATGTCAGCCCTCCTCACATTTTGCCTGTCTACTCACCTTTCTGTAGACGGCAAAGATGGTTCCAATGGAGGCCAGGCAGTCAATATTGGAAGATTCATCCAGTGGGTCAAAGCAGACCATGTATTTCCTCTAAATCAGAGAGGGAAGCACCACCCAGTCAGCACATCTTCCCATTAGCACAATTGCGCTGTCAGGGCTGTGTGCAGCAGAGAACACCACATGGAAAAAAGATAAGAGAACCATGGCATATCCTTATCGAAAAACACCATGACTTACAGAAGGCAGGGTGTGTCAGCTTACATAAAAATACTCCTTTGGGTTTTGTATTGGACAACTCGCCTGTCCAATGTGAAGACGAGAAGATAAAGTGGGTGGGGTCTTGAAAGACCCACATCCCTACACCTAGCCACTCTGCTGTCACAGGCAGCTCCAGCCATGGAGGGAAGTCCCTGGGTCCTTTGTACAGCCGCCTGTGTGCAAGGTCCTGAGAGAGCCCTTAGTGATGGGGGCTGGAGCCCCTGGCTCATTAGACACCAGTGACAAAACTTCAAGTGAGATGAGGGTCATTTCTCCCTCTACTCAAATTAGTTTTCCCTGACTTTCCAACGAGTATTAGCCTAGTCTCATTTGAGCTTTGTTTCTGTTTTTGTTTTGTTTTGTTTTGTTTTGTTTTGTTTTTTCCATGCTCAGTCAGAGGCAGACAAAAAAAGTTTGATAATCTATAAACTTAGAAATTCCCCAACATCTCTATAGTAATCTAATGTATCCCATAGTGATCCGATTTAGCCCACTCATGCATGTTTTTATTCAGCAGATACTTGTTGAGCTTCCAGCATATGCTAGGAACTGTTCAGGGCACTGGGATTACAGGGGGGCGGCAATACTGGCAGCAAGGCTGATTTCTTGGAACTGAGATTCTAGTGTGAGAACAGGCAGCACACAGGCCAGCACACACACAAATAGGTTGTGGTGTGTGCCCTAAAGAAAACCTACGCAGGCTGGAGGGGCTGGTGACCCATGAAGGGGGTCACATTTGATGACAGTCTTGACTAGCATTAAGGAATGAAGACACACAGAGAGACCCAGAGAACAGATTTTTTTTTTTTTATCAGACAGTCTCATTCTGTTGCCCAGGATGGAGTGCAGTGGTGTGGTTACAGCTCACTGCAGCCTAGAACTTCTGGGCTCAAGCAATCCTCCCACCTCAGCCTCCTGAATAGCTGGGACTATAGGAGCACACCACCATGCCCAGCTAATTTTTCAATTTTTTGTATTTTGATTTATGTTGCCCAGGCAGGTCTCAAATTCCTGAGCTCAAGTGATCCTCCTACTTCAGCCTCCCAAAGCGCTGGAATTGCAGGCGTTAGCCACCACGCTCATCTTAGAGAGGAGAGTTTTAGGCAGAGAGATTAGCAGGTGTGGAGTATTCAAGAGCTGGCATGAAAACCTGTGTAATTCAGACCAATGGTAGAAGACAATGGTAGATTAGACAGGAGAGAGAAACAAGGGTCATGTCAACTGAAGTTGAAAGTTTAAAATAATAGGGGTGATGTGGCTTAAATTGTGTGAGACAAGTGTAAAAGTGCCTTGCACAGTACCCGGCATATAGCAGAGGTTAAATAAATTTGGCTTTACTTTACCTTTTCCATTCTTCCAGCTGATCACAAAGAAATAGCCTCTTGTCCCCAATTTCCAATGTGTAAAAGAAGGGCAAATAGCCCAATAGATGCTATTCTATTTGAGAGAGAGGCAGGTCAGTGCTTTGTTTCATAGTTCATTGAAATATCAGGGCCAGTGTGCTCGTGACTCCTAAGGAGTTCAGCCAACTTTTTGGGTCAAATAGAATAGCATCTATTCTGTGTTACTATATTGCTGCTGAACATTGGTTGAACCTTTTGACCGCCAGCAAATAAAAAGCTATTCATGGACCCATAGTGAATACGGTCCCTCCCTAGCCATGCCCTGCACTAACCAACTTTACCATCGTGTTGAACAAGAGCACAGGATCCTCGTGATTTCCTTTCTAGAGTAGTCTAACAGCTCATCAGGCATGAAGAAATCTCTGCTGGAACCATAACCCCCTTGCAAAATGTGGGGTGAGGGTGGCAGTGGAAACAAGAAGAGGGGTGAGAGTACGAGGCTGTGTTTTACATCTCTTCCCAGGAACTCTGGTTTTTACTGGACTCCACATGTTCAAGCCACTGACAGATAAAGTCAACAGCCGTGAACAACCGCCCACTGAAGTGGTTCCGTACATCACTCTGAACTATTTCCTGAATGAATCACTGTCCTACTGTAGAGTCTTCTTTCACTAGACAGCTCAAGATTTCCAACTAGAAAAGTGGCAATCCATTGTTTCTAGAAAACAAATACTAAGAAATAGAGGAAAAATCCAGAAATTAAAGAAAAACAGATTGTTTCTGGCTTAGTAGCATCATCTAATGGCGAGCAGGGGCACTGCAGCCCCTGGACGCACCTTCCTGGCGATGATGGTCACGTCCTTTTTCTTTTGTATGAGATGGGGATCATGGGCTGAGCAGATGCCCCAAAGGTGTCTGCCATGCTGTATGCAGGAATGCTGAGGTTTCATGCAAAAACGTATGTTGGGATCACTTGACGGGGTGCATGGAAAGTATCCTAGCAGAGTTTTGCTAGTAGAGAATGTGCCCTCCGCTAGTACTCTAGAGTCACAGCCCAGATCCTAGCCTTCGGGTGGAGGTGCCGCCCTATGAACGGCCATCAGACTGTCCTATTGTTCAGAGACTCCTTTCGTCCTTACTACTTCATCTCAGGCCTGTGAGGATCTCTACCAAGCAGAGCAAGCCCATAAATAAATAGCTTTGTGCTCACCAATGCATCAGTGGCGCTGAAATAACTGTGCAGTGGACACCACTCTCCCTCCCTCTGGGCCTTTCAGCTGCTCTGTGTGTCCACGCTGTTGTGTGCCCTGAAAGAACTTTGAGATTTGCTGAAAGGTCTCCAGCTGCAATTTCAGACCATGTGGATAACTCAAATGTCTAACATTTAAATATGGCTGAAAGGGGTCGACTGCTGGGCTGGATGGTGGCAGAAGTAGCAGGCTTTCCCTTGGATCTCTTTACAGGGCAGAGATGACTCCTTACAAATGGCACCAGTAATCCCTCTGCCTCCTGATACCCATCTAACAGAAAAGTGCACCCTGCTCATAAGAAAACCCCAGGCCACATTTGTCTTATGTGACCCTGGTCTCTGGCTACAGCTGACTTGACACAAACTAAGACAATCAGATTTTTTTCTTCTGGAACTTGCTGTGAGACACAGAGACACAGTGGACTGGATGACAATGCTGGGATGTGAAGGATGTGTCCTCGAGGCTAGGAAGGCAGTAGGTGCTGGATTTCATGAGAGTCCCCTGAAATATTCCAACAAATTCCCTTTCTGCTTCAGCCAAAATGAATGGGTTTCTGTTACATACAGCAAAGTTGGCCTTGAGTACAACAACAGATATTACAATTAACATTTTGCAAATGAAGAAAGGGAGACTCAGAGAGGTTAAAAATGTTGCCAAGCTCAATCTACCCCAGTCAGGATAGCATAGATTATGCTGCAGCAATAAATAAGCCAGAAACCCCAGTGGCTTAGTACAGCAAAGATTTGTTTCTCCTTCCCATGCCAGGCTGATAGCAACAGGGTAAGTGGCTCAGGCCTCCAGGCTCCTGCTGAGTCGTGACCCTGTCTCTAAATGCATGGCTTCAGAGGTGGCTCAGAAGGGAAGAGAGAGGATGAAGGATTGAGCCTTGGGTGTAATTCTACCCCCACTCCATTTGACAAAACCCCTGGCCCTCAACAAAAAGCAAGAGAGGCTGGGAAATGTAGTCTTCCTATGGGCCCAGGAAGAGAAATGGGTGTGGGGAGACTGATCTCCACCAGCCTCTCACACAACTGGGATGGGCAGAGGCAGAACCTGGCCTAAGGCCACCCTGACCCCAGCATAAGGCATCTCGCCAGCACTGGTGCCAGCGGCCTTCTCTGCAGCTCACCAGGACTCCACTCTCCATCACCAGCATCTCCATCCACCTCACTCCAGCTGTGGCTGCCACAAGGAGTCCTTGCACCTCATGGCAGCACCTCAGTGCTTCAGGGACCAAAGGATGCATCTCTTTTTATTTTTCTTTTATTTTTAGTTTTTTAATTTTTGTGGGTACATAATAGGTGTATATATTTATGGGGTACATGAGATGTTTTGATACAGGCATGCAATGCATAATAATCAGATCATGAAGAATGTGGTGTCCATTCCCTCAAGCATTTATCCTTTCTGTTACAAAAATCCAATTATCCTTCTTAAGTTATTTTTCAATGTACAATTACTTTATTTTTGACTATAGTCACTCTACTGTGCTATCAAATAGTAGGTCTTATTAATTCTTTGTAACTATTTTTTTATACCCATTAACTATCCCCACCCACCCCTGCCAATCCCCTCCCACTACCTTTCCTAGCCTCTGGCAACCATTCTTCTGCTCTCTATGCCCATCAGCTCAATTGTTTTGATTTTTAGATCCCATGAATAAGTGAGAAAATGCCACGTTTGTCTTTCTGTGCCTGGCTTGTTGCACTTAACATAATGACCTCCAGTTCCATCCATATTGTTGCAAATGACAGAATCTCATTCCTTTTTATGGCTGAATAGTACTCCATTGTGTATATGCACCACATTTTCTTTACCCTTTCATCTATTGATGGACACTTAGGTTTCCTCCAAATCTTAGTTATTGTGAACAGTGCTGCAGTAAACTGGGGAGTGCAGATTTCTCTTCAATATACTGATTTCCTTTCTTTTGTGTATATACCCAGCAGTGGGATCACTGATTTGTACGGTAGCTCTATTTGTAGTTTTATGGGGAACCTCCTAACTGTTCTCCATAGTGGCTTTATTAATTTATATTTCCACTAATGATGTATGAGAGTTTACTTTTCTCTAGATTTATACTCATGTGTGCAGAAAATGCTGAAGATTCTACCAAAAAAACCTGTTAAGATAAATGAATTCAGTAAAGTTGCAGGATACAGAGACAAAATACAGAAATCGGCAGCACTTGTATACACTAATAATGGACTATCTGAAAAGAAAATGTAGAAAAAGATTCCATAGAAAATAGCTACAAAAAAACGAGATGCCTAAAAATAAATTTAACCAGGAGCTGAAAGATCTCTGGTTTGAAAAGTATAAAACATTGGTGAAAGAAATTAAGCGGATGCAAATAAATGGAAAGATATCCTGTGTTCTTGCATTAGAAAAACTAATATTTTTAAGACGCCAGTCCTAACCAAAGCTATCTATAGATTCAATGAAATCTCTATCAAAATACCAGTGACACTCTTCACAGAGATAGGAAAAACAATCCTAAAACTCATATGGAACCAAAAAAGACCCCAAATAGACAAAGCAGTCTGGAGAAGAAGAAAAAGAAAGTAAGCTCCAAACATCATACTGCCTGACTTCAAAATACACAATACACTACAAAGTTATAATAACCTAAACAGGATGGCATTAGCATAAAGAAAGACAAATAGACCAAAGGGACAGAACAGAAAGCCCAGAAATAACTCCATGCATCTACAGCCAACTGATTTTTGGCAAAGTGCCAAGAGCACACATTGCGAACAGGACAGACTCTTCAACAAATGGTGCTTGGAAAACGGGATGTGCACACACAGAATGAAACTGGATTTCTATCCTTCACCAGATAGAAAAATAAACTCAAATGGATTAAAGACACAAATATAAGACCCCAAAATATGAAACTACTAGAGGAAAACAGCAGAAATGCTTTAAGACATTGGCCTGAGCAAGATTATTTTGAACATGACTCCAAAAGAGAATTGAAGCTACTGAAGCCCTGCTTCCTATGAAATCTCCCACCTACTTGAGGGATTCAAGAAGTCCTGAATTTATCCATGTTGCTATGAGGCCAGATATCATTACAGAAACTGTAGTGGAGGTGTCAACTGAGGGGTCTGAACCAACGGATACCTCTCCTATTCCTACATCACCAGATAGCCATGAACCAATGAAAAGGAAAAAAATTGGCTGTAAACCAAAGACCCAACAATCACCAATTTCCAGTGGGTCTCCTGAGTCAGGTATAAAAAAAAAGATGAGAGAAGGAAAAGGAAACATAATATATTTGTGGGAGTTTCTTTTAGATCTACTTAAAGATAAAAATATTTGTCCCCTCTATATTAAATGGATTCAGAGAGAAAAAGGCATATTCAGGCTGGTGGATTCAAAGGCTGTCTCCAAGTTTTGGGGAAAGCATAAGAACAAACCAAACATGAACTATGAAACTATGGAATGAGCTTTGAGATTCTATTACCAAAGGGGAATTATTGCAAAGCTACCAAAAGGGAAGTCTTGCAAAGGTTGAAGGACAGAGGCTTGTATATCAGTTTAAGGATATGCCCAAAACCATAGTGGTCACAGATGATGACAGAAGTGAAATCTGTAATGAAAATTTAGCAGGAGCTACTGATAAAAAATCATTGGAACGAGTGTCACTGTCGGCAGAAAGTCTCCTGAAAGCAGCATCCTCTGTTTGTGATAGAAAAAATTCATCCCCCATAAACTTCTCCAGAGCAGAGAAGAGTGTAGCTAGAGTCGTGAATATCACTTCCCCTGGTCACGATGCTTCATGCAGGTTTCCAACTACCACTGCATCTGTATCAGCAACAGCAGCTCCAAGGACAGTTTGTGTGGCAATGCAAGTACCTGTTGTAATGACATCATTGGGTCAGAACATTTCAACTGTGGCAGTTCAGTCAGTTAATGCAGGTGCACCATTAATAACCAGCACTAATCCAACAACAGCGACCTCTCCAAAGGTAGTCATTCAGATAATCCCTACTATGATGACAGCTTCTACTGAAAACCAAGAAAAAATCACCATGCAGCCTGTCAAAATTATTACCATCCCAGCTACACAGTTTGACTTTGTCAACTACAGACAAAGTCAAATTTAACTGGATCAGGAAGCATTGACATTGTTGGAACACCATTGGCTGTGAGAGCACTTACCCTTGTTTGTTTCAATAGCCCATGGTACACCTGTAATGAGACTCTCAGTGCCTACTCAGCAGGCATCTGGCCAGACTCATCCTCTAGTTATCAGTTTGGTCATAAAGGGGCCAGAGGTTAACTCAGAAGCAGTGGCAAGAACACAAGAACATGATGTGAAAACTTTGCAGCTGAAAGAAGAAAAGCCGGCAGATGGAAATGAGACAGTTACCCACGTAGTGGTTGTCAGTGTACCTTCAGCTATTGCCCCTTCTTGTAACTATGAAAATGATGGACTAGTGACATGTGAGAAATAAAATAGCAGCTCCACCATGTGCTTCAGGCTGTTAGTGGTAGTAGTGACATAAACATTTGCAAGGGAAGTCATCAAGAAAAGCCAAAGAGGACTTTAAGACATTTTTAATGCTTATAAGAAAACAATTGGCCAGGCACGGTGGCTCACAATCCCAGCACTTTGGGAGGCTGAGGCAGGTGGGTCACCTGAGGTCAGGAGTTTGAGACCAGCTTGGCCAACATGGTGAAACCCTGTCTCTACTAAAAATACAAAAAATAGCCAGGTATGGTGGTGGGCACCTGTAATTCCAGCTACTTGGGAGGCTGAGACATGAGAATCACTTGAACCCAGGAGGAGGAGGTTGCAGTGAGCCAAGATCGTGCCATCGCACTCCAGCCTGGGCAACAAGAGTGAAACTCCAACTCAAAAAAAAAGAAAAAGAAAAAAAGAGAAAAAGAAAACAATCAAACTTACTGGAAATAAATTACCTGTCTCATGTTTCAGTGGGAAATGAACTACGTATTAAGATGCTGACAGAAAACTGCCTCTTACAGAAACAACTGAACCTGTCAATCAAAAGAATTGAAAGCAGCTCACTATGAGATCAAGTTACACTAAGACTTGGAACACTAACATTCTGTAAGAGGTTATGTAGTTTTCAGTGGGGAGGGGTTGGCATGAGTGATCTCATTGTTACATATAGCAATTTTTGATGCATTTTATATGCATCCCAGCAATTATTACTGTGTTTGCACAATAATCACCTAACTGGTGCTAAGTGAAGACCCTGCTAATAGAGGTATTTTAGAATGTGAATTGAAGAATGGATCCAAAAACTTCAGAAAGAGGATAGCAAAAGAAAATCTAGTGATATATATATACACATATATATACATATTATATATACATATATACGTATATACATATATATCATATATAGTGGTATATATATCACTATATATCACTATATATACACACAAATATATACATATATACGTATATACATATATATCACTATATAGTGATATATATAGTGATATAGATATCTATATCACTATATATATCACTATATATGTATCACTATATGTACACACGCACATATATATACATATATATATATATATATATCTTATAGCTTAAGCTAATTTAAAACAAAGCCCTCAGACTTTTTGTTTTCTTTCTTAAAATAAGCTAATGGCTTGTTCGTGTAAAGCTTTTTTATTAAAAGAAAAAATGTAAAAATCTTGTACCTAGCACAGTATTGTTATAGAATTTACGTGTAACATTTTATATGGTAGTTTAAGTCTGTCAGTTTCTTAACTGTGGACAAATTAACAAATGGCTTTGGCCTTTTGCTGTAACATGCCTGTGTCACTCATTCAGCCCTGGCATTTGTGCAGATATATCAGTTTCAGTACTACTGTCTCTAGGAAGTTTAGGCTCAGCATGAATTTTTGTCAGGCTCTAATACCTGGAGCTTTTCTTTCTTTCTTTCTTTCTTTCTTTCTTTCTTTCTTTCTTTCTTTCTTTCTTTCTTTCTTTCTTTCTTTCCTTCCTTCCTTTCTCTCTTTTTTCTTTCTTTCTTTCTTTTCCTTCTTTCTTTCTCTCTCTCTCTCCTTCCTTCCTTCCTCCCTCCCTTCCTTCCTTCCTTCCTTCTTACAAACAGAAATACTAGATATAGCAATCCCACTATTGGGTGTATATTCAGATAAAATTAAATCAGTATGCTGAAGAAATATTTGCGCTCCCATGTTTATTGTAGTACTATTCACAATAGCCAAGAAATGAAATCAATCTAAGTGTCTATCAATGCATACATAGATTGTTACAAATATGGTATATACACAGAATGGAATCCTATTCAGCCACTAAAAACAATGAAACCCTTTAATTTCCAACAACATAAGTGACCCTGGAAGACATTATATTAAATGAAATAAGCCGGACACAGAAAGACAAATATCACACGATCTTACTTATATGTGGAATCTAAAAGGTTGATCTCATAGAAGTAGAAAATAAAACAGTGGTTGCCAGAGACTGGGGAGGGAGTGGTTAACAGGTACAAAAGTATAATTAGATAGCAGGAATAAGCTCTGGTGGCCTATTGTACAGCAGAGTGGCTATAGTTTTCAATAATGTATATTCCAAAGTAACTGAAAGAGAGACGTTTACATGTTATCACTACAAAGAAATGATAAATGTTCCAGGTGATGGTATGCTAATTACCCTGAACTGATGATCACACTATGTATACATGTTTTGATATATCACTTCGTATCGCGTAAATATCTATAAATATTATGTATCAATTAAAATTTTTAAAAGAGCTGGACATGACCTCCTAAATGAAATTAATGATCCAGTAGTGGGTTGCAACTTATATTTTGA
The DNA here is from genome assembly GCF_000001405.40 of Homo sapiens. Taxonomy (NCBI): domain Eukaryota; kingdom Metazoa; phylum Chordata; class Mammalia; order Primates; family Hominidae; genus Homo; species Homo sapiens. Next base: position 87,820,340 of record NC_000009.12, read on the forward strand.
GAAATACTGATTAGTGTTATCACAATAATCATGAAAAGCAGTGAAAGCTAAAATAATTAAAGAAGTCACCACCAAGCCATGGTGCTGGGAGGTGAGAAAGAAGAGGGAGGACAGCTGCTTTTCATCACATGCTCTTCACTCATTTAACTCGTTGTTATGTGAATTCATTGATTTGATAAAAATGAAAAGTACAACAAAAAAGCTAAGCAAGCAAGAAAGGCCTTTAATTCTTTTCCTGGTTCAAGTTGTTCCTGTTGTGGTTTCCACAGCCCTGATTCAGTTCCCTGGGATAAGAGCCTGCCCCTGGGTTGGAGACCCAGCACCTGACCCTCACCTACTCCTGATCCCTTTCAGCAATGATGTATCTCTGTCATATCCAAACTCGCCTCCAGCTGGTTCAGGAACATTCATGATGTCCGCATGGAAGCCAGCAGGACAACTTGGAGTGGGTTCTTCAGCTTGTCACCAAAGGCTGGGGGCAGAGAATGAATTATTTCAGGAGGCGGATCCTGCTACCTGGCTGACTTTACTACCCAGGTGAGGAGGGCCTGCTGGCCTCATGCCCAGGCCATCTCTCCAGTTGGAGGACAGGGCCACAAACACCTCCAGCACGGCTCTGGGGAGGCCCAGCTCCAACATGACGCTGCAGTTCCTCACACTATGTTCTCACAGTCTGGGTATAGGTTTTTTATGCTTATGGAGGCTGCAGGCCAGAAAGAACTCAAGGGAGCCCTTGCACAGGGCATCGTGTACCTCCCAGCCTTGGCCTTCTCTCTCCAGCCTTTCCACTGCATTTTCCTTTTCTGCAACACCCTGCAGCATTCCAGGAAGAAGGTATAAGAGGGGAGGATTCCTCCTGATGCCAGTATTTGATCTGTGCTATGCTTGGAACTGTGTGAGTCCAAGCTTTGTTTTTAAGGGCAGAGCCTGAGTAGAACATGAGGCAATTCTGCAACAGGCACAGTGACGATGATGGACCATTGTGTCTGTGGCTGTGATTTCAGTGGAGCCCTTCTTTTGCTATTGCTGGGGCAGTTTGCCATTGCTGGAAAACAAGGGGTGCACACAGGGTCACCAGCCAGCCTAGACCACAGTTGAAAGCCACCAAAGCCACTGTGTCAGCCATAGGCCAAGGACTGATGCAAAACCCTTCCTCCTCCTAGACCTTGATGGGAGACAGTGTAGAAGCCAAGACATCCTGGAGAGACAGGTGCCAGCATCTGGGCTCCACCTGCAAGCTTAGAGCCAGGTGCAAAGATGGGAATCTGCTGTAGTTGGGAGAGAGAGGAGAGTCAGGACCTCACCTTTTGAGAAAGCTCCTCAGCAGCCCACACTTGAGAGAGTCCATAAGGCTGCTTTTCTTGGAACCTGAGTGGCCAAAAAGCCTGAGCTTGATTCTTGGGAGCAGGTTCTGCGTGGGTCAGGGCTATTAGATGAAGAGTCCTCAATGCATATCCTGAGCATGGATGAGAAAAAGCCAGTTAGTGACAACAACAACAACAACAAAAAGTTTCAAATGACTATTCTCATGGTCCGTAACCCCTGGTCTGCAATTATTACTAATGTTGTAGATATGTTTATTTCTGTCTCTAATAAATTGTTTTAAAACTTCAGATAAAATTGATATAACAAGAAGTCCAAGCCAGAATGATCAGGCAAGAGAAAGAAATAATAGGCATCCAAATAAGAAAAGAAGAAGTCAAACTATATGATTCTACACCTAGAAAATCCTAAGGACTCCACCAAAAGAATCCCGAACTAATAAATGCTTTTGATATAGTTTAAGGATATAATACAAATGTACAAAATAAGTAGCATTTCTATTTAACAATAACAAGCTGAAAACCCAATAAAGCAAGCAATCCCATTTACAATAGTCAAAAACAAATAAATAAATATGTAAGAATACATCTAACCATGAAGGTAAAAGATCTCTACAAGAACTACAAAACACTGCTGAAAGAAATCAGAGATGACACAAACAAATGGAAAAACTTTCCATGCTCATTAATTTGAAGAATCAATATTGATAAAATGGCCATACTGCCCAAAGCAATCTATGGATTCAATACTATTCCTATCAAGCTATCAACAACATTTTTCACAGAACTAGGAAAAACTATTCTAAAATTTATATGGAACTAATAAAGGGCCCGAATAGCTAAAGCAATCCTGAGCAAAGAGAACAAAGCCAGGGGCATCATGCTACCAGACTTCACATTATACTATAAGGCTACAGTAACCGAAACAGCATGGTACTGGCACAAAAACAGACATGCAGACCAATGGAACAGAATAGAGAAACCAACAATAAAGCTGAACACCTACAGTCATATGATCTTCAACAAAGTTGACAAAAATAAGCAAAGAGGAAAGGACTCCCTAGTCAATAAATGTTCCTGAGATATCTGGCTAGCCATATACTGAAGACTGAAACTGGACCCCTACCTTTCACCATATACAAAAAGTAACCACTATGGATTAAAGATTCACATGTAAGACCTCAGAATATAAGAATCCTAGAAGAAAACCTAGAAAACAACGTTCTGGACATCAGCACTGGCAAAGAATTTACGACTATATCCTCAAAAGCAATTGCAACAAATGCAAAAATTGACAAGTGGGACCTAATTAAACAAAAGTGCTTATGCACAGTAAAAGAACTATCAACAGAGCAAACAGACAACCTACAGAATGGGAGAAAATATTTGCAAACTAAGCATCTGACAAAGCCCTAATATCCAGAATCTATAAGGAATGTAAACAATTGAACAAGACAAAATTAAAAACCAAATAGCCTCATCAAGAAATGGGCAAAAGACATTAACAGACACTTCTCAAAAGAAGACATGCAAGTGGCCAGCAAAAATGAAAAAATTACTAACCACCAGAGTAATGCAACATTACTAATCATTAGAGAAATGCAATTTTTCACACCTTTTCACTTTCAGAACCCAGTACAGCTATTGAAGCTTTACAGCTCATGGGGCCTCTCTATGACTGGGAACTCTTAAGAGTTTTAACTCTCAGCCTTGCTCACACTGGGCCTCAAGCAATTTGTCAGTTGCACTTTGCTTTCCCCACCCAGTTGCTTATTCCTGTGGAGGTCTCTACCTGTGGGTTTCTGAGGCTGTAACTTGTGATTTTTAGTATTACTCTGTCTCTCCAATTATGGGGTCGTGGTTTGCTCCATGACTTCACTTGCCTGAGGGATCTAAGAAGAATCGTTGATTTTTCACGCATGTTTTCCTTGTCCAGACACCCAAGAGTATGTCCTTCTCTTGGGCATAAGATCTGAAATTATATTTAGGTGTTAATGTGTGGTGAAGAGTGGATCCAGCTGGCATGCTCACAATGACCAAATTGTGTTGATCATATTTTAATCCAATACATTGCTCCACTATTAACTTGCAAATAAATGACACATTTGCTTTCTAGACATATTCCAGGAAGGCCAAAGAAACTGGCTTCTTATCAATATGGAATAAGTCCCCTGGTGAATTTCTTTTAGGATAGACCAAAGCTGATCTAGAACATAATCTTTACATACTTGGATCCTTCCCACTAGACAAGAAAGAACATCTGGGCTGAAAGGCTCCATTAGAAGAGCAATGTGGGATGGTGCTATGCTGGCAACTGGTAGTCCCTGCCCTACATCTTTGTCGAGGACTGGAGCCCGGAGTGGGCCATGGTCAACTTACATGTTGAAGTGAAGACCTACTTCTAGGTGTGCATGTGCTTATTACAGATATGCCAGGTGCTAAGTACCGCAGGACTACAGTAAAAATAAGAATACATGCTGTATCCATGATCAGGAGGCACACAAGCCAGAGCGCCAGCTGTGGAATCGCACAGCCCGGGTTCAAAGCCTGGTTGGGCCATGAACACCTGAATGACCTGCAGAAAGGTCTTAGGTACATTTGTGAAAAGAAGTGGAGATCCCGCCTGCCAGGAAGGGATGTGGTAAGGGGCAGCATCCAGTCAGGTCAGGGCACCGCGTCCTCTCCTTGGAAACCTTCGTAGCGGGGCTGGTGGCCCCTAGTGGCCATGTAGAAGGTGGGCCTGGCTCCAGGCGGCATAGAGGCACTGGAGCAGCCGTGGGGTAGCCTGGTAGCATCCAGGTGGCCCCATGCTCGGCTTCCAGCAGGTTCTGGCCCTGTAACCCAGGGGACAGGGCCGGCCAATACAAGGCCACTGGGTGCCAAGGCAGCGCCCAGGCCAGGCGCCAGGCGGGAAGGGCTCTGACATGTCAGCCCGCATACCCCACAGCCCCACAGAGGGACCCATCCGAGGCCACACACCTGCCCCCAGCAGCAGGATGTCCCCAGGTGTTAGAGAGTCCTGCTGGGCCCGGCGGAGGCGGGCGTGGTGGGGGAGGGGCTCTCTCTTTTGCCCTTTTACCCCTCTGGTAGGCGCCCTAGGGCGGGGGTGCTGCCGCGCGCTTCGGCGCGCCTTGGTTCTGTCACCAGCCCCACTGGGGCCTCACAATCGCTCAGCCGTCCAGTGCGCGCCTGGAGAAAGAGAAGTGGGCGACTACGGAGCAGCGTCTCCATTACTGACCGTTTTCTCGCCATTGTACCCACACAACTTGCTCTAAATGGGCAATTTATTAAGTATATTTTGTCCCTGTTCCCGCCGCAGGCCCCTGCCGGACCGTCGCCCACAAGCTCCCATAGCCCGTGAGTCCTCTCAGCCTGGCCCGGCTCACCCTGTGGCGCCCACGTCTACCCCGGGCCCTTTCCGATTCCTCTTTAACCCTCAGCAGAGTCGCGGGCCTTCTCCAGTCAGCTTCTACAGCGCGCCTAGGAGACCGTGTCCTCTCCCGCCAGACACGGGCGCCCCCCTGGGGGTCCTGCCTGCTGTGGGCTGCGGGCTCCCCTCAAGGAAGAAACCCGTGCTGTCTAGTGGCAACTCCATGATGTTGGGACACCCCAGCTCGGTGAGGATCCCTCCTCCCAGCAGCAAGTTCACTCTCTAACTGCCTTCACCACGTGAGCAGGTGGCTGGGGCTAGGAAGCTGATTCCGATCCCAGCCAGGCCGCCGAATAAGACCAAGGTGAGGACCCAAGAAGAGCCCAGAGCAGTGATAGAGGAGGAGGGTCAGGTAGAGACCCAGGAGCAGGAGGACAAGAAAAGCCCCCTCTCTCGGCAGGACATCCGCTTCCAGGGCCCTGGAGACCCAGGGAGACCTCAGTTCCTTCAGGTGCAGTCCGGGGCCCCTAGAGGGAAATGTTTATCCCAATTGCTTGACAGAAAATAACTTGACTGACAAGGCCCAGGTGTCTCCAGTGGGTTCCTGCTGGGAAGGCCATGTTGTCCCCAGCTCACACAGCCCAGCTGGAGGGGTCCTTCCCCTTAAGAAGCCTGACCCATCTCCAACAGTGCTCCTTGATCCCGCCCGGGTCTGTTTCCTGCTGCCAGAGAAGGTGGCCCAGGAAGTGCAGGATAAAGACCACCTGCTCAGCTCCCCAGGCTTGCTGATGTTGGGGAAGAGCCTTCAGCTCTTGCATCAAGGAAATCTTTTCCACCCAGAGCTGCCAGCCACAGGTCCCGCAAATAAATTGTCAGTTACAACTTCTGCCGCTGGCCTCTACCCTACAATTAATTGATATGGGATAGAGCTGAGTTGCAGTTAGACCTTCCAGGAACAACGTTTACAGTCATATTTGATGAGTTCTGAGCAGAAGTTCTTATTCTGGATTTTGGGAATTCTCTGGGGGATTCTTGGGTAGACTTCAGGGCATCTGTAAACCCTCTAAACATGTAATGTGTATGTAACATGTATGTTTATCTGCATTTTTCTGGGAAGTGTGTTGATAAATTTCATTAGATTCCTTATGGGGTCTATGATCCCTAATCAGATGCTGAAGCTAAAAGTCAGACGCAGCCTGTGGCAAATAAAACACACAGATGGCTCATGGTGAATGATGGGTGTGAGGCCAGAGGGGAAGGACAGTAAGAAACACCAGTCACATAATTTCGGCCTTCTCCTTCAAACCTACCACAGCCTGGAGGCTCACTCAAAGGAAACAGAGCTGGTTTCTCTTCCCCTGCCCACCACACAGACTTGCCAAGGAGCAGCAGTGCAGTAGCCAAACAGCAGGCATGAGAGGAGAGAGCTCCTCCTGCTCCCTGACTGGATGCACAGCCAGTGGACAAAGGAGAATTCCCTTGCCCTGAGGGCTCTTCTTGTTGCCTGGGTACATGAAGATTTCTCTGTAGACCAAGATGTGGTGCATATCCACCACCATAGAGCTCACATACCTGACCCCATAGGGAGCACTGCTGTCCTACAAGGCAGAAAGAGAAGAGACAAAATTCAGTGGCCTTCATGATTAGTCAGTACCTGCTCTGGGGTCACACATCCAGTTGGGGTGACCTCTACATTCCTGACCCCCTATCCTCCACCCACTAGTGTAGAAATTGAAAAGATTATACAATTGTGCATTTCATTCATTATGAGCCCCTCAAATGTCGACATGTGGTTGGACTTATTAAATGTAGGACTACTTAAAGTAAGAGACAATATCCTGTAGCAATCTTAAGAGAGCAGCTAAACAAATAAAGAGAAAGAAAGAAAAGAAGAAAGAAAGAAAGAAAGAAAGAAAGAAAGAAAGAAAGAAAGAAAGAAAGAAAGAAAGGGAAAGGAAAGGAAGAAAGAAAGGGAAAGGAAAGGAAGAAAGAGAAAGAAAGAAAAAGAAAAGAAAGAGAGAAAGAAAAGAAAGAAAGAAAGAGAAAGATAGAAAGAAAGTCTATATGAACAACTGTTGTTTGGTAGCTCCTTGAAGCTCCTGCTTGAATCACTATGGTTCACAATAGTTTTAGCTTTCTGAGAAGCAGACTTCCTTAAATAATGACTACTCTTCTCTTACTGCATGCAGTGTTTATACGTGGCAAAATCTTAAACACCTTTAGCAATTATTTAAAGAAATAAAACAATTTATTTGTAAACTGCGATTTCACTACTCACACATGTAATAAAAAGGATGTTTGACCAGAGAGAAATATGTCAAAGGTCATGATGTTCCTTAGAGTAGGTATAAGAGGTAAGTCATGACAATATGATTACGTTGCTCCCTGAGGCAGGTTTGGTTTTCCCCATTCAGTGATCCATCTATGATTTCTTTCTCTAATCTGATAATTCTCTGACAGTGCACAGGGAGACAGCAAATTCCTTAGGGCAGCCATCAAGTGTTTTGTGTTCCAAAAATATTTGGGGTTAACTCAGCATGGTATCAGTCATGAGTAATGACAAACAAAGTAAGCTTCAAAACTAGTACTTTGGCAAAATAACCTTTCCAGGCTTTAAAGACCTGAACACAACTAGACTGAGTAATGGATCAAGAACGGAGTAAATGCCAGTAAGATCAAATGTGAACTGATGTCCTCTCAAGGTGTTTTGGTTAGAAACTGTGTGTGTGTGTGTGTGTGTGTGTGTTACCAACAAATCATTAAAATAAGTTAAGATGGAAACCAAGCCTGGGAAATCTCTGAACAAAGCCAATGAGGCCTCCTAAGGGACCTCAACCTTCCTTGATTTATAGACATAAGTGAAACATAACTTGAAGTATTTCTTGTAAATGCCTACACAATACTACAGCACTTGGTCCCTGTAGGCTTATCGCACACTGAATTATTCTTTTTTTGTTGTAATGTCTTGCCACTCCAACCAGACTGCAGCTTCCTGGAGATGGGACCATGTTCCTTATTTGCCAGGTGTTGAGTAAATATCCTGCCTTTCCTCTTGTTATGATGGAAGTGGTGTCCGACTCCTACCTAAAGCCCATCCTCTTCTTGTCTTCTTGACCACGGGGTGGTCCATGAGACAGGGCCAGTCCGACCTGAGCACCCCTCAGTCTCCTGGTCTCTCCTGGGGCCCCAGCCTGGCCATGCCTGCTTGCAATGCAGCCTTGGGTGCCCACAGAGGGTACCTCCTAGGGCCCCACATCATAGCTCCTGTGCTGGCAGACCATACCTGACCAGCAGAGAGCTCCAGCAGAGTAGCCCCACAGACATACACCAACCTGCTAATGCCCTCCCCACATTGCAGTCTCCCCTGTGCTGCTTTGCCTGCACACACTTGCCCAAGCCACCCCCCATATGGCTTTGCCAGAGCATATGTGTATGGGTAGACCTTGCCCCCACTAATGCCCCACCCCTGTGCCAAGCTACCACCAGCCTGAAACTAGGCATGGAGAATAATGGACACACATCCACCCTGAGTGGTCACTGCCACCCAGAGGAACACACACAGAGGACACACACACTCCTGCACCCACCAGCACCCCACCCACATGCTAACACCATCACCAGTGCAAACACATGTAAGACGCCAGCTGGGGTGCCCTTCCTCCTGACACCATGCTGCCTCTGCCACTGCTGTGAACACCTGCACAGAGGCCGGCAACCTAGCACCCACTAGCACCCCACCACAGTGGACAAGCATGCACCCCGCCACAGCGCCACTGCCACTGCTGTGGCACATGCAAACGAGGACAGATTCCACTGCCACCACCCTATGAAGCGCTTTGGCTGGCACCACCCATACAAGTGTTGTGACCAGCTATCTGGGAGAACCCCCATATCTCCAGCACAGTGGATTCCTAACCTCAAGGAGACAGGGAACAAAGTCAGCCCAGTAGAAGTCCAGAATTAGAGCATGCAGTCCAGAAGTTGGGAGCTGAGCTTTGACCCCCTAAAATCTTCCAGAAACAAAGCCAGTCCACTGAACCCACCTTGTACCACAATCAAACCCTCAAGGTTATCAAATAGGATAAAAGAAAAAAAACCCATCCAAAGGACAGAACTTCAAAGACTGAAGGAACATCAGCCCACACAGATGAGAATGAATGCAAGAAAGTTGACAGCTCAGAAAGCCTGTGTGCCTTCTTTCCGCCAGATGACTGCATTACCTCTCCAGCAAGGGTTCTGAACTGGGCTGAGATGACTGAAATGACAGAAATAGAATTCAGAATACAAACAGGAAGGAAGATCATCGAGATTAAGGAGAATGTTGAAACCTAATCCAAGGATGCTAAGAATCACAACAAAACAATACAGGAGCTGACAGACTAAATAGCCAGTATGAAAAGGAATGTAATCAACCTGATAGAGCTGAAAAACACACTAATCGCAATCGCAAGTATTAATAGCACAATAGATGAAGCTGAGGAAAGAATCTTAGAGCTTGAAGACTGGCTTTCTGAAATAAGAGAGTCAGACAAGAATAAAGAAAAAAAGAATAAAAAGGAATGAAAAAAAAACCTCTGAGAAATAGAGATTATGTAAAAAGACCCAATCTATGACTCATTAATGTCTCTGAAAGAGATGGAGAGAATGGTGGAAAACATATTTCAGGTTATCACCCATGAGAACTTCACCAACTGAGCTAGAGAGGCCAATAGAAAATTCAGGAAATGCAGGGAACCCTAGTAAGATACTTCACAAGAAGATCATCCACAAGACACATAATCATCAGATTCTCCAAGCTTGAAATGAAAGAAAAAATGTTAAAAGCAGCTAGAGAGAAGGGTCAAGTCACCTACAATGGGAAGCCCATCAAACTAACAATGGACCTCTCAGCAGAGGTCCATTTCCCATGAGTCACAGGGAATGATCAACATTCTTAAAAGAAACTCCAACCAAGACTTTCATATCTAGCCAAACTAAACTTCATCGGCAAAGGAGAATAAGATCCTTTGCAGAAAAGCAAATACTGAGGGAATTCATTACCACTATACCTGTCATCTCTAGGAACTCTGATTTTATAGATCACATCTGGCATTGCACCAGGTGGAATTTGTGAAAAATGTAAGGAACTATTACTGCTAATTAGGCAAGCCTAATGCTCTAACAATTGTCAAAAACAAATATGAGAACACAAAATACCAAACCCCTGAAGCCGTGTTTTCTCATTCGTTTCCTCCCTCCATTCCCCTTCCAGCAGATTCCTGAAAACAGCCTGATACATATTCCTCTTCCCTTCCAGATACAGAATTGTGTGTTCTTCATCTGGGCTTTTGTCCTGCCCATACCCAGCAGGCACACAGCCCATAAAGCAGGAAAAGGAACCAAGGTGAAGGAGGCAGAAACTCTGCAGCCAGCAAGGAGGAGGTGCTATCTCCCTGCAGGTTAGGCAGCCCTAAGCCCTGCAACCCTAGTGTGTGGGAGGTGAGGGTTCTTCCCCATTTGATTGTTTCCAAGCAGGGTCATGTCGTGGTTAACGGTATGGGTTGGCAGCCAGAATGCTTGGGTTTGAATCCTGGCTCAGCCACTTACCTTGGATAAGTAATTGAACCCCTCTGTGCCTTATCTTCCCCATCTGTACCTGCCTCCAAGAGTTGTTATGAGAATAAAGGAGTTAATACGTGTAAAACACTTAAAACAGGGCTTACCACATATTAATCACCCAGTAAATGTTAACTATTATTATTAAATCCAACTCATAGTTACAATGAAGATCATTATATTATACTGTCCTCTAGTTGCATCCCTTGAAACCACACTACAGGCAGGAAATTACCAAGTCTTCGGGTATTTTAGTTACCTAGCCCTTTATTGGATCCAAGATGAAACGTCTTGGCCTGACTTAACAGTGAAGACTAAGGTGAGGATCCACAATTCTATTTTACCAGAAATCCTACTTCTAGGAATACCTTCTGAGGGAATTTTCAGATCAGCAAAGACGAGGTACAAAGGGGCTCACTGCAATATTTTTTTATGGAGTGAAAAGCTGGACACAGACTAAGTGTAGAACAACCTGAGAATGATTAAATACGTTATGGTACAGCAATGTGCTTTTGAAGAATTTTTAATAACTAGGAAATACTCATGAAGTAGATGTAAGTAGAAATGCAGGTTTAAAAACTGTATTTATAAGTGGATTACATTTGATAACTATGTAAGCACATTTGCAAGAAAACAAAACCTAGAGAGATGAATGATGATGTTCACAGTGGGGTTACTGAGAGTGAAGAAACTTACACATGGTTTTTGTTTACATTTTATTTTTTTTGGCACCTTCCATGTGTTACACATGAACAAACACAATTCTTATATTTGGAGAAAATGTTAAGTCATGAAACCAAAACATTTAAATACAGAAAGAATCTTTCAGAAGACACACAATGAACTACCAGGAACTAGAGATAGAACTTATATCCCTAAATTCCTAGTTTTTAAGCCCAGAATGACTCCACATAACAGACGGAGGTGTTGCTACTCTTCAACTTACCTTTGCTCTGGAAAGGAAACTGTGAGAAATCTCTCAGTTAAGGATAGATAGATAGATAGATAGATAGATAGATAGATAGATAGGAAGGAGGATGGATAGATAGATAGATAGATAGATACATACATACATACATACATACATACATACATACATACATACATAGACAGGAGGGAGGGAGGCATGAAGGGATATAAGAATGGGTGGATGGATGGATGGATGGATGGATGGATGGATGGATAACTATAGATGGGCATAACTTGAGGGAGGAGAGCAAGAGCCTCTGAAGGTGCAGGATACAATTTGGCCTTGACTAATCACGGCCATTCATTTTCACAACACTGGGGAGATGTTGGCTCCTTGGCCCACATATGCTTGTTAAGAGAGTGTTCTGAGAAAGCCACAGTTTTAGCAGACAAAGCCCAGGAAAGTTTCACCAGAGAGTTCTCCACCACAGCAATGGTCTGCTCATTCCTCTCATTAATTTAATAAACAAGGGAATTTTGCAAGAGTTTTAATGGAATATAATTACAGCCCTGATTTGGCTCCTTCTGGCTTCTTTTTGTTTTCTAATATTAAAAAACCTTTAAAGGGCATCCATTTTTCTTGAGCAAATAACATAAAAAAGACTGCCTTGGCAGGGTTAAATTCCCAGGACCTTGGGTTTAGGGTTGGACTAAGTGGCTGGTATAAACCCTTACAAAAGTGTCTTGAGCTCAATGGAGCTTATGTTGAGAAATAAATTTTGTATTTTTTATTGTTATATTTTAATTTCATTTTTTTCCATGAACTTTTTGAAGTTCTCTTGTGTAATTATTCCTTCGAAAAGCAAATGCAACTGAGTGAGTGAATCTGCAGGTTGGAGCTTAGATTAAACAAATGACTTAAGAAAGGTTCTGGCCTGAGCTCTGAATTTTGCAAGTGTGATCCCTAACTTTTGCTACAAACAATTTCTCCTGGAACAACTTAAATGTAAAGGGAAGTATTACCTTTAGAATGTAAATTTTAGCTATAAAAGATACTGATTGCTTATGAAGAAAAGCAGAGTCTGCCATTCTCATACTGTCCAGAACTATGAACAGTGGCTCCAACCTCTTTCAGCAAGGCCCCCTGAAGCCACCACCCAAACAGGACCCCATAGAGACAACACTTTCCCTCCGACCCACCTGGGCTTTCTTCACTCACCTCAGGGAATTTCTTTTTCTGCACATATTCGGTGACGGCCCTGTCAAAATACTTAGCATTGCCCTCATTCAGGTTGTAAATCTTTCCTTTCTTACTAATCTTGACATCTTTTTCCACCAGTACAAATTCACCAAGAGCCTAGAGAGATGAAGAGAGATGCCAGGAAGAAGAGAGACGCCAGGAAACAGAAGCCCACAGCTGGCAGAGCTGGGGCCTAGCTGTGGTCACTCTGGAGCCTGCCCCGTGGTGTTTTTATGAGTGGTGGAAAGAACAGTGACAATATGGAGCCCACAAAGGAAGCTCAAGCAGTAACATAGCAAGAGGGAAGACAATTCAAAGGGAAGAGGCCCATGGTCTTCTTTCTTTTTCTTTGTGATTTCTACTGTCAGGGAGGCTCCTTATTTATAAAGAACATGACTGTGTTTATCTCCCAAGTTCTCACCCCCAGATTAATGTTTTCAGAAAGACTTGGGCCATCAACAATTAGAGGAGAAGTTGTACTGATGTGTGAGGGATGCATTTTGACAATTTGTGGTCCAGTTATTTCGTTTATGTTAATGATTCAATCTCAGAAACCATTAAAAGTTTCTGGTATCCCAACTACTCTTACCCGGGGAAAAGAGGAGGTTCTTTCAATTGGAAACTGTTCGCCTGGCATAAAGAAAAAGTTGGCAAAATCTAAAGGAATCCTCAGACTTATTAATAAAATTGTGCCCAGTCCCTCTTATAGCCACCATGGTCAATACCTGCAGGGCATCCCTCAGACACCCCTTTATCTAGTTCTGGTGACATCAGTCACTAAAAGTGTGATCAGCTCACAACAGACACCACCTTAAATGCTGATGTCTCTCTAAGTCACTAGGGGTAAAGTCAGGGCCTGAAACCAGATTCATTTTGATTAATGTTCAAGATTTTGAGAAAGTGAGAAACTCCAAAATGACAGCTTACAGCTAACAGCTAGCCCAGAGTTTCCCAAGGAACATCAGAGATATTCCCAGAATATAAAGAAGGAAGGCCATGCTGTCCATGTCTGAAATAAGATGGTGACTAGGAGACTCAACAACTACACATTCCTCTCTTCTGCTAACAAGACTGACAACTGCTTCTTTACCAATGACTTCACTTTAATCTCCCTGGCTCCTAACTAAAAATTATTAAGATAACTAATCATTAATTGCACCCACTTCCAGGCAATATCCAATCCAGACTGACCCTCTGTTCCTCAAACCCTCTTTAGAATCACCAAGCAAAACCCCGTGGTTCCTCTGCAGTGCACTCCCCCTGCCCAGTAAATCGAACTTCTTTTTATTACAGGCATGCACGTGATGGTTTTTGTCTCATGAGCTTTAACTCTCTGTGGACATCTGTTGCTTTGGAGCAGACCAGCCTTGAGTTCCACTTCTGAAAAGTGCCCTGACATCCCTTAAAGAGTGGGATGTCAGTCTAGAAAGATCCGTATCTGGGCCTCTTCTAGACCAAGGCCAGGCACGTGCCTTAGCTTAAAAATTATATACCCCTCCATGGGATTTGAAACCTGAGAGACAGGCACAGCACTGGAGTTGGTGTCCAGGACAGAGTGGCCGTGTTGCAGGACTACTGCCATGCTTTCTGCTTCCTGGTCCTCTAGCCCTGCCCGTTCCTAGCCAAGGTCCTCTGCTTTCCCAATGAAACGAGAAAAGTTCCCTTATCCCCCTCGCAGGGCATGTGATGGGGGTGTGGCTTGCTGTTTCCGAGCCCCGCCGCTCAAACCTCTAGGGGGAGCATGCAGACAGGCAGGCTGTGGGGCTCCGACCCCATGGCAGCATCTAGGTGTGCATGTTTACAGCTGAAGCCCCAGTGGGGCGTGTGTTACAGAGTGCTCTTTCAGTTTAGCCATCCGTCCATAGGCGGCTTGCATTAGTCAGCTCAATTATACGCCCTGCCTTATCTTCCGCCATCCACAGGTCAATGGCCTGATGGCAGATGCCAGTGTGTTCTTCCACCGGCGTGTTCCTCTTGAAGTCCAGCCGCTTGGGTGCGTGCCCGCCAGGGTCTCGGGGTTTTTATAGGCACAGGATGGGGGCGTGGCAGGCCAGGGTGGTCTTGAGAAATACAACATTTGGGCACTGAAACAGAAATGCCTGTCCTCACCTAGGTCCGTGGGCACAGGCCCGGGGGTGGAGCCCTCACCAAGGACCCTGCCCTTTTCCTCCCAGCATTTCCCTGCCCCCTTCTCGTATCACCATCAATGCAGTAACTCCTTTCACTTAATTGAGCTGGGGTCGATTTTGCTCTTGCTTTTCAGCAAAGAGCATGGAGATGCGCAGCTGTCATTTAAACAGCGGCACTCACTCTCCACCTGAACAGAGGAGCTCATTCTGCATCAGGGTGGGTGAAAACGCCTTGGGTTGATCCGCTCCTGGGTCTGGGGCAGGGACTCTCAGGCCCCTGGAATGTTGTTTCCACAGTTTTATTAACCTGGAAAATATGCCCCTTTGTTCTGATTGTGTGGTCACCAACTGCTGATTTTTAATATGAGCTCTCATACACTCAGATAAGAGGGTCCCTGATGATCGGGCACCAGATCCTTGTCACTGAGAAACAAAGAATCTGTAAATGAATGCTTTGACATTGAGCTTTATCCCACAATGGGGAGTTGGTTAACAGGAGGTGGTCTCTCTGTGCCTGAACAATATGTGTGTTCTGACAAAATCAAATCATCAGGTCTGCAAACCCACAGACCTCACAGGCTGAGTTTGACCCACCAGGGAATGCTGCCTCCATCACTGCTGACTGCCCTCCATGGCATTTCTATCTGTGACAACTGCCACAAGCTATCTCCACTGGACGTCAACATCCCAAACAGGCACTAAGCTTTGTGCACTGGGTCTTTGCTCAAATGTCCTTTATAGTAGAGTGATGTGATCCAAAGGGGTTTCAGGATAATACACAGAAATCAGGAAAGATTATGCTATGGTTCATCTCTTCCTT
This sequence comes from Homo sapiens, assembly GCF_000001405.40. NCBI lineage: Eukaryota > Metazoa > Chordata > Mammalia > Primates > Hominidae > Homo > Homo sapiens. The sequence goes on from NC_000009.12 coordinate 87,835,725, forward strand.
CTGTTATGCTGACAAGCTCTCGTGCCCACCTATGTCCAGACTGGGCCCTGCTGTCGTGACTGAGGGCAGAAAGCAGAGGCTCTGTCTTTGCCTGGGAATCCTTGAGTTGAGTACCTGAGTCAAAGCACCTCCCGTTGCCTTTAGAACTGCTCAGAATGTTCTTGGAGATATTTTACTTGTACTCAAGAGCAGTTGTTTTTGAAATTCGGTCTGGTTTAGTAGTTAAAGCACAGATTGCCGGAGTGTGACTCCTGACACCACCAGTCACTAGCTTGACCTCAGGCAAGTTACTCACCCTCTATGTGCCTCACTTTCCCCATCTGAAAATGAGAATAATAGTAGGACCTACCTCACAGGGCTGCTGTGATGTTTAAATGCATTAATAGATGTAAATTCCCTAGGACAGGTACCTACATTCCTACAACTTATTAAGAATTATGTTAGCTGTTACTCTATAGCAACTGTAGAAAGGGCAATTTATTGTCTGAGAGTAATATGTGTAAGCCATAGAATTTCTGAGGGTTTGCCAGCTTCTTTGAAAATAAAGGGAAACTGTGGCATTAGCAAACTGACACAGCAGTGGGCCTTGGTCTAATGGGTTTATAGGTGAAAAGATTTGAAAAGTTTCTGGATTTCCATACTGCAAACCCTGTTTTGTTAACTCTGTTTCATTTTGAAATTTGCAATCCCCCTCTCTCCACATACAAACTGACATGTGAACTCCACAAGGGCTGGCATGTGTGTTTGATCAATGTTGTATCTCCACTGCCTGAAATGGTGCTTTGGGATGTAGTAGATGCTCAATAACATCTGTAAATCTAAATTAAATTTAAATACAGACCTTTCATCTAAGTGAACACAAGGGGTTTTGAAGTCGTCATTGGTCAACATTATCTGAGTTTTCACAAGACCTCAGTGTATTTGGCAAAGCATTTCACAAGTGATAAACAAGGCATCCAGCATTTAAAAGCAAAACTCACAGAGCATTCTATGGGATGATGCTGCTCTAAAGCATTCATGCTTCTGTCTGGAAATTCGCAGCATTACGATTCTTAAATCATGGAGTTCTCATAAACCAAAGAGATCGAGTGCATTTTTGAAAAATGAACTCCTTAAGGACAGGGCTTGAGTTGATGCAACTGACTCTGCAGGACACCCCTACCCCGGGTTCCCTCACTGGGACAAAGGCCCTTCATGGTTTCTGATGATGGCGTTGGCTCCCAAAACTAGGTTTTCAGACTCTCTGGCCCCAAAAACAAGTATTAGGAATGACCAGGAAATTATCCCAGGGGACTAGCATTAAAGCACAGAGGCCCATCAAGTCCCCAAGCCCAGAGGCTGCCATATTCTGTACCTACCAAGTCAAGCATGAAGAGGTCCACCCCTTGCCCTGTGGAGAGAGCCACCAGGGTTGTGCTACTGTACAGTGTATAAACTATGGTCACAATGTTGCAGCCAGGCTGCAGGGCATCCCTTTCAGAAGGCTTGTCCTCTGAGGTCTGTGGAAGAAAGGAGAGAAACACGGTGTGTTATTGTTTCAGGAGAGAACCCTTTGTCAGAGGCATGGGATTCAGATCTCCTTGAACCACTGAAGAAAGTGCAGTTCTTAGAATTTTAAGCTGCCACAAATCTATCCAGAGAAAATGAGTTGCCACGTTACCGACAATTCTAGCTGAGCTATGGCAAAGGCCATTTTTGGATTTCTTCCTATTTTCCAAACGCATGTGTCTGCAGCCTGCCAAGAAAAGCACTCCCAGATGCTAAAATCGTAAGCTGCACTCCTGAGCCATGATAGTCACAACTCAGATCACTGAGCGGAGGGTGCAGCGTCTCACTCTGCACACTCAACAGCTATCTGAGGCACATAGCACTGTCACCTTCATGGCTCAGTGGGAGAACTCTGAGAAAAAAACAACCTGAGATGAACAATCTACTGCAGTTGGAACAGCTGCACAACTCACTCAACAGCAGGAAGCCCTGACTCTGCTTTCTCTCTGACTCTGTGGATGCTCCTCATTTGCTTCTCTTCCCCACAGCTCCTCTTCCTCTGGTTCTTTAAATCTTGGTCCTCTTTCTAGTTTTTTTCTAGCCTTTGGTGCATCCAGCCAGTGCAAATGGTTCTTCCTCACCCCCTTATCCAAAATTAGAACTCTTAGCTGCTACGTTTATATTGAGTCACGCCTCCCACCACACAAACACACAGACACACACACACACACACACACACACACACACACACACACTCTTGATGGGGTAGGAGAGAGAGTCCTGACCTAGAATGGCCCAATCAGCCTCTCTCCTCCAGATATCTAGAATTAGAGGACATTCTGGTGATGTAGAGTTAGAAGCCTTGTAAATCTGAATGGTCTCACCCCTATGCTCTGACCTCATGATTTGGTATTCCAGGTGCTTGATGCCATGAGCATCCAGGGCTACTTCTTTGAAGCTCCCAACACATTTTCATTCTTGGGTTTAGTGTCTGACTTCCAAGCTACACTGTAAGCAACCTGAAGGGAGGTACCCACTCCGTCTTGTTCATGTCTGTTTTCCCACCATGTAACACAATCTGGGCCATGATCATTGCATTTAATTAATACAGACAAACACACAGATACATATATATGCAAGTTTATACACACACATAAATATATACATGCATACATGTAGTGCTTTTCAGCATAAGAATCCTACAAACGTTTTTTAGATTTATATAATACTATTTCATTTTTTAAGTGATTAAAGTACATATTTTAAATTTAATTACTATTATGAATTAGTTTATTGCTAATATATAGAAATCCAGTTGGTTTTGTATGTTGATCTTGTGTCCTGTGACTTTGCTGAACTCACTCATTCTAGGGAGTGTTTTGGTTTTTTGTTTGTAAATTCCTTGGGATTTCCTATACAGATCATCATGACATCTGCAAAGAACGACAATGTTATTACCTGCTTTCCAATCTTTTTCCCTTCCATTATTTTTTTTGCCTTAGTGTGCTGACTATGACTTCCAGGGTTACATATGTTGAGTAACAGTAGTGAAGGAGGACATCCTTGCTTTGCTCCTGATCTTAGAGGATAAGCATTCACTCTTTCACCATTAAATACTAATGCTAGCTATAAATTTTTGTAGATGTACTTGATAGGGTTGAGGTAAGCTCCTCCTCTATTTCTTGTTTTCTAAGATTTTCTTTTTTTCAGAGACAGGGTCTTACTCTGTTGCTCTGCCTGGAGTGCAGGGGTGTGATCATGGCTCGCTGCAGCCTCCAACTCCTAGGCTCAAGCGATCCTCCCATCTCAGCCTCCCAAGTAGCTGGGACCACAGACATGCACCACCACCCACCTCTCCAGCTAATTTTTTTTTTGGGGGGGGTGGGGATGGAGTCTTGCTCTGTTGCCCAGGCTGGAGTGAAGTCACGCAATGTCGGCTTACTGCAACCTCTGCCTCCTGGGTTCAAGTGATTCTCCTGCCTCAGCCTCCCAAGTAGCTGGGACGATAGGCGTGTGCCACCATGCCCAGCTAATTTTTTGTATTTTTAGTACAGACGGGGTTTCACTGTGTTAGCCAGGATGGTCTCAATCTTCTGATCTCGTGATCCACCCGCCTTGGTCTCCCAAAGTGCCGGGATTAAGATGTGAGCCACTGCACCCGGCTAATTTTTTTTTTTTTTTTAGATAGGGTCTTTTTACTTTGCACAGGCTGGTCCCAAACTTCTGGCCTCAAGTGATCCTCCCACTTCAGCGAGTTTCTTTTTTAAGTCATGAATGAGTTTTGAATTTGTTCAAGTGGTTTTTCTCCATCAATTGATATAATTATATGATTTTTCTTCTTTAGCCTGTTGATATGGTGGATTACACTGACTGATTTTGAATACCGGACCAGCCTTCTATTACCAGAATAAATCCCACTCAGTCATGGTGTATAATTTGTCTTATGTGTTGTTGAATTCTACTTCTCAATACTTTGTTAAGGGTTTTTTCATTTATTGATGAGGGATCTTGGTCTTTGGTATTCTTTTTTTTTTTTTTTTTTTTGAGATGGAGTCTCGCTCTGTTGTCGGGCTGGTGTGCAGTGGTGCGGTCTCGACTCACTGCAACCTCCGCCTCCTGGGTTCAAGCGATTCTCCTGCCTCAGCCTCCCAAGTAGCTGGGATTACAGGCACTCACCACCACGCCTGGCTAATTTTTGTATTTTTAGTAGAGATGGGGTTTCACCATACTGGCCAGGCTGGTCTTGAATTCCTGCCCTCGTGATCCACCCACCTCGGCCTCCCAAAGTGCTGGGAATACAGGCGTGAGCCACCGCACCCAGCCGGTCTGTAGTAGTCTTTTGTTTTTGTTTTTTTGGAACTATTGTTACCAAAACACCAGGGGTTTGGTCTAGGCCTTGCTGCTTACCACACAAAAAGCCAATCACTAAGACAATAAGTACTGCAAAGGAAGAAGGCTTTAATTGGGTGCTGCAGCTGAGAAGATGGGGGAGCTCAGTTTCAAATCCATCTCCCTGACAGACTAAAACTAGAGGTTTATATAACAGAGAAGAAATGTGACAATGTGCAAGAATACAGGAACTAGAGAGGGGAAAGGAAGCAATAATGAGGAATGAGGGCTCCAGGCTTCTCATTGTCAGGATGTGGTGATCTGGTGACTTTCAGTTCTCTAATACTCTTTTTGAGAGGTCTGAAGTTCCTTTCCTGAGGAAGGAATTCATATAAAACAAATGTAAGCTTCAAGCTTTAAGAACAGAAAGGTCAGTTTCTATGTTTATCCGAAAGAACAGTCTATGAGATTATTGGGTCAGTTTTACTATCATTGTCTGGTTTTTGTATCAGAGTAATGCTGACTTTATAAAATGAATTGAAAAATGTTCCTTCCTCTTCTCTTTTCTGGAAGAGATTGAATAACCTTTGAACATTTAGTATAATTTTCTAGTGAAACCATCCGGGCCTGGAGATTTCTTTTTTGAATTCTATTTTCTAATAGTTGAGCCCTGAACCTAGTCTTTCAAATTATCTATTTTATATTGGGTGAGTTAGAGTACTGTGCTTTCTGAGAAGTTAGTCCATTTCATCTAAGTTATCAATTTTATGTGTGTAGAGTTGTTTATAATATTCCCTTACTATCCTTTTGATGGCTCCTAACTTTTTGAAAAACAAAACAACCTGAGATTAACAATCTAGGTCATAAATACATGATTCTCTGATTGTTTTCTCAACAGAAATTCCAAATAATTAAATTACTGGGTAAAAAATCTTTTTATACATATTGAAGTTTTCCTCCAGAAAGGTTGCATAAATTTATACTTTTACCGTCAGTGATAAGAGGGTTCTTTTTAATTTATTCTGGCAAACACAAGATAGTATTGTCTTTTCAACTTCATCAGTTTGGTGGAAAAAAGACCTCTTTTTTGTTTTAATTTCTATTTTTATGAGTGAGGTAAACTTTTTAGAGTTTATTGATCATTTTTATTTTGTAGGTTGTATATTTCATGTCTTTTATTTTTCTATCAACATATCCATCTTCTTGTTTATTTATTTGTTTGTTTGTTTGTTTTGAGATGGAGTTTTGATCTTGTTGCCCAGGCTGGAGTGCAGTGGTGTGATCTTGGTTCACTGCAACTTCTGCCTCCCACGTTTGAGCAGTTGTTCCTGCCTCAGCCTCCTGAGTAGCTGGGATTACAGGCGCCCACCACCGTGCCTGGCTAATTTTTGTAATTTTTTTTTTTTCTTTTTGAGACAGTCTCACTCTGTTGCCCAGGCTGGAGTGCAATGGTGCCATCTCACTCACTGCAACTTCCACCTCCCAGGGTTCAAGCAATTCTCATACCTCAGCCTCCTGAGTAGCTGGGATTACAGGCGCCCACCACCACACCTGGCTAATTTTTGTATTTTTAGTAGAGACGGGGTTTCGCCATGTTGGCCAGGCTGGTCTCAAACTCCTGAACTCAGGTGATCCGCCCACCTTGGCCTCCCAAAGTGCTGGGATTACAGACGTGAGCCACCACACCCAGCCTATATTCATATTTCTATTCACAGTATCTCCTACACAGTGTTTTCCTACTCTATGGGGAGAAATCAGGTAGATGGCAGAAGACACAGGTCAGATCTCGAGAAGAGTTTCTATGGCCTCCAAACAAGCATTTATTGATTATAGACTTAGGGGTGGATATTACGAATGTGGGATGTCCCACAAGGTTATCTCCTGTGCTATCTAATGCACCAAGCAGCTTGTCCATAACTTAGTTTAAATATATCCGTCAGGCTCCATGCCCACTTGCTGTAAAAGCAAGATTACTGAGTTAATCTTAGATTTTAAAATGGAAAACTGGGCCTCACAAAAGCAGTTGGAAAAGTTACCTGGAGATTGTTTCTAAGGCAGTCCCCAACTGTACCAAGCAAAGGACAATATGTACAAAGTCAGAGCTTCATTAACTCTTGATGATTGATTCATTCACTTACTTAATGCAAGACTTCAGGGGAAGAAGAATCGCTGAGTGGAGGAGACTGGAAACAATGCATTATGAAGCGCCCATGGTCTCTGGATACCCACCCAGCCAGTCCCCACCCTCCTAGGGTCTGGTCTTGACCATCTCATCATGTGTTTTGAGGGTGCGTTTTCCTACCAGTTGTATTTTGTTTGCTGTTTTTTGTTTTGTTTTGTTTTTGAGACAGGGTCTCCTCTCGCCCAGGCTGGAGTGCAGTGGTGCGATCTCGGCTCACTATAGCCTCGATCTTCCGGGTTCAAGGGATGCTCGTGCCTCAGCCTCCCGACTAGCTGGGACCACAGGCGCAGGCCACCGCACTCGGCTAATTTTTGTATTTTTAGTAGAGACGGGGTTTCGCCAGGGTGCCCACGCTGGTCTCGAACTACTGGGCTCAAGTGATCTGCCTGCCTCAGCCTCCCAAAGTGCTAGGATTACAGGCATGAGCCACCAGCAACATGCCCAGATTCTTCTATACCCTTAATTGGGAGATAAGGCTTCTGCCTGCGGGCTGTGAGTTCTTCCAACCGGCCCCTTCTTTGCTGTGGACTAAACAGGAACCACTGGGCTAGAGTCCTCTGGCTCTCGGCCCTGCAGGAGATTTTAATAAACAATTCTAGGCCTAAAGGAAAAGCAGGGTTAGGCTGAAAATGCACACAGGGCTCCTGTAAACTTCTTTTCATGAACCACCGGCCCAGGGCATTAAATAAGGTACTTAGTTGATCCGAACCCTCCAGGGAGACCTCCGACCCTTCTCTTCGTAGCCCCCAGCTCCCCTCCCCCCGGTTCCACTGAGGCAAGTGGACTGAGCCGCTCCACAGGCTAGGAGTCAGCCCGCCGGAAGGTCCCGCCCAGCCTTAAGAAGTCAATTAGCTGCTTTCGGGCGGCCTTAGGCGACGGGAGACTCCTGGACTCGGCACCTGCCCACTGTGCCTGTCCACCTGTGGCTACTGCAGCTGAGACCCCAGTGGGCTGAGATTGGACAGGGGCCACCAGGGACCCAGCAAGTCCTTCAGCTCGGTGAGTGAGGGATTTTCAGGAGTGCCAGGCCGCAGTATTCCCAGGGCTGGTGGGGTGGGACAGGGAGGCTCGACCCGGGCAAATCAGGCAGAGGCGCCGCTTGCTCCCTGCACCACCACCCACCTCCTGGGGCCACAGTGAGCATGAGCGGGGGGTGGAAGCAAGAGGCAGGGGACCTGGCCTGGGTCCCCAGCCCAAAGCCTGGGAAGCTGCCTACCCCTGTGTGGGCGCGGACACTGGGGACTCTGGCTTCTGGCGGTTCGGCCACCTGATTGGGTTTATGCTCTATGAGGGGAGTTGGAGTGTTGGCAGGACTGGCCCCTGCAGGACTGCAGGACTGCGGGAGCGGCGGTAGATAGGTGCTCTCCTTCCCAGTTTCTCCTGGGAAGACATTCAAGAACTGTTTCCGTTACAAGGGGTGTTTGGAAAACATACTTCACCTTCTGCTATGCATTAGCCAAGAACAAAGTGTGAAGTGACTTCCCAATTATTGGGGATCCCTTTGTCCCTTCTTGAAATTAGATGTCTTCATTAGTGAGGTTTTGCCTGGATGACCTCAGCACAATTGGTACAAAACCTGGGCCAACGGTTTCCTAGTTTCCTGGTTGTTGCCTTTAACTTCTCGCCCATAAGGTACCTTCCTATCCTTTTCATAGCCTAAATTATCATCCCATAAAACTGTTTCAGCTCCTACAGCTCTGGACAGGCTGCTTTTCATTTTGGTGAGTCCATCCAATACTTCCACTTGCCTTGTTTTTCTCCAACCAGATCCTTGGCCTCTTCCACAGTCCTTAGGTAAATGCATGGGAGAATAATTTAAATATTTTTATTCTATCATGGTGGCCCTAGTTTCTCAGGGGGCAGTAAGATGACTTTTTCGGATTAGTCTAATCAGATCCTCATTTCTTTTCCCTTCCCAGATTTTTGAAACATGAACCCTTCACTCTTCCTGGCTGCCTATTGCCTCAGCTGCTGTAACACGTGACCACAGTTTAGATGAACAATGGACCAAGTGGAAGGCAAAGCACAAGAGATTATATGGCATGGTTGGTGGCATCTGAAACTGTCCAGGGGAACCCCAGAGAGATGGACCTTGCTATTGGGATCATACGGCCAGAAAGTAGCTTCTAGATGCCAGCTCTTACCAATAACCTAATGCAATAACTTAATAGCACCGATTATGAGCACGATATGGGCATACACCCTTGTTGTGTCTCAGCTTGGAGAACATCTCCCAGAGGTGTCAAGCCTTCCCCTGCCATGGTTACTCTTACATCTCTGTCTGAAGATTCACTTGGTTAGCATAGGCTGGGTTTTAATTAGAAATAAAGAGCATCAGTTACATGTTTGTCTTTAGAATGAAGAAGGATGGAGGAGAGCAGTGTGGGAGAACATGAAGATGATTGAGCAGCACAATCAGGAACACAGCCAAGGGAAACACAGCTTCACAACAGCCATGAACGCCTTTGGAGACATGGTGAGTGTGCTGTGGACTGCTGAACTCTGTGCTTCCTCTCCTCAGTTCTTTACCAAATCAATCTCTTGCTTTTTAACATTTTATTTACTTTTCCTTGAAGACTAATTAAGAATTCAGGCAGGTGATGAATGGTTTTCAATACCAGAAGCACAGGAAGGGGAAAGAGTTCCAGGAACGTCTGCTTCTTGAGATCCCCACATCTGTGAACTGGAGAGAGAAAGGCTACATGAGTCCTGTGAAGGATCAGGTGAGACTGTGTTAGGTTCAGACCTCCCATCACCCCAGGAAAGCCAAGAAGCAATTGACATTTGTGCTATGCTAGACTGTGCTGCAACATGCAGTTCACTTTTTAAAGGAGTATTTAGATATATGAGCTGTTGTTAAAAGTCTTGCTCTGTGTGTGTGTGTGTGTGTGTGTGTGTGTGTGTGTGTGTGGATATCAGCTTTTTTATTCTCTTTTCAGGGTCATTGTGGCTCTTGTTGGGCTTTTAGTACAACTGGTATGCTGGAAGGGCAGATGTTCTAGAAAACAGGCAAACTTATCTCACTGAGTGAGCAGAATCTGGTAGCTCTGGTCCTCAAAGCAATGAGGGCTGCAATGGTGGCTTCATGGATACTTCCTTCTGGTATGTTGAGGAGAACGGAGACCTGGACTCTGAGGCCTCCTATCCATATGAAGGAAAGGTAAATGGAGCTCCTTTTCTTGCTGCCATTCCTGCTTTGTTTTACTGGGACACTTTCAGAGATAACAGACACTTTTCAGAATTCCCATTTTAGATGGTGGAATCTCTATCTGCAAACTGTCAGTATTGTCATTATAAATTATAGCCTTTGCACAGTTCTGTGATTACATGGTTAACATGCAGCTGTTCTTGCTTCTATGTAACATGGAGAATATACAAACCATTCTACATATAATACACATCTCCATTGTGAAAAATGTCTTATGGAAAGTAAACCTAGGGGTCTCACTGAAGAGAACTGAGCTAATTTTCCGTTTCAAATTAACTATTAATAATTACATTTCACTTCCTTGGATGATTTGTAAGAGTGTTGACTTGGAAATTCTATGCTGCAAACTGCTGAGTGTTGTGGTTCCGACTCATGTTCCCCAGGAGAAGGATGGTAGTAATCAAGTCTCCTCCCTCTTAACCTTTAAAAGGTTAAAACCTGTAGGTACAATCCCAAGTATTCTGTTGCTAATGACACTGGCTTTGTGGACATACCTTCATGGGAGAAGGACCTGGCGAAGGCAGTGGCAACTGTGGGGCCCATCTCTGTTGCTGTTGATGCAAGCCATGTCTCCTTCCAGTTCTATAAAAAAAGGTAAGCATCTTTCTTCATAGAAATTATTGCAGAAAAAAAGTAAACCACCATGACATACCAGCATGATGGACTCTATACACGCAATAATCATACCTAATGCTTCCATTTGATATTACGTTGAACGTATGTCCATGAATACATGTACTTCATAACTTTTTATAAATAGCTATGTTATGTATAGTTTAATTTACTTAAATATTCTCTAATTGTTGTATTCTTAGAATTTTTCCAAAGTTTTTTTTGTGATTAAATCTGAAAAGAGCCTTTTGATTCAAGGATTTTGGTGTTCTGTGCTATTTTTAAGATTGATATTCTAGAGTAGAATTACAAGCTTAAAATGAGTGGTCTTTTATGCCTGTAAGAAAGTTTTTTTATGAGGGACTTATGCTAATTTCTATTTCTGCTAGTTGTGGATGACAGCCTAATTCCCTAGCCTTGATAACAATAGATCTTGTTAAGCCCGATCTGGACTGTGTGTCATTTCACTGATTTTAGAGTTGCCTCCCTCCCTGTGGGTGACAGGGTGGGTTACTCTCAGGTGTCCTCGGGAACTCCTCACCCAGCCTTCATTTTATTCTCTCGGAAATTTATTTTGAGCCACGCTGTGACTCTGAAGGCCTGGATCATGCTATGCTGGTGGTTGGCTATGGCTATGAAGGATCAGACTCGGATAACAAATATTGGCTGGTGAAGAACAGGTATAAATTGCCAGAAAGACTTATAGTTGAAATTCAAAAGGGAATCCTTTTTTGCAATCAATGTTTACATACCACAAGCCCTTAATCACATTTCTGAAATCCCAGAAGTCTTCATCCCCCTTAGGCAGAACACAGAATATTAATGATTGATTGTAACATCTAGATACTGTCACAAGCATGCTGGGGATATTAATATAGTATTTGTCCCATTGCATGTCTAAATTCTGAACATTTTCTTAATTCTGAAGCATATCTGGCTGGAAAGACATCCTATCCTTTTTCTGTTTCTGATTTTGCAGTTCCATGAAAGGTCACAGTTTTGGGTGTGGGATCGAAGTGATATGCAGGTTTTGACTCAAGAATTTATAAGGGATGAACAGGAACATCAGCATCTCCTGTTTCTTTATGTTAAGCCTGTGACTTCTGGCACACTGTTTAAGTTAATAACCCAACGTGCTTTATCCTGCCTCTGAAATGGAAAACCTGCTCTCCTTTCAGCTGGGGTAAAAACTGGGGCATGGATGGCTACATAAAGATGGCCAAAGACCGGAGGAACAACTGTGGAATCACCACAGCAGCCAGCTACCCAACTGTGTGAGCTGATGGATGGTGATGAGGAAGGACTCGACTGAGGATGGCACATCCAGAGGAGGAACTGATCTTCAATCTACCAGCCCCTGCTGTGTGAAATGCACACTTCAATCATTGAAGATCCAAGTGTGATTGGAATTCTGTGATATTTTCACATTGGTAAATATTACCTCTATTTTTATTACTGCTATAAACATGTTTGTATTATTGATTCACTTACTTTGTATTTTCATTTTAAAAGGATGTATACATTTTTACCTGTTTAAAATGTAATTTCAAATGTACTGGTGGGGCTTCTTTCTGTTTTGATGCACTGACTTTTTTGTGTAGTTGTATTAGTCTGTTTTTGCGCTGCTGATAAAGACATACTCAAGACTGTGCAATTTACAAAAGAAAGAGGTTTAATGGACTCACAGTTCCACATGGCAGGGGAGGCCTCATAATCATGGTGGAAGGTGAAAGGCACATCTCACATGGCAGCAGAAAAGAAAAGAAAATGAGCGTCAAGCGAAAGGGGTTTCCCCTTATAAAACCATCAGATCTCATGAGACTTATTCATTATCATGAGAACAGCATGGGAATGACCTGCCCCCATGATTCAATTACCTCCAATCAGGTCCCTCCCACAACATGTGGGAATTGTGGGAGCTAAAATTCAAGATGAGATTTGGGTGGAACACAGCCAAACCATATCAGTAGTCAAGCATGAAACTGGGCTCTAAGCCATACCTGCTCTGCCAGTGGTTCACTAGGAGGAACAGTGGGTGGCCTTCTGGCTCTTCTAGTAACAAATGTGCAGATCTCGTGTCAGCTGCCCAGTGGTTGTGTCTGACCCAACTCTTGATTGAAGCAAAATATGACAAATGATCCATAAGGACAAAGGAAAATTGTTTTAATAAAGAAAAAATTCACATTTTTCTTTAAAGTGATCAGACATACATGTAATTTCAATACTGAAAAAGAGCCTTAGAGATCATGTTTATCTCACCCATAGTGGTTGCAATCCAGTCAAGTTACAGGGCAAAGCTATCAGGGCCAGTTTCTGGAGCATCCTCCCCAGCTGCTGGTGAAGACCCCATGGCCACTTTGCAGTTGAGGTGAGACAAAGCACTAGTGCGTTGACAAGGCTGTTTGTCTTCGGGTCCTCAAGGGATGAGGGGTAAAATCCAGGGTGTGAAGCTGGGCTTCAGGAATGGTGTGCTGGCCTTAGACGGTGGAGGACCAGATGAGAGGACCCAAACTGAGAGTCTGTGGCCACATTTACACCAAGCTACCCTGTAAGGACCTGAATTATTTTAACAAACAGAAAAACTTCCCACATTGTATTGGCTGAAAGAGCACATAGTTTCATCGTCTGTGTTTTTTCAAAAGTCTCGTGTTCTCACTGAAAAAAATATAAAAGATAGTTAGAAGTGTTTAGTGAATAGACGCCATAATCTTGCAGGAAGAAAACTAGGTGGACAATGGGGTCTCATCCCACAAAGCCTCCAGCAGGCTCCTTTTAAGTTCATCTGAATTGGATCATGTGCCATGCTGGACTCTTATGTGCCCTTCCCTAGTCGTTGCTAAAACCATCTTTTTGACATAAAATGACAAAAGTGGCAACTGTGAAATTCTTTGGATTTTATAATAAAGGTAGCCCATGTTAGCAAGAAGATTGGGAAGATTCCCAAGGTAAATCCCTTAACTGTGCAGGCTGGGTCCTAGATTTGATACAGTTAGAATTTATGCAGCACCCAACATATGCAGGTTATCACCATGGTGGAAGAGAGAGGTCTTGACCTCAAAGAGCTGGAATTGTTAGGGAAAGGGAGGTAATGAGGGAGGGCTTCCAGGAGGAAAGGAAAGCCAACATCAACCAGAGCAGCCAGTCACTAAGGGAAGGTGAAGAGGTGAGCATCTTAGCAGAGACTAGCACATCAGTAACCCTGAGAAATGACTCTGCAGTGAGAGACCCTGCAGAGTGATTAGGTCCAGGTGTTGGGTGATGAAGCTTGCTAAGTGGAGTGTTTGAACATAGGAGGACCACTGGAGAGTGCAGGAACAGACTGTTCTGGTTCTCTATTACTGTTCTGGTTTTCTATTACTCTATTACTGTAAAACAAACCACCCAGAAACTCAGTGGCTTTGTAGAAACATCTTTCACATTTTCTGCCTGGACTTGGCTGTGTGGTTTCATGGGGAGACATCTGTAGGCTCTATCTGTGCTGGAGACATCTGTAGGACTTGACGGGACTAGACATCTGCAAAGGCTCACTCACACGGCTGGCCGCAGATGCTGGTGTTGGCTGGGCATTTAGCTTGGGCTGTTGACCAGAGCACCTGCCTAGGGCCTCTCCATGGCTTGGGCTTCTCATAGCATCAGTTCTGGGAAAAATGTATACATATACCTTGGCAAACTTTAAACACTGAATTGCACAAATGCTTATGTTCATCTTTATCATTAAATAAATTGATAAAGAAAAGTATTACGAGGAGATTTGGTCTCTTTTCTCCAGTAATACAGTTTAAAAATCTCATAATTAACATAATTAAAGTTTTTCTATACTTATACTTTCAATAAGTATTAGGCGTTTTTATTTATTTATTTACTTTTTTTGAGACGGAGTTTGGCTCTTGTTGCCCAGGCTGGTGTGCAATGGCGCGATCTCGGCTCACTGCAAGCTCTGCCTTCCAGGTTCAAACAATTCTCCTACCTCAGCCTCCCGAGTAGCTGGGATTACAGGTATGCGCCAGCATGCCTGGCTAATTCTGTATTTTTAGTAGAGATGGGGTTTCTCCATGTTGGTCAGGCTGGTCTCGAACTCCCAACCTCAGGTGATCCACCCGCCTCGGCCTCCCAAAGTGCTTGGTTCTAATCTAACCTGATTAAAATCTTTTTAAAAGCAGGACAAAAAATTCAACATTTTGTATGATTACAGCTACATTAAAATATATCTAGAAAATGCAGCTAGAGGAAATAAAAACTTTCATTGCCTCAAATTGCCGCAAAGCCAAGGGGCACTGCCCATGGCCAGGAAGGGTAAGCCCTGGAAGCACAGAGGTTGCTGACTCCCAGCCCAGCAGCAGCTGGACCCTCAGCCCCTCAGTGCCTGGTTTCTCCTTGCACATGAATCCAGGTCCCAGCATCTTGTCATTGACAGGAGCAGCCCTGGCTCACCCTCTTGGAAAACAGAAAGATGCTAATGGTTGCCAGCTGTGAGGCAACCTGAGGGCTCTGAAGACCTCCTGTGGGGCTCACACAGGGGCCAGAGCCTCAGCCTCTGACACCCGAGAATGGAATGGGCAGGATGGGTGGGGCAGAGAAGAAGAAAGTTCTCCAGATGTCCTGGTTAGTCACCCTGATCCTTGGAAATACACACTCAAGGCTGAATCAGGGAGAATCAAGTCTCTTGGCCAGAAAAACAAGCCATTATGGCCAGCGAAGCCCTCGCTAAGCACACACAAATACACATATATGTGCATCCACAAACGCATAGAATTACACACATGCCCAATACACACACATGTACATGCACACAAACTCATTATACAAATGAACATGTATGCACAAGACACACCTATACACATACACTTATGTACAGATACCCAAATGCACACATATTCACACCCTTACACAATACACATGTATATACATGTACTCCTGACACATATTCACACACATGTGCACACACACATGCATACACACCACAGTATAATACACTTAGTAGAGTAGCATCAGGGGATCTCAGTTGTGGTCAGATGGCCTTACACTTAGTCCGAATTGTTAATAATTGAACTGTGTAATTTTGTCTAAATCTTTTCATTTCTGCTTCCAGCCCCCAAAAGAGTGTGGTTGACTCAAATCATCTGGAAGTTCTCTTTAGTTGTAAAATTCTGTGATTTCAATGGGAAAAGACAGTATCAGGGTACTGAGCTCCTTCTCTGTACCCTGAGGAGGATCCTGGGGGCTGGAGTCACAGCATAGGGTGCTTGTGAGGCCATCCTCACCCAGCGCCAGCCCCAAGAGTGTTGCCACCAGGGATAGCCCAGCGTCCCCACAGACCTCTGCTGTGGGCATTCCTGTGACTTCTTCCCTGCCCCTCCTCCCCACGCCCATGCACTTCCTTCCTTTCTGATCAAGAATATGCCTTGGGAGCAAGTAGGCAGGAACCAGCAACCTTCTGAGGCCCAGAGCTTCCAGAAAAAGGTCAGCAGCTGTCTGTCCTGGGGACGTTTCCTGGTGGAGGTGGAAGGGGGCTCACTGCTCCTTAACACCCTCTTTCAAGAGTGCCTCCCTAGTTTACTTTTTCTGGCCAGGGCATTCATTTGGAGCAGACAAGCCCATCCCCTGTCCCAACTCAACATCTGGAAGTTGCTGGGTCATGGGCTCCAGGTGTTGTTTGGAGCCTCTCATCAAGTGACTTTTGGTTGTGATGACAAAGTTGGACTGCATCTCAGGTTGCCACCCAAACCTCAGCTACAATCTCTACAAATTGCTCCTGAAAGCAAATTTCACAGGCAGCTGTGGAGCTGAGCCCATGGCCTGGTAGGTGAGCCAGGATGTGGCCCTCACTGGGCATTTCATCCCTGTTGCCAGCACGGGGCTGGCACCATACTGGTACCCAACAGTCCCTTGTTGGAAGGATGAATTTGAGCACCCTACTACTCATGAACAGCTTGGCCTGATTAAGTTCTCAAGAATCCAAAGGCCTGCAAAGACTATGACATCCTCCCATATATGAATTCAAACTGAACAAAAACCCTGCGAACAAACAAACAAAAGAGCCAAGGAACAATCACTTCCCACTAGGAAGACCACCTTATAGGTGGTTATTTTGGAAATAACAATCTTTCACTTTTCTTATCCCCCGTTTCTCTGGGGGTTCTGCTTTGCTGGGCTGCTCTAAATACAATGGGTAGTCCTATACGTTACTCTGCCAGCTTTATTGTTACCTGGGCATTTTTAGGTTCCAGCTTTATCTTTTTATTTTTATTTTAAAAATGTGGTAAAACATAAATAACATAAAGTTGATAATTTTAACCATCTTGAACTGCACAGATTGGTGGCATTAAATACATTCACATTTTTATGCAACCAACACCACCATCCATCCATGAATACTTTCATCCTGCAAAGCAGAAACCATCTTTTTACTCCCCTAGCAATCATGCCCTGCTCTCTAGCCTATGTTTATTTCATAGTACATAGAATATCCTAGAAGCAGAGAATCTGAGCAATGGAGGGCACCTGGTAAGGCTATCTCTTCCAAACACCTGCCCTTCAGCAAAACCACATCTGGGGTAGACTGAGCCAGACAGAATCAACCTTGTTTTTAAATGTACAAAGCTAGGCCTTCTTTGGAAGTCACATATTTGAAATATCAAGTCAGAAAACTCTTCTTCTACAGTAAAAGTTTTCTTTATCATTTCCTCAGTTACTGTTTTTCTTTTCCAGATTGAAAATAACCAGTTACTGTCCTCAGGGAATCAACAATCTCATGAGCAATGACTTCCTGGGAGGCCGTGGTTCTCAAACGTTAGCCCACCTTAGTGTCAGCTGGAGGGATTATGAAAGCCCAGAACGCTGCACCTACCTGCAGAGTTTTAGATCCCAGAGGTCCAAGGAGGGCTCCAAAAGTTGCATTTCTAGCAAATTCCCATGTGATGCTGATGCTGTTGGACTGGGGACCCCATTTTAAGAAATGCTGTTATAAGGCCCAGTGCTAGGAAATCTGAAGGATAGAAATATGCAGGTACCTAAGAGGTGGGAGCAAATGGAATTAACAAGGTAAATGGGTTCACCTCCATGTGGAAGGTGCCAAACGCCCTTCACATAAGCCCTTTGCTGTCACAGAGCTCACAAGCTCAGGGTGCAGTACAGGAGGCCGATGTGAACGGGATGTCAGCCGTTCACACCGGGAACTGTGTGGGCACTGCAGGGGAGAACAGCGCTCAGGCTGGGTGAGGAAGGGGCCGGGGATGGCTTTCTGCAGACCTGGAAGCGTCAGGAGCCATTCCTGGGTGGATTCTTAAAGAAAAGAAGGTGTCCAGACAAAGAGGCCAGGCGAGGCACGTGCTCTTCCAGCAGAGGAACAACCTGGAACTGAAAAGGGGACATGGAGCATTCACGGGGCAGCAAGCTGTGCAAGTGTCCCCAAGAGGAGCATGGAAGTGAGACAATGAGGACAGAGTGCAGAGGTGGGCAGGGCGAGACTCAGAGGGCATGGCAACACAGGAAGAGGAGCCCAGGCGATATTCTGAAATCTCCTTTGACATCGAGGACAGAGGAAGCTTTGCTAAGACTCCATATAAGGGAGCATTAGAGAGGAAAGGAGAAGCGGGAACACAGCTCTCCCCAGTCCTCTAGATCCTATAGGATCCCCTATAGGATCCCCTATAGGAACCCCTATAGGATCCTATAGGATAGCCACTATAGGATAGCCTAGGTGCAGACAAAATTCCCTTTCCTTTTCGTTTTGTTGAAAGATTTTGGAATTGCGGGGAGGGAAACTTGTAAAGACACTGGGCAAGCCTAGAACCAAAATGAACACAAAGAGAATATGGAAGTTGAGTCTGGAGGTGAACAGAGGAGGCTTCCAGCTCCCTTGTGCAGGCTGTGCAGCCTTGAGCATGTTACTTCTTGTGCCACAGTCTCTGTATTTAACAGAGACCTGATTCCCTCACAAGACCCACAGGACCTCACAGGGCTGGCCTCCCTGCTGTTTTCAGCCTGAGCTCACAGGCACTGGCTCTTACTCTTCCTGCTCCCACTCCATAAGCCTCTTTCAGACTGGGTTTGCCAGGCTGTCTTCTGCCCCAACCCTTTCCCCAGGTGGTTTCCTCCATCTGGAGTAGTCTTGCCCTCGCCTGACTAATTAACTACATTAAATCTAAGACTCACTCCCTCAGGGCAATCTGATCTCCCTGCATAGGTTAAATCTCTACTCTTAGAGAGTTTTAAGCATTGGGAACTTTTACTTGATAGCACTTAGCAGTTGTTATTTCTGTAATTAGTTGTTGAATGTCTCTTGTACTAGAACAGGGGTTAGCAAAGCATAGCCAGCTTTGGCCTGAAGTCTGATTTTGTAAATAAAATGTTAATGGAGGAGATGAGGTGCCTACAGGGTCATATTGCTGGACATGTGGAATAACCGATAAAGATCAACATATTTTGATTCATTTGGATGATTGACGTAACAGAGAGCTTCCATATCCTCTCAAGGCCTGTATTTTTATCTATTTAACAGTTTTTTTGGTGCCAGGGAGTGACATTTTCTTTGTTATGGAGAAATATTTTTTTAAAAAAAGAATGCACAGGGAGTTAATATGAAATATTGTGTTCTCACCAAGTGAAGGCCAAAAGACTTCATTACAGGATGCACAAAGAAAGCCTCTGTGTAACTTACATAAGGACAAGTGGTGGAAGCATCCAGTTACTGCAAAGCAGGCCGCTAACAGGCGGGTGTCAGGAGAGTCTGCACGTGGGCAGGGAGTGCCACTTTCTCACGGCGGAGGGGAGTGACTGTTCTGCCTTTTTTCCATTACATTAAAATTGTCATTTGAATTTTATGAGGCCCCTATATTTGTTGATCTGCAAGTTTCTCTAGGTTTTATTGTTGCAAGATATCTATATGCATACATTCTTTATCTTTAGTTTTAAGGTTACATATAATTTATATATAATATTTAATAAAAATTAAAATATATGATATAATAAAATATATACACACATGAGCAGAGGCAGAGCAACAAGAATAAGGTTTTAAGACACACAATCAGGAGAGAGAAGGGCCCATCAAAGTAAATGGACAAGGGGAAGGGGGCACCTGTAAATAGCGGGCATCCTGCCAGTGCAAAGAATAGAAACCTGGCTGGGGGCTTGGGTCAGCCAGATGAACAGTCAAGCTAGGGAGGGCACAGCTGATGATGACACATGCTGGCTGCTGCTTCTGTCCAGAGGGAAATGTCTCAAATACATTGTGGTTCTGATTGGGCTCATCAGCCTCACACCCTCCAACACACACACACACATACTTTGAGGTTTTGGGCCTCTGGCTTCCGTAAGGAGAGAGCAGCTTAAATTTAACTTCGAGGGGCTGAGCCCCTTCCTCCAGGAGCAGTGTCCATTCATGGGGACCATATGTAGAGGGAGACTTGCTGCTTATTTGTTCCCCATCGTACCACCTGTGTGTACCAGTGGGTCTCAGGTGCTCTTTCTGAGTGGGGACCCTAATTGTGTTCAGTCACAGCAGTTGTGGTGCCGTCCCCCATCGCACCATCTGTTCTGGAGGAGGATGTTGCAGAGGCGCTGCTCCCTAAACTGGAGGTGCCTTGAGGAGCCCTGATGGGAAGGCTCGGAAAAACAGGGCACCGGGGACAAAGGTTTTTCATTGCTGCCCATCAGGGGGCCCCAAGTGTGGGCTGAGGGGCAGGGCTGGAGAATATGAATGTAGCCGGGCAGACGTAGGCTGATGTCTTTCCAGGGTGCCTCTACTGTGCACTGAATTTGGGAAATTAAGAGTGCTCACTCTGGAGCTTGGTGAAGATCTGAAAATCACAGCAGGAGTCGTGTCCATAGCAAAGAGCTGAGGGCCTAAAGGAGGCTGCAAGGTCAGGTGGTCAGATGCCCTTGCTGTGATGGTGGAAATGGCTGCTGTGGAATTCATCTGCTGATGGGTGATATCAGGGATCCCGGTGGAAGGGACTGGGAGAGGAGTCAGGGAGGAAAGAGGAGGAGAAGAATGCACACATATGGGTGTAGGAGGCTCCCATCTGAAGGGAGGCTGGAAGGAGAAAGATGCGGGGCTAGGAGGTGTGGGGCAGGGGTCAGACGCACTGAAACTGCAGCTGAATGAGGGCAGCCTCCTTTCTCATTAGGTGGAACCCCCAAAATGGGGGCAAGGTCAGTGGGAAGAGCCAGGGAAGAGTTAGGAATTATGGATATCAAATTTAACTCAATTCTTGGTGTGGGCAAAGGTGGAGGGACAGGCAGGGTGAGGGGCCCAGCAGCCACATGGGCCAAGTCAGAGGTAGGAGGAGGAGCTGGGATCTATGAAGTGTAAGTGGCCGGGGGCAGGGAGTCTCAGCAGGTGTGGAGACAGCAGGGGCAGGCTGGGTGGCACTGCAGTTTGCCATGTCTTACTTTTTTTTTTTTTTTTTGAGACGGAGTCTCGCTCTGTCGCCAAGCTGGAGTGCAGTGGCACGATCTTGGCTCATTGCAACCTCCACCTCCCAGGTTCAAGCCATTCTCCTGCCTCAGCCTCCCAAGTACCTGGGACTACAGGAGGGAGCCACCATGCCTGGCTAATTTTTGTATTTTCAGTAGAGACGGTGTTTCACCATGTTGGCCAGGATGGTCTCCATCTCTTTTTTTTTTAATTAAAAAGTAAACTTTAGCCATGTGTGGTGGCTCAAGCCTGTAATCCCAGCACTTTGGGAGGCCGAGGCGGGTCGATCACAAGATCAGGAGATTGAGACCAGCCTGACCAACATGGTGAAACTCTGTCTCTACTGAAAGTACAAAAAAAAAAAAATTATCCTGGCATGGTGGTGCGGGCCTGCAATCCCAGCTACTCAAGAGGCTGAGGCAGGAGGATCGCTTGAACCCCGAGGGCGGAGGTTGCAGTGAGCCCAGATCATGCCATTGCACTCCAGCCTGGGCGACAGAGCGAGACTCCGTCTAAAAATAAATGAATAAATAAATAAATAAATAAATAAATAAATAAAAGTAAACTTTAATGTCGAAAATGCAAACTTGGGGAGGGCAGAAAGATCACACACAAGGCTGTCACTTCACACTTGGACGGTTGCACAGCAGCCGGGCAGAGGCGCCCCTCACTTCTCAGATGGTGGGGCAGCTGGGCAGAGGCACTCCTGACCTCCCAGACGTGGCTGCTGCTGGGCAGAGGTGCTCCTCACTTCCCAGACAGAGGGGCGGTGGCAGGGCAGAGGCGCTCCTCACTTCCCAGATGGTGTGGGGGCAGGGCAGAGGCGCTCCTCACTTGGCAGAGGGTGGGATTGGGCAGAGGCTCTTCTCACTTCGCAGACCTTGCGGGGGCAGGGCAGAGGCGCTCCTCACTTCCCAGACGGTGGGATTGGGCAGAGGCGCTCCTCAATTCCCAGATGGCGGGATTGCCGGGCAGAGGTGTTCCTCACTTCCCAGATGATAGGCGGGCAGGGCAGAGGCATTCCTCGCTTCCCAGATGGTGGGGTGGCCAGGCAGAGGCGCTTCTCATTTACCAGACAGTTGGGTTCCGGGCAGAGGCGCTCCTCACTTCCCAGACAGTGGGCCTGCCCGACAGAGGTGCTCCTGACCTCCCAGATGCGGTGGCTGCTGAGCTGGGGCCTCCTTACTTCCCAGACGCTGCAGTGGCCAGGCAGAGGTGCTCTTCACTTCCCAGACTGTGAGGCGGCCAGGTAGAGGCGCTCCTCACTTCCCAGGCGGTGCCTAGCCAGGCAGAGGCACTCCTCACTTCTCAGGCGGTGGGATGGGGGGTGCGGGGGGAGTGCTGGGCAGAGGTGCTCCTCACCTCCCAGACGGGGCGGTGGCCAGGCAGAGGTGCTCCTCTCTTCCCACACAGTGGGGCGGCTGGGCAGAGGTGCTCCTCACTTCCCAGACTGTGAGGCGGCTGGGCAGAGGCGCTCCTCACTTCCCAGATGGTGCAGGGACCAGGCAGAGATGCTCCTCAGGTCTCAATCTCTTGACCTTCTGATCCACCTGCCTGGGCTTCTCAAAGTGCTGGATTACAGGCGTGAGCCACCACACCTGCCCTGCCATGTCTTCTTTCTCCCCTCAAGCAGCTGTTTTCATCTCTTGGACATCCCCATGTTCTTATCCATGTTGCCTTGCTGGAGGCGTCCTTCCCCTTGGGAAGCCTGACCCAGCTCCAACAGTGCCTCAGGAGATAGGCAGGGAAGCTTAGCGGGTGGGGGCGGCTCGTCTCTATCCCACCTCAGTTGCAGGGGAGGGGTTGGTTGCAGCTGCGGCAGTGGCCCCAACAGTTTTCTTTTGCGGGACCTGTGGGACCTGTAGCCGGTAGCTCTGGGTGGAGAAGACCTACTTGATCCAAGAGCTGCAGGATCCTTGGGCTGCATGTCCTTCCCCACCATCAGCAAACCTGGAGAGCTGGGCAGGTGGTCTTTACCCAGCACCTTCAAGGCCGCCTTCTCTGGCCACAGGGAGCAGCCTGGAACTGGGGCAGGGAGCACTGTTGGAACTGGGTCAGGCTTCCCAAAGAGAAGAATGCCTCCAGCAGGGCTGTGTGAACTGGCGACTCCATGGCCCTTGGAGTAGAAACTCACTGCATGTACCTGGGCCTTGTCAGTCTGGTTGTTTTCTGTCAAGCTCTTGAGCTGGACATTTCCCTCCAAGGGCCTGGGATTGTACCGGGGGGAAGTGGGGTTTCCCTGAGTCTCCAGGGGCCTAGAGGTGGAGGCTGCTTCCCCATTGCTACAGGGGCCCCTTTTATTGTCTTCCTGCTCCTGGGTCTCTACCTGGTCTTTGACCTCCGTTGCTTCTTTGGGCTCTTCTGCCCTCACCTCCATCTTCGGAAGCCTGGCTGGGATCACCTGCTCATCTAATGAAGGAAGTCTGAGGTTAAACTTGCCTCTGAGATGAGGGATCCTCACGGGGCTGAGGTGTCCAAACATCCTGGAGTTGCGAGCAGACAGCACGGGTTTCTTCCTTGAGGGGGGGCTCCAGAACACAGAAGGCAGGACCCTCAGTGGGGTGCCCGTGTTCTGAGGGAGAAAACACAGCCTCCTAGGGGCGCCATACCGCCTGGCTGGAAAAGAAGGCCCAAGATGTTGCCGAGGGTTGAAGAGGAATCGGTAACAGCCCAAGGTTCCCAGGGCAGGCACAGGTGCAGGAGCCATGGGGTGAGCCCAGCCAGCTGGGAAGGCCTCACGGACAAGACGAGCAGGTTGCTGATGGTATGGCGGGGACCTGTGGTGGAACCAGGAACAAAATACGCTTAGAAGAGCACGTTGCCAATCGCGTGGCCGGAACCTGCGGCGGAACCAGGAACAAAATACGCTTAGAAGAGTAAGTCGCCGATGGCATAGCCGGCACCTGCGGCGGAACCGGGGACGAAATACGCTTAGAAGAGAATGTCGCCGATGGTGTGGCCGGGACCTGCTGCGGAAGCAGGGACAACATATGCTTAGACGAGAACATTGCCGGTGGTGTTGCTGGGTCATGCGGTGGAAGCAGTAACAACATACGCTTAGAAGAGCAGGTTGCCGATGGCGTGGTTGAGACCTGCGGCGGAACCAGGAACAAAATATGCTTAGTGAGTTGCCCATTTCGAGCGAGTTGTGCACAGACGAAACCAAGGGTCAGAAGTGGAGAGGATACTCCTAAGTCACCCACTTCTCCGTGGCCAGGTGTCCACTGGGCACCTGGGAATTTATAACATCACCTTGGGGCTGGTGACAGAGCCAGGGTGTGGAGGAGTGAGCGGGAGCCCAGCGAGGGTGCCTACAAGAGGAGTCAAAGGGCAAAAGGCAAGGCCCCTCCACCGGTCCAGCTGGACTCTCTAGCCTCAGGGACGTCCCACTCCTGGGGGCAGGTGTGTGGCCCTGGATGGCCCCCCTGTGATGCTGTGGAGGGTGTGGGGCTGATCTGCCAGAGCCCTTCCCGCCTGGCATCTGGCCCAGGTGCTGGCTGACACCCAGTGGCCCTGTCTTGGCCAGCCCTCTCCCCTGGGTTACAGGGCCAGAACCTGGAAGCAGAGCGCAGGACCAGCCAGATCCCGCCAGGCTCCCCGGGGGCCTCTCCAGTGCCTCTATGCCACCTGGAGCCAGGCCCACTTTCTCCATGGCTGCCGTGGCCTTAAGGGCCACGAGGCTCGCTGTGCAGGCTTCCAAGGAGAGGACGCGGTACCCTGACCTGACTGGATGCTGCCCCTTACCACATCCCTTCCTGGCAGGCAGGGTCTCCACTTCTTCTTACAAATTTGCCTGAGACCGTTCCTTAGGTCATCCAGGTGGTCATGGTCCAGCCAGGCTTTGAACCCAGGTTGTGCGATTCCACAGCTGGTGCTCTGGCCTGTGTGCCTCCTGATCATGGATACAGCGTGTATTCTTATTTTTTCCTGTAGCCCGGGGGTACTTAGCATGGTGGCATATCTGTAATAAGCACATGCACACCTAGAAGGAGGTCTTCACTTCAACATATAAGTTGACCATGGCCCACTCTGGGCTCCAGTCCTCTGCAAAGATGTAGGGCAGGGACTACCAGTTGCCAGCACAGCATCATTCCACATTGCTCTTCTAATGGAGCCTTTCAGCCCAGATGTTCTTTCTCGTCTGGTGGGTTCTCTCTCGACTCGTCCAAATATGTAACGATTATGTTCTAGATCAGCTCTGGTCTATCCTAAAAGAAATTCGCCAGTGGATTATACCATATAGATAAAAGTCTGTTTCTCTGGTCTTCCTAGAATGGTCTAGAAAGCAAGTACATTATTTACAAGTTAATAGTGGATCAATGTACTGGATTAAAATATGACCAACGTAATTTGGTTGTTGTGAGCATGCCAGCTCGGTCCACTCTTCACCACACTTTATGATACCCTAAATATAACTCTAGATTTGCTTATGCCCAAGAGGAGGACATACTCTTGGGTGTCTGGACTAGGGAAACAGGTATGAAAAACCATTCGGCCACTCTACATCTTTTTATTGGAGAATTGAAACCATCTATATTCAAATATATTATTAAAAGGCAAGAAGTTACTTCTGTCATTTTGTTAATTGTTTTCTGGTTGTTTTGTAGATCTTTTGTTTCTTCTCTTATTGTTTCCTTTATGGTTTGGTGAGTTTCTGTACTGATAAGCTTTGATTCCTTTATTTCATTGACACATCTGGTGTAATTTTTTTCTCTTGGGTTACACTGTAGCTCACATTAAAAAATTTGTAGTTATGATAGACTATTTAAAGCTGATAAAAAGTTTTGATCACACACAAACATGCTGTACTCCCCCCACATCCCCTGTCAATGCACAAAATTTGCACTTTTTTGTCTCAATTTATATTGTTCTGTATTGGGTATTTATTAAGAACTATCATTTCAGTAACGTAGAATTCTCCATTTGAATGTGAATTTACTTTTAACTGGTTGATAGTGTCCTGTGTTTTTGCACTAGTAGTTATTGTTCTTTCACTTGTGATTGAAGCATTCCCTTAAGCATTTCTTGTCAAGCTGGTCTTATGGTGACAAATTCCATAAGCATTTGCTTGTCTGGGAAAGCCTTTATTTCTTTAATTTGTGATAGGCAGCTGTGCTAAGTACAGTACTCTTTGCTAACTGATTTCTCATTATCACTTAGAATATATCATCCTAATCTCTCCTAGCCTTCAAGGTTTCTGCTATGAAAACTCCTGATAGTCTAAAGGAGAATTACTTACTTGTGATTTGATGCTTCTCTCTTGCTAATTTTAGAATGTTTTTCTTTGTGTTTGACTTTTGACAAATTGATTATAATGTGCCTTAGAAAAGGCCTTTTTGGGTTGAATATGTATGGGACCCTTTAAGCTTCATGGATGTCCATATCTCTCCCAAGAATTGGGAGATTTTCAGCTATTATTTTGTTAAATAAGTTTTCTGTGTCTATCTGTCTCTTCTCTCTGTTTCTCTTCTATATTGCAAAAATTTGTTATCTTAATGCCATGGCACAAGTCTCATAGGCTTTCTTTGCTTCCTTTTATTCTTTTCTTTCTCCTTTTTTCCCTCAGGCTGGGTTATTTCAAAAGTCCTGTCTGCAAGTTCAGAAATTCTTTCTTTTGTTTGATCTAGTGTGCCACTGAAGCACTCAGTTGTACTTTTTATTTCATTCAGTACTTCATTCCTAAGGTTTCTGTTGGTTTGTTTTTTTAAATGATATCTGTATCTTTGTTGAATTTCTCATTCAGGTTATAGCTTGTTTTTTATTATTATTTGATTAAGATTTCAATGTGTATTCTCTTGTATCTCATTGAATTTTCTTAAGATCAATATTTCAAATTCCTTTTAAGGCAATTTGAAAATTTCCATTTATTTAGGGTAACTTTGTGAAGAATCATTGTGCACCTTTGGTGGTGTCAAGTTTCATTGCATTTTCATGTTCTTATCTCCTATGTTTATATTTATGAGACTGTTGACATGGTTACCTGTTCTAATTGTATAGAGTAGTTTATGTAGAGAAAGACTTTCACCTGGAGATGTATCTTAGGGTGTCAGTTGGATGGGCTGCATCTGCTTTAGTTCCAGGAGGACACAGTAGTGTAGTATCTGTGCTTTTCTCTTGCCATTTTTTTTTCTTTTGCTAGTATCCATTTTGGTGATACCTGTGAGTGCCTTGGTGACCTAGGCTGCAGGAGCATGTGCAGTTTGTTTTCCTGCTCTGGATCGGGGGTTGTGGGGGAAGGCAGCGGTCTCAGGAAGCTGCATGCCTAGCTAGTGAGTGTGTTACTGAGTCACAGGGGTTGGTTCACCAGTTTGAGATGGGACTCCCCTGGAAACACTCGCCTGGCTGTGGATTACTGGGGCTGCTCTGCAGGCTTGAGATGCGGATCTCTTGGAAGCAACAGGCCCAGGTGGTGAGCACACCGATGGCACAAGAAATCAGTCCACAGTTAAGAGTGTTGCAGTCACTAGGATGTGGAAGGCAAACCTCTTTGAGAGTTTGTTTCTAGGACATAGAGAGCAATAGCTGCTTTCCTGGAGAATCCTATTGTAATGACAGGGTAGCCTCTGGAATGGAAGGAGGCAGTGACCACTAGTTCGTGGAGCAGAATATACTCAGCTATGGCTTGGACGTCTAGGTGGTGCTGTATGTGGGCTCCTCCTCTGGGGCAGTATAGCCCTGTGGACACCAAGCAGCTCCCTAAACTGAGCTGAGAATCTGTGGGCACTTAAAGGAGTTCCCAGCAACAAAGAATGCAGGTGTCCACAATGTTAATGGGCCTGCTGGAGTTTGTTTGCTTACCTTTTTCCCACTGAGGAAATGGTCTTCTTGTTCCCAGCTGATCCCAACTAGGAAGACTGTGTGGCAGAAGCAGGCTATTTTGCTTTCCTCTTTATTTGGCCACCCCTAACGGTTTCCTTGACCCTCAGGTTTTCTGTCTCTTCCCTGCTGTCCAGGGTTCTCTCTCAAACACTCCAGTCCAAATGAACTTGTTTAGTCACTGTTTTTGTCCTTTTTTCTGGAGGACACAGGCATTAACCTCCTCTCATGTGCCATCTTGCTAGGCCTTCCATGACCTTCTTTTTCAAAAGTGGGATGGAATGAAATGGAAGGGAATGAAATAGTGTAGAATAGAATTGAATATGTGAGAGTGCATCAAGCATTATTTCATAAAACTTTTGTTTTCACTTATAAATATGGGGGTACTCAGAGTCACAATATAAATTTTCTATTTTTACTTGGAGTCAAAAAGTTTGAATTTGTAGGCATATATAATACGTTAGTAGCAGCTGACGTATATACCTGTTGAATATACCTGTTGAAATACCAATGTGAGGGAGTTATCTGTTGCCTTTTTGATATAAAAATGGGGCTATTAATATATTTAGATCAGTGGTGTAACTTTTAGATTCATATGTCTATTCTTAGTCTCTCCACTTTCCACAGTGTCTCTTGTCCTCACGTGTGGGATCAGAGCTTTAGGCCTCACCTTTCCTGCATCAGGAGAAGCTACATCTTTCCATGCTGTGCTCATGCTGGTTTTTGCAAACCTGAAGCTCCAGTTCTTGTGATTCGATCATGTGCTAATTTACTCAAACCTTTGTACCCAGTTTGGTAAAGCAAAGTCCACCAAACAGCAGGGATGAAGGGGCCTTTGCAAGATCACTAGAACTTTCCTTGCCTCCAGGGCCGGGAAGAGCCTGGGCCTTCCATGGAAAGACCTGGAGAGATTGGCTCACTGCTGAGGAGGCTGCTGCTCTTCCCTTAGGTCAGGGAACAATTTTCGTGTTTCAAATAAGCTCTTTGTTCCAGATGTTGGGGCTTCTGGGTCTAGGGATTTGTAGCTGCTTTGAAATCATTTGCAAGACATATGGAGCCAGATTGCTTCAGTAAGTACACCCTGGACAGGACCTGGACCCAGACTTTGCCAGCACCACCCAGCGAGCCTGTTTGTGTTGCCTGTGGCGTTTGGCTTGAGTTTCAGGGGACTACTTTCTGTTGGGACCCAATATAAGGTGGCTGCATGGACATGTTTTGATCCTAGTGCTGTAGGACAAGGAAGGAAGAGTAGAGAAACAAGGAGAAGGCAGGAGATGAAGGGTTGTTATGAGCAAAGGTGGACCACCTTGATTTCATGAAATTCATACTATTTCAATGATTTGCTTAAAATAAAATTTTGTTGTACAAATTGCAAAAGCAAAGGTGACTTATTATAGAATATTTACAAACTTCAGAAAACTGAAAAATCAGACACTAATAAAATTTACTGCAATATATAAAATAGTAGATGATCCTATGGAATGAGACTGTGTTCTCGGATGGCAGAATATGACTAAAGATTTCATGTTTCTCAAGTTATACAAATTTAGTATAATTACTGTAAGCAACTGAATGAGATGAAGCAGAATAAAATTTTTATTTCAAAATTTTGATGGAAGACGAAATCAAACATTATCAAGGTTAATCAATACAATCAAATAAGAGGTACAGGTTAGAGGGTATCAAAGTAAATCACAATATTTATCACAATTTGATAGTAAATAAAGATATTGCTGATTTTAAGTGGGGGAAAGTTTATTTAGTAAATGAGCCTGGTAGAACTGGTTATTTTTCTGGAAATAAATAGTATTGGCCTCCTATTTCCTTTTGTCGGCCGACAAAAGGATTTATGCAAATTTGTATTTCTGCTAGCTTTAGATGAGAGCCTTGATAACAGTAGATACTCTTGTTAAGTTCTATCTGGAATGTGTGTCATTTCACTGAATTTAGAGATGCCTTTATACCTTTGGATGACAGGGTGGGTTACTGTCAGGTGTCTCCTAGAGCTTCTCACCCCAGCCTTCCTTTTACTCGCCCAAGTGTTTGAGCCACAGTGCAGCAGTATAAAAATGGATTTTGCTCTTTTGGTGGCTGGCTATGGCTATGAAGGAGCAGAATTGAATAAAGATAAATACTGGCTGGTGAAGACCAGGTATAAACTGCCAAAAATACTTCTATTTGAAATTCAAAAGGGAATTTTTGTTTAGAATCAGTATTTTGCACACAGGTCTTAGACTCTTTATCCTATTTAGGTTAAACACAGAATATTAACGTTTGATTATACAGTTAGGATATTGTCACAAGTGGTATCAGTGTAATATTTTTACCTTTGCATTGCTACATTCTGAAATTTTTCTAAATCTTGAAACATATCTGGCTGAAAAACATCCAATTATTTTTCTTCCTCTGATTTTGCAGTTCTGCAAAAGGTCACAGATAGGATAGAAGTTATGTGTAGGTTATGACTCAAGAATGTATAAATGATTAACAAAAACATTGGCCTCTCCTGATTCTTTCTGTTAAGCCTGTGGCCTCTCGCACACTGTTTAAGTTGGGTCTTCCTGTTAACAGCCCAGTGGATTTTATTCTTTCACTGCAACAGAAAACCTGCTTTTCTTTCAGCTGGAGTGAAGACTGGGACATGCGTGGCTACATAAAGATGGCCAAAGACCAGAATAACAACTGCAGAATCGCCATGCTGGCCAGCCTTCCTATTGTGTGAGCTGATGGATGGTGAAGAGGAAGGACTTGACTGGGGATGGCACATACATGGGAGGAATTCATCTGAAATCTACCAGCCCCTGCCATGTGGGATGCACACTGGAATCACTGAAGATTCAAGTGTGATTTGAATTCTGTGACGCTTTCGTAATGGTAAATGTTACCACTATTTTGATTACTGCTATAACCAGCTTTGCATTATTGATTCACTGAATGACTTTAGATTTCTTTTTTGCTTTAAAAGGATGGAAAAAATTTTACCTGTTTAAATAAAACTTAATTTCACTTGGAGTGGAGGGGCTTCTTTCTGTTTTTGATGTTTTGACGTTTGGTAGTGTAGTCAAGCATGTAATTGAGCTCTAAAGATGGAACTGCTGTGCCACAGGTTCACTAGGAGGAAGAGTGGGTGGCCTTCTTGCTCTTCTACTTACAGATATGCAGATCTCATGTCAGTTGCCCAGCGGCTATGTCTGACCCAATCTTTGATTGGAGAAAAAACTGACAAATGACCTATGAGGACAAAGGAAACCCATGGTCTTTGCAGTGGAGGCAGGACAGGGCACTAGGGCATTGCCAAGGCTGTTTGTCTTTGGGTCCTCAAGGGACAAGGGATAAACTCCAGGGTTTGAGGCTGAGCTTCAAAGGTGGTGTGCTGGCTTTGGAAGGTGGAGGACCAGATGAGAGAACCAGAAATGAGGATCTATGGCTGCATTTAAACCAAGCTGCCCTATCCCTGAATAATTTCTTAATAAATAGGAAAAACTTCCCACATTGTACTGGCTTAAAAAGCACATAGTTTCATCATCTGTGTGTTTTCCACAATCTCATGTTCCCCCTCAAGAAATATAAACAATAAGTGGAAGTGTTTAGTGAATAGACTCTATATCCCAGAGGAGGGTAACCAGGTACACAGTGGGGTCTCAGCTCACAAAGCCTCCAGCAGGCTCCGCCCAGGTCCATTTGGATTGGACCACATGCCATGCTGGACTCTCCTGGGTCCCTCCTGAGTAGTTGCCAAAATTTCACACTTTTTGACCTAAAATGACAAGTGTGGCATCCGAAGTGAAATTCTTCGGATTTCGTAATGAAAATAGCCAGTGTGGTAGCAGGGAGATTTGGGAGACTCCAAAGCTAAATCTATTGTACTGATTGGGACCTAGGTTTGATATAACTTGAATTTATACAGCATCTGCTATGTGCAGGTCATCACCACAGTGGAAGAGACAGGCCCTGACCTCAAGGAGCTGCAGCTGTTAGAGAGAGGAGGTCATCAGGGAGGGCCTCCAGGAGGAAGGGAATGCAGGCATCAGTCAGAGCAGCAGTCAGTATGAGAAGGTGAAGTGAGCATCTTAGCAGAGACTAGCATGTCAGCAACCCTGAGTCAAGACCCTGTGGTTAGAGACCCCGAGGAAGCAACTGCATCCAGGGTTTGGGTGATGAAGCTTGCCCAGTGGAGTGTTTGGACACAGGGGAACCACTGAGGGGGCGGATGCAGTGAACAGACTGTTCCAGTTCTTTTTGTCAAACCACCCGAAACCCAGCGGCTTTGAAGAAACATCTTGCACATCTGCCTGGACTCGGCTGCGTGGTTTTTACATAGAGGTCTCTATCTGTGCTGGAGACATCAGTAGGCTTGACTGGACTGGACATCAGTGAGGACTCACTCACATGGCTGGCCACAGATGCTGGTGTCAGGTGGACATTCATCTTGAGCTGTTGACCAGAGCACCTGCCTGGGGCCCCTCTGTGGCTTGGGCTTCCCATGCATCGACACTGAGAAATACATGTATATATGTATTTGAGGCTGATAAACTTAAAACACTGAATTTCGGCCAGGCGTGGTGGCTCATGCCTGTCGTCCCGGCACTTTTGGAGGCCGAGGCGGGCAGATCACCTGAGGCGCCAAGCTTTGGTCCGTAGAGCAATTATCCCAGGCACAATAACCTTTCCAGAACCTAGGACCCAGTGCTTCCAAAGTCATCACAGACTTGGGGGATCTGAGAGAAGGAAGGTTGATGGGGAAACTCTTCTGGGCTTTGCTTTCAGGCACTGCCAGCCAGTCAACGCCTGTGGCTCACCTCCATGACCTAAGATCACAGTCAGGGGAAGAGCTCCCTGAGCAAGACATCCATTCTGAGAGTGTGCCCTCTACAACTCCAGGGCACATGCCAACCTCTAGAGCCCCTAAGTGCCGTGTCCTCTCAGAGCTTTCTGGATCGAGCAGGGTCTCTGTGTAGAACATGGTCCCCACACGCTTGTGAGCAGCCGTTTCCTGCCCATCTCCCTCGCTGTTCCCATTGCCCCTTGTTGTGGAATTTCTCAGACCTAAGACTCGCCTTCCAGGGAAGCCTTCTCCTGCCTCTATATTAAGCCAACTGGAGACCATGCCCAGGGCTTGGCTGTGGAGCCTGTGGGAACCCCCCGAATCCAGGGCAAGGGTCCGCATGCCCCCTGGGCCCTGCGTGTAAAATGGAGCCTGGAGGAGCTGACCTGGCCCTGCCCATCAGGACTGCCCCAATTACACACCTGGATTCTTGGAAGGCCCCTATGCCCCCTGGGTGGAAGGATACTGAAAACGCTCTTTGTCTACAATTGGATCCTTGCCCCACCTGCCCACCAAGGCCTCTGAAGCCCACCAGCACATGGCTAGGACCCTCCTCTGACCCCACTGGGCACCTGAGGGATGGCACTGCTTGTGAGGGCTCTCCCTCCCCAAGGCCAGGCCCAAGGCCCTCTGCCAGGACCCTGCCTCTCTAGAAGTGAAACCTTGCGTGGTACAGGCAGCTGTCCACTTATGGACCAGGCCAGCTCCGTGGCTGTGACCTGATAAGATAAAAAGTCCACATGCCCAGTTCTGGCCCGCCAGGCTCACAAAGCCCCTGCCTCCTGCCTTGCCAGTGCCAGAAGCCACAGTAGTCAGTGCTGTGTTATTTTTCTAGATATCATTCCTTAGGAACCAAGGCCCAAGGCACCAGATGATTTTGGTGTATCTTGACTCACATCTGCAAATTTGCAGGCCTCCTTTCCCTTCAAAACTTAGCCCATGTTGGGGCAGGTCAAGAAGACAGTGCCTTACAGACCAGTGCATCTGTAGGAGAAGAGAGAAGATGGCTGAGGGACAGGGAGTGCCTTCCTCACTCAGAGGCTGGATGGAGCAGATGAGCCTCCACGGGGCGAGCCTCTGCAGCAAGACACACAGGCAGAGCTGCTGGAGAGGAGCGGTGCCAGGCAGGGCCCTAACCTCAGCTCACCTCGGGAGGAGGGGAAGAGGGAGAGGGCCAGGTGCCCTCCTTCCCAGCTCAGTCTCCCAGCGCCTGCATGCCCCCCAGGGAGAGCCATGGAGGGCTGAGGCCCGGCTGCCCCACATCAAAGAGGGCTGGGACCCTGATGCAGCGCTTCCGGATCACAGGACGGTGGGTCAGGAGGACGCAAACCCTACCATCACCACATAGCCAGAGCCATGTCCATCCAGGGACACGCTACCACTTATGACATGAGTCCCTGAGCCTCAAATCTAACCTCCCTTCTCTCTCACACACACACACACACATACACATACACACAACCTGCACACACACATCACACTGCACACACACACCAAACACACACCACACCACATATACACCACACATCACACACACAACACACATCCCACATACACATCCTACCCCACACACACACCACACACACAGCACACCACACATACCACAAGCACACAACACACACACCACACACACACCACAAACACACACCACATACACCACACATATCACATACCACACACACCACCCACCACACACACACCACACACACACCACACACACACCACAAACACACACCACATACATACACCACACATATCACATACCACACACACCACCCACCACATACACACCACACACACACCTTACCACACACAGAGCACACACACCACACACAACACCCACCACACTCTACCACACATACTCTACATACCCCATACACACCACACCCATACCACACACACACACACGACACTCATGCAACACACATTCACCTCACACATCACACACACACCACATATACACATTCATACCACACACACACCACCCACACCACACACCACACATCACATACCACATACACCACACTCCACACACACACAACTTTTTGGGAGAGGTTAAAGAGAGCCCAGCCTTTCCCATGGAGGCAGCACATTCTCTTTTTTTGAGGCGTCTGGCCGTGTCACCCAGGCTGGAGGGCAATGGCACGATCTCCGCTCACTGCAACCTCTACTTCCTGGGCTTAAGTGATTCTCCTGCCTCAGCCTCCCAAGTAGCTGGGATTACAGGTGTGTACCACACCCGGCTAATTTTTGTATTTTTAGTAGAGACGGAGTTTTGCCATGTTGCCCATTCTGGTCTCCAACTCTTGGGCTCAAGTGATCCACCCACCTCGGCCTCCCAAAGTGCTGGGATTACAGGCGTGAGTCACCGTGCCTGGCCTAGGAAGCACATTCCTGCTCCTGGACAACCACTGGTTCTGCAAGCCTCTTCCCAGCTCTGAGATGCACAAAGCTAAGCTGGGGGACAGAGCCTCTCCCTGGCTGCCGCTCCAGTGGGAGAAGCGGACCCTGAGCCTGCAGCCCTTGCAGGCACCTGGAGCTGGGGAGAGAACCCCAGGGCTAGGGCGGCGGCTGAGGGAGAACTGGGAGGCCCAGGGGTCCACTGTTCTAGACGGGGCGGGCAGGGTGAGGCCGCCAGGTCTGTGCAGAGGCTGGGGATGTGTCCTTGTCTCAGTATTGAGGAGGGTGTGGGGAGGGTCCGCGTGACCCCAGAGCAGGGTATGGTCAGGCCCTTCCCTGTCACCCATGCCCCTAACCATAGTCCAGGTTCCCAGGGAGAGCAGAGCAGCCGCAGGCCCACGGCTGAGTGGGGCTGGGATGGAATCTGAGATCCCGACCTTTGCTTGGTTCCTCGGGGCATGCAGGATGCTATCTTCCTCCAGGGGCCTGACATCAGGCTGTTCTCTCCCAAGAAACCCTCACCAAAGATGTCCCCCAAATATCGTGATTGTCTTTGGTAACCAATCAGCATCGGTCATCCATTCACTTGTTTAACACTTTGCTGAAGGTGGCTGGATTTCCAGCCAGTTCTGCCTTCTGGGGCCTCGGAGTCCCTTCAGTTTGCTTGTTATGGGTGTTAAATCAGGTTTAGCCTGAAGCTGCCTCCTTACATATTTAAGTTCGGCCTAAGGGTTTCTCTGTACATTGTGAACTACAACAAGCGGAGGTGTAAACAGATCATAGCCTACACTTGCGCCAATCACCAAGTTTTGGTCAAGCAAATGCAGCCAACTATTCGAACCATGTTCAAATAAGGCAAATCATTCATTGCTCAATTAAACTCCTATAAATTTAACTTGGCTGAAGTTTTTCTTTTGTTATGAGAAACGGAAGCTCCCCTTAGCCCTCACTGGGGGATGTAGGAGCTTGGGAGAGTGGCTCCTACCTCAGCCAATCTGGCTACATATCTTTACAACCACAACCTGCCACCCAATTCCATTTGAAACCTCAACATATCACAGAAGGAGGGTCTACAGGAAATTTCCTGACGACCGTTGTTACAAAATGACAGGCTGATGCAGAGATTTCCAATCTTAAATCTCAGATGGTGTCTCAGAAAGCTTTGCCATGTATCAAATTTCTCAAAACAGGTCAACTGCTTTATCTTAAATGGAGGCTTTATTGGATAATGGTGCCAGCCCTGCAGGGCACAACATAGAACACTTAGGTTTGGCAGTCAGATTGGCGAAGGCTGCTTTGCTTTGCCTCTTTCCTTTCCACAGGTCACACTGGGCCTACCAGAGGGACCCTTCCGACCCCCCTCACTGGCTCTGCCACCTGCCATCCCTCAAGTCCATCCCAGGCCCCAGCCTCATCCCACTTCAACATAGGGCACCAACTTCCCCACCACTGGCTTCCTCAAATAATCATTGGAAGTTGGCAGAGCCGCTCAAATGCAAAGCCATGCTGTTGGATCAGTTTTCTGAGCACTTTTCTCCCCCACAAAAGAAGTAGGCAGAGCTGTTCTCGCTTATTTTTTGATGCCGAGATAATGAAATGCAGGGGCCTGCATCCCCCAAGAAGGTAGAGAAGGATGTACCAGCTAGGCTTGCTGGGACTGCCTTGTATGGTCTCATGTGAGCCTGGACAAATCCGTCAGGGAGGCTGAGCCGGGAGTGCTTACTGGCTGCCTTCCATCCTGGCATCTGATACTTAGGCCTGGGGGCGGGGGTGGCCATGGGAACAGAAACAGAGCCCGCCTGGCTCAGCAGCTCAGATCCCACAGGGCCTTCGTTCCCAGATGGAGGCTCCTGCCTGTCTGCCCCCATGGGGCCAGCCAGGCTCTACCCCTCCAGGCGCTGCCTTGACCAGCCTGGCACACAGGCAGCCCCTGGCTGGGCACTGGCCTGAGGCTTGGCTCACCACAGGAGGTGAAGAGAAGAGTCCTGTGCCTTCTGCATGTGGGTCCTGTCCTCACCAGAACAACCTCAGGCCTGCAATGATGTCTGTCGGAGCAAAGTGGAGCCTCCTTCCTCCCAGGCTCCAGTGGTCAGTGGCTGAGCTGGGCCATCATGGGAGGGATGGTGAGGCTCACCTGCCAAGATGCAGCTGGCCACGTCATCCCATCCACCCACAAACATCTCTAGAGTCCCTGGTGATGGCTGTGCTGGGCACAGCCCCAGCTCACATAGACCACTCTCCTGACACAGCTTCCTCCTGATGCTGCCTCCTGAGCAGGGCTCAGCCCATGCACCAGCACAGCCCCACCTTCCTCCCAGCCCCAGGGTCCAGGCTGCTGGGGGTGCCGAAAGGGTGGTGCTGCAAATGGAGATGAGAAGGGATGGGCACGAGGGCCACACTCTCAGAAGCATCTTAGGGGCCTCTCCATTCCCCTCAAACGCAGAGCCTCAGATCGGGTCCATGTCTGCTGCAGTTACCTCAGGCGATGACAGCTATGGGGTGTGTGTGTCTCTGTGTGTATGTCTCTCTGAGTGTGTGTCTGTGTGTATGTGTGTGTCTTTGTAAGACCGGAGAAGAAGCAGAGAAGGGAGAAAGACAGAGAGGAGGGAGACAGAGATCTGGAAAGAGGGAGAACCAGAGGAAGGGATCAGAAGGGGAAGGAGGAGGAGAGAGGGAAGAAAGGAGAGGGATGGGGAGAGGAGGAGGGGGTGGACACAGTTAGGGAGAGAGGCAGAAAGAAGAGAAACAGAGAGGGAGTGGGAGAAACAGAGGTGAGAGAGAGAAAGGGATCAGAAGGAGAAGGAGACGGAACCTCCCTGTAGCTTTCTCCACCGTCTCTCAGAAATGTTCCTGGGGCTGCCTCTGCTGAAGAGGGTGCTGTGAGCTGGTGGAAGGAGTGAGGGTGATGGGTGGCAGGGGCGAGGTGGGGGGAGGTGAGACAGAAGGAGCTGAGAATCAGAATGTTCTAGAATAGCAGCTTCAGCAGTGTGCCTAGAATAGGGCCCAGAGCATGGCAGGCACTCTGTGAAGATCTGTTGGTCATCAATGAATGAATGAGTGAAGGATGGATGAATGAATTTGGTAGGGAGCAGAATGCTTCCATCTACATAGACCTTGGTGAAAATTCACTCCTGGCAGCTGGGCATGGACATGGTGCTGCCTGCTTCCAACGCCTGTGGGCATCGGTGGGCAAGACTGATCGGTGGGCAAGAGTGGTTGCCGAAACCTGTCCCCATGTCCCGTGCCACCCTGAGTCCAGGCATGTATGGGCTCCTATGGGGGAATGTGGCAGACTAGCAAAGGTTTCCCCAGGTGCCCCAAAATAAGGGCTCCACCCACACTCCACCAACCCAACCCCAGGGAAAACTCCACCCAGATCAGCTCAACAGCAAAGGAGGCCAAGCCCTGACCCTGAGCCCAGCCTTTTCAAGCCTCTGTAGGAGCCACTTCCTTTTAGGGCAACTATAAGCCTGTCCCCAGTAAATTCTAAAGCACTCTTATGTTTACTGGTTTATTACTGAGGTGGGATATTAAAGAAAGAAAAGAGAAATAAAAATTAAAAGGGCAAAAACAAGCTGCCTGTGTTAGGCTGGCTCATCTCAAAGGCAATAACAGGCAAAGTTTTGATTACATTATCTAAGGGCCAGAGCTCAAAGGAATGTGCTCTGAAGACTCTCCCAGCACTCCCTCAACATAAGGATATGAGGAGATCACATTCTCCTATCTCTCCTTTGAGTGTAAGTAAACCTCCCCTTAAATCCCATCCCCTCTGCTATGTAACTATACCTTGCTCCTTGCTCTGTAAGTTTTATGAGTTCCTGTTTTTCCTATATTTAATGATCGTAGGTTCCTGCTTTTTCATCTAAGCAGTATAGCAAAGGTCGCCAGACATGCCTGAGCAGGTCTAGCTTGCAGCCAGCTGGATGCCATGGTGGGGGTCGCAAGATAAGTCTTTGAGAAACTCCTTTGAACCAGTCTGGATAACGACCATCTGGACTGCATAGCAAGGAGTATACGTAGACCTCAGTTATGAACCTGTCTTAGTTTGATTAACTGCCTTTGCCTTGCTTCTGTACATTCGTGTTCGTGCCACTTATGAGTAGGTATATAAGCAAAACCCTGTCATTGTTCAGGGCCCAGTCTTTGGACGTTGAGTCTGCTGGGTCTGAGTGCACTCAATAAAGATTCTCCTGCTTTACCCGGAGGTCTCTCTTGCCCTCCTGATTTTCTGCAACATTATAAATAATATTACAAAGGATACAGAGAAGAGACATGTAGGGTGAAGTATGGGAAGGGGCGTGGAACTTCCATGCCCTCACTGGGTGCACCATCCTTTAGGAACCTCCCAGGGTTTAGCTGTTTGGAAGCTCTCCCAACCCTGACCTTTTGGGCTTTTACAGAGGCTTCATGATGTGGGCATGAATGACTAAACCACTGGACATTGATGATCACCTCACCTTCAGCTCCTCTCCCCTCACAGGAGGTTGAGGCTGAAAGTCTTAACCCTCTAATCCAGCCCTGGTCTTTCCAGGACCTGTCTCATCCTGAAGTTACCTAGGGGCCTTCAGCCACCAGTCAACTCATTAACATACAAAAAGACATCACTGTGGAGATGCTAAGGATTTTAAGAGTTGTATGCCAGGAAACAGGGTCAAAGACCAAATACATATTTTACAATATCACAGTCTGTGTGTCCAGCAGCACCTGACACCATTCTCACTATGTTAATGCTTTCCATGAAACAGTGAATAGCTCTATCCATGTGAAAATTGAACACTAAGGCACATGCAGATGGGCAAAGACTACAGTGAATCAAATGAGTCATGTGCATAATTTAAGGGGAGTAAAAAAATTGCTAGTCAAGATAAATAATTTTTTAATGCAATATTTCCAAGAATACAAATTTAGGCAAAAACTCCATGATGAACTTCAAAATATCAAAATTTTAAACAAAGACAGATCAGCATGAATGTTGTACAGATCAGCATGAATGTTGTTCAAAACTTCTAACCACCAGAATGGCACAGTCTATAACCTCTAAGAATGGATGCTGTCTGCAGTGCTGGAGTTGGCCCAGAGGGCTTTAGCTGTCTGCAGAATAGGGAGGTATAGATGGTCCTAGAGAGGAGGCAGGGGCAGCCCAGGCAGAGAGGGGCATGCAGGGACTCTTTACCACAGCACATTGAACTGTGTTCACAGCTAATTCTAAACATATCTTCTAATTTTTGTGAAGAGGAAAGGGAGAGAAATTGGCAAATATCTATATAAGTAAGTGCCAATATTACATAAAAAGCAACAATAGCTAAGCCTAAGTCTTTACATTTCCAAATTTATATAAAATTTGAAAAACTTATATCTGAGTTCTGTTTTCCTGAGACCACAAATGCTCTTTTAAATAAACTGGTATAAGTAGGCAACAAAGTTAATTGAAAATGGAAAGAAAACTTTTATGAATTTAGATTGCTTTATAGCAGCTGGAAGGCTTAACACAACAGGAGGCCCTGGACCACCCAGGCAGGACCTGGACGGGAGGCGAGTGCATGGAGCATTTGCAGCAACACAGGGAACGATGAGGGAGGGGAGCCTGGGTTTTTAGTGTTCTTGGTGTTCTGTGTATCTCTGTGCCTGTCTCCACAAGGGGCATCCAGGGACCAACTTTGAGAACCTGCCCTTGTTCCCCTGGCTTTTGGGGAAACATCCTCCAGCCATCCCGGAGGATAGGGCAGGATGAAGTGCCAGCAGCAGCAGAGAAGAGACTGCATTAGGAGTAACTGCTCCCCCACCACCAGGTTAGAGCAAAAGCGGGCCCAGCTTCAAAGCCAGGATCTAAGGGGAGGAGGATGGCTACAGATAGGGTACTGCCTGATGATGAGGGGGTTGATAGGGTAACTATGGGGACCAGCCAGAGGAAGTGCTTTCCCTGACAAGGGCAGGTGCAAGTCCCCTGGCAGTGGCACAGAATGCTCTTATGAAGTCCTGGCTGAGCCCCTACTATCAGGGGCTCCTGGCAGCCCAGTGCCCAACACAGGTGTTTTTCTTGCCCTTCTACTCCATCCCCCCACCCTCCTACTGCTGGACTTGTAGGGATCAGAAGCCAAGGTCGGTGGGTGTGGCTGGTTAGAAGAGATCCAGGCCCCAGGTGTTAATCGGGGAGGCTTCAGTGACAGGTCTCTGGGAGAGATCCCATATGAGGTCTCTGTGTGTTCTGAGGTGAGTTCTGTGGGGAACTCTCTGGAAGTCTGTAGAGCTCTGGGCCAGGCTTCTGTGAGGAGGTCTATGGGTCTGTGCTCAGGTGGTGGTGTGGGAGGTCACTGTGTGAGCACCTGGTGACCATGTGTGGTCCCTGTGGGAGGTCACTGCCTGGTGTCTCTGTGCAAGGTGTCTGGGGAGGTCTCTGTGCAAGTTCTGTGAGGGAGGTCTCTCGTGTGAGGACTCCCTGTGTGGTCTCTGAGGGAGTCTGTGAGGTTTCTGGAGGGTCCAGGAGGCTGCGTGATGTCTTCCTAAGAGAGCTCTGGGAGATGCCTGGGTGGTGCTGAGAGACGCGCTCTCCGTGGGAGGTCTCTGCATGAAAGACCTTGTGCTCATCTCCAGGTCTCCTGGAAGTCCTTGGGGAGCTCTCAGTGCTAAGTCTCCGAGTTCCCTCTTGGTTTGAGTCTCAGTCAGAGGTCTCTCGATGTGAGTCTCTGTGGAGGCCTCTCTCACAGGTCTCTGTGTAGGTCTCTCAGGGTCTCTTTGGGATTCTCTGTGGAGGTGGCTGCATGGGTCTCTGGGAGATCTCTGTGGGGGTCTCTATAAGTCCCTAAGGGTCTCTCTCAAGTCTCTGTAGCACCTCTCTCAAAAGTCTCTACAGGTCTCTGGGAGTCACTGTGTGGATTTCTGTGGGGGAATCTCTGTATGGGTCTCTGGGGGTTCTCCATGTGGATCTCTGTGGAGATCTGTGTGGGGGTCACTAGTGGATCTCTGTGTGAGTTTCTGGGCATCTCTGTGTGGGTCTCTCCCGAAGGTCTCTGTGTGAATTTCTGTGGGGTCTCTGTGGAGGTTTTTGTGTGGGTCTCCATGGGGATCTCTGTGGAGGTCTCTGTGGGTCTCTGGGGCTCCCTGTGTGGGTCTCTGGGTATCTCTTTGGGGTCTCTGTGTAGGTCTTTGGAGGGATTGCTGTGGGGGTCTCTGTTGTGGGTCTCTCTCAAAGGTCTCCAACCCTAATAGGGCCTTGCCTGGAAAAGAAAATGCCTAGGTTCACAGAAACTCAAGGTTCTTTGATGCTGCTTGAACCTGAACAGACGTTTTATCCAAAATAGCTCCTGCTCTCCAGAGATCTGCCATATCATAAAAGAGTTAGACATAACAGTAGATGACTCTGCCACCAAGCCCATGCCACTAAGTGATTTAACAGAAGTTACAAAGGGAAATGGAATGATGCACTTGTGGAAATTTACTCTAGGGTTCTCTGAAATTCTCCACAAGGACGTTTTTAGGGAACTAAACTTTGAATCAAGGTGCTGAATGTATGTGTTCCTCCTAAATTGTTGTATTGAAATCCTAACCCCCAAGGTGATGGTATTAGAAGATGCGGCCTTTGGGAAGTGATTAGGGCATGAGGGTGGAGTCCACACGAACGGGATTAGTGCCCTTCTGAAAGAAGCCCAAGGGAGCTCAGTTGTTTCTTCTTCAACACAAGGACACAGAGAAAAGTCAGTCATGTATGAACCAGAAAGCAGACCCCCACCAGACACCAAATCTGCTGGTGTCTCCATCCTGGACCTCTCGGTCTCCACATGTGAGAAATACATTTCTGTTGTTTATAAGTCACCCTGTTGAATCCATCCCTACAAACGTTATAAAATTAATTAGGGAGGAGGGGAGAGGGAGAAATGAAAATAAGCTAAGCTTGCAGCACGTTCAGCGTAAACCATGAGGGCAGCTGCTCTCTGACCCCTTTCCTCATAGTTGTTCGTGCCAATTGCCTCCGAGTCACAGAGACCTCGTCAAAAGATTACAGTCCCCATCACTGCTCTATAGGCAGCAACTTGAACATTATAAAATGTTATGTTTTCCAGGTGAGGGACTCTGTTGGGTCCTGCATACGAATGGAACCACTGATGCCAGCTGGTCTGAAGGACCCCACAGGAGCTGACTCACCGAAGAACACAGCTTGTACACCCTGATGGTTTCATCCTCCTTATCCTGACCAATCAACAACCTCAATCTTCTATCCCTCACCCTCCACAATCTCCTTAAAAACCCCAGCTCAGAACTCCTCCGGAAGATGGGTTTGGGGGTCTCCACTCATCCCTTGCTCCATCCCTGTGATCATTAAACTCTTTCTCTGCTACAAATCTTGCTGTCTTGGTGTTACTGCTCTGTTATTGTACAGCGGGCATATGCATCCGTTGGTCCTGTAACACCATTTATGGTGCTTTGTTATAGCAGTCTGTATGGACTAAGACACATAGTTGAGAGGTTCTGTAGAACTATGGGGAAGAGGCAGGAGAAATTTGATTGAAACTGCAAAGAGTTGATATGCATGGCCTCTTCAGAAATGGTAAGTGCACAATGTGTTTTGGTGAAAAGTAATGCAGTAGGAACTTGCCAGTAAGAATGATTCATCAAAATGCAGAGCTACAGTTTGACTCATGCCTAACAGTAATTCTATTTTCCAGACATGCTAGTGATGCCCCTTTGTGCTTCAGACCCTACAGTTATACATTATTTATGCCAAGCTTCAGCTTTTATTATTTAAGTATTCGAAGATTTGCATTTTAAAGGTACTTAGCACTGTACTTGATCCTTCATAAGTGCTGCATAAGTAAATATAAAGTGAATAAATAACTTCCCACTGTAACCACCAGTTTCCTTGCTATGCTCCTGTTTCTTAGTTCCACCTAAGCCACTTGCTATTTGGCAATACAGTAGCCTTGAGTTTGAGTTATAGCTCCAATAAAAGATCTTTGTTCAACTAATTAAGGATGCATTTGTTTGATTTTGGTGATTACTGAGTTAACTATGCAGCAAATTCTTCTGTGATAGAAAATATGTATAAATTGGAAATAAATTTACTCTGTCCACCAGACTGGAGTGAGGTGGCACAATCTTGGCTCACTGCACCCTCCGCCTCCCAGGCTCAAGCAATTCTCCTGCCTCAGCCTCCAGAGTAGCTGGGATTACAGGCGCCTACCACCACGCCTGGCTAATTTTTGTATTTTTAGTAGAGACAGGGTTTCACTATGTTGGCCAGGCTGGTCTCAAACTCCTGACCTCAGGTGATCCACCCACCTCAACCTCCCAGAGTGCTAGGATTACAGGCGTGAGCCACTGCGCCCAGTCAACAAGAACAATTTATCCAAGAACTCTGTTGGTATAACTAAGATTATCTTTTTTATCATATAAAAAATTGTCTTCCTATAATCCGTATGTATAATTGCATAATAACTATAAAATTTGGATGCCTAAGCATTTATGTGTACCAAAGGGTTCATAGAATCAATAATCTGTACTGTTTCCACTGTTCTTCAAGTAGATTTCTAGATTAACTATGAAGTCCAAAGGAAGACTGTCAGCAGGATGATCATTTTTTCTTGCCCACCAGATGCACACTCGCAGCACTCCCCTGCCAGCCCGTATTCCCCCATCCGTTTTCCTCATGCGGAAATTAGGGAAGCAGGAGCGCACAGGGGTCCACAAAGGCTGACAATGAAAACACACTGAAATGTACCTCAAGGTCTCTACTGAGACATTCAGACATTGACTATGATAAGGCTGTGCAGCTGAGGTGCACGAATTTCACGTGTATGCAACATGAGAGATATT
Organism: Homo sapiens; assembly: GCF_000001405.40. NCBI lineage: Eukaryota > Metazoa > Chordata > Mammalia > Primates > Hominidae > Homo > Homo sapiens. The sequence continues at coordinate 87,880,312 of NC_000009.12, forward strand.
TGCAGGAAGTTAAGCTTCACGATGGGAAATGCCTGTGTGGGTGTATTTGTTTGTTTTAAATACTTAAGGATGATCAGAGACTATGGGGGGAAAAGCTGTTCTTCCTAAGAGAAATTCACTCTCATTTTCTAAGGAATTCTTCCCCTTTCCTCTGCTTCCCTGCAGGAAACGTGGAGTGAGACCAAAGCTGTGACTCCAGTCCACACCAGAGCCCAGGAAGACTCCCAGGACCCTGGAGATGCCTGAGGACCAGGGGCTTGTGGTATGCGGGAAGGAGGGTTCTACAGTCACCATGAGGAACAGCAATTGGCTGTAGTAAAATACGGACTGACAAAGGCAGGAAGGCAAAAGGCACCCAGGTTCGCCCAGGTGAGATGAGAGGCCCAGTTCTTCCGAGGTAGGTGTGGTGTCCCTCAAAAGCCCCCAGGGTTCTGTTGTGGGCACCACAGTGTCTGGAAGTGTGTGTGGTTGGCGGGGCGGGGGGGGGGTTTGTCAAGGAAGGGCCTTGAGGCTCATTTCCCCTGCAGCAGCAGGAGCAAGGGGCTGGCACTGGGAAGCCTCGCCCTCGTTGCAGCAGGCAGGTGGGTGGATGGTTGGATGAACAGCATAACCCTGCAGTGAAGTCTGTGGAGGGAACAGAGGTGCATGGATGGAGACATGCACACAGCCCACCAGAGACTGGGAACCCCCACACCCACATGGTCCTCTCATTTATCCAGAAAGGCGAACATCAGGTTTGAGGAGGAATGGAACCTAAAACAAATCTTTTCCCTAAATGTGGAGCTGATGCGACCAGTTGTCTCTGCTCTCCAGTTCCTGTTTCTCACACAGAGCGCACCTACTGACCTGGCAGTGGCTTGTTGGGAGGCGATTCCTTGCATGCCCAAGCCCAATTGCATAGGTCAAGATGAGACCCACTTCTCAGGCTTCAGTTCCCTGCAAATGAAGTAGAACTTAGGACCCCCATACTTCCCAGTGATCCTAGCAGGCGTCACTGGGGTCTCCACTCTTGCCAGTTAACCCAGTTGACCACATTAGGGACTGTCATGCCTCCCCAGTGACAATCTCATAAAGGAGGAAGAGACTGTAGACAGATAAAAGCAGCAGTAGATGAAGCAGATATGCTCTTGAAGATGCATGTTCATGAGAACAGACCCAAATAGACTCAGATGGTCTCACTCCCATTGAGGCTATATAGAACGCATGACAAAGATATACATGATTTTCAAGGCCACTTTTCAAGTATTAAATAAATGTATCACATAGTGATTAAAAAGTGCAATCTCTAATCCTGAGTTTCTGCTGCCCAAAAGATGTCTAATAGTATAATGAGAACATTTCCTCCAGGGCTCAAAGTATGCTCCCTATCAGGTACAGGCCAGACATGAGGCCCCAGTGGTCTGGAGCAGGCAGGAGGTGAAAAACAGGACACACTGTGGAGCAGAGAATACAAATGGGAGGCCGAGGCGGGCGGATCACAAGCTCAGGAGTTCAGGACCAGCCTGGCCACTATGGTGAAACCTGGTCTCTACTAAAGATACAAAAATTAGCTGGGCATGGTGGCACACTTCTGTAGTCCCAGCTACTTGGGAGGCTGAGGCAGGAGAATCGCTTGAACCCAGGAGGCAGAGGTTGCAGTGAGCCGAGATCATGCCACTGCACTCCAGCCTGGGCAACAGAGTGAGACTCCGTTTCAAAAAAAAAAAAAAAAAGAATATGTACGGAGGACACGAGTGATCTCAGAAGAGTCTGCTGAACACTGGACTTGAGCCTGGCACGGAATGCCCAGTCCCGCTCTCCACCCAAAGGAGCTGGACCTCAGATCACCCCAAACCACTCCTGGCTCATGGTGGAGCACACATGTTCCAAAACTTAGGAAAGTGAGGACTGTATTTGGGGCAGAGAAAGAAAAAATGGATCAGGACAACATATGAAAGATCTAAAGAAAATAAGTAAAGGCTTAATTATTGTTTTGAAAATAATTTGTCAAAGTGTTTGAGGTTTTTTTACAGCAAGCTCCATAATTCGGTAACTCAAAATTATGTTCCTAATATAAAAATGTCATTTGGAGGTTTAATTATTTGTAATTTTTATACTTTTTAGTTTTGTAAATTTAAGAGTTCTATTCTGGGTTGATGAAAGTAGAAAATGTAAGGTGTGGGAAAATTACAAAAACAGAGGAGATTCTGAAATAATCCTTAAGAAACCACCTAAATTCCTAGGAGAATTTCACAGTTTCAAAGGCTATGAAATGGGTGGGCTCAGGCCTAGATCTCCAAGGTACAAGGAGAGCCAGGTGACACCTGTGTTCCAGGGGAAGAGAATAGAAAATGGACTGAGGACTGTCTCTGACAGGGTGAGCAGCTGGAGTGGGAAGGAGCGATTTGGGGGACCCAGGAGGGTGGAGGGACTGGGGGCTGGGAGCTGAGGGCGGGGCTGTGCTTCAGCCTCCTCCTCCCACTGCCCCTCCCCCACCCCCAGGAGCCCTTTGTGAGGAGGAGGCCCCAGCTGTGTGATACAAGCCTGGGCCCCAGTCCCTAGTCCCAAAGGGGATGCCCAGAGCTCAGTTGCTTGAAGGCGATGGGAAATCTCGTCATCCCTCTAGGGAAGGGCAGGGCAGGCAGGGTTGAGAGTGGGCAGAGGATTCCACCCCCAGCTCCCAGACCATCTGTGGAGTGCACAGGAGACGACATTGCACTTCAGATGGAGAAAATGCTCTTTCCTCTGAAGAGCCCTAGTGCCACATGGCTGAGCCCTAGCTCCACTCCCTGGATGATGGATTTCATCCTCACCAGTGTGTGTGGCCTAGTGCTCCTCTTCCTATTGCTCCTCTACGTCCACAGTGACCCACCCTCACCCCCGCCCGGGAGGAAGAGGAGCAGCAGGGAGGTAAGGAGTCCTCAGCCCAGCCCCACAGAGAAAGATTCTCTCTTCTTTTCCTCCCCTCATTTCCACTTTTCCTAAGCAATGTGAGACCCTTCTGTGATGGGAAATCTCGTCATCCCTCTAGGGAAGGGCAAGGCAGGCAGGGGTGAGAGTGGGCAGAGGATTCCATCCCGAGCTCATCTGTGGGGTGCACAGGAGGCGTCAGGGCAAAAACCAACACTGGACTCAGTGGCAAGGACCGGGTCAGGAGAGGGGTGAGGTCTCTGTGGGAGGAGAGGCCCCAGCCCTGGCTCATCACCCCCTTCCTGGGGCAGGTGCCTGGGGGCCCAGCCTCCTCTGTATGATCTGGGTGTGATCTGGGAGCTGTGCTGAGCTCCTGAGAGCCTCCCAGTAGAGCCTGGATTCGCCTGTGGCTGCACCCCGGCCACATGTGCTTTTTCCTCCTTCACCACAGCCCCATGGTACCCTGGCCTCCTCTCCATTCTCATCCAAAGCAGAATCCTACTGGCAGCTCAGAGGCGCCTGTGGGCCTGAGCCTAGGTGTTCCTTGAGCGGAGGAGCAGGGACTGGGGACAGCCAGGTTGGAGTCACACAGACAACCCTTCCTTGCATTTCCCTAAGAAGGAAAACAGAAAACATTTCATTCACGGTAAACATGAGTAAAAAGCACACACAGAGCTCCCTGAGCTAGAGGCTGAGAGCCGTGTCCCTCATGAGCACTGCGTGTGTGCAGCTGGTCTGGGGAGAGGAGACTGAGAACTGGTCCCAGCCCCTCATCCTTTCTTGCCTCTCAGCCTCAAAGGGAGAGAAGCGGGAGGTCCAGGAGCAGGAAGATCTCAGCTCTGAAAGGTGAGGCTCTGCTGCCCCCCGGGACTCCCCAGAGGTAACTGAGCTTTGCCTGTCCCTGAGGAAGTCATTTGCAGAGGCCTGAGAGGGAAGCTCCTGGGAGAGAAATCAGAACCTGCGGCCTCCTCAGATTCCCTGCGGGAATGAAGCCACGGGCCTGGGACCGGTATTGCCCATAAGGGGGCGGTGTGGGGAAGGGACCAAGGCCTGCCTGGATATGGGGGGAGGTCAGGGAGGCTCCAGGTCCATGTGGACAGCTGTTCACCTCAGCAATGGCTGACTCCTCTTTGAGACCACCCATTTGCTCTCCCAACAAGATGGTTGTGACACCGATGAGGGGGTGGACGTGGAAGCACTTTTTGCAAATGACAAAGTGCTGCACAGTGGAAACCTTCCTGTCACCATTGGGGCCATGTGGCCTCGGACACAGATGCGAGGGCTTCAGGGTCTAGTCCCCCATGGTGTCCCCTAAAAAGACATCCACTCAGCCTCCATGAGGTTCCCAGGCACCGCCCTCTCCACCATAACCCTGTCTCCTGATTTCCAGCTTGCAGAATCCTCCTGAGGGAGCTGGAGGAGACTCGGGACCTGAACTACCTTCTGGAAAGGTGAGGAGCTTCCCCCTTCTGTCCCTGTCCTCCTTCCTACCAGGGCCTCTGATGCAACCCTACGGCCTGGTGGTGATCTGGGAGGGGGAGGTCCCGGGAAGGGGACAGGAGGGGACTGAAGCCCTGGGGCAGGCTTAGGCAGAGCTTTATGAAGTCAGCAGTTGGGGAGGTGGAGGAACCGGGGGCCCCAGGTGCCCACCCGTCCCAGCTTCCCGGCCCCATCTACCCCTGGCTGCAGCTTGTGCCTCTTGTCTCCTGCAGCCACCTGAGGAAGCTCGCTGGCGAAGGCAGCTCCCACCTGCCCTTAGGTGGAGACCCCCTGGGGGACGTGTGTAAACCAGTGCCTGCTAAGGCCCACCAGCCGCATGGGAAATGCATGCAAGATCCGTCTCCTGCCAGCTTGTCCCCACCAGCTCCCCCAGCTCCTCTGGCCTCCACCCTGTCACCAGGCCCGATGACCTTCTCAGAGCCTTTTGGACCACACTCAACCCTGAGTGCCTCCGGGCCACCAGAGCCCTTGCTTCCCCTAAAATGCCCTGCAACCCAGCCACATGTGGTTTTTCCTCCTTCACCACAGCCGCATGGTCCCCTGGCCTCCTCTCCACCTCCACCCGACTCCAGCCTGGCTGGACTTCAGTGTGGCTCCACAACATGCCCCGTCCCCCAGAGCTCCCCTCTACACAACCAGGTGCTGCCTCCTCCAACCAGGGTGATCTCTGGCCTGGGGTGCTCCAGCGATCCCATCTGGGACCTCTATTGCTGGAGGGAGGCTGCCACCACCTGGGGCCTCTCCACCTACTCACATGGCAAATCCCAGCCACGGCATCTTCCCGACCACACCTCAGAGGCTTCCTTCTGGGGAGACCCCACACCCAAGCACATGGAGGTAGGTGGCTGCACATTCATCCACCCTGACGTGCAGAAGCTGCTGGAGACCCTCATCGCCAAGAGAGCACTGATGAAGATGTGGCAGGAGAAAGAAAGAAAACGGGCCGACCACCCGCACATGACATCACTGGGGAAGGAGTGGGACATCACGACCCTAAATCCCTTCTGGAACGTGTCAACCCAGCCACAGCAGCTGCCCCGTCCTCAGCAAGTCTCTGATGCCACAACCGTGGGGAACCACTTACAGCAGAAACGCAGCCAGCTTTTCTGGGACCTCCCCTCTCTCAATAGCGAGTCCCTGGCGACCACAGTCTGGGTTTCTAGGAACCCTTCCTCACAGAATGCACACTCTGTACCACTGGATAAAGCCTCCACTTCTCTTCCAGGTGAACCTGAGGTTGAGGCATCCTCACAGCTTTCCCAGGCACCGCCCCAGCCCCACCACATGGCCCAGCCCCAACATTTCACTCCAGCCTGGCCCCAGTCCCAGCCCCCACCTTTGGCTGAGATCCAGACCCAGGCCCACCTCTCACCCCCTGTCCCAAGCCTGGGGTGCTCTTCTCCACCCCAGATTAGGGGCTGTGGGGCATCTTACCCTACATCCCAGGAGAGGACACAGTCTGTCATCCCCACTGGAAAGGAGTATCTTGAATGGCCCTTGAAGAAGCGACCAAAGTGGAAGAGGGTTTTGCCCTCTCTCCTCAAAAAGTCTCAGGCTGTTCTGAGCCAGCCCACTGCCCACCTTCCCCAAGAGAGGCCGGCCTCCTGGAGCCCCAAGTCAGCCCCCATCCTTCCCGGGGTTGTCACCAGCCCTGAGCTCCCAGAGCACTGGTGGCAAGGAAGGAATGCCATCCACCAGGAGCAGTCCTGTGGCCCTCCCAGCAGATTGCAGGCATCTGGGGACCTGCTACAGCCTGATGGGGAATTCCCAGGGAGGCCCCAGAGTCAGGCAGAAGACACGCAGCAGGCCCTCTTGCCCTCCCAGCCTTCTGACTTTGCAGGGAAGGGCAGGAAGGATGTGCAGAAGACCGGGTTCAGGAGCTCCGGAAGGTTCTCTGACAAGGGGTGCTTAGGGTCCAAACTAGGGCCGGACCCAAGCCGGGATCAAGGCTCAGGAAGGACCTCAGTGAAGGCTCTGGACGAAGACAAGGAGGCAGAAGGTGACTTACGGAGGTCCTGGAAGTACCAATCAGTAAGTTCCACACCCAGGGACCCAGACAAGGAGCATCTGGAAAACAAGCTGCAAATCCATCTGGCCAGGAAGGTAGGGGAGATCAAAGAGGGCTGGATCCCCATGCCTGTGCGTCGCTCCTGGCTCATGGCCAAATGTGCTGTTCCCAAGTCTGACACCCACAGGAAACCTGGGAAGCTGGCATCCTGGAGGGGTGGGAAAGCCCACGTGAACACCTCCCAGGAGCTTTCCTTCCTCCATCCCTGCACCCAGCAGATACTGGAAGTACATCTTGTAAGGTTCTGTGTGAGGCACAGCTGGGGTACAGACCTCCAGTCCCTGGAGCCCATAAATGTCTGGTCAGGTGAGGCTCAGGCCCCGCCCTTCCCACAATCCACCTTTACCCCCTGGGCCTCCTGGGTATCTCGGGTTGAATCTGTACCCAAGGTTCCCATTTTCCTGGGAAAACGTCCTCAGAATGGTCCAGGAGACAACAGAACAACAAGCAAGTCAGTCCCGACCGTGAGTGGCCCTCTCGCTGCCCCACCGCCTGAGCAGGAGGGAGTCCAGAGGCCCCCGAGAGGGTCCCAGTCAGCTGATACCCATGGGCGATCAGAGGCCTTTCCGACTGGACACAAGGGCAGGGGGTGTTCTCAGCCCCCAACATGCAGCCTTGTGGGCAGAACCTGGCAGAGCAGGACTGTCCTGGAATCCGGGAAACCCAAACCCAGACTAGAGGGGAGTATGGGTTCAGAAATGGCTGGGAACGAGGCATGGCTTGAGAGTGAGAGCATGTCCCCAGGAGACCCCTGTAGTAGCAGAGCCCTGCAAGTGCTCAGCATAGGGTCCCAGTGGGCAAGGGCTGAAGATGCCCTGCAGGCACTGAAAGTGGGGGAGAAGCCCCCAACTTGGGAAGTCACCTTGGGAGCCAGTGTGAGGGCAAGTTCGGGAAGTGTTCAGGAGGATCTGAGGAGCACAGGGGCTCTGGGGACCACTGGTAACCCCTCAGCGTCTTCAGTCTGTGTTGCTCAGGATCCAGAGCAGCTGCACCTGAAAGCGCAGGTGGTCAGTGAGATTGCGCTCATAGTGCAGGTGGACTCAGAGGAGCAGCTGCCAGGCCGTGCCCCGGGCATCCTCCTCCAGGACGGCGCCACAGGCCTGTGCCTTCCAGGCCGCCACATGGACATGCTCACTGCCGCAGACAGGCTGCCCACTCAAGCCCCTCTGTCCACCTCCCAGAGTGTGTCTGGTAAGAACATGACAGCTTCCCAGGGGCCATGTGCCCTCCTATGGAAGGGAGGGGACAGTCCAGGGCAGCAGGAGCCTGGGAGCCCAAAAGCAAAGGCCCCACAGAAGAGTCAGAAGACGCTGGGCTGTGCGGACAAGGGCGAGGCCCACAGGAGGCCCAGAACAGGGGAGCAGGGACACAGGTCCAAGGGACCCAGGACCTCTGAAGCCAGTGGGAGGAGCCACCCTGCCCAAGCCAGGGAAATAGGAGACAAACAAGAAAGGAAATACAACCAGCTTCAGCTGGAGAAGGGACAGACACCACCAGAAAGCCACTTCCAGAGAAAGATCAGTCACCATCCACAGGGTCTACACCCCAGGAAAGGAGGCACACGGTGGGAAGATGTCCTGCAGAAAGGCAAGCCTGGGGCAGATGCTTTCCAGAGCTGGGGGTCTGGCCCACCAAGGCAGTTTATGGACTGCATGGCTGACAAAGCCTGGACCATCAGCAGAGTTGTGGGACAAATCCTGGTGGACAAACTGGGGCTTCAGTGGGGACGAGGTCCCTCAGAGGTCAATCGCCACAAAGGTGACTTCCGCGCCCAGGAGAATGTGCCTTCCTGCTGCCACAGGGGTCACTGCCACCAAGAACGTAGCAGAGAGATGAGAGCTCTGGCCTGCAGCCCTAAAGCCACCCCCAAGGGCCACCACTGTCCTGTCAAAAACAGGGGCATCAGAGACAGAGACAGCAGTTGGGCCCCACCTCCCAGGGAGCCTGTGTCCCCAGCTGGTCCCCACCACCACAGGCCAAGAATGGCAAGCACCTCGGGCGGCCCCCATCCACAGCTGCAGGAACTGATGTCTGCACAGAGGTGTCTTGCCTCCTGAACTAGACCAGTCTTCTTGCATGTCTCCTGGGGGAGACAGGGGGTTCTACTCAAATAAAACTGATGCCTACACAATAAACCTGTCCTGCGTGGGTGATCACAGCCGCCATGTGTTCATGACGTTCACGGAGAAGTTCCCAATATACCTGCTTTCCCTGCAGAGGGCGTGGCTTCTGTCTGTGCCATGCTAGGGGGCAGGAAAGGGCACAGCATCTGCCCCTTCTGAGTGCGGCTTCCAGAATGGCTGGGCCTGGAGAAGGCTGGCAGGGACGTGGAGGACCCCCTCTTCTCCCTGTCCAGGGAGAAACCATGTCTGGTTTCCAAACTGTATCATGACCCAGAGCCTTCAGGACGTGTAAGGACAGCAAACCCTATGGAGACCCCACCCGGGCTCTGGCTCACTGCATCTTCGTTCTCACTAAGGTAACTTCTGTGCTGCTGTCGGAGCTGGGTCTGCAAGGGCCTTATGGACTGAGAGGGTGGCAGGCTCCCCTCAGGCTGGAGGAGTGATGGATCCCAGCAGCCTCCCTGCCCCGTGGTAGCCTGGGAATGTGGGGGTGTCCTGTACTGGCCCTGGGTGAGAGAAGGGACAGCTCCTTCTCAGATGTCCTGGTGGGGAAGAAATGACACCCTCCCCAGACCCCTCCCTACCTGCTGAGTTCTGGGATGGACCTGGGCCCCACCAGCACTTGGTTCAGCCTTGTTAACACCCCTGGGTTTGCGTCTGGTGTCCCCTGCCTCACTCTCCAGAGCAGTCTCCCAGCCCACTAGTGTGGGGTGTCTGTTTCAGGAGGCACCCAGGGCTGCTGCCTGCCCCTCTGGTGGGACTCTGTGGTTAGGAACCGCAGGAGGAGACCTTAGGCCCAGGGTGAGAGGTCGTGAGAAGAATCAGGGAAGACGAACGTAAGTTCGCAAGTGCAGGACCCACAAGCTGCCCACAGCTGTAACCAGGGTCCTCATAGTCTGGTGACCATGACAAGCAAAGGTGGTCAGTGCCACTCCCAGGGGAGAGGGACCCAGAAGGCAAGGGCTGGCCTGGTTACACAGCACATCTATGGCTCCAAGCCCAGGTGCTGGCAGGGGACACATTGGGGCTCAGAGGATCTGGTCACATGGTTGGCAGGGACAGTCCCCGCAGGGCACAGTCCTGGGCTCCTCCGTCCTGGTGCTGGGTCCCTCCTGTCCATCCCCAAGGAAGGCAGGAGCAAATGCAGGAGCTGGTTCCCCAGAGGGCTCTGCCCAGGGGCCTTCTGCCCAGGGAGAGCTCTGCACCTGCAGGGGCTGTGGAGGCTGAGGACAAGGGGACAGGCCTGTACCCAGGCGTGGCGGGACCCATGCTGGGGACCTGTTTGGAAAAGGCCCTGGTGTCACTTTGGGTGCCCAGGCTACTGCTGGAGCCAAGTCCTGTCTGGGGTGGTGACCTGGGCAGCTCCAGTGTGGGCCCAACATCTATGGGACCCAGGATCCTGGAACCCGCCAGCAGAGGAGCCCCACAGAGACCCCCATGTACACCCCCAAACTCAAAGATTCCCACAGAGACCCCACATTCATAGAGATTTCAGAGATTCCCCACAGTGACCCCCAGAGACCCCAACAGAGAATCTGACCGAGATCCCCCCATGAAGACCCCCCAGAAGGACTCCCCACAGAAACCCCTGACACAGACTCACACAGAGACCCTTCAAAACCAACAGAGATCCCCACGGAGATTTTAGAGGTGACTCTAACAGAGACCTGCACAGAGAAAATATATCAAGGTCACTTTGCCACCCCCTAAAATCCCTAGCATTGCACTTGGTGAAAATGAGCGGCATCTACCTCATTCCCAGCAGCGCTTTCTCCTGGCAGCCCTCTGCCCTCTTCTAGGTAAGATTCCTTGAGAAACTGAACAATAGAAAAGCCTCCTCTATCAGTCGACATCCAACTTAGAGCGACCCCCCAACCCGCTGGCAGACCCTTCCCCAGATCACCCAATTACAACCCCCATGCTGATATCAAACTGTAATCATTCATGATGGAAACGGTAAGAGTTCCTCTGACGCTGTGCTTCTGACACCGCCCTTAGCCCCTCAGGCCATGCTCCCCCTCACTGCCAAGGGAATAAACCCGGCTGGTCTAGATTGGTCTTGCTCACAGGGCTCCTCCTGTGGGCCTTGTGCTGGAGCACATGGAACAGGAAGGATCTCGGCTTGGACACAGCTTCTTCAGAAAACCTTCTCTGACTCCCCTATGAGGCCAGGTCCCCTGTGCTGGGTTCCCCAACCTGGCCCTTCTTCCCTTGTGACAGCCTCTCCACACCTGGGCACGTTTCTCCCAGAACCCTGAAAGCTTCTGGTGGGCCCGGTGAGGACGGAGGCGTGCCTGACCACACTCCCGGTACTGACTGTGGCCCCTGTTATAAATTGTTTCATAAAATCTTCTTAGTTAATGGGCACAGGAATCAATGCTTCCTAATCTACCTCATACATAAGTTGCATCACTAAAATCATATTTTCATAAAGGGTCTTAACTCTTTCCAGTAGCCAATATAATGTGTCAAGGAAAATCTGTAAAAATAAAATGGCATCGATACTTCAAATTTAGTGGTATAAAGAAATTTCCAAATTCAAATTATTCCAAGTTACTTATTTTATAGGTCAAATATGAATATTCTTGTAAGTTTTTTAATTCTTCAACGTAAATTTCTGATGTTTAGAGAATACAAACTAAAAACAAATTTTGCTTCAAAACATTCTAATGTGCCACAAATTCATTTTAAAAAACTATTACCAAAGAGGATATATTTTTAAGTAATTTAAATATACAACTTCCAACCGACACACATATTGTAAATCCACTCTTCTAAAAATGAGGAGCAGCTATATTTTTACCTTAACATCCAAAATGCTGAATCTATAAAACGGGTTGCTTATTTACAACCACGTGTAAAATAGGGTATTGATAAATAATTCGGCATGCATATTCGTTCTGTTGGAAATTTTTTTAAATTATTGAAAATAATTGAAAATCTTACAAAACATCATCTGTTTGAAAGATGTTAGAAAAGAGAGGGTAGAAAAATAGGACTGCATTCTTATTGCGTAACGGTTCAACCTCAGTTATAAATACACACATATACACACATATCTTGAAGCCTGAGTAACTGTTCTCTCTCCAGCAGTTTCTGCCAGGCCTGCCAGTTCTTGGGTTTGGAAATTTCCTTCCTGCTCACCTCCACTGGCAGCATGTCCACCTCACCTAAGGCCCCTGGTTCCACTCCTAATGCTCCAAAAATGTGATGAGCGTAAAGAGAGTTTTCCTCTCAGGAAAACAATAATGGCTCGATCACTGATACACTATGGGTTCATAAAGAAAGATGAATCTATTTCATTTGTCTATTAACCTGGAAAAGCATATTGAATATTTTTCTTTTTTAGAATAAGTACAGGTACACATTGATCTTTTACTGAAAATAAAAAAATCATTAAAAGGTACATGTAAGAAAGTACTTTTTATTTAGCTAGATCCCAATGATTTTTTAATCTCTTTTCCTAAAAGGTTTATGGTAAAACCTTTTATATTTAAGTTTGCAAACCATTTCAAGTTAATTAGTGTATAAAGTGTGAAGTTTACACTGAGATTTTGAGCCTATAAATGTTTATTTTCTCCGGTGGCATTTGATTAAAAGACTATCCTTCCTCCTTCAATTGCTTTTGTACCTTTCTCAAAAATGAGTTGGGCATATTTGCTTGGGTCCATTTCTGAGTTCTGTATTCTGTTCTGCTGACCTATGTGTCCATCTCTCCACCAATATCATGTGCCTTTTCATATAAACTTAAAATAAGTTTATGTGCATAAAAAAATCTAGCTGGAGTTTTGATATGAATGTCATTAAGTCTACGCATCAATTTAAAGAGAATTGACATCTTTGCTATCTTGAGTCTTCCAAACCATTAGTAAGGTATGTTTGAATTTATTTAGTTCTTCTCTCAATTCTTTCATGCAGATTTTGTAATTTTTGCCATCTTGATCCTGCATATCTTGTCAGATTTATGCCTAAGTATTTTCTTTAGAGCAACTGTAAAGGTATTTTCAGTTTCCACACATTCATTGTTAGTTTATAGAAATATGATGAATTTTGTAGGATGGATCATTTATCCTGTGAACTTGCTAAGTAACTTATTATTTCTACAAGACTTTTTTAGATTCCCGGAGACATTACAAAGACAATCGTGTAATCTGCAATAGAGGCCGTTTTCCTTCTTTCTTTTTTTTTCAATCAGTATGCCTTACTTGTTTCTTGCCCAATTGTGCTGACTAGAACTTTCGGTGCTCTGTTAAATAGCAGAGGTGAGAGCAGATGTCTCTGCCTTGTTTCCACCCTGAGGGGAAAACCATTCAGTCTTTCACCATTATGTATCACATAGCTGTTGGTTTTTGATAAATACACTTGATAAAGTTCAGGAAGTTTCCTTCTATTTGTAGGTTTCTGAAAGTTTTTATCATAAAACTGTGCTATACTTTGGAAATGCTTTTTCTACATCAATTGACATAAGTGGCATAGTATTTTTGAATCATGTTTCTTTGTCCAGGTTGACATTCCTTGTCTTTTAATCGACACATGTTCACAATTTATATTTAAGATAACTGTAATATATATGTTAAGGCCTAGATGTTCTACTTTATAATTTGTTTTCTGTTTGTTCATTCTCTTTTTCTTTGCTCTTTTTTCTTACCTTCCTGTGAGTTACTTAAATAGTTTTAGGATTACATAATTATTTCTTTATACAGTTTTCTAGTACATCTCTACATTATTTTCTATCTTTACCTTATGATCAGTATTCGTTTGTAACCGACCACAGTCAACTGATATTGATGTTTTACCACTTTACATCTAGTGTAGAAACCTTATTTTCATGTAACTCCCTTTACACCCACCTTGTTTTTAAAAATAGAATTGCACTGAGTAACACATCTAATACACAGGATGCTGCAACAAGCAGTGTTATAATTTTTGTGAAAACACCAAATATGATTTTGAAAACTTCTGAGATGATGCATAACTTATTATATCTTTTTACATTTTCCCATTCTCTTATTCTTTTCTTTCTGAAGTTCCAATCATTCTTCTGATATCATTTGATTTCTGTTTAGGTGACTTACTTTTCACATTTTTAAGAGGAGTTTTGGTAAAAAACAAATTGTGTCAGTTTTCCTTCACATAAGGATGCATTTATTTCTCCTTCCTTTTTGAATGCTATTTTTGCTGGACATAGAATTTGCTGCTAACAGTTCTTTTCTTTCAGGACATAAAAAATGTTGGAACACTTCCTTGTGTCCTACACTATTTCAGATTGGGGGCAGGCTTTCAAGAATTTTTGTCTTCTGTTTTCAGAAGTTTTTATATGATATGTTTCAGTATGAATTTATTTGGGTTTATCTTATTTAGGATTTACTCAGCTACTTGATTCTGTAGATTTCTGTCTCTGTCGAAATTAAGATGTTTTCAGATATCAATTTATTGACTGTTTTTCCAGTCCCACTATTTCTTTCTGCTTTCTTTCTGGGTCCCTGATGATACATATACTCAGTATTGTGATGCTGTCTGACAGGTCCCTGAGGCTGTTCTCTGTTGTTTTGTTTTGTTTTGTATCTATTTTTTCTCTTTTGTTCAGATTAGAATCAGTAAATCCTACTGATATGTCCTGAAGTTTACTGATTCTATCTTCTGTCTTCTCCCCTTTACTATTAAGCTTACCCAGTAAAGTTTTATTTCAGTTGTATTTTTTAATTCTATAATTTCCAATTGGTTCATTCTTATAACTGCTATTTTTTTGTTTTCTGAGATTTTCAAGATTTGCATTTGGTTCAAAGGAATTCCTGTTAATAACTGCCTGCCGGTAGCACCTCACTCAGTCTCATTTCAGCTGGGTCAGTATGGAGGTTTAATTCACCACTGGGCCCTACTGACACCGGGAGTGGGGGGAAATTGGAGTACTAATTAGCCTAGATGCTACACCTTGTCAGTGTGGTTGATTTAGGCGGCAGCAGAGGTTCAGCTTCCTGCTGGTCTCCAGTGACATCAGGGTGGGGAGGATGACACTAGCCTACCTCACCCTGCCTCAGTCAATGTCATCGTTGCTGCATGAGTTTGAGGAGTTTGAGGCTAAGCTTGCCTCTGGCACCACCAGACACCATCTTGGCAAAGGAACTGTAGAACAGTCTGCTTTTGTCAGACAGGAAATGGAAGAGCTTCCTACTTGGTCTGTTGACATCACCTGAAAGAAATATCAGAATGCTACCTTCTTTTGCCAGGTGAAGAGAGAAGATTTACCTCCCTCCTTGGCCCCATGGACACCATCAGGCAAGGGAATCAGAGCGCTGCTGCTTCCTTCCACTAGGTGGAAGTGAAGTGGATCATCAGCTCCGCACTTGACTCCAATGAACTATGGTGTTTGAGGGTTTTTTCCATTGGTGTTTGGCTGGAGTCAGGTGCGTATTTCTTGCCAGGCCATTATTTTCCAGGTTCTTTGGCTGAGACAGCTGGGTTTGTGTTGGGTTTGGTTTTGCTGGGTGTGGTTTCTGGTTGGAGGCTTCTGCAGCACTCTCTCCAGGGCAGATGAGAAGAATAAGAAACCCAAGGAATGTACCACTGTGTCATTCCCCAGGGAGTCTGTCATCCTTATTATACTTTTCCAACATTTCCCATGCTCGTTTGCTGTTTTATGTGCAGGGTTTCAGTTAGAACACAAAGGATGTGATAGTAATGAGGCTTCTCCAACTGGGCTGAAAACAGATGTGTTTTTGTCTTAAAATCATAAGAGCAAGTATTTTTAAAAATACTTGAATAGGTTGGTGAGAATTCTGGGGAGAATTAACACACTACTGGGAAAGAAACATTTCTCAATGCTGCAAGAAAAAGTCACTCCACAACAGTGACAACTCCAGCTCACATGATCTACAACTGACTTACTCGTTTGTTCTCACCTAGTGTCAGAATTATCATTTGCCCCTGTGATAAAATTACCAACTAGAGTGTTTCTATAAAGTTTGTTTTGTCTTAGTCTTAGAGTATCCAATCAAAATTTTCTAAAGTGTCTTTAATCAGTTTCTTTTTCCTCCTAAAATATTCTGACATTCTGGTTTATTTTTTTTTTAATTTGAGAAAAATAAGGATGAGTTTGTATGGTGTAGCATGTGGTAGGTTTTGAGAAACCCATAGAGACATGTGTCCACCACCCAACACTACACAGAAGAGCTGCATCAGCCTAAAATTCTCTGTGTGATACCTTTGTGATCACTACACTCCAGCCTGGTGACAGGGTGAGACCCTGTCTCAAAAAAAAACAAAAAATACAAAAGGTAAATCTATGACTTTTCACACTGAAATCTATATTTATCCACTTATTTTCTTTACCATGGAGTTACTGCCTAAGAATTTGAAGCCGTTTGAGCTGACTATCCCCAGAAAACTGTTGTTGCTCTAATAGTAAATGAGAATGGCAAGAGCATAGGTTCTCTCCCCAGAGACCTTCATACATATATAGTTATTTCACACTCTAAAGGCAGTAATGGCAAAGCTAGTGATTACAGTCACCCCACAAAGTAGGACCAAATGCCACATAAATACTTGACTGACAAGGATGTGAGTGTAATGTAATTTTCGGATTAATCAAAATGAAAATTTTTGTCTAGGTTACAAAGATTTATTTCTGGATGCCAATAAAAAGAGACATAGAAAACCTAAATTTAATAAAAGAGGAGTAAATAAGGTCCTCCAATACAGAGAAAGCAATATGTTTCAAAGATTAATTATGGGCTGGGCCCTGTGGCTCATGCCTGTAATCCCAGGACTTTGGGAGGCTGAGACAGGAGAATAACTTGAGTCCAGGAGTTCTAGACCAGCCTGGGCAACATAGGGAGACCCCATTTGTACAAATAATTTAAAAACTAGCCATGTATGGTGGTGCACACTTGTAGTCTCAGCTACTCTAGTGGCTGAGGCAGGAGAGTCACCTGAGTCTCAAAAAAAAAAAAAAAGAATAATTATGCTTTTCTATTAAAATTGATCCTTAGAGGAGTGAAGTCAAGAAAAATGGTGGAATAGGACACACCCACCAGGAATCCAACTCTCCTCCTGGACAACAATTATACTGAAAGGGACTCTCTGAAGTGAATATTTTGGGACTCTGTAGTTGATGTGAACACTTGCAACTCCCAAGGAACAGACTGGCTGCTAAATTATGATAATGCTGGCTCTATTTCAGCCTTCAGCACAGTGGCAGCTGTCTATCCCCAACCACAGTCCCATGTCAGGCAGCTGTAGGGGTCATAACTGACATTTTGGGGCAAGGGAGCTTGCTGGAGCCAGGGTGGGCAATAAAATCTTGTCCCTGCAAATATCAGGGCTCTGTGTTGAGATTGTGGAATGTTTCTCTGATCACTGAGGTGTGGGCATGGAGGTTAGCCACCACTGTTCCAATCTGCATTCACCTGAAATGTCTCCTAGAAGATTTAAAGCAGCTACACCTGTTTTTTTGAACTTTCAGAAACAACTGCATATGTGGGAAATTGAGGAAGCTACCATGAATGCTAAAGGAAAGAAACAGGCCCAGAAAAGAACTGATGAAGACCTTAAGCTCTCAACTCAGATTTAGTCCCAACACAGAGACATCATATAACATTTTTTAAGCCCAGCAAGTCACAGAAAAAGGGGGAAAATTTGATTTCCAGAGTTCCTACATTATAAGTTTTAATGTCCAGTTTTCAACAACTACAACAAAAAGCAATGCATACAACAAAACAGGAAATTACAACCCATGAATGGTACCAAATAAATCAGCACAAAACCTGAGGAAGCCCAGATGTCACACACACACTATACAAATACTTTAAAGCAGTTGTCTTAAAGATGCTCAAAGAGTTAAGGAAGACATGAACAACTAAAAAAGTTATGCCTGAAAAAAATAAGTGTATTAATAAAGATATAAAATTATAAGGGGGAACCAAAAAATTCTTCCTATATCTAAAAAGTATACTACCTGTAGTATATCTAAAGTAGTATATCTAAAGTATATCTAAAAAGCATACTACCTGTAATGATAATATACTAGAAGGATTCAAAAGCAGATTTGAGCAAGCAGAAGAAAGAAGAAGTAAACCTGAGCAAACCACAACTGAAATTATTGAGTTGGAGGAACAGAAAGCAAAGAAGAGTAATGAAAAGTGGATAGCGCCTAAGAAGACTAGGAGACACCCGCAAGCAGACCAACATATGCATTGTGGGAATCCCCAAAGGATAAGAGAGTTAGAAAGGAGCAGAAAAAATATTTAAAGAAATAAAGCCTGAAAAATTCCCAAATTTTATGCAAGAAACAAATACACAAACTATCTCAGTAAACACCAAGTAGGATAAACTCAGGAACACATCTACTGTGACACATTATACTCAAAATATTGAAAGACAAAGATAAAGAAAGAATCCTGAAAGCAGCAAGAGGGAAGTGACTCACCCCATACAAGGAATTCTCATTAAGATTGCCAGCCAATTTCTATTAAATCCTTAGAAACCAGAAGTCAGTAGGTTGACATATTCAACATGCTTAAAGAGAGTCACTCAACAGTGTTGTATCTAGAAAAACTGTCTTACTTTTAAAATGAGACAGAAATAAAGATATTCCCAGATTTTTTTTTAAAAGTTGAGGGAGCTCATTACCCCTAGACATCCCCTGCAAGAAATGCTAATGAGAGTCCTTTGGGCTGAAATGAAAGGAAGATAGACCATATGCTGAATCAATGTAAAGAAATTAAGGTGAAGTAAAATATACAGTCAGTTGTAACAGGTGATTTTGTTTTTCTGATTTTAGTTTATAGCTCACCTTTTCTATTTTCTATAGAATTCAGAAGACAAAATACATGACTTGATAAATTTAATCTTTATTATTGGGCATACAATATGTAAAGATGTAATCTATGCCATCAAAACAGAACATGAGGATAGAGGTGTATAGAAGCAGAGTTTTTACATGTGATTCAAGTTAAGTTGGCATCAGTTTAAATTATATTGTTATAACTTTGGGATGCTAAATTGAACCCTATGGTAACCACCAAGAAAACACCTATAGAATATACATATAAGGAAATGAAAAAATCCAGACTTTCACTAGGAAAAAAAATTCAAGTAAAACAAACTCAGTAAGTAATAAAGGAAAGGAGTAGTAAAAATTATAAGGCATATAAAAATCAAATAACAAAGTACCAGAAGCAATCCCTTTCTTAGCAGAAATTACTTCCAATGTGAATGGATTAAACTCTGCAATTAAGAAACATTCATAGGCAGAATGACTAACAAAACCATCATAATCCAACTATACACTATCTATAAGAGACTCACTGTATATCTAAAGACACAAATAGGTGGAAAGTAAAATGATGGGAAAAGATATTACATGCAAAAAGTGAGCAGCTATAGTAGTATTACGTAAAATAGACTTTAAGAAGTTTAAAAGAGACAAGAAGGAATTGAATATTAATAAAAGGTTCAGTAGAGCAGTATCATAACAATTACAAATATATACGCACTTAATAAACCCTCAAAATACGTGAAGAAAAAATTGACAAAATAGAAGGGAGAAATAGGTTATTATACAATACTAGTTGTCAACTTCAATGTATACTTTCAATAATAGATGGATCAATCAGACAGAAAAAAAGTAAGAAAAGAGAGGACTTCAACAACACAATAAACCAACTAAAGATGCTTCCTGACTTACCACAGAGCTACTTCCCAATAAGCCCATTGTAAGTTAAAAATATGGTGAGTTGAGAAAAACATTTAATAAACCCACCCTACCAAATATAATTGCTTAGCCTAACCTACCTTAATCCCTCTCAGAATACTTATACTAGCCTACAATTGGGCAAAATTATCTATTACAAAACCTATTTTATAATAAAGTATTGAATATCTCATGTAATTTTTTGAACACTATATTGCAAGTCAAAAACAGAATGAAACAGAATGGTTGTATGGATACTCAAAGTACGGCTTCTGCTAAATGTATATTGCTTTTGAAACATTGTAAAGTCAAAAAGTTGTTAATTCAGGGACCAGTGGTATACATATAGGAAAGTTAAACAGAACACTCTAACCAAAAACAGTAGAATATATATTGAAGTGCACATAAGACATTCTCCAGGACAGATCATGTCAGGCTACAAGGTGAGTCTCAATCCATTAAAAAGATAAATATATGCAATGTATCTTCTCCAAACACAACAGGAGGTTAAAAATCAGTAACAGAAGAAAAACAAAAATATTCACAAATATGTGAAAAGTAAACAACACACACACACACACAAAAGCAAATCACAAGGAAATTAGAGAACAGTTAAAAGACAAATGAAAATGAAAACACAACATATTTTAACTTATTATATGCAGTGATCAGAAGAAAATTTGTAGATGTAAATATCTACATTAAATAACTTTATGCTGTAAGAAATGTACACGAGAAGAGCAAAATAAACCCAAAGCTCGCAAATAAAAGGCAGTGATAAAGACTGGACTGGAAATAAGCAAAATAGAGCACTGAAAAAATAAAGAAAATAAAGAAATAATTGATCTTTGAAAAGATCAAAAAATTGACAAAACCTTTGGCAATTGTCAGTGTAGACACAACTGAAATCAGAAATGACAGTGGAGACTTTGCTACTAACTTAGAGATAAAAAGAATTATATGAAAATACGATAAACTATTGCATGCCAAAAAAATTAGATAACCTAGTGAAAGAGACAAACTTCTTAAAACATAGAAATTACCAAATTGACTCAAATAAATAGAACATCTCAACAGGCCTATAACAAGTAGAGATTAAATCAGTAATAAAAATCTCAAAACAAAGAAAAGTTCTGGGTCACATGGCTTCATCAGAGCATTCTACCATTTAAATAAGAATTAACACTAATCTTTCTCAAACTCTTCTAAACAATTGAAGAGTACAGAATACTTCTTAACTCATTCTATGAGTCTAGCACTAATATGATACCAAAGCCAAATAAAAACATCATTAAAAAAAAGACAGACACATAATCCTTATGACTTTAGATGCAAAACTCCCAAACAAATATTAGTAAGTTGACTCCAACAGTCTACTAAAAGATAGATGCCAACACAATAATACTGGGGGACTTCAGTACCCCACTGATAGCATTAGACAGGTCATCAAAACAGAAAGTCAACAAAGAAAAAATGGATTTAATCTATACCCTAGAATAAATGTATTTAACAGATATTTATAGAACATTCTACCCAACAACTGCAGAATATACATTCTACTCATCAGCACATAGAATATTCTCCAAGATAGACCATATGATAGGCCACAAGTCTCAATAAATTTAAGAAAATCAAAATTATATCAAGTACTCTCTCATACCACAGTGGAATAAAATTGGAAATCAACTCCAAAAGGAACCCTCAAAACCATGCAAATATATGGGAATTAAATAACCTGCTCCTGAATGATCTCTGGTCAACAATGAAGTCAAGGTGGGAATTTAAAAATTCTTTGAACTGAATGATAATAGTGACAGAACCTATCAAAACCTCTGGGATACAGCAAAAGTGGTGCTAAGAGAAAGTTCATAGCATTGAATGCCTACATCACAAAGTCTGAAAGAGTACAAATAGATAATCTAAGATCATACCTCAAGGAACTAGAGAAACAAAAACAAACCAAACCCAAGCCCAGCAGCAGAAAAAAAAAAAATGAAGATGAGAGTAGAACTAAATGAAATTAAAACAAAAAAAAAATTAATTAAAAAAATACAAAAGATAAATGAAACAAAAAACTGGTTCTTTGAAAAGATAAACAACAGGGACACACCATTAGTGAAATTAACCAAGAAAAGAAGACAGAGGATACAAGTAAGCTCAATTAGAAACGAAACAGGAGATATTACAACTCATACCACAGAAATACCAAAGATAATTTAAGGCTACTGTGAACATCCTTATTCACACAAACTAGAAAACCTAGAGGAGATGAATAAATTCCTGTAAATATACAACACTCCTAGATTAAGCCAAGAAGAAATAGAAACTCTGAACAGAACAATAACAGAGAGATTGAAACAGTAATTTTTAAAATGCCAATGAAAAATAAAGTCCAGGACCAGATGAATTTACAGCTGAATTCTGTAAGGCATTCAAAAAAAATTGATACCAATTCTATTGACACTATTCCAAAAAAAATCCAGCATTGGGGAGATCCCACATTGCTTTATATTTAAAACCCTCAGCAAAATTGGCATAGAAAGGACATACCTTGTTGGGTGCCAAGATGGCCGAAAAGGAACAGCTCCAGTCTACGGCTACCAGCATGAGCGATGTGGAAGATGAATGATTTCTAAATTTCCAACTGAGGTACTGGGTTCATTTCACTGGGGATTGTCAGACAGTGGGTGCAGGACAGTGGATGCAGTGCACCAAGCATGAGCCGAAGCTGGGTGAGGCATTGCCTCATCCGGGAAGCGCAAGGGGTCAGGGAATTCCCTTTCCTGCCCAAGGAAAGGGGTGACAGACAGCACCTGGAAAATTGGGTCACTCCCACCCTAATACTGTGCTTTTCCAACAGTCTTAGCAAACGGCACACCAGGAGATTATATCCCATGCCTGGCTCGGAGGGTCCTACGCTCACAGAGCCTTGCTCATTGCTAGCATTAGCAGTCTGATATCAAACTGCAAGGCGGCAGCGAGGCTGGGGGAGGGGCGCCCGCCATTGCCGAGGCTTGAGTAGGTAAGCAAAGTGGCTAGGAAGCTCGAACTGGGTGGAACCCACCGCAGCTCAAGGAGGCCTGTCTGCCTCAGTAGACTTCACCTCTGGGGGCAGGGCATAGCCAAATAAAGGCAGCAGAAACCTCTGCAGACTTAAATGTCCCTGTCTGACAGCTTTGACGACAGCAGTGGTTCTCCCAGCACGCAGCTTGAGATCTGAGAACAGAGACTGCCTCCTCAAGTGGGTCCCTGACCCCCGAGGAGCCTAACTGGGAGGCACCCCCCAGTAGGGGCAGACTGACACCTCACAGGGCCAGGTACTCCTCTGAGACAAAACTTCCAGAGGAACGATCAGGCAGCAACATTTGCTGTTCACCAATATCTGCTGTTCTGCAGCCTCTGCTGCTGATACCCAGGCAAACAGGGTCTGGGGTGGGCCTCCAGCAAACTCCAACAGACGTGCAGCTGAGGGTCCTGACTGTTAGAAGGAAAACTAACAGAAAGAACATCCACACCAAAACCCCATCTTTACATCATCATCATCAAAGTCCAAAGGTAGATAAAACCACAAAGATGGGGAAAAAACAAAGCAGAAAAACTGACAATTCTAAAAATCAGAGTGCCTCTCCTCCTCCAAAGGAACGCAGCTCCTGACCAGCAATGGAACAAAGCTGGACGGAGAATGACTTTGACGAGTTGAGAGAAGAAGGCTTCAGACAATCAAACTACTCCAAGCTAAAGAAGGAAGTTCGAACCCATTGCAAAGAAGTTAAAAACCTTGAAAAAAGATTAGACAAATGGCTAACTAGAATAACCAATGCAGAGAAGTCCTTAAAGGACCTGATGGAGCTGAAAACCACAGCACGAGAACTACGTGACAAATGCACAAGCCTCAGTAGCCAATTCGATCAACTGGAAGAAAGGGTATCAGTGATGGAAGATGAAATGAACGAAATGAAACAAGAAGAGAAATTTAGAGAAAAAAGAATAAAAAGAAACGAACAAATATGGGACTATGTGAAAAGACCAAATCTACGTCGATTGGTGTACCTGAAAGTGATGGGGAGAAAGGAACCAAGTTGGAAAACACTCTGCAGGATATTATCCAGACCTTCCCCAATCTAACAAGGCAAGCCAACATTCAAATTCAGGAAATACAGACAATGCCACAAAGATACTCCTCGAGAAGAGAAACTCCAAGACACATAATTGTCAGATTCGCCAAAGTTGAAATGAAGGCAAAAATGTTAAGGGCAGCCAGAGAGAAAGGTAGGGTTACCCACAAAGGGAAGCCCATCAGACTAACAGCAGATCTCTCGGCAGAAACTCTACAAGCCAGAAGAGAGTGGGGCCCAATATTCAACATTCTTAAAGAATTTTCAACCCAGAATTTCATATCCAGCAAAACTAAGCTTCATAAGTGAAGGAGACATAAACTCCTTTACAGACAAGCAAATGCTGAGAGATTTTGTCACCACCAGGCCTGCCCTGAAAGAGCTCCTTAAGGAAGCACTAAACATGGAAAGGAACAACCAGTACCAGCCACAACAAAAACATGCCCAATTGTAAAGACCATTGAGACTAGGAAGAAACTCCATCAACTAACGAGCAAAATAACCAGCTAACATCATAATGACAGGATCACATTCACACATAACAATATTAACCTTAAATGTAAATGGACTAAATGCTCCAATTAAAAGACACAGACTGGCAAATTGGATAAAGCGTCAAGACCCATCAGTGTGCTGTATTCAGGAAACCTATCTCACGTGCAGAGACACACATAGGCTCAAAATAAAGGGATGGAGGAAGATCTACCAAGCAAATGGAAGACAAAAAAAAAAAAAAACGGGTTGCAATCCTAGTCTCTGATAAAACAGACTTTAAACCAACAAAGATCAAAAGAGACAAAAAAGGCCATTATGTAATGGTAAAGGGATCAATTCAACAAGAAGAACTAACCATCCTAAATACATATGCACCCAATACAGGAGCACCAAGATTCATAAAGCAAGTCCTTAGAGACCTACAAAGAGACTTAGACTCCCACACAATAATAATGGGAGACTTTAACACCCCACTGTCAACATTAGACAGATCAACGAGACAGAAAGGTAACAAAGATATCCAGGAACTGAACTCAGCTCTGCACCAAGTGGACCTAATAGACATCTACAGAACTCTCCACCCCAAATCAACAGAATATACATTCTTTTCAGCACCACACCACACCTATTCCAAAATTGACCACATAGTTAGAAGTAAAGCACTCCTCAGCAAATGTAAAAGAACAGAAATTATACCAAACTGTCTCTCAGACCACAGTGCAATCAAATTAGAACTCAGGATTAAGAAACTCACTCAAAACCGCTCAACTACATGGAAACTGAACAACCTGCTCCTGAATGACTACTGGGTACATAACGAAATGAAGGCAGAAATAAAGATGTTCTTTGAAACCAGTGAGAACAAAGACACAACATACCAGAATCTCTGGGACACATTCAAAGCAGTGTGTAGAGGGAAATTTATAGCACTAAATGCCCACAAGAGAAAGCAGGAAAGATCTAAAATTGACACCCTAACACCACGATTAAAAGAACTAGAGAAGCAAGAGAAAGCACATTCAAAAGCTAGCAGAAGGCAAGAAATAACTAAGATCAGAGCAGAACTGAAGGAAATAGAGACACAAAAAACCCTTCAAAAAATCAATGAATCCAGGAGCTGGTTTTTTGAAACGATCAATAAAATTGACAGAGCACTAGCAAGACTAATAAGAAAAGAGAGAAGAATCAAACAGACGCAATAAAAAATGACAAAGGGGATCACCACCTATCCCACAGAAATACAAACTACCATCAGAGAATACTATAAACATCTCTACGCAAATAAATTAGAAAATCTAGAAGAAATGGATGAATTCCTCGACACATAAACCCTCCCAAGACTAAACCAGGAAGAAGTTGAATCTCTGAATAGACCAATAACAGGCTCTGAAATTGAGGCAATAATTAATAGCTTACCAACCAAAAAAAGTCCAGGGCCAGATGGATTCACAGCCGAATTCTACCAGAGGTACAAGGAGGAGCTGGTACCATTCCTTCTGAAACTATTCCAATCAATAGAAAAAGAGGGAATCCTCCCTAACACATTTTATGCGGCCAGTATCATCCTGATACCAAAACCTGGCAGAGACACAACAAAAAAAGAGAATTTTAGACCAATATCCTTGACGAACATTGATGCAAAAATCCTCAATACAATACTGGCAAACCAAATCCAGCAGCACATCAAAAAGCTTATCCACCATGATCAAGTGGGCTTCATCCCTGGGATGCAAGGCTGGTTCAACATATGAAAATCAATAAATGTAATCCAGCATATAAACAGAACCAAAGACAAAAACCACATGATTATCTCAATAGATGCAGAAAAGGCCTTTGATAAAATTCAACAACCCTTCATGCTAAAAACTCTCAATAAATTAGGTATTGATGGGACGTATTTCAAAATAATAAGAGCTATCTATGACAAACCCACAGCCAATATCATACTGAATGGACAAAAACTAGAAGCATACCCTTTGAAAATGGGCACAAGACAGGGATGCCCTCTCTCACCACTCCTATTCAACATAGTGTTGGAAGTTCTGGCCAGGGCAATCAGGCAGGAGAAGGAAATAAAGGGCATTCAATTAGGAAAAGAGGAAGTCAAATTGTCCCTCTTTGCAGATGACATGATTGTATATCTAGAAAACCCCATTGTCTCAGCCCAAAATCTCCTTAAGCTGATAAGCAACTTCAGCAAAGTCTCAGGATACAAAATCAATGTGCAAAAATCACATGCATTCTTATACACCAATAACAGACAGAGAGCCAAATCATGAGTGAACTCCCATTCACAATTGCTTCAAAGAGAATAAAATACTTAGGAATCCAACTTACAAGGAACGTGAAGGACCTCTTCGAGGAGAACTACAAACCACTGCTCAATGAAATAAAACAGGATACAAAGAAATGGAAGAACATTCCATGCTCATGGGTAGGAAGAATCAATATCGTGAAAATGGCCATACTGACCAAGGTAATTTATAGATTCAATGCCATCCCCATCAAGCTACCAATGACTTTCTTCACAGAATTGGAAAAAACTACTTTCAAGTTCATATGGAACCAAAAAACAGCCTGCATCACCAAGTCAATCCTAAGCCAAAAGAACAAAGCTGGAGGCATCACGCTACCTGACTTCAAACTATACTGCAAGGCTACAGTAACCAAAACAGCATGGTACTGGTATCAAAACAGAGATACAGACAAATGGAACAGAACAGAGCCCTCAGAAATAACGCCGCATATCTACAACTATCTGATCTTTGGCAAACCTGAGAAAAACAAGCAATGGGGAAAGGATTTCCTATTTAATAAATGGTGCTGGGAAAACTAGCTAGCCATATGTAGAAAGCTGAAACTGGATCCCTTCCTTACACCTTATACAAAAATTAATTCAAGATGGATCAAAGACTTACATGTTAGACCTAAAACCATAAAAACCCTAGAAGAAAACCTAGGCAATACCATTCAGGACATAGGCATGGGCAAGGACTTCATGTCTAAAACACTAAAAGCAATGGCAACAAAAGTCAAAATTGACAAATGGGATCTAATTAAACTAAAAAGCTTCTGCACAGCAAAAGAAACCACCATCAGAGTGAACAAGCAACCTACAGAATGGGAGAAAATTTTTGCAACCTACTCATCTGACAAAGGGCTAATATCCAGAATCTACAATGAACTCAAACAAATTTACAAGAAAAAAAAAACAACCCCATCAAAAAGTGGGCAAAAGATATGAGCAGACACTTCTCAAAAGAAGACATTTATGCAGCCAAAAAACACATGAAAAAATGCCACCATCACTGGCCATCAGAGAAATGCAAATCAAAACCACAATGAGATACCATCTCACACCAGTTAGAATGGTGATCCTTAAAAAGTCGGGAAACAACAGGTGCTGGGGAGGATGTGGAGAAATAGGAACATTTTTACACTGTTGGTGGGACTGTAAACTAGTTCAACCATTGTGGAATTCAGTGTGACAATTCCTCAGGGATCTAGAACTAGAAATACCATTTGACCTGGCCATCCCATTACTGGGTATATATCCAAAGGATTATAAATCATGCTGCTATAAAGACACATGCACACATATGTTTATTGCAGCACTATTCACAATAGCAAAGACTTGGAACCAACCCAAATGTCCAACAACAATAGACTGGATTAAGAAAATGTGGCACATATACACCATGGAATACTATGCAGCCATAAAAAAGGATGAGTTCATGTCCTTTGTAGGGACATGGATGAAGCTGGAAGCCATCATTCTCAGCAAACTATCTCAAGGACAAAAAACCAAACACCGCATGTTCTCACTCATAGGTGGGAATTGAACAATGAGAACACATGGACACAGGAAGGGGAACATCACACACCAGGGACTGCTGTGGGGTGGGGGGAGTGGGGAGAGATAGCATTAGGAGATATACCTAATGCTAAATGACGAGTTAATGGGTGCAGCACACCAACATGGCACATGTATACATATGTAACAAACCTGCACGTTGTGCACATGTACCCTAAAACTTAAAAGTATAATAATAATAAAATTTTTTAAAAAAGAAAAAAACAAAAGTATCTATTGTAAACAAATAGGTAATCTGACACAGACAAATATGGATATAAAATAAAGCTCTGGGCAAAGACACATCATCCAAATGCAATAAAAGTAAAAACAAGGATGGCAATGTGAGTATCAAAGTGGAATTCAATGTTAAAAAGTGTTTTTCTTTTTTCTTTTTGGTTGAAAAAAGGGATCCTATAATAATACCACTTAATACATGAAAAAGGACAAAAAATGCACTAACCATTAAGTGTATGTATGCCCGTCCATCAGACGCACAAATAAAATTAGCAAAAAAGCACATATAACTGCAAAGTGAACTATTAAAAGTGATTTTTATTGTATCTCTTCCAGAATATGAAACAAGTAGATCAAAATTAGTAAAGATAAAGATTTGAAAAATAGCAACAAGCAAGATTTAATTAAAGAGAATTTTGGCCCATACAACAAAATATAATTTTTCTCTTATATCTGTTGAACAAAGTTCATTGAGTAACTTGGCTTCAAGGAAAATCTTGATAAATTGTTGAAAGTTGAGACTTGATAGTCTGCATTTTCTGACAATACAATAAAATAAAAAACAGCTAAAACATACTTTAATAATTTGGGAATGAAGAAACTCTCCCAAATAACTAAGAATCAAAGGGAAACATCAAGATGAACTTATGCATTTCATAGATAAAGATGTACTTAAAGAAACTTTACAACCCTAAATATATCCAGCATAAAACTTAAGAAAATAAGGAAAAGAACAACAAATTACATCGAAAAGTGGAAAAAAGAGAAAGTACCTGAAAAGAAAAAGAGAAAAAAATTAATACTAAAAGAGTAGGGAGTATTTTATCGGACATTTCAAAATGTCCAATAAAATAGATAAACCTTTCAAACACTTGATTCTTTTTAAACAGAGAGAAAAATGAATGATATATAAATATACTAACTGTAATGATAAAGGAGCTACTAGTCTGGATATGAAAGAGAACAAAATGGAAATGGAAACATGCAATTCTATGTAATATATTCTTTAAATCTTTAGCAAAATATATCATGATAATGAAACAGAAACGAAAATATAAACAGATCGGTACATATAAAAGAGAGGAAACTAAGATGTGCATCATTCACTCCTCAGATCCCTCCTAAGTCCCCACAGTCATCCTCCCCCACAACCCCACAGTCTGCCCTCACTCCGCCCTCAGATCCACCACCAGACAGAGACCCCCAGTCCGTCCTCACTCCGCCTGCAGATCCACCACCAGAGACCCCTCAGTGCCCCCTCACTCCTCCCTCAGATCCACCATCAGAGATCGCTCCAACTTCCACTATTCCATCCACTGACCGTCCCCATCACTGACCGGAGGGCTCAGGACAGACATCAGAGATTCTTCCTGCTCAGTCCACAGATGCTGCCATCCCTCTACTCACCTGCCCTCATCCACGTCCTCTCAGGACAGTGGTCATTTGCCTCGGGCGGTGACTACAGTCGCAAGAACCAGAACAGGACCCACTTCCTTTTTCTCAATGCCTCCCAGGCCTAGAGGTACTTCTTACAGTGCTGCCTGGGTGTGTGCAAGCTCAGCAGTCTTCGTGGCCAAAGGTTGCCAGTAGTCAACATGGCGCTTTGCCAAACACACTCCTGTTTCTGCGGCTTAGGCTGAGCGCCAGTATGGCGGCGCTCATGTAGACACTCTGGCCTGTGGGCGGCAATGTTGAGGCGATGTAGAGACTGAGGGGCTGAGGGTTGTCCAAAGGAAAGTAAGCAAGCAGAGGTGTGTCCCATCATACTAAGCCAGGACACAATCAAAGCCTGTCACCTCAGGTTACAGTCTTTCTCCAATGCTTCTGTGGACACAACAACACTGTTAACCAACAGGAACTAATCAGCATTTACATAACACCGCAAACGCAGCCGAATACACATTTTATTCGTGTCAATGGGACACTTAGCAAGATATGAACTAACCTGGGCCATAAAACAAATCTCAACAAATTTAAAACAATTGAAATCATACAGTTTGTTCTCTGAACACAATAGAATTAAACTAGAACTCAGTAACAGGAAGATAAAAGGAAAATATCCAAACACGCAAAAACACATGCTAAATAATCCATTGTTCAAAGAGAAAGTCTCAAATTTTTAAAATACATTGAAATGAATGAAAGTGAAACATAACATATCAAAATTTGTGGAATGTGGCTAAATCAGTGGTGAGAAAAAAATGTATACCACTAAGGGCTTACATTAGAAAAGAAAAAAATTTCAAAGCAATAACCAAGGTCCCTCACGTACGAGAAAAAGAAGAGCAAAATACACCGAAAGCAAGTGAAAGAAAGGAAATAATAAGGATAAGAAGATAACTCAATAAAATGTAAAAAGAAAAAATGTAGCCCACTAAGGGCTTACATTAGAAAAGAAAAAAATTTCAAAGCAATAACCAAGGTCCCTCACATATTAGAAAAAGAAGAGCAAAATAAACCGAAAGCAAGTGAAAGAAAGGAAATAATAAGGATAAGAAAATAACTCAATAAAATGTAAAAAGAAAAATAGAGACAAACCGATTAAACAAAAGCTGGTTCTATAAATGTTAATAAAATTGACAAGCCTGTAGAGGAGACACAAAATATCAATATCAAGAACGAAACAGGAGATACCACTGTTGACCATGACGAAATCAAAAGAATAAACAGAATACTACAAACAACTCTACAAACATAAATTTCACAACATGGATGAAATGCATTAATTCTTGAAAAACCACAAATTCTCTCTTACAACATGAAATAGTTATGTTGAATAGACTTAGAACTGAAGTCATAATTTGAAACATCTGAAAAGGAAATCTTCAGGCCTGGATAGCTAGATCAGAG
Source organism: Homo sapiens (assembly GCF_000001405.40). Classification (NCBI taxonomy): domain Eukaryota; kingdom Metazoa; phylum Chordata; class Mammalia; order Primates; family Hominidae; genus Homo; species Homo sapiens. The sequence continues at coordinate 87,911,132 of NC_000009.12, forward strand.
AATTCTAACAAACATTTAAAGGTTAACACGAATTATATCCAGTCTCTTCCAGAATAAAGGATAGAAAGAAGACAATAGAAAGATATTCCAACTCATGAGGCCAGTGTTAGTTACTCTGATATCAGAGCTAAAGACAGAAGAAGAAAATAAATCAGTATTCTTCATGAATATAGATGGAAAAAATTCTCAACCAAATAATAGCAAAAATAATTCAACAACATATAAAAATAATTACAAACCATGAACAAGTGATATTTATTCCAGGAATACAAAGCTGTTTTGGTATTCAAAAATCAATTCGTGTAACCTGCCACATTAGCAAGCTAAAGATAAGCATATTACATGATTATATCAATGCAGGAAAAGCATTTGAAAAAATTCAACACCCATTTATAATGAAAAAAAAACTTTCAGGAATTAGGAACAGAGGTAAACTTTCTAACTTTTAAGTTAGAAAAAAATCTACAGCTAACATCAAACTAAAAGATGAAAGAGACTGAATGCTTTCCCGTTCAGTTTGGGAAGAAGGAAAATATGTCTGTGCTCATCATTTTTATTCTACATAGCTCTGGAAGACCCAGCCAGCTGACAAAAATTCTCTCCATAACCAGACTCTAGCCATACTCCTTTGAACTCTCTTGTCAACTAAACCCTGGCTTTTGGGCTTTTGTGTTGTCTATAAATTGCCCAATATTAGTAAGAATCCTAGCAAGGCAATTTAGTCAGAATCCTCCATCTTCATATCTGACCACCATTGGTATCTAATTGGTTTTCTTATTGTCTACCATCCCCAGGTGATATCTGATCACTCTGGCATGGCTTCAGCAAGAATTCTGTGAGGTCAGTTTAGCCAGATTCCCTCCTATTAGTAATTTTCCGTACACTACCAACCCTCCACCCTGCTCTGTGGCTATAAAATTTCTATTCAGAGGGAAACCTGAATATATGGAAACTGGAGATTACTGCAAGACCCTATTGCAGTAATCTCTGTATCTATTGCAATAATCCCTCTGAATAAAGTTTGTCTTACTATTTTTTAACAGGTGTCACGAATAGTTTTTTCTATAATACAGCTCAACAAAACAAGTCTGAAATAGAAGAATAAAGTGGGAGGAATTATTCTCCCCAATTTTTTAACTTTTTACATAGCTACAGAAATCAAGACAGTGTGGTATTGGCAGGGGGACAGACAGTTCAATAAAACAGAATTGAGAACTCAGAAATAGTTCCATACAAGTACAACCAACTGACTTTTGAAAAAAGTGCAATATCAATTCAATAGTACAGTGGTTCTGGAGCAGTTAGATATCATAGACAAAACAATAACCTCAATCTAACCTCATGTCTTTATTAAAAAAAAAAAGGATCAGCCGGGCGTGGTGGCTCATGCCTGTAATCCCAGCACTTTGGGAGGCTGAGGCGGGAGGATCACGAGGTCAGGAGATCGAGACCACCCTGGCTAACAAGGTGAAACCCCGTCTCTGCTAAAAATACAAAAAAATTAACCGGGCATGGTGGCAGGTGCCTGTAGTCCCAGCTACTCGGGAGGCTGAGGCAGGAGAATGGCGTGAACCCGGGAGGCGGAGCTTGCAGTGAGCCGAGATGGCACCACTGCACTTCCAGCCTGGGCGACAGAGCGAGACTCCATCTCAAAAAAAAAAAAAAATCACATATCTCAATGTAAAAATATGAAATTTAATGAGAAATTCTTCAGGTCCTAGGACTTGATGAATAATTATTAGACATGACACCAGAAAAGCACAATCAATTCTAAGAATTTATTAATTGGATGTTATCAAAATTTAAAACTTTTGCCCTGCATAAGAGCCTGTTAATAAAAAGACAGGGTAAAAACTGGAAGAAAAGTGCAAACCACACCTGATAAACCATATCTGACAAGGAGCTCATATCTAGAATATTGTTTAAAGTTTTCAAAAGTCAACAACGACAACAAGAAAAAACAAGCCAATTAGAAAATGGGCTAAAGGCACGAACCGATATTTCACTGAACAGGATAGATTGATGGAAAATGAGAAAATAAAAAAACTTTTATCAGAGGAATGCCAGTCCTTTTAAATTATCAAGCCCAGAGAGACATTAAAATAAGACAGCAGGCCCGGCACGGTGGCTCACGCCTGTAATCCCAGCACTTTGGGAGGCCAAGGCGGGCGGATCACAAGGTCAGGAGATCGAGACCATCCTGGCCAACACGGTGAAACCCAGTCTCTACCAAAAATACAAAAAATTAGCCGGGCGTGGTAGCACATGCCTGTAGTCCCAGCTACTCGGGAGGCTGAGGCAGGAGAATGGCATGAACCCAGGAGGCACAGGTTGCCGTGAGCCAAGAGCGTGCCACTGCACTCCAGCCTGGGCAACAGAGTGAGACTCCATCTCAAAAAGAAAGGAAAACTGCAGGTCCTGCACATGTACCCCGGAACTTAAAATAAAATTACATAAGTACATAAATAGAATTTTAAAAAAATCTTAATTGTATGTGGGTAGGTCCCTTTGATTCAAAGTGAGATAGAAGGATGGGCGCAGTGGCTCATGCCTGTAATCCCAGCACTTTGGGAGGCAGAGGCGGGCAGATCACAAGGTCAGGAGATCGAGGCCATCCTGGCTAACACGGTGAAACCCCGTCTCTACTAAAAATACAAAAAGAAATTAGTAGGGCGTGGTGGTGGTGGGCGCCTGTAGTCCCAGCTACTCAGGAGGCTGAGACAGGAGAATGGCTGGAACCCGGGAGGCGGAGCTTGCAGTGAGCCAAGATCACGCCACTGCACTCCAGCCTGGGCGACAGAGAGGGACTCCGTCTCAAAAAAATAAAAAAAATAAAAAAAAAGGAAAGTGAGATAGAAATAATTTTTTAAAACTTACTATTCAAAATTTGCAAAACTAAATAAGAGTAAAAGAAATTTACATTTTGTCCCTGGATTCACAGAAGACAAAAACATTGTGTGGGAAAGCTGGAGTTGAGGACGAACGAGATTCTGAAAATAAAAATCCCTGGTACATAAGCCAAAATTTCAGAGTCAACTACAGATTTTCAAAGGCTATGAAATAGGTAACCTCAAGCCACCGACTCCAATAGATAAAAGGAACCAGGTAATATCTGTGTTCCAGGGAGAAAGAATAGAAAACTGGCTGAGTTCTATCACTGACAAAACTTAGTGCGAAGGAGGGATCTGGAAGGCGGGAGGGTGAAGGGATCCCCGGCTTGGAGGGTGGGGAGGGGCTGTGCTTCGGCCTCCCCCTCCTACTGCCCCTCCCCAACAAAGGAGCCCTTTGTGATGTGAAGCCCCAGCTCTGTGATGCGGGCCTGGGCCCCAGTCCCTAGTCTCCACGAGGATGCCCAGAGCTCAGTTGCTAGAAAGCAATGCGCCTATTCACATGGAGAATCTTCCCTTTCCTCTAAAATTACTTAGTGCCTCATCACTAAACACCCCCAGCTCCACACCATGGGTGTTGGATATCTTCCTCACCTTGGTGTTTGCCCTGGGGCTCTTCTTCCTATTACTCCCCTACTTCTCTTACCTCCGTTGTGACAACCCACCCTCACCATCGCCTAGGAAGAGAAAGGTAAGGAGCTCTCAGTCCAGACCCACAGAGCTTGATTCTCTTCTTTCTTTTTATTATTAGTTCCACCTTTCCAAATCCAGTGGAGACTTCTGCGATGGGAAGTCTCAGGAGAGACCAGAACAGCATGCTTCCAGGGAGAGGCAGGGCAGCCAGGGGTTGGTAGGGGTAGATCGTGTACTGGGATTTCCATCCCAAGCTCTCAGTCCATCTGTGGGGGAGCCAGGAGGCATGAAGGCAAAATCAAACCCGTGGGCTCAGCGGCCAGGACCGGTCATGAGACGGGGGAGGTCTCTGGTCATGAGACGGGAGGTCTCTGTCCGAGGCCAGGCCCTGAGCCCTGGCTCATCAGTCCCTTCCTGGGGCAGGTGGCTCGGGACCCAGCCTCTTCTGTGTGGGGTGATATGGGGCCTGTGCTGGGCCCCCGAGGGCCTCCCACCGGGGCCTGGCATCTCCTCTGGTCTCCTGGCAAGCAGAATGCTACCTGACAGCTCAGTGGTGCCTGCGGGCCTGAGCCTGGGTGTTCCTGGAGCAGAGGAACAGGGACTGATGGCGTCCATGGTGGACCTCATATTGAAAATCCCTGTGTGTGTGCGTGTGTGTTTGTGTGTTATTTTTATTTATTTTGTTTTTTGTGCAGGCTGCAGTGAAATGGAGCGATACCGGCTCAGTGCCACCTTTGCTTCCAGAGTTCAAGCTATTCTCCTGTCTTAGCGTACTGAGTAGCTGGGGATTACAGGCGCCCGCCACCACGCCTGGCTAATTTTCGTATTTTTAGTAGAGATGGGGTTTCACCATGGCCAGGCTGGTCTCAAACTCTTGACTTTAGGTGATCCACCTGCCTCGGCCTCCCAAAGTGCTGGGATTACAGGCATGAGCCACCGCGCCCGGCTGATCCTTTTTTTTTTAATAAAGACATGAGGTTAGATTGAGGTTATTGTTTTGTCTATGGTATCTAACTGCTCCAGAACCACTGTACTATTGAACTGATATTGCACTTTTTTCAAAAGTCAGTTGGTTGTACTTGTATGGAACTATTTCTGAGTTCTCAATTCTGTTTTATTGAACTGTCTGTCCCCCTGCCAATACCACACTGTCTTGATTTCTGTAGCTATGTAAAAAGTTAAAAAATTGGGGAGAATAATTCCTCCCACTTTATTCTTCTATTTCAGACTTGTTTTGTTGAGCTGTATTATAGAAAAAACTATTCGTGACACCTGTTAAAAAATAGTAAGACAAACGTTATTCAGAGGGATTATTGCAATAGATATAGAGATTACTGCAATAGGGTCTTGCAGTAATCTCCAGTTTCCATATATTCAGGTTTCCCTCTGAATAGAAATTTTATAGCCACAGAGCAGGGTGGAGGGGTGGTAGTGTATGGAAAATTACTAATAGGAGGGTATCTGGCTAAACTGACCTCACAGAATTCTTGCTGAAGCCATGCCAGAGTGATCAGATATCACCTGGGGATGGTAGACAATAAGAAAACCAATTAGATACCAATGGTGGTCAGATATGAAGATGGAGGAAGACTCCATCTCAAAAAAAAAAAAAAAGATCACATATCTCAATGTAAAAATATGAAATTTAATGAGAAATTCTTCAGGTCCTAGGACTTGATGAATAATTATTAGACATGACACCAGAAAAGCACAATCAATTCTAAGAATTTATTAATTGGATGTTATCAAAATTTAAAACTTTTGCCCTGCATAAGAGCCTGTTAATAAAAAGACAGGGTAAAAACTGGAAGAAAAGTGCAAACCACACCTGATAAACCATATCTGACAAGGAGCTCATATCTAGAATATTGTTTAAAGTTTTCAAAAGTCAACAACGACAACAAGAAAAAACAAGCCAATTAGAAAATGGGCTAAAGGCATGAACCGATATTTCACTGAACAGGATAGATTGATGGAAAATGAGAAAATAAAAAAACTTTTATCAGAGGAATGCCAGTCCTTTTAAATTATCAAGCCCAGAGAGACATTAAAATAAGACAGCAGGCCCGGCACGGTGGCTCACGCCTGTAATCCCAGCACTTTGGGAGGCCAAGGCGGGCGGATCACAAGGTCAGGAGAACAAGACCATCCTGGCTAACACGGTGAAACCCAGTCTCTACCAAAAATACAAAAAATTAGCCGGGCGTGGTAGCACATGCCTGTAGTCCCAGCTACTCGGGAGGCTGAGGCAGGAGAATGGCATGAACCCAGGACGCACAGGTTGCAGTGAGCCAAGAGCGTGCCACTGCACTCCAGCCTGGGCAACAGAGTGAGACTCCATCTCAAAAAGAAAGGAAAACTGCAGGTCCTGCACATGTACCCCGGAACTTAAAATAAATACATAAGTACATAAATAGAATTTTAAAAAAATCTTAATTGTATGTGGGTAGGTCCCTTTGATTCAAAGTGAGATAGAAGGATGGGCGCAGTGGCTCATGCCTGTAATCCCAGCACTTTGGGAGGCAGAGGCGGGCAGATCACAAGGTCCGGAGATCGAGGCCATCCTGGCTAACACGGTGAAACCCCGTCTCTACTAAAAATACAAAAAGAAATTAGCAGGGCGTGGTGGTGGTGGGCGCCTGTAGTCCCAGCTACTCAGGAGGCTGAGACAGGAGAATGGCTGGAACCCGGGAGGCGGAGCTTGCAGTGAGCCAAGATCACGCCACTGCACTCCAGCCTGGGCGACAGAGAGGGACTCCGTCTCAAAAAAATAAAAAAAATAAAAAAAAAGGAAAGTGAGATAGAAATAATTTTTTAAAACTTACTATTCAAAATTTGCAAAACTAAATAAGAGTAAAAGAAATTTACATTTTGTCCCTGGATTCACAGAAGACAAAAACATTGTGTGGGAAAGCTGGAGTTGAGGACGAACGAGATTCTGAAAATAAAAATCCCTGGTACATAAGCCAAAATTTCAGAGTCAACTACAGATTTTCAAAGGCTATGAAATAGGTAACCTCAAGCCACCGACTCCAATAGATAAAAGGAACCAGGTAATATCTGTGTTCCAGGGAGAAAGAATAGAAAACTGGCTGAGTTCTATCACTGACAAAACTTAGTGCGAAGGAGGGATCTGGAAGGCGGGAGGGTGAAGGGATCCCCGGCTTGGAGGGTGGGGAGGGGCTGTGCTTCGGCCTCCCCCTCCTACTGCCCCTCCCCAACAAAGGAGCCCTTTGTGATGTGAAGCCCCAGCTCTGTGATGCGGGCCTGGGCCCCAGTCCCTAGTCTCCACGAGGATGCCCAGAGCTCAGTTGCTAGAAAGCAATGCGCCTATTCACATGGAGAATCTTCCCTTTCCTCTAAAATTACTTAGTGCCTCATCACTAAACACCCCCAGCTCCACACCATGGGTGTTGGATATCTTCCTCACCTTGGTGTTTGCCCTGGGGCTCTTCTTCCTATTACTCCCCTACTTCTCTTACCTCCGTTGTGACAACCCACCCTCACCATCGCCTAGGAAGAGAAAGGTAAGGAGCTCTCAGTCCAGACCCACAGAGCTTGATTCTCTTCTTTCTTTTTATTATTAGTTCCACCTTTCCAAATCCAGTGGAGACTTCTGCGATGGGAAGTCTCAGGAGAGACCAGAACAGCATGCTTCCAGGGAGAGGCAGGGCAGCCAGGGGTTGGTAGGGGTAGATCGTGTACTGGGATTTCCATCCCAAGCTCTCAGTCCATCTGTGGGGGAGCCAGGAGGCATGAAGGCAAAATCAAACCCGTGGGCTCAGCGGCCAGGACCGGTCATGAGACGGGGGAGGTCTCTGGTCATGAGACGGGAGGTCTCTGTCCGAGGCCAGGCCCTGAGCCCTGGCTCATCAGTCCCTTCCTGGGGCAGGTGGCTCGGGACCCAGCCTCTTCTGTGTGGGGTGATATGGGGCCTGTGCTGGGCCCCCGAGGGCCTCCCACCGGGGCCTGGCATCTCCTCTGGTCTCCTGGCAAGCAGAATGCTACCTGACAGCTCAGTGGTGCCTGCGGGCCTGAGCCTGGGTGTTCCTGGAGCAGAGGAACAGGGACTGATGGCGTCCATGGTGGACCTCATATTGAAAATCCCTGTGTGTGTGCGTGTGTGTTTGTGTGTTATTTTTATTTATTTTGTTTTTTGTGCAGGCTGCAGTGAAATGAAGCGATACCGGCTCAGTGCCACCTTTGCTTCCAGAGTTCAAGCTATTCTCCTGTCTTAGCGTCCTGAGTAGCTGGGGATTACAGGCGCCCGCCACCACGCCTGGCTAATTTTCGTATTTTTAGTAGAGATGGGGTTTCACCATGGCCAGGCTGGTCTCAAACTCTTGACCTCAGGTGATCCACCTGCCTCGGCCTCCCAAAGTGCTTGGATTATAGGCGTGAGCCACCGCACCCGACCCCCTCTTCCTGTTTTTCTAAGAAAAGCAGTTTATCATCCATTTAAACATGAGTGGGAGGGGAGAAAGCACACAGAGCTCCCTGAGCAAGACAGACAGAGCCATGCGGTTCATGAGTGCAGCGTGCTGCGGCTGGGGGCAGAGAGGGAGAGCCGGTCCTAGCTCCTCGCCATTTCTTGTCTCCCAGCGTCATCTTGTCTCCCAGCGTCATCTTGTCTCCCAGTGTCCAACAGGGCGGAGGGGGAGGCCCAGAGGCAGGATGAAAAACCACAGTCTGAGAGGTAAGGCTCTGCCAGGGCACACTAGAGTTAATTTGATCTCATCTGTCCGGGAGGGAACTGACTCTGAAGAAGTCAGTTGAAAAAACCTGAGGTGGGGGCTCCTAGGAAGGAAATCAGAACCCTGGGTCCTTCTCAGATTCTGTGCCGCCGGAATGAAGCCATGGTGGGCCAGGGACTGAGCGTTACCCAGCAGGGGGCAGTGTGTGTGTCCTGGGGAGACCAATGCCTGCCTGGATGCGGAGGGGGGTGAGGGGCCTCCCGCTCCCTGGGAACAGCTGTTCAACTCTGCTAAGGCTGATTCCTCTCTGAGACCACCCCAGTCCTTTCTCCTCACAGGGCAGTTGTGAGGACCGTGGGGGTGGAGGGTCTGTGTGTGGAAGCCCTTTGTGAATGACAAAGCCCTGTCCTCTATGCCTTGCTATTACCGTCGGGGCCATGTGGCTTTGGACACAGATGGGTGGGTTCCAGGGTCTAATTCCCCATGGTCTTCCCTAAAGAAACATACACTCAGCCTCCTGTGAGATCCCAAGCCCCTCCCTCACTGCCCTAACCCGGTCTGATTTCCAGCTTGTAGAGAGTGCCCGAGAGGCCTGGAGGAGACTTGGGACCTGCTTTCACAACTGCAGAGGTGAGGCACTTCCCCTTCCCTGCATCCTTCCTACCAGGGCTGGGACGTGACCCCAGGGCCACAGGCAGCCTGGAGCTGACCTGGGATGGGGAGACCAGGGGGACAGAGGATGGGAGTAAAGCCCTGGGGCGAGGGGTAGCAGGAGAATTGGGTGGTCAGGGTGTGGCGTGGTGGAGAGGGTGTGGCGTGGTGGAGGGGCTGTGGCCCAAGCGCCCACTCTGCCCTCCGAACCCATCTGGCTCCTGGCTGCAGCTTGTGCCTCCTGTCTCCTGCAGCCTCCTGGGGCCACACCTTGAAAAAGGTGACTTTGGTCAGCTCTCTGGTCCAGACCCGCCAGGTGAGGTGGGCAAAAGAACACCTGATGGAGCCTCCCGGTCCTCTCATGAGCCTATGGAAGATGCTGCTCCCATTGTCTCCCCGTTAGCTTCCCCGGATCCTCGAACCAAGCATCCTCAGGATCTGGCCTCCACCCCACCACCAGGCCCAATGACCACCTCAGTCTCCTCCCTAAGTGCCTCCCAGCCACCAGAACCTTCCCTTCTCCTAGAACGCCCCTCACCCGAGCCACCTGCACTTTTCCCTCACCCACCACACACCCCTGATCCTCTGGCCTGCTCTCCACCTCCTCCGAAAGGCTTCACTCCTCCTCCCCTGCGGGACTCCACTCTGTTAACACCATCTCACTGTGACTCAGTGGCACTTCCACTGGACACCGTCCCTCAAAGCTTGTCTCCACGTGAGGATTTGGCGGCTTCTGTCCCAGCCATCTCAGGCCTTGGCGGCTCAAACAGTCAAGTTTCTGCCCTCTCCTGGTCGCAGGAGACTACCAAAACCTGGTGCATCTTCAACTCGTCAGTCCAGCAAGATCATCTTTCCCGCCAAAGGGACACCACAATGTCCCCACTGCTTTTCCAGGCCCAGCCCCTGTCCCATCTGGGGCCTGAGTCCCAACCCTTTATTTCATCCACACCCCAATTCCGGCCCACACCTATGGCTCAGGCCGAGGCTCAGGCCCATCTTCAATCCTCTTTCCCAGTCCTATCTCCTGCTTTTCTATCCCCGATGAAGAACACTGGAGTAGCTTGCCCTGCGTCGCAGAATAAAGTGCAAGCTCTCTCCTTACCTGAAACTCAGCACCCTGAAAGGCCTTTGTTGAGGAAACAACTAGAAGGTGGGTTGGCTTTACCCTCTAGGGTCCAAAAATCTCAGGACGTCTTTAGTGTCTCCACTCCTAACCTTCCCCAGGAAAGACTGACATCCATTCTGCCTGAGAACTTTCCAGTCAGTCCTGAACTCTGGAGACAACTGGAGCAATACATGGGGCAACGTGGAAGGATCCAAGAGTCTCTGGATCTGATGCAGCTTCAGGATGAATTGCCAGGGACAAGTCAGGCCAAGGGCAAACCCAGGCCCTGGCAGTCCTCCACGTCCACAGGTGAAAGCAGCAAGGAGGCACAGACGGTGAAGTTCCAGCTAGAGAGGGACCCATGCCCACATCTGGGGCAAATTCTGGGTGAGACCCCACAAAATCTATCCAGGGGCATGGAAAGCTTCCCAGGGAAGGTTCTGGGGGCGACCTCTGAGGAGTCAGAAAGGAACCTGAGGAAGCCCTTGAGGAGTGACTCAGGAAGTGATTTATTAAGACGCACAGAGAGGAATCATATAGAAAACATCCTGAAAGCCCACATGGGCAGAAAGTTGGGCCAGACCAACGAGGGCTTGATCCCCGTGAGTGTGCGTCGATCCTGGCTTGCTGTCAACCAGGCTTTTCCCGTATCCAACACCCACGTGAAAACCAGCAATCTAGCAGCCCCGAAAAGTAGGAAAGCCTGTGTAAACACAGCCCAGGTGCTTTCCTTCCTTGAGCTGTGTACTCAGCAGGTGCTGGAAGCCCATATTGTGAGGTTTTGGGCCAAACACAGGTGGGGTCTACCCCTCAGGGTCCTCAAGCCCATTCAGTGCTTTCAACTGGAAAAGGTTTCATCCTTGTCCCTTATACAGCTTGCTGGTCCCTCCTCAGACACCTGCGAATCTGGGGCTGGCTCAAAAGTTGAGGTGGCCACGCTCCTTGGAGAGCCACCAATGGCAAGTCTGAGAAAGCAAGTGCTGACCAAACCATCTGTTCACATGCCAGAGAGGCTTCAGGCCTCCTCACCTGCATGTAAGCAGTTCCAGAGGGCCCCGCGAGGGATCCCATCTTCAAATGATCATGGGTCCTTGAAGGCTCCTACAGCTGGACAGGAGGGCAGGTGGCCATCTAAGCCCCTCACATACAGCCTCAAAGGCAGCACCCAGCAGAGCAGGAGCTTAGGAGCCCAATCTTCAAGGGCTGGAGAGACCAGGGAGGCAGTGCCACAACCCACAGTCCCCTTGGGAACCTGTATGAGAGCAAACCTCCAAGCCACAAGTGAGGATGTGCGTGGTTTCAAGGCTCCAGGCGCCAGCAAAAGCTCTCTACTCCCTAGAATGTCTGTCTCCCAAGACCCAAGAAAGCTGTGTCTCATGGAGGAGGCTGTTAGTGAATTTGAGCCTGGAATGGCCACGAAGTCAGAGACCCAGCCTCAAGTTTCTGCCGCTGTTGTGCTCCTTCCAGATGGGCAAGCATCTGTTGTGCCCCATGCTTCAGAGAATTTGGCTTCTCAAGTGCCCCAGGGCCATCTCCAGAGCACGCCTACTGGGAACATGCAGGCTTCCCAGGAGCTATGTGACCTCATGTCAGCCAGAAGGAGTAACATGGGGCACAAGGAGCCCAGGAACCCAAACTGTCAAGGCTCATGCAAGAGCCAAAGCCCAATGTTTCCCCCTACTCACAAGAGGGAGAACTCTAGGAAGCCCAACTTAGAAAAACATGAAGAAATGTTTCAAGGATTGAGGACTCCTCAACTTACCCCAGGCAGAAAAACAGAAGACACCCGTCAGAATGAAGGCGTCCAGCTACTGCCATCAAAGAAACAGCCTCCTTCAATAAGCCACTTTGGAGAAAACATCAAGCAATTTTTTGAGACGATTTTTTCAAAGAAAGAAAGGAAGCCAGCACCAGTCACTGCTGAGAGCCAAAAAACAGTAAAAAACAGATCATGCGTGTACGGCAGCAGTGCTGAAGCTGAGAGGCTCATGACAGCAGTTGGACAGATACCGGAGGAGAACATGTCACTTTGCCATGCGCGCCATGCCTCGAAGGTAAATCAGCAAAGACAGCAGTTTCAAGCCCCAGTCTGTGGGTTTCCCTGCAACCACAGACACCCGTTCTACTCAGACCACAGCAGAATGCTGAGCTATGCAGCCAGCAGTCAACAAGCCACTCTCAAGAACCAGAGTCGTCCCAACAGAGACAGACAAATCAGAGATCAGCAGCCCTTGAAAAGTGTCCGGTGCAACAATGAGCAATGGGGCCTGCGACATCCCCAACTCTTGCTCCCCAAGAAAGCTGTATCCCCAGTCAGTCCCCCTCAGCACCGGCCGAAGACACCCAGTGCCTCCAGCCACCATCACCACTGACCAAGGCACTGTCTTTTTCAGGGAGGTATCTAATTTGGTCAGTCACAAATTCCTTTTTAGCCTTCCCTAGAGAAAAACAAGTCACCAAGAAAAAATTCACTCTATGTAGAGGAAAAGTATTTTCTCTCATGTTAGTACACGCAGAACATTTAATATTCCACAATATATACGGTTTTTTATTCATAAGAGGGTGATGGCTTTTATTTGTGCTGTGCTTGGTGTGGGCTTGGTTTCTAGAAGCGACAGGACATGGAGGGAGGCTGACAGCGGTGCTGTAAGCCCACCTTCATCCTGAGTTCCTTCACTGAACCTTATGTTTCCGTAATACCATCTTTACACAAACAACAAAAAATTCTAAAAACAAGATGAGAAAAACCTATGAAGATCCCACTCTGAAATAAGGTTCAACCCATCTTTCCACTACTTACTGTCCACCTCAAACTTTATGCAACTATAGGGAGAAGGTTTGCAGAGATGTCACAGGGCTGAACATCTCCATGCAGGCTCCAGGAAGTGCCACAGCCAAATAACTTCATGTGTCACAAAATAGTGGAAGTTTGGGTGGGAGAGTGCTGGACCCTGAGTTCAGAAGTGGGAGAAGTCTTGACCCTGGGTATCCTGGTGAAGAATAGATAATGTCTGCCCTGGGAAGCCCCTTCTCTCCCTGACAAAGGCTGGGATGGAGATGGGCCCTCTTAGCTCAGCCAACATGTGAAGCACAGAGTCCCCATCCCACTGCCTCTCCCTTTCTCGCACTCTGGAGTGGTGGTGGGGATAGACCTTCCAGCTCTGTGCATGTGTAGGTGGGGGGCGGGGGGCTGGGGGGACGGCCTTCATGGAGGCTGCTGAGGGCGGCGAACTCCCCTGCCCCAGATGAGTGAATGACCCTGCTAGGAAGTCAGAGCCTGCAAGGGCTGTGGGGGTATCAGGTGGAGTGGGCTCCAGGTACACCCTCAGTGCACTGGGCAGGTCTCAGGCCAGGCTCTCTGGACCCCACCTGGGTGATGTGGTCACTCCCTGGGGGACTGCTGTCAGGCCCCGGCCACCCACCCTGGGCAGCACCGTCCCATCGCAGGACTGGACTTTCTGAGTCCTGAGACAGGACGGTGCTGCCCAGGCCTGACAGACTGGGAGGAACTGTTAAGTCCTCCATCTCTAGACCAGCCTCCCACACAGCACGGACAGTCTCTTACCTTTACCTTCATGAAGAATGATCCTTCTCACTCTAAGGCAACCAAGGCAGAGCTGAGGACCCGTGCCAGGCTGGGAGTCAGTCCCCTCCCTAAATGGGCCTGAGGGAAGCACCATCCCTGTCCCAATCCACCACAAATTTCTGCCCAGGAGACACATAGGGAAGGGAGGACGGGGCCTCCCTGCTGGCTGACACTGGAAACGCGGGACCTGGAAGAAGAGGGAGCGCAGGGCTGGCAGGGGATGCTCCAGGCCCATGGAGAGCTCGGGCTGCACCATGGGGCTGCCCCTCCTGGGCTGGAGGCTGTGCCCTCTGCAGGATTTGAGAAAGTCCAGTCCTGAGATGGGACAGCACTGCCCAGGGTGGGTGGCTGGGGCCCGACGGAAGTCCCTCAGGGAGCGACCGCCATCACTCGACCAGGGTGCAGGGAGCCTGGGCTGAGACCTGCCCAGTGCACTGAGGGTGCAACTGGAGACCACCCCACCTGACGCCCCCACAGCACTGACAGGATCTGACCTCCCAGCATGTACCTGCCTCTCCCTGCACCCCAGCTGCCCACCCTGCCTGTTCCCTGGCTTCCTCCATCCCGTGCAGCCCATAGACTGTGACCATCTCACCGGCTACTCTGGCCCTTCCTTTGCCTTTGTCCTGTCAAAATCTCTGAGCAAGATCTCCCAGGTCCATCCAAACACCTGCTTTGTCCACTTTTGACTGGGCTTTTGGGCACCACTGGCCCATCTGAGCTGTCCATAGGGCCTGTGATAACGTGCATTGCACCTGGCATCTCCCAGCAGTGCTCAGCAGCCCCCGCACCAGGTCCCTGCTGACCAGATCCCGCACATCAGGTCCTCCCTGACCACACCCTCACTGATTAGAACCCCATGACCATGCCCCACTAACCAGGCCCTGCTGCCAGGCCCACAGTGACCAGGACCCTACTGACTGACCACGACCTTACACACCAGGGCCTCACTGACCAGGTCCTTACTGACAAGGCCTCATTGATCAGGTTCCACCGATCATGACCCCATTGCCTGGCCCCACAGATGAGGTCCTACTGACTAAGCCTCCGGGGAACAGACTGCCACTGACCAGGCCCCTATTAAGCAGGCCCAAGGTGACCAGATACTTCTGACTATGACCCTAGTGAGTAGGCCCCACTGAATGGGCACCCACTGCTCAGATCCCTGCTGACCAGGTCACCCACAGACCAGTGCTACAAAAGCCACCACTGACCACGCTCTCTCTGAACAGGCCCCCACTGATTAGGTTCCACTGACCAGGCTGCCCTGATCAGGGCCCCACTGACAAGGGCCTCACTGATGAGGACATGGCCACCAGGCCCTGCTGACTAGGTCCCATGTGACCAGGCCTCCACTGAATAGCACCCCTTGACCTGGTCACCAGTGACCCAGCTCATGCTGACAAGGCCACCACTAAGCCCCAGCTGACCAGGTCTCCACTGACAAAGTCCTGCAGCCTAGTTTTACACTGACCAGACACCAAACAAGTGGCTGCCACTAGGTCCCCACTCACCAAGACCCCACTACTAGATCCCCCTAATGAGACCCTCTCTAAGCAGACCCCTGCTGACCACGCCCCCAATAAATAGGCCTCACTGACCAAGTCCCAACTGACTAGGTCCACTGACGAGGCCCACACTGATCAGGGCCCTCCTAACTATACCAGAAGACCAAGCGACAATGAGATATTTCATATGGCAGGAGTAGGAGCAAGACAGAGAGAGGAAGGAGGTGCTACATCCTGTTATACAACCAGATCTCAAGAGAACCCACTATCAGGAGATCAGCATCAAGAAGATTAACCATTGGTGAAGGAACCACCGCCCATACCACCACCCACTGTTGCCAGGCAGAAGCCTCCTGCAGAGGCAGAGCCTCTTGGGAAACTTCCACTATGGCAGTGCAGAAGGAAAATATGGGCTTGGAGCCCCCACACAGGAGGCCACCATCCTCCAGACCCCAGATTCATAAGCCCACCAACAGCTCGCACCCTCAGTATGGAAAGGCTACAGGCACTCCACACCAGCCCAGCCCATGGGAGCAGCCATGGGGGCTGAAGCCTGCAAAGCCACAGGTTCACTGTCCTAGTAGAGGTTTTCCACAAACCTCTGCCTCTACAGCAGACTACTCCCTCTTCCTACTACCCCCCACCCTCCCACCACCCTACTGCCAACCTACTCTCCACCCTACCCACCCCTTTTCCTTCCAACCCCAACCCCCTCTTGCCATGATTAAATCACCTCCCACCAGGTCCCACCTCCAACATTAAGAAGTACAATTCACATGAGTTTTGTAAATAAACACAGCCAAACCATATTATTCTGACCCTGATACCCCAGAATCTCATGTCCTTCTCACAGAGCAAAATACATTCATGCCTTTTCAAAAGTTTCCTTCCAAATGTCTTAACTCATTCCAGCATTAACTCAAAAGTAAAAAGTTCAACATCTCATCTGAGACAAGTCTACAGTCCCTTTTGCCTATGAGTCCCTGAATTTAAAAGGATGTTCTTTTCTTTCAGGGTACAATGATGGTAAAGGCACTGGATAAGCTTTCTCAATCGAAAGGGAAGAAATTTCCCAGGAAAAAAACACAAATAGGACCACAGGCCCAATGCAAGTCCAAAACCCAGGAGGCCAGTATCCATTCAATCTCACAGCTCCAAAATCATGAAGAAAACTCACTATCATAAGCACAGCAATAAGGAGGTGGTGTTTAATCATTTGTGAAGGATCCACCCCCGACCACCACTTTTCACCCCTCACCCCCACCATAATCCCCTCATTCTCCCTACCCCCACCTTCCAACCCCCACTCTCCACCATAATTAAATCACCCTCCACCAGGCCCCACCTTTAACTTTATTATTCTGTCCCTGGCTCCCAAATCTCATGTCCTTCTCACATTGCAAAATACAATGATGCCTTCTCTACAGCCCCTCCAAATCTTATATCATTCCAGCATTTATACAAATGTCCAAAGCTTAAAGTCTCATCTGACACAAGGCTACAGTCCCTTAGGTGCATGAGCCTCTGAACAATAAAGCAAGTTAACTACTTCCAAGGTACAATGCTTGTGCAGGCAATGTTACGTAAGCATTCTCAGCCGAAAGGAAGAATTCTGCCAGAAAGAACAAAACACAGGACTTACAGGCCCCATGAAACTCCAAACCCAGAAGGCTAGTCATTCAATCCTACAGTTCCGAAATCATCCTTTCTGAAACCTTGTCCCACATCCAGGGCACAGGGACGTGAGGGCTGGGCTCTGAAGGCCCTGGGCTGCTCTGCACCTTTGGTTTTGCAGGGTTTATGCCCCACGGCTGCACTCATGGGCTGGGCGGGTGTTGAGTGCCTGTAGTTTTTCCCGACTGATGGTACAAGCTATCGGTCGGTCTACGAATCTGGGGTCTGCATGATGGTGGCCTCCAGTGTGGGGGCTCCAACCCCATATTTTCCTTCTGCACTGCCCTAGTAGAGGTTTCTTATGAGGCTCTGCCTTTTTGGGATGCTTTTTTCTGGTCACCCAGGCATTTCCATACATCTTCCAAAGTCTACAGAGAGGCTTCCAAGCCTCTAGTCTCAAGATCCGTCCACCCAGTGGCTTACCAATATGAGGAAGTTACCAAGGCTTCTAGCCTGCACTCTCTGAAGCAGTGACCCAAGCTGCATCTGTGCATTTTCAGCCATGGCTGGAGCTGGAGCTGCAGGGATGTAGGCAGCAGTGCCCTGAGGCTGCACATAGAGGGGGGTCATGGGACTGGCCCAGGAAACCATTCTTCTCTCCTAGGCCCCAGGGCCTGTGACAGGAAGGGCTGCTGCAAAGTTCTATGAAATGCCTTCAAGGCCTCTTCCCTATTGTCTTGGCTATTAGCACTGGGCTCCTTTTTATGCAAATTTCTGAAGCCTTCCTGAATTTTCTCCCTGAAAATCAGATTTTCTTTTTGACCACTTGGCCAGGCTGCAAATTTTCCAAACTTCTGAGTTCTGTTTCTTATTTAATGTAAGAGTTGGGACTTGTTTAATGGAAGTCCCATCCAGAGGTCATTTCCTCAGTCACACATCAGAGCACAGGCTGTTCAATGCAGACAGGACACCTCTTGAGCTTTGCTTCCTAGAAGTTCATTCCACCAAATATGTACTAAGTCATCACCCTCAAGTTTAAAGTTTCACAGATCTCCAGGGCAGGGTCACCGTGCCACCACATTCCTTGCTACAGCAAAACAAAGGTAACCTTGGCTTCTGTTCCCAATAAGTTCCTCATTTTTATCTGAGACCTTTTAAGTCTGGCTTTCACTGACCATTTTCCTGTCAGCCTTCTGATCGCAAGTATTTAACAATTCTCTACAAAGATCCAAACTTTTCCTCATTTTCCTGTCTTCAAAGCCCTTCAAACTCTCCCAACCTCTGTCTGCTACCCCCTTCTGAACCTGCTTCTACTTTATCACCTATCTTTGTCACAGCCTGGCAATGTGGTAAAGGAAGGCAAGTCCATTTTCAGGGGGAAAATTCAAGGCTTCAGATACTTGAATGAAAAGAAGCTGAGTGCTGATTGCCAAGACAACAGGGAAAAGGCCTTGAAGACATTTCATACATCCACTTTCCAGTACTAATTTTCTCTATGATCATAAAGAATCTCATGATTCTGCAGGCTGTAAGGAAACATAGTGGCTTCTGAATCTGGGAGGACTCAGGAAGCCACCCAGTCATATCAGAATGTCAAGGGGCAATGAGATGATTCATGTGGCAGGAGTAGGAGCAAGACAGAGAGAGGAAAGAGGTGCCACACCCTATTATACAACCAGATCTCATGGGAACTCACTATCACAAGCTCAGCATCAAAAAGATGGTGCTTAACCATTGATGAAGGATTCGCCCCCCACCCCCAACTCCCACTGTTTCCAGGCAGAAGCCTGATGCAGAGGCAGAGCCTCTGGGAAAACCTCTCCTAGGGAAGTGCGGAAGGAAAATATGGGCTTGGAGCTCCCACACAGGATACCATCATCCTCCAGACCCCAGTCATAGACCCACCAACAGCTCCCACCCTCTGCATGGAAAAGCTACAGGCACTCAACACCAGCCCAGCCATGAGAGCAGCAAAGCCACAGGTGCACTGCCCTAGTAGAGGTTTTCCATGAGCCTCTACCTGTGCAGCAGGCTACTCCCCCTTCCTACTACCCACCACCCTCCCACCACCCTACAGCCAGCGTACTCCTCCCCACCCCTTTCTCCTTACACCTCCACCCACCTCCCATCCATGATTAAATCACCTCCCACCAGGCTTCACAACCAAAATTCGGGATTACAATTCCACATGAGTTTTTCTAGCAAAACACAGCCAAACCATATTATTCAGACCTTGACCCTTCCGAATCTCATGTCCTTCTCACAGGGTAAAACACAATCATGCCTTTTCAAAAGTTTCCAAAAGCCTTAACTCATTCCAGCATCAACTCAACTATAAGAAGTTCAAAGTCTCATCCGAGACAAGGCTACAGTATCTTCTACCTATGAGTCCCTGAAGTTAAAATGGAGTTCTTTTCTTTCAAGGTACAATGATGGTACAGGCATTGGGTAAGCTTTCTTAATCCAAAGGGAAGAAATTTCCCAGAAAAATAACACAAATGGGACCACAGGCCCAATGCACATCCAAAACCCAGCAGACCAGTATTCAATCTCACAGCTACGAAATTATGACGAGAACTATCAGAAGGACAGCATTAAGGAGATGGTGTTTAATTACTTGTGAAGGATCTACCCCCACCCCTGCCTTTCACCCCCAACCCCACCATAATTCCCCCCAATTCTCCCCACCACCCCCACCTTCCAACCTCCACTCTCCACCATGATTAAATCACCTTCCACCAGCCCCCACCACCTTTAACATTTCCCGTTACAATTTCACAGCAGTGGGACACAGAGCCAAGTCATATTATTCTGTCCCTGCCCATGCAAATCTCATATGTCTTTCTCACGTTGCAAAATACAATGATGACTTCCCTACAGTCCCCCAAATCTTAACTCATTCCAGCAAATGTCCAAAGCCCAAAGTTTTATCTGGGACAAGGATACAGTCCCTTCTGCCCATGAGCCTCTGAATTATAAAGCAAGTTAACTACTTCCAAGGTACAATGATTGTACAGGCAATGGGTAAGCATTCCCAGCCAATAGAAGAAAAATTGCCTGAAAGAAAAACAAACACCGATGGGACTCATAGGATACATGAACATCCAAAACCCAGCAGGCCAGTCATTCAATCCTACAGCTCTAAAATCATCCTTTTGGAATCCTTGTCCCCAGCCATCTGGGGCTGTAGGGCAGCTGGCCACAAGCTGCCCTGGCTTCTTCCATGTTGTGCTCATCACTACCCACCAAGGGAGGTCAGATGCAGGCATCAAGCAGGGCGGTTGTCTCTGGACCTGCGTCTTGGTTATCATGGAGCCAAACTGGGCCTGGTGACAGGGCCATGATGGTGTTGTTCTGGTGGTCCTGTGGGTGTCCAGAGGAGATGCAGAATGGAATTGCTACCAGGATGAATCAGATGACTGTCAACACAGAACAGGCACCTGGTGAGTGCTCAGGGTTTACCCTCAGTAGCTGCCCAGAGGCCAAAACCATCCACCTGATAGCGACTGTCCCTAAGCCAGGAAGAAGAGAAGAGAGCAGGTTCCACTCACGTAAGTCTGATCAGTGAGATGTGCTGAGGTGTGCCTCTCACCTAGAAAATGGCCCTTCATGCAGAGCCACTCACAGACACTGCTGTGTGTCTCTAACTGCTCCACAACACATAGGCAATGGGGGCTCAGCAACAGTGACATCGTGGGGTGACACAACACACCACAACGGGAGCCTGCTTGGGTCAAGAGGGCCCAGAATCAGTGTCCTCTATCCCCTGAACTCACATGTGTGCATGCAATGTGTTTATGCATGTATGTGTCTATGTGCATATGGGTGTATTTGTCTTGCTTCTCTGGCCTGGCCTAGCTGCTCCACTCACAGGTGCACCCAGGTCCTCATCACTATCACCACCAGGGCCCAGGGCCAGGATTAGAGAATCCACAGGTGCTCCCCAATCTCTGCCCTCCCCACCGAGTGTGGTCCTGGGGATGCAGACAGAGGAGGGGCGCCGAGCAGAGTAGAGCGGGCTGGTACCCTCTCTAGGTGGAACCCAGGTTGTGTGTAAAGTTGGAGGTCTGCCAAGCAGTGCTGAATTCAACACATCTTCTCACATTCTCTTTCCAGCAACGCTCCAGGGTGCCCTGACTCACCTTCCTACACATGGAAGCAAGGAGGCTCCACAAACCCCCTGCCTAAGGTCACACAGCGGCCAACTGGCCAGGTTCCTACTGACCAGGCGCCCCCCAAACCAGATCCCCACTGACAAGGCCCCTAATGACCACTCCTCCATTGACCAGGTCCCACTGGCCAAGTCCCCACTGGCCATGTCTCCATAACCAGGAAGAGGCCCCTATTAATAGGCCTCACGGACCAGACCCCACTGACTGGGTTCCCACTGATAAGACCACAATTTACCAGGTTGCCCCTCACCTCACCCCCACTGAACAATTCTCCATGGATCAGTCCCCAGCTGACCGAGCCCCCTCTGACCAGGCCCTCACTGACCAGGCTCCAAGCCACTAAGGCCCCACACTGACCAGACCCCTAATATACTGAATAGACCCCACCGGCCAGTTTTTTATTGTTTGTGTTCCAACCGATCAGACCCCACTAATAAGGCCACCACTGACCAGGTCCCCACTGACTAGGCTTCCAATGACTAGGTCACCAGGTCCCCATTGGTGAGGCCTTCACTGAGGAGGCCACCCTCTAGCCAGGTCCCTGCTGATCTGGTCCCAACTGACCAGGTCCTGATGGCTAGGTCATCTCTAACCATGATCCACTGACGAGGCCCCTGTGCAGTGGTGCTCAACGTCTCATTACAATGCCCCAGTCAGCCCACAGACCCTCCCTCCCTGCATGTGTGCCCAGAGATCAGGCCCGGGGGGGTTTCTTGGGCCCCAAGGCCTCTCCTCCAAGACACAGGAAGGACAGTCAGCCTCAGGCTCCAGGTACCCAGCTTCACACTCGCCCCCCAAGGCCCTCTGGGCCCATCTCAAAGGAGACAATGAGGTGGCCTGGCACTGCCTGGACATGCCATCTACCCTATTCCTGAGTGTCAGAGTGGGAGAAGGGAGGGACATTTGGCAGACGAGACACCCTGTGCTGCTGGGTCTCCCACTGCCCTTCCCACAGAGCCCCGATCTAGAGACACAGCACAGAGGCTGCAGACAAATTAATCCAGAACCCTTGAGGCTGAGCCAGGGACCACATGAGGACTGTCCCCAGACAGCCAGAAGGCCCTTTGCTAGTTTCTTGGTACCTCAATGGATGCAGCAACAGTTCTTCTGTTGGGGACTAGCGAGTGTGTGCTGGGGAGGGCTCACCTGTGCTTCCTCAGTGGTTCCAACTCTGCTTCTAAGAAAAATTACTCATTCTAGGGCTGGAACAGAGAAAATACAAGATTAGTTTGGAACATCTTGTGCCAGAAAGTAAAAAAGTGCTGACAAGAGTAACAGAGACAAATCAAAAAGACATAAAGTCAGACATAAAGAAATGTCTACCACTGGCCTCATCTTGGGGAATTGGAGCACCAGAATCATGAGCTTTCCCTTCTCCTTTATTTATTGGTTTTATTTCTCCATGTAGAACAAACAAGAGAATACGAAAATAATCATCTGGCAACCATCACAGTAATACTTGTTCAAAGACAAGACATCAATGAAATACCGAATCTAGTGGGTTTTTAGGAGTAACCAGATATTTACAGAGCCTCAAAGTATCTCCACACAAAATACGGTTGAACTACAAAAAGAAATTCATAACATTAGTATGGACAAACCTGGCAGGTACTCTTTAAGTCTCCTACTATATATAGTAATAAAACCTGTAAAATGCAAAGAAGGCTTCGATGACCTTTACTAAAGTATCAAGGATGACTTGGTTGTTTGGCTTTTTAAACAGCTGACATTTGGGCAATTTGAGTATGTCAAACTCCATAATACTGGTGTTCATTTGCAAGATCCACTTAAAACTTAAGGGGGCTAAAAAACATCATTTAAAATACCATAATAAATGTTCATCATACATATGATATGAAAATATTCTACTTTAGTAAAGATTGTGATGTTATATATTTTATGAGAAGCAATTAAAATTTCATGTCAATAGCCCAGTAATAAAGTTTTATGATCTTTTAAATCACACAACTTTTCCTTAAGATTTTATGGTTAAATATTCTCTTTATTAGATGTGGCTTACCAGTGGATTCTAGAGAAGAAAGCAGATGGGAGCAAGTGCCCAACACAGCAAAAGCTGGAAAGAAAAAGAAAGGATTATGTTCTTTACCCAAAACATTTCAGTTAACTGTGAGTTTAAAATCTAAAGAGTTGAGAACGTTATCAGAGTTAAAAAGAATGAGAAATATGTACGTACGATTACAATACAAAATTACTATTAAATAATTAACGCATGGCATTAATTCTAATTGTGGTTAAATATCACAGCTTTTCCATTCTTTATTCATGTACTCAACACCCACGTGCTAAGGCACTAGAATCAGTACTGGAATTACAATATGAAGATGGCATGGTCCACCTCTCAACAGTCATATGCTATAACCTAAAACAACAGACAGGCAGGCAATGTCCGTATAGAGTCATAGACACTATGACAGGTATAAAGCAGGGCACTACTGGAAAACACAGAAGGGACATCTACCCCACTTTTGTGTCAATATCATGGGCTTTGTGGAGCAGATAAATAGGTTGATACCTGAAGGACAAGGAAAAGCTTGCCAGATAGAGAGACGAGGCGAAGGCAAAGAGCCTGAGGTGAGGAAGAGCCCTACAGAGTTCTACTCCGCCCACTTTGGTGCTAGAGCAAAGGGCAGAGTGCGGTAAGCGGCGAGAGATAAGGCTGAGTAACCTGACAACAATTACATTGACACAGGTGTTTTTATTTCATGGTGAAAATTTTGGAACTTTTCCTGAGAACAGATGTAAGCCAATGGCACAGTAAATGACAGGAGATTTAAAATGTCACCTGTCAAGCGACTGCTTATGAAGGGTTTTTCCTCAACTAAGTACTTCTAAATGAGTCTGAGGTCTGTTGGTCTTCAATCTCTACCAAAACCCAGAGAACTTGATGATGACTTTGTTTTCAGAGAATCCTTTCAACGTGCTGGCTGACAGTTCCATGAGGATGGCAAAAGTGAAGAAATTGTAGAGCCAGTAAAAAAGAGATGGATACACTTCTTGGGAATTTTTTAAGCTATCGGACATGATGAATTAATGGTACATGAGTATACTCTTCACTGTGAAAGTTTTTGTTTTCACATCTTTCACTAGATGTGTGTAAGGAAAAGATACTGAACGTAGTATCTACTAACCCAATAATGAAAAGGAATGCCATTTGCTATTTACACTTTATTACTAAAATAAACCTAAATTTAATTAATAAATTTTGGAAACATACTTTTCTTTGTTTCTGTAATTATTTGTTCTACACAGTCCGGCTCCATCTAAAATACGTTAAAAAAATAATAATGTTTAAGTTAAACAAGAGACATTATCATGAGAATAATATATCACTTACAAAATGTGGCCTTTAGTATTTTTAGGGACTAGACGTAACATGAAGTTTGCTTAAAAAGAAAAGTAATCACATAAATAAAGTAAAATTCCTGCTTATTTTAAGTTTAGATAATAGAGGATGTATCTGTGCAATGCTGTTTAGAGTAATCTGACAAAAATAGATAATATTGGTCTATTGGATATACATAATTTTAGAAAGGTGGTGTTTTATTAGTACAAAGGTTAAATAATGGCCGGGCACGGTGGCTCATGCCTGTAATCCTAGCACTTTGGGAGGCCAAAGCGGGCAGATCATGAGGTCAAGAGATCAAGACCATCCTGGCCAACATGGTGAAACCTCGACTCTACTAAAAATACAAAAATTAGCTGGGTGTGGTGGTGCATGTCTGTAGTCCCAGCCACTCGGGAGGCTGAGGCAGGAAAATTGCTTGAACCCAGGAGGCGGAGGTTGCAGTGAGCTGAGCTCGTGCCACTGCACTCCAGCCTAGTGACAGAGCGAGACTCCATCTCCAAAAAAAGAAGAAAAGTTAAACAATTAAAGTCATATTTTGCAATGAATGCATTGCTTTGAAATTCTTAGCAAAACTCTGTCCTTTGTAAAAGTTTAATCCATTTTTTTACTTCAGTAATTTTTTTCTTAAAAAGAAATTTATATTTACTTACAGAAAATTTCTTATAGTAAATTTTTCTTTTTTTTTTTCTAGTTTGTATTCTAAATTAAAGTGGTACCTGTGTAAGTTTCTTCCAAAGGTATATCGAGGGATGCTGAGGTTTGGAGTACAATTGAACCCATCACACAGGTAGTGAGCATAGGACCCAAGAAGTAGTTTTTCAACCCTGGCCCACTCTGTCCCTCCCCGTTCTTATTTCCCAGTGTCTATTGTTCCTATGTTTATGCCAATGTGCACCTAATGTGTAGCTCCCACATATGAGTGAAAACGAGACACTTGGTTTCTCTTTCTGCGTTAGTTTGCTTAGGATAGTGGATTCCAGTTGTATCCATGTTGCTGCGAAGGAAATGATTTTGTTCTTTTCATGGCTGCACAGTATTCCATGGTATATATATGGAATTTTCCAATCTACCTTGGATTTTCAATCTATCTTTGGTGCACCGGGATTGACTCCATGTCTTTGCTATTATGAATAGTGCTGCAATGAACATACATGTGCATGCATCTTTTTGTTACAATGAGTTATTTTCCTTGAGGTATACCCCTAGTATAGTAATGGGGTTGCTGTGTGTGGGATTACATGTGCCTGCCACCACTCCTGGCTAATTTCTGTAGTTTTAGTAGAGACAGGGTTTCATCATGTGGGCCAGGCTGGTCTCAAACTCCTGACCTCAGGTGATCTGCCTGCCTTGGCCTCCCAAAATGCTGGGATTACAAGCATGAGCCACCACACCTGGCCAAGCACAAAGCTTTTAACAGAAAAATGGAAATGAACCTTTCAGTGTTTTGTTTATTTAATTCATAAAATGCACTTATTTTGGATTCTATTAAATAATAAATATCTACATGTCATTAAGTGTTTGGTTGTCATTCACTTGTGATTATGGGTGGAAAGAGTTAAGATGATGCAAAGAAACTTTAGAAGTGGTATAGGCTGGGCATGGAGGCTCACCCCTGTAATCCCAGCACTTTGGGAGGCTGAGGCGGGGGGATAACAAGGTCAGGAGATTGAGACCAGCCTGGCAAATATGGTGAAATCCCATCTCTAATAAAAATACAAAAATTAGCCAGGTGTGGTGGTGGGCACCTGTAGTCCCAGCTACTCAAGAGGCTGAGGCAGGAGAATCACTTGAACCCAGGAGGCGGAGGTTGCAGTGAGCCGAGATCGTGCCACTGTACTCTAGCCTAGGCAACAGAGCGAGACTGTCTCAAAAAAAAAAAAAAAAAAGTGATGTGAACCACAGACAAACTACAATCAAGTAGAGTAAGACCCTAGGTGTACCACCACCACTGCCACCGAGGCCTTCGTTACAGCACCCACAGGTTCCTCCCCACCCCAGAACGGGATGGGTCCTGCAGTGCTCCTACTCCCCCTTCCCGGCCCCCAGACTTCCTACTGCTACCACCACTAGCGCCGATGCCAATACAACCACCGTCGCCCTCAATGTACCAGCCCACCCTACCAGGCTCCTACCACCTGGCCCCCGTGGGTGTCCTCCTACCGCTCTGATCGAGCTGCAGTCTCCATCGCCACCACCAACCACATGAGGCAAGCTGCAGAACCACGTCATCTGCAGGCTAAACCATACCACAGGCAACTCCTCCTTCTCCTCCTTCAGCCTGGCTTGGAGCAGCTGGGCAGGCAAGCCCGAAAAGCCCAAAACAGGATTCAGGGAGTGGAACCGTTAGAGCCTCACCTTGTCACACTGGTGACTGGGTAGCAGGGATCAGTTTCATTGAAGGCACTCACACCCACCTTCCAAAGTCCAGCCTCTCCTTCTGTCAAGAGCTGGCCAGGAACTGGGGCCTGGGGTGGGAGTGAGTGCCTTCACTGAAACCAGCCCCTGGCCAGGTCCACCCGGCCAGGAATTACTGGGCCCGCCAGGGCTGCCTTCCTCGGGGAGCCTGAGTAGGAGAAACTCAGACCCAGCCAGCCCTCCCCACCCAAGGGCTGGTTCCCATTCCTGACGCCTCCACCCACAGTGCCCTGTCCCCCACTTCCCCCGTGGTGCCTACTCCCTGCCCAGTAGTCCCAGGTGGTCTCTGCAACACAGAGCATGAGGGCGAGACAGGAAACCACAGTGGGTGTGGGGGCCCTGCGGTGCAATCTAGCTCAAGCAGGAGAAGATCTCCTTCTAGAGTCTGGAGTCTGCCAAGAGGAGAACGATCCCTTACTTGGAAGCCACCAGAAGGCAGAAGGAGGCCATTGCTGTCGCTGCCTTTGCCACCTCCTCAGCTCGCCAACACCGCTGGCAGTGTAGCCCCCGTAGCACCCCTAATCTGCCCCCTGCTACTAGCAGTGTAGCCCCCAGATAGCACATCCAACACACCCTACAGTTTCAGGCAATGTAACCCCAATACTCCCCCCCAAAGCACTCCCCCCACACCGCAGGGAGTGTACCATCCGATAGTGCCCACAATCTGACCCAGCCACAGGTGTTGCTGCACTGGATAGCGTCCCAAACCCGCCTCCCCCCACTCCACCACAGCAGTTCAGCTCCTGATGGCGCACCCCCCAGTCACAGGCAGTACAGCACCCAACAACGCCCCTAAACCACCCCCCACTGCCAGCATTGTAGCCCTGGGTAACTCCACCCAACCCACCCCCTGCTGCGGGAAGTGCAGCAGAAGATAGCGCCCCTAACCCTTCCCCAGCCACCAGCAGTACACGTTAGTGTACACAACCTGCCTCCCGCCACCACTCCTGCCACCGCGGGCAGCATAGCCCCAGATAGCCAGTCAACCTGCCCCACCACCAGCAATGCAACCCCGGAGAGTGCCCCCAACCAGACCACTACCACAGGCAGTGTAGCCTCTAGCAGTGAGCCCCAATAGGACACCCAACCCTTACCCCCAGAGACGTACAGGGCAGCCCCGGAACACTCACCTACCCCAACACATTTCTACCACTGTGGCCGAGCTGCAGTCTCCGACGTCACCACCAACCACAGCAAGGCGAGCTGCCACCAACCACAGCGAGGTGAGCCACGGTGGCACAGGCTCCAGCCTCCAGCATGTGGCGTTCCCTCTTCCTTCTCCTAATCCTCCAGCCCGGCAGAAGAAGCTCCCGCTGCCAGCCGCCCTCCTACTGGTCTGTGGCCACCACCAACCGCAGCGAGGTAGTGTCCCAGGCTCCAGGGATCCAGGTTCCATCCGTTCTCCAGCCTCCATCAGGCGGAAGGTGGCTACCCCTTCCAGTTCTGTAAGCCGGGCACAGAGCAGCTCCTTAGCTCGACACAGAAGAGCTTGAAATGACCTGACATGACCTCAGCATGCTTTATCTACTGAAGTTATGCAAAAGCGGTTCCTGGACTACACGTTCTGATTGGATGAGAGAAAAAACCTCTAGGCCTACTTTGATTGGACTTTATTTTCATGCTGTGGTTGGTTGTTAAGACTTGCTCTCATCCAATCAGAACATGATCATGAAGTCCAATCAGAGTAAGCCTGGAGGTTTTTTTCTCATCCAATCAATACATGCAGTCCAGGATCCTCCGTGGGCATAACGGCAGTATATAAATGATGCTGAAAAGAAATCTGGTCTTTTCAGGTTCCCGTACTGACGTGTCGAGGTGGTCGCATCCCGGCGTAGAGGACTAGGAATCGGGAGTCACTGGCCATATGCTGGAGGCTGGAGACGCGGGAGCGTGGCTTGCGTCGCTGCGGTTGTTGGCAGCGATGGAGATGGCGCGGCTGGAGAGGTAGAAGAAGGAAAACAGTTTTGGGATAGTTGTAGGGGGGTAAAGAGGGTAGTTAATGCCAAAGGGAAAAAAAGGATAGCTTAGCAGGAGAAGGGGTTGCAAAAAGATGGCGGCGAAAAGATGGTGGGGAAAAAAGTTTTTGGGTACATGGAGGCGGAAAAACAGGGTGGGGAGCGGGAGGGAGGGAAGGTTTTGCAGAAAGCCGGTGGGTAAAAAGTGTTTCGATAGATGGAGGGGGGAGAGAGTGACGAGGAGGAGGAAAGAGGGTGGGGAGAGGGAGCAGGGATTAGAGGGTTGGGAAAACGACGGGAAAATAGTTTGGGGTAGATACAGGACAAAAAAGAGGATGGCAAGCAGGATTGGGGAAAGAAGAGCACGAGTGGTAAAGGGGGGAGACTTTGAAAAGATGGTGGGGAAAGTTTTGGGGGGTGGATGGAGGGGGGAAAGAGGAAGATGAGCAGCAGTGGGGAGAAGGCTTTGTGAAAAGATGGGGGAAATGTTTTTGGGTAGATGGAGAAGGGAAAGAGAAATGGCAAGGAGGAACGGGGGGAAAGACGATGAAGAACACAGTTTTTGGGTGGATGAAGGGGGAAAAGACGGTGGTGAGCAGCAGGAGTGGGGAGAAGGTTTTGGGAAAAGGCGGGGGAAAATGTTTTTGCTTAGATGAAGGAGCAAAAGAGTGTGATGCGGGAGGGGTAAAAAGAGGGTGGCCAGGGATAAGAGGAAAAGACGGTGGGAAGAAACAGTGGGGAAAGGGTTTGGGTCGGTGGATGGGGAAAAGGGTGTTGAGCAGGAGAGTAGAGAAGGCTTTGTGAAATGATGGTGGAGAAAAATGGTGAAGAAGTTTGGGGGCAGATGGAGGAAGAAAAAGGGTGGCCAGAGGGAGGGGGTCAAAGGTGGTCGGGAAAAGAAGGTGTAGGGAAATAATGGTGGGGGACAAAGGTTTTGGGTAGATTTTTTTAATAAGATCGTTTGTATTTTTTCTTTTGAGTAGTTTGAATTCTTTATATATTTTGTGGATGAATCCGTTGTCTGATGCATAGTTTGCAAATACTTGCTTCCATTCTCTGGTTGTTTCTTCATTTTTAAAAAATTTTAATTTAATTTAATTTTTTTTAGACGGACTCTCGCTCTGTCGCCCAGGTTGGAGTGCAGTGGCACGGTCTCGACTCACTGGAAGCTCTGCCTCCTGGGTTCACGCCATTTTCCTGCCTCGGCCTCCTGAGTAGCTGGGACTACAGGTGCCTGCCACCACACCCGGCCAATGTTTTTGTATTTTTAGTAGAGACGGGGTTTCACCGCGTTAGCCAGGATGGTCTCGATCTCCTGGCCTCATAATCGGCACGCCTCAGCCTCCCAAAGTGCTGGGATTACGGGCATGAACCATTATGCCTGGCCTTAAAAGGCTAATTTTTGTCTTAAGATTTGTGGTAAGGAAGGAGAAAGAAACAAATTAGTAATCACAAATATACATATAATCACAATATGCAGTAGGTTCTATAAAGGAAAAACAGGGTGTTATGTGGAGTTTAACAAGGACAGTGAGTTATAATAGTAGGTTCCATGGAGAAAGTCACCTAAGAAAGTTATACTTTAGCTCCAACATGAAGAATAAAGACAAATGAGGCAGGTACGGTGAGTGAGGAGCAGTGGCCCAAACAGACCAGAGAGTGAATGGCCTGACAGGAATTTTTTGGAAAGAATTTGAAGGAGGTCAGTGGGACTAAATCACAAAACAAAGGAGGATGCCAAAGAAAGGGTGTGGACATTGGCTGGGCCTCGTCAGCTACTATAAAGATTTTTTTAAGAACCCTAAATGCAAAGGAAATCATTCCCAGGCTTTTAAGCAGGGGCATGATATTATCTGAATTGCATTTTAAAAATCTCACTCTGGACATTGTATAAATGATAGATAGCAAAGGAAAAGGAGTAGCTTTGAGGGAAAAAATGAGGAGCCTGGGAAAACAGCAACTCTAGGTGTGAGATGAAGACTGACAGTGCTTCAGAGTGTATTAAGAACATAGGGCACAAAAACATATTAAAAACGTGAAATAAAAAGCACACATCTTAGGCCGGGCATGGTGGCTCATGCCCATAATCTCACACTTTGGGAGGCCAAGGCAGGCTGATTACTTGAGATTAGGAGCTCGAGACCAGCCTGGCCAACATGGTGAAACCCCATCTCTACTAAAAATACAAAAATTAGCCAGGCATGGTGGTACACACCTGTAATCCCAGCTACTCAGGAGGCTGAGGCACAAGAATCACTTGAACCTGGGAGGCAGAGGTTGCAGTGACCCAAAATCACGCCACCGCACCCCAGCCTGGGTGACAAAGCAAGACTCAGTCTCAAAAAAAAAACATAATAAGATGGGGAGGACTAAAGACAACGAGGATCTTAAAAGTAGTCAGAGGAAAACATACCAGGAATAATCAGTTGCATTTTTAAATACCAGCAAAAAGTTACATTAAGTAGATTTTTAAAAAGATACTTAGAATAACAAACACATGATCAATCTATTATATACATGGCATGATAAATTTAGACTGTTCAAAATATATAACACTTTAGTCAGAGGTATTAAAAGAAAAACTGAATAAAGTTATGATAGATGATCATGGATGGGAAGACAGTAACATAAAGATTTTGGTTTTCAAATATGATCATATATGCAATACAATTTCTGTCAAAATAATGACAGATTTTTATGGAAATTCCAAAAATATCTTAAATTTTATATGAAAGATAAGAGGGCCAAACATAGCCAAGACAATTTTGAAGGAGAACAAGGCAAAAATTAGCACAGAGAGGGCATGTTTTAAGTTTATAATAAATTTGATAGGTGATAATAGAGCAAAGATAGTGGTTGTATAAGAGAAGAGAATACAGGCTAAGGAACAGAATCACAATCATAAGGAAATTTTATATATGACCAAAGTGGCATTGAAAATAATTTGGGGCTGGGTGCGGTGGCTCACACCTGTAATCTCAGCTCTTTGGGAGGCTGAGGCAGGTGGATCACTTGAGGTCAAGAGTTCAAGACAAGCCTGGCCAATATGGTGAAACCCTGTCTCTACTAAAAATATACAAAAATTAGCTGGGTGTGGTGGCACGTGCCTGTAGTCCCAGCTACTTGGGAGGCTGAGGCAGGAGAATAGCTTGAACCTGGGAGGCGGAGGTTGCAGTGAGCCAAGATTGCGCCACTGCACATCCAGCTTGGGTGACAAAGCGAGACTCTGTCTCAAAAACAGAAAAAAAAGAAAATAATTTGGCAAAAGAATGGATATGGCAGGGCGGCTAAACACTGGGTTTTTCAAGTTGTTTTGATTATTCTAGGTTACCTGCTTTCCTATATAAATTTTAGAATCATCTTGTCAATCTTGTCAATACATACAAAAAATCCTTCTAAAAGATTTACTGAGATTGTTTTGAATCTGTAGATCAATTTGGGGAGAATTGATATCTTAAAAATATTGAGTCTTTGACCATGAACATGTGTCTCTCCATTTATTTAGGTCTTCTTTAGTTCCTTTTATCACTATTTTGTAGTTTCAACGTATATCTCCTGCATATACTTAATTGGCTTTACATCTTAATATTTTATATGTTATTGGTACCTTATAAATTGTACTTAAACATTTTTAAATTCAGTTTTTTGGCTAATGAATACAAATGCAATTGATTTTTGTGACCTTATGTCTTGTGATCTTCCTAAACTCAGTTATTAGTTTTGGTAGTTTGTTGTTGAATCTATAGAATTTTCTGCATAAAAATAAAACATGTAATCTTCAAATTAAAGAATTTTACTTCTTCCATTTAAATAAGATCACTTTCTATATCTTATTTTTATTGGCTAGAATGGCTAGGATCTCTAATACATTGTTGAATAAGAATGAAAGGGTGGTCATTTTTGCTGTGTCCTGATATTAGAAGAAGAGCGTGTGTGTGTGTGTGTGTGTGTGTGTGTGTGTGTGTGTGTGTGTGTGGTATTGCAAAATAAATTTATTTGAAGATAAAATGTCTTATAAAAGGTCAGAGGCAATTCGAGATCCCAGATTCAGCTTGTCTCATAAAAAGATTCAACTTCAAGTAGCACAATTTCTTGTCTGCTTTTAATCCTGAACATTCTTGAAGCACGAAACAGCCAACTGTTTACACAACACACATATGTGACATCTTGACTCTGGCACCAGTGGCGCCGCAGCTTTCAGCTCTGAGGCCGCAGGGGCTGCAGCCCTCAGCTTCGGGAGGGCCCAGATCAGGCCACTGTGACCTTTGGCTTTGCCAGCAACAACAGGTCCCAGCATCCCAGCCCTTCCCTCCCCTGGCGCCTCCCAAAAGCACAAGAATGCAAACCGAGACTGGCCCACCACTGAGGCAGGGGTGGACTCCCGCCTGAGTGTGCCAACAGGGCAGGTGGACCGTCCTGGTGACTTCCTGGTGGGCCTGGCCAACCAAGAGGCCAGGTGGCCTCACCGGGCCTGACCTGGCTGCCTGGCAGCCCGGAGAGGAAGGAGGAAGGACGCTCATGGTGCAATAGCTCTGGCCACGCTGGCAGGAGCTACGTGATGATCCTGGAGATGGCTTGCAGGGAGGGGAAGTCGTCGTCCCGGGCAGCATGCAGCGCCTGGTGGCTGCTGGCGTCGCCATGCGTGAGCACCTGCTGGCAGGTGGGGCACACACGGCAGTCCAGGCCCGCCTGCTGGGTGGTGGCCTGCCACGCACTCTTCTTGTTGTTCTTGGACTTGGTGCTGAGAGTCTTCTCGCGGTTGCCGAAGTCCGTGTGTGCAGACAGGATCTCCTGCTGCTTGGCCGTGTCGGGCAGCAGGACCAGCAGCTCATTAAAGACCTTCTGGAAATTCTCCCCCAGCAGACCCCGGCAACTCTTGTAATACTGGGCTGCGGAGATCAGGCCCTGTCTGAACTCCCCTGAGTGGCTCTTGAACTCGCTGAAGCGGGCCTCGTCGCTCTGCAGGAAGTCCCTGATGGACTGGATGAGCTGAAGTTTCCTCTCCCAGAAGTTCTCGGGGACTAGGTAGGCCCGTGGGGCAGGCGGCGGCCTGGGTGCTTTTGTGGTGGTGGTGGTGGTGGTGGTGGTGGTGGTGGTGGTGGTGGTGGTGGTGGCGGCGGCGGGGTTGGGGGCTAGGCAGAAGGCCAGCGAAGCCGGGGGGCGGCTTGCTGATTGGGGGCACCAGGCCTGGTGGGGGAGGGGGAGGCGTGCCCTTCAGGAGCACCACAGCGCTGAAGCCTGGGGGCGCGGCATCCGGGGTGGGCGGGGGCCGCCGAGCGCTGGGAAGTCCTCCTGTGGCGTGGGAAGAAGAGCATTTTTTCACTAAATACGATGTTAGTTGCAGGTTTTTGGTCAGTATACTTTATCAGGTTGAGGAAGTTTCTTCAATTCATAGTTTCCAGAGAGTTTTTAATCAGGAATTAATATTGGATTTTGTAAAATGCTTTTTCTGCATCTGCGGACATGGTCATAGAATTTTTCATCTTTATTCTGTTAATATGGCACATTATATTAATTGATTTTCAAAATTAAAGCAACCTTGTATTTCTGGGATAAACCCCATTTAGTCATCATGTATGAACTGTTTTATATATTGTGTGATTCATTTAGCTACATTTTTATTAACTGGATAATTCTTGTGTCTGTGTGCATGGTGGGGATTATCATCTGCAGTTTTATTTTCCTGTAATATCTATTTTCCTGTAATATCTGCTCTGAAACCAAAAAAGGTTTCAGAGTAATGCTGGCTGCTGTGGTCTGAATGTTTGTGTTTCCCCCAAAATTCACTGCATTGAAACCTAACCACCAATGCAATAGTATTAAGAGGTGGGAACTTTAGGAGATGATTATTTCGTTAGGGTGGAGACCTCATAAATGGGATTAGCGCTCTCATAAAAGAGGCACAAGGGAGTTCATTCACCTCTTCCACCTTGTGAGGACACATAGCAGGTGCCATCGATGAGGAATTGACAGATGCTGAATCTGCTGGCACATTGATCTTGGTCTATCCTTACTCCAAAAGTGTGAGCAATAACTTTCTTGTGTTTATAGATTACTCAGTATAAGTTATTTCGTGATAGCAGCCTGAATGGACTGAGACACTGGCTTTATAGAGTAAGTTGGAAAATGTCTCCTCCTCTTCAATTTTCTAGAAGAGTTTGTGTATAATCAACATTATTTACTCCTTAAATATATAGTGCTATTTGACAGTGAAGCCATATATGTTTAG
The DNA here is from genome assembly GCF_000001405.40 of Homo sapiens. Classification (NCBI taxonomy): domain Eukaryota; kingdom Metazoa; phylum Chordata; class Mammalia; order Primates; family Hominidae; genus Homo; species Homo sapiens. The sequence goes on from NC_000009.12 coordinate 87,945,949, forward strand.
GGTTTTCTTTGTGGGTATGTTTTTAACTATGTTTAATTTTTAATAGATATATTTATTCTTGAGTGCCCTTTGGTAATTTATCTATTTCAAGGAATTTCATCTAAGTTGTTGAATATATTAACATAAAGTTGTTAATATTCTCTTATATCCTTTGAATATCTGTAGAATCTATGACTTTATTAATCTCAAAGAACCATTTTTAATTCATTTCTTTATATTTTTTCTCTTTTCTATTTCATGGTTACTAATCTTTATCTGTCCCTTTGGCTTATTTTCTTTATCTTTCCCTTTGGCTTATTTAACTTTCATATTCTCTTCCAATTTGTTGTGCTTATTGTGTATGTCAGCTTAATTTTTTAACAGCTTTGCTGAGATATCATTGATATATTAAAAACTATATATATTTAATGTGTACAATTTAATGAGTTTGAACATATGCATATTCTCGTGATACTATCCCTACAAAAGTTTTCTTGTGTCCTTTTGTTGCTTTTTGTTTATTTGTTTATTGTTTTGTGTGTATGTGGTAAGAACACTTAACATGAGATCTTAAAATTTTAAGTGCATAATACCATATTGTTGACTGTAGGCACTATGTTGTACAACAGGTCTCTAGAATTTACTCATCTTGTCTAACTGTAACCTTATACACCCATTCAGCAACTCCCCATTTCCCCCTCCCCTATCCCCTAGCAACCACTATTCTATTTTCTACTTCTATAAGTTTGACTATTTTAGATACCTCATTTAAGTGGAATCATGGAGTATTTGTCTCTCTGTGACTGAATTCATTTAGCATAATGTTTTCTATGTCCATCCATATTGTCACAAATGGTAGAATTTTCTTTTTTTTAAGGCTGAACAGTATCCCATTGTATATATATATATATACTACATTTTCTTTTTCCATTCATATATCAGTGGATATTTGGGTTGTTTTTGTATCTTAGTTATTGTGAATAGTGTTGCAGTGAACATGGGTGTGTAGATATCTCTTAGAGATCATAATTTTAACTCCTTTGAATATATAACCAGGAGTGCAATTGCTGCATCACATAGTAATTCCATTTTTAAGTTTTTGAAGAATCTCCACAGTTTTCCATCGTGGCTGTACCATTTTACATTCCCACCAATAGTGTACAAGAGTTCCAATTTCTTCACAACCTCACTTTTATCTTTTGTTTTTTTTAATAATAATCATCCTAACAGGTATGAGATTGATATGGTTTGGCTGTGTCCTCACCCAAATCTCATCTTGAATTGTAGTTCCCATAAACTCCACATGTTGTGGGAGGGACCTGGTGGGAGGTAATGGAATCATTGGGGGTGGTTTTTCCCTTGCTGTTCTCGTGATAGTGAATAATTCTCATGAGATCTGATGGTTTTATAAAGGGCAGTTCCCTGCACACGCTCTCTTGCCTGCTGCCATGTAAGACATGACTTTCTCCTCCTTCGCCTTCCACCATGATTGTGAGGCCTCCCCAGTCATGTGGAACTGTGAGTCCATTAAACCTCTTTTTCTTTATAAATTACCTAGTCTTAGGTATTTCTGCATAGCAGTGTGAAAATGGACTAATACAGAAATGATATCTCATTGTGGTTTTCATTTGCATTTCCCTAATGATTGATGAATTTGAACACCTTTTCAGACACTTGGCCATTTATGTCTTCATTGGCAAAATATCTGTTCAAGTTCTTTGCTCATTCTTAATTGAGTTATTTGAGTTTTCACTATTGAGTTATAGCAGTTCCTTATATATTTTAGAAATTAACCCCTTATTGGTTGTATGGTTCGTAAGTATTTTCTCCTGTTCTGTAGGTTGCCTTTTCACTCTGTTGATTATTTCCTTTGCTGTGCAGAAGATTTTTGGTTTTATATAGTCTCACTTGTTTGTTTTTGCTTTTGTTGCCTCTGCTTTTTGTGTCAAATCCATTAAATCATTGCCAAGATTTAATTTCATGAAGCTTTTTCTTTACTTTTTTCCCAGGAGTTTTACAGTTTCAGGTCTTACATGTAAGTCCTTAATCCATTTTTATCTTTTTCTAGTATTTTAAGGTAGGAAGCTGAAATCACTGATTTGAGAGCTTTCTTTTCTAATACAGACCTTTTGTCTGCACTCCACAAATTTTGATACATTGTGTTTTGATTGTCACTGTAATCCCAGCACTTTAGGAGGCCAACACAGGTGGATCACGAGGTCAGGAGATTGAGACCATCCTAGCCAAGCTGGTGAAACCTTGTCTCTACTAAAAATACAAAAATTAACCAGGCATGGTGGCGGGTGCCTGTAGTCCCAGCTACTCAGGAGGCTGAGGCAGGAGAATCGCTTGAACCTGGGAGTGGCAGTTGCAGTGAGCTGAGATCATGCCACTGTACTCCAGCCTGGGTGACAGAGTGAGACTCTGTCTCAGGAAAAAAAAAAAAAACTTTCTAATTTCCCCTTTGATATCTTTGATTCATGGTTTAATTAGAAGTGTGCTGTTTGATATCCAAGTATTTGGAGATATTCTAGAGATACTGTTATTGATTTTTACTTTGATTTCACAGTGGTCTGCTATATATGATTTAAATCTTTTTAAAATTAATCAAGACTTGTTTTATGGCCAAGAATACAGTCTATCTTGGAAATCTTATTAGTGCATTTTAAAGGAACATATGTTATTGGGTAGAGTATTAATATTACAGCAAGTTTATATATATAGTTTATATATACATAAACTGTATATATATACACATTGATACATATATACACACATATATACATTGATACTATATATATATACACACACATTGATACATTGTGTTTCAATGGTATATGGTAACAGGAAGCAAATTATTAGAATGGTAGAATTAAGCTCAGTTACGTCAATAATATCAAATGTAAATGGCCCATATACATATATATATATATATATAGAGAGAGAGAGAGAGAGAGAGAGAGATGGAGTCTCACTCTGTAGCCCAAGCTGGATTGCAGTGGTGTCATCTTGGCTCACTGTAACCTCTGCCTCAGGGGCTCAAACAATTCTCCTGCCTCAGCCTCTCCAGTATCTGGGACTACAGGCATGCGCCACCACACCCGGCTAATTATTTTGTATTTTTAGTGGAGATGGGGTTTCACCATGTTGCCCTGGGTGGTCTCAAACTTCTGAGCTCAGGTGATCCACCTGCCTCGGCCTCCCAAAGTGCTGGGATTATAGGTGTGAGTCACCGCGCCCAGCCGATAATGTTTCAGTCTTCTATGTTGTCACTGGTTTTCTGTCTATTTTTATTTTATCAGTTATTGAGAAAAAGGTATTGAAATCTCCCCAGTATAACTTTGGATTTTTTAATTTTTTTCTTCTAATCCTATATGTTTTTGCTTCATGTATTTTGAAATTATTAGGTACATAAATATATACAATTGTTATAAACTTTTGATTAGTTGACCCCTTATCATTATGAAATGACTCTCTGTAACCCTGGTAATTGTCTTTTCTCTGATGTCTACTTTGTTACTGATTTAGCCACTATAGCTCCTTTTGCTCAGTGTTACCATGGTATATCATTTTCTGTGTTTTTACTTTTACCTCTTTGCATCTTTATATTTAAAGTGTTTTTCTTATAGGAAGCATAGAGATGAATCTTAATTCTTTATCTAATTGAACAATATCTACCTTTTAATGGGGCTGTTTAGATGGGCCATTTACATTTAATATTATTGACATAACTGAGCTTAATTCTACCATTGTAATAGTTTGCTTCCTGTTTGTCCCATCTTCTGTTCATTCCCATTTCTGTCTTTTTCTGCCTGCTCTTGGAATGAGTAGGGGTTTTTTTTCCAACTTTTATTTTAGATTCAGGGTGTACATACGCAGATTTGTTCCAAAAGTATATAGCGTGATGCTGAGGTTCAGAGTATGATTGACTATTACCCAGGAAGTGAGCATAGTATCCATCAGTTAGCTTTTCAGCCCTTGTTCTCCTCTCTATACCTCATCTCGTGTTCCCCAGTGTCTATTGTTCCTACCTTTATGTCCATTTGTACCTAATGTTTCACTCCCACTTGTAAATGAAAACGTGGTATTTGGTTTTCTGTTTCTGCATTAGTTCACTTAAGATAATGGCCTCCAGCTGCTTCCATGTTGCTGCAAAGGACACAGTTTCATTCTTTTTTATGTCTGCATAGTATTTCATGGTGTATATGTATCACATTTTCTTCATCCAGTCCACTGTTGATGGCCACCTGGGTTGATTCCATGTCTTTACTATTGTGAATAATGCTGCAATGAAGATACGCATGCATGTGTCTTTTTGGTAGAATGGTTTGTTTTCCTTTGGGTATATATCCAGTAATGGGATTGCTAGGTCAAATGGTAGTTCAATTCTTACTTCTTTGAAAAATCTCCAAACTGCTCTCCACAGTGACTGAACTAATTTACATTGCCACCAGTAGCATATAAGCATTCCCTTTTCCCCACAGCCTTGCCAGCATCAGTTGTTTTTTGACTTTTTAATAATAGCTATTCTGACTGTTGTGAGATAGTATCTCATTGTGGTTTTGATTTGGAATTCTCTGATGATTAGTGATGATGCACATTCTTTCATATGTTTGTTAGCTGCTTGTTGAGCTTCCTTGCCACCTAGATTCTGAATTCTCTGTCATTTCAGCCATTTCAATCTGGGGAGCTAGTGTGATCTTTTGGAGGTAAATAGACACTCTGACTTTTTGAATTGCCAGCGTTTTGTACTGATCCTCATCTGAGAGGGCTTATGTTCCTTTGTCTTTTTGAAATTGCTGTCATTGGATGTGGCTTTTTGTTTTTATATGTTTATTTCCATTGAAGGTTTGACTGTGCGGTATGTTGAGTATAGTTGATAGGTTTAGTTTCTAGGTGCTTTCAGAGGGCCAAGGCTTCCTACAGGATCTTTATTTGTGGCTAGACACCTGCATTGGCTTTCACAGGTGATGTGCGCTGAAGGCATTTTCGTTTGGTGGTGTAATTAAAACCATAATCCAGTAGATGGTGCTAAAGTGTAAGGGTCAGCAGATAGGCTCTCAGCCACCTGCCTCCTCTGTATTTTAGCATGTTTGCAGCAGTACTCTTGGGTGGGGGAGACTGAGGAGGGGGCAGTGAGAGATGACCCCCTCACTAAGTGCATTCTCAGGCCTTAGGGAAGCTCCTCCAATCACTGGCATTGCCCCCATGTTTCCTTAGCCCCAAGGGGGGCTCTGGCAGGCTGCGCTCCTGCCTCCCTTAGGGGCAGCCTGAACTGAAGGTTAGGACTCCAGGAGACCTGCAGCTCCCCAAGGGCCCACTGATCCTCTGTGCTTGGCAGAGTCCAAGCAGGCTGTGGGTTATGTCTGCAGGTGTCTGTGGATGCACTGGGTCAAGGGTAGAGGATCCCTGGGGAGGGTGGTGTTGCTGTGGGTGTGCAGCTGGTGTGGCACCTGTGGCCCAGGGTTTTTTGCCCAGCAGATGGCTGTGGGAACCACCCAGCTTGTGCTACCCAGACTGGGTCTCCTAGTGTCTGCCCTGGAGCTGGCCTAGCCAGCTAGTTTTGTCCCAAGCCTTCTGCACTAGATCTTTGGGTTGTTAGGTGCTCTAGGCTTTGGGACACCCTTGGGCAGAGGCTGCAGCTGGCAAATAAGCTGCATCCTTTTTAGACCAGTGTTACAGGGGGAGGCAGGCCTAGCTCCCACACTGTCCCATGAACCTGTGCCGCACTCTTTTCAGTGTTCTGAAAGTGGAGGCTCCTCTCTTGCTCAAGCTCCAGTCACAGATCTCAGCTCAATACTCCTGAGCTATATTCTCACACCCTGGCGGTTTGGGACTGGGCCTGCAGCTTTGTCCTGTTGAGTTGAGCATTGGCTGTGCTGGGGGAGCCAAAGTGTTCCCAGGCAAGGCAGTGGAGGCTGTGCTTTGTGCATGCTCTTGCAGGAGCAGCCAGGCAAAGGCTTTAGGAGGGGCCAGTAGATGCTGAGCAGGGGGCAGGGGGAGTCGGGGGAGGTCAGATGCACCCTGGTCCCACAGGAAAGACAGCCCTGCTCTCTCCTGCCCAGCATTGAGCAGGGGCTAGAGCCACTCGGCGCAAGACGGAGTGCCTTGGAGGATGGGCACCTATGATTGTGTTTTGCTGCAGCTGCCCTGCACACAAAACCTTCTGGCTCCACGCAGGCATGAGCTCTGCCTCTGGTTACTCTCTGGCAGTTCCCCGGGCATGACCCCACTGTGGGGCCATGGCATCTCTTGTGGCTATAGGATCCCAGAAGCCCATGGCAGGAGTGTGTTGCCCATAGTTCCTTCACTCACCCTCCCTTAGGACCTGTTCAGGGCCAGGAGCTGGGCAACTCTATGCAGGGTTCTCAGCTTCCTCCTTCTTTCTGGAATGAGTAATTGTTTTAGCTTTATTTTTATCTCTTTTGTTGGCTTATTAGCTGTAACTGTCTTTTTTATTTTTTGTAGTGGTTGCCCTATGTTTGTTTATACTTCTTCGTCACTAACTTTCTGTAATATTATACTACTTCATGTGATAGCATAAGGACCTTACAATAGTATAGTTCCATTTCTACTCTATTGGCTTTTTTGCTATTATTACAATATATGTTACTTCTACAGATATCATAAACCCCACGATGTATTATTACTATGCTTTAGAAAGTCTTCCAAAGAGAATTGTAAAATAAGAAAACATATATCATTTATATTTACCCACATACTTACTATTTTTAGTGTTCTTTTTTTTTTTGAAATGGAGTCTCACTCTGTCACCAGGTTGGAGTAAAGTAGCACAATCTCGGCTCACTGCAACCTCCACCTCCTGGGTTCAAGGGATTCTCCTGCCTCAGCCTCCAGAGTAGCTGGGACTACAGGTGCATGCCACCACACCCAGCTAATTTTTGTATTTTTTTAGTAGAGACAGGGTTTCACCATGTTGGCCAGGATGGTCTTGATCTTTTGACCTCGTGATCTGCCTGCCTCGGCCTCCCAAAGTGCTGGGATTACAGGCATGAGCCACTGTGCCCGGCTCTAGTATTTTTTTTTTTTTTTTGAGATGGAGTCTCGCTCTTTCGCCCAGGTCGGAGTGCAGTGGCGCTATCTCCGCTCACTGCAAGCTCCGCCTCCCGGGTTCATGCCATTCTCCTGCCTCAGCCTCCCGAGTAGCTGGAACTACAGGCACCTGCCACCGCACCCAGCTAATTTTTTGTATTTTTAGTAGAGACGGGGTTTCACCGCGTTAGCCAGGATGGTCTCGATCTCCTGACCTCCTGATCCGCCCGCCTAGGCCTCCCAAAGTGCTGGGATTACAGGGATGAGCCACCGCACCCGGCCTCTAGTGTTCTTTATTCCTTTGTGAAGATGCATATATCCATATGGCATCCTTTTCCTTCTGCCTGAAGGACTTCTTGTAACATTTCTTATAGGGCACATGTGCTGGTGATTAATTCATTCAGATTTTCCCTTTCTGAAAAAAAGTGATTATCCTTGTCTTTCATTTCTAAAATTAGTTTTTGTTGAGGATATAATTCTAGGTTGACAGTTTGTTTTGTTTTTAATTTTAATACTATAAAGATGGTGCTTTTGTTTTTTTCTAGTTTAATTTGTTTCTTAGGAGAAATCTGTTATTCTTTTTTTTTTTTTTTCGAGATGGAGTCTCGCTCTGTTGCTCAGGCTGGAGTGCAGTGGCACAATCTCGCCTCACTGCAACCTCCGCCTACCGAGTTCAAGTAATTCTCCTGCCTCAGCCTCCTGAGTAGCTAGGATTACAGGCACACACCATCATGCCTGGCTAATTTTTGTATTTTTAGTAGAGATGGGGTTTCACCATGTTGGCCAGGCTGGTCTCAAACTCCTGACCTCGTGATCCGCCCATCTCGGCCTCCCAAAGTGCTGGGATTACAGGCAAGAGCCACCATGCCTGGCCTCTTCTGTTATTCTTATTGCTCCTTTATATGTAATATTATTTCTCTGGCTGTTTTATCACTAGTAGTGAAAAATTTTATTATGATATGCTTTGGTTTTATTTTCTTCTTGTTTCTTGTTCTTCTGTTTCATTGAATTATTTGGATCTGTGAGTTTATAGTTTTCATCCAATTTTTTAAAATTATGGCCGTTATTGCATCAAATAATTTTTCTCTTCCATTCTCCTCTTCTTCAGGGACTACAGGTATTTGTATTTAGGCTGCTTGAAGTTTTCCCACAGGTCACTTATGATCTGTTCTTTATTTTCAGTCTTTTGTTTTTCTTTTACTTTGGACAGTTTGTATTGCTATATGTTCAAGTTTATGTCTTCTGCATATATGTACTGACATTCACCTGCATGAAAACTAGCAAACTTTAGACTTGACAGCCTGTGGGAGAGCAGCCCAGATCCTCCCAGGCCATGGCCACTCTTCAAACATCCTCCAAAGCAGGGCAGTGCTCAGGGTGTCTCAGAGGAGTCCACCTCAGGGCATAGTTCACATCTATGTCAGGTCGGTGAAGGATATTTCCAAAGGAGGTGACACCATCTAGCTTCTTGCTTTGTATACACCCCTGTGATGATCTTTCAGTTTCAGTTTGAACATCGCCAGTGACAATGATTTTATTTTATCAGTGGACACCTCTAGAAGTTGGGGAAATTCCTCCTGGCCCTGAGCAGTAATGTGCTGTTTCCATCTGCTGATCCTGGTTTTGCGGTCAGGGCACAGTGTCTACTTCCTTTTCCACAGGCCAGCCTTTCAGTGATTTGAAGGGGTTTTCTTGCCCAAGTCTTTTCTGTCCAAACATTCATTTCCACACCTCGTGCCAGCTTGGTCATCTCTGCCAGAGTGTCCTGTCTGGAAAGGTCTCTTGAGATGTCACTTCCAAGTGTGTGGGCCTGATTGGGCTCTCAGTAAGTACATTCATTTCTAGTTAGTGACATGAATATGAATACTAAGTCTTTTGACGCTTTCCAAAGGCTATAGTTGAAAGTTGAAAACTAATAAAATTATCCTGTCAGAAGAAAAATGCCCCTTCCTAGACATGAAGGACACATTGCTCCGATTTTCTGCTCCTGATTAAAGACAGCAGGAAGAATTTGACATGTATCTGCTCATGATGAATTTTAAAGGAATAAAATAACATAATCAAGACTTAGGTGAAAGTCAGAGATAAAACCCAAAGAGGAGACATAAAACCTGTCTTCTGAATTTTTCAGAAATAATTCTGAAGCTGGGAATAAATGGGGCTCAATTCATGCGAGGAAGAGTCACAAAATCCCAACTCCTAAGGTACCTTTGAAGGCCAGAAGGTCTAGTGGGCCATTCTTCACAAGAATTCATACTGATTCATAGAACCATTCATTCATACTGGTTCATGTAATAATGGATTCACATAACTACAGATTCATACTGATTCGTAGAATCATAAATTTATACTGGTATCTGCAATTCCAATTCAGCACCACAGGTATAGTTTAACCTTCTTCCTTTCTTATTTATAGCTCCTTCTCCAACAGAGAGAACCCGGCCCTCATTATCCATATTGTATTTACTTCTTTGCACAATCTTAGAATACACATAAAGTAGTTTAGGGTAGCATCCCTCCCACTCCTTAATTATTTTTGAGCACATGAAAAATTAGCTTGTTTCTAAATATAAGAACAGGTAAAGGGTACACTCAAAAAGGTATCCCTCTTCCTATTCCTCCTTTTCTACTCCCATTCCCCCATCCTATCTACCCTGCCTCTTCCTGTCTCTCTAATCTTACTGGTTTTTCGTTTAGATTTCTTGTTTCCTTTTTGAGCAAAAGAATAGATAACGTGTATTTTTCTGTTTCCTGTTCTTTCTTATATGAAAACTAAATACCTCATGAAAAAGTTATCTAATTTAAGTGTAACCCCAAACCTAGACAAATGGCACAATCTTAATTATTTAACAACTTCAAGGATGCATACACATAAAGGAATAAAGAATTGCTTCTGAAACTAAACAAATTTATTGAATCAACTTTCTAGTTTTTTCTCTCCATAAACATTCTGGTCCTGATTTATGAGGACCGAAAGGCACTTACCTTTCAGCCTAAGTAGAAGCCCAGGATGGCAGTCAGCATCCTTATGGCCATTCTGGTCTATCAATGCACTCATCTATATTTTTACACTAAGAACAGCTGCAAGCTTAAAATCTTCTCACTAGTAAATGTAAGGGTTTTGGGCTAAGTGGATCTCTGATGCCACTCAGCTCCAAGATTCTGTTCCCATGGTGCTGTGGTTATAATATTCCAAACCACAGGAGAATCATTTTCCAGAGACATTTACAGGCAGCCTCACTGTCCTGTCTTGAACATCCTCCACCAAAGTGTGAACACAGGTGGCATGGGCTTCGTAACGAATAAGAGCGCCTTCAAAGCAGGAGATTCCCTGTACCTGCGAAGGGCCTTCGTGAACAACCTTGGAGAGGAAAGGAGAACCAGGATTCAGATCCAAAGCATCCAGAAGGCTTTAGACATCCAGATCAGGGAGATTGATAGAGAAAAAGCAGCCCTGAAGAGATTTTTGGTAAAGCTTCACAAGACAACTGGCTATTTTCCTCAAAAGCCATTGTGGTGACTGATGCTGTGCCACCATAGGGGACGAGTTCATCTGAAACATCCAATACAGACAGAACACACCTGGGTCTCCTTCTGTATCTCTCTGTGACCCAAGAAAGCAGTAGAAGTGGCTACTGGGACAAGCCAAAAAAGAAAAAAAAGGACTAGATAATTGAGGACACAAATGGACTGCCTCTAAAATAATAAACAAAACCTCCTACAAAAGAGAGAATAATGCGCTGATTTTTTTCCCAGCTGATTCTATTTCTTTACAACTTGAGGTGGTAATATGCAGTGCACGTGTTATTTTCTTACAGATTCTCCTGGAGGCAAGAATAAAGCTGAGCTATTTTAGAGATCTTTCAGATACTGATCATGAAATACATATTATATTTGCCTTAATCCTGTTCTCTTCTCATTGATATCATTTTCAATTATTTTCTACAGTTTTAATAGCATGAGTAAATAATAATAAATATTAAAATTAAGGTGAAAATAATAGTGGGAAATACATGGAATTTTGTATCTATAAGAAAACTCAATTTAAATGTAGGTTTTCCCATGTATTAGTTGTATGTTCCTAGACTTAAAAACTCATTTTTTAAATTCAACATGAGGATAATACCTATATTAAAATATTGTTTTTAAGGATTAAATAAGATAACATATATATAGGGCATATTGCAGCCACCCCTAAAATGGTACTAGCTCTTGTGATGACTGTTGTTTCCATTAATATTTTTATTACTGTGTAATAGAGGTCAAGTTCTGTTCCCAGCTCTTTCCAGGATTGCTAGGCAAATCCGTTTCCATTCGTAGGCATTCATTTTTTTCTGAGGCTATAATATGAGAGTCAGACTAGATAATGTCCACAGGCCCTTTCAATCTTAAGTTCTTTGATACTATAACTCCATGGTTATACTTTGAAATGTGTTTGCAGCATCCTAGAGAAAAAAAATCTAACAATCAGAATGCACACACCAAGGCGACTAGAGGCTTGTATATTCCTACTTAACCATGACGTATCTACCACCCTCATGTTTAAATATACTTGTAATTCAAGTACAAAATATCTTAGTGGCCTCATTTTTTTTTTTTTTTTTTTGAGACGGAGTCTTGCTCTGTCGCCCAGGCCGGAGTGCAGTGGTGCAATCTCAGCTCACTGCACCTCTGCCTCCTGGGTTCAAGTGATTCTCCTGCCTCAGCATCCCGAGTAGCTGAGATTACAGGCACGTGCCACCATGCCTGCCTAATTTTTTTGTATTTTTAGTAGAGACAGGGTTTCACTGCATTAGCCAGGGTGGTCTCGATCTCCTGACCTCATGATCTGCCCACCTCGGCCTCCCAAAATGCTGGGATTACAGGCGTGAGCCACTGTGCCCGGCCCAGCCTCTCCTTTACACACACACACACATACACACCATGAATAGATACATATATACATGTGTATACACACACATATGTATTATATGTATGTGGGCGGCAGGATCAAGGGGGATGTGGTTAGGCTGTGGGTTTTCTATGAGGGAGAAGGGGAAGGTAAAAGTGTCGAGTGGTTTCTTGGCCATGTGCAGCCATATCAGTGCTTCTGTGTACCTGAAAACTGTAATTACGTTGTGGCCAGTGTGGTCACGGGCAGAGGTCGCAGCCTTTCTTGTTGATAGTCCCTCATTGGTTGTGAATTTAAATATTGTGTAGTTATGCCCTAGGGGGTGCAGAGTTCATATAATGTAATTAGGACTTGGGACACCATCTTGGCTTTTTTTGTTTTTGTTTTTTGAGACAGGGTCACGCTCTGTCACCCAGGCTGGAGTACAGTGGTGCAATCTCAGCTCAGTGCAACCTCTGCCTCCTGGGCTCAAGCCATCCTCCCACCTAAGCCTCCTGAGTAACTAGACCTCATGCCACCATGCCTAATTTTTGTATGTTTACTAGAGACGAGGTTTCATCATGTTGCCCAGGCAGGTCTTGAACTCATGAGCTCAAGCAATCCACCCACCTTGCCTCCCAAAGCGCCAGTATTACAGGCGTGAGCCACCATCCCTGGCTAGAGGCAGCATTTTGATGACTCAGGTCACCATTGTCATCTACATCGTTTCAGTAGCCCCCGTTTTAAAAGCTCATTATATCTTTCTATGATACCCACTGCTGTTACTTTGTAATGTTACTTTGTAATACCCATCGTTGCATTTGCTTTGTGGTACAAGAAGAGCCTTGATCTGACTGTGTAACTTGTGGCACACCCAAAGGCTGTAAAAGCTGTTTTGGTAACCCATTGTGACATTAGTAGAGGTTCCTGCCTCACATGGGTAAGCAAATGGATGGCCTGTGTAGATATCCCTTAGCATATTCATTGGCTCCTGTCACTGTAGGGGGAGGCCCTTTGAAGTTGATTTGCCAGTTCTGATAATGGCCTTCCTGTGAATTTCTCCTCCCAGGCAGTGAACCCAGTATCTAAATTTCTAGCATGGTACAGTCCCTAATAACCTTGCATAAATGTGTCTCTGCTGGGTTGACTCCTCTGTTAATAATTCCTTTTTGACCGGGCATGGTGACTCACGCCTGTAATCCCAGCACTTTGGGAGGCAGAGGCGGGTGGATCACTTGAGGTCAGGAGTTCTAGACCAGCCTGGGCAACATGGTGAAACCCTCGTCTCTACTAAAAATACTAAAATTAGCCAGGTGTGGTGGCACGTGCCTGTAGTCCCAGCTACTTGGCAGGCTGAGGCACAAGAATTGCTTCAACCCAGGAGGCAGAGGTTGCAGTGAGCCGATATTGCACCACTGCACTTCAGCCTAGGTGACACTGCAAGACTCCATCTCAAAGAAAAATAAAAAATAATAATTCATTTTTGTAACCCCATGATGCCCAAATGCCCTGACCTCTCCTCTTACATGCCCTTGCATGGGATAGGGTAGCTCATCCCAAAGCTCTAGGACTCTGCCTCCTTCAAGAGGCTTATCTGCTGGTATGCTATGGTTAGTTCATCAGCTTTGGTGTTGTGTCATGCCTCTTCCATGTCTTGTCTGGTATGAGCCAAGGTACGGTGCATCAAGGTAGGCAGAATGGGAGCCACTGTAAGTGTTAGTGCAGCATCTTGGCTCTCGAGTAAATACAAATTAATACCAGGCCAAACAGTAATTTTTCTCAGGCAAGTTTTAATGGGCTTGAGCTCAATCAAAGCAAGGGAGCAGTGCCCAGGAAAAGGACCCCAGTGCTACAGCCAAAAAGGGCTCAGCTCTTGTCATTTTAAGGAAGCTGAGGCAGAGAAAGGAATGACATAGAAGCTGTGAGAGTTAAAGAAAGAGGAAAGAAACACAAAAAGTGGCTCAACAGTCAAAGACAGGTTTATTTTGGAGAATGAACCTGAGAGGGGTTTCTGGCCGATTTCAGTCAGGAGCACTCTCTCTTACAGACTAAGAGTATTTAAGTGTTTTAGGGCAAGATAGCTTATCACAGGCTTGGAATGTTTCTGTGTGGAGGAGAAGTTTATTGCGGGGTTTGGAATGTCTCCAGCTGGAGGGGAGGTTATCTCGGGGCTGGCATGTGTCTGGTTGGGGAGGGGTTTATCTTAGGGGTTGGAATGTTTCTGGTTGGAGATGTCATTTGTGATTTATGGTCATGCTGACCTTAGCTGATGCCCTTTGGATTTAGGTGGTTTCTGATCAAGGGGAATTTTAAAATGGTGGTGCTTGTCCAAGATGGTGATGTTCCTGCTCTGTCAGAAGCCTGTTTAGGCAGTTTTCTTTGTGCCTGTACAGTGGGGTGTCATGCCCTAACATACATTGCATAATTAGAAAATGGTAGATAAGCCCCAATTTGGGCAGAGATTTTCGTATTACAGTGAGATTATGAGGAAAACTCAGTGAAAGGTCAGTGCTGAAGTCCATCTTGTCTTCAGCCAACTGGATCTGGTCCAATTCTCATAGGGAATGCCAGAGTTTTGTTTTAGTAAACTTGGAATATGGTCAGGTTCTTATCAGGAATGCTAGAGTCCGGCTTTTAGCAACCTTGGGAGACATCACTTAAGGCAATAAACAGTTTCTTCTATTTGTGGTTAAGAATTCAGCCTGATCAGCTAAGTTAGGAGAGGCTTCCCTTCTGCTATGTGACTTAGGTCAGCTTGTTAAGGGAGGCAAGAAGGTAGGGGAGGGAATATGCCTGGACATGTGAGCCCCATGAGCCTCGGTCTACAAAGACCAAGTCTCTTTCCTATACTGTCTCATAATGATTATTTTCCCTACATCTTTTTACCCTGAATATCTTGGCCTTGTATTTTCCAGCTCTGATATTGCCAAAGTCCCAACCAAGTAGTTAGCTCATTAGCCATTAACCAAGAGTTCATGAAGATAGAAACCTTGGGAAAATGGCGTATCTATTGCTAGGAGTAATGCACATATGGAATGAGTGTCTGAATGGGGTTAAAGGCTGTAGCTCTCCTTGGTCTGAATTCCTTATGCCCTGTGCTCCCTCATCAGTAATGAGAGGCCATTGGTTCTCTTGTTTTGAGATTGCTGACCATCCTCCCTCCAGTCCCCACTAAGCAAGAGGCAGAGGCATTTTCAGGATTTTGGCAAGTTGACCTCAGTGGCAGGGTATGTGGCTATTTTCTCATGGAATGTTACACTCCAGTAGGACTAAATGTGAGTTGATTCTGTAAATACCATTTCCATTGTAGTAAGAAGGTTTCTGTTGCTGATCCAGTTTTACAGTAAGCTTTTTCCATTACCCAGGGCATAATAGGAATCTTGGTTCATAGGGTAAATGGGCTCTGCCCTAGTAAGGGCTTCAATTTTGATAACTAAAAAGCAGAAAATTTGTGGGTGACTGGATACGAAGAAATATGGGAGGAAGGGATGTATTGGTGCCAGAATCCCAGTGTTGATTGAATCCCTTTATTGATGTGGGAGGTTGGAGAGCTAGGAGATTCTCTTTTGCCAAATTGGGAATAGTTTACCTCTCTGAGTTCTAGGTGTAGCCCAACACTTTAACAGGTCAGGAGGGGTCTTGCACCTTATGTGGGGCAACTGTCCATCCCCTCAGTGGGGTGCTTGCTCACAGCTGTGATGACCTGTGAAACAAAGTTTTGGTCAGGACCAGTGAGGAGGATGTCACTGATATGATGCCAAAGCTAAGTTTCTTGGGGGAAGTGTGGGGCAAGCATCGGGGTCCTCTTAGCAAAGTCCAGATGTAAGTAAAGGCCTTTCACCACAGTGCAGGCAGTCAGGTAAAGCTGTGCTGTTGACTCTCAAAGGTTAAGTCAAATTGTGGTTGGCTGTCATGAAAAAATTTTAGTGAATAAAACCTGTTAGCCAAGTCTGTGCAGTAACTCTAAACCATTTACCCATGTTGTTTTGAATGTCATCCATTAAGGTGACAATATTTGGTAGAGATGCTGTAATGAAGAGAACAGCATTGTTTAGCTTTGTATCATCTATAATAAGTCCAGTCATCAGTAACAGCTTTAAGCACAGGCTTAAAGGAACTGAAAGGTGAGATGGTAGGAATCAGCATCCCTTCTTACCCAAGTCAGTCCCGACAGGCTGGCACCCTTCAGTGTCTTGTCTTAGGCAGCACAGTGGTGTATCTACCACCTCAACTGGATAGAGGAAGGCTGACCGATTCCCACAGGGAACCCACCCACCAATAGTGTAAAAGTCTTAGGCTTGTTGCTGCTGACTGAGGAGGTCCATTCAGTAGTGGGAACAAGAGAGAAGTATTTCTTAGCAAAATGGAACTAACTTTATTTATTTATTTATTTAGAGACGGAGTCTTGCTCTGTTGCCTAGGCTGGAATGCAGTGGCACAATCTCAGCTCACTGCAACCTCTGCCTCCCAGGTTCAAGCAATTCTCCTGCCTCATCTGAGTAGCTGGGATTACAGGCACACGCCACCACACCTAGCTAATTTTTGTATTTTTAGTAGAGACAAGGTTTTGCCACGTTGGCCAGGCTGGTCTCAAACTCCTGACCTCAGGTGATTCACCCACCTCGGCCTCCCAAAGTGTTGGGATTACAGGCATGAGACACCATGCCCGGCCCTAGGGACTAACTTTAATAGTTAAGTGGCTTATTAATCTTCCTTCCAAGCCTGTCACCTCCTTGAAGTGTCCCTTTAAAGCATGAGTGCTTCCTGGGTTAGGGAGATTTGAGCATCCACATCCAACAGAGCCAGGCTGTGGTGTTTATTTTTTGGAACCCAAACCACAGTTAATGGAATAGGGTGATTGTCTTTCAGGGGAACCTGATTCCACAATCACCAAATCCCTGTGTAGGGTGGGTACCTGCCACTGGTGGAGATCAGGGGCAGGCACAGAAGGCGGGGATGGCTTGAAGGAGATACCATAATCTGACCCTAGTAAGAACTGTAACTGCCCCACGGGTTTCCCAGAGATCATCCAATTTGGGACCCCCTTGTTCCTTAGGTTCTAGTATAACCTCTCTTGTACATCTTGGCAGGAGCATGGTTGTAGGTGGTTTGTTTGGCTTGCGGAAGGGAAGCAGCCTCATGGTCGATGGCAATTTTAAAAAGTCAGGCCCAGATAGGGAAAGAGCAAGACCCTGAGATGTGGGATTAGGACATTTGAGTGGGCAATCAGAGAATTTTGACCTCCCCGCTTCAGATTTCCTGAGGCCTCCTGATGGTCTTACATGAAGTATATGGGAGCCTTGGCTCTGTATGGCCCTAGGCCCTACTATAGCCTTTGCAAGGGGGAGGCAGGTCAGGCAGCATGGGCTGTGCCACCCTCTTCTCTCACCTGTTCCAGGGTGTCTGATGCTTCTTGCAGACAACTCTGGGTGCCCCAAGAACAGATGAGTCATAATGATAAACAATTTATCGTCTTTTAACCAATATGTGGGGGGTGGGGAGGGGTGGGCATGAGGCCAGGGGAGCATCCCTTGTCCCCAGGAGGGAAGCTTTGAATGGTGAACCAAGACTGGGGACTCTGGTCCCCACCTTGAAGCCTCCTTGCTTTGAGTAAGGCCACATTTCATGAGTTTTGGGGACCGTGACCTGCCAAGGATGGCAGATAGAGGGACGCAGTCTCCTGGGCCCAGGCCTGCCCAGTTTCCTCCAGTCCTACCACCTGGAGCAGGAGGGCCCAGCACCACGCTTGGCCTCAGGGCTCTTTCTCATGGGTGACCAGGTGACCACTCAGGTCCTGGAGCCTGGCCATCCCTGCCTCCTTGTATGAATGAGGGTGGTGGCTGGCCTGCCTACTCCTGCAGCCTCATCGCCAAGGTGACTGGTTGCTATTCAGGCCCCCTAAGGTCACTGACTTGGCCTTTTGGGGTTTGCACAGGTCCCAAGTAGCCATGCACTGCTCTGAGAGGGCTCGCCCTACCTTGGGCTAGATTCTAGTACTGGTCAGAGCTACAGGTGGCTCAGTCCCTTTGGTGATCACCTTGGCTGCTGGGGGCCCCAGGCTCGGGTTGAGGCCAGATCAAACCCCTCTGGATCTGGACCTTGTGCCGTGTTAGGGAGTTCTGTCCCACAGGAGGTCAGCATGAGGACACAAGACATCCTGCTGGCTGGCCAGAGCTATGAGGATGCCACACCCCCTCCCCTCCAGAGGCCTCCAAGTAGCCATCTTCCCAGTGGACGGTGGTTTCAGCTGGCTGAGGGGCCATCCGGGGCTTCTGGGCAGCTTGCGGGGTAGGCTGCTGTCCTGGCTCCTTCCAGAACATGCAGGTCAGTGAAACTGACAGGGATAGGACATGGGCCACTGTGAAGGGGAGGTGTCTTCGGCTCTTCCTGTGGATCTTCAGAAAGCTAGGCAGGGGTTGATGATGGGCCCCAGTGGGGTTGCAGGGCCAGTCTGTCCATGGTCCGGGAGGTAGCCAGGGCAGATGCTGAAGGGATGGGGGCCCAGCATTCCTGCCCGAAGCAGTACTGTGGGAACCAGGGGCCCTGACGTCAGGGTCTATGGGGAGGTTTGGGACTGAATTCCATTGCAGTAACCACCAAACAACTGGTGGTCTGTCCTGGGCTGGGGACAGGCTGGCCAGACCCTGAGCTCCTGGGGCTCCCAGAGCAAGGCCTGTGGCCCCAGGCTCTTTGGAGACCCTCATGCCACTAGGGGCCTCAGCCTTGGGAAGAGCCTGGCCAGGCAAGGGTCAGGGAGGACCACACTCCTGTTTTGTGGGGGCTACCCCTTATGGGGAGGCATGGTCTCACTCTTCGTCACCCAAGCTGAGTGCAGTGGTGTGATCACAGCTCACTGCTGTCTTAAGCGATCCTCCTACCTCAGCCTCTCATGTAGCTGGCACTACAGGCGCATGCCACCACACCTGGCTAATTTTTTTTGTAGAGATGGGGTCTTGCCGTATTGCCGAAGCTGGTCTCAAACTCCTGGACTTAAGCAGTCCTCCCACCTCGGCCTCCCAAAGTGTTGAGATTACAGGCATGAGCCATCACACCCGGCTGATTTTTCCTTTATTTTTGAAAGGTAACACAAGAATCATTATATAATTTTCATTTTTCTAATGTCCTTGTTGAATTTTAGTATCAAGACTACTGCTGGTGTCACAAAATAAGCTGAGTAAGCTTTCTCCTGTATTCTCTGGAATCGTGACACTGTCCATTTATTAAGTGATTGACTGGTAGAATTTAGTAGTGAAGCTATCTGGGCCTGGAGATTACATAATGAAAATATTTTAATTTGGAGGTTCAATTCCTTTTTAACAGTTTTAAGACACTTCAGGGGTTTGTTTTTTATTATTGCAAGTCGAATTTTTCTATGGATTTGTCAATTTTACCAAAATTTCGCATGTATAAAGTTACTTCTAATATCCTTAGTCTTTTGAATCCTATTCATTTCTAATATTGATAATATTTGAGATTAGGTACGTACAAATTTGAAAAATTTTACCAATGAACTGAATATAATTAGAACTGAATGTGTTTATCACTAGTAATGATTTTTGCCTTGAAATTGTATCTTATATTAAATAACAGCTCTTTGCCTTAAAATCTATTTTCTTTTTTTTTTTTTTTTTTTGAGACAAGTCTGTCACCAAGGCTGGAGTGCAGTGGCACGATCTCGGCTCACTGCAACCTCTGTCTCCCAGGTTTAAGCGATTCTCCTGCCTCAGTCTCCCAAGTAGCTGGGATTACAGGCATGCACCATCACACCCGGCTAATTTTTGTATTTTTATTAGAGATGGGATTTCACCATGGTGGCCAGGGTGGTCTCGAACTCCCAACCTCGGGTGATCTGCCCACTTTGGCCTCCCAAAGTGTTGGGATTACAGGCATGAGCCACTGCACCCGGCCTCTGTTATTTGATATCAAATAACTACACCAGATTTTTGGTTTGTGTATGCACGATAAATCATTTTTTCTCCTTTTACTTGCAAATGTTATATACATTTTAGAGTTCTCTTTGAAGTTCTCTTAGAAGCTTACAGTCTGCAGAAGATGTGGCTGGAGAAATAAACAGAGGCCATATCATGAAAACATCAGACTTTCCTGAAAGCCAAGAACGAGGGTTGAGTATGTTTTCTCTCTCCACTAAGTGCTTGAAGGCCAGCATCTGTAGCAGTGTTAGTCACCCTGAGTGCTCACAGAAGAGTTTATCCACATGAAGCATAAAATAAACATTTTAAAAATAAAGGGAGCCTGGGGCTGGGCATGGTGGCTCACGCCTACAATCCCAGCACTTTGAGAGGCCCGGGCAGGCAGATCACGAGGTCAGGAGATCAAGACCATCCTGGCTAACATGGTGAAACCCTGTCTTGAGTAAAAATACAAAAATTAGCCAGGTGTGGTGGCACGCGCCTGTAGTCCCAGCTACTCGGGAAGCTGAGGCAGGAGAATCACTTGAACCCAGGAGGCGGAGGTTGCAGTAAGCCGAGATTGTGCCACTGCACTCCAGCCTGGGCAACAGAGCAAGACTCCATCAAAAAATAAATAAAATAAAAATAAAGGATGGCTAAGAATAAGTTTCTCTAGTCTGTTTTTATCCTTGAACCACAATCATACTCTTTATTATTATACAAACTTTTAAATATTGGTATCTGATACCGTAAGTCCTTCCATCATTTCCTCTTCTGCATCTGGTTCCACTTCCTTCCATGTATCTTTTATAATCACCTTATCAAATTATAATAAGGAAAAAGCACTAGCTGGGATTATATTGGGATTTATTAAATTTATAAATTAATTCCAGGAACGCTTGTTTCCTTAAATACACAGCTGCTTCTGGCTCACGCTCATCCTGAGGGAGTAGATGTTGGTAAACCAGCCTCATGTGCAGAGGGTCTCCTGCTGGATCCCCAACTGGAGCCATCCCTGGGCCTAGACTTCTGTCTCCCTCACTTCTAAATGAGTGCTCAGTGATGTGAAGTACACAGGAGTCCCTCAGGGCAAAAGTGGCTATGCCTGGTGCTACCCTCCCCATGACCCCAAAAACGAGAGCCATGAGACAATGCCACCTTAGCCATTTCCCTTGAGAGAAATGAAGGAGGAACAGACATAAGGCAGAGCCACCTGAGGTTTTTAGAATCTATATCTCACATACTGAACTAGTGTTTAATGGCTCTGAGAATAAAACCAAACCAAATCTTCCTTCCACTTGAGTTTCCAACATAAGGACACCTTACTCTCTGCACTTCTCCTTGACCAGGAGGCAGCACTCGGGGAAGCAGCACCAAGGCAGGCATCGTCATTCTGCATATGCAGGCCTTGACTGGCAGCAGAGCTCACTGTCCTGATGGGTACGTCAGTAGCACACAGAAGGTAAGGCTCACCGAGCACAGGCCATGAATCTCCTCTGCTCGACTGGATGTTCTCATACTCTTGGCTGGGAACATGACCTCTGCCTCGAGACCAACCCTCGCAAGGGCTAAGGGGCAGGGTGTGGTGTGGGCCCACTGTGGCCATGGGGAGGCCTTGGAGGGTGAAGCCAGGCAGGTGGCAGAGGAACAGGTGGACTGAGTGGTCCTGAGGAGCAGGCAGACGGGACCAGGGCCAACTTCTCACCCCTCCAGGATGAAGGGCCGAATCAGCTCTGGGTTCAACAGCGACTCCTCAAGAGGCCGGTCCACGTGGAAGTCATGGATGTGGGGGGGCCCTGGATGGGCCTTGGGGGCAGGTCCCCCTAGACGCTGAGGAATCGGCAGCTCAGATGGATGGGCAGGCAGGGGAGCTGTGAAGAAGTACTGATGGAGGAGAGCCTGAGGGTGGCAAGTAAGGAACAGCAGAAGGAAACTAGTCACCTCCCTGTCCCCAGCCTCAAGCAGATGTTCCTTCATCTATGCATTCAGCTGACTCAGTGTGTCTGGGTGTTTTCTGAGTGTCTACTATGTCTGAAGCACTATTCCAGAAGCTGGGAACATAGCCGTTAATAAAACAGACAAAAGCTCTGTTTTTCTGACATAAGTGAGGGTGGGGGGTAATAAACAAGATGAAGTAAAATACACAGTATGTCAGATAATGATTAGTGCAGTGGAAGAGAGAAAGCAAGACAGAGGAATGAGGAATCCTGGAGAGAGGTTGCAGATCTGAAGAGTCATGAGGGAAGGCCATCTGAGAAGTGACATTTAAGCCAAGACTTGAGACATAAGCAAGTGGGACATGAGGCTCCAGGCCAGGGACAAAAGTGTACTGACCCCTGGGGCTGGAGAGGAGTGAGCACAGGGCACAACAGCAGGCAGCGTCATGAGGTGATGGCACCCAAGCATACGACATCTGTGGGTCACAAAAAGGACCCTGGCTTTTCCTCTGAGATGGAGCCACAGGAGGGCCCTGGCAGAGAAGGAATGTGTCCTGTTCTACTTGGATAAAGTTACTCTGTCTGCCAGGTGGAGAAGAGATTAAATGGGATGAGGGGAGACCCAGATTCTGGGAGGCAACCCAAGAGATAAGGGTCACACGGCTTGGGTACACTGTGGACACAGAGCCCACAGGAGCTGCTGACAGTGGAGACCAAGAGGGCGTATGTAAACACACGCGGCTGGTGCTGAGTGCAGGGAGGGGACAGGGACCCCTGAGAGACACCCTGACACCTGTCAGCCCATGCTCCTGTGGTCATCGTCCTCCCAGGCCTACCAGCCATAACCAGCCTTCCTGGGTCCTCTCTTCCAGGCCTCTGCCCACCATTTCTCTCTTCAGCGAACACCTCCTCAAACATCTCATGCTTAAACCTGCCCTCCACCAGGAAGCTTTGCTTGACCCCAAAGTCGGCCTTGCCTCTCTCCTGGGGCTCCCACAGCTGGAGAACATGACCTCTTGTGACCTTTTGGACCTGGAGCTACCTCACCACCAGGAGTGCCCCGCGGAGGTAGGACTGATTGTTTACCATCTGTGCAGGGCCCAGGACAATCCCTGCATGTGCCAGATGTGCAGAAAATACTTGCTAATGGAATAAAGGAATGAGTCCCCAGTGACTCTCTTACTGTATCTGCCACAGGGTCAGGGGCAGCCCAGAAACCTGCACTCCCGGACACGCGCTCTCCTGAGAGTTGGGCATGCCCCTCGTATGGGCCACCCTCAGGGGAAGTCTGGGGATGTCCAGTGGGGTCTACTCATGAGAGGCACACCTGCTCCAAGGCCCCTGTCCCCTGGGTTCCAGATGTCTGGTGCTGGTCCATGCCAATCACAGGTTCTGAGGGTCGCTGATGTGATGGGGTCACATGGCTACCAAGTACAGAGTACCAGGGTGATGGGGAGGGGAGCTGAAGGAGCAGAGACTACAGCCTCTCCCCCTACCTTGGAAGCTGCGATGCGCTGGTGAGGAGGGTAGAGAAGGAATTGACCCAGCAGATCCAATGCCTGGGGAGAGACGTCAGGCAGCACCTCCTCCAGGGGCATGGGCACCTGCTCCTTAAAGGAGATCTTGTTGTAGTCCGGCAGCTCAGTGAGCTCCTGGGCCAGGGAGAAGGAACAGGGTACAATGAGAGTAGTTCCCGACCCTTGCCATGCTCTCTGCTGTCAACTCTCAGCCCCTAACACACACTCACATGGGGGGTGCTCTCCCATCCATGTGTCTCCCTGACCCATCATTCATTCACTCACCCACCCCTGTATTCCTTCATCCATCCCCTTGCCCTCTCAGATGACGACTCTGTGCACAGCTTGCTGAGACACTGCACATGTGTGTACTGGGGTGAAAAGGGACAAAGGACAGGATCTACCCCAACCCAAATGACAGCAGGAAGGAGGAAGCCCTGAGTTGGGCCAGGACAGTGGTCCCTGTCCATCAAGGGGGGTTGGGGCCAGGAGAGAGAAGGTTCAGGGGAGGGAGTGGTTACTTGCTGTTGGGAGTGGAGTAAACCTGCCCCACACCCACCTCACCAAGGGCCCCTACAAACCGGCCAGACTTGAGGGTTTGGGGTGCCCAAGATGCGAAGCACATAGCAAAGCTGTTCAATATCGTTCTTGCCCGGGAAAAGGGGGGACCCATTCAACAGCTCCCCCATGATGCAGCCCACAGACCTGTGGACACAGAGCCCCAAGCAGGTCAGAGATCTCCCACCATGGACCACAGACCCACCCACAGAGCAGCTCTAACACTGCACTCCAGGGCAAGGCCCCACAAGCCAGCCCTGGAGCCTCACGTCCAGAGGCCCAGTCCCTGAACCCTCAAAGCCCTCAACCCTAGAACCCAGAGCAAAGCCCCAGCTGTTCCAAGACTTCTCGGAGACTCCTGCTCTAGGACACTTCTGGGGCAGACCTGCAAACCTGCCCCAAATCTCAGACCCATGGGCACTGCCAACTATCTTCTTGCTGCAAAACAAGCTCAGAGCTTTCATGTCCAAGGACACAGGCCTCTGACCAGCTCAGAGATGCCATATCCTAGGATCTAACTCCAGCACATATCGGCTCAGACCACCTCCCCATCTAGCCCAGAAAGCTTCCCACCTGGGACCACCATTCTCATCCCACCTGGCCCCTACCCAGCTCGAAAACATCATAGTGAGGAACCCCAACCCCAAAGTGCTCAGAATACCCCAACCAGGGAAGACACCCTTAAGGAAGCCTAAACTCCCACCAGGGAAAAGACCACCAAACAGCTCAGAGACCTCAGAGCCTAGCAGAAATCCATGAGCCATGTTACCCTTTGACCACCCACAGGGGTCTCACCACAGATCGACGCCCTGGTCATACTGGCGGGCACCATACAGGAGCTCGGGGGCTCGGTACCACCTGCGAGGAAGAGGGCTGGCAGGCACTGGGCTGAGAAAAGGATGCCTGGGGAGGTGACCCCAGCCCCACAAGCAATGTCTGGAGAAAAGGCCCAGAAGCATCTCTTCCCCATGGAGAAGACTGGAAGGGATCTGGCCCTCCCTACCTGGTGGCCACCTGGTGTGTGTAGAGGCGGCTGCCGTCTGGGGAAAAGACTCGAGCCAGGCCAAAGTCCGCTATCTTGAGCTGGCCTGAGGCGCTGATGAGCAGGTTGGCAGGTTTCAGGTCCTGGGAGTACCAAAAGAAGCATCAGTCCCTCCAAATCCCCCATAGGACCTTGGGACAAGCGGGCTTGGCAGTCTAACCACTCAGGTCAGCCCCGGTCCCCACCTCCTCCAGGGCCATGCCCTGGCCACTTACCTGGAGGCCTTGACCAGCTCTGTCCCAACTTCTTATCACACCTTTTACAAGGGCTAGCCCCATCCCCAAGCCAAGTCAGCTCCCCAGACCCCATGCCCGGCCTATGCTGAGACTGACCCGATGTACAATGTTGTTGGCATGGCAGAAGGCGACACCCTTGAGCAGCATCTGCAGGTAGCTCTTGACCTGTGCCTGGGCTAGTGGCCTCTGGGCATGGCGCACCACCTCGGCCAGATCCGACAGCATGAACTCAAAGGCCAGCACAAAGCCTCCACCGTGTGGGAACACAGCCTTCAGTTGTACCACCTGTGGGCAGGACATCTTGTTAGCCCCCAGACTCAAGTCACCAGACCCTCTCTGTGACCCTGAGACCCCAGCCCATGCCCTGACAGAGGACCCTGTATCCAAAAAGACAGTAAGCAAAGAAGGTGACGTGGACCTGAGCTAAGAATCAGAGAGCTCGATGCTCATGATTTGCTCTGCTCTCCTGAGATAAGGTGTGCCCCCACTCTAATTCTCCATGAACACTAAAAGGTCTAAAAAAGGTCATTTAGTGGCACCATCTGGTCCGCCCACCCAGCCTACCCGCCTGAAAATCATCTGGATGGTCACACATGAGATGGACAGGTCTCCTCCTGTTTCCTCTAGAACCACCGAATCCCAGCACCAAGGAAAGGACACCAGGAATCCCACCTTTCCCAGTGCTGGGACAGCTACAGACACATCACAAACACTGAGGCCAGTACTGTCAGAGGAGCCAGGCTACACAGAGAGTGAGCTGAGAGACAGGACTCTTAATGAACTCACAGCACAAAGGACAAACAGTTTAACAAATAAATGAATAAAAGGGATATATTCAGATTCTGTAAGTACAGGAACCAAAATACAAGGGGGCTGGGCATGACGTCTCATGCCCGTAATCCCAGTACTTTGAGAGGCCAAGGTGGGCGGATGGCTTGAACCCAGGTGTTTGAGACCAGCCTGGGCAACATGGTGAAACCTTGTCTCTACAAAAAATACAAAAAACTAGCCAGGCATGGTGACACGTGCCTGTAGTCCTAGCTACTTGGGAAGCTGAGGTGGGAGGATCACCTGAGCCCAGGAGGTTGAGACTACAGGGAGACAAAATCGCACTTCTACACTCCAGCCTGGGTGACAGAGTGAGACCCTGTATCAAAAAAAGAAAAAAAATCAACAGAACTAGAAGAGGATAGTGTGATTCTGTGAGTGGAGAAAAGGATACTTCTTTATTTAGGTGGGGTGGGGCTAGATGAGGACCCAGTTTGTGGGGATCTGGGATAAAGCTCTGAGCAGGAAGAAAAGCAAGTGCAAGGCCCTAACGCCAGCACAGAAGGAGGCTAGAGGGATGTGAGTACATGAGATTGTTTAAGGGAAGGATGTGTCTGCCTTGTTCTGTGCTCCTGGACCCTAGATAGGTGCTGGTCACTGGAGAGATGCCTAAGAAGTTGTGTTGAATGAGAGAAAAGGGAGAGGCCAGCTGGAGGTGGGCACATGGTGATAGTGCTCTAAGTGTGAAGAGAAGCCACCAGGGCTTTTTACGCAGGGGAGCCGATGACTTAACTTACACTTTTGACAAAGCCCTCCGGACTGTGGCTATGGAGAGCAGTGGGGAGGCTGCCACTGTCATTCTGATGAGTGGTGATGATGACTTGGGCAAGGAGCAAATCTAGAGTA
This sequence comes from Homo sapiens, assembly GCF_000001405.40. NCBI lineage: Eukaryota > Metazoa > Chordata > Mammalia > Primates > Hominidae > Homo > Homo sapiens. Next base: position 87,972,725 of record NC_000009.12, read on the forward strand.
TGTTTTAAAGTTAGAACCTTCAGAATTGCTGACCAACTGGATGTAGGGACCATATCACCAGCTTCCTTATGGATCTCTCCACCTATCCCACACATGGCTGTCTGGAAGCCCTTTTATCTTCCTCAAAAAATCAAAATGGCCTGATTGCTGTTTTCGGATTTTTCAGGTAGTACACAACCATTTAACAGATCAAAACACATGCACACATTCAGGTAAGACATAAAATCCAACAGAAAAAGAACAAAAGAAAAATCCTACAGTCAATCTTAGAGTGTATTCTACCAGACTTTACAACAGATATGGCACACACAAATACACATTCACATATATAATATTTCCAAACAAAACCCAGATGACACAAAATTTTATAACATGCTTTTGTCATCCAATATATCATGCATATCTCCAGATCACAGAGACCCAACCCTGTTAACTCTCCAGGGAGTCAAATACATTCCCTATTTCGACATGGGTGAGAGAGAGCACCAAAAGAGTAATGACACTAGGGGTGAAAGATGCCCCTCTTCGTGTTCCAGCAGCCCCTCCCGGTACCCTATCACAGCACGAACCACACTAGGTGGGCCCTGTTGCCTCTGTCTCTTGTTAGCACACTTAAGTCCTCAGGAGCTGGGCTGGAGCTGGTTTCTCTGTGTCACCAGTGCCCAACACAGGGTAGAGCCTATGGGAGGTCCCAAGGGAAGAATGGACTCTCAATCAAACCTGGGCCAAACCCTCTACTGACTAACGGAGGGCCCAAGAGCTGGTGACATAACCTCCTCCTCTCACCTGAGAAACAGAGATCTGGAAACCTGCCTTGTACAGTAGTAAAGAGGTCTCAAAATGACAATGTATATAATGCCTGCAGAACACATCGGGAGCTCAATAGGTGCTAGTTACATTATAAATCACTACATGTTTTGAGAAAAAAAGTCGGTGAATGAATGAATACATTAAGAAATAAGTAGGCAAATGAGAGTGAATGTGTGAGAAATGAAAGAAATAGGTAAATAAAGGTGAACAAGTGGACAAAAAAGGGCAAAAGGGGGTAAGGAGGCAGATGAATGAGCAGTGTGTGTGAGTGACAGCGGGAGGAAATCCCTGAAAGCTGGTGAAGGCGTAGCTGGGAAAATGAAGGCACAAAGAAGTGGGAACGAGCGACTGAGGGTGAGAATACCATGCCCCCCCTCCCCTACTCACATACTGATTGTCCTCCATCTCCTGCAGAGCCTTAATCTCCCGCAGGGCCTGGTTAGGGAAGCCGTCCTCCAACCGCCTTAGGGCCACCTTCTTGAGGGCAACTATCTCGCCAGTCTGCAGGATAGAAGGCAGACACTGCCAGCCCACCCTCGGCTGGGAAAGAGAGATGAAGGTGGGTGAGGGGAAGGTGGTTGAGAGAGAGACACGCGCCCCCGGCTCGGCCAGAGGCCCTCCTCGGGGGTCTAGGACTAGCCTGGGACCCAGCCGCTGGGGTAGGGGACCAAGCCAGCTGTGCGGAGGGAAGCGCAACGGCCCAAAGTAGGTTTAGAATATGAGTAGGTTTTAAAAACTGTACTGGATGTAAAAAGGGAACCGAAACAGTTTAGAGCGTTAGCCGGAGGGTGGCGGGGGCACACCCCCGCCAGGCTGCCGGCCGCGGTCCAGCCTCACCTCCACGTGCTTGGCCTTGAAGACGATGCCGTGGGCGCCCTCCCCGATGCGGCCCAGGATGCAGTACTGGTCCATCCCGCTGCAGTCGTGGGCCTGTGCCCCTGTGCCCCTGAACTTCCAAACTCCACTTCTCCTCCACCCCACGCTGATCTGAGCTCGCACGCTGTTGCCTAGCAACAGCGCGGCAGCTGACCACTGGGGCGGTTCCTGTAGGCGACGTCACCAGGAGAACGGAAGCTGCGTCGAGTCAGGGGTGACAGCTCCGGGCCCCACTGCGCCTTTTCCTAGCCCTCCGCTGTCACGCAGCAGCAAGCTTAATCCCGCATAAAAAACGCATGCGCCGAGAGCGTGCCCGCAGCAGGGCCCACGGAACGATGACAGCAGGCACCTCCTATCTGCCCCCGCCCCCGGCGTCACGTGACTAGCTGCGCTGGTGCACGCAGCCGGGAGGGGCGGGCTCCTTCCCCTGGCAAGCCGGAAGCTCCGCACCTGTAAGTAGAGGTTCAGGCTTCGACCACGCGCAGGTGCTGTTTTCTAGCTCCGAAAGCCAGGCACTATTGATGCAGACAGACAGGTCCCGGGCTGCGTTGTGGAAAGAGGGTCTGTGGGTCCTCTTGTCTTAAAATGTCAGTTGGCTACGTGTACCCACAGATTTTTAAAAGGGCATACTCTGAGGGCCGGGCACGGTGGCTCACGCCTGTAATCCCAGCGCTTTGGGAGGCTGAGGCGGGCGGATCATCAGGTCAGGAGTTCGAGACCAGCCTGACCAACATGGTGAAACCCCGTCTCTATTGAAAATACAAAAAAAATTAGCCGGGCGTGGTGGCGTGCTCCTGTAATCCCAGCTACTCAGGAGGCTGAGGCAGAAGAATCGCTTGAACCCGGGAGGCAGAGGTTACAGTGAGCCGAGATTGCGCCACCGTACTCCAGCCTGGGTGACAGAGCGAGACTCTGTCTCAAAAACTAAAACTAAAAATAAAATAAAAGGGCATACTCTGACCCAGACAGGACAGAGTAGGCCTTAAACTTCTGAAAGGATGCTCAACTTCACATACAATAAACAAATGCAAACTAAAGTTACAGTTTTTCACATATTGGATGGCTAAAGATCTCAGGTCTAATAGTTCATTGACCAAGCTACGGGAAAACAAGCACTTTCATACATTGCTGGTGGCAGTATAATTTGACGATGTTGATCAAATCACAAATGCACAGACCCTCAGACTCAGCAAAGCCACTTCTAGCAATTTCCCCAATAGACACCTTTTACACATGTGAAATGACATGTACAAAGTTATTCCATTGCAACGTTGTTTCAACGGCAAACTATTGGAAACAACACAGATGTCCATCATTGTGGTGCCTCCTTCAAATGAGGTATTAAATCTTTTTATGTACAGCAATGGGAAGATTTCTAAAATAGGTTGTTAAATGAAAAAGGCAAGATGCAGGACAGAATGCATAGAGTACCACTGGCTGTGTAAACAAAAGGAGAAAAGAATATAAATAATGCTTGTACATCCATTACAAGATATCTGGAAAGATACACAAGATTTCCTGAGTGTGGTTACCTGGTGGAAGAGGGACTGGGAGGACAGGGGGACAGAATAGGAGGCAGACTTTTCACTGGGTCTCTTTACATTATTTGAGTTTTGAATATAATTTATTAATTTTCCAAAAAAGCAAATATTTTCTAGCTTAGAAATTTCACTTCTGGGTTAATAATTGCAGAAGAATGACTTGATGTCCATACAAAGTATTCCTCCTGTTTGATGATAGCAGAGATCTGAAAACAACCCAAATACCCAGATGGAAAAATGGCTAAGTTAAGTTAAGGGAGTGCCATAGAATGGAATAGTTTTTAGCATTAAAACTGGCGAAGATAGGCTGGGCATGGTGGCTCAGGCCTGTAATCCCAGCACTTTGGGAGGCCGAGTCCTACGGATCACTTGAGATCAGGAGTTTGAGACCAGCCTGGCCAACATGGCGAAACTCCCTGCCTGTACGAAAAATACAAAAATTAGCCGGGCATGGTGGCACTCGGCCTGTAGTCCCAGCTACTCAGGAGGCCGACGCGGGAGAATCGTTTGAATGGAGGAGGCGGAGGTTGCAGTGAGCCGAGATTGTGCCAAGGCACTCCACCCTGGGCGACAGAGCAAAACTTGGTCTCAAAAAAAACAAACAAAAAAAAAAAGATACAGTAGGGAAAGGATGGTCTTCACAAATAGTGCTGGGTCATTTGAGAAGTCATAAGGGGAAAATAATGTATATTGACCCCAGTCTCACACCATTCACAAAATTGATTCCAGATGGACTGCAATCTAAATATAAAAGGTAAATAATGAAGCTTTTAGAAGAAAATTATATCTTAATGGCTTTGGATTAATTCAAGATCCTTAGGTTACAGAATACACTAAAAGAAAAACAAAAATGAGAAATTGGCCTTCATCAATGCTAAGAATATCTATTCATCAAAAGATACCATTAGAGACCAGGCACAGTGGCTCACACCTGTAATCCCAACGCTTTAGGAGGCCAACATGGGAGAATCAGTTGAGGTCAGGAGTTCGTGACCAGCCCGGCCAACATGGTGAAACCCTGTCTCTGCTAAAAATACAAAAATTAGCCAGGCATGGTGGCATGCACCTGTCATCCCAGCTACTCAGGAGGCTGAGGCAGGAGAGTTGTTTGAATCCAGGAGGTGGAGGTTGCCGTGAACCAAGATCACGCCACTGCACTCAAGCCTGGGTGACAGAGTGAGACTCCATCTCAAATTAAAAAAAAAAAAAAAAAGATACCATTAGAGAGTGAACAAGAAAGCCACAGAAAGGCAAAAGAGAACTGTAATACATATATCTGACAAAGGACTCACATGTAGAATTTATAGAGAACTTTTATTATAACACTGAAGAAGAAGCAGACAATCTTACAAAAAAAAAATTAGAAAAACCTGGAATAGACACTTCGCAAAAGGTGATTCCTGAACAGCCAATAAATTTTGCAATATGTGTGTTTAACTTCCCTGACTAGAAGGGAATTTCATATTAAAACCACAACAGAGTGTTATTGTAATCACTAGAATAGTTTAAATGAAAAAGATAGATAATACCAAATGCTAGCAAAGAGCAACTTGAACTCTCATACACTGCTGCTAAGAGTGCAAGTTCATACAACCCCTTGGAAAAACTGGCACTTTTTTCCACAGGCACGTACCACCACGCCTGTAGAGGCAGGGTCTCTCTATGTTGCCCAGGCTGATCCTGGGCTTGAGGGATCCTCCCACTTTGGCCTCCCAGAGTACTGGACTTACAGGCCTGAGCCACCACACACGGCTCCACTTTGTCAAGTTTTACTAGCTAGTTTGAGGTTCAAGAAAAGTTTCAAAGCAAATGCCTTTTTATTGGACTAGTGACTTTTTTCTTTTTTTTCTTTTTTTTTTTTTTTTTGCCAAATCAATAACTGCATAATGACTTTTACATGACTAAATTTTACTTATCTTCCCACACATAAGACTGTCGTACAATTATCAAATGCTTTATGAAGCACCATTTTGTGCATAACATCACAGCACAAAGACTAGTATGATTATGGTAATGGGAGTTATTTCACTATTCTCTTCAAGAAATGGTAAAAGGAGACGATAATCTCAATTGATGCAGAAAAAGCATTTGACAAAATTCAACACTCTTTAATGAAGAAAGCACTCAACAAACTATAAATACAAGAAAACCACCTCAACATAATACAGGCCATGCAGGAAAAGCCCACAGTTAACATTACATTCAATGGTGAAAGATTGAAAGCTTTCCCTCTAAGATCAAGAACAAGTCAAGGATCCTCACTTTTGCCGCTTTTATTTTATATAATACTGGAAGTCCTAGCCAAAGCAATTAGAAAAATAAATAAATAAATACATAAATAGGCCGGGCACAGCGGCTCATGCCTGTAATCCCAGCACTTTGGGAGGCTGAGGCAGGTGGATTACCTGAGGTCAGGAGTTCAAGACCAGCCTGGCCAACATGGCGAAACCCCATTTCTACTGAAAATACAAAAATTAGCCGGGCATGGTGGCACGCACCTGTAGTCCCAGCTACTTGGGAGGCTGAGGCAAGAGAATCGCTTGAACCCGGGAGGCGGAGGTTGCAGTGAGCCGAGATCGCACCACTGCACTCCAGCCTGGGTGACAGAGTGAGACTCCGTCTAATAAATAAATAAATGAATGTAGGTAAATAAATAAATAGCATCCAAATTGGAAAGAAAAAACTATCTCTGTCTAGAGACAACATGATAATATATGTAGAAAATCCTAAATATGCCACAAAAAACTGTTAAAACTAATAAACAAGATAAACAGAGTAGCAAGATTCAAAATCAATATGCAAAAATCAATAGTTTCTATATACTAACAATGAGCACTCTGAAACAGAAATTAAGAAAATAATTCCATTTACAATAATATCAAAAAGAATAAAATACTTAGGAGTAAATAAGGAAGCAAAAGACTCATAGGTTGAAAACTAAAAAATGTTGCTGAAAGAAAGACACAAATAAATAGACATCTTGTGTTCATGGACTGAAGGACTTAATATTTTGAATATGTCAATACTACTGAAAACAATTTAAAGGTTTAATGGAATCTCCATGGGATTTCTTTTTTGCAGAATTAGAAAAAAAAATTATTCAGAAACCAATGTGGATTCTCAAGAGGCCCTAAATAGCCAAAACCAATCTTAAAAAAGGAGGAGGTCTTACTCGTCCAGATTTTAAAGCTTACCACAAGCTATAGTAATCAAAAAAGTGTGGTACTGACATAAAGGCAGACAGCCCAATGGAATAGAATGGAGAGCCTAGAAGTAAATCTTCACATACCTGATCAAATGATTTTTAAAAAAATTATGAAGACCATTCAATGGGGAAAGGACAGTCTCTTTAACTAATGATGGTGAGAAAGCTAGAGCTCTACATGCAAGAAAATGAAAAAATTGACCCCTTATATCATATGGAAAAACTAACTCAAAATGGATTAAAGACCCAAATTTACACCAGGTGCACTGGCTTACACCTGTAATCTCAGCACTTTGGGAGGCTGAGGCAGGATCACTTGAGGCCAAGGCCCGCGGATCACTTGAGGTCAGGAGTTCGAGACCAGCCTGGCCAACATGGTGAAACCCTGTCTCTACTGAAAATACAAAAAAATGAGCTGGGCATTGGGGCATATGCCTGTAATCCCAGCTACTCAGGAGGCTGAGGCAGGAGAATCACTTGAAACCAGGAGGTGGAGGTTGCAGTGAGCTGAGGTCACGCCACTGAACTCCAGCGTGGGCAACAGAGGGAGGCTCTGTTTCAAAAAAAAAAAAAAAAAAGAAAACCTAAATGAAAGAGCTAAAACTATAAAACTCTTAGAGGAGAACATAAGGACATAAGGGAAAAGCTTCATAATATTGGGTTTGACAGTGACTTCTTTTTTTTTTTTTAAGACACAGTCTCACTCTGTTGCCAGGCTGGAGTACAATGGCATGATCTCGGCTCACTGCAACCTCTGCCTCCCAGATTCAAGCAATTCTCCTGTATCAGCCTCCCAAGTACCTGGGACTACAGGCGCATGCCACCACGCCCAACTAATTTTTGTATTTTTAGTAGAGACAGGGTTTCACCATGTTGGCCAGGATGGTCTCGATCTCTTGACCTCATGATTTGCCTGCCTCGGCCTCCCAACGTGCTGGGATTACAGGCATGAGCCACCGCACCTGGCCTGACAGTGACTTCTTCATGTAACACTAAAAACATAGGCAACAAATGTAATAATAGCCAGGGTAATTAGGCAAGAGAAAGAAAGGGTATCAAAATTGGAAAGCAGAAAGTCAAATTGTCCCTATTTGCAGATGGCATGATCTTATATATGGAAAAACCTAAAGGTTCTACCAAAAAACTCTTAGAACTGATACATTTAGTTAAGTTTTAGGATACAAAATCAACATATAAGTATCAGTAGTGTTCCTATATTTGAACAATAAACTAGCTGAAAAAGAAAGGCAATCACATTTACAATAGCTACAAAAAATAAAAAATAATAAAATACCTAGGTATAAATCCAACCAGGGAGGTGAAAGACCTCCACAAGGAAACTAAAAAACAGTGATAAAAGAAATGGAAGAGTATACAAATAAATGGAAAGACATCCCATGCTCATGGAGTACAAGAATTAATATTGTTAAAATGACCATACTGTGCCGGGCATGGTGGCTCACACCTGTAATCCCAGCACTTTGGGAGGCCGAAGCAGGTGGATCATCTGAGGTCAGGAGTTTGAGACCAGCCTGGCCAACATGCGAAACCCTGTCTCTACTAAAAATACAGAAAATAGCCGGGCACGGTGGCAGGCAGCTCTAATCCCAGCTACTCGGGAGGCTGAGGCAGGAGAATAGCTTGAACCAGGGAGGCAGAGGTTGCAGTGAGCCGAGATTGCACCATTGCACTCCAGCCTGGGTGACAGAGTGAGACTCTGTCTCAAAAAAAAAAAAAAAAAAAAAAAAAAAAATGACCATACTACCCAAAGCAATCTACAGATTCAATGCAATCCCTATCAAAATGCCAATGACATTCTTCACAGAAATAGAAAAAAAGATTTAAAAACAATGTGGAGACACAAAAGATTCTGAATAGCCAAAGCAATCCTATGCAAAAAGAACGAAACTGAAGGCATCACACTACCTGACTTCAAAATCTACTACAAAGTTGTAGTAACACAAACTGCATAGTACTGACCTTAAAACAGACACGTGGGCCAATGGAACAGAATAGAGAACCCAGAAATTAATCCACATATATATAGCAAACTGATTGTTGACAAAGGCACCAAGAACACTTACTGAGGAAAAGACAATGTCTTCAACAAATAGTGCTGGGAAAATTGGATATCCATATGCAGAAAAATGAAATTAGACCTCCACCTCTCACCTTATACAAAAATCAACCCAAAATGGATCAAAGACCTAAAAGTAACACAAAAAACTATAAAACTACTAGTAGAAAACATAGGGGAAGTGCTTCAGGATATTGGTCTGGGAAAAGACTTTATGAGTAAGACCTCAAAAACACAGCCACAAAGGCAAAAATAAACACATGGGATTATATCAAACTAAAAAGCTTATGCACAGCAAAAGAAATAACACAGTGAACAGACAACCTGCAGAATCTGAGAAAATATCTGCAAGCCATTCATCCAACAGGGGATTAATATCCAGAATACACAAGGAACTCAAACATCTCAACAGTCAAAACAAAACAAAAACGACAATTCAGTTTAAGAATGGGCAAATGATCTAGATAAGACATTTCTCAAAAGACGACATACAAATGGCCAAGAAACATATGAAAAAGTACTCAATGATGCTAATTGTCAGAAATGCAAATCAAAACTACAATAAGGTATAATCTCATCCCAGTTAGGATGGCTAAAATAACAAATCCTGGCAAGGATGCGGAGAAAAGAAAACTCTAATATGCTGTTGATGAAAACGTAAATTAGTACAGCCACTGTGGAGAACAGTATGGACATTCATCACAAAACTGCAACTAGAACTACCATAAGATCCAGTGCTGTCACTACTGGATATTTATCCAAAGGAAAGGAAATCAGTATGTTGAGGAGACATCTTCATCCCCATGTTTATTGCAGCACAGCACTATTCATAACAGCCAAGATATGGAATCAACCCAGGTGTCCAACAATAGATGAATGAATTTTTTAATGTGGTATATATATATAATGGAATATTATTCAGCCTCAGAGAGAATGAAATCCTGTCATTCACTGCAACATAGATGGAACTGGAGGATAGTATGTTAAGTGAAATAAACCAGGAACAGAAAGTGAAACATCACATATTCTCACATGTGGAAGCCAAGAAAAGTTAATCTCAGAGAAGTAAAAAGTAGAACAGAACATACTTGTAGTGGAGAAGGGGGGGTACATAGTGAGAGATTTGTTAAAGGATACAAAATTACAACTAGTTAGATAAAAGGAATAAGTTCTAGTGTTCTGTAGCACTGTGGTATGACTATATATTAGTTAACAATAATATATAGTTTCAAATAAGTAGAAGGAGGATATTGAATGTTTCCAACACAAATAAATGATAAATATTTGAGATAATGGATATGGTAATTACCCTATCTGATCTTTATACATTATGTATTGGACACTGTACCTGTCAAAACATCATTATGTACCCCATACATACATACAATTACTATATGTCAATCAAAATTTTAAAATAATAATAGACACATTTGATTTTATCAAAATTAAAAGCTTCTGTGCATCAAAGGACACAACAGAATAAAAAAGCAATATACGGAAAGGGAGATTCATGAAGCTGAGTGAACACCAAACAGAATGAATCTAAAGAAAACATGACCCAACCATAAGCCATCTACAACGAACTCATTCCAAATATAACAATATAAATAGTTTGAAAACAAGTAGTGACAAAAACTAAGAAGTTGTAAAAAGAAGTGATGGGGGTATGTTATAGAGACACAGGAGCCAGCTGAAAGAATTCCTAATGGCCAAAGCTAGAACAATTTGACCAAGAAAATAAAAAATATAATAGTACATTATTAACCGAAGTATAAAATAAATATACATAAGGAAAGCCTACGAAAAATTCTTCTAGATATTGGTCTAGGCAAAGAATTCATGGCTAAGACTTCAAAAGCAAATACAGCAATAACAAAAATAGACAAATGAGACTTAATTAAACTAAAATGTTTCTGCACAGCAGAAAAATAACGCAGTGAATAACAACCTGCAGAATAGGAGAAAATATTTTGCAAACTATGCATCTGACGGACTAATATCCAGAATATGCAAAGAACTCAAACATCTTAACAACAACAACAAAAACCAAATAACCCCACTAAAAGCAGTCAAAGAACATGAACAGACATTTGACAAACAAAGACATACAAATGGCCAACAAGCATATGAAAATATTCTCAACATCACTACTCATCAGGGAAATGAAAATTAAAATGAGATATCAGCTTACACCAGTCAGAATGCCTATTAATAAAAAGTCAAAGGCCAGGCACAGTGGTTCACGCCTGTAATCCCAGCACTTTGGGAGGCCGAGGCGGGTGGATTACCTGAGGTCGGGAGTTTGAGACCAGCCTGACTAACACGGAGAAACCCTGTCTCTACTAAAAAAATACAAAATTAGCCTGGCATGGTGGCACATGCCTGTACTCCCACCTACTAGGGAGGCTGAGGCAGGAGAATTGCTTGAACCTCGGAGGCGGAGGTTTCAGTGAGTCGAGATCGTGCCATTGCACTCCAGCCTGGGCAATAAGAGCGAAACTCTGTCTCAAAATAAATAAATTGTAAAAAAAAAAAAAAAGAAAGAAAAAAGAAAAAAAAATGTTGGCGAGGATACAGAGAAAAGGGAATGCTTATATACTGTTGGTGGGAATGTAAATTAGTACAACCTCTATGGAAAACAGTATGGAGATTTATCAAAGAATTAAAAATAGAACTACCATTCAATCCAGTAATCCCATTACTGGGTATCTACCTAAAGGAAAAGAAATCATTATATCAAAAAGGTACCTGCATTTGTATGTATGTAGTAGCACTATTTCCAGCAGAAAAGATATGGAATCAACCTAAGTCAACCTAGGTGTCTATCAAAGGATGATTGAATAAAGAAAATGTTTTATACACACACACACACATATATGTATGTGTATATACAGGAATACTACTCAGCCATATGTTGGGGACCAACCCCAACACCACCCGTAGGGTACCCAAAGTCCGGTGGTGACAAAGGAATGAGAAGAGACAGGTTAAGAGTTCATAAAGGTGGGAGCCAGGGGGCCAGAACAAATCAGAGGCTGCGAAGGTGCCAAGCTCTGGTCTCCACACTATTTATTGAGTACAGTCACTTAGATCTAAGAAGCAGATGTTCAGGGGTGAAACGGTGAAAGCGGGGGGCGGTGTGACATACACCTAATCTATAGCAATGGCGGTTTAGGTAAATTTTCTTTGTGCTGAAGCAGCATAAACTTAACTACTGATTTATTCTTTAACTTATTGGAGAGCAGCTATCGGGAGTGGGCATAACTAGGAGCCGGCATATCTGGCCACATTCCAATGCTTCAAAGGAGTGTCTTTCTCCTTGAGCACAGTGTTTATAGATAAGAGAGCAGGTCACGCTCTGGTCATGGGAACGTTATGGCAATTAGAAGACTTTCCTCCTCAGAGGCCTCTTGTGGCTTTCCACAACTTATTGTCCCATATTTTTATGGCCAGTTTATGCAGGCACCCCACAAGCCCTTTTCCCAACAGCCATAAAAAAAGAATAAAATCATGTCATTTGCAGCAACATGGAACTGGATATCATTTTTATATCTATATATATATACACACATACACATGTATATATGTGTATATACATATATACACGTATATACGTGTATATACGTGTATATACGTATATACACGTATATACGTGTATATACGTATATACACGTATATACGTGTATATACGTGTATATACATATATATATTTTTTTTTTTTTGAGACGGAGTTTTGCTCTGTCACCCAGGCTGGAGTGCAGTGACAGGATCTTGGCTCACTGCAACCTCTGCCTCCCGGGTTCAAGCAGTTCTCCTGCCTCAGCCTCCTGAGTAGCTGGGATTACAGGCACACACCACCGTGGCCGGCTAATTTTTGTATTTTTTTAGTAGAGTTGAGGATTCACCATGTTGGCCAGGCTGGTCTCAAACTCCTGACCTCAGGTGATCTGCCCACCTCGGCCCCACAAAGTGCTGAGATTACAGGCGTGAGCCACCGTGCCTGGCTTTCTTTTCCCGTTTTCCTTTTTTTTTTAAGAAAGGGGCTCCTCTGTTGCCCAGGCTAGAGTGCAATGGTATAATCATAGCTCACTGCAGCCTCCACTTCCCAGGCTCAAGCAACCATCCCATGTCAGCCTCTGAGTAGCTGGGGCTACAGACACATACCACTACACCCAGCTAATTTTGCTCTTGTCACCCGGGATTACAGGGTGAGCTGGGATTACAGGCATGAGCCACCACACCCGGCTTACTATCTTAAGTAAAATAACTCAAAAGCAGAAAGTCAAATATGGCATATTCACACTTATAAGTAACAGCTAAATAATGTATACACATGGACATAGAGTGTAGAATAATAGACAGTGGAGACTTGACAGGGTGGAAGGGAGGTGAGAGATGAGACATGACTTAATGAGTATGTACACTATTCTGGTGATGGTTACACTAAAAGTCCAGACTTCACCACTACACAATACATTCATGTGACAAAACTGCACTTGTACCCCCTAAATTTATACAAGAAGAAAGAAGAAACAAGAAAGGAGAAGAGAAAAAAAAGAAGTAATAAAAAAGTATAGACAATGAAAACACTAATCAAAAGAATGCTAGAATGGTTACATTATTAGAAAATAAGGTGGACTTCAGAGCAAAGAGAATTACCAGAATCAAAGAAGAACGTTATCATGATAAAAGGATGAATTCGCTAAGAAGATATAATCAAAAATGTGGATGCACTAAACAAAAGAAATGACAGAAATGAAAGAAGAAGTAGACACATTCTCAATTATAGTCAGGCATTTTAACACTCTTCACAGTAATTGACAGAATCACCCGACAGAAAATCAGCAAGGGTATAGAGGAACTGAACAGCACCATCAACCAGGTAACTACAGGATTTTCTGTAGATGGAGACAAGCTGGTTGTCAAATTTACATGGAAAAGCAAAGGCTCTAGAATAGCTATTTTTTTAAAGTTTTGAAGGTAAAGAATAAAGTTGGAGGACTCACCCTACCCAATTTTAAGAGGTTTTATATAACTACTGTAATCAAGATAGCATGATATGGCAGAGGGGCAGACATACAAATAGATGGAAGGGAATCAAGTTCAAGAGTAGACTAACACTAATATGGCCAACTGTTAGTTTTTAATTGACATAGAATTCACGTACTATAAAATTCCCCCTTATAAAGTGTATGATTAAATGTTTTAGCATATTTACAATGTTTTTGTTACATACACAAGATTGCAACCATTGTCACTATCTAATCCAGATAGTTCGTCACCCTCCAAAAACAGCCCACACCCATTAGCAGTCAGTATACATTCCTCCCTTCCCCCAGTCCTTGACAACACTAATCTACTTTCTGTCCCTATGGAATTGCCTCTTCTGAACATTTTATATAAATAGAATCATACAGTAAGTCGCCTCTTGTGCCTAGCTTCTTTCACTTAGCATAATATTTTCAAGGTTTATTCACGTTGAAATGTATATCAGTACTTCTTTTTATGGCTGAATAATATTCCATTGAATAAATATAGCATATCTTGTTTATATTTATTTATTTATTTATTTGGAGATAGTATCTCCCTCTGTTGCCCAGGCTGCAGTTCAGTGGCATGACCATTGCTCACTGTAACTTTGAACTCTTGGGCTCAAGAGATCCTCCTGCCTCAGCCTCCTGAATATCTAGGACTACAGGTACATGCCACTACACCTGGCTAATTGTTTTAAAATTTTTCATAGAGATGGGGTCTTGCTATGTTGCCCAGGCTGCATATCTTGTTTATATATTAATCAGTGATGGACATTTGGAGTGTTTCCATTTTGGCTATGATAAATAGTGCTGCTATGAACATTTATGTACAATTTTTGTGTGAACTTATGTTTTCACTTGTCTTTAGTATCTGCATAGGATTGGAATTGCTGAGTCACATGGTAACTGTATGTTTAACTTTTTGAGGAACTTCCACACTGTTCAAAATGGCTGCACCATTTTACATTCCCAACCAGCAATGTATGAGGGTTCCAACTTTTTCACATCCTCATCAACACTTGCTATTGTCTTTTTTATTCCAACCATCCTAGTGGGTGTAAAGTGGTATCTCATTGTGGTTTTGATTTTCAATTCCTTGATAATCAGTGAGGTTGAACCTCTTTTCATGTGCTTCTTGGCCATGTGTATGTCTTCTTTGGAAAAAATGTTTATTCAAATCCTTTGCCCATTTTCGTTAAAGATATTTGTAGTTTACCACTGACTTATATAACAATAGAGTTATGTATTATTCTAGGTGTTAGTTCCTTATCATAGGGGTCCCCAGACCCCAGGGTCACAGACTAGTACTGGCACAGCAGGAGGTGAGCAGCTGGTAAGCTCGCATTACCGCCTGAGCTTTGCCTCCTGTTGTATTAGCGGGAGCATTAGGTTCTCATAGAAGTGCAAACCCTATTGTGAACTGCAGATGTGAGGGATCTAGATTATGCAATCTGAGGTGGAACAGTTTCATCCTGAAACCATCCCCCTACTTCCATCCGTGGAAAACTATCTTCCACAAAACCAGTCCCTGGTGCCAAAAAGGTTGGGGACCGCTGTCTTATCATATATGATTTGCAAATATTTCTCCTATTCTGGAGATTGTCTTTCATTTTCTTGATAGTGTCATTTGAAGCACAAACATTTTTAATTTTGATGAAGTCCAATTTACCTATTTTTTGGAGGTTGCATGTGTTTTTGGTGTAATATCTAAGAAACCATTGAGTATTCCACATGACAAAGATGTATGATTATATTTTCTTTGAAGATTTTTATAGCTTTAGCTCTTACATTTATGTCTTTGATTCATTTTAAGCTCATTTTTGTATATGGTGTGAGGCAGGGGTCCACCTTATTCCTCTGGATGTAGGGATAACCAGTTGTTCAGCAGTGTTTGTTGGAAATATTATTATTTCCCTTTGGCATTGTCTTGGAACCCTTGTCAAAAATCAGTTGGCCATAATGTATAAGTTTATCTCTGGATTCTCAATTCTGTTCATATGGATATAGATCTACATGTCTATCCTTATGCCAGTACTACCTGATCTTAATTACTGTAGCTTTGTAGTAAGTTTTGAAATCAAGAAATGTAAATCCTTTAACTTTGTCTCCCTTTTTCAAGATTGTTTTAGCTATTCTGAGTTCCTTGGATTTAAAAAAAATTTTTTTGTCCTTGGAAGACTTCAAAATTTTGATATAAATTTTTGGATTAGCTTCTCAACGTTTCCAACAAAAACAGCCAACTAAATTTTGTGAGGATTGTAGTGAATCTGTACACAATCTTAAGATGAAAATACTAATCCCATGAAGACAGGATGTCTTTCTACTTATTTAGATCTTAATTTGTTTCAATGTTGTTTTGTAGTTTTTCATATCATCACTCTTAAGTTCAGACTTTCACAAAGTCTTTGGACATGGGCACAGTGCAGCTACGTTCTTTGCTAAGGTGTAACAAGGGTGACCCTTCCTCCAGTTCCCAATAAGTTCCTTATTTCCATCTGAGACCTCATCAGCCTGGCCTTCACTGTCCCTAATTCTATCAGCACTTTGGTCACAACCACTTAACCAGTCTCATAAAAGTTCCAAACGTTCCCTCATCTTCCTTTCTTCTTCTGAGTCCCCCAAACTCTTCCAAATTGTCCATTACTCAGTTCCAAAGCTGCTTCCACATTTTCAGCTTTCTTTATAGCCATGTGCCACTCCTCAGTATTAATTTTCCATATTAGTCCATTTTGCACCACTATAAAGGAATACCTGAAGCTAAGTAATTTGTTTGTTTTTTATTTTTATTTATTATTTTTGAGACAGAGTCTCACTCCGTTGCCCAGGCTGGAGTGCAGTGGCACAATCTTAGCTCACTGCAACCTCCGTCTCCCGAGTTCAAGTGATTCTTGTGACTCAACCACCCAAGTAACTGAGATTGCAGGCATGTGCACCACACCCAGCTAATTTTTTGCTATTTTTTAAGTAGAGACAGGGTTTTACTGTGTTGGCCAGGCTGGTCTTGAACTCATGGCCTCAAGTGATCTACCCACCTCATCTTCCCAAAGTGCTGGGATTACAGGCCACTGCACCTGGCTGAGGCTGAGTAATTTATAAAGAAAATAAGTTTATTTGGCACACAGTTCTGCAGACTGTACAAGAAACATGGCATCAGCATTGGCTGATCTTCTGGTGAGGGCCTCAGGAAAGTTTTATTCATGGTAGAAGGCAAGGGAAGCTGGCATGTCATATGGGAGAGAGGGAGCAGGAGAGATAGGGCAGATCCCAGACTCTTTAACAACCAGATCTTGCTTGAACTAATGGCACTAGAACTCTCATTAATGTAGGGAAGGCACCAAGCCATTACTGAGGGATCTGTCCCCATGGCCCAAACACCTTGCACCAGGCCCCACCACCAACATTAGCAGTCACATTTCAATATGAGATTTGGAGAGGACAAATATCAAAACTATCTCAACAAGTTGTGCTTCTTTTAAGTTTATTCCTAAAAATGTATTTTTATGCTATTGTAAATGGAATTATTGTCTTAATTTTATTTTCAGATTGTTCACTATTAGTGTGTATAAATATAATTGATTTTCATATATTGACCTTGTATTCTGCAACATTGCCAGACTTATTTGTTAGCTTTAACAATTTTCATGTGAATTCCTTAGTGTTTTCTACGTGCAAATTCATATTATCTGCAAATGGATGGTTTTATTCCTTCCTTTTAATGTGTATGCCTTTTATTTCTTCCTCTTTTGATTGTCCTGACTAAAATCTTCAGTACAATGTGGAATAGAAATGGAAAAAACAGACATTGTTTTGTTCCCTATATTGGCAGGAAGACTTTCAGCTTTTTTTTTTTTTTTTTTTTTTGAGACAGGATCTCTCTCTGTCACCCAGGCTGGAGTGCAGTGGTATGATCATGGCTCACTGCAGCCTCAACCACCTGGACCCAAGTGATTCTCTCACCTCAGCCTCCCAAGTAACTGGGAACACAGGTGCACACCACCATGACTGGCTAGTTTTTAAAAATTATTATTTGTAAGACTGGGCACGGTGGCTCATGCTTGTAATCCCAGCACTTTGGGAGGCTGAGGTGGGTGGATCACAAGGTCAGGAGTTCAAAACCAGCCTGGCCAACACAGTGAAACCCCGTCTCTACTAAAAATACAAAAATTAGCTGGGCGTGGTAGCGGGCGCCTGTAATCCCAGCTACTCAGGAGGCTGAGGCAGGAGAATCATTTAAATTTGGGAGGCGGAGGTTGCAGTGAGCCAAGATTGCGCCATTGCCCTCCAGCCTGGGCGACAGAGCTAGACTCCGTCTCCAAAAAAATTATTTGTAGAGACAAGGTCTTGCTATGTTATTCAGGCTGGTCTTGAACTCCTGGGCTTAAGCGACCCTCCCACCTCAGCCTCCCAAACTGTAGGGATTACAGGCATGAGCCACTGAACCCAGCCACTTTCAGCTTTTTATCATTAAGTAGGATGTTACTTGTAGGGTTTTTGTAGATGGCTTTATTAGGTTGAGGAATATTCTTACTTTGTTGAATATTTTGTATCCTGAAAAGGTTTCGGATTTGTCAAATTTTTTTTCTTTTGAGATTATCATGTAGAGTTTGTCTTTTATTAATATAGTGTATTACATTGATTGGTTTTCTTATGTTGAACCCAGTTTGCATTTGTGGGGTAACTCGCACCTACTCATTGTGTCTAATCCTTTTCTTTAAAAATACACCTGACATTTTAGAACAGTTTTAGGTTCACAGAAAATAGAGCAGAAAGTACAGAGTTCCCACACATGCATAGCACTCCTCACCATCCATATCCTGCACTGGAGTGGGAGATTTACTAGAATTGATGAACCAACATTAACACTTAATTATCATCCACGTTCCATAGTTTACATTCAGTTTCATTGTTGGTGTCATACATTCTGTAGGTTTTGGCACAAATATAATGGCACATATCCACCATTATAGTGTCATATAGAATTGTTTCACTGCCCTAAAAATGCCTGTGCTCTACCTCTTCTTCCCCTCACACAAACCCCTGGCAACCACTGATGTTTTTGCTGTTTCCATAGTTTCACCTTCTTCAACATGTCATATGGTTGGAATCAGAAAATATGTAGTCTTTCCAGATTGGCTTCTTTCACTTAGCAATATGCAAGTTTCCTTCATGTCTTTTCATGGCTTGTTAGCTCATTTGTTTTTAGTGCTGAATAATATTTTGTTGCCTGGATGTACCAAAATTTATTTATCTCCTCCCCTACTAAAGAACATCTTGATCTACGGCCATACCACCCTGAACGCACCTGATCTCATCTAAAGAGCATCTTGGTTGCTTCCAAGTTTTGGCAATTATTAATAAAGTTGCCATAAAATGTGTGTGCTGGTTTTTGTGTTGACATGTTTTCACCTTATTTGGGTAAATACCAAAGAACATGATTGCTGGAATGTATGTTAAGAGTATGTTTACTTATGTAAGAAACTGCCAAACTATCTTCCAAAGTGGATATATCATTTTGCATTCTCACCAGTAATGAATGGGGGTTTCTGTTGCTCTATCTCCTAGCTAGCATTTGCTGTTGCCAGTGTTTTGGATTTTCACCATTCTAATAGATTTGTAGTGATAACTTATTGTTTTAATTTGCAATTCCCTAAAGAAATATGATGTTGAACATCTTTTCATAAGCTTATTTGTCATTTGTATATCTTTTTTGGTGAGGTATCTGTTCAGATCTTTTGCCAATTTTTTCTTTTTTTTTAATTTTCAAGTCCTCATATCTCAGATGATTTTGCCAATTTATTTTTATTTTTTATTTTTTTGAGATGGAGTCTTGCTCTGTTGCCCAGGCTGGAGTGCAGTGGCACAATCTTGGCTCACTGCAACCTCTGCCTCCCAGGTTCGAGCAATTCTCCTGCTTTAGCCTCTCGAGTAGCTGGGATTACAGGCATGCACCACCTTGCCTGGTTAATTTTTATATTTTTAGTAGAAATCGGGTTTTGCCACATTGGCCAGGCTGGTTTCAAACTCCTGACCTCAAATGATCCACCCGCCTTGGCCTCCCAAAGTGCTGGGATTACAGGTATGAGCCACTGCTCCCGGACATGTTGTCAATTTTTTAATTGGGTTAAATAACAGTCCTTTGTAAGATATGTCTTTTGCAAATACTTTCTCCCAGTCTATGAATTGTCTTAATATTCTTTTGATGTAATCTTTATATGTTGCTAGATTTGGTGTGTTAGTATTTTGTTGAGAATTTTTTTCATCCTTTTTCATAAAAGATAATGGTTTGTAGTTTTCTTACAATGTCATTGTCTGGTTTTTGTATCAATGTAACACAGTCCTCATAGAATGTGTTGAAAAGTATTTCCTCCTCTTTTATATTTTGAAAGAGTTTGGTGTTAATTCTTTTTTAGACACTTGGTAGAATGCACCGGTGAAGCTATCTGGTCCTGCGCTTTTCTTTGTGGTAAGCTTTATAATTATTAATTGTTATGTGTTTATTCTGAATTTCTATTTGTTCTTCAGTCAGTTTTGGTAGTCTGTGTCTTTCCACGAATCTGGTTTTTTTTTTTTTTTGAGACGGAGTTGCCCAGGCTGGAAGCTCCGCCTCCCGGGGTCACGCCATTCTCCTGCCTCAGCCTCCCGAGTAGCTGGGACTACAGGCGCCCGCCACCACGCCCAGCTAATTTTTTTTGTATTTTTAGTAGAGACGGGGTTTCACCATGTTAGCCACGATGGTCTCAATCTCCTGACCTCGTGATCCGCCCGCCTTGGCCTTCCAAAGTGCTGGGATTACAGGCGTGAGCCACCGCGCCCGGTCATGTCCTATTTTTTATTCTTGGTTTCAGTGATACAAGTCTTCTCTCTTATTTCCTGGTCATTCTAGCTATAATGAAGTTTTGCCAGTTTTATCAATCATTTCAAATAACTAACTTTTGGGTTTGTTAATTATTTATATTGTTTTTATCTTCCCAGTTGCATTTATTTTCCCTCTAATCTTTATTATTTTCTTAATTCTGATTGCCTTGGGTTTATTTTGCTCCTTTTTCCCCAGCGTCTTTTTTTTTTTTTTTTTTTTTTAAGAAATGGGCCTCACTAAGTTGCCCAGCGTAGAGTGCAGTAGCTATTCACAGGTGCAATCATAGCACACTGCAGCCTCAAATTCCTAGCCTCAAGTGATCCTTCCATCTCAGTCTCCTGAGTAGCTAGGACCACAGGCACACACCACCATCCCTGGCGCCCCTGTGTCTTAAGATGGAAGGTTAGATTATTGTTTGAAATCTTTCTTTTTTAAAAATATGGGCATTTATAGCTATAAATTTCACCCTAAGCATTAATTTTGCTGCATCCATAAATTTGGGTATTCTGCGTTTTTGTTTTCATTAATATCAAAGCATTTTCTCATTTTTCTTGTGTTTATTTTTTGTCGCATTGGTTATTCAAGAGTGTGTTGTTTCATTCCCACATATTTGCCAAATTTGTTGTTGATATCTAATTTCATCCCATTGTGAATTTTGGCATTCATAAAACCATACCCCAGAATGACAGCCTCAGAAACAGCCTCAGAAGAAAAAGTTTTTCTCTGACCTTCTCCTACCCTCCTGTCTCTCAGTCCCATTCTCCACCAAGGCTAGCCAGAGACACCTAGAATCCCTTTTCCACAAGGTGGGTTATAGAAACCAGAACCCCTTTTCCCCAAAGCCAGCTATAAAACCTAAAAATATGAATCTAGCCTTTCCTCCATCTTTCTGTGTAAAAACTGGTCATAAAGGATTATCTGACCTACCTTGTTTGATTGTAGGTCATAAGGCTCCGATCCCTGCTGAGAGGACCCTGCTCCACACCCAGAAGGAAAGAAAGCATGCTCACAGAGACCACAAAAAACCTAGACAGACACTGGGTTTCCCCACTCTTTTTTCTTTTTTTTTTTTTTTTTTTTGAAGTGGAGTTTCATTCTTGTCTCCCAGGCTGGAGTGCAGTGGCGCAATCTCAGCTCACTGCAACCTCCACTTCCCTGGTTCCAGTGATTCTTGTGCCTCAGCTACCCAAGTAGCTGGGATTACAGGCGTGTATCACCACACCTGGCTAATTTTTGTGTTAGTAGAGACAGGTTTTGCTGTGTTGGCCAGGCTGGTCTTGAACTTCTGGCCTCAAGTGATCCACCTGTCTCAGCCTCCCAAAGTGCTGGAATTACAGGCATGAGCCACTGCGCCTGGCCTTCTATATTTAAAAACATTATCTTCTTAATGTTGCTTTTGGGATTAAAATTAATAACATATTAATCTAATTTTGATTAATATCAACTTCATTTTAATGGCATCTAAACACTTTGGTCCTATAGCTCTGTTCTTTCCCTTCTCCTTTGTGCTGTTATTGGCAAACAAACTAATTTTTATACATAGAGTATGCATCAACACAGATTTATAATTATTGAATTATTTCTCTATGTGGCTGTCTTTTACATCAAATAAAAGAAAGAGTTACAAACAAAAATACATGTATACTGTCTTTTACATTTGCTTATGTAGTTATCTTTATTGGTACTCTTTATTTATAGGTGTGGATTCTTATTACTATCTAGAGCCCTACAATTCAGTACAAAGGTCTCCTTTTAGCATTTCTTATAGGGCAGGTATATTAGTCTGTTCTCAGGATGCTATAAAGAACTGCCCAAGAGCTGGGCGTGGTGGCTCATGCCTGTAATCCCAGCACTTTGGGAGGCTGAGGCAGGTGGATCACCTGAGGTCAGGAGTTTGACACCAGCCTGGCCAACATGGTGAAACCCCGTCTCTACTAAAAATACAAAAATTAGCTGGATATGGTGGCAGGTGCTTATAATCCCAGCTAGTTGGGAGGCTGAGGCAAGAGAATCACTTGAACTCAGGAGGTGGAGGTTGCAGTGACCGAGATCATGCCAGTGCACTCCAGCCTGGGTGACGGAATGAGACTGTCTCAAAAAAAATAAAGTCAGACACTTTAGACCATTATTTGTTAATATATTATTTCTGCCCTTTCTCTTCTCTCCTTCTGGGACTCTCAGTGTGTATATATTGGCACAGTTAATGATATCCCACTGATTCATTTGTATTCAATTTCATTCATTTTTTTTTCATTTTGTTCCTCAGGCTAGATAATGTTCATTGATGTATTTTCAAGTTTGTTTATTCTTTCTTCTGAGTGTTTAAATCTGCTGCTAAGCCTCCCTAGTGAACTTTTCATTTCAGTTACTGTAATTTTGAACTACAGAACTTCTATATGGTTCTTTTTAATATTTCCTCTCTTTTTCATTAATATTCTCTATTTGGGAAGAGATTATTCTCATACTTTTCTTTAGTTCTTTACACATAGTTTTGCTTAGTTTTTGAACATATTTAAAATAGGTCGCTTGGCACGGTGGCTCATGCCTGTAATCCCAGCACTTTGGGAGGCCGAGGCGAGTGGATCTCCAGGTCAGGAGATCGAAACCGTCCTGGCTAACACGGTGAAACCCCGTCTCTACTAAAAATACAGAAAATTAACCGGGTGTGGTGGCAGGTGTCTGTAGTCCCAGCTACTTGGGAGGCTGAGGCAGGAGAATGGCGTGAACCAGGGAGGCGGAGCTTGCAGTGAGCAGAGATCGCACCACTGCACTCCAGCCTGGGTGACAGAGCAAGACTCTGTCTCAAAGAAAAAAATAAAATAGGTGATTTAAGGTCTGTCCAGTAAATCAAACATCTGTGCTTTTCAGGGATAATTTTTGTTTTCTGCTTACTTTCCGGCTTGTGGACCATACTTTTTAAATTCTCTGCAAGTCTCATAACTTTTTGTTGAAAACTGAACTTTTAAAGTAACGTATTTTGGCAACTCTGGAAATCAGATTCTCTTTCTTCCTAAAGGTTTATTGTTGTTGCTTTTGGTTGTTGTTTGCTTCTTTAGTGTATTTTCTGACTTGGTTGAGTAATGTCTGTTTTCTTATCATGGTGGCCTCTGAAATCTCTGCTTAGTTAGCTTAGTGATCAACTAATAATTAGAGAGAAATTTCCTTAAATACCTGAAACCACTAGGTTTCTAGTCCTTGCAGAGGGATTCTGTGTATGTGCTGGGACACACTTTCAACACTCAGCTAGGAAGTTGCTAACTGGGACTTATCCTTCACTTCCTCCTTACATAGAGCCTCAGGATGACCCAGAGATGAGAATTTAGGGCCTTCTCACATCTCTTCCGAGCAGGCACATAGCCCTGGGCATGCACACATTACCATACATGTGCATGGCCTTCTAGATTCCCAGGAATATGTCAGAGTTTTTAAAGCCCTGTCAGCATTTCATTCCTCAGCCTTTTCTTTCAAGCTTTTTGGTTAGCCTGTTGTTTGCCCAAATTGTTATCTACTGCATCATGCAGCTACAAAATCAATAAATTGCTTCTAATGTCCCAGGGCAAAGGCTTTTTGCACTGGGTTAACTGCAAGTTAGGTGAGATAAAGATAGCGTTATTGAGTAGGGTATCCAGGAAACCACTAGACGAGTCAAATAATGACAATTCTCTGGGAATGAGGGTTTGAAGGATTTCAAATCCTGCTATGCCCCTCCATTAGCTGCCAAGCTGCTGGTTTCATTGGCAGTTGTGAGCTGTTTTATGGAGCTGGTCAAGAAGGGATGGGACTAGAACCAGTGATGGTATCACAAAGCTCACTGTCCTTCCTGAAATTCAGCCACTTTCTTTGAATAAATACTCTCTGAATTAATTTCCAGAGTTCTGAAAATGTTTGATTCTGACCATTTTTTGCTACTTTTCTTGTTGCTTTTATATTGGACAGAATTTTGGAGATTTAATCTGCTGTTGTTTTTCCTCTTAATTGTACTTTTAACTTTTATCTTTATTTTATCACACTTAATAACTACTCATGGTTAATCCAGGTACAGTATTAAAAATCAGTGAATTCTCAACAATAGAAGATTACATAGAACAAAAATGTCCTACAACAGAAGATTAGTTGGAACAGCTAAAGGTCTAACAATATGTTGGTTTCAAAGGTTCATTTGCAGCTTGTTTCTTTTTTCCTCTTTCCCTTCTGCTATGGGCTGACTCTGTCCCCCCAAATTCATGTGTTGGAAGCTTAATCTCCAAGACAACAGTGTTAAGAGATGGGCCTTTGGGGAGGTATTTAGGTCATGATTAATGCCAGTATAAAAAGGCTTCTGGCTGGGCGTGGTGGCTCACGTCTGTAATCCCACCACTTTGGGAGGCCGAGGCGGGCAGATCACCTGAGGTTGGGAGTTTGAGACCAGCCTGACCAACATGGAGAAACCCTGTCTTTACTAGAAAATACAAAATTAGCCGGGCATGGTGGTGCATGCCTGCAATCCCAGCTACTTGGGAGGCTGAGGCAGGAGAATCATTTGAACCCGGGAGGCGGAGGTTGCAGAGAGCCGAGATCACGCCATTGCACTCCAGCCTGGACAACAAGAGTGAAACTCCACCTCAAAAAAAAAAAAAAAAAAAAAAAGGCTTCTAAGGGTGGGTTTGCTCTTTTTTGCCCTTCTGCCTTCTGCCATGTGAGGATGAAGCAAGAAGGACCTCACTAGATGCCAGTACCTTGATCCTGGACTTCACAGCCTCTGGAACTATAAGAAATGCATTTCAGATCTTTATAAATTTCTGTCTCAGGTTTTCTGTTATAGCAGCACAGAAGGGACTGACACCTTCTTATCACTATTCAAAGCAAGTTCAGTGAAAACAACCTCACTCCATTCAGATGAGCAAAAGTCATGAACTACCCCCATAATCATGTCCACCCAGGGACAGCCCCTGCTGAAGCCTGGGTTTACATCCTGTTGGATTCTCACTCTTACTCTCTCCTTTGGTATACCTTCATATACTTATTCTTTCAAAATATGCTTATGTATTTATGCTACAAATTTGAGCTCATAACCCAACAGACTGGTAGTTTTCATAAATTCTGATTTTTTTTTCTTTTTTTTTTTGTTTAAATATGGAACACGTCATGAATTTGTGTGTCATCCTTGTGCAGGGGCCATGCTAATCTTCTCTGTATCGTTCCAGTTTTAGTATATGTGCTGCAGAAGCAAGCACATAAATTCTGATTTTAATATAAAATATTTGAAAAATTAGTAAGTGCATGAATTAAAATATAAATATTAGCACAGATATATAGTAAGGAGGCAGGTTCCTTTCTGCAGCCAAGATGACCTGTATCCAGCAGTTCTTTGTTTTTTTTTTGTTTGTTTGTTTGTTTGTTTGTGACAGAGCCTTGCTCTGTCAGCCAGGCTGGAGTACAGTAGCACAATCTCTGCTCACTGCAATCTTTACCTCCTGGGTTCAAGCGATTCTCCTGCCTCAGCCTCCTGAGTAGCTGGGACTACAGGCAAACACCACCATGTCTGGCTAACTTCTGTATTTTTAGTAGAGACAGGGTTTCACCACGTTGGCTTCAAACTCCTGGCCTCAAGTGATCCACCTGCCTCAGCCTCCCAAAGTGCTAGGATTACAGGCATGAGCCACATTCCCCCGGCCCCAGCAGTTCTTTCTTGACAGAGGTGTTCTATGTGTATATGAAGAAATGGGAGTGAATAACAAACTTTACACACTGATACAAACTTTAAATTTCCAGACAAAAGTAATGGTAGTGGAACTAGCATAGAACTATCTTTCTTTTAGACCTCTGTTCTCCCTCACTGAGCCTCCAGCTTCATGCAATCAAAAATTCATTAGCGCATCAGTTTCTCTTCTGGCTCCCGTAACAATTGGTTCCTAGTGACATGGTCGGTTCAGGAGCCTAAAACTCATCTCGACAACTTTTTGTCCTTCAGGAGTAATGTCAATAGATCCCTCATTTCTGGACTTTATATTCACTTACTCTATATTAATTTTCTCTCTCCTCCTCTTATTTATTTTAGAATGTGGAATTCCCTTTATGCTTTAGCATCTTTATCCACAGACAATATCCATCTCTCAGAGCTGCTGGGAGGATTCCATGGAATCTTGTGTGAGATACTCTGACCATAAGTTAACAGTGAGTTATCTGTCTAGAAAAGGGAGCTCTCATTTATCAAAAGGGAGCTATGCAGGACCCCAGGTTATTCTGTGTATTCAGAATACACAGAATACGTTATTTTGCCTTATCCCATCCAAGCCAATGAGCTTGAAAGTTCTCAACTGAAACTTTCATTGAAAGTTTTCTCAATGACAAACAAACAACACAAACCCTCTTGACTAGTTACTCCAAGTATTACTGGCAGACCAGCAGCTTCAGCCTCCTGTAGGTGCTCGTCACAAGTGCAAATGCTTGAGCAGCACCCCAGACCTACTGAACCAGACTCTGCATTTTTAACAAGGTCCCTTGATGACTCAGATACACACTACAGGTCAAGAACGACCCTCTATAAGCTCTTCTTCATGAAGACATGAGTCCCATTTTCTACGCAAGTGCCTGCAGTTCCTTGGCTGAAGGAAGGAGACAACAGCTCTCATAAAGGACCTTTGTGAGGGTTAAATATTAATATATTTGCAGCAAGTGTTTTAAACTCTAGCTCTAGTTAATCTTTCTGCTCCCCTCTACAGCTTCTCATCTCCCCCAAATTCACTATTTTCTCAAGACTAAAACTGGATCAGTGGCTTCCCATGATGCTTAAATCATGACTTGATCCACTGTTACTTGATCCATTAAGTAATAAATCAGTAAACCTCTGCTGAGTGTCCATAATGTGCCATCTCCTGGGCCCAGGTCCATGAACCAAGCTTCGATCTCAGGGAGCTTCTGTCTCTACCTGAGCATGTATAGGCTCAGACAGGGCTCAGAGCACAGCCATCTGCAGTAGGTTTCTCAAACTGCTCTTCACCATCTGGGGTACCATGACAACTACTGCGTTCCCCCTCTTCAATTGGGGATAATAATAATAATATTCCTCTCAGAGGGTTACTGCAATGATTTAATGAGATCATCATGTTACTGGCCTGTCCATAGTAAGTCCTTAAGACCTCAATAAATGTTTGTTATTATTAAGTCTTTACAAGCCTGGAGAAGTTAAATAATAATGTATTTAAGGATCTAAAGTGCTGCATAATAAATGCTGGATTATGTATTTTACCCTAAATCTTCTAGAGCTTTTCATCCCAAATCTCCTTGTAGTTCCATGTGCTACAAAACAGCTTCATTCAGTGGTGTATGACTAAATGTCTATCAACAGGCCTTATAGGGAGTTATTATATATATTTTATGAGTTTATTATAAATTTTACTGATATAAAGAATATATAGCACACAATTTACTACTAATAGTAAAATATACAATACTCTATCACAAATTTTATGCACCTATGACTTCACTTTGAACTGCTATTTCTTGTAAAATCCAGAAGAGTATTTAATAGTTTTGTTGCCAACATGAGAGAACTTCACTTGCGCAATGATATGGGTGACTTCTAATAATTAGTCAAATAAATAGAAAGTGATGAGTTTGAGCATTCAATACCTGTGTGTTTAATATAATGTATTTAATTACAAGTTTATATGATTTAATTTTTCATAAATGATTGTTGATATGGTTTGGTTGTGTCCCCCACCCAAATCTCATCTTGAATTTTAACTCCCACAATTCCCATGTGTTGTGAAAGGGACCTGGTGGGAGGTAATTGAATCATGGGAGTGGGTCTTTCCCATGCTATTCTCATGATAGTGAATAAGTTTCATGAGATCTGATGGTTTTAAAAACGAGAGTCTCCCTGCACAAGCTCTCTTGTCTGCTGTCATGTGAGATGTGCCTTTCACCTTCCACCATGATTATGAGGCCTCCCCAGCCACATGGAACTGTAAGTCCAATAAACCTCTTTCTTTTGTGAATTGCCCAGTCTCAGGTATGTCTTTACCAGCAGTGTGAAAATGGACTAATACAGTAAATTGGTACCGGGAGTGGGGCATTACTGAAAAGATCCAAAAATGTGGAAGTGACTTTGGAACTGGGTAACAGGAGAGGTTGGAACAGTTTGGAGGGCTCAGAAGAAGATAGGAAAATGTGGGAAAGTTCAGAACTCCCTAGAGACTTGTTAAAGGGCTTTGACAAAAATGCTGCTAGTGATACGAACAATAAGGTCTAGGCTGAGGTGATCTCAGATGGAGATGAGGAACTTGTTGGAAACTGGAGCATAGGTGATTCTTCTTATGTTTTAGCAAAGAGACTGCTGGCATTTTGCCCCTGCCCTAGAGATTTGTGGAACTTTGAACTCGAGAGAGATGATTTAGAGTATCTAGCAGAAGAAATTTCTAAGCAGCAAAGCATTCAAGAGGTGACTTGGGTGCTATTAAAGACATTCAGTTTCAAAAGGGAAACAGAGCATAAAAGTTTGGAAAATTTGCAGCCTAACAATGCAATAGAAAAGAAAATTCCATTTTCTGAGGAGAAATTCAAGCCAGCTGCAGAAATTTGCATAAGTAGCAAGGAGCCAAACATTAATCTCCAAGACAATGGGGAAAATGTCTCCATTGCATGTCAGAGACCTTTGCAGCAGCCCCTGCCATCACAGGCATGGAGGCCTAGAGGAAAAAGTGGTTTTGTGGGCCAGGCCCAGGGTCCTCATGTTTTGTGCAGCCTAGGGACTTGGTTCCCTACATCCCAGTCACCCCAGCCATGGCTGAAAGGGGCCACCATAGAGCTCCAGCCATGGCTTTAGAGGGTGCAAGCATCAAGCCTTGGCAGCTTCCATCTGGTGTTGAGCCTGGGAGTGCACAATAGTCAAGAATTGAGGTTTGGGAACCTCCGCCTGGATTTCAGAAGATGTATGGAAACACCTGGATGTCCAGGCAGAAGTTTGCTGCAGGGGCAGCGCCCTCATGGAGAACCTCTGCTAGGGCAGTGTGGAAGGGAAATGTGGGGTGAGGGCGCCTACACAGAGTCCCTACTGGGGCACTGCCTAGTGGAGCTGTTAGAAGAGGGCTATCATCCTCCAGGATGGTAGATCCACTAACAGTTGGCACCATGTGCCTGGAAAAGCCACAGACACTCAATGCCAGCCTGTGAAGGCAACTGGGAGGGAGGCTGTACCCTGCAAAGCCACAGGGGCAGAGCTACTTAAGACCATGGGAAGCCACCTCTTGCATCAGCATGACCTGGATGTGAGACCTGGAGTTAAAGGAGATCGTTTTGGAGCTTTAAGAATTGACTGCCCCACTAGATTTCAGACTTGCATGGCGCCTGTAGTCCCTTTGTTTTGGCCAATTTCTCCCATTTGGAATGGCTATATTTACCCAATGCCTATACCCCCATTGTATTTAGGAAGTAACTAAACTAACTTGCTTTTGATTTTACAGGCTCATAGGTGGAAGGGACTTGCCTTGTCTCAGATGAGACTTTGGACTGTGGACCTTTGAGTTAATACTGAAATGAGTTAAGACTTTAGGGGACTGTTGGTAAGGTATAATTGGTTTTGAAATGTGAGGACATGAGATTTGGGAGGGGCCAGGAGCAAAATGATACGAACTGGCTGTGCCCCAACCCAAATCTCATCTTGAATTCTAACACTCACAATTCCCACGTGTTGGTGGGAGGTAATTGAATCATGGGAGCAGGTCTTTCCCATGCTATTCTCATGATAGTGAATTACTCTCACAAGATCTGATGGTTTTAAAAATGGGAGTCTCCTTGCACAAGCTCTCTTCTCTTGTCTGCCACCATGTGAGATGTGCCTTTCACCTTCCACCGTGATTGTGAGGCCTCCCCAGCCACATGGGACAGTAAGTCCAATAAACCTCTTTCTTCTGTAAATTGCCCAGTATCTGGTATGTCTTTATCAGCAGTGTGAAAACAGTCTAATACAAGTGTTTTTAACAATTAGCTTGCAAAATTTAATAATTTAATAATCAACTCTCTTGGCCAGGCACAGTGGCTCACGCCTGTAATCCCAGCACTTTGGGAGGCCGAGGCAGGCAGATCATGAGGTCTGGAGTTGAAGACCAGCCTGGCCAACATGGCGTCTCTACTAAAAATACAAAATTTAACCGGGTGTGGTGGAAGGCACCTGTAATCCCAGCTACTCAGGGAACTGAGGCAGGAGAATTGCTTGAACCTGTGAGGCAGAGATTGCAGTGAGCCAGCATCATGCCACTACACTCCAGCCTGGGCAACAAGAGCAAGTCCATCTCAAAAAAAAAAAACAATAATAATAATCAGCTCTCTTAAGCTAACAGAGCCAGTTCCATCTCAGAGATAAGGAAAATTTAGTATTGGGATCAGATCCATAACTGCTTGGCTATATTTCATTATAATTTTGTTATTTTAAATATCTTTATTATAATTTATTAATACTCCTAAGGAACTTTATTGTAAGCTCATAGTTTTGTGTGTGTTTTCTTGAAATAAGATCTCACTCTGTCACCCAGACTGGAGCATGATCTCAGCTCACTGCAGACTTGACTTCCTGGGCTCAAGTGATCCATCTGCTTCGGCCTCCCAAAGTGCTGGGATTACAGGTGTGAACCACTGTGCCCAGCCAAGCTCATAGTTTAGAAAATGATAAACCTAATTCAATTGCTACCAATTTGTGAGGATTCTAGCTTTCCCTCCCCTCACCTTTATCATCATAAAGTCATTTATTACTTCCAAAAAAAAACTTATAAAAATTATAGACTTAACGTTTCTTCTCTAATGGTTATTACGGACTAATATTTTTTGAGCTGATATACAGAAAGCAAAATCAAGTGCAGGTCAAATTTTGGGCATAGAAATTAAAACACGAGGACAGATTGAGTATTTTAGAAAGGATTTGAATTTGAATACCTTAGGCAAGGAAGGCTGGCACCCTCAGAGCATTCCTGCCACACCCTGCTGTTACACTCAGCTGCTTAGGTCCCATGTGGATTAAAGACAAGCAAGTTCACAGGAATTGTCTAGTGTGGCTGTTTACTGTCATCTTGTGCATAGGGAAGGAATTTAAGAACCGGCCGGGCGCGGTGGCTCATGCCTGTAATCCCAGCACTTTGGGAGGCCGAGGCGGGTGGATCATGAGGTCAGGAGATCGAGACCATCCTGGCTAACAAGGTGAAACCCCGTCTCTACTAAAAATACAAAAAATTAGCCGGGCGCGGTGGCGGGCGCCTGTAGTCCCAGCTACTCGGGAGGCTGAGGCAGGAGAATGGCGTGAACCCGGGAAGCGGAGCTTGCAGTGAGCCAAGATTGCGCCACTGCAGTCCGCAGTCCGGCCTGGGCGACAGAGCGAGACTCCGTCTCAAAAAAAAAAAAAAAAAAAAAAAAAAGAACCAAGCCCCCAAATCATACTAAGTCATTGAAAAGCTGCATGTGTACTGATTTCTTATGGTAATTGTCAAGAATATCTAAAATAATTCATGAACTGGCTTAGACTGGTTCCTGGCATGTAGTAAGCACACAGTCAAATTAAGTTGCCATTATTATTATTGAGTGTGTATTTCATGATTGAGGGAATCTAGTCATCTAGAACATGGTCAGAACGTGTGGGAAAAAAAATTAAAGGGGTTTGGTTCATTTCAGTCAACTGGGGGAGGATGGCCTTGAAGACAGCTGATACACAGCCTTGGTGAAAATAAGTTTGGAAAGAATAGTTTTAGTTCCTCAATCACTCTTAATATTAATCTCTCTTTCTCATACTTGTTTCTCTCCCTTCTATCTCTTGCTCCCTGTCTCCCCGTCCCTTCCCCCCTTCATCTCCCCCTCCTGTCTCCTCTCTCTTTTCTTTCTTTTTTTTTTGAGACGGAGTCTCACTCTGTCGCCCAGGCTGGAGCGCAATGGCATGACCTTGGCTCACTGCAACCTCCGCCTCTTGAGTTCAAGCAATTCTCTGCCTCAGCCTCCTGAATAGCTGGGATCGCAGGTGCCTGCCACCATGCCCAGCTAATTTTTTGTATTTTTAGTAGAGACGGGGTTTCACCATCTTGGCCAGGTTGGTATTGAACTCCTGATCTCGTGATCCACCCGCCTCGGCCTCCCAAAGTGCTAGGATTCCAGGCATGAGCCACTGCGCCCGGCTCTCTCTTTTCTTTCAGGGAGCGGAGTGAGGCATTGAGATCGGGTGGGTTTTGTTGTGGTTCTGGCTCCTCCCCTTCTAGCTCCCTCAAGTTGGAAGATTCCGAAAAATGCTGTAAACCTCATTTTTCTTATGTGAGTAATGGAACTAATGTCATATTTGCTGAAAGAAAAAACCCTGCCAGACCAGAATTCTATAACCAGAGAAAATACCTTTCAAAAATGAAGGTGAACTGAAATACAATTCCTAAGTAACTGAATTCTGTGCTTGTAATTGCTATGTGGTGCCTGTTCAGTGTCAGTTACTGGGTAAGATTCTAAAGATAAGTATATAAACAAGGAAAATACGGTTTGTTTTATGGCTTCAAAAATATTCCATGAACCTCATGAGAGACCATCAAAGTTCTGGATTCCTTCAAAGAATAACAGGGAAAGAGGCAAAAACAACAACAACAACAGCAACAACAAAAACACTAAGTTTTGTTTTGTTTTAATTTTTTTTTTTTTTTCCTCAAAAGACATTTCAGCCGGGTGCAAAGGCTCATGCCTGTAATCTCAGCACTTTGGGAGGCCAGGGCGGGCAGATTTTCTG
This sequence comes from Homo sapiens, assembly GCF_000001405.40. NCBI lineage: Eukaryota > Metazoa > Chordata > Mammalia > Primates > Hominidae > Homo > Homo sapiens. The sequence continues at coordinate 88,005,844 of NC_000009.12, forward strand.
AGCTCCGGAATTCAAGACCAGCCTGGGCAACATGGCGAAACTCCGTCTCTACTAGAAGAAATACAAAGAATTGGCCGGGCATGGTGGCACACGCCTGTAATCCCAGCTACTCAGGAGGCTGAGGCACAAAAATTGCTTGAACCTGGGAGGTGGAGGTTGCAGTGAGCCGAGATGGTGCCACTGCACTCCAGCATGGGCGACAGAGCTAGACTGTGTCTCCACAACAACAACAACAACAAACAAGACATTCCATAGTGAGTTGAGTTGATCTAGTCAAGACTATGTTTTTATTCACAAAGTATATTAGACACTCATAAATTAATATGTTCTTTCCATAAGAGATGGCTGGATGTGTTTTCTTGTTGTTGTTTTGTTTTTGAGACAGATTCTCGTGCCTCAGCCTCCCGGGTAGCTGGGATTACAGGCGCCCACCACTATGCCCGGCCAATTTTTGTATTTTTAGTAGAGACTTCACCATGTTGACCAGGCTGGTCTCGAACTCCTGGACTCAAGCAATCTGTCCGCCATGGCCTCCCAAAGTGCTGGGATTACAGGCGTGAGCCGCCGCGCCCAGCCAGGATTTGCAACATAGCTGTGAATCAACGAATTTTTTTTGTTGTTATTTGAGGCTAATGTTTCCAAAATCATGGAAAAAGGCTGCCTGGCAAATCAGTATAATCCTACTATTTAGGCCTAAAACAGTCTCCTTACTTTATGAAAAAGGCCGTGATGGGACCAGCGCCCCCACAGCCACACTGCAAAGAGGGTCCCAGACTCAGGCTCAGAAGAAGCAGCGCTCCCTGCAGGCCCCGAAGCTGGGTGGCACAAGCCGGGTCGCGGCTCTGGCGGGAGCGCGGGGACCTGCGGATCAGCACTAGCGCCGCTTCCAGGGTCATCCCTACTCTCAGGCTCAGGGGGCCCATCAGCCGCATGACCTGAAGCTTCTCTCAAGGAACCCCAAACCCCCCAACGCGGGGGACAGTCTCATCCGAGGACCACCCAGCCCCAGGGTGGCCCAGTCCCTGGACCGCTCCGCCACAGGACAACTCGGGGACTGCCCATCCGAGCACATCCTGTCCGAGGACCTTCCAGCGCCTGAGGATGCAGAGCAGGGGAAGGCGGGAAGCTCAGATGTCGTGTCCAGTACCTGCAGGCCCCAGAACTCGAGGCAGCCCCTGAGGCCGCAGTCCAGCCAGCGAGTAGGGAGGCCGGTCCAGGCAGCTCCGGCTCTCGCACGTCGGGGGACTCCCCAGGCTCCAGGCTCGCTCTGCGGCGCTCCTCCCGGGCCAGCTTCAGGATGGAAACGACAGGGCCCGCACGAGCATCTGAACGCTGATGTCCCGGCCATTCCTTAGCTGGCCGGCTCACCCCCATGCCCTGCCCTCGGTGTGGTGTGGTGGGGTGGGGTGTGGGTAGGTGTTCCTTTCTGCTCTGAGAGGCTATTGCCGCTCCATTTTAAGCCACAGGATGTAAAAGGAAATTTCACATGACTTGCAGAACTGTCTGGGAAGTCCCCACCTCTCCTCATAGCAGACTCCTGCGGTAAGCCACGCTAACCTCCCTCCTCTCCAGATTCTCTTCTGCTAAAGATTTTCTTGGTTTCTTTCCTCCTCTGAGCTGGCTCACACCTTATGTGGGTGTGCTTCGAGCGCTCAGAGGTCACAGACGCTCATTCCCGCCCTTTGGCGGCGTGGTTCCGACCCCCAACTCTTCCCGCAGCCCAGCCCCTCCTGCTGGGAAGGTGAAGAGGCGTCTGGCGGGACTTCTCAAGGGATGGAAGAACCTAGAAAGGAAAAAGTAGGCCACATAGCAAGAATGCCAGGGGTGCCTCAGACGGCATAGCGGCTTCTCAGACTGATCCTGTTAAAGAACTGAAATAGCAGATGCTCCCTGAAATGTTTCAAGACCCCCAAATGTGGTGACTGTCCCTGGAGAGGTACCCAGAAGCCATTTAAATCCTTTTGCCTGGAGAATCTGCAGAGCTCACAGTGGCTCATTCTGCCTTTGGCAGAAAAATAAAATGCCTCAGGTAACAAACTGAGTCAGTTTTTACATTTTCCCTCTAGGCCCTGACTTTAGGCAGCAGCTGCCTGAAGCCGGCTCTATAATTTATTTTTATCTTGCTCCTCTGTGACATGAGACAAGAAATACACCTAAAGTCATCACCCCTAATCTGGAGTTTCGCTTTCCACAATTTCAGTTACAGGAGGTCAACCTTGGTCCAAAAATATTAAATGGAAAATTCCAGAAATAAACAGTAAGTTTTAAATTGCATTCTGTTCTGAGTGGTGGGATGAAATCTTGCCCTGTCCAGCTCTGTCCCACCCAGTACATGAATCGCCCCTTTGTCCAGCATATCCACCCTGTCTATGCTACCTTCCCATTAGTCACTTATTAGCTGTCTCAGTTATCAGATCAGGAAGAAAAGTAAGTACAGGATAAGATATTTTGAGAGACAGAGAGAGAGACCACATTTACATAACTTTTATTGCAGTATATTGTTATAATTGTTCTATTTTATTATTGTTGTTATTAATCTCTTACAGTGCCTAATTTATAAATTGAACTTTATCATAAGGCCGAGCGTGGTGGCTCATGCCTGTAATCCCAGCACTTTGGGAGGCCAAGGTGGCCAGATCACCTGAGCTCAGGAGTTCAAGACCAGCCTGGCCAACATGGTAAAACCCTGTCTCTACTAAAAATACGAAAATTAGCCAAGTGTGGTGGCACGCACCTGTAATCCCAGCTACTCAGGAGGCTGAGGCAGGAGAATTGCTTGAACCTGGAAGGCAGAGGTTGCAGTAGCCAAGATCGCACTACTGCACTCCAGCCTGGGTGACAGAGCAAGACTCTGTCTCAAAAAAAATACATAAATAAATAAACTTTATCATAGTTATGTATGCATAGAAAAAAACCCAGAGTATAATATATATAGGGTTTGTTACTATCTGAGGTTTCAGACATCCACTGGGGGGTCTTGGGGGTCTTGGAATGTGTCCCCCATGGATAAGGAGGGGGGAAACTACTGTAGTTCTCTGTATAAGTGCCTGACCAAGCATTTTACAAATAATGGTATAATTTGCTGTCAGTGCATCACATTGTGTCTGTCAAAATGTTATTTTCTTGAACTTTAAGTAACCAAAACAATCTCAAAAACAATAAGGTTGGAGGTCTCATACATCTGGATTTGAAAACTTACTGCAAAGCTACGGTAATCAAAACAGTGTGGTACTGGCATAGAAACAGCCCCATAGACTAATGGAATAGAACAGAAAGCCCAGAAATAAACCTTTATATATATGGTCAAATGATTTTTATTTTTTTTTGGAGATGGAGTCTTGCTCTGTCACCCAAGCAGGAGTGCAGTGGTATGATCTTGGCCCACTGCAACTTCCATCTCCCAGGTTTAAGTGATTCTCCTGCCTCAGCCTCCCGAGTAGCCGAAACTACAAGCACACACCACCACACCCAGCTAATTGCTGTATTTTTAGTAAAGACAGGGTGTCACCATGTTAACCAGGCTGGTCTCAAACTCCTGACCTCAGGCAATCCACCCGCCTTGGCCTCCCAAAGTGCTGGGATTACAGACGTGAGCCACCCCGCCAGGCTTTCAAATGATTTTTTTTAACAATGATACCAAGACCATTTACAGGGAAAGAATAGTTTTTTCAAAAAATAGTGTTGAAAGGCTGGATATGGTGACTCATACCTGTAATCCCAGCACTTTGGGAGGCTGAGGCAGGAGGATTGCTTGAGCCCAGGAGGTCAAGATCAGCCTGGACAATATAGTGAGGCCTCATCTCTGAAAAAATAAAAATAATAAATGTTGTAGGGAGATTGAGTCTCCACATGCAACAGAATGAAGCTGGACCCTTACCCAGTGCCATATGCAAAAATTAACTCAAAATGGATCAAAGACCTAACTATAAAAGCTAAAACTGTAAGAATCTTAGGCTGGGCACAGTGGCTCACGCCTGTGGTCCCAGCATTTTGGGAGGCCGAGGCGGGCAGATCACGAGGTCAGGAGATCAAGACCACCCTGGCTAACACGGTGAAACCTCATCTCTAATAAAAATACAAAAAAATTAGCTGGGTGTGGTGGCAGGCACCTGTAGTCCCAGCTACTCGGGAGGCTGAGGCAGGAGAATGGTATGAACACAGGAGGCGGAGCTTGCAGTGAGCCAGGATTGTGCCACTGCACTCCAGCCTGGGTAACAGAGTGAGACTCCGTCTCGAAAAAAAAAAAAAAAACTATAAGAATCTTAAAAGAAGTCTTCCTTATATCAGATTTGACAATGATTTCTTGAATGTGATACCAAAAGCATGGGCAACATAAGAAAAAATAGATAAATTGAAGTCAATAAAAATGGAAAACTTTTTCCCTGGTGGTCTAGTGGTTAGAAAACAAACAAACAAACAAGTTTAAAACTTTGTGCATTAGAGGACACAATCAGTTCAGGCGCAGTGGCTCACACCTGTAATCCCAGCACTTTGGGAAGCCAAGGCAGGAGGATCACTTGAGGTCAGGAGTTCAAGACTAGCCTGGGCAACATGGTGAAACTTCATCTCTACTAAAGATACAAAAATTAGCCAGGCATGGTGGCACACAACTGTAATCCCAGCTACTTGGGAGGCTGAGGTGGGAGAATTGCTTGAACCCAGGAGGTGGAGGTTGCAGTGAGCTAAGATCATGCCATTGCTCTCCAGCCTGGGCAACAGAGCAAGGCTCCATCCCTTACCACCAAAAATATTATTTTCTTTTATGTGATAGTGATACCAATTCCTAAAATTAATATAGGGCCACAATTATGCAGAGTTCTTGGTTGGATTTATGGATGATAAAAGTCTTTTCCCATTATGACTGACCTTTCCACTCTTTTTTTTTTTTTTTTGAGATGGAGTGTCACTCTGTCGCCCAGGCTGGAGTGCAGTGGCGCAATCTCAGCTCACTACAAGCTCTGCCTCCTGGGTTCATGCCATTTTCCTGCCTCAGCCTCCCGAGTAGCTGGGACTACAGGCGCCCACCACCACGCCTGGCTAATTGTTTGTATTTTTAGTAGATACGAGGTTTCACCATCTTGGCCAGGCTGGTCTTGAACTCCTGACCTTGTGATCCACCTGCCTCGGCCTCCCAAAATGCCGGGATTACAGGCATGAGCCACCGAGCCTGGCCCCACCTTTTCACTCTTAAATCCAGATTTTTAATGAACAGAAGTTCTTGGCCTTAATAGAGTCAAATGTTTTTAATGGAGTCATTGTTTCCCTTTGTGGCTAGTGCTTTTTATGCTGTTTGAGAGCACTGTGCTTATCTGAGGTTTTATGAAAAGGCAGTACTGAGAGTTGGCAGGTGGATCTGCTTGCCCAAGGCTGGGAGCGAGAATCAGTGTAGAGCCAGTTGGGCTTCAAGGCCTTTGCCCAAGACTTTCTAAAAGCTGCTTTAAGGTTTTACTATGTCAGGGCTACAAGTTCTGCCTTTGAAACTTTCCACATTCTCTAGCAACTTAAATTCTTTTTTTTTTTTTTTGAGACGGAGTTTTGCTCTTGTTGCCCAGTCCTTTCTTTCTGACAGATTTGATGGCAAACTCATTCCTAATTGCCTGGCTTCTTGGTAGATGAAACCCCCTTCTCTTCCCAGGGCACTAGGTCTCTCTTTGGGAATCTGCCCCTGTAGAGAGCTGCCCTGTTCACTGCAGCTCCAAAATACTGGAGAAAAACTTAAATGTCTACCAGCAGAGGGAGGAAGAGTTAAAATAGAGAAAATCCAGGAAACTGAATTCTGTGCACCCACTAAATACTGCCAATGTGCTGGCAGGAAAGGATATCCAAGAGATGAGAAAACATATTTTGCAGTCTAATAGATTTAGCATGCTTACCTTTTTGTAAAATAAATAATATACTGTGTGTATTAATATAAGAAAATTCTGGGCCAGGTGCAGTGGCTCACATCTGTAATCCCAGCACTTTGGGAGGTCGAGGCAGGCAGATAACCTGAGGTCAGGAGTTTGAGACCAGCCCGGACAACATGTCTCTACTAAACATACAAAAATTAGAGGGGCATGGTGGTGGGTGCCTGTAATCCCAGCTACTTGGGAGACTGAGGCAGGAGAATCACTTGAACCCGGGAGGTGGAGGTTGCAGTGAGCTGAGACCATGCCATTGCACTCCAACCTGGGCAACAAGAGCAAAACGCCATCTCAAAAAAAAGAAAAAGAAAAAGAAAAAAAGAAAATTCTGGGAGGACAATATGAATAGTTACCTATTGGAGGGGAGGGGTTTTCTCTTGGAAGGGCAGGTACTGAGGGCTGTGGTGAGCCGAGGGCAGATGCTTCACTTTAATTTTATATCTTTTTAAAAAATTGTGGGATTATTGTTGGTTTTAACCTTATTTGTATGCTTTATCTTCCTCTGTAATTTTCCTAGTGAAACTAATAAAACAAGGCCAAGGCAGGAGGATCTCTTGAGGCCAGGAGCTCGAGAGGAGGCTGGGCAACATAGTGCAACCCGCCTTCTCTACAAAAAAATAAACAATAATACATAATAAAACAGGGCAGGGTGTGGTAGCTCATGCCTGTAATCCCAGCACTTTGGGAGGCTGAGGCAAGTGGATCTCTTAAATCTAGGAGTTCGAGACCAGCCTGGGCAACATGGTGAAACCCTGTCTGTACTAAAAATACAAAAATTAGCTGGGTGTGGTGGCGCAGGCCTATAGTCCCAGCTACTCAGGCGGCTGAGGTGGGAAGATTGCTTGAGCTTCGGAGGCAGATGTTGCAGTGAGCTGAGATCATGCCACTGTACTCCAGCCTTGGCCACAGAGTGAGACCCCATCTCAAAAACAAACAAAAACAAAAACAAACCTCACACACTAAATAAAACAAAGTTAAGACAGGAAGGAGAGAGATTTTGTCTCAGATGTCTGCATCCTTACCTTCAGACCCAGTCTCTGACTTTGTTTTCTAGTGAGATAAAAATAAATAGGCCCCCACATGTCAGAGTTGAATGATTTCTTAGAACTCGTGATCCAGTGACCTCCTTTTTCAGGTGATGCAGGGGTGCCGGCCCTCACCTGGAACCTGCAGTTCAGGTTAAAATGTTGGCTTTGCCACTTGTGGGTAAGGTCCCCTTTAGGGAAGTGATTTTCCATCTCCTAGCCTTCACCCCTGCAAACCCAGCTCCATGGTAATTGTAACAGTTTTCTGACTGCTAACAACCTACAGAAAAGAAGCTGGAGAAAAGTCACAACAAACAGGAGACAAGTGCAGTCCTCCTGTCTGGAGGTGTTAAAATATTCGGGCGGTGCTCAAAGGGCACCAGTGACATTTGTTTGCATCTCAATGGCATTTAAGGATAATCTATGCTGAGCAGCTTATTTCATCAAGCAGGAAGTGAGACCCAGAAAGCAAAGTCTTTTGCCAAAGAGTTCCTTAGGCAGGGACAGGTTCCAGGACAAAGGAGAGAGTGAAAGCTGCAGGAAGCTTGTCCTTCTCTCCACTAAGGAGACAATTCACAATCCCCAAAATGTGTCTCCTTTCTGGGAACTCTTTATCTCTGCACCTTGAAAGCTATCATCTCTCCAGGTGTTCTGGGCTCTGGTAGCCTTTTCTAGATAGGTGGGGAAGAGGTAGAGAACTTAGGCCAAGACTTGTCAAGAGTTTCCAAGGGCAATTTGGGGAAAAGATGAGAGGAGGACATGAACATCTGTTCCCAGCTGGGCTCATTGACTCAATCCTGTAATCTTAGCACTTTGGGAAGCCAAGGCGGGAGGTTTGCCTTGCAGTCAGGAGTTCGAGACCAGCCTGGGCAACATAGCGAGACCCCCACCCTCCCTGCCACCATCTCTACTAAAAAAGAAAAAAGAAAATAGACATCTGTCCCTAGGTGGAGGAGGGTTGGTGTTTCTCTTAGGAATACCTGTTTCCATGGAAACATAGGGATGACACCAGTCCCCAGGCCTGAGTTGGCAGCACAGCTCTACCGCACAACCATGCGGGCTGAGAGCAGTTTCAGTGTCCACCCTCCTGGAGCCGTGCTGCTCAGGAGAAATATAATGTCAGCCACATATGTAACATTACGTTTACACTAATAACATTCAACTAAAAAGAACCAGGTGAAATTGATTTTAATAATACATTTCATTTTACCCAATATGTCAAAAATGTTATTTTCACATGTAATGCATATAAAAATCACTGAGATAGGTCACATTCTGTTTTCCATGGTAAATCTCCAAAATCTGGTGTGTGTCCTGTCGTCTACTCACAGCACAACTCAATTCGGCCTCGCCATGTTCAGGTGCACAATCATTGTGTGTGGACCAGGGCTGCTGTCCTGGATAGCACAGGACAAGTGAACACGAACACCCTCCCTGCCCTTCTCCTCCCACACCTGCTAGTCTGTAAGAGGAGGAAGCAGCCCTTCTCGGGTTCAGTGTGGTAGTTCATGGTGGCTGAGACGGGCCAGAATCCCAGGGCTGCTCTGAGAGAGGAGCTCAGTCTGTGCTCTGGCCTTCTCTCTCAAAGAAATGGAGATAGGCCCAGCACTTTGGGAGGCTGAGGCAGGAGGATTGCTTGAGCCCAGGAGTTCAAAATCAGCCTGGGGAGCATAGTGAGACTTTGTCTCTAGAAAACAACAACAACAACAAAAATTATCCAAGTATGGTAGCACATGCCTGCAGTCGAGGCTGCTCAGAAGGCTGAGATGAAAGGATTGCTTGAGCCCCAGAGGTTGAGACTACAGTAAGCTGTGATCACACCACTGTACTCCAGCCTGGGTGACAGAGAAGACCCTGTCTCAAAAAAAAAAAGAAAAGAAAAGAAAAGAAAGAAAAGGGATAAAAGGATTAGGGGAGATTGTGAGGACTAATTAATACACATGAGGACTTAGGGTAGGACTTGGCCTAAAGGAAAGAGCAAAATACACCAACACTTGTGCTCCACATGGTCTTGTTTTGTCCCGCCAAGCACACAGCTAGAGTTGCCTCAAAATGCTGGCAGGGAAATTGCCAGAAGGGAGTGCCCCATACCATCCCAAGATGGGGTTGGTTGGGATTCCAAAGAAAGAAGCACTAGCCAGGCGCAGTGGCTCATGCCTGTAATCCCAGCACTTTGGGAGGCCGAGGCGGGTGGATCACAAGGTCAGGAGTTCGAGACCAGCCTGGCCAACATGGTGAAACCCCATCTCTACTAAAAATAGAAAAATTAGCCGGGCATGGTGGCGCACGCCTGTAGTCCCAGCTACTTGGGAGGCTGAGACAGGAGAATAGTTTGAACCTGGGAGGCGGAGGTTGCAGTGAGCTGAGATCGTGCCATTGCACTCCAGCCTGGGGACAAGAGTGAAACTAAGTCTTAAAAAAAAAAAAAAAAAAAAAAAAAAAAAAAAAGCACTAACACCAGTAACACCAGGGTGATGAATCCAGAGCATTTATTAGGGAACCTACATACAGAGGCTGCAGCAACCCACTCGAGGGACAGCGAGAGACAAGCATCTTCTCCCTAGGTATGTCTGCAGTAGGGGGACCAGGGTTTATAGATGTCAGGGTTGAAGGAATTTAGCTGAGGGTCAGGGCCAGTTTCTTTCTGTGTTTTTGGCAAACAACCTAGGTATCTTTATCAATGCTGAGGCCCAGCTTTGGGTCAAGCCTGCAGGGAAAAACCTGTAGCTGACTGCATCACAGAGTGGTTAAGGCACTGTGTGATTTTTGATCAAGAATGTTAGGGGAGCCAGAGATCACCTCCAGCCCCACTTTTAGCTCTCAGTGGTCTCTTCAACTGGATCTAGAAACCAAATGATACCAGGTAGATTTTTTTTTAAAGCAAATCATTTTTATTTTTATTTTTAAAAACTTATTTATTTATTCATGTATTTAGAGACGGGGTTTCACTGTTTCCTGGGCTGGAGAGCAGTGGTGCAATCACAGCTCACTGCAGCTTTGACTTTCTGGGCTCAAGTGATCCTCCCACTTCAACTTCCTGAATAGCTGGGACCACAGGCACCTACCATGCCAATCTAATTCTTCTTTTTTTAGACGAAGTCTCACTCTGTCATCCAGGCTGGAGTACAGTGGTGCAATTTTGGCTTACTGCATTCTCTGCCTCCCGGGTTCAAGCGATTCTCCTGCCTCAGCCTCCTGAGTAGCTGGGATTACAGGCGAGCTCCACCACGCCTGGCTAATTTTTGTATTTTTAGTAGAGACAGGGTTTCACCACGTTGGTCAGGTTGGTCTCGAACTCCTAACTTTGTGATCCGCCTGCCTCAGCCTCCCAAAGTGCTGAGATTACAGATGTGAGCCACCATGCCCAACCTCTGTAGTGAGTCTCAACAGAGCAGAGTTCATTGCACAGCATTGGATGACCCAGCCCCTACCCCCGATTTTACTTGAGAATGAATTTGGGGCCGGGTGTGGTGGCTCAAACCTGTAATCCCCTTTCCCAGCCCCAGCCCGGCCCTTGCAGCTGCAGAGATGTTGATGCCTAAGAAGAACCGGATTGCCATTTATGAACTCCTTTTTAAGGAGGGAGTCATGGTGGCCAAGAAGGATGTCCACATGCCTAAGCACCCGGAGCTGGCAGACAAGAATGTGCCCAACCTTCATGTCATGAAGGCCATGCAGTTTCTCAAGTCCCGAGGCTATGTGAAGGAACAGTTTGCCTGGAGACATTTCTACTGGTATCTTACCAATGAGGGTATCCAGTATCTCCGTGATTACCTTCATCTGCCCCCAGAGATTGTGCCTGCCACCCTATGCCGTAGCCGTCCAGAGACTGGCAGGCCTCGGCCTAAAGGTCTGGAGATTGAGCGACCTACGAGACTCGCAAGAGGGGAAGCTGACAGAGATACCCACAGATGAGTGCTGTGCCACCTGGTGCCGGCAAGAAAGCTGAGGCTGGGGCTGGGTCAGCAACCGAATTCCAGTTTAGAGGCGGATTTGGTCATGGACGTGGTCAGCCACCTCAGTAAAATTGGAGAGGATTCTTTTGCATTGAATAAACTTACAGCCAAAAATCCTTAAAACAAACAAACAAACAAACAAACCTGTAATCCCAGCACTTTGGGAGGCCGAGGCGGGCAGATCACGAGGTCAGGAGTTCGAGACCAGCCTGACCAACATGGTGAAATCCCCATCTCTACTAAAAATACAAAAATTAGCTGGGCATGCTGGCATGCGCCTGTAATCCCAGCTACTCAGGAGGCTGAGGCAGAAGCATCCCTTGAACCCGGGAGGCAGAGGTTGCAGTGAGCCGAGATTGCACCACTGCACTCCAGCCTGGGTGACGGAGCGAGACTCCATCTCAAAAAAATAAATAAATAAATAAAAGAATGACTTTAGGAGAGTTTGGCCAATACCACTAATAAGAATAGTTGTTGCTATCAGTTGAACAAAAACGAAAGAATCTTGCCAGTCCAACATTTAATTTCCTTCCCTCTTTCCCAACACTCCTCCTCCTCCCATTCTCTCTTCTGGAAATCCTGTCATAACATTGGAATCCATGAACTTAATCTCTGATTTTAACATTTTCATTTTCATCTCTGTACTTTTGCTCCACCTTCTGAGAGATTTCCCCAACTTGCTCTTCCAACTATTCTACTAAGTTTTTAATTACTCACCTTTTGTTTTTCCTCTGTTCTGAATGCTCTTTTTAACAGCAACCTCTTTGTTTTTCATAGTTATATATTCATATGCATACTCTAAATAGGCATAGATAGATGTGTAATATCATCAAAGAAATTCTAAATATGTGAACATGATAATACATTTCCATAGTTTTGTTCCTCCAACTTGCTTCTGTCTCTGCTTGTTTTGGCCCATATCTTCCATTTTAGAGGCTTTGTCTGGTAAATCTTGGTTGTCTGCTCAGGGTTTTTTCTTTTTTGGGGGATAGGGTCTCACTCTGTTGGTCAGTCTGGAGTGCAATGGTGCAACCAAAGCTTATTGTAGCCTCCATGGTTTCTTGGGCTTAAGTGATCCTCCTCCCTCAGCCTCCCAAGTAGCTGGGAGTACAGGCATTTGCCACCACTCCTGGCTAGTGTTATGAGTTTTTTTGTAGAGACAGGGTCTGGCTATGTTGCCCAGGCTGGGCTCCAACACCTAGGCTCAAGCAATCTGCCTGCCTCGGCCTCTCAAAGTGCTGAGATTACAGGCGTGAACCATTGCACCCAGCCTGGCTTGCAGTTAGAAATATGGAACTGAACAACTTATTGGAAGTCTTGTAAGTAGGTGTGGCTTGTTTACCTTGCAATTCACCGTGAGGTCTGTGTGTATGCTATTAGGGAACCCAATACGTGTATCAATATTACTTGCTTTTTCCTCATGTACTGTTCAGATTCTCCAGAAAGTAGTCTTCCAATTTCCTGTTTGAAGGGTTCTTATGTGGTTTTAGCATTCTGTGAGCCAAGAGGGCTGGGGCTGTCAGCAATCAGTTTGCATCAATGTAATTGCGTCCCTTTTTGAGGAATGTGCCCTTAAGCTCAACTGTTGTGGTCAACTCTCAGCCCAAAGGTCCTCTCAAGAAAATAGACCTCCAGCGTTCTGCTGAATGTTACCCAGCCCTGTGGGGTGGGGAATGGGATCGAGGGATCCAACTGCTTCTTAAACATCTTGATTCTCAGCTGAACTCGCTTCTGGCCTAGAATTATCTTTCTTAGGCTAGGTGTGGTGTCTCACACCTGTAATTCCAGCACTTTGGGAGGCCAAGGTGTGCAGATTACCTAATGTCAGGAGTTCGAGACCAGTCTGGCCAACATGGCAAAACCCCCGTCTCTACTAAAAATACGAAAATTAGCCAGGTGTGGTGGCACACACCTGTAATTCCAGCTACTTGGGAGGCTGAGGCAAGAGAGTTGCTTGAACCTGGGAGGTGGAGGTTGCAGTGAGCTGAGATTGTGCCATTGCACTCCAAGCCTGGGCAACAGACTGAGACTCTGTCTAAAAAATAAATAAATAAATAAATAAATTTAAAAAATCATCTTTCTTAGGTTTGCAAAATTAATCATTAGTTTTCTTTATTTTTCCAGCTTTCAAAGTTGATTGCTGTTTTCTCGTTTCCTGTTAAGGGAGTATTAGATTTTTCCAATGTTGGCTACCACAATATCTCTAACTCTATACCCTCTTCTTGCAATAATTTTGACACTTGAAAAGTAGAGTCTCTGTTTTCTCCTCTTAGATTTGCATGGGTTTTTGACTAGGATGAAGTTGATTCTCTGCAACTTCTAAAATGAGGTCATAAAAGAAGGTCATTTCCACCTGGTTTTCTTGGGAAGCTATGTCATGAAGAAGCCCAAACTAGTCCATGCAGAGATACCACATAGTGGGGCTATGTGTAGTTGTTTCAGCCAAAAGTCCAGTGATGCCCTGGTCAACAGGGATTATCATTTTTTTTAATTAAATTAAATTTATTTTATTTTATTATTATTTATTTATTTATTTTTGAGACAGAGTCTTGCTCTGTTGCCCGGGATGGAGTGCAGTGGTGCGGTCTCAGCTCACTGCAACCTCCGCCTCCTGGTTCAAGCAATTCTCCTACCACCTCAGGCTCCCGAGTAGCTGGGATTACAGGCGCCCACCACCATGCCCGGCTAATTTTTGTATTTTTAGTAGAGATGGGGTTTCACCATGTTGGCCAGGCTGGTCTCGAACTCCTGACCTCAGGTGATCCACCTACCTTGGCCTCCCAAAGTGCTGGGATTACAGGTGTGAGCCACCGTGCCTGGCCTCTTTTTTTTTTTTTTTCTTTTTTAAATAAATAGAGATGAGGTCTTGCCATGTTGCTCAGGCTGGTGTCAAACTCCTGGGCTTAAGCGATCCTCCTGCCTTGGCCTCCCAAAGTGCTGGGATTATAGGCATGAACCACCTTGCCCAACTATCAATTCTATTTTTTTTTGAGACAGAGTCTCCCTTTGTCACCCAGGCTGGAGAGCAACGGCGAAACCTCGGTTCACTGCAACCTCTGCCTCCCAGGTTCAAGCAATTCTCCCTGCCTCAGCCTCCCGAGTAGCTGGGATTACAGGAGCCCACCACCATGCCCGGCTAATTTTTGTATTTTTAGTAGAAACAGGGTTTCGTCATGTTGGTCAGGCTGGTCTCGAACTCCTGACCTCAGGTGATCTGCCCACCTCGGCCTCCCAAAGGGCTGGGATTACAGTGATGAGCCACCACGCCCGGCCTTATTGATTCTTAATATGTGAATGAAGATGACTCCCGATGATCCAGCCCCAGCCATTGAGTTGTCCTAGCTGAGGCCCTAGACACTGTGGAACAGAGACAAGCCATCCCTGGTCTGCTCAGTTTAAATTCTTGAGCCATAGGATTTGTGTGTATAGTAAATGATGGTGGCAAAGCTGCAGCACTAAATTTGGGGATGGTCTGTGATGCACCAATAGTAATGGGAATATCTGTTTTCTTTCTTTCTTTTCTTTTTTTTTTTTAAGATGGAGTCTCACTCTGTCGCCCAGGCTGGCATGCAGTGGTGTGATCTCAGCTCACTGCAACCTCTACCTCCCAGCTTCAAGTGATTCTCCTGCCTCAGCATCCTGAGTAGCAGGGATTACAGGAGCATGCCACCGTGCCTGGCTACCATTGTATGTTTTAAATATCCACTGAAAGTCATTTACTATTCCCCTAAAATCATCCACACTTTTCCATCTCCCTTTCTCTTAAGCAGTAAGGTGTAAAAGCATTTGCACCCCATTGAGATACTGGGCAATCACTCTGTGGTTCTCCCCTGTGCACACCAATAAACTTCTGTGCCTTCTCTCCAATTAATCTGCCTTTTGTGAGTTGATTTTTTAGCAAATCTTCAGAGGGCAAAGGGGAAATTTTCCCTTGGCCCCTGAAACCACTTGACCCCATTAGCTCTCATTCTGACCAGCAAAGTAAAGAAGAATGGATCCCCCAGGATTTTCTAGGATATCTAAGTTTGTCATATTTCCATTGTGAAGTTTGTAGTAGATACACTGTCAAATCATACTTGACATTTTATTTTTTATTTTAAAGAATCTTTTATTTTAGATTCAGGGAGTACCTGTGCAGGTTTGTTACCTGGGTATATTGTGTGATGCTGAGGTTTGGGGTACGATTGATCCTATCACCCAGGTACTGAGCACAGTACCCAATAGTGAATTTTTCAACCCCCACCCCCTCTCTCCCCTCTCTAGTAGTGCGTGCCTTCCTTCCGTCCTTCCTTCTTCTTCCTCTTTTCCTTCCTTCCTTCTTCTCTCTCTCCTTCTCTCTTTCTCTCTTTCTTTCTTTCTTTTTGTCTCACTCTGTCGCCCAGGCTGGAGTGCAGTGGCACGATCTTGGCTCACTGCAACCTCCGCCTCTGGGTTCAAGCAATTCTCCTGCCTCAGCCTCCCAAGTAGCTGGGACCACAGGGGCACACCGCCATTCCTTGCTAATTTTTTGTATTTTAGTAGAGATGGGGTTTCGCCATGTTGCCCAGGCTGGTCTCGAACTCCTGAACTCAGGCAATCCTCCTGCCTCGTCCTCCCAAAGTGCTGGGTTTACAGGCATGAGCCACTGCACCCGGCCATAGAGTCGCAGTGCCCAGTTTCTATTGTTGCCATCTTACTGTCCATGAGTACCCAATTTTCAGCTCCCACTTTTTTTTTTTTTTTTTTTTTTTTTTAATGAGGCGGAGTCTAGCTGTGTGGCCAGGCTGGAGTGCAGTGGCGCAATCTCGGCTCACTGCAACCACTGCCTCCCGGGTTCAAGAGATTCTCCTGCCTCAGCCTCCCGAGTAGCTGGGACTGCAGGTGCCCGCCACTACGCCCAGCTAATTTTTGTATTTTTAGTAGAGACGGGGTTTCACCATGTTGGCCAGGATGGTCTCAATCACCTGACCTTGTGATCCGCCCACCTCGGCCTGCCAAAGTGCTGGGATTACAGGCGTGAGCCACTGCGCCTGGCCTTCTCTCTCTCTCTCTTTAAAAGATGTTATAAGATCCAAAAACCAAGCTGCTGCCACGGTTGCCGCCATATTCTTGGGTCTCCATTTTAAAGCTTTCTGGGAAGAGAGAGCCTCTCATTTCTCTTTGACAATTAATCCTTCGGGCAAGGAACTTACAGTTTTGTGTGAACTAACTTGTTTATTCTGAATCCAGCTCATTGTCTTTTAGCCGGGCATCTGGGGGAACTTCTCACGGTTCTCAGGGGCACTGTTCACCTGCAGCCAAGTTTCCTGACGGTTGCCCCGTCTCCTCCACAATGAGCGGCCCTTTACCGCTCCTTCAAGACCGAACCCTCAAGTCAATGTGCGCGGCTCTTCAACCAGGCACCCCACAGAGCTAGAGCAGAATAAAAAATCCTGCCGCTTCTTCAAAGAAATGAGTTTCCATTTTTAAAAGAGTCTAGTTTTAGGGAAAAATCAGTAGTTTTCCTTTCCTCTTATTGCTTCAATTTCCTTCACCACAAATAACTCGGTGGTCAGTCCTGCCACATCAACACCTCTGGTTTTACCTGACCCACCTTTGTAAGACCAGCAAGAGAAACAATAGATGTATGTTTGTACAGTTGGGAGTTACCCCAATTGTTTTCTCTAGTTCTCTCCCAGATCTGATTTTTTTAAAGATCTGCCTTTAAATTTGGAAGTCTCACTTTTGTACCTAAAGACTGATAGCGCATATATATGTGTGTGTGTGTATATATATATATATATATATATACACACACATATATATATATACTTTTTTTTTTTTTGAGACGGAGTCTTGCTCTGTCGCCAGGCTGGAGTGCAGTGGCACGATCTGGGCTCACTGCAACCTCCGCCTCCCAGGTTCAAGCGATTCTCCTGCCTCAGCCTCCCGAGTAGCTGGGACTATAGGCGCGTGTCACCACGCCCGGCTCATTTTTTGTATTTTTAGTAGAGACGGGGTTTCACCATGTTGGCCAGGCTAGTCTTGAACTCCTGGCCTCAGGTAATCCACCCACCTCGGCCTCCCAAAGTGTTGAGATTACAGGCATGAGCCACCGTGCCCCGCCAATTTGATATTCTCTAAGGGCTGTTTTGTAACAAAATGGAAGCAGTGGAAAGCGAATAAAAGAAAGAATATACTTGGTTCTGAGCTCAACTTACAGTCAGAGTGACATGGTTTGGACATTGACCCCTCCAAATCTCACATTAAAATATAATCCTCAAAGTTGGAGGTGGGGCGTGGTGGGAGGTGTCACGGGAGCGGATCCCTCTGGAAGGGCTTGGTGACCTCCCTGTGGTAATGGGTCAATTCTTGCTCTATTAATTCATGCAAGAGCTGGCTGTTTAAAAAAGCCTGGCATCTCTTTTGCTTCCTCTCTTGTCATGTGACACACTTGCTCCCTGCTCATCTTCCGCCATGAGTGAAAATGTCCTGAGGCCTCCCCAGAGGCTGAGCAGATGCGGGTACCATGCTTACACGGCCTGCAGAACTGTGAGCCCAGAAATCTCTTTTCTTTAGAAATTGTCCAGTCTGAAGAATTCCATTAGCAATGCAAAATGGGCTAATACACACATTAAGTAAAGCGATCTAGGGGCAATTTAAATACATTTTTAAAGTTATTTTTTTTTCAAGAGTCATCTTGCATCAGTCTACTTCCTACTTACAGGCTGAAAGCAGTCACCGCCCATTACTCAATAAACAGGTAAGAAGAAAATGGGTAATCTAGTCACCTTCCAGGCCCTGGGTGTTTCTTCCTCATGCATATGCTAAACACCTTGAAATCCTTTAACAAGCGGTTGGTTCTGGTCTTGATATGCATGTGAGAAAATGAAGCCAAAGGACTATGGGCAGAATATGACCTGTGCATTGTGTGTGCCCGGAAGGGGAGAAGCTGGCTGTTGGTGGTGGTGGGGGGACAGGGATGGGGTGTATGTATGGGCATCCTATGGGAATTTTGTCTGGGTCCTGAAGGAAGACTTAAGTAATATATTCAAAAATAATAAGCCAGATTGTTTGATTAAAAATTCTCTCTCTCTTTCTTTTTCCTTTTTTTGAGACGGAGTGTTGCCTGAGCTGGAGTGCAATGGCGCGATCTCAGCTCACTGCAACCTCTGCCTCCTGGGTTCAAGTGATTCTCCTGCCTCAGCCTCCCAAGTAGCTGGGATTACAGGCACAGCCACCATGCCCGGCTAATTTTTGTATTTCTAGTAGAGACAATTTCACCATGATGGCCAGGCTGGTCTCGAACTCCTGACCTCAGGTGATTTGCCTGCCTCGGCCTCCCAGTGTGCTTGGATTACAGATGTGAGCCACTGCACCTGGCCTAAAAAATTCTTTAAGTGCATTAATTAGGATTTACTGCATAGCTCTTCCACGAAATACACCTTTATAACTGCAGAGGAGGAAATATGTAATATCCCTGAACCATAGAAAGATGCTCAGTAGAGATGTAGGCAAAGAACATGGAAAGACAGGACCATACATAATAGCCGATGAGTTTCAAAGCCCATAGATAACACAGGTACCATATAATACAGGTTGCCAGAGTTTGTCTTTTTTTTTTTTGAGATGGAATTTTGCTCTTGTTGCCCAGGCTGGAGTGCAATGGCATGATCTCAGCTCTCTAAAAACCTCCGCCTCCTGGGTTCAAGCTATTCTCCTGCCTCAGCCTCCCAAGTAGCTGGGATTATGGGCAAACACCACCATGCCCAGCTAATTTTTGTATTTTTAGTAGAGACAGGGTTTCACCATGTTGGCCAGGCTGGTTTCGAACTCCTGACCACAGGTGATCCTCCCGCCTCGGCCTCCCAAAGTGCTGGGATTACAGGCGTCATCCACCGCTCCTGGCCAAGTCAAAGTTGTTTTGACTTGCAGTGCTTAGAAAGGGCTTTGGAAACTTTTTACTAGGTTTGAGGGGTAATGGGAGAGACTTCATGCAAATTCATGCAAAATCCACAAGTGATAATAAAAGATAAGATATGTTCTAGGGACGATGAAGGGACCTGCTTGTGGATCACATGATGGTGATCATTGATAACTATTTGAAAATGACTCCAGATCCTGCAACTTTTTTCTACTATTATCTGCATGATAGGCTGCAAGAGGAGCAGTAGTTTGATGATATCTCCTCAGGTGACTTCCTGGCACTCATTCAGTCAATAGCTGATGCATGGCCTGCTAACCTGGTTATATTTCACTTCCCTCTGAAGCCTGTTTCTCAAAGCCACTACTTCAGGACTAAACATGCAGTCATTTGTAGATGCCTTTGTATGGGAAAGGAGACATCAATGGGGACTTAGGAAATCATCTAATTAAGAGGCTTTCACTCGAAGGTCTAATTTGAATGAATTCACATTGTAAGAGGGAAGTGAACTGTTAGGATTCACTGCAGGCTTTCCTGCGTCTCAGTCCAGTGCCTGTTAGCTCACGGCAGAAAGACATACTTGTCAAAGAAAGTTATTATGCATTACTTTCTTTACTTCCAAAGAAGAACGCAAATGTTCTCCATGAAAGCAAGGGCAGTAGGAGGAGGGGGCAGGCTGGGGCTCTTGCTCACTACCTGCTGCCCTGAAATCCTAGAGTCTTGTTTAACACCACATGGCACTTCTCATGTAGCATTTTTGAAGGACTTTCAATCCAGTGCCACCCCAAGGAAATATGCCTTCTCCGTAGCTGGCTGTCTGGAATGGACTCTGGGTGAGATTGGCCCCTCTGAATTCCTGGCTTTGCGGCACATGCAACCATCAGATCCAGGCTGCTCCCAGGAAAGGGACAAAACTTGGCAGAGGGCAGTTCCTGGGGGCAGAGGGCAATTCCTCTGAGGCCCCCAGCAGGTGGCACTCTGGCAGCTTGGGGAGGGAACTGGGAAGGGGTGGAGACCCTGGGTTCTGAAGGGCAGGAGTCGAGCTCCTGCAGTAGACCAGTCCTTTTGATGCTTGGCAAAGGCCCTGGCCCTCCAGGATGCAGCTATTGTCTTTAGCCTTGATATGTCATGGTCACATTTCCCAACTCAAATATTTTTTGTATCTCTTTATTATCCTAAGCCATAGCACTAATTAGTTGCCCCATAGAAGTTAGCACCCAGGGAAGAGCTGTTTCTCCATAAGCCATTTCACTTGGGATGAATGTGTCAATGCACAGGGAAGACCCGCCGCTGTAAAGCGGCATGGCCAGAGTCTGGTTCTGTGGCACTGCTGCTCGTGACACAGAGTCAGCAGCAAGGGCTTCCCCATGGGGAGGGCCTGTTTGCTTAGCATCATTCCTAGGGTCATTTGTGTGTGCCACGAAGAGGGGGCACCCCTTTCTCTTTCCTAACTCTGATCTTGAGAAGCATGCAATGGGCAGAGGAATTTGCAAATCTCACTTGTTTGAAAGTGATGTCCCTCCTTGAAAATTGCATTCAGCAATTTAAATGTAGACATTTTGACCTTACAGTACTCTGAGGATGGGATTAACAAATTCCCATTTAAAGCTACTTTTGCATTTGTTGAGGAATATTGTTGCATGCATGTGTTAATTTGCTAGGGCTTCCATAACAAAGTGCCACAGTGGGGGGCTTAAAGAACAGATATTTATTCTCTCCCGTTCTAGAGGTTGGAAGTCCAAAATCAAGGTGTGGGCAGAGTTGATTCCTCCTGAGTCCTCTCTCCTTGGCTTGCAGAAGGCTGAGGCTGTATTCTCCCTGTGTCCCCACTGTGTGTGTCTATGTCCTCATCTCTTTTTTTTTTTTTTTTTTTTGAGACAGAGTTTCGCTCTTGTTTCACAGGCTGGAATGCAATGGCGCAATCTCGGTTCACTGCAACCTCCGCCTCCTGGATTCAAGCGATTCTTCTGCCTCAGCCTCCTGAGTAGCTGGGATTACAGGCATGCGCAACCACGCCTGGCCAATTTTGTATTTTTAGTAGAGACAGGGTTTCTCCATGTTGGTCAGGCTGGTCTCGAACTCTCGACCTCGGGCGATCCTCCTGCCTCGGCCTCTCAAAGTGCTGGGATTACAGGTGTGAGCCGCTGCACCCAAGCCTTTTCTTATGGGACCCAGTCAGATTGGATTAGGGCCCACACATCCATATGACATCATTTTTAATTGATTACCTCTGTAAAGGCCCCTCCTCCAAATATAGTCACCTTCTGAGGTTCTTGGGGTTAGCATTTCAACATATGACATTTGAGAGGCACCATGCAGCCATCACACGGAATAATCTGTTAGTTTCAGTACTCAGGGTCTGCTCTGTTAGGACACACACTCCCAAAGAATTGCTTTTAGACCTTGGTCCTAAATGATTTTTCCTTTAAAAAGCTGGTATTCTTATTTTTATTTATTTATTTTTTTGAGACGGAGTCTCGCTCTATTGCCCAGGCCGGAGTGCAGTGGCACAGTCTCGGCTCAGTGCAACCTCTGCCTCCCAGGTTCAACAGATTCTCCTGCCTCAGCCTCTCGAGTAGCTGGGACTACAGGTGCCCACCACCACGCCTGGCTCATTTGTTTTTTTTTTTTGTATTTTGTTGTAGAGATGGGGTTTCACTGTGTTAGCCAGGATGGTCTCGATCTCCTGACCTCATGGTCCACCTGCCTCGGCCTCCCAAAGTGCTGGGATTACAGGTGTGAGCCACCGCGCCTGGGTCCTAGCTTGCTCTTTTATGTGGGCAGCAATGTGCCTGGAACCCTCCTCACCTCTTATTGACATCCTTGTCCTTGCAGGAGGACTCTAACCTTAAATTGTTATCACCCAACCTTGTCTGTGACATCCAGATTCCAAAAGTAATAAAATTTTAAATGAAATAAACTGGTAATGAATAAAGCAGTCATGAACTGTCTTTATCAAATAAAGGACCTTTTGGTACCAAAGTGATTCATACATACAAAAAAAGTCTAGGAATATAAGAGTCTTACTGCCAAGCACAGTGGCTCATGCCTGTAATTCCAGCACTTTGGGAGGCCAAAGCGGGTGGATCACCTGACGGTGGGAGTTTGAGACCAGTCTCTACTAAAAATACAAAATTAGCCGGTGTGGTGGCACATGCCTTGTAATCCCAGCTACTCAGGAGGCTGAGGCAGGAGAATCACTTGAACCCAGGAGGAGGAGGTTGCAGTGAGCCGAGATCTTGCCATTGCACTCCAGCCTGGGCAACAAGAGCGAAACTCCATCTCAAAAAAAAAAAAAAGGTCTTACTTTTGCATTCTTGTTCTTACATTTTGTCTGTCAAAGTCAATAGAGGATCCATTTACTTGTGAAATTAGTTTCCTAACCATATGCCATCCTTCCTCCTAACTCCGTAATTTTCTTTTTCTTTTTTTTTTTTGAGATGGAGTCTCACTCAGCTGCCCAGGCTGGAGTGCGGTGGCGTGATCTCAGCTCGCCGCAACCAACATCTCCCAGGTTCAAGAGATTCTCCCGTCTCAGCCTCTCAAGTAGCTGGGAATACAGGCACCCGCCATCATGCCCGGCTAATTTTTGTATTTTAGTAGAGTCAGGGTTTCACCATGTTGACCAGGCTGGTCTTGAACTCCTTACCTCAGGTGATCCACCCACCTCGGCCTCCCAAAGTGCTGGGATTACAGGCATGAACCACAGCGCTCGGCCCTAACACCGTAATTTTTGCATGGTACAATGTAAGCTATTTCTGCTTAAAACTAAAATATGCTTGTAATTGACAGCAAGATAAGCATAAGGTTTTGCATGACTCAGCCAGGTTAATCAAAGAGGATGGTTGCTATTTTGGGAGAAAGGAAGTTAATTAAATATGTAACTAATTTTATATTAGAGAAAACTAATATAATTAAACTGCAGTTTTGAGTGGTATGAGTCAGTATGATGATTAAGAGTGGGAGTCATGAAAAAATACAGTATTTATTAACTATCGGGGGATTGACATATGAAGTCTTCAAAAAGTTTGGGATGGGCTTGGTTATGTGTAATCGTCATGAATTTTTTGTTCAAGTATTTAAAATGTTCAGTGAAAGCTATATAACTACATTACAAACTTTATTTGTGATTTCTAGCAATCTTCCAAGTGAGGTGGAGAAATTAAAGATCTAGAATGCACCTCTGTTGGCCGGAAGCAGTGGCTCTTGCCTGGAATCCCAGCACTTTGGGAGGCCGAGGCAGGCAGATCACGAGATCAAGAGATCGGGACCATCCCGGCCAACATGGTGAAACACTGTCTCTACTAAAAATAAAAAATTAGCTGGGCACGGTGGCGGGTGCCTGTAATCCCAGCTACTCGGGAGGCTGAGGCAAGAGAATCGCTTGAACCCAGGAGGCGGAGGTTGCAGTGAGCCGAGATAGCACCACTGCACTCCAGCCTGGCAACAGAGTGAGACTCCATCTGAAAAAAAAAAAAAAAAAGAGAACCTCTGTGTGGAGGAAAACAATTCTATTAGAGGAAATAAAAGGCACAGGGAGGGCACAGGGAGGAATGTCATATTATTTTGGTACAAGCAGATTTCCAAATACTTAATTAGCAAAAAGTGTTTATCAGAAATCTTGTTTTCTTCTGTATGTTTCATCACACTTTAAAT
The DNA here is from genome assembly GCF_000001405.40 of Homo sapiens. Lineage (NCBI taxonomy): Eukaryota > Metazoa > Chordata > Mammalia > Primates > Hominidae > Homo > Homo sapiens. The sequence goes on from NC_000009.12 coordinate 88,029,266, forward strand.
TAGCAAAGAATATTGCCTTTCATCAACATCAAGATGAGGAGAGATAAATTCTGCGTGTTGCAAGGAAGAAGAAAAATAATGAGTAAGGAAGGAGCTCATTGTAAGGATGATTCTTGGCAGAAGCAAGTGGTAGCTCACAGAGGGTGGTGGTAGTGAGAAAATGGTTCCTGTCCTCCACCCCAGGGCTCAACCTTCAGATTTGTGCTTATGTCTGGTCTCCAGCCAGGGGCAGAGAAGAACTGAAGGATAAAACAGGAAAACCTATTGAGAGGGGCAACTGAGATCCTCAATCATAGGTTACTGTAAGGTGAAAATTGCCTGCTCTTTCTTTCTTTCGTTTTTTTCTTTGAGCAGAGTTGCTCTGTCACCCAGGCTGGAGTGCAGTGGCACCATCTCGGCTCACTGCAACCTCTGCCTCCCAGATTCCAGCTATTCTCCTGCCTCAGCCTACTGAGTAGCTGAGACTACAGGTGCCCGCCACCACGCCCAGCTAATTTTTGTATTTTTAATAGAGATGGGGTTTCACCATGTTGGCCAGGCTGGTCTTGAACTCCTGACCTCATGATCTGCCCACCTCGGCCTCCCAAAGTGCTGGGATTACAGGCATGAGCCACCATACCCAGCCTGCCTGCTCTTTCAAATGGAATCCTACAGTTGTCACATCTGGGGTACGTGCACTATTGTCTTTATTGTAAAGGAAAACTGGCATTTACATGGTGTCTCAGTTTGCTTGGGCTATTGTAACAAAGTACAGCAGGTCCTAGAATAAGGTCATTTTGTTTTTATTTATTTTGAGACAGGGTCTTGCTCTGTTGCCCAGACTGAAGTGCAGTGGCACAATCATGGCTCAAGTGATCTTCCTCCGTCTCAGCCTCCCAAGCAGCTGGGACAACAGGCCCCTGCCACTATTTCTGGCTAATTTTTAAAAAATATTTTTTGTAGAGACTGGAGTCTTCCTGTGTTGCCCAGTCTGGTCTCAAACTCCTGTGCTGAAGCGATCCTACTGCCTCAGCCTCCCAAAGTGCTAGGATTATATCCATGAGCCACCTCCCCTGGCCTCAACAGGTCTTTATTATAAGGTCGATGAGAAAAGAATAATCCTCACCTGGGGCCACTACCTGTGTTGGAGTCTGTCTGCATGTTCTCCCCATGTCTGTGTGGGTTTTTTCTGGGTGCTCTCGTTTCCTCCTTGATCCCATGATTGTGCCCATTAGGTGAACTGATGTGTCTACGTGGTCCCAAGGTGAGTGAGGGTGGGCATGTGTGTGAGTGCGCCCTGCAAAGGGAGAAGCGTGCTGTAGGAACTTAACTCTTGTTTATATCAATTAGCCTATTGATTAGAAAATTGATTTTGTTATACATCATTTCACTTAAAGTTAGTTTCCAAGAACTTACTGACAATGTTAAGTGAGGGCTTTCTGTATCACAGACTGGACAGCTTAAACAACAGAAATTTGTTTTCCCACAATTCTGGAGCCCGGAAGTCTGAGATCAAGGCATCTGCGGTGTTGTTCTTTCCTGAGTCCTCTCTCCTTAGCTTTGCAGATGGGCGTCCTTGCCCTGTGTCCTCATCTCCTCTTCTGATAAGGAACACCAGTCATATTGGATTAGGTTCCACCTTAAGGACCTCAGTTAACCTTAGTTACCTCTTTATTTTTTATTTTAATTAATTAATTAATTTATGTATTTATTTTGAGACAGAGTCTCACTGTGTCACCCAGGCTGGAGTGTAGTGGCTCACTGCAACCTCTCCCTCCCGGGTTTAAGCAATTCTCCTGCCTCAGCCTCCTAAGTAGCTGGGACTACAGGCATGCGCCACCACACCCAGATAATTTTTGTAGTTTTAGTACAGGCAGGGTTTCTCCATGTTGGCCAGGCTGGTTTCGAACTCCTGACCTCAGGTGATCTGCCCGCCTTGGCCTCCCAAAGTGTTGCAATTACAGGTGGGAGCCACCACGCCTGGCCTGTTATCTCTTTAAAGACCCTGCCTCCAAATACAGTCACATTCTGAGACGCTGGTGGTTGGGACTTCAACACACGAATTTCGGGTGTCCAGAGGACAGAGTATTATCTGCCATAGCAAACTGACACACACGGCTTCCAGCCAGGAGCATCTTGGAAAAGCTTTTGTCAGAAAGTGAGTCCAGGACTTGGCAACTATACCATGTGTGTCCCCTCTGAAGGGGACAAAGCCCAACCAGTTATTAACCACTCATGTGGGGTGCCTTTGGTTAATTAGAGTAAAGGGAGTCCAGTGGTAGGTGTTCTACTTCCAAGGAACAAGACACTGATAGATTTACAATGTTTAGTAACAGCTAAATCACAGATGTTGATGGGACCCTGATGTCTTTGGTTTTAAAATGGTAAATATGTTTCCTGAAGTATGAAAAACCTCCTATGTAGCAAATGCTGAGAAATACCATGGTGACAGTATTTTTGTGAGCCTGTCACCACAGACAGAGCCAGTGCAATAATGCATCAGTCCCCTTCACCAGCCTCATGCTCTTCTTTATTCTAAAGAAGTGAGCAGGGAGAGGGCCACGGTCCAGTATGGGAAAATGAGCCCTTTCAATGACAAAATTTAAATGTAATGAGCATTAAATGAGCATATTAATTCACAGGAGCAGTTGGTGCTTCTGCCTGAAAGTGGAGAAACGCATGTTTCCAGGGAAGCAGAGACACAGTGGCAGGGTGACACAGCCAGTGCTCACACAGCATCCCTCCGGTGGGCAATCCGCAGTGCAAGGCCACCACACAGCAATGCCACTCCACTGGCAGGGGCTTTGTAGCAGGGATTCTCAAAGGGCATCCTCACACAGCAGCATCGCCGTCAGCTGGAAAAGTATCAGAAATGCAGATTCTTGGCCAGGTGCCATGGACCATGCTTATAATCCCAACATTTTGGGAGGCTGAGGCGGGAGGATCACTTGAGCCCAGGAGATCGAGGCTGCAGTGAGCCGTGATTGTGCCACTGCACTCCAACCTGGGCAACGGAGCTGAGATCCTGTCTCAAAAAATGCAGATTCTTGGGCCCCATCCCAGATCCACTGAATCAAGAACTCTGGGTGTGGGCACAGCAATCAGTATTTGAACCTCTGTGTAGGTAGAGCAAAAATGCAAGACACACAGTTACATTTCATTTTAGATAAGTGACATCATTTTTTAATATGAGTATGTCTCAATTATTGCATGGGACATGTTTAATACTAAAATGATTTGTTGTTTAACTGAAATTCACCTTTAGCTGGGGTACTGTTTTGTTTGTTTGTTTGTTTGTTTTTTAGACAGAGTCTCTCTCTTTCGCCTAGGCTGAAGTGCAGTGGCGTGATCTTGGCTCACTGCAACCTCCACCTCCCAGGTTCAAGTGATTCTCCTGCCTCAGCCTCCCGAATAGCGGGGATTACAGGCACATGCCACCACGTCCGGCTAATTTTTGTATTTTTAGTAGAGACAGGGTTTCACTATCTTGGCCAGGCTAGTCTTGAACTCCTGACCTCGTGATCCACCCACCTCGGCCTCCCAGAGTGCTGGGATTACAGGCATGAGTCACCGCGCCCGGCCTGGGGTTCTGTATTGTATCTGGCAGCTCTGCCTCCAGGGGATTCTGATTCATGCTGAAATTTGGGAACCACCGGCATGGAGGCTTTGCCTAGGTCCAAAGCCCTGTTCTGACCATTTCAATGATGAAGAAAGTGTCTGATCCTCACATTCATTTCCCTGTTACCCTCTTTACCTCCCTGTTTCCCTGTTACCCTCTTACCTCCATCCTTCTTGTCTGATTTGCTCTGTTCACTCATTTACATTTCCTGTGCCTTTTCACATTCGTGACTTCTTAGTTCTGTCTGTGATTTTATAAAGATAACTCCCAAATAAAAATTGCATGGATCTACTGTTTATTGGTTGTAGCTAACTCAGCCAGAGGTTAGACTGTGCATATTTTGACACAGCAACTTGCCCAGGTTCATAAGTGCATTTATAAGACCCTTCTGCATCAGGTTTCCTGCCTGCATATGTACATATTAAGTAGCTCTAGTTACTGAGGACTATGAACTCAAAGGAAAGGAAAACTCCATGCTTAAAAATGGTTGAAGAACATGCTCTTGCATTGATTCTGGGTTGGACTCAGCTACATGGAACTGTTGATGTTTAAAGAACCTTAAATGTGGGAGGTAGAGGAAATGGTGTATTGTATTGTTTATGACAGGTAATAACGAACCACCAAGGTTAATTGGATGATTGACTGAGGTATTCGTTGGCCAAGGGCCTAAGAGCATTATGTAGTATTTTGCCAGCATGTTATACAGAGAAATGGAGATTAAGTATTCTCTATTCTTGGCTGGATATGGTGGCTCACGCCTATAATCCCAGCACTTTGGGAGGCTGAAGCAGGTAGATTGAGCTGAGGAGTTTGAGACCAGCTTGGTCAACATGGTGAAATGTCGTCTCTACAAAAAATACAAAAATTAGCCAGGCATGGTGGTGCACTTCTGTAGTCCCAGCTACTCAGGAGGCTAAGGTGGGAGGATGGCTTGAACCCAGGAGGTTGAGGCTGCAGTGAGCCGAGATCACACCACTGCACTTCAGCTGGGCGACAGAGTGAGACCCTGTCTCAAAAAAAAAAAATTTTTTTTCAAGTATTCTCTATTCTTGTTAATGGCACATTTAATTACAAACAGAAAACCTCAGCCCCTAATGTCTGATGAAGGCTTTTTATTTTTACTTTTTATTTTTATAAGCTCTGTTAGACTTGAGAAAGCTTTTTAAATTTTCTTTTTTTTAAGCAGAATCTGATCAAATATTCAATATAACAGGAAACAGTGCATTTTATGCTTAAGGAGAAGAAAATGTAGCACATCATGATTTAGGTTTTTAATACATTTCTATTTTGCAGATTGGGATTGAGACAGTTATGTTTGGTTTGGACAGTGACCCCAGTGTGATGATTGTCTGTGTGGCCTTAATGTTGATCAGGGTTGTTCTCATGAAAGATCACTTCAAGATCCATACAACCAAGATTTCAGGACTGTTGGCAAAATAGGGGAAAGTAAGTCACTATGGTGACGCAGACACTCAAAAACATCTGCATCGGGAAACTACTTCATTTGGGTTTATAACGACCCCCTTTTTTTTTTTTTGAAATGGAGTTTTGCTCTTTCACCCAGGCTGGAGTGCAGTGGTGCGATCTCAGCTCACTGTAACTTCCTCCTCCCAGGTTCAAGCAATTCTCCTGCCTCAGCCTCCCAAGTTTATAGGCTCCGGCTAATTTTTGTATATATATATATATTTTTTGAGACGGAGTCTCGCTCTGTCACCCAGGCTGGAGTGCAGTGGCGCCATCTTGGCTCACTGCAAGCTCTGTCTCCCAGGTTCACGCCATTCTCCTGCCTCAGCCTCCTGAGTAGCTGGGACTACAGGCACCCGCCACCATGCCCAGCTAAATTTTTGTATTTTTAGTAGAGACATGGTTTCACCATGTTAGCCAGGATGGTCTCGATTTCCTGACCTTGTGATCTGCCCGCCTAGGCCTCCCAAAGTGCTGGGATTACAGACATGAGCCACATCGCCCGGCTGCCTAATTTTTGTATTTTTAGTAGAGACAGGGTTTCACCATGTCGGCCAGACTGGTCTCGAACTCCTGACTTCAGGTGATCCACCCACCTTGGCCTCTGAAAGTGCTGGGATTATAGGCGTGAGCCACCACAGCAGGCTATAATGACCACTTTTTACATAGTAGTCAATATAATGCATTTGATGCATATTGATTTTTATCTTGTAGAAACAGCAGTTAGACAAAAACATGGACAAATCCAATATAGTTGCAGAATAGAATGCAAGTGGGCAAGTCTCAGTGCTGTCAAAATTGGAGTGCTGCTGGCCAGAGCTAGGAGGGGCCGCTGCGCTGGCGACCGAGCAGCAGGTGCTGATGCTCTCACATAGTCCAAGGGCAAGTTCAGTTGACAAAACAAGAAATGGAGTTTTGAGATTATTATTTGAAAGTGTAAAGATAAGCAATAAAAGAATCAAAAGGAACTGAGGATTTATAGAATAGTAATAAAAGGGAAACTATAGGATTTTAAAGAAGAATCATAGAGTTAACCACCAGAAAAGTATTAACATGTGTTCCCAGCTTTGACAGAAAACTTTTTCTTTCTTTTTTTTTTTTTTTTGAGTTGGAGTTTCGCTCTTGTTGCCCAGGCTGGAGGGCAATGGCGTGATCTCGGCTCACTGCAACCTCTGCCTCCCAGGTTCAAGCGATTCCCCTGCCTCAGCCTCCCGAGTAGCTGGGATTACAGGCATGCGCCACGCCCAGCCAACTTTATATTTTTAGTAGAGATGGGATTTCTCCATGTTGGTCAGTCTGGTCTCGAACTTCCGACCTCAGGTGATCTGCCCACCTTGGCCTCCCAAAGTGTTGAGATTACAGGTGTGAGCCACTGTGCCCGGCCTAGGAAAGCTTTTCTTTACCAATAGATCTGAGTGGTGGGGAGGTGGAGAGGATGGCAATTTAATTGACAATAGAAAGAATAACAGCAGAAAAGTTCGCTTTCACTGTATTTAGGAGCACTCCAAAAGGAGTGGCTCCAGGAGCCGCCAGGGGTGAGAGTTCATACATCAGCATCGTAAAAATAGGGTGGTTAGGACTTTGGAGGGAAGTATGGAAGGTTTTCAGAGGGCTTGCTTACACAGGGTTTACTCTTGGTGTTAACAGGCACCTTGAGAGGGGATGTATGGCAGCTTCATGATCAGAAATCTCTGCCTTTAATCATATATGGGAAGCTCAAAAAAGGCCTCTAGGCTGAGTGCAGTGGCTCACCCCTGTAATCCCAGCACTTTGGGAGGCCGAGGCGGGCGGATCACTTGAGGTCAGGAGTTTGAGACCAATCTGGCCAACATGGTGAAACCCTGTCTCTACTAAAAATACAAAAATTAGCAAGGTGTGGTGGTGTGCACCTGTAATCCCAGCTACTTGGGAGGCTGAGGCAGGAGAATCGCTTGAATCCAGGAGGTGGAGGTTGCAGTGAGCTGAGATTGCACCACTGCACGCCAGCCTGGGTGATAGAGAGAGACTCCGTCTCGGAAAAAAACAAACAAACAAAAAAAGTATCTAGCTGTGTCTGCTGTATCTCAGATGTCTTCAGTCTAAAGCAGGGGTCTCCAACTCCCGGACCATGGACTGGAGCTCGTCTGTGGCCTATTAGGAACGGGGCCACACAGCAGGAGGTGAATGGTGGGTGGGTGAGCCAGCATTACCTGTCAGATCAGCAGCGGCACTAGATTCTCATAGGAGCACAAACCCTATCGTGAACTGCACATGTGAGGGATCTAGGTTGCTTGCTCCTTATGAGAATGTAACTAATGCCTGATGATCTGAGGTGGAGCAGTTTCATCCTGAAACCATCCCCCAACCCAACCCCGGGTTAAAAATTGTCTTCCACAAACCCGGTCCCTGGCGCCAAAAAGGTTGGGGACTGCTGGTCTAAAGCAATCTTTCTTGCCTCCTGGTGGGTTGTGGGTCCTTTCACTGGGAAGCTGCATTCCAGGTGGGGATGAGCAGGGCAAAGGAAATTTTCATCATAAACTTTTCTATGCAAAAGTTTACAATGTGCAATTTGATTTCCTTCCATGCCCTTAAATTACATCAATCAAAGAGAAAAGGGGAGAAGAGCCCCAGCCCAGCTTGATCCAGTGAGCTATGTTTGGAGAGGAAGCTCTGGGCAGGGGCTGGGGAAGGTGGTGTTGGATCCTGTTGGGGGACAGGCCAGGGAATCTGTGAGACAGATGATGGATGTGATGGGATGTGCCAGCAGAGGCCGGCGGGGCCAGCGCATCCCTCCTACCTTCCTCCCTTCTGTGGACACTTGGGGGAAGTCGTAGGTGACTAGTGAGTTAAAAAATGAATTACCAATGAGTAATTAGTTACTGATGAGGTTTTAAGGTTGTAATTATTAATTAATTCATGAGTTATTAGAGGAGGGTTAGCTATTAATGAGATGCTCTCTAACTCCAGTTCCTATGTTTCTGTGTTCCAGCTTCTAAAAAGAATAAACTTGGAATTAACTTTCAAATGTTATTATGCTTTAAAATTGTATCTGTCAAACCTCACAGTTACCTCAAAGTAGACATTTTTTAAAACAAGTAGAATATTCACTGTTGGAAACAAATGCTCAGTGCTACAAAGTGAAACCAGCACTCAGACAAAAGTTTTCTCAGCAAGGCAATTTACTTCTGCAGAAGGGTGCTGCCTGCATCAATCATGATCACAGGAGCACACTGAACAAAGGAAGGAAAAGGTTTTTATCCCTAACACAGTCCCTACCTCTGTGTCACTCCCCCAGGGGCTGGGGTTGGACCGCTCATTCTAAGTTGACCCGATTGGCTATTTGTGAATACTTTTCCAAATAAGGAAGGGAAGGGGGATGTGAGTTACAGTGGTGGGAAGTGCAGTTTCAGTGGGAAGAATGGGTGCAGAGTGGGTAACCAAGGGAGCAGATGTGAGTTATTGATTAGAACTGGTGGGAAGGTTGTTCACAGTAACTAGGGACAAGGAGGCATGGACAACAAGGAAGTCGAGTTTGAGAACAAAGAATAAGGAAGTCAACAGGCTAAATCTTTGAAGAGGAATTTACTGTATCTTATAATTTCCCCCTTTCAATTGTTATGGTCCTTCCTCTTCAAACCTTTTTAACAAGTCTTGGCTTTGCTGTTCGACTTGATCCTCTAAAAGGAAAAGCTTATCTGAATAAGGTGGAGGAGAGCTAAGGGAGGTTTTAGTAAGTACTGTTTCTATAAGCCTCTGTACTAGCCCACGGATACATGGTGTGACACAACACCCAAAAAGAATGACTACACCTATTACGGCTGCAAGAGAAGTAAGAATTGAGGCTATGATTCCTTTCCATTTACCAAACCACCTTTCTAGCCATCCTGAAAAAGGGTCATTGACTCCAGAATTTTTAGCTAATTCATTGGATAAAGCAGTAAGGCCTTGTAAGGCCCTTGTTATGCTCCCACTAGGGGCAGTATTGTTTGGGATGAAGGTACAACATTGAGTTTTGATCATAACACAAACTCCACCTTTTTTGGCTAATATCATGTCTAGGGCCATTCTGTTTTCCCAAGCCATCTGGCTAGTAGGCCCTAACTGTTCAGCTATTCTTTTGACAGCATCTCTAGTGTAGTTAATAAACCGCTGCTGGTTATAATAGATGTAATTTATCCAATCTATGTTTTTACTGATAGTTACCCACCAAAATATTGATTCAAATCCTGCAGCTATCTGGTCTTGAGCTTTGAATTTGTGTGGTACTCCCTGTGGGACTCCAGTTGCGTCTAAATAAACTTGAGAGTCAAAAGACCCATAAGGGGCTTCTCTTATTTTACGGTGTTGTGGCTTTTCTTTTTCTGGTTGAAGAAATGCAAGGGCAAAAGGGATAGCGAATTGGACAAGAGTGCAAGTACCACTCCAGTTACTTGGCAGAGTGTCCAGTAAGGGTCCACCACAATACCACCATACATCCGCTACATCCGCTCGAGAATGACTAACAGCAGACTGATGGGTAAGCTCTTGGAAGGGCTTAAGCTCACTACATCCCATTAAGCTTCCACGGAATGCCAAGTTTTCCCTTGTCATGAGAGACATGAGATGAAACTGACATTGGGAGACGGAAGCTGGATGGCCCTCGGGGGCTGACCCGCAGGGTGTTGAACTTCAGGATAGAGCAGAGAGAGAGCTTGGCATGATATATTGCCCCAAGCTGTAGAATCCTGGAAGAGAGCTACCATACAGCCCATGCTTGGTCGACGGGAGGACCATCTGAGTGGAAAGGGGACAATCTGGGCCTCTGGCCTGCTGTGCGCACAAGCATAACAATTGCTTTTGTTTAAAGTGTGGACGGAATATTTAATCCATTCCATCCAGGCATTTGCATCTTGATATCCTGTTTCAATTGCTAAAGTTTGTTTTAGGTCATTTACTTCTACAATATCTATTTTGGTTTTATCTTTGGGTGGAGGAAGAACAGAACATTGGGGGATAATGTAGAAGGAATGTAGGAGGTGAAGGAGTAATAAAACATATCTCAAAATATCCAATAAGATGTGCCCCTGCTATTTCGGCTCCCATGCCATATAAGCAACTTAAAGTAGGTTTAGGGTCAGTAGAAGTTGGAATGAGAATAGAAATTTGCACTGGATTACATTGGTTATACTGGCAATTATGGGGGGTACTTTCTTTAGTGAAGTGAATGTATGGTTTTAAGGACATACAACCACCGGTTGACGAGGTCCAGCCTTGATATTCAGTTGTCCACACAACATCATTCCAGCTATGGCAGACCTGTTTTCCTGCATTCGTTAAGGAACAAGGGTCTTGATAGGGGGAGCCTTTTATCTTAAAGGGGCAGAGATACTTCTCTGAGTCTGAGAGTTGCTTTTGACTTTGGAGATCTCCACAGGGTATGACAAGACATGCATCGAAGGTAATAGTTTGGGGTGAGCTTGACCTGGTTACATTAATAATGAGGTGGTCAGCCATAGAATGAGGAAAGAAGAAGGAGTAATAGAATAGATGAAGGAGAGTTAAACTTTTCTTAGCGTTAGTTTGGTAGGGTTTTCCCCTGGGATAACGGCCCATGACTCCGGAGGTGGTGATGCTTTCTTGACTGGGGTGTGATGGGTCCATCCTTTTTCTGCTATCTGGACTGTGGTTTCAGTGTTAGGAGCACCAGGTAAGGTCCTTCCCAGGCTGGTTCGAGTTTCTCCTCTTTCCAGCTTTTGATGAGGACATGATCCCCAGGCTGATGTTGATGTACTGGGAACTCCAGGGGCCGTGCCTGTGTTTTGAGACCTTTGGTTTTAAGAAAAGAGAACGTAGAGTCTGATGAAAGCTTTTTATTTTTACTTTTTATTTTTATAAGCTCTGTTGGACTTGAGAAAGCTTTTTAAATTTTCTTTCTTTAAGCAGAATCTGATCAAATATTCAATATAACAGGAAACAGTGCATTTTATGCTTAAGGAGAAGAAAATGTAGCACATCATGATTTAGTTGTTTTTTTTGTTTTTGTTTTTTGTTTTGTTTTGTTTTGTTTTTTTGAGATGGAGTCTCGCTCTTGTCACCCAGGCTGGAGTGCAGTGGCGCTATCTCGGCTCACTGCAAGCTCCGCCTCCCGGATTCACGCCATTCTTCTGACTCAGCCTCCTGAGCAGCTGGGACTACAGGCGCCCGCCACCATGCCCGGCTAATTATTTTTTGTATTTTTAGTAGAGATGGAGTTTCACCGTGATCTCGATCTCCTGACCTTGTGATCCGCCCGCCTCCGCCTCCCAAAGTGCTGGGATTACAGGCGTGAGCCAGCGGCTCATGATTTAGGTTTTTAATACATTTCTATTTTGCAGATTGGGATTGAGACAGTTATGTTTGGTTTGGACAGTGACCCCAGTGTGATGATTGTCTGTGTGGCCTTAATGTTGACCCGGGTTGTTCTCATGAAAGATCATTTCAAGATCCATACAACCAAGATTTCAGGACTGTTGGCAAAATAGGGGAAAGTAAGTCACTATGGTGATGCAGACACTCAAAAACGTCTGTATTGGGAAACTACTTCATTTGGGTTTATAACGACCGCTTTTTTTTTTTTTTTTTTTGATACGGAGTTTTGCTCTTTCACCCAGGCTGGAGTGCAATGGCGAGATCTCAGCTCACTGCAACCTCCGCCTCCCGGGTTCAAGTGATTATCCTGCCCCAGCCTCCCGAGTAGCTGGAATTACAGGCGCCCAGCTAATTTTTGTATTTTTAGTAGAGACAGGGTTTCACCATATCAGCCAGGCTGGTCTCGAACTCCTGACCTCAGGTGATCCACCCGCCTTGGCCTCCCAAAATGCTGGGATTACAGATGTGAGCCACTGTGCCCAGCCTAGATGATTTCTTCACAGCACATATCATTAAAAAGTTATCCCAAACACTAGACATTAAATGGGAATATCATACTCTTTGGCACCCACCTTTGTCAGGTAGGGTAGAAAGGATGAATCAGACCCTGAAGAACCACTTAACCAAATTAGTTCTAGAAACTTGGCTGCCATGGATTAAATGTCTTCCTATTGCCTTGTTAAGAATCTGAACTGCCCCTCGGAAAGATACTGGCCTTTCTCCTTATGAGATGCTCTATGGATTGCCTTATTTACACTCCACTGCTGACATTCCTACATTAGAAACAAAAGACCAATTTCTCAGGAATTATATACTTGGTCTCTCCTCTACTTTCTCTTTAGAAGGCCTGGGAAATGAAGGCCTAGGTCACCTAGTTGGAGGCTTGGGTCCTTTGAACAGGGGTCTGGACCCTTTATAGTTTTTGGCCCCCTGGAGACCTTGTTTAGAAGCATATGGGTTTGGAGCCATCTGCTGGAAAGTAGATAGCATGGATTTTGCTTTTTGTTTCTGCTTTTCTTCGCCTCTCCTCACATACACTTTTTGAGCTTCTCTGAGAAGTTCACTTAGGGCTTGGTTTTCCCAATCTTCTAATTTTTGTAACTTTTAGAAAATGTCTGACCAACTTTTAGTGACATAATGGAGCTTTAACATTCCCTGTCCAAGGAGATCTTCCAAATTTAGGCCTGCATATTGTCTCATTTGCTCCTTTAGCCTGTCTAAGAATTTCATAGGCCCTTCATCTTTTTCCTGTTGTATATTAAATGCTTTAGAGAGCTTTGGGGTTCGGGTACTGATTCTCTAATTCCTTTTATTATCATTTCCCATAGGTCTTGCATATTTTCCCAGTGAGCTGCATTATTATTGTCCCACTGTGGGTCTTGGGTGGGAAATTTTTTATCTGCAGTGGAATGTTTTGACCAGGAGGGTGTTCATGTTCCCAAATTGCCATAGCAGCCCTACAGATTATGCTTCTTTCTTCCCCTGAAAAGAGGATACCTAGGATGGACATTAACTTGACCCAAGTATATAACTGAGGTCCCAAGAATTGATCAACCTGATCTGACACCCCATAAGGGTCATCTAACAATGGCTTCGTTTCCTTTTTCAAACTTTGGACTTCTGAACTGGTTAAGGGAGCATTCACAAAGCCAATAGCTCCCCCTCCTTGTGGCACCTCTTTTAAGGGGAAGAGAGTCAGGGCTGACTTCTTAGGTGTGGAGAGAAATGGGAAATTCTGGATATTCTTTTTATATTGTTCTACCTCATGCTGGAGTCCTTTTAGGGAGGAGTACTTGGGCTGGGAGGGAACAGGCTCATGGGATGATGATTCCCAAGAATCAGGATTTTAAGGAGGAGAAATAATGTGAGCAGGGGAAGGATCTGGAGCGGGATCCAGGATGGCAACAGCTGCCTGAGGGGAAGGTTTAGGGGCCCTGAGTGGGGGAAGATGGTCTAGGGGAGCCCATGTGCTGGAGTCTTTAGGCACGGGAACTGGCTTTTCTGACTCTTCATTCTGAGTTGCTAGATTGGGTTTTTCCCTAGTTGTATTTAAGGGAAAGAGGAGGACAGGTCCCTGCCTTCAACAAAGAGGATAGTCCAGTTCTTCTTAATATTTTTTTTTTTTTTGAGACAGAGTCTCGCTCAGTCACCCAGGCTGGAGTGCGGTGGCCGGATCTCAGCTCACTGCAAGCTCTGCCTCTTGGGTTCACGCCATTCTCCTGCCTCAGCCTCCCAAGTAGCTGGGACTACAGGCGCCCACCACCACGCCTGGCTAATTTTTTGTATTTTTTAATAGAGACGGGGTTTCACCATGTTAGCCAGGATGGCCTTGATCTCCTGACCTCATGATCCACCCGCCTCGGCCTCCCAAAGTGCTGGGATTACAGGTGTGAGCCACTGCGCCCGGCCTGTCCAGTTCTTCTTGAGAAACTGGACTTTTATCATTTACATATTGAATTAGAAGTTGACACATCACATCCTCATTAGACCCAAACTTTGGCCAGAAGATTGAGGGATTGAGGATGGGTCCCTGAGTCCAAATAAAATAGCAATATTTTATCATTTGTTGCTTTTTCTTATGTTTAGTCCTCTCATTATCTTTCCAATATTTCAACATGAGACCTAGGGAACTATCGGGGGAATATCTTTATTGCTATCTTTATCCATTTTTTTTTTGAGATGGAGTCTTGCTCTGTTGCCCAGGCTGGAGTGCAGTGGTGCAATCTCAGCTCACTGCAAGCTCTGCCTCCTGGGTTCACTCCATTCTCCTGCCTCAGCCTCCCAAGTAGTTGGGACTACAGGCACCCACCACTGCACCTGGCTAATTTTTTGTATTTTTAGTAGAGATGGGGTCTCACCGTGGTAGCCACAAAGGTCTCAATCTCCTGACCTCATGATCCGCCCGTCTCAGCCTCCCAAAGTGCTGGGATTACAGGCGTGAGCCACCGTGCCCAGCCCTATCTTTATCCTTTTTACTCCCTGTCTTGCTTGGGGTATTTCCCATGTTGGGTTCCAATTAGGCTCAATCTCTCATACTGGAGACTTCTTACCTATTCTTCTCTTGAGGCTTGCTGAGGCTCAATCCCTCATATTAGAGATTTCTTGCTTATCCTTTAACCCCACCTGCTGGAGGCTCTTTGCACCCTTCTCCCTTTGCTTCGCCCACTCTGGCCACTTCCCTCTTGGGAATGTTTCAGGCCCCTCTTAGCATTGATGGCGGGTCAGTATAAACCCCTGCTGGGACCCCCAAAGGGCCTCCCTAAGCCGTATGAGGTGACCACAGAACTGCAGATTGGACTCACTCACACTACACAGCAGTCATGCTTGTTGCCATTCATGTGCTTTAAGCCTCCAGAATATCCCAACCACCAAGGAAGTACTTTGTTGCTGCTGCAAAGTTTCTTACCTTAGTATGTGCACAGAGTTACTTGGTCGCCACGGTGTTGCAAGACTTTTTCTCCTCGCGATGCTGAGAGTCTGGGTTTATTCGTTGCACCAGGTGGGTCCTGATTCTTCACCCTGAGGCCACCTCAATGAGGCAGTGGGACGCGTCTCCTCATGAGAGGTGACTGGAGACCCCTTTCCTGGAGGAAAATGGGGATCCTGGATGAGTCCCCAGATTTGCTGGAAACAAATGCTCAGAGCTGCAAAGTGAAACCAGCACTCAGGCAAAGGTTTTCTCAGCAAGGCAATTTACTTCTGCAGAAGGGTGCTGCCTGTGTCAATCACGATCACAGGAGCACACTGAACAAAGGAGGGAAAGGGTTTTTATCCCTAATGCAGTCCCTACCTCTGTGTCACTACCCCAGGGGTTGGGGTTGGACCACACATTCTAAGTTGACCTGATTGGCTATTTGTGAATACTTTTCCAAATAAGGAAGGGAAGGGGGATGTGAGTTACAGTGATGGGACGTGCAGTTTCAGTGGGAAGAATGGGTGCAGAGTGGGTAACCAAGGGAAAGATGTGAGTTATTGATTAGAACTGGTGAGAAGGTTGTTACAGTAACTAGAGGCAAGGAGACATGGAGAACAAGGAAGCTGAGTTTGAGAACAAAGAATAAGGAAGTTAACAGGCTAAATCTTTGAAGGGGAATTTACTGTATCTTACATTCACCATCCACCCATTGCTCAGCAGATAGCCTGTGCTTGGCTCAGGGTCGTGCTATGAGTGCCCATCAAGGCCCTCAGGCATTGGGACATCAGGCGGCAAGTACACATGGTAGCCCCAGGTGTGAAAATGCCCAAGGAGAACATCAAGAGAGGCCACGCTGTCAGCCACCACCTCTAGACACGATGGTTGAAGAGAGCTGCCTCACTGGATTAGTGCTTCACCAGAGAAACAGAGATAAGATGATCTATCTATCTATCTATCTATCTATCTATCTATCTATCTACCTATCTATCTGAATGTAAACCAAATATAAAGTCTAAGCCTCCTAACTGACTGAATGGATCAGTGGCCAAAGGGATTCCAAAGACATGGGAAAAACTAGTTCAGGTCATGACAGGAAGGGACGAGGGGTCAGACGTGCCTCATTATACTCCCTCCCTTTTGGAGTTTAGAAAAACTGACCAGTATTATCATTAAAATAGAGATCCCAAGACTGACAACACAGATTCTGTGTAGCAATGAGATACCCACTCTGAACTGACCCTGGTATAACATCCCATGACAGATAACAGGCCCTAAAGGGAATCAAAGTATTTTATTCCAAAATTTATTTTTCTTTGACATATATTAAAATGGACCTGTAAAGCTTTTTCTTTTCTTTCTTTCTTTCTTTTTTTTTTTTTTTTTTTTGTGAAATGGCGTTTCACTCTTGTTGCCCAGGCTGGAGTGCAGTGGCATGATCTTGGCTCACTGCAACCCCCACCACCCAGGTGCAAGTGATTCTCCTGTCTCAACCTCCTGAGTAGCTGGGATTACAGATGCCCACCACCACACCTGGCTTATTTTTTGTTTTTTTAGTAGAGATGGGATTTCATCACGTTGGCCAGGCTGGCCTTGAACTCCTGACCTCAGGTGATCCACCTGCCTTGGCCTCCCAAAATGCTGGGATTACAGGTGTAAGCCACAACGCCCAGCACAAAGCCATTTCTTGTGGGGAAAATCTACACTCTGTAGAAAATCCCCTTCCCTTTCCAGGTCTTTTCCTGATCCAGGAGAGATTTAATTAAGAGTCTGGCACCTTTTAAGGTCTGATAAGAGACAGTTACCATCTATTCTCTCTGAAGCGTGCCACCTGGAGGCTCCATCTACATAACAAGTACCTCAGCTTCCACAGCCCCCCTTATCTTAACCCCAAGCATTTCTATCTGCTGACTTCAACTCTTCAGTCAAAGTTTAATTCTTACAACTAATTTCCAATCAGGAAATCTTTGAATCCGCCTATGACCTGGAAGCGTCTTGCTTCGAGATGTCTTGCCTTTCCAGGCTAAACCAATGTATAGCTTACATGTATTAATTTATGTCTTTGCCTGTAACTTCTGTCTCCCTAAAATGTATAAAATCAAGCTATAACCCAAACACCTTGGGCACCAGTTCTCAGAACCACCTGAGGATCATGATCCTCACATTTGTCTCAGAATAAACCTTTTCAAATATTTTACAGAATTTGGCTTTTTTCATCAGTCTATCTATCTATCATCTATCTATCTATCTATCTATCTATCTATCTATCTATCTATCTATCTACCTATGGTAAAAGGAATATAAATCCTGGGATTTCCAAATCACTAAGCCAAAGGGGAAAGTCAGGCTGGGAACTGCATCAGGCAAACCTGCCTCCCATTTTATTCCTAAATAAGATAGCTACAAAGATAAAAAAGCTACATGTTTCCCTAAAATATATAAAACCAAGCTGTACCCCAGCCACCTTGGGCACATGTCATCAGGACCTCCTGAGGCTGTGTCATGAGCACATCCTTAATCTTGGCAAAATAAACTTCCTAAATAGATTGAGAGGTTTATTTTGAGGCACTGGTTCATATGACTGTGGGGCTGGCAAGTCTGGAATGTGCAGGGCAGGTGGCAGGCTGAAAACTCAGAGAAGAGTTGAAGCTGCTGCTCGGGCCCAAAGGCAGTTTGCTGGCAGAATTCCCTCCTCCATGGGGGAGGTGAGCCTTTTTCTTAAGGCCTTCAACTGATTGCATGAGCCCTGTAGGGGAGGAATAAAATATCTTTACCCTATCCATCTTAGGGTTCATTGGATGAGGCCCCGCAAATTAGACTAGTAGAAGACGAAGAAACAGGAGAAAAACAAACCAAAGTTTGCTAAAGCATGCTTACACATGGGAGGACTCAGAGATGAGTCGTTGAAAGGGGTAGTTAGTACTTGGGCTTAGGGCCGGGCACGGTGGCACACACCTGTAATCCCAGCACTTTGGGTGGCTGAAGTGTTACAGGAAAAGGGTCCTGATCCAGACCCCAAGAGAGGGTTCTTGGAACTCACACAAGAAAGAATTCAGTGCGAGTCCATACAGTAAAGTGAAAGCAAGTTTATTAAGAAACTAAAGGAATAAAGAATGGCTACTCCATAGGCAGAGCAGCCCTGAGGGCTGCTGGTTGCCCATTTTTATGGCTATTTCTTGACTACATGCTAAACAAGGGGTGTATTATTCCTGCCTCCCCTTTTTAGACCTATAGGGTAACTTCCTGATGTTGCCATGGCATCTGTAAACCGTCATGGTGCTGGTGGGAGTGTAGCAGTGAGGATGACCAGAGGTCACTCTTGTCGCTCTCTTGGTTTTTGTGAGTTTTAGCCCACTTCTTTGCTGCAAGCTGTTTTATCAGCAAGGTCTTTATGACCTGTATCTTGTGATGACCTCCTATCTTATCCTGTGACTTAGAATGCCTGACTGTCTGGGAATGCAGGCCAGCATTTCTCAGCCTTATTTCACCCAGCCGCTATTCAAAATGGAGTTGCTCTGGTTCAAACTCCTTTGACAGAGACAGGTGGATCACTTGAGTCCAGGAGTTCGAGACCACCCTAGGCAACATGGCAAAACCCTGTCTCTACAAAAAAATACATAAAAATTAGCTGGGCATGGTGGCATGTGCCTGTGTTCCCAACTACTTGGGGGGCTGAGGCGGGAGGATCACTGAGTCTGAGAGGCAGAGGTTGCAGTGAGCTGAGGTTGCATGGATATTGCAGTGAGTCCATACCGCACCACTGCACTCCAGCCTGAGTGACAGAGTGGGGCCCTGTCTCAAAAACAAAAAAAGAACTTGGGCTGAGATTGTTGTGTCTTAATAAAGAAGAATAACTTTGTCGAGAATTGACTAGAAAAAGGAAAGAGGAGTTAGGCTTTTAGGGGCAGCGAACAGACAAGGTTAATGTCTGGGGAAAAGGCAAGAAAGGGCTTGTGTGAGTAGTCTTCCTTGGTGCTATCTCATCTCGGTGATCTGGCTGTTAGCCCCTTCCTGATACAGGAAAGTGGGGAGCACCTTCACAAATGAAAATTTGTGCTCTGTTTTAAGGAAGTGAGTGGGGCAGCAGAGAGCTCACTTTGTCTACTTTTTTCAGTTGCCTTCAACTCAAAATAATACTTACGCCAGAGCGGCTTGTTCTGGGCGGCACATCCTGAACCCCTTCAGCCCCACCTGTATTACGGAGGTTCATCTGCTTCACTCAAAGTCTGGTGACTTAAACGTTAATCTCATCTGAAAAATACCTTTCCAGAAACCATCTAGAATAATGCTTGACCAAATATTTGGGTACAAGACCCAACTAAGTTCACACATGAAATTAACCATCACACTGACTAAGTGAAAATGATGAAGACCATTCCAGGAAAGTGGATGATGGGTCCTGACTTGGATGAGGAAAGGTGGGGAAGTGGTCTGAGTGCACCGCAGTGAAGCAGGGAGAGGGGAGCTGAAGCCACATGGTGGAGGGCCCTGAGGATATATAGGGAGTTTTGAGTATTCTGAGAGGTATGGAGATGAAACTGCTAAAGGAAAAAAATATGTATTTGTGGTGTTAGGTACCAGGGACTTCTATAAAGATCTTCTAGTTCTACATGGCAGGTGTAAAATGGGGTGCTCTGAGGAAGACTGTTTGCCCTACTGAAGAGTGAAGGCTGGATTCTAGTTGCGATGGGGAAGAACAATATTAAATATGACAAGTAGCCCTCACTTTACACTTTTACTCCAAAAGGATACTTGAACCGTCACTGATATCCTAATCGCCACCTTTTTTTTTTTTTTTTTTTGAGATGGCCTCTCGCTCTGTCACCCAGGCTGGAGTGCAGTGGCTCAATCTCGGCTCACTGCAGCCTCTGCCTTCTGGGTTCCAGTGATTCTCCTGCCTCAGCCTCCCGAGTACCTGGGATTACAGGCATGTGCTACCATGCCTGGCTAATTTTTGTATTTTTAGTAGAGACAGGGTTTCACCATGTTGGCCAGGCTAGTCTTGAACTGCTGACCTCAGGTGATCAGCCTACTTCGGCCTCCCAAAGTGCTGGGATTACAGGTGTGAGCCACCGTGCCGTCCCCTAACCACTACTTTTAAACATTTTTTTATGTGATGTTAAATGGCATTGCATTGGCTTGCGCTACAGGCTCCTATAGTACTGAGGCTGTAATAAAGAGCCAGTTTCCACTAGAACACAACTGAAGCTTTTTTTTGTTTTTTTTTGACTGCCTGGAAAGTCAGTTTCGCTTTCATAATGACAATTATTGCAAAAATGTCAAGAAACTTTCACCATGTTTTCTCCGGAATGTCTCATACAGCCCTTACTAATTTTTTCTTTTTTTTTTTTGAGTCAGGTTCTCACTCTGTCACCTAGACTGGAGTGCAGTGGCGTGATTTTGGCTCACCATAACCTCTGGCTTCCAGGCTCAAGTGATTCTCCTGCCTCAGCCTCCCGAGTAGCTGGGATTACAGGCGCCTGACACCACGCCTGTCTAATTTTTTTGTATTTTTAGTGGAGATGGGGTTTCACCGTGTTAGCCAGGATGGTCTCGATCTCCTGACCTCGAATGATCCACCCGCCTCGGCCTCCCAAAGCGGCAAAGCGATGGGATTACAGGCGTGAGCCACCGTGCCTGGCCACTGATTTTTAAGTAGCCACCAGGTAGCACTTGAGAGCAGAGAGAGGAAAAATGGACTCTCAGTGATCACAAAAGGCAGGAGGCTCAGGACCAAGGCCAGAGCTGAAATATTTATCAGGAGTCCCCTCCGAGTACTGCAAAGTGACCTTTTAAGAGTTCTTGAGAAAAAGAAGCCCCAGGAAGGGGGGCTGAGTGTGAAGAGGCCCTCCCCACCCCATCTATGGCTGTGTTTGGGTCTGTGGCCCCTGCGGGGAAGAGCTTCCAGAAGAGCCTCCTTTCTTTATCTGGAACTCAGCAGTGTTTCCAAGAGGCTTCTATTCCTAGCTCTCATTGCAATATGCATCTCAAGCCAGCTTGATGAGCGCAGAAGTACTGGAGAAAACAAAAGCGAACCGTAAGAGGCTGCGGGCTCTGGCAGGGTGTAGATGCCCTGCAGCAGTCTTTCCACCCTGCTGCCCAGGTGTGGGGTGGTGTCATGGGAAGTGCGGCGTGGCCCAGGGTCCAGCTGGTCTGTGCTGGTCCCCCCACCCCACCTCCCAAGAACTATCTTCCCAAAACATCTGCTTCATCCTGCTCTTTCTTCTCTGAATACGGGGATGGCTTTCAACTCTAGGACACCCAACCTAAAAAAAAAACCCAAACCGAGCAGTACACCTAACCTGTTGTTCCCCAGATGGTTTTTTTTTTTCTTTTTGAGACACAGTCTTGCTCTGTCACCCAGGCTGGAGTGCAGTGGCGTGATCTCAGCTCACTGCAATCTCTGCCTCCCGAGCTCAAGAAATTCTCCTGCCTCAGCTTCCCAAGTAGCTGTGATCACAGGCACCCGCTATCATGCCCGGCTAATTTTGTATTTTTTTTAATGGAGACGGGGTTTCATCATGTTGGCCAGGTTGATCTTGACCTCCTGACCTCAAATGATCCGCTCGCCGCGACCTTCCAAAGTGCTGGGATTATAGGCATGAGCCACCATGCCCAGCCCCCCAAATGGTTTTGAAGGAAATGCCACCTTCTCACCTCCATTCCCCTCCTCGCTGTGGCAGCAGCCCCTTGCCTGCAGAAGCCAGCTACCACCATGTGTCCTGATGACCTGTTCTCGTGAAAAATTATGACGCTCACACTGGGCTCTGTGTCACGCCTTCTCTGGGGGCCTGGCATGTATGAAAAAAGATAGCTCTTCACAGAGAAGGGGCTAAAGTCAGGCTCTGGTCACACCAGTGGCCTCTAAGCTTTCTGCGAAAGGCCAAGGATTATTTTTCAGGGATCTTCTTAAAATTCAAGAGTTTTTCCCTCTATGAGCAGGTATTTTCATTTTTTAGCAGAAGCTAAGTGTGTAGGTAGAAAATTGAGGTGCATGTCAGAAATTTCTTTTTTTTAGGACATAAAGATAGTTCAACTTAAAAAAAAAGGAAGAGAAATGAACCCCATCCTTTGCCCAGCGGGAATCTCATTGACCTAATGGAAATCAATAACTGCTTTCATTTCCTGCAGATTTACTTTCTATAGAAATGTGCCTTTGTGGAGCATGCGGCAGGGCAGCCCCGGGCCTGTGGTGAGCACTGGTAGCGGCTTGTGGGGCTTGTTAGCCCTGAGCTCCCCTGGCTGTGCCGCTGGCGGGTGGTCCCTGTGTTCTGCAGTTAGCACCTCAGAGTAGGAAAGCAGGTGAGGAGGCCAACCAGAGACCTGCACAGGAGGCCCTGGGTGCTGTCAAAACAAAAACTGGGCTGTGCGCGGTGGCTCACACCTGCAATCCCAGCACTTTGGAAGGCTGAGGTGGACAGATCACCTGAGGTCAGGAGTTCGAGACCAGCCTGGCAAACAGGGCGAAACCCCATCTCTATTAAAAATACAAAAATTAGCTGGGTGTGGTGGCATGCTTCTGTAATCCCAGCTACTCGGGAGGCTGAGGTGGGAGGATTGCTTGAACCCAGGAGGTGGAGATTGCAGTGAGCTGAGATCACACCACTGCATTCCAGCCTGGGCAACAGATTAAGAGTCAGTCTCAAAACAAAACGAAACAAAAACTGTACCAGACAGTCAGACAGGTATAGAATACTTTACTCCAGGCTATGACCATGGGGGAGAGAGGGCAGAACCCAGTCTGAACTCAACTTTGCTGAGACAAAGGGCAGAGGGCTTTTAAAGGCCTGTAGCCAGGCACGATGGCTTACGCCTATAATCCCAGCACTTTGGGAGGCTGAGACAGGAGGATCACTTGAGCCCAGGAGTTTAAGACTAGCCTGGGCAACATGGCAAAACCCCATCTCTATAAAAAATACAAAAATTGTCCAGGCACCGTGGCATGCACCTGTAGTCCCAGCTACTAGGGAGGCTGGGGTGAGAGGATTGCTTGAGCCCAGGAAGTGGATGCTGCAGTGAGCTCAGATTGTGACATTGCACTCCAGCCTGGGCGACAGAGCAAGACTCCATCTCAAAATAAATAAATAAATACGTACATAAATACATAAATAAATATTAGTGGGAATGGTGGCATGCACCTATAGTCTCAGTTACTTGGGAGACTGAGGCAAGAGGATTATGTGAGCCCAGGAGGTTAAGGCTGCAGTGAGCCATGTTTGTGCCACTGCACTCCAGCCTGGGAGACAGAGACTCTATCTCGAAAAAATAAAATAAAATAAATAAAGGCCTGCAGAGTGGACTCCTCGGGCCATCTGTGTGTGCTAGTGGGCTTTACCCAAAGGAAAAGTAAACTTCTCACATCTCTAAGACAGGAAGTAGTTTTACAGCTTGGAGGTTAGGCTCCTACCCTCTCACAGTCACTGGGAGATTATAGTTCAAAGAAAGGGTTTCTAGGCCCTTAAGAAAGATATTCCTGGGTTGTAATGCTGGCAAGAGGCCTTTAAAAACATTTTACATACACCTCAAAGGGACAGAGAAAGAACTTACAACCAGTTTTCTAAAGAAAACGTTCTAAGAAAAGATAAGTCAGGGCCCTGGAGGCAGGAAGAAGCTGTCAAGCAGAGGGCATGTTACGGCCACAGTGGGCCATCACCCCATCCCCCACCCCCAGCTGCCACAGCTGCGTCCCTGGTGGAGCTGCATCCCAGGCAGAGGCTCACTGGCCACTGGAGCCCTCTCTGTTTGGGTTTGTGTCAGGCCAGAGCTGCCCACTGGCCTTCAGGCATGACCAAGGAAGCCAGAGCCCAGTGGGGAGATGACTTTGGGTTGCACATTCCACCCTGTCCCCAGAGCTCCTATTAAAGGATAATATCTTCATGACACCTGCGAAAGTTTGGTGGGGACCGTCACTGCAGGTGCAGGAGATGCTGCACTGGGGTCTTGTAGTGGGCGAGAGAGATTGAGCCCAACTCTGAATAGAGCATGGGCAGGGGGGATTTTACAGCCAAGGAGCAGGGTGGGGGTCAGCGGATGGAGAATTGCTAAGAGGAAGTGTCAGGGGTGAGGGGGATTCTGGCTAAACTGACCTAATAGGATTCTCGCTGAAGACAGGCCAGGGTGACCAGATGTCACCTGAAACCGATCAGATATGGAGGGTGATCAGATATCAAGGGTGGGGGTTCTAGCCAAACTGGATCTTACAAGGTCTAGGAGAAGGTTCGGGAGCCTGACTCAAGTACCGTCAGGGCAACAATCTTTGTCACTTCCCAGTGGTCCCTTCCTGCCTCCTCCCCTCCTTGCGCAGAGTCTCCTCTGAGAGAATCCAAAGTAGCTCCTGACCTTGGTCAAGGTACTGGGCTAGACATGGGGGAAAGACTTGGATACTCAGGGTAGGGCAACATCACCAAGAGGGAGCAGTGGCTGCCTCTTATTTTGTCCAGGAGAGAAGCAATTACTTGGCTGATCACTGGCCTTTAGTGCAGAGGGCCCCAGTGGTGTGCAGAGCACACCAGATATTTTTGGCTCCAGGCATAAAAAGAAGGCTGATTTTGAGCACTTATCTGATAGGTAATCCATAAGCCACACTGCAATGGCTGGTTGGGTTGGCACAGGTCTATGTGCCCTGGGTGGAGGGAAGGTGCCATTTCCCACCTGCATGTGGGTCCTCTGAGCCCACAGGCTTGGTTCTTCAGTACAAGTAGCTACAGGGTGGCAGGAGAGAAGGTAGCCCAGATGGTTCTGCACGTCTCTGGTTTAGCTACTAAAGGACTGAGTACACAAACAGACAATGGTCAGACTATATAAAAAAACAGAGCCCTGCCCCACAGTCTGCAGCAAGCTGCCCAGGAAACCAATGTTTATCTACAGGAACCAGCCCAGGCAGGCAGGCTGTCCATTACAAGTCAGACTTCTAGGAAGTCAGACTGCTATCTCTAGTGACAATCCAGGAAGCCAACCAATAACTCTCCTGTAACAGTTGGCCCCAAATGGCCAGGGCTTGATCGGTAACTGACAGCTTCCCATTTTTTGTTCCTGCTTCCAACTTAGGACCAACCAGAGAATGCCAAATATGCTTGTCACATTTGACCTCAACTCCTCCTCCCACCGTTGATTCCGTATAACCAGGAAAGGGGCCAACACACTTGCTAAATGGCCACACGTGCTTCTGGGAACTGGCTGAGCTTATGGCCTTGGCCGGTCTAGAGGCGCTAGAATGTGCTCCCTGGTCCTGCACACAGACACGGACTTGAAAAGGCCAAGCCCTTCCAACACCTGAGTCATTTGCGCTGCAACCTCTGCAGCTGGGACGGGAGCCCAGGTGTTGACCACCTGACCCAGGCCACCCAGGGGTATCCAGCCTGGAGGGGAAGTCACCTCACTGGGAAGATCTTCTCTTTTGGTTTGATCTGAATTCAACAACAGCTTTCATGTTAAGAGCAACATCTGTAACTATGATGCTCCTCCAATGACGGAGCCTGGGTCCTGGGCACTGGGTGGTGCAGACGAAGCTGTGAGAGAGCTCAGTGCTTCTTCTGTGATACACAGAAGGGTGAACGCAAGTATCTCAGCGCTGTGCCTTTGAGAATTCGCCCTGCCTCTGCGAGACTCAGCTTCCTCACATTTGAAGTTGCTACCACTCTGGTTTTATGTTGAGCTTGAGCAAGTGTGATTTGGGAGCCCCGGGAAAGGCTGTCCATTGTCAGTTATCACTGTCGTCTCTGCATCAGTGGCCATGGGGCAGGATGTGGGACTTCTGGGGGTGCAAGAGGTCACATGATCCTGGCACCCAGGGGGTGCTGGAGGGGCAAGGTGTGGGAAAGAAGCGTGTGTCGTGCAAAGGGCTTGGCAGCACATCCCAGAGCCGAGCACAGGGCCCGTACAAAATGAGGTTTGTGGGAACATGCTGTGAGCAGAGGAGCCGCAGAGGGCTCAGGGCCCTGGAGCTCTTCCATCTGCAAAACGGTGCAGAAGCAGCAGGAGATTGTCCTGGAGGGAGGGATCCTGCCCTTGGGACCCTGCCCCATGATGCTGGGAACATCTGTGAGAGAGTGTAGCAGGGAGTACCTGGTCAAGGCCAGGGCCGGCTCCTGGGCTTCTGTTGAGCGACGTCGGCCTCCCTGCCTGGCTTGCTGAGATCTGGATTTGCCTCTCGCCAGAATCCCCACTCATCTTCCACTTTGCCCAGGCACATGGGTCAGTTTGGGCTGCCGTAACAAAGTGCCACACGCTGGGGGACTTAGACAACAGAAATTTATTTTCTCACAGTTCTGGAGGCTGGATATCTAAGATCCAGGCATTGACAGGGTGGTTTCTCCTGAGGCTTCCCCTTGGCTTGCAGATCGCGTCTTCTCCCTGGGTCCTCACATGGTCGCCTTCTGTGCTTGTCAGTGTCCTCATCTCCTCTTCTTGTAGGACACCAGTCATGATGAGTCAGGACCCACCCTAAGGGCCTCATTTTAACTTGATGACCTCTTTGAAGCCACCATCTCCAAATACAGACACATCTGAAGTCCTGGAGGTTAGAACTTCCATGTCTGAATTTTGGGGGAGACGCGATTTGGCCCACGGCACCAGCAACCAGAGGCATTAGGAAGGAGACAGGTGTGAGGCAGGGCGTCAGACTCCATGGCACTGTGTCAGGCTCTCACAATCACACATTGTAGGTGGTCCTCATGCTTTAACATAAAGAAACTGAGGCGAAGGTAACGTAACTTATCCAGGCAGCGTAGTTGGCCAGCAGCGGCCAGCATATCTGAGACTTATTCTAAAGCCCAAGCTCCTCCGCTGGACTTCACAAAGAAGAGTGGGCGTTGGCGATCTGTGGGTTCCCAGATGCAGAGTCGTCAGTACTCAAAATACACCGTCAGGTATGTGTGGTGAAGTTCATAGCCTTCAAAGTTCCAGAATGCCCCTAAATATCTGTTGCTGACAGTCAATGACACAGATCAATTTATCTCATAGGATGGAAGGAAAGTTAAATTATTACCAGGGACCCTTCGATTAGTAATGATAGGTAATTGGCTGGGAGCGGTGGCTCACACCTGTAATCCCAGCACTCTGGGAGGCCGAGGTGGGTGGATCACTTGAGGTCAGGAGTTCGACACCAGCCTGGCCAACATGGTGAAAACTTCATCTCTACTAAAAATACAAAAATTAGATGTGGTGGTGCGCACATGTAATCCCAGTTACTCGGGAGGCTGAGGTGGGAGAATTGCTTGAACCCAGGAGGTGGAAGTTGCGGCCAGCCATTTGTACGACTGCACTCCGCCTGGGTGACAGAGCGAGACTCTGTCTCAAAAACAACAAAAACAACAATAGCAACAAAAAGAAATGATAAGTAATCGTGATATAAGCCATTCCCTTTAGTGACCAGGTGTCTTGTGACCATTCCACAGAAGCAGCTCAAGGTCAGAGGCCAGTCCCTGAAGCAGTGGTGCCCCAGGCTGGCTTTGACACTCAGAGCCCTTTCCAGGGTTTGTGGCCAGCATGGAGGAGGGACTCATCATGGTGCTTAGGCCAAATGTGGAACATTGTGACAATCTGCAGGCAAGCACAGTAGTGGAAAGATGCAGACAGCATGTATTTGGAAAAGGTTGCAGTATTTATCCAGGAAAACATTTATGATCTACAAAGAAATAAATATATGTCTTGGCAAGTCAAGTATCAAAGGCCTACAAAGGGTCCTCAAAGACCTCTTCGTTTGTTGAGTGTTTTTTTGTTTTGTTTTGTTTTGATTTTCTATTTCCTTCCTTCCTTCCTTCTTTCCTTCCTTCCTTCCTTTTCTTTTCTTTTCCTTCCCTCCCTCCCTCCCTCGCTCGTTCCCTTCCTTCCTTCCTTCCTTCCTTCTCTCTTTCTTTCCTTCAATCTTTCTTCTTTCTTTTCTGAGACAGGGTCTCACTCTGTCTCCCAGTCTGGAGTGCAGTGATGTAATCATGACTCGCTGCAGGCTTCGCCTCCTAGCCTCCAGCAATTCTCCTACCTCAGGCTCCTGAGTAGCTGGAACCACAGGCATGCACCACCGTGCCCAGATAAATTTTTTATCTGCAAAGATGTGGTCTTGCTATGTCGTGCAGGCTAGTCTCGAACTCCTGGGCTCAAACTATCCTCCCTTCTCAGCCTCCCGAAGTACTGGGATTACAGGAGTGAGCCACCATGCCTGACCTACCATGTACATTGTAGAATTAGTTTATTGAAATTGAAAAAAACCCACAAAACCTCAACATTTTATAGGTATTCTATAAACCTTCTAGATTATTTTGGGGGTGAACTGATATCTTTACAATGTTAAGTTATCCCTTCTATGGACATGGTCTATTTCTCCATTTACTCTTTTTCTTTTTTTTTTTTTTGAAGATGGAGTCTCACTCTGTCCTTCAGGCTGGAGTGCAGTGGTGCCATCTTGGCTCACTACAACCTCTGCCTCCCAGGTTCAAGTAATTCCCCTGCCTCAGCCTCCCGAGTAACTGGGACTACAATTGTGTACCACCATGCCCAGCTAAGTTTTGTATTTTTAGTAGAGATGGGGTTTCACCATGTTGGCCAGGCTGGTCTCGCACTCCTGACCTCAAGTGATCCACCTGCCTTGGCCTCCCAAAGTGCTGGGATTACAGGCATGAGCCACCGTGCCTGGCTTAGCCTACTCACTCTTTTACGACTTTTTTAGACTTTCAAAATTGACTCCATTAATATCATGTGCTTTTTGGGATGAGTTAATTCCTACCTGCTTTATAATTTTATACAGTTGTAAATTTGTGAAAAGGAACACTTGTGTTTTTTGTTTTTGTTTTTGTTTTGAGTTGGAATCTTACCCTGTCACCCAGGCTGGAGTGCAATGGTGCAATCTCAGCTCACTGTAACCTCCGCCTCCTGGGTTCAAGCGATTCTCCTGCCTCAGCCTCCCAAGTAGTTGGGATTACAGGTGTGTGCCACCACGCCTGCCTTTTTTTGTGTGTGTGTGTGTCTTTATTAGAGATGGGTTTCACCATTTTGGCCGGGCTGGTCTCGAACTCCTGACCTCATGATCTGCCAGCCTCGACCTCCCAAAGTGCTGGGATTACAGGCATGAGCCACCGCGCCCGGCCCCACACTAGTGATTTTTATGAGTTAATATTATTCCTGGAAACCTTTATAAACTCTTGTAATTTTTTTTTTTTTTTGAGACAGGGTCTCACTCTGTTGCCCAGGCTAGAATGCAGTGGCACAATCATGCAGCCTCGACCTCTTGGGCTCAGGTGATCCTCCCACCTCACCCTCCCAGGTAGCTGGGACTACAGGTGTGCACCACCACGCCTGTCCAATTTTATGTAAAGATGGCGTTTCTTCATGTTGCCCAGGCTAGTCTCAAACTCCTGGGCTCAAGCGATTTGCCCACCTCAGCCTCCCAAAGTGCTGGGATTACAGGCATGAGCTGTGATTTGGCCTTACCTCTTCTAATAGTTTTAATAGATTACATGTTGTTCTGTTGAGATTTATATGTGAACTATCACATCATCTGCAAAGAATGACAGTTTTCTCTTTTTTTATTCCAATACTCATTTGGATGGCAATTTTAATTTCTTAATGTCTTGTAACATTGGGTAACACCCCCGGTACTATATTGAAAAATAGCGCTAACAACAGGCATAATTGTTTTGCTTCCAGTCTGAAGGAGAGTCATCTGACATTTCTGAATTACATATTTTTTTTGCTGTGTTTTTAAAAAATGTAATGTTTATCAAGGTGAGGACATTTCTTATTTTTTATATTCTGAGAGTGTATTAATTTAAATCATAAATGGGCATGGAGGAAACACATTAAGAGAAACACCTGCCACTCAGGAACTAGGGAATCTGACCTAGGAGAGAATCACAGGGGATTCCTGGGATGATGGCAAGGGAGGACCTGGAGGGGATGGGGTGGTAATGCGGTGCTGGCCTGCGGCACTGCTGACGGTGTAGGTTAGTGACATACGGATGGCGTGGCCTCGGCTGTATTTCCTCCACCTGGCCTCACTTCATTCTCAACTACTTTCAAAGCCTTATTTCTCTGGCCTTCCCATTGGCTTTAGTAGCTCCCCAATAGCCAGCCCTCCAATATCTTCAATAAATTTCCTTAGGATGGCCAGGAACATTTTCTATTAACTGCACCAAAAACTTAGGTAATACAGAAAGTGAGTTACAGAAAGCAAACTGTTAAAGAAATGTGGGTTGTGTGGGCTTAGCAGTCTGACCTAGTAGTCACAAAAGGTCATGAAAATCCACTTAGTATTTAGGGACACAATGCTGATATGGCATAGGACAGCTTGAGGAAAAACAAAAAGAAACCTAAAAGTCTTACATTCTGAAATTGAGGCACAAAGTGTAACCCAGGGTCCTTTTGAAATGATAAAGTTCAGTCCTGCAGGTTGCTGAATTGTAAAGTCCATTGAGTTTACAGAATCTCAATATCACTTAGGTGAAAGTTAGAGCATTGCTCAAAACTCTAAGAATTAGATTAGGGATCTAGAAGAGAAGCCGAAGCATCTAGACTACTCTCAACCCCGCCTCCCCTTGCCCCCAGGTCCTCCTTACCAGCCCACATCCTGCCCTCATAATATAACCAGAATGACTTTCCTGGCATAAAGACCCTGAAGGCCTCTTGCTCAAGCAAGTTCCATTGCATGGAGAAATGGCTCCTCACTCACCAGTCCTTGCATGTTACCCTGACGATCTCTGAATTATCTTTGATTAGACTCAGATCTTCACATGTCTAGGGAATCAACTGCAAAGTCAAATCCTGGAATAGGCCAGCCTGGGCAACAAAGTGAGACCCCTGCATCAAAAAAAAAAAAAAAAAAAATCATTACAATAGAAAACTCTTGATAGCTTCCCTCACCATTGGCAAAAAAGCCAAAAGCAATAGCAAATCCATGAGGGAAATTCAGAGGATGTTGGCTGTTTGTGACCAAAGATGCATGGATGTTGATTCCTGTCATAGTCCTATTTAACCTCCAGTTTGACCAGCATGAAAAGTGGATGGATGGTAGATAATGACAGTGGATTATGACTCACCAATAATTACAGTTGCTTTTCCAGATGTGAGCTTTTTTGTTTTTTTTGAAACAGAGTCTCACTCTGTCACCCAGGCTGGAGTGAAATGGCGCAATCTCGGCTCACTGCAACCTCCGCCTCCCAGGTTCAAGCAATTCTCCTGTCTCAGCCTCCCTAGTAGCTGAGGTTACAGGCGTGTGCCATCACACCTGGCTAATTTTTTGTATTTTAGTAAAGATGGGGCTTCACCATGTTGCCCAGGCTGGTCTCGAATTCCTGAGCTCAAGCAATCCACCCACCTTGGCTTCTCAAAGTGCTAGGATTACAGGCATGAGCCACCGCGCCCGGCCCCAGAAGTGAGCTTTGTAGTGGAGCAAATCGAAACACACTCAGGCATATAGAATGCAGCTACAGATAAGGAAATTTTTTTTCTTAATCCCAAATTAACAGAAAACAACTGAGAGAGTTTTTTTGACCAAGAAGCACATCTTCTGTGTCTTGCCTCGAGGGTTTCAGTGGTCTGGCTCTCCGCAGCCATCTGCAGTGCACATTCCACAGGACACCATCTGAGACCTGCACCATCCCGCCCTTGAACATCCTTGCAAGTAAGGTTATATGACATAAATGAGAATGGTCCCACACTTTGAGAACAGTTTGGGTTTGGCTTACACACACTCAAGTCTCTGCCATGCCCCACCATGAATGGAGCTGTCAAGAATCTGGTGGATGAGACGATCCACATGACGAAATGAGTCAGCTGCTAACCCAGTGCTTGCTTACTGGACTCATGGATAAGATGGCAAGGAAGGCACTGCCCACTGGGGGTGTTAGCCGTGATTAATTCTGCGACAAGTAGCAGAAGGATATACATGGATGTGGGGCAGGCAGCGGTGACTGTAGAGTACATTTTTGTGGCTACCTAGTAGAAACACTCATCCTGTGCTGGATAATTCCCTGATTTCGGAATAACTGGCCCTTTCCTCCCAGTATGGCACGGAGTGGGCCAGATGCCTGCTGTCCACACTCCCTGCACCATGGCCTGTGGTGTGTCCTCCTGGGACTTGAATCTTGAGGGAGTGATGGAAAGATGGGGACGGTAACATTGTTCATTTGTGGTGGCAGCAGCCAGGCCAAGGGTCCAGGGCCTGTGTGCCCAACGGTCTCCAACTGACCCCTGCAGTGTAAGCATGACTGCCTGGCCCTTCTTCCTTCCCTACTTCTTCTTTTTTTTTTTTTTTTCTTGAGACAGAGTTTCGCTCTTGTTGCCCAGACTGGAGTGCAATGGCGTATCTCAGCTCACCGCAACCTCCGCTTCCTGGGTTCAAGTGATTCTCCTGCCTCAGCCTCCCGAGTAGCTGGGATTACAGGCATGCACCACCATGCTCAGCTAATTTTTGTATTTTCAGTAGAGACGGGGTTTCTCCATGTTGGTCAGGCTAGTCTCGAACACCCAACCTCAGGTGATCCATCTGCCTTGGCCTCCCAAAGTGCTGGAATGACAGGCGTGAGCCACTGTGCCTGGCCCCTTCCCTACTCCTTAAACTGGGGAGAGGTGGTGGGAATGACTCACCCTAGGTGAAGGCAATAAGAGGATACATTCTCAATAAAGAATTTTAAAGGTTGCCCTGCAACCTTTCCACATTCTGTGAGCTACCATGTCTCTTTTAAAAAATATCTCTTTTGGTGGAGAGTGGTGGCTCATGCCTGTAATTCCAGCACTTTGGGAGGCATAGGTGGGTGGATCACTTGAGGTCAGGAGTTCAAGATCAGCCTGGCCAACATGGTGAAACCCCATCTCTACTAAAAATACAAAAATTAGCCAGGCGTGGTGGCGCATGCCTGTAATCCCAGCTATTCGAGGCTGAGGCAGGAGAATCTGTTGAACTTGGGAGGCAGAGATTGTAGTGAGCCGAGATCGTGCCACTGCACTCCAGACTGGGCAACAGAGTGAGACTCTGTCTCAAAAAACAAAACCTCTCTTTATGATCAAGCCAACCAGTTGTTTTCTGAGGTATGCAAAAAAGAACCCTCTCTAACACATTCTCCAACCCAATACTGTGCATTTTTCTGTCTTCAGAGTGATCATTTAGGTATGAATTTTTATGAAGAAACTTTTGTTTGATCTACAGAAATTCCTTACATTTGACTTGTTTCATTTTCTTCTATTAAATTGCAGAAAATTAAATTTGACAGCTTTATTTAAAAATTGCATACATAATATCATCTGATTTTTGTGAAAATTTTTCTATTCTTCTGTCTGTGTTTAGGGATGCATTGAGTGTTGTTCGCTGGGTGCTACCTAATACTGTTGTTGGCTGATGGGAGTTAGGATGATAGTTTATGTTCTTTGTGTTTTTTTCTGTTATCACCTATATTTTTTAAAATTAATAATCATCTATTATTTGAAATAATAATGTTAAAAAAGCATATTCTTAAAAATTTAATAATGTGAAAGAAAGTAGATTACAAAACTGCAGGCCGGGCACAGTGGCTCATACCTGTAATTTCAGCACTTTAGCAGGCCAAGGTGTGTGGATCACTTGAGGTCAGGAGTTCAAGACCAGCCTGGCCAACATGGTGAAACCCCATCTCTACTAGAAATACAAAAATTAGCTGGGTGTGGTAGTATGTGCCTGTAGTCCCAGCTACTCGGGAGGCCGAAGCAGGAGAATCACTTGAACCCTGGAGGCGGGGGTTGCAGTGAGCTGAGATCATGCCACTCCACTCCAGCCTGGGCGACAGAGCGAGACTCCATCTCAGTCAAAACAAGACAAAACCCTGTATATTATGCTGCTGTGCAATTATATAAAGAAAAATGATTGGGAATAATTGCATTTAAATGTTTCTAGTTATTTCTGAGAATTGAGATTTTAGGTGAATATCTTTATTCTTCTTTTCTTTTTGAGACTGGGTCTGGCTTTGTCACCCAGTCTGGAGTGCAGTGGCATAATCTTGGCTCATTGCAACCTCCACCCACCAAGCTCAAGCGATCCTCCCACCTCAGCTTCCCCAGTAGCTGGGACCACAGGTGTGCACCACCATGCCAGGCTATTTTTGTTTTCTTTTGTTTTGTTTTAGTAAAGGCAGGGTCTTGCCATGTTGCTCAGGCTGGTCTCGAACTTCTGACCTCAAATAATCCACCCACCTCGGCCTCCCAAAGTGCTGGGATTACAGGCATGAGCCACTGCACCTGGCCTATAGGTGATTTTTAAAATAGCTTTTATAAATTCTAAGTTTAAAAAAGTTAATATATGTATTACTCCTTTGTATTAGGTCAGGGTTTTCCAGAGAAATGGAACCAATAGGATCTGTGTATATATATATATAGAAAAAGATTTATTATAAAAAAAAATTGGTTCATACAATTGTGGAGGCTGAGAAGTCCCAAGATCTGCATCAGCAAAAGCTGGAGACCCAGGAGAGGTGGTGGTATCTATAGTCTAAATCCAAAGGCAGGAGAAGACTGATGCCCCAGCTGAAAGGCAGTCAGGCAGAGAGAGCACATTCAACCTTCATCCACCTTTTTGTTTGACTGAGGCACTCAACAGATTGATTTGATGATCCCACATTGGGAAGGGGCAACTGTTTCCCTCTCTCCACCAATGCAAATGCTAATCTTATCTGAAAACACCCTCACAAGACACACCCAGAATAATGTTTAACCAAATATCTGGGTACCCCATGGCCCAGGCAAGTTGACAAATAAAATTAACCATCACACTCATTATAATGAAAAAAAAGTCACTGAAAACACACAGAGTGATCTTTCAAAAGAAGCATTTGGACAAGTTGAGTGGCTGTTTATTTGAAAATTTTTACCAAGTGTTGGGGGAGGGAACCACACGTTGAGACCTTTCTCAAGACATCAGTAAATATTCTAGATAACCTCACATCTTTGTGTTTGTGGAGGGTATTCAGTATCAGAAGTGGCGAGGTAGAGAGTCCTGGGATCCAAGCAACCTCTGTTTTGATTTTAATAGCTTCTGTTCTTGGAGTTCCCAGGGTCAGCCTGCTATGGCACTGGGTACTTTTTTAGATGTGTGGAGGGGGTATGACTCCTGTCTCCAGATGAAGAAACAAAAGGTCCAACACAAATAAAGACAGAAGATTTAAACCCAAGTTTGAGTCAGCATTTGAAAGGAAAATAAAGAATGGTTGCTGAGGTGGTTGAGAACTTGTTTCCTGGGTCTGAAGCTCCATCTCCTGTCTCTCTTGGATGCTGGACAAGAGCTGGTGGAATTTTTTCTTTCTAATCAGGGCATTTTTATTGCAACACACACATGTATAAAATTGCAATGTATTTTATATATCCTTCAATGGGCTTGAAATATTAATTTCCCAGCTATTTTACATAAAATTGATCATAGGAGCTCAGAGATTGGAAAACAAGGAGTAATGAGTGAAACAGTGAATTATATACCCCAGGGCTGCTGTCTACCTCCACTTCCAGGGCAGGTGGAGAACAGTCACTGTGGCGGGGAAGTATGTCTTTGTCAAAATTCACACTGTCCCATGTCTCCTAAATAAAAATCATCTATTAAATCTTGCAACATAGCCGTTTGCTTTCAAACAGGGAGTCTTGGGGATTTCCCATACTTAGAATTAAATTAAAACAATCTATTCTATCCCGCCAGATGTTCTGCTTTTGTGTCTGGACTATGTGAAATTGTGAGGAGAAGCAGCATTTCTGCCAAGTGCCAACACGTTTTAAACACTGAAGCAAGATAGGCTCTAATTTGCCTTAAGACTCAGTATTTTTTATTCAGCAGGTAAGTTTTTAGATTCTTAGACTAATGACAAAGAACACATCCCAATTCTTAGCCTTCTTTTTACCACTGGCTACACTAATACGATTTTAAGCACATTTTAACTTGTAGCTGGTAAGGTATCCTCCTAGTCCACACACCTGGGGTTTTAGCACATTTAATTTCTTCTACAACTTCCCTCCTAGACATGGCCCACTATCTTCCTCATGGCAAAACTTGTTTATGACAAATCTTTTATGACACTGAGTACCACTGCTTATGACACTCAGAATTCATGGTTTTGAGATTCAGAAGTCTTTTCTTCCAAACTATTATTTCTGCTGAGACCTTCAAAGTCCATTTTAAGACTCAATGTACTATCTCCATAGATTTCTCCCACCCCCTCCTCTAGGGCAGTGTTCTGTGTGGGAAATGCATGAGGGGAAAAGAAAAGGCACAGACAATACTTTTAAGGGTAAACAGCCTTTATCCCAAGTATATCGCAATACACGTATAATAAGCAAATGATATAATAAGCAAATTGCAATGGGAAGGGGAGACGGGAAAAGATATATATGTATATATATATTTACACTCACCAGACTATGGAGGATTCATCACCAGACCAGGAAGCAACAGCCTGGGCTCCAGAGTCGGCCACCAGTCTGTGCACAGACGAGGAGAGGTCTCATGGGTCTTTGGTGCGGTCTGGGACCCTAGCTCTTTTTGTAACAAGTTGTTTGGCATGAGGCCCAGTCATGAGGGCCCTTTGTGACTGGGCTCAAGGAACACAAAAAGGTCAACTTGTTTTTGCGATTGTCTGTTGTTTTTCAGTAAGTAACACATAGGAATAGTTTGAAATAGAGATTTCTCCGAAACAGGGCAGGATAAATGCCTCAAGGGACTCACACAACCTGTTCCCGGACTTGGTGACCATTGTTTGTGTCCACATTCAATTGAGTTCAAATTTAATATTTAACTTTTCCTCCACAGGCAGGAAGTGAGGATGTCAGCCAGGAAAAAAGGAATGACTGGATATGAAAAACATACTGGCCAATGTCAAACTAGACCAAAGCATTCTTTGAGTTTTGCCAACTTCATGAGTTTTGAGTTTTGAGTTTACTAAAACTCATGAGAATGACTTTACTCAATTTCAGTACTAGCAAAGGACTCCAGGTATCAGAGGTGAGAGAAATGAAATATGAAGTGAGACTATATGTAATATAAACAGAAAATTCTTTTTTTTTTTTCTTTTGAGATGGAATCTCGCTTGTTGCCCAGGATGGAGTGCAGTGGTGCCATCTTGGCTCACTACAACCTCTGTCTCCCGGGTTCAAGTGATTCTCCTGCCTCAGCCTCCTGAGTAGCTGGGACTACAGATGCCTGCCACCATGCCCAGCTAATTTTTGTATTTTTAGTAGAGATGGGGTTTCACCACGTTGGCCAGGCAGGTCTTGAACTCCTGACCTCGTGATCCACCTGCCTTGGCCTCCCAAAGTGCTGGGATTACAGGTGTTAGCCACCACGCCTGGCAGAAAATTCTTTAGTTCAGCATCAAAGCAGGAATTATTACAGCATTTATGGATATTTAGTTTTATTTGATACACTTGGATGCAACTTTACTCATTACCATTTTTAAACCCATGTTTGAAAGTTTTAAAATTTGGGTAGAGGCAGAAAGAGGAGGTTGAGTTGGAGATGCTGGGGGTAGTCAGCAGCTCAGTCATCGGTGCTTGTGGGCTTTGTTTGATCCAGGCCTTGACTCTCTCTGGAATGGGAGGCTTCGACGTCAAGAGGGAGCTGCTGCCACCCGTAGTTCTGAGCTTGAAGTTGCTAGGACTTCTTTCAAACTTGTGTGCTGAAGAGACTCAGATGTTGGTCTCAGCTCCTAGGCTGAATTCAGCAGATCGGCCCATGAAAAATCCTATATTGAGACAAAGCAAAGGATCTGTCAGAAAGCAACACCTATTGTCCTGGGCTTGACACCAAGGAAGAGGACAGGTAGTGGAAATCCTGCAATCTGAAAAGCAGACAGAAAGGTGACAAAGCAGCTGAAGATAGGTGGTGGAGAGAGGAATAACAACCCAGCTCCTCCATCTAGAAAGGAGAGTAAGAACTACCAGTAGCTTAATAGAAGACCAAGGATCAGAATTCCCCGATGAAGACTGTTTGTAAGAAGAAAGAGGACAGGGTTATAACTCATCAGCAACTGCCTGGCAAGCCATGCAAGATAAGGGGACTAACAAAACTTTTCCAAATAATCAAATTGGAGCTCTAGTTTGTCAAGTCCCAGCTTACTCTAAGATCTAAAGTTATGGCCAGGTGCAGTGGCTCACACCTGTAATCCCAGCACTTTGGGAGGCTGAAGTGGGTGGATCACCTGAGGTCAGGAGTTCAAGACCAGCCTGGCCAACATGGTGAAACCTTGTCTCTACTAAAAGTACAAAAAAATTAGCCGGGCATGGTGGTGGGCAACTGTAATCCCAGCTACTCGGAAGGCTGAGGCAGGAGAATCGCTTGAATCCGGGAGGCAGAGGTTGCAGTGAGCCAAGATCACACCATTGCACTCCAGCCTGGGCAATAAGAGTGAAACTCTACCTCACAAAAAAAAAAAAAACCAAAAATCTGAAGCTAACCAGAATGATGCCAGAGCCAAATGCAGTGAGCTGCCATCACCAAGTATTCTTCCCTAACCACCAAACCACTGGGTTCCTGATATGGTTTGGATCTGTGTCCCCACCCAAATATCATGTAGAATTGTAAACACCAATGTTGGAGGTGGGACCTGCTGGGAGGTGATTGGATCATGGGGGCGGATTTCCTTCTTGGTGCTGTTCTTGTGATAGCGAGTGAGTTCTCATGAGATATGGTTGTTTAAAAGTGTGTGGCATCTCCTCGCCTTCCTCCTGCTCCTGTCATGTGAAGTGCTTGCTCTCCCTTTGCCTTCCAACATGATTGTAAGTTCCCTCCCCAGAGGCCTTCCCAGAAGCTGATGCCACCATGCTTCCCATACAGCCTGCGGAACTGTGAGCCAATTAAACCTCTTTTCTTTATAAATTACCCAGTCTCAGGTATTTCTTTATGGCAATACAAAAATGGACTAATATACTTCCTATTGCCTTTAATCCTTTAGATAAGAAAATAAAGACATTTGAACGTAAAATCTAAAGTGCAGATATAGGCCAGGCGCAGTGGCTCATGCCTGTAATCCCAGCACTTTGAGAGGTCGAGGCAGGTGGATCATTTAAGGTCAGGAGTTCAAGACCAGCCTGGCCAACATGGTGAAACCCCATCTCTACTAAAAATACAAAAATTAGCCAGGTGTAGTGGCACATGCCTGTAATCCCAGCTACTCGGGAGGCTGAGGCATAAGAATTGCTTAAATTCAGGAGGCGGATGTTGCGGTGAGCCCAGATCATGCCATTGCACTCCAGCCTGGGCAACAAAAGCGAAATTCCATCTCAGAGTGAGATCCTGTCTCAAAAAAACAAAAAGTGCAGATATAAAATAAGATAAAGTACTTATGTTTAAATTTAATTATGTTTACAGATAGTTGTCAATTGGTCTGAAACAAATTCACCAGGGAATTAATCTATTTGCATAGAACTGCTAATTAATGTAAAAAATATGCCCGGGTGTGGTGGCTCATGCCTGTAATCCCAGCACTTTGGGAGGCCGAGGGAGGCAGATCACTTGAGGTCAGGAGTTTGAGACCAGCCTGGCCAACATGGTGAAACCCCGTCTCTACTAAAAACACAAAAATTAGCTGGGCATGGTGGCATGTACCTGTAATCCCAGCCACTTGGGAGGCTGAGGCAGGAGAATCACTTGAACCTAGGAGGTGGACATTCCAGTGAGCTGAGATCATGCCACTTCACTCCAGCCTGGATGGTAGAGCAAGACTTCATCTCAAAAAACAAACAAACAAACAAACAAACAAACAAACAAAAATATATATATATATGTACACACACACATAATTAGACTTCATCTCATCTGCTTTATGTGTTGCTTTATGTGTTGGGTGCACTGTGATGTAATGGTAGCATCAGTACAACTTAAAGTAACTAAATTAATAATTGTACTTGATATTAAATGTTCTCAACTGAGTAACTTTTAAGTGAAACCATTCATGTTTAGACCTAGGGAGTGGTAAAAGAACCAACTTTTTCTATTGTTGGGTTGAGGAAAATAGTAATATAAGATTATCAGTCATGGACAGTAAATTGCTGAAAGTTGCTGAATCAGATTATAAGCATCTAGCTAAGAATATAAAGATTGAGAAGTAGGTAAACATCTAAATGTTCAGTATACTAGAAATACCCAAGACGGTAATATGCCAACAACTTGATGTACTGTAAAATAAAAAGATGAAGTTTTCCTAATAGTTGCATTTTAGTAAACTGTACAGTGATGAAGGTGGAAAGGCCACTTGGGGCTCATTAGAATGAGGCACAGTATACCCCAATAGCTCTCTTTCTTAAATGCAGTGGATAGGTGTCTGCCAACAAATACACCAAAACCATTTTTACAGAAACATTATTTAATAGTGACTCAACAGCTTTCAAAATACACTTTTGTATTATAGCACTGCACAAGCTATTCTTTTTTTTTTTTTTTTTCAGAGTCTTGCTCTGTCCACCAAGCTGGAGTGCAGTGGTGCCATCTCAGCTCACTGCAACTTCCGCCTCCCGGGTTCAAGCAATTCTCGTGCCTCAGCCTCCCAAGTAGCTGGGTTAACAGGCATGGGCCACCAAACTTGTCTAATTTTTGTATTTTTAGTAGAGATGGGGTTTTGCCATGTTGGCCAGGCTGGTCTCAAACTCCTGAGCTCAGGTGATCCGCCTCCCTCAGCCTCCAAAAGTGCTGGGCTTACAGGTGTGAGCCACCATGCCCCGCCTGCACAAGCTATTCTTATGGTGATTTGGCCTCATTGTTTCTGCAAAGCTTGCTTTGGGGAGAGGACACTTACTTTGGGGAGTTGTATAATGTGAAAATTTTAAGTAACTAGGGAAGAAAGAGCCATGTAAATACATGTAATAAACTTGTAGCATATGTAAAGTTTTCTTGGCCTTTATCCTACAAGAATGAGATATTTTAGTATGAATTTGCTGAATGTAAGAGCGTGGACTTGTTTTTTATACTATGGCCTACTTTTAAAGGTCCAAAACAAATTTTTAAAAAGTTTGCCCTTGTGCTAAAGTGCCAGTGTCTGTATATTATACTTGATTTGGTTGTAAACTATATTTCCAAGTAAATCCTAGTGTAATAAGTTTTAGAGGTAAAAAGGCTTCAGCTGCTAAAACACTATTTGTAGGAGATGTGAAATGTAGTATAGGACAATTTTTTTTCCTTCTCTAAGCCCAAAGATGTACCACTAACGGGTCCCTCCAACCTTAAAGGTTCCCTTTGGCTTTCACCAAGTCTTACAACCTATGATACAAAGATAGTTTAGAGTATGGTGCCAGCAGTGTTTGTTTTTCATTTGGTCAAGAATAAGCGCAACCCAGGGCACCACTTATGCAAAAGATGTAAACTCCTGCATAATACCTTGATAGGATGTTTCAACAACCTTAAGGGTAAATGCTATATATAAGTTAACCCAATAGCAGGTTAAAAGAAAAACGTATGTGGGTAAATCTAAAAATTCTGATTGTAACAAAAAGCTGGTTCTTTGAAACAATAAAATTCATAGATCATTAGTGAGATTAACCAAGAAAAGAAGACAGAAGATCCAAATAACCTCAATTAGAAATGAAACAGAAGGTATTACAACTGATATCACAGAAATACGAAAGATTTAAAGGCTATCTTGAACACCTGTATATGCAGAAACTAGAAAACCTAGAGGAAATGGATAAACTCCTGGAAATGTACAACCCTCCTAGATTAAATAAGGAAGAAATAGAAACCCAGAAGAGACCAATAACAAGCAGTGAGATTGAAGCAGTAATTTAAAAAAATTGCCAACAAAAAAAAAAAGTCCAGGACCAGATGGACTCACAGATAAATTCTAGCAGACATTCAAAGAATTGGTACCAATCCTACTGAAACTATTTCAAAAGATAGAGACAGAGGAACTCCTCCCCAAATCATTCTATGGAGCCACTATCACCCTACTACCAAAACCAGGAAAGGACATAAGAAAAAAGAAAACTACAGACCAATAT
The DNA here is from genome assembly GCF_000001405.40 of Homo sapiens. Lineage (NCBI taxonomy): Eukaryota > Metazoa > Chordata > Mammalia > Primates > Hominidae > Homo > Homo sapiens. Next base: position 88,071,028 of record NC_000009.12, read on the forward strand.
CCCTGATGAATATAGATGCAAAAATCTTCAACAAAATACTAGCTAACTGAATCCAGCAGCATATCAAAAAGATAATACATCTTTTTGATCAAGTGGGTTTCTTCCCAGTGATAGAGGGATGGTTTAACATATGCAAGTCAATAAATGTGATACATCATATAAACAGAATTAAAAATAAAAACTGTATGGTCATCTCAATAGATGTAGAAAAAGCATTTGATAAAATCCAGCATCCCTTTATAATAAAAACCTGCAGCAAAATAGGCATAGAAGGGACTTACCTGAAAGTAGTAAAAGCCATATATGACAAACCCATATGCAACATCATACTGAATGGGGGAAAGTCGAAAGCATTCCTCTGGAGAACTGGAACAAGACAAGAATGCCCTCTCTCACCACTTCTATTCAACATAGTACTGTAAATCCTGGCCAGAGCAATCAGAGAAAAGAAAGAAATGAAAGGCATCCAAATTGGAAAAGAGGAAGTAAAACTCTTGCTATTTGCCAATGATGAATGTATACTTAGAAAACCCTAAAGACTCATCCCAAAAGCCCCTAGATCTAAAAAACAAATTCAATAAAGTCTCAGGATACAGAACCCATGTATACAAATCAGTAGTACTGCTATATACCAACAACGACCAAGCTGAAAATCAAATCAGATTAAGAACTCAATCCATTTTACAACAGCTGCAAAAATAAAATACTTAGGAATATACTTAACCAAGGAGGAGAAAGATCTCTACAAGGAATACTACAAAACACTGCTGAAAGAAATCATAGATGACACAAACAAATGGAAACACATCTCCTGCTCACGGATGGGAAAAATCAATATTGTGAAAATGACCATACTGTCCAAAGCAATCTACAGATTCAATTCAATTCCCACCAAAATATTATCATCATTCTTCTAGAAAAAGAAAAAGATATCATGATCATCTAGAAAAAACAATCCTAAAATTCATATGGAACGAAAAAAGAGCCTGCATAGTCAAAGCAATACTAAGTGAGAAGAACAAATTTGGAGGCACCACATTACCTGACTTCAAATCATACTACAAGGTTATAGTTACCAAAACAGCACGGTTCTGGTATAAAAATAGGCATGTAGGCCAGGCGCAGTGGCTCACGCCTGTAATCCCAGCACTTTGGGAGGCCGAGGTGGGCAGATCACAAGGTCAGGAAATCAAGACCATCCTGGCTAACATGGTGAAACACCGTCTCTACCAAAAATACAAAAAATTAGCCGGGTGTGGTGGCAGGTGCCTGTAATCCCAGCTACTGGGGAGGCTGAGGCAGGAGAATCGCTTGAACCCAGGAGGCAGAGGTTGCAGTGAGCCGAGATTGCACCATTGCATTCCAGCCTGGGAGACAGAGCGAGACTCTGTCTAAAAAAAAAAAGAAAAATAGGCATGTAGACCAATGGAACAGAATATAGAACCCAGAAATAAAGCCAAATACTTACAGCCAATTGATATTTGACAAAACATACAAAAACATAAATTGAGGAAAGGACACTCTATTCAATAAATGGTGCTGGGAAAACTGGCAAGCCACATGTAGAAGAATGAAACTGGATCCTCATCTCTCACCTTATACAAAAATCAATTCAAGATGGCCAAACACTTTGTATTAGTCTGTTCTCACATTGTTATAAAGAAATACCTGAAACTGGGTAATTTATAAAGAGAAGAGGTTTACTTGGCTCATGGTTCCACAGGCTTTAGAGGAAGCATGATGCTGGCATCTGCTCGGCTTCTGAGGAGGCCTTAGGAAACTTTCAGTCATGGCAGAAGGCAAAGGGGAAGCAGGCACAGGCATGTCTTACATGGCTGGAGCAGAAAGAAGAGAGAGTGAGATGGTGGGGAGGTGTCACACACTTCTAAACAACCAGATCTCCTGAGAACTCTTACCATGAGAACAGCACCAAGAGGATGGTGCTAACCCATTCATGAGAATGCCACCCACATGACTCAGTCACCCTTCATCAGGCTCCACCTCCAACACTGGGGATTACAATTCAACATGAGATTTGGTGCGGATCCGGACACAGATCTAAACAATATCAAACTTAAATCTAAGACCTGAAACTATAAAAATTCTAGAAGATAACATCAGAAAAACTCTTGTGGACATTGGCTCAGGCAAAGAATTCATGACTAAGACCCCAAAAGCAAATTCAACAAAAACAAAGATCAATGGGACCTAATTAAACTAAGAAGCTCTGCATAGCAAAAGAAATAATCAGCAGAGTAAACAGACAACCCACAGAGTGGGAGAAAATACTTGCAAACTGCATCCAACAAAGGTCTAGTATCCAGAATCTACAAGGAACTCAGATCAGCAAGAAAATAATAATAATAATAATAATCCCTTCCAAAAGTGGGCAAAGGACATGAATAAACATTTCTTGAAAGAAAATATACAAATGGCCAACAAACATGAAAAAATGCTTAACATCACAGATCATCAGGGAAAAGCAAATGAAAACCACAGTGAGATGAAACCTTACTCCTGAAAGAATGGCCATAATTAAAAAGCCAAAAAACAACAAATGTTGGCATGGATGTGGTGAAAAGGGAACACTTTTACACTGCTGGTGGGAATGCAAATTAGTACAACCACTATGGAAAACAGTGTGGAGATTCCTTAAAGAACTAAATGTAGAACTACCATTTGATTTGGCAATCCCACTACCGGGTACCTACCCAAAGGAAAACAAGTCATTATATGAAAAAGACACCTACACACGCAGTACAATTCACAATCGCAAAGACAAAGAACCAACCTAAGTGCCCATCAACCAATGAATGGATAAAGAAAACGTGGTACATACACACCACAGAATACTACTCAGCCCTAAAAAGGAATGAAATAATGTCTTTTGCAGCCACTTGGATGGAGCCTGAGGCCATTGTTCTAAGTGAAGTAACTCAGGAATGGAAAACCAAATATTGTATGTTTTCACTAATAAGTAGGAGCTAAACTATGTGGATGCAAAGGCACAGAATGATATAATGGACTTTTGACTCAGTGGCGAAGGTTGGGAGGGGGGTGAGGGATAAAAGACTACATATTGGGTACAGTGTACACTGCTCGGGTGCACCAACATCTCAGAAACCACCACTAAAGAACTTATTCACATAACCAAAACCACCTATACCCCCAAAACCATCGAAATTAAAAAAAATTTAAATTCTGATTGTTAATGCCCTATTTTCTCATTTGGCACATTTTTTGATGTTTATAAGCAGACAGCTAAGTTGTATTTCTCCAAATAAATTAAGATGAAATAATATTGCCCAAGTTAAATACTGATATCCTAAAGACAAGTTTACATAGCACTTAATGTACGTAATATAAATTTGAAGCATAAAATTAGAAAAATAAAATTTTCTCCCCTCCTTTCAAAAAAGTTTTAAAATTTAATTGTACCAAGACCTTTAGCAGCAGATTCAGTAATAAAAGTCATGAAGATTTAGGAAGATATTTAAAATATTGAAATGTAATTTAATCTGTATTAACTCATTTCCTAAATATAAAAGCATCTCAGATAATCAAATTGTAATATTTATTCAAGAAAAGAAAGACTATGTCACTGATCACTGTAAATATGTGGGGATTTTTTGTAATTTTACCTTGAGGCTAGTTTTCTTTTGATTTTACAGGTCTCTTAAAACATACATACACACATACACATGGACACAGACAAGCACACACAAACACTTGCACATTTGCACACACTTGCACATTCATGTGACATGTGCACACATACGGACATGCGCAGACATGCACGTGTGTGCACATGCCGGGCAGTGTGAAGGTGATAGATTATTTCAACAACTCTTCTATCAAGACAATACCAACTGTTATGCCAATCCAGGAATTCATGGGACAATTTTTAAAGGCAAAATTTAGGCTGGCATGGTGGCTCATGCCTGTGGTCCCAACACTTTAGGAGCTGAAGTGGGAGGACTGCTTGAGGCCAGGAGTTTGAGACCAGCCTGGGCAACACAGCGCGACCTCTTCTCTATAAAAAAATCAGCTGGGTGTGCTGGCACCCACCTGTAGTCACAGTTACTCAGGAGGCTGAGACGTGAGGATCGCTTGAGCCCAGGAGGTAGAGAGGCTGTAGTGTGCTATGATCACACCATTCCACTCCAGCCTGGGTGACAGAGAGAGATCCTATCTCAAAAAAAATTTTTTTTAACAATAAGCATTTTTAGATTTTTGGGGAGTTCCTTTCAAAATTCAAAATTTTAAGTAATAATACACTTATCGAGCTTCTGTATTTATCAACCTCGATTTCTTTTGCAGTGGCTTTCCATTATAAAAGAGGAAGGTTTAGCTGATTAAGGCTACTTGTCTTCTTCCTCCTACTTTGCTGTGCTTATTATTATACTTAGTTTTCCTATAGGTTAACTAGATTTAAGCAATATGCTTGAACTTGAATTTCTTGTTCTGTAAACTTAGACTGTATTAACTGCCACACCACGATGTGAATGAGGCTCTTAGCCCCCCTACCCTACCCTCTTTCCCCCCTGCCTCTGTATCTTATCTTCTTCCAGTTAGACACGTATTTATTTTTTTACTGATAGACTTTTTCTTCATTTTTAACAGCTGGTATTTTTAACATGCTACATATTTCACCCATTGTCAGTAAATCTGTAGAGTTGTGTAACCATCACTGCAATATAGTTTTAGAATATTTCCATCAGTTCAGTATACTTTTATTTCTCTATTGCCAAAGTAAATATCATTTAATCCAGTCCTCTAACCATATTTGAGTTTTCTGGGTTTCATCTATAAATTGATTGAATACGTAACACCAGAGTCTTATTAATACATTGTCTTGAAACATGTCCAGGGTAAAACTAAAGGCACAGAATTAATCAGAAAGCATTCCATTGAAAGTACCAATCAATAGAGTGAAATTAGACTTCAACAGCTGCAGCCTGTTACCGCCTAAGGATAGGTTGTATGAGGACTCAGGAGGACCTGTTGTTGAGGTTAGGATGAAATGTTTGTCTAAATTCCCTTGAGAACACCACGCTGTCCTGGGATAGAAAGCCAGGCTCTGCTCATTGCCCACTCCCCGCCTTCCCTCCCACCTCCCGCCCTTCTGATCCCATTAATTGCTCTTTTTGGCAGGGTCGAGTGGTGTCAAAGCAGACGTCTGCTCGGTGTGGCCGTATTTTTGTGAGCGGAGCTGCTTTTGTGAGCGCTGCGTCCCTGCAGCATCTCTGCACTGACGCGTGGAGTCGCCGAGAAGCTGCCTGGCGGCTCCAGCAGCCTCCACGCCTAGAGGGCTGCGCGTCCGGGATCGCAGCGCCTTAGCGTCTCCTTCCCGCCTCCCTCCGCCCTCCCGCCAGCGAGCGCGTGGCGCCCCGGAGGTGCAGGGTTGACCAGGGTGCACCCCTCTACTCCTAAGCCAACCTAGGCAGGGCCCTTCCAGTTTCTGCCGCAGCATTTCCAGCCCCTCGAGCCCCTGCAGCTCCTGAGGGTAGCTCAGCAGCCAGCCCAGCGCACCCTCTTCCGGGGCTAGCGCGCACTCCCTCGGCTCTGCTTGCGGTCCCTCGGTGTCCTTCTGCCCCTGGCAGAAGCTCTCACACCACCCTCCCTTCATTTCCCCTGCCGGGCGGGGCTCGCTATTCAGCTCCCTGTGCTCAGTCTGACCCCTCAGCCTGCTGTACCCGCAGGCTCTGCGGAATGAGCCCGGGCCCCAGCCCTTGCCCTCCCGCCCGCCACCACGTCCCTCCTCCCGCCTGGAGCTTCCAGGGCCCTGCCGCGGGCCCCTGCATCTCCCGCCAGGCCGTCTCTCTCTGCCTCCGTCTCCTGCAGCCCAGCTCCGCCTCATTCTCCATTCCTCGCCCAGAAACCTGTACATTCTGTCCGCGGTCGCCGCCTGCGGTTCCTCCACGTCACGCAGGCAGACGCCAGGCTCCGCCAGCTCACAGAACTGCTCTTGCCGAACCCCGAAGGCCTCCACCTGGTTGACCTTGGCAGCCAGCCCGGCCTTCCTTGGCAGTCAGCCCGGCCCTCCTCGGTCCTGACTTTGGGGCCGCTGCCTCCCGCCAGCTCTGTCTTCGCCTGGTTTCAGGGCCCGCACCGCCTTTGCCGGTACGGCCTCATGGCCCGACCCCTGGCCTCCAGACCCCAGGATCTCCCCCAACACACCGGCCCCTGCCCAGGCCACCCGTGTCAGCTCGGGGCACCTCTATCCTTGCACTTGTTCAGACCTCCAGTGACCTCTGAGTCTTCTCTCCCCCAGTTTTCACATCCCACCCTCCAGCGTCCTCCTTTCTCAAGAAGGATCTAGATTCCAACCCGCTCTCATCCCCCACGGTGCTACCTGCCAGTTCTCTCTGCCTCTAGGGTGTCCTTGCTTCCCCTCCTGGGCCTGGCTGGGATCCTTGTAATGTGGTGTGTGTGCTCCCGACGGTTGGCTTCCATCTATGAAAAGGCCAACATCAGGAAGCTGCCTAGGAGGCCGCCTGGCCCACGACCTTTCTAACCCATGTCCACCTACTCCCACCCTCCACCCGGTGATCATGGCCTCCCCTCCCCCCACCCTTCAAACCTGCCTCCAGGTCCCCCCCAGGGCCTTTGCACCAGTTAGTCCCTGTCTTAGCTCAGGGTGCCGTAACAGAATCCAGACGGGGCAACTTAAACAACAGAAACGCATTTCTCACAGCTCTGGAGGCTGGAAGTCCAACATCAAGGTGCCTATAGATTCCATGGCTGGTGAGGCTTCTCTCCTTGGCTTGCAGACGGTCTCCTTCTGGCTGTGTCCTCTCATGGGAGAGGGGAGAGGGGAGGGAGAGAGGGAGACAGAGGGAGCGGGGGAGGGGAGATATCCCTAGCGCTTCTTCCTGTTCCTATAAGGACACAGTTCTATTGGATCAGAGCCCACCCTATGACCTCACTTAACCTTTATTACCTCCTTATAGGTTCTGCCTCCAAATGCAGTCACACTAGGGGTTAGAGCTTCAACATACAAATTTTGTGAGGACACAGTTTAGTCCATAACTTTCCCTCTGCCCAGGTGGCTCTCCCTTGAATATCTGCAAGGCTGACCTGTCCACCCCTTGAACTAGGCCGTATGTCGCTGGAGTCCTCTTTACTACAACCACCTGGAGTTGGGGAAGTAGCCATCATGTAGGAAAAATTAGCCTGTGATTGTTGGTGGATGCTGGGTAGTATAAAACAGAGGTAAAACCAACAACAACAGACTAAAAAGCCCAGATGGCCACAAGTTCAGTTGCCATTTGTAGCAGGAGATGGACATTGGTGCATCCACCCGACACCACATTTCCAAGGATGCTGCATTCCCAAGTGAGCTGCCAGACCAAAATACAGACGGTGCTGATTTAAACATCTGTGATGAAGCAGTGAGCAGTTACACATGGCGAGAAGGAGGAAGGTTAAGGAGCTTTGAGAGGAAGACTTCTGTAGGCAGCCGTGTGCTGTGAGCCCCTCCTCCTGCCTTGTCAAGGGCTTGGGTAGGGGGAGCTTGTCTTCTTGCCTCAGGCTCGGTGAAGTTCAGCTCAACTGAACCTCTGGAGTTTGGGGGATGCAATGGCTGGGGGATAACTCCTGCCCAGGGAAACACAGAGGGCAAAACAGATGGGCTGGCAAACTGCTCCTTGGTGGGAAGGTGTGTGGGGAGGTGTTTCTAGGCACCAGTATGAGCCAGCTTACTTCTGGATCCATGTGAATGACATTTCTTTTTTCCCTTTGCTTCATCCCTCCACGTGCTCCAACCTGGGGGACCATGGAGCACTGTTGGCAGGTGAGCAGAGAAGGAACCAGGAAAGAGAAAAGGACCACATGAGGCCTTTCCAAAATCACTGTTTTGGAGAATGATTTATGTACAAGTTGCACCTATTTTAAGTGTGCAGTTGCTAAGTTTTGACGAATATGCACCACCAGAGAGGAAATTCAGAATGTTTTCATTGCCCCAGAAAGCTCCCTGGTCCTCTGCAGTCATACAGGATGCCCACAGGCCACCACATGCTGTTACTAAGGTGTGCAAAATGCCATTGCCTCCCTCTAATTTCAGTGTGCTTTCTTTGTTTTACTTTATCCGGGTCAAAAAAAACCTTGGGGCTGGAGGTGAGCAACTTTCAATTAGACCTGAGCCCTCCTACCATATTTTCCTTCCCTGAGGCCCCATGGACCTTCTTGGGACTTGTGTATTCTCTGCAGGAAGGGGACATATTGGGTTAGTTACCGTGTGTCCCACAGCCTGGCTCTGAACTTGGTGCTTAGCAGGGAAACTCAAACTAAGGTACAGACAAAACACCTCGACAGGCAGAGGAGGAAGCAATATCCAAGTTGTCAGGGAGAGGAGAGGGTTGGTTTGTAAAGGACTAGTCTATACACCTTAGAAAGTGACCCCAGCAAATGTGAGAAAAACATTGTAGAGTCACTGTTTTTAAGAGCTGCAAAACCAGCTGGGCACGTTGGTTCACGCCTATAATCCCAGCACTTTGGTAGGCCAAGGCGGGCGGATCACGAGGTTAGGAGTTTGAGACCAGCCTGACCAACATGGAGAAACCCCATCTCTACTAAAAATACAAAATTAGCCAGGCATGGTGGCACATGCCTGTAATCCCAACTACTCAGGAGGCTGAGGCGGGAGAATCGCTTGAATCCAGGAGGCAGAGGTTGTGGTGAACCAAGATTGTGCCATTGCACTCCAGCCTGGGCAACAAGAGCGAAACTCCGTCCCAAAAACAAAACAAAACAAAACAAAACAAAACAAACAAACAAACAAAAAAAAGAGCTGCAAAACCTTGACAGTCAATTTTGTCTCTCCAGTGGAGACTATTGACTTATTCATTTAATTCACTAAACAATAAATAATTACGGAGAATCTACTTCATGTTGGGTGCTGTTTTAAACATATGTGATCAAGCGGCGAGCAGATACACCTGGTGCCTGCCTTTATGAAGCTCGTAGTCTGATGAGGTTATTGATAGTAAACAAATTTCCATGGATATCCGTCAGTTTCCCCTCACATTCAGTGGCTTAAATCCACCACCGTTTTATTGTTGTACATGATTCTGTGTGTCATCTGGGCTGGAAGGGCCTTCCAGGCTGGGTCAGCTTGCGTGGTCTCTGCTCAGCTCTCTCCTCTGTCCCTGGTCAGTTAAGGAGTGGGCTGGCGCTGGCTGTTGGAGGATGGCCTTACACATGTGTCTGCCAGTCAGCAGGTCTTCTGCCAGGGAGCCTTAGCTCTTCTGCACATGACCTTCCAGCGTTCAGAAAGCTGATTAGGATTTGGTGGTCTTGGGCTTCCAGTCATAGCAAGAGAGTAGGCCCTGATGGACAAGCACTTTTCAGATTTCCTCTTGTATTCATGTTTGTGAATGACCCATTGGGCAAAGCAAATCACACCGCCGACTCCCATGCGTAGACTCTACCTCTTGATGGTGCGATCTGTAAGGTCACATTACGGGGGGGCTCCTACTTACTCTGGGGCATAGAGAAGCCTCCCATGTGCAAGTGGTATGAGTAGGAGGTTTCTGGGTGAAGGTTAGTGGGATCTGCAAAAAAGAGCATTTGAGGCAGAGGGACCAGAATGTGCAAAGGCCCTGAGGCACTAGAGGGCACCCAGCACTCAGGAAGATAATGAAGCCCAGGGTCAGGAAACTAGATATATCACCAGGGACTAAACCACACAGGGCCTTCTAGACCAAGCAAGGACTCTGTATCTTTTTTTTTTTTTTTTTTTTTTTTTTTTTTTTTTTTTTAGATGGAGTCTCACTCTGTCACTCAGGCTGGAGTGCAGTGGTGCAATCTCAGCTCACTGCAACCTCCACCTCCCTGGTTCAAGCGATTCCTCTGCCTCAGCCTCCCAAGTAGCTGGGATTACAGATGCACGCCCCCACGTCTGGCTACTTTTATTGTATTTGTAGTAGAGATGGGGTTTCACCATGTTGGCCAGACTGGTCTCGAACTCCTGACCTCAGGCAATCCGCCCACCTCAGCCTCCCAAAGTGCTGGGATTACAGGCATGAGCCACCGCGGCCGGCCCAGGACTCTGTATCTTAATCTCCGAAGGTTGGAGGCTGGTAATAAGCAGATTTGGGTTTGTCCAACCACCCTGCTTATAGGGCGGAGAATAGATGGTGGCTGAGCAGTGCATAAGGTCATGTGCAGGGTGAGCAGTGAGGAGGATATCAAGTTGGTCCAGGTGGGAGAGGATGGTTTGGAACAGGTGGGAGAGAAGAAAAGAAGCAGTCCCAGAGATGCTCAGGAGGTCAAATGAAGAACATGTATGAGACACTCGGCAGTTTTTAAAAATGGCCACAAATTCTTTGCAGCCCCTCCCATCAGGTGGGGAGTGGTAGGGGGTGTTCCCATCCTTTTTATTTGGGCAGGCTGCTCTGACCAACAGAATATGGCAGAGGTGACCCTATTTGTGATATTATGATTTCATATATTATATATATATATACACACACACACATATGTATACATATGAGTCCTAAACCAATATATATACACATATATATATACATACATGCACACATACATGTGTATATATGTGTGTGTGTGTCCACAGTTTCTGGCTTGTATTAATAACTCCCATAACCCTTGTTACAGTCTTTTGTTATAGTGTTGGGACACTTTGGGCCTCAGAGGCAGGCCTCAGGAAACAGAACCTCTCTCTGCCCTTCTCCTGCCCATCTTTCATCTGCCAAAGGCAGGACTTAATCTGATTGTGGGTCGAAAGACTCCCAGTCCAGAGAGGCCCCAGCTTCCAACCCTAGAGGAAGGAAGGCTACATAGAGAGGCCGAGAGAAGTCTGAACAGACAGGCAGGACTTGCCAGGTTTAGATCATGTGCTTTTTGTCCAATCACATTTTTACATGGTTGTCAATCATCCTAGGAAATGAGTCCTCCATAAAAACCCAAAAGGACAGAGTTTGGAAAACTTACCTCCAGAGAACTGAACACGTGGAGGCTGACAGGAAGGTGAGCAAGAACCCATCCACATGCCGGAAGGGTGGCACACCCCAACTCCACAGGGATGGAAGCTCCTGCCCTGGGGACCCTTCTAGACCTGCCCTGTGTATCCCTTCATCTGGGTGTTCATTTGTATCCTTTAACATATCTTCATAATAAGGCCAGGCGCAGTGGCTCACGCCTGTAATCCCAGCACTTTGGGAGGCCAAGGTGGGCGGATCACCTGAGGTCAGGAGTTTGAAACCAGCCTGACCAACATGAAGAAACCACGTCTCTACTAAAAATACAAAATTAGCCGAGGGTGGTGGCACATGCCTGTAATCCCAGCTACTCGGGAGGCTGAGGCAGGAGAATCACTTGAACCCGGGAGGCGGAGGTTGTGGTGAGCCGAGATCACGCCATTGCACTCCAGCCTGGGCAACAAGAGCGAAACTCCATCTCAAAAAAAAAACCAAAATATCTTCATAATAAACAGGTAAATACAAGTAAGTGTTTCCCTAAGTTCCGTGAGCTGCTCCAGCAAATTAGTGAAACCCAAAGAGGGAATTATGGGAACCCCACCCTGAAGCCAGTCAGTCTGAAGTTCCAGAGGCCTGGACTTGAAATTGATGGGAAGGAGGAGAGGGGGCTTGTGGGATTGAGCCCTCAACCTGTGGGATCTGATGCTATCTCCAGGTAGATAATCTTGGAATTGAATTAGAGGATGCCCAGCTGGTGTCTGCTTCTTGGTGTGTAGGGAAAAAAACCCTTCATTTGGTCACAGAAGTCTGCTGTGTTGATTGGTGGTGTGTTGGTGTGAGAGAAGAAAAAAATTAGTTTGTTTTTTCCCAAACACTATGGGATTTCTGATTCTGGACCATAGAAGACCACGCAGCTTCTGCCTTCATTATCAGACACTCACTCTCACAGCCGTGGGTCCCTGTGTAAGAAGAATCCACATCCACCTGAGGTAGCCATGCTGGCAGGAAGTCCAAGCTTCACAGAGAAGCCACACGTCAGAGCTCCAGTCCTAGCTCCATCCAGCATGTGGATGGGTTCTTGCTCACCTTCCTGTCAGCCTCCACGCGTTCAGCTCTCTGGAGGTAAGTTCTCCAAACTCTGTCCTTTTGGGTTTTTATGGAGGACTCATTTCCTAGGATGATTGACAGCCATGTAGAAATGTGATGGGACAAAAAGCACATGATGTAAACCTGGCAAGTCCTAGATGAGTTCAGCCTTCAAGTCAAAGCTTCACTCACTTCTTCAAGTGAATAAAGAAGCCTCTGGTGATTCCAGCCCCTGCCATTGGAGTCCTTTTACCTGTGATCCCAGACCTTGTAGGGCAGACAAGCTGTCCTCTCGGGGCCTGTTCAAAGTCCTGACCTGAGAATCCAGATAGCATTGTTGATGTAAAAGGAAGAAACTGAGGCAAAATTAAAACCAACAGTTTATTTGCGCCATGGTTGAGGGCTGTGCCCAGGACAAACTTCCCAGGTTGCCTTGGAGAGTGTTCTGGGGAACAAGGGGGAGGCTCTGGTTTTCAAAGAAAAAAGGATGAATCAGGAGAGGGGATATTACAAAAGTTGTTTGTCAGGAATTCTCATTGGCTTTCAGAAATAACATTGGTTAGTAATTAGCTACACATTGTTGAACCAACCATAGGATGTATGGCTTCGTTTTTTGTTTTTTGTTTTTTGTGATGGAGTCTCGCTCTGTCACCAGGCTGGACTGCAGTGTCGTGATCTCAGCTCACTGCAATCTCTGCCTCCCAGGTTCAAGCAATTCCCCTTGCTCAGCCTCCCGAGTAGCTGGGACTACAGGCACACACTACCACACCCAGCTAATTTTTTGTATTTTAGTAGAGACGGGGGTTTCACTATGTTGGCCAGGATGGTTTCCATCTCCTAACCTCGTGATCCGCCCATTTTGGCCTCCCAAAGTGCTGGGATTACAGGCGTGAGCCACCTCTCCTGGCCAGATGTATGGCATTTTATGGCTACTTGTTGTCAGTTAGCCTAGAGTCCACAAAGCAAGGGGCTTCAAAATATAACTATTTAGCTCAAGGGGGAGACATAAGACTGCTGTTTCATTCCAACACTTCTCTGGGCCTGATAATTTAAAGGGGCTCATATTCCTCGGATAAAAAGTTTGTTTTCTTCTTTTCTTTTTTCAGCATAATAAAATGGATGTTGTTTTACGCCACTGATTTTTTTAAAACTTTTAGTTTATTTATTTTTTAGAGATGGGGTCTTGCTCTATCACCCAGTCTGGAGAGCAGTGGCACGATCATAGCTCACTGCAGCCGCAAACTCTTGGGCTCAAGAGATCCTCCCACCTCAGCCCACCAAGTAGCTGGGACTAGAGGCACATGCCATCTCAACCAATATATATATTTGTATTCTTTGCAGCAGGGACAAAGATAAAGATACGAGAGGTGTTGGGGTGAGTTGCAGAGAAGAAGGCAATAAGTTCTATGGTCTCGTTTCCTGTCTGTTAAAATGGTTTTCGTGAAGGAGGTAAGATGTCAAGAATGACGTGTGAGACACTGGGAGCTCCTTTCTGGCTGGCAGTCAGTTGGAGCAGGGATTGGAAATGTGAGTGGACTAACCCTCCTGAATGGTGATGATGTGCCTGGGAAAGGGTCCTGATCCAGACCCCAAGAGAGGGTTCTTGGATCTCATGCAAGAAAGAATTTGGGGTGAGTCCATAAAGTGAAAGCCAGTGTATTAAGAAAGTAAAGGAATGAAAGAACAATGACTCCATAGGCAGAGCAGCCCCAAAGGCTACTGCTTGGCTATTTTTATAGTTATTTCTTGATTGTATGCTAAACAAGGGGTGACTTATTCTTGGGTTTTCGGGAAAAAGGGGTGAGCAATTCCTGGAACTGGGAGTTTCTCCCTTTTTTAGACCATATAGGGTAACTTCCAGATGTTGCCATGGCATTTGTAAACTGTTGTGGTGCTGGTGGGAGTGTCTTTTAGCATGCTTATGTATTATTATTAGCACATAATGAGCAGTGAGGACAACCAGAGGTCACTTTCATCACCACCTTGGTTTTGGTAGGATTTGGCCAGCTTCTTTACCACAGCCTTTCATCAGCAAGGTCTTTGTGATCTGTATCTTGTGCTGACCTCCTGTCTCTCCTGTAACTTAGAATGCCTAACCTCCTGGGAATGCAGCCCAGTGGATCTCAGCCTTATTTTATCTAGCCCCTATTCAAGATGGAGTTGTTCTGGTTCAAATGCCTCTGACAATGAGAGGGCAGATGGGGGCTGGAGGAGACCAAACCCCAGCAGCCGGGGTGTCCAAGGCCATTGGCTCTCGTCCCACCGAGCACTGGGTGGAAGTTGAGTCTATACTGGAGAGTACGATAGTGTATCTAGATCAAAGTGCTTTGAGTTCAGAACGAGGAAAAAGAGCCTTATGAAAAACGATGGGACTTAATTATTTTTCTGGACTATTTATCCTTCGTTTGTCTTTCTACATAAAGACAAATTCCAAAGAATATTCATTGATTCATTGATTTAAATAATTTTCTAGTGGGAAATTCAGCACTTAGTTTCTAGAGGAATGAAAGGTACATGCCTGAAAGGACTTCTCTCTCGTTAAAAAGTGTGATTAGGGGATTACCCAGAATGCTCTGCGTTGCATTTCCCTGTGGCTTTCATTACAGCCGCTCCTTCCTCAGCAGGTTCCATAATTATACAAATGTCTTAGCATTTCAAGTGTTTCATTATTCATTTGTTGCTCACCAAGATCACCTAAGGCCTATTCAGCTGCAGAGATGACTCGCTCAATTCACTGGCTGTGGGTTTAATTTTTGATTTGGGTCTTTTATGTTTCGTAGGAAAGATGAAAATGAAAGATAGCATTTTATGCTTGCAGACTTAGCTTTTATTCTTTATAGTCTTTATATGTGATCCTACAGACTGTTCAGTGCTTGATTCTAGTTGTACTTGCTTGCAAATGGTAGGCCCCATCATTGTAAGCAATTTTGTCTACTTGAAATATCTAATTTACTGTCATTCCTTCATCTAAGCAACAGTCTCTTCCCCATCCTTTGGGTCTCAAGGCCATGGTACCATCTGCTTCTTCTATTTAATCATTCTGTAATAAAATGTTCAGTGAAACTCATTTCGGAATCCCAATTTTGAATAACAAATGTTATTTATTTATTTATTTATTTTTTGAGACGGAGTTTCGCTCTTGTTTCCCAAGCTGGAGTGCAATGGCACAATCTCGGCTCACCACAACCTCCATCTCCCGGATTCAAGCAATTCTCCTGCCTCAGACTCCTGAGTAGCTGGGATTACAGGCATGCGCCACCACACCCAGCTAATTTTGTATTTTTAGTATAGACGGGGTTTATCCACGTTGGTCAGGCTGGTCTTGAACTCCCAACCTCAGGTGATCTGCCCACCTTGGCCTCCCAAAGTGCTGGGATTACAGGCGTGAGCCACCACGCCCGGCCAACAAATGTTATTTATATATAACTTCTAAAAAAATTTATACGGTGCTTCTCAGCGATATGTATATGGAGGAATGATTCAGTCATGTGAAACAGATAAAAGAGATAAATCCTTTTGACAAACAACAAGAAGCTAACATCTTTTCAGTGGTTTAATTAATCATTTGGCTGTTTTAATTGTCATTTAGAAGAGTTCAGAAATTCAAATACTTATGGAGTCAAGCAAATATAAATGTGTGTTGTGCTGGGATATATAAAACAATAAGAATGAAGTGAAACACACTTATAATCGCACCACATTTTTCGAAAATTAACCTTTTATTTAGAGAAAATTGTGTACTCACTTGCAGTTTTAAGAAATAATACAGAGAGATCCTGAGTATCCTTCACTGAGTTTCTCCCAATGGTAACATCTTGTAAAACAAGTATCACGGTAGGATGTTGATGCTGGCATAGTCAAGATACAGAACATTCCCAGCACTCCAGGGATCCCTCATATTAATCATTTTTGGCCCCTGGCTTTCCCATCCCAACCCTAACCCTGGGCAATCACTAATCTTCACTAGATTATTCCCCATTTCTATAATTTTGTAATTTCATTTTTTCTTTCTTAATTTTGTAATTTTGAGAATGATATATAAACAATCATATAGTACGTTACCTGTGGCTTTTTTTTTTTTACACTCAGTGTAACTGCCTTGTGATTCATACAAGTTGTTGCATGAATAGTTTGTTGATTGCTGAGAAGTAGTCCATGATATGGATGTACCAGAGCTTGTTTAACCATTCATCCAATGAAAAACCTCTGGTTTGCTTCTAGTTTTCGGTTGTTACAAATAAAGCTGCTCTGAGCATTCACATATAGGCTGTTTTTTTTTTTTTTGAGACAGAGTTTCGCTCTGTCAGCCTGGCCAGAGTGCAGTGGCACGATCTTGGCTCACTGCAACCTCCGCCTCCCAGGTTCAAGCGATTCTCCTGCCTTAGACCCCCCAAATAGGTAGGATTACAGGCGCCCACCACCACACCCAGCTAATTTTTGTGTTTTTATTAGAGACCAGGGTTTCATCATGTTGGGCAGGCTGGTCTTGAACTCCTGATCCCAAGTGATCTACCCACCTCGGCCTCCCAAACTGCTGGGATTACAGGTGTGAACCACTGAATTCGGCCACATATAGGTTTTTGTATGAACATAAATCTTCATATTTCTAGGATAAATACCCCAGAGTTTACTTGCTTGTTTGTAGATTAGTTGCATGCTCAGTTTTGTGAGAAACTGTCAAAAAACTTGGCCGAAACTATCCTGAGTGGCTGTCCCACTTTGCCTTCCCAGCAGCAGTGTGTGAGTGATCTGTTTTCCCAGCATTTTCACTGGCATTTGGTGCTGCCACTGTTTTGTATTTCAGTCATCCTGTTAGGAGTGTAGTGATATCTCATTTTGCTTACTTTACATTTCCCTAATGGCTAATGGTGCTGAGAGTCTTTTCCTGTGCCTGTCTGCCGTCTGTAGATTTTCAGTGAAATGTCAGCTCATGTCTTTTCCCACGTTCTGGTTACTCCATCTTTTAAAACAAGGAAAAGAAGAGGGTGGCACTTTGTGGTTTGTGAAGAGCCTGCCACATAGATGACCATCTCACAGTGACTAAAAACCACGAAAGCTTTTCTCTTTGAAGAGTTTTACCATGGCCTAGTGAATTGCCAATGCACTCAATTTAGTAATCACTGACATGCGCCCAGAGACAAAAGTAGTCCTTGTCTGCTGTCGACTGATGGACTCTGAAATCTAAGGTCGGGATCTCTCATAGCAAAGAAACAGAAAACACATTTGCTTTTATCCAGCTCTGTCCATGTCCTTCTTTCTGTAACCAGGCAGGGAGACCCCTGGGAGCTGTGAGAGGCAGAAGGAGATGAGGGAGCACATAGGCTCCAAATCCCTTCTCTTCCTCTTTCACACTTAAATTTTCACTTAGTTTTTTCTTTTTTCTTTTTTTTTTTCTCTCCCCATTTCTTGAAAGTTTCACTTCAATCCAGAGTGGTTACACAAGTAAGAATTCCCTGGTTTGGACCCCAAATCTGTATCTTTAGCAAGCATCCCAGGCCATTCTTATCTTCTGCTAAGCTTGGGAAACAGTACCTCATTCTGCTGTTTCTGAGCTATAATAAGGTAGGTTCTTTGGGAGATGGGCTATCAGGCCTCTGAAGTGTCCATCAGTGCCATTTAGTGCACACACTGTGGCCTGGTGTCCCAAGGTTAATGCCTGTGACCATGTCTATCAGCTCCTCTGTTAAAGTGTCCTGTTGTGATGTTCACGAACATTCTCAGAAGAGAGGTAGGAACAAGTCTTTTTCAATCGCACATGTCTGACTCATCTCATAGAGTTAAACTTTCTGCTTCCTTCCTCCTAATCAGGTTATGCACATAATAGGCTTTGTTAATTTAGAAATGTTAAATAACATTTCTAAAATAATTCTGCCCTGTGCCTTAGAAATACATTCTCAAAACAAAGGTGAATGGTCACTTGAAGTCCTAACCAGCTGAATGCACTAGCAAAACCTGTTAATGCTCTGCTGGGGTCAATTCTCATCATAGGCAGGTTTCGCTTGTTTGTTTGTTTGTTTTTGAGACAGAATCATGCTCTGTTGCCCAGGCTGGAGTGCAATGACACGATCTCAGCTCACTGTAACCTCCACCTCCCAGGTTCAAGTGATTCTCATGCCTCAGCCTCCTGAGTAGCTGGGATTACAGGTGTGCACCACCGCACCTGGGCTAATTTCTTGTATTTTTAGTAGAAACCGGGTTTTACCATGTTGACCAGGCTGATCCCGAACTCCCGGCATCAAGTGATCTGCCCACCTCGGCCTCCCAAAATGCTGGGATTACAGGCGTGAGCCTCCGCGCCCAGCCATCATAGGCAGTTTTAATGTCTGCCTTGAAGGGCCTGAGACAATAGCAATTTCACCCCCACCTCATGTTTTCCCATCAGGGCCTGGAGAAGGGCCCTGTTGGTGGCAGGCACAGCCAAGGACCCAGCTTTCCTATTTCTAAACTGAGAGATTTTGAATTGCTTCCTCCCTCTCTCAGTTGGTACACAACAATTCAGATAAGAGCTCCCTAGAATACAGAACCCAAATAAGCCACAAGGGCTTGTCCAAATTGCTGTGTGTCGTGGTCAGACAAGAACCCTGAGTTGAAAGGACTTTTCCAGACACATTCTTCAGTCCTCCAGAGTAAGTGTCCTCCCGTCCAGGTGCCTGTTCTCATGGCTCAAGGGGAAGGGACGAAGCATTCAACAGTCTTGTTTCTGGATGGGGACTGGGAATTTCCCCTCTATATCCCATGTCACTCAAACTATATGCAACGTGCTTCAAGCTGTCTTTCTCTGCCAGCAGCAGGTCCCCTCCCACTGTGGGAGTCTGCACGAAGGAGGGGACGCACTGCGTAGTGACAGAAAATCCGGGTAAGAAAAGATGACTGTGCAGGGAGAGGACTGGGGTCACAGGCTCCTTGAGAAGCATCAAGCTTATACTTTAGTAAAAAGCATTAAAGGTAAGTCACTGGAGAAACCAGGAATCCTAAACCGCTTTGCCTGCCTGCCAGCAGCCCTCACCTGCTGTGGGGTGCCGAGTCAGGGAGCAGCATCGAGACTTCAGAAGCCCATCGTGAAAATCCAGAGTGTTTTTATTGCCTCCTTGCCTGCATTTAAAACCAATCTATCCCCATCAAAATGGTGTTCAGGGCCTCCCATAGACCAGGAGGAATGCTCTGGCTGTTATGTCAACATTGTCCTTAGGCCTGTGAGGGTTGATCATCCCAACTGGGTCATTCTTGTCCTACCAAACTAAAGCAGAGATAAGAAGCGAGAAGCCAGTGGTTGGAGGGCAGGGGGGTGTGGGACAGGGCTGTGGGAAAAGCGCTCAGGGACCAAAACATTGCTCCCAGGGTGTCATCCTTTGCGAGTCTCGCTGCTGGAACTGCTTGTTGAAATCTGAAACCAGTTTTATCTCTAGCTTCTGAGATAACTTGCTGCAACTCTAGGACTAATTTTTCCCATTGCCATTGCTCAACAATCAGAGCTTGCCAGCTCTCCAGGAGCTTCCCAGTGTCAATGAACTTTCTCAAAGAACAATACGTAACATTGCGGAGCGTACCAGAGACCACCTGTTCTGTGTGTATGCCCCGAATTGTGATTCTCTCTTCCCAAATGAAACATTAAATTTAGATATTTGGGTCTACATTTATATTTTGACTTTGACAGGCTCTATGTATTTTACATTGTTACCATTCCATATCGATTCCTCTGTTTAAATTTTTTTTAAAAAACTCAAACCCTTGGCTGGACATGGTGGCTCACGCCTGTAATCCCAGCACTGTGGGAGGCTGAGGCAGGCAGATCACTTGAGGTCAGGAGTTTGAGAACAGCCTGGCCAACATTGTGAAACCCCATCTCTACTAAAAATACAAAAAATATCCAGGCGTGGTGGCAGGCACCTGTAGTCCCAGCTACTAGGGAGGCTGAGGCAGCAGAATCGCTTGAACCCGGGAGGCTGAGGTTGCACTGCGCCAGTATCACGCCATTGCACTCCAGCCTGGGCAAAAAAGAGGGAGACTCTGTCTAAAAAACAAACAAACAAACCCAAACCCTTTAAAACAATCCAAGAAATAGGCTAGTCACGGTGGCTCATGCCTGTAATCCCAGCACTTTGGGAGGCTGAGGTGGGCGGATCACAAGGTCAGGAGATCGAGACCATCCTGACTAACACGGTGAAACCCCGTCTCTACTAAAAATACAAAAAAATTAGCCGGGCATGGCGGCATGCACCTGTAGTCCCAGCTGGGGAGGCTGAGACAGGAGAATGGAGTGAACCCGGGAGGTGGAGCTTGCAGTGAGCTGAGATCGCGCCACTGCACTCCTACCTGGGTGACAGAGAGAGACTCTGTCTCAAAAAAAAAAAAAAAAATCCAAGAAATAAATTAGTAGCGTGATCTAAAAATGAGTCACTAATTCAAAATTGAATCCTCCTGAGATAATGCCTGCCAGGTGCTTAGAAGAGTGCCCAGGGTATATCAGGCACAAAGGGCTTACCAGCCATGGAGACTGTTAGGTTTCCAGATTATGAGGATGCCCATTGTAATTTTCACATTTGCTACAAGAGGTTGTCATGTGAACCTCACCTCGCCCCACGCAAACGTTGTTTAGCTATCAGCTAAGTGGACAATCACAACTCCATTAATATGATATGAATGGAAACCTTTCCATTTTAGTTACCATTTTGATTCTTCTGTCCAGTTTTTCTGTGTTAAACATATTATAAATATGAGCCTGTTTTCTAAATCTCAAAGCATATCTAAAATTCTCTTTTCTTTGAAGGGTATGAAATTCTAATCAGTTTTGGGAATTTGCTCATGTTGTCATTTATTTCACAAATACCTTCTCTGGAAAAGCCACTTTGTGTGGTTCTGATTTCTCTCTCTCTTTTCTAAATGTCTTTGATAAATTTAAGCATGTTTTTGTAGTCAGCCATTTCAAATAGTAAGCAAGGAATGAATTAAACACACACACATACTTTATTCTCTCAATCACAGGTCAGCAAATTTTTTCCATGAAAGGCCAGATAGTAAATATTTTAAGCTTTGCAAACCTCTATCACAACTACTCAACCTTGTTATTACAGTGGGAAAACAGCCCTAGACCAGTCCTGAATGAACGAGCATGGCTGTGTTCCAATAAAACTTTATTTTGGACATTTATTACAGTCACTAAAACTTGAACTTCACATACTTTTCACATGTCACTAAATATTCTTCTTCTCCCCACTGTCCTGCCCCCCCAGGCATTAAAAAATGTAAAAAAAACTATTTCTAGCTTATAGGTGGCATAAAAGAGGTGGTGGACTGTAGTTTGCTGCCTTCTGCTGTAAACTGTCGATGATTATGACCAATAAATTATTACTAATCGTTTTAGTGCTGTCACTAACAGTAAGCAGATGCCCACACAGCTAGATGACTTAGAGAAAGGGCCCCAGTGCTGAGGACATTTCCTCTCAACAAAGCCAGACAATTGAAAAATAGAAATTTTGATTAAAAATCTATTTTCTTCGGTTCCAATGATCTCTGTTTGTGGCTAGCTCCTGTTTGATTTCTGATCAGTAGTCTGGGATGGGCTATCTTACATGAACTTCCTGATGATCAGGAGATCTCTTTTTCTCTTCTGTATTCCTCATATTGAAACTGCCTCCCGCACTCCCCCCACGCCCCCCCCACCCCTCCGCAATTTTGTAAAATCAATTAAGAAAAAAGAAAATAAAATCCAACTAGGCTTGAAACAGCCATCTTTAGGTCGGCTTGCCCTTTGGCCCGCTTCTGGGTTGCCGTTCTGTGGATAAAGTCTGAGGCGCTGTGAGGCCATCAGCTTTCTGTTCGAGCTGCTTCTTCAGGTTCTGCTCAGCGACAGACACCAGCTGGTGTGGAGGGCCCAGGAGGAAGCTGGCTCAGGAAGGAATGCAGTTTCCACATCCTGATGATTTCATCCCCTCACCCAGACCAACTGACCATCCAAATTTCCCAGCCCCTCACCTCCACAAATCCCCTTAAAAACCTTTGCCCAGAACCCCTCAATGAAATGAGAGGCTTGAGAACTACCCCCCTTTCCTCACTGAGCACTAGTGATGACGAAACTGTTCTCTGCTGCAGCCCTCTACAGCTGTGTTTGTCTGTTGCACAGCAGACATGTGACCTGGGCACCATCTCACACTCTGACCCATGAGGCAGCCGCTGTACAGACTCGCCTCCTGGGCCCCTCTGGAGCCCCGTTTCTCTGCCGTCTGATTGCCTCTGGCCTGGCCCAGGTCTCTGTCAGCTCTAGCCTGCACATGGCCTGTGCACGGCTGGTCTCCTGGCTGTTTGTCTTCTTTGCTTTCTATCTACCTGCCCTTCACTCAACTCCAAAGGGAGCATCTGACCAGGACTCCTCCAGGTGTGAGACCCTGCCCTGACTTCCCTGTGGGTTGGGGGTATCTATTTCCTCTTCCTCGAAGATACATCTTGCCATTAGGTGACTGTGTAACTAATTCACAGGCAAAAAATGTGAATTTTTTTTTTTTTGAGACGGAGTCTTGCTCTGTCGCCAAGGCTAGAGTACAGTGGTGTGATCTCGGCTCACTGCAACCTCCACCTCCCAGGTTCAAGCAATTCTCTGCCTCAGCCTCCCGAGTAGCTGAGATTGCAGGCGCCCACCACCATACCGAGCTAATTTTTTTTTTTTTTTTTTTGTATTTTTAGTAGACGTGGGGTTTCACCATCTTGGCCAGGCTGGTCTTGAACTCCTGACCTTGCGATCCACCCACCTCAGCCTCCCAAAGTGCCGGGATTACAGGCGTGAGCCACCGTGCCCGGCCGAGAATGTGAATTCTTAATCCTCTTGTGCCTCAACTTCTTCTTCTGTAAAATGGGGCCAATTATGGGAGGACTGCCTGAGAGCATTTCCAGGTGCACTGAAGATGCATGAGAAATATTAGTTCCCTTCTCCTGTTTCTACTTTTTAGTCTCATCCCTGAGGCCAAGAGTGAAGTTGAAGAAGACACTTAATTCTCTGTGATGCATTCTTGAATAACGAAAAGCAAATATTGAAGTCTTTTATTCTCTAGCCTTAATAGCCTTGGTCTTTTTGACCACATTGAGACATCCTGGCTCCAGGTTCCTGTGCTTGAGGGCAGCTCTCTACCAAGGGTGCACCTGATGTAGCCCCCACTGAAGACCCAGCATCTGGAGCTGAAGGTAGCACCTTGAATGCAGTTTGGTCAGAGCCTTGTCTAGTGGGATTATTTTTCCCCTAACGTAATCAAATTTTCTAATAAAACACTCAGCATTACACCTTAAGGAATGAGAGAGCTGTAGTTTCTCAATTTGGTATATATATATTATATATATATAATCAATATATAATCAATCAGGTGATTGATTCTCTCACCTCAGCCTCCCGAGTAGCTGGGACAACAGGCACAAATCACCATGCTAGGCTAATTTTTTGTATTTTTAGTGAAGATGGAGCTTCGCCATGTTGCCCAGGCTGGTCTCGAACCCCTGAGCTCAAGTGATTGGCCTGTCTCGGCCTCCCAAAGTGCTGAGATTACAGGCATGAGCCACCACGCCTGGCCCCCAATTTGGCATATTTTAAAAGAAGGAAATGGGTAATGAAATCATTTTGAAAGAAAAGTGCCTGGAATAACTGTTTTGTACAAAATGTTAAAAATTTAATGAAAAAAAGAAGCTTTGTAGACAAATAGAGAGCTGGGAAGTGGCAGGAACTCTGATCATTATTTGAGCAAGCTCTTTGCTCCTGTGTCATGACTGACACCACAGCTTATCTTGATAGAGCTATGAGATGACTGCGCTCATGTGTTCATTCATGCCAAGAATCTTGTGATATTGCTACTAGCACCTTGAAATGCATTAAACTATAATTTTGATAATTTTCAATAAAATATATGACAACTTTATCAAAGGGAATGGGGGTCTTCTTGTTATAATAAATGTTTCCTTTTTGGTTTGTAATTCTGAAGGAGATATATGTCTTCAAATTTGACCCCCAGGAGACAGGCAGCTGGTGCAGCATAATCTCTCCCATTCTCCCATTCCTGCTGAGGAGAGGCAGAAGTCTAGATCGGGGGTCGTGAAGTAAGCTGTCAGCTGTGATAGCTTTGGAGCTGTTAACCACTGCACCAAGGCTAACCCTTCCCTCTGAAAGATTTTCATCCTGGGCCCACGAACCTGCCTCTTCCTTGCAGCTGTGTGACTGTCCCAGCTTGCTCATCTGTGGATATCAAGTCCTTCCCCAGCCTGTTGCTCTCACCACACCTATATCAAGACTGACCTGCTGCATATCTTCCCATCAGCTAGAAAATCACCACTGTGAGATCTAAGCTAAGAGTCCTCTTCTCACAAGAAGCAGCTTCCGTATCACGAGAGTTGTACAGCATGGTCACAGGTCAAGATGCTCAAGAACAGGGATCAAAATCCCCAGTGAGATGCCAACTTTTAGATAGGCTGGCCCAACCCAAAATGTCTGGCAGAACTTTCATGTTGTGTAACTTTGGGTCAAAAAAGAAATTCTGTGGCCAAAATTAAACTACATTTTTTTGTTATTGAAAGTACTGAGACTTTCTGCCAGGCGCGTTGGCTCACGCCTGTAATCCCAGCACTTTGGGAGGCTGAGGCGAATGGATCACGAGGTCAGGAGTTCGAGACTAGCCTAGTCAGCATGGTGAAACCCTGTGTCTACTAAAAAATTAGCCGGGCATGGTGGCACATGCCTGTATCCCAGTTACTCGGGAGGCTGAGGCAGGAGAATTGCTTGAACCCGGGAGGCAGAGGTTGCAGTGAGCCAAGATCATGCCACTGCACTCCAGCCTGGACAACAGAGCAAGACTCTGTCTCGAAAAAAAAAAAAAAAAGGAAGTACTCAGACTTTCATGAAATGTCTGTTGTTTGATTGAGAAAAAATTTTATAAAAAGATGAGACAAAAACGTCCAAGGAATTTTCTCTTTGGAGAAAATGTTTTCCAGTGGAAAACGACATGCAGAGAAGGCCTTTGGTGTGTTACTGGTGGGCTGATCCCAGACTCCCCAGTCCATTTTGAACAAGCATCAGTGTTGAAGCTTTGACCTCACTGTGATGTCAGGGAAGATGCCTGCTGGCCAGGGAGCTTTCTCCCAGACATTGCCACCTTAGCAAGGTCTCTACTGCCTAGTGTCCACAGTTATTTTCCATAGACCCATAGCTATAAACTCAAGTTAACCAAACTCTCAAGAGACCTCAAACACGAAATATATATATATATATATATATATATATATATATATATATATATATATATATATATTTTTTTTTTTTTTTTTTTTTTTTTTGCGATGGAGTCTCGCTCTGTCACCCAGGCTGGAACGCAGTGGCACGATCTCAGCTCACTGCAACCTCCACCTCCTGAGTTCAAGCGATTTTCCTGTCTCAGCCTCCTGAGTAGCTGGGACTACAGGCACACGCCACCACGTCTGGATAATTTTTTGTTTTTAGTTGAGATGGGGGTTCACCATGTTGGTCAGGCTGGTCTTGAACTCCTGACCTCAGGTGATCCACCTATGTTGGCCTTCCAAACTACTGGGATTACAGGCATGAGCCACCATGCCTGGCCCTAATTTTTTAAATTCGGAGTGAATAGAGGACCAGAAGCACAGTTCTGCTGTGTTGCACATTCTCTGCCCTCAATATGGGAAGTCCGTTATTCCTAGGAGGTTGTGCTGGGGTGGAGGAGAGGGGTGCATGAGACACATTAAAGGCATCTTCCCAGATGGTGGCCTCAGGAAGCATCTATGAATTGGAAGCTGAGAGCTGTGTCCTATTGTGACTGATGTGTCCGTCACTCCCATACGTGGACCTCAAGTTGGCCAGAACAGCTTCACTGTGCACTTGGCTGAAACACTGAAAAATCCGTACTGCAACTTGTAGGCCCCATTGTCTAAAGTACTCCCAGACCATTTCCCTTTCATTGGTGTCGATCATTCTGACAAGATGCAACATGTGTGTTGTGACTTCAGCTTCTGAGCGACAATCTTATTTTAGGCCTAACCATTGTTTCTCCTACACGATTTACACCCCTTGATCCTACCTGGATATTCCTAAATCCAGTGTCTATATAGTTAGAGATGATATTTCAGGGTAGTTCAAACTTCACTTTATGAGGATGGCCTTGTATTTAGCTTGCGTGGATGCCTTTCCTTGCTCAGCGCCCGGCAGCATTGATGTTATTTAGCTGCATCTTTATTTTTCATGGTTTGGAAGTTAGGGCATGTCAAACAATTTATTAATTTGTTTTTTATATATGCTGCTTTTGTTTCAGCATTGGTTTATTGCGGGTGGCATAATATTAGCAGTTTACAAATAAATCCTAGAAAAGAATGTGTGTATTCAGGCAGGGCTAAAGTAGGATGGAGACCACAGAGGGAGGGGGGCAGGGAAAGAAACAGAAAAACCCAGCACAGAAATCCTGGCCTTCTACTGGCCCATTAACAAGTTTATTTATATGAAGCGGGTCAGGCACAATTAAAGACATTTTCATTCCAACCCTCAGCAGAGTCAGTGCCTATTCCAAGTGGAGTTTATGTTCTGGGGGCAGGTGCAGTGAGAATGGTGCTGGGTCTGCTCTCTGGAGTTTTCACACATCTGGGATCCCCACTACAGTGTCCCTCTTGGTATCTCCCACCTGCCAATCAAATCTACATTTATTGTGTTATTCTGAGGAATAATTTTAATACCAGTTCTTGATCTCCTATCATCTAGGTAGAAATAGAGGTATTATCATTATTCTTCTGTCTAGTCATGCTTTTGAGGTCACAAATTTAGTATCATTGCATGTAGTTAATCTTCGCATCATCCCATGTGGACGTTGTCTCTCAGTGACTTTTATAAGAGACACACATGTTGCTTTCAGTCTGCACCAGCAGAGGGATCTTACTTTCTAATATGCTTGCGGTGTTTTGTTTTGTTTTTGAGACAGAGTCTTGCTCTGTCACCCAGGCTAGAGTGCAGTGGCATGATCTCAGCTCACTGCAACCTCCACCTCCCAGGTTCAAGCGGTTCTCATGCCTCAGCCTCCCTAGTAGCTGACATTACATGCTCGCACCACACCCAGCTAATTTTTTATATTCTTAGTAGAGACGGAGTTTCGCCACGTTGCCCAGGCTGGTCTCGAACTCCTGAGCTCAGACAATCCGCCCACCTCAGCCTTCCAAAGTGCTAGGATTACAGGAGTGAGCTACTGCGCCCAGCCTGCTTGAGTATTTTTATTTCACGTGTGCCTCCTGTAGGGGGTCAAGTACTGAACTTTTTTTTTTGTAATACTGGCAATGATCTTTATTTTTTTTTGAGTCAGAAGTTCTGCCTATTTGCATTTGCTGATATCAGGGACCCTCTTCTATCCCACTGTAGCTCTGTCTCTATGATTGACAGGCCATTTACTTCCTGCCACATGGCTTCCCTTTGCATTTTGTGAGTGGATCATGGGTGCTCACTGACTTGCTGGTAACTTTCTTCAAGGATTCAAGGTTAAAAAAAAATGCAAAAATCCATGCCACATTTTTCAAGGAACGACATGGGAAACATTATTGTCAGCCTGCATCCCTCTACTTGATTAGAACAGTCTCCATCTGGAGGAAAAGCCCCTCTGAGACTGGTGGTGCCCACTGTTTGCTTTCCAGGTGGCTTTGAGAATGGGAGGGGCCTCACCCTAGGCCCAGGTTTCCTCAGGACACCCAGTGTGGCATGGGTAGGACTGATGTGGGGACTGAGGAAAGAAAGAAAAGAAACCAAAAATGCATCTTCTTTGCCAAATCACTCTCTGCTTTGACCCATCCCCTACCTTGTCTTTGGATCATCGGAGACATGACACTGAAATAGAATCTAAAATGAAGTTACACGTAAGCAACAAGCCCACCTGGAGGGCAGTGTCAGGTGTGGACAGAAAGGGGATGTTTCTACCTTCATCCTCCACCTCAATCCCTGCCCACAACGACTCAGATGTGTCCAGGGTGCCTGGTTTCCAAGGTCAGCAGAGAAGCAGCATGTCTTGCTCCCATCTTTTGGCTGACAATTTTTTCTTTTTGAGATGGATTTTGACAAGAGCAACTCCCTGTGTGCTGGAAGGCAGGATTCCTCTTAACCAAGGCTGTTCAAAGCACAACTGAATTCAATGGTTATACATTTCAAGTAAGTACCTTTCAAAAACAGACAATTATGCTTCAAAATAATTAATTTTATAATTTTTGTTTCTACTAAATTGCTATTTTGGTGTCATATGAATTTATTGAACACCATTGAGCAAAATATGCTTTTTTCAGTATCAGTTAAATACCAATGTCTAAGAGGAAATCTTGAGACCAGTACATTAAAATCTGATAATGGTTGTGACATTTGATATTTTTGCAACATTCTTTTAAAAAGTGAAGTGTCGCTGGGCGTGGTGGGTCACACCTGTAATCCCAGCACTTTGGGAGGCTCAGGTGGGTGGATCACGAAGTCAGGAGTTGGAGACCAGCCTGACCAACATGGTGAAACCTTGTCTCTACTAAAAGTACAAAAATTATCCAGGTGTGGTGCGTCCCTCTAATCCCAGCTACTCAGGAGGCTGAGGCAGGAGAATTGCTTGAACCCGGGAGGTGGAGGTTGCAGTGAGCTGAGGTTGTGCCCCTGCACTCCAGCCTGGGCAACAGAGCGAGATCTGTCTCAACAACAACGACAACATAAATGAAGTGTCAGAAGCCTCATTATAATTGAGGTTCCCTAGAACAGAGTTTTTGAGGAGATTTGCACACCAAGATCTTTGAGGCACCCTCATGGGAATCATCCTGTGAAGGAATGTGGGTAGCAGAAGGGAAGAGGCAGAGTTGGGCTGTGATGTGGGTGCAACAGCAGCCTCAGTGGACCATAAGGAGTTCTGACCTGGGATGGCTTTTCTGACTGCCCCCCAATGAAAAGAACATGACTTGAGTGAGGCAGCGTCTTTCTGCTGAGGGCAGTTCCCGAGGAGGGAGCCATTAGCAACCGATACTCCCAGCAGCCAGAAAATGAGGGCCTTCGCCCTGAGGGGAGATCCACCATTTATTTTATATTGTTTTTGGAATATGGATATGAGAAAAGAAAAGGCAAGACTGGAAGCCCCACCAGACAGAATGAAAGCAGTAGGGCCCAAGGCACAATCCAGTGGGTTCTGTGGATGCCTGTCTCCCCAGTGAGGACTGGAGAAGGGTCTCTTGCAACTGCCCCACCCCATAAACAGAATTCTTCTGTGTTATACTCATCTGCTTTCACCTAGCAGATACTTTTCCATATTTTTAAAAAGAAAGTTGTCATTTTATTCCTTCACTCATTGAACCTCTGTTATGTGTCAAGCGCTGTTCTAAACACTGGAGATCCAGTAGTGAACAAAACAAAAATTCTTGTCCTCCTGAGGCGCTAGAGATTTATTTCAAGGAAAAGAAGGGTCTCTTGCAACTGCCCCACCCCATAAACAGAATTCTTCTGTGTTATACTCATCTGCTTTCACCTAGCAGATACTTTTCCATATTTTTAAAAAGAAAGTTGTCATTTTATTCCTTCACTCATTGAACCTCTGTTGTCAAGCGCTGTTCTAAACACTGGAGATCCAGTAGTGAACAAAACAAAAATTCTTGTCCTCCTGAGGCGCTAGAGATTTATTTCAAGGAATTGATTCATGCAATTGTGAGGACTGACAAGTCCAAAGTCTGTAGGGTAGGTAAGTTTGAAATTGTAGGGCAGACTAGGAGGCTGGAAACTCAAGCAGGAGTTGATGCTACAGAATTTATTCCCTTTTCTACATTTTTTTAAATGACAGTTTTATTTATGGTCTTGCTGAGTACAGAATAAGAAACTATTATTTTAGCAATTTACTAAAACTTTGTTCTGATGTGCTCTTGAAGTTACTTGAGTGCATATTTTTTTCTCTAGGAAAGATACATTTGGTATATCAAATTAAATCCCCCCATAATAGTCTCTGGAAAAGAAAATGCAAGTGAAAACATGTTGGTGCTCCGGAACTTCAGCAGGTGGATACTGCTACAGTCTCATGCGAAGGTGGGTATTTGGCAAGCACTTAGTTACTTTTTTTTTTTTTTTTTTTTTGAGACGAAGTTTTGCTCTTGTTGCCTAGGCTGGAGTGCAATGGCACGAACTCAGCTCACTGCAACCTCCGCCTCCCAGGTTCAAGTGATTCTCCTACTTCAGCCTCCTGAGTAGCTAGGATTATAGGCACCCACCACCACATCCGGCTAATTTTTTATATTTTTAGTAGAGATGGGGTTTCTCCATGTTGGCCAGGCTGGTCTTGAACTCCTGACCTTAGGTGATCCACCCACTTTGGCCTCCCAAAGTGCTGGGATTACAGGCATGAGCCACTGTGCCTGGCCCTTAATGACTTTTTTAATGCGTCCCTAGGGGTTATTTTGAAGAAAAAAAAATTTAATTAACAACATAACAGAATTAGTTTAATAAGTGAATTGTTATTAACATCTGTCTTCTCTTTTTAGTTAAACAAGAACACATATTGATCTTTCAAAACTTTTAATGTGATGAATAAGACCTATAAAATAATATAATTCAATCAATGCATTTAATACCTCCTCTAACAATAACCATTTGTATTTCTTTGCACATAAGGAATACTTTTAATCTGGAAGTATCAAAATATTCAAGTCAGTTGCTCAACAAAAGAATATTTCATAAGAAACTATAGGGAAGGGAAAACTGTTATTTTTTTCCTCTGCTCATCTTAGGTTCATTGAATGGGGTCCTGCAAATTAGACTGATAAAAGACAGATTAGCAAGAGGAAAACGAAGAGAAGTTTGTTAACATATGCACCATGTATTCACATGGGAGCACTCAGAGATGAGTAACTCAAAGGAGTGGTTCCATCGTGGGTTTATGTGGCATCTTCATAAAGAACAATACATTTGCAGAGAAGTAATAAGACAAAGGAAAAAAACCTTTGAGTTTCTAGGGATGGCCAATCACGAGGGGGTAAATCTACAGGGAAGCTAATGGACAGTAAGTGCTAGTTAGCGGGGTTTGTTTGTCTAGGCTCTTTCTGGGTGCCATCTCATCTCCAGTGATAAGGTCATTATTCCCTTCTTGACACAGGAATGGGGAGGGACTTCTTTTCAAGGGGAATTTGTATTTTACTTTTCAGGCATAGAGAGGGAGGGCAAAGGGCTCATCCTGTGTCTGCTTTTTCTCAACTGCCTTTAGCTCAGAATAAATCCAATGCTACAGTGGCATGTTTTGGAGCATCATACTCTGAACCCCCAAACTCTGAACCCCTTCAAAAGCATACATTTTTTACTTTCTGCTAATGCTTATAGCTGAAGTAGTGTCAGCAATTAAACTCTTAGATCTAAGTATGCAATCTCCATCAATTTACCCGATGACTTTTTAGAAGTTGATGTCTGGGCCGGACGCAGTGGCTCACGCCTGTAATCCCAGAACTTTGGGAGGCTGAGGCGGGTGGATCACCTGATGTCAGCAGTTCAAGACCAGCCTGGCCAACATGGCGAAACCCTGTCTATTAAAAATACAAAAACTAGCTGGGCGTAGTGGCACATGCCTGTAATCCCAGCTACTCAGGAGGCTGAGGCAGGAGAATCACTTGAACCCAGGAGTCAGAGGTTGCAGTGAGCCGAGATTGTGCCATTGTACTCCAGCCCGGGCAACAGAGTGAGGCTCTGTCTCAAAAAAAAAAAAAAAGAAATTGATGTCTATTATCCAAGACAGCATGAATCCAAACTCAGTGTTTTTTTTTTTAGAAAAATCAGAATCTATTTTTAGTATGAACCTTCTCAGTTTTTACATGTTGACAATTATTTGCCTTTTTTCAAAAGCACAGTGCATGACAAAACTAAATGAGGCTCAATATGCAGTGTTCCCTTTATCTCTTCTCACTGCAGCTGAAGTGGGACAGAAAGATGAGCGACTGCTGCCCAGAAGCCTCACCTATCCATGGAGTCCCAGGAAGCTTAGAGGAAGGGCCCCTGACCATGGCTTATCTGGGAAGCTGATGACATAGCTGGAGATTCTCCGGTTATCCTTCTGGCCAGCCTCATAACAGGATAGATTTTCTTCATATAATTTTAGGAACTTCATGTAATTTTAGGTCATCAGCTTAAACCTGAGCTTGATGAAAGCTTTCTGAAGTGGTTCATAAAATACCTGTAAAAATATAAAGTATATAAAGCACCATGGTGCTGCTCAGAGAATCTGCATCCTGGATACACTTAGATGCTGGTTGGGGCAGGCAGCTCCACATAGACAGCACAGCACTGACAGCTGCATGCTCCGTGAGTCCTTCCATCTTCCATCTTCCTCCTCTTTCCTCATATTTCCACGTGCATCAGAGGTTCAGAGGTTCTTTTTTTTTTTTGGAGTCTCGGTCTGTCCCCCAGGCTGGAGTGCAATGGCACAATCTGGGCTCACTGCAACCTTTGTCTCCCGGGTTCAAGTGATTCTCCTGCCTCAGCCTCCCAAGTAGCTGGAATTATAGGTGCGCACTACCGCACCCTGCTAATTTTTGTATTTTTAGCAGAGACGGGGTTTTACCATGTTGGCCAGGGTGGTCTTGAACTCCTGACCTCAGGTGATCTGCCCACCTCGGCCTCCCAAATTACTGGGATTACAGGCGTGAGCCATCGAGCCCAGCCCAATTAAAAAAAATTTTTTTAAATAGAAACAGGGTCTCACTTTGTTGCCCAGGCAGGTCTCAAACTCCTAAGCTCAAGCAATCCTCTTTCCCCAGCTTCCCAAAGTGTTGAGATTACAGGTGTGAGCCACCACACCTGGCCTCATAATACACAGTGTTTTTGAGATTTATCAGTGTTGTTGTATGTATCATAGTTAATGATTTTTATTGCTCAGTGGTATTTTATT
Source organism: Homo sapiens (assembly GCF_000001405.40). Taxonomy (NCBI): domain Eukaryota; kingdom Metazoa; phylum Chordata; class Mammalia; order Primates; family Hominidae; genus Homo; species Homo sapiens. Next base: position 88,103,933 of record NC_000009.12, read on the forward strand.
GTATCAACACACTCTAGTCAGTTTATCCATTTCAGTAGATATTTGGGTTGGTAGATATTTGAGTTGTTTCTGACATTGGTGTTTTTCAGTGCATAGTATGGAAAAGACTGATGTAGCAGAATTTTACAGAAACACGCACATGCACACACAGAAACCGCAGTAGTTTGTAACATGGTTCCCAATGGAAACTGATGAGAAGGATGGTTTTTTCAGTATTCTCCATATAGATACACAACAAGAGAGATCTGTAGTCATCTTTGCAGTGGTCTGTTACCCAGGGAGATATTTTATGCGGAAGAGTAGTTTTTTTTTTTTTAGACGGAGTCTGTCGCCCAGGCAGGAGTGCAGTGGCATGGTCTTGGCTCACTGCAACCTCTGCCTCTAGGGTTCAAGCAATTCTGCTGCCTCAGCCTCCCAAGTAGCTGGGATTACAGGCACGTACCACCACGCCTTATAACTGGGGCCAGAAGTTTGAGAACAGCCTGGCCAACGTGGTGAAACCCCATCTCTACTATAAATACAAAAATTAGCTGGGTGTGGTGGCGGGTGCCTCTAATCCCAGCCACTCCGGAGGCTGAGGTAGGAGAATCGCTTGAATCCGGGAGGCAGAGGTTGCAATGAGCTGAGATTGTGCCATTGCACTCCAGCCTGGGCAACAAGAGCCACATTCCACCTCAATAAAAAATTAATAAAATAAGATAAATAAACAAATAATACATGGAAGACAAAATAGAGAAAACTCAATAAAATTACAAATTGGTTTTTTGAAAAGATCAAAATTGATGAATCCTTAGACTAAGAAAAAAAGAGAAAAGGCTTAAATAATTAAAATCAGACGTGAAAGAGGAGACATTACAACTAATGCCACAGAAATAAAAACAATTATGAGAGACTACTATGAATAATTATAAACCAACAAAATGGATAATCTTGGTAGCTTACAAACACGCAATCTACCAAGTCTGAATCATAAAGAAATAGAAAATCTAAAGAGACCTAAAACTAGTAAGGAGATTGAATCAATAATCAAAAACCTCTCAACAAAGAAAAGCCCAGGACCAGATGACTTCACTGGAGAATTCTACCAAATATTTAAGGAAGAATTAATACCAATCCTCCTAAAACTCTTTCAAAAAATTAAAGAGGAGGGAGGGAACACTCCCAAACTCATATTTATGAGTGCAGCACTACCCTTATACCAAAGCCAAAGATACTACAAGAAAACTGCAGACCAATATCTTTAATGAGTATTGATGCAAAAATCATCAACAAAATACCAGCAAACTGAATTCAACAGCACATTAAAAGGATTACACGTCATGACCAAATGGGATTTATTCCTAGAATGCAATGTTGGTTCAAAATGCAAAAGTAAATCGACATCCAAAACCAGACTCTTGTTCTTGTCCCCAAACCTGCTTTCCAGCAGGATTCTCAGTCTCAGAAAGTGGCACCGCCATTCACGCTACTGCTCAGGCGAAACCTCTGCATCATCGACATCTGTGTTTGTTTCACACTCAATATTTAACCTGCTCGCAAATCCTTTCAGCGTTCTCTTCACATATATCCAAAACCCAGAATCTCTTCCCTTCGCCTCCATTGCTAGCCCTCAGGATGGCATCATTGTCTACTCTTCTGCTCTTGGCTATTTGCGTAACAGACAGAGTAATTCTTTCAAAATCTGAATGTGATTGTGATACTCTTCTGCTCAAAACTGCCCAGTAGCTTCCCATCACACTTAGAAAAATTCGGGGTCCTCACTGTGGCCAACATAATGTTCCATGACCTGGTCATGGCTTCCACTTCAGCCCCCATCAGCAACGCCTCACTCCCTCATTCTACTTTCGGGCACCACCTCCTCCCACAGCCTGGAAAATGCCCCATGTGCTTCTACTTCAGGACCTTTGTATTTGCTGTTCCCTCTGCTGAATGATCCTCCTAGATCTCCACATTTGCTGATCCTAGGCCTGAAAATTTCCTCCCAGACATCTACATGGCTCAATGCCTACACTACATTCAGAAATAGCTAGCAGAAAGGTCTTTCATGACCACCCTGTATAAAACAGCACCCCATCAGTATCTCTGCATTTTATATGTTAAATTTTTCTTTGATATCATCCCCTGATGTTACTTATTGTACCTATCATTTTATTTATTTATTTATTTTTGAGACGGAGTTTCGTTCTGTCTCCGGCTGGAGTGCAGTGGCGCGATCTCGGCTCACTGCAACCTCCGCCTCCCACGTTCAAGTGATTCTCCTGCCTCAGCCTCCTGAGTAGCTGGGATTACAGGTATGAGCCACCATGCCCGGCTAATTTTTGTATTTTTAATAGAGACGGGGTTTAGCCATGTTGGCCAGGCTGGTCTTGAACCCCTGACCTCAGGCGATCTACCCGCCTCGGCCTCCCAAAGTGTTGGGATTATAGGCGTGAACCACTGTGCCCAGCCTAATGTACCCATTATTAAGTGAGACTATAGGGTACAGAAAATACATTTTGCCTGTGTCGATATATTTCTGTAGTGTCTGAAAAAAAAGTGCCTGACGCTTAGTATATGCCGGACCAATTACTTTAATGAGAGGATGGCTTTCTCTTTCCCATCTTTTACCACACTGGGCGTGGACTAAGCAAACGGGGGAAAATGCAGTAGTCAGAGGCAGCAGCAGATGGCACTGTAAAGAAAGGTGAGCATTAGATTTTGGACAAAATTGAGTAGTCTGTAGAAACCACGTGTAAAAAGCAAATGAGGCTTGCTGTAAGACATCACCATTCCCCTAGCCAGTCTCTCACCCTTAAACTGCAGGAAATCCTGGTGTGAAAGGTTAGTGCCAGTGACCAGGAAAGCTGAGCCGCTCAATTTCCCATAACCACATCAAAGCAGGGGCATGGTTAATAATATTATCAACCTTTCTTACCTTGATGCTCTATAAGGAAATAGCTAACACATGTTAATAAGAGTTGCCTTGAAAAGATCTTGTCCTAAGAATGCTGCAAAGCCCCTGTGAATGTGGAAATGGAGCGAGAGGATGGTGCAGGCATTTTGGCAGCATAGGTACCTTAGAGTCCTTCTTAAAAATGAAGGTGTTGACATCTTGATTCAGTTTTGAAAACTTTTTATGGTTAGTCTCCTTTGGGGATAAGTGAAAAGAGTGTGTTTTTGGGATAAGACTCTTTTCCTTTGTAAAGCCATTGTTTTAGAGTATCTGGAAACAATTCTGTGTGCTTTTTCCAGGTGGGAAACAATGGGGTGAGGGGTGGGGGTCATGCACAAACACTTATTTTTTAAAAGACTCCCCTCGCATGCAACACTTCTTGGGAAGCCACTGCATAGTTTTCTCCAAAAAAAGTGAATGTGTAAAGCAACAAAAAGAAATACACTGGAGCTAAGAAAAAAGGATTTGGAAAGAGAGTCAAATCCTCATTTTCATACTAAAACACAGTAAATGATATCTGAGATAGAATAATCAAGAAATAGCAATATAAGTATGTTATTTAGCAATATGGAGACTAAGACCAAGAGAACCAGCTAAGAGAGCTAAAATTACTACTTTGCTGTGGTGGCCAAGTGTCCAGGCTTGCTCAGGACTGTCAGTCCCACACTCTGGAAAAGTCCTCAGTCCTAGGATACAAGACATCTCAGTTTTTCATGATGGATGAGGAAAGTTGAGGGAAAAGTACAAAACTCATAGAGCATCCTAAAAAATAGGGGCTGAGTACAGCACAGATCCCCTGCTACCATGGCCATTGCCCACTGATGTTGGCACCCACGACTTGGGGTTCCCTGCAATGGGGCATTAAGTGAGGAGCGAGTGAGGTGACTGATGTGACTTAAGGGTACAGCAGTTCAGGGAAGTATTAAGAAAAATGAAACAGAAAGAGTAAAAATATCCCACTGTCTCATGGTACAGAAAAAAGATGTCATTGTTGTTTTCAACTAAATATAGGTAGTCTCTCTTTAGTTAGTCCTATTGTACATTCTCCTTGTTAAAACATTCACATGTATCTTGAGAATACACAATTATATGACCTACAAAATTTATTAAATGTAATAAAGAGTAAAATAAGTTGTCAGAGAATAAAAAAATTATGAAAATATTGTTATATTTTCCTCACACATATTTTTTGTTTAATCAGCCCTACTACTAATTGCCACTGTTAACTAGTTCTATTGTTTTTGTTTAAATAATAAATTCATCATTTCACTTTGTTTAAATGATAGCATTTATGTAACAGAAAAGTAAATAATATGTATCATTTCAAATAAACACCAATTTTTCTCATCTTACATAACATAAAGTTTAAGTAACCCAGGTTAGCACTCTAATAATCTGGTTGCCCTCATCTGGGGAGGGAACAGAGGGACAGGAGAAATGGGAGATAACTTGTTTTCCTTTTCTAGTATGTATATAAATTATTTCATTTAAACTTAAAAATTTTAAGTGTACCATGGTTTAAGAAGGAAAATCTCTAGAACTGTTGTCACTAAAAGTACTGTATACTTCAAAATATGAAAAACGCAGACAAAGTGAGTTAAAATGAATTTGCTGAAAGACTAAGATGAAGGTAGTAGTCAAAGCTAGAAAATAAAAATAGAGTCTGCTGAAATAAGGAGAGGAAAGGATTAGTAAATATAAGAACAGAAATCAGAGAAAGAGAAACCAACAAACCAAGCGGACAAACCAAAATGAAAGACGATTCTTTAAAATGACTGATTAACTCATGGGAAAATCTGACATGAAAATTAATTAGCTGATAAACTAAAAATTGATACATTTGACTTAAAGTTAAAAAATTGAGTACTACAGAAGACATGCTAGACAAACTAAATATAGGAGACATATTGAGAGGTGAAGGGAGCAGGACTTCCTGGGTTGAGTGGGGACTTGGAGAACTTTTCTGTAGCTAGCTAGAAGTTTGTAAAATGCACCAATCAGTGCTCCGTAAAAATGCACCAATCAGTGCTCAGTAGCTAGCTAGAGGTTTGTAAACTGGACCAATCATCACCCTGTAAAATGGACCAATCAGCACTCTGTAAAATGGACCAATCAGCAGGACATGGGCGTGGAAAATAAGGGAATAAAAGCTCGGCCACCCCAGCCAGTAGTTGTAATCCAGTCCCCTTCCACCCTCTGGACTGTTTGTTCTTTTGCTCCTCACAATAAATTTTGCTGCTGCTCTCTCTTTGGGTCAGTGCCACCTTTAAGAGTTGTAACACTCACCATGAAGGTCCACGGCTTCATTCTTGAAGTCAGTGAGATCACGAACCCACCCAAAGGAACCAACTCCGGATGCAATATCGAGAAATAGATTTGCAACAGCAACAATAAGCAAAAGCTTGGTATAAAAAGATCTGAAGAATTCTTACACATCAATTGGACAAAAGCAGTCCAACGGACAAAACAGACATTTTAATCTTAAAAGAAGAAAACTCATGGCTCAATAATTGAATAGACATTAAACCTCACTAATAATTGGGGAAATACAAAATGAAACAAAAGGAGATCCATTCAAACTCATAAGACTAGCAAAGTATTTTAAAGGAATTTAGTATATCAAATGATGTCTGGAATATGAAAAAGCAGAAATTCTCATTTTGCTAGTGGAAGAACCACTCAAAAGAGTAGTTTGGCAACATATAGAGGAGTTAGAAACATCTTTTCCTTATGACCAAGAAAACACCTGAAAAAAAACTTGCACATGTGTACCAAAAGATGTGCACAAAAATGTGTTCATAGCAGCAGTGCTATTCATAAGAGGGAAAAGCCCCAGGGACATGCAAAAATGTCTAAAAGAAGAAACAGATGAATAAATTATAGTCATATAGTAGAATATTTCAGTAAATAAGAGAAATGATCCAGAACCATGTGTATCAACATGCATACATTTTACACAAATAAAATGGATAAAAATGTTTCAAAATGAAACATAAGGTGTGATACCATTTATGTAAATTTTAAAGTAAATTTTAATTGAAATAATGGTATAAATATTAAACCGTGCAAAATAATATTTTGCAAACAGAATAAGGCTAAAAAAATACCAAATTCAGAGTAGTGGCAGCTTCTGGGGATTGATGTAGGGGAATGAGGCTTAGAAAATTAAAAATAGAGATTTCAACGTTCTCTCCAATGGTTTTATGTTCTTTGATAAATGTGTCCGAAATGAAATGTCTAGATTTGTTTTTCTGTGTAATAAGTACAAAAGTATTTATGACATTATTCTCTGTATCTTTATTCTCTGTATCTCCCTATAATTTTTAATTATAATTTAATTAAAAATTAATTAATTATAATATAATTTTTAATTATAATTTAATTAAAAATTAATTATAATTTAATTTTTAATTACAGGTGTGAGCCACCGCACCCAGCCCCAAATTATTTTCAATGCCACTTTGGTCATATATAAAATTTCCTTATGATTGTGATTCTGTTCCTTAGCCTCTATTCTCTTCTCTTATACAACCACTATCTTTGCTCTATTATCACCTATCAAATTTATTATAAACTTAAATCATGCCCTCTCTGTGCTAATTTTTGCCTTGTTCTCCTTCAAAATTGTCTTGGCTATGTTTGGCCCTCTTATCTTTCATATAAAATTTAAGATATTTTTGGAATTTCCATAAAAATGTCATTATTTTGACAGAAATTGTATTGCATATATGATCATATTTGAAAACCAAAATCTTTATGTTACTGTCTTCCCATCCATGATCATCTATCATAACTTTATTGTTTTTCTTTTAATACCTCTGACTAAAGTGTTATATATTTTGAACAGTCTAAATTTATCATGCCATGTATATAATAGATTGATCATGTGTTTGTTATTCTAAGTATCTTTTTAAAAATCTACTTAATGTAACTTTTTGCTGGTATATAAAAATGCAACTGATTATTCCTGGTATGTTTTCCTCTGACTACTTTTAAGATCCTCATTGTCTTTAGTCCTCCCCATCTTATTATGTTTTTTTTGAGACTGAGTCTTGCTTTGTCACCCAGGCTGGGGTGCGGTGGCGTGATTTTGGGTCACTGCAACCTCTGCCTCCCAGGTTCAAGTGATTCTTGTGCCTCAGCCTCCTGAGTAGCTGGGATTACAGGTGTGTACCACCATGCCTGGCTAATTTTTGTATTTTTAGTAGAGATGGGGTTTCACCATGTTGGCCAGGCTGGTCTCGAGCTCCTAATCTCAAGTAATCAGCCTGCCTTGGCCTCCCAAAGTGTGAGATTATGGGCATGAGCCACCATGCCCGGCCTAAGATGTGTGCTTTTTATTTCACGTTTTTAATATGTTTTTGTGCCCTATGTTCTTAATACACTCTGAAGCACTGTCAGTCTTCATCTCACACCTAGAGTTGCTCTGTTTTCCCAGGCTCCTCGTTTTTTCCCTCAAAGCTACTCCTTTTCCTTTGCTATCTATCATTTATACAATGTCCAGAGTGAGATTTTTAAAATGCAATTCAGATAATATCATGCCCCTGCTTAAAAGCCTGGGAACGATTTCCTTTGCATTTAGGGTTCTTAAAAAAATCTTTATAGTAGCTGACGAGGCCCAGCCAATGTCCACACCCTTTCTTTGGCATCCTCCTTTGTTTTGTGATTTAGTCCCACTGACCTCCTTCAAATTCTTTCCAAAAAATTCCGGTCAGGCCATTCACTCTCTGGTCTGTTTGGGCCACTGCTCCTCACTCACCGTACCTGCCTCATTTGTCTTTATTCTTCATGTTGGAGCTAAAGTATAACTTTCTTAGGTGACTTTCTCCATGGAACCTACTATTATAATTCACTGTCCTTGTTAAACTCCACATAACACCCTGTTTTTCCTTTATAGAACCTACTGCATATTGTGATTATATGTATATTTGTGATTACTAATTTGTTTCTTTCTCCTTCCTTACCACAAATCTTAAGACAAAAATTAGCCTTTTAAGGCCAGGCATAATGGTTCATGCCCGTAATCCCAGCACTTTGGGAGGCTGAGGCGTGCCGATTATGAGGCCAGGAGATCGAGACCATCCTGGCTAACGCGGTGAAACCCCGTCTCTACTAAAAATACAAAAACATTGGCCGGGTGTGGTGGCAGGCGCCTGTAGTCCCAGCTACTCAGGAGGCCGAGGCAGGAAAATGGCGTGAACCCAGGAGGCAGAGCTTCCAGTGAGTCGAGACCGTGCCACTGCACTCCAACCTGGGCGACAGAGCGAGAGTCCGTCTAAAAAAAATTAAATTAAATTAAAATTTTTTAAAAATGAAGAAACAACCAGAGAATGGAAGCAAGTATTTGCAAACTATGCATCAGACAATGGGTTCATCCACAAAATATATAAAGAATTCAAACTACTCAAAAGAAAAAATACAAACGATCTTATTAAAAAAATCTACCCAAAACCTTTGTCCCCCACCATCATTTCCCTACACCTTCTTTTCCCGACCACCTTTGACCCCCTCCCTCTGGCCACCCTTTTTCTTCCTCCATCTGCCCCCAAACTTCTTCACCATTTTTCTCCACCATCATTTCGCAAAGCCTTCTCTACTCTCCTGCTCAACACCCTTTTCCCCATCCACCGACCCAAACCCTTTCCCCACTGTTTCTTCCCACCGTCTTTTCCTCTTATCCCTGGCCACCCTCTTTTTACCCTTCCCGCATCACACTCTTTTGCTCCTTCATCTAAGCAAAAACATTTTCCCCCGCCTTTTCCCAAAACCTTCTCCCCACTCCTGCTGCTCACCACCGTCTTTTCCCCCTTCATCCACCCAAAAACTGTGTTCTTCATCGTCTTTCCCCCCGTTCCTCCTTGCCATTTCTCTTTCCCTTCTCCATCTACCCAAAAACATTTCCCCCATCTTTTCACAAAGCCTTCTCCCCACTGCTGCTCATCTTCCTCTTTCCCCCCTCCATCCACCCCCCAAAACTTTCCCCACCATCTTTTCAAAGTCTCCCCCCTTTACCACTCGTGCTCTTCTTTCCCCAATCCTGCTTGCCATCCTCTTTTTTGTCCTGTATCTACCCCAAACTATTTTCCCGTCGTTTTCCCAACCCTCTAATCCCTGCTCCCTCTCCCCACCCTCTTTCCTCCTCCTCGTCACTCTCTCCCCCCTCCATCTATCGAAACACTTTTTACCCACCGGCTTTCTGCAAAACCTTCCCTCCCTCCCGCTCCCCACCCTGTTTTTCTGCCTCCATGTACCCAAAAACTTTTTTCCCCACCATCTTTTCGCCGCCATCTTTTTGCAACCCCTTCTCCTGCTATCCTTTTTTTCCCCTTGGCATTAACTACCCTCTTTACCCCCCTCCAACTATCCCAAAACTGTTTTCCTTCTTCTACCTCTCCAGCCGCGCCATCTCCATCGCTGCCAACAACCGCAGCGAGGCAAGCCACGCTCCCGCGTCTCCAGCCTCCAGCATACGGCCAGTGACTCCCGATTCCTAGTCCTCTACGCCGGGATGCGACCACCTCGACACGTCAGTACGGGAACCTGAAAAGACCAGATTTCTTTTCAGCATCATTTATATACTGCCGTTATGCCCACGGAGGATCCTGGACTGCATGTTTTGATTGGATGAGAAAAAAACCTCCAGGCTTACTCTGATTGGACTTCATGATCATGTTCTGATTGGATGAGAGCAAGTCTTAACAACCAACCACAGCATGAAAATAAAGTCCAATCAAAGTAGGCCTAGAGGTTTTTCTCTCGTCCAATCAGAACATGTAGTCCAGGAACCGCTTTTGCATAACCTCAGTAGATAAAGCATGCTGAGGTCATGTCAGATCATTTCAAGCTCTTCTGTGTCGAGCTGAGGAGCTGCTCTGTGCCCGGCTTACAGAACTGGAAGGGGGAGCCACCTTCCGCCTGATGGAGGCTGGAGAACGGATGGAACCTGGATCCCTGGAGCCTGGGACACTACCTCGCTGCGGTTGGTGGTGGCCACAGACCAGTAGGAGGGCGGCTGGCAGCGGGAGCTTCTTCTGCCGGGCTGGAGGACTAGGAGAAGGGAGAGGGAACGCCACATGCTGGAGGCTGGAGCCTGTGCCACCGTGGCTCACCTCGATGTGGTTGGTGGCAGCTCGCCTTGCTGTGGTTGGTGGTGACGTCGGAGACTGCAGCTCGGCCACAGTGGTAGAAATGTGTTGGGGTAGGTGAGTGTTCCGGGGCTGCCCTGTACGTCTCTGGGGGCAAGGGTTGGGTGTCCTATTGGGGCTCACTGCTAGAGGCTACACTGCCTGTGGTAGTGGTCTGGTTGGGGGCACTCTCCGGGGTTGCATTGCTGGTGGTGGGGCAGGTTGACTGGCTATCTGGGGCTATGCTGCCCGCGGTGGCAGGAGTGGTGGCGGGAGGCAGGTTGTGTACACTAACGTGTACTGCTGGTGGCTGGGGAAGGGTTAGGGGTGCTATCTTCTGCTGCACTTCCCGCAGCAGGGGGTGGGTTGGGTGGCGTTACCCAGGGCTACAATGCTGGCAGTGGGGGGTGGTTTAGGGGCGTTGTTGGGTGCTGTACTGCCTGTGACTGGGGGGTGCGCCATCAGGAGCTGAACTGCTGGGGTGGAGTGGGGGGAGGCGGGTTTGGGATGCTATCCAGTGCAGCAACACCTGTGGCTGGGTCAGATTGTGGGCACTATCGGATGGTACACTCCCTGCGGTGTGGGGGGAGTGCTTTGGGGGGGAGTATTGGGGTTACATTGCCTGAAACTGTAGGGTGTGTTGGATGTGCTATCTGGGGGCTACACTGCTAGTGGCAGGGGGCAGATTAGGGGTGCTACGGGGGCTACACTGCCAGCGGTGCTGGCGAGCTGAGGAGGTGGCAAAGGCAGCAACAGTAATGGCCTCCTTCTTCCTTCTGGTGGCTTCCAAGTAAGGGATCGTTCTCTTCTTGCCGGACTCCAGACTCTAGAAGGAGATCTTCTCCTGCTTGAGCTAGATTGCACCGCAGGGCCCCCACACCCACTGTGATTTCCCGTCCCGCCCTCATGCTCTGTGTTGCAGAGACCACCTGGGACTACTGGGCAGGGAGTAGTAGGCACCACGGGGGAAGTGGGGGACAGGGCACTGTGGGTGGAGGCGTCAGGAATGGGAACCAGCCCTTGGGTGGGGAGGGCTGGCTGGGTCTGAGTTTCTCCTACTCAGGCTCCCCGAGGAAGGCAGCCCTGGTGGGCCCAGTAATTCCTGGCCGGGTGGACCTGGCCAGGGGCTGGTTTCAGTGAAGGCACTCACTCCCACCCCAGGCCCCAGTTCCTGGCCAGCTCTTGCCAGAAGGAGAGGCTGGACTTTGGAAGGTGGGTGTGAGTGCCTTCAATGAAACTGATCCTTGCCACCCAGTCACCAGTGTGACAAGGTGAGGCTCTAACGGTTCCACTCCCTGAATCCTGTTTTGGGCTTTTCGGGCTTTGCCTGCCCAGCTGCTCCAAGCCAGGCTGAAGGAGGAGAAGGAGGAGTTGCCTGTGGTACGGTTTAGCCTGCAGATGACGTGGTTCTGCAGCTTGCCTCATGTGGTTGGTGGTGGTGATGGAGACTGCAGCTCGATCAGAGCGGTAGGAGGACACCCACGGGGGCCAGGTGGTAGGAGCCTGGTAGGGTGGGCTGGTACATTGAGGGTGACGGTGGTTGTATTGGCATCGGCGCTAGTGGTGGTAGCAGTAGGAAGTCTGGGGGCCAGGAAGGGGGAGTAGGAGCACTGCAGGGCCCATCCCGTTCTGGGGTGGGGAGGAACCTGTGGGTGCTGTAACGAAGGCCTCGGTGGCAGTGGTGGTGGTACACCTAGGGTCTTACTCTACTTGATTGTAGTTTGTCTGTGGTTCACATCACTTTTTTTTTTTTTTTTTTGAGACAGTCTCGCTCTGTTGCCTAGGCTAGAGTACAGTGGCACGATCTCGGCTCACTGCAACCTCCGCCTCCTGGGTTCAAGTGATTCTCCTGCCTCAGCCTCTTGAGTAGCTGGGACTACAGGTGCCCACCACCACACCTGGCTAATTTTTGTATTTTTACTAGAGATGGGATTTCACCATATTTGCCAGGCTGGTCTCAATCTCCTGACCTTGTTATCCACCCGCCTCAGCCTCCCAAAGTGCTGGGATTACAGGGGTGAGCCTCCATGCCCAGCCTATACCACTTCTAAAGTTTCTTTGCATCATCTTAACTCTTTCCACCCATAATCACAAGTGAATGACAACCAAACACTTAATGACATGTAGATATTTATTATTTAATAGAATCCAAAATAAGTGCATTTTATGAATTAAATAAACAAAACACTGAAAGGTTCATTTCCATTTTTCTGTTAAAGGCTTTGTGCTTGGCCAGGTGTGGTGGCTCATGCTTGTAATCCCAGCATTTTGGGAGGCCAAGGCAGGCAGATCACCTGAGGTCAGGAGTTTGAGACCAGCCTGGCCCACATGATGAAACCCTGTCTCTACTAAAACTACAGAAATTAGCCAGGAGTGGTGGCAGGCACATGTAATCCCACACACAGCAACCCCATTACTATACTAGGGGTATACCTCAAGGAAAATAACTCATTGTAACAAAAAGATGCATGCACATGTATGTTCATTGCAGCACTATTCATAATAGCAAAGACATGGAGTCAATCCCGGTGCACCGAAGATAGATTGAAAATCCAAGGTAGATTGGAAAATTCCATATATATACCATGGAATACTGTGCAGCCATGAAAAGAACAAAATCATTTCCTTCGCAGCAACATGGATACAACTGGAATCCACTATCCTAAGCAAACTAACGCAGAAAGAGAAACCAAGTGTCTCGTTTTCACTCATATGTGGGAGCTACACATTAGGTGCACATTGGCATAAACATAGGAACAATAGACACTGGGAAATAAGAACGGGGATGGGCCAGGGTTGAAAAACTACTTCTTGGGTCCTATGCTCACTACCTGTGTGATGGGTTTAATTGTACTCCAAACCTCAGCATCCCTCGATATACCTTTGGAAGAAACTTACACAGGTACCACTTTAATTTAGAATACAAACTAGAAAAAAAAAAGAAAAATTTACTATAAAAAATTTTCTGTAAGTAAATATAAATTTCTTTTTAAGAAAAAATTACTGAAGTAAAAAAATGGATTAAACTTTTACAAAGGACAGAGTTTTGCTAAGAATTTCAAAGCAATGCATTCATTGCAAAATATGACTTTAATTGTTTAACTTTTCTTTTCTTCTTTTTTTGGAGATGGAGTCTCGCTCTGTCACTAGGCTGGAGTGCAGTGGCACGAGCTCAGCTCATTGCAACCTCTGCCTCCTGGGTTCAAGCAATTTTCCTGCCTCAGCCTCCCGAGTGGCTGGGACTACAGACATGCACCACCACACCCAGCTAATTTTTGTATTTTTAGTAGAGTCGAGGTTTCACCATGTTGGCCAGGATGGTCTTGATCTCTTGACCTCATGATCTGCCCGCTTTCGCCTCCCAAAGTGCTAGGATTACAGGCATGAGCCACCGTGCCCGGCCATTATTTAACCTTTGTACTAATAAAACAACACCTTTCTAAAATTATGTATATCCAATAGACCAATATTATCTATTTTTGTCAGATTACTCTAAACAGCATTGCACAGATACATCCTCTATTATCTAAACTTAAAATAAGCAGGAATTTTACTTTATTTATGTGATTACTTTTCTTTTTAAGCAAACTTCATGTTACGTCTAGTCCCTAAAAATACTAAAGGCCACATTTTGTAAGTGATATATTATTCTCATGATAATGTCTCTTGTTTAACTTAAACATTATTATTTTTTTAATGTATTTTAGATGGAGCCGGACTGTGTAGAACAAATAATTACAGAAACAAAGAAAAGTATGTTTCCAAAATTTATTAATTAAATTTAGGTTTATTTTAGTAATAAAGTGTAAATAGCAAATGGCATTCCTTTTCATTATTGGGTTAGTAGATACTACGTTCAGTATCTTTTCCTTACACACATCTAGTGAAAGATGTGAAAACAAAAACTTTCACAGTGAAGAGTATACTCATGTACCATTAATTCATCATGTCCGATAGCTTAAAAAATTCCCAAGAAGTGTATCCATCTCTTTTTTACTGGCTCTACAATTTCTTCACTTTTGCCATCCTCATGGAACTGTCAGCCAGCACGTTGAAAGGATTCTCTGAAAACAAAGTCATCATCAGGTTCTCTGGGTTTTGGTGGAGTTGAAGACCAACAGACCTCAGACTCATTTAGAAATACTTAGTTGAGGAAAAACCCTTCATAAGCAGTGGCTTGACAGGTGACATTTTAAATCTCCTGTCATTTACTGTGCCATTGGCTTACATCTGTTCTCAGGAAAAGTTCCAAAATTTTCACCATGAAATAAAAACACCTGTGTCAATGTAATTCTTGTCAGGTTACTCAGCCTTATCTCTCGCCGCTTACTGCACTCTGCCCTTTGCTCTAGCACCAAAGTGGGCGGAGTAGAACTCTGTAGGGCTCTTCCTCACCTCAGGCTCTTTGCCTTCGCCTCGTCTCTCTATCTGGCAAGCTTTTCCTTGTCCTTCAGGTATCAACCTATTTATCTCCTCCACAAAGCCCATGATATTGACACAAAAGTGGGGTAGATGTCCCTTCTGTGTTTTCCAGTAGTGCCCTGCTTTATACCTGTCATAGTGTCTATGACTCTATACGGACATTGCCTGCCTGTCTGTTGTTTTAGGTTATAGCATATGACTGTTGAGAGGTGGACCATGCCATCTTCATATTGTAATTCCAGTACTGATTCTAGTGCCTTAGCACGTGGGTGTTGAGTACATGAATAAAGAATGGAAAAGCTGTGATATTTAACCACAATTAGAATTAATGCCATGCGTTAATTATTTAATAGTAATTTTGTATTGTAATTATACGTACATATTTCTCATTCTTTTTAACTCTGATAACGTTCTCAACTCTTTAGATTTTAAACTCACACTTAGTTAACTGAAATGTTTTGGGTAAAGAACATAATCCTTTCTTTTTCTTTCCAGCTTTTGCTGTGTTGGGCACTTGCTCCCATCTGCTTGCTTCTCTAGAATCCACTGGTAAGCCACATCTAATAAAGAGAATATTTAACCATAAAATCTTAAGGAAAAGTTGTGTGATTTAAAAGATCATAAAACTTTATTACTGGGCTATTGACATGAAATTTTAATTGCTTCTCATAAAATATATAACATCACAATCTTTACTAAAGTAGAATATTTTCATATCATATGTATGATGAACATTTAGTATGGTATTTTAAATGATGTTTTTTAGCCCCCTTAAGTTTTAAGTGGATCTTGCAAATGAACACCAGTATTATGGAGTTTGACATACTCAAATTGCCCAAATGTCAGCTGTTTAAAAAGCCAAACAACCAAGTCATCCTTGATACTTTAGTAAAGGTCATCGAAGCCTTCTTTGCATTTTACAGGTTTTATTACTATATATAGTAGGAGACTTAAAGAGTACCTGCCAGGTTTGTCCATACTAATGTTATGAATTTCTTTTTGTAGTTCAACCGTATTTTGTGTGGAGATACTTTGAGGCTCTGTAAATATCTGGTTACTCCTAAAAACCCACTAGATTCGGTATTTCATTGATGTCTTGTCTTTGAACAAGTATTACTGTGATGGTTGCCAGATGATTATTTTCGTATTCTCTTGTTTGTTCTACATGGAGAAATAAAACCAATAAATAAAGGAGAAGGGAAAGCTCATGATTCTGGTGCTCCAATTCCCCAAGATGAGGCCAGTGGTAGACATTTCTTTATGTCTGACTTTATGTCTTTTTGATTTGTCTCTGTTACTCTTGTCAGCACTTTTTTACTTTCTGGCACAAGATGTTCCAAACTAATCTTGTATTTTCTCTGTTCCAGCCCTAGAATGAGTAATTTTTCTTAGAAGCAGAGTTGGAACCACTGAGGAAGCACAGGTGAGCCCTCCCCAGCACACACTCGCTAGTCCCCAACAGAAGAACTGTTGCTGCATCCATTGAGGTACCAAGAAACTAGCAAAGGGCCTTCTGGCTGTCTGGGGACAGTCCTCATGTGGTCCCTGGCTCAGCCTCAAGGGTTCTGGATTAATTTGTCTGCAGCCTCTGTGCTGTGTCTCTAGATCGGGGCTCTGTGGGAAGGGCCCTGGGAGACCCAGCAGCACAGGGTGTCTCGTCTGCCAAATGTCCCTCCCTTCTCCCACTCTGACACTCAGGAATAGGGTAGATGGCATGTCCAGGCAGTGCCAGGCCACCTCATTGTCTCCTTTGAGATGGGCCCAGAGGGCCTTGGGGGGCGAGTGTGAAGCTGGGTACCTGGAGCCTGAGGCTGACTGTCCCTTCCTATGTCTTGGAGGAGAGGCCTTGGGGCCCAAGAAACCCCCCCGGGCCTGATCTCTGGGCACACATGCAGGGAGGGAGGGTCTGTGGGCTGATTGGGGCATTGTAATGAGACGTTGAGCACCACTGCACAGGGGCCTCGTCAGTGGATCATGGTCAGAGATGACCTAGCCATCAGGACCTGGTCAGTTGGGACCAGATCAGCAGGGACCTGGCTAGGGGGTGGCCTCCTCAGTGAAGGCCTCACCAGTAGGGATCTGGTGACCTAGTCATTGGAAGCCTAGTCAGTGGGGACCTGGTCAGTGGTGGCCTTATTAGTGGGGCCTGATCGGTTGGAACATAAACAATAAAAAACTGGCCGGTGGGGTCTATTCAGTATATTAGGGGTCTGGTCAGTGTGGGGCCTTAGTGGCTCGGAGCCTGGTCAGTGAGGGCCTGGTCAGAGGGGGCTCGGTCAGCTGGGGACTGATCCATGGAGAATTGTTCAGTGGGGGTGAGGTGAGGGGCAACCTGGTAAATTGTGGTCTTGTCAGTGGGAACCCAGTCAGTGGGGTCTGGTCCGTGAGGCCTATTAATAGGGACCTCTTCCTGGTTATGGAGACATGGCCAGTGGGGACTTGGTCAGTGGGACCTGGTCAATGGAGGAGTGGTCATTAGGGGCCTTGTCAGTGGGGACCTGGTTTGGGGGGCGCCTGGTCAGTAGGAACCTGGCCAGTTGGCCGCTGTGTGACCTTAGGCAGGGGGTTTGTGGAGCCTCCTTGCTTCCATGTGTAGGAAGGTGAGTCAGGGCACCCTGGAGCGTTGCTGGAAAGAGAATGTGAGAAGATGTGTTGAATTCAGCACTGCTTGGCAGACCTCCAACTTTACACACAACCTGGGTTCCACCTAGAGAGGGTACCAGCCCGCTCTACTCTGCTCGGCGCCCCTCCTCTGTCTGCATCCCCAGTACCACACTCGGTGGGGAGGGCAGAGATTGGGGAGCACCTGTGGATTCTCTAATCCTGGTCCTGGGGCCCTGGTGGTGATAGTGATGAGGACCTGGGTGCACCTGTGAGTGGAGCAGCTAGGCCAGGCCAGAGAAGCAAGACAAATACACCCATATGCACATAGACACATGCATGCATAAACACATTGCATGCACACATGTGAGTTCAGGGGATAGAGGACACTGATTCTGGGCCCTCTTGACCCAAGCAGGCTCCCGTTGTGGTGTGTTGTGTCACCCCACGATGTCACTGTTGCTGAGCCCCCATTGCCTATGCGTTGTGGAGCAGTTAGAGACACACAGCAGTGTCTGTGAGTGGCTCTGCATGAAGGGCCATTTTCTAGGTGAGAGGCACATCTCAGCACAGCTCACTGATCAGACTTAGGTGAGTGGAACCTGCTCTCTTCTCTTCCTCCTGGCTTAGGGACAGTCGCTATCAGGTGGATGGTTTTGGCCTCTGGGCAGCTACTGAGGGTAAACCCTGAGCACTCACCAGGTGCCTGTTCTGTGTTGACAGTCATCTGATTCATCCTGGTAGCAATTCCATTCTGCATCTCTTCTGGACACCCACAGGACCACCAGAACAACCCCATCATGGCCCTGTCACCAGGCCCAGTTTGGCTCCATGATAACCAAGACGCAGGTCCAGAGACAACCGCCCTGCTTGATGCCTGCATCTGACCTCCCTTGGTGGGTAGTGATGAGCACAACATGGAAGAAGCCAGGGCAGCTTGTGGCCAGCTGCCCTACAGCCCCAGATGGCTGGGGACTAGGATTCCAAAAGGATGATTTTGGAGCTGTAGGATTGAATGACTGGCCTGCTGGGTTTTGGATGTTCGTGTATCCTATGAGTCCCATCGGTGTTTGTTTTTCTTTCAGGCAATTTTTCTTCTATTGGCTGGGAATGCTTACCCATTGCCTGTACAATCATTGTACCTTGGAAGTAGTTAACTTGCTTTATAATTCAGAGGCTCATGGGCAGAAGGGACTGTATCCTTGTCCCAGATAAAACTTTGGGCTTTGGACATTTGCTGGAATGAGTTAAGATTTGGGGGACTGTAGGGAAGTCATCATTGTATTTTGCAACGTGAGAAAGACATACGAGATTTGCATGGGCAGGGACAGAATAATATGACTTGGCTCTGTGTCCCACTGCTGTGAAATTGTAACGGGAAATGTTAAAGGTGGTGGGGGCTGGTGGAAGGTGATTTAATCATGGTGGAGAGTGGAGGTTGGAAGGTGGGGGTGGTGGGGAGAATTGGGGGGAATTATGGTGGGGTTGGGGGTGAAAGGCAGGGGTGGGGGTGATCCTTCACAAGTAATTAAACACCATCTCCTTAATGCTGTCCTTCTGATAGTTCTCTTCATAATTTCGTAGCTGTGAGATTGAATACTGGTCTGCTGGGTTTTGGATGTGCATTGGGCCTGTGGTCCCATTTGTGTTATTTTTCTGGGAAATTTCTTCCCTTTGGATTAAGAAAGCTTACCCAATGCCTGTACCATCATTGTACCTTGAAAGAAAAGAACTCCATTTTAACTTCAGGGACTCATAGGTAGAAGATACTGTATAGCCTTGTCTCGGATGAGACTTTGAACTTCTTATAGTTGAGTTGATGCTGGAATGAGTTAAGGCTTTTGGAAACTTTTGAAAAGGCATGATTGTGTTTTACCCTGTGAGAAGGACATGAGATTCGGAAGGGTCAAGGTCGGAATAATATGGTTTGGCTGTGTTTTGCTAGAAAAACTCATGTGGAATTGTAATCCCGAATTTTGGTTGTGAAGCCTGGTGGGAGGTGATTTAATCATGGATGGGAGGTGGGTGGGGGTGTAAGGAGAAAGGGGTGGGGAGGAGTACGCTGGCTGTAGGGTGGTGGGAGGGTGGTGGGTAGTAGGAAGGGGGAGTAGCCTGCTGCACAGGTAGAGGCTCATGGAAAACCTCTACTAGGGCAGTGCACCTGTGGCTTTGCTGCTCTCATGGCTGGGCTGGTGTTGAGTGCCTGTAGCTTTTCCATGCAGAGGGTGGGAGCTGTTGGTGGGTCTATGACTGGGGTCTGGAGGATGATGGTATCCTGTGTGGGAGCTCCAAGCCCATATTTTCCTTCCGCACTTCCCTAGGAGAGGTTTTCCCAGAGGCTCTGCCTCTGCATCAGGCTTCTGCCTGGAAACAGTGGGAGTTGGGGGTGGGGGGCGAATCCTTCATCAATGGTTAAGCACCATCTTTTTGATGCTGAGCTTGTGATAGTGAGTTCCCATGAGATCTGGTTGTATAATAGGGTGTGGCACCTCTTTCCTCTCTCTGTCTTGCTCCTACTCCTGCCACATGAATCATCTCATTGCCCCTTGACATTCTGATATGACTGGGTGGCTTCCTGAGTCCTCCCAGATTCAGAAGCCACTATGTTTCCTTACAGCCTGCAGAATCATGAGATTCTTTATGATCATAGAGAAAATTAGTACTGGAAAGTGGATGTATGAAATGTCTTCAAGGCCTTTTCCCTGTTGTCTTGGCAATCAGCACTCAGCTTCTTTTCATTCAAGTATCTGAAGCCTTGAATTTTCCCCCTGAAAATGGACTTGCCTTCCTTTACCACATTGCCAGGCTGTGACAAAGATAGGTGATAAAGTAGAAGCAGGTTCAGAAGGGGGTAGCAGACAGAGGTTGGGAGAGTTTGAAGGGCTTTGAAGACAGGAAAATGAGGAAAAGTTTGGATCTTTGTAGAGAATTGTTAAATACTTGTGATCAGAAGGCTGACAGGAAAATGGTCAGTGAAAGCCAGACTTAGAAGGTCTCAGATAAAAATGAGGAACTTATTGGGAACAGAAGCCAAGGTTACCTTTGTTTTGCTGTAGCAAGGAATGTGGTGGCACGGTGACCCTGCCCTGGAGATCTGTGAAACTTTAAACTTGAGGGTGATGACTTAGTACATATTTGGTGGAATGAACTTCTAGGAAGCAAAGCTCAAGAGGTGTCCTGTCTGCATTGAACAGCCTGTGCTCTGATGTGTGACTGAGGAAATGACCTCTGGATGGGACTTCCATTAAACAAGTCCCAACTCTTACATTAAATAAGAAACAGAACTCAGAAGTTTGGAAAATTTGCAGCCTGGCCAAGTGGTCAAAAAGAAAATCTGATTTTCAGGGAGAAAATTCAGGAAGGCTTCAGAAATTTGCATAAAAAGGAGCCCAGTGCTAATAGCCAAGACAATAGGGAAGAGGCCTTGAAGGCATTTCATAGAACTTTGCAGCAGCCCTTCCTGTCACAGGCCCTGGGGCCTAGGAGAGAAGAATGGTTTCCTGGGCCAGTCCCATGACCCCCCTCTATGTGCAGCCTCAGGGCACTGCTGCCTGCATCCCTGCAGCTCCAGCTCCAGCCATGGCTGAAAATGCACAGATGCAGCTTGGGTCACTGCTTCAGAGAGTGCAGGCTAGAAGCCTTGGTAACTTCCTCATATTGGTAAGCCACTGGGTGGACGGATCTTGAGACTAGAGGCTTGGAAGCCTCTCTGTAGACTTTGGAAGATGTATGGAAATGCCTGGGTGACCAGAAAAAAGCATCCCAAAAAGGCAGAGCCTCATAAGAAACCTCTACTAGGGCAGTGCAGAAGGAAAATACGGGGTTGGAGCCCCCACACTGGAGGCCACCATCATGCAGACCCCAGATTCGTAGACCGACCGATAGCTTGTACCATCAGTCGGGAAAAACTACAGGCACTCAACACCCGCCCAGCCCATGAGTGCAGCCGTGGGGCATAAACCCTGCAAAACCAAAGGTGCAGAGCAGCCCAGGGCCTTCAGAGCCCAGCCCTCACGTCCCTGTGCCCTGGATGTGGGACAAGGTTTCAGAAAGGATGATTTCGGAACTGTAGGATTGAATGACTAGCCTTCTGGGTTTGGAGTTTCATGGGGCCTGTAAGTCCTGTGTTTTGTTCTTTCTGGCAGAATTCTTCCTTTCGGCTGAGAATGCTTACGTAACATTGCCTGCACAAGCATTGTACCTTGGAAGTAGTTAACTTGCTTTATTGTTCAGAGGCTCATGCACCTAAGGGACTGTAGCCTTGTGTCAGATGAGACTTTAAGCTTTGGACATTTGTACAAATGCTGGAATGATATAAGATTTGGAGGGGCTGTAGAGAAGGCATCATTGTATTTTGCAATGTGAGAAGGACATGAGATTTGGGAGCCAGGGACAGAATAATAAAGTTAAAGGTGGGGCCTGGTGGAGGGTGATTTAATCATGGTGGAGAGGGGGGGTTGGAAGGTGGGGGTAGGGAGAATGAGGGGATTATGGTGGGGGTGAGGGGTGAAAAGTGGTGGTCGGGGGTGGATCCTTCACAAATGATTAAACACCACCTCCTTATTGCTGTGCTTATGATAGTGAGTTTTCTTCATGATTTTGGAGCTGTGAGATTGAATGGATACTGGCCTCCTGGGTTTTGGACTTGCATTGGGCCTGTGGTCCTATTTGTGTTTTTTTCCTGGGAAATTTCTTCCCTTTCGATTGAGAAAGCTTATCCAGTGCCTTTACCATCATTGTACCCTGAAAGAAAAGAACATCCTTTTAAATTCAGGGACTCATAGGCAAAAGGGACTGTAGACTTGTCTCAGATGAGATGTTGAACTTTTTACTTTTGAGTTAATGCTGGAATGAGTTAAGACATTTGGAAGGAAACTTTTGAAAAGGCATGAATGTATTTTGCTCTGTGAGAAGGACATGAGATTCTGGGGTATCAGGGTCAGAATAATATGGTTTGGCTGTGTTTATTTACAAAACTCATGTGAATTGTACTTCTTAATGTTGGAGGTGGGACCTGGTGGGAGGTGATTTAATCATGGCAAGAGGGGGTTGGGGTTGGAAGGAAAAGGGGTGGGTAGGGTGGAGAGTAGGTTGGCAGTAGGGTGGTGGGAGGGTGGGGGGTAGTAGGAAGAGGGAGTAGTCTGCTGTAGAGGCAGAGGTTTGTGGAAAACCTCTACTAGGACAGTGAACCTGTGGCTTTGCAGGCTTCAGCCCCCATGGCTGCTCCCATGGGCTGGGCTGGTGTGGAGTGCCTGTAGCCTTTCCATACTGAGGGTGCGAGCTGTTGGTGGGCTTATGAATCTGGGGTCTGGAGGATGGTGGCCTCCTGTGTGGGAGCTCCAAGCCCATATTTTCCTTCTGCACTGCCATAGTGGAAGTTTCCCAAGAGGCTCTGCCTCTGCAGGAGGCTTCTGCCTGGCAACAGTGGGTGGTGGTATGGGCGGTGGTTCCTTCACCAATGGTTAATCTTCTTGATGCTGATCTCCTGATAGTGGGTTCTCTTGAGATCTGGTTGTATAACAGGATGTAGCACCTCCTTCCTCTCTCTGTCTTGCTCCTACTCCTGCCATATGAAATATCTCATTGTCGCTTGGTCTTCTGGTATAGTTAGGAGGGCCCTGATCAGTGTGGGCCTCGTCAGTGGACCTAGTCAGTTGGGACTTGGTCAGTGAGGCCTGTTTATTGGGGGCATGGTCAGCAGGGGTCTGCTTAGAGAGGGTCTCATTAGGGGGATCTAGTAGTGGGCGTCTCGGTGAGTGGGGACCTAGTGGCAGCCACTTGTTTGGTGTCTGGTCAGTGTAAAACTAGGCTGCAGGACTTTGTCAGTGGAGACCTGGTCAGCTGGGGCTTAGTGGTGGCCTTGTCAGCATGAGCTGGGTCACTGGTGACCAGGTCAATGGGTGCTATTCAGTGGAGGCCTGGTCACATGGGACCTAGTCAGCAGGACCTGGTGGCCATGTCCTCATCAGTGAGGCCCTTGTCAGTGGGGCCCTGATCAGGGCAGCCTGGTCAGTGGAACCTAATCAGTGGGGGCCTGTTCAGAGAGAGCGTGGTCAGTGGTGGCTTTTGTAGCACTGGTCTGTGGGTGACCTGGTCAGCAGGGATCTGAGCAGTGGGTGCCCATTGAGTGGGGCCTACTCACTAGGGTCATAGTCAGAAGTATCTGGTCACCTTGGGCCTGCTTAATAGGGGCCTGGTCAGTGGCAGCCTGTTCCCCGGAGGCTTAGTCAGTAGAACCTCATCTGTGGGGCCAGGCAATGGGGTCATGATCGGTGGAACCTGATCAATGAGGCCTTGTCAGTGAGGACCTGGTCAGTGAGGCCCTGGTGTGTAAGGTCGTGGTCAGTCAGTAGGGTCCTGGTCACTGTGGGCCTGGCAGCAGGGCCTGGTTAGTGGGGCATGGTCATGGGGTTCTAATCAGTGAGGGTGTGGTCAGGGAGGACCTGATGTGCGGGATCTGGTCAGCAGGGACCTGGTGCGGGGGCTGCTGAGCACTGCTGGGAGATGCCAGGTGCAATGCACGTTATCACAGGCCCTATGGACAGCTCGGATGGGCCAGTGGTGCCCAAAAGCCCAGTCAAAAGTGGACAAAGCAGGTGTTTGGATGGACCTGGGAGATCTTGCTCAGAGATTTTGACAGGACAAAGGCAAAGGAAGGGCCAGAGTGGCCGGTGAGATGGTCACAGTCTATGGGCTGCACGGGATGGAGGAAGCCAGGGAACAGACAGCGTGGGCAGCTGGGGTGCAGGGAGAGGCAGGTACATGCTGGGAGGTCAGATCCTGTCAGTGCTGTGGGGGCGTCAGGTGGGGTGGGCTCCAGTTGCACCCTCAGTGCACTGGGCAGGTCTCAGCCCAGGCTCCCTGCACCCTGGCCGAGTGATGCGGTCACTCCCTGGGGGACTTCCGTCGGGCCCCAGCCACCCACCCTGGGCAGTGCTGTCCCATCTCAGGACTGGACTTTCTCAGATCCTGCAGAGGGCACAGCCTCCAGCCCAGGAGGGGCAGCCCCATGGTGCAGCCCGAGATCTCCATGGACCTGGAGCATCCCCTGCCAGCCCTGCGCTCCCTCTTCTTCCAGGTCCCGCGTTTCCAGTGTCAGCCAGCAGGGAGGCCCCGTCCTCCCTTCCCTATGTGTCTCCTGGGCAGAAATTTGTGGTGGATTGGGACAGGGATGGTGCTTCCCTCAGGCCCGTTTAGGGAGGGGACTGACTCCCAGCCTGGCACAGGTCCTCAGCTCTGCCTTGGTTGCCTTAGAGTGAGAAGGATCATTCCTGAAGGTAAAGGTAAGAGACTGTCCGTGCTGTGTGGGAGGCTGGTCTAGAGATGGAGGACGTAACAGTTCCTCCCAGTCTGTCAGGCCTGGGCAGCACCGTCCTGTCTCAGGACTCAGAAAGTCCAGTCCTGCGATGGGACGGTGCTGCCCAGGGTGGGTGGCCGGGGCCTGACAGCAGTCCCCCAGGGAGTGACCACATCACCCAGGTGGGGTCCAGAGAGCCTGGCCTGAGACCTGCCCAGTGCACTGAGGGTGTACCTGGAGCCCACTCCACCTGATACCCCCACGGCCCTTGCAGGCTCTGACTTCCTAGCAGGGTCATTCACTCATCTGGGGCAGGGGAGTTCACCGCCCTCAGCAGCCTCCATGAAGGCCGTCCCCCCAGCCCCCCGCCCCCCACCTACACATGCACAGAGCTGGAAGGTCTATCCCCACCACCACTCCAGAGTGCGAGAAAGGGAGAGGCAGTGGGATGGGGACTCTGTGCTTCACATGTTGGCTGAGCTAAGAGGGCCCATCTCCATCCCAGCCT
Source organism: Homo sapiens (assembly GCF_000001405.40). Lineage (NCBI taxonomy): Eukaryota > Metazoa > Chordata > Mammalia > Primates > Hominidae > Homo > Homo sapiens. Next base: position 88,128,817 of record NC_000009.12, read on the forward strand.
TTGTCAGGGAGAGAAGGGGCTTTCCAGGGCAGACATTATCTATTCTTCACCAGGATACCCAGGGTCAAGACTTCTCCCACTTCTGAACTCAGGGTCCAGCACTCTCCCACCCAAACTTCCACTATTTTGTGACACATGAAGTTATTCGGCTGTGGCACTTCCTGGAGCCTGCATGGAGATGTTCAGCCCTGTGACATCTCTGCAAACCTTCTCCCTATAGTTGCATAAAGTTTGAGGTGGACAGTAAGTAGTGGAAAGATGGGTTGAACCTTATTTCAGAGTGGGATCTTCATAGGTTTTTCTCATCTTGTTTTTAGAATTTTTTGTTGTTTGTGTAAAGATGGTATTACGGAAACATAAGGTTCAGTGAAGGAACTCAGGATGAAGGTGGGCTTACAGCACCGCTGTCAGCCTCCCTCCATGTCCTGTTGCTTCTAGAAACCAAGCCCACACCAAGCACAGCACAAATAAAAGCCATCACCCTCTTATGAATAAAAAACCGTATATATTGTGGAATATTAAATGTTCTGCGTGTACTAACATGAGAGAAAATACTTTTCCTCTACATAGAGTGAATTTTTTCTTGGTGACTTGTTTTTCTCTAGGGAAGGCTAAAAAGGAATTTGTGACTGACCAAATTAGATACCTCCCTGAAAAAGACAGTGCCTTGGTCAGTGGTGATGGTGGCTGGAGGCACTGGGTGTCTTCGGCCGGTGCTGAGGGGGACTGACTGGGGATACAGCTTTCTTGGGGAGCAAGAGTTGGGGATGTCGCAGGCCCCATTGCTCATTGTTGCACCGGACACTTTTCAAGGGCTACTGATCTCTGATTTGTCTGTCTCTGTTGGGACGACTCTGGTTCTTGAGAGTGGCTTGTTGACTGCTGGCTGCATAGCTCAGCATTCTGCTGTGTTCTGAGTAGAACGGGTGTCTGTGGTTGCAGGGAAACCCACAGACTGGGGCTTGAAACTGCTGTCTTTGCTGATTTACCTTCGAGGCATGGCGCGCATGGCAAAGTGACATGTTCTCCTCCAGTATCTGTCCAACTGCTGTCATGAGCCTCTCAGCTTCAGCACTGCTGCCGTACACGCATGATCTGTTTTTTACTGTTTTTTGGCTCTCAGCAGTGACTGGTGCTGGCTTCCTTTCTTTCTTTGAAAAAATCGTCTGAAAAAATTGCTTGATGTTTTCTCCAAAGTGGCTTATTGAAGGAGGCTGTTTCTTTGATGGCAGTAGCTGGACGCCTTCATTCTGACGGGTGTCTTCTGTTTTCCTGCCTGGGGTAAGTTGAGGAGTCCTCAATCCTTGAAACATTTCTTCATGTTTTTCTAAGTTGGGCTTCCTAGAGTTCTCCCTCTTGTGAGTAGGGGGAAACATTGGGCTTTGGCTCTTGCATGAGCCTTGACAGTTTGGGTTCCTGGGCTCCTTGTGCCCCATGTTACTCCTTCTGGCTGACATGAGGTCACATAGCTCCTGGGAAGCCTGCATGTTCCCAGTAGGCATGCTCTGGAGATGGCCCTGGGGCACTTGAGAAGCCAAATTCTCTGAAGCATGGGGCACAACAGATGCTTGCCCATCTGGAAGGAGCACAACAGTGGCAGAAACTTGAGGCTGGGTCTCTGACTTCGTGGCCTTTCCAGGCTCAAATTCACTAACAGCCTCCTCCATGAGACACAGCTTTCTTGGGTCTTGGGAGACAGACATTCTAGGGAGTAGAGAGCTTTTGCTGGCGCCTGGAGCCTTGAAACCACGCACATCCTCACTTGTGGCTTGGAGGTTTGCTCTCATACAGGTTCCCAAGGGGACTGTGGGTTGTGGCACTGCCTCCCTGGTCTCTCCAGCCCTTGAAGATTGGGCTCCTAAGCTCCTGCTCTGCTGGGTGCTGCCTGTGAGGCTGTATGTGAGGGGCTTAGATGGCCACCTGCCCTCCTGTCCAGCTGTAGGAGCCTTCAAGGACCCATGATCATTCGAAGATGGGATCCCTCGCGGGGCCCTCTGGAACTGCTTACATGCAGGTGAGGAGGCCTGAAGCCTCTCTGGCATGTGAACAGATGGTTTGGTCAGCACCTGCTTTCTCAGACTTGCCATTGGTGGCTCTCCAAGGAACGTGGCCACCTCAACTTTTGAGCCAGCCCCAGATTCGCAGGTGTCTGAGGAGGGACCAGCAAGCTGTATAAGGGACAAGGATGAAACCTTTTCCAGTTGAAAGCACTGAATGGGCTTGAGGACCCTGAGGGGTAGACCCCACCTGTGTTTGGCCCAAAACCTCACAATATGGGCTCCCAGCACCTGCTGAGTACACGGCTCAAGGAAGGAAAGCACCTGGGCTGTGTTCACACAGGCTTTCCTGCTTTTCGGGGCTGCTAGATTGCTGGTTTTCACGTGGGTGTTGGAGACGGGAAAAGCCTGGTTGACAGCAAGCCAGGATCGACGCACACTCACGGGGATCAAGCCCTCGTTGGTCTGGCCCAACTTTCTGCTCATGTGGGCTTTCAGGATGTTTTCTATATGATTCCTCTCTGTGCGTCTTAATAAATCACTTCCTGAGTCACTCCTCAAGGGCTTCCTCAGGTTCCTTTCCGACTCCTCAGAGGTCGCCCCCAGAACCTTCCCTGGGAAGCTTTCCATGCCCCTGGATAGATTTTGTGGGGTCTCACCCAGAATTTGCCCCAGATGTGGGCATGGGTCCCTCTCTAGCTGGAACTTCACCGTCTGTGCCTCCTTGCTGCTTTCACCTGTGGACGTGGAGGACTGCCAGGGCCTGGGTTTGCCCTTGGCCTGACTTGTCCCTGGCAATTCATCCTGAAGCTGCATCAGATCCAGAGACTCTTGGATCCTTCCACGTTGCCCCATGTGTTGCTCCAGTTGTCTCCAGAGTTCAGGACTGACTGGAAAGTTCTCAGGCAGAATGGATGTCAGTCTTTCCTGGGGAAGGTTAGGAGTGGAGACACTAAAGACGTCCTGAGATTTTTGGACCCTAGAGGGTAAAGCCAACCCACCTTCTAGTTGTTTCTTCAACAAAGGCCTTTCAGGGTGCTGAGTTTCAGGTAGGGAGAGAGCTTGCACTTTATTCTGCGACGCAGGGCAAGCTACTCCAGTGTTCTTCATCGGGGATAGAAAAGCAGGAGATAGGACTGGGAAAGAGGATTGAAGATGGGCCTGAGCCTCGGCCTGAGCCATAGGTGTGGGCCAGAATTGGGGTGTGGATGAAATAAAGGGTTGGGACTCAGGCTCCAGATGGGACAGGGGCTGGGCCTGGAAAAGCAGTGGGGACATTGTAGTGTCCCTTTGGCGGGAAAGATGATCTTGCTGGACTGACGAGTTGAAGACGCACCAGGTTTTGGTAGTCTCCTGCGACCAGGAGAGGGCAGAAACTTGACTGTTTGAGCCGCCAAGGCCTGAGATGCCTGGGACAGAAGCCGCCAAATCCTCACGTGGAGACAAGCTTTGAGGGACGGTGTCCAGTGGAAGTGCCACTGAGTCACAGTGAGATGGTGTTAACAGAGTGGAGTCCCGCAGGGGAGGAGGAGTGAAGCCTTTCGGAGGAGGCGGAGAGCAGGCCAGAGGATCAGGAGTGCGTGGTGGGTGAGGGAAAAGTGCAGGTGGCTCGGGTGAGGGATGTTCTAGGAGAAGGGAAGGTTCTGGTGGCTGGGAGGCACTTAGGGAGGAGACTGAGGTGGTCATTGGGCCTGGTGGTGGGGTGGAGGCCAGATCCTGAGGATGCTTGGTTCGAGGATCCGGGGAAGCTAACGGGGAGACAATGGGAGCAGCGTCTTCCGTAGGCTCATGAGAGGACCGGGAGGCTCCATCAGGTGTTCTTTTGCCCACCTCACCTGGCGGGTCTGGACCAGAGAGCTGACCAAAGTCACCTTTTTCAAGGTGTGGCCCCAGGAGGCTGCAGGAGACAGGAGGCACAAGCTGCAGCCAGGAGCAGATGGGTTCGGAGGGCAGAGTGGGCGCTTGGGCCACAGCCCCTCCACCACGCCACACCCTGACCACCCAATTCTCCTGCTACCCCTCGCCCCAGGGCTTTACTCCCATCCTCTGTCCCCCTGGTCTCTCCATCCCAGGTCAGCTCCAGGCTGCCTGTGGCCCTGGGGTCACGTCCCAGCCCTGGTAGGAAGGACGCAGGGAAGGGGAAGTGCCTCACCTCTGCAGTTGTGAAAGCAGGTCCCAAGTCTCCTCCAGGCCTCTCGGGCACTCTCTACAAGCTGGAAATCAGACCGGGTTAGGGCAGTGAGGGAGGGGCTTGGGATCTCACAGGAGGCTGAGTGTATGTTTCTTTAGGGAAGACCATGGGGAATTAGACCCTGGAACCCACCCATCTGTGTCCAAAGCCACATGGCCCCGACGGTAATAGCAAGGCATAGAGGACAGGGCTTTGTCATTCACAAAGGGCTTCCACACACAGACCCTCCACCCCCACGGTCCTCACAACTGCCCTGTGAGGAGAAAGGACTGGGGTGGTCTCAGAGAGGAATCAGCCTTAGCAGAGTTGAACAGCTGTTCCCAGGGAGCGGGAGGCCCCTCACCCCCCTCCGCATCCAGGCAGGCATTGGTCTCCCCAGGACACACACACTGCCCCCTGCTGGGTAACGCTCAGTCCCTGGCCCACCATGGCTTCATTCCGGCGGCACAGAATCTGAGAAGGACCCAGGGTTCTGATTTCCTTCCTAGGAGCCCCCACCTCAGGTTTTTTCAACTGACTTCTTCAGAGTCAGTTCCCTCCCGGACAGATGAGATCAAATTAACTCTAGTGTGCCCTGGCAGAGCCTTACCTCTCAGACTGTGGTTTTTCATCCTGCCTCTGGGCCTCCCCCTCCGCCCTGCTGGACGCTGGGAGACAAGATGACGCTGGGAGACAAGAAATGGCGAGGAGCTAGGACCGGCTCTCCCTCTCTGCCCCCAGCCCAGCCGCAGCACGCTGCACTCATGAACCGCATGGCTCTGTCTGTCTTGCTCAGGGAGCTCTGTGTGCTTCCTCCCCTCCCACTCATGTTTAAATGGATGATAAACTGCTTTTCTTAGAAAAACAGGAAGAGGGGGTCGGGTGCAGTGGCTCACGGTGCGGTGGCTCACGCCTATAATCCCAGCACTTTGGGAGGCTGAGGCAGGTGGATCACCTGAGGTCAAGAGTTTGAGACCAGCCTAGCCATGGTGAAACCCCATCTCTACTAAAAATACAAAAATTAGCCAGGCGTGGTGGCGGGCGCCTGTAATCCCCAGCTACTCAGGACGCTAAGACAGGAGAATAGCTTGAACTCTGGAAGCAAAGGTGGCACTGAGCCGGTATCGCTCCATTTCACTGCAGCCTGCACAAAAAACAAAATAAATAAAAATAACACACAAACACACACGCACACACACAGGGATTTTCAATATGAGGTCCACCATGGACGCCATCAGTCCCTGTTCCTCTGCTCCAGGAACACCCAGGCTCAGGCCCGCAGGCACCACTGAGCTGTCAGGTAGCATTCTGCTTGCCAGGAGACCAGAGGAGATGCCAGGCCCCGGTGGGAGGCCCTCGGGGGCCCAGCACAGGCCCCATATCACCCCACACAGAAGAGGCTGGGTCCCGAGCCACCTGCCCCAGGAAGGGACTGATGAGCCAGGGCTCAGGGCCTGGCCTCGGACAGAGACCTCCCCCGTCTCATGACCAGAGACCTCCCCCGTCTCATGACCGGTCCTGGCCGCTGAGCCCACGGGTTTGATTTTGCCTTCATGCCTCCTGCGCTCCCCCACAGATGGACTGAGAGCTTGGGATGGAAATCCCAGTACACGATCTACCCCTACCAACCCCTGGCTGCCCTGCCTCTCCCTGGAAGCATGCTGTTCTGGTCTCTCCTGAGACTTCCCATCGCAGAAGTCTCCACTGGATTTGGAAAGGTGGAACTAATAATAAAAAGAAAGAAGAGAATCAAGCTCTGTGGGTCTGGACTGAGAGCTCCTTACCTTTCTCTTCTTAGGCGATGGTGAGGGTGGGTTGTCACAACGGAGGTAAGAGAAGTAGGGGAGTAATAGGAAGAAGAACCCCAGGGCAAACACCAAGGTGAGGAAGATATCCAACACCCATGGTGTGGAGCTGGGGGTGTTTAGTGATGAGGCACTAAGTAATTTTAGAGGAAAGGGAAGATTCTCCATGTGAATAGGCGCATTGCTTTCTAGCAACTGAGCTCTGGGCATCCTCGTGGAGACTAGGGACTGGGGCCCAGGCCCGCATCACAGAGCTGGGGCTTCACATCACAAAGGGCTCCTTTGTTGGGGAGGGGCAGTAGGAGGGGGAGGCCGAAGCACAGCCCCTCCCCACCCTCCAAGCCGGGGATCCCTTCACCCTCCCGCCTTCCAGATCCTTCCTTCGCACTAAGTTTTGTCAGTGATAGAACTCAGCCAGTTTTCTATTCTTTCTCCCTGGAACACAGATATTACCTGGTTCCTTTTATCTATTGGAGTCGGTGGCTTGAGGTTACCTATTTCATAGCCTTTGAAAATCTGTAGTTGACTCTGAAATTTTGGCTATGTACCAGGGATTTTTATTTTCAGAATCTCGTTCGTCCTCAACTCCGGCTTTCCCACACAATGTTTTTGTCTTCTGTGAATCCAGGGACAAAATGTAAATTTCTTTTACTCTTATTTAGTTTTGCAAATTTTGAATAGTAAGTTTTAAAAAATTATTTCTATCTCACTTTCCTTTTTTTTTATTTTTTTTATTTTTTTGAGACGGAGTCCCTCTCTGTCGCTCAGGCTGGAGTGCAGTGGCGTGATCTTGGCTCACTGCAAGCTCCGCCTCCCGGGTTCCAGCCATTCTCCTGTCTCAGCCTCCTGAGTAGCTGGGACTACAGGCGCCCACCACCACCACGCCCTGCTAATTTCTTTTTGTATTTTTAGTAGAGACGGGGTTTCACCGTGTTAGCCAGGATGGCCTCGATCTCCGGACCTTGTGATCTGCCCGCCTCTGCCTCCCAAAGTGCTGGGATTACAGGCATGAGCCACTGCGCCCATCCTTCTATCTCACTTTGAATCAAAGGGACCTACCCACATACAATTAAGATTTTTTTAAAATTCTATTTATGTACTTATGTAATTTTATTTTAAGTTCCGGGGTACATGTGCAGGACCTGCAGTTTTCCTTTCTTTTTGAGATGGAGTCTCACTCTGTTGCCCAGGCTGGAGTGCAGTGGCACGCTCTTGGCTCACTGCAACCTGTGCCTCCTGGGTTCATGCCATTCTCCTGCCTCAGCCTCCCGAGTAGCTGGGACTACAGGCATGTGCTACCACGCCCGGCTAATTTTTTGTATTTTTGGTAGAGACTGGGTTTCACCGTGTTGGCCAGGATGGTCTTGTTCTCCTGACCTTGTGATCCGCCCGCCTTGGCCTCCCAAAGTGCTGGGATTACAGGCGTGAGCCACCGTGCCGGGCCTGCTGTCTTATTTTAATGTCTCTCTGGGCTTGATAATTTAAAAGGACTGGCATTCCTCTGATAAAAGTTATTTTATTTTCTCATTTTCCATCAATCTATCCTGTTCAGTGAAATATCGGTTCGTGCCTTTAGCCCATTTTCTAATTGGCTTGTTTTTTCTTGTTGTCGTTGTTGACTTTTGAAAACTTTAAACAATATTCTAGATATGAGCTCCTTGTCAGATATGGTTTATCAGGTGTGGTTTGCACTTTTCTTCCAGTTTTTACCCTGTCTTTATTAACAGGCTCTTATGCAGGGCAAAAGTTTTAAATTTTGATAACATCCAATTAATAAATTCTTAGAATTGATTGTGCTTTTCTGGTTCATGTCTAATAATTATTCATCAAGTCCTAGGACCTGAAGAATTTCTCATTAAATTTCATATTTTTACATTGAGATGTGATCTTTTTTTTTTTTTTGAGATGGAGTCTTCCTCCATCTTCATATCTGACCACCATTGGTATCTAATTGGTTTTCTTATTGTCTACCATCCCCAGGTGATATCTGATCACTCTGGCATGGCTTCAGCAAGAATTCTGTGAGGTCAGTTTAGCCAGATTCCCTCCTATTAGTAATTTTCCATACACTACCACCCCTCCACCCTGCTCTGTGGCTATAAAATTTCTATTCAGAGGGAAACCTGAATATATGGAAACTGGAGATTACTGCAAGACCCTATTGCAGTAATCTCTATATCTATTGCAATAATCCCTCTGAATAACGTTTGTCTTACTATTTTTTAACAGGTGTCACGAATAGTTTTTTCTATAATACAGCTCAACAAAACAAGTCTGAAATAGAAGAATAAAGTGGGAGGAATTATTCTACCCAATTTTTTAACTTTTTACATAGCTACAGAAATCAAGACAGTGTGGTATTGGCAGGGGGACAGACAGTTCAATAAAACAGAATTGAGAACTCAGAAATAGTTCCATACAAGTACAACCAACTGACTTTTGAAAAAAGTGCAATATCGGTTCAATAGTACAGTGGTTCTGGAGCAGTTAGATACCATAGACAAAACAATAACCTCAATCTAACCTCATGTCTTTATTAAAAAAAAAAAGGATCAGCCGGGCGCGGTGGCTCATGCCTGTAATCCCAGCACTTTGGGAGGCTGAGGCAGGTGGATCACCTGAAGTCAAGAGTTTGAGACCAGCCTGGCCATGGTGAAACCCCATCTCTACTAAAAATACAAAAATTAGCCAGGCGTGGTGGCGGGCGCCTGTAATCCCCAGCTACTCAGGACGCTAAGACAGGAGAATAGCTTGAACTCTGGAAGCAAAGGTGGCACTGAGCCGGTATCGCTCCATTTCACTGCAGCCTGCACAAAAAACAAAATAAATAAAAATAACACACAAACACACACGCACACACACAGGGATTTTCAATATGAGGTCCACCATGGACGCCATCAGTCCCTGTTCCTCTGCTCCAGGAACACCCAGGCTCAGGCCCGCAGGCACCACTGAGCTGTCAGGTAGCATTCTGCTTGCCAGGAGACCAGAGGAGATGCCAGGCCCCGGTGGGAGGCCCTCGGGGGCCCAGCACAGGCCCCATATCACCCCACACAGAAGAGGCTGGGTCCCGAGCCACCTGCCCCAGGAAGGGACTGATGAGCCAGGGCTCAGGGCCTGGCCTCGGACAGAGACCTCCCATCTCATGACCAGAGACCTCCCCCGTCTCATGACCAGAGACCTCCCCCGTCTCATGACCGGTCCTGGCCGCTGAGCCCACGGGTTTGATTTTGCCTTCATGCCTCCTGCGCTCCCCCACAGATGGACTGAGAGCTTGGGATGGAAATCCCAGTACACGATCTACCCCTACCAACCCCTGGCTGCCCTGCCTCTCCCTGGAAGCATGCTGTTCTGGTCTCTCCTGAGACTTCCCATCGCAGAAGTCTCCACTGGATTTGGAAAGGTGGAACTAATAATAAAAAGAAAGAAGAGAATCAAGCTCTGTGGGTCTGGACTGAGAGCTCCTTACCTTTCTCTTCCTAGGCGATGGTGAGGGTGGGTTGTCACAACGGAGGTAAGAGAAGTAGGGGAGTAATAGGAAGAAGAACCCCAGGGCAAACACCAAGGTGAGGAAGATATCCAACACCCATGGTGTGGAGCTGGGGGTGTTTAGTGATGAGGCACTAAGTAATTTTAGAGGAAAGGGAAGATTCTCCATGTGAATAGGCGCATTGCTTTCTAGCAACTGAGCTCTGGGCATCCTCGTGGAGACTAGGGACTGGGGCCCAGGCCCGCATCACAGAGCTGGGGCTTCACATCACAAAGGGCTCCTTTGTTGGGGAGGGGCAGTAGGAGGGGGAGGCCGAAGCACAGCCCCTCCCCACCCTCCAAGCCGGGGATCCCTTCACCCTCCCGCCTTCCAGATCCCTCCTTCGCACTAAGTTTTGTCAGTGATAGAACTCAGCCAGTTTTCTATTCTTTCTCCCTGGAACACAGATATTACCTGGTTCCTTTTATCTGTTGGAGTCGGTGGCTTGAGGTTACCTATTTCATAGCCTTTGAAAATCTGTAGTTGACTCTGAAATTTTGGCTATGTACCAGGGATTTTTATTTTCAGAATCTCGTTCGTCCTCAACTCCAGCTTTCCCACACAATGTTTTTGTCTTCTGTGAATCCAGGGACAAAATGTAAATTTCTTTTACTCTTATTTAGTTTTGCAAATTTTGAATAGTAAGTTTTAAAAAATTATTTCTATCTCACTTTCCTTTTTTTTTATTTTTTTTATTTTTTTGAGACGGAGTCCCTCTCTGTCGCCCAGGCTGGAGTGCAGTGGCGTGATCTTGGCTCACTGCAAACTCCGCCTCCCGGGTTCCAGCCATTCTCCTGTCTCAGCCTCCTGAGTAGCTGGGACTACAGGCGCCCACCACCACCACGCCCTGCTAATTTCTTTTTGTATTTTTAGTAGAGACGGGGTTTCACCGTGTTAGCCAGGATGGCCTCGATCTCCGGACCTTGTGATCTGCCCGCCTCTGCCTCCCAAAGTGCTGGGATTACAGGCATGAGCCACTGCGCCCATCCTTCTATCTCACTTTCAATCAAAGGGACCTACCCACATACAATTAAGATTTTTTAAAAATTCTATTTATGTACTTATGTAATTTTATTTTAAGTTCCGGGGTACATGTGCAGGACCTGCAGTTTTCCTTTCTTTTTGAGATGGAGTCTCACTCTGTTGCCCAGGCTGGAGTGCAGTGGCACGCTCTTGGCTCACGGCAACCTGTGCCTCCTGGGTTCATGCCATTCTCCTGCCTCAGCCTCCCGAGTAGCTGGGACTACAGGCATGTGCTACCACGCCCGGCTAATTTTTTGTATTTTTGGTAGAGACTGGGTTTCACCGTGTTGGCCAGGATGGTCTTGTTCTCCTGACCTTGTGATCCGCCCGCCTTGGCCTCCCAAAGTGCTGGGATTACAGGCGTGAGCCACCGTGCCGGGCCTGCTGTCTTATTTTAATGTCTCTCTGGGCTTGATAATTTAAAAGGACTGGCATTCCTCTGATGAAAGTTATTTTATTTTCTCATTTTCCATCAATATATCCTGTTCAGTGAAATATCGGTTCATGCCTTTAGCCCATTTTCTAATTGGCTTGTTTTTTCTTGTTGTCGTTGTTGACTTTTGAAAACTTTAAACAATATTCTAGATATGAGCTCCTTGTCAGATACGGTTTATCAGGTGTGGTTTGCACTTTTCTTCCAGTTTTTACCCTGTCTTTTTATTAACAGGCTCTTATGCAGGGCAAAAGTTTTAAATTTTGATAACATCCAATTAATAAATTCTTAGAATTGATTGTGCTTTTCTGGTGTCATGTCTAATAATTATTCATCAAGTCCTAGGACCTGAAGAATTTCTCATTAAATTTCATATTTTTACATTGAGATGTGATCTTTTTTTTTTTTTTTGAGATGGAGTCTTCCTCCATCTTCATATCTGACCACCATTGGTATCTAATTGGTTTTCTTATTGTCTACCATCCCCAGGTGATATCTGATCACTCTGGCATGGCTTCAGCAAGAATTCTGTGAGGTCAGTTTAGCCAGATTCCCTCCTATTAGTAATTTTCCATACACTACCACCCCTCCACCCTGCTCTGTGGCTATAAAATTTCTATTCAGAGGGAAACCTGAATATATGGAAACTGGAGATTACTGCAAGACCCTATTGCAGTAATCTCTATATCTATTGCAATAATCCCTCTGAATAACGTTTGTCTTACTATTTTTTAACAGGTGTCACGAATAGTTTTTTCTATAATACAGCTCAACAAAACAAGTCTGAAATAGAAGAATAAAGTGGGAGGAATTATTCTACCCAATTTTTTAACTTTTTACATAGCTACAGAAATCAAGACAGTGTGGTATTGGCAGGGGGACAGACAGTTCAATAAAACAGAATTGAGAACTCAGAAATAGTTCCATACAAGTACAACCAACTGACTTTTGAAAAAAGTGCAATATCAGTTCAATAGTACAGTGGTTCTGGAGCAGTTAGATACCATAGACAAAACAATAACCTCAATCTAACCTCATGTCTTTATTAAAAAAAAAAAGGATCAGCCGGGCGCGGTGGCTCATGCCTGTAATCCCAGCACTTCGGGAGGCTGAGGCGGGAGGATCACGAGGTCAGGAGATCGAGACCACCCTGGCTAACAAGGTGAAACCCAGTCTCTGCTAAAAATACAAAAAAATTAACCGGGCATGGTGGCAGATGCCTGTAGTCCCAGCTACTCGGGAGGCTGAGGCAGGAGAATGGCGTGAACCCGGGAGGCGGAGCTTGCAGTGAGCCGAGATGGCACCACTGCACTCCAGCCTGGGCGACAGAGCGAGACTCCATCTCAAAGAAAAAAAAAAAAAAAAAAGATCACATATCTCAATGTAAAAATATGAAATTTAATGAGAAATTCTTCAGGTCCTAGGACTTGATGAATAATTATTAGACATGACACCAGAAAAGCACAATCACACACCTGTAATCTCAGCATTTTATCAGGACAAGCTTTCTCTCCGGAGTGAAAAGGCGAGTTAATTTATCACAAATCAAACAACGTTAAATAACTAGCCTTCAAGAGCTGAGATAAAGAATATGTGCTGATGCTGAGCATATTGGGTTGGGTTCCCCTGAAAAGCAAGGGCTGAGCCAAAGGAATGCAGGTAATTCCAGAGAACAGAAATGGAGGACTGCAACAGGAAAGGATGGGAAGGTAATACAGGGTGAATTCTCAAGTGACTCGTTTCAGGCACCTAGTGCCACTGTCTGTGGAATCTTGGTGTTTCCATCAGCTCCTGTTTCCCAATGACCTGTAAGATGGTAACACCCTCACGTTCCATGGGTGCCAGAGAGCTTCCCGCAGTGTTCTCAAGCCCTGGGAGAGAAGTCTGGTCTACACCCTGCAGTGGAGGCCAAGTACAGTGTACACAGTTGGGTCCTGCCTGCCTGAGGATCGCTGCTGGAGATGTGTGCAGAGAGGATGGGAGGGGTAGGGCACTATGAATTAGACATCTAATCCAGGAGAGCATTTTCATTTGCACAAGGTGATAACCAACCTGAATTGAAAGAGTAAGGATGTAAGCTAGACGTTAGGAAACGCTCCCAAGCTTAGCAGATAGGAGGTACTGACAAGAATTAGTAACAAAGAAAGGTCCAGGTGCAGTGGCTTATGCTTGTAATCCCAGCATTTTGGGAGGCTGAGGCAGGAGGATCACTTGAGGTCAGGAGTTTGAGACCAGCCTGGCCAACATGGTGAAACCCTATCTCTACTAAAAATACAAACATTAGCTGGGTGTGGTGGTGGGTGCCTATAATCCCGCCTACTCGGGAGGCTGAGGCAGGAGAATTGTTGAACCTGGGTGGTGGAGGTTGCAGTGAGTAGAGATTGCCCCACTGCACTCCAGCCTGGGTAACAGAGTAAGACTCTGTCTCAAAAATAAAAAATAAAATAAAATAAAAATAAATAAATAAAATAATGAAGAAAGGATGGGTGACTTCCCTGCAGACTTCACTGACAGTACTCAAGAAAAATCTTTCTGCAATGATAGGCCCTGGATGGAAGAAGGAGGAGACTGCCCCAGACACTCTTGGCATACCAACGTTCTGAGAGTTTGGTTCTAACTGTTCGAACTATGTATTTCCTCTTTCTTCCCTCCCTCTCTCCCTTCGCCCCTCCCTCCCTCTCTTCCTTCCTTCCTTCCTTCCTTTTCCTTCCTTCCTTCTTTCCTTCCTTCTTTCTGTCCCCACACAGCTCTTCAGTCCTGTTACATCAGTTTTCTTTTCTCTGCTAAGTTGTATTCTGAATTCTATTCAATTTAAACTCAAATTCCTAATAGAAAGTAGAGCAATACCTGGATATCTGTTCTTAATACATCGTTTGAGGTGGGGAAGGCAGGTATTTAATTTGATTTATTCACCAGTAAGTGGCACTGAAAATAGTCATTGGTGGAAAAATCAGTTTTTCTTATTTTCAGCATAGAGATTATTTTAATGTGAAATTCATTCCTTTTATAATTATAAACCATTTGATTTAGACCAATTATTGATCAAAATTAGACATTTTAAATATTGCTGATGTAGTTTTTAGTCCTATATAATTTCATGATATTTTCCACATATTAAACTCTCTCAATTCAAATAATTTGGGTACATTTTGGAAATTCCCATGTAATGTAATATGTCACACATGAATTTTATTTATGAATATAATGTTTAAATATCATAATAATCTAGAGAAACAAGTGAGAAGAATGACAGACAAGAAAAAGCAAAAACAAATCTATGGTCATAAAAGTATAAATATTCACATTCATTTTTATTTTATTAAAAACTTTTATTTATATAAATTTATGGGTACAAGTGTAATATTGTTATATAAATCCATTGCATACTGGTGAAGTCAGGAATTTTAAAGTATCCGTCACCCAAATAATGTACATTGTATCCATTGTGTAATTTCTCATCATTCCCTTCCCCACCTTCTCACCCTTCTGAGTCTCCATTGTCAATTATTCTGCACTCTACGCCCATGTGTACACCTCATTTAGCCTCCACTTATGAGTGAGAACATGTGATATTTGTCTTTCTATGTTTGTCTTGTTTCACTTAGGGTAATGACCCTCAGTTCCATCCCTGTTGCTGCAAAAGACATGATGTCATTCTTTTTTATGACTGAGTAGTATTCAAGTGTGTATAATACCACCTTTTCTTTATCCAATCTGCCATTGATGGATACTTAGGTTGATTCTGTATCTTTGCCATTGTGAATAGTGCTGTGATAAACATATGAGTCCGTGTTATCTTTTTCTTTTTTTTTTTTTTTTGAGACGGAATCTCGCTCTGTCACACAGGCTGGAGTGCAGTGGCACAATCTCTGCTCACTGCAAGCTCCTCCTCCTGGGTTCACGCCATTCTCCTGCCTCAGCCTCCTGAGTAACTGGTACTACAGGCGCCCACCACCACACCTGGCTAATTTTTTTGTATATTTTAGTAGAGACGGGGTTTCACCGTGTTAGCCAGGATGGTCTCGATCTCCTGACCTTGTGATCCATCCGCCTTGGCCTCCCAAAGTGCTGGGATGACAGGCGTGAGCCACCGCACCTGGCCGTGTTATCTTTTTAATATAATTCTTTCTTTCTTTTTGGGTAGATACCCAGGAGTGGGATTGCTGGATCATGTAGTAGTTCTATTTTTGTTTCTTTGGGAAATCTCTGTTCTGTCTTCCACAGAGGTTGTACTAATTTACAGTTGCACTAACAGTGTTATAAGGGTTCTCTTTCTCTACATCTTGCCAACATCTGTTATTTTTTGTCATTTTAATAGTCATTCTGATTGGTGTTAGATGGTATCTCGTTGTGGTTTTAATTTGCATTTCTCTGATGATTAGTGATGTTGAACTTTTTTTCAAATGCCCGTGGGCAATTTGTATGGCTTATTTGAAAACTCACTATTCATGTCCTTCTTCCACTTTTTAATGGGATTCTTTAGAGGTATTTTTGTAGAGTTGTTTGAATTTCTTGTAAATTCTGGATATTAGTCCACTGTCAGATGTATTCAAACTCATTTTAAAATACATATTCTGCATGGCAAAATAAAACGAAACAACATAACCCCAAACACACACATCTGCTGACTTTCATAGTCAATACTAGGGAATTAGCTGAAGCGGGACAAAAGATACATACACATATGCCTTTGGCATCCAGATAGACAAGCTGGGTCTGTTAGGCATTAATAGGGAGCTCTGGAAACTGCAGTCTACTGCAGAGCACGCGCCACACCCAGATAATCTTTTTTAAAAATCTGTAATTAGCTTTATTAACAGTGTAACATTTTCATGAATTCTTAAATTTTGTTTTAATTTTCACAATATTACAGTTTAAAATATACAGTTTAATAACAAGCATGTTAATTCAAATCAACAAATATTCAAGCCTACATGAAAGAAGAATGAAATGAGATTACCTTTTTATATAATCAGCTGAATTCTTTTTAAGGGCAAAAAGTTAATATTGGTATTTAAAAACCTACATTTCCAATGTTTCTGCTGGCCATCCAATCCAACCATATGTATATTACTTAGGCCACAGGACTGCCCATTAGTCTTTCCTGTCAGAGAGCAATTAGCCTCTGAATCATTTTTGCTCAGCACCAGCTTTCTCTATAAATAAATTTGGATGGGCCAGGGAATTGTCATCTTGGTATTTGATAGAAGTAGGGATGCTGCTCAGTTGTATTTCGTTTTCAGTACTGGGTGGATCAACACCTGCTAATGTTGGTCCTGATGTTGAAGTTGCACGTTTCGCTTCACCAGATTCCACTAACTTTTTGACTTCTTAATTGATCTGAATGTCTGCTGAACAAAGGAATCACTTTCAACAGCTTCCATTTCTTTCACTTTTTTCACTTGTTCTACCAGGGTGGCGTGGTCTTCCTCCTTTCTTCTCTTTGCTTCTTCCTCATTTCTTTCTTTGGATTTCAATGCTTCATCAGCTTTTGCAGCAGCTTCAAGAACCAGCTGTATTCTGGCTTTGGCCTCTTCAGCTGGTGGCAGATGGTTTAATCCAGCTTTGATGTTTCCAGATTCCAGATTTGATGTTATGTAATCCTTGTCCTTCCCTTAATCCTTCCCCTTTTCTCTTTATCTCTGACTTTACGTTGTTCTTTATCCCGAGACCAACTATGCATTCTTCTGTGGCTGGACCTTTCACTGCTCCGACTGTGAGAACACAGACAAGGCCTTGACCTAGATCTTCTTATTCTGCTTTTTGACCTAGACCTCTTAACTCCATAGGATTTCTCTCCATCCCTTGAACGACTTCGAGTTAGTTTCCTTCTAGAGCCATGAGAGCTACTCCTTGGTTGATGCCTGCATCTTCTATCATAAGAATGCGAATAAGGCTGAAGATCTCTGGACCAAGATTTTGACTTTGATCTTGATTTCCTTCCTTCTTTCTTTCACCTGTATATTCTACTATCTGAAGAACTCCTCGATGAGGACCATCTACAGTGCTTTTTTTTTTCTATCTCTCTGTCTCTCAGTTCTGCTTTCTTCTACAGTATTTGATGACTGGCATCCCATTTCTATAAGCTGGGTCCAGAACTTTGGGCTCACACCTTCCTTTGACGTGCAAGTGCCACAGACCCTGAGATGTTTCTTCAGATCAGGGTGCCGCTGGCATCCACTGAACTTGCTTCAGTTTAAGCTGAGCACCTTCCTGAGAATCATTTCATTTTATCTTTCATTCTGTAGTGAGAAGAGGCTTCAGCATGAATAGTCTAGGGACATGCAAGATGTATAAAATAGAATGGAGTTGTGAATTAGGTTATATGAGGGAGAAATTTATAAAAAATATAAAGCATTGTAAAGACAAATGCATGTTACACAAAACCAGGAGACCACTTCATTTTAAGAGGTACCTGCTGGTCTCAGAAGCTTTAAGTGATTTATAATCTAGTCAACAATAAGTGGCAGATGAACTGAAAATATATTTGCATGAAGTTCTTAGTTCAGAGGTAAAGCTAGGATGCTATGCATGGCAACACTGGAAGGGAAAGAGCTTTTGAAATCCAGGTCTGGGCATTTGCTCTAATCAGAGGTCAACATCTTCTCTGCCCTCATAACCCACTCCCCGCCAGGGGTCCTGTCTCCTAGACCACACATTAGCAGATATAATATCTGTCATTCTGGTTTCTCATTCTCTTTCCAGAAAAATCCAGACATGATTTTATTGCAAGATGGAGAGAAAAGGAGACAGCATCACATGTCTTATATTAGTCACAAAAACTGGATGGGTTTTATTTCAGGCGCTAATTCTTTTGAGAACACAAGGGAAACTTTGATCTTAATCTATTTGATGTGGTTTTAAGTAAAGGAGCATCTTGTGCTTACTTTGAAAGTGTTTTTTTACTTCGGGCTTGGTCAAATATTACATTTTGTTCCAGAGAAAAACTCATTTGGAAGGCAGCATGGAGTATAGAATTAGACATCCCTGGGCTTGAAGCCCATCTCAGCCATGAACTACCTTTATGACTTTCAGCTAGTTACTTTTCCTCACTCAGCTTCAGTTTCTTCATTTATAAAGCAAGTGCCTCAACATCGCTTTTTGACTTTCTTAATCTTGTCTACGCATCTACAAGTAGCCCTTTTATTACTGATTTTTAACTACTCCTGGCCATTGGAATGACCGAGAAGCCCATGTCTCATTCTCAGACGGGGGATTTTGATTCTAATGACAGTCATGGTTGAGAGTCCACTGTGTTAAAGTCTCTTCATTTGAAGCATCTGATGTGAATTCTATTTTCTGCTTAAACCCCAGACATAGATGTTAAGTTTCAAAATTATGTCGTACATTCACTCCCACTACATACTCATTGAATGCTTACCATGTACAGACTCTGTGATAGACTATGGAAATACATAGAAAGAAATTCCCTGTTTTTAAGAACTTTACCTAGTGTTTAGAAATTGCATTTAAAACTGATAATTAAAATACTATAGACCTTGGCTTAAAGGATGCACCTTGTAATCTGTAATCATATTTGTAGTTATATATTGCTTTGAAAATACACTGTAGACAGTAAGACAAAAAAGGAAATAAAAAGTACATGAATTGCGAAGGAGAAAATAAAATTGTCTTTGTTCACAGATGACATGATTGTCTATGTAGAAAATCCCGAGGAACTGACAAAACAAACAAACAAACAAATCTAGAACTAATTAGTTCTAGATTATAGCAAGGTTGCAGGATACAAGCTTAATACCTGAAAGTAAATTCCTTTCCTATATACCAGCCATGAACAATTGGAATTTGAAATCAAAATACAACACCATTAATATTATTACCAAAAGAGAGAGAGGGAGAAATATGTATTATGCTAACAAAAGAAGTAAAAAAGGTATGTGAGAAAAACTACAAATCTCTGATGAAATAAATCAAAGGAGATCTAAATTAATGGAAAGACAAACTATGCTAATGGATAAGAAAACTCAATCTTGTTATGTGTCAGTTCATTCCAATTTGATCCATAGATTCAATGCAATCCTAGAAAGCTACTTTGTGGACATCTGCAAACTGATTCTAAGGTTTACACGAAAAGGCAAAAAGATGCAATAGTCGAAACAATATTGAAGAAGAACAAAGAAGTCGGACTCTTCTTGACTTCAAGTCTTTCTATAAAGCTACAATAATCAAAATAGTGTGGCATTGGTGAAAGAATAGATAGATCAAAACCAATTCAATGGAGAAAGGGAAAAGACAGTCTTTTTAACAAATGGTGCTGGAACTGGAGTTCCTTATGAAAAAGAAAAGGAAAGAATCTAGACACTGACATTACACTTTTCACAGAAGTTAGTTCAAAAAAAAATAAATCATAGATCTAAATGTAAAACACAAAACTATAAAACATGTAAAAGATGACATGAGGAAAAATCTAGATGACCTTGGTTTTGGTAATGAGTTTTAAGATATGATGCTAAAAACATGATCCACAAAAAAAAATAAGTGGTAAGTGGGACTTCATTAAAATTAGAATCTTCTGGGCTGGGTGCGGTGGCTCACGCCTGTAATCCCAGCATTTTGGGAGGCCAAGGTGGGCAGATCACAAGGTCAGGAGATTGAGATCTTCCTGGCCAACATGGCAAAAGCCCGTCTCTACTAAAAATACAAAAATTACCTGGGCGTGGTGACACGCGCCTGTAGTCCCAACTACTCAGGAGGCTGAGGCAGGAGAATCGCTTGAATCCAGGAGGCGGAGGTTGCAGTGAGCCAAGATCGCGCCACTGTACTCCAGCCTGGCAACACAGCGAGACTCCATCTCAAAAAAAAAAAAAAAAAAAAAAATTAGAATCTTCTCATCTGTGAAAGATACTGTTAAGACGATGAAAAGATAAGTCACAGACTAGGAGAAAATATTTGCAAAACACTATTGGTAAAGGACGTGTATCCAAAATATGCAAAGAACTCTTTAAAAATTCACAATAAAAAAAAAACAGCCCAATTAAATTGACAAACCATCTGAACAGACACCTCACCAAAGAAGATATACAGCTTAAAAGCAAGCATAGGAAAATATGCTCAACATCATATGCTATTAGATGATATAGCTTGGATGCTTGTCCTCTCCAAATCTCATGTTGAAATGTAATCTCTGTAATCCCTAATGCTGATGGTGGGGCCTGGT
Organism: Homo sapiens; assembly: GCF_000001405.40. Taxonomy (NCBI): domain Eukaryota; kingdom Metazoa; phylum Chordata; class Mammalia; order Primates; family Hominidae; genus Homo; species Homo sapiens. Next base: position 88,148,952 of record NC_000009.12, read on the forward strand.
GGGGGGTGTTTGGGTCATGGGGGGGATCCTTCATGAATGGCTTGGTGCTGTCCTCACAATAATGAGTGAGTTCTCACTCTGTTGACGGGAGATCTGGTTGTTTAAAGAGTGTGGCACCTCCCCACTCTTCTGCTCCCACTCTCACCATGTGATGCCCCTGTTCCTCCTTCTCTTTCCCCATGACTGTAAACTTCCTGAGGCCCTAACGGGCAGGTACAAGTGCCATGCTTACTGTGCAGCATGTAGAACCATGAGCCAATTAAACCTCTTTTCTTTATAAATTGCCAGCTTCGGATATTTCTTTATAGTGATGCAAATGCAGCGTAACACATCAGAGAAACACAAATTCAAGCGATAAGGAGACCCGTATTAGAATAACTAAAATCTAAAATACTGATGATACCAAATGCTAGTAAAGATGCGGAGTAACAGGTACTCTCATTCACTGCTAGTGGGAAAGCAAAATGGCCCAGCTACTTTGGGAGAAAATTTGGTAGTGTTTTTACAAAGTTAAACTTATTCTTCCCATACATCAGGCAACCACACGCCTTGGTATTTACCCTATGAGTTGAAAACTTATGTCTACACAACCTGCACACGAATGCGTATTGCTAAGTGAAAGAAGCCAATGTGAAAAGGCTATGTAATGTATCGTTTCGACTATATGACATTTTGGAAGAGGCAAAACTATACATCAATGATATAAAGGGATTTGGGAAGCACAGGAGGAAGAGGAGAGGGATTAATACAGTAGAGCACATGGGATTTTGAAGGCAGTGAAACTATTCTATATGGTATTATAATGATGACACAAGGGTATTATGCATTTGGTTGTAGAATGAACAACACAAGAGTGAACCCTAATGTTAATGATGGACTTTAATTAATAGTAATGCATCAATATTGGTTCATCAATGGAAACAAACGTGCCATCCCAAAGCAAGGTGTTAACAATACAGGAAACTGCTGGTTAGGGCGCAGTGGAAAGAGAGGGCTATATTTACTTCCTGCTCATCTTTCTATAAACCTAAAACTGACCTAAAAGTAATGTCAATTAATAAAATATATGCTGCAGAAGTATCACAGGCTGCATTTGATAAAACTACTTCTCATGAGTATCTAAAACTTTTTAAAAATTACTAATAGAATCTTATTGATTAGAAATAATAAAATATAAAAGTAATAGTGGGGCAAGGAAGCATTAGCGGTCCTTTGCTTCCCTTTGGAGTAGGAAGCCATCGTGTGTTCTGGAGGCAACAATGTTCAGAGGCAAATTGCAACTTGTTTGGGTTGTGCCTTAGCTTTCCTATTGAGTACAAATGTTCCATCCAAATGCATGGGTAGAAATTTTGCCCCGAATTTAGTTTTTGGAATTACTAGTAAGACTAATTCACACAGGCTTCTTGAAGTTGGAACACACGTAAAACAGGTAAGATGATTTTGGGGAAGGTTTCATGAAAGTCTTTCCATACAGACTTTATTTTCCTCAGCTGCAGACAAGGGAGACAGAATAGATGATGTGGAAGATTCCTCTTAACTCAAATTATATGAATGATTGATATTCTGGGCACAGTAGGAAAAATAATGTAAAATATCTTTATGAGATAATGAGTTTTGTACTTGAGTTATCACTCAGGAATGGAATATAAAATTTCTCATTACCCAATCCCTGAAAAGCAGGGGTTGGCAAAGTTTTTCTGTAGAAGACTTGATAGTAAATATTTTGGGTTTCGTGGACTCTACTGTCCATCACAGCTATTCAACTCTTCTATTGTATGAACACGCCATAGACAATACATAAATGAATGAACATCACAATGTTTCAATAAAATTTTATTTACAAAAACAGGCAAAGTGGGCTGTAGTTGGTCAACGTCTTTTAGGCACTGAAACAATATGTTAGACCAAAGTCAAAAGAAAAGGAGAAATGGAGAAAGGGGGAAAAGAAAGAAAAAAGGAAGGAGAGAAGGAAGGAAGGAAGGAAGAAAAAAGGAAGGAAGGAAAGAAGATAAGTCACAGGTGCCTTATAGTGTTCATTCACTTAATCACTTTTTCCCATGGCAAATATTTTAAACTTATATTTTCAGGCACTGTGCTAAGCACTCGAGATTTTTAAAAGAGAGAGTGATAAAAAGTTGAATAAGAGAGTCCCTGCACTCAAGATGCATATGGGCTAGAAGGGGATATATTCATGTAATAATAATCATAATAAGTAGATGCACTGAGACCTCCCCAACAACCCCAAATAAGCATGATCCTTACCTGCTACCCAGGTATGCCTGAAATCATAAATGGCAGTCATTTAGAAGCTACACGCTTTTGTTTTGCTGAGTAGGGTGTGAAAAGTACAGGCAAGAATTGAGTTCCCGTGTGTCCATGGGCAATGATGTGGATTTTAGAGGTTATGCTGGGTGGAGGTGAGGAGGAGACAAGAGGTGAGAAAACTGATAGAACCATGGGAAGAAACATGGAGCCAATGAGAAGGATTGCGATGAGGCTTCTTAACTGTAGTGTGCAATACGGATTCTCCTGTCCTTCTCGCTGGAAAACATCAGCACACCATTCGTATGCTGTGAAGTTAGAACTGTCTTGGGGAATTAAAAGAAAGTGCTCATGTGGGCTCAGAGCAGCTAGGGGGAAAAGACATAAGAGGTCTGCCCTCCTTGCCTCCCATCTCTAACCCCTGGCAACCAGTAATCCACTCTCCATCTCTATAATGTCGCTATTACAAGATTATTTATAAATGGAATCATACTGTATGTGACCTTTGAGACTGGCTTTTTTCATTCTGCATAGTTCCCTTGAGATGTATCCAAGTTGTTGCCATAGCAGTAGTTGATTGCTTTTTCTTTTCTTTTTCTTTTTTTTTTTTTTTTTTTTGAGATGGAGTCTCACTCTGTTGCCCAGGCAGGAGTGCAGTGGTGTGATCTTGGCTCACTGCAACCTATGCCTTCCGGGTTCAAGCGATTCTCCTGCCTCAGCCTCCTGAGTAGCTGGTACTACAGGTGCGCATCACCATACCTGGCTAATTTTTGTATTTTTTAGTAGAGACGGGGTTTTACCATGTCGGCCAGGCTGGTCTCGAACTCCTAACCTCATGATCCACCTGCTTCAGCCTCCCAAAGTGCTGGGGTTACAGGCGTGAGCCACCGCACCAGGCCCTGAATTCCTTTTTATTGGTGAGTAATAGTCCGTGGTGTGGAAGTTCCCACACTTTGTTTAACCATTCATCCACTGAAGGACATCAGGATTATTTCCAGTTTTGGGTTACTGCAAATAAAGCTGCTATAAACCTGTGTGTATGTATTTTGTTGTGGACATAGGCTTTCACTTCTCTGGGATACAGGACCAGTGGTGAAATTACTGATCATATCTTATGTGCATTTCTTAGTTTGAAAAGAAACTATCGAGCTATGTTCCAGAGTGGCTGGTACCGTTTTACATTTATATTAATATGAGAGATCCAGTTTCTCTGCAATCTCCCCAGCATTTGGTGGATCATTGCTTTTTAAAGCTGTCCTAATAGGTGTCTGGTGATATGTCAGCATGGTCTTAATTTGCCTAAAGGAGAGTGATAAACATCTTTTCATGTGCTTATTTGCCAGACACATAGGCCGTTGGAAAAATGTTTATTCATTGCCTTTTGCTCAATTTCTTTATTTTCTCTTTCTCTTTCTTTCTCTTTCTCTTTTCTCTCTCTTTTTTCTCTCTCTCTCTCCCTTTCTTCCTCTTTCTTTCATTCTCTCCTTCTTTCCTTCCTTCCTTCCTTCCTCCCTCCCTCCCTTCCTTCTTTCCTTCTTCCTTTTCTTTCTTTTCTTTCATCTCACTGTGTCACTTAGGCTGAAGTGCAGTGGCAGGGCTCACTGCAGCTTTGACCTCCCAGGCTTAACTGATCCTCCCACCTCAGCCTCCTGAGTAGCTGGGACCACAGGTGTGTGCCTCCATGCCCCGCTGATTAATTTTTTTTTTTTTTTCTGTGGAGACGGCATCTCACTATGTTGCCCAGGCTGGTCTCAAACTCCTGGGCTCAAGTGATTCTCCCTCCTCAGCCTCCCAAAGCTCTGGGATTATAGATGTGAGCCACAGCACCCAGTCTTGCCCATTTTCTAATTGCATTGTTTCTTTTTTATGCTTTTGCAGAGCAAAATTTTAAAATTTTGATGATGTTCCATTTATAATTTTCCCTTTTATGTATTGTGCTTTGGGGGCCAAGTCCAAGAATTCTTTACCTAACCCTAAATCCAGATGATTTCTCCTATTTATTTTTCCTAAAGGCTTTATAATTTTACCTTTCACATTTATGTCTGTGATCCATTTTCAGTGAATGTTTATATAAGATGTGAGGTTTGGGTCCATTCGTTTCCCCGTGGGTGTCCCATTGTTTCAGCATCATTTGTTGAAAGGTGATCCTTCCTCCATTTAATTATTTTTTGCACTTTATGAAAAATCACAATAGCAAAGACTTGGAACCAAGCCAAATGTCCAACAATGATAGACTGGATTAAGAAAATGTGGCACATATACACCATGGAATACTATGCAGCCATAAAAAATGATGAGTTCATGTCCTTTGTAGGGACATGGATGAAGCTGGAAACCATCATTCTCAGCAAACTATCGCAAGGACAAAAAACCAAACACCACTTGTTCTCACTCATAGGTGGGAATTGAACAATGAGAACACATGGACACAGGAAGGGGAACATCGCACACCAGGGCCTGTTGTGGGTTGGGGGTAGGGGAGAGGGATAGCATTAGGAGATATATCTAATTTTAAATGACGAGTTGATGGGTGCAGCACACCAACATGGCACATGTATACATACGTAACTCATCTGCACGTTGTGCACATGTACCCGAAAACTTAAAGTATAATAAAAATAAAAAAAAAAGAAAAGAAAAATCAGATGGGCATGGCTGTGTGGGTTTTGTATCCTGTTCTATTAATCTATGTGTCTATACCTTCACCAATATCACAGTCTTAACAGCTGTAGCTATAGTAAGTCTAAACATCAGGTAAAGTGATTTCTCCCACTCGATTTATTTATTTACTTATTTAGAGACAGAGTCTTGCTATGTTGCCTGGCTACGTTTGGACTGGGCTCAACTGATTCTCCCACCTCAGCCTCCTGAGTAGCTGGGACTCCAGGTATGCACCACTGCACCCAGCTCCATTTTCTAGTTCTTTTTCAAAATGTTTTAGCTGTTCTAGGTCCTTTGCCTTACCATACACATTTAGAATTTGCTTCTCTATGTCCTCCTGCCTCAGTATGAAAAACTGCTGAGGCCAGGCGCGGTGGCTCACGCTTGTAATCCCAGCACTTTGGGAGGCTGAGGCAGGCAGATCACTTGAGGTTAGGAGTTCAAGACCAGCTTGGCCTCCTGTCTCAGTATGAAAAACTGCTGAGGCCGGGCACAGTGGCTCAAGCCTGTAATCTCAGCACTTTGGGAGGCCAAGGCAGGCGGATCACTTGAGGTCAGGAGTTCGAGACCAGCCTGGCCAACATGGTGAAACCCCTGTCTCTAATAAAATTACGAAATTAGGCAGGTGTGGTGGCAGGCGCCTGTAATCCCAGCTACTCAGGAGGCAGAGGCATGAGAATTGCTTGAACCCGGGAGGCAGAGATTGCAGTGATCTGAGATTGCGCCATTGCACTCCAGCCTGGGCAATAGAGCAAGACTCCATCTCAAAAGAAAGAGAGAGAAAGAGAAGAAAGAAAGAAAGAAAGAAAGGAGGGAGGGAGGGAGAAAAAAAAGAAAAACTGCTGAGATTTTGAAAGGCATTTTGTTATATCCTCAAATGAGTTTGTGGAGAACTGACATATTTATTATGTTGAGTCTTCCAATCCATGAACACAGTATGTCTCTGCATTTAACTAGCTCTTCTTTTATTTTGTTTTTTTGTCAGCATTTTTGCAACATTCAGTATGTAGATTCTGTACATGTTCTTTTAGAATTATACCTATTTTCATTGGGGAGGGTACAATTGTAAAGAGCATTGTGTTTTTAATTTTAGTTTCCACATGTTTGTTGCTAGTATATAAAAATGTAGTTGATTTTTGTGTGTTGATCTTGTATTGTGCAAATGTGCTGAACTCTCTTGTTTAAGAGGTTTGTTGAGGAAAATTCTTCTAGATTCTATGTATAGATGATCAAGTCATCTGTCAATAGGGACAGTTTTATTTCTTTCTTTCCAGTCTGTATGCCTTTTAATTCTTTTTCTTGCCATGTTGTACTTGCTAGAACTTCCGGTATTACGTTGAATATGAGTAGTAAGTTTGGACATCTTTGCCTTGCTCCTGATCTTAGGGAAGGGCATTTGGTTCTTCACTATTAACTACGATGTTAGCTGTAATTCTTTGGGTGAACGCTTTTTGTCAAGTTCAGAAATTTCCTTTCTAGTATTAGTGTCTTGCAAATTTTCATCATGAGTGGATGGTGGATTTTGTCAGACTTTCTTGGTGTCAGCTGATATGCTCATAAAACCTTATGGTTTTTTAGCCTAGTGATATGTTGATTGATTTTTGAATATCGAGTCAACTTTGCATGCCTGAAATAAATCCTAAGTGATCATAACGTGTAATTCTTTTCATTGTTGGATTAAATTTGCCAGTATTTTGGTGATTTTTATGTCTAAGTTCATACAAGATATGGATCCTTCCTTCCTCCCTTCCTCCCTTCCTCCCTCCCTCCTTTTCTCCCTCCCTTCCTTCCCTTTCTCTCTTCCCTTGCTCTCTTTCTGTATTTCCTCTCTTCTTTCTTCTGTCTTTGTGTAATTTTGGTATCAGGGTAATACTTGCCTTACACAAAGAGTGGGGAAGGGCTTTCTCTTCTATTTTTCCGGAAGACAGTGTGTAAAATTGCTATTAATTCTTCTTTAAATGTTTGGTAGAATTCTCCAGTGAAACTCTCTGGGCCTGGAAACTTTCTCACAGGTGTTTCAGCTATAAATTAAATTACTTTAATGCTTATGTGACTGTTCAGGTGATCTATTTTATCTTGGTTGCATTTTGATAGTTTGTGCTTTTCAAGGAATTAGTCTGATTTTCTATATTCTTGAATTTATGGGCATAAACTTGTTCGTAGTAGTCCCTTACTTTCTCTTTAATGACTACAACAGATACGGTGATATTCCATTTTGTTCTGACATTGGAGATTCGTATATTCTCTCTACTGTTATCAACCTTCTTAGGGGTTTTTCAATTACCTATTATTTTTTGTTAATGATCCGGCTTTTGTTTCATTGATTTTCTCTATTGTTTTCCTGTATTAATTTCTTTGATTTTTGCTCTTATTATTTCCTCTCTTTCTGCTTGTTTGGATTTAATTTAGGTTTTCTTTTTCTACCTTGTTGAGGTAAGAACTTAAGATCACTAATTTGAGATCTTTTCTCTTTTAAACATAAGCAATTACTGCTTAAATTTCCTTCTCAGTACTGCCTTATCTGTATTCCACGAAATTTAACTCATGATATTTTCATTTTTCTTTCTTCTTCTCTGTATTTTAAATTTTTATTTGAAAGTTTTTATTGCCTCATGGATTATTTAGAATTGTGATGTTTAATATACAAGTTTGGGAATATTTTTATTGAATTTCTATTACCGATTTCTTAGTTGATATTCTGTGATCAGAGAACATACTCTAACTGTGAATGTATCTTTTTCTCTTTTCAGCTCTATCAGTTTTGCTTCAGTGTTTTGATGCTCTGCTGTTTGGTGCATGCACAGTTAGGTCTTCTTTGTGTATTAATCCTTTTATCATTAAGTGATGTTCCTTTGTCCCTAATGTTTTCCTGTGCTTGGAAGTCTACTTTATCTGATATTAATATAGCCATGGCTACTTTTTAAAAATGAAGGTTTGCATAATCATTTTACATGTTTTTTTAACCTACCTATGTCATTGCTTTTCAGCTGAGTTTCCTGTAGGCAACATACAGTTAGGTTGTGTTTTTTTTTAACCCACTGTTCCAATCTCTGTTTAGTGTATTTAGATCATTTCATTTGAAGTAATTATTAAAATGTTAGTGCTAAAGTCTTTATTTTACTATCTTTTTTTTTTCTGTTTGTTCTCTCTGTTTCTTATTTCTCTGTTTCTCTTTAACTTTTTTTTTTTTTTTCAGACAGAGTCTCACTCTGTCGCTTAGGCTGGAGTGCAGTGGCACTGTCTCAGCTCACTGCAACTTCTGCCCTGCCAGGTTCAAGTGATTCTTGCGTCTTGGCCTCCCGAGTAGCTGGATTATAGGCGCCCACCACCACACCTGGCTAATTTCTGTATTTTTTAAAATTAGAGACGGGATTTCACCATGTTGGCCAGGCTGGTCTGGAACTCCTGAGCTCAGGTGATCTGCCCCCCTTGCCTCCCAAAGAGCTGGGATTACAGGTGTAAGCCACCACACCCAGCCACGCCCAGCCAACATTTTCTTTATTTTAATGAGATATATAAATATGTATGTGATTTTTTAGTATACTGCTCTGGATAGTTTTCTTAGTGGTTTCTCTAGGCATTACAGTATTTATACATAAATTGTGACAGTCTACTGTCACACAAAGTGTTACCACTTCAGGTGAACTGTAGACACCTTACTCCTCCTTAGTTTCTTTTATCTTGCCCAGTTTTTAAGTTTAACTGTCTTAAGTATTTCCTCTACATACATTAAACACCCCATCAGATGGTGTTATATTTTTTGTTTCACCCATGAAATATGATTTAGAAACTCACAAGGAAGATCGTCTATTTACTCCTATTTTTGTCCATTCTGTTATTCTTTCCTTACTGATTTCCAAGTCTTCTTCTGTTGTCATTTCCTTTCTGTTTAGAGAATTTTCTTTAGCCATTCTTTAAGAGTCAGTCTGCTAGCCACACATTCTCTTATTTTACCTTCATCTGAATGTGTCTTTATTTCCTCCTCATTCCTGAAGGATACTTTCACCAAACATACAACTCACAATGAATAGTTTTTTCTTCCAGAACTTGAAAAATTGTTTCCACTTCCTTGTAGTATCATGGCTCCAGATGACTCTTTTCAGGATATTTTTTCTTTGCCTTTCATTTAATTATGATGTGTTTTGGCATGAGTTTTCTTGGGTTTATCTTATTTAGGGTTCACTTAGGTAATTTAATCTATAAGCTTAGTTCTTTTGCCATGTTTAGAAAGTCTTCACCAATTATTTCTTTCTCTCTCTCTCTGTTTCTTTTTTTTTTTTTTTTTTTTGAGATGGAGTCTCTCTCTATTACCAGGCTGGAGTGCAGTGGTGCAATCTCGGTTCACTGCAACCTCTGCCTCCCAAGCTCAAGCGATCCTCCTGACTCAGCCTCCCAAGTAGCTAGGACTACAGGCACATGCCACCACGCCCAGCTAATTTCTGTATTTTTAGTAGAGACAGGGTTATCACCATGTTGGCCAGGTAGGTCTTGAACTCCTGACCTCAGGTAATCTGCCTGCCTTGGCCTCCCAAACTGCTGGGATTACAGGCATGAGCCATTGTGCCTGGCCCATTATTTCTTTGCATACTTGTTCAGCCCTATTCTCTTTGTCTGCTTATGAATGTTAGATCTTTTGTTATAGTCTCACAGGTCCTGAAAACTCTGTTCTTTTTTTTTTTTTAAGTCTTTTTCTCTCTGTTGTTCAGATTGAGTAATTTTTATTGTTTTATCTTCAGGTTCATTGATTTCTTTCTTCTGTCATATTCATTCTGCCACTGCACCCATCCAATAAGTCTCTTTTTTTCAACTATTGTACTTTTCATTTCTATAGTTTTCATTTGGTTCCTTTTTACATCTTTTACTTCTTTAGCGAGACCTAATTTTTTTTTCATTTGCAAAGTATATTTGTAATTGCTCTTTTGAATGATTTTTGTAAGATGGCTACTTTAAAATTTTTGTGAGATAGTTCCAACCTTGATTCACCCTGGTATGGTGTCTGTTGATTGTTTCTTCTCATTCCATTTTCAATTTCCTGGTTCTTGGTATGACAAGTGAATTTTGATTGTATCCTAAACATTTGCACATTATGACTTTAGATTCTACTTAAATCTCCTTTCCTAGCAGTCAGTCACCCTGTTTAAGTTTAGTGCATAGGTCCTATTCCTGCTTTTGTGGGCTATGGTTCTTTTGTGTTTTGTTTGTTTGTTTTTGTTTTTGTTTTTTGTTTTTTTTTGAGACAGAGTTTCACTCTCATTGCCTAGGCTGGAGTGCAATGGCATGATCTTGGCTCACTGCAACTTCCACCTCCCAGGTTCAAGTTATTCTCCTGCCTCAGCCTCCCGAGTAGCTGGGATTACAGGCATGTGCCACCACACCTGGCTAATTTTGTATTTTTAGTAGAGACAGAGTTTCTCCATGTTGGTCAGGCTGGTCTCAAACTCCTGACCTCAGGTGATCTGCCCACCTCAGCCTCCCAAAGTGCTGGGATTACAGGCTTGAGGCACCACGCCCGGCCTGTGGTCTGTGGTTCTAATGACAGTAGAGTTTTCGAAACCTCCGCGGTGCTGTTCTTGCCCGTGTCCTTCCCTTGGTCCGAGCTGGTGGAGTGCACTTCCCCGGTACACTGGGTGTCGGTGGGAAATACCAGCACTTGCGACGAGAGCATTTTCCTCATTTGCTCTCAGCCACCTGGTGCCAGCTTTCATCGTCCGTGCAGGTGAAAGGGGATCTGGAGGCATCAGGTTCTGCAGGGCAGTGTGCCCCTTGCCTATTTTTCTCTGCGCTGCCAAAGGGACCTCTACCTGTCCCACTGTGGGAGGAAAGCCCCTGTCTGGGCTGCCTCTGCTCTGGGATGAGGGGACTGTGATTACATGGGCCTGTGTCACCTTCTACCACTGGGTGAAAGAGGTATGAACAGTAAAATTAAAAATATAAAGTCAAGATGTGTTTAGAAAATGAAATTTTCTTGTCTCTCTCTCTGCTAAGAGGAATCAATTTTATATTTTAGCTTCATTTTGGTTCTTTAGTCACTTTGAGTTTTAAAATGCTGTCTCCTTCAGAGAGCTTTTCTGCCAAACCTAATCACTTTCCCCCCATTCTTGATGCTCCTGAGGGAGTCTTCTCCCACTCTTGGTTCTTCTCCTCCTTCCTCCTGGTGTATGAAAGGGCCCATTGCTCATTAGCAGAGGGCAGGGAGGGCCTGTGGGCTCCTGCAATCAGGCACGTGTCTGTGGTCCCCTTCCTTAGCCTGAGATCTCCAGACTCAGCAGCATCCAATGCTGGCTCCTCTGTGTAGGTCACTGGGTGGCCCTGGGACTCCCTCGTTTCTCCTACAGGTTCCATCCTGCACAGAATTTCCCCAGCCCCAGCTCCCTCCAGCCCCTGCTCCTCTTTGCTTCTGTGTGTGACCTATTGTGGGCTGGCACATGGGCCATGTTCCCAGGCATTTTCTACCTCAGCCTCTAGTGCATATGATTACGGAAGTCTTTGCCCTGCCATGGGGACCTGCACAGATACCTTCCTTGCCAACTGGTATCCTCAGCTCTGCTGTTGCTCGTCTCTCTCCTGACTTTCTCCCATGCCCTGACAGAACTTTCTGCCGAATAACTCACATCCAAGAAGCAAACCCTAGCCACTCTTCCCATAATCTTGTGTCTCCCTAAACATTATTCTGCCTCCTTTGCAAACACCTCAGATTCACTTTATTTCCTTTCTACTCTTCCAAATTGTTCTTATATCTTCTCCCTCCCGTCTCTCTCCCTCCCTCCCTCAATGACTAGACATTGTCAGGTAAAGGTCAGGCCTGGTAGACCAGTTGGAGTCACTGCCACATTGCCTCAAAAGCTGCACCTGGGGCCTCCACCAGTACTGAGTGACCATCCTGCTCCCACAGCCTCTTCACTTTTCCATTTAAAAATGCTTTTCTTGCCACCTCCACTTCCTCCCTGTTGAGGAAAGATAGCCCTCCTGGGTCTCTCACACCACTGCCGGTTACTCTGATTTCCACAAATGCCAAACCCCGATCACGCTTTATCTGCGTCTTTTCTCAGGGCTGTTCGCAGCAGGCAACCTTGAGGGATGGGGTAATGTCTCTCTCTGGACAAAGAGGAGGCTTGTTTGCTGCTTGCTATTAAAGCGATGGATTTCTCATGTTCATATTCTTCTCGTACAACTTACTTTATGTGCCGGTGTCATCTGGATGCTCCAGACCAGCCCCATAGGAACGTGGGGGACAAGAAAAACGAACACAAACATGCAAATGCTAAAATGAAGCAGAAATTCGTAGTCATTTGGGTGAGGTTACAGGAATACTTTCCTTCCCCTGAACGATCCATTTTAACATTTTCCTATACAGTACCAGATGCTTAGGTAATTGCTTGCCCTCTCCCCTAATCCTTTTTGCTTTGACTTTGTATTTTTAGCCTAGAAGTCTCCCGCTGAGCAGAACAATATGGCACTAGGGAGATTAAAGCTTTGACGTGATAAATACTTGGGACTTGAGACCTTTTCTCGGAAGGTACATTATCGCCATTCAAATTGCCCAGGAAGTCTTGTGCAATGATACACATTTTAGCATCTCTTTCAATGCCTGCTCTTATGTCTGATAATATGAAGAAAGCTATACCTAACATAACAAGGTGCTTCCTCTTCTATCCCTGGCTCCTCCCAAGGGACATGAAGAGATGCTAGAAGAATACAAGGGGGTAAAGAACCTTGGATCTGAGTCAGAACAGAAAAAAAAACAACATGGAGAGGAAGAAACCCTGAAAACAAGCCTAAGGACCTCAGCACCCACTACAAAAAAAAAAAAGAGTCTGGAGAGGGGACTGGACTGCAGCTTTCTTAACACTAGGCCCCAAATAGCACAATCACTTCTGCTACTAAGTCACTACTGGCCACCTATCTGCATTGGCAGGGGGTGGGGGAGGTTGTGGGGGGGTAGGAATGTTGAGCTATGTGCCCAGGAAGCAGAGAAAATGGGGTTTTGTTGGACAGCTGGCAGGCTCTGCCATGGTGGAGGAGGAGATATCGGAATCAAGTCTTATTATTTTTCTCTTTCTGAGTCACTTGATCTTTTTTAGAAGATGCCCAAATTATCTTCTCTTTATTTTTGAAGTCTAATTGCTTTACCAGGGTATGGCTGAGTGATGACTTTTCTATATCATTTTCCTCCATAACATGGTGCACTTTTTAAATCTGCAGATTTGATTCTTCTCTCATTTCAAAAAAATTATTTTGAATCATCATCCTAAATACTTACATGTTACATTTGTTTAGTCCTCTTCTATAGGCACATAAATCCATTTTTTTAAACAAATACACTTATAAGATTTACTGTTATCACAAGGTCACATTCCTGTAGAATATAGAAATATGTGTAGCTTTCAGTTTACTGTCTGCATTTTTTGTTTTTAAAGAGAAGAGGTCTTGCTCTGTCACCCAGCCTGGAGAGCAGTAGTGTGATCATAGCTCGCTACAGTCTCTTAACTCCTGGGCTCAAGCAGTCCTCCCATCTCAGCCTCCTGAGTAGCTGGAACTATAGGGGCATAACACCATGCTCAGCTAATATTTTTTAATTAAAAAAAAAATTTGTAGAGATGAAGTCTCATTTTGTTGCCCAGGCTGGTCTCAAGCTCCTGGCTTCAAGCAATTCTTCTGCCTTGACCTCCCAAGGTGCTGGGATTACAGGTGTGACACAATACACCAAGCCAAGTCTGTGTTTTTCAAATTGCAGCCTGCAACTCATGATGGGGTCATGAAATCTATTTAGTGGATTGTAATCTGCTGGATTGGTTTCCTACTGTTGCATAACAAATTATGACAAAGTGAGCAGCTTATAACAACACATATTTATCATCTCACAGTTTCTGTAGGTCAGGAATCTGCAAACAGCTTTGCTGGGTCTTTTGTTCAGGGTTTCATAGGGCTGCAATCAAGATGCCATCTGGGCTCCATTCTTATCTGGAGGCTCAACTGGGGAAGAATCCACTTCTAAGCTCATTCAGGCCTTTGACAGAATTTATTTCCTTGTGGCTGTATAGCTGAGGACTCCTGCCTTTTGTTGGTTGTTGGTGGGAGCCCACCCTTGGTCCTAGAGGCTGCCCACAGTTGCTGGAGGCCATCCATAGCTCCTTACCACATGGGCTTCCTCAACGTGGCACTCCATTTACTGAGCCAGCAAGGATGCTCTCTTACTCCAGTCTGATGACATAATATAGTCCTGGGAGTGGCACATGATCACCTTTGTCATGTCCTATTAACCCATAGGAGCATAAGTCACAGGTCCTGCCCAGAGTTGAGGGGAGGGGAGTATCCAAAGGTGTCAACACCAGCAGGTACAGTTCACTGGGGATCATCTTAGGGTCTTATCACCACATCTATATTTAGAAAATCGAATAGGATTATATAGAAGATACCAGAATGTATCACATGTAATAGGAGTATGTACTTCTAAATAAAAATTGTATTTAGTAATGTAAATTGTGTGTGTGTGTGTGTGTGTGTGTGTGTGATGAAAATGTATTTCTTACCAATGGTCTAGAGCAAAACAGTCTGAAAGCCCCTGACCTGGGAGGTTTTCTTGCAAACACTGAAGATAAGACTGCTTTTGAATTGTACATGCCCTGGTGCTGCCTGGCTTGCTGTCTCTGTTGAGTGTGCTTTCATGGCAACCAAGACGCGAACATTCTCCAGCCTGCTCTACTGTATTTCTGCTGGTAGTTGCAGTAGCCATCACAGTTCTTGAATTCTCAAAAGACTTAAATCAATGTCATATTACTTCCTCTAAAGTTTTCTCACCAGCTCCTCCCGTGATCTCCCATGCCATGCTGGATCTGCACACTGTAGGGAGTGCCTTCTCACTTGTGCCTTTTCCCTGCTCCCCAGCTGTGTACAAGGTCTGGTCCTGTTGTGTGCTCAGGTTTACGAGTTTCCCCTGCCCTTGGCAGCCCTGCTTCGAGCATATTGAAGTTGGGCATTAGAGATGTTCTCTTATTAACACCAAGATTGCCATTTCTGTTCTTAGTCTCCTTGTCATTTTCTTATGGTTTAAGAGAAAAGAGGGGTCTGAGAAGTCCTTACTTTGCCATATTTAAGTCCTGCTCACCTGAGGCAGCTCTGAGGCTTTGAAACAGGCCCCACTATCCTCCCACTGCCTCTGAAGCCTCCCTGAGGCCACTCCCACAGGCAGTGAGGCCTGTATATGCCACATCCTCAATGTCTTCCCTGCCTTCTTGGATGGTGGCCACTTCAGGATAGGGAGCTCAGCTGGGAATGGGCACAACCTTGACTGCCCTACCAAGACTCCTATTTCTTCTGCAATTTGGCTACATTTTGTGTCAGAGATGTTTATTGCTGTGGGATTGAGCCCATGGGTTTTGGACTCAGTTTCCTGTGGCCTGCCACGGGGCGCCTTCGTTTCCACCTGAGTTGGCCTTTATGGCTCAGTCCCTCCAGGGCTGGGGCTGACATTTCACCTCCTTCCTGAGATCTATCCTCCTCCTCCCCCTCCACCATCTCTCCTACTTTTGGAGATTTTTGTTTGTTTTGTTTTTGAGACAGGGTCTTGCTCTGTCACCCAGGTGACAGTGCAGTGGTGTGATCATAGCTCACTGCAGCCTCGACCTCCTGGCCTTAAGCAATCTTCCTGCCTCAGCCTCCCAAGTAGCTGGGACTACAGGCGTGTGTCACCACACCTGGCTAATTTTTTAATTTTTTGTAGAGATGGGGGTCTCACTGTGTTGCCCAGGCTGATCTCAAACTCCTAGGCTCAAGTGATCTTCTAGCCTCAGCCTTCCAAAGTGTTGAGATTACAGATGTGATTTTTGTTCTCATTTTTCTTCCCTTCTGTTAGGTTTCTATCTATTCAGGAGAATTATTAGATCTTTGTGATTTTAATAATTTTGCCTTTATTTTCCCCCCACCTTGAAGAAACGAAAGTGGTGAGTTCAGAAGATCCCAATTACCTCTCCCTATACCTGTCCCTGCAGTCAGAGTGAAGGGTGTCTCCTTTCTAAGGTTTTCTTTGTATCTTCCCTCGTCTCCCTCCCTTTCTCAATAACGTGTGTTGGCAAGAATCAATGTCATTACTTCCTCTAAAGTTTTAAATATCAGTGAAAATTCTCAAGATTTTGTTCACCCACTTCTTTCCCCTTATTTGGGGGAGTGTTCTGAGGCTAGATACTTCTGCAAACCAAGTCAGGCTGTTCTGCTTCTTTCTTTCTGTGAGCACCACTCTGCAGAGGTCATGGCCATAAAGTCTCCTTTCTCATCATTGGCTGAGGAATGAGAGCTCATGTGTGTGCACATGCGTGTGTGTGCTTCTTGTTTCTTTTCTCTGTTGTTCATTTTGTCAGATGTTGTAGAGATAACCCTACAACCATCTCTCAGCCTTCTTTTTCTGGAAGTTGTAGATGTGATTTTCTAGATTATATATATATATATATTTATATATATTTTTATATATTTATATATATATAATATATATATTGTTTTGAGACAGAGTTTCACTCTTGTCACCCAGGCTGGAGTGCAAAGGCACGATCTGGGCTCACTGCAACCTCCGACTCCTGGGTTCAAGTGATTATCCTGCCTCAACCTCCTGAGTAGCTGGGATTACAGGCACACGCCACCATGCCCAGCTAATTTTTGTATTTTTAGTAGAGATGAGGTTTCACCATGTTGGCCAGGCTGGTCTTGAACTCCTGACCTCAGGTGATCCACCTGCCTCGGCCTCCCAAAGTACTGGGATTACAGGCATAAGCCACCACACCCAGCCAATAGTATAATATTTTTAAGGAGTTATTTTCTTTTCTAAAAGTGCCACAGTCCCATCCTTGCCTGTGGAAGTGTCTCAGCACACCACCACATGCATAACCTAAAACTAGCTATGCCCTGGAAGACTCTCTCTTTCATGCCCAAGTTGAAAACAGTGCAACACTAGGTGTGATGCAGTCTTTCTTGATTTCTTCTCCTTTGGCTGTCTCTCCCATCATCTGTGCTTCAGCGCTTACCATTTTCCTAAAAGGAAAGTGGAAAAGCTCAGTTATGCAAATAAATGCAGCACAGACTGATGCTACAGTCAAATTCAGTTAGCATTACTTCAGGGGAACAAAATCAGTTTTAGGTAACAAACAAACAAAACTTCCAGGAAGAGAATGAGCTAGTTAACAAACAAGCAAATAAATTGTTTGTGGCACAATAACTTTAATCTTGTGAGCACCTGCCTCCACATTTTGCTGTCCAAATAAAGTCAGATTTGATTTGCTTCTTGAGGTGACCTAGCTGTTCATTTTAAACATCTCAATGTAGTGGCCATCAGGAACAGCTGCAGCTTTGCTGGTGGGTCTTAGCAAGAAAGGGCCTTAATGCTCACAAACCCACCATTTCAAGAAAGAAAAAGATAAAACACAAACAAAACCACAGCTGTAAGAGAGCTACATTTGTGGAATGATAAGGAAACAGCTTTTCTGGAACTTAGCCACTGCAGGACTCTGAGGGATGAGGTGAACAAGCTGAACAGGAATCCAATGTTTTCCCGGGTGACAAGTGTGTGAGGTTGCTATAGGCAAGGAGATTGCATGAGTTCCAATGATTAAGCTAAGCTTTCATTTCGATTTGTGCAAAATGAGTAAAAATTAATAAGCACAGGGTGTTCTCATGAAGCTGACGTTGAAACATAAAAGTAGGTGTGCTGCATACTTCACACCACAGCAAACCCTCCCTTTTTGAGTTATTAGGTTTTGGGGACATGGGGTGATGCTCTGAGACACTCAGTGATTGCTTTCAGAAACCAGATTCTAATGAGTATTTTTACTAGTATCAAGTCATTATTCATTCTGCAAATATTTTTGCCATATAATAAATAAGTCACTGTTCAAGTGATAGATAACTATGCAGATGACAGGACACCATATGGTGGTTACAAAACAGAATTTAAAATCTTAAAGGACAAAACACTCATATTCATTTGCAGCAATTAATTAGGGGACGGATGGAGACCATCTGCTGTGACTCACTAGTCCCCCAAGGACACATACACAATGGTAAGTTTCACATTGGTTTATCTTGGTTCCCATAGTCCAAGCAGGAAAATTATACTTTCCATAGTTTTCTGATTCCCTAGTAAGGTTACAGCAATGTTTTCACTACTCTTCTGTGTGGTCATTCAGTAACTTAGGCTTCTTTTGGAATGTAGATCCACCCATCCCTAGGGTTTACTTTTCTCTGGTATCCAGGTGGCAGAGGAGAAACAGTCTGGAGAGGGAGGCCTGGCGTGGTGGCTCACGCCTGTAATCCCAGCACTTTGGGAGGCCGAGGTGGGCAGATCACCTGAGGCCAGGAGGCCAGTTACCAGCCTGGCCAACATGATGAAACCCCACCTCTACTAAAAATACAAAAGTAGCTGGGCGTGGTGGTGCACGCCTGTAATCCCAGCTACTCGGGAGACTGAAGCATGAGAATCGCTTGAACCCAGGAGGTGGAGGTTGCGGTGAGCCAAGATCACGCCATTGCACTCCAGCCTGGGCAACAAGAGCAAAACGCCATCTCAAAAAAAAAAAAAAAGAAGGAAATTCTGACACATGCTACCACAACATGGATGAAACCTGAGGACATTATGTTCAATGAAATAAGCCAGTTACAAAAAGATAAATACTGTATGATTCCACTTACGTGCGGTACCAAGATTAGCCAAATTCATAGAGATAGAAAGTAGAATGGTGATTGCCAAGGGCTGGGAGAAGAGGGAATGGGGAGTTATTGTTTAATGGGTACAGAGTTTCAGATTCGCAAGATGAAAAGAGTTCCGATGACTGATGAATGTACTTTACACTACTGAACTGTATGCTTAAAAATGGTTAAGGTGGGGCTGGGCGAGGTAGCTCATGCCTGTAATTCCAGCACTTTGGGAGACCGAGTTGGGCGGATCACCTGAGGTCACGAGTTTGAGACCAGCCTGGCCAACATATCAAAAAATAAAAAAATTAGCCAGGCATGGTGGTGGGCGCCTATAATGCCAGCTACTCAGGAGGCTGAGGCAGGAGAATCGCTTGAACCCAGGAGGCAGAGGTTGCAGTGAGTCGAGATTGTGCCACTGCATTCCAGCCTGGACAACAGAGTAAGACTCTGTCTCAAAAAAAAAAAAAAAGTTAAAGTGGTAAAATTTATGTTATGTATGTTTTACCACAATTTAAAAATTTTTTAAATCTCAGATGGAATCACAAAGCAAAACCTAATGTATATGTAATATGTAAAAGACAGATCTAAAATAAACTAACTGAAACACTAAAATAAAAGATGGGGCTGGACATGGTGGCTATGCTTGTAATCCCAGCACTTTGGGAGGCTGAGGCAAGCCGTTCACTGGAGGTCAGGAGTTTGAGGGGAGCCTGGGTAACATGGCTCATCTCTACTGAAAATACAAAAATTAGCTGGGCATGGTGGCATGCCTGTAATTCCAGCTACTCCAGAGACTGAGGCAGGAGAATCACTTGAACCTGGAAGGTGGAGGTTGCAGTGAGCAGAGATCAAACCACTGCACTCCAGCCTGGGCAGCAGAATGAGACTCCATCTCAAAACAAAAAGCAAAAAAACTAATAAACCTAAAATCAGCTAAAATATATAAAAGAATATTAGAATACCTAGTAAATAAAATTGATAATTTTCTAGGAAAAATAAATGGAAACTATTTAGAAAATATTAACAATTCGAGTATCAAAAAGTAATGAGAGAATGGTTTCAAAAGACTACCCCCATGGGGAGAAAAGAACACAGATGGTTTTACAAATGAAGTCTACAGACCTTTAAGGTTGAGGTAAACCAAAGATATTTAAATGGCTTCCAAAGCACAGGGGGAAAGGGAAACATAAAATTTTTATGTAGTCAGCATAATGCTGACACCAAATTCTGAAGTGGATAGCACTAAGAAATAATCTCATAAGCAATTTGAAGTATAATTACTAATGCAGAAATTCAAAGTAAAATAGTAGGAAATCGAATCCAGCCGCATTTTATATCATGATAAATTGTTTTCATAAGTGGAATACAAGGATGGCTCAATACTGAAAATCTATCAATAAAATTAATCATATTTATAGATAAAATTGGAAAAACATAATCAACTCCATAGATGTTGAAAAAAGATTTGATCAAATTTTGAAATCTATTCCTTAAAACTTCTTAATAAAATGGAAAAATATTTTCCTTATAATTGATGTAAAATCCAATATTATATTTAATGGAGAAGTACTGAAAGGTTACCAATAAGGTAGAAATATGACAAGGATATACACCATTATTTAGTATTGTTCTGGAGACACTAGCTGATAAAATCAGAGGAAGGAAGGGAGGGAAGAAGGTAAAAGAAGAAAACAGAGAAGGACGAATGGAAGGAAATTGAGAAGGTGGTGCAAATATTCTTTTAGTGCTGGAGACACAGTGTATATCAAGGAATCTGAAAGGAATGAACTAGAAAAACACTGGTAAAGAAATTAAGACATTTCAGTAGGGTGGTGGAAATACAATTCATATACAAATATCAAAAGCCTTCCTGTAAAAATATAAATATAGCCCAGATAAAAATTTAGGTGTAAAAAATTAAAATACAGAACATTCAGGGAAAATGATTGTGTTTTAATTTTATAATATCAGTGAGAAAGACTTTCTGATTATAATACAAAGCCTAGAAGTCTAAAAATAAGACACACTTTTTCATAAAATTAAAAAAATGCTGAACACAAAGTTTAAAAGATAAATATAATACGGGAAAATACTGAATGCATGTGACAAAGTATTACTTCCTTAATGTAAGAATAACCTCCAAAAGAGAAATGAAAAGGAAAACCACAGTGAGATCCATCATCTCATCCATTTTATTTTGAAATGTTTAAAAAACTGTTCACACTGTTGGTGGAAGTATGGAGAAACAAGTAATTTCAAATATTTGTTATAGTTTCTATGGAGAGCAATTTGGCAATATCTGTCAAATATTAACATGGATGTGATTTAAGACCCAGAAATTTTGTAACATCTATGCTTTCAGGAGCACAGAGGTGAATATACAGGGGCTCTTAATGCAGCATTATTCATCAGAGCAAAAATGGGTCACAACATAATACTCATCAGCAGAGGAACTTTGAGTAACTTATTGATCCACCAATGAAAAACTATCTATTGATCTTCATCTATCTATTATTGCTATTATTGTTACTCTACTATCATATAATCTTTTTAATCATCTATCTGTCTATCCAATAATAATAAAAATAGTAACAGGCAGCACTTACATACTATTTCCTTTTCTGCAGAGGTAGAAGCTTTCTTGAGAAGTCATTTAGGCTGTGTTCTAGGAGTTGTTCTTAGAAGCCTAACAATTTTTAAATCCCTCCATTAAATCCTTTTCTGTTTAAAATGCCTGGAGCAGTTTTTCTTTGTGCCCTGAACCTTGAAAGATACAACTTTTAAGGGAAAGCAAAAGGTCATTTCTATTGAGTGCTATAATTTATGAACGAAAGACGCTCATATACTGGAATGCACTGTCACTATCTCTGGAAGGATGCAGCAGAAACTTATATCCAAGGTTGCTACTTGAGGGGACGGAGGGGCCTGGACCTGGGGGTAGTAATATTTTCCTTTCACATGGACCCTTTTTTATTTTTAATTTTATAGCATGTATGTACATTACCTATTTAAATAGCTAAATTTGGTAAGGTGACGTATGTAACTGAGCAAACATTTTATAGAAAGTATAAAGCAAAGAAAACATAGCATGAAACAGATAAACAAAGAATCTATTATGAAAAAAAGCATAACCTAAGAAAGCAAATTGTGATCATCATCAGCATCATCCCTGTGAATATGCTGCTCTACAAGAGAACTTTTTTTTTTTTTGAGATGGAGTCTCACTCTGTTGCCCAGGCTGGAGTGCAGTGGCACGATCTTGGCTCACTGCAACCTCCGCCTGCTGGGTTCAAGCGATTCTCCTGCCTCAGCTTCAGCAGCTTGGACTGTAGGTGACCACCACCATACCCCACTAATTTTTGTATTTTTAATAGAGACGAGATTTCTGCCATGTTGAACTCCTAACCTCAGGTGATCCGCCTGCCTTGGCCTCCCAAAGTGTTGGGATTACAGGCATGAGCCACTGTGCCCAGCTACAGGAGAACTGCTGAACTTGAACTGGTAATATAAGTATTAATTTATGATGTATTTTTTTCCTTAAGAAACAAAAATAACTCAACTTAGGTCCTGTTTCTGTCTGCTGATAAATAGAGAACCACTGACCAACCCTGAAGCTAGAAGCAGCCCTTGCCCCAGACTGTGGTCTCTGTGGCCATTGCTCACTTGAATGAACAAGGGCTCCTTGGAAAGATGGCTGATTCCTGGTCAGGGGCAGAAATGACCTGAAACATCTAGCCAACCACATAACAAAGAAGTAAAGTGGCATCCGAAGGCCTCAGGAGCCAACCTAAAAACCTCCCACTGATAAATGGTGGAACAATTTGATGCTCAATAATCACAATTGATTGAAGCACATCAAATATGTTTAAACATATTGGTTTATAATAATACTAAATACATAATAATATTAAATACACCCAACTCCTTTCCCTCTCAAGGAAAAAAAGATAAAGAAAGTACATTGGCTCCTTGGTCACATCTGGAGGATGCTAATGGGGGAATAAATAAGATTTTCAAGCTCTCTTCTCATCTTTCCTTTACAAATTGAAGTAGATAAGGAAAAGTTAGTGTTTCAGATAATTGAAGAGAAAGGCTGATACAATTATAATACCACTATTTTGCAATTTCTACTGAATTAACAGATATAAGCTCTGTGCATCACTGGCTGCTGACATCACTAAAAGAGACAGCCTGGCTGGGCCTGGTGGCTCATGCCTGTAATCCCAGCACTTTGGGAGGCCAAAGTGAAAGGATTCCTTGAGCCTAGGAGTTTGAGACAAGCCTGAGCAATGTAGTGAGACCTTGTCTCTACTGGAAATAAAAAAATAGCCAGCCGTGATGTGCACGCCTATAGTTTCAGCTACTAGAGAGGCTGAGGTGGGAGGATCACTTGAGCCTCAGAGTTTGAGGCTGCAGTGAGCTGTGATTGCACCAGTGCACTCCAGCCTGGGCAACAGAGCAAGGCCCTGTCTCAAAAAAAAAAAAAAAAAAAAAAGAGAGAGAGACAATATTGCCAGACAATAAAAGTCTTCTGATGGAAGAGAGCAGCATCTGTGAGGTGGGACTCCCAAATAACCACACTTGAATCCAATCAAGTTCCTAGTAACAATATTAATCTAGCAGAAATATGAGGAGGAGCAAAGGGAAACATTAAACATGATCAAGAGACAAATCTCACTTTTTAATGTTAATGTAAATATTAATGTAAATCCTTAATATTAATAAATAGAGCTTATTAAGTGCATTATAAAATCATAAACCTCAGACAAGTTTAAGGTCATCTCAGTCACCATGAAGATGGTGTAATATCAGGAAATCAACCAGTATAATTAATCATATTAAAAATCGATTAAAAAAAACTGTATGATCACATAAAAATTCATGCTTAGGCTGGGCGTGGTGGTTCACCCTGTAATCCTAGCACTTTGGGAGGCTGAGGAGGGTGGATCGCCTGAGGTCAGGGGTTCAGGACCAGCCTAGCCAACATGACGAAACCCCGTCTCTACTAGAAATACAAAAATTAGCCAGATGTGGTGGCACATACCTGTAATCCAAGCTACTCGGGAGGCTGAAGCAGGAGAATCCCTTGAACCCAGGAGGTGGTGGTTGCAGTGAGCCGAGATCACGCCACTGCACTCCAGCCTGGGCAACAGAGTGAGACTCTGTCTCAAAACAAACAAAAAAACAAACAAAGCCTCATGCTTGATTAAAGCCATAAGTATAATAGAAACAAAAATATTTCAATAATTCAATAAGACGTGTGTGTGTGTGTGTGTGTATGTATCACTTAGTGATAAAATATGCCATTAAAATCAGGCATATGTGGTTGTGTGTTATCTCCATTACTTAGTTGTATTCTCATTATTAAATTGTTTTGCCTGTTATTAGACAAAATAAAGAAGGTATAAATATAGGACAGAAGGAGGCAAATTATCATTTTTAGATGATATATGCCTGGAAAATCTAAAAGAATCAAAATTTTATCATAAGGAAAAAAGAACTCAGCGAGATGGCTGGAGAATCATCATCATCATAATGACAGCTCACTCTCTCCAGGCATTGTGCTGAGTGTTTCTCACACATGAGCTAGTTTCATTCTCATAACAATCCTGAGAGGCACACATTACTGTTATCCCCATTGTAAAGATGAGGGAACTGAGGCACAAAGAAGCTAGTAATTTGTCCAGGTCAAAAGCTGGTAAGTGGTAGGGCCAATATCCAGAAGCAACGGTGCTCAGAATTTCATATAATAACCACTTTTTTAAATTTCCCATTGATAATAACAACCTAATTAAAAATATGTAGAAATACACATAGCAAGAAATGAAGACCACCTGTATGATTAAAACTTTAAAAGACAAAAATATAAAATGAAAAACTAAAAAAGATGAACAGCAGAGTTGCTGAATTCCTGGTAAACGCTCACCTTCTTGGTTGTCTAGACCAGCGATTTCCAAACCCATGGAGGGAGCCATCAGACCTACCATTTGGATTCAGAGTTTATGCCCCCTTGTCACAAGGGGGCGGCAGGGGCATCTGAGAAATAAGCAGAAATTCCATAATGAGAGCGCCCCCTACACTCAATTATTACTCATGAACTTCTGCCCACATCCAATTAAGTGAATTTATAGGTGTTATTATTAAGTTGAAAGTCTTTTAATTGAGAAGTATCGTAATTATACAGGGAACAACCAAGAAAGTCTTTGGCATTCATGGTAATTTATAGATCATCTCATAATAAAATATTTAAACCAGAGTTTTTAACTTAAACATTACAACCAAAGTGTGCTAATGTTGTTAAACTTTTCTATAAATAGAAATGTCTTAGTAATTTGTTGCCTGGAATATATTTTCAAAAAATGAACAGACGGCCAGGCATGGTGGCTCACGCCTGTTATCCCAGCACTTTGGGAGGCCGAGGCAGGAGGATCACGAGGTCTGGAGACCGAGACCATCCTGGCTAACACGGTGAAACCCCGTCTCTACTAAAAATACAGAAAATTAGCCGGGCGTGATGGCAGGTGCCTGTAGTCCCAGCTACTCAGGAGACTGAGGCAGGAGAATGGCGTGAACCCGGGAGGCAGAGTTTGCAGTGAGCCGAGATCGCACCACTGCACTCCAGTCTGGGCAACAGAGCGAGACTCCGTCTCAACAACAACAACAACAACGAAAAAAGAACAGACAAAAATCTACTCTTTCAAGGCAAATTTTAGATTCTAACAAGGAGAAAAAAATGAACTTTTTTGAAAGAGAGATGAGAAAATTCTGTCATTGTGAAATTTCTTATAACACACTTAAAAATTGAGGAATAGAGTTTTTTTAATGTTTTGAAATCTTCCCAATGAAGAACCCACTTCATAAAACATAAAAAGTAAAACCTCTTCTAATCGATTTGCACGGCCGCCTGAACTGCATCAGGAAAGATGAGCCTGATTCCCTTCAGATCTCTGCAAAGCCAGCAGGTGGACCTGGACTCTGGGATGCACAGCTGGCAAGGGCAGCACAGCCACAGGCTTCTGTCTGGATTCTTGTGTTTCAAAGAAGCCTTTGCAACAGTGATGGAGATAGAAACCAGGCATCAAAATAAACGGAATCTAGAGCCAGAACTTCACAAAAGAATTTGTATCAAAAGATTCAAGCTCAATTTTTCAAAAATAACAATACACATCCAATCACATTACTGTATTAGAATAATGTTTTCTAGTGAAAGTAAAATAAGTTTTTATATCATTAGATATAATGCATTTTTAAATAATGCTTATTTCATCTCCAATTTATCCCTTTTAATTTCTATTTTTGCATATGTTATAATGAACACAGTGTTATAATGTAATGGTATACTTAAAATATTTTAAGGATATATATATATAAACCCATGATAAATATAAACAAACATACTGGGTGCATACTAGCCTATTTAAGAAACTGTTTAGGGCACATGTTAGAATCTGGAGACATCTATGTTGACTTTCCTTACTTAATAATTGATGATCAAATAATCTCCTTTGGCTGCACAGCAGCCAGAAGATTGATTGTTCATAAGTCTTCCCCTGCTGAGACTTTTAAGTGTTACTTGCTGGTTCAGTTGATAAAAACAAAGTAGGCATTTTGCTCACACACACAAACACACACACACACACACACAAAGTCAACATAATCTTTGCTGAGACATTTGCATTTGATAATTTAAAAAATCAAACTAATCTAATCTCAGTTTTCCCAACTAAGATTCTTCTTTTCAATTCTGCATTTATGGGTTATAAAACCAATTTCTTGATAGTTTATTTTTCTGAAAATAATTGGATTCCTATACATGGCCATCTGACATTAGATATTATTATTATTGTTGTTGTTGACATTTTGCCTCTTTGCCTTTGCAGTAGGTCACTAAAGAAGCAGTTCCTTGAAAAACTGAATTTCTATTGTCTCTGTCAGAAAAAAATCATTCATTAGCAGGAGAAGAACAGCAAGAGATCAATCACATAATCTGTAAGTACTTTCTGGAAAGAAACAGTTTAATTTATGGTTCTCAACCTCAGTGACACGCTGCAATCACCAGGGCTCTTTAAAACATCCTGATCCCCTGCTTTCCCTCCAATCCCAGGGGTCTGAGGACATTGGTTTGGACATCGGGGGTTTTCAAAGCTCCCCCAGTTAAATAAATGGGAACAATAGCCTGAGAACCTGTTGACACAACTGTAATCATGGTAGCAAAGGTATTGATGGCTGAAGGGGAAACTGCACCTGTCTGCGTGGGAACAGTCACTGTGGGAGCAGAGGGTCCCACCCACTGCCAATGGCCCCATCTGCCTGGCACCTCTCACTACAAGCATCAGTTTAACTTTGTTCCTACCATGTTTTTCAGTTGTATTTTAAAAATCTTGATTCTAAGTTCTTCCCAGGGTTTAAAACCATTGTTCAGGGTTTGTTTTTTAATGAAATATCATGAAATGCTTTCATGATGTTCCAAAGTCATAAAAAAGGGAACTGTGTGTTAGATACGTACAGATCCTTGTTAATAGAAAAAGAACAAAAGATCTATTGCCTTCATCTTCCTAAAAATAGTAAGCAGTTAAGGCTTTGGAAATGCAGATGGAAATGAGAAAGAAAACATGTGGCTAATGAACACAGGTGCTTTGAATCACTTTAATTTTGGAACAGAATTGAACAGAGGAAGGGGATGCAAAAAAGAATCAGGATCTTGACAAGCTGTGTGATTTATCCACTTTCATGTTTTTAGCTAATAAAGCAAACAATTTAGAAAACTGTCACATTCTTGGAGTCTTATAACTTGGACATTCTTTTAAATTGGATGTCTAGTGAGAAGGTCTAGCATGGCGGATGCTGCGGCTACTGGTCCAGGAAGCACATTTTGAGAACCACTCAGCTAGAAGATTATTGCATTCATCCAGGTGAGAGAAGATGAATCTGAAATAAGGCAATGGTGAAAGAGGCAGGACAAATCTGAGAAATATTTAGGAGTATTATTACAATTCTCCAAAGAAACAGAACAAATAGAATGTGTGTGTGTGTGTGTGTGTGTGTGTAGAGATTTATTATGAGGAATTGGCTCACAGGATTATGGAGGCTGAGAAGACTCATGGTCTACTGCCTGCAAGCTGGAGACTCAGGAAAGTTGATGGTGTACTTCAAAGGCCTGAGGGCGTGAAAGCCAGTGATGTAGATTCGTAGATTCCAGTCTAAGTTTGAGGGCCTGAGAACCTGGAGCACTGAAGGCAGGAAAAAATCAATGGCCCAGCTTCAACAGCCAGGCAGAGTGAATTCAACCCTCTTCCACCTTTTTTGTTCTATTTAGGCCTTCAACAGATTGGACGCTGCCCACCCACATCGGGGAGGGCCACCTGCTTTTCTCAGTCCACGAATTCAAATGCTGCTGTCTTCCAGAAACACCTTCACAGACACATCCATTATATATTAAATACAATGTGTTGCTAAATATCTGGGCATCCTGTGGCCCAATCAAGTTGACACACAGAATTCACCACTACAGGAGTCAGGGTTAAAATGATTGGATGATTATCTTGAGATCAGCGGGTCAGCTCCCAGGTTTTGAAATTGAGTGACACGGTAGGAAATGCCCAAACCAGGTATCTCAGGAAACACAGGATAAGTTTGATGAAGAGAAGACAGAGCTTCTGCTTTGGGCACATAAAGTTAAGATGCAAATCGTGGTTTGGGTTTTTATTGTAGAAACCCAGGCAGCAGTTTGGAAGATTGGTCTGGAGTACTAAAGAGAGATTTATCTAGAGAGAGACTTGACAGTCATTGGCATTTGGGCTGGGTGAATCCACAGATCCTTTAAGGAGAACGATGTGAGAGACTGGGAGAAGGAGAGAAATCTGAACATTCAAGTCACTGAGAACGAAGTGGCAGTGGAGAGAAGAGCAGCAATCACAGAAATGGAGCAATGAGGAAGGAAGGAGGGGATGGCATCTGTGCCAAAAGTCAGCGGGAGGGCATGCAGGAGAAGGATGGGAAGTGTCTACAACTCTCATGATTCTGGGTAAAACTGGAGTCCTGTGTTCTAGTAGTCTCAATAGAGGGAAGAAGGTGGAAGCTAGATTTTAAATGGGGTTGAGCCAGAAGGGAAGTTAGGAGGGAAATGAAACTATTTTTAGAAATTTGGCTATGAAGAAGACTTGAGGTGGATAGCTCTCTATCTTTTAAGGTGAAAATCATGCAATTTTGTTTATATCTCGAGAGAAAGAGGCTGTGAGTGTTGCTGGAGGGCTCGGGAAGGTCTCTGGATGCCAGTGAGACCCCAGCCCCAGCCGGTTTTCCAGGTTCTTGACAGCATCACAAGAACGAATTCAGGGGGGAGTCGAGTCAGAATGAAGCGCAAGGCGAGAAGCTTCCATTGCAAAGCGAAAGTGTGCTCTTGAGAGGAGCGTAGCCATGCCCGTGAGAACAAGTCAGGCACAACGGAGGCTGGGTTTCTTATTTTAGGGATGTTTCTTTCTCTTTCTTTCTTTCTATTTCTTTCTTTCTTTCTTTCTTTCTTTCTTTCTTTCTTTCTTTCTTTCTTTCTTTCTTTCTTTCCTTTCTTTCTTTCTTTCTTCTTTCTTTCTTTCTTTCTGTCTTTTTTTTTTGAGACGGAGTCTCTCTTTCGCCCAGGCTGGAGTTCAGTGGCGCGATCTCGGCTCACTGCAAGCTCCGCCTCCCGGGTTCACGCCATTCTCCTGCCTCAGCCTCCCGAGTAGCGGGGACTACAGGCGCCGGCCACCACACCCGGCTGATATTTTGTATTTTTTAGTAGAGACAGGGTTTCACCGTGTTAGCCAGGATGGTCTCGATCTCCTGACCTCCTGATCTGCCTGCCTCATCCTCCCAAAGTGCTGGGATTACAGGTGTGAGCCACCGCGCCCAGCCCGGATGTTTCTTTAATAAGGGGGTGGAATGCTCATTAGGTATTCTGGAAAAGGAGGGGATTTCAGGGACTCCTCCCCGCTCCTGTTATTGCCTCCTTTCTCCCTTATTTGGGTTTACCTGGAAGAGTCATGGACATGTCACCCTGACCAGGGTTTTGGTCATTTTCTCTGCCTTATTTTGGGCTTTCTCTACCCTGTGGATTATTTGCCTAGCCCCTGCTTCAGGGGTTCTTTGGGTTTGTCCATACTCCTGCAACTACCCGTGCTATTCCTATCTCCTTAGAGGAGGAGAGATTGACGATATCGAAGAGAAATTACTCTGCTCTGTGGATCTCATTGGCACAGGTTCCTGCTGAAGTCTGAGGGGAAAAGGGGATTCTGGAAGGCGGAGAAATGGATGGATCCTGTGGAGAGGCCAGACAGCTTCCGAGCAGCTGAGAAAGAAGGAAGTCAGCCAAGGTCTGAAAGAAGAGAGATAGATGCTGGAGAGCATTTAAATGAAAAGAATTTAACCAGAAGTATCGGCAGAAGTAAAAGAAAAGCCATGTTGGGGGAACCTAAAGATTAGCCACAAAGGTTAAGGGAAAGGAGGGAGGAGAGGAGACGTTACTGCAGCCTGTGAAGGCCAGAGCAAGAGGCGTGGCCGTGGAAAGTGCAGGAAGTATGGCTATGGAGAGTGCTGGGGTGTGGCTGTGGTGGGTGCAGGAAGCGTGGCTGTGGAGCGGGTGTGGTTATGGACGGAGTGTGGCTGTGGAGGGGGTGTGACTGTGGAGGGTGCTGAGTGTGGCTGTGGTGGGTGCTGGGGGTGTGGCTGTGGTAGGGGAGGTGTGGCTATTGGATAGTCACAGCTGTGGTGGGTGCAGGGGGCAAGGCTGTGGTGTAGGAAGTGTAGTGTGGCTATTGAATGGGGTGTATAGCAGTGGTGAATACAGGAGGCATGGCCTTGGTGGGTACAGGAGGCATGGCTATAACACAGGAGGCATGGCCTTGGTGGGTGCAGGAAGCATAGCTGTGATGCAAGAAGCATGGCCTTGGTGAGTGCTGGAGTATGTTCTCTAAAGACACTGTGAACACTATTAGCCCATACTGAACCACTGCTCCTGGAGAAATACAGGGTTAGCTTCCACGCCTCTGATCACTACATTTTTGTCATCCAACCAATACATATTTTTGTTTTATGTGTTTTTATCTACAGACACCTTGTTTAATATACGTTTCTTACCAATAGTTAACTGTATGTATTATTCTTTATAATAAAACTCAAGCTGGGAAGAGTTTTGCGTTTTCCTGACCTTGGGTAATGTGACTAAAAATTTATTTGGCTGTCAGCCTCACAACAATGCTGTCCACTAAACTTTTTTTTTTTTAGATGGAGTCTCGCTCTGTCGCTCAGGCTGGGGTGCAGTGGTGCAATCTTGGCTCACTGCAACCTCCACCTCCCGGGTTCAAGAGATTCTCCTGCCTCAGCCTCTTGAGTAGCTGGGATTACGCGCACCAACACGCCCGGCTAATTTTTGTATTTTTAGTAGAGATGAGGTTTCACCATGTTGGTCAGGCTGGTCGCGAACTCCTGACGTCGTGATCCGCCTGCCTCAGCCTCCCAAAGTGCTGGGATTACAGGCGAGCCACCGCGCCTGGCCAGTCCACCAAACTTTTAATGTCATCTCATGAATCCACAAATTTCACTGGTTTTTTTTCTTCTTCTTGTTTTTCCATAACTTTACCAGGTACTATAGATGTTACTTGGGCACTTTTCAGAGTGGCCTCACATCTGCGTCAATGACTTTCCTCTTCCTCCTTCTGGATGTAACATATTGTTGACTCATTGCTGTTGAACTTACTGTCAACAGCACTGTAACTCATGCCTGAGCCAAGCTTGTCTAACAGGTATATTTTCTCTGTAAAGCACATCACAGCCTTTCTGCACTTAGGAACATTAGACAGCACTTCAGCAGTACACTTGGGGGCCATTTTAAACAATTAAATCACTGATAGGCTCCGCTCCGCTCAGGGCGGCCCCAGACACGGGTTTCCCATGGCAGCACCACGGCACGCCCGGCGCACCTGCTGCCCCGAACCCCTGGCTCCAGGGGGCAATGAGGGGGCAGTGGAAGGGGCACTACTCCTCGGGCATTGCCTAGAGAAGCGAGACCGTCCCGCCCTCCCGCTGGCCCTCCTTCTCTCCCGCCCGGGGCCCGCGCAATTCTCCGCCAGAGGGACAGTCGGCCTCATATGTTAAGACCTCTGATCACTAGATCCCCTGCATCTCCACTGAACAACCAAGGCACCCCTACTCCGGCACAACTCACAAAATCCAATGCGCATGTCCACACTGATGTGGGCAGCCACATGTACACCAGCAGCCTGGCCACCCTCACCAAATACCCTGTATCCAGAATCAGAAGACTTTGTGATGGTACAGAGCCCATAGTTTTGGACAGTCTCAAACAGCACTATTTCACTGACAGAGATGGACAGATGTTCAGATATATCTTGAATTTTCTACGAACATCCAAACTCCTCATTCTTGATGATTTCAAGGACTACACTTTGTTATATGAAGAGGCAAAATATTTTCAGCTTCAGCCCATGTTGTTGGAGATGGAAAGATGGAAGCAGGACAGAGAAACTGGTCGCTTTTCAAGGCCCTGTGAGTGCCTTGTTGTTTGTGTGGCCCCAGACCTCAGAGAAAGGATCACGCTAAGTGGTGACAAATCCTTGGTAGAAGAAGTGTTTCCAGAGATCGGCGATGTGATGTGCAACTTTATCAGTGCAGGCTGGAATCACGACTCCACGCACATCGTCAGGTTTCCACTAAGTGGCTACTGTCACCTCAACTCAGTCCAGGTCCTCGAGAGGTTGCAGCAAAGAGGATTTGAAATCGTGGGCTCCTGTAGGGGAGGAGTGGGCTTGTCCTAGTTCAGCAAATACGTCCTTCATAGGGAACTGAGGCGGATGCCTTCCCGTACCCTCCATCATCTGGATAAAGCAAGAGCCTCTGGACTAAACGGACATATTTCTTATGCAAAAAGGAAAACACACACAACTAATAAACAAATAATAAAAAAGGGACATTTGTGTGCAGTTGGGACAGAAAACCAAGTCCTGCACCTAAAATTGAATAAAAGATGCATTTATATGCAATAGAGACCACACCTGTATTCATATGGGAACAATTGGAATAGTGATATCCTCAAGGTGAAAAAAAAAAATATATATATATATATATATGTCAAAAGGTAGGAAATGCAAAAAAGAAAAAAAAAAAAAGGTGACAGCCGCAGTTGGTGCTGTGATAGCCATGAAATATCCTGGGCCCCCCGAGGCCTCTGACCAATAAACAAGCCGTGAATGGTGAGGACAGTTTCCTCACAGTTTCCATTGCCAACAGCCATCCATTCTTTCTTTTTCCTTTGTCTTTCTTTTTCCTTTTTTAAAAAACAAAACAAAACAAAAAAAAACAAGCCCAGGCGTGGTGGCTCACGCCTGTAATCCCAGCACTCTAAGAGGCCGAGGCAGGCGGATCACCTGAGGTCGGGAGTTCGAGACCAGCCTGACCAAAATGGAGAAACCCCGTCTCTACTAAAACAAATACAAAATTAGCCAGGTGTTGTGGCACATGCCTGTAATTCCAGCTACTCGGGAGGCTGAGGCAGGAGAATTGCTTGAACCCTGGAGGCGGAGGTTGTGGTGGGCTGAGATTGTGCCATTGCACTCCAGTCGGGGCAAGGAGAGCGAAACTCTGTCTCAAAAAAAAAAAAAAAAAAAAAAAAAAAAGCACCTTGAATCAAGTTTCTTTGTATATGGAGGTTCTACGTCTCTCTTTAGGCAGGGACCAGGCAGGACTTCAGAAAAACCCTCATGAGCACATTGCATTTGAAAGATGTTAGACATGAAATGCTAAATGTAGTTTGTACAGAAGTCACACCTTTTTGTCCACCTCACAGATGTGAACTTTATTATTCCTTGTTAGAATTGCTCCAGTTCAAGTCTGCTGCTTTCCTGCAATTTTTCAAATTTTATATTGTATTAAATACAATAAAGTCTGTTTAAAAAATAAGGTCTGTGTGAAACACACGTGTGGGGGTCAGGCTGGATTAAAATGAAATTTTTCTTTAAAAAAAAAAACACTGACAAAAAGCACAAAAATGCCAAAAATGTGACACTAAATAGACAGTGATAACGACAAGGTAACAGTATGACAGCTGAAACAAGAGGCAGCGCATTGCCTTGTTTGACCTCAGCTAAGAACTGTGCCTGGAGAAACACATTTTTCACTGCTCGGGGCATGCTTGTGAATGACTGAGGAGGCGTGACAATGATTGATTTGGGGGTTACAAATAAATTTCAGCGAGCAGGCAAATTTGGAAGTTTGGAACTGCAAATAATGAGAGTATCTCATGAAGCCACTAGAGGATGTCCTTTTGCCCAAAAAGAGAATTCAGCCAAAAAGAAGAAATTTTGCGATATAGAATACAGAAGATTCAACCCAGGAAGGATTGAAGTGGGTGGGAAAGGCATCTTCAGAAAGAGGAAAGTGATAAAATACCTGATGAACCTGATTATACTGAGAAGAGACTTAGATAACTGGTGGAAAATTGTGCTTGGATTAACGACGATTATATATATTTTTAAAACCAAGTTAATAAACAATAGGCTGGGCATGGTGGCTCATGCCTATAATCCCAGCACTTTGGGAGGCCAAGGTGGGTGGATCACCTGAGGTCTGGAGTTCGAGACCAGCCTGACCAACACGGTAAAATCCCGTCTCTACTAAAAGTACAAAATTAGCTGGCTGTGGTGGCACATGTTTGTAATCCCAGCTACTCAGGAGGCTGAGGCAGGAGAATTGATTGAACCCGGGAGGCAGAGGTTGTGGTGAGCCAAGATGGCGCCACTGCACTCCAGCCTGGGCAATAAGAGTGAAACTCCGTCTCAACGAAAAAAAAAAAAAAAAAAAAACAATAAAATGAACACTATCTCTAGGGAAAACAAAAAGTTGGGGTAGAAAAGGAAAAGCCAACATAGGCTTTTGCAAAAATCTCAGTGACAGCAGATATGTCTATCACTGTCATAATGTGAGTAGTGAGCACTGTTCTACCAACACCAGGATGCGACCGTCTTGACAGCACAGGGAGGGGAGTGGGAAGCATGGAATTCTGTGGTGGGGCTGGGGAGCCAATAGAGGGTCTGCAAGTCCAAAATTTCAAGATGGGACAACATAAGCATGTTGTTTGCAGATACAGCAGGTAAATTCCCCCCAAGAAAAAGCATTCTGGGTTGGGGAAAAGCTGGGGTGGGGTGTAGGGCACAGGGTGTAAGAAAATGCTGTATTTTTCTATAAGCATTCTTAGAATATCTCCTGATACATGTATATAATAACTTTCATAAAAATAAAAATTAGGGGAAGAAGATGGGTTTTGAGTGACGGAAGAAAAATTGAAGTATCCAGATGATGTGGTAGTCAGGGCTGTTAACAATGTCCTTGGAAAATTCCAGGCTGAGAGCCAATAAACACAAAGCCCAGAATGGGGCTCAGGCAGATTGCCCAGGAGGCTGCAGAGCAGCATTCAGGGTCAGTGGGCCACCATGCCTTTCTGACACCCTGTATGTGGAGCTGCTGGAGCGACAGCTTTGGACCCAAGTGATGGACGCTCTGAAGAGAAAACAAAACATTCCTGGGTGGGGAAGGAGAATCAAAATATAAGCCCAAGAACTCCCTACTTTTAGAGCAGACCCCAAGCCCGGGTCCAAGCCCCCTGGATAAGGAGAGGAGTGGGAAATCAAACTCAGAAGGCAACCCCTGCTCCCATGCCAGAGGACCACACAGTCTTCCACTCCCAGGTTCACCAGTGTAGGGTTTCTTCCATGACAATTGGCATCGGACCACCAGGACTTTCCCCTTGGGCTGAGGAAACCCAATGTTTAATACAGACCCTCAACTACACACAGGAACAGAAAACCTGGAATCAATCATTTGAGGAAACAGAAGTAGCCCCAAAGAAAACAAAACTAGTAAGGCAAAGAGGAAAGGATTTTCATCATAAGTAT
The DNA here is from genome assembly GCF_000001405.40 of Homo sapiens. Taxonomy (NCBI): domain Eukaryota; kingdom Metazoa; phylum Chordata; class Mammalia; order Primates; family Hominidae; genus Homo; species Homo sapiens. Next base: position 88,184,492 of record NC_000009.12, read on the forward strand.
AATGAATATCCTGAGAATCGTTTAAGTAGATACTGCATTTTTTAAGTGTTATGAAAAAAATTAACTTATTGAAAATGTTAATGAATGGAAAGTCTTTTTTTTTTTTAATGTTTTAGATGAAGTCTCACTCTGTAGCCCAGACTGGAGTGCAGTGGCATGATCTTGGCTCACTGCAACCTCCGCCTCCCAGGTTCAAGCAATTCTCCTGCCTCAGCCTCCTGAGTAGCTGGGATTACAGGAACACACCATCATGCCCAGCTAATTTTTGTATTTTCAGTAGAGACAAGGTTTCACCATGTTGGCCAGGCTGGTCTTGAACTCCTGACCTCAGGTGATCCACCCACCTCAGCTTCCCAAAGTGCTGGGATTACAGGCGTGAGCCACCGCACCTGGCCACAGATGGAAAGTGTTAACTGTGAGTTGTCCAGCTTCTTGGCAAGTTGAACAAAGAATTAAACAAAACACACAAAACAGCAAAAGAAGAAAGAAGCAATGAAAGTGCAGACTTACTGAAGTGAAACTATGCTCCAGAGAGTGGGAGCAGGCTGGAGCAAGTGGCTCAAGAGCCCAGATTACAATGTTCTTTAGGGTTTCTATTAAGCTAAAAGAATTTGGTAACACCCCCTAGGTGCCCTTTAGAGGCCTCTAATTGATTACACACTTTGAAGGATTGGCCCACAGCCAATCAAAGGCTGAAGTGGAGACCTCGCCTGTGACCAATAAGAGGCTGAAGTGAAGAGTTGGCCTGTAGCCAATCAGAGGCTGAAGTGGAGACTTCTGTCTGGTTATCACAGGAGTGAGGGTCTGGCCTGTAGGCTGCTTAACCTTGCCTAGAACTGCATCTGCTGTCCTTTTGCTTACGCCTTAACCCTTGGTTACCCCAACTCCCTATTCTTCCACCTCAAAAATTACAATGATTGCCAAAATGAAAATAGGCCAGTAGATAAGGCCAGTAAATGAGGCCAGTAGATGTACAATAGCAAAGTGGACACAGCTGAAGATAAAATTTGTAAACTAAAAGATTAAGAAATTATCCCAGAATGCAATACAAACAAATATAAGAGACAGGGGAGATAGATCCAGAAATTCCAGTGGCCATCTAATAGGAATTCTAGAAGGAAAACATAACCTTCATAATTTGGGCAAGGAGGGAGTACTTTCTAAGAATGTTACAAAATCCAAAATAAAAGATTGTCAAATGTGACATTATAAAAGTCAAAATGTTGGTACTGCAAAAAAGAAATGAGCAAAACTAAAACATAAGTGACAGTCTTGGAGAAAATATTTGCATCATTCATAACATGTGAAAACTTAACGTCAAAAATACAGAGAATTTCTGCAAATTTGCTAAAAAAGAGAGGGAAGGAGTAGAAAAATGCACAAAGAAAATGATGTGAGAGAACAAGGAAAGGATACTGGCTGGGTTTTGATGGAGGTCAGTGGCTGGGCCCGAGGTGTAGGTTCCTCCGTGAGGGCAGGGTCTGGTGTGGTGTGAATCTCCCACTGGTGCTGAAGGAGGGAGCACCAGCCTGTCCAGTGGTGGGCAGAGAGGAAGAGAGAGGGGCCAGGCTTGAAAGCAATGAGCAGTCAGACCCCAAAAATGGCTTTATTACAGTTCTAATGCCAGAAATTTAATTTTTTCTCAAACCTCAAAATAATCTCTCAGAAAAGTAAATAAATGACATAATTGGGATGTTTTGAAAATCATTTTCAAAAGCCACCATAAAGCAGTAGTAAATACTTTCCAGAACAAAAGGCAGCCAATGCGGATAATTATTAGGAGCTCAACCATCATTATCTCGCACCCCAAAACAGCCAGCCTTCCAGCCTTTAGTGCGCTAACTGGAGTCTGACAGAAGCCCCAAAGACAAAGACATAGCCTTTAGTAAAAAATAAGAAAGACCTTTGAATTTATGAGTCCATGTGCCATAAGAACATCCAGAATATTCTGACAGAGGCTTCAAACTCCTGCTGCCATCGTCACAGTCTATTCTTGTGGGTTACGTTCTAATTTAGTAACTGGGGAAACATCTCCCCGCCTGGCTGCCACTCAGAGAGCTGGGTTTAGACTCATCATTCCTTTCTTTGACATTAAAAAAGGGTCATCATTTATTTAAGAAGTTTTATTTCAGACTTTTGTGTATGGCAGAGTAAAGGTGTTTCTGCACCCATATCCCCTTGATAATTAATGATGAGCTAGCAGAATGGGAGAGAAAAGAAGGAGAAGGAGACAGAAACACAGACTGTTTAAATGAAGCTAAGAGATACCTGTTCATTGCACATGAACATTTGAGGACTGGGAGCTGCCTTAGCAGAATGTGTAGAATGAAAACTAGATGCCTACCAAGGACTGATTCATCCTACAGTACTTGGAAATGCTCAGGGATTGAAGTCATGGGTACCTTGAAGGCAGACATAAGGTGTGGACCAGAACATGATGGGAAAGATAAAAGTCTGCATAAAAACAACTAGGAACCCTGGACCAGCAGCTGGCTACACATAGATGAATGAGCCGAGGCTGGCTGACACCAGCCAAAGTGCACAGCAGAGCCTATCCTAAATTGCTGACCCACAGGATGGTAAGCTAACTAAGTTGTGTTTTCTTTATTTTTATTTATTATGTTTTTGTTTTTGTTTTTGTTTTTGTTTTTTTTGAGATGGAGTTTTGCTCTTGTCGCCCAGGCTGAAGTGCAATGGCATGAGCTCGGTTCACTGCAACCTCCACTTCCTAGGTTCAAGCGGTTCTCCTGCCTCAGTCTCCTGAGTAGCTGGGATTATAGGAACCCACCACCATGCCTGACTAATTTTTTGTATTTTTAGTAGAGGCAGGGTTTCACCACGTTGGCCAGGCTGGTCTCGAACTCCTGACCTCAGGTTATCCACCCACCTCGGCCTCCCAAAGTGCTGGCATTACAGGCGTGAGCCACTGCGCCCAGCCTCCCTCTCCAGACTCTATTTCCCCTCTGCCACCTGGATACCAGGAGAATTGCTTGAACCCGGGAGGTGGAGGTTGCAGTGAGCCAAGATCACGCCACTGCACTCCAGCCTGCATGACAGAGTGAGACTCTGAAAGAAGGAAAGGGGAGGGAAGGGAAGGGAAGGGGAGGGGAGGGGAGGGGAGAGGAGGGGAGGGGAGGGAGGGAGGGGAGGTGAGGGGAAACTGTTGGAAGCTATTAATTGTAATAGTTATAAGAGTAGAAATGTCGAGTAGAACACACTATTAAAGCTATGAATATGAAAAAAAAGAGTTTTGAATTGTTTTGTATGTTCTCTAACTGATCTATTTCTTTGGATAATCTAGTAATTTCTTCCAGATGTCTTTTAGTAACAACTTGTTGGCACTGGCAAGCGAAAGTGATAGCCATTTCTTGTTGTACTTCATGGCTGCAGTTTGCATTCCTGAAGCTAGCAATTATCTGAAGTTTTTCAGAAGCATAGTTCACAAACTGTTGTTTAAAGCCTCTTTCCTTGGCACAAGTGGTCCAGGACAGCCTTCCATAAAGATACCAAACTCCATACATACATAATGAAACATATACGAATTGCCAGCCTATAGTTTTCCAAATTACTCCTCCAACAGTGATGTCCGTAGAAGTCCTAGATGTAAGAGAAGCTAATCCTGTTATTAAGGTAACCATGAGTTCTTTGTGTGATGCATTATCTGGTGTTGCTGGGTTGATAGAAGCAGTGGGAGTACAGGCTAAAGAGCTAGGGAAAGTTAGGCTCTGACAATCCTAGGAGCACCCTCTGAGCATTTGTAGGGCCCAGGAATCAATGCACAAGTGAAGACCAGCCCAGGGAAAAATGGAATACAATACCCTCTTGAAAATCTGGTCATAACTTGTGGCAATATAGGTCATGACTGAGATCAAATTTCTTGCAAGGGATTAGTGTATGCAGTTTATTCTATATATAGCTGAAAGTAATGGTTTCAAATTTTTAATAATTTCTTGCTTGGATTAAACATTGAGGCATTGTCTTAATTGGTGCATCAATCAGCCATATTTCTTCTGATACCGTCTTCTAAGTGCTAATTTAAGTCACCTTTACATACTTTCAATACACGTGGAGTAGGATGAAACTGAATAAAATTCATCAACCAAAACAGACAGTCAACAAATTTCATCTGTCTTTGCACGTGAAACCTTGTTTGCCACTTCCTTGGTAACCTCCCTGATTTTTTTATTTTTTATTTTTTATTTTTCTTGAGATGGAGTCTCACTCTGTTGCCCAGGCTGGAGTGCAGTGGTGCGATCTTGGCTCACTGCAACCTTCCCTTCCCAGGTTCAAGCAATTACCTGCCTCAGCCTCCCAAGTAGCTGGGATTACAGGCACCCGCCACCACGCCAGAGTAATTTTTGTCTTTTTAGTAGAGACGGGGTTTCACCATGTTGGCCAGGCTGGTCTTGAACTCCTGACCTCGTGATCCACCTGCCTCAGCCTCCCAAAGTGCTGGGATTACAGGCGTGAGCCACTGCGCCCGGCCTTCCTGATTTTTTTCTTAACATCTAGTGTTAAAAGGTTCATCTGGTTTGGGATAAAGCTCAGTCTGTCGATTTGTTCTTCCCGCTCTTTCTTTGAATAAACTCTTCTCTGTTGCTGCCACGTTTATTGAATCCATTGTGTTTTTCACAATATCTAGTATTGGCTTAGCTCCGATAGTGTGCTGTTTCAACCCTGTTTTCACTGCTGATTGTGAGATACACTCCTTAAAGATTTGTTAAAATTCTGAAACTCCTGTAATCTTGCCTGAAATCGTTTACCAAGTACTTCACTGCTTTCTGGCATCCCCTGTGGTTTGTGCTGTCTAGCACTAAGAACTTCCTTTGCTGAAATGAAGAATATATGATTCTGTGCTTCTAAAGGATCCACAACTTTAACCTCCTCCACAAAGAAATGCAAGCATCTTTCCATGTGCTGTCTACATACATCTTCCATATATTCTGGCTCTGATGAAGCGACATCCCAGTGATTATTCAGAATTAAATTATTAGGCTTGGAAAGCTGCTCATTTACCTTGTGAAAAAAATGTTTTTCTGTGTTCATTAGTGTTGATTCAGAGTTTACAAACAAAATGATGACATAAGCATCTAAGCAACACTCATCAATCCAGGTATCCAGCTCTGTAGTGACATCTGTGCCTGGACTGTCTACTAAAACCAGCTCACCTTTCAAGAGGACACACTTTGTCTTTGGCCAAAACACATGTATAAGACAGCCAGCTTCCAAGCCTTTGTCCACATGAAGGGCATAGGACAGCTGATGAACTGTGTTTACACTGTTTTTTCATCTTATCCTTTTGTCATAAGATAGGTTTTATCTCCATTGGTCTCTTAAACACTTTGGAAGCAATTGGTTGTATGATCAATCCCACTAAGGAGAGCTTTATCCCACAACATTGCATTGATAACAGAGCTTGTCCTGCCAAAAAATGCCACCTTCATTTGTCTCCGAGATAGCACCTTACCAATGATAGAAAGCTTGTTTTTATATTCTTACATTTCTACTTGATTATCCTCAGTAGCTCAGTCAAGTTCTAGATTCTTATATGTTGCTATTATTATTCCACCCTGATTGGATCTTCAGATCTTGAGCTGAGAAGGGAGATTCACATACTTCAACAATATGTGATCCTCAGTAACAAACTCCAGTAACTGGTCAAAGATTTCAGTAATTGCCTTCTTATCCAGCACAAAGTGTTTCAGTGGAGAAGCCCCCAAGCTGCCCCATCTTTCCAAGAGATCGCTCTGTTAATTTTTTTTACATCTTTTTTTATCTTGGTATTTCATTTTAGATAGCATCTAATGCTGTCTTTTAGGTCACTGATACTTTCTTCTAAAATTTCTGATCTGCTGTAATTCTCATCTAATATGTTTTTCAACTCAGTTTTTGAAGTTTTCATCTCTAGAAGTTTGATTTGGATCTTCTATGTCACTACGTAGCATTTTTAATCTTTTCTCTATCTTCTTAAACATATGAAATTTGATCAGAATAACTGTTTTAAAAGTCCTTGCCTATTCTATCATCTGTGTCATTTTGGAGCTGGTTTTGATTCACTGATTTTTCTTCTCATTATGGGCTGTGTTTTCTTGCTTCTAGGAATGTCTGGCAATTTTTCTTTGAATGGTAGATATTGATGATTTATTTCATTGGTTGTTGACTATTTTGGTACTCCTATAAATATTTCTGGGCTCTGTTCTGAGATGTCGTTAAGGTACTTTGAAAGAGTTTGATCATTTCTCGGCTTGCTTTTAAAATTTGTCCATTAGAAGCAGATCTGAATTTATTCTAGGATTCATTTTTCTCCACTACAGTGGCAAGGTGGTTCTTAGTACATTAACTGATGCTCTCTGAATGACAAGGTTTTCCATTCCGGTTTTTCGGAACAGGTGCTATTTTTGGCCTTGTGTGTTCTTTGAAGCACTGTTCTCTTCAACCTTTTGGATCATTCTTCCCCCATCCTCAAAGCGTTTCTTCACACATATGTACTGATCAGTGCTCTGCTCAAGATCCCATGGGAACTCTCTGCAGGTCTCCAGGGTTCTTCCTCTGTGCCGCTCTCTTCTCTTCAGAACTCTTGCTCTCTTGGCTTCCCCAATTCCCAGCTCTGTCTCAACTCAGAAAGACCACCATGTTCCGCCTGGTTGCCCCTCCCTGCGCCATGGCCTGAAAGCTTTCTCAGAGCCATAAGGTGGGCAATCTTAGGGTTCACTTTGACGCAGGGCAGCTGAGCCCCCAAATTGGAGTCTTAGCCCAGGAAAGTTCTTAGCTTTACCCAGGAAGGAATTCAAGGGTGAGCCAGGGGTATTAGACAGCAATCTTTTATTGAACCAGAACTGTCCTCACGGAGCAGGGCTAACTCATAGGCAGTGCCCCAAAGCATTTCTTGTGGGCTGTTGGTTACCTGTGTTTCTACCTACTTTTACCCACTTTTAATTACATGCAAAATTAAGGGGTGAATTAATGCAAATTAAGGGGCAGGTCATTCAGAACATTCTAGAAAAGAGGGGGCAACTTCCTGGTCATTGCCACAGAAAGAGGTGGTAACTTCTGGTCATTGCCATGACATTTGTAAACTGTCTTGGTGCTGATGAGAGTATCTTATGCTAATGAGCATTGGGAGCAACTAGAAGCTGCCTTTGAGCCACCTGCTGGTTTTTGCCAGTTTCTTCACTGCGTCCTGTTTTGACCAGATCCTGGCTTGGTCAGCAGGGTTGTGACTGGAAAGCAAATCCTGCCAGCCTCCTTCCTCAACTGCACGTTTCTCATGCTTCTTAGATATCACTGTCTTTGGTGCCTGATGTCCATGCAATGTTGTTCTTTCATGTATTTATTTTGGTTGTTTCAAGCAGGAGATTGTTACTCCATTTCAACCAAATTTAAAGCCCTTTAAAATCTCTTCCATTTTACACTGTCTTCTCCATTTGCAGAGGCATCAGATAAAATTCCTTTGACTTTCTGCAGTCTTTCTTTGAATAGTAAACCTAAAAATATACTTATTTTTGGATATTTAAAATATTTCTCTAGTTATTATAGTGCAAGTTCATTTTTATATTTCAATATCAGGCTTTCATTTTAATAGCAATATTATTTTCTACCTTATACTTACTCATATTACAACTTCTCTCAAAATGCTCTGTGAAGCCATTTCTAAAGTTGAATCAGGAAATTATCTAGCAAAGGCCAGGAATTAGGATTATGGCTTTATTACAATAATAGAGTGTCACTACCATACTTCTTTATAAGGCAAAAATGTTATCCATATTGTGAATGAAATTTCCATAGTAGTGTCTTCAAAAAGTAATGAGTACTTTAGTATTTTTTTAATATACAGAATAAATATTTTTTTAAAGTATCAGTGTTTTCCAGGTTTCCTTGAAGTCCTAACAAATATAAGAACATTTCCCATTATTCTAACTGTGTACTTATATTCCCACTATTTTCCTCCATTATAGAAATGCCATACTGTCTTTAAGTGTTCTCTTTTTTCTTTCATTATTAAAATAGTAAAAATGATATTCAAAGATTTCCATGACTGAGCCTCTACTGACTGTTTCACACTTTCTGCTCCACCCACATGGAGGATTCTAAGGCCCCCTCACGGGCCATACTTAACTGTGTCCACCTCCATGTTCTCTGTTATCCTCCTGAGATGAACCTCTTGCCCCTTTCCAATGTGTGCCATCCCATCTCACCCTTCCGTAAGGAGCCAGCCCCAGCACCAAATCCAGGAAGCCTTTTCAAGATTTCCCTCCACCTCAACTCAACTCTCCCTCTTGGAAATTCCACTGAATTTTGTTTAAACTTGATTTTAACTTTGTTTTAGAGTCTTTTGTTTATATTTCTTACACTGCTAGATCAGTGATTCTCAAAGTTTAGTGCGCATCAAAATCACCCAAGGAGCTTGTAAAGACTTTGCTGAGCCCTACTCCCAGAGTCTCTGGGACCAAAGAATTTCTAGCATGCTCTCAGCTGATGCAGATCCTGCTGGTCCAAGGAGAACACTTTTCAGAACCCTGTGGTCTAGACCCCTTGAAAGTAGTATCCATGTCTCATGCATCTTAATTCCACAAAGTATCCAACAAAGTGACTTGCAAAGTGCTGTTCAATAGGTTAGCTTTATTAGTATTGAATTTCTGGACTTCAAAGGTGTATTTTAGAAAATGTCGTATGTATCAATGTAATAAAAAAGAATCACAGTTACAATGAAGAACCCAAAAGAAGTTGAAAAAAGAGCATAGGATCTGTTTATAAGTTTGCCTGCTTCATCAGTGAATAAAGCAATGGGGGTTGGGGGGAGGCAGGCGCAGTGGCTCACACCTGTAATCCCAGCACTTTGGGAGGCCAAGGCAGGTGGATCTCCTGAGGTCAGGAGTTCGAGACCAGACTGGCCAACATGGTGAAACACCGTCTCTACTAACAATACAAAAATTAGCTGGGCCTGATGGCAAATGCCTGTAATCCCAGCTACTCGGGAGGCTGAGGTACGAGAATTGCTTGAACGCGGGAGGTGGAGGTTGCAGTGACCTGATGTCACACCACTGCCTAAGCCACAGCGTGAGACTCTGTCTCAAAAAAAAAAAAAAAAAAAAAAAAAAGCAAAGCGGGGAAGTACGAAGTTGGGTGATTTCCAATATCATATGTACCAAAGTTTCTGGTTAATTATTCCAGTTTTGGCACAGAGAAAAGGTTTTTTGGTTCTTAACCATTGCATAGTTCTAGGGATTAGTAAGTTCAATATGAGTGTTTTGTTCATTATTACTTGGGAAAAATCAATAGAAAATCTGGTGTTAAAAAACATCAGATACAAAATTTAAAGCTCAACAAAAGACAGCCATGCGTAGGGCAGTGGGGAGGTGCAGAACTCTGAGGATGAGGTTGTCTGGGTGTGAGTCCTGGCTGCATCTTGATGCCTGTGTGCATTTGGGTGCTCTCCTCTGTAGAAGAGCGCTAAAAATAATCATGCATGCTTCCGAGGGTAAAGTTCTCAAAACAGTGCCTGGCATACAGCTTTAGTTAAAAATAAACTAGCAGAGAGTCTGCTTAGGTTAGTCTATGCTTTCAGTGACCGTATTTTTCCAACTAAAATTTAGAACAAGAGCGATACTTGGGCCACTTACGGGAATAAAAGTTTCTCAAAATAATCCTGTGATTCCTCAGATATTTCTAGAGTTTATAGAATCCAAAGGCAGTATATTACATAGAAAAAAAAATGTTTAGACACTCCAGGTTGTCTAGTATCCATATTTGTATATTCTCAGCCCCCATCTTCCATTTCCCCCAAATATCATATATCTCCAGGGAAAGGAAACCAGAGTATTCTCCTCCCAAATTGAGAGTAGGCAGGAATAACTCACATTTTCATCAGTTTCTCCAGTCTTTATGTGGGTAGATTGATCTAGAATGGAAAGGATTTCATGGTAACGATTGTAGGGAAGTTTAGATGTTTTCCCAGAAGGTTTGATCATTTTAGTTTATAAAACAAATAGGTTAACAGAAAAGAAAAAAGGCTTACTGGCCGGGTGTGGTGGCTCACGCCTATAATCCCAATACTTTGGGAGGCCAAGGCGGCGGATCACTTGAGGTCAGGAGTTCAAGACCACCCTGGCCAACATGGTGAAACCCTGTCTCTACTAAAAATACAAAAATTAGCTGGGCCTGGCGGTGCACACCTGTAACCCCAGCTACTCCGGAGGCTGAGGTGGGAGAATCGCTTGAACCCAGGAGGCGGAAGTTCCAGTAAGCCGAGATCTTGCCACTGCACTCCAGCCTGGGTGACACAGTGAGATTCTGTCTCAAAAAAAAAAAAAAAAAAAAAAAAAAAAAAGGATTACAAATTTTAGAAACGTGCATATGAGCTTCGGAGTCATACAAAATATAAAAACTCAGGCCAGGCATGGCGGCTTACTCTTGTAATCCCAGCACTTTCAGAGGCCAAGGCAGGTGGATCACCTGAGGTCAGGAGTTCCGGACCAGACTAGCCAACATGGTGAAATGCCGTCTCTACTGAAAACACAAAAATTAGCTGGGTGTGGTGGTGTGTGCCTGTAATCCCAGCTACTCAGGAGGCTGAGGCAGGAGAATTGCTTGAACCCAGGAGGCGGAGGTTGCAGTGAGCCAAGATCTCGCTATTGCACTCCAGCCTGGGCAACAAGAGCAAAACTCCATCTCAAAAAAAATAAAATAAAAATAAAAACTGAAAGAAATCGCCAGATGGTTGACACTTTTCTACCATCTTGTGGTTACAGAAAGAATGGAGGCTCAGAGCACGGCCAACGTAAATTATGGCAGTAAGAGATTATGGAGGGAGAGAAGAGGCCTGTCTCACAAAGGGGAGTCCTGTTATGTAGATGATGAAACCTCACAGGTTGCAGCTCTCGGAGAGAATACATGGTAAGAGTTTCCTTCAGACCTTTAAAGATGTTGGATTCTCAGTTAATCTTTTTTAGATCTGGATAAGAGAGGGCCTCAGAGGAGGCCTGGCTGCACCGTGCAGATTCTGCACAGATGCAAAGTTTCCCAGGAAAGACAGTTTTTCAGGGCTACTTCTGTTTGCAAGCCCTCTGAACAGCCATCTCAAAATACGTCAAAGAAGGATACTTTGGAGCGAAATATTTTGGTTTCCTTCACGATCCTCACTGGAACCCATGATAGCCCACATCCTGGCCCTGAAGTTTTAGGGTGTTAGGTAATGTATATAAACAAAATAAGCCAAAGGACACCTAAAAAACAAGCAGGCAATTTCTCAGCAACTTTATTACTTTTATAACGGGTTAATAATTCTATGGAGAGCCCTGGAATTTACTACAACTTTCTGCCTTTGTTTCTTATAGAAGCAAAGGGAGTTACCAGTAAGGTAGTAATAAATTCCAAGAATCACTTAAAGATTGCTTTTATCCATGAGAAACATACCTCAATAACATGTGGGGGCCAAGGCAGGGCTTTCCCTTTGACCCTCTCTGAAGTTTCACTGAAAAATCAACTTGCAAAAGGCAGATTAATAGGAGAAAAGCCATACAAATTCATTTAACATGTATACATCGGGGGCCTTCTGAATGAAGACCCAACTTCCCAGTGAGGTACAGAAGCTTATATACCATTCTGAGGTTAGGAGACAGGAATAACAAGGGTGGTTGCAGGAGAATAGAAAATTCCAGGCAGTGGTTTCACATGGCTAGCAAAAGGAAACTGTAGAAATAGCTGCAGAAACTATGGGCTGATAAGACCCTAAAAGCCAGGGTGCGGACTAAGCTGGGTGAGACTAACCGGACTCAATGTGGCACTGGATTTGACCTAGGTTTCACCTAGAACCTCATTATACGCTCATTAGCATACAAATCACACACCCACCAGCACCATGACAGTTCCAGGAACATCCATATTTGGTGTGAAAATGAGTAGCACTAGAGTTCCAGAACATCTCCACCTTTTTCCAGGAATCTTCATGAATATTCCATCCCTTAGTTAAAGAAACCCACAAAGGCAGCCCCTCCAAACCCCTTTGCATGTGACTGTCTCTTGAGTACACCTGCACTCCCCTTTCTTGAGTGTGTACTTTTCACTTTGCAATACATTTCCGTACTTGGACTATTTTCTGACTCAGCCTTGAATTTATTCTCACTGGGGTGGAGGTCCCACTAGCAACTGGGGACTTCCCGCAGCCCACTGATGTCAGTTACAGAAAGAATGGGAGCTTGGATCCTGGTAAAACAGGTTATGGGAGTGGAGAGAAGAATTCCATTGAGGGGCAATAAATGATTACTAGAATGAATGACTGTATGGGAAACAGAAATTAACTTGTAAATAGTTCTCTTTGGAATTTAAATGATCCCTGGAGCAAGTTATTATCTTCTTTTCTGTAATGGATAAGGAGATAACAGGGAAGACAGCAAGAATAATTGTTCTCCTTGGTGAGTCTGTCCTACCTGTATGTATAGATAGGAGAAAACCAGTGCTTATTGATCTCTAAGGGTTTTTAATTTAAAATACTCATTATACCAGGGACCTGTATTTTGGAGTGAAATACTTTGAAACAACCAAAGGCAGAGAGATAGTCCCAAATTATCGATGAGAAGATTAAGTAAAGTGGGCAGAAGAGAAAAAGATTATATGTCTATAATACTGCTACCCTTCCATTACTTCTCACATCGGGCAGAATTAAGATATTTCCCAAGACTGAGACACTCATGGAAGGCAGCCAGCCGTCACCACAAATCTTCATAAGCTCACTGCAGCTTTCCTGCTGCTACACACAGGCACATTCTCTCCCCCTCTTCTTTTTTTTCCTTCCTTCCTTCCTTCCTTCCTCCCTCCCTCCCTCCCTACCTCTCTTCCTCCCTTCCTTCCTTCCTTTCTTCTTTCCTTCCTTTGCTGAGTCAAACTCAATTGTGTGTTACTTCTACAAACATTTTGTTATAAATATTTTCAAACATACACAAAAATAAAGGAAGTATAAAATGAATCTTCACGTATTTATTACCCAGTTTCAAGTATAAACATTTTGCCAATCTTGTTTTATCTACTCTCCACCCCTTCCTCTCCTCACCACTCAATGTTTCTCTGGATCATTTTAAGGCAAATTCCAGGTTTTCAGTCTTAAATGTATCACGTCTGTCTAAAAATAAGCACTTAAAAAAAACCTAATCACAGCACATTATCATACTTTCCCAAATTAATATTTCTTGATTTCATCTAATACCCAGTTTGTTTTAAAATTTTCTCAAAAATAACTTTATGCAGTTGGTGTGTTCAAATAGGCTCTATGCAAAGTCTACATCGTGCATTTGATAAATCTCTTAAGCTCTTTCAATATGTGATACTTCCCCTTCTTCTTTCTGGCTTTCAGGCCATATGTTTGGTCTGCTCAATTTTCCACAGTCTGGATCTTGATGAATTGCATTCTTATGGTGTAACTAACACATTCTTTTGCTTCTTGTATTTCCTGTAAGCTGATGTTTACATTTAGAGGCTTGTTTAGACGCAGGTTTGAATTTTTTTAGCATGAAAGTTCCAGTTGCACTGCAGAATGTCTGGTGATCCCAGGTTTAGCACTTTTGAGGTTGATCAGTTAAAAAGTAGCTGTTTGGGAGGCAAAGGGCACATGTTAGTCGCCTTTGCATGCCCATTGTCAAGCACAGCATTGTGCCTAGAGCAATCCCTGGCAATGTTTACTGAGTTGAAGCAGTTGATGAAACCCAGATTTGTGAGACTTCAGATACAAATCTTCTATTCTCAGCTGAGATGCCTAAACTTTATTAATTCACATCTGTATGTTGTAAAAGTTCTATTTTATTTTACGACCTTAGCCAGTTTTGACCAGTTCACCTTGGCTGCGGTTGTTTCTGTTTCATCTTTTTCTCATAAATAGTGTCAACCTTAAATAATGAGATTCAGAAAATATGACTAAGGATAGAGTTTATTCGAGTGCAAAGCTTGAGGATAGCCACTCATGAAGCGTCAGCTCCAAATGAATATGGTCAGCATTCCCAAGTGGAGAAGTTAAGGTTTCACTTTTACAGACAGAGACAAAGACATTTTCAGAGGATTACAACATTTTCTATAGGAGACCAGTGCATACATTAAAGCAATTTGATTGGTCACAGATTGCTACGTGCCAAGGAAGATTACTTTATTACTCAATGAGGAGGGATGGTGATCTGAGGAGGTCTTCTCTCTCGTGCTGTTTGGTCTTCTTAATTATTCACAGGGGGAAAAAAAGGCGGAAGTTGCCGCTGCACGTGACTCAGGCTGCATAGCCACATTTGTCTCAAGGCTCAGAATAACTTAAAGTTCCAACAACTTGAAGTTTGAATTATTTAATTTCACAATAGAAATTAAAACAAAGATTTTAACGTTTCTTAATAAGAAGAAGCCATCTTCATGCGAATTGTGAAATTTTTAAATTAAATATATTTTTAAAGTTAGTAATTTACTCAAGCGTTGTTTAGACATTGTTTTAGAAACTGGTATCTTGAGTGTCTATGCTTGTCATCTTTCATGATGAATGGTCCCTGTTTATTTGCAAAACTTGCCAATCTGCCAAAGCTTTATTTGCTGGGAAGTTAGCATGTCTGGGAAAGTAACACTTTCTTTTTGCTTTAGTAACGTATAAATATTTTTAAAAAAGGATATACATATTTTTAGGAAAATATTCTTAGCAAACCCAAGATTGAGATCTATGAGTTCATTTTTCCCCTATTTTTCTACACCTTTAAAAAAATTCCCCTTTGGAGATTGAAACAGGAGAAAGGGTAGGGCCCAATATCACACAGGGACAAGAGTTGAGCCTGGGAGAGTCTTGTATTCAGGACCCAAACTGGGTGCAGGGCTGGCTCATTAGGAGTTGAAATGCCTCTGCACCAGTCACGGGTGGAAATAGGTGCATTCACATGAACATGGTTGCATCAGCTTCATCCACAGGAGCCCTGAACCCGTCATTAACCTGTGATCTGGTTGGAATCTATGTACCCTATGGGTCAATGTGAAATTACTTCTCAGGGAGGCAACCACAGCTGAGGGAGTCCACAAGGTAAAATTTCCACAGAAGATAAACTCACATGTAAGAACTGCAAAAAACATACAAGAATGTCTAGTATTGTGACAATAGTAAACCCAGGTCTGCTGCATACAGACCGTACAATTGTAGGTGTGTAATTCACATTGATCACAATTGCACACTCATACACACACCCCATGCAAAACCTTACGGTAGGAATTCTAAAGTGACCTGATAAAAATATTGAATCCTCAAATTGATAACGTAGAGAATGACATTTGTGGAACAAGAACATTCAAAATTTTTAAATGCCATTATGGCAAGGGAACAGATGAGTATTTTTAAAAAATCAGATCTCTGGCCTGGAGTGGTGGCTCACGGGGCCAAGGTGGGTGGATAACTTGAGGTCAGGAGTTCAAGACAGACCAGGCTGGCCAACATGGTGAAACCCCATCTCTACTAAAAATACAAACATTAGCTGGGCATGATGGCACGTGCCTGTAATCCCAGCTACTCGGGAGGCTGAGGCAGGAGAATCACTTGAACCGGGGAGGTGGAGGTTACAGTGAACAGAGATTGATCCACTGCACTCCAGCCTGGGCAACAGAGTGAGGCTCTGTCTCAAAAAAAAAAAAAAAAAAAAAAGAAAGAAAGAAAGAAAAGAAAGAGGTGATTGGGAGCTCTAAGAAGAAACTCCTTTGACTCCGATTTTGGGGAAGGAAAAAGTATTAGTTATCTCTGAGATGAATAGCTGAGGTCATTATTGATCCATTTGATGGGGCTAAGTGGCATCTTGGAAAAAAAGACCCTCAAGCAGAAAACAGAAAACCTCTGTAACTCTTCGGGCTTCAGTTTCCTTTACAAAAAAAAAAAAAAAAATCAAACAACAAAAAACAGAATTGAAATTGATGGTACACATTATTTTTGCTTCTCTGTTATATAAAAACTTAATAATTTCTTAACTAAAACTAGGCATGGCACTATTATGGTACTCAAGGAAATTAACAATGGGCAGTTCAGCTTCTGGCACTGGTGGAAAATAAGCTAACACGGGTGTGAGAAAGGCAGATGCAGGAGCCCCGAGCTCACCTACACGCTAGGGACCAGTGGGTAAAAACTGGAGGCACCTCGACAAGCCCCACACAGCCCCTGTGAGCTTCCTGTGGGGCTTCAGCCATCCAGGGGCTCCTAAAAAGTAAAAGTTCTAGTATTTGTACATGGTTATTTCCAAGATAACGTGGATGCTAACAATTTTTTGAGGAACATTTACTTTCACAGAATTACAAGTCCATCTTGCTGTTGCCAATCATGTTGGGGAAAATACAGTGTTTTTCTTAGAAAACCAGGCAATCTATGTGGAAACTCTCATCCCATGGTGATCTGCCTATACAGTCTTTGTGAGATCACTTCAATACAAGGAATGTAAAATAAAAAATTAAAATAAAAAAATTTAATGAATTGGCCAGGCATGGTGGCTCATGCCTGTAATCCCAGCACTTTGGGAGACCGAGGTGGGTGGATCACGAGGTCAGGAGATCGAGACCATCCTGGCTAACACGGTGAAACCCTGTCTCTGCTAAAAATACAAAAAATTAGCCGGGCGTGGTGGCGGGCGCCTGTAGTCCCAGCTACTCGGGAGGCTGAGGCAGGAGAATGGTGTGAACCTGGGAGGTGGAGCTTGCAGTGAGCCGAGATGGCACCACTGCACTCCAGCCTGGGCGACAGAGCGAGACTCCATCTCAAAAAAAAAAAAAAAAAATTAATGAATTATATTATATCCCTCATCCCCCCAACCCCTATTAAAGATCACTGGAATTATTTTGAAATGTTTTCACACTCACGTAACATACTTTTGACAAAGGAATTTTATGGTATTTGAACTAGATGAATACTTTTGGTCAATATCAATGAGGGTGTGTTTACCCAATATGAACAGCGGCATAGCAGGACACCAAACGCTGCCTGCATCAACGAAGGCCACACGCAGTTCACCTCTGTAACTGCAATCGATTTCTCAGAGAAGTAAGTCAAGACGAAATCATTCACTAAAGCCACATATTGAGTTTAAAAAGAAAAACCTAGCAGCTTTCTAAAACTGAAGCTTCAACTTCTAAAAATGTTAATTTTACCTACTAAAAACCCCTTACCTTTTAGAGCTTAAGGTTAAAAAAAAATCTAATGTAACAATATGTAACCGGGTCTCATCTATTTCACTACTTTTTTTTTTTTTTCTCATGGGAAAAACCAGGAGATTTATGGAATCTACCCAAGAGATTGAGCAGATATCCAATGTTCAGCCTCGGATGTATATCACAAAGTTCTATAACTCCCATCTGGTTATCATAAGTATAAAAGGTTAAAACCTGGGGTTTTATTGTTACTTTAAACAATAAAATATTTTATTTGAAATAAGAAAACTGAAAGCCAATTTAGGGAGGCAGTCTGATGTCCCTGGAGCAAATGTGAATTTCCTTCAGTTTGGAAATAATAATAAAGTGTGACATATGAAAGAAGAAAATGCTTTCTTCCTTTACAGAAACTATGAGCAAACATCTCTAGGCTCAGGCCGGCTATCTTGCCTCTCTCTTGCCTCATAGCCTGGAATTTACCCCCACAAGTCCACCCTCGGTTTTCTTTAAACTTCAACTTCCAGTTGACTTGGAAGTCTTCTTCATCCTGCCCAAGATATAAGGACATACATAGCTTGCTTTCTTAAGAGGAATTTTCCATGTTTCCCAGTGAACAATGACCTAACCATCCTTTAAGTTTTACTGAACACATCTGAGATTGATACTTTTGAAGGAGTTTGAATATTTGGCCAAATTTTCATCTTGTAGTTTACCATATGCTGAAATACTTAGTCTATTCTCACTAATCTATTCGTTCTAGAGTATAAATTACCAAAGTTATTTTAAATTATTACCTCTCTGAAAGATATTATACATTGACGGATGGAGAGAATCACTTTTTAAAAAGTATTTGAGGCTGAGCACAGTGACTCACGCCTGTAATCCCAACACTCTGAGAGGCGAATCACTTGAGGCCAGGAGGTCGAGATATGTCTGGGCCAAAATGACGAAACCCCATCTCTACTGAAAATACAAAAATTAGCATGGTGTGGTGGCACATGCCTGTGATCCCAGCTACTCTTGAGGCTGAGGCAGGAGAATTGTTTGAATCCGGGAGGTGGAGGTTGCTGTGAACCGAGACTGCACCACTGCACTCCAGCCTGGGTGACAGAGCAAGACCGTGTCTCAAAATGAATAAATTAATTAATTAAATAAAAAGTATTTGAGAATCTATAAGTGTTATGCTGTGCCAGTTCTTAGAAGCTGCATATGGGATGGCCGGGCGCGATGGCTCACGCCTGTAATCCCAGCACTTTGGGAGGCCGACGTGGGGGGATCAAGAGGTCAGGAGATCGAGACCATCCTAGCTAACATGGCGAAACACCGTCTCTACTAAAAATACAAAAAATTAGCCGGGCGTGGTAGTGGGCGCCTGTAGACCCAGCTACTCGGGAGGCTGAGGCAGGAGAATGGCGTGAACCCGGGAGGCGGAGCTTGCAGTAAGCCGAGATCGCGCCACTGCACTCCAGCCTGGGCGACAGAGCCACACTCCGTCTCAAAAAAAAAAGAAGAAACTGCATATAGGATACAAGTTCTGTGAAACGATACGCAAAATATTAGAAGACATTTAAAACTTTTCCCTATGATTACCAAGGTTCTAAAAACTTCCTTATCAAGGACGTACTTATCAAGCCCTCCTTTATCGAGGACTTCTCAGGCTTCTGCACCCACCCCCACTCAACCTACTGAATCTATAGTCACGTGTGGAAAGTGGGAATCTCAGCGCTCAACTAAAGACCAAAACTTGAAAATGTAACAATAAAAAATCACAGATGACAGTTCCAGACCTTCCTACTGGTGTAGAAGAATTTATAAGAATTGTGAGAGTGATGGTCACAAAATAATCAATGAATTAAGAAAAGAACAATGATGCAAACCTTCAGACTGAAACAGATTTGCCTTTAGCTATTTTATGGTAAGACTTCCAAAATGCCAAGACTAAAGAGAAAAAAAATCCTCAAAGCTTCCTCAGAGAAAATAACAAACTACTTACAAAAACATAAGAAGTGAATAGAAAACTCATAGAGCAATTCTTTTGAAGTTCTGAAAGTAAAGGATTTTTAAACTAGGTTTCTATTCCTGGCCAAAATTCATTCAAGCGTACAGCACATTTTTAGACCTGCAAGGACTCAAAAAATTTGACCCCTACAAACCTCTATGAAAAAATAAAGAGGCTGTACTTCAGCAAAATAATAATAAATTATATAAGAAAGAGCAGTAAATACAAAAAACAGTAAAATATATAGTTAAGTAATTTTTGATGGCTCTAATTAATGAATAAATAATAATCTGGAGCTAAAATCACATTTATGATTTTTGGGCAACATAGTGGGACTCTGTCTACAAAACTAAATAAATAGAAAGAGGCCCAGTGCGGTGGCTCACACTTGTAATCCCAGCACTTTGGGAGTCCGAGGCTGGCAGATCATGAGGTCAGGAGTTCAAGATCAGCCTGGCCCATATAGTGAAACCCCGTCTCTACTAAAAATACAAAAAATTAGCCAGGCCTGGTGGTGCACACCTGTAGGCTCAGTTACTCAGGAGGCTGAGGCAGGAGAATCACTTGAACCCGGAAGGCGGAGATTGCGGTAAACCGAGATCGCACCACTGCACTCCAGCCTGGGCAAGAGAGCGAGATTCTGTCTCAAAAAAAAAAAAAAAGAAAAGAAAAGAAAAGAAAAGAAGAAAAAAGGCCCAATAATAGGCAAGAATATTTGAAAAAGAGGTACAATGGCCAGGCATGGTGGCTCACCCCTGTAATCCAGAACTTTGGGAGGCTGAGGCGGGTGGATCACCTGAGGTCAGAAGTTCAAGACCAGCCTAGCCAACACGGTGAAACCCGGTCTCTACTCAAAATACAAAACTTAGCCGGGCATGGTGGCAGGTGCCTGTAATCTCACCTACTCAGGAGGCTGAGGCAGGAGAATCACTTGAACCTGGGAGGTGGAGGTTGCAGTGAGCCAAGATTACGTCACTGCACTCCAGCCTGGGCGACAAGAGTGAAACTCTGTCTAAAAAAAAAACAAAAAAACAATGAATGGCAGTTTGTTCTGTCAATATTAAGGTGAATTATAAAACTGTTGAAAACAGCACAGAGTGGAACTGTTACAGGAATAAACAAATTGATAAGTAGCGCGGAATAGAGAGTACAGAAACAGCCATGTTTGTTTGGAAATGTAGCATGTTTATTAACTTATTCTACATGTGTTTAATGAACAACAGGCATTGTGCATAGCATAACAACCAAAACAGTCCATATCCTTGGGTCAAAGAGGTTATAGTCTAGTGAGGCGGGGCAAGACAATCAGCCGGAATAGATGAGTCAACATCATTGGAAATTCGAGAGGAGAAATATTATGGAGAAAAAAACGTTGAGGAAGAAAGAGAATGATAGGGGTAACATGCAATTTTAAGTACGTGATGTGCATGATCCTCTCTGGTCAGGAGGCATTGATGCAAAGGTTTGAAGGAGGACAGAGACTATCCTAGGCAGACATTTGGCAGAAGGACACCCAGGCCATGGAACCAGCACTGACCTGTTTCTGGATGGGCTAGTACCTGGCCTGCTAGAGGAACGGAGAGAACAGTGTGTCTGCGTATAATGAGGGTAGCATTCTGAATGAGTGGAAAGAGAATGAACAACTCAACAAATGGTTTTGGAACAAATAAATATCTCTTTGGAACTTGTATATTATCTATCCTACCCTACACCATACACACACAAAAAGAGATTCTAGATGGATTATGGAACTAAATGCAGTGACTTCCAGTTAAAGATGGTGAATTGAGCACCTTCATCTATGCTGGCTCCTTCCCCAAAACTTATTAAGATGACAGGATGTAGCAGGACAAGCCGCACACAAAACCCCTCACACACCGAGTTAAAGAAGGAAGGGCTTTTTTCAGCTGAGAGCTTTGGCAAGACTCACAACTCCAAAAACCAAGCTCCCCAAGTGAGCAATTGCTGTCCGTTTTAAGGGCTTACAACTCTAAGGGGGTCCGCGTGAGAGGATCCTGATCAATTGAGCAAGCAGGGGGTATGTGACTGGGGGATGCATGCTCTGGTAATCAGAACGGAACAGAACAGGACAGGGATTTTCACAGTGCTTTTCTATACAATGTCTGGAATCTATAGGTAACATAACCGGTTAGGCCAGGGGTCGATCTTTAACCAGGCCCACCACGCAGCACCAGGCTGTCTGCCTGTGGATTTCATTTCTGCCTTTTAGTCTTTACTTCTTTTTTTGGAGGCAGAAATTGGGCATAAGACAATATGAGGGGTGGTCTCCTCCCTTAAGGAGATTTTTCTTTGTAAAGACATAAACTTACAAAGAGACAACAACAAAATATTTGGAAGGTAGAAAGCAGAAGGATGCATAGAAGTTGGCTTAGCAGAACCTGGAAGGCTGAGTTTTGTGACAGCAGTGGGAAAGTCCAAGAGGCACCTGACTTAAAATCCAGAATCCCCAATGGCTCAGAAATGGTGAACGCCATGGACCTCCAGGAGGAAAGGAGAAGAGTGGGCTATAAATCAGAAGGCTGGCTTCAGATCTTTTTTTTTTTAGGCAGAGTCTTGCTCTGTTGCCCAGGCTGGAGTGCAGTGGCACGATCTCGGCTCACTGCAAGCTCCGCTTCCTGGGTTCATGCCATTCTCCTGCTTCAGCCTCCTGAGTGGCTGGGACTACAGGCACCCGCCACCACGTGTGGCTAATTTTTTGTATTTTTTAGTAGAGACGGGGTTTCACCGTGTTAGCCAGGATGGTCTCAATCTCCTGACCTCATGATCCGCCCACCTCGGCCTCCCAAAGTGCTGGGATTACAGGCGTGAGCCACCGCGCCGGGCAGCTTCAGATCTTTTTAAGGAGTTTCACA
This sequence comes from Homo sapiens, assembly GCF_000001405.40. Taxonomy (NCBI): domain Eukaryota; kingdom Metazoa; phylum Chordata; class Mammalia; order Primates; family Hominidae; genus Homo; species Homo sapiens. The sequence continues at coordinate 88,206,488 of NC_000009.12, forward strand.
AACAGATTCTATCCTGCCGAGACCAGCTCGGTTGGGGAGACCCTAACCCAGCTCAGTAGAGGAATTAAAGACAACACATACAGAAATATAGAGGTGTGGAGTGGGAAATCAGGGGTCTCACAGCCTTCAGAACTGAGAGCCCTGAACAGAGATTTACCCATGTATTTATTGACAGCAAGCCAGTGATAAGCATTGATTCTATAGATTATAGATTAACTAAAAGTATTCCTTACAGGAAACAAAGGGATGGGCCAAAGTAAAGGGATGGGTCTAGCTAGTTACCTGCAGCAGGAGCATGTCCTTAAGGCACAGATCACTCATGCTATTGTTTATGGTTTAAGAACACCTTTAAGGCCAGGCGTGGTGGCTCACGCCTGTAATCCCAGCACTTTGGGAGGCTGAGGCGGGCAGATCAAGAGGTCAGGAGATCGAGACCATCCTGGCTAAAATGGTGAAACCCCATCTCTGCTAAAAATACAAAAAAAAAAAAAAATAGCCGGGCATGGTGGTGGACGCCTGTAGTCCCAGCTACTCGGGAAGCTGAGCCAGGAGAATGGCTTGAACCCGGGGGGCAGAGCTTGCAGTGAGCCGAGATCGTGCCACTGCACTCCAGCCTGGGCATCAGAGTGAAACTTCGTCTCAAAAAAAAAACAAAAACAAAACAGGGATTCCTCCAACAAGACAATTCCTTCAGACTACCATACTGTGTGAAAGTCGCCGTGCACAAAAACCTCTTAAATATCACCAGACAGCCAAAATCACAGGACATTTGGAGAAACCCACTAAGGTGATTGATGGGAAGAAGTAAACAGAAGGCTGTGGGAAGAAACAGAGGCTGTGTAGGAAAAAGAAAGATTTAGAAAATCATTAATATCAGGCCAGGAGTGGTGGCTCACACCTGTAATCCCAGCACTTTGGGAGACTGAGGTGGGTGGATCACGAGGTCAGGAGTTCGAGACCAGCCTGACCAACATGGTGAAACCCCGTCTGTACTTAAAAAAAAAAAAATACAAAAATTAGCCAGGTGTGGTGGCACACACCTGTAATCCCAGCTACTCAGGAAGCTGAGGCAGGAGAATCACTTAAATCTGGGAGGCCGAGGTTGCAGTGAGCCGAGATCACACCACTGCATGCCAGCCTGGGTGACAGAGTGAGACTCTGTCTCAGAAAAAAAAAAAAAGAAAAGAAAATTATTAATATCCTCAGAAACAAAACAAAAAACCAAAACCTTAGAAATAAGCCATAACAAAGGAGCTGATAGAGAACCATAAATTTAAAATATATCAGAAAAGTCACACTAGATTTATATATTTGACAACATTGAAACTAAGAACTTCTGTTCATCAAAACACACCATCACAGGAGTGAGAGGCAGCTGACAGAGTAAAAGACAATATCTGCAATTTTATATCCAATGAAGTACTTGTATCCAGAATATATGAAGAACTTCTACAAACAAATTTTAAAAAAATGGAAAGCCAATAAAAAATTGGGCAAAAGTTTGAACAGGTGCTTTACAAAGGAGAATATTCTGATGGGTATGAAAGGTACTCAGCTTTAGGAAAATGTAATTAGAGCCACGATAATATTCCATCAACCCGAACAGCTAAAGTGAAGAACAAACAAACAATACCAAGGACTCTTATACACTACTGGAGGGAGTGTAAATTGGTAAAACCCGTTTTTGGAAAATCATTTGGCAACATCCCCTAATTCTGAACATATGAGTACTCTATAACCCAGTAGTTCCACTACTAGGTATATATCTAGCAGAGATGCACATATATGTAAACCAAAAGACATGTGCAAGAATTATCACAGCAGCACTATCCATAAAAATTGGAATCAATTGTCTATCAGCAGCAGAATGAACAAGTGCATTGTGGTTTATTCACACAATAGAATACCATGCGGACAAGAAAACAAACACAAGTGTCTTAGTCTGCTTTATGCTGCTATAACAGAATACCACAGACTGGATAATTTATAATGAAAAAAATATATTTGGCTCAAAGTTCTGGAGGCTAGGAAGTCCAAGATTGAAAGACTACATCTGGTGAGGGCCCTCTTGCTGTGTCATAACATGATGGAGGAGATTGTCATTCTGTTGCTGATAGACAAGCGATTTACTGGCTTTCCGTCTTTTTAAAATTTATTTGTAGAAGTTCTTTATATATGCTGGATACAAGTACTTCCTTGGATATAAAATTGCAAATATTTTCTGTTATTCTGTTGTCTGCCTCTCACTCCTGTGATGGTGTATTTTTTTTTAACACTTTAGGGTACATGTGCACAACGTGCAGGTTTGTTATGTATAGATACATGTGTCATGTTGGTGTGCTGCACACATTAACTCATCATTTACATTAGGTATATCTCCTAATGCTATCCCTCCCCCCTCCCCCCGCCCCATGACAGGCCCCGGTGTGTGATGTTCCCCTTCCTGTGTCCAAGTGTTCTCATTGCTCACTTCCCATCTATGAGTGAGAACATGCGGTGCTTGATTTTTTGTCCTTGCGATAGTTTGCTGAGAATGATGGTTTCCAGCTTCATCCATGTCCCTACAAAGGACATGAACTCATCCTTTTTTATGGCTGCATAGTATTCCATGGTGTATATGTGCCACATTTTCTTAATCCAGTCTATCATTGTTGGACATTTGGGTTGGTTCCAAGTCTTTGCTATTGTGAATAGTGCTGAAATAAACATACGTATGCATGTGTCTTTATAGCAGCATGATTTATAATCCTTTGGGTATATACCCAGTAATGGGATGGCTGGGTCAAATGGTATTTCTAGTTCTAGATCCTTGAGGAATCGCCACACTGTCTTCCACAATGGTTGAACTAGTTTACAGTCCCACCAACAGTGTAAAAGTGTTCCTATTTCTCCACATCCTCTCCAGCACCTGTTGTTTCCTGACATTTTAATGATCGCCATTCTAACTGATGTGAGCTGGTATCTCATTGTGGTTTTGATTTGCATTTCTCCGATGGCCAGTGATGATGAGCATTTTTTCATGTGTCTGTTGGCTGCATAAATGTCTTCTTTTGAGAAGTGTTTGTTCATATCCTTCGCCCACTTTTTGATGGGGTTGTTTGTTTTTTTCTTGTAAATTTGTTTGAGCTCTTTGTAGATTCCGGATATTAGCCCTTGGTCAGAAGAGTAGATTGCAAAAATTTTCTCCCATTCTGTAGGTTGCCTGTTCACTCTGATGGTAGTTTCTTTTGCTGTGCAAAAGCTCTTTAGTTTAATTAGATCCCATTTGTCAATTTTGGCTTTTGTTGCCATTGCTTTTGGTGTTTTAGACATGAAGTCCTTACACATGCCTATGCCCTGAATGGTATTGCCTAGGTTTTCTTCTAGGGTTTTTATGGTTTTAGGTCTAACATTTAAGTCTTTAATCCATCTTGAATTAATTTTTGTATAAGGTGTAAGGAAGGGATCCCGTTTCAGTTTTCTACATATGGCTAGCCAGTTTTCCCAGCACTATTTATTAAGTAGGGAATCCTTTCCCCATTTCTTGTTTTTGTCAGGTTTGTCAAAGATCAGATGGTTGTAGATGTGTGGCATTATTTCTGAGGGCTCTGTTCTGTTCCATTGGTCTATATCTTTGTTTCAGTACCAGTACCATACTGTTTTGGTTACTGTAGCCTTGTAGTATAGTTTCAAGTCAGGTAGCATGAAGCCTCCAGCTTTGTTCTTTTGGCTTAGGATTGACTTGGCAATGTGAGCTCTTTTTTGGTTCCATATGAAATTTAAGGGAGTTTTTTCCAATTCTGTGAAGAAAGTCATTGGTAGCTTGATGGGGATGGCAATGAATCTATAAATTACCTTGGTCAGTATGGCCATTTTCACTATATTGATTCTTCTTATCCATGAGCATGGAATGTTCTTCCATTTGCTTGTGTCCTCTTTTATCTGATGAACATTGATGCAAAAATCCTCAATAAAATACTGGCAAACTGAATCCAGCAGCACATCTAAAAGATTATCCACCATGACCAAGTAGGCTTCATCCATGGGATGCAAGGCTGGTTCAACATATGCAAATCAATAAACGTAATCCAGCATATAAACAGAACCAAAGACAAAAACCACATGGTTATCTCAATACATGCAGAAAAGGCCTTTGACAAAATTCAACAGCCCTTCATGCTAAAAACTCTCAATAAATTAGGTATTGATGGGACGTATCTCAAAATAATAAGAGCTATTTATGACAAACCCACAGCCAATATCATACTGAATGGGCAAAAACTGGAAGCATTCCCTTTGAAAACTGGGACAAGACAGGGATGCCCTCTTTCACCACTCCCATTCAACATAGTGTTGGAAGTTCTGGCCAGGGCAATCAGGCAGGAAAAAGAAATAAAGGGTATTCAGTTAGGAAAAGAGGAAGTCAAATTGTCTCTGTTTGCAGATGACATGATTGTATATTTAGAAAACCCCATTGTCTCAGCCCAAAATCTCCTTAAGCTGATAAGCAACTTCAGCAAAGTCTCAGGATACAAAATCAATGTGCAAAAATCACAAGCATTCTTATACACCAATAACATACAAACAGAGAGCCAAATCATGAGTGAACTCCCATTCAGAACTGCTTCAAAGAGAATAAAATACCTAGGAATCCAACCTACAAGGGATGTGAAAGAGCTCTTCATGATGTGCTTTGATGAACAGGAGTTCTTGATTTTAATGTCGTCAAATATATGGATCTAGTGTGACTTTTCTGATATTATATTTTAAATTTGTGATTATCAGCGCCTTTGTTATTGTTTATTTCTAAGGTTTTTGTTTTGTTTCTGAGGATATTAATTATTTTTTAAGGTTTTAAAGAATTAGTTGACCAACTTCAGAAGGGCCAACTTCCAATAAAGAGAGTTTCTGAGAGTGAACTGAAAAAATGGTAGCAGGAGGAATCAAAAAATAATTCAAGAAGATATATCATAACTGAAGAATTTGACTTGCCAAATGAAAAGGATCCACCAAATGGGGAGCACATTAAATGAGATTTGTCCCCCATCAAACACATCATTAGTGACCTTCAGAATCCTGGGAACGGAAAGATGACTTTCCAAGTTTCCTTAGAGGAAAAGCAGGTCAAATGCAAAGAGTAGGAATCAGAATGGCTTTGAAATTCTCAACAGCAACAGTAGAAGCTAAAAAACAATGGAGGATTATCTTCAACATTCGGATTGCCTATAGATTCTTCAATACCCAGACAAAGTATGAATTAAATGTGAAGATGGAATAAAGACATATTTAGACATGAAGAAGTTGCAAAATTTACTTTCTATTCTATTGTCTCTGGAAGCTGAGAGGATGTTGTTGATCAAAATGAGGAAATAAAACAACAAAGAACATGATTAGCATTCAGAAAACAGTGGGTTCCAAACAAAGGAGAGATGAAGGGAGTCCTCAGGACAGGACAGGAGAAAGAGTCCAGGATGCCAGCCACAAGCAGGCTTGGAGAACAGACAGCCCAGAACTCTAGAATATTTTTTCAAGAAGACAATAATAGTGCTAATGTGTTTGAACACATTGAGAGAAGCTTTTCATGACTGAAGTAGAACTTGAAATGCGTAAGTGATAAATATATGGAAAAATAAGCAACCAACAAAAGATTATTATTAACTCAAGAACAAACATAAATTTGTTAGAAACTGTAGGGTAGTGGCCACACCTACAGAATACAGATCCAGAATGCCTGGGGTTCAAATTCTGGTTTTGCCACTTAACGGCTGAATTACCTTGGGCAAATCACTTCATCTCCATGGTCCTCATATATAAAATCAGGATTATTATAACAGTCTTGTGAAAGTTTTGTGAAAATTAAAGTCCTTGGATCTTTTTCTGGCCCAGAGAAAGCCCCATGTAAATGTTAACGGTCTTTATTTTTTATTTTATTTATTTTTTTAGAGACTGGGTCTGGCTGTGTTGCCCAGGATGGAGTGCAGTGGTGCGAGCTCAGCTCACTGCAGCCCTGACCTCCCGGGCTCAGGCAATTCTCCTGCTTCAGCCTCCTGAGTAGCTAGGACTACAGGTGTGCACTGCCACACTCAGCTGATTTTTTTTTTTTTTTTTTGTAGTAACAAGGTCTTGCTGTGTTGCCCAGGTTGTATTAACTATTGTGGTTGTCACGACCACTACCACCGTCACCATCATCATTGTATATGGTCCATGGTTCAGCTGGAAAGGTGCAACTAATAAAAATGCTGACTACTAAGCTTAAGAAAAAAATGTCTATTTAATTAGATTGGGAGAAAGTGAAGACAGAAATTGCTTGTCAGGTTAGGAAAGGGAAGGAGGGAAGGAGATAAATCATCTTCCACATTGGGAAGTCTTAGAGAAATTTTTAATCTGCAAAACCAAATAAGTAACAATATAGGCATTTTTGTTGAAGACATGGAGGAAGATATCAAAAGGTTAGCTAAGAAAGTTTACAAGAGTTGCTCTGTGGGAGTGGGAAATGGGTGAATAGACACAGGGAACTTATTCTTTGTAACAATCTTCGTCAATTAGATGTATAGATATTTTAATTCTAAAATTAAAACAACGTTTTTCTTTGAAAAAGAAATCGCCATGTCAAGTTGTTTCACTGGATAATTCTGTTTAAGGAAGAATCAATGCTAACAATAAGCAATTTTTTCCAGATCATATAAGAAGAGAAAATATTTCCCTTCTCATTGTATGGGACCAGTATCACACTAATACCAAAACCAGACAAAGAATTACAAAAAAAGAAACTTACAGATCAATATCCTTCATGCATGTAGACACAAAAACCTTTAAACAAGTATTAACAAATAGGCTTCAGTGATTTTTAAGAAGAATTACACACCATAACTAAATGAAGCTTATTCCAGAAATGCAAGGTTGGTTCAATATTAAAAAATCAGTCAATGTAATCCACCACATTAACAGAATAAAATTCACATGATGTTATCAATTGATGCAGTAAAGTATTTGACAAAATTTGTTTATTTAAATAAATTTTATTGTGTACAAACATGATGTTATAAGATACATATATAAGAAAATGGTTACTATAGTGAAACAAATTAACATCTCCATCATCTCATTTAGTTATCCATAATTCCTCCTGTGGCAAAAACAGCTATAATCTACCCATTAAGGAAAAATCCTGAATATGATACCCTATTATTCACTGTAGTCTTCATGCTGTTCATTAGACCTTTCCACTTGTTCATTCTACATATTTATTTGCTACTTTGTATCTTTTGACCTAAACCTCTCCATTTCCTCCCCAACTCCAACCTTGGTAGCCACTGTTTTATTCTCTGTCTCTATATACTTGATCTCTTTTTTTCTAGAGACCCCACATAAGTGAGATCATGCAATATTTTTCTTTCTGTGTCTAGCTTATTTCACTTAGTATAATATGTTCCAAGTCCACCTATGTTGTGGCAAATGGCAGATCTTCCTTTTTGTTGTTGTTTTTGTTTTGTTTTTAGACAGGGTTTTGTTCTGTCACCCAGGCTAGAGTACAGTGGTGTGATCTTCACTTACTGCAGCCTCGAACTCCTGGGGTCAAGCAATTCTCCTGCCTCAGTCTCCCTAGTAGATGGGACTACAGGCATACACCACCATGCCCAGCTAATTTTTATTTTTTTTTATAGATATGGGGCTCTCATATATTTTTTATAGATATGTTGCCCAACCTGGTCTTGAACTCCTGGCTTCAGGCTATTCTCACATCTTGGCTTCCCAGACTGCTGGGATTACAGGTGTGAGCCACTACACCCGGCCAAGATCTCCTTTTTTTTTTTTTTTTTTTTTTTTTTGAGACGGAGTGTTGCTCTGTTGCCCAGGCTGGAGTGCAGAGGTGCCATCTTGGCTCACTGCAAGCTCTGCCTCTCGGGTTCAAGTCATTCTCCTGCCTCAGCCTCTCGAGTAGCTGGGACTACAGGTGCCCACCACCATGCCCGGCTAATTTTTTGTACTTTTAGTAGAGACAGGGTTTCACTGTGTTAGCCAGGATGGTCTCGATCTCCTGACCTCGTGATCCACCTGCCTCGGCCTCCCCAAAGTGCCGGGATTACAGGCATGAGCCACTGCACCCAGCCCAAGATCTCCCTTTTTAAAGGCTAAATAATATTCCATTGTCTATTTATGCCATAGTTTATCCATTCATCCATTAATAGACACCTAGGTTGTTTTCATACGTTGGCCATTGCGAAAAATGCTGCAACATGGGTGTGCAGATATCCTTACCAGGTAGAGATTTCATTTCCTTTGGATATATGCCTAGAAGAGGGATTACTAGGCTGCATTTGACAAAACTTAATACCTTTCATGATTTTAAAAAAATTCTGAGAAAACTAGGAATAAAGGTGAACTCCCTCAACCTGATTAAAAAAAAAAATTCCTGCAAAACATAACAGTGAAAGACCGAATGCTCTCCTCGTGAAATCAGGAGCAAACACAGCAAAGGTCCCCACCCTCACTACTACTATTCAACTTAGTCCTGGAAGCTCTAACCCGTGCAAAAAGCAACAGAAGGAAATAAAAGACACAGTTACAGCCTATTCTCATTTAAATTTAGGGGTAGTTATGTTCCATAAAGTCATTGCAAACATCAACTTAGCAAAAGCTAAACCACAGGGTTAGGTTCCTTCCAGGCTCCAGACATAACATTTTCACCAACCAAAACACCATTTACTCTATATAGCTTTGTTTGCTAACGTCCTTGTAAAACAAGTAAGTCTCATCAGCGTTGAAAATTTGCTCTCCCAAATAACGCTTTTCCTATGTAACACTTAGAAGGTGTTTTTAAAGTTCTTCCATAGCCTCCCTATCTACAGAACCTGCCTCTCCTGCGAGGTTAACATTTTTCACACCACATTGCCTTTTGAAACATGCAAGCCAGCCCAGTACTAGCCAAGAGAGGTCTGGCATTTTCCTGACCCTGAGTAATGTGACTGCAAATTTCTTTGGCTTTCAGTCTCACAACTCTGTCCACTATGATTTGGGGGCTTGGGGATTTTCTTTAGTCATCAGCTAATGAATCCATAAATTTAGTTGCTTTTCTATCTTTTCTGTTGTTTCGTCATGCTCTATAGATATTACTTTAGCATTTTCTGGAGCAGCCTCAAGTGCAGATTGGTGAATTTCCTCTTCCTTTTTATGGATGAACCATATTTTTGATTCATTAACATTGAACTCACAATCAACAGCACTATATATAACTCATGCCGGAACTGAGCTTATCTAACACATGAATTTTCTCCATAAGGCACATTGCAGCCTTCTCACACTCAGGAACACTAGACATTTCAGCACTTTGCTGGGGACCATTTTAAATCGTGACATCACCAACAAAAAGCACACAAATGCAAAAACCATCCACCAATGTGTCCCCCTCAACTGCAAAGATGACAGCGTATCCCAGTGTGTTTAGTGAGGGATGCAGACACTCCCGCAGCTTAAAAAGACAGACAGTTTGTCTCTGACCCTACTGCAGTTGTTGCCCGTGCTAAAAATATACAGCAATTCAAGAGGAAACAATGTGACTTAGATTTGGTACTGTTTGTTTTTCATTTTTAATGTTTTTACAAATAAGTTAAAAAATATATTACACAAAGTGGCCTTTAGATGAACCATGGGTTCATGATACATTTGCCTTGAGGTGGAAGCCAAATTCATTATCAGAAAGCTGTGAGCGGGAGAAAGTGTATGCTATGTACATATCAATGCATTTCTGAATTAGTGAGTCGGTTCAGTCAACAGGTATCGCCTGAGCACTGGATACTGCCTGGTGCGGAGCTGCAAAGACCAGCAGCAGGCCACTCCTCCCTCCAGCCACGCGCAGTCCAGCAGCAGGCACACCCCGAAGGCAGAAACCTTCACAGGGGATAAGCTGCCAGTCTGGGAAGAGGCAGAGGATTTCTCGAGGAGAATAGAACTACTCATGATGCTGAAGGAGTGAGGCTGGATTCACTCGGAGATGGCGTTCAGCTGGCTTGCAGTGTACCTGGGCCTCAAGTAGGGAAGAAACACTTACCAGATAGAGAAGGGAATTAACCGGCTCAAAGAACCCAAAACTAAGGGCAGATTCAGTCAGACGCAGCGTGGCCCCGAGTCCAAATGGTGAACATCATTGTTCACTTCCTAGCTTATACATGTGACTGTTTCCTCCGGAATGGATAGGGAGACCTGGGGTGGCTGGGCCGGAAAGATCGCCTCCTCTCATCCTGATGAACCCCTCACACTTCTGCTCCTCGCGCCTGGCACGGAGTGACTCCCCACCCGCCACGCTAGGGCCCATGCGCTGGGCCGGATCATGCCTGACGCTAGCAGGCTCGCTGGGTCCTTCACCATCTTCCTACAGACACGGGGGCTCCCTGGGCCAGTAAGGTGACCTCTCACAGGGCAGCCCTGGGCCCCAGGAGCCCAAGGTGGGCCCTGGCAGTTCCCTGAACTGGCACAGTGTTCATTCTCTCATGCTTTATCGGCCGCAGCACTCACAGACCAGCCCTGATTCAGGGAACAAGGAAACAGACCCAGCTCTCCACGGGAGAAGGGTTCCGGTGTCTGCAGACACCATGAATTTGCCCTAGGGAGGATTTTTTTATTTTCCCCTCCCTTTTTTTTTTTTTTTTTTTTTTTTGACATAGAGTCTCGCTTTGTCACCCAGGCTGGAGTGCAGTGGTGCGATCTCGGCTCACTGCAACCTCCGCCTCCCGGGTTCACGCCATTCTCCTGCCTCAGCCTCCCGAGTAGCTGGGACTACAGGCGCCCGCCACCACGCCTGGCTAATTTTTTTTTTTTTTTTGTATTTTTTTAGTAGAGACCAGGTTTCACCATGTTAGCCAGGATGGTCTCAATCTTCTGACCTCGTGATCCACCAGCCTCGGCCTCCCAAAGTGCTGGGATTACAGGCGTGAGCCACCGCGCCCGGCCGGGAGGATATTTTTAAGTAAACAAAGTTTACTTAAAACCTTGGGCGGGCACTCAGGGAAGGAAGACCCTAAATAGCTGAGAATGTTGTATATGGTACTTTGGCTGAGAATGTTCTCTATTGTACTTTGGCTGAGAATGTTCTATATAGCACTTCTCAAACATTTCTTCCTATCAGAATACTGCTACATATGAAGTAGAGTAAATGAAAAAAACAAAAAACCCAGAATACTCCTACTGACAGCAAGCCCACTGTGGACAGAGGCTGGGAATACAACCAGAAGCCCCACGTGAAAAGTGCCATACCATTTGTTTTCGGCAACAGTATACAGTAGACGTTTCTTTTACTAGAACAGAAGTGTTTCCATAGCCTGCTCCTGAGTGGATTCAGAGTCTCAGGGCCCATGCCCACCCAGCGTGCCCTGTGGCTTCACGGCTTCTGTCTTGGGCTGGCAGTGTCCCAATGGGGAGCACAGCAGTGGAAGCCATTTAGGGTCCTGGGAGGTGCTGGTTGTAGGGTTTTAGAAATGCTACTCAAAGACATGCAAGGCGGACAGATGGAGCCTGGAGGTGACTCACAGACACATTTTGGGGAATTAGTAACAAATCACATGTTTATGTTTTCTTTAAAAAATTTTTTCTGGTTATACAAATATATGCTCATTAAACATTTCACACAATTTGTTATTTATTTATTTATTTTTGAGGTTAAGAGTGGAAGTCTAATGGGCAAAACAATGAGAAAAGCTCTCTCTGTTGCAGAGAGAGGGGACCTGGAGAAAACGGGTAGCCCCACACAATTTTTTTTTTTTTGAGACGGATTCTCTGTTGCCACGATCTCGGCTCACTGCAACCTCCACCTCCCGGCTTCAAGCAATACTCCTGCTTCAGCCTTCCAAGTAGCTGAGACTACAGGCACATGCCACCACACCCGGCTAATTTTTTGTATTTTTAGTAGAGATGGGGTTTCATCGTGTTAGCCAGGATGGTCTCTAGCTCCTGACCTTGTGATCCACCCGCCTCAGCCTCCCAAAGTGCTGGAATTACAGGTGTGAGCCACCGCACCTGGCCACCGCACACAATTTTTTAAAGCGTAAGAAAAACATCTGAAATCCTCTGTTAACCATGTTAACCTGTTGGTTTCCATCCTGTACCAATTTCTATGCATTTACACACACATACTTAATTTTACAAAAACGGGATCATAGCATAGTTGCCGTTTCTACTATACACACTTTCCTTTTTTGGCCACTTTTTGGGTACCTCCTTTAAACTCATTTAACCCCACTCCCCACCAAGTTAAGCCCATTCTTTCTATGTGCCTATAATTCTGTTAACATATTACAACACTTTAGGTGTTTTTTTTGTCATATTTGGCCAAAAAGGATTAATATTTTACTAATTTTTCTGTATCTTGCTTTTCTCACTCACAGTTTGGAAATTCCTCCACACCATACAGCATAGCTCTCACACATTCCTAAATGTTTACAACTAGTTCATGGAATGTACATCTCATGGTTCACAAGCCTTGACCAATGCATGGACAATCCCTTTGTTTCAGGCATTTTATCATGTGTTACTTGTAGAATGATGCTGCAATAAATATTACTATATAAATGTATACGTTGGTGTTTCTATTTTGGTTGCCTAAATTCTCACCGTGAGCCAGCTGTATTGCAGAACGCATACTTAAATCTTAATACATATTGCCAGATTACTCTCCAAACAGCAACAGTAATTCACAATTCCCTCAGCAATAAATGAATACCCTTTCTATATATTTTTGCCAGCAATAGAGGTTATCATTTTTTGTAATTTCTGTAAATTTGCATATCTGAATTTTAGTGTATCCTTGAAGATTATTTATTTCTATTTAATGACCATTCATATCTTTTGTCATCTTTTACTTTTTCTCTATTGCAAAAGTGTTCTTTGTATATTAATGCATTAATTATTTCTCTTTCATAGGCATTGCAAATACGTTTCCAATCTAACATTAGTCTTGACTTCTTTGGTATTTTTTGTTATTTAGATGTATATATCATTTATATATGTATATGCATGTGTATTATATATATACACAAAACAGATATTACATACATATGTATATAATTTTTATGGAATAACTATGTCTATCCAGAGTTTCTGGTTTTTAGTTTGAATTTAAAAAGGTCTCTCTAATCCCGGATTTACATATATTTTCTTAGATTATTTTCCTAACCATTGCCCTATATCACTGTTTACCTGTGCTTTATTCCATCTGTAATTTTAGTAGATGATGTTAAGAATAGGATTCACTTTTAACTTTTTCCAGATGGATAGTTTTGTGCCAAAACCGCTTACCAAATCACATTTTCCTCTGAGCTGACAGAGAGACCCTCCCTTGGGACACACTGATTGCCAAAGAACACCAGGATTTCTTTCTGTCCCCACAATCTCTCTGTCCATCCCAGTTTTATGACCAGACTTTCCTGATTACAAACTGTGTTTGCTTTTTTTTCTTTTTTTGAGACGGAGTCTTGCTCTGTGGCCAGGCTGCAGTGCAGTGGCACAATCTCGGCTCACTGCAACCTCTGCCTCCCGGGTCCTGGTAAGGGAGGAGAACACCCCTCATACTGTCTTATGCCCAATTTCTGCCTCCAAAGAAAGAAGAAGTAAAAACTAAAAGGCAGAAATGAAATCCACAGGCAGACAGCCCAGCGCCACACCCTGGGCCTGATAGTTAAAGATCGACCCCTGACCTAATTGGTTATGTTATCTATAGATTCCAGACATTATATGGAAGAGCACTGTGAAAATCCCTGTCCTGTTCTGTTCCATTCTAATTACCGGTGCATGCAGCCCCCAGTCACGTACCCGCTGCTTGCTCAATCCATCACAACCCTCTCACGCGGACCCCCTTAGAGTTGTAAGCCCTTAAGAGGGACAGGAATTGCTCACTCGGGGAACTCAGTTGTTGGGAGACGTGAGTCTTGCCGAAGCTCCCGGCCGAATAAAGCCCTTCCTTTTTTAACTTGGTGTCTGAGGGGTTTTGTCTATGGCTTGTCCTGCTACACCGGGTTCAAGCAATTCTCCTGCCTCAGCCTCCCGAATAGCTGGGACTACAGGCACGCGCCACCATGCCCAGCTAATTTTTGTGTTT